>NC_000007.14:52866712-55493182 GCF_000001405.40 Homo sapiens
AGAGAGGTCTAAAGATTTGGAAAATGTATTTGAGGGAATAATTGAGGAAGCATTCCCTGGCCTTGTTAAAGATTTAGGTATCCAATACAAGAAGCTCAAAGAACTCTTGTGAAATTCATTGCAAAAAGATCATCACCAAGGCACATAATTATCAGACTATCTAAAATGTACATGAAGGAAAAAATTCTAAGAGCTGTGGGACAAAAGCATCAGGTAACCCATAAAGGAAAACTTATCAGAGTAACAGCAGAATTCTCAGCAGAAACCTTACATGCTAGAAGGGATTAGGGTTCCATCTTCAATCTCCTTAAACAGAATAATTGTCAGCCAAGAATCTCATGTCCAGCAAAATAAGCTTCATAACTGAAAGAGCAATAAAGTATTTTTCAGACCACCAAACCAGCACTACAAGAAATGCTAAAAGCAGTTCTAAATCTTGAAACAGAAGCTTGATATGCACCAAAGAGAACCCCCTGAAAGCATACAATGCATAGGCCCTAGAAAACAATAACACGATAATAAAAAAGTATCTAGGTAACCACTAATAGGATGAATGGAACAGGACCTCACATCTCAAGATTAACATTGAATGTAAATGGCCTCAATATTCCACTTAAAAGATACAGAATGGCAGAATGGATAAAAAACCACCAACCAAATGTCTGCTGTCTTCAGGAGCCTCACCTGAACAGAAGAATTTACATAAACTCAAGGTAAATGGGTGGAAAAAGATATTTCACACAAATGGAAGCCAAAAGTGAACAGGAGTAGCTGTTTTGTTTTATGTCAGACAAACAGACTTTAAAGCAACAACAGTAAAAAAAGACAAAGAAGGTCATTATATAATAAAAAAAGGATAATAATGATAATATAATAAAAGGATCCATCTAACAAGAAGATATTAGAATCTTAAATTTATATGAACCTAAGACCAAAGCTCCCAGATTTATAAATCAATTACTACTGGACCTAAGAAATGAAACAGACAGCAACACAATAATAGTGGGGGACTTCAATACTCCCCTGACATTAGACAGATTGTCAAGACAGAAAGTCAACAAAGAAATAAAGGACTTCAACTATACTCTAGAATAAATGTACTTAACAGGTATTTACAGAATATTCTACCCAACAACTGCAGAATATACCTTCTTCTTTAACAGTGAAATAAAGATGGGAATTTTAAAATTTTTTGAAATGAATGATAACAGTGACACACTTTATTAAAACTTAAGGAATACTGCAAAAAGCAGTGCTAACAGGAAAGTTCATAATGTTAAATGCCTACATCAAAAAGTCTTAAGGAGTACAAATTGACAACATAATGTCACAGCTCAAGGAATGAGAGAAACAGGAACTAACTAACCCCACATCCAGCAGCAGACAAGAAATAACAAAGATCAGAGAAGAACTGAATGAAATTGAAACAAACAAAATAAATGCAACAGAAAGGTGTTTTTATGAAAAGATAAACACAATTAATAGGTCATTAGCAAGATTAACCAAGAAAAGAGGAGAGAAGATCCAAATTAACTCAATTTGGAATGAAACTGGAGGCATTACAACCAATACCACAGAAATGCAAATGATTATTCAAGACTGCTATGAACACCTTTATGTGCACAAACTACAAAGTCTAGAGGAATTGGACGAATTCCTGGAAACATACAATCCTTGTAGATTAAATCAGGAAGAAATAGGAACCCTGAACATACCAATAACAAGCAGTGAGATTAAATCATTTATTTAAAAATTGCTAACAATAAAACGTTTAGGACAAGAGGATTCACAGCTGAATTCTACCAGACATTCAAATAATTAATATGAATCCTACTGAAAGTATTCCAAAAGATCGAGACAGAGAGAATCCTCCCTAAATCATTCCATGAAGCCAGTATCATCCTATAACAAATTCCAAGAAAGGCCACAACAACAACAACAAAATAAAATTACAGGCCAATATCCCTGATGAACATAGATGCAAAAATCCTCAACAAAATACAAGCTAACTGAATCCAACAGCACATCAGAAAGATAATACATCATTATCAAGTGGCTTTCATCTCAGAGATGCAGAAATGATTTAATACACAAGTGAATAAATGTGATACATCACTTAAACAGAATTAACAACAAAATCCATATAATCATCTCAATAGATGCAGATAAAGCATTTGAGAAAATCAAGCATCCCTCTATGATCAAAACCCTCTGCAAACTAGGCATAGAAGGGACTTAACCTCAAAATAATAAAAGCCATAGATGACAAGCCCACAGCCAACATCACACTGAATAGGAAAATGTTGGAAGTATTCCCCCTGAGAAAAGGAACAAGACAAGGGTGGCCACTTTCATCACTTCTATTCAACATACTACTAAAGTCCTAGCTGGAGCAATCAGGCAAGAGGAAGAAATAAGGGGATGCAAATTGGAAAAGAGAAAGTCAAACATTGCTATACACCAATGATATGATTGTGTAGAAAATGCTAAAGACTCATCCGAAAGGTTCCTAGACCTGATACATAATTTCAGTCAAATCTCAGGTTGGAAAATCAGTGTACAGAAATTAGTAGCACTGTTATACACCACCAATGATCAATCTAAGAATAAAATCAAGAATTCAATCCCTTTTACAACAGCTGCAAAAGAAAAAAATATAACCTAGGAATATGCTTAGCCAAAGAGGTGAAAGATCTTCCAAGGAAAAATACAAAACACTGCTGAAAGAAATTATAGATGACACAAACAAATGGAAACACATTACATGTTCCTGGGTTGTAAGAATCAATATTGTGAAAGTAAACATACTGCCCAAAGCAATCTACAGATTCAGTGCAAGTCCCATCAAAATACCATCATCATTTTTCACAGAACTAGTAAAAACAATTCTAAAGTTCATATGGAACCAAAAAAGAGCCTCCATAGCCAAAGCAATCGTAAGCAAAGGAACAAATCTGGAGGTATCCCATTATCAGACTTCAAATTATACTACAAAGCTTTATTTACCAAAACAGCATGGTATTAGTATAAAAATAGACACATAGACCAATAAAACAGAATAAAGAACCCAGGAATAAAGCCAAATATGGACAGCCAATTGATCTCTAACCAAGCATACAAAAACATAAACTGGGGAAAGGACACCCTATTCAATAAATAGTGCTAGGAAAACTGGCAAGCCACATGTAGCAGAATGAAACCGGATCCCTATCTCTCACTTTATACAAAAATCAACTCAAGATGGATCAAAGACTTAAATCTAAGACCTGAAACCATAAAAATTCTAGATGATAACATTGAAAAAATTCTTCTGGACAATGGCCTAGGCAAATAATTCATGACTAAGATCCCCATAAGCAAATGCAACATAAACATAAATAAATAAATGGGACCTAGTTGAACAAAAAGACTTCTGCATAACAAAAGAAATAATCAGCAGAGTTAATAGGCAATCCACAGAGTGGGAGAAAGTATTTGCAAACTATGCATCAGACAAAGAACTAGTATCCAGAATCAACAAGGAACTCAAATCAGCAAGAAACAAATAATGCCATCAAAAAGTGAGCAAAGACATGAATGGACATTTCTAAAAAGAAGATATACAAACAGCCAATAAGCATAATGAAAAAATGCACATCACTAATCATCAGGGAAATGCAAAATAAAACCATGGTGAGATACCACCTTACTCCTGCAAGAATGGCCATAATTAAAAAGTCAAAACAATAGATGTTGGTGTGGATGAGGGGAATGTGAAACACTTTTAGACTACTGGTGGGAATGTAAATTAGTACAAACTTTATGGAAAATGGCATGGAGAATCCTTAAAGAACTAAAAGTAGATCTACCATTCCATCCAGCAATCCTACTACTGGTTATCTACCCCCCTGCCAAAAAAAAAGTCATTATATGAAAAAGACACATGCACACACATGTTTATAGCACATTAATTCACAAATGTA
This sequence comes from Homo sapiens, assembly GCF_000001405.40. NCBI lineage: Eukaryota > Metazoa > Chordata > Mammalia > Primates > Hominidae > Homo > Homo sapiens. The sequence continues at coordinate 52,870,675 of NC_000007.14, forward strand.
ATGGTACAGGACCAACCTAATTGCCCATCATCCAATGAGTGGATTAAAAAAAATGTGGTATGGAATACTACACAGCCATAAAAAAGAATGTAATTATGACTTTTGTAGCAACTTGGTTGGAGCTGGGGTTCATTATTCTAAGTGAAGTAACTCGAGAATAGAAAACCAAATACCATATGTTCTCACTTATAAGTGGGAGCTTATTTATGAGGATGCAAAGACATACAGAGTGATATGACTTTGGGGACTTCAGGGGGATTTTGGGAGGGAGGTGAGGAACAAAAGCCTAGATATTGGGTACAGTGTACACTGCTTAGGTGATGGTTGCCTAAAATTTCAGAATTCACCATTATGGAATTCATCCATGTAACAAAAACCACTTAGACCCCCCAAAGCTTTTGAAACTAAAAAAAAAAAAATCCTACAAGAGTTTAAATAAATTATCTAATGTTGCATCTCAAGAAACTAGAAAACCAAGAATAAACCTAACCTAACATTAGTAGAAAGACAGAAATAATAAAGGCCAGAGCAGAAGTAAACAAAATAGAGACAAAAACAAAATATGAAAAGTTGATTTTTTTAAAAAAAGATAAACACAATAGATAAATGGCTAGCTAGATTAACCAGGGGGAAAAAAGAGAAGACCCAAACAAGTAAAATAAAAGATGAAGATGAAGACATTCCAACTGATACCATAGAAATACAAAAGGTCATCCAAGACCATAATGAACAAAATACACACTAACACGCTGGAAAACCTAAAGGAAATGTATAAATTCCTGGAACTAAGAAAAGTACCAAGATTAAATCAGGAAGAAATAGAAAACTGAACAGTCCAATTATGAACAGTGAGATTGAATTAGTAATAAAAAATCTTGCACCAAAATTAAAGCCCAGGACCAGATGGCCTTACAATAAAACTTTACCAAATATGCAAAGAATAATTAATACAAATTCTCCTCATGCTATTAAAAAAAAAAAAAGTGATGAGGAGGGAATTCTCCCTAACTCATTCTATGATGCCAAAGTTACCCTGATACCAATATCAGACGAGGACACAACAAAAAAGAAAACTATAGGGCAATATCCCTGACGAACATAGAGACAGAAATTCTCAACGCAGTACCAGCAAATTGAATCCAACCACACATCAAAAGCATCAAACAACATAATCAAGTGGGATTTATCCTGGGGATGCAAAAATGGCTCAATATATGCAAATAAATAAACATTATATATCACATCAATAAAATTAAGAACATAAACTATATGATCATCTCAATAGACACATAAAGGTTTTGATAAAATTCAACATCCCTTCATTATAAAAACTCCCAACAAACTATGCATAGAAGAAATGTATATTAACATAATAAAGGCCATTTATGAAAACCCACAGCTAACATTATACTGAATGTGGAAAAGCTGAAAGCCTTACCTCTAAGAACTGGTACACGACAATGATGCTGACTTCCACCACTCCGATTCTACATAGATCTACAAGTCCTATCCAGAGCAATCAGGCAAGATTAAAAATAAATAAATAAATAAAATGTATCCAAATGTACATAAGGGAATCAATGTGTTTGCTGAAGATGTGGTCAGATAACTAGAAAAACTTACAGATTCCACAGAATCCTCTCTGATCTGATAATAAATTTGATAAAGTTGCAGGATACATAATCAACATACAAAAACTAGCAGTGTTTTTATGCCAATAATGACCTAGCAAAGAAAATATCTAGAAGATAATTTCTCTTGCAATAGCTATAAAATAAATGAAATACTTAGAAATGAATTTAAGGAAGGAAATGAAAATCCTGTACAAAGAAAACTATAAAACACTGATGAAAAGTTGAAAGGGATGCAGACAAATGAAAAGATATCCCATGCCCATGATCAAAATAAATATTGTTAAAACAATCACATTCCCCAAAGCAATCTTCAGCTTCAATGAAATCTCTGTCAAAATATCAATGTCATTTTTTCATATAAATAGAAAACAAACCTAAAATTTTCCTGAAACCAAAAAAGAGCTCATATCGCCAGAGCAATCCTGAACAAAAAGGAGAAAGATGGATACACCACATTATCTAACTTCAAAATATATCATCAGGATATAGTAACAAAAACTGCATGATATTGGTATAAAAACACACAAATAGACCAATGAAACAGAGAAGAAAACTCAGAAATAAATCCATAAAATTTATAGCTAACTGATTTTGACAAATGCAGCGAGAACTTAAATTAGGGAAAGGACATACTCTTCACTAAATAATATGAGAAAATTGAATATTCATATGTGAAGGAATGAAACTGGACCCCTATTTCTAACCATATACAAAAACCAATCCAAGATGGATTAAAGCCTTGTATGTAAAACCTGAAACTATAAAAATACTAGAAGAAAATATAGGAGAAACAAGTCAGGACATTGTTGTAGGCAAAAATTTTTTGGCTAAGATCTCAAAAGCTCAGGCAACAAAAACAAAAATTGATGAATGAGACTATATTAAACACAGCTTCTTCAGACCAAAGCAAACAATCAAAGAGTGAAGACACAAACTGTTAAATAGAAGAAAAAAAAATTGCCAGATAGGTAGCTGCAGACATTGTGTCAAGCAATGTGTTAATTTGCTCAAGCTCTAACAGCTCAATATGGAACAGCAGTTGTAATCAGAGCCATCAGTTGGTTATTCTTATGAGAATCCACTGTTATTCAAGATCCATCTGTTTCCTGCACAGGACAAATAGGTGAATTGAATGGAGGTGTGGTAGGAATCACACCCCTGGCATCTGTCAAGTTCCTAATGGTAACATTGATTTCTGCAATTCCTTCAGGAAAGCAGTATTGTGTTTGGCTTACTATTATTCTAGGTAGAGACATTGCTAGTGGCTTCCACTTGGTCTTTTCTATCATAATATCCCTCACTCCACAAGTCATGGTATAAATGTGTAGATTCTACAACTTGCTGAGTATATCTACTCCAGTTAAGCATTCCAAAAATGATAAATTAACCACAGAATGTGTTTGGGAAACCATTAGCCCCACTGTGAGATATACCTGATCTAAAACTTTACTGGACATTTCACCTTCATAACACCTTTTTCTGACTGATGGACCTTGGTGATGTCTTAGGTCTCCTGGAATTAGTGTCAGAAAGAGCCTGTATCTAGTAGTCCCCAGAAAGTCTGATAATTTTCTTTTTTCTAGTGTGTGGTTATCCTGGTAACAGGCTACAGGCCCCTTTGGGGAAGAGTGGAAGAAAGACGACTAGTATAAATATGTGGCTGTGTACTAAAGTCTTTCCTCAAGGAGCCTTGGACTCCACTTCATTCCAGGGTTTCAGAATCTATAAACTGGCTCAAGTCTGGGATTGAGAAGCTGTTATTTTGTTATTTCTGTTATTTTGTTATACTTTTGTTCGTATGATCTCAAACTTTTATTCTTATACAGATTGTGTAAGAATTCAGAAGACTTTCTATCTTTCACTTCTCGTAACACCATGACCAACTAGTCAGTGCCATGGGTCTGCACTAGGCAGACTATCCTGATTGCTGCTTTGCCTCTGCTGTCCAGTGCCACCTTGCCTTTTGCAGTTGAGTGCTGCCACTTGGCCTCTACCACCTCAGGATCCAATTACTCCCATTGCATTTAGGTTTCCCAATTAAGTGATCACCATTCTTTTTTTTTTTTTTTTTTTTTTTTTTGAGACAGAGTCTCGTTCTGTCACCCGGACTGGAGTGCAGTGGCATGATCTCCTCTCGCTGCAACCTCTACCTCCCAGGTTCAGCTGATTCTTCTGCCTCAGCCTCCTGAACAGGTGGCATTACAGACACACACCACCACACCCGGCTGATTTTTGTATTTTTAGTAGAGCCGTGGTTTCACCATGTCGGCCAGGCTGGTCTTGAACTCCTGACCTCAAGTGATCCCCCTGCCTTGGCCTCCCAAAGTGCTTGGATTACAGGGGTGAGCCAGTATGGCTGGCTGTGATCACCATTCTTATTGGGTGACCTTGACTACAGAAAAGAGAGGCTGTAGAGCTTTTCAAAGATGCTGGGGCTCTCCTCACAAATTTCTTTCTTTCTTTCTTTCTTTTTTTTTTTTTTTTTTGAGATGGAGTCTTTCTCTCTTGCCCAGGCTGGAGTGTAGTGGCGTGATCTTGGCTCACTGCAAGCTCCGCCTCCCGGGTTCACGCCATTCTTCTGCCTCAGCCTCCCAAGTAGCTGGGACTACAGGTGCCTGCCACCAAGCTCGGCTAATTTTTTGTATTTTTAGTACAGACGGGGTTTCACCATGTTAGCCAGGATGATCTTGATCTCCTGACCTCGTGATCCGCCCACCTCGGACTCCCAAAGTGCTGGGATTACAGGTGTGAGCCACTGCACCCTGCCCACAAATTTATTTCTTACATTATGATAACAAGTATGTCTTCTGGGCCTTCCCAGTGTGGATAGTCAGAAGTGGTCCTCCCAGAGAGGATGACAAATCCACTCTAACATTCCCAAACCCCTAAACTTTGAATCCCTTCTTGTACATTAAACCAAGGCATGCCCAGCATTTCTAACTTGCTCACTGTAGGCTACCTTTTTGTTCCATGCCCAATAAACAAACAAACAAATAAACAAACAAACTGTTAGAGCCTTTTCTAACTCCCTGAGGTACAATATTACATACAGAATGTACGTTTGGTGAGACCATATCTATCTATTCAGCCTGGCCCAACTTTATGTTCCTCCCACCATTGTACCAAAACTTTAATATCCATTCCTATATGTGCTCCCTTGATTTCTATCTGCATAGATTAGAAAACTCAAGTAGATCTTTAGAAGTATAGCAATTCTCTTCATTGAGTTACACTTTAAACCTCACCTTTAGAGGCCTACTGGGACTTGAGTGTAGATATGGGTAGGATGAAAGTGGTGGGTGTTAGAGGTGTGTTCTGAAGAGAACCAGCATTGTCTTCCATGTCAACTGGCTCAGAGGAGGCTATTACAGGTTTCTCAGGCAATTCAGGGTTAGTCCCCTCAAATAGGGGGTTAGGGGTGGAAAAATTATTTCAACTGGGAGTGGAGAGGATGTTTCCACTGGTGATGCAGAGGCTGTTCCCACTGGAAGTGGAGAGACTGTTTCCACTAGCAAAAATGTCTTATCAAAATGTAGGGACTCAGTAGTCCCAGCATAATCAGTCTTTCCAGTCATCCTCATTTCAACTTGCAGGATCCCACTCCTTCCTTAAAATGCCTTCACTTCAATGGCAGATCCTTTGTATGGCTGGGAGTTCAAATTTTGTTGTAATTCAGCAAGTTACAGAAAGAGATTCTGTGTTTGATTTTTCAGCAATCTTTGCCCTGTGCCTACAGGTAATAAGAGTATCCTTCAGGGCCATATAGAAGCTTTCAGGTCATTTATGCAATGCTTAAGCTGGGAATTGGAATCTCCAAGCTCATCCTTTCCTTCCCCACCTTGTCTGGAGTGAACAGGCTGGTGGTTAGCAGTTTTGTATTTTATGATCCTTTTATAATTTGTTGCTGTAAGTTGCTAGCAATATAAACTTATTCTAGATATTTTAGTGCAATATAAATTTATTAAGAGGCTACTGAATAACCAATATTTAAAGAGGAAATGTATGTCACTTTGGAGATATACATACACTTAATTATAAATGCATTTCTAAAACATAGGAATTACTATCTCTGCCTTACCAATTAGAAACTGAGAAATGCAGAGATAAAGTAACGTACAAATGATGGCACATGCATACACAAACAATAGGTGGTAAAGGTGAGATTTGAATCCAGATGATTTTGTACTACATACTTGCCCCAGAACAGTGATTTTCAAACTTGAAGCTGCATCAGAATTCCCTGGAGGACAGGTTATGTTACACTGGTCTGGGCTCTTCTCCAAAGCTGCTGATTCAGTAAGTAGGAAGTGAGACCTGAGAGTTTTTACGAAGTTCCCAAGTGATGCTAATGCTAGTAGTTCTCAAGTCCAAAACTTAAGAACCTCCATTCTTGATAACTATTTTTCGAGGGCCAGAGAGCCAGACTCAGAGGCTATGAAGCTACTTCAGTGGCTCAAATCAGAGGTGGAATCCATCAGTGAACTTCAGCCATGACCACTACTTCTCCTACCACATCAAACACTGGAATAAGTATATGCTGCAGATCAACCTCCTGCCCATCCTTATAGCAGAACATTGATACCATTTCTAGCATTGCTCCCAATGTTCTCCTGCAATTTCAATTTTCCTAAAATTACTTTGCCTCCAGAGATTATGTTTGTGACCCCTTGCCTCTTTGCATCTCATATTGCTGATTCAGAATCCAAGATAGATACATATGATTAGGTGGAGCTTAAATCAGACACCCTTGTCTTTGCCCATAAGGAGGAGTTCAAAGCAACTTCTGATTCCATAGTTGTTTGTAGACTGATGGGTTGTTTTTACGAATGAACTTTGTTACATAGGGGGTTCAGACACTAAAGGATAATGGATGTCTACTACAATTGCCTTACCAAATAAGGGGCAAATAGAATACATTTTTAATCGTTTTGCAAATTTTTATTGAACAACAATTTTATGGCAGAATCATAAGGCACTGAGAATACAGTTTAATAGTATCTGACCTTGCTTTTTAAATTCTCTCTAAATGAAAAAAAAAGAAATGTGATTATTTTGCTTAAGGTTGCACAATGTCACAAGAATCTTAGTGGAGGCCAGAACTCTGGTTCTAATCCTCCATGAATTCCAATCCTTGGAACAACATTTGTTATTATCTTAGTCTGTTCTGGCTGCTATTACAAAATACCATCAACTGGGTGGCTTAAACATCAGAAATTTGTTGCTCCCGGTTTTGGAGGCTAGAAATTTCAAGATCAAGGTGCCTGCAGATGTTGCATCCAGTGAGAGCCCAGTTCTTCATCGATGGGACCTGCTGACTCTGTCTTCACATGGTAGAAGGGATGAGAGGTTTCTCTGGGGCCTTTTTCATAGGGCACGGATCCCATTCATGATGGCTCTACCTTCATGACTGTATCACCTCCCAAAGGTCCCGTCTTCTAATCACATCATGTTGGGGTTTAGGTTTCAACATGAAATCTGAGGACAAACATTCAGACAGATAGCAGTCGCTGTGTATTCACCTGCCTTTTTAAATGAAAGCACTAATTTTTCACTATTTCAGTATTTTCTGAAAAATCTGAATCAAAGCATAAGCATTTCAGAAGGAATGATTTGCTTTACTCCAGTGTATTATTCTTGATTATTTGATTAAAGACAACTGAATCCAACTCTGGTAAGCTTAAGAGAAAAAAGTCTTGAAAGGAATTGGGTAGTTGATAAAATGCAACCCAGGCCTACAGGGTAGAGAAATCAGAAGATATCTAAACTACAGTCTTTTAAGGGTTCCATTTTCAGAATGGAATTTTCCAACTACTTTTGATGCAACATTTTACTTTGCTCAAGATTTAACTACAAAGGGAAGAGATTCCCATTAGCCTCGCTTGCCCCCAGACAGGAAAGAGCCAGTGCTTCACTAGTAAGCAACCTCAGACAATACAGAGTGGGGAAGGGATAGTTTCTCAAAGGAAGATCTGGAGGCTGCTACTGGGAGAAGGGGAGGTGGATGCTAGGCAGATTAAAAACAATAAATGTGTGTTGCTTCCCTAACCTGTGTTCTTAACCAAATGCATGATGACATATGAAACCTAAAAATATTTCCTTGTAATAGTTATCTGCTCCACTTTTTTTATCTTGTGTTTCTTCTTCTGGAAAGGTCTGTTTAGCCAAGAAATAGGCCTAGTAAGTTTCTTATACAAAAATTAAAAACAAATATGCCTGTAAGGATATTTGCTACAACCTTAAATACTTCAGAAGAAAAATATTGCATAATATCAAATTTTAATTTGTGTAGTTCACAAAGTATTTATCAGTATTTTATGATTAATTTGCCTTCATATTTAACCTTATTTCATTTGCTTTCTTTTCCACTAATAGAGTTGGCATTACTTTGTTTTGAATTAAGATTTTATGGCAATAATTAAATACATTCATTCTTATTAGACAATACAATGGTACACATAAAAATTGTTAGACAAATATTTAACCAAATCACAAAAATGTGTAATAAAATTATATCCCATTATAACTCCATTCTCGAAACTATATTGAAAGTACTTATCACTGTTAATGCAATTATTATTTTTGGACTCTAAAGAAATTTTTTTCTAAAGGATAAATCATTATTTATTCATATTATTGTCTTATGTATTCCTAAGTCCAAATGAGCAGAAAAAGTGATTAGAATTTTAATTGCTTCAAAGCAATCATTCCAAATGAGATGAGATAATATTACTCCTCACAACACTTTACCTTTCAGTGTTGTCATCAGCTTTGTCAGGGAAAGTGGATGCTCAATGCAAACGCAAGTGCTATGCTATGTACTCACAGAAGTGGTGCATTTACTAGTATTTATTTTTAATATTTAACTAAATCTATGTATTTCACAGGAGATTTTTAATAGAGCATCAATTAGTAGTTGTTTACACAGTGTAATTTAAGCTCAAAGAATAATAAATTAAGAAATATACTTGTGCATGTTGTAAAATAATATGAAAGAAACTAAATAACTTGATTATATAATATTTGAAATTATCTTTATGGAGGTTTATTTTTGTATATAGACTATTAACCTGACATATTTCTCATTATTGTAAAGTTTTTGAGAATATGCCAATTAAGTTGAAACTTAAAATACTCACAGTTTAAAAATGAAAACTTCTTGGCCGGTTGTGGTGGCTCACGCCTGTAATCTCCCAGCACTTTTGGAGGCCAAGGCGGGCGGATCACAAGGTCAAGAAATCGAGACCATCCTGGCCAACGTGGTGAAACCCCGTCTCTACTAAAAATACAAAAATTAGCTGGGTGTGGTGGGGTGCGACTGTAGTTCCAACTACTCGGGAGGCTGAGATGGGAGAATCGCTTGAACCCAGGAGATGGAGGTTGCAGTGAGATGAGATCATGCCACTGTACTCCAGCCTGGCAACAGAGTTAGACTCAGTCTCAAAAAAAAAAAAAAAAAAAAAAAAAACTCCTTTAAAGTAAATATTTAGGTAAATAATTACAGTAAGATTTGTCAGTATAACCATAGCCTTTCCTAATGCGAACATTGAGAGAAAATTAAAAGACCTTCAACTGTAGGCATCGATTGAACAATAGGAGCTATTAGCAGTGCCCCAAAGCAGTTTAAATGATGTGAAATAAGGGAAAGAAAGCCTGTGTTGTTACATGTGTGTGCTCTCAGCCAAGTGTCCTCTGTAAGGGAAGGATGCCCAGAAGCAGTCTAAGGTGGTGCTTGCTCTGGACAAGAGCATCTTCGTGGAGGAACCTGTGTTGGAGGGGTAGGGGGTGGAGAGAAGGGGTCATTGGAGATTGCTGCCTGTAGCCAAAGTAGGAGGACAATTGTAAATTTCTCAGAAGGAAGAGGGAAGGTCATCAGGCTCATTAGTTAAGCAAGGTCTTTTTTCAGGGGAAGCTGAATTGCAACACCAATCAGAAACCAGAGCTGAAGCCCAGTCTCAACAACATAGAGGCTAGAGCTTAGTTTATGAAGGGAGCTTCAGGATCCACCTTGCATATTTCTGGTTTAAGGCAATAGAGTAATTTCAAAATGTCAACTTCTAGACAAGGTCTTATATTAGAGAGCCATTTATTTTCTCAATGACTCTGACTATAGTTTGTCATGAACCCATCTAAATGAAGGTTCCCACAGTGAGAAAGGCTGGGGTCAAAAAGAACTGATAAAAGGCAGAAAGTAAATCGATGGACTCTATTAGCTATATTAGATTTGGAGATTTACAGTAAAAAATGAAGACAACAGTTGTGTGTTCCTTCACACCAACTCCATTATTTTCCCACCATTATTCTCCTCCCAATGTGTTTGATCAATGGTAACATCATGCACTGTTTCATCTAAGCTAGAGAACTGGGTATCTAGCAAACTGCCGTTACTCCTAATTCTTCAAATCCACCTGGCTCCTAAATCTTGTTAATTCTACTTCCTTCAGACTTCAAAAATTGGCATACTTCTTTTTCTTCATTCAAATTATGAAAAACTCATCCCATGTGGACAACAGAGGATTTGTACTTTGGAACATGATGTCTCACCTATTTCTGATTTTTTTATGATTTTAGATGAGACTTTAGACTTGAGACTTTAGAATTGATGCTGGAATAAGACTTTTGTGGCTGTTAGGTAGGAGGAACGTATTTTGCATCATGTGATAAGGGCATGTATTTTGGGTGGTCAAGGGTGGAATGCAATGGGCTGACTTGGATCCACCCCCAAAATTCATATGTTAAAGTCCAACATGACTGATTTGGAGACAGGACCTATAGGAAGGTAATTAAGACTAAATGAGCTCATCAGGGTGGGGCCCTAATCTGATAGAATCAGTATCGGATGCCAGCGAGCTTTCTCTTTCTCACTGGCTCTGTGCATGCACACAGATGAGTTTATGTGAGCATGGCACAAGGTGGTGACCACCTGCAAGCCAGGCAAAGAGGCCCCAAAAGGGGAAATCAAACCCCGCTGAACCACGATCTGGGACTTCTACCATCCAGAACTGTGAAAAAATCAGTATCTGTAGTTTAAGCTGCCTAGTCTCTAGTATTTTTCTCATGGCAGCCAGTGCTGATGCACAGATTTAGGAGACATCCATTCCCCAGGGTCCTGTCCTCACCTACCACGTATCCCTGTGTTAACACTTCTCTGCAGCCACTGTATCTTGCTCACAGATCTTCACATAAGTCTTTGTTTCTCCATAGCTTTGTATTTATAAACTACTCTCTTTTTTGATTCTGGAATTAGTCTTCCTTCATTTTACCCTCTTAATAAAGAATTGCTAATCCTTTAAGAATAAGTTAAAGTTCTCTTCAGTCTAAGCTAATTGATCACATTCTTCTTGGTTTTTTTTTTTTTTAGATAAATACATTGAGCATCTAAGGATGAAATTCACTAATTATAGGCCTCTTTTCTTTCCATTAAACAGTTAACTTCTTGAAACAGTGTGCTTTGGAATTGAACAGATCTGTGTTCAAATCCTAACTCTGCATAATTGACTATCTAAGTTAAAATATCCAAGTAAATTATCTATAATAACAACTTACTATATTAATATGAAATGTATTCAAAAACCCATATTTCAAGTACATGTCAATATATTTAGTGATAATGTTATTTTTTCATTTATTAGCAAAATAGAGTTTAGCATATCTTCAGGTGGCAATTTTGTTGTAAAAATTTACAAATGAGCAATCAAATTAATGAAGGATTGGAAACAGTGATAAAAGTGACTAAAAAAAAAAAGAAAGCCAATATAAAGAAGAAGCTTGAAGTGGCCATGAAGAGTAACAGGAAGCAGCATCTCAGAGGGCTTGATTGTTGGTAGTTGAGTTTTGAAGAAACTTTTCAAGCTTTGAAACATTTGGTCTGTTTTTCCAAAGCCAAACGTGAGTCTTCGTTTTGCGGTAAATGTTGGTAACGTGTTCTTTATAGCATTGTATGCCCTTCTGTCTCACGTATCACACTTTCTCAAACCTCATTCTCTCTGACTTAAAAGACAGTCAAGATTTCAGGGTGTTCATGAAACAGATTACATAATTATAAACAGGTTTCATAATTATAAACAGGTAAACAACATTTGAAGAAAATGCCTTGGAGGCAAATTTTGGCTGATGGCTATATCAGAACTTGGAGTTTTTATGTTTGTTTTTAAAATATGGTAAAAGGTCTTGAACCAGAGAGTGCTCTACTTACCTGACAAGGTACCCACTTAAACATTCAAGGATAGCAAATCAGTTTAAAATCTGTGCATGACAAAATATTTTAAATCTTTCCTGACTCTCATGCTTTTGTAAAAATAATACATTTTCCTTCTTCCTGGAAGAATTTGCTCACATCTAGCTTACTACTTGAAAGAAACCACTTATCATACTTAATTTTAATTGACTATTTTGCATGTTGGTTTGGGCTAGGCTGCACTACATTGTTTAGTATTTCTTCCCTTGTATGTTACTGGTTAGCATGAGCCACAGGAAAGGTTTTTGAGCCATCTAGGAAGACTGTAATTGAAGCAGCCTCTGTATTATCATGGAAACATGCTGTCACCTGTCTGCCGGCTCACCTTGTTGACATGAGCCAGCAACCAGGCTTGCAACAGCTCCTTCCTTCCCTGGCTCCTCTCGTAGCTTCTTCCAACCCTGGGGACAGTTGTGTGTGTAGCCTCAGTTACTGCAGAACACCCATACCACTGAAGTCACGGAAACAAGAACATATATAAATTTTATCTCCTTGGGCTCCAGTCCATGCTTGTAAGGCCCAGCTTGTTCTTTTTCTCCTCTCACTCTACATCTTTGTATCCATCCTCCTCTCCCAGCTGTCTGCCCCGTGGACTTCAAGTTCCATCATCAGACTTGAAAATGGCAGCCTAGAAGATGCTGCTTGATCAGCCCTCACAATCCAAAAAGGCAAAGTATCTACAACAAATCATTTCATAGATGGACATGGATCTCTCTCTATAGCTATATTTACATGCATGCATGTGTGCATGTGTGTGTACACACAGACAGGCACACACACACATACATATGTAATGTATATTCATCAGAGACACAGAACAACTACACATATATGTGTATATGCTCATATACATATATATAAAACCATTATAAATATATGTCTATATCCACATCAGTAGGGATTCTACTTCTCTGATAAACCTCAGCGTGGGTTATTAGCATTGATTCATTACACTATAAGATGCTGTAAGCAGGGACTCTAAGGGACTCTGCAGAAACCATTGGATTAGCAAGGACTAACACATTGACACTTAGTGGATGCTACATAAAACATAGCATATTAAAATATTTTACATTTCAAAATATATTTTAAAATTTTTGTTCAGAAAGACTGAACAAAAGAATGGGAAAATTCCCTCGGGAAAATTCTCACAAAATAATGTAAAATAATATAAAGTGATATAAACAGGATATAAAAATAAAAACGTAAGTTGAAGTAGCTATAGGACAATCAATTGTTTACATAACCTCTAGCATGTGGCACCTGACTTTAGGAAACAAGTCAGTGCTAACGTGTACAGGTATAAATTATTAGAACTCATGTTGTCATGGAAGCTGTGGACATTAATAAAAAGTTATATGTTTCACATAACTGAGAAATAGGAATTGAAATTTGGGGATGATCAATATTTAGGGGCAGGCAGAGAAATGTCTCCCAAGGGGGCTTAAAATGAAAGTCAGAGAGGTTGTTAGAGAAATAAATAAAAGATGACAGTGCAGTGAAAGTGGAGAGAGGAGACAGAGTTAAGAATGAGGGTGTGGCAAACAGCTTTAAATATGACAGAAACAATGAATGAAATAAACAAAGAAGGATTTCCATTTGGCACACCTTTGCAGATGTTAGAAAGCACCATTTCAGTGGGATAATAATGGCAAAATCCAAATTTTATTGATTAATGAGTGAATTAGTGGTGAGCCATTGAAGGCATTATGTGGATCAGTTATTCAAGAAATGTATGTTTAAAAGGAACATGGTGGGCTGCAGTTGCAGAGCTGGGGAACTTTATTCTTGATATTTTTAGACATGGAAACACCTAAGAAGATTAATGTATGTGCTGGGTAGAGATAAAGAAATTAGAAGCAGTTGTTAAAGACAAAAGAGAGCAAAAGCATTCAATAGAAGAAGGTCTCGGAAGAAGAAGGAGATTAGCTATAAAATAGTGGGGTTTTAGGAGGCTAAATAATGTGATCTCTCTCTCACTTTGCTATCACCGTCTCAACCAAATGATTAAACTTAGCATCATCCATGGCAGAAAAAGCTGACATGATACACCTTTTGATGTCATCCAATAAGAAATACTCAACATTGACTTTTAATATTAATATCCTCTGATTAAAGTTGATTAATTTAAAACCAATCTTGAGCAAACTCTACAAAAAAAAAAAAAAAAAAAAAAAAAAACCCAGAATGTGGAGTGGTCTACAAGTCAACTGGCTTGCACTCTTCCTAACAGTTGATTTCATGAAAAGCAATGTTACTAGCTCACTAACTCAACCATCAATTAACTAACTAAATCAATCAATCAATGTGAAGGGATTGTTCTTCATCTAAAGAAATAAAGGAAATATGACAAGGATATTTAGTATGTAAGCCTTGGTTGGATTCTAAAGTGAACATTTCATTTAAAAGACTATAACATATTTTTAATTTGAACATTTTGTGCATATTTCTTACATGACACAATAAAACTTTTGCTATTTTCAGGCACAATCATGGTATTGTGGTCAGCAGGAGAATAGACTTATCCTTAGAAGATGCATACTGACTTGAAGGGTGAAATGTCATGGTGTAGAGATAGGTAGATGGAGACAGAGTTAGCAAATGTAGCAAATGTTAACACCTAGTGAATTCTGGTAAAAAGCATAGTGGTGTTTATTGTACTATTTGTTAAAATTTCCTTAGATTTCTAAGCTTTCAAAATTAAGCAATGCAAGAAGATAAAATTCCTCTTTTCCTTTTTCTTTCTGGGTTTGGATACTAATGGAGACATGGGGGACAGTGTGTGGGGAGGAGATGTATTGATATTCAGTTTACCTTAATTAGTCATGGATTTGGTCTTTTCAAATTCACCTACTTGCTAACATTTATTTGTAACTCCCAAATTCATACCTGTGGCATTTTCACAGTACCACTCTGCCATTCACAAAGCTGTGGAAAATGGGAGTCCATCATCTGCATGTTCCCTGCTGAGGTGGAGACAGGTGAGGTACCTTCTCTTCATCAGCTTACACTGTAAACACACGTCCTTTCCATGGCCCAGGTAGTGCTGTGAGTTTCACACTTTTTTCTTTTTATTGGTGATTTCACTGTTTCAATGCCCTGTGAGCCTAGGGCTGAGGTGCCTTCTAGTGTCCCTAAGCATCAGTGGTCTGTGATGTTCCCTATGGAGAAAATGCCTGGGATGAATAACCTTTGTTTAGATGCGAGTTATGGCGCTGATTGCGGGAGTTCAGTGTTAATGAAGCAACAATATGCAGTAACCAAGGTGTCTTTGAACAGAGACACACATGAAGCAAGGTCATGTACTGACCAGCTAATGAAAATGTAGATCAGAGGCTCACAGGAATCTAAGCCTGTACTTCCCCTATGGACAGTGAGTACTTCAGTGTTCGCGACCCCTTAGTAGAACACAATTATTGCGAAGACTGGGAATCAACTGTAATATATGTAAGTCAATGTGGCTTTGGCATTGCCTTCAACTGGGCTTGCTACTCACCAGAATTCAATGTTTTAATCCATGCAGTCGTTTACTCTCCACACCCTACCTCACCCCCAAACAACAAATAAACAGAAAAAGACAAGAGCAGAGCTTGCTCTGCTAAATGGACCACACAGAGAGAAAACAGGCAAGCCAGGACACAGGCTCCTTCAGCAAGGGTGCAGAGAGGGCACCCAGCAGCGGAGCGGGCTGGCAGGAGGTGCACATCTGCCCAGTGCAGGAGGAAAGAGCCACCGCAGCTGATGCCCTTCCAAGGGAAACGCGGGATCCAGGAGCTGCTGCAGTTTCCCTTTAACTCTGCGCCCCGGGAGGAAGAGAATTTTTCTTCTGCAAGAGAAAGAAAGACTGTGGTGTGATACCCCACAGGTCTAGATAGTGGTTATGAATCTGATGTCCTTAAGGCAAAGCTAGGAAAAAAAGGGCACAGCTGCCAGAGAAAGGCCAAGGGTGCCACAGATGAGTGGATGCAACATAGCACCCCTCTGAACACAATGATGGGCTGTCAGGACAAAAACTGGCAAACCTAATGACCACTCCCCAGAGTGTCTGCAGCCCAGAAGCCCTGGAGGTCACACATCTGGAGGTCCCAGAGGCTTTGGCCTGAATCCTGGACTTTTTCTGTGACATCAGAGACTTGGTATTTGTAGACCTGGGGTTAGGTGGAGCCCTTCATGGGGACCACTCAGGCCTTGCCTTAGCAATAGCAGAATTTAATAGAAATGTGTCCCTGGAACATTGTTTCACAGCAAGCATTTCTGGGGAGGGTTTTCCCCGTTAAGTTTCTGTGCTGTGTGCAGGAGGAGGTGCAGTCCAAAGAAGTATCAGGCCCTCCTCCCTGACACGGGGCCTTTTCAAGGATGGAAAACTGTGGGTTTTATTATCTATGAGATTATTTCATATTTATATATACTTAGGGCAGAAAGACTGCAAGGCTTGGCTTTAGGCCTAGATATTTAATGAAAAAACCTTCTAAGTAGGTGACTTTCCTGGGGTCTTTGTTTGGTAATTAGTCTTCAGCATTGGTCACAGATTCATGGCTGGCTGCTCTAGGCACAAGCTGCTCCTTAATACATAAGAATGTTAGTGAATTTCTCCAGAAAATGCTTTCTTGGCCCTCTCCTCCCAGATAAAATTTGTATCTCTGTGTCCTGTGATATATATTATTAATTAAATTAGAGAGTCATAATTATATGTTCCAGAGTGGAAAGAAACAATAGGTTGGGATTCAACAATGGAAGCATAAATATCTTCCATAAAAGATGTTTTCTGTTTATTCAATAGGGGTCCTTGCTAACCCACTGCCAATGCCACCTACCCCCTCCAAAAAAAACCTCATTTCATCATCATTTGACTTTCATAAAAGACATACATGGAAATGACTAGGATTGACTTAGTCCATTCCTCTGGCCAGGGAGTTCTTTAGGTCTTTGAGTAACACATCCTGATTTACTGACATGAGAAGTCCATTGATGAGTTTCTAAGATAGATTTTCTCTTTCAATAAAAAGTTGCCCAAAAGTCGTGCTCTTCCCTGGCACTATTGTGTGTATGCCAAGAACTGCCGCACTTTGGGGTCCATGAGGACCACATGGCCCAAAAAGGTTGCAGAGCAGAGGAAATAGAAGCAGTTGGCCCCTAAATTCATCAACTCTAGAACCACCTACTTCTGGATTTCTAGATACGTGAGTTAATGAACTCTTGTAATAGCCGTTCTTATAACTGGATCTTCTGGCACTTGCAGCTGAAAGCAATTTTATAATACACAGTTTCATCTTTTGTGAGAAAGAACAAAAGGAACGAAGGCATGAACAGATAACTTGCTTTAGTTGCACATTTATCTAACTTTACTGAAAACTGTGTTGTTGATATGTGATTTCAGTTAACAGAGAGAACCCATTCTATTTATAAACTTCGTTGCCAGAAACTTTATATTACAATCATCCTGAAATATTGTATAACATGTTTACTGACACTGAAAATATGTCCAATAGAGTACGGTGGTCACATGCCATATTTTGATAATAAATTTTAAAATTTGTTATAGTAACATGTTTTCAAAGAACAAATAACCACTTCATTCAAGGACACACACACACACACACACAGAGAGAGAGAGAGAGAGAGAGAGAGAAAGAGAGTATGTATGTAAACCATAGATGGGAGAAGTATATTTTTTTCTCTTGAGGTAGCAGAAAGCCAGAACTAAAGAGAGAAAATTGTGCAGAAAAATAATGCTCAGGATTCAAAAAAAAAATGTCTTTTAATCACATAGATGAACAAAAACCATTCACAGAAGCACTTATGCAGCAAGCTTCACACAAAAGTTTAAGATTTTTAAAAGTAGTTTTTGTTATAGAATAATTTGTAACACTTGAGATATTACCACATTATCCTGAGATCCACCATCATTTTTTGCCCACTCTTTCAACTTGTAATATTTCAGTTTTATTTTGTTTTAATACTTTCTGTTTCCAGAGTGTTTTAAAATATTGTGCCGTACCTTCTTTTCACTAAATTTAATGATTCCTTTCATGTTTAGAATCTGTTCTTTTGAAAATTAACTAACTTGCCTCTTTCCTTTCTTTCTTTCCTTTCTTCTTTCTTTTTTTTCCTTCTTCTCTGAGTTGTGTTTCAGGGACAAAATGCTACCAACTTGCAAAACTCTAATGTGAGATTCCTCCACATGAGTATGTGTGCTTTTCAATATCCCTCTTTCCATCTGCCACTTATATCTCAGTTTGCAAGAGAAGATCACATTCAATTCTGCTTCCTGGCCTTCCTTAGAAGTTATTTGACTTGGAAATGACAGAACTTTCAGTTTCTGATTAAATGCAGATCTAGTATCAATGCAAGAAAAATTATTATTTTTTCTTTTGAGTGATTTATGCATAATGGATTAGGTTTCAAAAACTATAAAATAGTCTAATTAATTCATTTCTGAATTCTGAGTATCTTCTAAGGTCAGTTTATCTTACCTATGTCTAAGTATAGAAATACCCACCTAAGCTTTTCCACTGGCATTTGTTCTTGTGGCCATTTGAAAACTTTATTTTATTAAATCCATAATATTCACTGACAAGAATTTTGATGATTATTCATAAGATTAATTAGCTATCATTGTTTCAAGATATTATTCCATTAATGATTTCATTGATTTTTGTAGCATTTATTTGAGTCTAAAATCTACACATCAGGGGTTAATTTTATGCTGCTTTGCACTGTTTATTATTATTAATATATACCAGTCTGTTTTTTTTTCTTCAATCACTTTGTAAGTCCTTAAGAACAGAGATTGTGACAATTATGTCTGGACCCAAATGCTCAGGCAGAAATCCAACCAAAAAATGCTTATATGCTTAGAAAGCCCTTCACTCCTCTCCGTAGAAGTGTGAATGCTTTGGCGTCCCTTGCAGGCATTTACAAACATGTTTCTTTTTGTTTCTTGGGGCTTATTTTATACCAACAGATCATTAATACGAGTGTGTGTGTGTGCACACATGTGCATTACCTAGTTATACAACTGGAAAGAGGCAGAGATGAACATCTCTTGACTGCGCCAGTCTCAAGGCCGAGGTTTTCTTCCTTAGATGTCCTGCCTATGTCAGTAAATGAAAGAATATTGGGTCAAACCATATGAAAAGCAAATCAGACCTTAAATTTCTTCTGAAAGTCAGTGAAAGTGAAAAGCAACCTAATAGTAAATGAGCCAAGATTATAAGCAGAGTAATCATGAAAAAAATATATTAGAAAGCCCACTAAATCATGCCAGGTGCTCATCTTTAGCAGTGAATAGAGACACGCAGCGTATGCAGTAGGGTCCCATATCTTATGTACCATGTGGAGACGGTGAGAAAGGCGATCATGTGAGGTGCCGAGTGGACTTGGAGAACTGTGTCTCTACGACTCTTCATGGGAGTGTTAACTGTTTTGTTTAATCAGAATGCAGTATTATAAAATCTAGGAATGTATTTTACAAAAAAGTAAATGAAGGCACAGCAATTTATTTAAAAAGCTATTTATTGCCAGATTGCTTATAATAGAAATAAATAAATTACTATCCACCAGAGTGGCTATGGAAAGCAGAGTGCATACTTACTGTGGGATATTATGCAGTTATGATGAGAACAACAGAGGCCTGTAGGTATGGTCTTGGAAACATTTACAAGATATGTTGTTGAATAACAAAATCAAAAAGATGTCACATTCTCCTACTCACCCTCACTCTTCTATCTGAATATATTTATAGGTTTATATATGCACACACATATACAAATGCACATATATTTATGATATTTTCATATAAAAATGAGCCCCAAGAAACAAAATGAAACATGCATTTTTTAATGCTTGACAGACCTGCCAAACTGTCCACACATCTAAGAAAAAGGAATCAAAGAGGATTTTCAAGTTTTGATTGTTATATTATGCATTATTTAATTCTTTAGATGAGAATACATTTATATATTACGTAATAAAACAACAACAGTGAAAGTTTATCAGATGGTCTAAGGGAGGGAGTTTGCATTCAAGTTAAGCAAAAGAGAACAATTAAGCAGAAGAGAATACACTTATATATCAAGTAATAAAACAGCAACAGCAAGAGTTTATCAGATGGTTTAAGGGAGGGAATTTGCATCCAAGTTAAGCAGAATAGAACATGGAATTCAGAGATGAGGCAACCGGAGAGAACTGGAAGCCCCAAGTGGAAAAACAGAGCTCAGAGTGAAAGCTGTGGGCAGGGGCACAGTGGGGCAGGAATGTTTCTCACATAGTGAAGCATCATCTCTTGACTTAGAAAAAAAATCTTATACAAAAGTGTGTTGATCTTTAGAAATGGATAAACTACATTTGCTTCAAAAATTTGATGAGATACATGCAAGTGTAGGCTTCAAATGTTCTGAACTGAATGAACTCTAGGTTACTGGCTGATGAAAAACTTTATATTCATGTATTTAATATTCTAAATTTTTATAAATATTCATGTATTTAATATTCTAAATTTTTAACTTAGGAAACTATCCTGAAGGTCCTTTATATAGTAATTTGGGATTTTTACTGAGGCTCCACTTTGAACAATGCACACTTACACCCTGAAGTTCAGAGCCTGTCATTACCTAGTGTCTGCCCATAGACCGAGTGTGGTCATACACTGAGGAAGGACAGTGAGGACACAGACAGAAGGCAGCTGCTGCCTGCAGGCCAGGAAGAGGGCTCTCACCAAAATCTGCCTCATCTAGCATCTTCATCTTGGATTCTGTTGCCTCTGGATTTTTGAGAAAATAAATTTCTCTTGTTTAAGCCACCTAGTCCATAGTATTTAGTTATGGCAGCCCAAAGAGAGTAATACAATCTCATATACATTTTATCTGAGAAATTAAATGCAACAGTGATATGAGGAATACATAAAAAATAGATTATACACTACTGTAAGCGAAAAGGGTTTTCTTTCCTCAAATATTTTAATAAGGAGTTTCAAAAGCTTCTTACCCTGTCTTCATAAATCATTCAGTGTAGTGTCTCCCACTTAAGGGAAAAATAATGATGTCAAAAACTTATAATTAAAACACTTAATTTTAATAATCATTATTACTTTCCAAAACAGTAGTTCAATATACATTTTTTTTTGTAAAATTAAGGGTTTTAAGCATTATAAAAAATCTAGTACAGTGCTTAAGACAACTATGTATATTCAAAGAAAATTAAACCAAAATTTATTAAAGGTGTAAGATAAAATATTATCACATTTTAAGTATAGTTTTGGAAAACTGCTCATGATCTATAGAATCCTGTCAACAGAATAGTCTATGGCATTAGTATGACCCACTTTTAGACTTGAACAGAATCTCTCTTTGAAAAATTGAGAGGAGTGTAGGATGAATTTCAGTGGCATCCAACAAAAGCTTCATTGTATTTGTTTAATACATTTTTTAAGAATGGTGTCTAGAGTCTTTTTCTGCTTGAAAACAGAATTCAGGAAACAAATCTATAGAAAAGGTGTCTTATTCTCTGTCGCCATGCTAGTGCGTTTTCCTTATAGTTCACACTGGTTATACACCTGTTCTTAGGGAGAGACACTGCTGAGATTTCTTTATTCAGTTTGTTATTCAGTTTTGGAGAATAAAAGTGTTCTGATTTTTCACTACAGTAGAAAGGTTGGCATTAGTGATGTCCTCTAGGATATGAGGAGGTGACTGGTGAGTTTCAAGGGGTGTGCTATAGGAGTTTGTGTTGTCTGGGCACCTTCCATCTCTCTTTCATGGGTGTCCTTTGCTCTCTTCTAAATGAAGTTCCAGTGGTTGGGCTCCTGTTGGCTCTGCTGGAAAGAATTTGAATGTACAGTCATGCACTACATAATGATGTTTTTTTAACATCAACTACCTATATGATGATGGTCCCATAAGATTATAATGGAGCCAAAGAATGCCAGTGGTTAGACCTCTGTAGCTGTTGTAACATCATAGCACAACACATTACTCAGGGGTTGTGGTGATGCTGGTGGAAACAAAGCTACTGCATTGCCAGTCCTATAAAAGTCTAGCACAAGGATCAGATAGTTGTAGATATGTGGCGTTATTTCTGAGGGCTCTGTTCTGTTCCATTTATCTATATCTCTGTTTTGGTACCAGTACCATGCTGTTTTGGTTACTGTAGCCTTGTAGTATAGTTTGAAGTCAGGTAGTGTGATGCCTCCAGCTTTGTTCTTTTGGCTTAGGATTGACTTGGCGATGTGGGCTCTTTTTTGGTTCCATATGAACTTTAAAGTAGTTTTTTCCAATTCTGTGAAGAAAGTCATTGGTAGCTTGATGGGGATGGCATTGAATCTGTAAATTACCTTGGGCAGTATGGCCATTTTCACGATATTGATTCTTCCTACCCATGAGCATGGAATGTTCTTCCATTTGTTTGTATCCTCTTTTATTTCATTGAGCAGTGGTTTGTAGTTCTCCTTGAAGAGGTCCTTCACATCCTTTGTAAGTTGGATTCCTAGGTATTTTATTCTCTTTGAAGCAATCGTGAATGGGAGTTCACTCATGATTTGGCTCTCTGTTTGTCTGTTGTTGGTGTATAAGAATGCTTGTGATTTTTGTACATTGATTTTGTATCCTGAGACTTTGCTGAAGTTGCTTATCAGCTTAAGGAGATTTTGGGCTGAGACGATGGGGTTTTCTAGATATACAATCATGTCGTCTGCAAACAGGGACAATTTGACTTCCTCTTTTCCTAATTGAATACCCTTTATTTCCTTCTCCTGCCTAATTGCCCTGGCCAGAACTTCCAACACTATGTTGAATAGGAGTGGTGAGAGAGGGCATCCCTGTCTTGTGCCAGTTTTCAAAGGGAATGCTTCCAGTTTTTGCCCATTCAGTATGATATTGGCTGTGGGTTTGTCATAGATAGCTCTTATAATCTTGAGACATGTCCCATCAATACCTAATTTATTGAGAGTTTTTAGATGAAGCGTTGTTGAATTTTGTCAAAGGCCTTTTCTGCATCTATTGAGATAATCATGTGGTTTTTGTCTTTGGTTCTGTTTATATGCTGGATTACATTTATTGATTTGCGTATATTGAACCAGCCTTGCATCCCAGGGATGAAGCCCACTTGATCATGGTGGATAAGCTTTTTGTTGTGCTGCTGGATTCGGTTGCCAGTATTTTATTGAGGATTTTTGCATCAATGTTCATCAAGGATATTGGTCTAAAATTCTCTTTTTTTGTTGTGTCTCTGCCAGGCTTTGGTATCAGGATGATGCTGGCCTCATAAAATGAGTTAGGGAGGATTCCCTCTTTTTCTATTGATTGGAATAGTTTCAGAAGGAATGGTACCAGTTCCTCCTTGTACCTCTGGTAGAATTCAGCTGTGAATCCATCTGGTCCTGGACTCTTTTTGTTTGGTAAGCTATTGATTATTGCCACAATTTCAGCTCCTGTTATTGGTCTATTCAGAGAATCAACTTCTTCCTGGTTTAGTCTTGGGAGAGTGTATGTGTCGAGGAATTTATCCATATCTTCTAGATTTTCAAACCTGAGAAAAACAAGCAATGGGGAAAGGATTCCCTATTTAATAAATGGTGCTGGGAAAACTGGCTAGCCATATGTAGAAACTGAAACTGGATCCCTTCCTTACACCTTATACAAAAATCAATTCAAGATGGATTAAAGACTTAAACGTTAGACCTAAAACCATAAAAACCCTAGAAGAAAACCTAGGCATTACCATTCAGGACATAGGCATGGGCAAGGACTTCATGTCTAAAACACCAAAAGCAATGGCAACAAAAGCCAAAATTGACAAATGGGATCTAATTAAACTAAAGAGCTTCTGCACAGCAAAAGAAACTACCATCAGAGTGAACAGGCAACCTACAAAATGGGAGAAAATTTTTGCAACCTACTCATCTGACAAAGGGCTAATATCCAGAATCTACAATGAACTCAAACAAATTTACAAGAAAGAAACAAACAACCCCATCAAAAAGTGGGCTAAGGACATGAACAGACACTTCTCAAAAGAAGACATTTATGCAGCCAAAAAACACATGAAAAAATGCTCACCATCACTGGCCATCAGAGAAATGCAAATCAAAACCACAATGAGATACCATCTCACACCAGTTGGAATGGCAATCATTAAAAAGTCAGGAAACAACAGGTGCTGGAGAGGATGTGGAGAAATAGGAACACTTTTACACTGTTGGTGGGACTGTAAACTAGTTCAACCATTGTGGAAGTCAGTGTGGTGATTCCTCAGGGATCTAGAACCAGAAATACCATTTGACCCAGCCATCCCATTACTGGGTATATACCCAAAGGACTATAAATCATGCTGCTATAAAGACACATGCACACGTATGTTTATTGTGGCATTATTCACAATAGCAAAGACTTGGAACCAACCCAAATGTCCAACAATGATAGACTGGATTAAGAAAATGTGGCACATATACACCAGGGAATACTATGCAGCCATAAAAAATGATGAGTTCATGTCCTTTGTAGGGACATGGATGAAATTGGAAATCATCATTCTCAGTAAACTATCATAAGAACAAAAAACCAAACACCGCATATTCTCACTCATGGGTGAGAATTGAATAATGGGAACACATGGACACAGGAAGGGGAACATCACACTCTGGGGTCTGTTGTGGGGTGGCGTGAGTGGGGAGGGATAGCACTGGGAGATATACCTAATGCCAGATGACGAGTTGGTGGGTGCAGCGCACCAGCATGGCACATGTATACATATGTAAATAACCTGCACATTGTGCACATGGACCCTAAAACTTAAAGTATAATAATAATAATAATAATAATAAAAAGATGTCTAGCACATACAATTATGCACAGTACCTAATACTTGATAATGGTAATAAATGACGTTACTTTTTAATGTATTTACCATATTTTTATAATTATTTTCGTGTGTACTCCTTCTACTTACTAAAAACAAAACTTACTGTAAAACAGCCTCAGGCAGGCCCTTCAGCTCCCTTGCCTGCTATTTCCCCTGAAGACCTTCCAGTGGGACAAGATATGGAGGTGGAAGGCAGTGATATTCACGATTCTGACCCTGTGTAGGCCTAGGCTAATGTGTGTGTTTGCGTCTTAGTTTTTAATAAAAACCTTAAAAGGTAAAAAAATTAGAAAAATTAAAAATAAGGCCTGGTGCAGTGGCTCACGCCTATAATCCCAGCACTTTGGGAGGCAGAGGCGAGAGGATCACGAGGTCAGGAGATCGAGACCATCCTGGCTAACATGGTGAAACCCCGTCTCTACTAAAAATATAAAAAATTAGCTGGGTGTGGTGGCATGCACCTGTATTCCCAGCTATTCGGGAGGCTGAGGCAAAAGAATCTTTTGAACCCGGGAAGCAGAGGTTGCAGTGAGCAGAGATCGCATCACTGCACGCACTCCAGCCTGGGCGATAGAGCAAGACTCTATCTAAAAAAAAAAAAAAATAATTAATTGATTAATTAAAAATAAAAATAACATTAAAAATATATAAAGAAAAAATGTTTATATATAGGTATACATTGTGCTTCTATTTTAAGCTGTGTTATTACAAAAGAGTAAGCAAGTAAAAAAAAGTTAAAGTTTATTAAGTAGAACAGTTATGGTAAGGTAAGGTCGATTGATTATTGAAGAAATGGATGTTTAATAAATTAAGTGTAGTCTAAGTGCACAGTGTTTATGAAGTGTACGGCAATGCACAGTAATTTTCTAGATCTTCACATTCACTCACCACTCCCTCACTGACTCACCCAGAGCAACCTCCAGTCTTGCAAGGTCCATTCATGGCTATGCCCTATACAGGTGTACCATGTTTTATCTTTTATAGTGTATTTTTACTGTACCTTTTCTATGTTTAGATATTTTTAGATGCACAAATAATTCCTATTGTGTTACAGTTGCTACAGTATTCAGGATGGTAACCTGCTGTACAGGTTTGTAGCCAAGCAGCAATAGGCTGTGCCATATACCCTGGATGTGTAATAGGCATTACCTTCCAGGTTTGTGTGAGTACACTATATGATGTTCACACAATGACAAAATCGCCTAATGACACATTTCTCAGAACACATCCCTGTCATTAAGTGACACGTGACTGTACTCGTAAGTGTTTTCAGGAGGCAAATAGAGTTCCTCAGAGCCACTTGATTCCTGGATGCTTATTTCAGACTCATTGTTCATTTCCTCTCCTTTATAGAATCTTTGCCCATTGTATTTGTTCAGAAAGGAGGAATATTAATATCCACTGTCAAATTGAAATTGTAAGCATTGCTAAAACTAAAAGAATTATGCAATTTTTCACAAATCGTTTTTTAAGAAATTTTTAATTGTGCTTCCTTTATACCTTGATATAGCCTTCAATTTTCTCGCTCTGTTAGCTTTTCTGTTCTCTTTTTATTCCTATGTTTAATGTTATTTTTTCAGATTTAGACTGAATCATCTGTTTTAGTAAACATCTCTGGGTGCATCAGCTTTGGTCATAAGTTTTGCTTCTTGTTCCACTGACAGATATTCTGTTCCTCAGTTTCAGGCATATTATGTTTACTAGCAGGTCTCAAAATCTAATTCTTTCAATTCAAAAGAGTTCCCTACCAAATGATTGGTGTCAAAGGCATTCGATGTAGCACAATTACATAGATTGTTCAAACTTTTCAACCTGAAGCATACAGATACAGTTCTAGGTAAGACATCAGTAAATTAATTTTCCCCTGAACTAGAAGATGCAAAATTAAATCCAAGTGTGTCTTGAAGAGTAGCAAACATTGCTTTTCTATTTGGAATGATTCTCCTTGTCCTGGAATGTCAGCTTCCAGAAGAAGAATTTGCAAATCTCACAAATACAACCCTAGAGTTGTTATCATCATTGGAGTCCATGCCAGACGAATTCACTAACTTCCCTGGTTCTGAGCCGGTTATTTTGTTAGCTACAACGAAAGCTTGCTTTCTTTTTTTTTTTTTTCAACATATCTAGCCAGTACTTGAGTTAGAAAGTTTATTTCTCCGCTGTAAATGGATATCTTGTGCTTCTCTCACATTGGAATTTTTATTTCCCAAGCTAATGCCAACATTCTGTTGTTGCCCTGACATTTTTTCAGGAGCTGAAAAGTGCTGGTGATTCTCTGGCGTGGTACAGCTACGAGAGTTGTATTTGCCAATGTCTGCCAGTTTTTATTCTGTTCTCTTTCATATTTTTTTTTTGTTAACATCTTCTAGATTGTACTAAAAAGACTTTTCAAGACAACTTTCCCTCATCATCTTCTTCCCTGGCCACCACCTCTATTGTCAGGCCCCTCCTGCTCACCGGCAGTACTCTGCTATTGGAAACTCTGGCCAAGATCCAGCCCTGGCCCAGCCCCAGCCACCCGAGTCTGTGGCTCCATCTCCCATTACAGTTTCCATGACCGCATTTCAACTTACCTTCTGCACTTGCGCGATGGTCTCTTGGCAGGCTATGATCACTGAACTTTTAACACAGATTACCTCAATCCTGGTCAAGGATGAAAGGGAAAGGGGTAACAGTACTTTGGCCCATCAGATATTACCAACAGTGCTAATCAGATTCAGAGTGATTTTCTTGTTACATACCCATGAGCTAACTAGTTGAGAGAGAAAGGAGGAGAGGGAGGGAGTGGGTGGGCCAGGAGGGGCAGAAAGAAAGTTGAGGGCTGATTCTTTGGGGGAAAAAATGGAGAGATGATACAAGACACCGGGATGAAAAGGACTTTCTGTGGTTTTAAATCAAGCCAGCACCTGGGACAGCAGGTTAGGAGGGAGATGTTAAGCATTTGCACATCAGCTCGTCATCCAGTGACAGAAAACACACTCTCCTCTGTTCCTACCAGGAGTCCACATCTTTGTGCTGGGCAGGCACATCCACACTCATGCCTGCCTTTGCGTGAGATTGAGATTCTGAGGTCCTTCATCACTAACTCCAACCCTTGACCATGTGGAGCATATCAAAGAAAGTAAAGTAACCAAGCTCTGCCCTGGAATTACATAAAGGGTAAGAAAATAGGATTCTTTCTCTCTCTGAGCATCTGTTTGAGGAAAGAAACCACAGCAATGTTCTTATAGCAGTGGGATCTATATTCTTTTATTCAATATCCAGTCCCATACCCTGAAAAGTTTCCTGTTTCTCTTGGTAGCAGATGTGATTCTTGTAAAGTGGGGTGGGTGTTACTTGAGATACAAAGTTTACCTAATGCTAGAAATTCAGTGTAGACTCACTGTAATTTTAGACGAGACGGTAGGGCAGCGGAGGTGGCACAGAGTTCACTGAAGCAGAAATCATGATATTGCTCCTGCTTACCCTTAGAACTTGCCTATGCTCTTTGGAAGTTTTCAGGAAGCTCTGTGTGCTAGAATTATCGAAAGTCAGCAGGGTTTTCACATGTGCACCCTTGGAAGAAAAGCACAAGGATGGAATTCATTTGTGGTCATGCACCTGACTTCTCATTTTGATGGAAAAATGAAGCCTCTTTCCCTGTTACTTTTAGACAGCTGAACTTTCTTCAGTGAGGCCCCCTTGTTTATGCCAGGTTTGGATATCAATAATATCAGAAATTTCTAAAGACAGTGCATTGCGTGCAGGGTATGTGCAATAATGCAAGGAAGATTGAATAGGTGACTGTCATCAGAATTGGAACTCAAGCAAAATAACTTGTTTTTGACACCACAAACATCAGGGAACTTTACACCCATCACATATCTTGCTGTTGCCTGTGTAGGTTTGCAGGCCAAATGTTGGTCCTTCAAGAGCATTTCTGGCTTTCTTGAACAAGAAATTTCAATGTAAAATACAGTTATATTTTTAAAAACCATTTATGTGAAAGTAATTACAGTTGGGATTGTTCCTAATGATTCATCAGCATTTTAGTGTTTTATAAGAGAATGTTTGCCTGCAAGAAAATTGACTACACAACTTTTATATTCCCTAGACATTGTTGCTTTAGTTGGGAAACACACACACAACACAATGTTGTCTTGATAAACCACAGCAAAGTCATTTCTGATATGGCAAGATATAATTCTACATACTTAGGGACTGATCATGTTTTCAGAGCCTAATTGCCCAGCATTTAATGAATGGATATTCGTAAGTGTAATTTCCAATTTAATTCTATACAATTATAATTTCATAATAATTTTAAAAGGATTGCTAGAGATAGACAAGAGTTAGGTTCTAATATATTCTGTCAAATACATCCCTTTCAGTAGAGTCTATGTCCATATAATTCAGTAAGACTAATGCTGAAGAAAGTGCTTGGTAACATTTTGGGTCTGTTTCATTCATCCCATTTCTGGCTATGTTTCACTTTGTGTTTACCTCCATTCCTCCCTCCCTCCCTAATCCATCATTTCCTTCCATCCACCAGCACAGACCTGATGCCTAAGCTGAAGAGACATGTATTACACAATATAAAATTGAGTCTTCTAGAGATTTATTGTACAATTCTAATTTTAAATTAATACATGCTCTTAGAATCTTAGAGAATATATCAAAATATAGAATAATATAAATCAATAAGCCCAACTTGCACATATTTTCACTCTTTACTTGTTTCACATTTTTACAATAAACATTTACTAGGCACCAATAATGTACAGTGGTATCTTGGGAAACCGCAAGAGACAACCTCCCTTCAAGAACCATAGTTTAATGAGAAGAGAAGAAATGGACATTGCTATGCTAAGTGACAATAAAGACATAAAACACTATGACAAAATGAAAGGGTACAATATTTTAACCTAGGAACATTGTGAAGTTTGTTTCTTTGGAGAGAGAATCTGTGCAACTAGAATTTATGGGACTAGAGGGGCATTCATGGAATTAGAGTAGAGAGTCAGGCAGAAAGATCATCAAAATGATAATCTCCAGGGGAGAAAGCATGGATTTAGCAGGACATCATTACAATCCCTTTGAGTATAGGTCACATAAACCAGTGATCAACTAAAGAGAAAAGTCAACTGGAGAACGGGGAGGGTCCTGAGTCAGGCAGACATTAAGGGAAGAAGTAATATATGCCAATATTTATTAAGATTAGTCTGTGGTGTCTCACGCCTGTAATCCCAGCACTTTGGGAGGCTGAGGCAGGCAGATCATGAGGTCAGGAGTTTGAGACCAGCCTGGCCAACATGGCGAAACCCCATCTCTACTAAAAATACAAAAAAAAAAAAAAAAAAATCTGGGTGTGGTGGCAGGCACCTGTAATCCCAGCTACTCGGGAGGCTGAGGCAGGGAAATCACTTCAACCTGGGAGGTAGAGGTTGCAGTGAGCCAAGATATTGTTGCCATTGCAGTCCAGCCTGGGCAACAAGAGCAAGACTCCATCTCAAAAAAAAAAAAAAAAAAAGATTAGTCTGTGGTGTGAAAATGATTAAGGCAAGAACAGCAGGTAGGAGCCCATTGCAATAGTCCAGAAAGGAAGGTATGATATTTGTATTTAGAGAAATGACAGAATTAACACAGAGGGTGAATACATGTAAAAAGGCATTGTGATTATAGATTTGACAAGAATTTCAAGCAATGGTGACAAGGGAGAAATGAGTTTTGCAGCTAAAGTTACGTTTTTTGCTATTGAGGACTAGGTTTAGATTTAACCATTAACAGATATGGAGGAACAGAATGGAGGGATCGGAAATGGAGAAAAGCTAAACCTTTATTAAAAGTAACTTTTAAATTTATTTTAGCATAGTTTTGCATAAAAGTCACAAAAGAGTCCCTATATGAACCCTATGCTTCATATTCCTTGTTGTTTACATCTTACATTAGCATGATACATCTGCCATAATGTAAGAACTAATCCATTATTCATAAGGGAACCTCACACTTTATTCAGACTTCCTTAGTTTGAGCTATTTTTTTTCTATCAGGACACCACACTATATGGAGCCAGCATGTCTCCCCAGGCCCCTTGGAACTAACAGATTCTCAGATTCTTCTTCTTGACAATTTTGAGGGATGTGGGTCAGGTGTTTTGTAAAATGTCTCTCAACTGGGGTTGATTTGATTTTCTTTCTCATGAATCCACAGGGATCAAGGTTTGGGGAGGAAGACCACATCGGTAGAGAGCCACTCTGGTCACAGCATGTGAAGGCCACATACTAGCCACAGGCTTTAAGAGCCTCAAGCATCCAGCTAGAGGAGTGTGTGTCAGGCTATTCCACTGCAAAGTCACCCTTTGCTCCTCTTTGCCCTTTTCATCTGGCCTCTTTGGGAGAAGGTCACTACGCACACCCTAAGCTTTGGGGTGGGGACTTAGGCTCCACTGTGTCTGGAGGGTAAATAGGGCTTTCAATATCCATATTTCAATATAAAGCCCTGTCCTATGAAAATGTATTTGTTAGCCAGATCCATGCTCAGTCAAAATTAGGTCGTCATCCGTGTAAGCCATAAAATTACCACAGGAGAAAACTAGAAGAGGCAGCCTTTGAGGCTGTTTTTAGTATTTTGGTTAACCCACCACTTTACTTTTCTAACAAATACTGTGTAACAGCCTATTTGAAATGAAATCATGGAAACATAACCTATGTAGAAGAAAATTTCAACTCTGTATACACACACAGATATATATATCTGCATTTATATATCATATATATTATATAGGCAGATGTATACTATATATTATATCGGCATATTATATATGTAGATATATTATGTATATATCTGCATATATCATTGCTGAATCGTAACACAAAGGGAAATAATACAAAAGCAATAGCTAATGAAATAATGTATATACTTTCATATGTGAAGACTAAAGCATCACTGCCCTAGTAGACATAGCAAACTAATCTGATCCTTCTGCCTTATATTAATCAGGGAAAGCAACAGCAGTTGCTGAAATAATCATGCCTCAATTATAGCAGCTTCACAGGCCAAAGGCTGGTTTCTCTCTGGGGTCGGTTCAAGCCCCATGTGACTGTCAGGCACCCAAACCTCGTGCCCCTCCTCAGTGTTCTCCAGCAGCCTTGGCCTCTCTAGGAGACTGCAAGGACAGCATGCTGAGAAGGCACCTGCTTTTAAACACCTGGGTACAGAGGGGTGCTCTTTGGTGAAAAATGTTCTCATGGCCCCGCCTGACTTAGGGGAGGCTGGAAAATGCAGGTCAGCTGCTTGACAGAAAGGAGAAAATGGAGACAGGATTTAGTAAGCACAGAACCCTCTGTCTGCTACTGACAACCAAGTGAGCGGGTAGCCACCAACACAGACCAATAGAGGTGGACCTATGGGCACCTGCATGTTTATATGCTATTTCTGTCAGTGATGTAGTTTTTCCCTGCAATGCAGACAAATAGTTGTTAAAGTTTTAAATAAAACAAATATAAGCTTCACTCAATTTTTACAGTATTTGGAAGCATTTTTATAGTATTGGAAGATTAAGTGGATTAAAATTGTACAAGATACTTCATGTTTATGAATATGGAAAATACAGATTGATCATCTACAGGGTTAATTATAACACAGGTCACCTCTATTATGGTCTGGCTATACAACTTTTATATGAGATGCAAGCAACACCTTGTGTGCAAGCCTTCATGTTGCAGACATGTAGTGCTTGGGGCTCTCCTTACAAAACACTAGTAGCATTACTTCACTCCATGTCAATTACTGAGACAAAGCACCTCCAGCAGTTTTCAGAAGCCCCTTGGAGGTGCTGTCTCATGATTGTGAGCCATAGAATTAGTAGAGGAGGAGAGGAGACAGATAAATAGACAAATAGCATGGACAAAATGAAAAGAAAATGATGGTTACGTGGCAGAAGGAGAAAAAGTGAGATAGATTTAAAAACATAAACAATGAGGCTGTACAGTGGATATTTGGAGAGAGAAAATTTGAGAGTGGGGCTGGGAATTAATTTTTCTCAGAACATTGCCTAGGTTTGAAATTGTCCTTTATGTCAAATGGCATGTTGAATATTTCCTTGCTATTGATGGCAGTAAAAAAAAAATGACCAAGGGATGCTTTCACAATGACAAAAAGTCATCCTAAATGCCACTGGGCAATCTAATATTAATGAGGTCTTTCTACACATTATGAATATTATAGAAACTTTATTGCCCCATTTTGGTCACAGATATATTTGGCATAGACCAGATTGTCCTCAGGGATGCCTTTCATTAGCCCCCTGTTTGTATAAGAATTAACAATTTGGTGGTAGAGTGTTAACAAAAGCGTGGAAGTTATCTGTTAAAACACCACCTGCTGTACACAGTCTAAGGGTCTCTTTGCCTCTTCCCCTTGAGAGTTTGCATACAGTTCCCTTCTGCTCTTAGCTTCCCCAATCACCTGCCCATAAATCCATTCTCATGACTTGAGATGATGACTAGAAATTACTGTGCTGCAAACCAGGCGAGAGGTCTTACAAGGGGGCTGCCTGCCTGTGTGTCTTCTGGAGTGAATGGCAAACAATGGAAAAGGGACCCAGGGGCTGCTGGGGGTGGGGAAAATGAGAGTGTAGGATAAGAAGCTGCGCTTTGTGCTCTGAGGAAGCTCAGAGAAGAGCCCAGGGCACATTTCAAGTTCCAGGGACTCCAGCCACGCACTCAAGGACATTGCACAGGCAAAAGATTTCTACTAGACTGAAGCCTCTCCAAAACCTCTTTCATTCTGAGGATTCTTTATTGGTGGGACTCTGACCGTCTTCTCTGGGCTTTCCTGGGCTTGATTAACTGGTTAACAAGAAAGACAACTGTGCAGCTTTCTGAGAAAATGCTAGGAGTTACAGGAGCAACAGATGGCAGAGTGGGGAACCTTACCAATTAGCAAAGTTATTCCATCTAAAGATGAGAAGTCTGGTCCCTGAGTCAAAATTCAATGTTGGCATTAGAGTACACAAAAAAATGAATAAAATTCCAGTCTGCAGAAGGTGTTTCATTAAGCAGAGCAAAATCTCATTATTTCAGACTCTACTCATTCAGAATGCGTGACCTCCATTCAGGGACTACAGATATGTTTGCATTATTTTCTGTGAAAGTCTTACTGCATTTTTTTTCCAGGAGCACACCTAACAAATGCTAAGGAGCTATTTATTTACAAAACAGATTCTGAGAACAACAGATGATTGCCATCTAGAAGCCTTAAGTGACAGCAAAACGTTTGTTTTATAAAAGGAGTATTTTAAATTTAATTTTTTAAAATTGAAATACAGTAAAACTGAATTTTCTGAGTGCAGCTCTATGATTTGTAAAACATGCACAGATGGATAAAATACTATCACATGCAGAACACGGAGCAATGGCCTCACTGCAAGGCCTCCCCTCATTCTCCATGCAATCACTTTGCAGGCCCAACCCGCCCCTAGAGCTGGGCAACTGCTGATGTGTTCTCATGGAATTACACAGTGTGTATTCACCTTTAGATACTAGCTTCAGTCACTCAGAATAATGTTTTTGAGATGCACTTAAGTTGCTGAGCATATTCATAGTCTATTCCATTACATTGCTGCATGCTCTTCCCTTGTAGGGATTTGCAACTTTTTTTTAACCTATTAAACTGTTGAGGGAAGTAAGTGTTGTTCCAATTTGAGACAATTATGAATAGAGTTGCTATCAATAATTGTGTAGAAAGTTTTGTGTGAATATAAGTTTACGTAACTCTAGGACACATAGCCAAAGAGTAGGATGCCTAGTTCTCATGGTGTGTATGTGTTTAACCATATCAGGAGCCACCAAGCTTCTTGCCAACTTTTTGGACTGGCTGTATTAGTTCACACTCTCAATGTGAAGTTCTCATTCACAGCATGCAAGAGCTCCATTGCTCCACATCCACACCGGCGGTATTGTCAGCATTTTATGTACCTGCCATTATAATGCATGTGTAGTGGTAGCTTACAGTCACCTTGAATTGCCTTGCCTGTGATGTTGAAGAGTATTTTTTTTTTTTTTCCGAGACAGAGTCACCCAGGGTGGAGTGCAGTGGCGTGATCTCGGCTCACTGCAACCTCCGCCTCCCAGGTTCAAGTGATTCTCCTGCCTCGGCTTCCTGAGTAGCTGGGACTACAGGCACATGCCACCACACCCGGCTAATTTTTTTGTATTTTTAGTAGAGACGGGTTTTCACAGTGCTAGCCAGGATGGTATCAATCTCCTGACCTTGAGATCCGCCTGCCTCGGCCTCCCAAAGTGCTGGGGTTACAGGCATGAGCCACTGTGCCCAGCCTATTATGTCGTTGTTAATATCTTCTTTGGTGAAGAACCTGTTCAACACTCTTGCTCATTTAAAAATTGAGCTGCTTATTTACTTATGGTTGAACTTTAGTGTTTTTCAAATTTGTTTATTCTAAAGACAAGACATTTGTCATATACACAATTTGCAATATTTTTTCCCTCATCTCCAGGTAGTCTTTTCATTTTCTCAACTGTCATTTCACAGAATAGGTGGCTTTAACTTTGATAAAATCCAATTTAACATTGTAATGGGTTGTGCTTTTGGTGGTAAGTCTTATAATATTTACCTCAGGTAGGATGATATCTTACTTTTATTCTAAAAGCTTGATAGTTTTCATTTTAATATTTGAATACATGATCCGTTTTGAGTTACTTTGTATGATTTGTTGAGGTTTAGGTTAAAGTTTTTTAGTGTGTGTGTGTGTATAGTCCTCCAAGGGTCCCAATATAATTTGTTAAAGAGAATGGCTTTCTCTGTTAAATTGTCATTGCATGTTTGTCAAAAGTAATGGGTCCATTCCTCAACATTCTGTTCTGTTCCATTAATTGTTGTGTCTACTGTTCACCAATACCATACTGCATTGAGTACCATACCTAGCAACAGTAATCAGTTTTCACTATCTATAGTGAGAAAAGGAAAAAAGAAAAGCTCAGAGCAGTCTGGGTTATGTGAGTTATGCAAAATTTATCATGCCCAGGGAGATCAGTATGGACTTCAAGCATGCCCTCCACACTCATAGGACAATTGTTTAGAAGCATGTTGTTCCTGACTAGCTGCCTCACCCATTATCTTCTTGCTCCTGGAATTTGTGATGTAAAGAACAATGTACAGCCAATCAACAGCTTATGTTATTTTAAAGTAAATTATTTGGTAAACAACGTAGAAACTGTCTCTTCTTTTTCCTTAAAAACCCAGTTGTAACTGCTTAATCAAAGTGTATATTCAGGGCAACTTAAATCTATACTTCCAGGTAGCCATCCTCAGGCCTTGAACTCAAATAAACTTTATACTTAATTCTATTTTCTGAATCTCGATGTTTAAGATTGACAATAATAAGTCTTAAAGCCAGGTGAAGTGACTCTTCTAACATGATTTATCTTTTTCAATATTGGTTTGGGTATACTACTTCCATTGACTTGAATCCAAATTTTAAAATCAGTTTGTCTATGTCTGTAAAAATTTATCCTGCGATTTTGTTAAGAATTTTGTTAAATCTGTGGTTTGATTTGGGGTTATGTGACACTCATATTATAATGAGTGTCCCAATCCATAAAAATAGTATGTCTTTCAATTTACATAGGTTCTATTTATTCCTTTTATTGGTATTTGTAGTTTTTAGCCTACAGATTATTCTATGTTTTGATAAATTCTAAGTATTTCACTTTTGGGGGAACTTCTGCAAATGGTAGTAGTTGTGTTCTAATTTGGTTTTCAGTTTGTATTACTGACAAGTGAAAATATAAATTTAACTTTTTATGTGTTGGTCTTGCATTCCACTGCTTTCATAAGCTAACTTATTAGTTCTAGAAGGCATTTTTGTATGTTCTTTAGAATTTTCTACATCGACAATTCACATTGTTTGTGAAAAGCAACAACGTTATTTCTTCTTTTCTAAGCTGTAAGCCTTTTATTTCTTATTCATATTTTATGTAATGGCTAGAACTTTCAACACAGTTTTGAAAAGTAGACATCCTTGCCTTTTTTCCAATCTTAAGGTGAAAGCCACTGAGTCTTTCGTCATTACTTAAGACATTTGCTGTGTGCTATTTTGATGCCCTTTACCTGGTTTAAATTTCCTTCTATCCCTAGTTTGCTGCAGATTTTCTAATAAATAGATTCCAAACTCTATCAAATGCCTTCTTTTTGTGTCATTTGATATTGTTGTATGGTTTTTCTCCTTTAAACTAAAAATATGATATACAATCCCCATTGGTTTTTAACATGGAATGAGCTTGCATTTTCAGGAAACAGCACATTTTGTTGTCATTATTTTTACATATATTGCTGGAGCAGATTTGCCAACATGTTGAAGATGTTTTTGTCTGTGTTCATGAGGTCTATGAGTATACAACTTTTCTTTATCTGTCTGCTTGTGTTATCAGAGTACATTGATTTCCTTTAGCAACATAACAAATTACCACAGACTTAGCAGTAAAACAACACCCATTTGTTAGCTCCCAGTTCTCTGAATCAGAAGTTCAGAGACAGCATGCTTGCTTTCCCTGTTCATGGTCTCAAGGGCTGAAATCAAGGCGAGCTCTCATCTGTAGGTTCTGGGGAAAAGTTCACTTCCAAGTTAATTCAGATGGTTGAACTAATTCAGTTCCCTGTGGGTCTAACACTAAGGTCCTCACTTATTTGCTGACAATCACCTGAAGGCCACTCTCAGGACCTACTACCTTCAGACAAACCCGAGAGACATTGCAGGTTTTGCTCCATACCACTGAAATAAAGTTTTGGTTTCCCAGTGCATATAAAAGTGTATACTATACTGTAGTCATTTAAGTGTGTAATAGCATTATCTTTTAAAAGTACATATCTTAAGAAAAAAATGCTTTATTGCTAAAAAATGCCAACAATCATCTAAGCATTCTACAAGTTGGATTTTTTCCTGGATGGTCTTGCCTCCACGTTCATGGCCATTGACTGATCAGGGCAGTGGTTGCTGAAGGTTGCGGTGGTTGTGGCAATTTCTTCAGTGGCTCACTCCTGTAATCTCAGCACTTTGGGAGGCCGAGGTGGGCAGATCATGAGGTCAAGAGATTGAGAGCATCCTGGCCAACATGGTGAAACCCATCTCTATTAAAAATACAAAAATTAGCTGGGTGTGGTGGCACACACCTGTAGTCCCAGCTACTTGGGAGGCCAAGGCAGGTGAATCGCTTGAGCCCAGGAGGTGGAGGTTGCAGTGAGCTGAGATCCCACCACTGCACTCCAGCCTGGCGAGAGAGTGAGACTCTGACTTAAAAAAAAAGAGGACATATCTTAAGAAAAAAAAAATGCTTTATTGCTAAAATATGCCAACAATTGTCTAAGCATTCTACAAGTTGGAATTTTTCCTGGATGGTCTTGCCTCCATGTTCATGGCAATTGACTGATTAGGGCAGTGATTGCTGAAGGTTGTGGTGGCTGTGGCAATTTCTTAAAAGAAGACAACAGTACATCTTTCTGCATCATTTGACTCTTCCTTTCACAAAAGACTTCTCTGTAGCATGTGAAGCTGTTCTTTGGAATTTTGCTCACATTAGAAAGCCTTTCAAAATTAGAGACAATTATTTCAAACTTTACCACTGCTTTATCAACTAAGTTTATGTAATATTCTAAATCATTTGTTGCCATTTCAACAATGTTTACAGCATCTGCACTGGGAGTAGACCCCATCTCAAAAAAACCATGTTCTTTGCTGATTGTTAAGAAGAAACTTCTCATCCCTTAAATTTTATTATGTATTTGCAGCATT
This sequence comes from Homo sapiens, assembly GCF_000001405.40. NCBI lineage: Eukaryota > Metazoa > Chordata > Mammalia > Primates > Hominidae > Homo > Homo sapiens. Next base: position 52,909,184 of record NC_000007.14, read on the forward strand.
TTAGTCACACCTCCAAGCTCCACTTCTAATTCTAGTTGCCTTACTATTTCCACCACATCTGCAATTACTTTCTCTACTAAAGTCTTGAACAGCACAAAGTCATCAATTATGGTTGGAATCAACCTCTTCCAAACTCTTATTAATGTTAAAATTTTGGCCTCCTCCCATGAATCACAAATGTTCTTAGTGACATCTTGAATAGCAAATCCTTTCCAGAAGGTTTTCAATTTACTTTTCCCAGGTCCACCAGGGTAATCACTATCTAGGGCAGCTATAGCCTTACACAATGTGTTTCTAAAATAATAGGACTTGTAAGTCTAAACTACTCTTGGATTCATGGGCTGCAGAAAGGACATGTTATCAGACATAAAAACAACATTAATCTCCTTGTATATCTCCATCAGAACTCTTACCTCTGACCAGGTGCATTGTCAAGGAGCAGTAATATTTTGAAATAAATTTTTATTTTTTTTCTCTGAGCAATAGTTCTCAACAGTGGAGTTAAAATATCTAGTAAACCATGCTGTGAACACATGTGTTGTCATCCAGGTTTTGTTGTTTCATTGATACAGCACAGGCAGACTAGATTTACCATAATTCTTAAGGGCACTAGCATTTTCAGAATGGTAAATGAACATTGGCTTCAAGTTAAAGTCACCAAATTCATTATCCCCTAACAAGGGAATCAGCCTATCCTTTGAAGCTTTGAAGCCAGATATTGATTTCTCTCTAGCTACAGAAGTCTTAGATGACATTTTCTTCCAATGATGTCTTCACCTTCATCATTGATCTTAGCTAGATCTTCTGGAAAGCTTGCTGCAGCTTCCACATCAGCACTTGCTGCTTCACCTTGCACTTTTATGTTATGCAGATGACTTCTTTCCTTAAACCTCGTGAACCTACATCTGCTAGTTTCAAGCTTTTCTTCTGCAACTTTCTCACTTCTCTCTGCCTTTACTGAACTGAAAAGAGTTGAGGCTTTGCTCTGGATTAGGCTTTGGTTTAAGGGGAGGTTGTGGCTTATTTGATCTTTTATCCAGGCCACTCAAACTATCTCCATCTCAGCAACAAAGCTATTAGTATTTTACTTTCTTATTATTTGTGTGTTCACTGGAGCAACACTTTTAATTTTCTGAAAGAGCTTTTCCTTTGCATTCATAACTTGGCTGTTTGGCACCAGAGGCCTAGCTTTCAGCCTATCTTTGCTTTCAACATGCCTTCCTCACTAAACTTAATCATTTCTAACATTTGAGTTAAAGTAAGATACATTGGAATCTTCCTTTCACTTGAACACGTAGAGGTCATTTAGGGTTATTAACTGGCCTATTTTCAATATTGTTGTGTCTCAGAGAATAGGAAGGCCAGAGGAGAAGAAGACCGATGGAGGAACAGAGCAGTCAAAACAAACACAACATGTATTGACTAAGTTTGCCATCTTATATGGGCTTAGTTTTTGGTACCTCAAAACAATTACAATTGGCCTAGTACAGTGGCTCACACCTATAATCCCAGCATTTTGGGAGGCCAAGGTAGGTGGATTGCTTGAGCCCAGGAGTTCAAGACTAGTCTAGGCAACATAGTGAGACCCTCCCCTCTACAAAAAATTAAAAAATAAGCTGAGCATGGTGGCACATGCCTGTGCTTCCAGCTACTCCAGAAACCGAGGTGAGAGGAAAACCTGGGGTGGGTAGCTCCTCTCCACAGCTGGTCATCTCATCATCTCTTTGGCTCTCAGTAGAGAGGAGACCCTGGTGTGGGTAGCTCTTCTCTGCCGCTGACCATCTTGTAGTCTCTCTTTGAGTCTGGCCAAGCCTGGGGTATTTCTGGCCTTCATAGGAGAGAAAGCATGTGCTGATTGGTCTATGGGAAGCCATGGGTGGGCCTGGAGAGAGCCCCATAAATTCCCATTCAGATCGGCAGGACAGGCAGCCTGGCCCCCAGGCTTCAGGCCTTCCTTGGCTTGAAGATGGGGCTCTTCCAGGGACCTTCCCTTTTTTTCCCCAGAGTCTGTCTGCCTCTTGGCACTGTTCATGGTGCCGAGACTGTTCATTCATGTTCATCAGTCCCCAAAGTCTGGAATGGGCCAAGGCAGCAGGAGGTTGGCATGTCAGTGCTGCCCCAAGTGTGTCACACCCAGCTTGGTTGTGATAGTGCCCAGGCTTAGCTACAACTTTGCTACAAGATTGGAGTGGGCACTGGGAGTGGAGAGAAGCCAGGCAGTGGGAGCAGGCACTTCCAAGGGTGAGAGGGGAGCAGGGGGGCCCTTCCCAGGCCCCTGAGAGTGCAGAGATGGCTGGGTCCGCAGCCGTGGCTGGGCAGTGGCAGCTGCATCCGCATCCGGGAGGGAAGAGCTCCAGCCTGCTCCTGGTCCCCAAGAGCACAGGAATTCCCAAGTCTGCAGCCGTGGCTGGGCAGCCACAGCTGTGCCTGGGGGGCACAGGGCTCCTGCCCTGCCAACTTAGAAGCGGGCAGGGCATCTGCCTGTTCCCAGCTCACGCCAGCTCCCTGGAGTGCACAGCCTGGCTGCACCTCCCCCACTGCAGCCAGCATCATGGCAGCGGCTGCTCTAGATGGGCCGCCATTGCCATCATTGTAACACGCTCTTTGGGACTTTGTGGTTCCTGGCATCTCCAAGCTTCCAGGCGCCACTGCATTACCCTAGTCCAGACACAGGTGCTTGCAATGAAAGCAGCAGTGCAGTAGATCTGGTCCAGCAGCAGCCTCGCAAATAAGCCAGCACCTGTGCCGGGACTTGGAGCTGCCTGACACACCACAGCAGCCAGCCTGCCTGGCTGTGTGCACTGACCGGACCCTGCACTTGCTCACCACACATGTTTCACCGCTCTGCATCTGGCTTGCCCTTGGCAGACGTGAGACCCGAGCCGAATGCAGCCTGCTATGTAGAGCGGAACAAGCTAAAATAATGAACAATATTCAGGCAGAAGGTGTCCCCAGCCACAGAGGTTTCTGGCTGGCGAAGTGACACCCCAAGGATTCCATGACACCACCACAACCAGTCTTTATATTTTCTTCTTTATACTTTCCGTCCTTTTTTCTGGCTTTAGGTATATTTTTGCTCTTCTATTTTTTTATGAGGTGGACAATTAGATTACTGGTTTTTGACTTTTTTTCTTTTCTAAAGCAAGCAATCACTGCTATACATTTCCCACTATGAATAGCTTTAGCTGTATACTTACTTTTTTTTTTTTTTTTGAGACAGAGTCTGGCTCTGTTGCCCAGGCTGGAGTGCAGTGGCATAATCTTGGCTCACTGCAACCTCTGCCTCCCAGGTTCAAGTGATCTTCCTGCCTCAGCCCCCCTAGTAGCTGGGATTACAGGCACACACCACCATGCCTGGCTAATTTTTGTATTCTTAGTAGAGACGGGTTTTTGCCATGTTGGCCAGTCTGGTCTCGAATGCTTGACCTCAGGTGATCTGCCTGCCTCCGCCTCCCAAGGTGCTGGGATTACAGGAATGAGCCATCGTGCCTGGCCTATACTTAACAATTTTTTATCTTGTACTTTTCACTCAATTCAAAATAATTTCTTAACTTCATTTGGGAGTTCCTTTTTGACTCATTAGTTATTCAAAATTAAGAAGTGATGGCTTTATTTCCAACTTTCTGGTTATTGTCTTGTTACTTTCTGTTACTCATTCTTTGTTTTACTCTATTATGGAGTGAATACATTTCATATGATTTTTATCCTCTACAATTCCTTGCTCTTTGCTTTCTTTGTTTGGGATATTATCTATATTGGCTGTGCACCAGGTGCACTGGAAAAGAATACGTATTTTACCATTTGCAGGTGGAGTGTTACAAAAATGTAAGTTAAATCCAGTCATTTCATGGTGGTGTTCATTTTTTCTGTATACTTGATTTTCTGTCTACTGGTTCTATCAATTACTGAGGGAGGATATACCCAAATACATTATTGATTTGTCTGTTTTCCTTTTCAGTTCTTTCAGTTTTTTTCTCATGTCTCTGAAGCCTTGTTTTTAGGTTCATATGAGGGGCGCCTGCAGGACAGTGCCAAGCTGCCTTCAGCAACCCCCTTAGCTTCCCTCCCGTGTTCATCAGTGACCAAAGTCTGGAGTCGGCCAAAGCAGCAGGGGATTATTTTGACTTTTAGGATTATTATGACTTCATCACAATGAAATGCCTCTTTTTGTCCTTAGTAACATTTGTTTCTTTGAAGTCTACTTTGTTTAATATTAATATAGCTGCTTCCAGCTTTCTTTATATTTTGTTCGTTTTTAAATTTCTTATTGAGATTTTAAGGTAAATATGTTGCAAATATTTTGTTGTTGTTTTTGAGATGGAGTCTTGCTCTGTTGCCCAGGCTGGAGTGCAATGGTGCGATCTCGGCTCACTGCAACCTCTGCCTCCCAGGATCAAATGATTCTCCTGCCTCAGCCTCCTAAGTAGCAGGGATTACAGGCGCCCACCACTACACCTGGCCAATTTTTTGTGTGTGTTTGTGTGTGTGTATTTTTAGTAGAGATGAGGTTTCACCATGTTAGTCAGGCTGGTCTGAAACTCATGGCCTCAGGTGATCCATCTGCCTCAGACTCCCAAAGTGCCACATATTTTTAATATACTTCATTTTCTACAGAAGTTTTATTTTTACAGCAAAATTGAGTAGAACCTGTAGAGCATTTCCATGTATGCCTTGACTCCACACACTCACATCTCCCCTCACTCTCAACATCCCACACCACAATGGCACACTGTAACATGGATGTTCCTACATTGACACATGATTATCACACAAAGTCTACAGTTTTTGTTAGGATTCACTTACTGCTATGCCTTTTATGGATTTTAACAAATATATAATGACATGTATTCACCATTGTAGTATAACACAGAATAGTTTCACCGTTGTAGTATAATTAACACAGAATAGTGTCACCACTGTAGTATAATGTGGAATAGTGTCACTATTGTAGTGTAATGCAGAATAGTGTCACTGCCCTGAAAGTCCTCTGCCTACTTATCCCTTTCTTCCCCCCAACTGCCAGTAACCATTGATCTTTTACTTCTGCACAGTTTTGCTTTTTCCAGAATGTCATGTAGTTGGAATCCTTTTTAGATTAGCTTCTTTCATTTAGTAATACGCATTTCTGTTTCCATATTTTTTCTTGGTTCAATACTTTCTTTCCAGCATTGAGTAATACTTCATTGTCTGCGTGTAGCATAGTTTGTTTCCCTACTTAAGGAAATCTTAGTTGCTTCTGAGACTGGTCTATATAAATAAAGTTCCTATAAGCATTTATGTGCAGGTTTTTCTGTAGATATAAGTTTACAATTCATGTGGGTAAATACTAAAGAGTGTATGGCTGGGTTGTATGATAAAAGCATGTTCAGTTTTCTAAGTAGTGGTCAAGCTGTCTTCCAAAGTGACTGTACCATTTTGCATTCCCACCAGCAATAAATGATAGTTCCTGTTGCTCTATATTCTTACCAGGATTTGGCGTTGTCAGTGTTGTGGATTTTCACCATTTCAATAGGGTATGAGTGTTATGTCACTGTTGTTTAAATTCACAGTTCCCTAATGATGAGATGTTGAACTTCTTTTCCCATGCTTATTTTCCATCAGCATAGCTTCTTTGGTGAGATGTATGTCTATGTCCTTTGCCATGTTTTACTTAGATTTTTCCTGATCTTATCGTTGAGTTTTAAGAGTTCCTTTTATATTTTGGAGAACAGTTCTTTTTCAGATGTGTCTCTTGCAAATAGTTTCTCCCAGTCTCTGGTTTGTCTTCTCATTCACCTGACATTGTCTTTTGCTCAGCAGAAGTTTTTAATTTTAATGAAGTCTAACTTATCAATCTGCTTTAACATGATCATACCTTTAATGATAAATCTGTAAAATCATTGTCATTCTGAAGTTCATAAAATTTTTTCCTAGGTCATCTTCTAGAAGTTTTATACTTTTGAGTTTTATCTTTAGATCTTTGTGCACTTGAAATTAATTTGTGTGCAGGATGTTAAGTCTATTAGTAAATTTATTTTTTTGCATGTGGATGTCCAGTTGTAGCACTGTTTATTGAAAGACTATCAAGATCATCCTTTCTCTATTTTATTGCTATTTATTCTCTGTTAAAGATCAGTTGACTGTATTTATGTGCTTCTCTTTATTATTATATCAACACCACAGTCTTGATAAAGTTAGCTTATGGTAAATCTTGAAGTTGGGTAGTGTCAGTCCTCTAACTTTTTTCTTTCTTTTTTTTTTTTTTTTTTAAGTCGGACTCTCGCTCTGTCTCCCAGGCTGGAGTGCAATGGCGCGATCTCAGCTCACTGCAACCTCCTCCTCCTGGGTTCACGCCATTCTCCTGCTTCAGCCTCCCGAGTAGCTGGGACCACAGGTGTCCACCTCCATGCCCGGGTAATTTTTTTTTTTTTTTTTTTTTTTGTATTTTTAGTAGAGACGGGGTTTCACTGTGTTAGCCAGAATGGCATTGATCTCCTGACCTTGTGATCTGCCCGCCTCAGCCTCCCAAAGTGCTGGGATTACAGGCATGAGCCACTGCTCCCAGCCAATTTTGTTCTTTTAATTCAATATAACGTTGGCTATTCTGCATCTAATATATCTCCATATATATTTTATAATCAGTTTATCAACATTCACAAAATAGCCCACTGGAATTTTGATGGGGATTGCGTTGAATCTATAGATCAATTGAGAAGAACCAGTATCTTGGCAATATTGAATCTTCCTATTCATAAACATGGAATGTCTCTTTATTTATTTAGTTGTTTCTTGACTTCTTTCAACAGATTTTGTAGTTGTTTTTATATAGATATTGTACATATTCTGTTGGATTTATACTTATATATATTTGGGGGTACAAGTGTAAATGGTTGTGTGTTTTTAATTTTAGAGTTCATTTGCTCATTGCTATTATATAGGAAAGTGGTAGGGTGTTTAGATATTAACCTCGTATCATATAATCTTGCTATATTTGCTGTTTATCTTTTTTCATACATCTACTTTTAACCTGCATATAATATCACATTTGAAGTGAATTACTTCTAAGCAGGTAATTTTATTTGTTATTTTGCAATATCTGCCTTTTAACTGATGTTTTGATCATTTTTATTTAGTTTATGACAGGCTTAAATTTAGTTCTTTTTAAAATGTGTTTTTTAGGTGCTCCCTTTCTTTTACACTTTTGTTTTCCTTCCCTTTGGGTTTGGGTTACTTGAACATTTTTTAGTATTCTATTACAGTCTACTTAGAATAAATATTTTACTCTTTAAGTTGAATATAGTAATTTTACAACCATATATGTTCCTGTACACTTCCGTACTTTATATTTTAGTTGCCTTATGCTTTAAGTTGATATACATAAAAAACTTTTCCAGCAATGCTAAGGTTTTGACTTTAAACCTTCATACATATTATAAAAAATCTCCAAAGGGGAATAATAGTTTATTATATTTCCCCAGGTATTTACCATTTCTGTTGCTCCTGCTTCATTCCTGATATTCCAGGACTTATCCATTATCAGTTCTCTTCTACCTCAATACCTTTCTTTTTTCTTTACCAGTTGTCTTGGAGAAAATGTTTTGCATGGAATTATCTTAGTTTTTCTACCTCTGAAAATTTCACATAAATCTGAAAGGTTACTTTTCCTGGATATCTAGTTCTATGTTGACAGTTCTTTTTCTTTCAACACTTAAAATGTTTCCTCCTGCTTCTTTCTGGCTCTTAGGCAAGAATTCCACATCTATTTGAGTCTTTGTTTTTGAAAAACAATGTGTCATTCTTTTTCTGTTTTCAATGTACTTGCCTTTATTATTCAGCAGTTGGGGGTTGCTTGGAATCTTGAATTGGTATGTTTATGTCTTTTGACAGATTTGAGAAATTTGCATTTATATTTTTTTTACATTTTGTCGAACACCACATCTTTCACCAGTTCTGTAATTTCAGTGATGCAAATGTTAGATATTTTGGTATCTTCCCACAGGTGTCTCAAGTTCTGTTCATGTAAAAGTTTTTTTCTGTTGTTCACATTGAATAGTTTACATAGGACTATCTTGAAATTCACAGGCTATAATCAACTAAATAGTGACCCTTAAAAAAAGTATGTCCATGTCCTAATTCCCAGGATTTGTAAATGTGACCTTACATGGAAAATGGGTTTAGATGAGGTCATTCTGAATTAATGGAGTGGTTTATAAATCCAGTGACAAGTGTGCTTATAAGGAACACACAGCAAAGAGGTGGAGGCAGTGTGACAATGGATCCAGATATTGTACTGTTACAACCACAGGCCCAGGAATGCCAGCACAACTGGGAAGAAGAAAAGAATCGAATCTCACATAGAGCTTTCTGATAAATCATAGCTCTGCCAGCACATTCATTTCAGACTTCTCGCTTCCAGATCTGTGAGAGAATAAATTTCTGTCGTTTTAAGTCACCCAATTTGTAGTAATTTGTGACAAGAGTCACGGGAATCGAATGCATGGACTGAGCTAATCTAAGGTTTGTTTTTGTTGTTGCTTCTCAACTAATGTTATCTTTTGGTTCTAAATAGTTCCCCTTGGCTTATTTTTTGTTCTATTTCTTTCCTGTGATTTTCCATGTTTTTATTTATTAAAAGAGTGATTGCCTTTGTTTATTGGGCCATTTTTATAATAGTTGATTTAATATCTTTTTCAGAAAATTCTAACGTGCATCATCTCAGCATATATGTCAATTAACTGTTCTTTCATATACGAGTTGTGATTTTCCTAGATTTTTGGATGCCCAATAATTTTGGATATTATCCAGGATATTTTTAATATCTTATTATGAGACTGTGGGTCTTTTAAAAAAATCCTACAAATAATGTTGATATTTTTGTTTAACAGGCAATCAGTCGGGTTTAGACCACAAGTTCGAACCAGTCTTTTATGGATTATAAATTATCCAATATCAGCTGTTTTCAAAGCCTTTGCGGTGTTGTTTATATCTGACCCAGGCGAGCACCACCCAGTGGCCAGGCTGGGACATGTGCAGTGGTTTATCCCATAGTTCAGTTCTCAAAGTCTATTGACACTAATGAGGGTCAAAGCCACGCATATATCATTTGAGATGAACTCAGAAGTACAAAGTCAACATTCAGGGATCACTTTCTCAAGCTCTCCTCTCCCTGCAATCTCCCTAGTATTTTTGCAGTACTCTTGGTCTTCCCCTTGTGGTTGTCATACCAGAAATCTAAGGCTTTGGGTGTCCCACTCTGTTGTTCAGTGACAGGTAGACAGAGACAGGCAAAAGCAATAGAGTTTCACACGACCCGTAGGTGATCATAACTCCTCTGATCAGACAGGGAGGTGCCCTTCCTTAGAGTTTTGGCTCTACTGCCAATGCTGCCATGAGATTGCTTGGGGACTGGGTCATCCAAGAATAGAGGGGAAAAATGCATAATAATTCTTACTCTCACTGAGTGTTAGGAGTTATCTTTCTTATTTCTTTTTTTTTTTTTTTTTTGAGATGGAGTCTCACCGTCACCCTGGCTGGAGTGCAGTGGTGCAATCTCCGCTCACTGCAACCTCCACCTCCCGGATTCATGTGATTCTCCTGCCTCAGCCTCCCAAGTAGCTGGGATTACAGACACACAGCACCACACCTGGCTAATTTTCTTTTTTTGTATTTTTAGTAGAGATGGGGTTTTTCCATGTTGGCCAGGCTAGTCTTGAACTCCTGGCCACAAGTGCTCCACCCGCCTCTGCCTTCCAAAGCGCTGGGATTACAGGCATGAGCCACTGCGCCCAGCCATGTTTCTTGAGTTTGAACTAGAGGATTGCTCCTGTCGTTTTCTATATCAATGCTCTGATGACTACTTCTGGGTTGGAGGTGTGGTCGAGTTCAGGCTAGAGGATATTGGAGGCAATACTGACAGTTCAGTGGTACTTTAAATTCTGATCTTTTCCCCCAAACTGTCTGCTACTATTTATTTTCAGAGTCCTTAATAGCTTCTCCATGCATTCTGTCCTGGTTTTAAGGCAATTTTAAGTAAGAAAGACAAGTGTGACTATTTCATCTTCTACTAAAAAAAGAATTATGGTAGATAATTTTAAAAATCACATTGTAATAATTTTACCAAAATTACTCTACAGTAAAGTGAATAATGGATGTGTGATCCAACAGATACAGTGACAGATTGTTGATGTTACAGTGACCCATCCTGTGTAACAGTGAAAAGATGATGATGGCGCCAACCATAATGGACTGATGGATAATGCTTCCTTCAAGCTTCCTCCATTTGTGAAAATCTCATCAATTTCAATGGTCAGACCTCATTCACTTCGAAGCAGGAGGCAGTCAGTAGAATATGCTGAAAAAAAAAACTGAGACCTTAAGAAAAATCAACTAATACAAATGTATATGTGTATCTTTACAACAGAGCTAATGTAGTATCTTCTAGTTCCAATTTCAATTCTGATGATTAGTGATTTTGTCATACTCCATTCTCTAGTCCTGTAACCAAATTTTTAAACACATGCATGCGTGATTGCATAGACATAGTATATAAACACAATGCAAACATATACATATGTGTGTCTGTATATATAGTATATAGGTACATACAGATATATTTACACACAAAGATACACATATATCTATTTATCTTTATATATCTAGAGATGGAGTCAAATATTTTGCAATTTTCAATAAATATAAGTATACATTTCATTACAAGTATTGACCACATAAATATGTGATCTGTGTCTGACACTAAGACTTTATTATTTTGTCTTCTGTTATTAGTTTAATTTAAAAGTGATGGACTCTGTTAGTCAATACAACTCATTCTGGCATACTATATGTACTGTGAGTCATATTATATTTTGTGTGCTATGACATTCTTTTCAAACACAGTGACTATTATAATCAAGCTATCCAAATATCAGTAATTTAAAATAGGCTAGTCACCGTATATTCCTTGGAAAAGATGGTTTATTGTTTTTATAAGTGATATCTGTTTATAAAATAAGTTTCCCTATACATCTCAACTAGGAAAAACTTTTTCAGATATGCATTTGCTACAGTGCAATATTAGCGGTTGCCTCTATTTAAAATTCTAGACTTTAAAAATTGGATTTCTTCCCAATCTTATGTAATTCAGATTTTTAACTAATTCAGCCAACCATCTCATTAGCCTGGATTTCCGAAGTTGGACTGTGTTTGTCCTGAATCTCAGCTTTGATTATTCTATGGATCCAAAGAATTATTAGTGTCCTAATAAACATTGTTCTGTCCATTTGAACCCTTGAGCCTTTCTTTTCCTACTTTAAAGATACCAGTTACCGCTGTAACTTCTGCTTGACTTGAGCAAGAGCTTAAAGATCTTTTTCGGCTGCAATACCCTAAAATTTTAATCATCACCTCTGGAAAAAAAAAGAAGTGAGTTTTAAAGCTGGGAGTTCCGACAGAGCTTTAAAAACAATAAGCAAGAAAGAGACAGTTTCTAGAGATTTCTCCCATGTAAACTGCTATTTATGTCATCTTTAGTGCCATTGGCACCGAGCCAGCCACAGCCAGGACTTTTTTTGTTGCTTGGCGAAACGGGAAGGGCAGGAAAGAAGCTCTATACTAAGAAACAGTTTCTTAGTATTTTCATCTCTCTGCAAATCTTATTTGATAAAGTTAAGCTTTGTCAATTAAAGCTTATAAGTGTTTTAATACCAAGTTTAGCTTTTTAATATATGTACCAAACTTGTCTAACACATAGGCATATTAAATAGTCAATTATACGGTTTGACTTAAAAGAGAGCAAGAAAATACATCAACCCCTCAATGAAGCTCTGTCTCCAAATAATCTTTCCACTGACTCTGCTGATGTTTACTTTAAAAACTCCAGTGTCAACTGTAACATCTAAGCAGGTCCATGCACTGAGGACCTGCAGGCTCAGAACGTAATGGAAGGTAGCAGTTGAGGATATTCAATTAAGATAAAGGACCAAAAAGCAGAGATGCAGGCTAATACGTAGGCAGAGAGAGATAAGAACTTTGAAAGGCAGGGAGCCACCTAGTGCAAGAGGCAGTAGAAATCAGAGCAGTTCTGGGAGGGGAAAGGAGTAGGGGGATACATAAGTGGAGGGTGATCAGGTTTAGAGCTGGACACTGACAAATCTGCATGAAGCCAGACCTGAATTTCCGCATGAGTAAAATTTTAAAGATAACCTCTCACCTCTCTCCAAATGGTTATCTGTGAAACTATACTCCCTCCACACCCGCACATGCAGCTCTGCTCACACACTGCTCACAAGCAGGCTGAGCCAAAACCCAATTGTAAGAAAAATTTAAAACCTCACCTGTAGCAAATGCAGCACATTAATATAAGATATGAAGAACAGGCTGGGAGCGGTGGCTCACGCCTGTAATCCCAGCACTTTGGGAGGCTGAGGTGGGCGGATCACAAGGTCAGTAGATCGAGCCCATCGTGGTCAACATGGTGAAACCCTGTCTCTACTAAAAGTACAAAAATTAGCTGGGCGTGGCAGCATGTACCTGTAATCCGAGGCAGGAGAATGGCTTGAACCCAGGAGGCAGAAGTTGCAGTGAGCCGAGATCGTGCCACTGCACTCCAGCCTGGGCAACAGAGTGAAACTCCATCTCAAAAAAAAAAAAAAAAAGTTATGAAGAACAGGGGTTACTGGGGAGCTAGACGAGAGGAGGCGTGTAGGAATACTTTGTAATTTCCACTCATTTTTTCTGTAAACTTGAAACTGCCTCCAAAAGTAAAGCCTGTTAATTTTTTTAAAATTTAAAATCTAAGATAGATGGAACTTATGATATTTTTCCAGGATGAGGACTTCACTGCACTAGCATTCTTCAGTAAAGTCAACTTCCCATGATTCAAAATCCTTGTCATGGCTGCCTAATCCTCTGGGGCAGACATGTCCTTGCGTTGGGGTGTGAAGACTGCTAATTTGTTTGGGTTTGCTTTTCATTGAGAGTCAGCTGTGTGTTTTTCTCACAGCTATATCTTTTCTTCTGAAGTGATCAGCAATTACTTCCCGGCTGATAATTTTGTTATTTATTTATGATTTTTTAGGTTGCAAAGGTGGTCTTCCAAAGGAAGTCCTTTGGAAATTGTATGAACTTTGGAGAGGGAGAGAGGGAGAAAAGCAAGCACTGAGAAAAAGCAAATGGCAAAGCTATGCCTCACAGAGGATTCAGGAGAAAGCACAGGAGATGGAGAAAGAAACAGGAAAAATAATTTTTGGGGTGGTAAATATTACAAATAAAGAAATACAGGGTAGTGGGGAAACACATAACAAGGTGAACTCACCGAAAGTGAATTCAAAGTACCCAGAAAAGGGTGTTAGATCTGGAAATCAATCATCTCTTTGAAGTGTGAATGCAGAGGCTGAGGTGGGTTCTGAAGGACGTGAGAATTACACATCCCATAGTTACCACTGTTAGGGATCAGAAGCCCCAAATTGAATCAACTTAGAGGAATACCGATATCTGCCCAGGCCTGATGCAAGATGCACAGGATGCGTCTGCATCTTTACCACACGCCAAAAACCCAGCACCAATCTCAGGATTCAGGTGTACAGAGGGGGCCAGGCAATGCAGAACCCCTCATTAAAAGAAGGCAAGGACACTGGATGATTTCCAAAGAAGGAAGAGTGATAGAGAGAAGCGCCATAACGAATGCTAAATGCAGGGGTGGGGAGAGGTTTTAGTCCCTCTCTGATTTCGAAGAGCTTATTTATTACTAGGAAAATAAGCTTTGGATTACAGATATTTTTCTGCTCTTTTTAACTTTGTTACAAGGCTGTCTATGACTGTTACATGTCTAAGCATAACCATGTTTGCAATTATGGCTTCTGAATTTGATGTCATTTTTGGAAAGATATCAATACTGAGCCCATAAAATTCTTTAAAACAATTAGTTCAGGTGAGATGGCCTAAAGAAGGCAGTGATGGAAGGAATTAGGCTGCATTTCAGGAGATGGAAATGGCGATGAAATGATTGATGGCTCAAGAGTGGCATTGGTTAGTGGGGAGGAAGACCACCTTTTCACATATTTCACATTTAAGGGAGATGAGTAGTAAAAAGTTGAGAACTCTGAGAGAGGAGTGAATAGGAAGGTCAGGTGAAAATGAGCTTTACCTCATTCCATTTCCATGGAAATAGAAGAAATTTCAGGTGAAATTTTTTTTTTAGATAGATGATAAGAAGAATCATGAGACAAAATTGACCAAGTGAAGAGCAACCTTGATGTGGGAAGCAGTGATGTGGATACAAGAGCAATGTTCAAGGAAATAGGTGTAAATAACCACCAGGAGTGATGTGAAGTTATCAGGGATGAAGGATTTACTTGGATGAGCGTCACAGTGAAGGTTCACAACTAGATTTGGGGAGAAAGTTATTGTAGTGACAAAATTCCACTGAAAGTGAGGCATAAAAAGGAGATGAGCCAAATTAAATGAAATAAGGGACAATAGCATTTGTGAAGATTCACTTTGCACCAGGGTTGATGGAGAAGATAGTACTAGCAACAAACTTGACACCAGTGCAATATTCATTCCCAATACTGAATTGAAGTTCAGAAACAGAAATGTCCACTTAATCGCCCAAGCCTATGGAACCAGGAAGTTGCCATGCCACAGTTTGTGTGATATTTGTCTGATTCTGAGTACTATTGTGTTTGTGCATATTCATCCTGATTCCCTGTGTGAATGTGTGTGTACCTGTGTGTGTGTATCACTTAGAATTTGTGTGACTTCCAGCAGGTTTCTTCATTTCTCTTAATATTTCTGAAGTTCTCTTCATCCCCTTATACATTATATATCATGCCTATAAAATATCTACCTTACAGGGATGCTGTGAAGTTTAGAAATTATGAACATAAAAGCCTTGGTATCAGGTCTGCAATGTAGCGGGTGATCATTAATTGGTAGTTCAAGGGAAACTTCTTGCTCTTCCCAGTCATACATTTTTGTATAAAGGATATGTACTCTACTTTACTAATCCAATTATTTCATCCATATTTTTTGGACTTTGTCTCTAATGTTTGCCTTTATTACATCATTATAGGTTAATTTCCCTTCTCTATAACTTAAAATAGACTGAGTGCTATTAATTGCTTGTCAAGTCACTTCACTTTCTGATTTGGAAATGCAATACGTTTTTGGATCTTCATCTGATTCTCAAAGGAGCAATTATTTGTGATTCTACTACTTTACTTTGTTTTCCCCAAATGACAAACAACAATTATTACTTAAAGTGATTTCTATTTAAATAAAATTTTACAACTCTATATATGTGATATATTTTTCGCAAGATATCTTCTTGAAAATACCAAATATCTTTTAAGGTTAAATGTTAAATGTCTGTTTTAAAATTACCTTGTAGGGCAGGTGCAGTGGCTCACACCTATAATCTCAGCACTTTGGGAGGCCAAGGCAGGAGGATCACTTGAGGCCAAGAGTTTGAGACCAGCCTGGGCAATACAGGGAAACCCTATCTCTATAAAAAATGAAAAGAAAATAACTTAAGCATGGCGGTGTGCACATATATTCCCAGCTACTCAGGAGGCTGAGGTAAGAGGACTGCTTGAGTGCAGGAGGCAGAGGTTGCAGTGAGCCATGATCAGGCTAGTGCACTCCAGCCTGGGGGACAGAGAGAGGCCTTGTCTCAATAATAATAATAATAATAATAATAATAATAATAATAATAACAAATAAATACAATACAATAAAATTATCTGGCTGCTTTAGTTTTACCTTGTTAGAAATTAGTTTTGATGGGATTAGACTCACTGAGTTTAACACAATGAATAAACATGTAAATTCCCCCATGAAAATACTTTAAAGGAGAAATTAATAGTGTCCATCTTGTAAAACTTATTTCCCCTAGATTTTTTTAAAATTCTACATCAGCATAGTTCCATATGAAATAGTGAGATAGTTCTACTCCATTCCTAAGATGTTCTTTAAACATAATTTTTCTCATTATTGCAATTTAATATGAAGAAATGTGCCCAACCAAATGCCTGAGGAAATAGTTTACATTTTGTTGTTTTGAAGGACAAGTAGAGTGAGCCCTGTGTGTATATAGAGAAAACCATTTGGAAGTAAACATAGACTTGAATCCCAGAGCTGTTAATGAAACTTTAGGCATGCCGCATAGCCTTTCTGTTCCTCAGTTTCCTTATGTAGAGAGATTAAATGACCTATTATTTAAATCGATGCTCTCCAGTGTCTTCTTGGGTGATGAGTGAACTGTCTCTGTAAAACTGAGTGTCTTTTTTTCTCTCTTGTGTGTGTGGTGGGGTGAAAGGCTCTCTGCAGAATGCTGCTAGAGGGCGCTGCAGCCTCTCAGGCACTGTGGGGGAGCTGTGATGTCAGTCTGGGGCAACCCAGAGGAGCAGGGCAGGAGGCGATGGAGGGTGATGCACCCTGGGCACTGGGAGAGCAGCCTGGCGGGGGCTCAGGTGCCAGGGAGACCAGTGCTTGAGAAATGCTCCTGCGAACCTCCCTGGGTCCCAGTCTGGGCCACACACTGCTCCTTGTTTTTTTGTTTTTGTTTTTAATAATTTTATATATTGTGGTATAATACATATGACATAAAACTTGCTATTTTAATCATGTTTAAAGATACAATTACAATTGTAAAGATTAATTGTAATCCCATTGTTGTGCAAACCTCACTACTATCTATTTTCAAAAGTTTTTGTCATTCCAAGAAGAAACTGTGTACACGTCAAGTGACATCTCTCCATGTACCTCTCCCCCAGACTTGGAAACCTCTAATCTGCTTTATGTCTCAATGAATAGACAGAAGGTTCTAATCAGAATGTTCTAATCAGTATACCTATGGGATATACCCATAGGTATACCCATATCCCTATGGGATATACCCATAGGTGTACCCATATCCCTATGGGATATACCCATAGGTGTACCCATATCCCTATGGGTTTACCTTTGTGGAGGACTTGGAATCAAGCTTTAGAAAAAGGTAAAGAATACATGTGCCATGCTGGTGTGCTGCATCCATTAACCTGCCATTTACATTAGGTATATCTCCGAATGTTACATATGTATACATATGTAACAAACCTGCACGTTATGCACATGTACCCTAGAACTTAAAGTATAATAATAAAAAAAAAGGTAAGGAATATGCGTGTGTGTGTGTGTGTCTGTCTGTCTGTCTGCATTAGAAAGAAATAGCTGGAATTGCTAATGAATAAAAAGAACAGACACTTGAGAAGAGGAAGAAGAAAGGGGGACTGGCTGTGAAGCTTGTTATTATAGTTAAATTACTTTATTATGAGAAGTGAGATATATATTATAAATGTATTTTCTACTTTAACTTTTTCTCTTTCTGGGATGTGAGCACACACATGCCCTATGTTATTAGTCTCTTTTGTTTGACATATGTGCATGTATGTGTGGACCCGTGTGAGATTAAAAAAGGGACTAAGTCCCATGCCTGCCTTGGTTTTCAGCCAAGAGATGAAAACAGCCAAAGCTGTACGGAGAAGAGATCAGGAGACTGGGAAGTCTACTTAGAGTCAAATAGATCCAACAGAACCCCACATCCCTCCCCATGCCAAAAAAAGAAATGTAGGAATCAGGTGGATAGCAATGTGTTCTGAAGTGTGAGATACGTATAAAAATGTGAATGATGATACTGATAAAACAATAATGAGAAGCAGATGAGGTAATATCTGTGAAACTACAAAGCAAGATGACTACCATATCCTAAGTAATCAGTCACTTCCTCTCCTGCCTTCATTTCCTTTATTTCTCCCCTTTATTTTCAGGTCAATTAACCAGCGAACACTCAATACATTCTGCTTGGGTGTATGTAGAGATAGGAAGCTGCCTATAATACAGAGGAAGCCCATTCAACCATTATTTAGCTCCTCCCAGTAGAATGTGTTTGGTGGAGGCTGCTGGGTTGTTCATCTATCTCTATTGGCTTGTCCTTGGAA
The DNA here is from genome assembly GCF_000001405.40 of Homo sapiens. Taxonomy (NCBI): domain Eukaryota; kingdom Metazoa; phylum Chordata; class Mammalia; order Primates; family Hominidae; genus Homo; species Homo sapiens. The sequence continues at coordinate 52,927,141 of NC_000007.14, forward strand.
CTGCTTCTCTTTCTTCTTGGAAAAGGTTTTTTTGTTAGTTTACTTGATTGGTTTTTGTTTTTGTTTGTTTGAACATCAATAATTTACTCCTGGCAGGGAGTGGTGGCTCACACCTGTAATCCCAGCACTTTGGGAGGCCGAGTTGGGCGGATCATGAGGTCAGGAGATCGAGGCCATCTTGGCCAAAATGGTGAAACCCTGTCTCTACTAAAATACAAAAGAAAAAAAAAATTAGCTGGGCCTCGTGGTATGTGCCTGTAATCCCAGCTACTTGGGAGGCTGAGGCAAGGGAATGGCTTGACCAGGGAAGCAAAGGTTGCAGTGAGCTGAGATCGCGCCACTGCACTCCAGCCTGGCAACAGAGCAAGACATCGTCACAAAATAATAATAATGATAATAATTTACTTCTAATAGAGGCAGAAAGTGTAGGTACTTGCCACTTAGAGTATGAGTCACGACACTCGAGGATGTGCACAAGATCCAGTGCAGGCCAACGAAGTTTCCAGAGGCTGCTTTCACAGGAGCCAGAGAGCATTCATCCCTCTTGTTGGAAAAATGTTGCTATATGAAGCATGGTGGCTAATGTTGCCACATCTCCCTTCCCTATGGATGAATGCGGATTGAGAGAACAAACTTGTGTATGTATAGAGTCCTGGAAAAACCGAAGTTCCTGAAAGCTGTTTTGGCTTTTCTAAGATGTGTAATGAGAGCTCAAAAATACTTCCTTTTTATTGAAACTCCTTCTATTTGGCATTCTATGTTTGCAACATAAGTATCTGAGCTTTTATCATATCGAAATATACATTTTCCATTTCGGTTCCTTGTACTTTGATTCTGGCAGAATGATTTAAGCCATGCTTGAATTTGCAATTCTGTTCAGTAGTCAGTCATTCCAATATTCCTGACAGTAGTGACTTAACCTTTTTCTCCCAAGCTCCTCTAAAAATTCTTCATATGATATAGATTACAAATGGTTACCGTCCTAGGAAACCTGTTTTTGTATTTGATATGTCAATGTCTCAGATCTTGTCCACATACTTTCAAAGGCTGCTCCGCTCTAGCTTCCCCTTAGATTTTGGATTGTAGCCTTTGTTTCTTCTCTACCACTCTCCCTCTGTGATCTCATTCCTGGCCCCTGACTTTAGCAATCATAAAAAAAGATCCAAATTTATATTTAGATTTTTTAATTGACTTCCAAACCAATACAGTTTGGCTACTAAATATCATCTCATGAATCTTTTAAATTCCAAGTCTGAAATAAAATTTGCTGTATTTATTTTTCCAAATTTTCTCTATTCCTGAAGTCATGGGGTTGGTAAATTATTACCTGTTATCCACCAAGTCACCCAGTATCAGAGCGCCAAATAAGGCTAGCTTTTCCCAACCAGGTTCCTTATCTGAATCACAGAACAAAGGAAATTATTTGAATCACAGATCAAAGGAAATACTATTTTAGCTCAGTCATAGCCTTCTAAAAATTTCTGTTTTTGTTGAACCTACCAAGGATTATTGTTTTAAGAGTAATGTTACTGTGCAAATTCTGAGACATTGAAACAATTTGCTCTTGGGTGGAAAGAAATCAAGGTGTGGTCTTAGAAGCTGTCTTACGATGTTTCCAAGTCTCTTTTCAATTCATCTGAATTACAGAACAAAGGAACTATTTTCTCCATTATTTCAAAGACGGTGAGTAACTATACTCTTCCAGCTGCACAGGATATGTTAGTTAATTGCACACAATAAGTGTCTTAAGACACTATGATGTAATCTGTTATGGAAACCTGACTACCAATACTTTTATTACCCTAAGTGTTCTTTTATTATTTCACGTCTCCTTATTTCCATTGCCAAAACTTTAGTTTGGCAAATATAATAAGTTTCTTGAATTATTGAAATGATTTGCAAAATAATCTCCCTGCCTTATATCTTGCCCTCATCATTTATCAGCATGTTATGTCTAAACTAAAATTGCCTGTCCCCTCACAAATCCTTCAATAGCTCTATAAAGGAATAAAATGATCTTGAGACATGCCCACCCTGTGGTAATGCTTCATGGCTTGCTTGGTTTCATCCTGTGATGCTATCTTTTAAAATATTGCCTGAAATGAAAGCATACCTCATGTGATGAGAAAAACTTTTCACCCAAAACTTTAAACTCACAATTGTAAATATTCTTTGTCAAGACTTTTGCTTTAAGTTTCTATAGTCAACTAAGTTGATATCTGTTTTTAGGTAAATATTTTTAAGATTTAAGATTTCCAATAAAGCACAAAGATTTACACTATTCCATGTGATGGAACAAAAATTTAATGGATTAACAACTCTTGAGGCCATACCCCCTATCCTTGATGCGAGGATCAGAACTCTGAGAGCCGACATTTCCCATGCCAACCCCACTTGGGGGGACCACATTGAAGAGAGACTTGGAACTGTCCTAGAGACAGCTTCTAAGACCTCACCTTGATTTTTGTCTTCCCAAGTGAAAAGAGTTTCATAGTGTCAAAATTTAAGCAGTAAAACAGTCTGAAATCAATAATCATTGGTAGGTTTAACAAAAGCAGAAATTATTAGAAGGCTATGGCTGAGCTAAAATAAGTAAAGGGATAGTTGAAGACTTAGGCTTAGAAAATGATTAGGATTGCCTGTTCACTCTGATGGTAGTTTCTTTTGCTGTGCAGAAGCTCTTTAGTTTAATTAGATCCCAGTTGTCAATTTTGGCTTTGGTTGCCATTGCTTTTGGTGTTTTAGACATGAAGTCCTTGCCCATGCCTATGTCCTGAATGGTAATGCCTAGGTTTTCTTCTAAGGTTTTTATGGTTTTAGGTCTAACGTTTAAGTCTTTAATCCATCTTGAATTCATTTTTGTGTAAGGTGTAAGGAAGGGATCCAGTTTCAGCTTTCTACATATGGCTAGCCAGTTTTCCCAGCACCATTTATTAAATAGGGAATCCTTTCCCCATTTCTCGTTTTTGTCAGGTTTGTCAAAGATCATATGGTTGTAGATATGCGGCATTATTTCTGAGGGCTCTGTTCTGTTCCATTGATCTATATCTCTGTTTTGGTACCAGTACCATGCTGTTTTGGTTACTGTAGCCTTGTAGTATAGTTTGAAGTCAGGTAGCGTGATGCCTCCAGCTTTGTTCTTTTGGCTTAGGATTGACTTGGTGATGCGGGCTCTTTTTTGGTTTCATATGAACTTTAAAGTAGTTTTTTCCAATTCTGTGAAGAAAGTCATTGGTAGCTTGATGGGGATGGCATTGAATCTATAAATTACCTTGGGCAGTACGGCCATTTTCATGATATCGATTCCTCCTACAAAATGGGAGAAAATTTTCGCAACCTACTCATCTTACAAAGGGCTAATATCCAGAATCTACAATGAACTGAAACAAATTTACAAGAAAAAAACAAACAACCCCATCAAAAAGTGGGCAAAGGACATGAACAGACACTTCTCAAAAAACATGCAGCCAAAAAACACATGAAAAAATGCTCACCATCACTGGCTATCAGAGAAATGCAAATCAAAACCACAATGAGATACCATCTCACACCAGTTGGAATGGCAATCATTAAAAAGTCAGGAAACAACAGGTGCTGGAGAGGATGTGGAGAAATAGGAACACTTTTACACTGTTGGTGGGACTGTAAACTAGTTCAACCATTGTGGAAGTCAGTGTGGCGATTCCTCAGGGATCTAGAACCAGAAATACCATTTGACCCAGCCATCCCATTACTGGGTATATACCCAAAGGACTATAAATCATGCTGCTATAAAGACACATGCACACGTATGTTTATTGTGGCATTATTCACAATAGCAAAGACTTGGAACCAAGCCAAATGTCCAACAATGATAGACTGGATTAAGAAAATGTGGCACATATACACCAGGGAATACTATGCAGCCATAAAAAATGATGAGTTCATGTCCTTTGTAGGGACATGGATGAAATTGGAAATCATCATTCTCAGTAAACTATCACAAGAACAAAAAACCAAACACCGCATATTGTCACTCATAGGTGGGAATTGAACAATGAGAACACATGGACACAGGAAGGGGAACATCACACTCTGGGGACTGTTGTGGGGTGGGGGAGGAGGGAGGGATAGCTTTAGGAGATATACCTAATGCTAAATGATGAGTTAATGGGTGCAGCACACCAGAATGACACATGTATACATATGTAACTAACCTGCACATTGTGCACATGTACCCTAAAACTTAAAGTATAATAATAATTAAATTTAAAAAAATTAAAAAAAAAAATGATTAGGAAACCAGGGAATCCGGCCTCGGGCACAGAACCAGCCTGGACAAGGGACAATGGCTGTCACTGCTGCCCCCTCATCAAGGATACTCCACTACCACTTGCTACTGGACATTGGTTACTCACTCCTCTGACAACAGAAGGAATTCCAAACAACCCAAGCTCCTTTCCATATTAGTCCTGGATGGGATGTTCTATCCCAGAACTTCCATTTTGTTCAACTTCAGTTATGTGCCCATGCCCTAGCTTCCAGGTATCAAGGAAAGCTAATATTTGAGGGGCTTTTTCAGAATGGGAACAATCACCCTTCCTTCTACTGAGTGGCATACAATTTTGGATTTCGAAGAAATACAGGGGTTCTATTGCTAAAGAGAAAAAAAATTAAATATCCTCAGTAGTTTACCTCTTTTAATGAAATATCCACCTATACAGTTATTTCCATACTGACCACCCACTCATACATTTCCTCCAATTAACTTCAAGGTAACTTCTTTCCTTCCGTCACCTCCTCCCAAAAGCAGACCCTGGTTATCCTAAGTAACTGTCTCCATAACCGGGCAGAGAGTCTTGGAGTGACCTTCATTTTTTTATCTATATGTACTATTACCTCATCTCAATACCCAGAAAATGTTTCATGGTGGGAGTTGAGGAAATATTATCAGATTTAGGGGACATTCCTTCCCACTTTGACCTTCATATTTCTCTGTTACTCAATTCCCAGGAATTAGGACTTGACTTCTCTAGTTTTTCCTCCTCTCCACTTTCCTTCCCAAACCTATTCCAAATCAGCAGCATTAACCAAGTTCAATTTAATTTGCAAAATGTTTAATCTTAATATTCTTAGTAATGTACAGATGAATTAAAACAAGTTTATATGTATTCACTCCAATAAAGAAACTCTTTTCTTCCTTTGAACCCTTTCCCTTTTTTTTTCAGTACAAATTACAGAAGTGAATGTTCTGTGCCTCTTTATATTACATTAAATAAGCTCAATGCTGGCACCATTCTTCTTCCAGTTTGGAGAATTAAAATGCTTGTAGTTAATGCTAAAGTATGATGCCCCATCAGACAGTGGAGCTCCTTCCCACAGCTGCTCACCACTCAGGGCCACGTGCCTCCCCAAGAACTGTCCCAGTTTAAAAAGAGCCAATTTGCCAAAGTTACACATCCTCTTCAGGGACAGCCTCCATCCAATGATAGGTCTATTTGTAGAGTACACAGACTGAGCCTCCTTATCCCAATTCTGCATTTAAGACAGCTGTGGATGCCATGTCAGGGTCAGGAGTCCACACAGACCTGTTTGTGGCCACTGGATTCCTATCAGCCGCTCTGGCAAACCTGTTTTCTTCATTCTTTTGTAGGTAGCGTTCGTTCTCAAGAACACTACCAATAGGCTTACTGCATGCTCATGTCCATCTCAAGGTCAGAAACAATCTTAGATCATAATAGAAAAGGTGGTTGACTTTTTATAAAAATGTAAAATAATTGTAAGGCTGATGCATTTCTGCATTGAGCTATACTTTTATTATCATTGATGTTATATTGTTTTAATGAAAATGGTGAACTCCACCAAATATTTAAGAAGATAACACCAATCTTACATTAACTTTGGTAGATAATGTAAAAAGAGGAAATATTTCCCAACTCATTTTATAAAGCCAACATGCTTTCGATACTGGTGCTTGACAAACATGTTTTAGAAAACTAAAATTGTAGGCCAGTATTTTTCAAAAGCACAGATGCAAAAATCATAAATAAAACACATCAAATTAAAACATATAACAACCATATTTTTCCTGTAATTGTAATTATCAGCATATATGCTCCAGAAATAAGACATATGTGAAGCAAAATCCATGAATAACAATTACAGAAGTATTAATTTGACATAGTCAGAAAGTGAAAACAAACAAATGACCATCAACAGAAGAAAAGATAAACAAAATGTGGTATATTTACAAGGGAATAGCATGCGGTACTGAAAATAAACTACAGCTGTGTACAACAACATTGATGAATTTCACGAAATAATTTTAAATGAAAGAAGCCAGACTCCAGAGTATATACACTTTTGAATCTCCATTTCTGTAGAGTTTTAAAACAAGCACACTTAATCTATGGGTATAGCACTTTGGAAAACCGTGCCTTTGAATAAGAAGCAAGGACTAATGATTGGAAGACTGTTACATTGCATGCAAAATAAAGAAAATATCCCTACTGATGGAGCTCATCTAGTTGGGGCTGACAGGCAATAAAAGCAAGAAAATAAATAAAATATGCAGGTTGTCAGTTAATAATAAGGACTATAGGGAAACATATATGTGTCAGGAACCCGAAAGATATAAAGTATTATGGTGAAGTGGGATGTGAATGGTGTGTAACTTGCTTGATTCCAATACAATTTTTAGAAAGGACAGAGACCTGAAGGCAGTGAACAGGTAGACCAGTGAAGAGGTCATGGCAGACCGGGCGCAGTGGCTCATGCCTGTAATCCCAACACTTTAGGAGGCCAATGTGGGTGGATCACTTGGAGTTCAAGACTGGCCTGGCCAACACGGTGAAACCCTGTCTCTACTAAAAATACGAAAATTAGCTGGGTGTGGTGGTGGGTGCCCCAGCTACTCAGGAGGCTGAGGCAGCAGTATTGCTTGAACCCGGGAGGCGGAGATTGCGGTGAGCCCAGATCGTGCCACTGCACTCCAGCCTGGGCGATGGTGACAGATTGAAACCCCATCTCAAAAAAAGAGGTCATAGTGGCAGGGTGTGGTGACTCATGCCTGTAATCCCAGCACTTTGGGAGGCCAAGGTGGGCAGATCATAAAGTCAAGAGATCGAGACCATCCTGGCCAACATGGTGAAACCTCGTCTCTACTAAAAATAAAAAATTAGCCGGGTGTGGTGGTGGGTGCCTGTAGTCCCAGTTACTCAGGAGGCTGAGACAGGAGAATCACTTGAACCTGGGAGGCGGAAGTTGCAGTGAGCCAAGATCACCCCACTGCAATCCAGTCTGGAGACACAGTGAGACTCCGTCTCAAAAAAAAAAAAAAAAAAAAGAGATCATGGCAACCATTCAGGCTGGTAGTGGCTGTATGGGCTTGGACAGACGTGATGATGTTAAGGGATGGAATAAGGAGAAGTAGACAGATTCCAGGTGTATTTGGAAAACATAGGTGATAGAATTTGGTGATGGGTTGGACATATAGTGTGAAACAGTAATAAAGAACGAACACAAGGCCAGGCGCGGTGGCACACGCCTGTGATTCCAGCACTTTGGGAGGCCAAAGTGGATGGATAGCTTGAGCCCACGAGATAGAGACCAGCCTAGGCAACATGGTGAAACCCTGTCTCTACAAGAAAATACAAAAAATTAGCCAAATATGGTGGCATGCGCCTGTAGTTCCAGCTACTCGAAAGGCTGAGCTGGGAGGATCACCTGAGCCCTGGAGGTCTATCAAGGCTATAGTGAGCCATGATTGTGCCACTGCATTCCATCCTAGGTGTTGGAGTGAGACCCTATTTTAAAAAACAAGAAGAATGAACACAAGATGTGTTTAGCCCGAGAAGCTGAAAAGATAGGGTTTCCATTTCCTGATGCAGGATTTTGGTTATGGACTTGCATGGTTGGAGTTGCCTACTACTCATACTAATGGAGATGTCAGCAATGACATTGTTTATATGATGTGAAACTCAGGTGAGGTCTGGTCTGGGACAAAACTTTGGCAACTATCAGCAAATTTATGTGTTATATTACACTATGGAGGGGATTACCACGGAAAGTTCAAGAGTGTGAGATACTCCAATCTTAGAGTTCAAGGATATGGAAAAAGACAAGCATATGGGACTAAGAGGAGCAGAAGGTAAAGTAAGAACCAAAAAAATAAAAACAATAAATATTAAAAATCCAGAATGATGGGCTATCCTGGAAGCCAAGTGAAGAAAACTTTTCACAAAGAACTTTCAAGAAGTATGGAGTGATCAGCCATGTCAAATGCTGCTGACAGTTCAGTAAGGTAAGGATTGGAAAGTAAGCATTAGGCTTATGAGTCTGGAAACAACTGGTATACCTGATAGGAGTGAATTTTGTGCATTTGTGGGGTAAAACCCTAAGTGTAATGCATTTGAGAGTAAATGGGGGATAACTCATTGGAGACAGTGAGAATAAATAATATTTTCACAAAACTTTCCTGTAAAATGAGCAGTGAGTAAAAGAAGTAGTTAGAGGTGGGCAGAAAAATCTAGAGTTTTTTTTTTTTTTTTTCAAAATGAGGGAAATTATACTACATTTGCTGATGAAAATTAATGAACATTGAAGGGGAAACTGAGGATTAAGTTAGAAAGGAGATAATTTATATGTAATGTTCCTGAGTAAAAGAAATAGGATCACAACAAGTATACAGTTTGAAGGGTTGGCTTTGAAAGGAGCACAAGGAATTCATTCCTGGTTACAGAAAGAAAGTCAAAATATCTGACCACAGAAGTAAATGGGTGATACGGCAGCAGGCTTATAGATATTCTTTTCTGATTACTCTCCTCCTATTTACTTCTCTGTCTTCATCTTCCTGTTCTCTCCCAGTCTTCCTTCCCTCTTTGCTGTCCTTCAAGTCACTATAACTTCCTCTAATCTCCGTGACTTTTTGCTGATTGTTTTCCATAAATACTTATGGGGCTTAATCTTTCAGCTTCTGCAAGTTTCTACACATATGTCCCCTTCTCTCTGAGATCTGCTCTGGCCACCGTACAGAAAATGGCAACTCCTTCTTACTTTCATTCCCTGCTGTATTATTCTCCTTATTATTTAATAGCCATCTAATATATTATACCCTTTACTTATTTAGCTTATTCAATAGCTACTTTTTCCATCATATAGTTGAATGATTTGGCCATAACTCTATTCTCCATTTCTCTATTGGGGGAGCAATTGCTATGGGCTGGTCATATTTGGGCATACTATGCCTGGTTTACAATAATTAACCATTATTAATAATATACATTTTTGATATTGATTTATTAGCTAAACTATTTCAGGATATAACAGAAATTGAAATGATTCTCAAATATCCAAAAGAGACTAGCTTAGCATTAACCTCATATGGAAATCAGACAGAAGGAGTACAAATAAAGATATAGACTAATTATACTTATTAATATAAATGTAGAAAACTAAAATAAATTTTAATAGGAAAAGAATAATGCTTTATAATAAACTAGATCTTACTTAAAGAATTCAATTTGCATTTCCTCACTAACAAATTAAAAGAGAAAAACATAAAGTTATTATCTTCACCACAGATCTTGAAAACTGTATAGAGCACCCTTGACATAACTCACTTCATCTTAGAAAAAGACTCTATTTTGTATGTCATAGGGAACTTTGCCAACAAGGATTTGATATTTTACTTAATAAACAAATAAAAATATAGAGACTGTATCCAACCAGGTATGAACATAAACAAGCACACTCTTCCACTATCAACCGTCACCAGATGACTCTGTGGTCATAAAAAGAGCAGGCCTTCAGTAGCTCCAAATGGCCATCTTAATCCACAACTGTTTTGCTCTCACTCATGATAAGAACTTGGCATCTGCCACTGAAGGCTCTGCCACATCACAGACTCTTCCTCGCAAGACCCACAGAACATATGGCCCAGACCAGAAGACTCTTTTTGTCTTTTTCACTCTCCTTGGGCTGGTTTATTAACCCTTTCCCCTATCTCTTTTCTCTTGATGTTAAGTGTTACTTTGTTTGCTGTGGACTGTTTAATCTATAACATTTATATGTTGATTAGGTATAACAATATGTGTGGTTTTTTATATTGACTAACTTGGGGAGTGGTTTCAGCCTCTGTGCTCATGGCTCTGACTACCAAGTGAATGGGAAAAAATTGCGTCCTTAGGAATGCCAGGTAGCTTGTGGCTTTTGTGATTGAAACAGCATCAATAAAAGTCTGACATTTGGAAAGGCACAAATGTACATGGATCTGGTGATATATAATCTTGCACCAACTTATGAGAAAAATTATTTGATAAAATTCGAGATCCATTTCAGATTTAAATATACATATAATCAAACTAGAAAGATAATTTGATAACTTAAAAGAAACCTACCAGAAACCTACAGCAAACATTGAGCTTAATGTTAGCACATTAAAGGAAACCCTCAGACCAGCATGTTCAATGTTGCTGGGGCAATTCAGTAATGAACTGATGATTCCAGTCAGTGCAATAAGATCAAGTCAAATAGTAGACTATAAATCTGAAGAGAAGAAGAAATAAAATATAATTTAATTAGTTAATCAGAGTATCTCCCTAGAGACACAAAAGGGATGGCAAAAACTGTAGGGTACCTAGGGATAATTATAACAAGAGTCTCAAGTTCTCTACTAAGTTGATTTAAAATTTTAGTCTATATCTTTGTTTTTTAAAGACTGAGGAATGTTTTATCATCTTCAACAATGGAAATACTTAACACTTCAATATAACGATTATCTACAAATTGATATTTGAATTCAATTTAATTCCTTTCAAAAAAATTTTTAAGTCTTTATATAGAACATTGGCCAACAAACTATGGCCTGTGGGCCAAATCTGACCCATTGCCTGATTTCTTAAATTAAGTTTATTGGAACAAAGCCCTGGCTGTTTGTTCAAATATTGCTTATGGCTGTTTTTTGGTACAATGGCAAAGTTGAGTAGTTGTAATAGAGACCATATGGTCTGAAAAGTCTAAATATTTACTACATGGCCTTTATAGAAAAAGTTTGCTGATTCCTGATATAGAAGAACAAAGACCCCAAATAGGTGAATGTCATTCATAAAAAATAATCATGTATTTAAAACTGCATATATTTTCAAGCACTTAAACAATTAACACTCCATCTAGTGTTAATTGTTTAAATGCATAAAAGTATATACTGTTTGATCTCACTAAGAGAAGAAACAGAAGACTAAATCACAGATTTAAGCAAATCTACACCTACAGAAAAGAAGGATGTGGAGGTAGTTGCCATTGGAGTACAAGTACATGGGAAGGGGGTGGATTGAAATTTCTATCTTAAATATGTTTTTACTGTTTGTTTTTTTCTGAACTTATCTCTATTTCAAAAGGAAGATGACAAAAACAGAAAAGTTCAGCCTTTGGATAAGATTTTTGTCTCTTCTCTCTTCCTTCTGGAAGCTGAATGATCACTATGTAACCTGCCTCTCCCCTTTCCTTAGTGGTATAATCAGAATTATGACAGCTTACTAGTTCTTCACTCCATGCACTAAAGAGACACCAACACTCACATCTGGGCCACAGTGCAGAGGCAGAGGCATGGGTAGGCTCTTGCATGGGGGCAAGTCTTCAGGCCTAATGAGTTTAGGGGGCCTGCATGGCTAGCTGTATTCTCTGTCCTCTGGGCTTCTAATTGTATGCTTTGAGGCCAATGCCTCAGTGAAATTTTACAAGTTCTGCTTGCTGTTGTTTCTGGTGTAGAAATTCCCCTAAGGGTTCTCATACAGCTGGGTGTGTCTGGTTCCCAGGGCCAAGTATCCACTCAGTAACTCTTGATTATCACCACACCTCTAACACCATCAATAAAGAGCTCTGGAAACCCTTATTTTGTATCAACAAGTAATATAACATACACACACATATACACACACATTTGTGTGTGTGTATATGTGTGTGTATGTATGTATGTGTATATGTATGTATATTCTGGGACTCACACAATTCTTGGAAGATTCCATTGTGCTTTCTAGCTTATTTTTGAATACTTTGAACGTCAAGTATTTCCCTAATCTCATGAGAAAATCCATTCAATTTTTAAATAGTTTTAATTATAATGAAATTCTTTCCTGCAGGGAGCTGAAACCTGCCCATGCATGACATTTACCCATGGGTTATAATTTGAGCTTGAAATCCAACACACGCATGATCTTCTCTGCAGGAAAGATGTTCACATGACTAGGTGGCTGCTGTGTGGCCAGAGCGTTCTCTTTTCCCGGTTCACCTTTCTGGGTTCGTTCTGCTGCTCCTTTCTGTTACCCCATCTTCCTGCACCTCTATTCTTTATCCATGATTCGACTCATCGTCTTGATTTATTTAACTCTGGGCACAGATTCCTGCCCTTCGCTTTGGGAAAATGACTCATCTCTTGTTCTTTCCAACCTGTGGATGAACATTGAAGATCTTGGTCTGTCACTCTGGAAACTCATGGAACAAACACTAGTGCAAGACACCCTGCCTGGAGATACATCTCCGGGTGGTAGGTAAGGGCATGATTCCCTAAGAAACAGTTCCCTGGCCTTTGACCAATTAGTTGAGAGGTATGTGTACCCATGGCCGTTCAAAACTTTATCAGAAAGAGAAATGGTTCTTTGTCTTTAAAAGAGACGTGCACACTCCTGTCCTGAATTGGACTGGCTGAATGATTCTGTAGCCCCATCCACTAGGCTAGCTGTGCCTGCGTGCAGCCAGACTGGAAAAGGCTGCTTCTCCTGCTGGCCGCATGGTCTCCTCCCATTTCATGCTGTCCCACATTCAGGCAGTTGCCTTGGATGCCTGTGTGGCTGAATAGACCTGGCCTACAGTTGGCCATTTTCAATGCGGTCCATTTGGTTTTATTCCCAATTCATTTTATTATTGATTTCTTTTAAGAAGCAACACCTTACTCTGCTGTTGTCTAATTACTTCATGATCAAAGTAGTGCTTTCCTCAGTTTGTCTGCTCTGTTCAAAGCCCCTGTCATCAGTGAATACCAGTGGCTAAGCCAGAGGGATGCTGTTCCCTATAAATATGTATTGGAGATGGTCAAAGTGCAACACAAAGCTTTTTTGGCATGTGTTGAAGTGTGATAGCAACCACCTTCCACACCACATTCTGTATTTCTATTATTTGCCAATATGTAATACTTGGTAATAAAACCTTCACTGTTTTAAATAGTAAACAGTCTCTAGTTTCACTTGAATTCAATATATTGCTTTTATATTTCTTTATTTCTAATCCTAAATACACTGTAACTTTTCTGCTGTTTCACTTGGTAATGTAGTTTTTCTCCAGTAGGGAAGCACCACATGTTTAAGCAATAAAACTTGTTTCCCAGATGTTCTACTTCTTTAAAACTACAGCAGCTAATTCACTTACATGTAAAGACTTTTGAAAAGTAGATCTTGCCATCTTCAAATAGAAAATATAATTCTTCCTCCCACTTAAAAAAATGGTTATATATCATCCCAGTTAAATGGTTGATGGCAAACAATTTGCCTTGCATTCCTAGCTATTGGACTCAGAGGTGACTGCATGAGAAACGTGACACCATGGAACTGAAGTGTTCTCCAAGTCAAAGAGAAAATTAGACATACATCCTTGTCCCTGACGACTGCCACTGCAATAAATTGCATTCTGTTTCTTCCTGGAAAATTGACTAGGGTTTTGGAACATGAAGGCAAACATGTGCTGACCATGCCGCCAAAGAATGCCAGGAAGGAGGCAGAGAGGTGGCTGATCATGGGGATCCTTTTCTGCCCAGCTCCATGGTTGGATCTATGCTGTATGTGAGGACTGCTGGAGAAGGGAGTTGAGTCCAGGAGGAGGAACCCGAGGTTGTACTTTAGCAGTTTCCATAGTTCCCTTATGGCCCCATCGTCTTGGGGTGCTTCTGTTGCTTCACTTTCATTTTACCCTAGAAAATCACTGCAGCCTTCTTAGAACTCTACCCCAGTGGAATCCTCTTCTCTCCATAGTGCCATCCTGTCTGTTAGCTTTAGTGCAGGGAGAATCAGCTTCAGGTGTCACGAACAGAAGTCCAGGAGCATCAGGTGACTCCAAATCACTGTACCCTGGCAGAGGGGAACCACAGGATCATAAAAAAGACATGCAAATGAAAACACCACACTGCAGTTATTCATCTTTTAAGACATAGTGCCAGTCTCTGTGGAGCAAGACAGAGTTGCAGGAAAGAAATAGTCAGAGGTGTCTCTGTCCTTTCCAAAATAGCCATGAAATTTCAGTAGGGATATAAATTATGAATCAGATCCAATAAAGTGTAATGGCTGGATACTTGCTGTCATTAGAAAGGAAAGCTGCAAATGAATACTTGGACATATTCACAATTAGGTAAAAGATAGTAGATGATTTCTAGACCCTAAACTAGATGAGAAAGAATTTGTAATGTCCCACCAAGCCTAGGTAATTTAAAAGCAAAATGTGCTGTTTCTAGTTTCATGTGTTTTTTATCTCATTGACAAAGCATGCTTCCTATACAAAGAAATGAAAACAGAAATCATTCAGGGGTGGCAATAGTAAAAGCTGATAACTTAAAATAACTAAGGATCACTATCATTATTATGATTGATACATCCTTCCAAATGCTTTGGTGATATTATCTCATATAACCTTCCCAAGAGCCACATTAGGCAGGATACTACCATTAACCCTATTTTTTAGCAACTGAGGCACACAGAGATTAATTTGGCCAAGATCTCAGAAAATTCAGAAAATAAATAAAATGAGTCATTTAGGATTTCATTACAGGGAGGCACTAGATTTAAAGAAAGTGCTTAGAATAGATCTCTCAAAGAAGATGTAAAGGGAATTTTAGGAAAATCAGGAATCATTAAAAGAAACATTACATTAGGGACATGAAGAGAGAAAAATGCCTGGAATGTTTTTGAAGAGTGTGTTTTCCAATCGTTTTCTTCAACTGATGTCTCCTCTTGATAACGCCTTGCATGACATTACGTTACACTTGGCAGTAAATTTAATATCATGTCTAAATTAGGTTAATGTCTTTTGTGGTGAAATTATATTTTAGTCTAGTTACTCTGTCAGCTTGATGGTCAGGTTTTTCTTTAAATGATAAGGTGAAAGAATGTGTAGAAGATGTAGACTATGTGAATAACCAAATGTATAAGCTTAATATAATTGATATTAATCCTGTACCCAAGCATTACTATAGATTTCTTCAAGTAACTATAAAACATTTATAAAAATTAACCATGTACTTCTTATGAGATAAATCTCAAGATATTTCAAAAATTAAAATAAAACATACCATAGTCAGCAATCACAATAAAATTAAAATTAATATAAAAAGTAAAAACCAATGTTTGTAACCTAAAAAAATTCTCAATGGTTTTAGGATAATAACATGAATTATAACATTTAAAAAATATAATTAGAACTAAACGATTAAAATAAAGCATTGCAATAATGTATTAAGTGAAAACTGTATTAGATGAAACTTTATACCCTTAAAAGCTTATTGAGGTACAAAAATGGTAAAAATCAAAGAGCTGACTGCCTACCATAAAAATTAGAAGACTAGCTAAAGAATAAATTGAGCTAGGCACGATGGCTCATGCCTGTAATCTCAGCAACTTGGGAGGCCAAGGCGGGCAGATCACTTGAGGTCAGGAGTTTGAGACCAATATGGCGAAACCCCGTTTCTACTAGAAATACAAAAATTAGCCGGGATGATGGTACATGTCTGTAATCCCTGCTTCTTGGGAGGCTAAATCAGGAGAATTGCATGAACCCCGAAGGCGGAGGTTGCAGTGAGCCGAGATTGCACCACTGCATTGCAAACTGTGCACAGAGTGAGACTCCGTGTCAAAAAATAAAAATAAATAAATAAATAAATGTAAATAAATCAATTGACATTAAGAAAGAGATAGTAAACTAAAATAAAGAACTAGGCACTAAAATAGGGAAATAAAACATAAAACATTGATAATGTCAAATATATATATTAATGATATAGATAAACTTGTGGTAACAATAACATAGAAAAAAGAAGCATATACTGAAAAAGCGGTGGCTCATGCCTGTAATCCCAGCACTTTGGGAGGCCAAGGCTGGCGGATCATGAGGTTAAGAGGTTGAGACCCTCCTGGCCAACATGGTGAAACAGCATCTCTACTAAAAATACACAAAATTAGTTGGGCATAGTGGTGTGTGCCTGTAGTCCCAGTTACTTGGGAAACTGAGGCAGGAGAATCACTTGAACCCGGGAGGGGGAGGTTGCAGTGAGTTGAGATCACGCCACTGCACTCAAGCCTGGCAACAGAGCGAGACTCCATCTCAAAAAAAATAATACTATGAATAAAACAGGCCAATTATAGGTCAATCACTCTCATAAATATAAATTTAAAAATATTAACATAATCTTGATAAACCAACACAACAATATATAAGAAATGTATTTTGTTTATTATCAAGGTTGATATATCTAAAACATCTATTACTGTAATTTGCCATATTAATAGGTTAAAAGTTTACGTACTATATAATATATGCACACATTATGTATATATTAAGAAATATATACATATGTCAACATAACATAACCATATCAATACATACAATATAGCCATATCAATAGGTGGGGATAAAAGCTCGATAAAGTTAAATGTCAGTACATGATACAGAGGGGAATTTCTTTTATAGATAAAGAGTACTTACCAAAATCCAAAGCAAACATTATATATAAAACAAGGACAAGACAACAAATACTAAGTATATCTACTATTTTTTCCATGTAATCCTGAAGAACCTACCTAAAACAGCAACAAATTTTTATTGCAAGCTGATCTAATTTTTTTCCACAAGCAAATCCCAAATAATTCACAAAGGGATTATTGCAATAAAAAAAGAGAGTTTTGAAAGTTTGCTGAAAATAAGAAACATCTTTAAAAATAATGTATTTTTATATACCAAGAGCAAGAACAATATAATTTTAAAAAACTGCATTTATAATATCAAACTACAACAAACCTAAGGATAATAAAACATAGCTGTAGAGAAAATTTTAAAACTTTCATGCACATTAAAAAAACTATCACAATAAAATATTTTAGCAAGTTCAATGATATAAAATTCAGTATCTTAGTGTTGTTAGTTTTTTCATATTGTTTTGTATATAGTCTCAAATGCAATTCCACTCAAATCCTAATTAGAATCTCATATGAAAAGATGAGAACCAAACAATAGTTAAAAGATATCCCTAAAGAAAAATTGAAAAGATATTTTTATAAAAAATATTCAATCTCTATATAAAATTACAGAAAATAAATAATGTTTATAAGGACACAAACATAGATATAAATGGAACATAAGATAGAGACTCTAGAAAAAAGCATATGTCTATGAAATCTAATATTTTATAGATAGATCATTATGGTCACACTGAAAGATGTAGCACTGAATTAATAATACTCAGATAATTTCTATCCATATGGAAAAGTAAATAAATTTAGAACTTTATCACACAAAACATAAAATTCAATTCCGGGTGGATTAAAGACTTAAATATAAAAGGTAAAAACTTTAAAATATTTAAAAGAAAATGAGTATGTTTCTGTCATCTTGAAGTCACTATAGATTTCTAAATAAGATGCAAATATGTCAAAGTATCAAGGGAAAGACCGTCGAACATCAATCTCTTTAAATTAAAACTTTCTGTTGTAAAACTGTGATAAGGAATGTGAAAGACAGTCTAAAGTACAGAAAATATTTGCCACATATCAACTAATAAAAGTCTAGCATACAGAATACATGAATGACAATGAAAAAATAAAAATGCTGGATGAATTAGTGTTGGCTAACTACTAGAACAAACTACTCTAAAAATCTCAGTGACTTAACACAATACAGTTGTATTTGTCATTCATGTTTCATTCCAATTTCTCATTTGACTTGTGGCCTTCCAACTGGTGATTCAGACAATGAGTCCCTTAATAATGACTCACCATAACCTGGGGCCTTAAATCCTTCACTACATCTAGACTTTGTTGCGGGGTGATAATATATTTAAGATTTGGAGAAGAATGAAAGGAATTTTAGGGACAAATCTTGGGAGCAGTACATGTCCACCCACATTTCATGGCCCAGGCAAGAATTCATAGACAGATGTATATACGCACACAGACACATGGACCACACCTACTTGTTCAGGAAGACAGAGAGTTTGGTGAACAAACAAATTCAATCAGGATTTGTATTGCAAATACTTGCAGCCCAATGGAAAAGTGGATAAGAATCATGACATAAATGTTTCAGAGAAGAAAAGAAAATGTCCAATAAAAATATTTAAAATATTTTTAACCTCTTTGTAATCAAATAAATGTATATTAAAACCATAATGAATTAGGTAATATTTAACAGCCACTAGAAGAACAAAACGTTTTAATGTTGTGTTAAGAATGTGAAACAACATAAATTCTTACATACTGACAGTGTCAGTACAAACGGATATCCCCATACTGGAAAACAATTTGAATGTATCCAGTAAGTTGAGGCCATGCCCCAAGTCCCACTTATTACCTGTCATAACAAAAATAAATAAATTTTTATTTCAATATTAAAAACTATAAATATTTGAAATGGTTATTGAGAAGAACTTAGGTAAGTAAATTGCTGGGTAGTCACACAATGGATTTCAATGCATTAGTGAGAATGAAAAAAAATCTACCCATAAAAATGTGTGTGACTATCAGCAAAATAATATGGAAAAAAATTGGTCACAAAAGCATATGTACAGTCAAAATTAAATTGCATTATACCAAAACACACACATTATAACCCCAACAGAAACAAAAGAATGATAAACAGGCATGCAAATGGTTATTTCTTTTTGGGGGCACATGTAGGGAGCACAACCAAAGAAGACAAGAGGCTTTTATAATTTTGATGTTGTTATTCCTTAAGCTGAATGCTGGGTATATGCTGGTCCATTTTATTACACATTATACATACTGCACTTACGTATACTTCCTTTTATAAGCATATGGTATGTTTTTAAGTAAATGCTGTTGGTCTAGATCAGAAAAAAGTGGCCAAATATATAGAAAAGGAACCTTGAATAGCCAAAGCAATCTTAAGAAAAAAACAACAAACCTGCCTGCGTTACATTACCTGATTTCCAAATATACTGCAAAGCTGTAATAATCAAAACAGCATAGGTATTGACATGTAAATAAACGTATAGACTGGTAGAACCAATAGAATAGAGAGCCCAGAAATAATCCCATCCGTTTATAGTCAATTGACTTTTGACAAAGATGCCAAGAGAACAATGAATAAAGGGCAATGTCTTCAATAAATGATACTGGGAAAATTGAATATCTACATGTAGAAGACCAAAATTAGACACTTATCTCACACCACATACAAACATCAACTCAAAATGAATTAAAGACTTAAATGTAAGACCTGAAACTATAAAACTACTAAAAGAAAATATAGGGGAAGAGCTTTATGACATAGGTCTGGGCTATGGCTTTTGGAGGGCGATAATATACCAAAAGTACAGGCTACAAAATCAAAAATAGAAAAATAAGACTACATCAAACTAAAAAGCCTTTGAACAGCAAAGGAAACAGTAAAGTGAATTGGAGAAAAAATTTGCAAATTATGCATCTAATAAGGGATTGATATCCAAAATACATAACAAACTTAAACAACTCAATAATAAGAAAACAAATAACCCATTAAAAAAATTGGCAAAGGATCTGAATAAGAATTTCTCAAAAGAAGAATTACAAATAACCAAATGACATATGAAAGAAATGCCAAAATAACAAATTAACACATAAATGCAAATTAAAACCACAATAAGGGCCAGGAGCTCACACCTGTAATCTTAGCACTTTGGGAGGCTGAGGCAGAGAATTGCTTGAACCCAGGAGGCGGAGGTTGCAGTGAGCTGAGATCATGCCACTGCACTCCAGCCTGGGTGATAGAGCGAGACTCCATCTCAAAAAAAACCCAAAAAACAAAAACAAAAACAAAACAACAAAAAAACAAAAAGAAACACAATAAGCTATTACATAATACATGTTAGAATGGCTATTATTACAAAGATGAGAAAGATAAGTGTTGGTGATGATGGGGAGAAAACAGAACTCTTGTATACTATTGGTGGGAATGGAAATAGTATATCCATATGGAAAACAGTATGGAGGTGCCTCAAAAAATTAAAAATAGGGCAATCATATGATCCAGCAATCCCACTAATAAGTGTTTCTTCAAAGAAATGACATCAGAATGTCAAAAAGACATTTTTTCTCCCAAGCTAATTGTAGCATTATTCACAATAGCTGAAATACAAAATCAGTGTAAGTGTTCATCAAAGGATAAGTGGATAAAAATGTGGTATATATACACAATGGAATACTATTCAGCCTTTAAAAAGAATAAAATCCTGTCATTTGCAACAACATGAATGATCCTGGAGGACATTATGTTTAATGAAATAACACAGACATAGAAAGACAAATACCACAGCCTTTCACTTAGATGTGGAAGGTAAAAAATGTCAAACTCGTAGAAGCAGAGGGTAGAATGGTCATTACCAGGGGTTGAAGGTGTGGGTAACTGGCAAGGTTTTGGTCAAAGGATACAAAATCTGAGTTACATAGAAGTAAGTTCAAGAGATTGATTGTACAACATGGTGTCTATAGTATTGCATTCTTGAAATTGCCAAGTGAGTAGATTTTAAGTTTTCCCACTATAACAAAAAGAAAGAAAATTTAAAAATGAAAAAGTTTTCAAGATATTGGCCCTAAACTAGAGAATAAAATGACACGCAAATCACAAGGGTTGGCGCTAGCTTTAGACAGAAGAGGAAAGGGTTTCTGAGTTGTAATCAAAGGGAAAGAAAAGGAAAGAGTACACATAAAAACAAATAACTATATTGGATAAAAAGGTAAGAAGTAAGAGGTACGATGTTGTTGATACTGAGTAATGATGAGGACATGATTTGGTAATTTCAAAAGCGTGAAAACCATTTGAAAAAGTCATTTTGACATCTGGCTTCCAGTCCAAAATGTGAAGAGTTTGGAAGTCATGTCCTTTGATTCTCGCAACACTAAAAATGCTGAAATTCAATTCTCTTGAGATCCATTGGATAACTGAGATCTCATCACATTCTGCAGTCTCTAAAAAAAGCTGGAAAGACAGGAGGATAAGGAAAGTCACAGCTCATCAGGAGCACCAACTAGTCAGAAGTGCTGATGGAGCCAGCCCTGGGTGAGAATGCTGACAGGGTAATGGACAAATTGCTGAACTGGGGTGGGCTAGCTTGGGAGATTAAAATCTCTGGAGGCCCAGGCTAAATAAACATTAGAGTTTTAGAGTTTTACCTCTAGGTGCCCTATCTTGTTCTCATTGTGAATCTTATAGAAAAATTCCCTTACATTTATGGCAGGGGAAGGAGAAAAATAGGCATTTTAAAATTAGACTGGAACACTGTGTGTTCCTATAGAAAGGACTGCACTCAGTGGGAACTATTTTAAGAGTTTAACTGATACTGGAGAGGGAATTATCCAACTCAAGGTTTCAGATATGGGGGCCTTCCCATTTCCATCCTTCCCGTTTGACCTGAAAGTTGAAATAAACAAAACAAAACAAAACAAAAAACTCAGAAGTGCTTGTGAAGGTTGCAGTCCAGGGACATAAGTTCAATAAAATATTGAGACCTAATTACAGTACTATAGAACACTTTTTCTACCCCCCCACGTCTTACTACTACGTGGATGGGCCCTACATAGTAATAGAGGATTATAGGAGAAAAAAACTGCAAAGCTTGGCCTCCTACTTCAAATGAAGCTCAAAGGAAACCAAAAACAGCAGGGGAGACAGCAATAAGACTCCAGAGGGAATTTTAGTCTCTGACACAGTTGGGTGCAGCAAACAGTCAACACAGCCTAACATCTAACCAGATAAAAAGAAAACAGTACTCTGAACACCTATTGAACTCAGCTCCCTTTACCGGATATATCGTGCCTGTCAATTGACAAAAATTTACAAGGCATGTAAAAGGCAAAATACACAGTGTGAGAAGATGTAGACAAATCCACTACTATACTTGGAGACCTCAGTACCCCTTTTGTATTATTTGACAGACCCAGCAGGCAGAAATTCAGTAAAGTTAGAGTGCAACTGACCAGAAACATCAATCAACTGGATATAATTTACATTTGTAGAATACTTCATCCACCAACAACTGAAAACAAACTCCTCCCAAGTTCACATGGAACATCCACCAAGAATCTGGGTCACAAGACACATCTTAACAATATAAAACAAGAGAAATCATGTAAAGAATGCTCTCAGCCGGGTGCGGTGGCTCATGCCTATAATCCTAGGACTTTGGGAGGCTGAGGCGGGCAGATCACCTGAGGTCAGGGCTTGGAGACCAGCCTGGCCAACATGATGAAACCCTGTCTCAACTAAAATACAAAAATTAGCCGGGCGTGGAGGTGGGCACCTGTAATCCCAGCTACTCACTAGGCTGAGGCAGGCAGAATCACTTGAACTTGGGAGGCAGAGGTTGCAGTGAGCCGAGATTGCACCACTGTACTCAAGGCTGGGTGACAAAGCGAGACTCCCTCTCAAAAAAAAAAAAGAATGCTCTCAGACCACAGTGAAATTAAACTAGGTATCAGTACATGAAAGATAGCTGGAAAATGCCCAAATATTTGTCAATTAAACAATACACTTCTACATAACACATGGATGAAAACTGACACAAGAGATTATACGAATATGTATTGAACTCAAGAAATAAATATACAACCTATAAAAATATACAAGCTATAAATAATAAACAAAATAAAAATAAGTATACAATTTATAAAAATTTGTGAGATGCAGTGAAGGCAGAACTTAGAGGGAAATTGATAACATTGAATGCATATATGAGAAAACATTAATGTAAACATTCTAAGCTTTCACCTTAAAACATTAGAAAAAGAAGAGCAAAGTAAATGCCAAATAAGCAAAAGACAAGAAATAATAAAAATTTGGAACAGAAATCAATGAGGTAGAAAACAGAAAATTAACAGAAAAACAGAGAAATCAAAGTAATTGTAACCAAGAGCTCTTTCTTAGAAAAGATTAATAATATTGATAAATCTCTAACCAGAATCATTTAAGGGGGGAGGGAAAAAAAGGAAGGATAGAGATCGCTAATTTCAGAAATGAATGAAGAGCCATTCGAACTGATCTCATGGACTTTAAAAAATAATAAAGAAATACTATTACCAACTTGATGCCTATAAATTTGATAACTGGAATGAAATAGACCAATTACTTGAAGAGTCAATATACTAAAACTCACACCAGGAGAACAGATAATCTAAATGGGTCTACATCTGTTAAAGAAATTTTGTTAACAATCATTAACCTTCCAAAACAGAAAACAGTCACATAGATGGTTTCATTTGTGAATTCTATAAAATGTTTAAGGAAGAAATTGTACCAATTCTGTATAATCTTTTCTAGGAAATGAAGAGGACACTTTCTAACTCATTCTGAGACCAGCATCACCATAATACCAAAACCAGAAAATAACACTACTAGGAAAGGGAATTATAGCTGATTACAGAACTGAGAGATTATCTCTCATGAATATAGAGGCAAAATCCTCAATAAAATTTTAGCAAATCAAATCAATTCATGGATTAATAAATTAATGGATGAATGGGTTATTGTGGGAGTGGAACTGGTGGCTAAGAAGAGGAAGAGAGACCCGAGCAGGCACGCTCAGCCCCCTCACCATGTGATACCCCATGCGTCTTCAAGACACTGCAGTCCCCACCAGTGACAAGGCTCTCATCAGATGTGCCCCCTCAACCATGGACTTCCTAGTGTCTTAAGAAATAAATTCATTTTCTTTATAAATTACCCAGTTTCAAGTTTTCTGTTGTAAGCAACAGAAAAAGAAAAACAAACAAACAAACAAAAAACTAAGATACACAACATATCTAACTGGGATTTATTCAGGTATGTAAGCCTGGGTCAACACTTGAAGATTAATTAATTCATCACATCATCAGGCTAAAGAAGAAAATCATATGATCAGATTACATCAATCAATGCAGAAAAATTATGTGACAAAACCTAGCACCTATTCATGAAAAAAAAATTAGAATTAGAGGGGAACTCCCACAACTTCATAAAGAACATCTACAAAAACCTCTAGCTAACATTATTCATAATAGTGAAAAACTATATTTGTTTCACCTAAAACCAAAAGCAAGCAAGACTGTCCCCTCTCACCAACCAATCATATTCGATTATTAAAAATACAAGCTAATACAATAAGTTAAAAAAGGAAATAAAATATATACAGATTGGAAAGGGAAAAATAAAATTATATCACAGAGGATATAATTGTATTAATTTAGAAAATACCAAAAGGTGACCAAAAAGCCCTCCTGGAAATAAAAAGCAATTATAACAAGGTCATAGAACATAATGTTAATATGTAATATTTAATTGCTTCCCATATACCAGAAATAGATATTTGAAATAACATGATTTACATTAGCATAGAAAACATATAAGCCTAACATCATATCAATAGGGTCCATATTCATAAAACTGCATAACTCTGATGAAAGAAATCAAGTGAGATCTAAATAGATGGATGTTTTATCATGTTCTTGGATAGATTTATTATATTTATTGTATAAAATATCAATTCTCCTCTAATTGAGCTATAAATTCAAGCTAATACTATTCAAAATCCTAGCAAGTTATTTTGTCAATATTAACAAATTGATTCTAAAGTTTATAAGGAAAAGTAAAAGACCAAGAATAGCCAACATAATACTTCAGAACAAAGTTGAGGAACTACCTACTTCAAGACTTACTATAAAGTTACAGTGATCAAAACAGTGTGTTGTTATCTAAGTAATAGACAAATTGTTCAATGGACAGAAGAGCAAGCTCAGAAATAAACCCACACAAATACAGTCAATGAATGTTTGACAAAATAGGTGATTCAGTGGAAAAAAAGAACATTCTTTTCAATATTTGGTGCTAGAACAATTGTACATCCACATGAATCTATAAACAGCTCTTACACTTTTCACAAAAATGGATCATAGACCTAAATGTAAAATGCCAAATTAAACAACTTTTAGAAGATATCATAAAAGAAAGTCTAGATGACATAGGGTTGGGTGATGACTTTTTAGATATAGCACCAAAAACATGATCTCTGGGAAAAAGGTTGATCATATGAATTTCATTAAAATTAAAAACTTATGCTCTTCAAAAGACACTGTAAAAATAATGAAAAGACAAATCACAGACTGAAATAAAATCTTTGCAAAAATATATACCTAATAAAAGATTGGTATAAAAGTACACAAAAACTATTTTAAATTAAGCAACAAAACCCAATTACCAAATGGGCAAAAGATCTGAACAGACATCACATCAAAGAAGATATGTAGATGGCAAAGAAACATATGAAAAGATGCACATAGCATATGTCATCAGGGAATTGTAAACTCAAGTAACAGTGAGATGCCAGTACACTCATTAGAATGACTAAAATCCCAAACACTGACATCAAATGCTGATGAGGACAGAAAGCAATGGCAACTCCCATTTATGTTGCTAGGTATTTATTAAATGAAACGAAAGCTTAGGACCACACAAAAGCCTGCTGACAATTGTTTATAGCACTTTATTCATAACTGCCAAGAATTAGGTGCAAACAAGCTGCCCATCAATAGGTAAACTGATAAACAAACTAAAGTACGTTTATATAATTGATTATCATTCAGTGATAAAGAGGAATACACTATCAAGCTACAAAATGACATAGAGAAATCTTAAATGCATTTTGCTAGGTGAAAAAAGCCAGCCCGAAAAGACTAAATGAGTGATTCTAACTACAGTTTACCCTTGAACAATATGGGTTTGAACAGGTTCAAAAAATACATGTATCTTTTACAAACGAACTTGGACGTAAAACACATTATTGTGAAATGCAAAACGCACATATATGGGAGCCAGCTTTTCATCACACAGGTTTGAAGGGGCTGACTGCGAGACCTGAGTATGGTTGGATTTTGCTATATACCAGGGTCCTGGAACCAATCCCTTGCATATACCAAGGGATGCCTGTATATGACTTCTGAAAAAGGCACAACTCTGAAGGCAATAAAAAGATCTATCCATGCCAGAAGTTTAGGGAGAGGGATAAAACAATGTGAATAGGTGAAGTACAGGGACTATTTTGGACACTGAAACTATTTTGTATAATACTGTTATGGTGAATACATGATAATATGCATTTGGCAAACCCACAGAACTGTACAACACTCTGTAAGCTATGGACCTTTGTTAATAATAATACAACAATATTCGTTCATCAATTGTAGCAAATTTACCACAGTAATGCAAGAAAGCAATAATAGGAGAAATTCTGTGAGAGATGAAAGGGGAGATGATATGTGAAGTCTTCACATTTTTTATACAAGTTATTGTAAGCCTAAAATTTCTCTAAAAATATGCCTATTTGTTTTAAAACAGTGATTGCTTGGGTCAAATTAGAGTAACTTAGTAGGATTATTCACAAATTTTGACAGTCCATTTTTGTTTGGTAATAATTTCTGGCATTTTTCAGTATCTTCTTATATAATTCTTTATTTATTTGCTGTGAGTGAGGTTTAACACAATGAAAGAAGATAGAAATCATTTAGGCCTGTGACTATAACAGATAGAGGTAACACAAAAGATATATAGTAAGAGGAATTGAGATGCTTGTAAAAATTTAGTGAAGTAATGGACCATAGAATCTAAGCCAGAAAAGGGAGACAGTTTATAGATTAAAGACAAAAGTAAAAGATTCAATGGATTGGAAGGATCCATTATATTAAAGAATGGTAGTATTTGGCATAGTTAAAAATGTAGCTAAGAGGGTTATAGCCCTAAGTGTAAAAAATAATACATGGGTTTATAATGTCTATAATTTTATAAAAACATACATCATACACACATACATACAGAAATGGGGGAATATAGACTAAAATTTCTTGCAAAAAATTTTAAATAATATACAAAATACTCTATTCTACTAGAGGTGCTGCTTAATTTCAAACCCGCTAAATGTGGACTGAATTTAGTTACTTAATCCCAAAGAACACAGTATGGGAAGGGAAAGACAATAACTTTGCAGTGCAGACAAATACTACTTTATGACCTTATGCCAGTAATAATTATTACCTTCACCAGTATTGTCATGTAGATGCCATGTACCTCCAGACATGATGTGGTAGAAGGGCATTTCAGCTCTACAATATTCTTTGCAGAATTCCACAAAACTTGTCTAATCATAAGAAAAATGTTTATACAACTCAAATGATGGAACATTCTACAAAATTCCTTGCCAGCACTCAAAATTGCTAAGATCATGAACGACAACAACAAAAAAGAAAAACAAACAAACAAAAAGACTGAAACAGTGTCACAGTCTCCTGGAGACTAAGGAAATGATGAGTAAATGCAATATGGTAAGTGGACTGCATCCTAGAAGAGAAGATGGACATTAATGAAAAACCGGTGGAATCCAAAGATTGGAATTTAATTAGTAACAAAGTGCCAGTGTGGGTTTCTTAGTTTTGACAGATTATCACAACGTCTTAAGATAATAACATTATATAAACCAAAATTGAGTGTGGCATATATGGAAATTTTCTGTAATACTTTTACCACATTTTTGTAAATGTAAAATTACCCCAAAATAAAAACTAGTTTGTATATTTTTAAATAAGAGCAAATGGGGAGAATACTGGCTGATTTTGGAATTCTGAGTTGTCATGTGAATTGGTTGCTTAAGTAAAATGGATTCACTCATTTGGAGACGAGAAAGTTAAAGTAGTGAGAAGGGAGAAGATTGTTTGCTGTCTTCAGACAAAATGGTAGTAAGGTTGATGTGGAATGAAAGACTGTATTGCAGATGACAGAAATTGATGAAAGATGGGGTGTGACTGACATGTCAGTTGATGACAAGAGCTAGAATAGCTTTGTTCTTTTTGTAAGGACGTGAGAGAGGTAGTTGTCTGGAAGCAGAAATGAAGAGCAGGGACTTGTACCTGCTAATCAACTTTGTAATTGGTCCAAGTTTTGAAAAAGGAATTAAAAGTGGACTGGGAGTGGTGTCACCATTTGGAAAGGTTGCAATGGAGGTAATGGCTGTGGAAGGAATCAGGAAAGTTGGAGAAGTAAAGGAAACATCTGGAAAACATGACTCAAATTGTGGTTCCCAGATTCACAATAGCTCTGCGATACTTGCCTGTTGGTATTCATGACTTTTTATGTAGTCTTCTCCCATAATAACTAGTGCTGACTTGTGTCACTGTAAAAGAAAACTAAATTTCAGGGCCCTCTAAATGTATTTAGAGGGAAGTTAACCTTGGCGACTGAGTCAGTAGCATATCTGCAATTTTGCTTGTCAAATTACAGCTTCACTGTCCTGCTCATTGCTCTAGTTCTGTGACTAGATGAACCAGAGACCAGACTTCCTTGCTTCCAGTCACTGATCTTTGTTACAGATTAGCTGCCTCCTTTATTGTCTTATACCAAACTAACATCAGATGGCACAAAATACCCCATGACAGTTACAACTTCAATGTGGAATTGAGACAGAGCAGGGACTCCCATTTTTAGGCACCTGGAGCACCCAAGCATGAGAAATCCTGAGTTTCTTCGAGAGAAATTCTAGGCACCTAGCTAGTCCTGAAAAGTAACTAACCAACTTGTTAAATAAGAAATAGTAGCCTAAAACAATTGTTAAATAAGTTAGAATCCAGGAGATGTTTGCTTTCCTCTTAGAAACTAAAGATAATATCTTAATCTATGTCACTGAATTGTCTGTCAGAAGCTCAGACCACCACTGAGGACCCCCTGAATCGATCCACTGGCACACAGACCCTGGATAGGGTGGAAATTAGGACTAAATTTTAAATATTGCCCTTTGTTCTGTTTCTTCCTAAGGAGCTTGGAGAAAGCCACCCCCTAGAAGTTCACATTTTTCTACTGATCCCCACATTTTTAAATAAAGCTTCTCTTATTCAGTCAATTGCAAATCAGAGGATTTTTAAATCTGTCTACAACCTGTAAGCTCCTGCTTCAAGGATTGAGAGGAGGGACCGGCTGGGCTTCCTGGGTCGAGTAAGGGCTCAGAAAGCTGTGAAACTCACTCATTTCCTGCATCAGGACTTACTTCGGTCCTGGATGAATAATATCGAAGATACATGCTTAAAATATTCATAACACCAGGATTTGTGCATGTGTTTTCTTTCCCAAGGAAGCTATCAACAGAGAAAATTTTGCTGTAAGTTTTCCTGTGTTTTTGTCTCCCTCTCTCCCTTCCCCATCCCCTGAAACTAAAGTAAAAGGAATGTTAACTGCTTGTTTTTCTGTAACCGGCGGAACTTATCTATGCTCCCAATTCCAGTTCCTTGTAAACATATTTTGTAAAGTCCTGTGAGCTCCTGTCTCCTTTGCCATGCGGCTGCAAGGTCATAAAGTAGATAAAACCTAAGTTGCAATTCCGGTTTTCCTCAGGATCTAAGACATGTCATAAATGGCTAGTTGTCTTTGTTTCTCCCTCTCGTAACATCTTCCCGCAGCACGTATTTCCCACCTTAAAAAGTTTAAAAGGCAATTGTGTAATCTAACTCTGTCTACCCATTCGGGACCCTTTCCAAGCTGTGGAAGCTTTGTACTTTCACTCTGCTCAATAAAGCCTACAGCTTTTTCTCACCCTCGGTCCATGTCTCTATTTGGCGTGGCTAGTAAAGAACCTTAGGCGTTACAGTATCCCATTCTTTTAGGCCAAAACCAACGTATTACTTCCATGTATCGATTTAAGATTTTTACCTATAGCTTCCGCTTTCTGAAATTTACCTCACCTTTAAAAACCCTTCCTCGCAAGCCATCGGGGAGGTCAGGTTTTAGGCACAAGCTGCCCGACTCTTCTTGCTTGGCGCCCTGCAATAAATGCCTTCTTTTCTATTGTTGCAAAAACTCATTGTGGGTATCTGGTTTTACTATGCTGGGTGAGCAGACCCCAGTTCGCCTTTATAACAGAATGTTAATTACATCTTTCCTGAAAGAAAAAGACTACCTCGACTAATAAGATTTTTGTACCTATGCATGAAGTCCTGCATAGAAAAATTTTGAAATTCTGTTAAACTTCCTTAAGCTTTGTCTGGATAAGCAATCCCAAGCCTCTACACTTTGTAATACTGATTTCCTTTCTTTGGAATCTGTGCTTCCTGGGTGGCTTGTCCTCGAAATTTGTGCTTAAATAACTCTCTTTAAACTAGATTCTGACCTTTTTGATTATTTTAGGTTCACAGTCACCAGTAAAGTATTAGAGAAAAAAATGTGTGACTTCTGCTAGGCCTAAAAGATTATGGCTTCTACCTCACTCTAGCTTGGGTCACTCACGACTGAGGCAGCTAGCTGATGGGCCAAAGGCCCTGTGGAAAGGCACCGTGGAGGAGTTGCTACTCCCTTCAGCAGCCACCACCGCTTCCCAGAATCAAAACGAGCCACTGGGAAGCGGAGTCTGCACCCGGCCCAGCCTTCAGAGAACTGTAGCCTCCTGCAACTCACCCAGGGAAGCTGCTCCCTTAGTAACTGTGATGTACTAAATGATTATTCTTTATACAAGCCACTCCATTTTCTGTGTAATAGATGAAGATTCGCTGAAAAATTGACTGGCAAAAGGCAGTGAATAGGAGAAAAGATATTAAAATTTTTTAACTAGCATGGTTTAGTCATAGAGTGACTACCCCATAACCCAGTGGAAGCTTATACACCCCTTTTCATAAGGAAGTGGAGAGATGAAGAGTGTAGGCAACTTTTTGGAGGGGCAGGAGATGATTGATTGTTAGGGAGAATGAACGGGCCAGGGCGACAGAAATCAGCTTGTAATGATTCTCTCTGGAATTTCAATGAGCCCAAGAGGCAGATATTGTCTTATGAACAGTCCATTCAAGTTGGTTGTATTCTGGGGATAAACAAAAGGATTTCAGAGAGGAGATGAATGATGACTGGTGTTTTGGGGAAGAAGATTTCTTGATCACCTCAGGAAATTCCAGAGAGAGTCCCTCCTGCTGGTGCCTTGAGAAAGAGGATCCGAGAGATAGGGAGGTGGGGAAACTTCAGAGACAGACCTTGGTTCCGAGGCTTATTTCTGAGACCTTCCCATTTTCAAAGCACTCAGCGTGCTAAAGCCCGTAATTTGGGGCATTGTTTTCTGCACCCTAATAGTGCTACGTAGGCATAGAGAGCTCATGGCCAGTGTAAGGAATGCGTTCATTGGACTCATGGCACAGTTGGAAGATTCCAGAGTTGGGGAGAGTTTGGAAATGGAGTTTCTTGAACTACAAAGTAAGGTGATTGTTTCAGTAACTTGAAATATTGCTTTCCACTCTAACACTTTGTGATCCAATTTGCTTTTATTCGTGGGAAATGCACTCCCTCTGGGGTTTACTGTACAGAGAGTTGGCCTTTGATGCCGCAGGTTGGTGCGATAATTGATGATAAAATAATCTTTGACTTAAGCTTTTGTTGTCAACAAACCTCATGGAATGTTTTTGTTTTTTTCCTTTTATTTAGGCCTCATTGTAATTTAAATCAGCTACTCATTCTGCGCTGCAGAAACATTGTTATATTGTATTTTTTTGTGTGAGAACTAAACTTTGGTTTCATTGTACTGATAAGACCTACAAGTGTTATGAATATGTAACTCCCAGGCAGAATCTGGATGAGGTTCAGTGAGGGCAGAAAGATTAGGCCAGAAAGGCTTTTACAAC
This sequence comes from Homo sapiens, assembly GCF_000001405.40. NCBI lineage: Eukaryota > Metazoa > Chordata > Mammalia > Primates > Hominidae > Homo > Homo sapiens. The sequence goes on from NC_000007.14 coordinate 52,959,024, forward strand.
TATGTGGTTAGAAAAACTATAAAATCAATAGTTTACTTTCTGACTTATTTTAATGCTAATAGCAAATAGAATCACAAGATTTTTAGGAGGTTGAGAAATCCTTTGTTCCATTTAGTTTTCCTTCTTCCAGCAAATTGGTGAGAATCTGACCTGTTTAAAAGCACCTTAAGTGGAAACTCTATTCAAGTTTAAGAACTGAAAAGTATTACTGGACTGGCCAAGCTCGGGTCAGGCTCCTGAACCTTCTCCTAGCCTATCTGTGGACTTCCTTAAGAATTAGTTTCAGCAAAGAACTTTGTGAGCCGATTCCTCCAGACAGAGGAATTGCATAGAGAAAGTTTAATACACATACAGCCAGCTAAATGGGAGACTGGAGTTTTATTACTCAAACCAGCCTCCCAAAAAGTATGAGAGCAGGGTTTTTTAAAGACAGTTAGGTGGGTACAGCCTAGGAAATGGGAATGCTGATTGGTTGGAGATAAAAATCATAGGGAGTTGAAGCTGTCCTCTTGCATTGAGTCATTTCCTGCGTAGGGGCCACAGGACCAGATGAGCCAGTTTACTAGTCTGGATGGTGACAGCTGATCCATTAGAAAGCAGGGTCTGAAAAATAGCTAAAACACCAGTCTTAGGTTGTATAACAGTGATGTTATCCATAGGAGCAATTGGTGGGATTTGAGATCTTGTGGCCTCTGGCTGCATGATTCCTAAACCATACTTTCTAATCTTGTGACTAACTCGTTAGTTTTACAAGGGATGTCTGCTCCCCTCTTTGGGGCAAGGAGGGTGTTTGTTTCAGGAAAGGCTGTTATAATTTTTGTTTCAAAATTAAACTATAACTAAATTCCTCCTATAATCAGCTCAGCCTATGCCCAGGAATGAATGAGGGCAATTAGGAGGTTAAAGGCAAGATGGAGTGGATTAGGTCAAATCTCTTTCACTGTCATAATTTTCTCACTGTTATAACTTTTGCAAAGGCAGTTTCAACACTGCTAAGTCAATTTGGCAAGAAGCCCTCACCCTCAATATCTGATTACTCCCTCGGATATTTGATGGGTTTCCTCATCCTCCCCAAGTGATATCTGATCACCCTGGACTACCTTCAGCAGGAGTCCTGTTAGGTCAGATAAGTAGAATCCTCCTTATCCCTTGTTCTGTATGGTGAAAACAAGGAGATGGGGAAAGTATGATTTCAAGAGTCACACAGTTTCTTTTCATCCAAAGAGAATTTTTCTTAGGTTTGCAATGATTAAAGAGGGGGAGTACAGCATGAACAAACTTCACAGGGAATACCTTTAGAGATGAGATGCATTAACCACATAGGGAGTGAACTTCAAAGTCATTAAAATACTGTTGCTCAGTGACGACACAAGCAGGTCTTTGTGCAAAGATTCCTGATGATGCAGAAGGCCCCTCATGTAAGACAGAGGTGCTGGTGCTGGCAGGCAGGCTCCCAGGCCTGCAGCTGTCTAAAGTCTGGGCATTCTGGAGGCAGCCGACAAAGGACAGCCTGCCTTACCTAAGCTCTCAGAGTGGCTGTCACTCTCTTAAGTTTATATATATTTTTAAAATTTTGGATTGTATAAATTTATGGGGCACAAACGTAATTTTGCTGCATGAATATATTGCATAGTGGTGAAGTTGGGGCTGTTAGTGTATTCATCACTAGAATAATGTGCATGGTACCCAGTAATTAACTTATCATCCCTCACTCCCATCCCCACCCCTCTGAGTCTCCAGCATCTGTAATCCCACACTATATATACGGGTACACATTATTTAGCTCCCACTTATGAGTTAGAACATGCAGCATTTGTCTTTCTGTGTCTGACTTGTTTTATTTAAGATAATGGTCTCCAGTTCCATCCGTGTCGCTGCAACAAAAACCCATAATTTTATTCTTTTTTATAGTTGAATAGCATTCCATGGTGTGTGTGTGTGTATATATATATATACACACACTGCATTTTCTTTATCCGATCATCTGTTTATGAACACGTAGGTGCAGCTAAGTATATTTATAGTGCTGCTATAAATATACGAGTGCATATATCTTTTTGATGCAATGATTTCTTTTCCTTTGAGTAGGTACTCAGTAGTGGAATGCTGAATCAATTGGTAGTTCTATTTTGGAGTCCAGTAGTTGAGGTCAGTATTTCACATATAGAGTCTGATAAGGTGTGACATAACATTCCTGAGGGGAGGGAGGCTTTGCTCAAAGTTCTTGCATACAGAATCTGATAAGACATCACATTCTCCAAGGGAAAGGGAATAAGTTCCAAGTACTTACTATAATAAGACATGTCATTCATGTAGCAAACTATGTGTCTGGAATTATTTCAGAGCTACGTAACACCCTGGCTGTTTCCTCTTAGTATTTTTCTGTCTATTGAGCCCACATCATGATCCTTGGCTATGAATTTACACTTGCCCTTGCTGCATTGTGAGTTGAACCCAATCCATCTCCCCTACTGCAAAACCCCACTGTGCTATCACTGTACCTATTGCAATAGTCCTGAATAAAGCCTCCTCTATTGTACATAACCAGTATCACTGAATAATATTTTTCTTTAACAGAACCAACCCTGTCATGACCTGATAGCATAGGTTAGAGTGTAACTGTAAAATTAATTTTATTAACAATGTGCAACTAAGAGAGATAAAAATAGTTGTATATTATTTTTAGTAGGAGCCTTTACAAATGTATAGTTTATGTAACACTTTTGTTAGTATTATTATTGGCACCATTACACCTCAACAGTCCTAGAGATAAATTTGATATTTTCAGTACCAGTTTATGAAGGAGGGACCAGAGGTATGCAGAATTGAAGTAGAGATTATTTAAATAAGAAGAAATGAAAAATTCTCCCTTCAAATGCAGCACTTGCCTGTGTCAATCTGTAGGTATTTCTGTGTCCACAAAGTGACAACAACTGTGCAATCCACTGGCAATGTAAAGACGTAGAAGGCACGTCCTCTGCCCTCTTAAGAATGTTAGGGAGATCCACCAGCAATAAAAGCATAGAATTCTGAGTGAGAGGCACTTGCAAAGGGAGCACGTGAAAGCACTTAAGGAGTCTCTCAATCAAAAATCTCCAATAAGAGGTAGTATTGGAGCTGAAGTTTGAAGGCTGTGTGTTAGTTACATAAATATAAAAGCAAGTTCATTTGGGGCAAGAGTATGCACATAGTCACCCTGGTTTAGGCTCATGTGCAGAGGCACAGATGTCTACATAGCATAGCATGCTCACAATTTACAAAGAAGAAAGTAAAGTGGCAGTTATAGAGTGGGGCTCAAGCCATCCAAGAGGGCAAATGCCAATTCATGAAAAGCTTTATGAGCCAAAACATGGACTTGGAATTTTACCCTAGAAGCTCTGAGAACCCAGTGAAGCATTTAAAAGTGGAGAATAAACCGTCATGCAATGCCTCCTTGGAAGCAGTACAGAGGATAGATTTCCTGAGAATCATACTAGAGGTTTTGGAAAATAATTCCAGTGTAGGGATAAGAATTCAGGCCAGAGGAGACTGTGGGACTGAAAGGTCACGAACACTGAGTGCCAGTAGGTGTGTTCTGAAGTCATCAGTTTCCTGTGGGCAGTCCTTCTCCCCCTGCGTTCCTTGCAGACTCCACCTACGTCCAACTTGAGCTGGGTACACTGGAGGACTTAGACTTGCCAAGTGAAAAATCCCACAATTTATAAATTTGCAAAGGAGATTTTTATTTCCTAGAAAAGTGTACAGCCTGCAGGGAGGACATCCTGACAGGCTGGGAGGCTTAGCCTGTGGCATGGTGTGTTAGCAGGTGCTTCAAGGGAGGGGAGGGCAGAACAGGAATTTATGCTGAACTGGTTGCGAAACGTACATATTCAACAGATGACAGGAGGAGCCATGAATACTCATGGAGGTGGCCCTGATACATGCATATTGAACAAGCATGCATGCAATATATGATCCGTGTTCAGCTGGCTGTGCAGACTTACTGTTTAAATGTATTGCAATCAGGCCCACACATCAAAAGGGAAAGTGGGGACATGAAGGCACCCAGTGTGCAGCCTCTGTAAACCATCCAGAACCAGTCCATGGTCAGTGGTCTCTTACCAGGAGAAAGCTACTGAAATCAGTTCCTTATCCAATCAAAGCTGTGGTAAGCCTGTGGAACAAGGGCTGGAAGTCAGTCAGTCAGTCAGCAGCTGGCAGTGGATGAACTGCAATTGTTTAAATAGCACTTATTTCAAGGCCACTGCTTGTTGTTTGGTTCCACAAGAAGAACAAAAACCTCATGGCAGTTAGAACAGGGTTTATTCTTTTAAGTGTAGAGGTGAGCGACTTAACCCTTGCCTGGCATGGTCTTAGATTCTGTTTATAATTTGGTATCTTATTGCCACAAAGAGTCTATCCTGTCAGCCTTATGACCTCTATTTTAACACTAATGCTGGTCAGTTGTTGTGTCTGAACAGCAAAAGGGAAGCGGGTAGAATGAGACGCGTTCAACCTCCTGTCCCGTCATGGCTGGGAACTCAGTCTGTAATGTTTTTCTGGGGTCCCCTGTGCCAAGTTAGGGTCCATTCGGTTGGTTGAGGGGCTTAGGATTTTACTTTTCCTTCTCAGACTCTTACTCTAAATCTATGACAGGTCTTCCTTGACTGGGCAGTTGAGTGTTTCAAGAGATGCTCATGAATGGGGCTGTGTACTTCAATTCGGCAAGAGGTGTTTTCACAAGGGCTTGCACCAGCTCTTCCCGCAGGCCTGGGACCCACTGCCCTATTCTTGAGAGCTGTTGTTTGGCTCCCCTCGCTTGGTCCTTGTGAATGGGGAATTGCCTGGGATGCCCTCAGGATCAATTTGCACTCATTAAACTCAAACTTTCCCACATGATCTAATTTGCATGTAATTAGAGAAATTCAATTTAAGCTTTCTCTTTCCTCTTCTCTTCCTTATAGAGTTATCTGAATTCATTAATGATACTGTGGTGAACACCAGTGTCCTGTGAAATGTGTTCTCCTGTCTCCCACCTCAGAATCCCTGGCTGTGTCTACTTTCAAAACATGGTTCATTTATAAGGGGAAAATGTGAGATAACCTGCCAAGTTCAGATGTCAGTCCTCTGAGATCCACCAGTTGAGTTAGAAAATAATGAGTGGATATATACTAAAAAACAGTGACAACAGGTAGGGCGTGGTGGCTCACGCTTGTAGTCCCAGCACTTTGGGAGGCCTAGGCGGGCAGATCACGAGGTCAGGAGATCGAGACCATCCTGGCCAATATGGTGAAACCCTCACTCTACTAAAAATACAAAAATTAGCTGGGCGTGGTAGTGGGCACCTGTAGTCTCAGCTACCCCGGAGGCTGAGGCAGGAGAATCACTTGAACCCGGGAGGCAGCAGTTACAATGAGCCGAGATCACGCCACTGCACTCCAAACTGGTGACAGAGCGAGACTCTGTCTCAAAACAAAAACAAACAAACAAACAACACCAAAAAAAAACAGTAATAGCAGAATGAATTTCAAGAATAAGAACAGAATGACCCGATACTGCAGTAAATAAAAATCAGTGAAGTCCACTGTTGTAGATAGAATAATGTCCCCCAGTGATGTCCATGTCGTACTTCTCAGAGCCTACGAATGTATTATGTGGCAAGTGGGAATTAATGTTGTGACTTACCTAATCAGCCAACCTTAAGATAAGGCGAGGCCGTTGGACTTTCTCAGTAGGCCCAGTAAAATCACCAGCATCCTTAAATGAGGAAGGAGGTCCGAATCAGAGAAGGCCTCCTCTGGCCACTGCTGGCCTCCAAGATGGAAGAAGGCCACAAGCCAAGGAATGCAGACAGCCTCTCGGGGCTGGAAAAGGCAAGGCAAGGATCCTCCCAAGGCTCCACGAGGAGGGCAGCTCTGGCCAGTGGGGCCCGTGTCACACTTCTCACTTCCAGGATTGTAGGAAAAGAAATTGGTGTTGTCTTAAGCTAAGTTTGTGGTAATTTGGTACAATAGCCATAGGAAACATGTTGGATTCTCTACTGATGTATTTGCTCATGTTCATTTATTTATTCATGTTGGGCATGAGAGGTTACACATTTACTTGAGATTCAGAAATCACAGGATACAAATAATTTATTCCCTGATAGTTATAAGGTTCAACAAATCCAAAAGCACAATATATTTTAGGTGATAGGATCTGTTGGGATTTAGGACGTGCTACCCCAAAATATGGCACCCTGGCATTTGAGAAAACAGTAGAAGCAGAAGGCGACTTTCTTCTTTCCCTTGTCCTTCTCCCATGAAGTAGACCATACAACCATCATTTGAGAGGTGCCCCCATTCCCGAAAGAAAGGGACATCTTTATCTCTGAAGACACAGGGACACAGAGAAGAATCTGAACATAGAAGCCTTGCTGTCCCCTCCATATATCACCATTAGATCAGACCCTTTGTCCTTAATTATATATCTCCAGGACTGTTCACTCTTCATCAAACCTGAGAATAATAATGTAAAAGTTTGCTGGTTTCTTTGGGTCTTCTTCACTCCTGAAGGCTCCTGTTTAACATAAAACTTTAACTTCTATTAAATAAATGTGTATGCTTTTCTCTTGTCAGTTTGTCTTTTGTTTTAGAGGCTTCAGCTCTGAACTTGGTGATGGGTGAGGAGAGAAGATTTCTCCTTCCCTACGCTCTTCAATCCCTAAACTTTCCTTCCCTATATTCCTATAATCCCATTCTTCTGGATTCTCTCATTTCTTTCTTGAGTGTCTCTTCACCTCACCTCCTCCCACAACAAAAACCTCCTACAAATACTAGCACACCCAGCATCTACTGAGGATAGTCAGATCTTTTAGGATACTCTGGGTAGTTCAGAATCAGATATTTTCTCAGGTGCTGAACTTGCTGCCATATTTGTTGAAAGCCACTTTTCCACCTTATACAACATTCTTTTCTCTCTTTTTCTTTTCCTTCCTTACTTCCTTCCTTCATCTCTCTCTTTCTCTCTCTCTTTCTGCCTTCCATTCTTTCTCTTCTCTTTTCTTTCTTTTTATTTATTTATTTCTCTCTCTCTCTCTCTCTCTGTCTCTCTCTCTCTCCCTCCCTCCCTCCCTTCCTTCTTTCCTTTTTTCTTACTTTCTTTCTTTTTTTTTTGGACAGAGTCTAGATCTGTCGCCCAGGCTGGAGTGCAGTAACCTGATCACAAGTTGCTGCAGCCTCAACCTCCCTGGCCCAAGGAATCTTCCCATCTCAGCCTCCAGAGTAGCTGGGATTACAGGCTCACACCACCACTCCCAGCTAATTTTTTAAAAATTATTTTTAGTAGAGGGGAGATCTTGCTACATTGCCCAGATTGGCCTCAAACTCCTGAGCTCAAGCAACGCTCCCACCTCAGTCTCCCAAAGTGCTCACATTGAAGATGTGAGCCACCCCACTCAGCCTATCTGAAAGACTTAATGATATTTCATCATTGCAATAATTCCATCTTATAGTAGAATCTCGTAGAAAAAAACAGAGGTAATTTTAATGCAGGTGTTACATTTTAGTATTATTTTTAAAATATTGTTTGTTTTCTCTTAGTGAGTTATAAATTCTTCCTTTGAAACTGTTAGCTGCTCAGAAGAAATGAGCTAGAAATTGCTTGTCAATTGTCAATAGTTACTAATAGTTACTTTAATATTTGCATAATAAATGAGTCAACAGTAATTGGTCCTGCAAATTCATTTTTGTCAGACCCTGTAAATGTTTACAAATACCCACACATACATTGTAAATTCTGTTATTGAACAATAATACTCGGCTGCTCATTATTCACTTTACTGATACAATAAAGGCAACTGGATGTGAGACCTGAATGGAAACACATATAAAGAGAAAATAAGCAAGGTTGTTTAATGCCTGATTGTCTAGGGCAAGGAGATTCAGCAGAGACAGCAGAGAATAAGGAGAGAACAAGGACTCAAAAATGGCTCCTCAGGGACCGGGTGTGGCAGCTGATGCCTGTAATCCCAGCACTTTGGGAGGCCAAGGGTGGCGGATCAGTTGAGGTCAGGAGTTCGAGACCAGCCTGGCCAACATGGAGAAACCCTGCTTCTACTAAAACTACAAAAATTAGCTGGGTGTGGTGGTGGGCAGCTGTAGTACCAGCTACTTGGGAGGCTGAGGCAGGAGAATAGTGTGAACTGGGAGGCAGAGGCTGCAGTGAGCTGAGATCACCGCACTGCACTCCAGCCTGGGCGATGACACTTCGTCTCAAAAAAATAAAAAAAAAAAGTGCTGCCACAAATGTGTCCTGCTCTACTTTATGGTGGCAGAGTTTAAGGGGGGAGAAAAAAAGGTTTGTTAAGAGTATAAACTAATAGTTTTAGATAAAGTGTGTTTGAGTTTAAGTGATGTAACTTGCTATGAATGCTAGAAATATTGTTGTAAATGTGGAGCTAGAATACAGAAGGTAGGGGCTGGATATATTTTAGAATTAAGAAAGGTCAACATCATTTCCTACAAAGAAAACAACAGGAAAGCGGGAAGACAGAGTGTAAAAAGAAGCAACAAATGAAGAAATGGCAACATCTTCTAGAAAAAAAAAATCTTTACCTTCCTCTTATAAAATTTATCTATGACCTTCTATCAAACACCCTCCCCCGCCACACACACATGCATCTGTATGTATGTATGTGTGAGTCAGCTAGGGTGGCCATCACAAAATAACAGACTGGGGAGCTTAAACGACAGAGATTTATTTTTATCTCAGATCTGGAGGCGGGAAGTCTAAGTCCAAGATGTCAGCAGGCTGAGTTCTCCTGTGCCTCTCTCCTTGGCTTGCCAACGCCCCCCTTCCCTGTATCCCCACATGGCCTTTCCTCCTTGCACGGGTCACCCCAGCTTCTGGCTGGATAAGGATGACTAGTTCAGAATCAAATATTTGACTTGTGGAGAGTCCATTGATTTTTTAGCCTAATTTTTCTGTCTACATTTTCAATTGAGACATAGAAGGTAGGTACTTAGAGAAGATACTTGCTATGTCTATTTGACTTTGCCAGCTGAGGCTCCTATGATTTGAAGGGTGTTTGGGGCTGTGTGTGTTGATGAGCATGTTTGTGCAGACATGCAGGGGAATGACACAGAGAAACAGTGAAAACCGGCAGAATGAGCAGCTGTGTTAATTCTCAATTGCTCTTCAGGTCCTAGAAGACAAAGCCTTTACCAGGGAACTTCAGGTGTAGCAAATGCTTTAAAATATTTTCTTATGGCCAGATGCAGTGGCTCACGCCTGTAATCCTAGCACTTTGGAAGGTCGAGGCAGGCAGATCACTTGAGGTCAGGAGTTCAAAACCAGCCTGGCCAACATGGCGAACCCCATTGCTACTAAAAATACAAAATTAGCCAGGTGTGGTAGTGGATGCCTGTAATTCCAGCTACTGGGGAGGCTGAGGCAGGAGAATCGCTTGAACCTGGGAGGTGGAGGCTGCAGACAGCTAAGATCGCACCACTGCACTCCAGCCTGTGCCACAGAGTGAGACTCTTTCTCAATAAAAAAAAAATAAGTAAAAATAAAATATTTTCTTCTTTTGCTTAAAGTCACTCCTGGGCGTTAGTTAATGTCAACCAACATAAATTTAGGTAAAAAATCAAGGATGGGAGAGGGAGTGAATACACACTTCTGGGGAAAGCACAGCAGAGTTTTCAGTTTCTCTTCCCTTCAAGGGAAGAAACCTTTTTCTGCATACAATACAATCTTAGGTCACACAATATACATTTTTCCTCAGATACTAGGCATTGGCAGATTGCTGAAGATGCAATACCTATTTATTCATTATCTATTTTAATTACTTCATTCTCTCTATTTTCACTGGGAATAAAGACTAGGAAAGTAAACTAGGCAAACAAAATTCACTTTTAATATTCTTTAAATATTACTAATAGAGTAAAAAATTAGTTCATGGGGAATATAAACTCAATTTTCCACCTATTCTTCAAACCTATACAAGCCTTCAAAAAGCAACTAAGAAATTATATATATAAATATGTTTTTGTATATATTCATGTGTATATATGTGTTATATACACACACACCCACACACACACGTTCTATACAGTGTGTATTTAACTTAATGAAAAGTTAAAAACCAACCACCTAAATTAAAGTAAAAGTTCTTTAAAGTCTGTCATTCGTTAGGGAAAAGAAATGATGGACAACCTTGTTCAGTGGATTTGAATTAGGTACAATCACACCACTGATGAACACAGAACTGGCGGAGAAGAGGCATATAAAATGCACAAGCTTGGACATTAGCAGATCCTCACTCTCTGACTCTGTACACGCTATGACCTTCCTGCTTAGGGAAGACTTTCTGTCATGTAAGGATAATCAGTATTGCTTCCTCACTGTGTCTGGAACATTAAGAATGCATTCCCCCTAAATGGTAGATACTATCATAACTATTATATCATGTCTCTTAGCTTGACTGGGGACCCCTACCAGATCCCCTCTATCCCAACTGGACATTTCAATGCTTATGTCCTGAAGTTTCTGCTCACTTAGGCTTTGGGCAAAGAGCTAGACCCAGTGCATCCTAAGAAAACTCCTCTCTTCTATCACAAAGGGTGTAGACAGCTCTTTGCTTGCTACATCTGGTGTCCAGTGATAGATACATTTTTTTGGGTTTCCTGAATGCGATCTTAGATGCAGGACGCTGAATTAGAGTTGAAAATGGGGGCAGGAAAAGCGTCACAGTGAAGTTGAGACATCCTTAGGCTGATTCCAGCAGAATTGAAAGAATAAGCCAGAATAAAGTGTGCGTTTCAATTAGCAAATTTACACCATCAGTGAAACACAATCTTATGGGGTGCAGTGAGGAACTACAATAAATGCAGTATTGGGGAGCCTGGAGAAAAAGAGAAAGTAGGCCAAAGCAACTGAAGTTGGAGAGGTAAGCAGAGGTTTGATTACTTACGTCCTTGTACAAATTTGAAGAAGCTCTGACTACTCTGTAATTCTTACTATTTGGTGTTTTGTTTCCTCATTTGATAACCAAGCTATTTTTGAGCTAAGGGGAGGGTCTCCATGCAGGGTAACATATTTTCTCAAAGCGAAATATTACTTTTTTTTGTTGCAAATAAGGCACATATAATGGGAAATATTGGAGGTCAAAGCAAAGTTTGTATTATCCATTGAGAAAAGGCACTTGACTCATTTTTTTTAATTAAAATGTTTAAAATTTCTATCTCATTTTCAAATGTGTGACAAGCAATCTGCACTGAAGGTTTACAGATCTCAGATGCATCTCTGAGCTGGGGGAATAGCCCATAGAATGATAAAGTGCCAAGTTTTTTCTATAAGGGAGTAAATTATCTTCTGATAATTGGGCTAATTGCCTAAAGTTAATTATTTTCTCCCTTGTCCTATGGTCATTCAAGTATTAATCAAAGTTGTAAGTAAATCATAATATAGAATATTAGCTGGCTGCTTGGTGGCTCACACCTGTAATCCCAGCACTTTGGGAGACCAAGGCTGGAGGATTACCTGAGGTCAGGAGTTTGAGACCAGCCTGACCAATGTGGCGAAACCCCGTGTCTACAAAAAATACAAAAATTAGCCCGGCGTGGTGGCGGGTGCCTGTAATTCCAGTTACTTAGGAGGCTGAGACAGGAGAAAGGCTTGAACCCTGAGGCGGAGGTTGCAGTGAGCCAAGATAATGCCACCTCACTCCAGCCTGGGTGGCAGCAAGACTCTGTTTCAAAAAAAAAAAAAGAATGTTAGCTAATAGAATGCTTTGTTTATTATTTTATTTCTCCTGGAATTGGATTTTATGTGCCTGGACACTGTATGACCTCTTGCTTCACATTGTGAAGATATAAACGTGCTTTTAGATGTTATTCTTGCTGGCTGAGTTCAGCTAGCACCATCGTTCTTTGTGGTTCTTGTTGAGGGAAGTGCTCACTGCAGAGTGTTATCAGCATAGACTCTCATTGACTGCACTCAAAACAGGGAACTTAGTCGTCGCGGTCATTTGTCCCTGTTTCTGTGTTCACATCCCTCTTCACTTTCCACTTCAGAATAGTTTCCTAATATTTCTTATTTACTTATTTATTTATTTAGAGGCAGGGTCTCACACTGTCGCCCAGGTCGGAGTGCAGTGGTGCGATCTCTGCTCACTGCAACCTCCTCCTCATGGGGTTCAAGCGATTCTCCCGCCTCAGCCCGCCAAGTAGCTGGGACTACAGGGGCCCGCCACCACGCCCGGCTAATTTTTGTATTTTCAATAGAGGGGTTTTCACCATGTTGGCCAGGCTGGTCTCGAACTCCTGACCTCAGGTGATCCGCCTGCCTCTGCCTCCCAAAGTGCTGGGATTACAGGCGTGAACCACTGTGCCCGGCCCCATAATATTTCTAATAAACAAAACATCTGTTGAGTCTTTAAATGTTGTATTATCTTTTCAATTAGTCATTTGAAAACATGAGTATTCCGAATGAAAATAATGAGACTATTTTTGTCACTAATAAAGTTACAAAACATATTGAAATATGGATGATGATACAGCATTCTGCCTAGCATATTCTTTTGAAATGTCTTAATAAAATATAAGTAGAAATATCAGTTCACTAAATGAGACAACAGAGTAATTCATGTGGTATAATAAGGCTTTAATACACTAATTACATAGTTTGCTCTTTAGTATAATATGCTACTTTTCATATTTAGATGGGTAATATTTTCTGTGAACACTAGATTCATTAATAATTATAAATTGCTGTAGCTTAGGATAACAAAAGGTCTTTGGCTCCAAAATAATACTCTAATTGTCAGTGTGATTATTTCATTTGCAGTGATTAATGATGTTGGCATTTGGTTCATAATATAATTGTATTACTTTGTATTTCTACAGCATTCTTTTTCTAAGAACTTAAAAGTACTTCTCTTTTCTTATACCATCGAGAAGTAGTGTAGTGTACAAGTACTGTATAATAATTTTAGTTTTATAATGGTAAAGTCACTAGCTATTTTTATAATATTTATTATTTTAAATAATTCAAAATACAAAAGTAACACTTTTATATTTTTTAGCTCAAACCAAATAATTCAGAACTTTTTGTATGTTGACAGTTGATTTTGTAATGCCTCCACTTATATTTAAGTAACTGTATTTGTTCTACTTATGTGTGAACTTTATTACATTGCAAACTGAAATTATTCTTTTAATGAAGAATACTAATATTTGTCCTAGGAAGCTTAGAGATAAAATTCTAGCTATTTTATATCAAGTCTATGTAATACATTTCTGCATTAAATACACACCTGGCATTTAGTGAATTTTTATAATTTTAAGTTGCCTCAGCATTCATTTTGAATATAAATGACTCTCACACGAGAAGCAGGGCTCAGTCACCCTTGACACAGTTTCTAATTCGACATTGCCGTGCCCCTAGGTCCTCAGTGGGGTTGATGCAGCTGTCTGCCTTATACAACTGCCCTCTGGTGACCACCATCCTATGGGAGATGCAGCCTGCTTAACTCGCCCACCGACCCTCACACCCGACATGGCCTGTAGAGATATGACACAGTGACTGCCTCTCCATCATGGGGTGACCTCCTAAACTTAAGCCTGTGTGCTTGAAACCCACCAATTAAAATCCCTGTGGGAAACCTTCTTGGATACAGCCCTAGATCCAATAAGGACCTTGGCTCACTGGTCCCTTTCTCTTTCTCTCTGTCTGCACTCCTTAATCCCCATGTGTGTGGTTTCCAGATATGCCAGGTACCCCCAGACCTGAAAGTCTTGGAAGTCATAAAGTATTTATTTACATTTTGTGCCTTTCCTAAGATCCTAAATTAAACATGGCAAAATTCTATATTCATAGTTAAAAAACAAGCAAATGACTATTTCTTTGTCAATACTGTGATTTTACATTCACAATACATCATATAAACAAGCACAACTAATCTTTTACAAATGTTGAATGTGTAACATATAAATTAAAAAATAAACACATTTTTCAGAACCATTTCCAGATGTGTTAGCAGCAAAATAAAGAAAAAAATAATTCCTAGCTACCTACAAATGAATGAAGCTATTTGATAGAAGAGTAATGATATAACAGTAGCAATTAGAACTAAAAGAAAGGCATCCAATGGTATATACAACATGTAAAAGTGTTACCAGAGAGAATTGTATTAGTTAAGCCAAGAATATGGTTGGAGATTCCTGGATACTGGCATAATAGGTAGTCAATCAATATGAAGTGAATTCATTGACTGAAAATTGTTGAAGAGTAGGGAGACTTTACTTACAGACTACAAAAGATCCAGAAGAGATATTTAAAAGGATTGTCAGAATGAGCAGCAGGAAACTAAAATTCAAGTAGAATTATGGGAAGGGATGGAAGAGAATGCATTTCAGACATTAAGAGTGACAGATATAGAAGTGTGAGGAAGTGTTTTGAATGCATCTCTGCCCAGCAATTTACATAATCTTTTTCAGTTTTTCCCACCTTCAAGCATCAAAAGAACAAAGAATGGATATTTATTGATGTTTTCTGGAAAAGGAACACACAAAATTTATCAATAGTAGCATTAATGTTTTCTTATCTCATTTCTCACTCCTGATGCCAAAGTAGGTTGCTATTATAATCAGGTCAGTTTTTGGAAGATGAACTTTGGTGGTGAAATTATGTGCTGTTAGTTCTAGATCTTGGAATGTAACTTTTCTGCTTCTGGCCCTGAGTTGTATTGCCTGGCATATGAGATGAGGTAAGCTGAGTGTCCATATGATCAACATGAAAGGCTAGGTGTGTGTAGTGGCAGACCTGCCATCTGTGCCTTCCACTCCCAACTCCAGGCCATATTCATGGAGCAAAGCTAAACTCTCACAAGCACTTCCACCCCATGTGTCTTAACCCCAAATAACTTTGAGATGGGCCCACAGAGAACATGGTGTCAGGGGTTACAGGAGGTAGAGAGAGGAATAAGGTGTTCGTCTTTAGTTGACTTGCCTACATTATTATTTATCTGGGAACATTCTAATAGGTAATAAAAAACTATCTCTGGAATATTGCACAATTTAAAATTATATTTTGCTAATTTTTTTTTTTTGAGACAGAGTTTCACTCTTGTTTCCCAGGCTAGAGTGCAATGGCATGATCTCAGCTCAACACAACCTCTGCCTCCCGAGTTCAAGCAATTCTCCTGCCTCAGCCTCCCGAGTAGCTGGGATTACAGGCATGTGCCACCACGCCAGGCTAATTTTGTATTTTCAGTAGAGACAGGGTTTCACCATGTTGGTAAGGCTGGTCTCAAACTCCTGACCTCAGGTGATCTGCCCACCTCGGCCTCCCAAAGTGCTGGGATTACAGGTGAGAGCCACTGCACCCGGCCCAAACAATAATTATTAGTAGTTCCTGCACATTAATTTTTCCCCAAAGTCAGAGAAAATATAGCAATTTTTTAAGGAAAAAAATGCAAATCTGACAATAAACTTATCATTCTCTTCTAAACTAAAGCTATTAAATCACATTATAGTAATTATATTCTTCATAAAACTGAGTGGCTTCCAGATCCCAGAAAGATGTGAGACTTAAGGTATCAGAGCATTCAATATGCTGAGAATCTGTCACCTGCCTTTGTTGTCTCATTCTAGTGAAGACATTCGTCTAGTGAGGACTTTGTCTCAGAATTCTGCTGGATTGTTGCATGGAAAGAGTGTAGGATCCCTCTGCCAGTGAGGAGTTTTTCATATTAAAGCAGAATTCAGACCAAACACTTTGTGAAAATTTTCAGTAGCTTTGAATGAACAGACATCTTCACTAAATTATCAGATGACATGCAGTTGACATACAGTTCACTTCACACAGTTAAAATACAAGACATTAAAGCATTCATGAAAAAAGATTATAGAAATTAGGAAAAATAATAATGCGAAGTGCAAGAAAAATCGATGACACACAATAGAGAATATTAAAAATATAGGGGATTTTGAAAATGAAAGTAATGCATAGTTACATATAAAATATGGGGTATTTCCCATTCAATAAAGACAGAATTCACTTATCAAAAGGTGATATATATAATGGTTAATTACTGGAATTTGAAGATAAGTAATTATTTAGGCATGGAAGAAGAAACTGTAATTCTCCTGCAAGGGAAAAAAATTTAGACTGGCATCAGGTTAAACAAAATGAATGCTCATGATGAAAAGATAGTGAAAGTTCTATAAAATTCTAAGAATTAAGTGCACTTCAAATTGTTTTTAAAATGCTGCCAAACTCAAACATTTTTTAAACAAACTCTAACCATCCAAGAGGTCAATCAGAACAAAGAGGAAGGAGTAATTTGTGAAACCAATATCAGTAATGATAAAGGCTACATCATTTCAGATTTAGTATATATTAAGATTATATTATGAACTAATTTACTTATTTGTAAAAATATTGACTATGTTATGATCTATTGTTTGACAAGTATGATAAAATTAACCAATATGTTAAAAAATGTAACTTATCAAAGATGTGGGAGAACCAAATTAAAAATTTGATCATGTCAATTTAAAGACCTTCTCTAAAATAAATTAATTAGTGAATTTTAAATAAATATTTATGAAGGTAATTACAGAAATATTGCTCAAACTCTTCTAGAGAATAAAGCAAAAACATTTCTCAACTCTTTTAATGAGGCCAACATATATTTGATACCAAAATCTGATGAAGACATTGTGATAAAATAACATGGATACAAAATTTTTAAACATAGATGCAAAAATGCCTCAATAAAATAT
The DNA here is from genome assembly GCF_000001405.40 of Homo sapiens. Lineage (NCBI taxonomy): Eukaryota > Metazoa > Chordata > Mammalia > Primates > Hominidae > Homo > Homo sapiens. The sequence continues at coordinate 52,975,772 of NC_000007.14, forward strand.
TCTCAAAATGAATTCATCAATATATAAAAGGACCAAATAAGATTCATTTCAGAAGTGTAAAGATTATTTTATATTCTAAAATAAATTAATATAAGTAATAAATTTATCAGTAAACAAAAGAGAAGAAAAAATCTCAGAAGTTTAAAAAACACTTTTTTTTACAAAAGTCAACATCTTTGAATGATTGTAAGAAAGAACTATTATTAAAAGAGCCATAAGAAAACTTCTTGAGTCTTAAGTTTATTACAAAACCTACAGCTTACCTTATTCTCAAGAAATATTGAAACATTTTTCCTGTAAGCAAGAAAAAGATAAGGATACCATTATTGAAATTAAATATATATATTTTGATATCTCAACAAATTAGGAACAAAGGGGAATTTCCTAGACTTGGTAAAAAAATTACAAAAACCATACAGCTAACACTGCAATGCTGAGAAACTTGAAGCTTTCCTACTATGGTCAGGAAGAAGGCAAAAATATACCCTTTTACCACTCCTTTTCTAGATTGTACTAAGAAACCTACCTAATCTGATGAGACAAGAAAAGGAAATAAATACGAAGACTGGGAGGAAATAAATAAATCTGTTGTACTTGCAGATGGCATGATTAGCTATGCAGAAAACATGAAAGAATCAACAAAAAAACCCTCCTGGAATTAATAAGTGACTATAGCAAAGTTGCATTTACAAGTTTAATATAATATACACAGATCAATTGCTTTCCAACATACTAGCAATGAACAAGTGGAATTTCAGGTTAAAAACACAATACCATTTACATTAGCACAGTAAAAATGACATACTTAGCTATAAATCTAACGAAATACATACAAAATCAACACAAGGAAAACTATAAAAATCTGATGAAATAAATCAAAGAACTAAATAAATGAAGAGATATTCTATGCTCATGGATAGAAAGATTCAATATTGCCAATCTGTCAGTTCTCCTCAACTTTATAGATACAATAAAATCTCAATCAAAATCTTAGCAAGTTACTTTGTGAATACTGACAGGCTGATTCTAAAGTTTATATAGAGACACCAAAGACTCAGAATAGCCAATACAACATTGAATCAGAATAACAAAGTTGGAGAACTGAGACTACCGGACTTCAACACTTACTGCAAAGCTACAATAATTAAGACAGTGTGTTATTGGAAACAAACAAACACCAAGTACAAATAGATCAATGGAACAGAATAGAGAGCCCAGAAATTGACCCACAGAAATATAATCGACTCAGCTTTGACAAAGGAAGAAAGACAATTCAACAGAGAAAGGAAAGTCTTTTTAACCAATGGTGCCAGAACAACAGAACATCCACATATTAAAAAAGAAACAAATTGAAACTAGACACAGAGCTTGCACACTCCACAAAATTTAAGTCAATATAGGTTATATAACAAAACATAAAACACAAAACTGTATGTATATGCCATGCCACGTATACAGCACGTGATGTTTATAGAAATAGTATTATTAATTGTTGTGTAGAAATAGTTTATAGACTGGAATCAAGTGAAAGTATTGTTTATAAAATTGGAAAATAAAAAAATTAGGAAATATTATCAGAAAAGTATAGGTATAACTATAGTAGATGATACTATATTCTGAATTATAAATAGGAAAGCCAAAAAACTAAAAAATAAAGAAATCATAAAAAGTATTATGCCCTGTCTGCTGGGCGCGGTGGCTCACGCCCGTAATCCCAGCACTTTGGGAGGCCAAGGCAGGCGGATCATGAGGTCAGGATACCCAGACTCTCCTGGCTAACACAGTGAAACCCCGTCTCTACTAAAAATACAAAAAATAAACCGGGCGTGATGGCAGGCGCCTGTAGTCCCAGCTACTCAGGAGGCTGAGGCAGGAGAATGGTGTGAACCCAGGAGGTGGAGTTGCAGTGAGCAGAGATCGTGCCACTGCACTCCAGCCTGGGCAACAGAGTGAGACTCTGTCTCAAAAAAAAAAAAATAAAAATAAAAATAAAAAAAATTATGCCCTGTCAAAAGTTTTTTTGAATTCTTAGCTAATTCTTAACAGATGTAAGTACAACAAAAGAACATGGTATGATCCTTGACCTCTTGGATCCAATAAACTATTGAAAAGTGTTGTAAATGTAAATAACAGAAGCAGATGAGAGAACATCTAGTTTTTCCAGATGACAGTTTTCATGAAGAGCAGAAAAAACTGCTCTAAGATCCAAGAAACAAGCAGCATTGTAGATGAAGTTGAAATTTTCAGCAATTAGATGAATGCATATGAAATTGCATTTAAAGCGGATTATCTTAAAAACAAAGAAGAGACTTTCAAGAAAAAGAAAATGAGTGAATGGTATTGCAAATGCTCATGTTCCTTAAATCCAATTTTACTCAATATGAAAACAATGAAAAGTAAACAGTTTGGGTAAAATTAAGAAAAACAACAACAGATGATTTATTCACAACTTTTCCTGTTTGATATCTGAGTAGTTAGTTCTTGTACATGCCATGCTGTTAAGGTCTGAAATGGAGAGGAAGCTTGTTGGATGGAAGCTCAGTGGCAGATAGAATTGATGGTCTATCCTGTTGCCATTCTTCCTCTTCCCTCCCTGGCAGATGTTGGAACTTTTCTTCTCATGTTCATCTTCTCATGTACTCATGGGCATTGGTCCCTTCCTAGCCACAATATGTAGTTTTTGCCCAGTCTAAATAAAATTATGATAATTCTCTTTATCTTGACAGAGAATGGTTTTGCCAAGGTTTGTCAATGTAATTAGCACAGTGGCCAACAAAATATATAAAGGTTGGCCAGTCATAGTGGCTCACACATGTAATCCTAGCACTTTGGGAACCGAAGGCAGGAGGATCACTGAAGATAGGAGTTCAAGACCAGCCTAGGCAACATAGTGAGACCTCATTTCTGCAAAAATACAAAAATTAGCCAGGCATGTTGGCACATGCCTGTAAACCCAGCTACTCAGAAGACTGAAGCAGGAGGACTGCTTGAACCTAGGAGTTTGAGGCTACAATGACCTATGATCATGACACAGCCTGTGTGACACAAAGACACCCTGTCTTTTAAAAATAAAAATTATACATTTTATATATATATATATATATATATATATATATATTCAGGTATTTGTGTAAGAAAAATATTCTCTTCCCTGATTAAAAAAAATTGTGCTTGGAGATACTGTTCTTTTTGTATTTTGATTGAGATTGTGAGAATCAGATGCCTGGAGGTGTAGAAATGATCTTTTAGTCATCAGAGGGCAAGACTGAAGACACATTTCAACTGCTGAGGACACAAGACAGAAATATCAATGGCACTTAGGTCCTTGGTGGTATTGGGTGGTACTTAATTAACTGATCCTAGAATCACATTTTCCAGGATGTCTTGTTGTTCATGATATTAAACTCTTCATTGTTTAAGACATTGAATTCTGCTTCAGGTAATCTATTACTTGCAGCCAAGGCACTCCGACTGACAGAACAACAACAATACAAACAGTCAACATTTAATATGCCAATAGGGTAAGATAAGGTACAAAGAAAATATTTACATTTAAATAGACATTTTATGCTTTTAATATTATGCAATAAAAAAGATAAGACACCCCCTCAACAAGATCAACACAGAATATTCCCAATATTTCCAGACTGTTGAAAAAGGGGCCTTACAGATTCGTTCTTTCATACGCAGGTTTATAAATTATGATTTTAAGAGGTGTCTTTATTTATTATTATTTATTTATTTATTTATTATCTCAAAGTAGTTAGAAGAAAAGCAAAAATATCTATCCTAGAATCAAATGGATTAAATATACCGTTGAAATAACATAAAGTAAAGCTGCGTAGAAGGTAGCAATTTGATATAGTGAGACAGCTGGTGTTGTTCTAGACAAAATCAATAAAAGCTTAGAATGTAGATATGTTCAGGAACTCCAAGACCAGCTTCAGATCCTGTGATTGTCCAGAACTCACAGGACCCAGCATACAGCATACCCATGGCTAGGATTTACTACAGCAAAAGGATGTAAAATAAATTCAACAAAGGAAAAACGTGTAGGGGGTGAAGTCTGGAAGAAATCAGGCTCAGGCTTTGAGTCCTATCCCAGTGGAGACACCAGGGTTGGTAGAAGTTCACAAGGGACTTGGTGCCCAGGGTTTTTACCAGGGGCTGGTTACATAGGCATTGTCTGCCTGGCACATACCAGAATGCCAGGAATCCATGAGGCAAGTGTGTTCAGCAGAAACCATACGATTTGTTTGGTTAGGCATAGCAAGCCACTCCAATCTGTTCTGAGAGTAGCAGGAACTCCCCTGAAATCCAAGTTCCTGGACACCATCAGAGGGCCAACCTTGTAAGCAGGACATTTTAAGAATAAGCAGTTAGGCCTGGTAGGTTAACTCTTGTGATGGTTAATTTTATGTTAAGTCTACTGAGCCACAGGTGTGTAGATTAGAGTTCATTTCTGTGTGTGTCTGTGAGGGTGTTTCCACAAGAAATTAGCATTTGAATTGGTGGATTCAGAAATTAGATTGCCCTCCTCAATGGAGTGGGCCTCTTTCAATCAGTTCAAGTCATAAATATAACAAAAGGCAGAAGGGAGAATTCACTCCCTGTCTGCTTGCTGCTTGACCTGGAACTTCAGTCTTCTCTTACTCTTGGACTGGGATTTATATATTTGTCACCCTGGCTCTCAGGCCTTCAGATTCAGATTGGAACTACACCACCAATTTTCCTGGATCTCCAGTTTGCAGACAACAGATCATGGGACTGTATATATCTTATTGGTTCTAGTTCTCGGGAGAACACTGACTAATACAATTCTTTTACATACAGTAGGGAAAGAAGTAATAGAACCTCAGTAATTTGTAGGAGGCTAAACCTCAGCAGTGTCTTGATTCATTTTGGGTTTTCTATATTTAAAGGAATAATGATATCATAGAGATATTCCAGATTTGAGCATACAAGCTATAACGTGCATTGAAAACATGATAAATGAAGAAGTCATGATGTTTTTGCAATGCGTGCTCTTTAGAAAAGAAGAAAGAAGACAAGTGTATGCTAAGGGCAAAGAAAAATATATTGATCATTTCAAAAGGCCAGATATAGAGGCAATATAAGCAAGGCATTTACAAGGATTTGTGAGTAGCTAAAATATTCTGTTGTGATTCTTAACAAATTCTCCAGTTAACCAATTAAGCATACGTGCTAGGATCTAAATGAAATTTCTACTATCTGAGGAAGGCAGTGCTTCCATTTTCATTTATAATTCACGTCTCCAAATTTTTGAAAAGCTTCTTACTGATGTCCCTTTGTGACATTTTCTCAAGCTCAAACTCTCTTTATTCCTAACATTGTGTTAGTTATATATCCCTGTAAATGAGCATGGCCAATTCGCTGGGTGACAAGGGTGTAAAGGTACGAACCTGTTCATTTAGAAAAGCTTTAAACTTCCAATTCTGCTGAGAATTACACATGTAAGAAACAAAAACCAAAAAGTAATAGCCTTATATCATTTTGTTTTCTCAGTTTAGAAAAGCCTTTGATCTCCCACATGTATTTACAAGCATGTGAAATTAGAAACACCTTGGCTAAAATATACTGTGTGATGGATAGTTTCAGAATGCAGAACTTTGCATAGTTATTCTATAGTCGTTGCTGTTTTTAAATTTGGATGAAGCAACAAATTATTATCAAACAGGTATGTCTAAACGCTACATTATTTGATGACTTTTTTCTATTCAAATAAAAGCGCTTCTTTTATTTCTGAGAGATGATTTTATATAATTGTATTTTAGGGGATGATGTTTACTTTTCTCTGCTGAATGCTTAACACGTAGCCCTTTTACTTTTGTTTCTCTCTAGGGCACATGCACAAAATGATAATGCATGTCCACAAGTTATTTGGCAGCTTGTGAGAGAATATTTAAGTCCAGTAAATGAAGAAGTCATTCACCAAGACCCCGAGCCCAAATCTCACCATAAAAATAAGACTAACAGTTCATAAATCATGCTTCTGCATACAAACAATTAGATTCAAAATTTGAGGCCTTAATGCACATAATTAAATTATTCTTTTTCGTTCTGCTTCACAACAGGAAGTTGTTATTGTGGGGAAAATGTGCCCACATTAAAACTGCAAATTGATTTTTGATGAAATAAAGCTACCCGTAACCTAGAGAAAATTTGATGCCTTACTAAATACAGTGTTAAGCAGAAAATTGTAACACCTGTGATAAATACAATTAAAAAGACTGCCTTTAGAGATATAAATTTGTTATTGTGAAATATGTGAATCTTGCATATCACTAGGGTTTTTTTTGAATGGTGAAATAAAGACAAAATGAAAGGAATTATTATTTAATAAAAAGCAATGTTCCTATTATAGAGTTACAGTGATGCAAATAATCCTTGAAACTTTTTGCACAAAAATTGTAGTCTCCTGGTTTCAGCTTTGACATTTAAAGAGACTGAAAGGTGACACCACATCCTCATAACATCAATCAATAAGTGAACAAACAAACAAACAAATGTGAATAAGAAGATAATCAACAACGCTTCTTGGGCCCGTTGGGGAAATGATGTTGTAGAGCAAATCATCCTTCCACAATCTGGGGAGAGGGATGAATGAAGAGAATCATAGCTGAGATTGCTGACCTGGAGCTGCTAGAGTTGAATGATAATGAAGGATTACTGGAGCCGAACATGGAATAGTGTGGTGGAGAACAAAACTGGAGTCCAAAGTCTGAGGGAGGTCCTCACACTGTGGGTTCAACCACCAGGCATTCCATCAGATTTTCACAGTAAAGCTCTAAGAAAGACATCTACTGGCTCTTGCCAGGGGAATAGTAATCACTGTGAAATGTGCCCAGAGTTTTTTCTATAACAAAGGACTACTCTTCAGGGGAAAGGACTTTACAAGAAGTCCTTTATCTCATCTGCAGGAACTCCAGCCCTACTCCTTCCCAATTAGCCTTAAGGTCTGGCCTAGAGGTAAATGGAATACACCACTGCAGGACCTTTTATGAAGGTTCGATCACTCAAAGGCTTGGATGGCATCGTAAGATTACAGAGTGATAACTCTTTCCACGCCTTACTGCCACACCAATAGGGCTCAGAATAGCAATGGATTGCAGTGGAAAGAGCTGTCATTCTCAGATGCTTTATGAGGAGGAGGAGTTGGGAAAGCCCAACGTCAAAAGAGGAAACAAAAACAAAAACATGGCCAGGAGCACTGGCTCACACCTATAATCCCAGCATTTTGGGAGGCTGAGGCAGGTGGATCACAAGGTCAGGAGATTGAGACCACCCTGGCTAATATGATGAAACCCCGTCTCTACTAAAAATACAAAAAATTAGCCAGGCATGGTGGTGGGCACCTGTAGTCCCAGCTACTCGGGAGGCTGAGGCAGAATGACGTGAATCCGGGAGGCAGAGCTTTCAGTGAGCTGAGATTGCACCACTGCACTCCAGCCTGGGTGACTGAGCGAGACTCTGTCTCAAAAAAAAAAAAAAAAAAAAAAAACTAGAAGAATCTGAGTCCTCTGGCACATACTGTTACAGAACGTATTGTACTCAGCAAATTGACAGGAAAGATTAATATAAAAACTTGCATTAAGTGCTATAGTCCATTCAACATCATAAGGCATGCAATAAAGGCAGAAGAAACTATTTGTCAAGAGGAAAAAAATTCACTAGAACCAGGCTCAGATGTAGCATGTTAGAATTATCAGACAGAGAAATTAACGTTGGTATGATTAATATATTAAGGGATCTAATGGAGAAAGAACCAATGGGTTATAAAAAAGGGAAATCAAAAAATGAAACAAAAGACAATACTAGAAATCAAACTCATTGTAACAGAGTTGGAGAATGCCTTTGATGGGTTCCTCTGAAGACTGGGCATGGGCAAGGGAAAAATCACTAAGCTTAAAATTTCTCAATGGAAACTTTTCAAACCAAAATGAAAAGAGTAAAAAAAAATTAAAAGAAAAAACAACACAACATCCAAGAAAAGCAGAGCAACTTTAAAAGGTTTAATATACACATAATATGAATATTAGGAGAAGAAACAGAAGACAGAGCAGAAAAAAATATTTGAATCAATAGTGTTCAAAAATTTTTCAAAATTAATAACTCACACTGTCTTAGTCTGTTTTCACACTGCCATAAAGAACTGCCAGAGACTGGGTAATATATGAGGAAAATAGGTTTAATTGGTTCACAGTTCCACCTGCATGGGAAGGCCTCAGGAAACTTACAATCACGGCATAAGGGGAAGTAGGCATGTCTTACATTGTGTCAGGCAGGAGAGAGTGAGTGTGAAGGATGAACTGTCAAATACTTATAAAACCATCAGATCTCATGATAACTCACTCACTATCATGAGAACAGTATGTAAGAAACAATCCCCATGATCCAATCACCTGCTTCCCTTAAAACTTGAGGATTATAGGTCCCTCCCTGGACATGTGGGGATTACAACTGAGATAAAATTTGGGTGGGGACCAAGGGGCAAACCATATGAAACACTAATATGGTTTGACTGTGTGTCCCCACCCAAATCTCATCTTGAATTCCCACATGTTGTGGGAGAGAGCCAGCGGGAAGTAACTGAATCATGAGGGCAGGTCTTTTTCATGCTGTTCTCCTGATAGTGAATAAGTGTCATGAGATTTAATGGTTTTATAAGGGGGAGTTTCCCTGCACAAGCTCTCTCTTTGCCTGCTCCCAACCATGTAAGACATGACTTGCTTCTCTTTGCCTCCCGCCATGATTGTGAGGCTTCCCCACACAATTCCCAGCCACATGGAACTGTAAGTCCATTAAAACTTTTTTCTATGTAAATTACTGAGTCTCATGTATGTATTTATTAGTAGCATGAAAGATAACTAATATAGTAAATTGGCACCACTACAGTGGGGCTCTGTGAAAAGATACCCAAAAATGTGGAAGCAACTTTGGAACTGGGTAATAGGCAGAGGTTAGGACAGTTTGGAGGGCTCAGAAGACAGAAAAATGTCAAAAAGTTTGGAACTTCCTAGAGACTTGTTGAATGCCTTTGCCCAAAATGCTGATAATGATATGGACAATGAAATCCAGGCTGAGGTGGTCTCAGATGGACATAAGGAAGTTGTTGGGAACTAGAGCAAAGGTAACTCTTGTTATGTTTTAGCAAAGAAACCGGCAGCATTTAGCCCCTTCCCTGGAGATGTGTGGAACTATGAACTTGAAAGAGATGATTTAGGATATCTGGCAGAAGAAATTTCTAAGCAGGAAAGCATTAAAGAGCTGACTCAGGTGCTGTTAAAGGCATTCAGTTTTAAAATGGAAACAGAGCATAAAAGTTCAGAAAAGTTGCAGCCTGACAATGCAATAGAAAAGAAAATCCCATTTCCTGAGGAGAAATTCAAGCCAGCTGCAGACATTTGAATAAGTAATGAAGAAGCAAATGTTAATTGCCCAGATGATGCAGAAAATGTCTCCAGGGCATGTCAGAGACCTTTGTGGCAGCCCCTCCCCTCACAGAACTGGAGGCCTAGGAGGAAAAAATGGTTTTGTAGACCAGGCCCAGGCCCCTGCCTGCTTTGTGCAGCCTAGGGACTTGGTGTCCCATGTCCCAGCCACTAAAGCCATGGCTAAAAGGAACCAATGTATAGCTTGGGCCATAGCTTCAGAGAGTGCAAGCCCCAAGCCTTGGCAGCTTCCATGTGGTGTTGAGCACGTAGGTGCACAGTCAAGAATTGAGGTGTGGGAACCTCTGTCTAGATTTCAGAGGATTAATGGCAATTCCTGGATGTCCAGGCAGAAGTTTGCTTCAGGGATGGAGCCCTCAAGGAGAACCTCTGCTAAGGCAGTGTGGAAGGGAAAAGTGGTGTGTGAGCCCCCACACAGAATCCCCACTTGGATACTGCCTAGCAGAGCTGTAAGAAGAGGGTCACCATCCTCCAGACCCCAGAATAGTAGATCCACCAACAGCTTGAACTGTGCACCTGAAAAATCCATAGACTCTGAATGCCATCCCATGAAAGCAGCCAGGAGGGAGACTGTACCCTGCATAGCCACAGGGGTGGAGATGCCCAAGACCATGGGAACCCACCTCTTGCATCAGCATGACCCGGATGTGAGACGTGGAGTCAAAGGAGATCGTTTTGGAGCTTTATGATTTGACTTCCCTGCTGGATTTCAGACTTGCATGGGTCCTGTCGTCCCTTTCTTTTGGGCAAATTCTTCCATTTGGAATTGCTATATCTATCCAATACCTGTACCCCCATTGTATCTAGGAAGTAACTAACCTGCTTTTGATTTTACTGGCTCATAGATGAAAGGGACCTGCCTTTCCTTGGATGAAACTTTTGACTGTGGACTTTTGAGTTAATGCTGAAATGAGTGAAGACTTTGGGGGACTGTTGGGAAGTCATGGTTGGTTTTGAGATGTGAAGACATGAGATTTGGGAGCAGCCAGGGGTGGAATGTCATGGTTTGGCTGTGTCCCCACTCAAATCTCATCTTGAATTCCCATGTGTTGTGGAAGGGATGCTGTGGGAGGTAATTGATTAATGGGGGCAGGTCTTTCCCATGTTGCTCTCATGATATTGAATAAGTCTCACAAGATCTGATGGTTTTATAAGGGGAGTTTCCCTGCACAAGCTCTCTTTTTGCCTGCTTGCATCCATGTAAGATGTGACTTCCTCTTCCTTGGCTTCTGCCATGATTGTGAGGTTTTCCCAGCCACATGGAACAGTAAGTCCATTAAACCTTTTTCCTGTATGAATTACCTCGTCTTGGGTATGTCTTTATTACCAGCATGAAAATGGACTAATACAGACACCAAACCAAAGTTTAAAAGAAAAAAAACTCAGAATAGACCAAGCTTGCTAAGAAGAACAGCAAAAATCTCTACACCTAGACATATTATTTTCAAACTGCAGAAAACAAAATACAGAAAAAGAGAAAATCTTGAAAGAAACCAGAAAGTTAGAGAAGCAAACACCTTAGCTATAGGAGAAAAAAGATAAGAACTAGAATAAAATTATCCTCTGAAACCATTCAACCAGGAGGTGAATGAAATGAAATATTTGAAGCATTGAAAGAAAATAAAGCCACCAACATAAAAATTATATATCCACTGAAATAATCCTTCAAATGTGAAGAAGAAACATCCTATTAGCTTCAAGATATAAACAGATTAAAAGGCATCACTCCTGCCCTCAAATAAGGAAAGAGCTGAGCGAACTGAAAATCAATGACTTCTCAGATCCATCAGAAATCGAGGTCATAAGACAAACTGCCACTCCAAAGTCTGGAGAGACAGATGAACACAGAGAAGTATAGTGAAGATCTGCTTCCAGCAGTGAAGAAAAATATGCTAAAACCAATAAGTGATAGGAAAAAAGAATGATAATTGTGATGAATTATTGACAACTGAATGTGGATTAGCTTGAGGTAAAAACTCTCTGAGGGCCTAGACTGAGGCCCCACATTTTCATGAGTTTTACCAAACGTAGTTCTCACAGCCTTACTCAATGAAGAATAGACAAAAATCCACTTGTGTTTTGGGCAGGAAGGGGAGAAAAAACATTCTGAAATACACTCAGAGCATTCTCAATAACAGAAACCTCTGTAGAGAAACTATTTTACCAGAACCTTATCTGAGCTGGAAGAACATCAATTAGGCAATTCCAATATCTTCTAGTATTGTATCTCACAGAAGTGGAGAAAAATTAAAAAAAAAAAAACTATAGTAAAATAAAACCTCTGTCACTTGCAGTTAGAGCAGACATTCAACTCAGACCAACTCCTAGTCTGATGTACAGAAAGTATCACATTCAAAACCTGATGACCTGACACATTGTGTCAGGCTTTCAACACACACTGAAAGCTGAAAGGCAAGAAAACACAGGCTGGAAAGACAAGCAAGCATCAGAACCAGCATCAGGTATGGAAGAGACTTTGGAAATATTAGACCAGGAATTTAAAATAACTTAGAATAATATATTAAGGAGTCTAATAGAAAAAGTCATCAATACACAAGAACATATGGGTAACACGTGCATACAGATGGAAAATTTAAGAAACAAACAAAAGAAAATGCCAGATAACAAAAACACTGTAACACAGAAAAAGACTTTCTGTAATGGACTCGTTCTTAGACTGGACACAGCTGAGGAAATATCACTGAGTCTGAACATATGTAATAGAAACTTCCCAAATTGAAATACAGAAACCAAAAAAATTAAAAATATACCAGAATACCCCAAACTGAGGGATCATTACAAAAGCTATAAATGCATATAATAGGAATAGTAGAAAAAGAATAAAGAAACAAAAGGAATATTTGAATTAATAATGACTGAGAATTTTTAAAAATAAATGACATACAATAAACCACAGATCCAGGAGGCACAGAGAAAACCATGCAGGGTGAAAAACCAGAAAGTCTTCATCTAGGCATATCATAGTCAAACTGCATGAAACAAAGGACAAAGAGAAAGTCTTGAAGGAAGTCACATGGGGAGAATGGGGCAGTTCCTCCATAGAAGAACAGGAATAAGAGTTATATATGACTTCCCATCTGAAACCACACAAGTCAGAAGAAAGTGAAGTGAAATACTAAAAATTGTTGAATGAGAAAAGAAAAAAACACAAAAAACCCAAGACGCCAATTTAGAATTCTGTACTCTGTTATTATCCTTCAAAAGTGAAGAAGAAATAAAAACTTTCTCAGAAAAGTAAAAATTCAGGGAAAGTGTTGTCAGTAGACATGCCTATCTCTCACCGCATCTCTCCAACATTGTACTCGAAGTCTCAGTGCATGCAATAAGACAAACAGAGGGCATGAAAGTTATGCTAATTAGAAAGAAAAAAACTTGTCTTTGTTCTCAGATGATCTAATTATGGTTATAATTATAATCATCTATCCAGAAAATCCCAAAGAATTCACAAAAAAATTGCTAGAACTTATAAGTGATTATAGCAAGGTCATAAGATGCAAGGTTAATATGCAAAAGTTAATTGCTTTCAAATATAATAACAATGAATAATTGACATTTGAAATTAAAAGTATCATTTAATATAGCTCCAAAATTTAAATACCTATAATTAAATTAATAAAAATTTGTGTAGAATCCCTATGTATAAAACTACAATACTCTGATGAAAGAAAACAAAGAAATTCAGTTATGTGAGGGATACTGTTTGCTCATTGACAAGAACGCTAAATATTATTAAGATGTCAACTCCTCTCAAGTTGATATATAGATTCTACGACTTCCCACTCAGTATCTCAGCCAGTTGTTTTGCAGATATTGACACACTAATTGTTAAATTTATATGGGAAGTCACAAGACTCAGATTTGCCAATACAATACTGAAGAAGAACAAAGTTGAAAGACTGTCACTACCCTAATTCAAGATAAATTATAAAGCTACTGTAATTGAGTCATGTGGTATTGGTGAAAAATAGATACATAAATAAATATAACAGAATACATAATACAAAAATGAAACCACACAAACCCAGTGAAGCAATCTTTGAAAAGGGAGGGAAGGTAATTTAATAGAAAAAATAATAGTCTTTTCAAAAAACAGTGTTGAAACAGCTGGATCTGTATATCCAAAATAATATAATCAGACGCAAACCTTACACAACCTTACATCAAAATTAACTCAAAAAAGACCATAGACCTAAATATATAATGCAAAACTGTAAATCTTGTAGGAGAAAAAGTAAGGAAAAACATTCTATGTGACTTTGAACTGGGTGGGAGTTCTTAACAGCATAATCCAAAAAGAAAAATGTAATAATAATAATATAGACTACATTAAAATTAAAAACTTCTGCTCTGTGAAAATATTTAACTGTATGCATTAACATACGCATTTTGTGCTATGGGCACTTAGGAAATACTTGGTGTCATGAGCCCACCATTACTGGGCTCATCAAAAACTGAAAATAATTTCATCACCCTAAAACTACCATCATTCACTCATTCAATACTTCTCTGCCGTAGTCTCTGGAAACCACTGATCTTATTGTCTCTATAATTTTTATTTTTTCAGAATACCATATAATTGGTGTATGGTACATAGGCTTTTCAGATTTTTTTTCACTTAATAATGTGCATTTACCATTCATCTACTAATTTTCATGACTTGATAGCTCATTACTTTTTATTGGTGAATAATATTCCATCATATATTTGTAAGAAAATTGTTTATCCATTTCTCTCTCTCTCTCTCTTTTTTTTTTTTTTAAGACAGTGTCTTGTTCTGTCACCCAGGCTGGAGTGCAGTGGTGCAATCTTGGCTCACTGCAACCTCCACCTCTAGGGTTCAAGCAATTCTCATGCCTCAACTTCCTGAGGAGCTGGGCTTACAGACACGTGCCAGCATGCCTGGCTAATTTTTGTATTTTTTGTAGAGAGGGAGTTTTGCCATGCTGGCCAGGCTGGTCTCGAACTCTTAGCCTCAAGTGATCTGCCCATCTCGGCCTCCCAAAGTGCTGGGATTACAGGCGTGAGCCACCGCACCAGGCCCATTCATCTCTTGAAGACTATCTTGATTGCTTCGAAGTTTTGGCAATTATAAATAAAGCTACTGTAAAAATTCATATACAGGCTTGGGTGTGGAAATAGGTTTTGAAATCAGTTGGGTAAATATATAGGAGTTCAACTGCTGGATAACATGGTAAGACTGTGTTTAATGTTTTTAGAAACTCTCTGCCTTCCAAAGTGACTGTCCCATTCTGCATTTCCACCAGAAAAGAATTAGAGTTCCTATTGCCCTGAATTCTCCACAGCAGTTGGTAGTGTCAGTTGTTTTTTTTTAGATTGTAGGCATTATAATAGATTGTAGGGGTTTCTCATTATGGTTTTATTTTGCCATTCCCTAATGACAAGTCATTTTAAGTTTCATCTTTATATTCATTCAGTCTATTTATAATTTTTCTTCATTATGTAATTGGGCTGTTTGATTTTAATTGTTAATATTTAAGACTTCTTGCATATTTTGATACAAACCCTTTCTCAAATGTGTGATTTGAAAATATTTTCTCCTTGTTTTTGCTTGCTTTTTGATTCTCTTAATATTTTCTGGAAAAACATCTCATACGAGCACAGAAAGAAAAAAAAACAAATAAAATCACCCTTTCTTCATTCGTAAGCTTAAATATAACTGCACTGAAAAATTTCCTCTTTCTATAAAACAAAAATAATCTGATAAACTCATTCAAAATAAGAAATAAAAAAATGAATTTCAACTTGTTACTCTGCAAAGGTAAATTTGCATTTCAGCAGTGTCTAAAACATATTACAAATATTATTATTAAGAAAAAAAATCCAATACAGAGTTGTTCCACTGAAAGAGAGCCTTCTTAGAAGCGGATCATGGGGTCAGGAGATCGAGACCATCCTGGCCAACATGGTGAAACCCCATCTCTACCAAAAAATACAGACAATTAGCCGGGCGTGGTGGCAGGCACCTGTAGTCCCAGCTACTTGGGAGGCTGAGGCAGGAGAATGGGGTGAACCCAGGTGGTGGAGCTTGCAGTGAGCCGAGATCACGCCACTGCACTCCAGTGTGGGTGACACAGTGAGACTCCATCTCAAAAAAAAAAAAAAAAAGACCCCATCATACTTAACTTATGCATTGAATTAATTTACATCAAACAAATGCATATTTTACTTTCATTCTACCTACAGGTGTCCACACATCATCATGTAAGATAAAGGCATGGAAAATGAATAATAAAGAGGTCTTATTCACAGTGAAAAAGATATAGCTAGGTAACGTTAAAAGGATGTAGAAACTGATGGCTCTCATGACACCTGAATAGTAGTACTCCTGACAAATTATGCAGGTCAAGATATTGCAGAGAAGACAAAAGCACCAAAGAAAGAAAAATCACTTTTCAGTATGGAAATTCATGAAGGTTCACATTGACCTATTATCAAAATCTAATAGTAAACCAGCAGAAAAATGAAGATGGCCAACTACGAATAGACAAGCAGTAGGAAGAAGACACAGAGTTCTTAGGGAAAATTCATTGAGAGGTCTACCTGTGGCTATTATGGATTAATTAGCTGTGGGAAAATATTTCTGCTAAGACATAAACATAATGTTACATATATATATATATATATATATATATATATATATATATACACACACACACACACACACACACACACACACTAGAAGGCAGTGGGGACCAGTTTGCTTTTGGAGCCTTGAGGGACCAAGATCTTTGAGACCTGGGGAGAGATGAGGCTATATTTTGTAGCCATTTTCCCTGAGTATATTTTCTAATTCTGAGCCTATAAATCCAGGCAAAACATATAGCTAGAGGATCATCTTTCTGAAACAAAGAAACCAACTAAAATTTTGGCAGTCTAGGAGGCTTCACAGACAAATTTAGTGATTTTGGAAGAGAAGGACAGAGAAATCAGTCCAATCCTCAGTTGCTACTTGCCAAAATTTAAAACTGGATGGCATAGGATGATAAAAAGCAAAGCAGAAAAATCTAAAGAACACTGGAATTTATAGCAGTCTTGTGGTACTGGGGAAACAAATATCAGAGTTTGGGAGGTCCAGCAGTGGGGTTAAGGACTGGAAGCACCCCATGATCTCAGTTGGAAAATTGAGGAAACCGCACAATAGCAGGAGAGGAGGCACAGGTGAAAAAAAAAAAAAAAGACAAAAAACAAACAAAAAAAACCTTTTACCAGAATTGCAGCACAACCTTAAATTAGTTCTATCTAGCCTAATCTTTCTACCAGGCAGAGGACAAGTAAAACATCTTTGGGGAAAGATGAGAGCTTTTTCAATTTGTAAACAATGTCTATCACTGTACAAATTGTACACAAGGGACATGACATTGTGAAAATTGTGGTTTAGCATGAGCAAAAGTCAGGATCTGGCTTGAGATACTGTAGCTATGTGGAGAATTAGCCAAGCAAAGGAAGAGAGTGTCCTGAGGGAGGTAGGAATAATTTTATTGTAAAATGTTTCTAAATAGTTAAGCAGCTGTTAAATGAGTGCAAGTTAATAAAGAAGCCACAGAACTATATATAAAGTCTGTCCTCATTATTCATGAATTTTATGTGTAAATTCACCTACTTGCTGAAATTGAGTTGTTACTCCAAAATCAATATTTTCAGTGCTTTTGAGGTCATTTGTGAACATGTGCAGAGGAGCGAAAAATTTGGAGCCATTCAATATGCACATTCTCAGCTGAGCCTGAATAAAGTGGACACTGTGTTCTTGTCTCAACTTTCATACTATAAACAAGCATCTATGCCAGGCGCAAGCGGCTCACACCTGTAATCCCAACACTTTGGGAGGTCAAGGCGGGCAGATCACTTGAGGTCAGGAGTTTGAAACCAGCCTTGCCAACATGGTGAAACCCTGTTTCTACAAAAAGAAATGCAAAAATATTAGCTGGGCATGGTGGCGGGCACCTGTAATCCCAGCTACTTGGGAGGCTGAGGCAGGAGAATTGCTTGAATCCAGGAGGTGAATGATGCAGTGAGCCAAGACTGGGCCACTGCACTTCAGCCTGGGTGACAGAGGGAGACTCCATTTCAAAAATAAAAAATAAATAAGAATAATAAACAAACCAACAAATGTCCGCTTCAAGTCCATTTAGTGTTACATTTTTAAATTTTTGTGCTTCTTCTTCGTCATTTTGCCATTTAAAATGTTCCTATGTGTAGTGCTGAAGTGTTGTCTAATGTTCCTAAGTGCAAGAAGGCTGTGATGTGCCTTATGGAGAAAATTCCTGTGTTAGAAAACACTTCATTTAAGTATAACTTATAGGACTGTTGGCTGTTAAGTCCAGAGTTAATGAATTATCAATATATATTAGATAAGGTGTCTGTAAACAGAAAAACACAAAGAGCAAGATAATATCTTGATTAGTTGATAAAAATGTAGTGACCAGAGGCTCACAGGAGCTCAATCCCAAATTTTCCCCAGGAGCATGACTGTGTTTTTGGAAGGCTGGATTCAGTAGCAATGAAGAGGCTGTGGGTAAGGTATGTAAGGCTGAGTAACACTCTGGAGAATTGAGTGGCCTGTGGCCCAAAGTGCAGCTGGTCCCCACATAATTTTAATTCAATGGCAACCACACTAAACCTATTTTTATCAAAATGGCTCAGAATCTCCATTTGCATGTTGTCCAGAAAGATAGACCCTGTGCTTTGAATACATAGTCAATGTTTAATGACAGGAATATGTTCTAGGAAATATATCATTAAGCAATTTCATCATTGTGTGAACACCATGGAGTGTACTTATATAACCATAAGATGCGAGAGTGTGCTACACACCTAGGCTGTATCCTACAACCTATTGCTCCCAGGGTACAAACTAGTACAGCAATTGTAACACAATGCGAAGTAGTTGTGTGTCTAAACATACCTAATCATAGAAAAGGTACAGTAAAAGTATGTATCATAATCTTATGGGATCATCATCATGTATGTGACAAAATGTTGTCAGGCAGCACATGACTGTAATTGCTAGCAGGACATTTAAATTTAAATGGTCACCAGGTGATGGGTTCAAAGAATAAAACATGTAGAAGAAGGGAGAAGACAAAGGGAGTGAACAGAATGTCAGTCTATGGCTCATTCTAACATTTGGGTGGAGGATCTCTTTAGCTAAGAACACTTGGGCTTTACAGTTTGTTAAGAATAGAGAGCTTGAGGATCATGGCTGCAGAGCGTGTTTTGAACCACAAATAAGGAAAGCAATCTCACTAGAAGAGTAATGGCAGATATGAGATTGTCATTAGTTAAAGATCAAATTAGTAATGAAAAGGGATATACAGGGAGAGTTTAGAATTGTGGGGGCAGGGCTGGGCACGGTGGCTCACACCTGTAATCCCAGCACTTTGGGAGGCCGAGGTGGGCAGATCACGAGGTCAGAAGATCAAGACCATCCTGGCTAACACGGTGAAACCCCGTCTCTACTAAAAATACAAAAAAATTAGCCGGGCATGGTGGCGAGTGCCTGTAGTCCTAGCTACTCGGGAGGCTGAGGCAGGAGAATGGCGTGAACCCAGGAGGTGGAGCTTGCAGTGAGCCGAGATCGTGCCACTGCACTGTAGCCTGGGCAACAGAGCAAGATTCCATCTCAAAAAAAGAATTGTGGGGGCAGTGCAGAGATATTTGAAAGGAAAGCATGGGAAAGATAATTTTACCTGGAAGCAGTGTTAAGAAAATATGTTTTCTCAACATGAAAAGAAGGGAAAATATTTTTAGACAAAAAATATAAAGTAGAATGATATGGTACATTATTCCAGAGGTGGAAGAGGATTAAATCAAAAGCAAATTGCACTGCTATAGCAATGATTAAAGATTTTCCATTTCTACCAATGAGAAAGAGGGAAAAATGCATGGGGGATAAAAAGGAAATGGATAAAAGAAGAAAGAAAAAGATAAATGTGACAGAAATAAAAGAAGTGAGATATTCTGTAAAACAATCCAGAAATTTCAAGGTGGCTGTCAGTTACGTTCAGAACATTTATTTTTGAAAATATGTTTGTAACAATCTACTAGGCATCTTATCATATGTTAAGCAGTGTGACTGGCTTGGAGAAAAAAGTTATTAAATGGATACTAGTCTTGGCTCTCAAGTTGCTTAAAGCACATTCGACAGAAATGTAACAGACGTATGTTCAAGGTGGTTTTGCCACAAAAGGGCTGGTGTTATAGGGAGCTACCCTTAAACTAGCTTGGGGAAGGAGTCCAAAGAAGGTGAGTCTTAAAATGTGTTCAGAAGAGAGAGAAATGAAGAAAAGGGCAAATAAAATTCTAGGCAGAGGGTAGGCAGAGGCAAGGAAGTATGAGAAAGCAAGGATAAGTTGAGACATTGAAGAAGTTAAAAAAAAAAAGACTAGAATCCATGTGTGTCTAAAAAATGTAAGCTGGGAAGATAAGCTGAAGCCAGATAATGGCACTGGAGTGTGATATGATGGATTTTGTTTTTATTTTAGAAACATCATACAGATGGTAGATTGCAGAATGTCATTTATCTCCAGAATGACAAAGGAACCAGAGCCTTCACCCAAGAGTGGAGTGTGGAAGTAGGTTGGGGATATGAAGGCAATGGAAAATATTTTGAACAGCTGCTAAAAGAAGAGTTATAATGAGTCAATCAGAGATGAGGAAAATCATTCCTAAGCATCTCTAAGACCCTGACCAAAGTTGCTTAGCACGAAATTGTGGTGAAGCTAGTCATCACAATTATGGCAACAACAGCTTAGGCTGAGCAGCAAAATAATAAGAAAGATAAAATGTTGTTGAATAATTGTGAGTGAGATATGTCTCACTGTCCTTTGTGGACAAAGAACAATGAAAGACATAAACTCAGGGCACAATTAAATTGGTAAACCTCTAATTCTATTATGGGTATGGGTGCAAAAATAAAACCTTGAGTGGACTCAGAACACAGGAGAGAAGAGAAGATGATCTGATGGGATAACTGTATAAGAAGTGCAGAATGAAATAAAAGGGAGAGAGATATGAAAGAATATATATCAGCCAGTTAAGAGAATCATAGAGTTCAAAAAACTCAGAGGTGGATTAATTCCTGGTAATAATAAGGCTTAGGGTGTAAGTCACTGACAGTCAATTAAGTATGCTGGAGTTGAAGGTCAAAAGAAATGAGTCAGAAAAGTTGGATAATTAAACTCAGAATGGGGGAGATAACTCAATAGTGCAATTATTGATTAGAACACCAGAGTGATGTCACCTATCACAAGACCACATCGACAAACGTTTTTTCTTTCCTTTTTAAAATGAGAGGCTACTTGAAAAAGTGTTTAATGGATCGAAATTTGACTCAGTAAGAAAGTAATATGGCAGAACTTGGGGATAATTTTTGACTTTTGAGTTTTGGTAAGTTGGAGACATTGTAGATTTAGTATGAAGTTTATTCTTTACATTTTCTGCAGAGAAATTGTTAAAAGTGTGAATGAAAGTAAAAGAAAGGCCTCCCCTCATTTTTCCCATTTGTGTTTTTTCTATTATATTAAATATCATTGGAATTATTTATAAGCTTTAAGCTTAAGAAGCATCACCCATAGATTGTTGTCTGTTCAAAACTGAAATCTCATTTTCTGATGTGGACCAATCAATGCTTGTGGAATAAATGAATTAGTCTTAGAATTAAACTTAAGTAATATGGAATTAAATCTCTATTATTTTCTTTTCCAACCTTGTGTTCATTGACAAATTGTTTATATTATTTTCAGTTTTGACTCTTTACATATAATATTGATTATATAATAACTAAACATAAGGCTATATTGGGAAGATAGTAAAATAAAATATTAAAATGCCTCGTAATTATAATTATTAAATAAGCTCACCTGAATTTAACACTTCTTTTGTTGTGATGTATAGTGTTAAGTAAGCTGTTTAGAGATAACTAAGATCTGATATTTTTAATGTGATAGGTTTCTCTTCCACACCAGTAATTGGTGATGCAAATCCTTTTCCAGTTTTAATCATAACCAATCTCTTTTTTGTTCATTGCCTTTAAAAAAGAAAACAGTTTTCAAGTAGTCAGAGTACAAATTGTAAGCATGTATCTCTTAAAATTTTTACATATATTTCTAGGACCATCACTGAGATTATAATATAGAACATTTTTATCTCCCCAGAAAAGTTTGCCCTGTGCTTTTCTAGCCAACGGCACCTCAGCCAGAATAGTATAACCCTGTAGTTACTTTTAATGCCTTTGAGATCCATCCCAGTTGTTAAATTTATCAGTAGTTTGTTCTGTTAAAATTGTTCTTTAGTATTGCATTGTACAAATAACAGACCTTTAGGTATTCTATTGTTGATGGATATCTCAGTAGTTTCCCACAGTATTTGTTGTAAGAATGCGCTTTCACCAGTCATTTTGTAAACATATTTACAAAGTAAGTAGAAAATATTTTAAACACAATGGTAATGAAATTAAGACTTGCTAAAAATTGAGTGTTCCATCTAAACTATGCCGAGAGTTAATTTATAGCCTTAAATGCAAATGTAAAAAAAATCAAAGCCTAGAAGTAAATAAATATCTACCCAAAGAAACAAAAATCAACAATCAGGGCATTAAATCTACAAGAAGTAGTATTAATAGGGTTGCCAAATAAAATACAGGCTATTCTGGTCCAATTGAATTTCAGATAAACATATATATTAGTGTAAGCAAGTGTCAAATATTGGAAAGGAATATACTGATACTAAAAAAAAAATGGCATACCTGAATTCATATTTACCTGTGCATCCTGTTCTCTTTTGTTCCCCTGTCTTACATTCCTAAGTGGAAAGCTGGTCACTATGTGAGAATATTATTATTAAGAATAATGATAATGAAATGAGAAACAAGTCTATAATAAAGGCATCAATAAAGATAAAAATTTGTTCTTTGAAAACACTAATAATATTTTTAACACCTGAGAATATCAGAGACAGCACACACAAAAGTACACAATATAAGACATAAAAAACAGAACTTCACTATAGATATTAATGACATAGAAATTAGAAGAGAATACTATGGTCTACTTTATGCCCATAAATTCAAAATCTTAGATAAAATACCAAATTGCTAGAAAAAATTATAATAAGAAACAAAAAATATAAATGAAAAATTTGTATTTCTTTTTAACATAAAACATTAAAACTCAAACCATAATTAAATAACATTACTCAAAATGTAAAGCACAGATGAATCTTATGAAATATTTAAAACAGAAATAACACAAATCTTAGGCAAACCCTTTCATAAACTAGAAAAAAAAGACATTCTAACTTATTTTCTGACGAAAAAGAGAACTTGATACTAAAATCAGACATGAATACAAGAAAGACTATTTCTATTTCTGGCTCTTTTATGGACTTGGATAAAAACATAAAAAAAAGCAAACAGAATCAATATATCAATGAAAAGAATACTGCATTATAATCAAGTTCATTTGGCTTTAGGGATTTAGTTTAGCCACAGGATATTAGTGTAACAAAACAAAGGGAAACAGGTGATACAAGTTTTTTGGTTTTTTTTTTAGACATGGTCTGTTGCCCAGGCTGGAGCTCAGTGGCGCCATCTTGGCTCACTGTAACCTCCACCTCCCTGGTTCAAGCGATTCTCCTGCCTCAGCCTCCTGAGTAGCTGGGACTGCAGAAGCCTGCCACCACACCTGGCTAATTTTTGTACTTTTAGTAGAGACGGGGTTTCACCATGTTGGCCAGGCTGGTCTGGAACTCCTGACCTCACATGAGGTCTGCCTACCTTGGCCTCTCAAAGTGCTGGGATTACAGATGTGAGCCATCGCGCCCCACCACAAGTGATACAATTATCTCAATAGGTGTTAATAAAACTGTCTGCACAACTAGAATGGTAGAAAGAAATATTTAATATACAAAAAAATAAGAGTAAACACTTTATGTTAAAAATTTCAATATATTTCTGTTGAGAGCAAAATAATGTTCCTTACAATTATTGGATGGCCTGAAAAATATCATAAGGCACAAAAAGGAGCACAACAGGATTGAAAATGAAACAATGGTATCCTATTACACAGAACATATATTTACCTATTGACAAAATAATCCGTACATAAATTTTAGACAAGTGACTTCATCCAATGTGCTTCCTGATGGGATTGGATAAAAACTACATAATATCACTTCATTTTTAGATTTTCCAAATATTTTTCAGCTGCATCTAATCACAGACAAATCTAGAACATAGGGCATTCTACAGATAAACATGTCTGCATACTTTTTCAATGTCAGGAAAAAGGAAAAAAAAAGCAGTTGGAGTAACCCATTTTAGACTTTTAAAAAAGCATAAAAATCATGGAAACCCAATGAAACGAATGAACCAATATTGAGTGTTGGCTAAAAAAAAAACAGTCCTAAAACATTTTTGGAACACATGAAGCTATATTAGGCGATGTAATTAATACTAACACACTTAGGTGTAAAAGTCATCACGTGGCTAAGTAGGAGGAGATACTTGTTCTTAATAGCTTTTTGAGAATTCCTTCTAAACAATTTTGGCAAAAATAATTCTATCTTTCTACCTGTCTACTCAGAGAGCAGATATAGCAAAATATTACCTATTGATAACTTAGGAGAATTGAGCTTTTTTCCAACTTTTCTAAACATAATGTTTTAAGAACTCTTAGGAATGTTTATGTGATCATAACAAAAATAATAACAAAACATAAGGCTATATTGGGAAGATAGTAAAATATTAAAATAATTAAATGTTAAATATTAAATAATATTAATTAAAATATGATCACATAAAAATTCTTTATGATTGTTATAGGGCATTTATACCATAATGTTATCAAACATATGTGACCTTTTTTTTTCTGTGTCCTCTATTGACACAACTACCATATTAGTAGATTGACAAAAATCTATCAAGAGTTTTGTGAATAATTTAAACTAGCTCAAAAGATTTAAAATATTAGGGCCAATTTCCCAAAAGAAAAAAAATATATAACATATATTACATGTAAAATATATAAGATGATATATAATAAAATATATATAATGTTTATTATACACATATCAATTTATGTATATCAGGTTTATACATAAAAATCACATTTATATCTATATAGAAGTACAAAACAATACAAAACAATATCTTAAACGATACCATTTGTAATAGTTTCAGAAACATCTTTCAAGGAACAGATATATAAAACATGGACAAGATTCCACTCAAAAAGCTATAAAAATATATTGATAGAAACTAAATTGAACCTAATATACATATCAAATTTCATTGATTAAAAGGTTCAGTATTACACACCATACCAAAGCGGATATACAGATGGAAAATAAGCGTAGGAAAAGATGTTTCACATCACATCATATGGCATCAGGGATGTGGAAATTAAAGTAAAAATGAGATACCACTATGCACCTATTAGAAAGGCAAAATCCAGAACACTGACTGCACCAAGTTCTCATGAGGATGTGGAGCAACAGAAACTTTCATTCAGTGCAGGTGGGAATACAAAATGGCATGACCACTTTAGAAGACAATTTGGAAGTTTCTTACAAAACTAATGTTAATAAAAGACCATGAGGTTTGCAGAGGAAAAATAAAGAAGTGTTTTATTTTCTAATAATAATAATAAATCTGCTGATCAGAGAGATGCAGTCTCCAAAGTAAAACAAAAGTGCACTCTGGAGATAAAGAGGGTGTCTGGCTTAAATAGGGAAAGTTCCTGCCCCAGCTCTCAATCAGGTCTGTATATGCAAATGAATAACTCAAATTCATTCAGTCCTGATTGGTTTGGAATTTTCCAACCTGAAACCAGAAGTCTGTTGGACGCCTTTCAGGAGGCTACTGGGAGGAGTTTTCTGCCATGTTAGCTCCAGACATAGGGTTACAGGAACCGTCTTAGCTCAGAGGTGCAAACAGGTTATTCCTCTGGAGCTGCTCACTCCTGAGAATAATGGAAAAAATTAACTCACTGGCCACAGGGAGTAATCACCCTTTGCTCACTCACTACAGCCAGTGTGTTCATTTTACTTCACACTAAACATATTCTTACCATGCAATCCAGCAATCACACTCCTTGGCATCTACCCAAAGGAGCTGCAAACATTTATCTACACATAAACCTACACAAGATGTTTACAGCAGCTTTATTCATAATTGCCAAATGCTGGAAGCAATCAAGACGTCCTTCAGTAGACAAATGGATAAATAAACTGCGGTACATTCAAATGATAAAACGTTCCTCAGCATTTTAAAATAAGTAAGCTATCAAGCCATGAAAAGAAATGGGGGAAACTCAGATCCATGCTATTAAGTTAAAGAAGCAAATCTGAAAAGGATACATACTTTAAAATTCCAACTACATGACATTCTGGAAAAGGGAAAACTATGGAGACAGTAAAACAATCAGTGCTTGCCAGGAGTTAAGGGAAGGGAGAGATGAGTAAGTGAAGCACAGAAGAGTTTCAGGGCAGTGAAGCTACTTTGTACAATACTTTAATGGTGGATATATCATTATAAGTTTGTCCAAATGTACAGAATGACTACAAGAGTGAAACCTGCGTAAACCATTGACTCTGCATGATAATGATGTTCCCATGTGGATTCACATCAGTTGCAACAAATGTGCCCCTCTGGTGGGGGATGTTGACAACGGGGAAAGTGTGTATATGTGGGGTCAGGAGGTATATGGGCAATTTCTTTAACTTGTCACAATTTTGTTGTAAACCTAAAACTGCTCTTAAAAGTAAAATCTATTAAGACTCAATATTGTAAAGATGTTTGTTCTCCCAAAATTGATTTGTACATACAATGTCATTCTAAGAAAAGTCCAGTACTCTCTTTGTATGTGTGGAAACTGGAAACCGATTCTAAAATCTATCCGGAAATCTAAAGGACTAAGAATAGTTAAGACATGCATGAAGAATAAAGACAGATTTAATCACTTGATAGTAAAACTTATTTTAAGCTGATAATTTAGTGTGCTGTTGATTCAAAAATAAACCAATAAAACCAAAGAAAGTCCAGAAATAAACGCCCCCATGTAAGTATTCCATTTAGAACAAATGTGAAAGTGTGGACCAGTGGTAACTAATGTGCTTTTCAATAAATTATGGCGGATTTTGGCACAACGGAATTACACTGAGTAGCTGTAGGAGCTCAAAGAGAAAGGCCCCAGACTGCTGAAGCAGCCGCCAGCTCCTGCGGGCCCTCCTTGGACCTGGACTCTAAGTTGAGGGAGGCTGAGGAGACACCGAGCACCCTGCAGGCCGGGTGTGACCAGCACTGCAGCAACCTGGCGGAGATGGAGGGGATGCTCAGAGGCCTGCAGAAGATCCTGGAGGAGGAGGAGCAGGTGTTGAGGGCCAAGGTGGGCACCAGAGAGGAAGTACTCCAGAAGTCACTGGGCAGTGAAACATCTCAAAGAGATTGTAGAGAAGCTAAAAGGAGAACTTGAAAGTTCAGACCAGGTGAGGCAGCACACCTCACATTTGGAGGCAGGGCTGGAGAAGCACATGGCAGCCCCCCATTGCTGTGCCAGAACTATGCCATGGAAGTGGTGCAGTTGAGGCAACTTCTATTAGAATCTCAATCTCAGCTGGATGCAGCCAAGAGTGAAGCCCAGAAACAGAAGGATGTACTTGCCCTGCTCAGGCAGCAGTTGAGTGAAATGAAGAGCCATGTAGAGGATGGTGACATAGCAGGGTCCCCAGTTTCCTCCCCAGACTCACCCCCAAACCCCCTAGCCGAGCACAACCCTGTTCAGCTGAAGATGCAGTTGGAGCGGACAGAAGCCATCCTGGAGGGCAAGCAAACGCCACTGCAGAAGTTCATGGCAGAGTTTGAGGCTCCTCAGGCCTCAGTGTGTTGGTTATAAGAAGACTTGGAAAAGCTCAGTGCAGCCTGTATCCTGGAGTCTTCAGAAATGGAGGAGGCCGCGCAGCTGAAGGAGAGACTAGAAAAAGAGAAGGCGTTAACGAATGATCTGGGCCGGGCGGCCACCAAACTACAGGAGCTTCTGAAAATGACCCAGGAGCAGCTGGCAGGGGAGAAGGACACAGTGAAGAAGCTGCAGGAGCAGCTGGAAAAGACGGAGGGCTGCAGCAGCTCAAAGGAGGGCACCTCTGTCTGAGTCTCCTCTGTGGAAAAAGAAGTTACTGTTGGACTTACCAAAATGCGTACACATTTCTTACAAATAAACCAACCAACCTACACAGCGTTATCCAGGCCCAACTTTCGGTAGCTTTAAGAGAAGCCATTAGAGACTTGAGAGTGTCTTGGAGCCACAGAAGTAGACCTTCCAGAGCCCCCATTTGTAAACGAACCTGTGTCATATTTGATAAACACGATTCTGGGCACAGCCCTAGGCCACCGCTGAGTGACACCAAAGCCCTACTTGACTCTGACAGCCCCTGCGGTGTGTGTGGGAGGCCAGGAGCTCTGGGGTCTATCTGTTGATGCAACTGAGAGGTGACAGCATGCAGGCAGCCCTCGCAGCCCCAGCTCGCTCACGATGCCTCCTCGCCTTGACGCCCATTCTAGCTGTGCTTGAGGAGCCCTTCAGCCGCCGCTGCACCGTGGGAGCCCTTCTCTTGGCTGGCTGAGGCTAGAGCCAGCTCCCTTGGCTGGCCGGGAGGTGTGGAGGGAGAGGCACGGGTGGGAACCGGGGTTGCACTTGCGGGCCAGCTGGAGTTCCCAGTGGGCATGGGTTTGGCGGCCCTGCACTTGGAATGCCAGCCAGCCCTGCCGGCCCCGGGCAGTGAGGGGCTTAGCACCTGGGCCAGCAGCTGCGGAGGGTGCACCAGGTCCCCAAGCGGTGCTGGCCCACTGGCGCTGCGCTCGATTTCTTGCCTGGCCTTAGCTGCCTCCCCACAGGGCAGGGCTCGAGACCTGCAGCTCGCCATGCCTGAGTCTCCCCCCACCACCGTGGGATCCCACATGGCCTGAGCCTCCCTGATGAGCGCTGCCCCCTGTTCCATGGCTCTGGGTCCCATCGACTGCCCAAGGGCTGAGGATTGCAGGGGCAGGGCGGGAATTGGCAGGCAGCTCCACCTGCGGCCAGGCTGTGGGATCCACTGGGTGAAGCCAGCTGGGCTCCTGAGTCTGGTGGGGACTTGGAGAACCTTTGTGTCTAGCTAGGGGATTGTAAATACACCAATCAGCACTCTGTATCTAACTCAAGGTTTGTAAACACACCAATCAGCACCCTGTGTCTAGCTCAGGGTTTGTGGATGCACCAATAGTCAGTCTGTATCTAGCTAATCTGGTGGTGACTTGGAGAATCTTTATGTCTAGCTAAGGGATTGTTAATACACCAATCAGCATTCTGTGTCTAGCTCAAGGTTTGTAAATGCACCAGTCAGCACTCTGTGTCTAGCTGATCTGGTGGGGACTTGGAGAACCTTTATGTCTAGCTAAGGGATTGTGAATACACCAATCGGCACTTTGTGTCTAGCTCAAGGTTTGTAAATGCACCAATCAGCACTCTATGTCTAGCTAATCTAGTGGGGACATGGAGAACTTTTGTGTCTATCTCAGGGATTGTAAACGCACCAATCAGCACCCTGTCAAAATGGACCAATCAGCTCTCTGTAAAACAGACCAATCGGCTCTCTGTAAGATGGACCAATCAGCAGGATGTGGGTGGGGCCACATAAGAGAATAAAAGCAGGCTGCCTGAGCCAGCAGTGTGAACCTGCTGGGATCCCCTTCTGCAGTGTGGAAGCTCTGTTCTTTTGCTCTTTGCAATAAATCTTACTGCTGCTCACTCTGGGTCCACACTGCCTTTATGAGCTGTAACACTCACCACGAAGGTCTGCAGTTTCACTCCTGAAGCCAGGGAGACCACAAACCCACTGGAAGGAATGAACAACTCCAAACTTGCCACTTTAAGAGCTATAACACTCACCGCGAAGGTCTGCAGCTTCACTCGTGAGCCAGCGAAACCATGAACCCACCAGAAGGAACAAACTCCGGACACGCCGCCTTTAAGAACTGTGACACTCACCGCGAGGGTCTGCAGCTTCATTCTTGAAGTTGGTGACACCAAGAACCCACCAATTATGGACTCACAATCATTTTGTCTTTTTATAGTGGGGTGGTGTGGGAGGTGGGCGGGATAGGGCAGCAAGTTCTAGAAGGCTGTGGGGCTGACTGGGGGCCACAGCCCCTCACCCCTAGATATTGCTAACCAGAACTGATCTGCGACCTCCTGAGTGTTGGCGCCATTAAGACCAACGTTGGTGACCCTGGAGTGGGGAATACAATAGCAATACAGAAAAAAAAAAAAAAAAGACAGTTGATCCCTTACATAATAGTGAGCACAAAAATCAATTAAATCTGAATTAATAATCTAAATGTGAAAGATAAAACAATAAGAAAGTTAATATTGGAGCATACTGTCATAATTAGGAGTTTTTAAACAGAATTAAGCATAACAAAATAACCCACAAATTATAAAGAAAAGAAATAAGATTACATTATATTTAGAAACTTCTGTTAATCAAAATTCACCTTCTAGAGAGTGAAAAGGAGAATTATGGACTTAAAAAATAGTGAACATGAAACTAACAAATAATTATATTCAGAGTTTAGAAATGAGCAAGAAATGTGAACAGAAACTTTGCAAAAATAACATACAAATGGTCAATGCCCAGTATCCTCATGCTTACTAAAAATCTTAAAAATACAAATTAAAACCATAACTTAATGTCACTTTATATGCATCAGAATGTCAAAATGATTGACAGTACCAAATAGGCCAAGAATAGGAAGCAACTGGAAGCCCATATATTGCTGGTGACTGTATAAATTGATATAAAACCACTTAGAAAAATCATTTGGCATTATTAATCAAAGTTGACTATAACACAGCAATTTCACTTGTCTTAATTTTTTAAAAAAACATTATGTATGTGTATTTCGAGAGATACATACAGAAATACTCATAGCTGCTTTAGTTCTAACAGTCCCAAGTGAAAATAATCTAAAAGCTATCACCAATAAAATGTATCAATAAGCCGTGGCATATTCGTTCAACAAAATTGTATACAGTATTTAAAAGGAACAGATTATTGCCATATGAAATGCCACAAATGAAAGGTACGAACATAATATGAAGCAAAATAAAGTGGACAGAAATGAGTACATGGTGTATGATTTTATTTATGTAAAAATCCAAAAGAGCAATTATTAATGTGTCAGAATGATGCTCACATTGTGGAGGGGCCGGGGTAATGATCATCACTGTGAATCTGCAGAAGAGCTAGTATGTTTTATTTCTCTACTAAGATGATAATCACATGTTGTTTTCACTTTGTAATCATTCGTCTGTTTTCAATTTGTACATTGTCCTTTATGAACATTTTAGTAGGGGATGAGAGGTCATTTCAAAAAACGCTTTGATACTGCGTGAAATGTCATGCTATGTGTTAATAACTCAGAACATACACCCAGCAACTCTATGAGCTTTCCCAGTTAGTGTTTATTTATCACAAACACACTGTGGTACAAATTTCTAATAAAAATCTGTCTAGATCATTATTATAAAAATGTATATGTTTTCTAATGAAATCTGCATGCCTTGATTATTTGATATCTGGGAGTTTCAACAATGAGCCAGTGTTGAAAGGGAGGAAGCTGCCTGCAAAATTGATGAAATGATTAAGATACATGATTTAAAGGGTCTGGGACACCTTAATCATGTTATCGAAACACAAGGGGTTCTGTCTAGGTCCTGCTGCCTGCCGTACAGAAAGCTAATCACTGAGAAGTCGAATATTGCCAAGGAAGAAGGCTTTAATTGGGTGCTGCAGCCAAGGAGATGGGAGCTCAAGTCTCAAATCCATCTCCTTGACCAACTAAATCTAGAGGTTTATATATCAGGCAAGAAATGTAACAATGTGTAAGAAAACAGAAACTCAGGAGGGCCAAGCAAGCAACCATGGTGAGTGAGGGCTCCAGCATCTGGTGTGGTGATCTGGTTTCAGTTCTTTGATACTTTTTAGGAGAGGCCTGAAGTTCATTTCCTGAGGAAGGAACTCAGATAAAACAAATGTAAGTTTCAAGCTTTAACAGCCAAAGGGTCTCTGTGCAGGATGTATAGGTTTGTTACGTAGGTAAACATGTGCCGTGGTGGTCATGGCAGTGGTGACCTGGTTGGAGTAGCCACTGCCATGATGCTGGCTGCAGTGGAGGATCTGTGGCATGGGCTATGTGCTCCATGGAGCCAGAGGGAGCAGAGAACAGGTGGCAGCCAATCCCCTTTCTGAACTGGTGAGTTGGGAGCCCCAGCCTCCCAGGTGCAACAGCAGCTGCCTAGCTGTGGCTGCAAACCGGGAATCTCTGCATTCTTGGAGACCCAGGAAGCCCTCCTGTCCCACAGGCTCAGAAGTGCCTGCTCCTGCTGCCTGACCTCTCCCCGCTCCTGGTGCCTACTCCAATTTTGGAGCAAAGTTGAGGCCTAGCACAGGTACTGTCATGATCTGGCCAGGTGTGCACACTCTTGGGGCAGTGCTGACATGGCAGACCCCTACTCCCTCTGTCCCCCTCCAGACTTTGGACACTAACAAGCGTGGGAGGAGGCTTGAGTGGGGCTGAGGTCAGCTTGGCACGAGCCTGAAGGCACCTCTCAGCATGAAGAGCCTGGGTGCCATGGACAGCAGCTTGATGGCAGCAGAAGGCAGACAGGGTCCTGGGTGAAAAGAGGCAGGTAACTGGTGAAGCCCAAACCTTTAAGGCAGGGATGGCCTGTAGGTAGCCTGGGGGCTGGGCTGCCAAGTCTGCAGACTGAAGTGAGAACTTATGGTGGTTTTTCTGGACCT
The DNA here is from genome assembly GCF_000001405.40 of Homo sapiens. Lineage (NCBI taxonomy): Eukaryota > Metazoa > Chordata > Mammalia > Primates > Hominidae > Homo > Homo sapiens. Next base: position 53,008,120 of record NC_000007.14, read on the forward strand.
GCCTATGACCACCTCTTGACCAATCAGCATGCACCTGATCCCCTCTGAAGCCCATAAAAAATCTGGACTGAGCCAGAATCCTGTATACAACAGGACAATCTGCTTGCAGATAGGAGCTACCCACTCTGGGTCTCCTCTCTGCTGAGGGTTGCAGAGATGACAGACCGACCTGCCTGCAAATAGGACCTACCTACCTTGGGTCTCCTCTCTGCTGAGGGCTGCAGAAACTTTGGGGCCACCTGCCTGCAGAAGGAAGCAACCCACTGCGGGTCTCCTCATTATTATTCTGCTGCTCAGTGAAGCTCTTCTCTGCCATATTCACCCTTCAGTTGTCTGTGTACCTCATTTTTCTGGATGTGGGACAAGAACTCTGGACCAACTGAAGGCAGGACTAAAAGAGCTGTAACAGAACAGGAGTGAAAAAAGTCCCCAACACTTGCCACATTGTGGGCGACAAGGAGAGAAGAGTTGCGGCCCTTTTGGGAGCCCAGACCTAGAGGCTCCCTGAGCCAGGGCTGTTACATTCTCTTTGGGTTTCTGCAGTTCCTGATGTCTCCAAGCCTCTGGGAGCCACTGCATTCTCTTCGTCCAGATGTGGGTGCCCAAAGCAGATGCTACATGTAGTACATCTGGTCTATCTGCAGCCTTACATGGAGCTAGCATGTGTGCTGGCACCTGGAACTGCCTGCCCCACTGCAGCAGCAAGTGTGCCTGGCTATGTGCAGTGGCTGCACCCCATGCTCGGTTATTCACACACCCCTCACTACTCCGCACCTGGCTCATGCTTGGCAGGGGTGAGATCTGGGCCAGTAGTGCAAGCCAAACACAGCATGTCAGGCCAAGTAGGTGGAATGGGCCCAGGAGGCATAAGCAATACTCAGGCAGAAGGTGCCATTGGCCACAGTAGTTTCCAGCTGGTGAAATGACACCCCAAGGACCCTGTGACAGTAGTTTGCTGCACCTATCCACCCATCACCCAGGTATTAAGCCAAGCATGTACTTGTTATTTTTCCTGATGCTCTTCCTTCCCTTGCCCCCTGACAGGACTCAGTGTGTGTTGTTCACTCCCCTGTGTTTTTGTGTTCTCACTGTTCAGCTACCACTTATAAGTGAGAACATGTGGTGTTTGGTTTTTTACTCCTGCATTAGTTTGGTGAAGATAATGGCTTCCAGCTCCATCCATCTCACTGCAAAGGACATGATCTCATTCCTTGTTTTGGCTGCATGGTATTCCATGGAATATATGTACCACAATTTCTTTATCCAGTTCACCATTGATGGGCATCTAGGTTCATTCCGTGTCGTTGCAATTGTGTATAGTGCTGCAATGAACATGTATGTGCATGTATCTTTATAATAGAAAGATTTATATTCCTTTGGGTTTATACCCAGTAATGGGATTGCTGGGTCAAATGGTATTTCTAGTTCTAGATCTTTGAGGAATTGCCACACTGTCTTTCACAATGGTTGAACTAATTTACATTCCCACCAACAATGTAAAAGCATTCATCTGTTATTTCTTGACTTTTTAATAATCTCCATTCTGACTAGCGTGAGATGGAATGTTTTTGTGGTTTTGATTTGCATTTCTCTAATGATCAGTGATGTTGAGCTTTTTTTCATGTTTGTTGGACACATCTTGAGAAGTGTCTGTTCATGTCCTTTGCCCACTTTTTAACAGGATTATTTGTTTTTTTCATATAAATTTGTTTATGTTCCTTGTAGATTTTTGACATTAGACATTTGTCAGATGGATAAATTGCAAACATTTTCTCCCATTCTGTAGGTTGTCTGTTTACTCTGATGGTAATTTCTTTTGCTGTGGAGAAGCTCTTTAGTTTAATCAGATTCCACTTGTTAATTTTTGGTTTTGTTGCAATTGCTTTTGACATTTTCATCATGAAATCTTCACCCGTGCCTATGTCCTGAGTGGTATTGCCCAGATATTTTATAGGGTTTTTATACTTTTGGGTTTTACATTTAAGTCTTTATTCCATCTTGAGTTAATTTTTATATAAGGTGTAAGAAAGTGGTCCAGTTTCAATTTTCTGCATATGGCTAGCTGGTTTTCCCAGCACCATTTATTCATAGGAAATCCTTTCCCCATTGCTTATTTTTGTCAGGTTTGTCAAAGATCAGATGGTTGTAGATGCATGGTCTTATTTCTGAGTTATCTATTCTGTTCCATTGGCCTGTGTGTCTGTTTTTGTACCAGGCTATTTTGGTTACTGTAACCTTGTATTATAGTTTGAAGTCAGGTAGGGTAATACCTCTTAAATTTGCTGAGGAGTGTTATGCTTCTAATTATGTGATCAATTTTAGAGTAAATGCCATGTGGCAATGAGAATAATGTATATGCTGTTGTTGGGTGGAGAGTTCTGCAGTTATCTGTCAGGCCCACTTGATCCAGAGCTGAGTTCAAGTCCTGAATATCTTTGTTAATTTTCTGTCTCAATGATTTGTCTAATTCTTTGAGAGTGGGTTGTTAAAATCTCCCACTATTATTGTGTGTGAGTCTATGTCTCTTTACAGGTCTCTAAGAATTTGTTTATGAATCTGGGTGTTCCTGTACTGGTGTAAACATATTTAGGATAGTTAGCTCTTCCTGTTGAATTGAACCCTTCACCATTATATAATGCCTTTCTTTGTCTTTTTTGATCTTTGTTGGTTTATAGTCTGTCAGAAACTAGGATTGCAACCACTGCTTTTTTTCTATTTTACATTTGCTTGGTAAAGTTTCCTATATCTCTTTATTTTGAGCCTGTCTGTGTTTGCACATGAGATGGGTCTCTGGAATACAGCACACTGATGGGTCTTGAGTCTTTATCTAGTTTGCCATTCTGTGTATTTTAATTGGGGCATTTAGCTTATTAGCATTTAAGGTTAACATTGTTATGTATGAATTTGATCCTGTCATCATGATGCTAGCTGGTTATTTTGCAGACTTGTTGATGTAGTTGATTAATAGCATTGTTAGTCTGTGTACTTCAGTGTGTCTTTGTAGTGCCTGGTAATGGTTTTTCCTTTCCATATTTAGTGATTCCTTCAGGAGTTCTTGCAAGGAAGGCCTGGTGATGACAAATTCTCTCTGCATTTGCTTGTCTGAAAAGGATTTTATTTCTCCTTTGCATATGAAGCTTAGTTTGGCTGGATATGAAATTCTGAATTGGAAATTCTTTTCTTTAAGAATGTTGAATATTGGCCCCCAGTCTCTCTGGGCTGCTAGGATTTCTGCTGAGAGATCCACTGTTAATCTAATGAGCTTCCCTTTGTAGTTGACCTGGCATTTCTCTCTGGCTGCCCTTAGCCTTATTTCCTTCATTTTTACCTTGGAGAATCTAATGATTAGGTGTCATGGGGTTGATTTTCCTTCTCATGGAATATCTTATTGAGAGTTTCTGTGTGTCCTGAATTTGAATGTTGGCCTGTCTTGCTAGGTTGGAGAAGTTGTCCTGGCTTATATCCTGAAGTGTATTTTCCAACTTGATTCCATTCTCACCATCTCTTTTAGGTACTCCAGTCAGTTACAGGTTTGATCTTTTTATGGGATCCCATAATTCTCAGAGGTTTTGTTTGTTTCTTTTCATTCATTTTAAATCTAATCTTGTCTGCTTGTCTTATTTCAGCATGATACTCTTGGAGCTCTGACATTCTTTCCTCTGCTTGGTCTATTCAGCTATTGATACTTGTGGTTGCATTGTGAAGTTCTTGTGTTTCTTGGCTCCATCAGGTCATTTATGTTTTGCTCTAAACTGGTTATTCTAGTTACCAGTTCCTGTATTGATTTATCATGGTTCTTAGCTTCTTTGCATTGGGTTAGAACATGTTGCTTTAGCTCAGCGAAATTTGTTATTACCCACTTTCGGAAGCCTACTTTTGTCAGTTCATCCATCTCAGCCTCAGTCCAGTTCTCTGCCCTTGCTGGAGAGGTGCTGCAATCATTTGGAGGAGAAGAGACACTCTGGGTTTTTGAGTTTTCAGCGTTTTTGTGTTGATACTTTCTCATCTTTGTGGGTTTATCTACCTTTGATCTTTGAGTCTGCTGACCTTTGGATGACATTTTTTCTCAGGTCTTTTTTGTTGATGATGTTGTTGTTTTTGCTTTCTGTTTGTGTGTTTTTCTTTTAACAGTCAGGCCCCTCTTCTGTAGGGCTTCTCTGGTTTGCTGTGGATCCACTCCAGACCCTGTTCACCTGGGTCTCTCCTACACTTGGAGGTATTACCAGTGGAGGCTGCAGAATGGCAAAGATGGCTGCCTTCTCCTTCCTCCTGGAGCTCCATCCCAGAGGGGCACTGACATGATGCCAGCTGGAACTCTCCTGTATAATGTGTCTGGCAACCCCTGTTGGGAGGTCTTACATAGTCAGGAGGCAAGGGATCAGGGACCCACTTAAAGAAGGAGTCTGGCTGCCCCTTGGCAGGGAAGGCATGCTGCAATGGGGGGAATCCCCCTCGTCCAGACTGCCCAGACTCTTCAGAGCCAGCAGGAAGGAAAGACTAAGTCCACTGATCCACAGGAACCACAGCTGCCCTTCCCTCCAGGGGCTCTGTTCCAGCCCGTTTGCAAACCCCTGGCTGGAGGTGATAAAATTCCCTCAGGGAGGCACGACCCAGTGAGGAGGGATAGATCTGGGTCTTACCTGATGAAGCAGTCTGGCCATGATCTGCCACAGCCACTGCACTGCTCTGTGGGGAATTCCTCTTGGGCCCTATAATTTAAAAAATGAATAAAACATGGACCCCGAGCATGCTAGCCAGTGAGAAGGGGAAAAAGAGTATAAGAACCAGTAGGAGAAAAAGAGTATTGTAGCATCTGCCCTGGTTCTCAGGCCATGTCTATGAAAGCAGAACTCATAGAGAACCCTGGGCAATTGAGTAATAGAGACAAAAATTTTAAATAAATAAAATGATTTTTAAAAAATTCAGGAAAGAATCACATGATTTTTTTTCTAAAATTTACATAGCATTTTTTTCAGAATATGTGTATATAAATTTTAACCCTATTACTTTTCTTGGACCTAACCAATTAGTGGTAACTTACTCCTGCTGAATGTGTGCCCATGTGTATGGGGCGGTGGGGAGCAGGGGATATTGAGGAGTTGAAAATTTCCTCTCCATAGAAAGTAACCAGATGCAATCTAGTTTAAACTGAAACAGTTCCTGTTTAGTAAGCAAAAATGTCTCCACATAAGGCAAATAACCCAAACCAGTTGGGAGGTAGAACCAGTTCATGTTTGTTCTATCTGGTTTGAGAAAGATTCCATTAGGTGGCTGAAAATTTAGGATAAGATTTATTTCACAGAGAAAATAGACAATAAAGACATTGGGGGTCAGGGCTTGAGAAAAGCAAATATATGTTCCAGCATCACAAGCTATGAGGTTATATGCTTTCAGTATGATTTATACCTTGTTCAGAAATGGTATAGGAACTGTAGTTGCTTTTTGTTTTGCTTCTTTTTTTTTTTTTGGTTTTTTTTTTTTTTTGAGTTAATGCACTCTGTGTACCTTTACAGGTTGCCTCGTTTTGTATTTTAATCATAAAAGACCTTTTGTACTATGCATCCCTGATCATTAAATATGTTTACTGATTTATTATTTTCTCAGAATTTCATTAATCTGTCACGACTCAGTTCATTAATGAAGATGTGAAATTAGATTTGAATATGCTCTTTTCCTGGCAGCAGCTCTGTGTAGAGCAATGTGTGATGACTTGGTAATAACATTTAATTTTTTGCCCCTATTACAGTTTGTGTATCTAAATCAATTTAATGTCATAATATTAATATTTCGTGAAATAATGTATTAAACTGTGTACTCAGATGCCTAAATACTGCATCTCCTGCTGTTGAATCATGCGTTAATTTGGGCAATTCCACTTCCAAATATCAATTTGCAAATGTGTGGTATTTCCTTAAGAACGGGCCATGGATAAGTTCTTACTTCTTTGATCTTTACTGGTTTTGAATATAATGTAAATTCCATGCATTCCAGTCAGTAGGTGGACCTTTATTAAAGGCCTCAGAAGCAGATCACTAAAACCAATGCCTTTCTCAGATCTTTCTTAGACAGCCTTCTGTGCCAATCAGAACACAGCCTATTGCCTGGCATGGATTTTATTATCAATGGCCCTCTCCTTGTCCCATCCAGCAAGGTTCAAAATCCACTTAAAAAGGTTGATACCATTGTCTTTGTTTATCATTGTTATGTTGTTGTTTTTTTTTTAAAGGAATCATATCATAACTTTCTTATAGCTTAAGATAGTTCATTTTATTAAGGTAAAACTTTTACTTAGTGACATTTGCAGTTTAACAAGTGCTTTCTCTTCAATGCTTTTGTTTGGCCCAACAGTGAACATCAAAGCCATGTGCAAACTGTGGAAAATTTAATGCAGATATCATTTAAGATTGGTGTTATCCCCACTTAATTATAAAATCTAAATTTACATGAAATTAAATATGAAATTTGCATGAAATTACATATTTCATGACTCTTACAACATGAAATAATGACAGGGGATACCATCTGACTCTGAAATATCTGACCATGTCCCATAATTCTTTCATGCTGGGAACATTGAATCAAATTCCAAACATCTTGGTCTCATTGCTGACATAAACGGAATCCTGAAGCAAAACTTAATCCTTCCTTGATACTTGCAGCTTGCTTGCTTGCTTGCCTGCCTTCCTTCCTTCCTTCCTTCCTTCTCTCTCTCTCTTTCTTTTCTTTCTTTCCTCTGTCGCCAGGTTGGAGTGCAGTGGTACAATGTTGGCTCACTGCAGTCTCCGCCTCCTGGATTCGAGCAATTCTCCTTCCTCAGCCTTCCAAGTAGCTGGGACTATAGGCACTTACCACCATGCCTGGCTAATTTTTTTGTATTTTTAGTAACGACGGGGTTTCACCATGTTGGCCAGGTTGGTCTCGAACTCCTGACCTCTTTATCTGCCTGCCTCGACCTCCCAAAGTGCTGGGATTACAGGCGTGAGCCACCATGCCTGGCCACCTTTCATTATTTTGTATGTCCCCTATTTAAGTAAAAAAAAATTATAATTTATCCAACTGACCTAAGCCAAGAATGTAAGCATTCTCTTTGACTATTTCATCTCTTATCTCTTCCTCCATCCTATGCAATCTACTATAAGGTTAAGCTTATCTCTCTTTTTTCCAACTTTTAGGTTCAAGAGGTACATGTGAAAGTTAATGACATGGGTAGATTTTGTGTTGTAGCGGTTAGCTTATCTCTTAAGTCAAGTCACTTAACAGCATCCCCACCGTTATCTGCACAGTTTATTTGGTTGTAGCAGTGAGTGTTCTCCAGAGAAACAGTACCACTAGTATGTGTAAATGTATAGTAATAAATTTACAGAATTGGTTCATGTGATTATGGCAGTTGGCAAGTGCAGAATCTTCAGGATGGGCCAGCCAGTTAGAGACTGAGGAAGAGCCCATGTTGCAGCTCAAAGCAAAAGGCAATCTGATGGCAACTTTCCTTTACTGGAGTATGTCAATCTTTTGTTCTATTCAGGCCTTCACCTGATTGGTTAAGGCCCACCAATATTGTAGAGGGCAATTTGCTTTACTCAAAGTCTACTAATTTTAATGTTAATCTCATCCAAAAGCACCTTCAGAGAAACATCCAGAAGAATCTTTGACCACAGAGCTGGGCACTGTGTCTCAGCCAAATCGGCACATAAAATTAATCATCACATTGGTCATGATCTCATTGGAATAGTTTCATTTCAATAATTCAAATGACCTCACTAAATATTCTCTCCCCTGTCTTTATTTAAAATTTTGATAATTCAAAACCACTTTAATTGTCATTTCCTTGAAGAAATTTCTGAACCACTTAAGAGGCGATATTATCACACGTTTCCATAGCAATTTGATTGTTCCCTTTAAAGCCATAAATTTTTCTCCCATGAAATTTCTAATTTCCTTGTCTTGCTCTCTCATGATAATTAATACCCAGGAAGGCAGTGTGTTCTCTAATGCATCATTGTAGGCATCCCCAATTACTAAGCTTGGATCACAATTTGCATTTGTTCATAAAATTCATTTTTGAATGAAAGAATGAATGACATTCTAAATAATAGTTGGGTTAGAGTTCAAGCATAACACTTAGGACTCTAAAATTTGTGATGTTTACAAATATACCATATTGCCTCTATTTTATTCTATAGAACAAATGAATTAAGGATATCTAGAGCAGAGGTATACTATATATGTTTGAAAACAAGATATATTTTATAAGCCGGAGTACATATTCAAACACATATGACCATCTGAAAAAGTATACCTCTGATCAGAAGCAACTTGCATTATTAAGCTATAAAGAGTGGTATGGGCATTTTTAACTGTTTTCTTTTCTATTGGTTTTCTGATATTACTTTTAAATTCCTCACATGTGTCGTGTCAGAAAATGTGATCTTAGCCAAGCTTAGCTTTATTTTTTCTCCAGTCATTTCTGATTTAAACTCAGTCATTTTATCTAACATGCCCCCCACCTCCCCAAGCCACCCTATATATTCTTAGGTCTTGGGCAAAATCATGCTATTGGGAGAGAATTAGGTTTCCAGTTCTAGACAACTGTCAACTCTCATCCAATGAAATTCAACTAATTCCAACTGACAGCTGGTCCTCAACAAGTCTGCTCACTGTCACTCACTCAGCTCTCCTTAATGTCATCACCAGTTCTGGAGCATCATTGTTGCTCACTTTTTTAATTTGTATTATTCTCATCCCAACTAATTTTTATTGGTCCACAGGCCCCCTCTCACAAATACAATGTATCTAACTTTATATACAAAATGAACTTTTCTTTTTATTTATTTATTTTTTTGAGCGGGAGTCTCACTCTGCCGCCCAGACTGGAGTGCAGTGGTGCAATCTTGGCTCACTGCAAGCTCCACCTCCTGGGTTCACGCCACTCTCCTGCCTCAGTCTCCCAAGTAGCTGGGACTACAGGCACCGGCCACCATGCCCGGCTAATTTTTTGTATTTTTAGTAGAGATGGGGTTTCTCCGTGTTAGCCAGGATGGTCTCCATCTCCTGATCTCGTAATCCACCCACCTTGTCCTCCCAAAGTGCTAAGATTACAAAGTGAAAATCTTAAAAATCAGTGACAAAAGGCAAATTGAGTACAAAAAAATCAATCAATTCAATGGGGTCAGCAATCTGCTGCCTGTTTTTGTGAACAAGATTTTATTGGCTGGTTGCTTTTGTGCAACAAAGGCAGATTTGGGTAGTTGTGGAAGAAAAAATTAGGCCTGCAAAACCTAAAATATTTACTATTTGTGTCTTTATGAGAGGTGAAGCCGGCTGGGCTTCTGGGTCTGGTGGGGACTTGAAAACTTTTCTGTCTAGCTAAAGGATTGTAAACGCACCAATCAGCGCTCTGTGTCTAGCTAAAGGTTTGTAAATGCACCAATCAGCACTCTGTCAAAACGGACCAATCAGCATTCGTAAAATGGACCAATCAGTACTCTGTAAAATGGATCAATCATCTCTCTGTAAAATGGACCAATCAGCAGGATGTGGGTGGGGCCAAATAAGGGAATAAAAGCAGGCCACCTGCACTACCAGTGTGGGAGTACTGGGGTCTGCTTCCTTGTTGTGGAGCTTTTATTCTTTTGCTCTTTGCAATGAATCTTGCTGCTGCTCAGTCTTTGGGTATGTGCTTCCTTTATGAAGGTCTGTAGCTTCACTCCTGAAGCCCGCGAGACCACGAACCCATTGGGAGGGACAAACAACTCCAGACATGCAGCCTTTGTGAACTGTAGCACTCACCCTGAAGGTCTGCAACTTCACTCCTGAAGTCAGAGAGACCACGAACCTACCAGAAGGAAGAAACTCTGGACACAAAATTTGAAGGAACAAACTCTGGACACACCATCTTTAAGAGCTAACACTCACCGCGAGGGTCTGTGGCCTTATTCTTGAAGTCAGCGAGACCAAGAGCCCACCAATTCTGGACACATTTACACAAAGTTTGCTGACCCCTAAATTAGACTGTTAGAGTACTCCTCAAGAGAGTAGTAACAGAAGAAATGGAGGAAAGATTTTTTTTGTTTGTTTTTTTGAGACAGAGTCTGACTCTGTTGCCCAGGCTGGAGTGCAGTGGTGTGACCTCGGCTCACTGCAACCTCCGCCTCCCGGGTTCAAGCTATTCTCCTGCCTCATCCTCCTAAGTAGCTGGGACTACAGGCATGTGCCACTACACCCAGCTATTTTTTTTTTTATAGTAGAGACGGGGTTTCACCATGTTGGCCAGGCTGGTCTGGAACTCCTGACCTCAGGCGATCTGCTCACTTCGGCCACCCAAAGTGCTGGGATTACAGGTGTGAGCCACTGTGCTTGGCTAGAGGAAAAAAATTAAGTGTTCAAGGGAAATAATGCCATTTGATAAATTTATAACTGCAGAAATTATCATTGAATAGTGCAAGCATTATAAAAGCGTTTTTAGAAAACAAACAGTAAGAGAATTCATCACACACATATGCTTGCTAAAATAACAAGAAACGGATTTACCTAAGGAAACAGAAAATTAACCCAGATTGGAGTGAGCTGAAATAAGCAATGAACTATTAAATTGTAAAAACTATAAGTAAAATTAAGAATTGACTGCATAAGTAACAATAATAATTGATTTTTTGTTTGCAAGTATAGTATAAAGAAAGAAAATACTTGGCAAAAATAACATGTAAGGTGGATGGTAAAGTACTAGTTTTATTCTGGAAAAAGACTAGAAATGTTGGTTTGCTTAATATTTGTTTTTCTGGTCAAGTAATGTTTAAATTTAAGATTTATCTTGGACAAAGAAAAGTATATAAAATACTTAAGAAAAAGGTGGGGACAAATATAATTTTTATTAAAAAAGATGAAAGAAAGTATAAATGATATAAATAAATACAAATATATTATCAATAAAGTGTGCAAATAAATCAATGAATCAGAATAGAAAGCTCAGATACAGAGACACAGATAGAGTAAATTTATCATTAGGAAAGGCAACTCAGAAAGGACAGTCATTTCAACAAGTAAGCTGGAACAACTGGTATCCACTTCCAAGAAAGTAAATTTAACACAAAAATTTCTAACAGAAAAATTAACACACTATCTCAAAGTTAACAAATTTACAAAAAAATTAACAAAATTACAAAAATTAAAAACAAATTGGGTCATAGAACTAAAGGGCACAAAATTGTAAAACTTCTAGTAGACAACATAGGGGAAAGTGTAGGTGACCAGTAGGTATGATGCTGACTTTTAAGATACAACACAAACAATAATAAACCCTGAAAGAAAAAAGTTTGATTTTATTAAAATTAAAAACTTCTACTCTGAAAGACACTGTTAAGAGAATGAAAAGGCAAGTCACAGACTGGAAGAAAATCTGTGCAAATACAAAATATTAAAAGAACACTTACAATTCAAACAATCTAAAGTTGAGCAAAAGTTCTGAGCACGTACTAAAGAAGATATACAGATCAAAGGTACACAGGTCACAAGTAAGTACATGAAAGGATGCTCAAATCATATTTAATTAGGAATTGGCGAATTAAAACAATGAGGTGCCACTACACACCTATTAGAATGGATAAAATCCAAAACATGAAAACTACCAAATATTGGTGAGGATGCTGAGCAGCAGGATCCCTCATCATGGCTGTAGGAATGCAAATGACGCAGGTCCTTTAGAGACAGTCTCACCATCCAGCAACCATACTCTAAGGTATTTATACAAATTAGTTGAAAACAAATGTTGTGTCCATTTGAAAAGCTGTGAATAAATGTTTATAGTTGCTTTATTCATAATTGCCAAAAATTGGAAGCTACGAAGGTATCCTTCAATAGGTGAGTAAGCAAACTGTAGTACACCCATACAATGTAATATCATTCATTGTTAAAAAGAAGTGAGAAATTAAGCCATGGAAAACATGGAGGAACCCCAAATGCATATTACTATGTGAAGGAAGCCAGTTTGAAAAGGCTACATTGTGTCTGACTTCAACTAAAAAAGCAAAACTATAGAGAGTAAAAAGATTAGTGGTTGCCAGGGTTTGGGGGCAGGGAGAGATGAATAATACGTGGAGCACAGGGAGATTTTAGACAGGGAAATTATCTGTATGATGTTGAAATGCTTGATATACAACCTTATGTATTTGACAAAACCCATGCTTGTACAACAGAAAGTATGAACCCTGGTGAATACTATGAGCATCAGTTAATAATTTATCAGTATTGGTTCATCAGTTGTGACAAATGTACTGCACTCTTGCAAGATGTTAATAAACGGAGAAATTGCATATGGAGAGAGTGCATATGGGAACTCTACCCAACTTTACATTAAAACTAAATACATTTAAAACAAGAAATGTTAGAGAACATTTGAATGACACTATTGGCAATCTGAATTTCATGGATAATACATTTTTTTTCATGCAAATGAACAATATTTACAAAAAACTCACCACATGAAAACTAGATTAAGTTCTCAACAAAAAAAGGAAACAAAATTATAGAACATGTTTCTGCCAACAATACAATAAAATTAGAACTCAATAAAAATGAGACAGCTAAAATAGAAAAATAACACATTTTTGAAAGTTTAAAGCCATTCTTTTTTTTTTTGTTTTAAACAGGATCTTACTCTGTCACCTCAGTTGGGTGCAGTGGCATGATTATAACTCACTGCAGCCTCAAAATCCCAGGTTCAATGAGTTCTCCTGCCTCAGCCTCCTAAGTAGCTGGGACTATAGGCACACGCCCCTGTACCCGGCTAATTTTTGGATTTTTAGTTTTTATAGAGACATGGGTCTCACTTTGTTCCTCAGGCTCTGCCAGTCATTCTTAAGAGAACAAAAAATGTGATTGACCCTGAGAAACAAAATATGTATTGCAGTATATTTTTAACATACAGATATTGAAATGTATAAAAAAATAGATTAAAATGCTTGTATCATCATAGTAAAAGAAGATAGGTTCACGATTCAACTTGGAAAGTTAGAAAAGCAATTAAGCAAACATAAAGTTAGAGAAAACAAAAATACCACAATATGTAAAGTATAAAATAAAAGATCAAAATCAAATGGAAAGCTTTACATAACACTTTTAAAATAATATTTTTCAACATCATAAATAGACAAACCATAAATGATTATATAGAGAATAAAAAAGATGTCACAATTATAGATAAACTTTAAGATCGTGCTAAATGCTATAAACCACTTAATGCCATTAAATTTGAAATTATTAAAAAACAGTCTAGAAAGGTATACATTACTAGAATTTATTCATGAGGAATAAAAATGTGACTGAGTATATATTTTTAAAATATGATTCAAATTTCCATATATGCAGTGTTTCAGAAAATGGAAAAAGAAGGAAAGCTCTCTAGCTTATTTTATTGTGCTGGGGTAACTTTGACACCAAATCTCAAGGTTTCTGAGTCAATTTTGAGGTTGACTTAAGGATAGTATAAGGGAGGAAACACTCAAGGATAATACAAGAAGGAAAAAACGAAAAGTTGATATTTACTTATAATTTACATACAAATATTTTTGTTAAAGTATTAATAGTCCAATAAATTACTTAAAACAATCCAAGGATCAATCTTGTTCCTCAGAAGCATGTAAAGATGATTCAGCAGAGGCATATCTGCGTTAAGTATGGCCTAGTGTTGGAGTACCACATAACTCTGTTCAGAGATCAAGATTTCATTCAAAGTGCTCAATAATTTTTGAGATAATTATTTTTTGAACAAAATAAATCAATTTTTAAAGTTTGATTTCAAGATCTAATTTATCAACAAATTACTGTTTAGAATATATCAATGTATACTTCTTGGTAGATTTTCATAAAATATATTTGTTGTAAGACACATTTTCATTCATTCAAAACATATTGTAGGAGTTTGGTTGAAACTCAGTAGACTATTTTTTAAATTAATATACTTTCCAGTAATAATTCAAAGTCAAATAGATTTTAAAAATATTGTAATTCTAAGTTATAGCTATATTTTATCATTTTTATTTGGAATCAGGAGTCAGACATTTTCACAACATATCTTCCAAAATGTACAAAAATGACTTTTTTTACGGAAACATATAAACATACTGCTTTCTCCATTGAAATAATAAAACAAAAGTTAACCTGCAAACATGATTCACATAATTTATCTGCTAATCAGACTAGTATGGTGATCAAACTAGTATTCTGATGAGCTTGAAAAAAAGGAAAAGTGATTACATGAAGTTACGTATTAAATGGAATTCTTTTTCCAAATGCATTTGTTCTGGTCAACAAAGCTTGATCAGTTTCCTAGCAAATGACACTGGCCTGAAATTGCTGAATGAATTGTTTTCAGCAAAGAATATGAAATTAAGTATGTAGGCATTCAGGATGACTTTTAGTAAACTGAATCAACATAGCCAATGCCTCCACATTCAGTCACCTATTTAGTTACATTTAGACATAACCATAAACCCATAAACTTTTACATGTATTTATTCTGTTGTTTGTCTTTGTCATCATTAACCTGATAATGACAAAACACTAGCTGGCACAGATTATTGAACCTTCACGTTTTTACATGACCTAATCTGTTAATTTCCATCATCTTTTCTGGGTCCAGGCAGACACAATGCTGCGTTCTGAATGATAGGATTGTTTTCAAATCAAATGAGCCATTCATGAGGATGCTTATTAAAAGCCAGAACAGCAAGAAACATGCTTGCTTTGTGAGGGTTAATCTTTCTTGATTTTCATTACTTTTAATACATTTTAGAATAACTTTCCAATTTCGTTTGAACCCACGACTACCTGAAATGTCCTAATAAAAGAAGATCTGGCTGCCAAAGAGAACACACCATCATGCCAGTTACCTGTGGTGTTCATCTTTCTTAAAAGCTACAAAAATACGTTTCCTACTGTGCCATCCAGTACACCAAAGAGCTTTCCCTGGAAATCACTCTTTCATTATGTCTTTGTAATTACTGTTTTCTGTCTGATAAATCTTATGCAAGCTGTGAGACTTTGAATTATGGATCTGGGAGAGTTACAAGAACATAACTAGTTGCAGCTCAGTCAGCTGTGCGTGTCGATCCTTGCTTTCCAGGCAAGGCCTGTTGCAGCTATCCACTCTGTCATCTGTATTCATTTTCAGTGAGTTGATCAAAATTCTAACTTACAGAACCTTGGGGTGAGTTTCTCATTTAACAAGTGTTGAGCACCCATGGCAGGAAAGATATTGTATACAGCAGCACTCAAGAGACATAATCTTTGCCCTTAAAACTTTTATTTTTGGGAGGAAATACTGTAGCATAAAATGTCACCTCTATTTTCATTTTATGGCCTGAAAGTTTTGATTATAGAATTATATCTGAACAGGACTGCAGCAACCACACATTTTGTCTCATATGTATATAACAAAATATTGGAAACATGATAGGAGCTCAATCTAGAAAGAATGCAATAACATGAAATTATTCTCTAAAACACTCACCAGAAGTGTAAGTCTAAAAGAAAATTTTCTTACAGAAGCAGAGTTTATGAATGAAGGGTGAAAGCTGAATCATTCCACACTGCAGGAAATATTCTGTCAATAAGCATTTAACTGCTAACACATACACCACCTACTGTGTTCAGTGCTGGCTTTATGGTCTGGTAATAGGAGCTTCACTTTGAGTTATATTACATTTTTGAGATTTAATCACCTAATATAGTAGAAGAGCAGACAGATGTTATTTTCTTGATCAAAGGTGTGGTCTTTTTCAAAAGGAGCATAATTCTCCGACACAGTCGAGTCGTAGGAAGGGGAACATGGGGGAGAATGGAAGGAAGCAATTGCACACTGGGCATATGGACTCAACCGGTGCTGGCTAAATGGCATGTTAGAGTCTGCAGAAGGCTATGCACACATGCCAGCCCAGCTAGCCCAGTGCTTCTCTACCAGGCTGACAATCACATCCACTGGAGAGCTCTACAGACTATTTAAATTAGAATAGCAGGGCATGGGGCTTTGCACATCATTCTAATGTGCAATTTTGTTTCTAGACCTGTGCCTCCCAAACTTTAAAATGCATATGAACCACCTGGGAGTCTTAGTAAAATGCAGCAGTTGACTTAATTAGTCTGGGATGGTGCCTGAGGCCCTGCGTTTTAACATGCACCCAGGTTATGATCAAAATTGCTGTTACTTTGTCACCTTTTGAACTGTTAGAAATGCAGAATTTGGGGCCACAGATCAGACGTACTGAATCAATATTGGCATCTTACCACCTCCAGTTGATTTTAATGAACATGAAATGTTGTGAAATGGTCCTCAGAAATCTTCACTTTTTTTCCAAATAAGGAAAATGATATTAAATATAACTTAGATGTCAAATGATGTTCTATTCTTTTAAGATCTAACTTAAATTCGTTCAATTCCCACAAATTTCAGATCATAACCAGAAGATAGACAATTAAACCTATAGCAGTGGTTCTCATGGTTTGGTCCCCAGGTAGGCATCATGGTATTACCTGGTAAGATGTTAGAAATGAAGGTTGTTGGGATCAACCCAGACCTGGTAGGCATGGGTCTCAATAGTTCGTTTAGAAATTCTTCCAGGCGACTGTGGTGCCACATAAGCAAGTTTGAGAATTACTGGCCTATAAAATTATTGTAATACTGTAAGCAATTACAATATGGAAGCTAAAATATTTTTAAAGGACACATGAACTGAACTCCATATTGACTATAATACTCTTAAAATGAAATATGAGAAATTTAAGGAAATAGTATATTGATATATTGATAGCAGTATTGGAAAATGACATGGGATCATAAGTGGATCAGATATTTTATGGAATTCCCAGATGAGAGAAAAAGAATAGGATGAATTGTTACAAATGTGCACTCATGTATGTGCATATAGGAGCACACACAGGAGTAAACATCAAAGTAAAATCTAGAAAAATCTCAGAGTGAACAAATAAAAAGAGTTGTGGGATGTTCTATGACAAACTTTAGAACAATAAGCATATTTATTCCTAGCTGCAGAACCAGTTGAAATATTCCTCCCAGACCCCTTAAAATAAAGAGAGGAGTTGGTGTAGATGAGAATTTCTGAAGTTTCTCATCTAAACAGTGAATGGCCTGTGAGGACAGAGTGGGGATATATATATATACACAACACACACACACACACATCAACACACTCATAAACATAATTTTGTTACATTTTTAAGGAACCCACAAGTCATAGTCATAATGTACCCCTGCTTTGGTTCTTAGGCAGGCATACTTTTTTTTTCATTTGGTAAATATGGTAGATAAAGGAGCTCAGAAATAAATGAATATCTGTATTTCTTATCTAGCACTGACTTCGTAACCTCCAAGGTAAGCCCTCCGAAATAAGTCATTATATCTATTTTTCTATCTATCTATCTATCTATCTATCTATCTATCTATCTCATGACCAAAAATTTTATATTGGATTTTATTAAAATAAAAAAAATTTGCTTTAAAGAAAATGAGCAGACAATCCACAGAACAGGAGAAAGTATTTGCAATCCCATGTATCTCATAAGAAACTTGTAAGCAGAATATTTAATGAACATTTAAATTTCAAAAATAAAAAGACAAATAACCCCATTAAAAATGAATAAAGAATCTGACTAGACATTTCTCCAAGGAAGGGATGCCAATGGCCAATAAACACATGAAAAGATGTTCCACATCATTAGCCATTAGCAAAATGCAAATCAAAACCACGAGATACCACTTCACACAAACTAGAATTGCTAGAATCAGTCAGATAATAATCGGCATTGGTGAGAATGTGGAGAAATTGGACCCTCATACATGCTGGTGGGAATGTAAAATGGTATCCCCAGTATGGAAAACAGTCTGGCAGTTTCTTCAGTGATTAAATATAGTTATCAAATGACACAGAAGTTTTACTACTCCGTATAATTCAAACGTAAATAAAAACATTTATCTACAAACATTTCATACACGAATATTTAGAATATCATTGTTCATAATAGCCCAAATGTCCATCAGCTGACAAAAGGATAAACAAAACATGGTATAACCATGAATTAAAGCATATTTCGCATATCAAAAGGAATGAAGTATATTCTGCAACACAGATAACCTTAAAAATAGCATACTAAATGAAAGAAGCCAGTCACAAAATAATGCATATTATTATTATTATTTTTTTTAATTATACTTTAAGTTTTAGGGTACTTGTGCACATTGTGCAGGTTAGTTACATAGGTATACATGTGCCATGCTGGTGCGCTGCACCCACTAACTCGTCATCTAGCATTAGGTATATCTCCCAATGCTACCCCTCTCCCCTCCCCCACCCCACCACAGTCCCCAGAGTGTGATATTCCCCTTCCTGTGTCCATGTGATCTCATTGTTCAGTTCCCACCTATGACTGAGAATATACGGTGTTTGGTTTTTTGTTCTTGCGATAGTTTACTGAGAATGATGATTTCCAATTTCATCCATGTCCCTACAAAGGACATGAACTCATCATTTTTTATGGCTGCATAGTATTCCATGGTGTATATGTGCCACATTTTCTTAATCCAGTCTATCATTGTTGGACATTTGGCTTGGTTCCAAGTCTTTGCTATTGTGAATAATGCCACAATAAACATACGTGTGCATGTGTCTTTATAGCAGCATGATTTATAGTCCTTTGGGTATATACCCAGTAATGGGATGGCTGGGTCAAATGGTATTTCTACTTCTAGATCCCTGAGGAATCACCACACTGACTTCCACAATGGTTGAACTAGTTTACAGTCCCACCAACAGTGTAAAAGTGTTCCTATTTCTCCACATCTTCTCCAGCACCTGTTGTTTCCTGACTTTTTAATGATTGCCATTCTAACTGGTGTGAGATGGTATCTCATTGTGGTTTTGATTTGCATTTCTCTGATGGCCAGTGATGATGAGCATTTTTTCATGTGTTTTTTGGCTGCATAAATGTCTTCTTTTGAGAAGTGTCTGTTCATGTCCTTCGCCCACTTTTTGATGGGGTTGTTTGTTTTTTTCTTGTAAATTTGTTTGAGTTCATTGTAGATTCTGGATATTAGCCCTTTGTCAGATGAGTAGGTTGCGAAAATTTTCTCCCATTTTGTAGGTTGCCTGTACACTCTGATGGTAGTTTCTTTTGCTGTGCAGAAGCTCTTTAGTTTAATTAGATCCCATTTGTCAATTTTGTCTTTTGTTGCCATTGCTTTTGGTGTTTTAGACAGGAAGTCCTTGCCCATGCCTATGTCCTGAATGGTAATGCCTAGGTTTTCTTCTAGGGTTTTTATGGTTTTAGGTCTAACGTTTAAGTCTTTAATCCATCTTGAATTGATTTTTGTATAAGGTGTAAGGAAGGGATCCAGTTTCAGCTTTCTACATATGGCTAGCCAGTTTTCCCAGCACCATTTGTTAAATAGGGAATCCTTTCCCCATTGCTTGTTTTTCTCAGGTTTGTCAAAGATCAGATAGTTGTAGATATGCGGCATTATTTCTCAGGGCTCTGTTCTGTTCCATTGATCTATATCTCTGTTTTGGTACCAGGACCATGCTGTTTTGGTTACTGTAGCCTTGTAGTATAGTTTGAAGTCAGGTAGTGTGATGCCTCTAGCTTTGTTCTTTTGGCTTAGGACTGACTTGGCAATGCGGGCTCTTTTTTGGTTCCATATGAACTTTAAAGTAGTTTTTTCCAATTCTGTGAAGAAAGTCATTGGTAGCTTGATGGGGATGGCATTGAATCTGTAAATTACCTTAGGCAGTATGGCCATTTTCACGATATTGATTCTTCCTACCCATGAGCATGGAATGTTCTTCCATTTGTTTGTATCCTCTTTTATTTCCTTGAGCAGTGGTTTGTAGTTCTCCTTGAAGAGGTCCTTCACATCCTTTGTAAGTTGGATTCCTAGGTATTTTATTCTCTTTGAAGCAATTGTGAATGGGAGTTCACTCATGATTTGGCTCTCTGTTTGTCTGTTGTTGGTGTATAAGAATGCTTGTGATTTTTGTACATTGATTTTGTATCCTGAGACTTTGCTGAAGTTGCTTATCAGCTTAAGGAGATTTTGGGCTGAGACACTGGGGTTTTCTAAATATACAATCATGTCGTCTGCAAACAGGGACAATTTGACTTCCTCTTTTCCTACTTGAATACCCTTTATTTCCTTCTCCTGCCTAATTGCCCTGGCCAGAACTTCCAACACTATGTTGAATAGGAGTGGTGAGAGAGGGCATCCCTGTCTTGTGCCAGTTTTCAAAGGGAATGCTTCCAGTTTTTGCCCATTCAGTATGATATCGGCTGTGGGTTTGTCATAGATAGCTCTTATTATTTTGAAATACGTCCCATCAATACCTAATTTATTGAGAGTTTTTAGCATGAAGGATTGTTGAATTTTGTCAAAGGCTTTTTCTGCATCTATTGAGATAATCATGTGGTTTTTGTCTTTGGCTCTGTTTATATGCTGGATTACATTTATTGATTTGCGTATATTGAACCAGCCTTGCATCCCAGGGATGAAGCCCACTTGATCATGGTGGATAAGCTTTTTGATGTGCTGCTGGATTCGTTTTGCCAGTATTTTATTGAGGATTTTTGCATCAATATTCATCAAGGATATTGGTCTAAAATTCTCTTTTTTGGTTGTGTCTCTGCCCGACTTTGGTATCAGAATGATGCTGGCCTCATAAAATGAGTTAGGGAGGATTCCCTCTTTTTCTATTGATTGGAATAATTTCAGAAGGAATGGTACCAGTTCCTCCTTTTACCTCTGATAGAATTCGGCTGTGAATCCATCTGGTCCTGGACTCTTTTTGGTTGGTAAACTATTGATTATCGCCACAATTTCAGCTCCTGTTATTGGTCTATTCAGAGATTCAACTTCTTCCTGGTTTAGTCTTGGGAGGGTGTGTGTCCAGGAATTTATCCATTTCTTCTAGATTTTCTAGTTTATTTGCGTAGAGGTGTTTGTAGTATTCTCTGATGGTAGTTTGTATTTCTGTGGGATCGGTGGTGATATCCCCTTTATGATTTTTTATTGTGTCTATTTGATTCTTCTCTCTTTTTTTCTTTATTAGTCTTGCTAGCGGTCTATCTATTTTGTTGATCCTTTCAAAAAACCAGCTCCTGGATTCATTAATTTTTTGAAGGGTTTTTTGTGTCTCTATTTCCTTCAGTTCTGCTCTGATTTTAGTTATTTCTTGCCTTCTGCTAGCTTTTGAATGTGTTTGCTCTTGCTTTTCTAGTTCTTTTAATTGTGATGTTAGGGTGTCAATTTTGGATCTTTCCTGCTTTCTCTTGTGGGCATTTAGTGCTATAAATTTCCCTCTACACACTGCTTTGAATGCGTCCCAGAGATTCTGGTATGTTGTGTCTTTGTTCTCATTGGTTTCAAAGAACATCTTTATTTCTGCCTTCATTTCGTTATGTACCCAGTAGTCATTCAGGAGCAGGTTGTTCAGTTTCCATGTAGTTGAGCGGTTTTGAGTGAGATTCTTAATCCTGAGTTCTAGTTTGATTGCACTGTGTTCTGAGAGATAGTTTGTTATAGTGTCTGTTCTTTTACATTTGCTGAGGAGAGCTTTACTTCCAAGTATGTGGTCAATTTTGGAATAGGTGTGGTGTGGTGCTGAAAAAAATGTATATTCTGTTGATTTCGGGTGGAGAGTTCTGTAGATGTCAATTAGGTCCGCTTGGTGCAGAGCTGAGTTCAATTCCTGGGTATCCTTGTTGACTTTCTGTCTCGTTGATCTGTCTAATGTTGACAGTGGGGTGTTAAAGTCTCCCATTATTAATCTGTGGGAGTCTAAGTCTCTTTGTAGGTCACTCAGGACTTGCTTTATGAATCTGGGTGCTCCTGTATTGGGTGCATATATATTTAGGATAGTTAGCTCTTCTTGTTGAATTGATCCCTTTGCCATTATTTAATGGCCTTCTTTGTCTCTTTTCATCTTTGTTGGTTTAAAGTCTGTTTTATCAGAGACTAGGATTGCAACCCCTGCCTTTTTTTGTTTTCCATTTGCTTGGTAGATCTTCCTCCATCCTTTTATTTTGAGCCTATATGTGTCTCTGCACGTGAGATGGGTTTCCTGAAGACAGCACACTGATGGGTCTTGACTCTTTATCCAATTTGCCAGTCTGTGCCTTTTAATTGGAGCATTAAGTCCATTTACATTTAAAGTTAATATTGTTATGTGTGAATTTGATCCTGTCATTATGATGTTAGCTGGTGATTTTGCTCGTTAGTTGATGCAGTTTCTTCCTATTCTCGATGGTCTTTACGTTTGGGCATGATTTTGCAGCGGCTGGTACCGGTTGTTGCTTTCCATGTTTAGCGCTTCCTTCAGAAGCTCTTTTAGGGCAGGCCTGGTGGTGACAAAATCTCTCAGCATTTGCTTGTCTGTAAAGTATTTTATTTCTCCTTCACTTATGAAGCTTAGTTTGGCTGGATATGAAATTCTGGGTTGAAAATTCTTTTCTTTAAGAATGTTGAATATTGGCCCCCACTCTCTTCTGGCTTGTAGGGTTTCTGCCGAGAGATCCGCTGTTAGTCTGATGGGCTTCCCTTTGAGGGTAACCCGACCTTTCTCTCTGGCTGCCCTGAACATTTTTTCCTTCATTTCAACTTTGGTGAATCTGACAATTATGTGTCTTGGAGTTGCTCTTCTCGAGGAGTATCTTTGTGGCGTTCTCTGTATTTCCTGAATCTGAACGTTGGCCTGCCTTGCTAGATTGGGGAAGTTCTCCTGGATAATATCCTGCAGAGTGTTTTCCAACTTGGTTCCATTCTCCACATCACTTTCAGGTACACCAATGAGACGTAGATTTGGTCTTTTCACATAGTCCCATACTTCTGGGAGGCTTTGCTCATTTCGTTTTATTCTTTTTTCTCTAAACTTCCCTTCTCGCTTCATTTCATTCATTTCATCTTCCATTGCTGATACCCTTTCTTCCAGTTGATCGCATCGGCTCCTGAGGCTTCTGCATTCTTCACGTAGTTCTCCAGCCTTGGTTTTCAGCTCCATCAGCTCCTTTAAGCACTTCTCTGTATTGGCTATTCTAGTTATACATTCTTCTAAATTTTTTTCAAAGTTTTCAACTTCTTTGCCTTTGGTTTGAATGTCCTCCCGTAGCTCAGAGTAATTTGATCGTCTGAAGCCTTCTTCTCTCAGCTCGTCAAAGTCATTCTCCATCCAGCTTTGTTCCGTTGCTGGGGAGGAACTGCGTTCCTTTGGAGGAGGAGAGGCGCTCTGCGTTTTAGAGTTTCCAGTTTTCTGTTCTGTTTTTTCCCCATCTTTGTGGTTTTATCTACTTTTGGTCTTTGATGATGGTGATGTACAGATGGGTTTTTGGTGTGGATGTCCTTTCTGTTTGTTAGTTTTCCTTCTAACAGACAGGACCCTCAGCTGCAGGTCTGTTGGAATACCCTGCAGTGTGAGGTGTCAGTGTGCCCCTGCTGGGGGGTGCCTCCCAGTTAGGCTGCTCGGGGGTCAGGGGTCAGGGACCCACTTGAGGAGGCAGTCTGCCCGTTCTCAGGTCTCCAGCTGCGTGCTGGGAGAACCACTGCTCTCTTCAAAGCTGTCAGACAGGGACATTTAAGTCTGCAGAGGTTACTGCTGTCTTTTTGTTTGTCTGTGCCCTGCCCCCAGAGGTGGAGCCTACAGAGGCAGGCAGGCCTCCTTGAGCTGTGGTGGGCTCCACCCAGTTCGAGCTTCCCAGCTGCTTTGTTTACCTAAGCAAGCCCGGGCAATGGCGGCGCCCCTCCCCCAGCCTCGCTGCCGCCTTGCAGTTTGATCTCAGACTGCTGTGCTAGCAATCTGCGAGACTCTGTGGGTGGGCGTAGGACCCTCCGAGCCAGGTGCAGGATATAATCTCGTGGTGGGCCGTTTTTTAAGCTGGTCGGAAAAGCGCAATATTCGGGAGGGAGTGACCCGATTTTCCAGGTGCGTCCGTCACCCCTTTCTTTGACTCGGAAAGGGAACTCCCTGACCCCTTGCGCTTCCCAAGTGAGGCAATGCCTCGCCCTGCTTCGGCTCGCGCACAGTGCGCGCACTCACTGACCTGCACCCACTGTCTGGCACTCCCTAGTGAGATGAACCCGGTACCTCAGATGGAAATGCAGAAATCACCTGTCTTCTGCGTCGCTCACGCTGGGAGCTGTAGACCGGAGCTGTTCCTGTTCGGCCATCTTTCAAAATAATGCATATTATATGATTCCATTTATATGAAAGTATACAGTATGGAAATCTAGAGACAGGGAGTAGATTAGTGGTTCCTGGGGCTGAGAATGGGGTGGAGAGGTAGGGGGTGATAACTATAGGGTCCAGGGTTTCTTTTTGAAATGATGAAATATTACAATTTACTGGGCTGATGGCTGCCCATATCTGTGAATATACGAAAAGTGATTGATTGTGCACTTTAAGTGGGTAAATTATATAGTATAAGAATTTTCTCAATAAAGTTGTTTTTAAAGAGTTTACCGACAAATAGTCCTGAGTAAAAAATAGATCAGAAGGAAAGAAAACTATGATCAAACTTTAGCACCAAGTTATTGAAAATAATGAAGCTATCAGCTCTACAAACATGAGAAAATATAAAGATCTCAGAGCTCAGGCAAAACAGAGCAACAGAGGACAGAAAGAGCTAACATATAGGCAGCAGTGCTCAGGGAAAGAAAATCAGCTTAAAAATAGAAAACCATGAAACCAGATTTCTCTGGGTAGTAAAATAGTATAAATGGCATATCTTTTCAATAAGAATTCTAGAGTGATTTAGCACTTTAAGCTATCTGAATGGATAATTTGGTTGACAGGTAAACAATAATTAAATAAGTGCTAAAAATAAGTTTTTAAAAATTGAGCGTTTCTAGAAAATATTTTGTCCAGTATTGTTCAAAAGTATCAAGATCATGGGACAT
The DNA here is from genome assembly GCF_000001405.40 of Homo sapiens. NCBI lineage: Eukaryota > Metazoa > Chordata > Mammalia > Primates > Hominidae > Homo > Homo sapiens. Next base: position 53,033,063 of record NC_000007.14, read on the forward strand.
AAGAAAAGACAGAGCAAGTCTCACAGATTAGAAGAGACTGAAGAGGATTAGTTCTTAGAAAAGAAAAGCGAGTTAAAAGAAAAACCAGTGAAATTCAAATACAGTCCGGAGTTTACTTAATAGATGGAACCAATGTTAACTTATTAGTTTTGATAAACACAACATAGGTATTATGTAATTTAATAACTTTAGGAGAAGGGTATGAAGCAGGGTTTCTCAATCTCTGCTGTGCTCACATTTTTGGGCAGGTCACTCTGTGTTGTGGGAGTGTGTTTTGATCACTGCAGGCTGTTTCAGGGCCACTGGCAACCTCAGTTGCAGACCTTCTCTAATGTCCTCAGATGGGTGGTGGGGGTGAGAGGGTACAGGTACAGCAAAGTCATCTAATTGAAAACTACTGTTCTACCTTAATCTCTAATATTATCTAACCAAAAGAAATCAGTTGTCTCTTAGTGTGTGAGAAGGAAAAGAAACAGACATGTTCAATGTTTGTGAAAATAACTTTTTACTCACCTTTGCCTTTGAAGGTATAATTAGACTTGACTACTAACTTATGGCTGCCTGCACTTCACCAGTAGGAAGACTGTGGTTTTTTGAAGGATCTTTAACCAAAAACAAACCAAAATGGCACCCATTGGGTTGTACTTCAAATAGGACATGGAGAACTGTGTAGAAACTAAGAAAACATACATTAAAAAAAATCTAGACCCCCACTGCATTAACTGTCCACTCCAATGATAATACCATCTAAAGAGGCTTTTTAGCTATAAAAATTATTGTCATCTTTATCAAGAAATGACTTTTTAAGAAGACAGTTATGGCATAGGAAATTTGTTTTTAAAATCTTATACTGGAGGATTCTTAAGGAATCTGGGGAAATGAAAATGAATGACTGACTGAGTGGAAAGTCCTGGGGCTTTCATCCTGCTGCTCCCCTTGGCTGAAAGTGCCTTTTTTCAGCTGATAATCAGCCCCTTTCTGAAGTACAGAACTTTCGTGAAGATTTCTTATTAAGCTTTTTTCAGTGTCCTCACCATTCACTTGTTTGTCTCTCAAATCCCAAAAGAAAACCTGTTGTGGATTATTGGCTTTGGTATTTTGTCAGTCTCTATTTTTTGCCCCTGTGATTGGACCCACTCAAGTGTTGCCTTCTGCAATGCTGTTGAGAGGCTCTCCAGAGCAGTCTGTCTTACAACACCCTGAACAGACCTCCAAATGTGATGGCTGTAATCAATTGCCCAATAGCCTTCAAATAATGTTTTTGTAGGCAGATCTTTTCACCTGGTGGCTACAAAAGTGAATCATTCTACTCCATATACACATATTACAAGCAAAAAATGGAAAAAAGAAAAACTGCATTAATGTCTGAAGGGAAGAAAATCTATATATGAATGTATGAAAGCTTAAAATTACAGGAGTCTACATAAAATCATCATTGTCAGTTCTCAAACATAAGTTGTGGTGTACAAACACCATTTCCTTAAAAGGTAAATTGCAAGATGTAACATTAATAACCATTCTAGAAGAATAAAACATGTATCTTGTTTACTAGAACAGAACTAGCTGTTTTTCTTAAAAGCATTTCAGTGAGTTATGTTCATTTTTATGGTAATGAAAGGGAAGGCCCTTCTGTCAGTAGTCTATCTGCAGTTTTCTGCAGGTATTATTATACATTCTCTTTCTAAATGTCAAGTATAAAATAGAGCAACATGCTGGTGAGGACACAACATGGTACAGGCTGAGGAGAACATTTTGGTGGTTCCTCTTAAACATGGACTAACCACAGACCCAGAAATTCTACTCCCAGCTGCATACTACATAGACATGAAAATATTTGTCTGCACAAAATCTTGTTCACTAATGTCTATGACAATATTCTTCATGATAGCCCAAACATGCAAACAATCCAAATATCCATCAGCTGATGAAAGGCCAAACCGATGTGTTATATCCATGCAATGGAATCGTTTTTTGGACATGAAAAAGAAGGATGAACAGGTCCCCACAAGGATGAACCTAGAAATCATCATGCTAAGTGATGCCATAGGAGAGCCCACAGGAGGGAAGTCTACAGAGACAGAAAGTGGATTCCTGGTTGTTGCGGCTTGCGGGGACGGGTGGATAGGTGGATAGGAAGGTGACAGCTACAGGGTACAAAGCTTCTTCCTGAGGTGATGAAAATTTTTTTCTAATTTAATGTGGTGGTGGGTGCACATGTGTGGTTGTACCATAAAACCCATTGAATTCTACACTTCAAGTTGCTGAATTATTTGGTATATGAACGACATCACAAGAGGGGGAGGAAGGGGAGCAGACGAGGGGAGGGAGAGTGAGGGGTAGAGGAGCTAAGAGGAGAGGGAGCGGGAGGGGGAGCAGAGAGAAAGGGGAGAGGGAGGGAGGAGGAGAGGACAGGAGACCATGGTAGCTCCTAGGCCCCTCTCTCCAGAGGCAAACTTGCCGGCAGCACCTGGAAGGAGGCTTGTGCCTCCAGTGTCCTCCTGCAGTCTGGGTTTCTGGGCACGTGGCCTGCGCGTGGCGCCATTGTGGAGTGTCCCGCGCCCATGTCCTTCGTGCCTTCCAAGCGCCCAGAGGCCAACGGTCCCCCAGCCATGGGCGCTGCAGCTCCGGCCGAGTCCGCAGACCTCGGGAACTTCTGGAAGGCGGGAGAACCCCTGCTGCAAGGCCCCGACGCCCTGGCGGCTCCCATGAGCAGGTCACCCAGCACGCCCCAGACCACGCCATCTCCCCAGGGTCGCCAGAGTCCCTGGCCCCTGAGGTCCCTGACTCAGAGCCATATTCAGTACTTCCAGTGGGGGCGCCCGGTGCCCAGCACCCACCTCATCGAGGTGCGGCCCACCCAGGACCCCGCCAAGCCGCAGCGGGTGGTCTCCGAGGGCTGGAGGCGCCCTGCCCTTCCCGGGGAGACCGCTCTGGGGCGAGACCTCTCCTGTGCCTGGGAGGGTTGCATGAAAGGGGGGCTGTGTCGTGCCTGGAACCCAGGACGGACCTGGAGCCCGGTGACCATCGGGATCGCGCCCCCTGAGCGTCAGGAGAGCCCCTGGAGATCCCCTGGACAGAGAGCCCGCCCCGCAGGCCGCCCCGCCGCCCAGGAGCTCCTGGACCCCTGCACCCGGGAGACTCTGCTGGGGGCGCTCAGCCAGTGCCCCAAGGGAAGCGCTAGGTTCGACGGGCCGTTGTGGTTCGAGGTCTCAGACAGCAAGGGTGGCAGGCGGAACCTGCAGCCCCGGCCCTCTGCCTTCAAGCCCCTGAGCAAAAATGGAGCGGTTGCTTCCTTCGTGCCCAGGCCAGGGCCTCTGAAGCCGAGCCTCGGCCCCTGGAGCCTCAGTTTTTGTGATGATGCTTGGCCTTCCGTGCTGGTCCAGCCCGCCCCATCCGCCATCTGGGACTTCTGGGAGGCGACAACGCCTTCCTGCGGCAGCTGCAGTAGGGTCTCCTTCGCCCTCGAGGTCACCCAGTCTGCTGGCCCCTTTGGCTCCTAAGAATCTGGGCTCTGCTACCCACCTCCGGAGACACAAGCCCACGTATCTACTTTCACTTGCTCATCCTTGCTCTACCTCAACGTGGGGCCCTGACACCACGTTATCAAACATGCAGCCCCCACACCCCTCGTCTGCCCGCCCCCAGATCTTCCCTCTGTGCTCCCTGCCACCCCAGCAGCTGTTGATTTCAGAACCCTTGCCTTCGCCCTGCTGGCCCTCTCCTCCCTGCCCTTCTTCCTGCCCTTCCTCTGAAAAGAGGCATTTCGGGAAGGCTTGCTTTTTCTCCATGTCTCCCAGTTTGTATAGTTAAATTGTCCAGTTGTATAGTTAAATATTTGATCTTATTAAAAACATTTGTCTGCAGAAAATCTATTTATAATAATAACAATCAAAAAAGCTTTTTATGCCAAAAGAAAGGGCAAAGTGTGTTCCAGGCAGGGGCAAGGGCAAAGATTCTGTATGGGGAATAATTCCTATTTATTTGAAGTCCAAATATAAGTCCAGTAGAGTTGGAGACTAGTGAGAGAGAAGATATGAGGTTAGAGAAATAGACTGTGATGAAGTACTATAAGGCATTGGGACCAGAGTACAGGGTTTATTCTAAAACCATGAGTGTTAAGCAGAGGACAGTCTATGATCTGGTTGATATTTTTAAAAACACGATTCTGGCTACAGCAATGGAAATGGAAACCATAGGAGATCAATACAGTATTTCAAGCAATCCATGGGGATGGTTTGGTCTGAGAGGCAAATGCTACATCTGGAAGGATACAGACAAGTTTGAGGTTGAACTAAAAGATAGTGTGGGACCTGCTAGTGCCCTAGATGTTAGCACTGGGAAAGGGGAAGGGTCCAACAGTTTTAGCTTATGGGCTTAAGAAACTGGATGATGATAGTGTCATTTATCGGGATGGACACTACCAATAGGAGAAAATATTTGAAGAAATCAGGAGTTTTGTTCAGGGCGTGTTCTCTACAACAACAAAAACACTTGCTATGCTGCTGGTCCTGTTAACTGTGCTATAGAAAAAAATAATCCTGAAACTCATTGGAGGGTTTGAACCTGGCAAAATAAATCTGGGAATCATGAACATATAAATTCCTTATGACATAGAAATGGTCCTTAAAACCACAGGCTACTTGAGATCACTTATGCAGAAAATATGGAGAAGGGCAAGGGTGAAGCCTAGGGTACTCCAACATTTACAACATGAAAGATCGGAGAATGGAGAAAGAAGAACCCTCAAAACCAAGAACCATGAGGGAGAAGGAAATCCAGGAGCAGCAGGGACACTGAGGATTCCAGAGCATGGAATTTATCCACCACGGTGGCTGCCTTTGAGAAGAGATGTTCTTTCCCTGATTTCAGAAGAGAAATTGTTTTAGAGTGTTGGAAGTGGGAAGCCTGAACTGCATGGGAGATGGAAGGAAGGGAGGGTGTGTTAGTCCGTTTGCATTGCCACGAAGGAATACCTGAGACTGGGTAATTTAGAAAGAAAAGAGTTTAATTTTTGTTCTGCAAGCTATACAGGAAGTGTGGTGCCAACACTGGCTTCTGGTGAGGTCTCCGGAAGCTTCCAGCCATGGCGGATGGCCAAGGGTGAGCCTCACATGGAGACAGGTATCAAGCAAGGAGAGAGCAGGGAAGTCCTAGAGTCTTTATAAAAGATCAGCTGGCATGTATCACCAAGGGAATGGCCCCAAGCCATTCATTAGGGATCTGCCTTGGGATCCAACACCTCCCACCAGGTCCATCTCCAACATCAGTGGTTACATTTCAACATGAGATTTGGAGGGGACACACATCCAAACTATATCATCAGGCTTGGAGTCAGGGACTGTAGAAGCCACTAGGAGATATTAGGTTGTGAAGTAAAGCGGGCAATAAGACTGCTGGAGGAATTTTACTTTGTCTTTAGATTTTCTTTTAAGAAAGGATAGGGGGCAAATGTGAATAAGAATGGTATCTACACTCTTGTCCAAGCCATGAAGGTCTTGGAATTCAAGAAAAAGTGTGGCTTTGCTTTCAGCTGAGGGGCAGTGCACAGGCAAGATGAATTAAGGATGGGCAGGTGAAGAGAACATTTGTAGAAGTTAAGGTTTGTGGGATTTTCTGATGATTCCTCATGAGTTTCAGAGGGGACCGTGTGAGGTTTGAGAAGACAGGATGCGAGGTTGGGTCAGAAATGGAATGGACTGGGAAGGACTCATTAGTCTGGAAAGAGATTGCTCACCTGGTAATTCAAAGCACTATCTCAGAGTAATGTGGTTGATCAATTACCTTATGGAACAGAGTATTTATCTGGAATGTAGGGGTACATTTTAGCAAGAGGGCAAGGACTCTTTACTGTGCACCAGCATTGCAATAGCTAAGGAACAGTGATTCCCCTGTGAACAGTAGCAAAGGAAGCCTCCTTCCTTGTAGCACAAGGGCCTGGCAATGGGATGTGAATAGACAAATCCCTTGGAGAGAGCAGATATTCTGAAACAGATATGCAAGAACTTAATATACGAAAATGGTGACATTCAAAATCTCTGTGAAAATAATTAATTGCTGAAGAAATTGAATTGCAACTGTTGGACTCCCAATTAGGAATATGTGTATATAATTAGTACACTCAAATATCTTGTGCCCCAGGATCTCTTTAGTAGCCCAATGCCTTTATACTTCTATCAATTTAACTGCACTTTTACCATAAATTCACTTAAATGTGTTACCAAACCAGTCCATGAAAAACTTTTTAGTTACATAGGTAATCTATTTCATAGAAGAATGAAATGTAAGTGCAGAAAGAGAGTTATTTATTTCCATGTAAGCTTAATAATTTGGAAACACTTAAGTAGAGTTAAACAAAACAATTCTTCTGAATTAGGTGTGAGCCAGTTATAATACACTGGAAAATATCTACAAGGAATAAAAACTTGAAAGACAAGTGACAGGAGAGGAGGCTACTTTTATAACCCACATAGCAGACCAGGGTTATTATTCCACAATGGTAAGACATCACTAAATATCAATGATAAAAAAATAGAGAATACATAGAATCACTAAAAACATAACTATGCAGTTCATGTAATAAATAGTTCAAATTATTAATAAACATATAAAATACTCAAAAGTGTTCTATATATTCAGAGAAATACATATATGTGGAATTTCCACTCATCATTGCCAAAAACAAGGTCTGCTAATATCCTTCCTTTGTAGGAGAAACAGATAATATCATGTAAATTTGATAAATTGATCAGAATGAGAGTCTGCAAATTATCTTTCCATGTAACTTTTTAATTATTCTTCTATTTTGGCAGTGTCATTTAATTTTAATAAAGGATTCAATATGCAATAAAGAGATGAGCCATGAACTGGGCCAAATAGCATAGCTTTGAAATACATTAACAAAACAAGAAAGACAAGAACAAAAATAGAAAAAAGAAGGAGGCATTTTTATGACTTAGACGTTGGCACAAAAATATCTAACATCGTACAGAAATGGTTACAGCTGATAAGAAGTTTATGATTTAAAAAGCTTGATTTTATTTCTCATATGGGAGCCACAAGGACTCCTTTTGTCCCTACTATTAATTTCTAAGTCACTTGTTTTATTTTCCCTTCAAAACCACATGCTGATTTTGTCTTTTTTGTTTTGTTTAGTTTTGTTTTTTAGAGACAGGGTCTAACTCTGACTGTTGCCCAGGCTGGAGTAAAGTGGTGACCTCATGGCTCATGGCAGCCTTGAACTCCTGGGTTCAAGCAATCCTCTTGCTTCAGGCCCGAGCCACTATGCCTTGCTAAATTTTTGTAAATTTTTTGTAGAGATGGAGTCTTGTTACATTGCCTTGGCCTCCTGAAGTGCTGGGATTACTGGCAAAGCCACTAGCCTAGTGTTAATCTTTGACAGTACAGATAAAGGAAAGGGACAAAGGAACCAAAGGAAATGATGGAGCATTTTTCCAAAACCTACCATGACCATGACATCTGTTTCTTTCTCCTTTTTCTCCTAAATGCCACTCTTAGTTGGCTGTGATTTCAGAGGGCAGGGGACTTCCTTTAAAATAAGAAGAGTTCCACTTCTATTTTACTTTAATATTTAATAAAATATTGCATACAACCACATGAATAATACATGTAACATAAAATTATATTAAAGGAAATTACAAAAAATTTCATAAAGTACTACGGAAAACAATGGAGCTTGAAATGTGTGTGCAAATTTATGTTATATATACACACATATAAATTATATATGATAAACACAAACACAATTTTTTACCTGTTACTCTCAATGTTTTGGATAAACTGAACATTTTGCTTAAAAAGAGGTATCACAAAGCAACATATTGTTTTAACTTTTAATATAAAGTTATAGTTATCAAATTTTAAATAAGAAATCCAAGTTTTGTGACGTGAAAGAGTCTGCTAATCAAAGTTCTGCATAACCCATACCCACAATATGACACCTTTTAAATCATAGTTTGATTTATTTTAAAGTGAGACCGGAATTTAAGTATTTACAAAACAATACGAATGCGGATTACTTATAGATTTTTTCCCCCAGTGTTTTATAGGTAATTTGCTCACATGTAATTCAGAATTGTTTTTGGCAACTCCACTTAGGTCTTCCCAAATTGTTAAACTAATTTAGAGAAGCAACAGCTCTTTCTGCATTTACGTTTTATTCTTCCACAAAATAATTAATTAAAAGTTTTGTCATGGACAGGTTTGATGGAACATTTAACTGAATTTCTGTTAAAAGTGTAATTAAACTGATAGCAGCATAAGGGTTGTTAGATACTAAAGAGAGCCTGTTGCAAAGGAGAAATGAGTGTCTAATTAGATACTTTTATTCTTGTATGTGTAAATAGATTGTGATCTTGATGCATATATGTGTGTATATATATAATACTTTTGAAGTAGAGGTACACTTAGACATGTATAAATAGAACATGTTCCTACTATGTATATATAGGGATCTTCAAAAAATTCATGAAAAATGAATAATTGTGGAAAACTATGCATGCATTTCAGTTTTGTTTTGAACCAAAATGAATGCATACTAACTTATTAGAACATGTCTGTACAAGATCTAGTTTGAAGCACTGAGAAGAATAAAACATCAGTTTTAAAAGAGCCCCTATCAGAGTAACATGAGTTCTGCTATTAATTGAAGTAAGTATAAACATCCAATGTATGATGAACCTTGAGTAGAAGAAAGGTGAAATCACTAACGCTTTATGAGAAGTTTATGTGAACAATGGCCTGAAAAATGGCAGTTTACAAATGGAGAACTTATTTTAAGAAGGGAGGAGATGATGCTGAAAATGAAGCCCAAAGTGGCAGTTCATCCACATCAGTTTGCAAGGAAAAAATTTGCTTTGTTCATACCCTAATTGAAGAGGACCAGTGATTAACAGCAGAAACAATAGCCAACACTATGGACATCTCAATTGGTTTAGCTTACATGGTTCTGACTGAAAAATTAAAATTGATCAAACTTTCCACTCAATAGTGCCAAAAACCACTGAGCCCAGATTAGCTGCAGACAAGAGCAGAGCTTTCAATGGCAATTTTAAACAAGTAGGATCTTGATCCTACAGTATTTCTTCAAAGAATTGTTACAGGAGATAAAACGTGGCTTTACCAGTATAGTCTTGAAGGCAAAGCACAAACCAATGTAATGGCTGCCAAGAGGTGGAAGTGGTCTTAGTCAAAGCAAAAGTGGACTTGTCAAGAGCAAGCTCAGGGCAACGGATTTTGGGAATGCTCAAGGCATTTTCCTTTTTGACGTTCCAGAGGACCAAAGAACAGTAACTGTTGCTTATTATGAGAGTGTTTTCAGAAAGCGAGCCAAAACTTTTAACAGAAAAACACCCAGAAAAGCTTCACCAGAGAGTCCTTCACCATCAGGAAAACACTCCTGCTCATTCCTCTTATCACAAATGGGCAGTTTTGCAAGTTTCCATGGAAAATTTAGCTTATGGTCCTGATTTGGCTACTTCTGACTTCATTGCGTTTCCTAATTTTAAAAAGTCTTTAAAGGACACTCATTTTTCTTCATTTAATAATGTAAAATGATAGCATTGACATAAATTCCCAAAAGTCTCCGTTCTTTAAGGATGAACTAAATGGCTGCTATCATTAATTACAAAAGTATCTTAAGCTTGATGAAGCTTATGTTAAAAAAATAAAGTCACTATTTTTTAAATTTTTTATCTTTTAGTTCCATTTTCCCATGAACTTTTTGAAGTCTCCTCATATATGTGAATAAGTTTATATAGCAATATGTATTCACAAACATACTTACACATACACATAATATATTATGAATATTAACATAGATTGAAAGCCAGCACACTAGCTTAAGAAGAAATTTCAGAATTCTCATGTAATGAATGATAGTTAAATCCACAGAATTAAATAAGCTAGTAAAGGAAGAATATAAAGAGAGTGAACTTGATCAACAGGAAAAAAAAAAACCCGAAACTTAAAAAAAATTAAAGTAGCTAGAATACAGTTCCAGGGATTAATTCATAGCTATTGATAAAGAATAACTAATAGTATTTCTTACAGAAAATGTAACATAAGAATTAAAATTTGTATTTTCAAGATTATTTGGGGTTTCATGTGTTTGCTAGGACCAAATATTTCTCAAATATTTAATGTTTTAGATATAATTGCAATGAAAATCAGCAAAAAGAGCAAAAAGTATCATCTTAATGTTTGATTATGCTATTAACTCAAATTTTATTGGTTATGAGTTTTTTTCAAATGCAAGTGATAGATTTAGTATAATTTTATCAGTATATTCAGTCACTCCACCAGTGACCACAGAGCAAATCTCAATCTTACTTATGAAAAATAGGCATATTTTTGTATCTGTATTTTAAAAGTGTACTTGAAGTTGTAGTTCTTTTTTCTTTGCAGAATTCTTACATCCAATTTTAGCACTCTCTAGAAAAACAGAAGTCCTAAAAAGTGCATTATTATATTTTAGAAAAATGTAAGAATGTTTTTTATCAAAAATGATTTCTCTTACATGCTCTTAAAATGTGATATCCTTAGCTAAATGTATGACATTTCTCCAAGATGTGAAATTATTCTATTGAACAGCAAAAGCAATAAAAATTCTTTAAGTAATTATAATCCCCCACATTTTGTGATTTGGGAAAATAATAATTATAACAATAGGTCACATCATAAGCTTGAAATTTTATGCTATAATAATTTAAATATTTTACATTAAACTTTCAAAAAAGAATTATTTGAAGTAATATAGTAAGCTGTTGGAAGTGCACTGTTTTTGAAGGTAGAATTACATTTAAGTCAATGGTCTTTTGATAGAACATGGTCTTGCTTTCTCTTATTTCTGTCTTTCCCAATCCACGCCAGCAGCAGCAGCCCTGCACTAGCATCTATTGATGAGCGTGAGTAAACAAGGAGAGGGTCCAGCCCAGCCTCACCAGCCCAGAGAGCTCAACAGTGTATTTGTCTTTGTGGTTAGTCTACTCAAAATTCACAAAGGATTAGTGTTAAGTGTTCTTGAGACAGAGACATGCAGACAAACAGATGGTCAAATTATAAACTATATAAAAAAGGGACAAGGAGTGCATGCTCTGAAGGAAAAGGAAGATCCTTTAAGATGAGGTGCATTTGTCCCCCAGAATTAGAGCTTAACTCTTCACCAAAGGGACACTAACAGAAATAAACCCTATCCAAGGACATTGCTTTCAAAATGCCTGCTTTTAAATTCTCATTTCTATCTCAGGTCTGATCGTTTGTTCTTGAGGTTTTGAGTCCAGATTGTTCCAAATATTCTCCTGCTGGGCCTGGGTGTTGCTGTCTTCCTTCCCGGTCATTGCCCGCTCATGGCTCTGACCTGTTCACAAGCAGACTCGGTGCTCACAGCACAGGCTCCTTGTCTTTTGCCCAAGGTCTCTTGTGTAGTTTTCTACTCTGTTTTTCTTAGTCTAGTTATGGCAGTCCGCAGCTTTGAAACAAAAATGATAATACTAACTTTATATTTTAAAATAATTGTAGGTTTATAGAAGAGTTTCCACATATCTTTTACTCAGTTTCCCCTAATGCCAGCCTTTTCCAGCACCATGGGATATTTATCAAAAGTTAAGAAATTAACCAGCCATTCCCTAAAGTGGTAATAATTATAAATGACATCAAGACACCCTTTAGGCACCACAGAAAACTACAATGAAGAAAATATTATATACAAGTGAAAATATAAACAAAGCTGAGTAGCAATATTTTCAGAAAATGTCAGTTTTAAAATATGAGATAGTTAAATTGATCATAGGTACATTGGTATAATGAAGGGAATTACCAAATAACGAAGGTATAATTCTTATCAACATGTACAGAATATCACAGCATTCAATCAGAGAAATAACAATGATTATCTGGAGAATGTATGCAGAAACATGAAAAGATAATAAAAAAATAAAACATAACAAATAAAAAGATAAGTAAATAAAAACAATTTAAAAGACTGCAGTAGAAACACTGGAGATGCTCTTTTTCTTCTACTAGACTACCAAAGATGAAAGGCTGCTGATCCACAATGTATTTAAGGACACGCTGAAATTCATCCTTCCAAGTACTTCAAACAATTAAAATCTTCCCAGTAGGCAATTTAGCAGTATGCGTCAAACATCCTTAAAAAGTCAATGCTTTGAATGTATTCTTTCTAATTTTAGGAAATTATCATCGGAAAAATAATGGGGATTAAACAGCCACAAGAGTATTTTTAAAATCCTAATCTCACGACAAATGCATTGGTTTGAATCAAAGATTTAAATGCAAAAATTGAGGTCGGATGTGGTGGCTCACCCCTGTAATCCCAGCACTTTGGGAGGCTGAGGGGGGTGGATCACTTGAGGTCAGGAGTCTGAGACCAGCCAGGCCAACATGGTGAAACTCCGTCTCTATTAAAAATACAAAATTAGTCAGATGTGGTGGTATACGCCTGTAATTCCAGCTACTTGGGAGGCTGAGATGGGAGAATCGCTTGAACCCCGGGAGGTGGAGGTTGCAGTGAGCCGAGATGGTGCCACCACACTCCAGCCTGGGTGACAGAGCAGAGCAAGACTCCATCTCAAAAAATAAATAAAATAAAATAAAATAAAATAAAATAAAAATGAATCTTACTCTTGAAATGCTAGAGGAAGATAGAGGAGAAACTTTACAAAATCTTTAAAAGTGTGTGAAATAAATGAAATATCTAAAAAAAAGAAGCTTATTTCTCTTAAGGACTTTTCCATTTTCTGTTTTCTTTCCTGGAACTCTGCCTATCTCCAGATAGCTCACTTCCACTTAACTCAAGTCTCTGCTCAGAGATGACCTTCCCTGCCCACCTGGTCTGAAACCCTGGCCCCTTCTCTACCCTGCCTTGCTGTACAACAACCCCTCACCTTGCTCTCTTTTTCTTCATAGGATTTGTCCACGATTGAGTTTATAATTGATATTTACTTGTGTGTTGCTCTCCCACTAGAATATAAACCCTTGAGAGAAGGGATATTTTTATTCATGATTATGTCCCCAGAGTCCAGAACAGGCACCTGAATATTTGTTGAATGCATGCATGAGTCAAATAATGAAACACAGTATTAAATAGTGATTAAAAATGAGAATGTGGCTACACATTTATAGACAAAGCAGAATATGTAAAATGCATTACAATTAAAAAATATATAGAAAATTGTTACAATAAAAGAAAAATTTACATGTAGAGATATAAACTAATTTTTGTAAAGCCAACATATATTGTATTTATATATAACAAAATACAAAAAAGTAATTAGGACTCAATAATAAGACAAACAACTTGATTAAAAATGGGCCTTCATCAGAGAAATGCAAATCTAAACTACAGTGAAATATCGTCTCACCCAGTTAAAATGGGTTTTAACCAAAATATAGGCAATAACAATTGCTGGCAAAGATGTGGAGAAAAGGGAACCCTCATACACTGTTGATGAGAATGTAAATTAGAGCAACCTCTATGGAGAACAGTTTGGAGCTCTTTATAAAACTAAAAATAGAAATAACATATAATCCAGCAATCCCACCGCTGAGTATATATCCAAAAGAAAGGAAATCAGTATATGGAAGAGATATCTGCACTCCTGTGCTTTTTTCAGCACTATTCACAATAGCAAAGATTTGGAAGCAACCCAATTCATCCATCAATAGACAAATGGATAAAGAAAAGGTGGTGCATACACAAAATGGAATACTATTCAGCCATAGGAAGAATGAGATCCTGTTGTTTGCAACAACATGAGTGGAACTGGACATCATTATATTAAGTGAAATAAGCCAGGCACAGAAATACAAGTATATTTTCACTCATTTGTGGGAACTAAAAATTAAAACAATTGAACTCATGGAAACAGAGACTAGAGTAACAGTTACCAGAGGCTGCAAATGGTAGTGGGGGTTAAAGGGTTGGTTAATGAGTACAAAAATATAGTTACATAGAATGAATAAGATATAGTATTTGATAGCATAACAGAGTGACTACAGTCAACAATAATTTATTGTATATTTTAAAATAACCTGAAGAGTATAATTGGGTTGTTTGTAATGCAAAGAAAGGATAAATACTTGAGGTGATGGATACTCCATTTCCTGGATGTGATTATTATGCATTGCATGCCTGTATCAAAATATCTCATGTACCCCATAAATATATACACCTATTATGTTCCCACAAAAATTAAAAATTAAGAAAGTGCCAAAATCTTAACAGATTGCTCACCAAAGAAGATACACAGATAGTAAACAAGCACATGAAATGATGCTCCACATAATATGACATCAGAAAAATGCAAATTAAAATAACAATGAGCTATTACTACACATGTATAATAAGCATGACTATAATCCAGTACTGTCTGTACCAAATGCTGGCAAGGATGTGGTTCAAAAGGAACTTTTATCTTTGCTGGTGGGAATGCAATAGAGTACAGCTATTTAGGAAGGCAGTTTGGCAGTTTCACAGAAAATGAAACATAGTTTTATCACAATCCAACAATCATATTCCTTGTAATTCCTTTCCTTTCCAAATTCCTTTCCATATTCCTTTCCTAAATATCAAATCTATCCCCCAAAAGTGTGAAAATCTATGTCTGCACAAAAATGCACAAATATGTTTATTTGTAATTGTCAAAATTTTGAAGCAATCAAATTCTCCTATAGCAGGTGAATGGATAAAACTTGGTACATTCAGACAATGGAACATTTGTCAGCATTAAAAAGAAATTATCTGTCAAGCCATAAAAAGACATGGAGGAAACCTAAATGCATATTTTTAAATGAAAGAAGCCAATCTGAAAAGGCTACATACTGTATGATTCCAACTGACGTTCTGGAAAAGCCAAAACTATGTGGACAGTTAAAACATTGATGGTTGCCAAGGGATGGAGAAAAGGGAGGGATGAATACGTAGAGCACAGAGGATTTTTAGGGCAGTAAAAATACTCTGTATGATACCATAATGGTGTATACATGTCATTATAGCTTTGTCCAAACCCATAGAATCCACAACACCAAAAGTGAACACTAATGCGAGCTGTGGACTTTGGCTGATGGTGATGTGTCAGTGCAGGCCCATCAATTGTAATCGATGGAGCACTCCGGTGGGAAATGTTGACAATGGGAGAGGCTATGTTTACAGGGGAGCAGGGGACGTATGGGACATCCCTGTATTACACAAATCTCTGTACAATATTTTTCTCAATTTCCCAGTGAACCTAAACTTCTCTAACAAAATAAAAGTCTTAAACAGTTAAAAAAAATTAACCTGGGTACAGTATTGTAACCTAAGCTACAGATTTGATTTGGATTTTACCAGTTTTTGCCTTAATATCTTTCCTTCTTCAACATTCAATTCAATATTCCTTTGTTGCATTAAATCATCACCTCTCCTTACACTCCTGCAATCTGTGACAGTTTCTCAGTTTTATGCTGTTTTTCATGAACTTCACACTTTGGTAAACTGTCTCTGTATTTGGGTAAAACAACATTTTAAAAATTTACAATGTGTGAAATATATCTTGGAGGAGGAAGATTATATAAAAGGTCATTCATTATTTAAAGTTTTTGGTTAAGGTACACTTTTAAAAAATATAGTCACATCTATATGAGTGGTTTAGTTATGCATATTAAGTGTGGCTCTATTTCAGTGAGAATGCAACCCCACTTCATGAGTGATGCTGCTAAATGAGAAGGGAAGCGGAAAGAGTGAGAACAATGCATTACCATTGACAGCACAGCACAAAAGCTGGCTAGGATAGCATTGTATTGAGTCCAGTAAAGGAATTGAAACTTAATTAGGTTGAAAGAGAATTTAAGTATCTGGGCAATTGTATCACTCCGATCTCTGTCAGTATCACATTCATTTAACATTCCTAAAGTAATTTTTTGAGAGTCTATATTGACCCAAGTATTTTGCTAGACACCAGGGATATGATGGTGACTGAGACACCAAGGAAATTAAAGATTAGTGGGAAGACAGCTAAAAGAAGAGAATTCAACACAATTAGATAAATTCTATTGTAAGGGCTAAAACAAATTTCTATGTGAACATATAAAAGACATGAAAAAGATTTTTTGCTGTAGATAATTTAGAAAAAAAAAACCCTGAAACGTTTAAGAAAAGTAAAAGTTTACTGGAGAGGAAAAGTGAGGAACAGAAAGAACCTAATTTTGGAAGACGCTATGTTTAAATGGTTGTGGGGCAGGGTTGGGCAGTGCTGGGGTTAGGAAGTACAGGTCTAGAAATCTGAGCACAGACCAGTTTAACATGTGATGGCTTGTCTGGGACAGTCTCAGTTGGCTTTCCTCATGCCTAGCTGATCTGTGCCCATTTTCCTTCAAGTATCCTGGTGTGAATGAGAGATTGCATAACACTCTGGAGAGAATACAGGTTATTCTTTGTGCATATTAAGGGGATATGGACTTGATTGGGTGAGTACAACTAGAAGTAGAAGAAGGTACAGGAGTCTCCTGACATCTTCATTTTGGTTGGTTGAGCTTGAGGCTCTTGTGAGACATTCATGCAGAAATAACCACTGGATAATTTAACATAGGACAATATTGAGAAATATGTGGGTGTGTGTGTGTATAGAGAGAGAAAGAGACAGGGAGAATCAATTAAAAGTAGGGTGCATCCCAGAGAACATTGGGATACATAATGATTAAGCAAACAGATTTCTATTCTGGTTAATTACATCTTTAGTTCCTCATCTATAACTAGGGCTAATATTAGTCACTTCTCGGTGTTGTAAAGATGAAATAAAATAGTATATAAGCACCTATATCCCGCAATCAATGTCCATATATAGAGAGATATATAGCTATTAAAATTTATTCATATTTATGTATTTATTGCTAAACATACATGGCTACCATTCATTTTCCTGTGTCACTGTAGTAGAAGAAAAAGGGGCGCTCTCAGAAGAACACTTTACGTGAGGGCTATATTATGTCATCAGGTAACTAGGGATTTGAAGTGATGGACTTCTTCCTTTTAAATTCCCATAGGATAGTTTAGGGTAGGCCAGTTTGCCTGAAAGCAGAATAAGCAGAGGAGAATAATAGACCCATGAAATTGTGTTTTCCTTTTTATTTGTGAGAAGTTAGAATTCTGCCTTTGTTTATGCTGTATCTGTGTGTCGGGCCTTCAGGGATCTTGAAGATTCTGGGTCTTCACAGTGGCCGTAACACCCTGTGCTAGCTAAGCCTGTAATAGCATGCTTAATAAGGCTTAAAAAGAATGACCTGAATTCCTCAAACAAAACAAACTCTATTCAGAGGTGGCATATGGATTTTTCTTTCAAAAGATAAGCCAAGAAGAAGTAGATGATTAAAGGCAAAATAGATCCACAGGTCACTAATGGTGTAGAGACATACAGAATTACAAAAAGCAAGAACTAGTTAACAGAATTTATACCTAAAGGAAATAAAACAGGGACACACAGCCACACAGAGGTTGAGCAAAAAGAGCCCCTGTCTTCCTTTGGTTGCTCACTAACAAGGGAGCCTGGTGTTGGATGCTGACTCAGCGACTGCAGAACTTGGGGAAACTGGGTCAGGTGTGCCTTCCTTAGCAGCTATAATGACTCCACAAAAATTAAACCTGAAGAAGTCGAATTAAGAATTCAGACATTTCTATAGGTGAGCTTGAGCATTCTTTCTAACAGTAATTTGCTAAGAAGTAATTTATTTAACCCTAGGAATTTGGTAGTCTCATTTTGGGACCAAATGTCTTTTCTGTGGAAACTCCACGATGAGCATCTTCTCACTGGTGCCTCTCCCTAGAGAATCAGGGCTGGGAGGCATGAGGCAGGGAAGCCAGATCAAAACAGCCAGTGTTCCTAGGAGGAATGCTCCAAATTTATCCTTTCCAAATTTATTTATCTATTTCATACAGCTAAGAAGGGTAACAAGTGCGCAAAAGTTGGGAACCTTTCAGCCAAGTCTCTCTCTGCCTGTGTTTATAAAATAATAAATAAATAAAAAGAAGTATTATTGCGACAAAGCCCTGCCCATTGATTACACCTTTTCTATCCATGTTTTGATGCTGCTGCCATGGGGGAACTGACCATGCAGCCTCTACTGCCTGGAGTGTTCACTTTCTGTCCCTTTACAGAAGTCTGAGCCTCCTCAAACTACACTAACTGGTTTGTTAAAAGACAGATGTGGGCCAGGAAGCCAATCCAGCTTCTTTCAGCTTCACCAAAATGAAGATGTCAGGAGACTCCTGTACCTTCTTCTACTTCTAGTTGTACTCACCCAATCAAGTCCATATCCCCTTAAAATGCACAAAGAGTAACCTGTATTCTCTCAAGAGTGTTGTGCAATCTCTCATTCACACCAGGACACTTGAAGGAAAATGGGCACAGATCAGCTAGGCACAAGGAAGGCCAGCTGAGACTGTCCCAGACAAGCCATCACATGTTAAGTGTTTAGGAAAATGGATGACAGAAAGACTGGGGAATCAAGAACCAAATGACTATTTTTTTTTTCTTATGACCAGGAGACCCTTCCATGAGGAAAACATGGGGGAGAAAATTCATTCTTAACTTTAAAAGTTTAAACTAATTTTAAACTAATTTATGCAAACTTGTATAGCATAAAAATAAAAAAAAAAGGTCTTACAGTAAATTATTCTTCTGAGTCTGTCCCCCACCTCCCCAGAGACATTCAGAGTTGTATGTTATTTATGTCTCTTCCAGAATTAATGTATGGCATGGAACACACACACACACATGCAACTATATTTATATATATATATCTGAAAACAAACACATTTTAGGCTACTTGATATTCTGCTGTAATAAAGTCCAATTTTCCCTGCCCCATAATGATGTATTTTTAGATTTTTCTAATATATTTATTTTACAAAAAATGATGAATGGGATATTTTTGTTCATATAACATTCTGCTCATATGTGAGTATAGCTGTAGGATAAATTTCTAGAAGTGGAATTGCTGAGGCAAAGGGCATGGCATTTGCATTCATAATTTAAAGATATTACCAAATTGCCTGCAAGAAGTTTTCCACAATTCAAACTATCACCAGCTCTGTAGGAAAGTGGATTTTTCCCTGCACACTCACCAACACGGCATTTCACCGCAAATGTGAATCAATGCCAACATGAACGATGAGCAGAGACCCCTTTCCTGCTGCTGCGAAGGCAGTGTGCCTCCATCTTCCATGATTTTATCTATCATAGGAAAAACAGGATTTAAATGTAAAAGTTGGACAAAATCACCCATAACAGACTATTTTAACCCAGTTTAGGAGGTTGTTAAAATTGGTATGGACAGAATGTCTGGATGGAAAGAAATTCTGAATAAAATTTAAAAAACCCTGAAGAAGTATTCCTTGAAAAGTTTAAATGTGCCCTGAAACACATCCGGGTTATAATAAATGATAGAGCGTCCAAGAGAATGTAGAAGGCACATTTGTATTGAATGTCTGCGTTTTAGTATGATTATGTTTGCAATCCTGTATCATCAGGGTTTGAACAGTAAAATAGAGGCCGCTCTTTGTGTACAAGGAATGAATGATTTTAAAGAAGGGACTTAGAGATTTGTACAACAACTGGAAGGGCTGCAGAACTGCAGGTCGGGAGGTCATCACCAAAGTAGGTGACTCTGCAGAGCTGGCCTTAAAGCACCCTGGACAGTTCACCAGCTCAGGCCAAAGCACTCATACACAGCATTGTCAAGAAACTCAGCTGGGTTGCTTTACAATTTAGGCCTGTCCCATCTGCTTGCAAGTGTCTCTGTAAAATGAGTCTCTTCTCCTCCATCTTCCTCAGTGGGTATAAGAGCTTCTCATTGGACATATCAACCTTAACCCATATGGTGAGTGGAATTCAGGAACTGTTGTTCTCAACTTTGGGGTAACACAATTTTGGAACCATACTGTGAAACTGATTTTTTTTCTCTTAACATTGTATCATGAACATTTCCCATAGCTTTTAATATTTTATGAATATTTTATAAACATGATTTTTATAGGCTGTTTTATCCTATGCAATATTGTCAGATTTTTTTCTACTAAAAATAATTTTGCAAATTATATTCTGATATATGACGTTTGTATATCCCTGATGATGACCTTCTTGGCTATTCCTAAAATTGAAATTAAGGAATTAAAAGGAAGATATCTTTTCTAAGTAGAAAATAATTCAAAGATTTGGATCAGAATAATTTATAATTCCCTTACGTGTATCTGTAAATGATTGTTATCCTTTTAGAAACACTATATATTTTCATCAAAATAATTTAAAACACATATATAAACACACAAGACATGATGCTGCTAACTTGATAGAGAAATAATGGCATCCCATGTTGATTTAAATGTTTATTAATGAAGTTGAGCAAATTTCTTATACATGTTGCTTCCATTGCTCCAATATCTTAAAAGTACTCTGCCTTTGAGGAACCTCCATCCCAATTTGTGTAATGACTTTACTAATTTATATTCCCACCAACAGTGTATAAAATTCCCTTTTCTTCATATCCTCATCAACATTTGTTACTTTTTGTCTTTTTGATAATAACCATTCTAACAAATGTGAGGTTGTATTTCACTGTGATTTTGAATTCCATTTCTCTGATGATTAGTGACATTGAACATGCTTCATATGTATGTTGGCCATTTGTATGTCTTTTTTGAGATGTCTATTCAGGTATTATGTTCATTTTTAAATCTGATTTGTTGTTGTTGCTTTGCTTTTGAGTTATTTGTGTCTCTGTATATTCTGGATAGCAACCCTTGCAAATGCATAGTTTGCAAATGCTGTCTCTCATTCCATAGGTGATCTCTTCATTTTACTCCTTGTATTGATTGTTTTCCTTGCTGTGCAGAAGTTTTTTAGTTTGATATAAAGCTTTTTCTTTGTTTAGTTTTTTTTTTTAATTTTGTTGAATGTGCTTCTGAGGTCTTATTCAAAAATCTTTGCACTGTCCAATTTCATGAAGCATTTCCCTGTTTTCTTCTAGTACTTTCATAATTTCTGATCTTATAGCTATGTCTTTAATCATTTAGGTTAATTTTTGTATATAGTGAGAGCTAGGGTTCTAGTTAAATTCTTCTGCATATGTATATTCAGTTTTTCTTACATCTTTTTTTTTTTTGAGACAGAGTCTCACTCTGTTGCCCAGGCTGGAGTGCAGTGGCACGATCTTGGCTCACTGCAACCTCCATCTCCTGGATTCAAGTTATTTGCTTGCATCAGCATCCCGAGTAGCTGGGATTACAGGCACCTGCCAGCACGCCTGGGTAATTTTTTTTTTAATTTTTTATTTTTTAGTAGAGGTGGGGTTTTGCCATGTTGGCCAGGCTGGTCTTGAACTCCTGACCTCAGGTGATCCGCCCACCTCGGCCTCCCAGAGTTTTGGGATTACAGGCGAGAGCCCCACGCCTGGCCCCCTATATAATATTTTTTTAAAAAGACTGTCCTTTTCTTAATGTGAGTTCTTTGAGCCTTTCTAGCAATCCCATTACTGGTTATATATCCATAGGAAATGAAATCTGTGTGTCAAAGAGATATCTGCACACCCATGTTTATTACAGTGCTATTTACAATAGTCAAGATATGGAATCAACCTAAATGCCTATCTACAGATAAATGAATAAAAAATTACACACACACACACACACACACACCCAAACTAGAATACTATCCAGCCATAAAACAGGAGGAAATCCTGTCATTACAACAACATGAATTAACCTTGAGGACAACTATGTTAAGTGAAATAAACCAGGCACAGACAAATACCACATGATCTTAATTATATGTGAAATATAAAAAATGTTGATTTCATAGAAATAGTAGCATGATGGTTACCATAGGCTGGGGATGGGAGGCTGGGGGAACTGGGAGAAGTTGGTCAATGGATGCACAGTTACAGTTAGGCAGGAAGAATAAATTCTGGTACTCTATTTCAAGGTAGGGTGGCTATAGCAAATAACAATGAATAATGCATATTTCAAAATGGCTAGAAGAGAAGATTTTGAATGTTGTCACCACAAAGAAATAATAAATGTTTAAAGTGACGAAGGTGGTAATCATCTTGACTTGATCATTACACTATGTGTATCTTTGAAACATCATCATCGTACCCCACCAATATCCAGAATTGTTTTCTGTCAAAAAATAAACATAAAACATGCTGTACTATAAATATTATCACGAAGTGTTGGGATAATTAATAATGAAATTGGATTTTTAAATGTCTGTTTCTGTTTTTTTGTGAAATGCTTTTCTTGCACATGATTCTCAAGCTGTTCCTTCTACTGAAAGTGATAGTGACAAGGGCATAATCCCATTTCATCACTGATGCTGGTGAAACATGGCAGTCATTCTCAATGTGTGGGTGGAACTACAGTAGTGAGGAAAAATATATGTCCTCCCCCGAGAGAATCTGGGGTGCCTTTCAAGGGAGTGTACAACCTCAGGGTTACACATTGTAGCTCCACAGCTTTGTATAGTAGCAGGTGTGCCTTGCAGGCTGTGTGCCTAGGAGCATGTGTTCCCACTACCAAAAACAAAAATAATATATATATTTTATATGATTCCACCTTCTTTTTGAGGCATGATAACTTTGTACATTTACTTATATGTATTCATTCAGTTGTTCTTAAATTATTAAAACATCACTAGGATTTCTTTAAGAGAGAATTAAGTTTTCACACCTTCTTTGCTGTACAGCTTTTGTTCAAATTTGGGGAAGTGGAAATTAGTTCCAATATGATCAGGTTCAGTTGTTGAGCAATTAGCAGGAACATTTTTCAATATAGTTCAATTAAAGCTGTAAAATTTTTTGATTTTTAATATGATGATTACATATTAATGTAATATTCTTATTCCTGTAAGGAAATTTGGCTTTTTGGGATAAGCCAAAAAGATTACTGGGTGTCTCCAGTGGAAAATCATACATTGTATAGAACACACACTTTCACATTGCCTTTTATTACCTTTGAGCTATTACGTACTTTTGTAAGTTGTAAATACTTGCTAGCAATGCAAAAGAATTCTTGTCTATAGATCTACAAATTAATTCTGTTTTCTGGAGGTCCATTAACTTCCCACTCAGGTATCCTGCCAGCCTCCCTTACTCCTATGCCGAAAAAGGCAGTTGTGAGTCTACCTAAAATTGCATTTCCTCATCTCTCCTCTCTCTGTCTGTGTGTGTGTGTGTGTGTGTGTGTATATACACATACACACACACACGGCTATATTTACATATATAAAGACTTCTTTGAACCTATTATAACATTTTCCTGATTCCTTCATTAATAGAGAGTTAAAGTCTCTATGATTTGTGTGTGTATATATATATGTGTGTGTGCATATGTGTATATGTATATATATGTGTATATATATATTTAAGAGTCATAATTCATCACTTTTGCAAATTGTATTTTAGCATTCTATTTTATTATTTTTATTTTTCTGTTCTTGTGATAGAGTTATGAGTATGGTCATATGTCAGGAAAAGATTCAAATCTGTGTTTTGGGAAAGAGCTTCTTACTAATAATATCCATGCCATGGTTTTTATTAAGTTAAATGCAAATCAATAATTACAAAACAATTAAAATGATCCCATAAGCCAGTGTGGTGACACGTGTCAGAAGTCCCACCTACTCAGGAGGCTAAAGTGGGAGGACTGCTTGAGCCCAGGAGTCCAAGACCAGCTGGAGCAACATAGGTGACACCTTGACTTTAAAAAAAAAAAAAAAAAGAAAAGAAAAACCCATAATGAAGATTTATCTAGAATCTCCCTCTGTACTGTTTCCAAACTATATTTGTGTATAATCAAAAACTAGATACCATTTTATGGACTCCCCTAAATGGCCCCAAAACTTACCATTTTCTATAGTTAGACTCCTACAAGAGTCATGGACAAGTATTTCCTAAAGTGAATTCAACAAGTGAGTTCACAGAATATAGATATTTTAAGACACTGAGGTAGAACCAAAGAACAAAAGAGAGTACACATACTCCTTAAGAGAGGGATATATACAGAAAGATCTCTATAAATAAGAACTATTTGGGAGATGCTCCATTCAGGAGAGGGATGCTTGAAGGGAACTTCATCGGCAGGGACTAGCCTCTTACGGTGGCAGGACAAGAAGACTGCCAAAGGTGCAGGGTGAAAGGCAGGCCTTTTGTTAGAACTACTATATGGGAAGGAGGGGCTTTGGGTCCCATACCTATTAATCATAGCTGCAACTTCATTGTGTAAACAATTAAAAGAAGCAAATTAAAAATAACCTGTTGGTGAGACAACAGATTGGCAAAACGACTGAGGAAACCAGACAAGAGCAAAAAGAAAAAATTACTTAGAGGAATTTGTAGAACGATGCACAGACAAATCGGGAAGATTTTTGGGTAGAAGTACAATCAGATTAGGCGAGAGAGAGAGTGACATTTGGCATGGAATTTGAAATTGGTCAATTTTATTTAGAGAGGGAGAAAGCCCATAGTCCTCTGGCAGAGTCTTGTTCCTTTAGGCCAAAGGCAAAGGCCTCAGGCAGCTGCAAGTCCCTACTCCACTACCTGGGGCTGACCCTGCCCAGGCTCCCCATCAGACCCTAAAAAGCAGACTTATTCCCCTTGGCCAACCTTTCCAGGGACAGGCAGGGCTGGTGCTTCATTTTCATGTCGCTCAGAAAACTGCAAGACAGTATCCTCACCATGAAGGTACATAATGCTGTCCTTTGTCCTCTAAGAACTCCTTTCTCTCTCTCTCTCTCTCTCTCTCTCTCTGTCTCTCTCTCCACTCTCCCTCCCTTCCTCCCTCTTTCTTTCTTCCTTGCTGTCTCTCCCTCCACTCTCTCTCCCTTTCTGCTTTTACTTTTCAGATAAAGTGACAATTGAGGGTTAATTCAAATCCCTCATTATGCAACATTATGCAAATGTGTTAAGAACAACACCATGCTTGTTTGTTGTTTAGCTCACCTTTTGTTTTGATAGGACTTCCAGGACAGTTTCATTTGATCTTTCAGTAACACTGACTAACTTATGAGGCAACATTTAGATGCATTCAGGTCTTGAACAAGATTGCCATTTTCTGCTGGGCGCAGTGGCTCAGGCCTGTAATCCCACCACTTTGGGAGGCCGAGGCGGGCGGGTCACGAGATCAGGAGATGGAGATCATCCTGGCTAACACGGTGAAACCCCGTCTCTACTAAAAATACAAAAAATTAGCCAGGCGTGGTGGCAGGCGCCTGTAGTTCCAGCTACTCGGGAGGCTGAGGCAGGAGAATGGTGTGAACCCGGGAGGCGGAGGTTGCAGTGAGCGGAGATCGTGCCACTGCACTCCAGCCTGGGCAACAGAGTGAGATTCCGTCTCAAAAATAATAATAATAATAAAAGATTGCCATTTTCTATGTCTCTCTCAATCAAAAAACAAGGAGATTTTTGGAGATTGCTCTATTTTTTTCTACTTCTGAACATGTCAGTATTTCCAATGCAAATAAATTGGAAATACTTTCTTGAAAGATGCAATTGTTCTTAAATTTATCCATTAACATACAAATAGTTATTCAGCATATATTTTGTGTTGGCAGCCCAACACAGTGCAAGTAAATTAAGCAAAATAGATGTTGTTTCTCAAGAAATTTATGTTCTTAATGATGCAAAAATAATAAAGAAGTAGTCACACAAATTAAAAACATAATTATAAGATGCTCTCAGAGTTAGTAAGCATTTGAAGTGGGAGAGGCATAACGATACCACATAGTTTAAAACATTTTCTATGTTATGTAACAAATTTCTTGGGAGACTTCCAGATAGGACAAGAACTCCATTTCTAACCCAAGTTAATTTCTGCATGGCTGTATGGAAAAATGAGCACAAACAGCAATAGGGAAAAATCAGCTCATTACAAAAGCATTTTATAAGTGTATTCGGAGGGGAAGAGTAGTTGATAAAGATAACTATATTAGTCCATTCTCATACTGCTGTGAAGACATACCCGATACTGAATAATTTAAAAAGAAAAGAAGTTTAATTGGCTCATGGTTCTGCAGGCTGTATAGGCTTCTGCTTCTGTGGAGGCCTCAGGAAACTTTCAATCATGGCGGAAAGTGAAGGGGAAGCAAGCATGTCTTACATGGCCTGGCTGGTAGGTGGAAGAGAGAGAGCAGGGAGGTGATACGCACTTTCAAACAGCCAGATCTCCTGATAACTCTGTCAGAGAACAGCAAGAGGTAAGTCCACCCCCATGATTCAGTCACCTCCCACCAGGCCCCTCCTCCAACATTGATGGTTACAATTCGACATGAGATTTGGGTGGGGACACATACCAAACCATATCAATAACCATGCATTTAGACGTGAGTTGTATGTGAACATTATTTTAATTGTGTGCAGCGGGGTAGGGGGAACAGCACGGTGGGTGACATACTTAATTCTCCTGGGCAGTCTCAGATTGAGATTTTAAAGAATATCAGCTCAATCTGCCAGTGGATAGCTTTGCTCAACATTGTGAATAACATGGTATTTATCTTCTTCCTGGATTATCTTCTTTTGGAAAATATCAGCTGTGAGTGAAGGCAGGTTGGGGAAAAGCACTAAGGCCTGGTCTCATCTACCAGGAAGGTTTCCCCCTCTGCCTTTTCCTTACTGAGTGAATTTACCAAGTCATGGAGAGGAAGCAAACAGCTGTGAAGGTGACAAATACCACACCTGCCCCTCGGCTTCTGGTGATCCCCAGGCAGTCAGCAAAGCCAGAGGAAACCTGTATGCTGGCTTTGGGGAGGCATTTGGGATGTAATGGATGCAGCCAGCCGTGAAATATTACAGATCATTGCTATCCACATATTGTATTTTACATCTGGCTTAGGTAAACATCCTATTCTTCATTTGAGGCTTACCAATTAAAGGAGCTGAACCATAGATTACCATTGCCTTCCAAATGTATTTGTGGGCAGCAACTAGACCTGTGTGCATGTATGTGTGTGTGTCTGTGCTTGCTAAGAAAACATATTCCTGAATTCTTCCTAAATTACAGGAGACTGTCTTTTCTGAAAGCAAAAGCATTGAATTTTAGGTCATCCTTTTTCATGCAAATGAGACAGTTTTGGGAATGTACTGTGATACAGTTTGTACAAATTTTGCTCTTTTTCATCAGTGTGAAAATAACACCCAGAGGCTATGGGTTTATGTAATGGCTAAGTCAGATGTGATGAAAGAAATAGATTAAGAATGTTGAAAAATAGCGTAAATATTTAGTTGCAGAAGGAACAAGATTTATATAGTTTCTGCTATAAAATTCTCCTGACTCATTTCAGTTCTAAGATCCCAGCTCCTCATTCACTCTAGAATGCACATCTCAGTTTGATTCTGAAATATTAAGGCATTTTCATTTAGCAGGTATTCATTCAACATATTATCTTCCAGGTACTGTGCTAGTTCTTGTAGATACCAAAGATGTTAAGACAGACACAAACCCTCCATAATTCCGTTTGTAGTCTGGAGAGAAAACAAAATTAAATAAGCAATTCCTTTAGAAAGTGATGTACTAAGTTTCTTGTATGGAAGGTGAAGTCTATTATGTAAGCCCATAGCAAAGATTGTTAACTCAGAGGAGAAAACTTCTGCAAGGCTTTGCAACAAAGCCTTGAAAGCCTTGGAGTTTGGAAGAGCACCAAAGAAGACTGGGAAAAGGCATTTTTTTAGGCCAGTGTGATGACATGGATGTTCAAAGAAACAAAAACAAAATTGAATAAAACAGAATTTAAAGTCAGCATAGTAAGATAAGTTTGGAGAGGCATGTTAAGCAATTTGCAAGTTGTTTTAAAGGTAAAGGAAGGCCGTGTCAGGTGCCCTGTGCTTGTCACAATGCTCAGGATCCATGAATTTAGGAATGAGTTCTGCAAGAGCAGCCTGCAGAGGACGTGAAGAACAAGTGGTTAGAGACCAGCCCCGAAAAGCACAACAGGAGGATGTCCTCAGGAGCTCCAAGGGGAGAAAGGACTTCCAGAGGTCAAGGGTAGATGAGCAGTTCTGTGGGAAGGTCTAGCAAAATAGAAGAGCTACAATTTGTCCACTAGAATAATTGATTCCGAAGAATCAAAAGTCATCTCAGGAAGACAGTTTCAGCAAAGTGGCAGGGTTATGCGGCTAAGCCAAAGGGAAGGAGTCAGACATGTACCGAAGTGGAATGGAGGTGCACAGGGAGGAATGTGGGATGTAACTGAACACACAGGCCCAGAGAAGCCAGGTGGGGCCAATTCCAATGCACAGGGAAGGGAAAACTCTTCCACTGAGGAAGGCATATCTCAAATGAGATTGGTTCCAAAGCACATGTATGTCTGTGTCTGGGGATGTGAAATGGGAGCTCCATGTAGGTGGCTCCTCTTGTCTCTGTTAATAGAAAATCAGATGATCTCCTAAGAAAAACTATGAATATAAGTTGGAATGGAGAATTGAAGATATTGCAATTGAAATAGATTTGTGGAGGAAAGGAAGGAGGCCAAAGTGAGGAAATTATATCTAAAATACATATTCAGTCAAAATAAAAACAACTTCACATACATACAAGTGCTTTTATCTTTTATGTAACAATTGATAATGCTTCTCCAACTATCAATGAAGAAGTAATTTTTTGTGATCCAACATAGAAAGGTGACTTTGTAAAAAGAATGAATATATCTCAGCAATGTCAAGTTTTGCTGCAAGCATTTCTAAATGTTACTCTCACTTGCTTACTAACCCACTATGGACTGCTAAGTGCACAGACTCCACTTGTCTGCAGATTATGTCAGGCATGCATAGCTAGATGGAAACAATTATCAATGAGGATGGTACCTCTGCTCCACCAGTTCCTGCAAGGAGACAAGTTTTTTCTATCTTGGGGCACTCCATCTCATAGACACACTGACTCATGAAGAAAACCAAGTCTTGTGGTCTTTACTGATAGTCCACCTAAAGATAGAATAATCTTTTACTCTGAGAGGGAAGATTTTTAAGGACAAATGCAAGCTCTGGCCCAGAAACATAATAGGCTCATTAACCAGTGTGCAGTATCTTCTCATGCTGGTGCCCATGTGTTTATAGTGGCTCTATTTTCATGAGCATGAAATTTTCATCAGCTTTGCTCAGCATCCCAGGTACCTGCATGGAGTTAACTGACCACTGGGTTCATTCAGGGCATGAATATTGACAGATATGTCAGAAAGGCAATGAGACAGGTAAGGCTGAGATAGAGGCAAGACAGGGTTAAATTTCTGAATCTGGAGCTGTAAGTAGATATGGCAGGATATGGCTATATAAGGCTAAGTGGAGGGTTGATAGATTGGTACTCACAAAGCTTAAAGGGCTAGGATGTTGGGAATAAATTATCAAGTGATCTGGAATAGAGGAAGTTGTGAACAGAGAGTGGATTGTATGGATTTACTATTTTGGGGGATGGCAAGAACAAGAAAGTAGGAGGCTCATAGTGTGGGCATATTGGGGAGGTTATAGAAATTGAGTAAAATAGATTACTGGAGTTATTTCTGGTAACAAAATTAAAGTTTCTGAAGCTGGTGAATGGGTCATGAATGTGGGTCTTCAAATTGTTTAGGTTGATAGAGGATGTGTAAGTACAACAGAGAAGAAGTCTAAGAGACACCTGCCAATTTCGTAGCAACTGAAAGAAAAACAGCTAAGAATGCAACAGAGAACAGCAGCAAAGAAGAGCACAGAGTGGCAAATACAGAATAAAAAATTCAGAGTATTTATTTATGTGCTTTTTGTTTGTTTGCTTAAGAGAATGATGGAGAAGTCAGGGTCTGACACAGGTAGCAATGAGCAACAGGCAGTCTCACTCCAGGCAAAGGCCAAAGGCAGAATAGAATTCTTGGCACTTTTATGTAATTGAGCTGTGGTAGAAAATGTCAAATTAGGGTTTCTTGGACTGACAAAACAATGGTTCTTTCACTGGGTGATCACATTGAGACAGTGGTTTTTTTGTTTTTTTTTTTGTTTTGTTTTTTTTTTTTTTAGTTTGGTCTCTATTAAATGCAGTGACTAAGCAATGTCCAACTATTACCTGTGCTAGGAATATACACTAAAAATTTTAGTCCTGGAGGCAACATTGTTCTTTCTGTCAATGCGGTTGAAGAACAGGAGTTTTGGTAATCTACACTGATGATCATATAGAGAGTTGCTCATATCTGTTAACAGTAAATAAAAGTGTTTTTTCTGATACCCTTATTGGTCTTAGCAGGGCTAAATCCAGTTAGTAAATTGAATTACATTTGTAGTATAAATAAGCAAGCTACACATACACACACACACACATAGACACACACACACAAACACACACACACAGAAACTCACAGAATCTATTCAAATGGGAATTCTCCGTTGTCACAGGCAATAAAAGTTTTTAGTGTTAGTGTTAGTAAATATTTAACAACTGATTCTCTAGAAAAAAAAATGTGTATGTGTGTGTTTATACACACAAGAGTATATTTAAAAAATTTTGCTGATATTAACATGCATGGCACTGAATTTACAAATTACTCTAAAATATATCATACTCTGTATTGTAAATTCTTCTAGCCAATTTATTTTAAATGAAAGCTTTCATTGATTTTGGCTAAACTCTTGCCTATGTAACCAATCTCTGGTGCAATTCTATCGTTATTTGTTAAAACAAGACTACAAATAAAGGCTTGATTACTATCTGATTCAGCAAATATGTCACTAATGTCATCAATGAATGAGTGCAAGTCTGCCATGAAGGTTTTGCTTATGTTAAAGGGTATGGTGAAGGTGTAACAAGGCAGATGTACGTCGGAAATTCCCTCCCTTGTCAAAGACATGAGCAACTTCTTTGTTGAATCAGATAATAATTTTCAACACTGAAATAATATTTTCTCACATTTTTGAGCTATGCACAATGTAATGGCTAAAGACATGAAACAATTTATTAATATTTATTAATATTAATATTTTTCTGTTTCATTTTTTAAAGTCTAGACAATCTACAAAACAATAAATGAAACCCTGGTTTTTAACCTTTGCATCTGATAAAATATTCCAGTCATGACTGCTTTAAGTGACCCACAAAGCTACACTGCATATAGAGGTGGGAAAAGACTCCCATGAGTACACTATCTGATAGGATTTCCATCCTACAGAGGCCACAGACTTAAGCAGTCTCTAATCTCAAGAGCATACTTAAGCAGTCTCTAATCTCAAGAGCGTACCTGCTAACGTATGCCCAATAATTAGAAAGTAATGTCTTGAATATTCATGACCTTTGATTTTAGTATAATTTATTTAATTTTATGTTTCTGTAATTGAGTTTTTAATAATGCAAAATGCCTACAAAATTCTTGACAATTTATCAATAGTCCCTCTGAGCTGGTGTGAACCAGCTCTATCCCATCGCTGTTTTAAGAAAGAGTTTAAGAACACTGGTTGATCTTACTTAAAATGGTTATAATCTAATAAGTGTTCCAATGGACAAAAGAGAAAAATGATGATAAGATGGTATAAAGTGTTCCAGGTCTGTGTTTTCCCAGGAAGTCCCCAACATAAGCATACTGCTAACATAAGGGGTGAGTGGGAAAGAATGGCTGAACATGAGGTAGAGGGATCCTGATCTAAGTTAAGGACCAGCCTTCATGGTATTAGGAATCATAGAGAAGTATTTAGTTCTTAAGAATGCAAACTC
The DNA here is from genome assembly GCF_000001405.40 of Homo sapiens. Lineage (NCBI taxonomy): Eukaryota > Metazoa > Chordata > Mammalia > Primates > Hominidae > Homo > Homo sapiens. The sequence goes on from NC_000007.14 coordinate 53,064,780, forward strand.
TGGACTCCTGGCTCCACCACTTGCCAGCCAAGTCGGGGTCTTGTTCAACTGTTCAACCTCTGCCTCTATTTCCTCATCTATTAAATTGGAGTATTAAGAGTGCAAATTTATAGGGTCTTGTTAAAGTTACATAAGTAAAGTGTTAGAATAGTGCCTGGAAGATACTATGTGCTAGCTGCTACCATGAAATCCTTTTTTTAATTTTAATTTTAATTTTAATTTTGAGATGGAGTCTGGCTGTGTTGCCCAGGGTGGAGTACAGTGGCATGTTCTCAGCTCACTGCAACCTCCACCTCCCAGGTTCAAGGGATTCTCATGCCTCAGACTCCTGGGCAGCTGAGACTACAGGTGCACACCATCATGCCTGGCTACTTTTTTCTATTTTTAATAGAGACCCAGTTTCCCCATGTTGGCCAGGCTGGTCTCAAACTCCTGACCTCTAGTGATCCACCTGCGTCAGCCTCCCAAAGTGCTGGGACTACAGGTATGAGCCACTGCGCCCAGCCTACCATGAAATCTTTAGATCAATAAAATACCTAAACTTTCCTCAAGTTCTATGTGCGTTTCTCTCTTTCCTCCCTGATTCTGGCATTCAACAATTATTTTTACAAGTAATGCAGTTTGAGTATTGAGTCATTACGTATATAATCCATGTTAATGGTGAAGTTAATTGGACAAAGAAATAGGCTTTAAAGAAATCTCCTGGGAGTAGACAAATATTGTAAATACATTCCTCATAGAGACATTGAGTGGAACAATGCAAATATGATAACGTAGGGATTTAGAGAAAACCAAGTTGAATCACATCACTGATGCATACTTGTTTGATTTTAGAAGTTTTGCTTTTTCTCTCTGAGTTTTATTTTTCTTAGTTGTAAAATATAAAGATTTTATCTGTAAATACATCAGTATTTACCTCTAAAGTTGATAATTCTTTTTTTTATAAAAAGATACTTAACAAGGATATCATCATACACAAAAAGAAAATTATTGATGACTGCATAATGAAGATTTTACAAGATTGCTCAGGGGATTGAAGGTAATGGGTGCAATGACACTCCACACCATTAACCTCTGGAGCGTTTACTAATACAATTATTGTTGTTATTAAGAAAAACTATTTTACTTGTGCTATGATCTGAATGTTTGTGTCCCTCCCGAATTCCTATGTTGAAATCCTAAGGCCTCAGACTTTAGTATTAGGAAGTGGGGCCTTCAGGGTGATTAGCTCATGAGGGTGAAGCCCTTATGAATGGGATTAGTGCCCTTGTAAAAGGCCTGACAGATCTTTTTCTTTTTGCCATGTGAAGACACAGAGAAAAGACAGCTGCTGATGAACCAAAAATCAGCTCTCACCAGATACTGATCTGCAGATGCCTTCATCTTGAACTTCCCTGCCTTCAGAACCATGAAAAATCAATGTTTGTTGTTTCAAGCCACCCAGTTTGTGGTATTTCATTATAGTAGTCTGAATGGCCTAAGACAATCTCTTTGTGTCTAGAGTGTAATGACAAATAAATGAGCCTACACCTACCTTACTTAGGTGAAATGATAGTTAACAGGGGTAATATAATTGAAATTTTCCTTTTATTTTGCAATGAATTAGGTTTCATTAGAGATATTGAGTTAGTACTAGAATTTTAGGTAAAGTTTGTAAATAGTACCAAAATTTCCTAAAACATAAAACTCTCATACACTTATATTATGTTTAAGTTAATTGCTGTCCCTGACAAATTTTATCAATGCAAAGTGTATGAACTGCTCACCCATATTTTTATATGACATTTAAGGCAATCAAAAAGGATGTTCCTGTTTTATTTGCTGTACTAGGAGACTGTATAGTTTAATTACTTTATTACCTACTATAGATAAGAGAGTCATTGATTTTTTTTTTCGTCAACAAATTTTCTTTTACTCCCCAAACAGCATGAAACGTCTAATGATTTGAACCTGTTCCCAGTCTGGTTTCTATGTCCCTTTTAAACTGGCTTCCATTCTTGACATTGGTGTTCAGTAGTTTAACTTGACCAATGTTATCAAAACCAGAAGACAGCATTTGCATCCTTAATTACAGCCTATGATGTTGTGACAATTAGTTCAATTGTTTCAAGATGAAATTAATGTTGCAAATGGAACATGTGCTATGGTCATGACTCTTAATTGAGGCTACTTACTGATGCTGATGAAAGGAACAGAAATGATTGCATTACTTCATATCTATAATTGTAGCTAACTTTGGCTTACTTGATGCCTACAATAAGAGCTTATTAGGTTTGACCAGTAAAGACTCAAAATTTGTCAGTCTCACAGATTTGCCCTGAAAATTTATCCCCCTATGGCCATGAGCACCGTATACAAAGTAACACAGGTAAGGATGGACAATATAAATGTTATTTGTTGTTTTTGTTTTCATCTGTTTTGCTTTACGCTTCCTTGTGAAGAGATAGAACAAGAGCAAGATGCAGGGGAGCAGGGGGCAGGGGAGAAGGAGAGAGAGAGAGGGAAGGTGGGAAAGAGAAACAAAAAGAGGAAGAAAGAGAGGGGGAGGAGTAGGAGAGAGAGGAAGAACAGGGAGAGAGGGGAGGAGAGAGAGAGGGAGACTCTGATTATTTTTTCTTCACAACTTAAATTATCTCGTAAATTTCCAAGGCTTTTCCAGGCTACCCAAGATATCAAAATAGTTCATACAGTTCTAAAACAGGGTTGTAAAACCTTGAATTGGTAAAATGTATTTCAGTACATATTTTTGTAAAGATTGTTATCTCTTAAATGTGATTATTTTCTCACAGGGATTTCTACTACCATTCATAATTAAACATTTCTGCCTCCTAGCCAGCCCTCAAAAATTCATAATTAATTTAATGATTGATTCATCTACTTATTCCAACAACTTGGTCAACTGTTCACCCCCTTCTTTATGCACTATTTATAGTGGAGCACATTTGATTTCACTTGATAGCTAAATTAATGATATACACTCTCATTTTCAAAGTTAGTCAGCCACTATTGTAGGTGTGTACTATTGTCTCCAAATATCTGTGAATTAAAAAAAAATGACTATTATATTCAACAACTATTATTTACTGCTCACATCACCCCTTTGAAAAAAAAGGATGAGGATGGAAAAAAAAAAAACTTCACCTATATAAGGCATGAAAATCCATCCACTGACACGTACTTTTTCTCCTTCTAAGAGTAAAGCACTCACTGAAATTTTGGATAAATTCAGATGTCCAAATCAACAAATTCCTATTTGTAAGTGGAATTCCTTACACGCACTGAATATAAATGGCTGGGTTCAGACACACAACACAACCTATGTTGTTTTTCTCAGCCTCATTCCGCACCATGTGCCTCACATCTTTTCCTAACCGCACAATTACGAGGCCAGTATGTGGCTGGGAGGGTTTCCAATCCCCTGAACTGCTGTCATTGGCTGCATTCACAGATTCATCTCTCCCTATTACTTATGAGTCTGCCACACACAAAAACTAGTAACAAGTACAACCCTGAAAACACAGGTAGCAAAACAAGTGAAAGTGAAAAATCCAGTCTTGAGGGCTTCATTTCAACACAAACCTATTCATGTGACACCAGCTTAGGTTGGCATCTGCACAAGTTAACCTCATGCTTGTGCACCAGGGCACAGGGAAAGGAAAGTAAAAAAATATCTCATATCTTTTATAGAAAAATGACGATTGAAAGGACAAATGAAACTAATGCCATTTGCTTTCTAGTAAGAAAAATGGCTCAGGTTGTTTTTATTTGTATGACCACAAAAATCAACTGAGTCTTAGTAGATATTTTAAGACAGTCATTATTCCTCTTGATTGGCATGATGCTCTTGCTTTTCCCATTACTTTATATGTGAAGAAATTTCTCTTCTGTTCATGGTTCTCATTTTTGAGGTTAATTCCTTTTTCAATTTAGTCACCTGGAAAAAACCTAATAATTTCTGTAGGATAAATCTGGCCTATGGCATAGATTGAGTAGACACATTTGGAGTCTGGAAACCCCTCAGCAGGTGCGCATGTGTATTGCTTACTGCACTCTTAGCTACTCCCTTATAACATAACGGCTCAGTACTAATGTGTCATGGACAGAGTCCACATAAATAATTACAATACAGTCCCAGCTCCAACATTCATTATCTGTGACATTTTAGCTCCATCTTGGTAATGCTTGGGAGCTATCATTTATCAATTATGTGTTTGCTCCTGGGATCTCAAAACATTACAGCACACATCATTTCTAATTACTCTGACATCAGCCTTTGGCATTTGCCTCCAATGTATTGATTAAATGTTGGCCACTAATAATTCATAAGTTTAAGTAAAAAAGTCAAGACAAGTTCCTGACCTATGATAAATAAGTCAAAAATTATAAGTAAGTGTAATATTTATTTTACATTTATTCTTTTTCTGGAAATGATAACATTAATGACACTTCTTTCTGATCCTAAAATCCTCCTTGAAAATATCAGTCAAACCAGTTATCAGTTACAATACATATTAAGTAATTTTGCCTGAAAACTATATAATTATGTGGGAATTCCCTAATTGTTTGGGGGTCAAGCACATTTTTCTAATTATGGGATTTTTAATTTTCTTTTCATGCTGTATAGGTTGGGCAGGATTTATTTTAAATTAGAGAAGTACTCACATTTGATACAATCATGTGAAAATACTCTAAAAGTTTAGGCTAATAGTTGATGACACTAGGTAGCATTTTAGTTTATATTATGGAAATTTTCTTTCCCCAAATACTGAAAACAAAAATAATCATCCACGTAATATTTAATAGCAGCAAAATTATTGCTCTTAAATTATAGTTAAAGGTGAACTCTCTACAGTCTTCTCTGTGAAAGAAATCTTTGGGGAATATGCTGCAGTTATAATCATGCTTGCTCTAGGATGGTTGTGTGATTGAATCCTTTTTAGAGTACTGAGCTCTTGTTGTTGAGGTTGACTTTCTTTTAGTTCTTTGGTCAGCCACTGTGCTCGGCTGAAGAGTGTCCTCCCAGAGATATTAGGCTCAAATCCCTGCAACCCATACAAATTACTTTATAAGGAAATAGGATCTTTGCAAATGACACTAAGTTAAAGGTCTTGAGTTATGGAGACTATCTTGAATTATCCAGGTAGGCTTTAAATCCAATCACGAGTGTCCTTATAATAAAGAGGCAAAGGAGATTTGACACAGAAAGAGGAAGAAAAGGCGAGTATCCATGGAGACAGAGATTGAAGTGAATAGGTCCCAAGATAAAAAATGCCAACAGGTAGCAGAGGCTGCTACAAGGAAAGGTTCTCCTGGTGCCTCCCGAGAGATGTGGGCCCTGCAGGCTTCTCAGTCTCTACCCAGGAACACCGAAGCTGTGAGCAGATTGATCTTCTGTTTCAAGCCACTAAGTCTGAGGTGGTTTGTTGCAGCGACCATCTGAAAATTGTGCTCCATTGTGAATGAACAGGCTAAAAACTGTTAAGTGCTACCCTGTGAATAAGGAAAAATGGAAAAATCACATGATTATACCACGCCACTACCCTTCTTAATAAGATGGAAACAAATACCTGAAGAACTAAATAAAATAAACAGCAAAACTGCTTATGAGTCATTTTATATTACTTATTAGAAAATACTTTTTATCTAAATGCAAAAATATATGCTTTTAAGATTATATATTATCTACAATTTCAGAAATGTGAGCCAGTATTTAATGATAAAAATAGTATATGCTGAAAACATGAAACAAATAAGAATGTGAAATTAGGATGAAATTGTCATCATCCGTATCACATCCCCATTCCACTCACCCAGCCTCTGTTATTACAGACAATTTTAGTCAACAGCTGAGTGTGTGTATGTAGGTGTGTGTATATTTTCTGGAAATTTAAATTCATGCACTTGTATCTATGTGTATATATAGAGAGATTTCTGTTCTTTAAGTAAAAACATCAAAACTTTACCTTACCTAAGTTAGAATAATGTGTGTGTGTATATATGTATATACATATATACACACACACACACACATATATATATTTGTTTCATCTCTGAATAATTAGGTCTTCTTCTTGAGTCTTCACTGCTAGGTTAGTGTGCTTGTTTAGATTAGCATGTTTAAATAGTATAAATATCTCTTCAGGTAACACTAGATGTCTCCTCATGAAAAATCTAAACAAAAAGCAAACAAAAACATTCTTGGCCTCTCTTGCTGATTACCTCCCTCCATGTCTCTCCTAAAGGCACATGAGTATGGGAATAAAGAAGACTGTGTGTTTTTCTTGACCTTTTGGTAAAGGAAATGACTAAGTTCCTTGGTCTCATTTGGTCACCGAATGTCCTTTTTGGTTCTTGCAACAAAGTTAACATTCCTCATAGCAGCCTCAACCAAGCTCAGAACAAGACACTGACAGGACCTGTCTGCAAATAGCCAAAGTGACTAGGTAACCTCTTCTATCTTTTCTTCTATCTTCTGTCTTTCTCGGAGTGGTTATTGCTGCTGTGCCAATGACAGCTCTCAGCCCTACATTAATACCTCTGTCTCCAAGAAAAAAAAAAAAAAACTTATAGAGACCCTCAATCACAGGACTGTCCTACATCTTCACAGTATCCAACTCAGTACTGACTTCTATTTCCTAATCCCTCCTCTGAATCATATAAGCCAAACAAATTGCTCCTCCTAAATTGTCAAGCTAAAAATGAAATGCAGAAAAAAACCCTACTCTTTCTTTTCCTACAGGTAGGCTATTCGTGGCATTTACTGAGGTTTGCCACCTGCAAAGCTGAAGTCTGTAACTAATGAAATATCAGGCAACATGCATCCTCTATCCCATTGATGGTAAAGTAGATTTTATTCTTTTTTTCTGTCTTTGTTTTTTCTTTATATCAAGAAACTGGCCAACTCTCTTAGGCAAATGCTATGTCTTTCTTTAAACAATTGGAAAACTCTAGTTACTACAATGCAGGTCCTTAGTATGGAAGGTGCTACTGCAGGCATCTAGCAAGCCCTTCTGTGGTGCCTGGCACGCCAGGTGGCTTCCTGGCTGCATGATTGCATTCACATCACAGAAGCTCTGCATTGCTCAGTCCTTCTTCAGCACTCTTCCGGTCTTCCTAGGTCTCCACTGCTTCCTGCCCCCACCTCACCCAATTACACACCCTGTGTGGATGGACAGTTCAAGACAATTATTTTGTTGTACATACCATTCCACACTCACAAACAGGGTTTGTTAATATGTTTGTTTTCACACCATGGAACATCTCTCAAAAATCTTTTCTTGGCGAGATGCGGTGGCTCACGTCTGTAATCCCAGGAGGAGGTTGCAGTGAGCCGAGATCATGCCACTGCACTCCAGCCTGGGCAACAGAGCAAGACTCCCTGTCAAAAAAAATGCATATATATATATATATATATATGCATTATAAAATAAATTATGATATGCATATAAAACTCCACATTATAAAACCAATGAAAATAATGGTAAGATTTTCTAGCAAAATGGAAAAGAATTATACAAAAAATTAAATTTAGAAAGCAGGTTACAAAATTAAATATATGCCATCCTAGCTATGTAAAATATGAAGCTTAGTATTGTTGTAACCAAACATGATGTAAAGTTAACAATACCTATGTCTAGGTGTGTGATTATGTAGTTTTCTTCCTTTTGTGGCATTTTTAATGTTCAAACCTATTTTTTAAAAAATACTTTAAATAATTAGAAAACAACTGAAACAAAGAAAAATCAGTACTCTTGATACATCCTACCTAGAGACCTAAAAAAGACAATGCCCCAAATTTAGGCTCTTTTAAACAGGAAAATTGTTTCTGTTTGAAAAAATAACTGGAAAACTGTTTTCACATCTGGAAATTAAACCAAGAGATACATGTACAAATACAAATCAAAGTGGGAGATGATGTAAAATAAGTTATTAAATAAAGTTTACGTTTTAAAGTAGTGTACTTCACAGCGTCAACAATTATGATGCATTTCTACTTGTGCTGATGCCATGAAGATAAGTCTGCCCTAGGTTTACTGGCTATATAGTAGGGCTTGGCATGATTTCTACTACAGATTTAGGAATTGGCTTTACTGGGAGAAGGAGGAATCTTACCAGGCCAAGATCAGCCAAAGAAGAGGAAGCACATGTTCCCCAGCCTCCTGTAACTCTAGAGAGGCAAGGGGATTGTTTGGAGAAGGCTAGGTTCTGCAGGATCAATATTCAACATTGTTGCTTACCAGGAACAACACTGTCTCCATACTTTTTATAAGGTAGTGGAGAGAAAATGGCCTTCTCAATGGGAGAATGATTAGACTTCTTTGAGGACATTCCATTCAGGTTTGGGTGACCGCTACTCATTAAAGCCGCATCCCAGTACCTGTAAATCATGAAGTGCACTGGAATCACCCTGCCTTCTGAGGGAGAGGAAGACACAGGAGCCCTGGGAGGCTGAGTTTGAGGGCACTGCTACTAATCTAATGGATGAATAGGGCTCTGATCTCCCCCTCGCTTTTAGTCCTGGTGACATGGTGTGGGCCTCCAGTTCATTTCACCTTAGCTTACAAGAAATTTTTTTTTTTGAAATGGAATTTCGCTCTTGTTGTCCAGGCTAGAGTGCAATGGCGCGATCTTGGCTCACTGCAACCTCCGCCTTCCCGGGTTCAAGCAATTCTCCTGCCTCAGCCTCCTTAGTAGCTGGGATTACACCCGGCTAATTTTTTTTTTTTAATTTTTAGTAGAGATGGGGTTTCACCATGTTGGCCAGGCTGGTCTCGAACTCCTGACATCAGGTGATCCACTTGCCTCGGCCTCCCAAAATGCTGGGGTTACAGGCGTGAGCCACAGTGCCCGGCCGCAGGCTTATATTTTTAGACATTTTCATACTTTTAACATTTTTACTATAAACTGTAGCATAAAGAATACATTAGCGGCCGGGTGCGGTGGCTCACGCCTGTAATCCCAGCACTTTGGGAGGCTGAGGTGGGCGGATCACAAGGTCAGGAGATCGAGACCATCCTGGCTAACACAGTGAAAACCCTGTCTCTACTAAAAATACAAAAAATTAGCCGGGCCCGGTGACTGGCAACTGTAGTCCCAGCTACTCGGGAGGCTGAGGCAGGAGAATGGCGTGAACCCGGGAGGCGGAGCTCGCAGTGAGCTGAGATCACGCCACTGCACTCCAGCCTGGGCGACAGAGTGAGACTCTGTCTCAAACAAACAAACAAAATACATTAGCACAGAAAATATTTTCTACATTTTATATATCTTTCAAGATACATTTTTACTGATTTTTTCAAAATGATTGGAAATAATTTTGTCCTAATTTCCATTCACATTTTCCGTTTATGTTAATTATTTCATTTGTCCATTGCCAGCAATGTGACTCTGTTCATACATGCACACCCACACACACAGGACACACACCCACACACACAGGACACACACCCACACACACAGGACACACACCCACACACACAGGACACCCACATACAACACAAGAAAGAATACACTGAAACCACATTACACATTTGCTAAGTTGGTAAGCCAGATCATAACTTGTTTTGATTTTTATTTCTTTTGTTTGGCACTGATTATGAACAAAATTAAAAGTAAGGAGATGAATAATAAAATCAAGAAAAAATAGATGTAATTAGTAAAGCATGGAATGGAAATTAATTTATTAGCAGTAATTATGCACTTCACAGGTGTCCTGCAGGGCACAAATGGGATGAGGCTTGCAAAATGCTCATCAAGATTGGCACATATTAAACACTTGACAAATCGCAGCACCCATGCGTCTTCAAAGAGCTGGTCCAGATGACGTCCTTTGAAATAAGACAGAATAAATTTAGACTCCTTTCTGCATAAGCATTATTGAGATATGGGAAAGCAGGTGTCATGTCTTCCTTAGCTCATTTTTATATTCCTTCAAATCTCTCTCATAAAATAAATTTTCTGGTGATTTATTTGGTCAACGTCTCATAAGTACTTTCTACCCAATATGCTCATGTCTACACTATTCTATGCATCTTTCAATTCGCTCTAAAATGATTTTAATTCTAGGATTATTAATGCACCCCAGTCATAGATACAAGCTGGTAAAAATTTAAACCAATTTGCTTATGTTTATCAGGATTTAAACCTAAGCTCACTTCCTAAATAAGCTAAATCAACTGTTTCAAATGTGATTGGAAACTATAAAAGTTATACTGAAACCATTTAAGTTACCTGTCTTTATCAAGTATGGTCCTGATAGTAAAGTGTGAACCTGAAACATTATTAAATGAAGGATAGAGAACAGAGACCTTGGCTCTTCACTAAAAGCCTCTCGGAAGATTGATATTGATTCACTTCTAGACAAAATCTTTAGAGAATTTGGCTACCTTAAAACTACGATCTGCATTAAAATATGTAATATGTGTATAATTCTGTTCATTCACCACTGGTGTCAAAGAGAAATGAATTTATTCTGCAATGACATTTAAAAACATAATCTGGACTCCAAAGGTCATGTTGTTCTATCATTTCCATCATATTATAAATGTGGTGAATAAATTTGTGATTATCCATTTAAAAATTTTATTTATTTCAAATTCTGACTCGGGTATGCATTATATGAAGTATGTTCATATTCTTCTTGATAATTATCATATTAAGTTAGTGATTTGTATGTAAATCTATAATAATCACCATTGTATTAAATTGTAATTTGATTGTATGCATATGCTTTCTATTAAAAAGTTATCCATTTAGTTACTGGGTACAAGGATGATATTTAATTTAAAGATGTGTTATTAATTTGATCCTCAGACAATGGGTTCCACCTGAAGAAATGTAAAAATAAGATTTAAGATAAGTAACATAAAAGTATTCAAGGAAGAAGGTAATGTGCTACTTATAAATATTAGTAAAAAAAAAAATTAGCAAGATAATCCACCACTTCATTTTGAAAGTAGTACAAGATGATCAACTGGTATTTATAGCATAAATGAAGGAATGCTTCAATATAAGAGAATGTATTAATGTAATTCACTATATTAATTGATATGAGAAAATTCATGTTATGCTCATGGGTGCTGGAAAGGACTTTTTCAAAATTCAGTTCCCATTTCTGATTAAACCAGTCAATAAATAGAAATTAATAGAATTAATAGATTGTTTCTCTCATATGTATAGGAGATGTGCTTTGTGTTTAGTAAAGAGATTATAGCTAAGGTAAAGGGTTCTTATAGGTGCATTTAAGGCCCCAAATCAGTTGCCTTTCAGTTAGTCAAAAGGAAGTTTATCGTGGGTGGGCTTGATTAATTAGGTGAAAGACTGAAAAACATACTTTCTTACTAACGTTGAAGACATACACTGCTGTGCTAGGAGAAGGCCATGTGGCTAGGACTGTGGGTGATTTCCAGGATCTTAGAGCAACCCCTGGTTGAAAGGCAGCATGAAACGAGACCTCCATCCTATGACCAAGAGGAACTTCATTCTGCCAAGAATGGGTTTGAAAGAGGACCCCAAGCTCCCTGTGAGAGTGTTGACCATTAAATCACCATGTGACCAAGACAACATGGTGATTTAAGCCAGGTGAGGCCCTGAGTAGAGAACCTAGCTATCCATGCCAGACTTTATACCTAGAAAAGCTGTGAGATAATGAATGAGTATTGATTTAAGCTGCTAAGTGTGTGATAATTTGTTAAAGAACAACACAAATCAATGAAACTCATGGAAATGTCATGCAACTATTCCAGGCTGGAAGAGAATAGATTTTCCAGATTTTTAAAAAATATGTGATTCTGAGTGGATGCTTTCCTTAAAATGATATTATTCGGAGAGCTAGTAAAACCTGAATGGTCTGCGAAGAATAGATGGTGTATCAATAACTGTTTCAACAGAAGATCAGGGAGACTAGGAAGGATTTAGATTTGGGGATTCACTATAGAGATTAGAACATTTGCACCTGTGGGAGGTGGTTACAGTATTTGTAAGGTCATCTGTCTCTGGTCTGGGGCTGGGCTGGAGGTTAGCTGGGCTGGCTGTTGGTCATGGAAGATGGATATGAACAACTGAGAGTAAAGATGAACTGCAACAAAGGAGTTATGGCTGCAAGCACATCTCTCCCTCATCCCTTACAATCTCAAAAATGCAAGTGACCTGAAGGATAAGGCTGTGGCTATTGACTATGAACTAGTAAATGCTCTAGCCCAGGGTTTAGAGAGGATGATGGGTGAAATCCCGTGAGAGATGAAGAAAACATGGGTTTGGTTGTTTACCAATGCCAAGAAGGTGAGCCAACAGATCAGTTACACGTGTAAGCTGCCGAAGCACCAGCCCTGAATTGATTCAGAGCATAAAAATGGCTTTTTTTTTAAAAAATTCCAAATTGAAAATTTTGTGTAAATAGATCTAGTGGCCAATCTTAATTAGGAGCCACATAAATAAAAGAACTCTGGGAAAGTACAATCCCAGCACAAAGCTGCCATAGATCCCAACAGGGCAGGAAGGTTAACTTCCTGATCTAGAGAATTATACTCTGGTTAAGTAGAAGAACGTGCTCACATATAGGAAAGGCACCCTCAAGATTTCAGGGCTGTTGATACATCTTGTTGGCAACTTATTCTCAAATGGTTCAAAATAATAAAATTGTTGCTATTATACTTTCAACTTATTAATGTTTTGATTCTAAAGAAAATTAATAATCTAAAAATGACTTTTGGAATTCTGGAATAAGGAACAAGAGAAATCTTGTTCCTAAAAATCAATAATACCAGAAAAAATTGTCAAATTAAATGCTGCAGGAGAGACTGGAGGAGGTCAGGTTATATCTCCATCCTTAGCTGAACATAAGACCCCTGCCCTCTGTCCCCACCAGCACATGAGAAGCACAAGAAGCCCTGGTAGAAAGTAGAAGATGAGGAAGGCCTGTACCAACCACTGTGTCAGGAAAGAGAATCTCAATTCAGAGTTGCTATATTATTCCAAATATCCAGGTTTAAGTAATAAATATGAGATACATAACACAAAGAAAAGTTTGAGCCATCCCAGGAAAACAAAACAAAACTAAACAAAAAAAGTCAATATACATTTTTTTGTTTACCCCTGATGATTTGGAATTAAACTTCGCAAAGGATTCAAATCAATAATTATAAATTGTTTCAAAGTGCTAATAAATTTCAGGTTTGAAGAATTAAAGGAGCGTGTGGTGACAATTACTCATCAGAGAATGTTGATTAAGAGATAAAATAATTAAAAGGAACTAAATGGAAATTACGGAGTTGAAAAGTATAAAAAACACAAGAAAAATTTTACTCAACAGGTTTTATAGCAGATTTGAAATGACAAAAAAAGTGAATACTTTTACACACAAAGCACAAATGAAGGAAGAGAAGATGGGCTGCAATGAAGACAAAAGTTTATGTTTTAGCAGAGTAATGTTATTTTTAATTTGAAGTAGATTTTGGTAAGTTAAAATATATACTGAAATTCAGAGATCAAATTCTAAGAATATAAAAATGTAGTAAAATGTCATACAAAGGAATTAAAATGATGCACAAGAATATAGCTAAAATAAAAATTGAAGTACAAGTGGAACAGAGAAACAAAAAATGACATATATGAAAAATAGCAAAATAGCAGCAGACATAAATTCAAACATTGCAAAAATTAGAACTGAAAAAAAGGTAATCACTACTGACCTTTCAGAAATTAAAAAGATCATAAGGTGATACTATGAACAATTATTTGCCAACAAGTTATACAACTTCGAAAAATTCCTAGGAAGCAGGAATTACCAAAAGTTCTTCAAGAAGAAAGAGAAAATCTGTATAGACTTGTACTAAATAAAATAATTATTATTATCTTCCTACAAAAATCCTCATCCCTGATGGCCTCCCTGGGTGGATTCTATTAAGAGATTTAAAGAAGAAATTATATCTATCTTCCACAAACTCTTCTAGAAAATAGAGGAGAAGGGGACTATTTCCCTATTCAATCTGTAAAAACAGTGTTACTCTAAATCTATAGTAAAGATATTAGCAAAAATGAAAACTACCAATCATTACCCCACATTTATATAGACACACAAATATAGACACACAAATCCTCAAAAAATTATAAAACCAAATTCAACATATAGAAAAGCATTTTACAGCATGATTAAGTGAATTTTATGCCAAGAATGCAAAGTTGTTTTAACATCAGGAAGTCAGTAAATTAACATCAAAACATACATGATCATTTCAATAGATGGTCTTTAAAAACCAACAAATTCCAACAGTTCAGGATGAAAACTCCCAACAACTAGGAGTAAAAGGAAACTTTAACAAACTGATTAAGGGTATCTACAGGAACCTAGAAATGCCTTCACCCTTAATGATAAAGGACTAAATGTTTTTCCCCTAAATCAGGAATAAGTAAAGAATGGTCTCTCTGGTAACTTCAAACAAACACTGTACTCGAAATTCTAGCCAGTAGGATAAACCAAAGAACAAAAATAAGCACACTACAACAACAACGAACTAGGGATTCTGAAATAAAACTTACAAGAATTTATAAGTAAGTGAAGCATATGTGCAGAATTCAAGAGCAATATAAAAACCTATTGTATTTTTATATATTAGTAATGCATTGTCAAAATGAAGTTAAGATCACAATTCATTTTATAATAATATCAAGAAGATAAAAAAGAAGTAAATTTAACAAAAGAAGTATAGAACATATATAATGAAAACTGTAAAACATAGCAAAACGTAAAGACCTAAATAATTGGAGATACATTCAAAGCTCATAGATTGGAAGACTATTTTTTAAATGGCAAATCTTCACTTAGTGATATGTAGACTCAATACAACCCCTATCAAATCCTAGCAGGGTGTGTGTGTGTGTGTGTAAGTGTGTATCGCCCCAGAAATTGACAAGCTAACCCCACATTTTAAATGGAAAAGCAAAAGAGACGGAATAACCAAATAATCTGAAAAGGAAGAAATGCATTCCTGGGTCCAAAATTTGAACAAATATACTAATAAAGATACTTCAGTATTATGACAAATAGAGACCTGAAAAACAAAGAAATAGATTTGAGATTACAATTAAAGTCAGCTGAGGTTCAACAAATGTGCCAAGGAAATTTAATGAATAAAGTAGAATCTTTTCAGCATTTCATACTAGAATTATCTATCTCTGTGCAAAAAGATGCATTTAGACACCTTACCTTACATTATACTCAAAAATTAATTCATCATAAATCATACTAAATGTTAATAATAAAAGTAAAAATATATATTACATATATGTTCATATATATGAACACATAGAAAAATACCCACAAACTGAACACTGTATAAGTATTAAAACATCACTATATACCTAATAAATTTGTACAATTATGATATGTCAATTTTTACAAACTTAAAAACATTAGAAAAGTTTTCAACAGAACTACCAATTATTCATGAAAAAAATGAATATTGAGAATCACATCAAGATTAAAAACTTTGTGCTTCAAAAGACAGCATTATGAAATGGGAAAAATAAGTATTCATAGAAAAGATGTGCAAATTATATTTTTGGTGGAGGTTTTGTATTGAGATTATATAAGTAATCTTAAACTCAATTATAAGAAGCCAAATAACATTTAAAATTGTGAAACATGCATAGAAATGAATAAAAGTAGAAATGAAACATTTGTGGGATCCAGATCAAGAAAATCGAGGAGAGGGGAATTTGTATAATAAATGCTGGTGCTAAGAGAGTGGGAAAGTCTGATATCAGTTATGGAAATTTCCTCCTCAAGAATCTAGAAAAAAAAAAAAGGGAAAGAAACCCAAAGCAAGCAGAATGAAAGAAATGATAAAAGCAGAATTCACTGAAATTGAAAACATCGGATAAGAGTAAAACAAATATGTGGTTCTTTGAAACAGTAAATAGGATGAATAAATATCAACCAATATTGACAAAGGTTAAAAGAGAAAAGACACAATTTATTGATATTAAGAATGAAAGAGGGAATATTACTACAGATTTCCTAGTCATTAAAAATATAATAGTGAAATACTATGAACATTGTAAACAACTCTACAACACATATTTGAAAACTTAGATGAATTGGGCCAATTCCCCCCCCAAAAAAGAATATAACAAATTTCACTCACTATGAAGCAGACAATCTGAATAATTATATACCTATTGAGGAAACATAAGTGTATGTAACTGTTAAAAGAGAATTAGTACCAATTCTACAGTCTCTTCTAGAATACATAAGTGGAAAGAATAATTTCAAACTCACTTTATGAAACTAATAAGTATCCTGCTACTCACAACCAGAAAATACTTTTGTGCGCACACACACACACCGAAAAAAAATTACAACCAATATATTTCAAAAACTTAGACATAATTTATGAATAAAGAGAATTCACTAATTCATAAAAGAATTATACCCTGAAATCGATTTGATTGTATCCCGTGTTTATAAGCCAGGTCCAGTATTTGGAATCAATCAATATAATCCTCTATGCCAAAAACTAAAGAAAACAAACCACATGATTAGTCATACCAATGGATGCAGAAAAAGCATCAATTCAACACTAATTCATGATAAAAACTGTCAGCAATCTCAAAATAGAGGTCAATTTCCTCAACTTGATAAAGAACATCTGCAAAAACAGCCAATATAACATTCAGTGGTGAATGCTGAATGTCTGTTCCTACCGCTCTTATTCAACATAATACTGAAACCAAGGCAATAGGGCAAGAAAAGCAAATAAATTGTGTACACATTAAAAAGGAAGTCATAAAACCATCCTCATTAACAGATGGCATGTTTATGTATCTAGAAGAGCCCAAGAAATCTATTTTAAAAAATAAAGAAAATTTATGTTCACACAAAAACCTGTCCGCATATATTCATAGTAGCTTGTACCAAAATAGTCCCAAACTGGACACAACCCAAATATCCTTCAAGAAGCAAGGAGATTTTTAAAAATATGGTACATGTGTATGGTGGAATACTGCACAGAAATGAAATGAAACAAACTATTAATCCATACAGCAACTTAGATGGGTATTATGCTTAATGTTAGAAAGCCAGTCTCAAAAAGTTACATTCAATATACTCAATTCATATAATATTTTTTAAATGACAAAATGATAGAGACAGAGAATGCAATTCTCAATAGAATACTATTGCTTGCTAAGGTACACAGACAGGAGTGAAAGCAACCGTAAGGGAGTCAATGAGAGAATTCCACTCATGCATTGTGATGGACAGTACCAGGAGCTGGTTTTTGTCATGTTTCCACAAATCTATGCATGTAATCACAAGCAGATATTTAGAAATGTTTGCATGTTAAATGTGGTACAAGATGAATAAAGTGTGTAATCTTGTTAACACTCCTGTACCAATATCAATTCTCTGATTTTGATACTTTACCACCGTTATGTAAGATGTTTCCATTTGGGGGAAGTTAGACGAGGTTTCACAGGACAGTATATTTTTGCAATATCCAGTAAATTTATTGTGGTTATGCAGGAGAACATCTTTATTCTTAGACTGTATATCCTAAACTATGCAGAAATAAAGTGTCATATGAGAAAGAAGAAAAGAGAAAAAAAGTGGTTAGTGAATGTAGTTGAAGGATAAATACATGTTCATTATAGCAACTTTGGTGACTTCTCAGTATGTAAACTTACAGAAATTAAATTAAAAATCTAGGAAAGTAAATATTTGGGGCAAAAGTGACAATCAATGCTTAATGTTAAGCCAATCTCATGGTTTTAAATGGTTTAAAACCTATATGGTTTTAAAAAGATATGTTTATCACATTATTCCCCTATTAAACCTTATCATTTGGCATTAAAATTTTAAAAAATCTTGTATAAAAGTCCTTTCCATAAATATAGCCACAGCCAGTTTCCCTAGACCAAAAATTGATAAGCTATTGCTCCATGTAATAAAACGGCCAACCTGAACAACCTGAACGGCTCACAAAGCCTAAAATATTTCCTATGCTTTATCTATAAAAAGTTACCTAGTAAATATTTTCTACATTGTGGGCCATATGGTCAGTGTTACAACCGCTCAAATCCACCATTGTAGTGAGAAAGCAGCCATACACTAAACATAAACAAATAGGTGTGGCTGTGTGACAACAATACGTTATGTATAAAAACCAGTAACCCAGTAACGAGCCCACCAGCTATGGTTTCCAGGTGTACCCTAAGTGTGGCTTCCTTTTCATCTTTTCCTGACCCACTATCCAGACTAAGTAAGGCACCAAAACACACTTAGAATACATCTCTCAAATGCTAGAACGTAACACCAAATTTCAGATTTCCTCAGCTTTCTTCTCCTTTTGCTGTCGAATTCCGTGAGAAAAAAAGCTGACTTCTTATTTACCACTCTATTGTCAGTACCTAGACTCAATTTGAACTACAGGAGGCATTAAAATCTGAAATAATGGTTAAAATAATCAATAATCAACCTAATAATATACCTTATTAAGCTGGACATTAAAGTTAATGACTAAAATCTTGTTTTTCAAGTGAAAAAATAAGCCCTGAACTTTGGTGTAATGAGGGTAGTGATATAATGTTTAAAGAACTCAACCTTTTGTTACTTACTATTACTTAGTATGCAGACTTCCTGAAGATTAGAGATAATCTATTTAGTTAAATCTATTTAACGCAGTAACGGGAATAGCATCACAACAGATGCTTCATCCTCTTCAAAACTTGCACTTTTGTTATGTAATGATAAGTTTAAATGGATTGTATGCATAGTTTTATATAAGAAAAACAAGAAGAAAAAAGAGCAGATGCTAGAAACATTTATTGTAATTAGTTTTATGAGTTGATGTTGCTAGGAATTTTTTACAGCTTTCAGTGGTCTGCCAGACTGAAGGACAATAAATGTTTAAAATAGGTACTTTATTTGGGATACTTATGAAATATCTATCCTTAAAGATATAAAATATAAAGATTCCCAAGTGGTTCACCATTTTTAATATGATGTTTCATTGGACATATTTTTAAAATGTACTTGCAAGATAAATTGTAGACATTTTAAAACTAAAGCTAATTTTGTTTTATTCCCTTTTATGATGTCCCTTTTGTGTTTTTATTATATTCAGAAGTAATAAAATAGTGATTTGATTTAATGTCAATTACTAAAATAATATACTAGAACTCTAAATAGACTGAGACATATCAGAGGGAGTTGCTAAGATTTAGCTTGGGAAAGATGACCTAAATTGTTCATAACATCTATTAATTTATACTCCTTCATGCTACATGAGTTGTGGAAACAAGAATAAGTTGAAAAAATAAGAATTATTTCTTATGATCTAAATGGGAGTGTTTAGCTGCCTTTTTGCCTATCATCCAATTCCTCAAGTCAACAGCCAGAGATCATTAACACAGGTACAATGTATATGTTTCTACAGCTTGGCTTTACTTAATTTTTACTTTCAGGATTTCTTTTTCCATTTGTAAATGAAAATTTACATTGTTTCAAATCTAAATTACAGGCGCAGTGGCTCACACCTGTAATCCCAGCACTTTGGGAGTCCGAAGTGGGCAAATCATGAGATCAGGAGTTTGAGACCAGCCTGATCAACATGGTGAAACCCCATCTCCACTAAAAATACAAAAATTAGCCAGGCATGGTGGTGCACACCTGTAATCCCAGCTACTTGGGAGGCTGGGGCAGATGAATCACTTGAATCCAGGAGCCGGAGGTTGCAGTGAGCAGAGATCGTGCCATTGCACTCCAGCCTGGGTAACAGAGCGAGACTTTGTCGCAACAAAAATAAATAAAATAAAAAAAAAAACATAAAGAAAAAGAAAACAAAAGTATAGGGCCAGGCACAGTGGCTCAAGCCTGCAATCCCAGCACTTTGGGAGGCTGAGGCGGGTGGATCACCTGAGGTCGGGAGTTGGAGACCAGCCTGACCAAGATGGAGAAACCCCATCTCTACTAAAAGTATGAAAAAATTAGCCAGGCGTGGTGGCACATGCCTGTAATCCCAGCTACTCAGGAGGCTGAGGCAGGAGAAGCGCTTGAACCCGGGAGGCGAATGTTGTGGTGAGCTGAGATCACGCCATTGCACGCCAGTCAGGTCAACAAGAGAAAAACTCCAACTCAGAAAAAAAAAAAAAAAAAAAAAGAAAGAAAATGAAAGTATGCCTTCTACTTGCTGTGCAACACTCCCCAGTGTTCTGCACGAGGTCTCCCCTGAGAAACCAGATATACTACTTTACACAGTCTCTTTTGCTAACTGACATCTTTCAAGCCTATCATTAAAAAAACAAATCAACTCTGCTGCTCATTTCAGTTTTTGGAACTATGTATTTTGAAGACAGCATGATATGGTTTAGTTGAATGAAAATGGATTTTATCTGGAAGAACTGAATTCAAACTCATGGTTCATCATTCACAAAACAGAAGGCCATGAGCGAGGTGCTAAATAGATATGAGCCTGGGGTCTAGAGCCTGCAACACAGGAAATGTTTCCCTACCTCCTTTGTAGGGTTATTGCAAAGCTTAAATGAGAAAATTATATCAAAGAGCTTTGTAAATGGTAATACAATAAGAACATATTCTTTTTGGATTAATGAATGTAGTAGAGATCCAGGTTTCACTGGAGATGTTTTCTCCCTGAATTTAGGCCTGCCTGAACCTCACAGGACAGTGGTGAATCCAAGTAAGTGGGAGGCTGACTGGGCATATCCTTTCCATGAAAACTTTTGGCCCAAACTTTTCCAAAGGGAAGAAAATGCTAAAGGCATACTACCAGGGGAACTCGCCCCCAGTATTTCAACATAGGTTCTTTCTATTTTCCCTATTTTTCAGCTGGTCTGAGATATAAAGAGAAAGAGTACAGAGAGGGGAATTTTACAACTGGGTCACTGGGGGTGACATCAGATACTGGTAGGTCTGTGATGCCCACCTGAGCTGCAAAACCAGCAAGTTTTTATTATGGATTTCAAAAAGGGAGGGGATGTATGAACAGGGAGTAGGTCACAAAGATCACATGCTTCAAAGGGCAAAAAGGAGAACAAAGATCACATGCTTCTGAGGAAACAGGGTAAGGACAAAAGCAAAGATCATAAGGCAAAAGGCGAAATTACAATTACTGTTGAGGATCTATGTTCAGCTGTGCATGTATTGTCTTGATAAACATCTTAAACAACAGAAAACAGGGTTCAAGAGCAGAGAACTGGTCTGACCACAAATTTACCTAGGCAGGATTTTTTCCCCACTCTAATAAGCCAGAGGGTACTGCAGGAGACCAAGGCCTATTTCAGTCCTTAACTCAACTGCATAAGACAGACAATCCCAGAGCTGCAGTTTATAGACCTCTCCCCAGGAATGCATTCCTTCCCCAGGGTATTAATTATTAATATTCCTTGCTGGGAAAATAATTTAGCAATATATTCCCTACTTGCATGTCCATTTATAGACTCTCTGCAAGAAGAAAAATATGGCTCTATTCTGCCCGACCCTGCAGGCAGTCAGACCTTGTGGTTGTCTTCTCTTGTTCCCTAAAATCACTGTTATTCTGTTTGTTTTCAAGGTGCACTGATTTCATATTGTTCAAACACACATGTTCTACAATCAATTCGTACAGTTAACACAATAGTGGTCCTGAGGTGAGGTACATCCTCAGCTTAGGAAGATAACAGGATTAAGAGATTAAATAAAGTAAGACAGGCATAAGAAATTATAAAAGTATTAATTTTGGGAACTGATAAATGTCCATATTAAATGAAATCTTCACAATTTGCGTTCAGAGATTGCAGTAAAGACAGGCGTAAGAAATTACAAAAATATTAATTTGGGGAACTGACATATGTTCATGAAATCTTCACAATTTATGTTCCTCCGCCGTGGCTCTAGCCGGTCCCTCCGTTCGGGGTCCCTGACTTCCCACAACAGCATACATAAATATTAGAGGAAAACAAAACAAATAACAACAATAACAATAACAAACAGGGGCCAAGGGATGGTTCAAAACACACAGTTCTTTATTTGTATCCTCCAAATAGATAGATTGGCATCGGCACCCGCCAAGTTTTTGACGTCTAAGGGTGAGGGAGGCGGCCAATGAAAGTCAATAAAAACAGATTATTCAGAGCATTTCCCTGAACTGGCGTAGTAGGTTGGGAAGAAATGCTTTTGCAAGCATTCACATCAACAACTTTGAGGATGACAGGAGGAGACATCATGGGGCTGGACTTCAGTTGTACCTCAGCCCAGGTAGGCGTGCATCGGCTGACTAACCTGTGCAGCCAGGTGTGCAGGTGCCCAATCACCATGAGCCAGAGGCGGAGTCAGAATCCACCCTCATCGTTGTCGGTCAGGATGTTGCAGGAGGGAGGCCAGGAAAGACCTGGGGGCTCCTGGTGTCCCATATATCTCCTGGGAAGAATACTTTGGAGGGGCAGGTGACTTAAGGCAGACGGGGGCATTGTCGACCCCCTATGGAGGGAATCCCGAACAAACGCGCCTTGCCTTTTCATGGGCGAGGGAACCAGGAGGGAGAGGCAAGGAGCTAGGGGTGCAAAGAACTGAGCCAGAGCGGAGCGATGAGCCTTCGCCAGCCCCGGGAGGGCGCCTCCAAATGCAGGTGCCTGGGCTGGGAATGCGGAGACTCAGCACAGAAGGTCGGCTGGAGGCCTGGGCTGCAGGTGCCTGGGTTGGGAAAGCGGAGACTCAGCACAGAGGCCTGGGCTGCATGCCCCTCATCCGCTAACGTGCACGCCTGTGGGCTGGGTGTCAGCTTGCCCCATGAAAACTGCCTGGCAGCCTTGTCGCTGCCCATGTGCGCACATGACGCCTCCCTGGGCCCTTGGAATGATCGAGCTCATGTAAAGCTTGAATCGCATATTTGACATCATGCTCAAGCCCGTGGGGCTGGGCGGCCAGTGTGGATGTACTTACCTGCTCTGCCAGTTAGGATCTGGGTAAGCTCTGGGGACTTGGTCAACCTCTCTAAGCTTCATTCTCTGCATTCTAAAAGTAGGGATGCCAGCTGCTCATAAGCGTTAAAATAACACTTCATGAGCTCAGGAGTGAAGAGCAAATCAAGATAGTTTCAGACAAAAGCGAACGAAGACAATTTGATTCCAGCGGACCTACCCTGAATAGCTCTTCATGTAAAGTGTGCACCCCGTGTCTGGGTGTCATAAAGTCTCCGTACATTTCACACATGAGATTGTGACCCCATGTTCTCCCCCAGATATGCAATCTCAGAAAAAATGTATCTTTCACAATTATATATATTTTCTTGATTTCTTTCAAAAAGCCTGTGCTTAAAATATTTGATCCTCTGGTGCATGTTCCTAAGACTAATTTGTGGCAAAAAAAATAAAGCCTTCTCCGTTATCAAATTCTTCAATTTTCAATAAATCGAAAGTTTAAAATAGATAGTCTCCATTTTTCCTGCCAAAGCATATTCTATGATTACATTAAATTACACTGCATTTTAAAGAGATTTTCCATTTCTTTTTTGAATATTTAATCACTCACATCTCATAACAACCAGGTGACAACCATTTATTTAGCACGTTTTTATACATATTTACAGCCATTAAGGTGGAAGGAGTAAGAGCTGGAAAAAAATGGAAAAGAGAAATAATGAAGTAAAGCTGCATTTTTATGCTTGCACTCAACCTGGGAGACCAAGATTTCATTAGACAATGAGGGCATGTAGTTACCGATGCTACGGCAGATTTTGTGAAAATAGAAGTATGTAATTGGAAAGATTAAAGAGCATTCGTTTTAAGACTGTGAGAGAATGAAGATCAGAGTGGAGAAGAGCCAATCATTTAATAAATGTAACTGTACATTCTCCATGTACTTTTCACTTATCTAGGTTAATTGGAAAATAGAAGAACCCTATAATGCAGGAAAGAATGAAGATAATGCCATATAAAGCTTGAAACCAGTTGCATCAGTATGTGAAAGAGGTAGACAACATAGAAGTAGTCAGGGACATGTGGAGAGTGTGGACACAATTTGGAGAGGTTTTTGTTTTGTTTTGATTTTGTTTTCCTTTTTGTTTACAGTGGGTGTGGCTCAAAGTGCAGAGGATAAAGGAAAATCTGAGATGAAAATGATCTCTGCTATCTTCCTCAATTTGTTTATAAAATCACGATCATAATAATTTGTAACTTAAATATTATTGTGATAATTTAATGATCAAGCCAATATAAAATGCCAATCATAAACAGCAGGCAATCAGTTAAAATCACCTTTACTTTCTTGGCTCTTAAACATTTTTTCCAACTTTACTGAGGCTCACCAACAAAAATTGTGTGTGTGTGTGCGTGTGTGTGTATATATATGATATACAATGTGATGTTTTGATATACACTTTTAGGGGGGCTCAAGGAATCTTTCCACCTCAGCCTCCCAAGTGACTGGGACTACAGGTGTGCACCACTGTGCTTGGCTAATTTTTTGTATTGTTTTATAGAGACAGGGTTTCCCCGTGTTGCCCAGGCTGGTCTCGAACTAGTGGGTTCAAGAAATCCACAGGTCTCGGCCTCCCAAAGTGCTGGGATTATAAGCATGAGCCACCATGCCCGGCCTTGATATAGATTTTTGACTGAATCATAGATAACTTTTTTAGAAAGAGTTTCTCAAACTTTTATTCCTTTATTTTTCTCACTCACTTTTCTTTCTATTATGTATGTTGATCTCTAATAAATAGGCAGGTTTGTCCTGTATATTAACTCTACAGAATTGATACCTGTAACTGTTACACATACTCAATTGTAGTGGAAAGTCCTTTAATCTCGTACAATACACATTCGGGTTGTAATAAAAATCTGAGCAGGAAATCTTCCAAGCCGTTAGTTAAAGGGAGATGTGTCAGAACCCTGCCTAAGATTACTTTTTTCTTTTGCTAGTTTCTTTCTTTCTTTCTTTCTTCTTGTTGTTTTGTTTATAGTTTGTAGCAAAACCTAATGGTGGAAATTTTGATTTTGAAGTCACAGCTTGTTAATGTGCTGGGCTGGCTCTAACCAGTTTATGAGAGCTGATTTTGTGCAAATCTACCTTATCTTGCACTCTGTGATGTCACTCCGGAAGCTTTAAATTGGCAATAGTGGGAATTGACACATGGGCATTGGCAAATCCTACTAATAATGTCTATATTTTGGAGAGTTCTTTGTTAGCAATTTGCCATCATACCAGTAAGTTAGACAGATTTGTTATTAAATCCTTCCCCAACCACATACAAGATGAGTGAACCTCTCAGCAAATTGCTTAACCCTCTGTGAGCCTTGGCTTCTACATTGTAGCACAAGAGGAAATAATAGCTATCCCAGAGGATTGCTTCAGTAAATGAGATGATATGTGTAAAGTGTATGATCCATTGCAAATTCTTAAATGGTAGCTATAATGACCTTAATTCATATTAAAATTTCTTAATTCCTGAGATATAGTTAGAAGTCAGATATGTCTAGTTTCTTCCTGCTGCCAAATAATTGACTCCACTGCTTAGACAAGAAAATAATGGAGCTGACTGAATGTGATCTTCATTTCCATCGAAGGTACTTAGGGCAAGAGTTGCCATTTATAATGACTGCTAATACCAATTACTGGTTGCTTCTGATCTGCTTTAACATGGGATCACCTGGTATAGCATGAATAATTAATTTACAGAATAAAAACAAAGAACTTTGGGGGAGTCTCAGCATTTTTGTTTACATATTGAAGAGTTCCAAATGGTTTTCGACATGTGCCTGTGCTCCATTTTACCTTTAAAATTTTAAACACATGTGTAATAAAATCCAATGTGTGTTGTACATAGTTATATTTTTATTTTTTAAAAGGCTGAGACTTGCATGCATTGTGTGATCATTCTTTTACTCACAAATTGAAATCTTACATGGAGATATCATCTTTAAAATTTAACACAAAGATTCTTGTTGTTTTATTTGGTCCTGGTGTGAGCTTCCATAATCCATGATCACAAGTATGTACACAGAGCTTACTGGCACATGAAAATGCAGGACAAAATAAAAATATTTACAAATGTTTTCTGAAATGATTTACTTTTTGGTATGTCATGAAAGTAAATTATGTGGTAACCTTCAGATTGCACGATGTTGATTCCTACATAGCTTACACATACCTACTCATTGTCTCTGCAGGTTTTCACCCACTTTTTGGAGACTAGAAAAGTTCCCTTTTCTCCAGGGAGAGGGCTCCAAGAAGTATGAGAGGTGAACAAAATTAGTGAAAGCAGAAATTTTGCTTAGAGTCCTATGTAAGTTAGAGTAAGTCTCACTCCAGGGAAATGTGAAATGGCATACAAGGGTAGTTCTTTCTTTTCTATTCTCAGAAGACCCATATTCTCTGTGGCAGATGGGAGTATTGAGCTCATTCCCTTAAACATGGAAATGTAACTGAATTATATAACACATGGCATTTAAATGCAATATAATGGCAAATACATCTGAGCACAAGATTTGATAAGCTT
The DNA here is from genome assembly GCF_000001405.40 of Homo sapiens. NCBI lineage: Eukaryota > Metazoa > Chordata > Mammalia > Primates > Hominidae > Homo > Homo sapiens. The sequence continues at coordinate 53,091,260 of NC_000007.14, forward strand.
CATCAGCCCATCAGCCCAAGCTGCATTATATCAGCTATAATGACTTAGCTCTACCCTTCAAGGAAAGGTGAAATATCCCATTAATGTTCCTCCATAATTGCACCATTGGTGGCAGGATGTTTCTCCCTATGACAATCAGCTAAAGTTCTCAAGCATGACATTTGATTACCATTGTTTTGGTATGGAAAGCTAAAACATAATTGTTATAAAATTACCAGCATCTTTTGTTTAATGTTCAATAGCAATCACATTTTCATATCACCAGTAACAGAAGGTACTTTATTGAATATTGACAGCTAATTCACAGCAATATATGAAATCTAAAATGAAAAAAAATTCTTTATAGCCATCTTTCTGCTTTTCGGAAAATGGGAATTTAATTTTGATCTTTTAATATAACTGTGTAAATATATAGTTTGTGTTTTTCAAATTAAGGTAGAGAAACTACATGTAAGAGATGCAAAATAAGCCTACCACTTCCTTTGCTTTTGTCAAATTTTGAAAATATAAGAGGCAAATATTATACATGATAATTGAATCCTCAATATATATTATTACATGGTATCCTTTCTAATGGAGTTTATCATAAAGTTTATTTCTGCTCTGTTGAATACACTGATATCCGGCCTTGTGATCAAGAAGTGCAAGAATTTAAAAGAGGCTCCAGAGCAGAGAGGGGAATATCCTTGGCTTGAGTCTGGGATAATGAAGGGTTTAACTGTACATGATAGAGAGACAAAAGCATGATGAAAGGCACATGGCCAAAATACAGCATGCCCTGTGGCTTCCAGCATCATGCCTCAAACTTCTCTTAACACTCTTCGTCCGGATTAAAGACATGCGGATCTTTTCTAAAACTCAAAATAGAAAACTCCAGAATGCATTTCAGCTCCAACATTGTTTTGTTTTGCATGCTAAAGTAGTCACAAAGTGCTTTCACCTCTACTTCAGAATTGATTCTCAATGTTTATTTTCCTTTTAAATCCCCATACTTACAACCACCATTAGCCCTTGCTCATTTGTGGCCTCCAGTCTTTTCATTTTCTCATCCATTTTCCTGTAGCTGTGATAAATCTTCTTCTAAAACACAACATTGAAACTGTCACTGCCCACTATGAAATATCTGATATTTTCCAATTTTAAAACTATTGAGCCTTCATTCTTGAATATTGCATTGGAAGTTCTTCAGATTCTTGTCAAAATCACATTTAAGCCAGGTATACAAATATAACTTAGAAATAATAGACTATATTCAATTTCCAAACCCATCCTAAAATTCCAGCCTCTGTGTTTTTTACATTTTCTTCCCTCTTCAACAAAACTTGGACTAACATCTCTGAAGGTCTTCATTAGGTATTCCTTCTTCCATGGGCACATTATTTCCTAATAAAGTGGAATTAACCAATCTGTACGTTGCTATTAGATTAATTGTATAACTTTTACCTGTAAATCCTTAGAGTATGTGCTTGTGATCTGAGACACCAAAATAGATGCCCCTATATCAACTAAGGCAGACCCTAAGCTTAAGGATGCAGTTACCTACATGTCAAGGGTTCAGGACCTGGCTGGGAAGGCAATTGCCTAAATTCCTACAATTACAAGAAAAACCACACTTGGTAAACTCCCTAACAATAAGAGCTACCAGATGTCTCCTAACTCTGATTTACAACCTAGACTACTACAATTCTGGTTGAACACAGGACCGGCCTCACAAACATTCTCTTTTGATAAACAGCTGCAGAACTTAAGCCATTTTCAGCCAGCTTATAGAGAGTGTGCATAAACTGTCTTTCTGTTCTATAATTCACCTTTCCCATAAGAGCTAAATTCCACCCCATTTTAATGCTAAAACCCCACTCCAAAGTGAACATGGGATGCATATTATATGAATGTTTACCTATTGCACATGCACTTGATGTCCCTCATAAATATGCAAAACTTTTCCCCAAAACCTGCTGGATATGTATAATACAGGCCCTGTAAGTTATAAAACCCAACTTGTTCTTTTTGTAGAAAGGGGAACTTTGGCCCATGCTGCAGACTTTATCTTCCCAACTTGCAAAGCAATATCACCAGTAAAGCTCACCTTTCTACCATGTAGTCATTCCAGTGGTCTTTTGGATGACACAAGAATTTACAAATCACACAATATCTGTCTAAATGACTAGATCATCTGTCCCTCTTCTTTGTCTTTCTTTCAGTGTACCACACAATGCCTTGTTTATAACATGTGCTGAGAAAGAAAGAATACAAAATTAACAATTGATTAAGAAAGAAAATGAAAAAGTTTCTTTGTGGATACATTCCAGAAAGAAACCACATATCAATGTCTAGAGCAACACTTTCCAAACTTTGTTTCTGAATTCCTGAGTTAGAATTACTTGGGGGCCCTGCTGAAATTGCAGATTTCAGTGTCTTCTTCTGGATTTACTAACTGAGAATCTCAGAGAATGGAGCCAAAAAAATAACATTCATGTATGCTCCCTTGTTGATTTTCATACACACCAAAGCTGGAGGATCACTTATGCTACTGAGAATATTTCAGAGATTTATTTTACATAACTAATTAAGATATTAGCAGAGACAATGCATCGTATAGGATATTATCACCAGCCCCTTTGACATTCTAATCTACAATTCTTGCACCTATTCTAATTTGCACATGTGAAATGCGAAGATAATATTGAATTATGAATGTGCACCACAGGTAAGGGTTTTCCAAAGATATTTTATTAGCCTTCTGAGATAAGCATATTTAAATGTTAGTGAAATCCAAAATATCATTATATTAAACATTGGGATTTAAAAATAAGGCTTGCTTCTCTAATTTAGATAGTATTTGTGTGTGTGTGTGTATTAACCTATATAAATCGAATTTTCAAATTCCAAAGTTTCATCCTTCTGATAATTTAAAACCGTAAAAGAAATTTATTTCTTCATACCATTTAACTTTCCTCTAAATATCTAACATTATTCGATATTCCACATTTCCACATATGTGGTTTTCCATGTTTTTCCAGTCCTCCATTTGAGCCAGATATAGTAAACAGAGGCAGGTTTTAGTCCCGAGCATATGGTCAAGGGGCCCCAGTTCTTTGTGAGGCTGTGGAATGTTTGATTGACAAGAGTGCCTGCCCTGCTAGTGCCTGTGCCTCAGCATCCTGTGGGCCTCTGAACTGATGTGGAGAGCGCTTTCCTCATGAGGCCAGTGGATTCTCATCCTGACTCCACTCTTTGCTTATACTTGTTACATGTTTCCTTAATCTTTAAGTAATTCCTGGATTAGGACTAGCTGATTAGGACTAGCCTGGAAGATGGAAGACTAGAAAATTATAATCTTTAAAATGTTTATTTAATAATTAATGAATTGATACAAACATTGGTAGATTCCCCCACTCAAATATCACCCAAGTAGAGTGTGGTCTCTAGCATATGAAAAATGGCCAACCAGGATGATGATTAAATTTGCGTAATTTGTACAATTTTTCTTCAGCAGCTTTTATTTGAAGTATGTACCTGCCACTCTAAAAAGCCTCCTGTCCTTTGAAAAACCTTCTGAGATTTTGTTCCATGTTTTGGTGCTCATAATTCTCTGAGTTCTTAGATTTATCCTAGGCATGGTCAAATGTGATACCAAGTTCAGGCAAGGCTTCTTAAGGGTGGTTAGGAAAGAGTTTCTCTCCAAAGATAGCAGGAATGGGGTAATCATCAAAGGTCAGGAAATCTCAAGTGCCATGCTTCAAGCCAGGGAGGAGAGGGGAGTCTGGCCATTCTCACAGACACTTTGAGGATCCTACATGATGACTAAAGATGAGAACAATGCCTGGTGACTGTCCAAGCTTAAGGCATTAGAAGACTTGTTACGTCACATGATTTCAATTCATCCTGTACGAGTGCTTTAAATATTACACAAACTCTGTATAAATGCTATCTGTGAAATTAAATCAATCTGAGAAAAGATTTTGATGTCTTGTGACTGGAATGATCATGTGATCTAAAGATCATACCTTTTATGCTCAATGGTATTTTTATACCGATTTTCTTTACTAAACATTTTATTCTGCCTTAATTTTATTTTTGTCTTTGATAAATGGAAATAGCTCTAACGTTTTTATTATGAAACTGATAATTTTCATTATAATTCTAATAGTACATAAGTGTATAGAGAAGAAATTTTTTAAACCATCCATAATTCCATCATGAAGAACTAATATTTTGATGATTATCTTTTCAGTCTCTGGCACTATATGTGTATATAAAAATCATCTAAAGTTATATAATTATATATAAAATATATAATTATTAAATAATTATATATTTTAACAATTATAAACACCAAAACATAATAATTTATGAGCTACCTCTTTTATCTTTCAAAATATTGCTGACATATTTCCTATCAGTTAGAATAGCTACATGGAATCATATTTTGTTCCCGTTTACTATTTCATTTTATCCAATGACCATTCTTTATTTAGAAATTTCAAACACATACTTGTATGATTATATCATTATTTACTTGAGATGTGCTCCTAGACCTGGATGTTAAAGGTCAAAGGTTTTCCTTGTTTGTCCAGCCGAGTTCCTCATATAATTCCCCAAGTTAAGATTATTCAGTATAAGACATAAATAATTTGTCTACACCCAAACATACACTGATGATAGGAGTGACCCCTCAGTGGACAGGTGACATGATGTCTTTGTTTCAGTTTCTTATCAGAGGAAACATGAGACATGGCAAATAAGTCAGTGACATGAACTTCATGAATGAAAGGAGGTATGAAACAGTTGTTCTTTTCCTGAATGAATTTTCCTTATACAAAACACCACACCTTAAAAATTCTATCTTATTAGTCTTATTTTTGTGTTTCCTTTATTATTAACCTTTCAAGTACATTTACCAAAGCATCTCCATATCCATATATATATAAGAAATTAAGGAGAGGTGGGGTGTAGCTTATGTTATACAGTAACTTCCTTCCTTGGAAGAAATTATTTGTGGACACTCTCAGAATTGGGAGAGAAAGTTGCATTAAGGATTGCACAAGATTGTTCGAACTAGTGATGCAGAAAGAAGGGAAGTCGACTTGTGAAAATGAGCCCTTACTGTACTGTTGTCAGCTGCAAAGTTGTGCTAGAAACCCATGAATATTCTCCAGGAATACCATAAAATTCAGACTCTGGACATGTGTTTGTGTGTAGGGGGCAACCTCTAAATTACCTGTAAGGCCCCATTAGAATTGTCCTGACCTGCTTTACTGGATGCAAGGCTTTATATTTTGAAGTCCAGGAACAGGCTCCAACTGCTCAGCTCCTCTGAATAAAACAAACAAACAAAAAATACCTAAAAACCAGAGACTAACCAATTGTAAAAAGTAAGCCTTGTTATTGGAGGCTTCTTCACTCCTTAATCTTTAGAAGGTCTTTATTCATAAGATTCCTCCCTTCCCAAATTGGCAAAACAAAAATTATTTAATCATCTTATATGTGACCTTTTTAGGACTTTGGTGCACATTTCCTAGATACTGGATCTTTCAATGCATGAGTTATGTGCCAATGTCAACATACAACATATCAAGTTTTAGTGGCACTGCCTTAAAGCCTATGCTGACACAGAAGATAACCCATGTACAAATTAATAATAAAAGACACCAACATAGGACCTATAATGCTATCAGGGAAGCATGTCTAGGACATGAGCATTTTCTCAGCTCATTACATTTACACGCATGCACACACACATGCACGCACACACGTGCACACACTAAAAGAGAGAACCATGTTTTCAAATCAAAGAGGACAAATTTTAACTCAAGACAAATTTGATGGGAGCCAATGGTTTTTCTCAATGTATAAGTTAATCTTACTTGGGATTAATAGCAAATTGCAAAGGAAACCATCAGTATTATTCAATGTTTTCATCATATGGAAGATTAGTTTAACAGGAAAAATAAATATCTTCTAAAAACAGTGTTATTGGCTCCATAGTTATGGTCATTAAACAACAAAAATGTTACTTTTTTTTTAGAGAATTTTTTTTTGAATCATACACTTTTACAGATGGAGTGCAATATCTTATGTTTTGTTCAAACAATTCTGTGAAAAAGCAGCATAATACAATTTTCTTCTGATCTGACATATTTTCGAGTTAAATCTTAGAGCATCTTGGAAAATAAGGAGATGAAGCCATCACTTTTTTTCAAACTCCTGTGTCAAATACTATGTGAGAGGCAGTGTAGGGAAGTGCTCAGAATGCTGGCAGGTCTGGAACTCAAGGCCAACAACTGTATCCAATATATAATTTTCTGACTGCCGGAAAGTTACTTAAACTATTTAACTATAAAATCTGGGAGATACTGTGCTAATCTCATAAGATATGATTAATGTTTGGCATCATACCTGGCATAATAATCAATAAATATTATTATAGTAAGCCTTCCATTATTAGCTACTATTCACATGTTAGTTAATACTTAAATGGTTATTGTAACTTCTCTTGTTTTTCTTTTCTGTAAACAAACTGAGCCATGTTGACATTTAGATAGCCTGTGGTCAAAGCTAGGATCCAAACCTGTCAGGATAAATTTAAATTCTTGCCATTTCTGTTGTGTCTGACACTTGTGGCCTAGATCAAAATGCCTTTGGGGTAAAGAAGTCTGAAATCTATAAATACTGAAATGGACTTTAAGTTGAAGGAAAGATGGAGTGGGAATTTTAAAACTGTTTTTAATTTCTCTTCCCATCTTCAAGTTCAGGGAGCTCAGAGCTAAATCTAAATTAATATCTTCCAATGACATTGACACCATTACTGTCCTTATTTTCTCCCTGAGTTTGTTACATGTGTTTTCTTGAGGTATCTCCTCATATTTTACTAAGTTAGCATATCATAAAAATAATATAGATGGTATAAATAAAGTTTAGAGTTTGAAAAAAGCTCACGTGGTTCAGTGCCTTGGCAACATTTAATAACCAATTCCTACCATTTAAAAATTATAACCAAGGACACAATTTCACACTTTATTTAAAACATATATCTTTTGGGTTTCACATAACATTTTCAATTAGACAAATATCTTCATTTTAGAATAAAACAATAAAAAATACCTAAAACCCAGAAACTAAGCCATTGTAAAATGAGTCTCTAAGTGGCAGAAATAGCACTGTAATCAGCTTAGAAATGGGAAGTAAAATAGCTAGAATCCACTCTCTTTCTATAGGAAAATTATACATTGATACCGGAGTTTTTACTCATTTAGCAAGTTTACTCATTCACTCCTTCCAAACTTATTTCCTGCCTGAAACAATCAGCCTCCTTTTCCACACCACGTCTACTACTCTGACACACAGTTTGATGTTCTTTCTAAAGTAATGTATCACCTCGAGTTTGCCAAATATGTGAAGGGTGTTCCCAAGCCAAGACCCTAAAAGCCTGAATACTAGAGGGTGTTTTGTTTATGGGTTCCTGGGGCAGTGTGCCTGTGTTGGGGTAATTTTACGGGAGGTCCAAATTTTCCTTACAGCAGCCAGGACCCACTGCAAAACAACACATTTGGAGATCTATTACTGCCTTAGGTAAATGGATCCAAGGTTTGCAGGATGAACAGAAAGAAGTGCTGAAGAAGGCCCATTGGCTGCCATTCTTCCATAGCAAGCTTTATGTTCGTTGTCTCTTCATCTCCCAAGTGAACCTGTTACTAAAATGCCAGGAGTGCAGTCTATGTCCCAATGCTCGCTGCACAGAAGCCAAGTAGTGAGTGGAGTATTGCTGGGGAGAAAGGTTTTATTCAGGTGCTGCAGCTGAGAACAGGGGAGATCAGTCTTAAATCCAGCTCCCTGACCAATTAAAATTGGGAAATGCAAAACAGAAATTAGGAAGGGGTAAGGAAGCAATTACAAAGAACAAGGGGTCTGGATGCCATGATCTGTTGAGTCTCAGATTTTACCTGAAGGTTGGTTTCCTAAGGGAGGAACTCAGATAAGACACATGTACATTTCAAGCTTTAAGATCCAGAGATTCAATTCCTATGTTTATTCAAAAAAGTGTAAATACCATTTCTGTGGGACAACTGGGACAGTTTCAATCCAACCAACAATCAAGGTTCTAAAATTTGTCTAATTTCTGCCCATAGTGTTCACAGATTTCTCTGTTTTTTTTAATGCTCATTGTGGTATGCTGCTTGGATATTGTTGCCTGAAAGAATTCTGGACCTTCTGTCCACCCAGGAAAACTCTTCACACTAATTGTTACACTGAGACAAATCTGAATCTGGCTGCCAGATTGTCAGTAAAGTCCTCCCATCAGGAGAAGAGTACACAACACCCAGGACAAAGTGAAGACAGCTGTCTTTAAAGCTATTTCCCTGTGTGTGGCCACCACCATTTCCCTATTCTTTCTTAATAAGAGGCAGTAGGTGGAAGATCATTTATATCAGAGTTTAAGCACACAATTTGGTTAACATGTTTGCTACTGATTTCCATGGACTTCCTTCAAATCCTGTAAATAAGTCCACAAGATGCTCACCCTTCCTTTTCCAGAAAGTCATGCCTCCGTCAGTGCCTCAGCTTCAACCCCAACAGTGTCAGAAATTATATAAGGTCTGAACTTTTGCTGTACTTTCAAATTAAGAAATTATTCTGCCACGGTTTCATTGGGGCTGGCAGGAAGCACAAGACTTCCTTGTAGGAGAAAAAATACTTTATCATAGCAACACTGATGGCCAGAATTTTGGCAATAAAATGGACAAAATGATCACTATGTTAGACTTTAGAGGCTAGATTTTAGAAAGCACAAAAACAGCCAATTTAGGCATGTTTTGTTTTTCATGCAATTTTGAGATCTACTATGTGCTTGCAACGCCACATCCATCCTCCACCTTTTTCTCTCACCTCTGACCCAGGAGGCTGAACTTTATGTACTGTACTGACTGGCCGCCTTGATCTCTGGTTCCTGGTTTAGTTCAACCAACGGAACTTACTAGCTATAGATGAAAGGCCAGTAGTAGAGACGTCTGAGTGAGCATTTATTTCTCTGGTTTCCTCCCTGATGTGTCACAGTCTGGTAGTAGTTGTGAATTATCAAAGCCCATAATTCCTGTCTGGCTGCCTCCTTATACAGCTACCAGTGGTTTTAATAACCACTCTATGCCTAGCCCTTCATATTTAGAAATGGAAAAGTCTTTCTGAATTTGTTGTTCCTTAGATGTTTATCCATACCTTTTTAAAAAATAAATCACTGATGCCCACTATTTTCCCAAGTGAGTAAGCCATCACTTCCCTTCCAGCAATCTTCCTATGATATACAGATAGTAGCAGACAGAAAATATTAACACAATCAAATGGAGTTCTACTTCTTATAGCCCCTTATTGTATCACCACTTCCTGAGGTTCTACAGTGTAGAGAGTTTAGTTTCTTAAGTTTTATCATTCTCTATTTGGGGATTCTGGTTTACTGGTTCTAATAAAACTGTTATTGCATATCCATCTGATTTCCAGTGTTCATAAATGCATTATGATTATTTTCTTTAAAGTTCTACCAATTCTTGTGGGCACAAGCCTTCCTAAAAATATTATTTTACAGGAGTATTATGATCAAAATGGCAGAGTAGGCAGCTCTAAGCTCTTGTTCCACCATAGAAACATAAAAAAGTAGAAAATAAAAAAAAAACACAAAAAAAAAACAGAAGTTTTCTAAACTAGATTTGCAGGGTCTCTGGGAACAGTCAAAGGGTTACAACTAAGGAGATAATCAAGAAAACGCCAGCTTAAAAATGGCATAAAAATCTTTCTTAAATCACCCTTGCCTCACTCCTTTCTTGGGCATAGTAGGTGTATCAGCATTGAATAAGTTGCAATCTACTTCCTAGGCACCCCCCGCCCCCCCCGCCGCGGAACCAGGGGGAGTAGAGTAAACCATATTTGCAAAGTGTTCTCATATGCCTGGAGGCTATTTGAAGAAATAATACAAACACGTACTTTGCATTACTCAGAATGCAGGTGGGAAAGCTGGCAAGCACGACTTGAAAAAGCTACAAGGAGAAGTCAAACCTACAGACACCTGAGACAAGAGATCATGAGTGGAGATGACAATAGATAAACTAAGGTCTGAAGGAAAAGTTGGGGTGAAAATCATTGGGAAATTAGGTTATTGAAAAGCAGCCGTGTATATGGGGGGCGGGGGGTTGTGGTTTAGAAAGTTGCTCATATACTCAGGTAAGATGTGTGCTCAAAGAGTCCCAAGAAGAACTTCCGCTTTCAACTTGGGCTGATCCCAATGCCCAGATTAGGCCTAAGCAGTGAAAAAGTTCCCTGGCACAGAATTGATCTGCAAAGACTGACAGAGGGGGTTATTCTCTTCTTTCTATTCTTTCTTTCTTTTTTTATTTTTTGTTGATGTTTTGTATTCTGCTTTTTTTTTTCAGCCCTTGTCATTCAAGGAAATCTCTGTCAAGATATTAAATACACAGGAGTGAAAGGAAGAGAGACTTTAATGATCATACACGCCAAAAAATAGTGTGTGCAAAAATGGCTTAGAAAATTGTCAAATAGATTACTACAGCCTTAAAAAATTTAAAAAAATCAAAAACTGGGAAAGGGGAAGAATTTTATTTCCAGAGTTACCACATTAAACCAAAGGCCCCATTTTCAACAGCAGCAAAATTACAAGGCATACATAGAAGCAGGAAAATGTAGCTCATTCAAAGGATGAAAATAAATTAAGTAAAACTAATCCAAAGGAAGGCCAGATCTCAAACTTAACAGAGAAAGATTTCAAAGCAACTGTCTTAGGTATGTTCAAAGAATTAAGGAAATAATTGAACACAAAACAAACAGAAGTCAGGAAAACACTATGCAAATAAAGTGAGAATATTAGCAAATAGATTGAAAATATCACAAGGAGTCAAATAGAAATTCTAGAGGTGAAAATTATAATAACTTAAATTTAAAAATTCATCAGAGGGATTCAACAGCAGATTGAACAGAAGAATCTGCAGCTTGAAAATAGGACAGCTGACATTATCCAGCCTGAGGAGCCGAAAGAAAAAATAATTAAAAAAATAAATAGAGCCTAAGAGACACCATCAAGTGGACGAACATACACATAAGTGTAGTCACAAATGAGAAGTAAGAAAAAAAGAGGAAGAAAGATTATTTAAAGAAAAAAAACACATGGCCGGGCACGGTGGCTCACGCCTGTAATCCCAACACTTTGGAAGGATGAGGTGGGCAGATCAGCTGAGGTCAGGAGTTCGATACCAGCCTGACCAACATGGAGAAACCCTGTTGTATTCTACTAAGAATACAAAATTAGCTGGGCGTGGTGATGCATGCCTGTAATCCCTGCTACTCGGGAGGCTGAGGCAGGAGAATTGCTTGAGCCGAGGAGGCAGAGGTTGTGGTCAGCCAAGATCACGAGATCATGCCATTGCACTCCAGCCTGGGCAACAAGAATGAATATCTCAAGAAAAAAAAAAAAAAAAGAAAAGAAAAAAACATGCTGAAATATTTCCAAATTTGAGGAAAAAAATCATAGATATATAAATACAAGAAGCTCAACAAACTCCAAGTAGAAAAACTGGGCCAGGCGTGGTGGTTCATGCCTGTAATCCCAGCACTTTGGGAGGCCAAGGCGGGCAGATCACCTGAGGTCAGGCATTCAAGACCAGCCTGGCCAACATGGTAATACCCCATCTCTACTGAAAATACAAAAAATTATCTAGGTGTGGTTGGTGGGGGGCCTGTAATCCCACCTACTCGGGAGGCAGAGGCAGAAGAATTGCTTGAACCTGGGAGGCAGAGGTTGAAGTGAGCTGAGATCATGAGATCGTGCCATTGCACTCCAGCCTGGGCAACAAGACTGCCAAAAAGAAAGAAAGAGAGAGAGAGAGAGAGAGAGGAAGGAAGGAAGGAAGGAAGGAAGGAAGGAAGGAAGGAAGGAAGGAAGGAAAGAAGAAAGAAAAAGACTCCAAGAAGGCTCCCATCAAAGCACACTGTAATTAAACTGTCGAATGTCAAAGACAAAGAGACAATCTTGAAAACAACAAGATAAAGATAATTTACAATGAACAAGGCAAAAAAAAACTATCAACAGAATTCTATACCTAGCAAACCTGTTCTTTAAAAATGAAGGATAATCCTGACAAACGCAAGCTTAGGGAGGGAATTCCACTAGACCTATCCTTCAAGAAACGCTAAAGAGCGATCTTTGTGTTAAAATGAAAGGACACTAGACTGTGACTCCAAGTTGTATGAAGATGTAAAGATCTCCAGAGAAGCTAAATACATGGGAAACAAGAACCAGTGTTACTGTAACTTTTGTTTATAACTTTTTTCTACAGAATTTCAAAAGCAAATGATAAAAATGATTATAAAACTATGTTATTGGACACACAAGATATAAAGATGTAATTCGTGACATCAATAACGTAAGGGAGAAACAGAGTGGCATAGGACAAAAATGTTGTGTAAGGTGGTATCAATTCAAATTAGATTATAATAGCTGAGAGATTGTATGTCATTTCTTTGGGAACACATAGAAAATACAGAATATACACAAAAGGAATTATGAAGGGAATTTAAATGTTTAGTTTAATTACAAAAAGCTAACCACAAAAGAAGGCAGGAATGGTGGAAATGAGGGAGAAAGGTGTTATATACAGAAAACATATGTCAAAATGACAGAAATAAGCTCTCGCTTCTTACTAATTATTTCAAATGTAAATGGATTATACTTTATGAGGAAAAAGCAGAGATTAGCAAAATGGATTAAAATAAAACAAATTTTGCAATCCAACTATATGCTGTCCAAAAAGACTCATTTTTAAAAATATATATATTTTTTTTATTTCAATAGGTTTGAGGGAGCAGTTGGTGCTCGCTTACATGAATAAGCTCTTTTATGGTGATTTCTGAGATTTTTGGTGCACCTATCGCCAGAGCAGGGTATACTGTGCCCAGTGTGTAGTGACAAAGACTCAATTTCTATGCAAAGACACAGACAGGCTAAAAGCCAAAGGACAGAAAAAAGATTATAGATTAAAGACCCCATTATTTCTTCAGTTTTCTCCCTCTTAGAATGTTTATAACTGATATCGTTTGCCTATTACATGATGCATTTTGAGTACAAGTAGCTTGCTTCTTGAGTTTCTCAAGACAGCTGTTATAATACACTTAAAATCAAATATACTTAAAGATGTTCAAAAGATCTGTTGCTGGGCATGGTGGTTCACGCCTCTAATCCCAGCACTTCGGGAGGCCGAGGCGGGCAGATCACTTTAGGTCAGGCGTTTGAGACCAGCCTGGCCAAAATGGTGAAACCCCGTCTCTACTAAAAATACAAAAATTAGCTTAGCCGGGCATGGTAGCATGCATCTGTAATCCTAAATACTTGGGAGGCTGAGGCAGGAGAATCGCTTGAACCCGGGAGGCAGAGGTTGTAATGAGCCGAGATCGCGCCACTGCACTCAAGCCTGGATGACAGAGCAAGACTCTGTCTCAAAAAAAAAAAAAAAAAAAAAAATCTGTTACAAGCATCCTTGATTTCCTTGATTTTAAGAAAAAGGAAAAACAATACAATAAATTGGCTTGTCCTTGAACATGATTAAAAATGTGTGTCTCAGCCCAGAAGGCATAGGAGATGCAGTCCCTACAGAATCCGAGCTGACCACTGTTATTTAATGTTCACTGAACACTTTAGACAAAACAACTAGAAAAGCAAAGGAAATTTGACATTCGTAATTGGAGATGAGTTAAGTCATCATATATTTTTATTTAATATAAAAATTTAATTATTTGATGCTTTAAAAAGTAAAAAACAGGGTACAAAAATAATGTATTTAAATCAATAGCTTTTTCAATTAATAATGCAAGATGAAAAACAAATAATTTAATGAAATGCTTAGAAAACTGCTGACACACACACATGAAAAAATAAATGAAAATTTATGTTCTTGCATAAAATAATCAATTTATAAAGTTAACCTATACCATTCAGTAAAATTTCAATATAGATAACAAAGGCATTTTCAAATTGAACTTAGAAAATGTAATCCTAAAATTTACATGGAAAGGTACACAAACAAATATAAGCAGGAAGTGTGAAAAAGCAGATTAGTACCCTACCAGGTTTAAGGATATATTGGCAAATTTACAGTATTCAAAGTGTGTAGTACTGATGTATGAAGAGAGACAAAGAGAAACCAAGTAAAGTAGAAACTCCAGAATTAGACACAGTTGTGTACAGGAATTTAGGGTATGGTTGTATTGACACACAAGAACATAATTCAAGAAGTGATGTAAGGATGACTGGATAGCCATTTTAAAAAAAAAAACAAAATTAGATTTATATATCATACCCTGTAACAAAATAAATTCTGAGTGGATCAGCAATGTAAACATAAATCATAAAACCCCAAACCAAGAAGGAAAACTTGGGAGAACTTCTTTATAATCTTTATAATCTTCTTTATAATCTTTTCAATCACCTTTTTTACCTATACTCTAACACAAAACTCCAGAAGGCGAAAAAGAAAATAATTACCCAATTAACATAGATAATATGTAAAAATAACAACAATAACAATAAAACCACTGTGTGTCTGAATAACAGGCAAGGTCTCTAACAGAAAATTATGTTTCTTTGGGAATGAGCATTGCAATGGCAGTACACATGCCATCATACACTGTGTGTCCATGCGCATGCTCAGGGAGGTAAGGGGATACAAAGATTTCCAATGAAGAAGGAAAGAGGATTAAATCATTGTTTTGAAATAAGTATCTTTGGCTACAAGAATCAATAACAAGGGTGGCACCAGTCTGAGAGTGGACAGGCAATTCCTGGGCAGAAGTCCTAGAAGAAGTATTTTGTTTGTTTGTTTGTTTTGTAAGTTGGCGAGGCCATTGTGCAAGGCTGTGGCTTTTGAACAGTCTTTTGTGACAGTTCTTGTTATGAGACATTCGTACATGAGACCCACTCCTTCATGGCCTTCCTCGGCTCCATTTGTCTGGGTTTTTTAACACATTGACTTCATTTTGATTCTGACAACTTTCACACAACTTTCTACCATTAAAAACACATTTTTAATAAGGTCTTTTCTTGTAACAGTAGAAGTTGGGAAAAAAATCCATCAAGAATAGACAGGTTAATAAATTATGCCTCAGCCTTACTGTAGAATGAGAGATAGGAATGACAAAACAAGATTATGGAAACTGAATTTGTAACATATGTATGTGTATGCGAGAGAGAGAGAGAGAGAAAGAAAGAAAGAATTTAAGATAAACTAAGTGATATTAAGTGTTCAAAACTTGTAATAAAACAAATAATAGACATTCTTTTGGGGAAGACAAGGGCAGAAGGGGTATACCATTGTTAGAATAATTTTGTTTTCTACCTTTCCTAGTCAATTTGGACTTTGAACCATGTGACCATGTTACCTATTCAGCAATTACAATGTAAAAATATACGTTAGTTAATATATGACAATGTATGTAAAAAGATTAGGGAAAAATGAGAAAAGTATACAATAGCTTTGAGTATCATGAGTATCATGTAGAAAATAAAGTGGAGAAAAAGGAAGGGAAAGAGTTGGCTATTTGATATAAAATGAGAAAGTAATAAAGGAAAGATTAACTGACTTTGTAAGATATGAGTAGCAGAAAAAATAGGGGAGGTGAAGAAGAAAACCCCAAAGTTATTAGAAGTGAGCATTCTAGGAAGAAGAAACAAAGTGCAAAGGTCCAGATTTTGTATGAATGGACCATTTGAGAAAGAGAAAGATGGTCCACCTGGTTGTAGCACAGAGAGAAAAGTGGAGGATGGCCAGAGAGGTGATCAGGGGAATTTGCAGAACATGATACCTTGAAAATAATTTTAAGTCATTGGAAGGATTTAGGAATTTACTCTGAGTGAGATGGGAAATATTAAAGCATTTTGAACAAAATAGTGGAATAATGTGTCTGTTTTAAAGGCTCACTCTGTCTGCCATGTTGAAAATGAAAGAGGGTGAGCTGAAGGATAGGAAAAGAGGATTCTCCCAGAAAGCCAAGGAATACTCAATGATGGCTGAAGCTAACTGGTCCTAGGGTGTAAAATAAAGAAAAAAAATCAAGTATGACTCCTAGATTTTTTCCCAAGTAATTGAAAAGGTGAAGGTGTTTTTTTATTTAGGTGGAAAAGATTGAAAGAGGAGAGATTGAGAATTGAGATTTGACGGTGTTAAAGTTGAGTGACTGATAGACATTCCTGGGAAGATATCTGGCAGGTAAGTGGATAGTAGAGAATTCTAACCTGGAAACAGGTTTTTGGAAATCCCTAGTGTATGGAGGGTATTGTAAACATCAGAGATTGGGTTATAGTTCACTGAGGGAGGGGGTTGAATTGAAAAAGGGAGAATTCTGAGTGGTGAGTCTTAGATTTCTACAAGTTGTATTTGGGGATATGAAAAAAAAAAAGCAGCAAACATGATTCAGAAGGAGCTACTGATGTGAAAAAAGGACCAGAATAATGTGGTCCTATGGAAGCTATGTGAAGGAGGAGTTTCAGGGAATAGGGAGCAATCCAACTTGGACTGTGAATTGATCACTGGGTTTAGCATTATGGAAGTCTTGGGGGATAGAGAGTAAGTCTACTTAACTTCAGTGATAGATTCTTGGAAAGTTTGACTTTACATGAAATGAAATAATAATAAAACCAGGTTTACCATTCATAGGAGAAGGTGCAAACTCCACACAGACAGGGGCCTGGGCTAGGTATCATATTTTTTCATCAGTGTTTTAACTAAACAATGCTGAACAAAACAATGTTATTTGAGGACTTGTTATAATCATGAGCAGGTTCAGTTGGTTATGCAAATATCTAGACTGGAGTGGCTTCAAGAGAAAATGAGAGGCTGCTTAGAAAATTCCTGTGAGGTGATTGGATTTAGAGGGAAGCAAAGAATGAGGTGGGAGCTGGAGATTGCAGTGTGGTCAATACAGAGATTTTTATTTTTAAAAAAGATATTCATTGCAACATGTTTGTATACTGATAGAAATGAATCAATAGAAAAAATAAAATTATGGTGAGAGAGAGAAAACTATCGACTTTGGGGCAATGTCCCTGAGTTGGGGAGATAGAATGTGACCTCGCAGGTGCAATGCAGAGGCTGGATCTAGATGGGAGTGTAAGTAGTATCTACAGACAAGCAGGAGGGCAGGAGGAGGCACCGGGCAGGTACACCTGAACACCTGCAGGGGCAAGGGGCGGGGGGGCTGTGAAGATCCTCCTGTCATTGCTTCTGTTTTCTCAATGAAATAAAAAGCAAATTTAGCATCTGAGAGGGGGAAACGGATGAGGGATCTTATTATTATTATTATTTTTGAGACAGAGTCTCACTCTGTCGCCCAGGCTGGAATGCAGTGGTACCATCTCAGCTCACTGCAACCTCTGGCTCCTGGGTTCAAACAATTCTTGTGCCTCAGCATCCTGAGTAGCTGGGACTACAGGCATGCACCACCACGCCTGGCTAATTTTTTGGTATTTTTAGTAGAGACAGGGTTTCACCATGTTGGCTAGGCTGGTCTCGAATTCCTGTCCTCAAGTGATAGGCCCATCTCGACCACTGAAAATGCTGGGACTAGGCGTGAGCCACTGCGTCCAGCCTATTAGCATTATCCTTAATTAGCTTAACTTTTTTTAATTACCATAGCATTATCATTCTCTTTCTATATTGATTTACAGCTGATAAATATACATAATTTTTAATACAATGAAAAAAATAATGTGAACATTTTCAATGTGAGAACTGCATGGTGAAATAATATCCTGGTATTTATCTTCACTAACTCTTCTAATTACCCTCTTCCCCTAATAGAGTATTTACTTTAAAATAAGTGACGTCCACCAATATAATTCTCTCAATATAATTATATTTGAATTAATATTCCACCAATCTTATTTAGCTTTTACATTAAAAATAGCTTCAATTTACCTTTTCTAATTATTTTTATTGTGCCTACTAAAATACAACTGGCAATGCACTGTCTTCTGTTCTTTCTACACAGCAGCTGCTCAGTAGCAGCCCCTCTCCCTTTCTCCCTCTCTTGCATTCTCGCTCATTTCTCCCTCTATCTCTATTTATTTCAGCCTCTGTTTAGCATTTCTTAATCTTTGAGCAAACTTATTCTTCTCCAACCAGCCCAGACTGTTAACTTAGAGCTGTATCTCAAATACTATGTTTCACAGAAGACAAACATAAGCCCTCTAGGCCGTATTGTATAATAAGAATTATGTAATTCTTATGATGGTGTAATGTGCAGAACATCTTAACGAAACAGTTTCCCATCAAGAATACGTCATGCATCATGTGGCCTGCATGGACTCCAGAAAGGCAGAGAGAAACATCGACAGTGTAAAACATAATGCTTGTAAAATATGATGGATGGGAAGCTGAAAAGAAAAGGTAAAGCAAAGTATAGTTTAGTCACAGTTTAGCCAATTTGGCTAAAGAACTAAGGGCAAAAATAAAGCTCAATGTAGAAAATAGTTATATCTGAGCACAAGACATTTATTTACAGTATTTAACTATTATTCTATGTAATATTGAAATTGAATGTGAGTGTTTCTGAGAATAAGATCTCTGATTGAGAATATTATCTATTTTTTATAAGTCCTTTACTATTATTTTGGTTCAAAATTTAGATTATATTATTTTGTCTCTCTAAGTAGGCTCAATAATCACTTAGGATTGGTTCCTGTTCCAGTATTACCCCAACAAAAATTTAAAAAATGAGAAAGTTGTAAATGATACCCTGAGAACATATATTTAGACATGACACGTCTGCCTATAGAAAGAATATGTCTGCTCCGTATGCAGAGATGCGACCAACACACATTGCATATGGGGGTGGTCATAGCCTGTGTTTAGTCACATGACCTGGCAGAAATCTAGTGCTTTCTAATTGATAAGCTCAAGGGTTTTGACTTTAAAAGAAACTGAGAAAGTACGTTTAATCCATGCAGAAATAGCCATAGTTTGTATTTACATAAAGATGCGCCTCATGCTTCATCTCTTCCCAGGACTCCTCCAAAAATTCATCCCGTCAAGAGACTCATTCTCACCAATTGGGAAGTAGAGGCCTAAGAGAGGCTGGACATTTGGGGCAACACCCTGCTTGCAGTTGAATGGGACCCCACACTTTCTTCTTGCTAATCCTGTCTGTTTGCTTGCACTAGAGCAATTAGATGAAATTGTTAAAAAGAACGCAGAGAAATAAAAATATACCCATCAAATGACCACAGAGAAAATAATGAACGAAAGAGTAGCTGAAAATGGCCTATGAACTGGGTGGGCGTCGTGTCTAGTGCATGAGTCCAGAGCATAGGTTGAGTCAGCTGCCTCTGAATTTCTGTTTCCTCTTGAGCAAGTTTCTTAATGTGTCTCTGAATCACTTTCCTATTCTATAAAATGAGGAAGGTAATAAATACTGGTTCTGAGTTTTAAATAACTTAGCTTGTAAAAAGATTAGCACAGATGCTGGCAAAAAAAGCTCTGCATAAAATATTGATTAGCTTTAAAAATTCCAGGTTAGTCCTTGTGCATGAGGTAAATCTGATTATTCAGGCAGAGTCCCTGACGTCGATAAACTTTCTATTACACAGAAACAATATTGGCAAAAACCATGCAGAGACATATGTGTCAACTAGAATGAAAACTCCATAAGAAGAGAGACTGGCTCCTGCTGTGTCCCCAGCACGTGCAGTCATCACAAGCGCATAGAAGGGCCACAATAAATATGGGTGGTATACATAGAAAAATTGGCCTATATGAAGGATCTTGGCCAATTTGTTTTGGCACACAGCTGTGCTGGAGCAAAGGGTTTTCAGAGACAAATTAAGCACATGCTTACATTTGGCATTAAGAACTCTGCCAAGACAGGGGCTGACCAAATCCACAGGGATGACAGAGTGGAGAGCTGTAGAGATTATGTGCTGTGGAAGGAACTTGCATCTACATCCCTAAAGAGAATAGGGCCAGCTGTCATTCTTGGCTGCAACAAGAAATACCAGTGCATTCTATTCTACATGACAAATCTGGCAACAACACATTCCTCTGCTTCTGTCTCTCTCTCTCCTCCCTCCCTCTTCGCCTCCCTCCTTTCCCTCTTGGTCTCCTTTCTCCCCTTGTGCCCTTCATTCTTCCTTTCCTCCTTCCTTTCCCCCTCTTCCTCCTGCTCTCTTTCTTTCCATATCTTACCAACCGTCCACATGAAAGTAAATTATTAGCGAGCTTGATGAGAAATATTTATGGCTGGTATCATTGACCTAGAGAATTAAAGATGTATCAGTATCATACAAATACATTTTTCTTGGAAAGAATTTCAGAATCTTGAAAGATGAACACTAAGATACCCAGGAGGGCCACCCCATCTTTGAGTTCGATGTATTCCTAACATCCCCCTACCTATAGCGAGAAATGTGATGTGAACTAACTTCATGTTAACCACCTGGGCTACCTGAGACCGGACATGGAAGCATCACAACATCGATTTTGAGATGACATTTACTTGTCCAGTTCTCTGGCAGGAAACTGAATGGAATGGGCTAAAGAATGCGGTCTTATAGGTAATTTTAGAGTTTAGATACAACTTTTAAAATTTGTGTTTTGATAGTTGCAAAGCCTGTTAGCTTCTCTGCCTCACAAATAAATCTTTATGTTGTCGAAATTAAGTAAAAATGATATTGTCCGGAATTATTAGTTGTGTGGGGGGCGATGAGGGTGGGGCTGCTGCAATGGGTTTGGTGTCATTGAAACCAAGGCACAGAAGAGCGAAGAAGACCCTAAGCATCATCCTGGAATAAGGTTTCCTACCTACAGCAGTGAAATTCATATAAGTTTTCCTGACTTACCTACTCATGACAAGCAGATCCCTATCATAGAGGGGAATCCTTCCCAGCCACATGGGGGAGAAACCCAAACAAATGAATCCACAAGGAGAGCCAGTCCCTATGCAGGCGATACACAGAGAGGCATCACTGTCACACGAAAACAGAACTCAAGAAAAGTAGCTCTATTTTGCAGCCTTCTGAGTATAGGGGAAGATATTCTTATGTTGTGTTTAATTAAGACAAATATACAAATGTATATGCCTATCATATGATTTCATTTCTATTACATTTTTGTAATAAATAATAACATAGAAAGAAGACTATTCCAAGATTTATGTAATCATGTATATTCTCCCTTAACTATTAAGTTTTAAGTTTCTCTATATAATATGCACGTGTAGTTTCTGATGTAGGAAGGTTTCTATGTAATATTTTTAGGTACCTTAAAAGAATTATTTCTCACATTTTGTAAATGTGTATGTATTTCATGCCATTTATTTTTAAATACAGATTTTATGGTCAAATATTTTTGACCCAAAGATTTTGGATAAAAACTTGAACCCAGAATGTCTCTTGATTTAACCATTAACAATTCACTTGCAAGTCAAAATCCAGCAAAACAGATTGAACAGTGTTTTCTACATTTCACTTTACAAGTCAGTTATGCCACTTGCTCTAATGTGTCTCAGCAATATGATAGCTGTATTTCACAGACTTGTAATTGTCCATCATTTAATGCAAAACCTCCCATTTTCACCCTCATATTCAGGTTTGATTTGTTTGATATAATCACATTAACACTAGAAGTATATTACAACTTCAAGATAGTTTACTTATGAAAAGCTAATTCGTTTGTGCTACGGAATAAATAATTGATTATGCAGATAATGAAGCAAACATCTAAAGATAAAAAACAGCATGTAATTGACATTTCCCTTGGCAAACTCACTAGAGATTGACAAGAACTCACTTTCATTCTGAGTATCAGTTACATATTTTTCTTAATGTCATAATCTTTTCAAAGAAAAAGATAAAGAGATTTTTGCTGTTCATAATTATGGATTTTTAGAGCTTTTTCTATATATTGGGATTAATTTAATTTGTCTAAATGAATAGCCTAAATAATGCAGTCCATTACAAATTGTTGTCTCAACTTGAGGGCCTAGATCTGAAACATCATTTAGACAAAACTAATGAAATAATCCTTATCTGAATGCTTTAAAGAAGCTAAGGAAGTAAATGTCTATTCTGCTATTTCTACAAGGCAACAAGTCACAGTACTCAACACATAATCAAAGGAAACATT
The DNA here is from genome assembly GCF_000001405.40 of Homo sapiens. Taxonomy (NCBI): domain Eukaryota; kingdom Metazoa; phylum Chordata; class Mammalia; order Primates; family Hominidae; genus Homo; species Homo sapiens. Next base: position 53,113,426 of record NC_000007.14, read on the forward strand.
TAAAATAATCTCTGTGATCTAATTAAAAGTACAATTAAGGAAACTTTAATGATTATCACTGATGAACTTCTGTAAAAGTCACATTTTAATAGATAAACTTTTGCTTTTGAAAAGAAAAAAAAGAGTAATAAAGCATTCCATTTTCAGGAGAAGTCCACTTGCCGTTGAAGTGCTTTTGACAGCCGTGACAGCAGTTGACAGCAGTGAGCCGGCTGTGAGCCTTGTATATAGGGAAGCCCTGTGCTGACTTATTCTGTAGAACTGTAATTCTCCTTCTGCCCCCCAACTCTGCTGTGTCCTAGAAAAGGCGGTGTGATTTGGGGACACAGTGGATTCCCTGGTGCTCTCTGACATTATTAAAAACAAAAATTAAAAACAAAATATTTTTTCTCCTGCCAACGGCTTTACAAACAGGTAACATATTTCCATAAGTGCCATCTTTATCTGATTTTCATATTATTTTTAAGAGTTATAGAAGCTATTATTGCCATTAATATGCAAATGAACACAAATATCACCATCAAAACATGAACAAAAATTGCAGCCCAGGGAGGTGAAGGGATTTGACCTAAATCTCAAAGTAAATCATGAACAAGGACAAGACCAGGGGCTCCTAGTGACTTACTTGTGCAGTGCGCTTTCCACTACATCAACTGCCTCTCTATAAGAGCAGCCAAAACTTTGCTTCCTAAGAGGCTCTTAAAGCTTTCTTTGAGAGATATTTATGAAACCCCATTAGCTGGTGCCTGAAATAACAGTAAAATCTATAACTGGTGTAATTTTTCTACTGGCTTTCTTGCGTTTGAAGCATCCTGAAATTATGCATCCCTCCAGAAGGGGTAAGTGGACCTGCATGGAATCCCTGATCCTGCTGGAAGAGGTAAACGATCAATGCTAAGGCTGAAGGAGAAAAGAAGTGCCCCTTTGTTCCAAGGCTTTGTATATTCACAGGACACCAAAGCTGAAGGAGGAGCTGATAAGATCATTGACATGAACGTGTAGGAATTTACAGTTTATATAGCCAGGTTACCTATCTATCACATTTAATTGTCACAGTGAACACAGGTGGTAAATGTGATTGTCCTCACTTTACAGATGAGAATCCTGAGCTAAGATAAGTGCAATGAACTTACCCAAGGTCAGATGGCTAGAATGGGGCAAGCCAGGATTCAACTCCAACTCTACTCACTCCCATGTATAGATGGCTGCACACAGCTGCAGGGTATATGTAAGCAGTCCCACAAGAGCGTGAACATGTACACACGTGTGCAAATGCCTATTTACCCCCACCTTTCAAAAGTCCTCACCATTATTTGATTTGTGTTATTTTGAAAAGAAGTTTGGCTTTTCATACTTTTTCTAAAATGGATTAGACAATTATTTTGTTTCTTCTTTCCTCTCTCCCATGCCTCTCCCTCTGCACACCCTCCACAAGCACATCTTCCTTCTTAGACTAGTGAAACTGGCTCCTGCCTTCAGCTGGGGAAGCACAGGGAGAGGAACAGAGTAGGGAAGTTCAGGCAGCTTTGCGCTGCTGCAGTGTGGTAGCAGCCCACCCACGTGGTTCCTGATTGGCAGCAAGATGGGTAGTGTGGCAGGACGGATTTTTAAAATTTTTAATTAGTTTGAATTTTAAAACTAATATGCAATTTAGTTTTGGGGAAACTTCTAACTATATCTGCGACAAGTTGGGTTTGTGGGTCTACTTTTCACCTGCACATTTTACGGAATGTGTATAGAGACCAAGTGTTGCGATGTGCTGAAGTATAAAACATGTAAAACATCTTAAGACTTTTATGTGATTACATGTTGAAATTATTCTATTTTGTATATATGGGGATAAAGTTTTAAAAAATATACCAAAAGTTGATTTCTCCTGTATCTTTTTACTTTTAGAAACGTTCTTATTAGCAATTTAAAGTTACATTCGTGGTTCACATATTTTCATTGTATAGTACTGGGCTAAAGAGGAAAGAAATACATATATTTAAGAACTATCACTAACAGATATTTAATGATATTGGCCCTGAATCTATTTTATTTTCCAACATTTATTTCACCTTCACTGTAAATTCCTTAGCTGTATTTTCATTTTGAAAGGTTTTGAAACAGAAACAAGTAACTAGCTGTCCTGTGGCGTGCCAGGCAGGGCCTCGGCCTCATCTGATTCAATGTTTGTTTTTGAATGTTTATTAGCACATCAATTAAATACTTGTCAGGGTAATTTCTTCTCTAACACCCATGACCCTTAGCCAATCGCTCACATGTCATCTGACAATTCAGATTGTAATAAGTGCATTATCATATCCTAATAATAATATTAATAATAAAAGTAATAACTTTTGGATACCTTTTATATAAAACTACCTTTGAGATTCCCCATAGGGTTCCTGAAAAATCACAAAGTTTTATTCTTTCACAACATAAAATAAAGATAACAGAAATACTAAGTGTTGTTTTTTGACATGTTACTACTGTAAGAGATATATAAAAATTATCTATTTGAAGAGATGCTCAGCCCTTCCTAATCATCTGTAGGCAACATTTTGTTAGCATGAATATTTCAGAAATTGCTTTGTGTCACAATTTAACATTTGTAATTCTGTTTATTGGCTGCCTTGGTGTTTATTATATAATTTTGTGTGTGTATAATATTATATTTACTATATGTTGTATATCTAGTATTATATATAGTGTATGTATATATGTATATATAACACTATAAATAGTATTAATGGTGTTCTATAACTATGTACATATAAAATATTACACATATATAGGAATAATATAACTGTGTACGTATACATAATATAAATATTAGGGGAATTAATACATGCTTTCTCCGATTGGGGAGCTCAATGCATACTTTCAAAGTTTGTGATTTTATGGATTTATGGAAATAGCCCCTAAAAATTAGTAGGATTCAGAAGGATGTGTATAAATAGATGAGAGCATTTGAGACAAGAACCTGCAGAAATAAAGAAAAAGGAATTAAAATTCTATATACTGTGCTCGAAAAACAACTAGAAGATTGACTGGTTATAACTTAAATTTCATGGTAGACATCATTCCTCAAACCAATAAACAAAATTCCAAAATATATGTGCTCTTTGAAAGGCTTAGAGCTTCTGGAAAAAAGAGATGAAGAAACATTGTATGTGTTTAAATTAGTTTTCCTGGTGTGGTAATATTAGTGAGATTTTATATCATAAAAATATGTCATAGCAGGGCACAAATTTATTTGTTCTTTAAGACTTCAGTAATATTTTGAATATGTCAGCAGCCCAAAAAAGGGTAGCAGAGAGGAGCATGGGTAGAAATAGGTGGAAATTATGCTTGTATCTGGAAGCTGGGGGAGAGGAGGGCATATGGGAAAAAAATACTTTCCTTCCTGTAAAACTAGTGATATAACAGTAGGAACAGATTTAGAATTACTTTTTTTTAAAATATGCATTTTAGCCACTTTTGCTTTCTGTGACTTCTGAGTCATTTCAACTCTAGGGTTCTCAGTTTAACCGTAAGTGGGATCTACCCCAAAAGACTGTTGTGAAGATAAAATGGGGTCATTTTGCTAAAACACATTATCACCAAACAGTGATCAGTGTCAGTGTCCATTTCCTAATGTTTTAAGAAAAGCAGCTACCAGTTAAATAATCATTTCTTACCTAAGTACAGAGACTTAGGCTCAAACGAGCAAAATTAACAACTCTTGATGTGTGGAGAAAGTAAGGATAATTAATTATATTATTTAAAAAGTATAATGTCATTTATATTTCTGACAGTAAATAATTTATTTTTTAAGCTCGCTCCTTAATCTGCAAGTAATAACACAAGAATTTGAAAATAAACCTCTGTTACCAGCATTGCTGACAATATAAATCTTGTTGAATAATGGGGACATCAAATGAAAATATTTAACTGTACCATATCAAGAGGCTGTCAGTACTCTAAAAGTGCAAGAAAATCTGTGTGCTTATGTGTGTGCGTTTAATGAAATGCCTGTCTGGTAAGGTGACAATTAAGAAGGGACCTAAAGAAAGTGAGGCAGTGGAGTGTGGATTCCTGAGAGGAATAATATTACAGTCAAAAAGAAAAGAAAATGCAAAAGTCCTGAGGCGGCTGTGTGCTGCGGCTGTTTTAGAAACGTTGAGGCCAATGAAGCCAAAGCCAGTGAGTGACAGGGAAACTGATGGGGTGGAGTCAGGAAGGTAATAGACACGCAGACTTTTAAAAGAATCTTGAGGTTCATGTAAGGTCTTTGGTTTTCATTCTAAATGAGAAGATAACACATTGGAAGGTAAAGCAGAGAAGTGATACAATTGGGTACATGTTTAAAAAGAGTCACTCTGGCTGCCATGGAGAGGACTGTGTGTGTGTGTGTGTGTGTGTGTGTGTGTATGTGTGCATGTGCATGCATGTGTGTCAACTAGACACAGGAAGAAGTGGGGGAATAGGTAAGTGCCTAGTTGATGATGGTGATGTGGTCTAGGATGGTAATAAGAGAAATGGGGTAGCTACCCCAGTGTTTATAGATGCACATGTAAATATATTTATCCAAGGTTTTAGGTTGTAAAATATAATAACGCATTCCCAAATACTATTGCCTTGTCAGAATTCCTTTTTTTGTTTATTCCCAATTATTTGGATTACGCATGTATATTCGGGCTAAACATGTACTCCCAGAGAAATGCAGCCATGGTCATGGCCTAAAGAGGGAAGAAAACCAGGTAAGACCCTCCTTACAGAATGATGTTAGGTTTATTTGTTTGTCATGTAGTCCAAAAGGAGAGTTTACAACTATACTGCTTCAAGCAATCAAAAGACTTCTATGTGATTTTTTCCTCCCTGCATGTCATTTCCTTCTCTAGGCTGTGCAAAAAGAAAGGTTACACACACTTTAAAGATGAATACATCAAACAATTACAGCCCTGAATAGTCTCATGCACTAATGATGGGATCCTAAATTAGTTTAATATTTGGGGATGGCAATCAACATTTAACAGAAGGTTAATAAGATGTATGCTTTTTGACAGAGTCATCTTGCTTCTAGAAATTTGCCTTAATAAAATAGTAAAGTACATTTGAAAAAAATTAGATGCAAGATATAGTTGTAAAATATTGGAAGTAAAGTAAGTTTTCATGGTGTGGAATTGAATTAAAATATTCCACTTGTTAAAATTGATAATGGAATGTTCAATACTTGATAAAATGTATACAAAAATCTTGCTAAGCATGCTAAATACATTAAAGATAGTTTTTATAAAAATTTATACAAAAGTATAGGTAGATAACTAAATAGATAATCTCATTACTGTTGTATGAATGTCCCCCAAATTGCATGTGTTGAAACTTAATTGCCAATTTGACATTATTAAGAAGTGAGGCCTTTAGGAGGTGATTAAATCACGAGGGTACAATTTCATGGATGAAATTAGCAACCTTATAAAAAGTTGGATGGGGTGAGTTCCCTCCTTTCATCCCTTCCACTGTGTGAATCTATAGCTTCTGTCCCCTCAGAAGGATGCAGTAACAAGGCATAATCTTGGAAGTAGAGGTTAAGCCCTCCAGAGACATTAAACCTGTTGGCTCCTTGAACTAAGACTTCTGAGCCTTCAGAACTCAGGGAAATACATTTCTGCTGTTTATAAATTACCTAGTCTGTGGAATGTTGTTATAGCGGCACAAATGGACTAACACACACACACATATACACGCACACACACATACATATATGTGTGTGTATATATATATATATATGCATACACAGACACAAAATTTTTTCTTTTTGATATTTTATTTCAACAAGCAACATCTATTTTGCTGTTAAAATCGAATTATAGGATTTTTAAACAAAATATATAGTAACTTAGTTAAAATGTTGTTCTTCATTGCCTTTCCTGTAAATTTTAAAAAATCTGTCTTCTCTGAGTTAGAAATAGCATTTAACTCAAAAATCATAAAACAAAACAAAAATTTATTTTATCTGCTCTTTCTCTGATTTCAGTTTTTTTCTTAAATTACACTCTTTGATAAACATTATCACTCTGTTCTGCCTGTCTTAGCTGTAGAGCTTAATTACCACCACTTTTTACTTATCTCTCTGGACATTCCACTTTTTTCTGGTTAAAAATAACCCCTTCTTTCCGTAATGAATCATTCGTAATGAGTACATTCCAAGGTACTCATTGCTAAGGTTTGTCTGAAAGCTATTCTTGAGAGTTTGTTTTTTGAGAGTCAGACTGGCTTTTTCCTGACCCAGATTTCTTTTATTCAACATAAGCTTTGCACTAGGCTGTCACTAAGCAAAGGAGAGTCAGGCAGGACCTGGGCCTTAGGGTTACAGATGGCTTGTGGCCCTGTTTCCGCATTCATTGTATTCTGCATTAAGGAACTGGTTAAAATGCAGGGTGAACTGGCTCTGCCTCAGCGTGATTTATACCACAAACATTCCCTCCTGTGAATAACAGCAATCAGTCCACAGGCACATGCTTCTTACACTTCTCCAACATTTCTTGTCCTTTGTACCCATAGAAAAGTAATGCCATTAAAGCTTGTGTGTTGCGCCTGTGCCGGCAGAGACAGACGCTGGCAAGAACTACTGTTCAACAAGCAATAATGAACAAACCCCACATGCGTCAGGTTTATTGAAGTAGGCAGAGTGAGAAATTTGAGGTTTGAGTGACAGGTGTGTTTAGTTAATAGAAAAGATGCATTATTTAACTTTTTAAATCTTTTTTTTACAAATCATATAAATGTAATCAAATTTTACATATTGAATTCTCTTTTCTCAGTAGTGTACAGCATCCGTCTTCGTGGTTCTCCACCTTTTCCAAACTGTGGGTGTTAAGGTACTGAGAAGTTAGTGTGCTCATTATGGCAGTGACACATGGTGTCTGAAGAGTAGTTTGGAATACTATACAACCTCTGTCATCATTAAATTTGCATAGATTTAGTTCTGCATGTAACATGCTTGAAGTATCCTATCGATTGCTCACATGAGTTTCCACATTGACACTGAATGTGAACATTATTGTTTTTATGAAACATTTAATTAGATCTACTCAAAGTATCAAAAATTACACAATTTAGCTCTAATTACATTTTAAATATTTGTTAGTCATAATTCACCTTTGCCTTTTTATTATAAGAAGCCATTTTGAATATTAGAATAAAAAAAACTTTGAAAGCCTATATAGAAGCTTTTGTGTTTAATAACTGTATTTTAAAAAATTCAGGCTGGGCGCGGTGGCTCACGCCTGTAATCCCAGCACTTTGGGAGGCCAAGGCGGGCAGATCACGCAGTCAGGAGATCAAGACCATCCTGATTAACATGGTGAAAACCCGTCTCCACGAAAAAATAAAAAAAATTAGCCGGTGTGGTGGTGGGCGCCTGTAGTCCCAGCTACTCGGGAGGCTGAGGCAGGAGAATGGCATGAACCTGGGAGGCGGAGCTTGCAGTGAGCCGAGTTGGCACCACTGCACTCCAGCCTGGGTGACAGAGTGAGACTCCGTCTTAAAAAAAAAAAAAGTCAAATTTTGTACATTTTGAATATATTTATATTTTTAATCAGTTTGACCATTACTTTCGAAAGAAAATATTATGTAAACATCACGATAAAAATTACATAATTTGTAATGTTACAGTGGAAGTAGAAGAAACAAATTATACGTAGGAAACATATATAAATGTATGAATTATCTGTTTATTAAACAAATAATTATTTGGTTACATTTATATTTTAACTATATTTTATTAATCAAATACATTATATAAGTTTATTTTATTAACCAAGTTTATTTTATTCATCCAAACCTCTCCTGCCCATAACAGAACACCCAATGGCAATAACAGCGGTTGGTATTTCAGCAATTAGAGGTCACATAAGTATAGCTTTGCATCTAGTTTTCAATTTGTTAATATACAGCATTTTTTTGCCATTCTAGTAGGGCAAAACACTTTTTATTTAGCAGTTTATCAACTCGATTAATCTTTATTTTAGTTACACGGTGTGTGAGTCTTCCTGTGTCCGTTTGCTGTGGACACTGGAAATGTGAAAGTTTGTCTGTCTGAAGAAGGCCCTGGTGACACAGCAGCAGCCTCTCCCCCAAACACTGGAGCTGGATTTAGAGCTGGCCAGTTAGGGAGATTAAAGTGAGCATGGTACTTCAGAGTCAAGCTTGAGCAGACAGAAAATAGTGGAAGTGGGGTAGAAGGCCCGCAAGCTTGGCATTGCTGGAGTGTGATGTGGAAGGAACAGTGCAGCAGAAGACAAAAAAAGATGTAAGTAGGCTTGACTCAGTGCAGCTAAGAACCCAGATGTTATCTTGAGGGTGTTAACTAACAAGGAGTTTAAATCAGAATGGCACATTCTGATTTGTTTTTTGTATGTTCACATTTGGCAGGCATAGATACTGTTTGAAGAGAGGAAAGTCAGTAGACAGAGGTAACAAAGTTAGATATGTGCCAAGTCTAGAAACAAGGGACTAGGGGTATAACGACCTTTCAAAACAAAATGCAAGATTTGAAAACTGATTGGCTGGGGGATGAGGAAAAGGCAGACCTTTAAGTTCAATCCCTGTTTTGCTTTAGGTTGTTAGGGGGTGGTTTTATAACATATTGTAGAATATGTCATTTCAGTTTTGAACGTCTTGAGTTAAATTGTCCTAACATATCTTAAGAATTTGATTTTCTTCCGTGGGAAGCTAATATTTCAAAACCTTAAAGAGTATAGATTTCCAACTTGTATCCAATTTATAAAATTATCCCTAGGCTGCTGATTTCAGGAGGAAGCTCATGAATAGTCTATTTGCAGACAATATATCAGGAGTTAACAACAGCTTCAATATTTGTGGGACAACCAGTTAACTAAGCCACCTCTTAGTGTATTTAGATGGAAAATCTTAGCTGAAGATATTAAATAATGAACCAACAGTGACTAAAAAATTGAATATTTAAGTATATTTCATTGTAATGAATTTGAATCTAAGTAGCCATATACAGCAGCTAGTATTTACCACATTGAACAATGCAAATTAGAGGAAAAAATTAATAACCATATCTAATACCACATGCCAAAATCCTCATAAATTTATTCTAGATAAAGGAGTTCATCAGAAGCAGCAACTGAAAGCACCAACTAAACCAGCTGGTGTTAATTCACTGTCATTCTCTCAGAACCATCTCTTCTCTGAACAAAACAAGTAGAAGAGTTAATTGTGAATCTGCATTTTCCTTACCGGTTTTAAGCTTTTGATGTTGACACTAATTTGTGAAATCCCTCCTGTGGTGTGATATTTCATTTTACTTGCTATTTTGTTAGGAAGAGAATGCTTCAGCTCTTAATTTAAAATTATGTTTCTCCCTCCTAGGTTGAGTGAACTTAGAATGCATTCTCTGACATATCCACATGTTTTTGTTAATATGAATTTGGGGAAAAAAGCATACTTAATTAACTAAGACTTCTCATTCTAGGCTTGACCCTGTGTTCGACATCTTTTGAATTTGTAGTTGCATAGGCTGCTCTCTGACACTGGTTAGTGATCTGGAAGCTATATTAACGTTAGGGGAGGTGGTGTATGAGCATTAGAGGTATCCTTGCAAGGAAAGACTTGTCTTATCTCAATACATCCTTTTTTGCACACAAGAAAGTCAATGTTTGAGTCTTCTAAAATCTTCCTATTTCCAAGTTGCAGAGTACCATTGATTCCTAAGCAAAGATCTAATTTTTGACTCAGAGACGTGGCAAGGTAGTGAATCACCATTATAATTTAACAATCTTCAAGATAAAATTATCTCTCCGATATTTAGATTTTGCCCAATTATTAAGATATTTGGGTGTTTTGTTAAGAATGGAAGACTCTAGTCCCTTGAGCAGAGACGATAAAGGCCTCAGATGATCATTTATAATTTTATGCTCTTTTCTATAACATCTTCAACACAGTTGGAAGCAGCCAATGATGCCCAGAGTTGTCGTGTTTTTTAAACCAAATGCATGGTTCAGTGGTAGAAAACTGGGCTGATCCAAGCTGTTTTCAGTAAACACTTCATTTCAGGTGACATATTTCATATAATCTCTAGATCCTAAATAATCTCTAGATCCTGTCTTCAAAACTAACTAGATCAGATAACCTACCCTAGATTTTCACCTTTTAGGGTCTGTTAGCTGCAGTCACCTTTGTGAAAATGATTGCAATGAAAAGATAGAGTTGCAGATGGGGAAAATGTTTTGACTAATTTAAGCATAGTGGTATTTAATATGAGAAGTTAAGTTACACAATTTTTGAAAATTATAATGGAGTCTCTTGGCTGAGCTTTAAAAAAAATAGCGTTTAGGCTAAAAAGGGAACTGCTACTTCTCCTAAAATCAGAAAGATGTTACAGTAATTCTCTATTCTCTAGAATTGTCAGGAAGCACCTTTGTGATGATTTAATTTTGCTTTTGTGACTGTGAGCCTGTGTAGTCATGGAACCATCAATTAGAATAATGGCTTTCTGATCCCAAAGTCATTCGTTCTGAAAACAATATTTTTCATAAATTTGAAAGTGAGAAGTTTTGATCTTGCCATTCCCAAGTAACTCTCTTAATAAGTCATCAGCATGCTTCAGTGACAGCTGTCACCTTCCAGTGCTGAGAGTCATCTTTGAGTTCTCCATTTCACTCCCTACACTCCAATTTAGCTGCAGTTCTCTTGGCCAGTCCTGTGAAATACATCCATGGCCTAACGAATTCTCACCACTAATACCACTCATACTAACAGCATTCTCACCTTAGTCACTACCTTTTTTCTCTGGATTACAATAGCCCCCCAATTTATTTGCCCACATAACCTATTTATTCTACACGGTGCACCAAATACACCCCTTTGAAATGCAAACACAATCATGTTATTCTCTGGTGAAATTATCTCATATATTCCTATTGCATTTAAAATTAATTCAAAATAATCCCATGATTATCAAAACCCTACATGCTCTTCTACAACATGGTTTAGTTCCAAGATATCTCTTCAACTTTTTTTTTCACTATACAGAATTGGTGAGTAATAGTCATATTTTTGTTTTTGCTCAAAAAGTCTTGACTTGTAAATTTTTCAGTTTCTCCTTTATCCACAGGTAACTCTTTCCTCATAAGGCTAATTGCTTGCTTCCTTGAGTTCTGCTCTCAAAGATACCCTTCATTTTCTACCTAATATTAATAACTTTAATCATTCATTATTCCATTACTATGCTCTATAGTGTATACAATTTCTGTTCTTTGTCATGTTATTAACTAAATTATTTGTTTCAATAATGTATTCCATAAATATTGTACACATAAAAATTATGTTATTTTTATTGCTGTATGCTCAGCTGCCCAATAACAGTTTGAGGATTAACATATTTGTTAAATGGACAAATACATTCTTTCACAAATATTAGTTTAATAATTTTGTATTAAACTCCCTATATACTTACAATATGAATTAGATAATTCAGAATAAACATTCCATTGGAATAAACTAAACAATTTGTTATAAAACATCCTTAAAAGCATCAGAAAGTTAATACAGCAATGAGGAATGACAGGACCAAATTAAGAATGGTATGGAAGCCTGTTTGTGAGGCTTATGTTTGGATTATCTCTTTACTTAGAGTGACTATCAATCTCAAAAGAGAACTAAAGGGATAAATAACCATATCTACTAACACAGTAAGGGTATTTAAACATCTCTTAGTAATTGAGAAAATTGAAAGAAAAAAAAGAGGGAGAGAGAGAAACAGAGTGAAAGGGATAATGAAGGAGAGAAAGAAGAAGAGAAAGGAAGAGGAAGAAAAATAAAAAGGAGGAGAGGTGGAGGGAGGAAGAAAGAAAGGTGAAAAGAAAGAATGGTAAAGTTTTTAACAACATAATTTATCATTTTAGAATATGAATGTTGGTCTATTTGATGTTGTCCCACAGATTCCTTAGTCTCTGTTCATTTTTTATTTGTTATTCTTTCTGTTTCTCAGAGTCAATATTTTCCATTTTCTTATCTTCAAGCTCATGACTTCTTCTGTGTGTGCAAATATACTCTTAAATCCCTCTGGTGATTTTTAAATTTTTATCACTGTAGTTTTCAACTCCAGAAATTGTTATCTCTTTGTTGATATTCTTACTTTTTAACATTTTTTTCTGATTCCTTTATTTCTTCGTTTATGTTTTCCTTTTGACATTTGATTATAATTAAGAGAGTTGTTTTAAAGTCTTTGTCTAGTAAGTTTGATGTCTGGGATTCCTTAGAGATATTTTCTGTCAGTTTATTTTGTTCCTTTGAATGAGCCATACTTTCCCATTCTTTGTATGCCTTGTAACTTTTTTTGAAAACTGGACATTATAATAATTATAATTACTATGTGGTTACTCTGTAAATCAGACACACCCACCCCCCCCACAAACACACTAACGTTTTGTGGTTTTAAATTTTATTTACTTATTATATTGTTAAGGTATTTTTTTAGTGAAATTTTCCAAAGTGTTTTTACAAAACTGTTTGCTTTATAAGGTGTGGTCACTGAAGTCTTTTTGTTTCCTTAACAAATGTTAAGCTAATGTTTTGACAGTGATTTTCTTGTATGTCAGGAACTACGCAAACACAAAAACACTACAAAAACAAAAAGAAAAACGAGTAATCATTATCCAGGAAAATATGGCTCTAGGCCATGCAGACTGGCTTTGTGCTGAGTTCTTTGAAGCTGGCGCAAAGTGTGTGTTCACTCTTGCACTGAGTGAAGTTCAAGTTCACTCTTGCACAGAGCTTGCACTGAGGGGAAGGATCAGCCAAGGTAAAAGTGTAGGGTCTTCTTATGACATTTGTCAGCATGTGGCTTAACCTATGCATACGTGTGACTTTCTAGACTCTCCCATGTACGTGAATGATTTTGAATGTCTTAGTTTTCCAAATACTCTTCTCCAACTTTTCTTCCTGTGCTGAAGGTGATCTACTATATGTGTAAACTCTAATTTTTGCCCTAAGCATCTGTTGTTTGTTAGGTCTCCTTGCAGAGTTTCTCAATAATGTCCATTCCTTATCTGTTCTGTATTCTAGCAACACAGAAAAAAAAGCCTTTCATTAGTCCTTCAGGTATCCCCCAGACCAGTCAGAACAGACATACATAATAATTTGCGGGTAAGAGCTTCTCTTGTTCCTTTGGAGCCATGGACCAGGGTTCCACACTGGGAACATGGGCTTCTAACACTTCAAAACTGCCTTTGCTGGGGCAAAGGCAAGTTAAAAATGTCATAAAGTTTTCTAGTTGTCTTTTTGTTGAGTCTGCTTTCACTTGGTTGTTGTAATCTTTTGACCATTTTCCAGAGTTTTGGCAAAGTTTACTCTGAGAGTTTCTCTTAGTTGTTTGATGTTTCTGTGGGGAAATGAAAGATTGCAGCTGTCTCCATTGCCATTTTGCTGATGCTCCTCTTTTGTCAACTTTTGCTTCGTGTTATTATGCTTTTTTATTAGTTCATATATTAGTTTTCTAGGGCTGCCATAACCAAGTAACACAAACTGAGTGCCTTGAACAACATAAATTTATTGTCTTATAGTCCTGGAAGCTAAAAGTCTGAGATTGAGGTGTCAGCAGGGATGGTCCCTTCAAGGGCTATGAGAGGAAGTCTGTTCTATGCCTTGTTTCTAGCTTCTGGTGGTTTAGTGGCAGTCTTTGGCATTCCTTGGCTAATCTCTGCCCTCATAATCACATGGTACTCTCCCTGTGTGTATGTCTCCCTCTACTCAAATTTCTTCTTTTTATAAAGACATCAGTCATATTGAATTAAGGCTCATCTGATTTTATCTTAACTTGACCACCTGCGAAGAACCTATTTCCTAATGAGGTCGTATTCAGAGGTTAGGATTTCAGCATCTATATAGAGGAAACAATTTAGCTCATATCAGTGCATATATGATTGTAATAGCTATGTCTTCCTAAAGCATTGACCCCCTTATTACTACAATATAAATTTTTAAAATCCTATTCACATTTTTAATAGTCTATATTGTGTGTTGTGAGTATAATGAGTTCAGTGTTCTTATGATTGCTCTTTGCATGATATTTTTTGTCACCTTTTTACTTTCAATCCATTAGTATCCTTGCATCTCAAATGTGCCTTCTCTAGACAGCATATATTGGGATCACTTGTTTTAATCCAGTCTGACAATCTCTACCTCTTGACTGGATTTTAATCTGCTCACATTTAATATTATAATTGGTATAATTCTATTTATGTCTGCCATTTTACTGTTTGTTTTGTATATTTCTCAAATATTTTTCTTTATTGCTTTATTTTGCAATGAATGAATATTTTCTAAAATAGAGAATGTTAGATTACTAATGAATTATTTTACTATATATTTTTGAGAATTTTTGTTGTTGATGTAAGTTTACCACATAGGTATATGGAAAATTAATTATTCAAATCATCTTCCAATTTACACTAGCTAAATTTTAGTAATACATAGAAACATCATTCTTATACAAATCTCTTTTATTTCCTCCATTTTAAAGTATTATCACTTTACACATTACATCTATTAAAGTTATAAAGCCAACAGTACATTTTAGTAATTATTACTTTACCATCTATAGTAATTACCTTATCACAAAACATTTTTCTTCCAACTACCGCCTTTTTGATGTTATTGGAAAATATGTTATAGACATATTACATTTCTACATGTCAAATACTCAGCAATACATTATGCACATATTATTATTATTATCATTATTATTATTATAATTATTGACATGGAGTCTCACTCTGTCACCCACGCTGGAGTGCAGTGGCACAATCTCTGCTCACTGCAAGCTCCGTCTCCCTGGTTCATGCCATTCTCCTGCCTCAGCCTCCCAAGTAGCTGGGACTACAGGCGCCTGCCATCACGCCTGGCTTATTTTTTGTATTTTTTTTTTTTTTTTTTTTTTTGAGACGGCGTCTCGCTCTGTCGCCCAGGCTGGAGTGCAGTGGCGCGATCTCGGCTCACTGCAAGCTCCACCTCCCGGGTTCACGCCATTCTCCTGCCTCAGCCTCCCGAGTAGCTGGGACTACAGGCACCCGCTACCACGCCCGGCTAATTTTTTGTATTTTTAGTAGAGACGGGGTTTCACCGTGTTAGCCAGGATGGTCTCGATCTCCTGACCTCGTGATCCACCTGCCTCGGCCTCCCAAAGTGCTGGGATTACAGGCGTGAGCCACCGCGCCCGGCCTATTTTTTGTATTTTTAGTAGAGACGGGGTTTCACTGTGTTAGCCAAGATGGTCTTGATCTCCTGGCCTCGTAATACGCCCATCTCGGCCTCCCAAAGTGCTGAGATTACAGGCGTGAGCCTTTGTGCCCAGCCATTATGCACATATTATTTTATAAACAATTATGGTAAAGAGAAAATATGCATTTCTACTGTCTTTTATAATGTTATTATTACCTATGCCAGTGCTTTTTAAAAAATGTGGATTCAAATGACTGTCTTGTGTAACTTGCTTTTAGCCTTAGGAATTTATTTTAGTGTTTTTTTTTTGTATGGTAGGTCTGCCAGCAACAACTTCAGTTAATATTTCTGTTTATCTGGGTAAGTCTTTGTGTTATCTTCATTTTTGAAAAATAATTACTGAATAAGGAATTAGTGGTAGACAGTTTTTTCCTTTGCATCTTTTGAATATATTATTCTACTGCTTCTTGCTTTCCATTGTTTCTGTTAAGTCAGCTGTTAATCTTACAAAACATAGGTGCTCAAAAAATAAACATGTACATGAATATTTATGGCAGTAATATTCATACAGTCAAAAAGTGGAAACAATCCATATGCTTGTCGACTTATAAATGGACACCCAATTTTCAGCTATAACAAAGAATGAAGTACTTATACATGGTAAAATATTGGTGAAATTTGAAAGCATTATGCTAAGTACACAAAAGGACAAATATTACTTGATTTTATTCACATGAAACATCAGGAATTGGCAAATCAACTGGGATATAAATCAGATTAGTGGTCATTAGGGCTCAGGGAAGCAGAATACGGTCTAACAACTTTATGCATAATGGGTTTTTAGAAGGGACATGATGAAATTATCATGGAACATTGTGAATATACTAAAAGCAACTGCATTGTATACTTTAAAATGGTTAAGTTGTGAATTTTATATTGTGTGCTTTTTACCTTAAAAAACAAAAAAGAGAAAATAGCCTTACTCTATACATAATAAACTCAAGATGTATTACAAATTTATATGTGAAATCCAAAATACTATAATATTTAAGGAATAGCTAAGTAGAATAACACTAAAATTTAGCATAATGAAATATTTCCTTAAAAAAGAAAAAACACAGTAATTAATAAGGGAAATATAGTTTATTAATATTTTTTCTCTCCATTAAGCATGCCATTAACTGAGTAAAAAATCAAGCTGCAATATATAAACTACATTTTCTAAAATCATAAAGAAAATATGAAATGAAAAGGGATTTGGGAAAAAAATCCAAAGGTACAGTCAACTACACAAAAAAAAGCTTAGTCTCATTAATCATTAGGAAAATGCAAATTGTAACTGGAATAAGATAAAACTACAATTCAAAGAGAAAGGCTAAAATTTCAAACCAAAAAAAATTCTGGGTTTTGGAGAGCTGGGAAGGAATAGGGCTCCTAATCTTACAACAATGAAAGAACAAAACTAACTTCAAAGTCATGACTTTATTTTTATAGCAACCAGGTTGCCAAGAACTGAGTCAAAATGTAAGGGAAAATAAGCACCTGCAAGGAGAAAGAGGACGGATGCACTTACATAAGACAGATGCAAATAGACACCACTATGACAAGTAAAGCTGGAATAATCAATAAATTCCTAAAGACAAAGTGGGGCTGGTCAGATTGGGAAACCACTGACAGCTGCAGAAGTTGGGAAAGATCCACCATCTTGAAAACTTTTTCCCCACAAATCCACTGGGATCTCTCAAGCAATTGGTAAGGACTCCAAGACAGTCTGTATATGATACAGTTCAGGGAGAGCAGAACACTGGGGAGGTGACCAGGTCATGGGGGCTGAGCCCTTATGAATGGGATTAGTGCCTTTATAAAAGAAGCTCAATGGAGTTCTAGTGTGCCTTTCACTATGTGAGGACATAGAAAGAAGGCACCATTTATGCACCATGAAATGGGCTGTCATCAACACTGAATTTGTGAGCATCTTGACCTGAGATCTTACAGCCTCAAGAAGTGAAAAAAAAGAAGTATCTGTTGTTTTTTAGTCACCGAGTTTATGTTATTTTGTTATAAGAGTCCAAATAGACCGAGATATTCCACTTAATATATAGGGGAAGGCCACAAAAACTGCCACACTTAGAATACTCCTGATGCTCGGAGTATGAAAACAGGAAAAACAAAACAAAACAAAACTACTCTTGAAGGTGAAGGAGGAATATCACTGAGCTCACCAACACAGCCAGGAAAAGGAACAGAAGTGTGAGAAGGCTATATTCCTGAGACCTTGAGAAAAAGTACCTGCATAAGACTGAGATGAAATTACCTACCCTAGTTATAACTGAAATCCCAAAAAGAAGAGGAAAAAATAATGGAATAGAAGAAATATTTTTCAAAATAACTGTCAAAAATAGTCTAAAAGAAGTGACAGAAAATCAAACTTCAGATATAGGAAACTCAGAGAATGTCAAATAGAACAAAAATAAATAAGAATTACATCTTGAAAATATCTTTAAAAAATCAACTCTAAATTTTATATCTTGCTCCAAATATATAGAGATATAAATAGGTTATAATCAAGGTATGGAGAAAGCCATATCATGGAAACACTAAAATAAAGCTGTGGAAGGACTACATTGATATTAGACACAACAGAGTTCAGAACAAGAAATATTATCAGAGATGAGAGATAATATATAATATAATAATCAATTCTCAAGATGATGTGAACATCCTGCTAATTAGGGTATGCAGCTTACAACAGAACCTCCAAATACATGAGGTAAAACATGAAATAAATCAAAGGTGATCTAGAAAAATCCAAAATTATATTTGCAGACTTCAACAATTTTGTCTTAGTAATGGACAGACTAGACACAAACTCAGTAATCGTATAGAAGACAAGAACAACAATATCACCAACAAGACATCCAATCTTCAATGGCAGATACTCTTTCCTTTCAAGTGAAAAAAAAAAAAACAGTATAGCATATTCTCTAACAAACCCAGAATTTCTAATATTTGCGGTCTTCCTTCCTTCTTTCCATCTTCCTTTCTGTTCTCTTCCCTTCCCTTGCCTTCTTCCTTCCTTTCTTCTTTTTCTCTTTCTTTTCTGTTCTTTTTTCTTTTCTTTTTCTTTTTCTCTTCTTTCTTTTTTCTCCTTCCTTCTTTCGTTCTTTCCTCTTTTCTTCCTTTCTTCCTTCCCTCATACCTCCCTTCCTTTCTCCCTCCCTTTCTTTCTCCCTCCCTTTCTCTCTCTTTCTTTCTTTCTCACTTTCTTGCTTTCTTTCCTTTTTTCTTTCTCCCTTCCTCCCTCCCTCCTTTTCTTCCTCCCTCCCTCCCTTCCTTCCTTTCCTCCTTTTCCCTTCCTTCCTTCCTTCTCCTCTTTATTTTCTTTGTTTCTTTGCCTTCCTCCCTTTTTCCATTCTCTCCTCCTCCTTTCCTTCCTCCCTTCCTCCTTTCTTTCTTGCTTGCTTGCTTGCTTTCTGGTGTTCTTGCTTTCTTTTTTCTCCCTTCCTGCCTTTCTCCCTTCCTCCCTCCCTTCCTTCCTTCCTTCTCTCATTTCCTCCTTCTTTTATTTCTTCTTTCTTTCCTTCCTTCCTTCTTTTCTCTTTCTTTCTTTTCTTTTCTTTCTTTCTCTTTACTACAATTCATATTATTTAAAAAAAATTAAGAGAGAGAGGCAGAAAAATAAAGAACACTTTAATCTGCAGGTAAATAGATTATGTCTGCTGTAGACAGAATAATGGCCTCCCAAAAACGTTCATGGCCTAATTCCCAGAGTCTAACATACAAATGTGTTAGGTTGCATGGCAGTGGGAAATTAGATTTCAAGTGAAATTAAGGTTGCAATAAAATGATGGAGAGATTATCTTAAATGGGTGGGCTCAATGAAATCACAAGCTTTCTTATAAGTGAAAGAAGAAGGCAGAAGAAAGACAACCATGGAGGTGGTGGCATGAGAAATAACTCAACATCGCTGACTTTTAAGATATAAGAATGAGGACCCAGTGCAGTGGCTCACACCTAATCCCAGCACTTTGGGAGGCCGGGGTGGGTGGATCATGAGGTCAGGAGATCGAGACCAACCTGGCTAACATGGTGAAACCCCATCTCTACTAAAAATAAAAAAAAGCTGGGTGTGGTGGCACGTGCCTGTTGTCCAAGCTACTCAGGAAGCTAAGGGAGGAGAATTGCTTGAACCCAGGAGGCGGAGGTTGCAGTGAGCTGAGATCACACCACTGCACTCCAGCCTGGGTGACAGAACAAGACTCCATCTCAGAAAAAAAAAAAAAAAAAGTAAGATGTAAGAATGAGGCCATGTTCCAAGGAATAAAGGTGGCCTCTGGATTCTGAAAAAAATCAAGTACATAGATTCTGCCACATAGCCCTCAGAAAGACTGCAGCCCTGCCCACAACTTGATGTTAGCCCTGTGAGTCTCATTTAAGGCTTCTGAACTCCAGAACTGTAGGATTAACGGTCACTTTATTGTAAGATATGAAGTTTGTGGTAATTGGTTACAGCAGCAAGAGGAAGTTTATATAGTAATTGTATCATGAAAATGAGAACCATAATTTACAACTGCTTTTAATACTATAACCTTCCCGTCTTCTTGCTTGGATGTTTGAAATCATGTACATGGATATGATCTCTGTGTGTATGAAAGAGGACAGCAAATTGTTGCCAAAATAATGCAAATGCAAATCTTTCACTCATTTATATGTAGGTTTAATTTAATCTTTGAAATTAAAATGAAATTAAAGGATTATTAAATTTTGATGAAATTAGACTAAAATGAACAACAACAAAATAAGAGCTTACTTATATTCTTTATATGGTCAATAAAGAAGTGATAGTGGAAAAAAATAACAAATGAAGGTGATGATTTAGGAAGTTGGAAAGATAGCTTAAACTACAAAATGGTATATAACTAGTGAACACTTAGAGACATTGATTGATGAACTTCAGCTTTTGGCTTGGTGAGAGCATAAAATGAGAGCAGCTGAGGTTTGCAAATTTGTAATCTCCTTGTGGAAAAACAGGGGAAAAGACATCTCAGCATAATAAGATTAATCTACTAAAGAGTCAAGACTTGATCCATTTGTCCTTGTAATTCAAAAGCTAATTCAAATACTGATTTGATATATTGTGTTAACAACCATTGCTGATTATCATCGCATACCTGGCACTCTCTTTTATTTAATATCTAAAATATTTGTTAATTTCTGGACTTTCTCTTTTCAAACCCAGTACGGTTTAATTTCAATCTTAGAACAGTTGTCTTTGAGAAATTCTTCACTTTAGTGCATCTATGAATGGGCATAACATGGATACATATATGCTGTCACCCCAGAGAACATTTGTTAAATTAAAGCCAAAGTTTAAAGCAACAGCTTTAACTCACTGGTTTTACTAATTTTTTCCTCCCCAATAGCCACAACAATATTGATACCCCCACACCTTTTAACATAAAGCTTGGTGTTGTCTATTTTTCAGGTACTGTCATCTATATGATTTCAGTATTTTAAAAATCAGCTTCCAGCCCATATGGTGGCTCATGCCTGTAATACCAGCAGTTTAAGAGGCTGAAATGAGAGGATTCTTTGAGCCCAGGAGTTCAAGGACAACCTGAGCAACATAGCAAGACCCAGTCTCTACCAAAAGTTAAAAAAAAAAAAGGTGGGCATGGTGGTGTGCACCTGTTGTCCTAGCTATTTGAGAGGCCAAGGTGGAAGGATTGCTTGAGCTTGGGAGGTTGAACCTGCAGTGAGCAGTGATTGCACCACTGCACTCCAGCCTGGGCCACAAAACAAGGCCCTATCTCAAAAAATATATATAATAAAAATAAAAGTCTGCTCTCATTGATTTCTACATAAATATGCATAGGTTATGTCCATATAGATACAAATAATAATATATCTGACTGGGTCCATATGATCTTCAAAATGTAAAATGCCTATCTGTGTAATTGACTGGTTAGTCTCATTAATGAATAGAGATTCAATTCTACTTTCTTCTTCTAGAAAAAATATATAATCTAGCTTTTAATTTCACTTATTTACTGGTAACAACAGGAAGAATGACAAGATATCTATTTTGGAAAATTACTCTGGTAGGAGTAAAGATGAAACAATGATAGAATTGCATGGAAAACTAGAAAAAAATATGGTCTTCTGATATTCTATCACATCATATCCTAAAGGCTTCATAAAACTCAGATATTTTATCTAAAAATGTTATTTTCATCTTAGGAATGATCAAAGCACGAGACTAGAATTGTATTACAATGATTCTCACAAGCACATGTGCTAAAAAGGAGGGGAAAACATCATTACTGATATTTTAAACGTATGTTTTACTTTCCATCAACATGAACCTCAACTTGATATGATGCAGATCAAAGGAAATCACCCATAATTCCATATTAAGAAGGCCTGTGATATTTTATGGGAAACTAAATAGAGAAAATGCTAACAGAAACCCTATTAAGCTTTATGGAGCAAAGACAAATCCAGTGGTGAAAGATACACACTCGAGTTGTGTTTATTGTCTTGGAACAATATGGTTTAGAGGTGACTGGTGGGTGAGGAGAACATATGCGAGTTCACCAAATAGAAAAGCTGAGTGAGGCAATGCCTCTTCCTGACCATATCTCTTACTCAGGTAACTATACAATTTATTGTCCAGTAAAGGGTATATTTAAAAATCATATTAAAAGTCATGCAGTGAAGTTGTCCAGGGAAATCAAGACTTAACAGTCTCACTCTGACAAAAATGAATAGGGGGGTTCCCTCAAGATAGACTAGGACATGACCCCACACTGGTAGTTAGTAGTACCAGAAAAGAACCCATGGAAAATCTTTACCTTATACTTGAGATAGGGACCAGGCCAAAGTGACAGCCAGACATAAAATTCTATCTAAAATATATCAATAATCAAAGAAAATATGTGGTGTACAGGCATAGAATGTCTTTACTGGATCATTGAAATAGTAAGATAAATTCAAATTTTTACATTGTTTTATTTTCCTCCAGTTAGGGCTTGAGGTTTGCCTCTGGAGAGTGGCTGTCAATTGGAGCCCTGCCTTTCTGGGGTTCTGGGCAGGGGGTTGTGGATGCTTAACATATGCCTTTCACAGGACACTCCCTTACCCCAGCAGTGACCAGGTGTGTATCCCACGACCAGGCCTCCCTCTCACAGAATATCTGTTGAGACTGGGAGATGCCTGGTGGCTGTTGCCTGACCTGTGTCCTGTGTATTTCTGACAAGAGCCACTCTCAGAGGCCCTGGCCAGGAGGAGAGTTAGGTTCCAGTGTAGGTCAGATCACACACATGGAGGCCACAGGACCAAACATGGGAAATCACAGAAGTAGTTTTATTACTCACAGATCCAGGGAGAAGAGGGAAGCTGAGAAGAGGGTTTGGCTGTGTCCCCAGACAAATCTCATCTTGAATTCCCACATGTTGTGGGAGGGAACAGGTGGGAGGTAATTGAATCATGGGGGCAGGTCTTTCCCATGCTGTTCTTCCGATAGTGAATAAGTCTCACAAGATCTGATGGTTTTATAAAGGGGAGTTTCCTTGCACAAGCTCTCTTGTCTTGTTTGCTGCCATGTGAGACGTGCCTTTCACCTTCCACCATGATTGTGAGGCCTACCCAGCCATGTGCAATCGTACGTCTATTACCTCTTTCTTCTGGAAATTACCCAGTCTTGGGCATGTCTTTATCGGCAGTGTGAAAATGGACTAATACATTAGCACACCTCATAGGGCTGAACAAAACGGGGAAGATGAGTGGGGAGCAAGAGAGAGAAAAGGGGTCTGTGGGACTCCAGCCGTGAGGTCTGTGGGGTGAGTCAGGTAGGTTGTATCCAAAGGTTCCATAGCAGGTAGTCACCAGGAGGAGGCAACTGTGTAGGGTCAATATCTGGGCCCAGCCGCACTGAGGAACTGGGAGGGTTAGAATTGGAAATTGTCAAGGGAAGCTGAACCCAGCTACCACATGAGAGCGTTCAACTTACGTTCAATGTGAATGCCGTGGCAACATTAAAATATAAGAATTCACTCCAATGTGCTCGAGGTAAATAGGAGAAACCTAGAATTTATGTAAACAGTGAGAAGATTGGATGCGTTTTCCATCACATATTTTAATACTAGCAGCATATTATATATGTCAATCCATCAGGCATTCAGAAATACATGCTTATGAAAATTTTTTGCACCATCAGACAAGAGACAAGGATAGAAGACATTTTTAACCTTATAAACACTAGTAAATTAAAAACAGAAGGACATCTATGTCCAAATATCTCTATGTTGTGAAAGGCCGCCCTGTGAAATGCGAGATTTCTTAAACATATTTTTAAAATCATAGGTGTCAATATTTTTTAGAAATCCATTTAAATTTTCTCTTGCTATTTTACAATGCCTATTTATTTATTTAATGGTTCTGCTGATTTTGATGTATATCCTAAACTTTACATTTTCTTTAAAGTATGTTTTATACAACTTTATGTAAAATGTTTCCGTATCTTCACATTCTCTCCCTGTTCTTTTGTTTTGCTCTTATATGGTGGCCTTGAATCTTTTCTCTGGCTTTTCAAACCTAGTAAGACTAAGACACTAAAGTAACTTTGCCCGTGGTTTGGTAATGCCTTCTAAAACACATCCTAAGCTCTCGTGCATACAGGGGTCTCCTTTGAGCTTTGTTCTACTGAGATCCCATATACCTAAATTCCAGTACTCCAAATCAGTACTGCTCAGTTTTAGTTACTAAGTTTAAAAATGTATTTTAATAGCAAGTTAGTTTAGTGCACTCTTGCTTCTTTCTTTACTGCTGGTATACATGTATATTCCTTTAAATGAATCTTGGAATTTATTTAAAAATTTTAAGTTACACTAATAGAACTGTATCTGGCATTGTTGTGAATTGATAGATGAATTTGGAAAGAATTTGTCTTTATGATACTAAATCCTTTTTATCCAAGAATCATATGTGCCTTTATATTTATTCTAGTCTATATTTATATCACTGAGTAAATATATAGGAATGTAGATACATATAGCTATAGTTATAGATACAAATATAGATATAACATGTTAAATCTATATCTATCCCATATAACATATATACATGTTATATGTGTGTGTGTATATATATGTATATGTTTGTGTTATTAATGAGCTCCCTTAAAATTTTTCTTTTATTTCCTATATAATTTTAGGTTGAGCTTGAATTTTCCTTGTATAAACATGTAAATATTTATACTAGTTTTAATACTGATGTTTAGACATTCTATCTTATTTTAGCATTGAATATTTTCACAATTATTATAAATATTATCCAATATTAATAATGTAACTGTTAAAAATATTTAAAATTTTACAGTTGAATTATTTTATTGTTGAATTTAAATTCCTTTAAGTATGATAGTAAATTTGTATTTTATATTTTCTCTATGCATATGCAAATTAATCTAGCCACTTCTCTATCTCTATGTAGTAACATATGAAAATCAAGCCTCTCTTCTTCTAATAGACATACACATGTTTGCATATAAAATATCAGACTCTTTATAGCATTTAAAATCTTTAAAGACATGAATATTACCTTTTAACAAATATATTTTCGCATGTACTGAGAATCCCCTATTTATTTTTTATTTGGGCTAATCAATATGATTATTAATATTATTGGATTACCAAATTTGGAATCACACTTTCATCCCCAAGGTGGATATTTGTTTTATTTTTTTGCTAATTTCTTGTCCTACTGTTTCAAATACGGTTGGAGATTATTTTTATTTTATTTGGCATTTTAGTATCAATATTTGTAAGTGATGTACTCTACATATTTTTTCTTCAATATCTGGTGGATTTTATAATTACTGCTATATTAGATTTGTAGTAGATGCTGACAAAAATTATTTCTCTATGTTTTATAGCTGTATGAAGGAAACCAATATATTTTATCCCAAAATATATTTCCTTGATATATTTCAAAATGGCTATTCAGAAGGGCTGGAAATGCAAAAATAGCTGCAAAGCTGTCTTGGGGAGATTTGCATCAGTAGAGAATCTGCCTTAATGCAACCAGGCTTTCTCTGAGGTCTGCCCCCTTGTCTGGATGTAGGAAAGGTTAACTGAGAGTCTGAGGTCTCCAAAGGTCTGAAAGAAACATTTTCTGTCTGTTCTCTCTGAGGGCTGCTCCCAGTGAGGTTTCACTGTTGCTAGCCAGGATCTTTTTCTCACATACCCTTTTTTTTTCCCCTATGATCCAAGCCCCCATTCTTTCTGTAAACTCAATGTGGTCAATAAGCTTCTGCACCCATCGTGTGTCTGGGTCTTCATTCTAAGGGCTCCAGTGTACACACATTGCAGAAACCTGTATGCCTTTTCTACTATTTATCTGCCTCCTGTTGGTGATTTTCAGGGAAACTTCAGAAGGCAAAAGGGACATTCTCCTTTAGCCCATACTCAGACAAAATCCGCCAACATTTAACTGATTCCTAATAGCTTAAAATCACTTTGAAAAATCTATATATTTATAACCTTTTCTTCCCTCTATGATTTCTGGTCAGCTAGGGTTTTGTTTTTTACTCCATTTACTTCATCCTGGAAAAGATCTATTTTATGTCTATTTATTCTCATTTATTGACATTGAGAAAATAAAATAACTTTTATGTGAGAAATGCAAGTCCTTTTAAATAATCAGGCCCAGAGAGATATTAAAATGAGACAGCAGTTCTGTCCTACTCCTCTTTGAGCTGTGTGTTCATCCAGGCTGCTTGCTGTTGCCACAGTAGCTATAAATTAACCAATAATGCCACACCAGACACTATAATCCACACCCAATAATAGCTTAACAGTGTATAGCCAGTCACTAATCAATGTTATTTCCATAAGCCAATGAGAATTTGTGACAAACCTCTTTGCATCATCCCACTCCTTGTCCTTTTTGCCTTTAAGAAACTGCTTGTTGCAAAGCTCCAAAGGGAGTTCATATCCAAGGATACTTGGGTCTGTTTCTTCCAGGCAGCTGTCCTCATTGTGGCTCAAGTAATCTCTTTGAATTACGTTTTGTGCTTCAGCCCCTTCCACTTAGATTAACAACATGGATTTGTGTCACCATGTACAGCAATTAAAATGTTTACACTTTTCCCCTCGAGGGCATTGATGTGTTTTCCTGAGCACTTCGAATAGCTACATGGTGTTTACTTTCTAGATTATGGCTTTTCAACCTTGGTGCTATTTGCCTTTAGGACCAGAGGATTCTTTGTTGTGGGAGGCTGCCCTAGCAATGCTAGAAGTTTCATTTGACCTCTAAATTTCACACACCCAGCAGTCTTGACATCCCCACAATAACCCTAGACATTGCCAAATGTCTCCTGGGGAAAAATCTCCACCAGTTGACAGCCAAAGTTCTTGAAATATTGGAATTGTGAGCTGAGTTTTTATGTTATCCAAAACAAATATTTTTCTTTGTTTTTAAACATCTACTTCCATCTACTTATCTACTTATCTTTACTTTTATTTGTAACTTAATTCCATCAAGGATAGAGAGTGCATTTTCTGTTATGCTAAATTTTTCAAGAATGTAGTGATTTTTTATGACCTGATATATGGATGATATGTAGATCTTACATGTTTGTATTTCCAAATTTCAGGGCAATAATAAGATAAATACTTCTATTTATATTGTCACTGTATATTAGTTATTTTCTTTTTTCACTATAGGAGTTTTTCAGCCTATAGACTAGTTTTCAATTCTAGGTTATCCAGTAGATTTTGAAATGTTATGATGAAATATCTACTTCTCAAGCATTCATCTTTGCAGATGAATCAATCCCAAGCTCTTATAATGAACATCATATAAAGGGCAGATTAGTGAATATATGATTCAGAAATAATGATGTAATATTTATAAGAAAATTAAAAATTTAGATCCTTAACTCAGATAACAATAATCCAAATTAAAATTTGACTTAATTACGTAATTTAAAATGACACCAGAATACTAGTAAAAATGTAGATAAGTTTATGTAATCCTTTTTATCTGTAGGACTTTATTAGCATGAATTCAAGTACAGGAACCAAAGTAAGATTGAGACCTATAGTAAAAGGATAAAATGTACACTTAATAGTGGCATGATTAAACTAATTTAAAGCATAATAACATGGAGAAATATTGGAAAATATACATTTTACTGTATTAATTGTTAATATTCTTATTTAATCATTAAGTGAGAACAAAAGTAAGGAGTAGCTACACACACACACACACAAGTGTTCAGCTACACTAGAAATCACACCTGTTTTTTCTCCACAGAAGAGTAAAGATTAAAAATCACAATAATATTTATTGTACATATGGAGGTAAAGATACTTAAAATATTACCCTAAAATACATTTTTTTTTGAGATGGAGTTTTGCTTTTATTGCTCAGGCTAGAGTGCAATGGCACAATCTTGGCTCACTGCAACCTCAGCCTCCCAGGGTCAAGTAATTCTCCTGCCTCAGCCTCCCAAGTAGCTGAGATTACAGGCATGCGCCACCACACTCGGCTAATTTTTTGTATTTAGCAGAGATGGGGTTTCACTATGTTTGTCAGGCTGGCCTCGAACTCCTGACCTCAGGTGATCTACCCATTTCAGCCTCCCAAAGTGCTGAGATTACAGGCCTGCACCTGGCCAACTTTTTGACATATTTCAAGGTGGTTACTCAGAAGACTGGAAATAGCTTCTTCTATAAGAATAGCTGAAAAGCTGTGTTCATTGGGGAGATTTGCATTTGTAGAGAAAATCTGCATTGATATAGACAGGCTTTCCCTGAGACACTCCCTTGTCTGGGTTTAGGAAAGATTAACTGAGTCTGGCACTTTTAAAGTTCTAAAAACCATTTCCTATCTACTCTTCCCAAGAGGAGGGCTGCTCCCTGTGAGATTTCATCCACATAACAAGACCACCTCTGCTGCCAGGCTCCTCTTTCTTCCTCATCGTCACCTGTCTTCCGCAAAGCCTGATTTACCAACATACAGCTGTGTGTTTTCTGTAACCTCAAGACAGCATAGACGTGTTAACTACCTTGCCGTTCCTGGAGTTTATATATATATAATATATATTTGTATATATATTTATAATATACAAATATTTGTATATATATTTATAATATACAAATATTTGTATATATATTTATAATATACAAATATTTATATATATTTATAATATACAAATATTTGTATATTTATAATATACAAATATTTGTATATATATTTGTGTATATATGTTTTTATATATTATGTAAACTCCAAGTGCATACTTGTGCACATAATTATATCTGTAAACCTTTTTTTCCTGTTAATTTGTACATTACCAGTTTGTTTTATAGACTCAAATAATTAAAGCTTCAAGGGAAAAATTTAAACTTTCCTATAGAGAAAAGACAAATATATATGTGACAATATTTAGAGTGTAAGTCGCTGAAAGCTTTTTAAAGGTATATTTGCAATTTGTGTCAAAACATTTAAATATACATTAGTTACTTTAACTATAAAATTACAAATAATTTAAGCTAAATACATAATATATACAGAAAATTTAGCAATATTTGTATGTGGCACCTTACTGTGCATTACTGTAACCAACAGTCTAATATAAAGAACTAATTAAGGTAGCACCTACTTTTCAAATATCTTTTTTCACAGACCTATTAAATAAGAGAAATAACATTTTAACTTTATTTTTAAATTTGCACAATAGTATTTTTCAGCAGATGGTTTATTTTAGCAAATTCCATCTTCACATTGTGCTATGCTTTTATGAGTTCCAGCTGTTAACAGATAATATTTTACTGCTGAATCTATCATGTGTGATATAATTGCTCATTATGTGCCTTAAAAGACAAGCAATATAGTTATTTTCAACTTGGAGCAAATTAAAATCTTATCAGCAATTTAAAAAATCTAGAGTTGTCTTCTTCTGGTTAATTATTTTAAACTTGTATTTTTCTCTTTATGTTTTTCGTAAGTTGTCTTATCAAGGAGAAGAACTCAAGCTGATTATTCTTTTTTTTCTCTTCCATCCACCTTGCAGGTGTGTTAATAATTTCATTTCTCAGAAAATGTTCTTTCATATCCATCTTACAAGATGAGAGACCTTTTAACATCTTCCACTCAGATGTGATACCAGTAATGGAAAATATTCCAGCTTCATGAATATGGTGATACAAATAGTTATCCGTCTAACCTCTTTCAGTGCCAAATGTTTACTTTACTCAGTGAATTACTCAGTTGACTGGTAATTTCTTCTGAAATCACAAATGAGAGGATCAGAGGTTTGGCTGTTGTCTGTACCTCATATGACTCCCAGTGCAGACAATTGTTTCTGTGGAGCAGAGACAGTTGAAAGGATTGACTTCCTGCCTAGAATAGTTTCTGCTGTGCTTCTTGTCCTTCTTGTGGAGATTTCAGATTATCTGAATTGCTTTTCTATCTTAAGAAAAAACTCAACAATTCTCCCACCTGAGAGGAATGTAAACTGTAGTAAGTTAGCAGAAGCAATCCGTAAAGCTTTTACATTGTTTGTTGTAAAACGCAGGGTTGGTGTCTCCATCACTAACCTTTTATATCCCTCATTGCTCTTTCTTTGACTGTGATAGGATACCTCTAGGCAAATCTGTATCCCCGAGACAGAGTGCCCTTTTGGTTAGCTATAAGTACACTCAATGGTAGGCTGAAAATATTAGTTTTTATCTATGGTGAAATTGAATCATATCAGTGATTTTTTAAAAAGGAAATTTAACTCTTGCTATGGTTTGAATGCTTGCCCCTTCCAAATTTCATGTTAAACTTTGATCCCCAGTGTTGCAGGTGGGGCTTACTGGGAGGTGTTGGGTCATGGGGATGGACCTTCGTTAATGGATAATACCCTCCCTTAGGAATCTCAAGCTATCCTCCCTCTTTGGTGCCCTTAGGAATGAGTGTACCATTCTTTATTCAACTATAAGTCCCCCACCCATCCTTTTTGAGATATCAATTACATGTATGTTACACTGCCGCATATTGTCTCACGTATTAGTGAGTTTCTGGCTTTCTTATTTTAGTTTAGCCTTTGTCCTTCAGTTTGTAAAGCTTCTATTTTTTTCTATAAATTTTCTGATGTTAGGGTAATATCCATTACTTATTCTATCTCATGGAATTTTTATTTCAAATATTCATTTTTCATCTATACATGTCACATTTTCATTTTATAACTTCTATTTTTCTCCTATGTTCAATTTTCATTTAAGTAATTTGACATATATATGTATTTATCTATATGTATTTATAAAATATATATTACTTCAAGGACTTTGAAAATTCCTTCTTCTGTGTCATTTATAAATGACTTATCTTTATCCTGTTAATATATATCTTAATAATATATATCTTCCGGCTTCTTCGCATATCAGAGTTTTTTTGGGGGGTATTTTGATGTTATGCTATTGAATATCTAGATTTTATTATCTACCTTTGAACAATGTTGTGGCAGGCAGTTCAGTAACTTCAGGATGAGTATTTTTCTGTTGTTGTTTTAAATCTTCTCTTTAAACTTTGTTGAATTAGTCTAGAGCCATCTGTAATTTGGAGCTAAATGAGCACTATCACTAGGGAATGAACCTCCAGTGGTCTTTACTGAATATCCTGGATGTTCAGAGGGGATTCCCTTCTCTGGCTGATCAGAGCTAACATGTCTTCCTGTCATGTGATGCCAGGGAAGTGTTCTTCTTCCAAATCCCTGGTAGAGTCCTTTGCTGAGCTCCTTAGAATTTCATCCTATGTACATTTGGCTTAGGGACTTGGGAGAAACCTTATGCTGATTCTTGGTTCCTTTTTCTGTAAATGCTCTCTTCTACAAATTCTGGCTGCTTAACCTTTTTTGATTTTTATCTGGTTCCTCAATGCAATGACAATGTCTGCTCTCTCTGGGATTCCTCTGTACTGCTGTCACGGAGAACCTGGGAAGAAAGCAGGACTCATTCTGGCTCCTTCTCTTCTCTTGCAGAACACAGTCCTGTGCTGCCTCATGTTCAGTATTTCAAAAAAATGTTTCATATATTTTGTCCAGTTTACTATTCTTTAACTCTAAAAGAGTAACTCCAGTCCCAGTTATAGCATCATGTTCTGTAACTCTACTCCTTGTTTCTTCATTCTGCCGTTGTCTGGTATGATCGTCCCTTTCCCTTCTGTAATCAGGCCAAGAGCATAATATAATACTAGTTATAACTGCACAGCTTGCCTCTGTTGTGTAAAAAAATCACTGAGACTTAACTGTGTCCAACTTTTTAAATGTGAATATAAGTACAACTAAAGCTATATTTTGGTTAATATTTGCATTGCATGCTTTTCCATTATTTACTTTCAACATATGCGAAATATAAATATAAATTATAAAATCTTTGAAAGAGTCCATTTAAAAAAATCTGGTCTGATCATGTTTTAACTGGTTTATTACAATGTGCATTCTTGACTTCAGGGTCTAATATAATTGGTACATTAATCTATTTGCAAAAAAATACTTGACAATATTTTTAAATTAATTTATCCAACTCACAGCTTATATGCTTCTGCTATTGTATCAAAGATAAATTTTAAACTTTATGAGATAGCATTCTGTTATACAGTCGATATCTAATTAAATTTCTCTCCATGTTTATTTCTTTCATTAAAAAAAAATCGTTCTTCTAACTGCAAACTTTCATCAAGGATCATTGCTCTTCTACCTGAAGAATAATCTTTAGTATTTATTTTCCTGTGGGTCTGCTTGAGAAAAATTCTTTATTGTATCTTTGCTTTTGATGGATGTGTCCACCAAGTAGACCGTTCTAGGTCGGCACTTATTTTATTTCAGGACTTGAAAGATATCAATACCTCACTTGTTGGCTTTCATTGTTTCATTTGAGAAGGTTGTTGTCAGTCAACTCTTTCTCTTTGTAGTTAGCCCAATTTTTTCGTCAAGTGCTCTTTACATTTTTCTTTTACTTTTCAGAGGTTGTCCCATTATGTTTCTAGGTGTGTCCTCTGTGTGTGTTTTCCTTTGGTTTGCAAAGCCTCCTGAACCTGTGGTTTAATATTATTGGTCAATTTTGATAAAACCCCTAACATTGCCACTTAAAATGCTGTTCAGACCAGCTGTTTTCTTCTTAGATTTCAACATGTTAGATTATTACTGTATCTTTTATATTTTTTAAATGACCTTTCTCTTTTTATCTCTGTACTGTAATATTTCTAAATTTTCATTTCTTTTGTCCTTCTGTGCACTAAACTGAATGCTTTATTCTGACTTGTTGTATTTCACACTTCATTTTCTAGTATGCCTTCAAAGTACATCAAATATTATCTAAATTTTCACTATTTTATTTTTCAGTTCTAAAAATTGAATTCTTTTCCTTTTTCACATGTAATACTTAAACGTGTATTTGCTGAAGTTCTCAATCTTTTATTTATTTGACTATAATAAGAGTTATTAAAGTCAGTTTTAACAAATTTGCTATTCATGCAAAGTTATGTGTGTTTATAACTAATGTTTATCCCTTTTCTTTATTTCTAGTCATATTGTGTTATCTCTTCTTTTGCCTGGATATTTTCCAGTGGTATGCCATCTATTTATTATGAATACTTTCAGATGTAATTTGAGGCTTAGATTGATGTGATTTCCCTCCTGTTTGCTTTTTACCAGACACAAAGCTTCGGTTCATTGTTCCTCTCCAATGAATCAAGGATTGAGATGATTCAAAGCTAATTTTTTAGCCCCTACAAAAGGTGGGCTATTTGCTGCTTACCCTGATAACAGACTAGCTAATTAATACAAAGTGAGGCTTGGGGTAATTACCAATGCTTTCTTCTCTTTGGCAGGGCTTTTAATCCTGTCCTCCCCTGCCCATCCCCTCCCCTGTTTATACTTTTGTTTAAAGCTCTTCTCAGGGTGTCTGCCATCTCAAAGCAAACATGTAAAAATGATCCCAGGAAACATTTAGTCCTCAATTCTGACCTCTTCTCTTTGTGATTCTTTTCCTTGTGACCTGGGATTTGTCATTCTTCACTGCCATGTCAGCATTATGTCTTCAAATATATATTTTTAAAAGATCCATATATCAGATTTTTTGAGCAGGAGGATTCTTCCAAATTGTCTAATGTGCCATTTCAGGCAAAAGACTTCATATTAAAAATAAATAGGAAGATGTTTGCATGTACTTCATAAGAAACATATCCAAATTCCCCATGGAAAGTGTTCCACCCAGTCAGAAATAAGGAAATGAAAAACAAAATCACCATGAAATGAAATCGCTACTCATTCACTACATAATGACTAATATTTTTAAAAAGTGTGTGTATATATATATATAAAACCTCTGATGATGATATGATGTGACCACCATGTTGTAAGCATATATATATATACACTAACCCTTGACAAGGATATAAATCAACTGGATCTTTCATATTAAGTATATTGCTGGTAGCAAGGAATATACTTGCAGGTGAG
The DNA here is from genome assembly GCF_000001405.40 of Homo sapiens. Classification (NCBI taxonomy): domain Eukaryota; kingdom Metazoa; phylum Chordata; class Mammalia; order Primates; family Hominidae; genus Homo; species Homo sapiens. The sequence continues at coordinate 53,147,156 of NC_000007.14, forward strand.
CCCCCAAATGGAGTGTAGCCTGTAATGTTTCTTAAGAGGTGGAAGAAAACAGTTTTATTGAAGTGGCAGTGTTACAACTCTGTGACTGCTCCTGCAGAGCAGGGCTACCCTGTAGGCTGAGAGTAGCAGTTTAGGGCAGTTTTGCTGTTATAATTTATACACACTTTCAATTGCATGCAGACTAAGGGGCAGTTTACACAGAAATTTCTAGGGAAGGGGCAGTAACTTTTGGGTCGTTGGGTCATTGCCAAGAAAAGGGGCAGTAACTCCTGGGAGTTGCCATGGCAACAGCAAATTGACATGGCACACTGGTGGGTGTGTTTGATGGAAAGCTGCTTCTATCCTGACCCTGTTTTAGCTAGTCCTCCATCTGGTCCAATGTCTGATCCCCAACTCTCGAGTCTAGTCCTGCCTTATACCTCAATACCACTTGGGACAAATATTTGGGTTAATATACCAAAACTAAATGACTGTGTGATGTATATACACACACACACAGTATACAAGTCCCCCTCTAACTGGAAATGGCCCCAATAGCCATCTCTCTGGTTATCCATCACTGCATAAGTAAACAGTACAAAACTGACTACCTTGCAAGGGTGTCCAAGGGAGAGAATACAGTCATGGGCTCTCAGACTGTATAAGGGGCCAATAAAGCCCCTTCCTCATCCCTCTTTTCCACTTATCGCTAGAGACAGAAGCTAAAAACCATGTCTGCAGGCTGCTAAAAGCCTAAAACAAAACAAAACAACAACAACAACAACAAAATAAGGTGGGTTGGACAAGCTTGCTAAAGCAACAACCACTTTATCTCAAGATTTTGTGGGTCAGGAATTTAGTATGGGACCAGCTGGGCAATTATTCTGCTCCAAGCTTGCACTGCCAGCTGAGGTCACTATGTAATACCCACTTGGGAGGAAGAAGGGCCATTCTGGGAAAGATAACATGGCTTCATTCCCATGTTACATTCGTAGGGATGACTGGAAAGCTGAATCAGCTGGCACTGTTGACCCGCATACCTACACATAACCTCTATAGTGTGGTGGTCACATCATAGCATCATCAGAGGTCTTATATGACAATTCAGGACCCTCAGATAGAGTGTCTTAAGGGACTGGAATTGAATGCTGCCTGTCTCAATGTCTAGGACCAAAAGCTTCTTGTGAAAAATCCGAGCTTCACTTTCCTGTATTCTATTGATCAAAAAAGCCATAGAGCCCATGCAAATTCAAAGGGAAAGGAAATTGATTATCTTTCTGTAAAAGGAGTGCCAAAGTGTATGCACTTTCTTCTCTACAACAGACACTGTTAAGAAAATAAAAGGACAAGCCACAGACTGAAAGAAAATATTTACAAAACACATATCTGATAGAGGATTGGTATCCAAAATATACACAGATATTTAAAATTCAGCATCAGGAAAACCACTCATTTGAAAAATTAGCAAAAATATCTGGCCAGACACCTCACCAAATAAAATATACAGAGGGAAAATATACATATAAAAATGCTCAACAGCCTATGTCATTAGGAAATTGCAAATTACAGCATCAGTATGTTACCACCACACTTTTATTAAAGTGACTGGTGAGGATGTAGAATAACAGGAACTCTCATTCATTGCTGGTGGGAATGCAAAATGGTATAGCCAGTTTGGAGGACAATTTGGTAGTTTATTATAAAAATAAATGTACTCTTACCATACTATCCAGCAGTCATGCTCCAAGGCATTTGCTAAAATGACTTAAAAACACGTCCACAAAACAACCTGCACATGAATATTTACAGCATCTTTCTTTATAATACAAAATTTGGAAATAACCAAGGTGTCCTTGAAGAGGTAAGTGATTAAACAAACTATAGCACATCCATACAATAGAGTGTTATTTAGCAATAAAAACGAACTATCAGGCGGGCACAGTGGCTCATGCCTGTAATTCCAGCAATTTGGGAGGCAGAGGCGGGCAGATCGCCAGAGGTCAGGAGTTTGAGACCAGCCTGGCCAACATGGCGAAACCCTGTCTCTAGTAAACATACAAAAATTAGCTGAGTGTAGTGGTGGGCACTTGTAATGCCAGCTACTTGGGAGGCTGAGGCAGGAGAATTTCTTGAACCTGGAAAGTGGTGGTTGCAGTGAGTGGACAGCATGCCACTGCACTGCAGCCTGGGTGACAGAGCAAGACTGACAAAAAAAAAAAAGAAGAATTATCAAACCATAAGAACACGGTATGATTTCAACTATATGACGTTCTTGAGGAAGCAAAGCTCTGGAGACCGTATAACGATCAAGGTTAAGGGGTAGGGCAGGTGAGCAAGTAGAATATTGGAGATTTTTAGGGCAGTAAAACTATTCTGTATGATACTGTAATGGTGGACACATGATAATATATATGCCTTTGTCAAAATCTGTAGAGTGTACAACACAAAGAATGAACTCTAATGTAGACTATGGGGTTTAATTAATCATAATTCAGTTAGTCATCTATTGTAATAAATGCACTATACTAGTGAGAGATGTTAGTATTAGCAGAAACAGGAAGCCATGCGGGAGTATATGGAAATTTTTAGTACTTTCTGGTCAATTTTCCTTTAAATCTAAAGTGTTTTTTCTTCCTTTTTTTATTTTTATTTTTTTTCTTTTTTGTTATGAAGTCTTGCTCCGTCACCAGGCTGGAGCGCAGTGGTGAGATCTCGGCTCACTGCAACCTCCGCCTCCCGGGTTCAAGCAATTCCCCTGCCTCAGCCTCCCGAGTAGCTGGGATTACAGGAGCATGCCACCATGACCAGCTAATTTTTTGTATTTTACTAGAGAAGGGATTTCACCATGTTGGCCAGGATGGTCTCAATCTCCTGACCTCATGATCCAGGCACCTCAGCCTCCCAAAGTGATGGGATTAGGTGTGAGCCACAAAGTGCTCAAAAAATCTATTAATTAAAAAATGTGTATGTAGCCATTTTAATCTACCATGTCCATTAGCAGATAAATACTATAAGCAAAATAGCAACAATGAAATAAACATAGCCTTAGAGTATATACTCTGATTTATTTCATAAAAATTTGAAAATAGACCAAGTTACTCTATGATTAAAAACAATCTGTTACTATTGAGGATGAGGGTTAGTGTTTGGAAAGGGGCAGGGGAAGTATCACTATTTTTAGTAATGTTCTATTTTCATATATGGTTATAAGCAAATAAATGTGTTTCATTAATCAAGTTGTCCATATTTAATCATAGTACTTTTCTGGATGTATGATATATGTCAATAAAATGTCTTAAATTATATACAGCAAAAATAGACAAAACCACAAGAATATATACACACATGTTAAACCTAGAGAGAAGTTTGAATGTAAGTAAGTCTCTGAATGACTGGTAGAACAAAGAGAAAATTAATCAGGATGTAGAGGTTTGGAACAGCATGATTAGCAAAATTGACATATCTGTCTTTTAATATAGGCAGAAACATAGTTAGATAAAAAAAGGACTTGTCTCAGAGTATGACTTCTGAAAATAGTGGAATCGAGTTTGAATCTAGTAACTACATGTAAATAAATGTCTTAAAACTCCTCTTATGTTAGCTACTTAAGAAATATTATTGTAATAGATATTAGAAAATATTTTAATAAATTGAGTGGATTTCACACTCTAAGGAAATAATCTTACTTGCATGATAGTTCAATTACATACATATATACCTATAGGTAGTTTAAAATATTTCTAATGACCTTATAGACTTTTAAAAAGCATTGATATCTGTTTGGACTATCTGGTCTGTAGAGTACACATACCACACATGATTATAGCTCTTCTGCTATAAACTTCAAATGTCTAATTAATACAAAAATCTAGAATGAGAACAGTTCTTTGCAATTTTTTTTTTTTTTTTTTTTTTTGCAGAATAGAACATAGGAAAGATAGCTGCAAATATACCTGACACACTTATCTGTGAGTATGGTGGTAGCCTTTATATTTTTATTTTTATTTTTTTGAGAGAGGGTCTCACTTTGTCACCCAAGATGGAGTGCAGTGATGTGATCAGAGCTCACTTAAGCCTTCATATACTGTGCTCAAGTGATTCTCCCACCTCAGCCTCCTGCGTAGCAGGGACTGCAGGTGCATGACACCATACTAGCTAATTTTTGTAGAGATGGGGTTTCACCATGTTGCCCTGGCTGATCTCCAACTCCTGGACTCAAGAGATCTGGCCACCTTCGCCTCCCAAAGTGCTGGGATTATAGTTTTGAGGCACCCCAATTAGCCCAGCCTTAAAAAAGGCTGACTAGATATCTATATCTATGTGTATCTGCCTATATATATAAAATAGATAAACATGTTTATTATATAAAAATATATATTATTAATATTATATAAAAAATTTTTTTCAAGGTAGAAATATATAAAGATGGTGCATGTGGAGCCTGGGTCATTGTGTAGTGAAGCTCAAGGCCTCTGAAGAAATGCCCCTTGCATCTTTTGTCTGGGCTAGAATCCAGGAAGGGAAAGCAGCATATGCACTGGTTCCCAGGTTCTTGGCATCCTACAGAGAGAAACATGTTTGAGCTAGGTTAGCGTTAAACACCCTTGTTCTTACTCTCCTGTTTTATGTAGTGAGCAGAGACTAGCTCCATGAGAACAGACTGTGACAGTCAAGGCTGTTATTTTGTGCAGCGTTAATTGAGAAATTCTAGCACCTGAAGATCTCTGGGCCATTTGAGGGCCATTTGAGGGTAGGTGCAGGGGAGGAAAGGGAAGTTTGCATCCCTCCTGCTGTGGAGATAACCTGTGGGAAGCACAGACCTTGTCCTAACTGAAGACAGACCCCCTTGCTAACCAGCTTCTCATCAGCCAACCCTGGATGAGTTTCCATGTGTATTTACTAAATAATCCTTAGTGCTTTTCTTCATATGGGTAAAGTATGGTTTACAGGGAATATTGTTCCTTTGAACACCCATTGTGCAAACCCCTTCCTGTTGTGGGAAAACAGGCTTCCATACATGTCTTATTGGGAAACTCATAGGCAATTTCTATGTTTTTAGTGCATCTATTTCATGGATATGGGAACTGAATAGTGCCCATCAAAGGCTCACCTGATGTTGGAAATTGATCTGAGAGCACAGAAGGACAGAATTCTTTCTTTGTTCCTGGGCAATGGTGGTTGAGGGATCATTTTGTGGCAGCTACAGTGGCAATGAGGGAGGCAGAATGGAGGGCTCAGAATGCTGCAATGGCAGCATTGCAGGGGTGCACTCTACAGAGCATTTGCTCACATGGTTTTGGGCATTGCTTCCCCAATGGGTTGACCCATTCTAAATAACTCCTTTTCTCCTTAAGAAAGCAAACTTCATTTGTATTACTTGCAATTGTAAATGACACCAATTGGCCAGTTATCATTCAAATTCTCTGTTAACTAATCCTGCCTTTTCCTAATGTACGCATCTTTCCCCTAAAAAATTGGACACTTTGTTGCTTACTCATTGTCTTTACATATTTTAAAATGTTCCTTTATGCCCCCAATCCCTAACTACATTTTCAATGTTTTGCAAATGGAGTTCATGTGTTCTTGATTTACATGAAGCTCAAAATAATGGTTTCAGTAACTAGTACTTCATAATCAAGCAACAAGCTCTTATTGAAAAATGACAGAACTATACATAGAGCTGACAACATGGAGAGATATTTCCTGAGATCACAAAGTTATGGTATGGTAGAACTAGAACGTTGAGTAGAGATTCTGTGTTCCCAATTGTTATTTCTACCACCAGCTTTCTATTTTGATGTTAATAATGTTCTTATGTGGGAAACCCTACATATTTGCCAATGTTTAGTCCATTGACAAAGAAATATAAAGAGCATCAAGAACACTCTAATCTTTAAAAAATAAAATATCTATAATTGGCCATACAAAAAAAATTGGTACTTGACATATACCGAGATCGTTTTATTTTGTGCTAGACAAATGAAGTCATAGAACAGAATGTGCTTTAAATATTATGAATAGTGCTTGCGTGTGTGTGTCTATAGATGCATGTTAGGCCACTGAAAAGTTTTATTATTCTTTCCAGGAGAGAGATTGCCAACTTTTGAACCTAATTAGAACAAGTATATTGCTTCTTCATATTTTTATTAAGGCAACAAGAGTCTAGTTAAAAATAATTCAACTTATCGTGGAAATGCTATAAATTGCTGTGAAGTGAGTTGCTGGCTATGGCTTGTCAGAGCAAATATGTTGCACAAATCTTAGGAGCGAATTAGTGCTTATGCATTAAAATCAAATCATCTTGCAGCACACTGAGCAAAAGGTTAGATTTTTAAAATAATTTCAAAGTCATGAAAAGAGCAAATATGCTCAACAAAGAGGCTAGCAGCCCTCAATAACCAATTCCCTTTTTATATAGTTTGGTATCTGAATTAGAATCCCAGAATCTACAAATTCCTCGGGGTGTGGGTGCTGCATTTTGAGGATTTTATAACACTGCCATCACCAAGCTCTCTTTTGATATTCACTTTAAGGAGATAATTTACAGGAAACCAGAGAGCATAAGCCAAAGTAGGTATCTATCTAGATAGATAGATACATCTCCATATCATTGACAGGATACCTTCTGGCCGAGTGTGAGTACAACGTATGGGTGTGGTTGGAGAGAACACGTGTCCCACATGAATGGCAGATCATGATTATTACTTCTCATCTGCTGCAATGGTTCAATGTGTTAAGGAGAGGAGTGAGACAGCAAGAACTGCATTCATTCGGTCATACCGACCAAAAGCAGGAATGTCGCCCAGCCCTCTAAACTGACCCAAAACCCAGCTCATATCTCAGCTGCTACCTCTACTACTTAGAAAGAAGTAACTCCGCCAAAGCAAGGTTCTGGACAAATATATTTTTACCGATCTTATACAAATAGATGAAGATGGACTTGGATGGTAAGAAAAATAATACTATACAAAATCAAGAGTAGACGGTCACCTCTAGACTTAAATTAAGAGTGTGTACATTAGATAATTTAATCCAATGTATCAGGTAAAAACTTGAACAAACCTTTTGGCCTCTTCCATAAAATTCAGGGAAGCATGTCCTCTACAAAACAGAATCAAAATATAAATAAAAGACTGGCTTAAGATGAAAAGAAACCTTATAAATGATAAGAAGCCAGATGAGAGGCACTTAACTGAGAATAAAAAGAAACTGAGTGGACAAAATAATTATGAGAAGATGAACCTTCAAATCAAAAAGAGGGAAAAAAGCTTATTTGATAATATGGGAACTCAAAAGAGAGTGAACACAAATGTGAAAAATCCAAGAGTACAAAAAAGTAGCATAACTAAATTAAGAGCATGAGAAAATGTATACAATTTTGAGAAATAAGAACAGAAATCAAAAGTTAGATTTGTATGTTAAATTTTAGTAGAGCAACACTGAAGAATAATGAAAACAAGAAATAATATGATTAAATATGAACATATGGAGAACAGAATAATATTTTTAAAACTTTTAGTTTCTAAGTTTATCTGAAATTTTAATTTTGGTTTCTTATGTAATACCACAGTTATTAGGAAGGTATTAGCTAATAACACTATTTTCAGTGATATTTTATTGTAAGTATTTGTCCTAGAAAAATTTCTATTTTTAAAAAATGTATATTTAAAGATACATTAAATGTGTATATACATCAGTCATATGTATCGATTTCTGTTTTTTTAATTGAAAATGAAATTTGTATTTTTGTGTTCCTGGAATAAAATAAACTTGAATGGATTGTAATATATTATTCATGCTGTAATTCAATGTATTTGAATACTTTAAGAATGTTACATTTATAGTTAAGAGATATTAACCTATAAATTTTCTTTCATATAATGATGCTTTGAGACAATCTAAGAATAGTTAAAACTTTAAATTCATGTATTCCTACTTTTTTTTCTGTTCTCTAACTGTAATATATTTTAATTACAGATGGAGGAACAGACAGATGTTAGATAAATAGCTATATAATAACTAGATCATCCAAAATTATTATTCTTATGGTTTTATGTAGTCAGTATTTACCTCTATTTTTCAACATGTTTATCCTTCCAATTTAGTTCATTACTTCCTGCACCTTTGATGTCATATATATAAACAGGAAATAATACATGGTAGCCAGGATGTAGAGAGAGCCACAGGACTTGTGAATAAAATCCACAGGCAAGGATGTGGCGATTCCTTTTGCAGTATTGGAGGGAATGCCAAACACTATGTTTGCTGTGGAAAAGAGTATGGTAGTTCCTCAAAAAATCAAAATGGTATTGCCATATGATCCAGCAGTGCCACATCTCAGGATAGCAAAAGAATTGAAAGCAGAGTCTTGAAAAAATATTTGTACACCCATGTTTGCAGCAGCATTATTGACAACAGCTAAAATGTAGAAGCAATTGAAGTGTCCAACAACAGATGAATGGATAAGCAAAATATGATGTATACATACAACGGAATATTATTCAGCCTTAAACATGAGGGAAATATTCTGACGTATGTTGCAACTTGGAGGAAACTTGAGGATATTATGCCAAGTGAAATAAGTTAGTCAGTGAAGGACAAATACAGTATAATTCCATTTGTATAAGGGACTTAAAGTGGACTGAATCATAGAGATAGTACAATGATGGTTGCCAGAAGCTGGGGGGAGGAAGAAATGGGGAAGTATTGTTTAATGGGTATAGAGTTTCAGTTTCACAAGAGGAAATGAGTTATGGAGATGGATGGTAGGGATGGCTGCACAATGTTATGACTATATTTAGTACCACTGAACTGTACACTTAAAATGGTTAACAGAGTACATTTTATGTTATGTGTATTTTACCACAATAAAAAATAAAATACCTTAGGAACATTTTCATGAAAGAGTTCACATAAAATTCATTTTAATGCATGTGTTTATGCATAGCTTTCTATTTTTCTCTTTTCTATTTATATTCCAAATTAGAATATAACGCTAATCAAGCACAGTGGCTGTGTTTCTTGCTTCCTGTAGTCTGCAGGTAGCATACAAATGTAATAAACTATTTATTAATGTTACATCTATTTATTTTCTGCCTTATACCAAGCTTGTAGGGTTATCTTAAATATAACATTTTTATACTTACACCTATGCAATACCCATTAGCATCGCTTCCCTAAATCAGAGGAAATTGAGCCTCTGTAAGGTGGAGTATCTTAGTAAGATACAGAACTCAGCATTAAAGTCTGTATACTTCAATATCCCGCCCTCTTCTCATTTGTCTTTACTGCCTTTTATGTATGTGTTAGATGTTCAATAAATTCTCTTTTTTAAACTGAATTTAAGCTGTGGAGCAGTGTTTTGTTGAACAATAAATATGATATAGGACACTATTCCTACCTTTCATTTATGATCCAGTTCATGAAAAAGAGAAATTCTTTCATTGTGCTAGAAGCTTAAAATAATGAAAACGCCACTTTCTACATTAAACAGAAACTGAAGGGAATCAAGGTGAATTGCATGAGACATAGAAAACAAGTGGGAAAGAAATCTAATATAATTTGCCCTTTGTGTACCTTTATTATTTAGCATTTGAGTAAATGTTTCCCCCAAATATCTTCCCATCTTAATTCATGTCTATGAAGTAGACATTTATGTCTCACCTTGTCAAGAAGGGCAAACTCTAACATAAACATTTCCTAAAAATGCTTCCTGCTAAAACGTAAGCTCAGTCTGGCTAGAAATTAAGCTCCCTTCATAAAGATTAATTGGTAGCTAATCTTTGCATGCTGTTCTCTGAACCTGAGTGAAAGCTGTCCATCAGGCATAAGGGGAATTACGGAAAAGGCGACAACAGAAGATGAATGCTATGTCACTAACCTTCAAAGATGACCTTCCTTTTCTTTTAAATTCTTGATATCTTAAGACTTAATTAATTCATCTCTCTTTGCCCTTGGTTCAACGTTGTGCTATACCAAAACTCGTGTAAAACAATGATCTAAGGTAATAAAAATGGCATTTTTCTTTCACATAGATGCAAGCTAACTGGCATTTTTACAATCTACATATTTTCTTTGTCAATTTTTCATTCTATATTGGAAGTAATTGATAGGTATTTCTGAAGGGAAGAAGGTGTGTCTGTGTTCATTGTGATCCAAACTTTTTTTAGACCTAGCGGTGTTTGTAAAACAATTTGTGCCAGCTGACCAAGGACCACTGTGGCAGAAAGCAGCAAACTTGCATAAGATGTCACTGCCTCATAAGTTGGCTTTGAAAACTAGGGGCTTACTGTATAGTCTTATGAATCAAAAACATTGATAGATGTAGTATAAGATTACAATCATATTTTCCTTTTGACAGTCACATTATAAAGCATGATGTATTGCAATTAATCTCAATTAGCTGATCACAATTAAAATTAATAATGTTTATTATTGCTGATAAACAATCATGACTCTCCTGTTCTGAAATGTGCAAGTAATTCTTGTAATTTTGATACAAATTTGCATATTATTACTAATTAATTTAATCTCATTGGATTTGGTTCATGGATCCAATTTATTAAAATATTGATAATGGGATAATGATTTGTCTCCTCATTTCATTTACACTAAAAGCCACAGTTCTTACAATGGTCTGCAAGCCCATCATGATCTGCCCCATGTTAACCACCAAAATTCTTTTATATCTTCACCCTTGATCTTACCAGTGGCCCTGGCCACCTCACTGTCCTCTGGACATGCCAACATGCTGCCGCCTTATGACCAAGACTCTAGTTAATTTCTTGGCTTAGAAAGATAGCCCTCCATATATCCATTGATCAGCTCATTCAACTTCCTCAAGTCTTTACTGAAGCTTCACATTCTCAGTGAGACCTATTCGGTATTTCAAACTGCCTCCCAGCTGCAACACTCCAAAACCCCTTACTCTTCTGTGTGTTTTTGAAAGGATTTATTGAGATATAATTTACATAGTGTAGAGTGCACACATTAATGTGTACAAGTCAATGGCTTTCAGTATATGCACAGATAAGTGGAGCCATCATCACAATGAATTTTGTAGCATTTTCATCACTTCAAAAAGAAACCCCACCTTCTTTAGCTGTTAACCTCCTATGCGCCCATCCCCTACTCAATCCTAAGCAATCACAAATCTGTTTTCTGTCTCTATAGCTTTTCCTATTCTATTTTCATGTAAATAGAATCATATAATAGGTGGCCTTTTGTGCCTGGCTTCTTTCAGTTAGCATAATGCTATCAAGGTTCATATATGTATTGGTACTTTATTTCTTTATATAACTGTATAACATTCAATTTCATGGATATAACATTTTGTTTATCCAATAATATTTTTATTGACATCTGAGTTGTGTTCAGCCTTTGGCTATTTTAAATACTGCTGCTAAAATACTTGTGTATGATTTGTGTTTGAACACCTCTTTCCAATAATCTGGGTGTATGCCTAGGAATAAATTTCTAGGTCATATGACAATTCTATGTTTAATATATTTAGAAGCCATCAAACTATTTTCCAAAATGGCAAGTTCTAGCCATTGAGTATCTAACTGTGGTTTTGATTGGTAACTGCCTGATGAGTAATGCAATTGAGTATCTTTTTATGGGATTATTGACCGTTTGTGTATCTTCTTGGGAAACATATCTATTCCTATCCTTTATCGGTTTTAAGTTGGGATATTTGTTACTGAGTTAAAACAATTTTTCTATATTCAAGATACATATATATACAGACATATAGATACGTGTTTTTCAAATATCTTCTCACAATTTTTGAGCTGCCTTTTGACTTGCTTGGTTGTCCTTTGAAACACCAATGTCTTTAATTTTCAAGAAATTTTAAATATCTAATTTTTATTTTGTTGCTCATGTTTTTGGTGTTATAGCTATTTCTTTGCTAGATCCAAAATCCTGAAGATTTCCCCATATGCTTTATTCTAGTTTTTGCATGTATGTCTTTAATTCATTTGAGTTAATATTTTTGTATGCTTTGGGGTAAGGGTTTGAATTTATTATTTTGCAAGTGGTGATCCACATGTACGTTGTGGACCCAAAGTTTGTTCAAAGACTGTCTCTTCCTCATTGAATTGCACATGGCACCACTGTAAGAATCCACTGACTATAGATACATAGTTTTATATATGGACTGTCAATTCTCTTCCATCAATCTATATATTTTTCCTTCATCAGTATCATGTTGTCTTGATTATTGATGATTTACAGTAAGGTTTGGAGCACAGGGGTGTGAATTATCCTAACATGTTTTATTTTTTCAAGATTATTTTGGCTATTTTGAGTCCCTTACAATTCCATATGTACTTTAGAATCAGCTTGTCAGTTTCTAGACAGAAGTCTGTTGGGATACTTGCAGGGATTTCATCAAATCTGTAGTTCAAATTGTAAAGTACTACAATATTAAATCTTCCAATTCATGGCTGTAAGATGTTTGCTAATTATTTAGATCTTCTTTAAACAATAATTTTTAATTTTCAGAGTAAAATATTGTATTACATTTTCCAAATTAATTATTACTTCATTTTTTGATGCTATTGTAAATTGAAGTATTTTCTTAATTTCATTTTGGGGTTTTCATTGTAGATGTGTGCAACTGATTTTTGTATATTTATCTTGTATGTTGTAATATTGCTGAAATAATTTACTAGTTCTATCGTTCAGTGGATTCCTTAAAATTTCTATATACGAGAATATGTTATTTGCAAATAAAGTTTTATTTCTTCCTGTTCAATAAGGGTGACTCTTATTTCTTTACTTGCTGATTTGCCCTGCATAAAATCTTTATTACAATGTTGACTAGAAGAGGTCAAAGTATATATCCTATTCTTATCTCTGACCATAACAGGAAAGTATCCTTTCTTTCACCATTAAGTTGAATGTTTGCTGTTGGCTTTTCACAGGTGCCATGTATCTGGTGTAGAAAGTTCTCTTCTATTCATGGCTCAATGAGTTTTTATTTTCATTTTTATTTTTAATCATTAAAACATTTGGATTTTGTTAAATGCCTTTGCTGAATCTATTGAGATGATCATGCAAATCTTGTTTCTTATTCTATGGATAAGATGTATTACCGTAATGGATTTTGGGCTGTTAAACCAAATGCATCCTAACATTTACCCTTACCTACAAGATTTCCAAGATTCATTTATTATCTTTAGATGATGTGCATTTAAAGATTTACCAAATAAAACTATAATAGAGGAAAATATCAAGATGTTATTAAATTCATCTTGTGCACATAATTTTGTTTCCCTTAAATTTATGTTTCTTGCAAAACTTACAGTAATGCTCATGCACAAAATAATTTTATAAATAAAAAATAAAAACAGTTTCTCAGTCATTAATTCTTAATAATTTCTCCCCAATAATTAATGTGAATTCTTAACTCTTAATTATAGAATAATGTTCCCCTTCAGAGTTCTGAATCTTTTGCACGTTGTATACATTTTACTAACTAGAACAACTTCTGAAATATTGGCATTAATTAATGTCACTCAGCAATTATTGATTTCAAAGAAATTAAATACCATTCATATTCTGAATCACAAGGGTACTTTGGCATCTAATTTAATCAAGATCTTTGTATCATCATCTACACTTTAATTACTTAACAAACATTTCTCTGTGTGAGAAAGATTGAGCAGGTTATTGTGCTTTTTTCAAGATGCAACTTTTGCTCAATCTAGAGATAGGCAATGCTCCCTATAAGGGAAAAAGAGAAAAATCAATGAGCAATAGAGATGTGACAGGCATGGAAAAAGACAATACATTTATAAAACAAATAGAGCCACAGATGATGATAATGGGGATCAAATCTTGAGATACTGACACAGTTTATAACCGCACTGTATAATAGAGCAAATCATTTGTTAATTTTTTTACAAATGGAAACACCTTGATTTAATTAAGATGAATACAGTGTTTTAAACAAGGCAGGTCATCTTAAAATGAAATCGTGGAATAAAGTGATAAAACCAATGTTAAAATCATAAACATTTTATAAAGAACTTTTTGTCATGTAATTTAATATTTTTATTTAAAATCACCCAAATCAAAATAATTATATCTTAATTAACAAATAATCATCAGAAGTTAACTAATTTTTACTTTATAATACTAGGCTTAAAAATTCTTAACTATACCTTTAATCATATATGCTTATATATAAAATAGACATAGGATATATATTTACATTTTCACAATATTATATTGTAATTGTTCCTATGGATGTGGTTTTTCAATAGAATTAATAAGTACTTTTAAAAATTTTCAATTTCAATGATATATATGTTTGATTTTTCTTTGACAAAGCATACATATATTGATAGGTAATAATATGAAAATATTCTAAAGACATTACAGGAACACGAAAATGTAATTAAGTACTCACTGATTTGTAATGTTTTATGTAACCAGAACACATTTAACTGAAAATTGTTTTTATATAATATTCGAATGAGACTAAAAACATATTAACTAGTGGAGTAAGTCTTCAAATTGATAATCTGAACTATATAAGAGGAGAAATTTCAGTCACTAAAATATTTGAAATGCTATAAAATATTTACATAAATTATTATTTAACAATTTCTGTTTGTAGAGTGCTATACAGTAATCAATATAGATGACATCTCAAGTCTTTCTATGGCTTTGACCACATTTACCTCCTAATTTTAATTATTAATATGTTGGAGCAGTGCATACAACTAGATTCCGATCTTCTTTTTTAATGAGTAAAAATATGTCCTTTGAGACAGCATTAAAGAAAGAGCACCTTGTATGAATTCAATGCCAAGAGACAAGATACTCTTGATTCTGAAGTCTTGTTCTTTTATACAGCAATATAATTAATAATAAGAAAAGCAGGACATAAGTGTGGAGTCTATTTTAATCAAAAATTGTCTATAGATTTTGATGATAAAATTTAAAACTCTACTATATTTAGTTAGTTACAAAAAACTAGGTTGTGGGAACATATTTGGTCAATAAAACACCCCTACCAAATGCTGACAAGAAAAAAAGTTAGGTACCACCTTTCTTCTCTGCAGGTGGCCTGACATGGGTTAATTTGAAAGAATGCTTCCACACCTGAGGTGACCCCTGAGAACAGCATAATTCACTACTGTCTCCTACATTCAGTTTCTCAGTTTGTGCTCTTTTAATTTTGGGGGGAAGGAAACCAGTCCTTTAAACTGATCTTCAGCATGATGGCAGAGCCAAGGAGTGTGGACAGGTGGCACGGTGTCTGACTTTGTTCCAGCAGCCACTTGGGCTTTCTCCGGGTCTTCTCTGCCCTAGGGATAGCACCACTATTGAAAACATGTCTTTGTGACATTCTCTATGCCAGGAAGCCCCAGTGCATTTTCCTTGAAACTGATGAAATGAATAAAAATAAACCAAGAGGTGTGCTGTTCGTTTCTGTTTCTTCCTTTCCGCAGCCCTTCTTGATCATCTAATATTTTAATTACATTGTCGATCACCAAAAGGAGCATAAGGGGTATACTGATTTGTAGCAGATGTATTAATAGCCCAGCCCCTATCCCTTACCTGTAGCTGCTGGGAAGAAAACCATTCTTAACACTCTACAAGGTCTCATCTCCAGAATTTGCACCTGTTTCTAGCTGAGGACTTTCTCTAGCAGCACGGGAGCTTGTTACTGGGCATGAAGTGGGAAGAAAAGGTGATGGTAACTAAGAAGATTCTCCCTGGATTCAGTGATGTAATTCTGAGGCATGTTCCACATAGCTTCCCACAGAATTAAGTCCAGATATCTAACACAGGAACTTGCCTCTTAACACGTGTGGCATTGGCTTTTCTATCTTTCCTGTTTTGTTTTGTTCTCTCTTCCTTGTCTCACTTTCACTGTGTCCTCACTCCTGCTTTAAGAATACCCAAATAAATATATTCATTTATTTTTTTACACTCTCAGAACACAGTTGATAGTTGAACTTGTAATCTATGATAATCAGCTTGGATGCTATACTGACAGGAAGATGGTGAACTCACAATGTCTAATTAAGTTAAGATAAAATTTAAAAAATATTGACTCATGTCCAAAGATTTTAAAAAACCTAACCAGGCAGTGTCATAATTTCTTCTTTTTAGTTTACCAGGTTTCTTAAATGCCTACAATTATTTTAAAGGAAGCCGTGTGTCCAGGAAAAATTGAGACATATGGAATAAATTACTAACCCATTTCTCCTTGAAATCCATTAGATGCTTAATGATTTTTTACATATATTTCTGAATTGAAAAGCTACTTGTGAATTATTTTTATAAGCATATCCTTATGTAATGTTTTGTTTTTAACAGTGAATTGAAGGTTTAAAGATTCTATCCAGAGAATAAAAAGCAATTATTTCACAAGGAGAACATGTATATGTTGAGATGACATTTTAAAATCTAGATTTTAAAATAGGTCCCATATATTTTTGAGTCAATTAGAATATGTTTGTATCAGTCTGTCTACAGTTTTAAACCTGTCAAAATGTACTTGAACTACAAGTACCTTGAACAATTTTGAAATTTATTATTCCTCTGAAACTGATTAAAAGAATTATGGTATAGTGAAATTCTGATTGGCATAATTTGGGAGAGGAATTATTCCTTGGAGATCAACCCCTGCCAAGATAGTTTATAATGACATTGAGACTTTTTGATTTACAAAATTTGTTATATAAAAAATACTAAGATGATGGCATAATACACAGACTTTAATTAAGATTGTACTAAAATTAAATGTCTAAATAAATTAGAAGGGTACGTGGTACATCTAATTGTATGTTTATATATTTTATTTCTGCATTTATTCCTAGGGTTGTTTTTGCTTTAGTTTGTAAAACGTTCTTATTTTCACGATAATGTATTATATACAAAATAAAGAAAAATCAGGAAATAGAAAATGAAGAAGAAAACACTAGCTATTGTCAACCAAATAAAAATTGTGCAATCTCTAAGCACATGAACTATGTATTATTTGTACAACATGTACAATGTTTATGCTTCACAGGGTGAGGTAGGGACTGCAAAACATTTAACCTGGGACAAATAAGAAAGTAAGGACATTTTCACAATATATTAATATTATAGAAAATGTTGAACTTAACAGTTAAGATAAAAGTAGTGAAAAATGATAGTATTTAAGGAGATCTAGAAAATTTAATCTGTATCTCTAGTGTGTGAGAAGCATTAGAATAATGCTTGTATTTCTGGATTGGCATTGATTTCTATTGGGACTGGAAACATAATAGAAGTGAGGGAAAAAGAATTTAAATTGTGGATATTTGAGTTTTATACCTAGGAGTTCGAGAAATATATTTTGTTACTATCAAAGCAGTTGGCACAAGAGTGTACAGAATTCCCTAATTGAGGCTATGTGGAGACATAGACAAACAGAATAGCAAAACAGAAATAGCAAAAAGGCAGAAATAAGTTTTACCTGTATGTAAAAGCCAATTAGAGTAGGAAAACATGAAATTTGTGTTTTATCAAAATTTTTCTCTTTCTTATAATATAGTTGATTACTGGAAAAAAATTGAAGCATTGGTATGTTAACAAAAAAAAGTAAAATATAAGGTCAAAACCATGGGAATGCAGGGAGCAGACAAAATATACCTGAACACTGAAACTGATTTTGACCTACGGACATGTACCAAAATGAATGAGTGCAGATTCCTCCTGTCATACATCACATAGGACAGTAAAGAAATACATAGTTTTTCCCAAGATAGGGCATCACACAGGAGCTCCTCCCTAAAGCTAGGACCAAAATTTATATCCTCAGTATAAAGAAGAATCAGAGGTAAATTAGTCCCATTTCACATTCCCTGCAAATGCCAATGAAAATGACTTGAGATTGGACAGATTTAAAGAAACTCAATCATTAATGATTTACAGCAATTAATTTAAAAAGTGTTTAATTGTGCAGTCCAAACATACGTCCAAACACCTTTAGGCCAAGAATTAACATAAGGTGGTCCCAGAATGGTGGTGCCTTTAGTAGACTCACAAAAAAATTCAAATTCTCTTTGGCAAATTTTCTTCCAACTAATCCTCAAAAGTGCACAAAAATAATTTTCAAAGAAAAATAAATATTTGTCATTCAAAGGCATCTAAGTACACAAGGAAATGATATTCCACCATTTGAAAGGGAAGCAGAAAAAGAGTACAAACAGATCCACAAAGGTTCATTAGTAGAAATATCATTGTTAGATTATAAAGCACATTTGCTTTAAAAAAATTTTAAAAAATGAACATATTTTTAGGAGACTAAAAAAATTGATGTAGCAAATTCAAAAAGTAGTTTGTATAAAAATATAGTATTTTAAATTAAAAACTCAAAAATGAACTCATCAGATTAGACATGGCCATGATGAGAGTTAATAAATATTTCAGAATGCATTACAGATAATTTGAAAAAATGCAAAATGTGGACAGAATCATTAAGAGACATGGAAGATGCAGTGAGAAAGTGTAGCATGTGTTTAGTGAGTGTTCTCATAGAAGAAAGGAACTGGGAAGGGACAATATGTGATGGTATTTTGGCTGAAAGTTCTCTAGACTTTTGTAAGACACTAATCTGCATATTCAAGAATTCAATGCTTGCTAAGCAAGCTACAATGGAGATAAACCTACACCTATGTATATCCTAGAGAAATAGTAAACAATCAGGAAGGGAAAAATATTTCAATTAGCACTAGAAAAATCAAATTACCTTTAGTCATATTGAAATCTGAAAGAGTGAAAGGTAAAATAAACAATATTATTTGTTAAGAATAATAATGCCATTCTGAGATTCTCAACTAAGAAAAATATTCATCAACCTATGGCTAAATAAAATATTTAGAGACAAAAACCAAAATGCCACCAGCAGAATTCCACTAAAGAAACTAAAAAGGAACTCTGAAAAGATGCTTCAGAACGGTTGAAGTTCTGAAATCAAAGAATGAACAAAGAGCAAAATCTATTGTAAACATACAGATAGATCTAAATAATTAGGTGTTGAAACAAAAAGATATTTAAAATTAGATAAGCACTGCAATATGTATATTGGGAAGCAAATAATTAGTGCTGAAGTATTCAAAAACCCCTTAATTGTCTGACAAGAGCAGAAAGGTAAGTATGACTTTGCAACTTTTTTTTTTTTTTTTTTTTGAGACGGAGCCTCACTCATTCTGTCGCCCAGGCTGGAGGGCAGTGGCGCGATCTCGGCTCACTGCAACCTCTGCCTCCCAGGTTCAAACAATTCTCCTGCCTCAGCCTCCTGAGTAGATGGGATTACAGCCGCGTGCCACCATGCCCGGCTAATTTTTGTATTTTTAGTAGAGACGGGGTTTCACTATCGTGGTCAGGCTGGTCTCCAACTCCTGACCTCGTCATCCACACGCCTCGGCCTCCCGGCCTCCCGAAGTGTTGGGATTACAGGCGTGAGCCACTGCGCATGACCGACTTTGGAACTTTAACAAATTCACTGGACATTAGGCATTTCTCTGTTGTATCTATGAAAACAATAAAAATAAAAGTAATAATTTAAAAACAAGAAGACAGAAACTGATAGGAGAAAATGAGACATAATATATATATATATATATATACAACAAATTAAAAAACAAATTAAGTACAAATGATCAAAGATTAACTTAAACATAAGTAGACAATGTTTTTGTTAAAATAGAAAGATAGGCAAAATTAAAAAAATCCCTCTCTATCGTAGTTACAAGAGAGGCAACTAATATATAAATTTACAGAAACTTTGAAGTTCAAACAATACAGATACTGTGTATATATGATATACATACAAATATACTACATGAATATAATTTTTAAAAAAGTTGCTATGTAGACAAAATAGAATGTGAGTTAGAAACATTTATTAAAATAAGTTAGGCTAACCAGTGTGATAAAAGTTTTAAGTTATTAAGAAGATGTGATGACTTAAATGTGCATTAGCCTGATACATATATACATACACACACACACACACACACACACACACACACACATATTTAGAGAGAGAGTCAAATTATATAAAGCAAAAATATCAGAAAGTAAGTAGAAATGGATAAGCCCCCAAATCATTACAGACATTTCAAACACACATCTTTCAGTAATAGATAAAAGAAAAAATTAAAAGAGTAAGTTTTAAAAGAAGCTAGTGGATTTTAAAAAGGGCAAATGTTATATATGGAACACGAATATTATAATTCGTGTTATCTTCATGTTCATACAGAATACTTACAAAAATTAACATTTTCTAGACCATAGCACAAATTCAAACAATTTTCATGGAAATAACGTGACACAGAATATATTTCCTAAACAAACAGCAATCAAGGTAGATATCAATACAAAAAAGAAAGCGAGAGACATAAGTCTAATAATATTGGTTGGAAGCTATTTTAATGAATATTGAAATATTTTAAAGGTGAATAGTCAATACAAATGAACCAAACACTTTTGTAAGGCCACTAAGATGTATGTGTAATGTGTAATGCTTCCTTTTATAAGGAGTAAATCTGTAACATCACCTGGGCTATATGACAACTGCAAAGTGAATGTGAGAAGGAGAGAAACAGTGAGAGAGAGAGAGATAAAACCATTAAAATAAACATAAAGAATGAAGGAAATAGCCAGGCACCATGGTTCACGCCTGTAATCCCAGCACTTTGGGAGGCCGAGGCAGGTGGATCACCTGAGGTCAGGTGTTCGAGACCAGCCTGGTCCAACATGGTGAAAATTGCTCTCTACTAAATATACAAAAATTAGCCTAGTGTGGTGGCATGCACCTGTAATCCCAGCTACTCGGGAGGCTGAGGTGGGAGAATTGCTTGAACCTGGGAGGTGGAGGTTGCAGTAAGTAGAGATCACGCCATTGCACTCAAGCTTGGGCGACAGAGCAAGACTCCATCTCAAAAAAGAAAGGAGGACATTGTACATGAAAAAGCAGAAATTAAAGCAATTGAGTATATATTTAAAAATGCAAAAGCTCGCTTTTTCAGAAAAATATTAAAATATTAAATCTAACAAATATCTAGGTAGACTGATGGAGAAAAATACAGAAAATGTACAAAAAACCAATTACCTGGAATGCGAAGGATACAAAATGTCAGCAGTTGTAGATTTTAAATAAGGAGTGACTTTGAGTTCAACCATGATGGGGTATATTGAAAAGAATGTCTCAGAAAAAAAGAAAAAGAAAACTGTTATAAAGCTACGTACAAAATGTTAAGCACTATTAAAATCTTCCAATTCTACCAGTTATGGAGTTATTGGTCTTGTACTAACTCTCCTGAAAAGAAAAACAAACAAACAAACAAACAAAAAACAAACCTAAAAGCCTGGATAAAATAGCCTACCGTGGGCACTGGCAATGCAACCAAGCAGGTAGGATATGGGTGCTACATTCTCTTTGTCAGAACACGAAGCATTCATACACTCTTCTCACCCTCACTCTCACCTTTTAATCTTAGATCTACTATTAAATGTATTCAACATTACTATCAATCCTTTGGTCAAAATTTCTTTACTCACATTTTGCTTGATGCACTTGGATAGACTATTCAAGAAAGTGTGAGTAGTGAATTCCTCAAACTCTTGCATATTTAAAATTACATTTTTGAACCTTGATGCTTGAAGTGTAGCTTGGGTAACAGGTTGGCTTTAAGCCAATTTTGGCATGCAAGGGGTTGAATTTATTAAGCATCAGACCTCTGAAAATCGTGGGGATGCAGGATTAATTTCAACACTATTCTAAATACTTGAAAGATATTACATAATTCTTTAATAAACTCCTGTGTCTACAAATGGTTCAGATTAACTCACTATCCATGATTAAACATCCATAAAATCAAGGCATTGTTATTTAGTGGAGACTTGCTGGCTATTCTATGAGAGGAGGTATTGTTATTGTAATCTCATCCTCTCTTAAAAGTGTATCATATTACTCATAATCAGCCCTTCATATTCTATTCCTATTTTGGTATTTCAACATAAGACATCTTTGAAACACTTGAATTCAAAGAGAGAATCTGAATAGTTTTTAAAATGTCAATGAAATGCCATTTCTTCATGCTTGAACAACTAGAAATTGACTAAAGTGCTTCTCTTCAAACTTTCTGGAACATTTTTTATCAAAATTCTAAGAACAATCACAATAGGTTTTAACTACAAATGTGAGGATATTCTAAATGTCAGGGTGGAAAAATTTTTAAAATAATTTTATAGTAATTTTTTTCATCATAGTGACAGTGTGCTAAATTTTTTAAGTCAAATATTACTGTAGACATTTAAGTCAAGATTCTAGGAAGTTGTTCTAAAGTCCAAAATTTAGTTTCATATACAATGATATTATATATATATTTGTATATAAAATTAATATATGTGACCCATGTTTGAAATAGTTGAGAGATTATTATATCAAAGATTCTTGATTATATAAAAGGCCAATTACTTATAGGCACACATGCTTTAAATAATTACAAAGGCAGTTGTGGTTGATTCAACTCTTGCTACTGGCATTTATATGGATATAATATTATGGTCTGAACAATATTTAGGTAAATTTATCCCTCATATGATCAGAAGAACAATGCAAGATAGTTTATATCTGAAAGGAAAAAAAATCTTTATATGGTTCTGAAAGTCTAAATCATTAACAACTTGGATAATAATTAGAATAAAAATACACAAATATGCCCTCTTCCTAGCAATAAGTACACAGTGACAACAGAATCAAAGCATGTGGCTATGTGCATGTTTATATTTCAAGACGCAGAGCACTCTATTCCTCTTCTCTGTCCTTTCTAGATGGCACAATTCCTCATGAATCTAAGTGCAGTCATAGGTTGGATTAGGGTGACCTGCCGTTTGTATGCAACTGATCTCTATTTTGGAAGTAATTAAAGTAAAAATATATTTTTAAAAGATAATTTCAAATTTCAGTGCAAACTAGCATGGTTTCACACCTTTTCTTTGTAACATTTTTACTAAGGTTGGAAAAGTAAGGTAGGCTTTAGTACGATTTTTAATAATAAGTTTTCAAAGTGAGATGCAAAATCGTGGCGCCAACACATTTCAAGTCTGCTACATTTTGAATACACTTACTGGAGAAAAGAGCTTCTCATCATTTTTCTCTTACAGGAAAGGAAATAGCATGTACAGTTGACCCTTAAGCAACACGGAGGTTAGGGGTGCTGGCCCCCCTGCACAGCAGAAAATCCACTATAACTTTGACTCCCCCAAAACTTAACTATTAATAGCCTACTGTAAGCCTTACAAATAACACAAGCAGTCAATTAACACATATTTAATATGTTATATATCTTATATACTGTATTCTTACAAACATGTCAGAGAAAAGAAAAAGAAAATCATAAGGAAAATGTATTTACTAGTTATTAAATGGAAGTAAATGATCAAAAAGGTCTTCATCCTCATCCTTTCATGGGCAGGGTGTGGAGAAAGATGTAGAATTGTTGGTTTTGCTAAGTGGACCTGCACAGTTCAAACCCCTGTTGTGCAACGGCCAACTGTATATCCATTGAACAGCAATTTATTTTTAGAAATTAACCTCACTAAAATACTCTTAGAAGGATGCCAAGAAAAAAATGAATAAGTATTTTTGGTTCATCCATGGTGTCAGTAAAAAACAGACCCTACTATAGGTTTTGGTCATACAGTAAAATTTACATAATACTATGTAGTTAATGCAATTAATAATAATGTGTATTTTTACATGAATCAAAGGAAAGATGCCTATGATATATATTAAATGTATATTGAGATTTACTTAAACAGTTTTCTGGTTAAAAATTACAGTATAGTATTTAAATGAATTATAAGAAGTTATGATAATATAAAAATTATTGTTATTTTCAGATTCCATTATACACATACAATCAATGTAAATGTATTTGTATTTTTTCATTTTATTGTTTACTTGTATATTCCCACATGAATGTGAACTTCTTAAAAATGAAATCTTACTCTTTTTTAATTCAGAGTTTATACCTGCAATATTTTACTGAAAAATATTGCAGTGCTATTTTTAAGTAAATAATAGAGATCCTTGTTTTAATTTTAATCATAGTGTATAGCATGTTAATTTCCATGCATTCTACTCTATGATTATCGTATCACAAACTCAAACAAGCCACTACTGCTAGACACTCAAAATTATGTAATTTTGTTTTCTGTGAATGACATAAAAATAAAAACCTTGCATATAAATATCTGCAATTATTCACTTATTTGCGTTAGATATATTTCTGTAAGTAGAATGTCTGAACAAACATAGTAATATTTTTCTTTCATGATATTATTAGAAAATACATTGACATGGTATTCCTTTTATAATTTATGAAAATGTTAAAATGCCCTATACATTTGTTATTCTCCAAATGTTTATGAAAATTTCTACTCCTATCAGCTCTGTATGAGATGGCTCTTGTTCCATGTTTCTACAAAAACATAATCGTTTGATTTTTTGAATTTTTGAAAAATTTGTGATTGTAAAATAGTGTCATTTACTTAATTTTCATTGAAATTTTTAATGTTCGTGCAGGTGTCTATTGTGAGATTCCTACGCAATCTGGATATATTTCTGTGAGAGGAATCTCTGAGCTCATACAGTATATCTTATCTTATGGTACTATTGAAAATACATTGACATAATATTTCCTTTTAAGATTATGAAGACTGAAACAACCTACACATTATTCTGTGTCTTCACTTCTATGTCTTTCATTATGTTTTGGCTCCATATAGAAAGGTCTTCATGAAATAATTACATATTGT
Organism: Homo sapiens; assembly: GCF_000001405.40. Taxonomy (NCBI): domain Eukaryota; kingdom Metazoa; phylum Chordata; class Mammalia; order Primates; family Hominidae; genus Homo; species Homo sapiens. The sequence goes on from NC_000007.14 coordinate 53,171,957, forward strand.
TTATTTATATGGGTGGTGTTATTTATATGGGTGGTGATATATCACATGCATTCTTATGTGATGTTATTTCTTTTACTTCTTTTTGTGTAGTTTGGATCATTTGTCTCTTGTTTCTACTTAATATTATGTTTGTGAGATATATTCAGGTTGAAATATGTTACTCAGTCCTTAATATTTAATTTTAAATATCACTCTATTTTATTAATGTGCTTTTATTGTGTACAATTATTTATAAATGGGCCCATGAGGTCCCAAAGTTTTGGTATTTTGCTATTTGAACAGTGCATCAATGAATTTTTTTCAAGGATCCTGGTGTATATGTGCAAGGTATGCCGTACCACTGAAGGTACCATCTGCAGACTAAGGAGAGTCTGAAATGGTGATCAGTCTACAACAGTGTGAATACATAAAGTGAGAGTAATCATTTAGAAAAGCTTGTAGCAACCTATTAGAATGATTTTATGACTTTTGGCTATTTAGTGATATATTTTTAATTTTCAGTATCAAGGAATTCTTTTCATTGCATTTTATAAAAGTATTTTCTCCTGAAAGACTGGAAAATAAATAGTCCTTCACTAAAGTTAATTTAAGAATCACTGCTTAAATTTATATATCCAGGAGTAGCATTGTTATATTACAAGATATGTCTATTTAAAATTTATTTTATGGCGAGAACGTGTTTCCAATGGTGCATACAAATTAGTACTTTTACCAGCTCTTTTTAAGTGGGTTTTTCTTCCACTTTTCGTAAAAACAAAATAGTGTCATTTTTAAAATGTTTAAATAATTTAGGATGGTGAAGTCCTGTCATTCTTTCATTTTTCCTGGCACTTTACTATGTTTGTTTGCTCAGTTTTCTATTGTGAGATTCCTACTTATGTTTTTCACTGTGTATCTATTGGCTTGCTTGCAGAGTTAAATTTATCAATGCTTCTAATTAAAACAAATTATCCTATAATATAGTTGTAACCGTTATACTCTGACCAAGAGTGCCTGGCTCCCCATATCAGAACCCAAACTAATTGTGGTCAGATGTATGTTTTATTTTAAACATTTAAAAAAATTATAGGCAGTAAAATATAATGTAATGCAATAAAATACGTATATAATTATTTATTTATTTATTTATTTATTTGTAGTGAACATCTTTTAAAAACTTTTTTATTCTCATATATCTTCTAGTATAAATTTCTGATTTATGACTGTTACTCAAGTTAAAACTTTTAATTTCTTTTCCTAATTTATTAATAAAATAATAAAATTTTTCTCACATATTATTAACCATTGTTTTTACTATGTAATGCGTATTCTACGAGCTAGTCATTTACCTTTTTACATTATTTAGAATAAACACTAGTATAATATTAGAAATTTTACAATCTATGACTATACAGTTTTAAAAAATTTTTTCAAACTTAGTCTTTTCAACCTCTAGGATTATAAAATATGGTAAATATAATACTTGCAAATTTGTGATTTTACTTCTATATTCAATCTTTAATAAATTTGATACTCCTCTGAATTGTAGCTCTCAATTGTTTCAAATGAATGTTGTATCCCAGTTGTTCTTATAATTTTTAAGCCATTAAAGCACAAATGAAGCCATACAGTTTTAATTACTGTGAGTCTGTAATATATTCTGAAATCAGAAAATGTAATACCCCCAGCTTTATTCCTTCTCAATATTGCTTTGGCTACTAGAGGTTCTTTTGTTGCTTTGCACGAATTTTAGAACTATTCTTTCTACTTATGTAAAAAACAATGCCATTGAGATTTTCTTAGCGATTGCATTGAATCTTTAGATCACTTTTGGTAATATGGACATTTTAACAATACAAAGTTTTCCAGTCTATGAACATAAAATATATTTTTTATTTGTTTGCATATTTAATTTCCTTCATCGATGTGTTGTAGTTTTCAGTATATGTCTTTTACCTATTTGGTTAAGTTTATTCCTGAGTATTTTACTGTTTGTAATGCTGTTATAAATAGGATTGCCTCTCTACTTTCTTTTCTGGATAGTTCACTATTAATGTATAGAAATGTAATTGATTTTGATGTCCTGAGAGTTTCCTGGATTTGATTTAATTATTAGTTCTAACAATTTCTTTGTGTAATTTTTAAGGTTTCTCCATATAAGATAATATCATCTGTAAGCAAAGCTATAATATTTCTTTTTTTCTGATTCAAATGTGTTTTTCTATTTTTATTATCTAATTTCTCTGGATAGATCTTCTAGTACTTTGATGAATAGAAGCGGAGAGAGTGTGCAACATTTATCTTATTTCTGATATTGGAGGAAAAGTTGAAGATTTTCACCTTTGAATACCATGTGGACTTTTCATAAATAGTCTTTATTATGTTGAGATAAATTTCTTCTGCAATCAGTTTGTTAAGACTTTATTATGAAAGAGTGTTGAATTTTATCAAACGTTTTTCTGCATTTATTGAAATAATCATGTGATTTTTATCCTTTATTCTGTTAATGTGATATATCATATCAATTAATATTTATATGTTGAGTCATCCTTGCTTCCAGAAATAAATCTCATTTGGTGGTCAAGCATTATCCTTTTAATGTGGTATTGAACTTGGTTTGCTAGCATTTTGTTGATAATTTTTGCATCTACGTTCACTAGGGATATTGCCTTGCAGTTTATTTCCTTGTAGTGTCTTGTGTGACTTCAGAGTAATGATACCAGGGTAATGATTAATGATGGCCTCATAAAATGAATCTAGAAGTTTTCTTCATTTTGTGCAAGAGTTAGGAAAAAATATTGTTCATTCTTTGAATGTTTGGTATAATTCACTAGTGAAGTCACCTGACATGGCTTTTCTTTTTTGAACAGTTTTTAATTACAGATTCAGTCTCTACTCACTGTTGGTCTATTTATATTTTCTTTTTTTCTCAATTTAGTTTTGGTAGGTTGCATATTTTTAGGTATTTATTCATTTTTTCTAAGTTATTTAATTTTTAGTGTATAATTGTTCATAATACTCTCTTATGATCCTTTTTACTTCCATGTTATAAAGATTTTTCTTTCATTTTTGACTTTATTTTTTGGGTCTTTTCCATTTTTCTTAGTAATCCCAGCTAAATATTTGTCAACTTCATTGATTTTTATTAAAAAACCAACCTTCAGATTTGTTGATTTTTTCCTATTGTTTTTATATTCTCTATTTTATTTATTTCTGCTCTAATATTTAGGAAATCCAGAGATCAATGCATGCATATATGGCCAGCTAATCTTCAACAAGAATACTAAAAAAACACAATACAGAAAAAGTAGTCTCTTCCTGGCTGGGTGTGGCGGCTCATGCCTGTAATCCTAGCAGTCTGGAAAGCCAAGGTAGATGGATCACCTGAGGTCAGGAGCTCAAGACCAGCCTGGCCAATATGGTGAAATCCCGTCTCTACTAAAAATACAAAAATTAGCTGGGCATGGTGGTGGATTCCAGTAATCCTAACTACTCAGGAGGCTGAGGCAGGAGAATCGCCTGAACCTGGGAAGCCATGGTTGCAGTGAGCTGAGACTGTGCCACTGCACCCCAGCCTGGGTGACAGAGTGAGACTCTGTCTCAAAAAAAAAAAAAAAAAAAAAAGGTAGTCTCTTCCACAAATGGTGTTGGGAAAACTGGATATCCACATGCAAAGTAATGAAGTTAAACCTTTATCTTGCACCACGCACAAAAACTAACACAAAAAATTAAAAACTTAAATGTAAGAGCCAAAATTATAAAACTCTTTGAAGAAAACATTGAAAGCAAACTTCATGACATTGGTCTTGGAAGTGACTTTTTGGATTTTACACCAAAAGCACAAGCAGGAAAACAAAAATAGACAAAGGGGATTACATCAAATGAAAAAGCTTCTGCACATCAAAGGAAACAATAGGCAGAGGGAAGTCAACCCAGACAATATTTGCAAATCATATATCTATTATGGGGTTAATATATAAAATACACAAGATATTCTTACAACATAGTTGCAATAATAACAATAATATGATAATAATAACCTGATTTTAAAATGGGTCATGGACTTGAAAAGACAGTTTTCCAAAAAATCCATGAAAATGGCCAGTAGATATACAGACAAATATTCAACACCACTGATCAACAAGCGTTGGCAAAGATGTAAGTTAATTGGAACCTTTGCACACTATGTAGAAGTTTAAAATGTTTCAGCTGCAATGGAAAACAGTATGAATATTCCCTAAAAATTAAAAATAGATCTACTTTATGATCCACCGATCCTACTATAGGGTATATGTCCATAAGATATGTCCATATCTCAAGGAGATAACTGCACTCTCCTGTCCATTGTAAGAGTATTCAAGATAGCCAAGTTATGACAATAACCTACATTTCCATGAGGGGTGAATACATTTTTGAAATGCATCATATACATACAATGGAATAAGCATCACCCTAAAAAGGAATGATATCTTGCCATTTGCAAAAACATGGATGAACCTGGAAGATGTTACGCTAATGAAAAAGCCAGATATAGAAGAACAAATACTTCATGATTCCACTTAGATGAGATTTCCAAAATAGTCGAACTCATAGAAATAAGGAGTAGAATGGTGGTGGCCAGGGGCTGGGGGAGTAGAGAATGAAGAGTTGCTGTTCAAGGATATAAAGTTTCAGTTACAAAAGATCAAAATATTTGGGAGCTCTGCTGTACAACTTTGTACCTGTGGTGAACAATACTGTATTGTGCACCAGAAGAAAAGGTTTAAAAATAAAGATCATGGCCATCCAGCACTTTGGGAGGCTGAGGCGGGCAGATCACGAGGTCAAGAGATTGAGATCATCCTGGCCAACATGATGAAACCCCGCCTCTACTAAAAGTACAAAAATTAGCCAGGCATGGTGGCAGGCGCCTGTAATCCCAGCTACTCGGGAGGCTGAGGCAGGGGAATCGCTTGAACCCAGGAGGCGGAGGTTGCAGTGAGCCGAGATCATGCCACTGCACTCCAGCCTGGTGACAGAGCGAGACTCCATCTCAAAAAGAAAAAATAAAAATAAAAAAATAAAGATCATATAAAATAGTGAATGCATCTCCACATTATCTTTTTCTAAGGATATGGATCTCCACTGTTTTCAGAAAAGACTTTTGAGTTTGTATCCCAGCATAGAACTGAATGTGTAGTTCAAATCTCTGAACATGCTAATTTAACTCTCAGTTGAAGGAGGAAGAAACTGCCCACCTTCATCCTCAAGATTCATGAATATAGAAGAGGAAAATAAATCCCACAGACAGTATTAGAAAGTTGGATGACTTCTTGAAATGAAATGAGATTGAAAATAATTTTCGGACAGTATTTTATTTCTGAAAGGTGGCTAATGATAATGCAGAAGCCAGATTAGTTGAAACAATAGTTGGAAAGTTGATTAGTCTTCTTTGTGCTTTCTAATTGCTGAAAAAGGTAAATTTCTTCAAAAGTTCTTTGATTCTTTGAAGCTGACTAATAGGAACTAAAATACATAGTTTTGTTAAGTGGTCAAAGGAGGAAATTGGTTCTATACTTTTAGAAATAGTCATATATTATAGGTGACATCAATTTTCAGCATATACAAATATGACCAAGAAGCTAGCTACCTTGTAATTAAAATGTTCAGACTCATATTTTTAACTTGTCTAAAAAATTTCATTAACTAACATTAATAGAAGAGCCACAAATATGTATTTACTTAAATAGAGATCTTCAATGTGTATTAAATAAAAAATTGAAAATAAAAGAAAAAAGGACAAATTTATAATGAGATTTTGAATTTCAACAGTCCACTCATACTAATTTACATCAGTAGGAATATTTGTCAAGATATACAAGACTTGAACAAAACTGTCAGTCAGCTTGAACATTTTACATTCCACACACAAAAGGCTCAATACACCTGAATTTGAAGTGCATATGAAAATGTCCCCAAATAGAATGCATTTTTGGGTTTAAGTCTATTCTCAATAAACTTAAAATAATTAAACACATAAAGCTATATTCTTTGATTTTAATACAATTAAACTAAGTATCAATAACAGAAAGACACCTTTAAAATCACTAAGTATAAAATACACAACACATTTCTATGTTTTGTTGTGGGTCAAAGAAGAAATCAAAAGGGAAATTAGAAAAAAAAATAACAAAGTCTAAGGGAATAAGGTCACAAATTATCTATAGAAGGTACAAAAAAGAGGAACATCATGACTGATCCTACAGACATTAAAAGAATAACAAGTAAATTCTGAGGAAACAATTACAATAAATTATAAACTTTTGATGTAATAGAAACATTCCTTGAAAGACAAAATTCACCAAAACTTACAAAATAGATAACCTGAATAACTCTTTAACATAAATATATTAAACCTGTAATTAAAAACTTTTCATAAAGCCAAACTTATGATCTTTGCTTTTGGATTCTTTCAAAATATGTATAAGAAATAATATCAATTCTACACAATCTCTTCCAGAAAACAGAAAACATTTCCCAATGCATCTGGAAGCCCGCGTTACCTTGATACCAAACCAAAGAAATTTAAAAAATGAAAACTACTGATCAATATCTGTTACAAACATAGATTTAAAAATCATCACAAAATTTAATATGACAGGTCCAACAATACATAAAGGGATGATATATGATGCTCAAGTGTGGTTCAACCCTGAAATGCAAGTTTGGAGTGGCATTAAAAAGTCAGTCAGTTAAATGTAATGTCCATATTAGTAACCTAAAAGGAAATAAGAGTATTTTAACAAATACAAGAAAACTATTAGCCAAAAATTAACATCATTATATATACATATATATGAACTCAGTAAAATGGATATATAAAGGAATTTCCTCAATGTAAAAAGAGCATCTATAAAAACCTATAGATTACTTCGTAATTAATAATGAAAGACAAAATGTTTTCTTTCTAAGATAAGAAACGAGGTAAGTATTAGGTTGGTGCAAAAGTAATTGTGGTTCTTGCAATTACTTCCAATTGAAAAAAACAGCAATTACTTTAGCACCAACCTAATATGTCTTCTTTTATCACTTATATTTAATGTTGCAATTTCAGTTCTAGCCACTGTGAAAAAATAAGAAATGGCTTATTTTTAAAAGATATATGATTGTGTATGTAACAAATCCTATGTGATCTAGGAAAATAAGCTATTAATAAACATATTCAGCATGTTTACAGGAAATTAGGTAGATATAACAAATCCATGTATTTCTATCTATTAATAATGAAATTTTAGAAAATAATTGTAAAAGAAAATAATTTACAGTGTCATAAAAATATGAATTACTTAGGGATAAATTTGACAACAAAATTTCAGTTTTATTAAAAGCTGGAATCGAGACCATCCTGACTAACAATGGTGAAACCCCATCTCTAATAAAAATACAAAAAATTAGCCAGGCGTGGTAGTGGGCACCTGTGGTCCCAGCTACTCTGGAGGCTGAGGCAGGAGAATGGCGTGAACCCGGGAGGCAGAGCTTGCAGTGAGCGGAGATCGCACCACTGCACTCCAGCTGGAGTGACAGAGCAAGACTCCGTCTCAAAAAAAAACAAAACAAAACAAAAAAAAAAAACAGCTGAAATGCATTGCTGTATTATTTTTTAATTTAATAGATGGAAAGATATACCATACTCATGGATTAAAGTGTTTAATACCTTTAAGATTCCTTAATTTTCCTCAAATTTATCTATAATTTCAAGGTGAGGCCAACTAAAATCTCAGTATGCATTTTTTATATAGACAAGCAGATAACAACATTTATATATATAAAAAGAGACCTAAAATATCCAAAACAACTTTGATAAATAACAATGATGAGGAGCATACACTACCATATTTTAATACTTATTGTAAAAGTACAGTAAGCACAACGGTATGGTTTTGTTATACAGATAGTCATGCTGATAAGCGAACAGAATAAAGAATTCAGAAATAGACTCCAACACAGATTTCCAATTAATTTTCAACAAAGATGACAAGGCAATTTAATAAGTAAAATTATATTTTTATCAACAAATCCTGCTGTGACAATGTATACCAAATAAAAAGCTTGTTTTTCATCAAAATGCATCACAGACTAAACTCAAGAGCAGAAATATACTAAAAAGAAACTAAAGAGAAAACATTAGTGACATTTGACTATGCAAAGATTTCTCAAATGGGCCAAAATGTAATGAAACACAAGTGGAACAACATAGAGAAATTGAATTTGTCAAAAGGCATAGTCAAAAAAGTGAAAAGGTAAACACAGTTTGTGAGAAAATATTTTTAACATATATATCCAAATAAGACTCTTTATCTAGAACATATTAGAAACACATATATCTCAAAAATACAAAGTGAAATCACCCAATTGACAAAAAAGGAAACAGTTGAACAGACATTTCACAAAATAAAATATATGGATGGCAACAAAGCACATTAAAAGATGTTCAGGCTGGGTGTGGTGGCTCACCCCTGTAATCCTAACACTTTGGCAGGCTGAGATTTGGGGATCACTTGAGCCCAAGACTTCAAGACCAGCCTGGGCAACATTATGAGACTCTGTCTCTACAAAAAAAAAATAAATAAATAAAATAAAATAAAATAAAATTCAGCCAAGCATGGTGGTGCATGTCTCTGGTCCCAGCTAATTGGGAGGTTGAGGTGGGCGGACCACCTGGGCCCAAGGAGGTTGAGGCTGCACCTCAGCCATGATCCTGCCACTGCACTTGAGCCTGGGTGACAGAGAAAGACCCTGTGTCAAAAAAAAATGTTTAAACATCATTCATTATTAAGAAACTGCAAAATAAAACTAAGTGGTCTTCAACTACACACCTACTAGAATGGTTAGATTTAAAAGTTTGGACATAGCAAGGGTTGCTAAGAATATAGAACAACTTGAACTAGTCTACACAAAATGGTAGAACTACTGTTGCAAAGGGTTTGATGACTTGTTAAAAAAGTTAAACATACATCTACCATGTAACCTCTGCATTCCACTCGTAGGAGAAATCCAAGAGATACGAAAGTGTATAAGCAGGGAACAACTAGTACATGAACTCACAACAGCTACATTTTCAAGAGTCAAATACTTTCAACAAATTAAATGTTCAATAACAGGTAAATGGATAAACAAACAGAGTATAATAAGGTGTACAGTAAATAAAAGGTACCATAAGCATCACAGTATGGTATACTGGAATAAATAGCAAATTATTGATAGATGCAAAAACCATATATGAGTATGAAAATAAGATAAACAGTAAGTGAAAGAAAGGTAGATCAGGCTGGGCGCAGTGGCTCATGCCTGTAATCCCAACACTTTGAAAGGCCGAGGTGGGCTGATTACTTGAGGTCAGGAGTTTGAGACCAATCTGGCCAACATGATGAAACCCCATCTCTACTAAAAATACAAAAATTAGCCAGGTGTGGTGGCATGTGCCTGTAATCCCAGCTACTTGGGAGGCTGAGGCGGGAGAATCGCTTGCACCTGGGAGGCGGAGGTTGCAGTAAGCAAAGATGGTGCCATTGCACTCCAACCTGGATAACAGAGCAAGACTCTGTCTCAAAAAAAAAAAAAAGATCAGAAAATGGAGTCTTTATTACATATTTTCATTTATACAAAATTTCATTAAATACAAAATAATCTGTAGTGACAAAAGGCAGAGCAATGGTTGTTTCAGAGTAGGAGCTGGGTGGGGGCAGGTAAGGAAGAAATGCAGAAGAGAGGGAGAAAACTTTTGGGAGTGAAAGAAATATTTATTATCTTTATTGTGATGGTATTATAGGTTTACACATATTAATATTCATCAAATTGTACATATTAATTATATGCATTTAATGATGTTATGATAAGTCAAGTTATAAAAAGTTGATACAGGATGGGGACAAAAGTAGGTACCATAAATTGACCAGCACTAGTTGTGAGTTCATAATTGTTTCTTGTAAGTTACGGGTGCTGAATTAGTTGGGTTTTTTTGTCATCGTTTGTTTGTTTCTGTTTTTTACCACTTAGCTATTCTGTCCAATAAGACATGAGTTACCTTATTGATGATCACCTAGATGACATTTGGGGAAATCAAGAATCTAGGGTAGGCCTCAGATTGTGTCAAATACTGAAATAAATATTTTTCTCCACATTTCCTTTTTCTGGCAATATTACCCAAAGTTACAGTTTGGTGAATTATTTTAGTTCCCTATGTTGGTTCAGAAGACCAGAGATTGAAGCTACATATGAGATCCTTTGTGGTTACTGGGTTTAAATACCTTCCAACTCCTACTGAGAAAGACATCAGAGATGTTTATGGTTCTCCTGCAGAAAATTTCTCTGTTGTCAGAGAAGACCTTCAAAAGTTTTCAGGGACTTCCCAGAAAGCTTTCAGTTCTGAAACAATGTGCGCCCATTTTGGCAGCCATCTACGTCTGAGGCAGCAGACAAATTAACCAACGCATTAAAGAGAGAGTTAATTAGATAGTTGAGAAATGGATTTAAAATCTTTATTTCTATTATAGATAACATGTTACTTGAGCGGTGCCATCCTACTAGCTAATGTTTGGGGATTATCTCCTCTGTAACAAGCTGAAAATTCTGTACTTTATAAATGCTTATGTTACCTAACTTAAACCTCTCTAGTAACCTAGGATTTAGGTCATTTTCTTATCTCATTTTACAAGTAGGGCAATGGCCAACTTATAACAGTCAAGTGAATGTCCTAAATTGATGGATAGTAAAATAATGCTAGCCTTTGAGCCCAGGAATCTGGGTCAAAGCTCCCTTTTTCTTAACCTTTATTTTTTGGTCTTCCTATGAAGAGACAAATTGGATTCTCTCTCCACTAGACCAAATGGACTATCTTTATGGAGGCCAGGCTCTGTCTTTGGTGGTCCTGGGGTGATGAAACACACTTCCAAATAGGCTGGTGCTGGTGGATAACTGCTCCTAAAGAAACATGACCCTGTTTATAAAACCCTGAGGGTCCCTTCATTCAAGTAGTTATGTACAGAGGAGTTTCCATGTGAATCTGCATTTTGTAGCAAGTTATAAGTAACTTCCTGGAGGTTTGATATTGGTAATATTTCTTAAGAAATGAACCTGAGAAGACCTGCATCAGAATCACAGGCAGTGCTTGTTAAATCTAGAGATATGAAATCTACACTTCAGCATCATGACTCGATATCTCTGGCATTGGGGCTGGAATTTGCTTAATGACAGGAGAAAACTTTTGTGTAGATTAATTAAAATACAAAAATGTAATAGGTTTTAAGGCAACAAACAACAATGTATCATGCATATGAAGTATAAATTTCTTAGATTATTTCAAATCCATGCACCAAATGACTCAAATTTTCACTCATACTAGAGATGTCCCATAGAACTAAGATAGGTGGTGAAAACTTGCTCCAACAAGAAGATTCATTGCACATTGTTAAAAATAAATTCTGAGGTACTGATGTGTAGAATGTTTTGGTCAACATGACAGCAAGGCCATATGAAATCATCACCAGAAGAATAACAGTAAGTCGTGAGAGGAAAATATGATACAGCAAAGAAGACAATAAAATGATTAACCAAATTACTCTCCAACAAAATAACAAATAGCTATAAGTCGTGGAAGATGCAGTTTAATTGTGTTTTAATCTACTTGGGCATGCTATAACAAAATAGTATAAACTGTGTAGACTATAAAGAACAGAAATTTGTTTTTCACAGTTCTGGAGACTGGTGAGTACAAGATCAAGTCACGGAAGATTCAGTGTCTGGTGAGAACCCATTTCCTTTTTAAAGCCGGCCATCTTCTCACTATGTCCTTACATGGCAGAAGGGCCAGGTCCCTCTCTGCAGTCTGTTCTCGAGGGTTTTAATACATGGCTTTTGGAGGATGCAAACATTCAGGCCATAGCAAATAGCAATATATGAAAAAATATTTAATAATTTTAGTCAGCAAAATAAAGACCTTCCTACAGATTGTCAACAAAAGCTAAAAAAGATCCTAGAAGTACTACATCTGGCAGTTAGGCAGAGGAAATCATTGGAAATATTGCCTGCTATGAAACTACAGAAATACTAAATATTCTATCATAAACTTAAGATTAAATGCATTGTTGACCTCATGAGAAAGTGCCAATATTTGCCAAGGAACAAATAAAGTAAGTTCGGAGATCAGAAGAGCAAGGAAAGGAAGACTGAAGTTTAAGGGCTGCTTCAGAGCAAACACTGCATCCAGATCCAACAATCTTTGGGACTAATGACCACAGACATGTGGATGGGAAACAAAGCCTTGCCAAGGTGTCCCTAAGGTAGTGACATAGAGACAGGAGGCAAATAAATTCTAGGCAGAAAAGGGCGGGTCTCGGACAAAACCCCACTCTCGAGCCTGAAACTGTGGCCCAAAGTGAAAACTTCCATCCCTGTTTTCCTGTGCCAATATTGCCTTTTCCAAAACACCCATGGCCCCACCCCACCCCATCCCATCCTATTTCTATAAAAACCTCAGACTCAGCTGGCAGAGAGGGGAGAAGCAGCTGGATGTCAGAGAGAAGGGGCTTGACTTCAAAGGCACAACTTGATGACATAACTTCAGAGAAGAATCTGACTGGAGCTGGCCGGACTTCAGGGGAAGATTGCCTTCCTGTCGTGTACCGTTTTCAGCTTCCCTTCCCTCTGAGAATAAGGGTATAAGGGACTCCCATCTCACCCTTATTCCTCACAGACGTGGAAAAAAAAATATGTCCTCTGGATCCTTCCAGGGCAAGTAACCAGGCATCACATGAGAAATCTACTCTTCTAATCTCACTAAGCCTTTCAATACCTTCCTCTACAGTATACCAAGACAGTTCTGGCATTTAATGTCATTTAGTGTTGGCCACCTTTTAGTCCATGTTTTAGCCAATCAAGCAAACAAATTAATTGAGTTATTTCTGACCTCGAAAGCTACAACATTAAATCCAGAATCTCTGCTTCGTGGGCTCATATCAATAAGTTTGGCCTGATTCAACTTTGTGTTCTTTCCACCACTATTCTACACCCTTGATTTCCATTCCCACACCTATTCCCTAGATTTCTGCTTGGGTAAATTGCAAAAGCCATGCAGTTATTTTGGAGTGTAGCAAATCTTTTCATGAGTCTTTTTAGGACTTACTGGGACTGAGTCCAGTTGTAGGTCTAGAAGCAAAGCAGCATGGTATGGATGGGTCCTGAGGAGAATCGCACTGTCTTGCATGGAAAATCCTCCAGCAAAGGCCATTATAGGCTCATCAGGCACAGAAGGATTAACCTTTACAGGAGTGGAGTGGTAGCTTCTACTGGCAAAGAAGACTTGGGTGAATTTAAAGGATAGTTGTCCTCTCCTTCATCTGGATCTACACACATGTCACAATGTCAATTTTCAGGATTTCATCACTTTACAATCAATGCAACCACTTTAAGAGCAGATACCTTGAGAGGCTGGGGATTCTATTTCCATTGTAATTCTGCCACTCACAGGATGAGACTGTGGGTTTGTTTTTCCAAGATCTCAGCTGTGTGACTGCAGGAGATAAAAATTTCTTTCAAAACATACATAGAAACTTTCAGGTCATCTGTGCAGTTCTTGAGCTAAGAATTTGAATTTCTAAGCCCATCCTTTTCTTTCTCAACTTTGTGCATCAGAAATAAGAATAACTGGCTAATCATGTCACACTCATGAGCTTGACCTAAACAGAGTGAGATGTTAAATGCATGGTCTCAACAGAAAATTTCTCATTATACCAAGAACAGCATGACCTTAAACAGAATGAAAAATGACAGTTACAGATGCCACCACCAAAATTACAAAGATGCTGGAAATATGTCTCAAGAATTTTAAAGCAGATATCATAAAATCTTTAGTAAGAAATTATGAATACATTTTAAATCAATGAGAAAATAGAAATTATCTTCTAACACATTGAATACTTTGACCAAAAAAGGAGATCTAAAAATATAGAAATTTTAGTCAAAATAAAATGACTGAAAAAAATCTTCAGTGGATGAAGTCAAGAGCAGAGTGGAGAGGACAGAAGAAAAAATCAGTAGACCAGAAGAAAGAGCAATTAAAATGACCAATCTGAACAATAGAGATCTGTGAGACATACAGAGACCTAGAAATTCATGGCATTGGAATTTTAGAACATCCACAAAGACATACCATATCCTGGGTTATACAGCAAACCTCAATGAATTTTTAAGAATGAAAATAATAGACATTATGATCTCTGATCCCAATTAATTCAAATTAGAAATCAATAACAGAAAGATAAAAGAAAAATCTCTAAACATTTGAAAAGTAAACAAATTTCGAAATAATCCGTGGGTGAAAGAGAAAATCTCAAGGAAAATAAAAATGTACATTGCACTAAAAAAGAATGAAAATACAACATTTCCAAATTATAACACAGCTAAAGCAGTTTGAGAGGAAAATTTCCAGCACTAAATACGTACATTAAAATAGAGAACAAATGTTTAATCAGTAACTTAAGATCTCACCCAAAAATTGTAGAAAGGAAAAAATAAAAGATGGATGGAAATAATAAAGATAAATCAACAGATTTGAATACAGAAAACAATAAAGGAAAGTCAATGAAACAGAGAGCTTTTGCTAAAAAGATCAATACATTTGGCAAATCTCTAGATAGGTCAACAAAGTTAAAGAAAGAGAGAAGACACAAATTACAGATTTATAAATTCAGAATGAAAGAAACGGTATCACTATTGGCTCTGCAGACTTAAAAAGGATAGGGAATACTACAAAGAACTCTACATATATAACTTTTACAACTTCGTTTAATTCCTCAAAAAACTACAAGCTATCACAACTTGTTCAATATGAAATAGAAAATTTGAGTAACCATGTGAATATTAAAGAAATAAATTTCTTGGTAAAAAATTCCCTAATATCAGTTATTGTAATTGTAGTACATTTGTAAACACTTAAGAAAATGACAATTCTACAATGCTTTAGAAAATAGAAGAAAACACATAGAAATTCATATTATGAAACTGGTATTAGGCAGATGCCAAAATCAGACAATGACAGTCCAAAGTATAAAATTATGGACTAATATAATTCATAAATATAGATGGAAAAAGTCTTAATAAAATATTAGTAGAATTCAGCATCATATGAAGATTTTTTGATACAAAATAACAAAGTAAGATTTCTTCCAAGGGCGGGAGTCTCGGTTTGTAGTGGCTTCGCTGAGGCAGTGGTGGCCGCACTGTACCGTTAGAAACTCAGTTTCCCGGAGGTTGTAAGGCCCTTTGAGGTGAAATGGCTCTGGGCGTGAAAGGAGCAGGCGTTGGCAATGGAAGGACCACCGCGACCTCAGGCTGACCGTAGGGAGGGATCTTGAGGGCCCTCCGAGTCCCCGGGGCTTGCGCTTTTTTTCTTTGTAGCCACCGTGCCTACCGCGAGGATGAGCTCGGCCTCGGTCACCGCTTTCGAGAAGGAGCATCTCTGGATGTATCTGCAGGCGCTCGGCTTCGAGCCAGGCCCAGCAACCATTGCCTGCGGAAAGATCGTGTCGCACACGCACCTCGGAGTTTCTGGACCAGTCACTCGCCAAAGAAGTTTTCAAATTTTGTTGGCCCCCATTTGACCAAAAAAGTGATACTGAATTCCGAAAACATTGCTGTGAATGGATAAAAAGGATTTCTGGTGAATGTGGAAGTAGCTTTCCTCAAGTTGTTGGTTCACTATTTCTTTCTCCTGGTGGTCCTAAGTTTATTCATCTGATGTATCATTTTGCAAGATTTGTTGCAATGGAATATATTAAATCCAATTCTAAAAATTATCAGTTAAGCAGATACGAAACTTGACATCTGAATGTATAGGATTGGAAAACCAAATAAAGAAAATGGAACCCTATGATGACCACAGTAACATAGAAGAAAAAATTCAAAAGGTTCGGTCTTTGTGGGCTTCAGTGAATGAAACGCTCATGTTTTTGGAAAAAGAGAGAGAAGTTGTTAGTTCGGTCCTTAGTCTTGTTAACCAATATGCTTTAGATGGAACTAATGTTGCTATTAATATTCCAAGGCTCTTACTTGACAAAATTGAGAAACAAATGTTTCAGTTGCACAAAGGAAATGTTTATGAGGCTGGAAAACTGAACCTCTTAACAGTTATTCAGTTATTAAATGAAGTCTTGAAGGTGATGAAATATGAACGTTGTCAGGCTGATCAAGCAAGATTGACGGTAGACCTTCACTACCTTGAAAAAGAGACCAAATTTCAGAAGGAAAGATTGTCAGATCTGAAACATATGAGGTATAGAATAAAAGATGATCTCACAACTATAAGACATTCTGTTGTTGAAAAGCAAGGAGAATGGCATAAAAAGTGGAAAGAATTTCTTGGTTTGTCTCCTTTCAGTCTAATTAAAGGTTGGACTCCATCTGTAGATCTTTTACCACCAATGTCTCCCCTTTCGTTTGATCCTGCCTCAGAAGAAGTGTATGCAAAGAGTATTCTTTGTCAGTATCCTGCTTCATTTCCAGATACACATAAGCAACATAACCAAGAAAATGGTTGCAGAGGAGACAGTGATACCTTGGGAGCTCTACATGATCTAGCCAACAGCCCTGCCTCTTTCTTGTCGCAGTCAGTTTCATCATCAGATAGAAACAGTGTTTCACTACTTGAAAAGGACACAAAGATGGGAACTCCCAAAGAAAAAAATGAAGCAATTTCTAAGAAAATACCAGAATTTGAAGTGGAAAATTCTCCATTATCAGATGTTGCAAAGAATACAGAGAGTAGTGCATTTGGAGGGTCTTTACCAGCTAAAAAAAGTGATCCATTTCAAAAAGAGCAAGATCATCTGGTAGAAGAGGTTGCCAGAGCAGTTTTATCTGATTCACCACAGCTCTCTGAAGGAAAAGAAATAAAATTAGAGGAACTAATTGACTCTCTGGGTTCTAACCCCTTCTTAACAAGGAATCAGATTCCCCGTACTCCAGAAAACTTCAGGATCTTCGTGGTTGCTTTGCCCTGTAGGTCAGAAATTGCAATGGGAACTGCTATTCACTGAACTGGAATCCATAAATATAATAAGGGTAACTGAATCCTGGAGTGGCAGGGGCCAGAGGTGACATTTAATTACCAAAGATAAGATGGGTGATTACCATAACAGAGTTTAGAATCAAAGCAGCAATCAGAAACATCTGACTTGTAGAACCCTATGGTGTCAGCTAGCTGATCATGCTGTCCCTAAAGTTAAATAGATAGGAAGCCTACTGAATTCATACTCAATGTGTTTAAGCAAAAAAGTTACAGGTCATGGGAACATAATTCTAAGTTGAATTTTCAAATAGAGAGTTTGGCCCCTCATTAAATGCTCATATTTGAGCCAGTTTACAGGCTGAGAACCCCTTGAATGAAAGGGAGGTTGGGTCATCTTGAAAATGAATTTTGCTATACTGCTAAAAATGTATAGTGTCCATCTTATTTTCTGCAGCCTTCTCTAAAGGGTCCTATGGTCTTTTACCGGAATAACTGTGAATTAGAAGAAACGAAATAATCAGACTTTTTAGGATCTACTGATTACTGGCCCTGCCTAACACTAATTCCCAAAGACACAAAACAACCCTGTGGCCTTCTAGTGAAAGTAGGGCTCATGGAAGCAAGCGATCCATGGAGATGTAGGTCAGATCCATTTCACGTGGTTCCAGGCCCATCCTGTGGTTACTTCCCCAGGTCCAGAATGCATAACTGAAGTACATACACTCAGCAGCTGGCAGAATCTCCCTGCTGGTTCCCTGACATATGATTGCCTCTATTTAGAAAAACAGGAAACCAAAAGCAATACCTTATTCCTGAAGTACCTATGCTCTTGTTTGATGTCATAACCCAGAAATTGTTGCCAAATCTAATGCCATGAGGTTTCCCCCTCATGTTTTTCTCTAAGAGTTTATAGTTTTCAATTTTTATTGACACATTCAATTTTTTAAAACTTTTATTTGGAGTTCAAGTGCACATGTGCAGGGTGTGCAGGTTTGTTACATAGGAAAACATGTGTGATGGGAATTTGTTATATAGATTGTTTCATCACCCAACTATTACACCTAGCAACCATTAGTTATTTTTTCTGATCCTCAGTCTCTTCCCAGCCTCCGCCCTCTGACTTAGCTCAAACTTATAAGTGAGAACATGTGGTATTTGGTTTTCTGTTCTGGCATTAGTTTGCTAAGGATAATGGCCTCCAGCTTCATCCATGACTGCAAAGGACATGATCTCATTGTTTTTTATGGTTGCATAGTATTCCATGGTGTATATGTACCACATTTTCTTTACCCAGTCTATCATTGATGGGCATTTAGGTTGATTCCATGTCTTTGCTACAACATCATCAGAGAAATCCAAATCAAAACCACAATGAGATATCATCTCACACGAGTCAGAATGGCTGTTAAAAAATAAAATAAAAATAAAAAAACAGATCCTGGAAAGGTTGTGGAGAAATAGGAATGCTTATACACATTTGGGAGTGTAAATTAGTTCAATCATTGTGGAAGACAGTGTGGAGATTTCTTAAAGACCTAAAGAGAGAAATACCATTCTACTAGCAGTCCTATTACTGAGTATACACACGAAGGCATTTTATGGTTTTCATTCTTAAGTCTTTGATCCATTTTGAGTATGCCCTATTTTTAATTTCAATGGCTTGTAAAATTAATTTGAAATTTTTGAATGACAAAAGCCTATAAAATGTCCTTTAATTGATTATTCATCTTAAAATCTTGATAAAATATGATGACATTTGCGATGAACATAATGCCAAAAAATATTAAAATTTTAATTCTGCAAAAATATTTTTAAATTAGTTTAAAAAGAAGCAGTTCACAAAAAAGATAAACATCCAATAAATCCATGAACAAATTGAATTAAATGAGACACCATTTCAGCTTACTTATTTACAGAAAAAATTATTCCCTGCTCTTCCCTTGAAATAAGTCTGTCTTCCGACATAAGGCTAAGCTCCAAGCTAGTTATCTGGGTGCACTTATGTATTCATAAATAAACCACCAATTTTTAAAAAGTGTAAGCAAGCCTGCGAGGCAAAATCCAAAGTCCATATAACTCTTGGGTGCAGCATGAGCTTTTAGTTTGGAAACCCAGAAAAGAGGGTTGTGCACAGAAGACGTACTTCACGTTTGCTTGATGAACAGCAAAGTGCTTTACAACAGGAATTTGGAATGAAATTTGTCCAGTTGCTAAGCTAGTGAAGTCATAAAAATAAAGATAAACATATTTTGTTTTTACTCACAGAAATTCTGCCAGCCTCAACTGATATATTCCAGCCAAAGCAAAGTGGTCTCACTTTTCCTTCCTCCTCTAACACTTTGTGGCCCACAACCACAATATCACAGAGAAGATTAAATAAACAAAATGGGAATAAAGTCACAGGAATTCAGTGAGTGCCAAATATGTGCAGTATCAGCCAGAATGATTGCTGGTAGGGATAAAACAGCACAATAAACTCCCAAGCCACGGAGCGTGTTTGGTAGTGCTGCCAAAAACCACAGTGCCGCCTTATGTGTGCACTTACAAAATCTAAATACAGCCTCCCCATGGCACAGCAAGAGCAGAAGTGAGAGGGACAGATATGCTCCCATAAGTGCTGTCACTGGAGACTGGAGCACACCAAGAGCATCTTAGTTTAATTTTGAGTAACCACTGGTGAGGATTTGGCAGAATATAAGAAAGAAATTAAAGACCCTTTAAAATAAAATTGATCCATTTCTAACATATAAATTATTTGATTAAGTACATACAGAGAGTTGGAGAGCAGGGCCCAGATACATGGTGATATCACCCCAGCTTAGAATGGCATGAGTGAAGAAAACATGACACAGAAATAGCAGCTAAGTAATAATACCTTGAAAAAAAAGTAAGCCAAGGATTTCTTAACCATTAAGTATTGGAGGTCATTATTACAACCTCACTATATGTTACTTGTGTAATCATGATTGACTCTAGCAAACTAGATGGAATTCTTTTGTTAAGTACGTATTCAGCAATCCAAATAATCTTTTTCAGAATCTTCATCATATCCAGCATGAAGCTGTGCAAACAGCTCAGGTAATTCCAGAGATAACCGCAACTGCCACAATTCTTCTCATCCCAATTCTTTCCTCCCTCACTTCTCTTATCTAGGATTTCCTGGATGCATTGCTTATCACATTTCCTGCCTAACAAACAAAGAAAGAGAACAAAACAGGGACCTCAGTCCCATGTTTCAGAATAAAATCTCTCACTACAGCGGGGTGGCGGAGGCGGGGTGGGGTTTCAACATCTTTGAAGAAAGAACTTGTAACATTCTAACCTCTGATTTTTTAGACCTGTTTAATTCCTAGACTAACATATTTAATTCACTTTTTCATGGACCTTCATGGCCACACTTTTATGTTTTCCTTACTAGGAACGTCTTTAACACTGAAAACTAATTCTGAAATATTCCTTTCTCTTAGCATTATCTCTCCTCTTTTCCACTGCCTTACTCTTAGTCTTTCTATTTTGTAAATACAGATGTTTCCTTTTGTTAACCAAGTACAATACCTCAACTGTGAATTTATTTACACTCATAGAAGCTTTAAGCCAATGGCCCAAGGATGCAGCCACTTTCTTGCTAACATTCAAAACTTCCACAACTCATGGTTGGATACATGTTACCATTTGCCTTTTCAGTTCTACATCTGGAATTCTGAGGGCTGAGGGAAATAGCCACATGGCTTAAGGGTAAGGCATTTTCAGATTCATGGCTAGGGTCTCAATTCGGTCTCATTCAATCCTGGCCAGCAAAATTGTTATGTAAGCTTATGTAGAAACTCTCTCTATACCCTATAGCAGTTGTTCCATCTCTCCCCATCCTCTGCAAACCAAATTCATTCCCACACCTCTTCACTCAGCAAATCATTGAAAACAGAAAATAACAAAGAAGTCTCACCATACAATCAAATCCAATTAATTATAAATCTAGAAGAATTAATATGTGTATAATAGCATAAGGATAGACAATGAATTGATTAAGTGTAATGCAAAATCCAAAACCTAGGGCCAAATACATACAAACATAAAGATAAAGCAAGTATATATACAAATGTAAGTTTAAAACAGAAGTGGCATTTCACAGCCGTGGAGACACAGAAAGGTGATAAGGTGCGTGCTGTGAGAATGCCTGACCAGCCATGAGTTTCCATGCCACACTCAGGCCTACACCGACATAAACTTCCCTTGTCCTGGGGTCATTACAAATACTCAATTACTTGCATTTCATGGAAAACTGCTGCCTATTCCATGGCTCCAGGTTATTGAATATTACAATTCTTCCACTTCAGGTCCCACATGATCCTATTGCAGAGTCTACCTTACTTTTTATCTTTCAAGTCATTTTCAGCTTTCTGAGATTGACGTTTCTTTCCCTTCTTTGAACTCCACTGGGACTTGTATACTATTTCACGATTTCTTTTATTACTTTGTTTCTAAACATGCTCTGTCCGTGTCTGAAATCCCTCTAGTTGTAAAGATTGTATTTAATTATGTTTATTTCTAGTGCCTTTCCCAATACATGATTGGGACTAAGTGATGTACTAATTTTGATTTGGAAATCTTTCATTCCACAAACATTTATTGAGTGTCTACTATAAATGTAGGTGATGGTATGAGTTGTGAGAAACAGGCTGACGATAAACAAGACCTGGTCCTTGCCCTGGAATGATTCCATAGCCCAGTGGTTGAGGCAGTTTGACCTGCAGGAAAAATTTATTATAAAAAAAATTCTGGATGCACTTCGCTTGAAAAACAGAACCATTAGGGATGATTTAATAACACACTGTGATCATATTAAGGTTAGAAAAGGAGATGCATTAAACTGCTCTCAATCTTTCTGAAGACCCAAAAAGACTATTAAGCACTATATGAATGATAAGTTTGTATAAATAATTGTTGTTAAAAAGTAGGTTAACATAGGGTGCACGATTTTTATTTTTGGTGCTATTTCAAAATAAGACTGAATCAACTTGTACATATATTTTTTTCAGCAAGGGATTATGTCAAAATACTCTTTTTGTTTACATGTTATTTTATGCATATTTTGTAATTTTAATTTTATTAGTGCTTGACCATAAGTTCAAGGAGATATTTATTTGGCTTAATCTTGATATTTATGATATCAACTTGAAAGTGAATGATAATGCATATTGCAAGGTTTTCTCGTATGAAATATTTGTGGAATTATAAAATAGATCTTACACATTTCTAAGTATTCAAATATTCCTGTTCAGTTATTATACTAAAGATATCTGGAGAAAGTCATTTCTCTTCCAGGGGATTATATGCACACTTGTGACTGAGATGCAAAGTCACACTTCAACAAACTAGATGAATTCAGACGTTTAGAAGTGGTGACATTTGCATATAAATTTAAACTCTGCCCCTGAGCTATAAGGATAAATTAATAATCCAATTTAAATATTTGAAAGATATGCCTTATAAGAAATACCGCATTAAAAGATAGAGTAAGAATATAGTAGGAAAGATGTTCTTCCTAATAACATTTAATTTTATTATCACAAAAATAAAGTATGTGGAGTCCATGCAATTTGTAAAATCTATCTAAAATACACATCTCTAATAAGGAAACTGCTTTAAGGCAGAAATAATACTCTCATGGCAGTTAAGGTTAATTTGTGAATTTAGTGATAGAGAAGGAGAATTATCCTACCTTAAAGAGAAAAATCAAAAGATAAGTCAAATTAAAACATAAACACCGCTAGCAACAATGTCGCTTTAGGTAAAAAACTTTAAAAATGTACATGCCTTGGTACAATCTAAGTTTGGTAGAAACCTCGATGGGTCAGTAAGTTAAAGGTGAGTGTTCAAATTTACTCATTATCTCAGACAAGGGAAGCACTAAAACTCCAAAGCTATCTTACCATCCTAATTAGAGTTTTCTCACAATGAATATGCTTGCATATATGAAAATAGTGTGTTGTTTTATTGGTTATATTCAAAGAAGTGTTGAGGAGAGTCCGGAAGACATACATTACATGCAGTACTTAACTCACATATAGACATGATGGCAAATCAGTCCTCATTATCAATAAATCTGCTCTCACTGAAATTGAGTTCACTCAGTTAATGAAACAAACGTTAAGGAACCTCAATTGTATAATTAAATTAAAATATAATTGTAATCATGTTAGTTTATTGTGATTTGACTTGCAATTTAACTGACAAATTATTGTCCAGTTCTTCACATTCATAACACCTAATTGAGAAGAGGAAAGCAGAGGACAGAAAGAGTTTACACAAAATGTTTACATGGAATATGGGAATATTTGAAATTCTCCTCTAGTTTTATACTCATAATTCCCTTACATGCTTTTCCTCGTGTTTAACTCTACATGTTTACTCAACATGGTGTAACAGTGCGTTTCATGTTTGTGATTTTGTGTTTATTGAGAGGAGACTTGCCTTTGTGGGGAGAGAGTTGATTATTTGTTTGGCTATAATGCCTGTTCTGTGTTTTTCTTTATATAGGCAAGCTAGCTGTGAGATTTTTTTTAAGGAGAGTTTATTGGTATAAATTTATCCTGGGCTAAAGAAAATCACTATTCAAAATTATTCCCCAATGGCTTCTATTCAAACCTTGGGTTAATAAGTTTCCTATGAATACAAGTAAATAAGTAGGACTCATTTTCTTGTTGCTGTGAATTACTTTACCAAAGTAATCACACTGACCGCACTGCCAGCACTTAGCGAACACACCACTGGAAGGTGCAGGCTCCGGTTAATTGAGCTGAGATGGCAGGACGAGTATGGAATCGATGGTGTGTGGTAGCTAACTCACCTGGGCTCACAGAAACAACTGTTACATTTTCAGAAACATTATGAGCTGGTTTAAAACATGGCGATTTTTAAAGATTAAAGAAAAATAAATATATTACAAAAACAAGTTAATACATAGTTAAACTTCCTTTTCCAGTTATTTTATGTTTTATACTATCCTCTTCACCCTGTGGTTAGATCCCTCCAAAGAACCTGTGTGGGAGAAACCATGCACAGTAAGGTGCCACTGTGTGTCATGTTGTCCAGCTTCACATTAGCCACAGTAGGAGGAGTCACACCCAGAAATCTGAAAACTCTCCACATCAGGGCTTGATGTATTGTTACCTTAACTATACTTAGGAAGTGATGAAGAAATGAAATTCTGCCTATACATTTTTGAAGTTTTCTACCTAAAGATAATGCAGATTAAGCTTAAAAGTGTGGTATGTGTCTGCAGCCATTACATTATGAATAGCACAAAAATGCTGAAAATTATTTAGTACTAGAAAAGTAATATCATATATAGTTCAATAAAGTTACTCTCAACAACAATTGATGAGCAAAGCTCCAACATGTGTATGTCTTTATTATGTTCATCTTTCTTATGCAAGTGAAAAAAATCAACCAATATTTATGTTGGAACTATAGTCATGTGTTAATTTCAGCCGTAAGTTAGCTACAAACACAAGAAAAGCTTGGCAAAAATCAATTAAACATTCTGTGAGAATCAGATGGCTAAATTAAGTTATCAAAAATATTTTATTGTTATTTGTAAATTGAGTGTTGTTACATATCTTTTATATTAGTAATAATTATAATAAACAAGTATATCTATTTATATATATGCTATATATCTGTTACATATATGTATATGCTTTTTCCATTTGCATATGTTGATTGTTAAACATTTGCCAATATACTGTATGTAATGCAAAAACAGTCATACCTCAGCTTATGTCCATCTCCCTGGACATAAATTGTCCTTGGGCATAAGTCCAGACAAGTACATCCAATATTATTTGTTCAAACTTATATCTCTCTGGCCAATCCAAGATCTTTCTTAAATAGAGAATCAGAAAATTACTGATAAAATAACATATATCATAAACTCCAATAAAAATCCTTATCTCAATGTATATAATGAGGCTTGCAAACAAGCTATCCAGAAGATATCTGCAATGCAATTTTGGTTAATTACATGGCATTGATTCATCTTTTTTCAATCTTCCTGTTAAAATTAGCAAACTCCAAACAAAACAAACAAACAAGAAGAACCTATGCTGAAACAGCACGTATTGTTCAATAATGTACCAAATATCATGAAGAATTACCACTAATTCCAAAAGAATGGGCCATGAAAAGTGATAACTGGTAGCAAACTCACCCATAAATGTTTGAAAAAATAAAAAATGGCATTAGCTTCCACCCCATGCCCACCCTCCAACCTTATATCAGACAATTAGGCCTGGTAATAAGATACAAATCATCGCATTTGTTCCCAACAGAGTTCCTTCTACAGAGAACCTAATGATATATCTCATTTTCTACATCCACTCAGGAGATTGTAGCTTCTGGTAACAATAGTCTCAAAGGAACAAGGGAGCAGAAAGTACTATATTAAATAGTGGTGTGTAAGGTGCAATCAGGAATATGAGAAATGCGAGAGTCTTCCAGGCATAACTATTGGCAAAAACAGTAATGCAGTCTATTTAATGCCATCATAAACAAACATAGCACAACATTCAGTGGACAAATTCGAATGAAATGTGAAAAACAGTGTTTAGCCAAAGGCATATAAAAGGAATACTTATCCCACCAATGGTGCTCACATTTAAAAGCCCAAGAATAAATGAATTACAAGTTTAACTAAGAGGGTTTAAAATTCTAAAATAAAATGAACTTTGAAAAGTCAGAAAAATAAGAAAATTAAAAGGAACTATTTTTAAATTAGGAAACTGAAATCTGGTGTAAATGAATGATCAAATCAAAGTTTAAAAAATTGCTTAAAAATAAATAAATAAATAAATAAATAAATAAATAAATAGGCAGAGCCAAAACACTAAATGAAAGGGAAGGAATAGAATCTTTGGAAATAAACCCATTTGTTGCTTGCAAAATTACAGCTTATTCTTTTTGTGCTTTTAGATTTTGATTTTCTGTAGTAAGTTCCCATAAAAACTAATAACTTCTAAATTTATCTCAAAATATTCGAAAAATTGAACAGACAATAAAAAAGATAGTTGCAAAATTGTCTCTTAGAAAAGTACCAGCCAGATGGTCACATGAGCTAGAATAACATTAAAGTTTTTCATGATTAGATGATTTCCATTGAAATAAATTTTATTTTTTGAATTTTCTGGACACAGAAGATAGAAATTTTTCTCAATACATTTTACAAGACCAATAATATCCTGATGGTAACAGATGAAAAAAATCACTATAAAACCATGAGGTCCTCAATTATGATATATGCACACCCAGTAGTGAAGTATTGAGTATATCTAAAGAAATAATTCCCCATGATAATAAAGTTTATTAAAATACTGCAAGCTAATTACACTATGGATAAATTTTCAATAGAAAAGACTTCTTAGTATTTTACTATGCATAGAAAAAGAACTGAAATTTAACAACCTCTCATTTTAAAGAAATAAATCTTTAAGCAAAATAATAATATAATTTCACTTCCTTAGTATGGTACACTGTCAATAGCAAGCATCATAAAAATACTGAAACATTGCAGTCTTACCAATAAAAGGCCTTAATAATGCCAGGTTGTTTGTTTTAAATATTTTCTTGGATTTTAGCCATTGAAATAGAGTATGAATAAAGCAATTAAACATACACATAACAATCAAGTAAGTACCATTATAATTATTTGTCACTGGAGAGATTTTGTAACCAAAACCCCAAGCAAATCTGCTGAAACACACCAGGACTAAAAGGAGAATTAATTATGTTGGGAAATCAAACAAATGAAAAGTCAAAAGTATATCCTTTGTAGCATATGTGGCAAAACAATTTACACTATTAAGAATCTCATTCAGAGTAGTAGGTGAATATTTCAGAAAACTAGGAACAACTGTTTGCTATGCAGGACCTCTAAGCAATATCACAAAATGGCGCTGGGAAATATAAATAAACATTGAGCAGGAAAAGAGACTGCCTTGTTCTTTTGTGAAAAAAAAAAAAATGCATGTTAAGAATGGGTACATTATCCCCAAATTAATCTTTAAATAGAATACATTTTAAGTAAAAACTCTAGAAGTATTTCATGTGATTAAGTGATTTAACAATTTATCTAGTAACATAGACTCATAACACAAATATCACAAGCAGAGCAAAAGAAAGGCCCCTGTCTTAACAAGTATTGAAATTTCTGGTATCTAAATTCACCTTTACCTGAATTTCCCAAATTTTTCTGCCCACCTAAGCAATATCTTGCTTGACTGCTAAATAGTTCTGTTTATTTCAGTGTTTTTTTTAGGAGATTTCCAGAGAACACTTACGTGTCCATGATGCCATGTGTGACCTTTGGTCCAACCTGTGAGTTCATGCTTCTCCAGCATCCTCTCAAATAATCTCACCCTTGCATCTCAGCTAATCACCCTAGTGCACATATTCTTTCATTATCCAAAGGGAATTAATAAGCAGCTGGCATTGAGTCCATATTGTATAATACACTTAATAGAAGAATTGAGAGCTTTGGAAGGGATTTATAACATGAAAAGGTAAACTTTAAATAGCATATTTTCTAGCACCACCAAAATGTTGCTGCTCCTTCAGTAAATGGAAACCCTATCAACATTTAATTTGCTTAGACTCAGCCTGGCCTGCTGGTTTGCTGCTGGGACCTTTTCCTCAGGTTAGATTCTGCATTATCAGCTCCTTTCTCCCTTATGTTTGGCCATAAACTCCTTACCTAAGGGCTCACCAGAAGTAACTTTAAGCTCCCAAATAATGTTTCCAGAGATGATTGTCCCTCTTTAATTTAAATTAATAATAATAATAAATTGTTTAAATTACTTAGGTCTGTTGCTTCCTCAAATGAATCATTCAGCCTTAAAATGCAGTATTTCCATAATCACTAATTCTATACATCCTTTAAAATGTAGCAATTACTACAGCATGGTATGTCAAAAATGATTTAGGAAGTGAACATGTAAAAATATGAAACCCAGAATAAAATGCAGATGAAACTTTATGTATTTTAACATGATTGAGGGCTTTCTAAGCCTGACTTCAAGAATAAAATTTATAAATTAAAATATTGATACATTTGACAATTTAAAATAATACTTCTCTAAAAGAAATAAGCAAAATGAGAAGAAACAAAGAAAAATAAAAAAAGGAACAAAAGGAAGGAGTGAAGGAAGGTAAGAAGAAGGGAAAAAGGGAATGAATAAAATAATAAAGATATATAAGGAAAACAAAACAAAGAATAGCAATTGTTATTAAAATATTATTTAAAATGGGAAAAAATAAATAAAAAATGTATAAAAGACTAAGAACTAATATCTGTATATATAAAGAGCCTCGAAAACATAATTAACTCATTTATGCCTGAGGTTGCAATTTTTTGAATTTTTGCAATCAGACCTTGGCAATGACCTTGAGCAGTAGGATATAAATAATTCCTAATGCTCAGTGTTCCAATAATGGAACACTAGGCATAAATGGGTTTTAAAAAACAGTTTGCAATGAAGTGAAAAAGCAATTCTCAAAAGAAAAAATATATGTGGCCAATAAATATATAAACTAATTAATTCAGAAATGCATAAAACACAAACACATTTTACCCTTCTTAGCAGATTATGATAAAAATAATGATAAATCCCAGTATGAGTCTATGTCTGGGGGAGCGTGCACACTCAAATATTCTAGAAGAAAATGTAAATTTTATATTTTTCACTGGGAAAATTTTAGAAAAAGACTTCGATATATGCATTATCTTTGATACAAATAGCCTGTGAGAATAATTGAAAATATGTTTTGTTTTACCACAAAAAATTTTCAGAATCATTGTTTAGAAGAGCCAAATACAGCATGATGTAGATGTCCTGCAATTATAAGTCAAACACTAGATACTCAATGTAGTTGTCTGCATTATGAATCATTGAAGTATTTGATTGATTCAGATGTACTTCTAATATATTTTCAATAGAAAAATTGTTTACAAAATAATTGTGTCTTATCCTATTGGTACATGTAGCTATTTTCACTTTTTGATTGTAAATTCTCTACACTTAAAATTATTTTGAAAATTAAAAGTTAAATTATTTCAATTCAAGACTATTTACACATTTACATGTGCATATGTGCAGTATGTATAAATATTCATCTCTTATCAGCTTGTTACTACTATTTTTAATTTGATTAATATCAGTTGATATATGAAACTTCACATACAGTTTTATGTATACTACACCTTATTTAAGGAGTGTCTCTCTTTAGGTTCAGGCAGCAGTGTGTATAGTACCCCAAGGATGGTGGTCATAGTTGATTATATAATCACAGTTGTCTAAGAAATCCTCACGTGACATACAATCCCTCAAGTCTTAACTATACAAGCCCAGAGTATCAAGCATGCCATTGTATTGCTGTAACTCATGTTTTCATGCTAGCTGTCATATTACCAACAATGTTCAGAACATCCTTAAATTTAAAACAGTAAAATTAACGCAGGTTTTCATAAGCAGACTCTGAGCGAAGGTAAGTTTTGGAGGTGGAGAAGTTAGAAAGTGGGCCAGAGAAAGGAAGACATCCCACAAAGGTGTGCTAATAAGGTGCGCTGGTGACAACTAGTATCAACGGTGGTACTGTCTCACCTCTGTGTCTTTTAGTAATGTCTACTGGCTGAGCCTATCCTAAATTCTTAGACTCTGGCCTTTCCTTGAGTTGGTAAATGCCCCTGTGGATAGCTGCAGATCCTCAGCTGCCGTATAAAAGATTTTCTCCTTCTTGGGTTGCTTCTGAAGTTCTCTGAAGCCTTTAAACATATGATTTTCATAATTCATCCAGCTTATTTGAATGAGAGCATTGGCCTGCCATATATTATACCATGCTACCCATATGCAAAAGCTTAATCAATATTTTAATCTTACTTATGCTAATTGGGAACTTGTGTCTGTCTTCTGATTTTATAAGACACGCTGAAATTGTCTTCATTTATTTTTTGCGGTGTATTCCTTAAACTAGTCTAACCATATTTATTGAATTCATGACCACAGGTTAAATTTGCCAATTTGTAAGTAGCTTATAATAAGGATAATAAATGGATTTGTACAGTATGCTTGCTTTTTTTCCTAGCAATTTTTTTAAGTTGTTAAATTTCACTCTCTAAAATAAAGCAATTCAAAACAGATTATCACACTTCTTCATAGCTATAAACCATTGATGGCGTATTGTATTGAATGTTAGTTGTTACTTGGTGGTTTTGTTGATCATGGAATATTCATCACTGTTCTCACTACTGCATGTCAAAGCATTTTGAATCAGCCCCCGGCAATAGCACTCCTTTGTTATGGATCATTCTCCATGCGCCATCCTGTGAGGCCTCTTATCTGTCTTCCAATATATGGAACAGGAAACCCAATTGTTGCACACTCAGTTTATCATTTGAACCATAACAACCTTACTACCCATACCTTTAGATTTTTCCATACTAAAACTGCTTCCTCTACACATGCTAACTCTTTTTCCTGCTCTTTTATGAACACACCCCAAAGTCTCTGTTTTGTCCTACAATATTTTTTTTCCAGATCAGGCTCTGTGCACTTCAGAAATCCCTCTTGCAAACTGTTCATTCTCTGTAAGTTAAAAAAGTTACCTCTTCAGTTTTGAAAAATGAAATTATTTTACTTCCATAGGGAAGTGTGACTGCTAGTAATTGTGAAAGGTGTGAGAAAATTAAATTTCTTGCAGCATTTAAGCTAACAAACTAGCCTGCCATACATAGTTTCGTGGACACAAGATTCCTGAATCAAAGTCAAAGACTGTGAGACTCACAGGAAGAGCAATGGTGGAATCGCAGGCATGATGCTCAGTGTTCATGCTGGTTCCTCACTCCCCAAGTGTAACACAGAGGCCCGGCCCGGACATGTGGTGGGCAGTATTTCTGGATAGGAATGCTGAGCTGGGAGATTTACCGCCTTTACAGTGAATAAAAACAAGCATCATCTTTGTTGCCTAATCCTTCAAGTTTGCTCCGTGGAAACACAACCCTGAGGCAGGGTCCAGATAAAAACCAGCCCCATCTTGCTTTCTGGGAATAATGAGCAAGAATGAGCAGAGACACTCAAGGTTCCTGGCAGATGGCATCTTCCATGAAGTGCTTCTAGTTCCACAGGCTGGAGAAGGGGAAATTAGGAAGAAGGTCCTCCCTCTGAGCTAGAGTATGCTTTTATTCTATACTTTGAGCGTAAACAATTGGGCTTTTAAAGGAAAATCCAACAATATAAAGACATTAAGTAATTTGCCTATGACTACAAAGCTACAAGTAGTCAGGCAAGGAATAAACCCCAGCATTTCTTAACCTTTATCCTCCACTGTCTCCAAAACTAAATCTGGATGAGAGAATTAATATACAAAAAGAAGAGGCAGAAAGCCACATTAAATCATTTCTTTTTGTCTTGATTTTTACTCCAACATTACTTCTACTTTCCATATCCTCTCAAGTTCCTGACAACTTTTGACCTTGGCTGACTCCTCTCCCAAAAGAGAAAATTATATTATGGCTCCAGAACATTTGCTGCCACCCAATAGTCACTCACAATAGATTTAGTAACTGATATTAATATCTGCTACATGTACAGATGTGGATTTGTTGGCAACATATGTATTATCAGGCTTTCAACTTTGGGAGAATCAAAATGATCTTACCGGTGCATGTGAAATATACCTGTTTTATTGTTGGGTAGTTTATAAACATAGTGAAAACCACTTTATTTTGACATCTTACCTACTTTTAACTCCTAAAAGCAATGTTTCTAGTATTTTCTAAAAGAAATTTTGAGGGACGTAACCAGTTATTCGGTGCAATTACCATCAAGGTCAGCACATGCTCCTATAGCACATGCTAATTATTAAGCTTATTGTAATTTTCTAAGTAAGAAAGAGTGCAATATATTTAGAGATATTTTCATAGTTAAAATTTTTACCTTTTGGTGAGAATTTGGTAACACAGCAATAGAACTGTGAATACCTCTTTTGTATCTGGCCATTGTTACAATGTTTTATGGAAAGATTAATGCTGCCTGTACTTTGGCAGTTACCTTCCTTGCAGTTTCATCCTTGTGAAACATCTTTCTGATGTCAACTGATTGTAGTTTTCGGTGTGTGGTTCCTGTGTTTGAGGTTCCTGGAAATCATGATCATTCTCATGACTACTGCCTTCATTCTATTATCTGGACCTCTAGTGAACCATATATCATCTATTTAGAAATGCTGGTGGTTCCATAAGGACTTCTAATACCTCTAACTGAAAGCATTCTGAATTATATAGAGAATTTTGGGCCAGGAGTGAGATGCTGTAGACAAAGGCCCTAAAATGTAAAACAAGCTGATTTAAGGTTTTCTGTGGAGTGTCTCCTTTAACTTTGAACTGCAGTTGTCTTTACAAATGTGCTGTAACTTATAGCACATCTCAATTCCTTAATCAGATAAAATTTTTACTATCTCAAAACAAAAATAAAATATAATAAAGCTCCCTGGAACAATGATGCTGTTATTCTTGACCCTGTCAAGAGAATCTTCATGCATCTATAAAGTGAGAAGGAAATTCACTGTGTCCCTGAATCCCATGTGACTTGGCAGCTGCCATCCTCTTCTTTAAGGCAGGGGAAGAGAGCTCTGGCCATGTCTCTCCCATTGACATTCTTCCCACTGTTGTGAAAATTTAACATTCTTTCTCTTAGAATGTTTGAGCATTATGGACTAAAAATTTGTTTATCTTGAAAATGTAAATGTGAAGTTCATAAGCTCCATATAAAGTTTTTTAAAAGAATAAATGTGTTAGATCTATTTTGAGGAAGTAGTTTTCCATTTTTACAGAGGGAAACAAAACTTACAAGTTATTTAAACTGAATCGTTTAACAGAAAGAAGAGCAAACTTTTCTGAAGAAGCATTAAAATTGTCAGTGTAACAAAATTTTCTCCAATAAAAGAATGTAATCTATTCAAAATTATGAACACGATTATGTTTACAAAAATGGTTACGAGGTGTGCCCTGGAGAAATATTCAGCTATTGAAAATTCCCTTCAGTTACCAATATCTATAAATGTAGGAGAATTAGGTCAACCAGATGTCAATGGAAATCTGTGCTTCCACAATCACTCTGATTATAGCCACAAGGCAGCTCTGTCCCGGAATCTATATTTATTAATAGTCTTAATATGTAAGCCAAGAGACTCCCACTGGAATTGGTTTTACTCAGATTTCTTGATGAAATAAGTGCTTTAAAATATTTAACTGAATATGTTTTGGAACAGTTTTTCTGTTACTAGGCATATCACCATTACCACTCGGATGACACAATTAGGTCATGGTTTAACCTGTTTTATATCCATGGACATGCCTTAGATCAGTTAGTGACCAGCTGCTACTAAGGTAGAAAACCTATCCATCCAAAAGCCTAAACAGTGCTGAGAATTCTTTGTCTTCTATTTAAAGTTAATGTGATAAAATAGTTTTTTGCTCCCTCTTGAAATCAAATCTAGAATATCAAAAGTAACAAAAAATAATTGATTTCAGTGAAATTAGAAAGAATCAAACAATAAACTGTAGGAAACTTTCAATAACAAAAGATTATTCAAGGAGTAGCTGAAAAAAATACTGAAATACTGATCAGACAGGAAAAGCAATATATGGGCACAGAAAATAAACAGAAATGTGTTTAAAAAGAAGAAATTGATTTATCACACCATTTTCTTCCAAGACATCAAGTAAAATAACACTATAAGTGATATTGTTGAATTTGGTAATTCAGTGAAGGGATATGAATAGATGCAGATTAAAGTGGGTTAAAGAGTCAATAATGATAGTTCAACTTCAGCAACATGAGATAAGTTTATGTAGGATTTTGGTAAATCTTTAGAAATACTGTGCAACTAGAAGTTTTTTAGGAGTACACTCTGTATCTTGTAAAAAAGAAAAGGACATACCTAGTTATTGGAAAGAGAATTGAGAGCCACACAAGAAAACGTAGACTGTGTTATGCATAGTGATGGCTTTAAATACACCTGAAAGAAAACATGAAGGTTAAAAACCTTCATAAAAGATAGAACCACTAGCAGAATTTAGAAAAAACATCTGTCTGATGACTCAAAAAGACAAAGAAGATTTTTGCTACTGTCTAGGCTACAGGTTAAATACAATAAAGTTTACCATGAGAAATTCAAACTCTGATCTTGTATGTTAAATTGGTCTGAAGTTAGAGTTTATATTGCTTATCTGGAGAAAAAATTTGTAAGCTAAGGAACTTATATAAAACTTAAAGCCAGGAAATGGGAAAGCAGAAGATACTCCCTAAGCCCAGCAGTACAGGATCCCTTAACCATTCACACAAAACCGCATCACTGAATTAGTTCTAACAGTAACTAATTACAGAACAACAACAACAAAATCAAAATTCGCTGTTTTATTGCTTTTGAGAAAAATTCAAAAACAATTAAAAAAGCGAATATATCAAGTGTTGGACATATTAGAATTAGAAAAATAACTAATAAAAACGTTAAAGAGGCCGGCCATGGTGGCTCACACCTGTAATCCCAGCACTTTGGGAGGCCGAGGCAGGCAGATCACCTGAAGTCAGGAATTCAAGACCAGCCTGGCCAATGTGGTGAAACCCTGTCTCTACTAAAAATACAAAAATTAGCCAGGTGTGGGGGTTCACACCTGTAGTCCCAGCTACTCCAGAGGCTGAGGCAGAAGAATCGCTTGAACCTGGGAGGCAAAGGTTGCAGTGAGCCGAGATCCCACCACTGCACTCCAGCCTGGGCGATAGAGCGAGACTCCATCTCAAAAAAAAAAAAAAAAAAAAAAAAAAACCAAAAAGAAAAAGAAAAAAAATGTTAAAGACTGAAAATGGCATCCCTAAAATATCAACAATGAACATTTTAAAAATTTGACATAGAAAAGTAAAGATAGAGGGAAATAGCAGAGTGGGACACTCACAGAATGTCATACCATTTACAACCATAGGCTATAAAACACTAATAGTATCAACTTTTGTAGAACTCAAGAATCTAATCTAAAACTTTTTTTTTGAGACAGAGTTTTGCTTTTGTCGACCAGGCTGGATGGAGTGCAATGGGGCGATCTTGGCTCATTGCAACCTCCGTCTCCGAGGTTCAAGCGATTCTCCTGCCTCACCCTCCTGAGTAGCTGGGAATTATAGACATGTGCCACCATGCCTGGCAGGTG
Organism: Homo sapiens; assembly: GCF_000001405.40. Classification (NCBI taxonomy): domain Eukaryota; kingdom Metazoa; phylum Chordata; class Mammalia; order Primates; family Hominidae; genus Homo; species Homo sapiens. The sequence goes on from NC_000007.14 coordinate 53,207,224, forward strand.
ATCCGCCTGCCTCAGCCTCCCAAAATGCTGGGATTACAGGCATGAGCCACCACACCCGGCCCTAATCTAAAATTTAACAGCAACCAGAGAATTTACCAATAGAGAAAAGGACAACTGATTTTTGGTGAGAGAGTACTGTGGCACTTTCATCCACCTGCCTACCATCTTTCATTTTCTAGGGCAGTGGCAGCAACCAGGGGGAGGGTTTTCTGCATTTCTGGTGCTGTTCGCTGGTGCCAGGGTAGTGAAAAGGGCTTTGTTCTTAAAATGCTGTGATTATTTGACATGTCTGCTGTTTCCCTGGGGGACTAGCACAGAGGCTGATCTTTGTTTTGCTGCTCCTCCCCTCTACCTAGGGCAGTGATACTGTCTGTTGAAAGGTATAAATACATATTTTCTGCACCCACCTGGGATAAGAGATGGCAGATGGGGCAAGTGGTATGAAGGCTCAAGCCTGTTGAGCAGGAGAAGGCAAGGAAGCAGGTCTCTTATGGAATTAAGGGCTCTGAAGAAAGAGTGTGATGCATATGCCCAGGACTGGATGCATGCTCAGAAAGGATCTGAGAAGACGTAGACCTGCATGTCTGGCAGATATGCGGGCTTTGTTCAAGCAAAGCGTGAAGGAAAAGGGAGCGCCGTAGGCAGCCTGCTTAGCATTGAGCAGTATCCCAGCTCAGCTGTATTAGAACCTAAGCTGTAATAACATAATGACAAGCAGAGTAGTGTTCTCTCTCTCTCTCTCTCTCTCTCCAGGCATTTAAGAAAATCTGTCTCAGGTCAGGTCACTGGCTGACCACTCAGATAATGGAGCAGACTTCTGTGACTCCAGATGACAAGAGCTATACTCTTTTCAATAAAAGTGTGGAAAAGGTATAAAACAAATGTATGACTGCAGACCTGAATAACCAGAAACAGTAAATTTTCAGAAAGAGGGAAAATCTGATTTTCAGAGTTATGACATTATAAAATTCAAATGCTCAGTTTTCAACAATAAAAGTAATAGTCAGACAAATAAACAAAAATATGGGCAATTTAAAGGAAAAGTAGAAATTGCCAGAAACTGTTCCTGAGGATAACCAGACATTAAAATTATTAGATAAAACTTTAAACCAACTTTCTTAAATATGCTCAAAAAATGTTAAAGAAAACCATGGACCAAAAGCAAAAAGAAATGTGTAAAATGATATATGAACACCATGAGTTTATCGATAAGAGAAAGAAATGATAAAAATGATTCAAGTGGAAATTATGGAGGTGAAAATTATAAAAAATGAATTAAAAAATGTACTAGAGGTGTTTAACAGAAGATCTGAACAGAAAGAAAAAGGAGTCAGTGAACATGAAGACTAGATAAATGATCCAGCTTGAGGAACAGAAGGAAAAAAGAATGAAGAAAATTAAACAGAGCCTAGGGAACCTGTAGGATGCCACCAAGGACACCAACACACGTGTTACTGGAATTTCAGAAGAAGGAAGAGAAAAAGGGGTAGAAAGAATATTTGAAAAAGTAATAGCAGAAAATGTCTCCAATTTGATAAAATACATGAATCTAGCTATCCACAAAGCTCAACAAATTTTAAGTAGGATAAATTTAAATAAATCCACACGTTTTCAGGTTAAAATAATCATACCAATTCTGGAGTTCTGTGTGCCTTCCTGCATTGTTAAGGAATGATGTTTGGCATAATTTAAAATAATACTTAAGGAAACAACATTTTAAACAAATTGATATAAAGAGGAACCAGTGATTGATCCCTCAAATTCTGCCTTTACTTCTCTGACTTCTTAAATCTGTCATGTCCTCTTGAAACCAAATTAACTAAATTCTGAGAAGAGTGGCTTGGTTGGTCTCCTGTTTATGCAAATATAAGAATTTAAAATATTCCTACACTCTTTACCTTTTGAAATAATCTTTAGTTGGAAAAAGCATTACCGTGGCGTAAATGGATTCACTGACATGAGTATCCCACTAAAACCTAACCCTTCACCCCTGAGAATAAAAATCTGAGAAAACTTTTAGGATGGCCCTCATCAAGATCTGCTAACAGAAAAAGGATCTTGAGGTTCATAGAGAGGCACGTTTTATGCTATCATTACCACCAGGTGGGGTCCTCTTTCTCAGGTACAGTATAGCTTTACTAGGATCCCTACCTCATTTTCCTAAAGCCAGCTTTTCCTGGCTCACATCACTTCATGTCAGGAATACCAGCATGCTATCAGAGTTTTATATTTTGTCCTCACACACAGTCTGTTAACCCATGTTCACTTATCTAAATTTACTGACTCCAAATATTGTATTTTTACTAGTTAGAACCAATGTTTCCCTCATCCCACATACTAAATTCTTCTTTTGATTAATACTACCAATACAAGTGACCTTATCTTACTTAATGCTTCCCTGTAGACATTTGGAAATAATATACATTCTCCTTAGATTAAACGAGGTCCTGAGATTAAGGTACAATTTGGCTAAAAGGGGCAGAAAAGGCCTCACTTAACATGTGCCTACAATTATTAGACAAAACAAGAGTGGACAAAATTTGCATCCATTTTTATAAGATATTACTAAGCCATCCTACTTATTTTATTTGACAATTTCAAAAACTTCTACATTAAATATACAAATTAATATGCATATGTGCTAAGATATGTAATTATTCATAGAAAAAAGACTAAACACACCCAAATGTAAGTACTAATTGTATCTACTTCTAAGAAGTAAGTTTTAAATAATTTTTTAACATAACTGCCCCTCAATTTCTCTCTTTTACATTTTCCAAAATAACATACACATTGATAGACAAAAGAGCCATTTAAAACTATCATATAAAATTATATATTTCTAGCATTATACTTAAGACATACATTCAATAAAATGATTAGAATGAATACTTTCAGTAGATAGGACAATACGTGCTTCTCAATCTCCGTATCTTTTGCACATTCAATAATTTCTACATGTATTCTTTGGCAATGAAAAACATAAACTTTATTATAAAATAAAAGGTGGCAGCACTGATGCCACTTTATACTTATTATCCTGGATTCTCTGAGGTGTAGCTGCAGCAGATCATAATAATGACACGCAGAGGCCAGACAATGAGAGCTCCTTGGGAATTATGTTTTTCAGGCATATTTTTATAGCCACAAGGAATTCTTTGGCACTTACTGCCCAGAAATAAAAGATTCTCTGTCTTTATTTTGTTTAGTGATACTGTCTTACCCTACTTCTCTTGATCCAACATAAAATTTCTTATAGCCTCTTTAAATGGTTTAAGATGACATATAAAAATGAAATCACTTACTGGAAATGTCTTTAGGAAACATTAAGTAATTTAACCAACTTCATTTAAAGTCAGAATAATTATAATACTTTCTAAATATAATAAATATTTTCTGAGTTGATGCCTTTGTATGTCACTTAAATATATACATGTATATATATATATAGTCTCAATATTTAGATAAATGCATACTCCCATCACCAGAATAAAAAGACATCATACCAGAAAATTCATACTATAAACAGGATTATCTTCCAAGTGCTCCGGCTGTCAATAATTCTCCTTCACAATCTTGCACAGAAATGATTTAATAATTCTCCAGGAAAAGTAAATTTTGCCTTCCATCTTCCACTGAGTATCTAATAGATTAATCCAAAGTAAATGTTGCCTTCCATCTTCTACTGAATATGTAACAGATTAATCCAGGAGAATATTCTCACACTAACACTGAAAGGAAATCTTTGCTTACACAATGTCCTCATTCCATAAACAAATGTGGAGATCCCATTTCTCACCTGCCTCTAATGACATTATTTCCTTTTGACACTTTTGACTCTATGATATTATTTGTACTTCACCATTATTCATTCTTTGAAAACAGGTAATACATTAAAATATGCATTTATTTTAAAATGTTATACCAAATTTATCAATATATTATGTTTTTGGATTTAGCTTCTTGTTGCTGAGAACTGCACGCCCAGTACAAATGGGTCCATCTAACTGTCCCACACTAAAAGACTAGAACAAACTCTAGGATGGCTGCTGTCAGCAACAGGCCATGCCCTCAGATGATTCCAGCTCCCTTAACATGCCAGATCTGTTCCAGCCAAAACCTGACTATAAGCCCCTGACCTTTATCTTAGAACATTTACATTAGTAAACATGCAATGTACATTCTGAAGTACTAGAATGTACTTGTAACCTTTCTCTGCTCTTTGAGATGTAAATCTTCTGCAATCCAAAATGTTTTTTTAAGGACCTTGCAAGCATTCCTTATAAATGTCATCATCAAGAAGGATAGAACCTCTGTCCTGGAGTCTTTGTGGGAGGGTTGGAAACTGACTTTGATAAATGCCAATTAGCAGACATTGACGACCTAATCACACTGACAAACTTTTCCCCCCTTAATGTCTTTCAGTACTTTTAATTTAGTGTATCCCAGTGTTTATAAAATTCTCATCTCTTGTTTCAGTCAAGTTGAAGTTAGACATTGTAAGGAATAGGCTTCAACTTTTTGAAAGTGGGAATTTGAACTCTCTGAATGTGGAATCTGACATCATTTCTTTTGAAGATAATTATTTATAATTCTGGTTTCTCTCCAAGTCTTCTGAGCATCTACAAACGTATTTGCATAACAACAGCCCTGGAAGCTAGAGATAATGTCTCCCTTAAGATAGAGTCCTGACAACACTCCGGGGTAATGAAATCTCCCTCCTTTTTCAACTTACATTCCAGGGTAGTTCACTTAATTGCTCTAAAATATTGTAAGATATGCCCTGATAAGTTTTAGACTTGATTGGGACCTGTAGTCCCCTTCTCCTACTGATTTCTCCCCTTTAGAATGCAAATGTTTATCATATGCCTGTCCCACCCTTGTATTTTGGAATTCACAAATCTGTTGTCTGGTTTCACAGGTTCACAGCTAGAGAAAAATTTTGCCTCAGGATGAATAATGCCTTCATATCACTCATAATTGATTTTGACGATACTTAGATGAGACATTCACTTAAATTTGATGTTAGAATGGGTTAAGCATCAAATGGGTCTGTTGGGAATGGGTAAACGCATTTTGCATGTGAGGACATAAACTTTGTGGGGCCAGAGGATTGAGTGGTATGGGATGAATTGTGTCCCTTAAAAATTCTTATGTTCAAGTCCTAACTCCCAATACTTCAGAATGTGACTGTATTTGGAGATAAGGTCTTTAAAGAGGTGACTAAGTTATAATGAGTTCATTAGGGTGAACTGTAATACAATATGACTGGTGTCCTTATAAGAAGATGATATTAGGATGCAGACATATACAAAAGAAAGACCATGTGAAGATGTAGGGGGGGAAATGGCCATCTACAAGCCAAAGGGAGATAACTCAGAAGACACCAACCCTGCTGACACCTTGATGTCAAATTTCTAGCCTCTAGAACTGTGAGAGAAAAAAAGAATTCTGCTGTTTAAGCCACCTGATCTGTGGTACATTGTCATTACAGCTATAGCAATCTAATGCAATATTTAAGAAGTTCTGATAGTTCATAAAATGTCATGTGTTAAATGAAGTCAGTAAAACATGTTTTAAATGCTGTGGGGAGAAAGGATGATCTTCAAGGCGATTGAATAGGAGGTTTCAGACTCTCCCTTCCCCCAAATTACCAGCTAGACATGGATTAACTCTCTTTGAGAGAAATCCAGTAAGTATTTGAACTGCTGCACATTCAGAGAGTGAGACAATACCCATATTGAAATTGATATGAAAATCTGAGTCACAATCTCAATATAAACCCCTTCCCTAGCACAGGACATGCAATCAGGAGGGAAGTCACAACTTCCAGTGTTTCCCTGAGGAGTGAAAAGTTTGAACCACACATCTAGCACTGCAAATTTTCCAGCTGCTACGTGAGGGTCTGGCTTCTAATTTCCCTGTTTCTGAAAGCCAGTGGGTGCAGGATTCACTAGTTTTCCAGGGACTACGAGCCAAAGGATAGTTCTGAATGGGAATGCAAGCACTCACTGTGGCTTATCCCTTCAGTTCAGCACAGTGAACAGAGACTAAAACCCAGATTCTTGTTTCTGACTGGGTGTTATACTATACATCTAGTGCCTTATTTTTTCCATCTGCTTCCCAAGGACCTGGTTTTTAACTCTCCTGTTTCTGGGAGCTAATGGGACAGGCAATCACTTGTCCCCTGAAAGCCTGAATGAGTGTGTGGGGGCACTTCCTGTTGGTTGCTCCCAGCTTGCTCCAGCAATAAAACTAATTCTTCTTGGTTCTTTCTATAAGGCATTTTACTACACATCTGGCTTCTCTACTTTTCCAGTAGGAACTGAATGACTGGCTTCTAACCTGCCTGTCTCCAAGAACTGATGAGGCCTCGCATTGGCTAGGCCCTGAGGGCTACAAAGAGAATAGAACTGTTTTAAAAGACGGTGCACTATGAACAAGTATGTAGATGTTTGTTGCAGCTCCCCTCTCCAGCTTAGTAGAAAGTGAGTGAGCAAGAATTGCAGCTCCCAGTTTCTCTGCAGAGAAAAGTTATTAGAACACACATCTAGTGCCCCAACTTTTCTGGCTTCTATTAAGACACTAGCTTCTATCTTGCCTGGCTCAGGGCACTCATGGGACTTGACATACCTAGACTCCAGGGGCTGCTAAAAACAAAGGTGGTGGTTGAGACCAGCACAGACATTTGAGAGGGACCAGAATCTTTACCTAGACATATTGATGAGGGTCTTCTCCTGTAAAAGGCCAGTATGTGAAAACTGAGAGAGGTCATTGTTTTATCTAATGCACTGATGCAGACAAAGAAAATTAATTAAAAAAAGGTAAATCCTATCCAATCCTAATGAAAAGGATATATGTGATTTACCCGACGGAAAATAATGTGCATAAGTGTGTTCATTGAGGTCAGGAGAGCAATGCATAAGCAAAATAAGAATTTCAGTAAAGTGATAGAAAATATTGAAAAGTACCAAACAGAAATTATAGAGCTGAAGAATACAATAAGTAAACTGAAGAAGTCAATAGAGGGGTTCAACAACAGAATAAATAAGTAGAAGAAAGGATTATGAACACATGGGCAGATCATAGGAAGTCATCTATTCAGTGGAATAAAGAAAATACAATGAAAAATGTGAAGAAAGCCTACGAAATTATGGGACATCATCAACTAGATCAATATATTTTGAGAGTCTCAGAAGCAGAAGAGAAAGAAATAAGAAGAAAGCTTATTTTAAAAAAAAATGGCTGAAAGCTTCCCAATCTGGAAAAGAAAAAAGCATTCAGATCTAGGAAGCCCAGAGGACACCAAAAATCTGAACCTAAAAAACCCAAACCAAAATACATTATAATCAAACTGTCGAAACTCAGAGTCAGAGAATTTTGAAAGCAGCAAGAAAAATATGACTTGTCCCATACAAGGGAACCTCTATAACACTATCTGTGGATTTTCCAGTAGAAACATAGTATGCCAGAAAAGAGTGGAATGAGATAAACTGTTTTCTCTAAAAAAAAAAAAAAAAAGAAAAAGAAAAAGAAAAACTTCCAAGAAAGGATACCATCCCTGGCAAAGCTGTCCTTCAAAAATGAAGGGGAGACAAAGACTTTCTCAGACAATCAAAAGCTAAAGAAATGCCTCACTACTTGACTTGCCTTACAAAAAGTTAATTTTTCAAGTTGACATGAAAGGACAACTAAACAACAACAAAATAGCATAAAAAATGATGAAACTTGTTTGTAAAGGTAAATATATAGACAAAATCCAACTATTTGCTTTCTACAAAAATAAAACTCAAGATTTAAAGACAGGCTGAATGTGGAGAGATGAAAAAATACATTCCATGTGAATGGTAAACAAAAGAAGGCTGACTAGTAATACTTACATCAGACAACATAGATTTTATGTCAAGAAATGTCTCCAGAGCCAAAGTAAGTAATCTAGGTAATCATATGTGATAAAAGAGTCCATTCATCAGGAGGATTATAACAGTCATAAATATATAGGCATCTGACATAAATGTACCTAAACATATACAAAATGCTGTGGGAACAAGAATAGTCTTTTAGAAGCTTAGACTTTAACACAACTTACAGAAAACATCCTGAATTGGCAAAATAATTAGTGAAATACAGATTTTGTATATTAAGGTTATGTTTGTTTAAGAATTGTATATTTTATTTATTAATCTTTTTAGTATCCATTAATTTAATAGAAATCCCCGTTGAGTATGCTCCTTATATACTGTGATGCTGGCTTAGATTAGTTCACCAAATTCTTATCAACAGAGAGATAGTCTTACACTTTAAGATGACACAATTGCTTGACCAGTTAATGTTCCTGATACTAAAGATGAAATCCCAGTAACCGCAAGGACCTACTGTGCTTAGTGCCACAATCAGACAAAAAGCAACTTATTTAAAGACACCATCAAAGAAAGCAGTTTTTGGCCAGGTGTGGTGGCTCACACCTGTAATCCCAGCACTTTGGGAGGCTGAGGGGGTGGATCACTTGAGGTCAGGAGTTTGAGATGAGCCTGGCCAACGTGGTGAAACGCTATCTATACTAAAAATACAAAATTTAACCAGGTGTGGTGGTGTGTGTCTGTAATCCCAACTACTTGGGAGGCTGAGGCACAAGAATCACTCTAACCCAGGAGGTGGAGGTTGCAGCCAGACGAGATCACATCACAGCACTCGAGCTTGGGCAACAGAGCAAGAGCGAGACTCGGTCTCAAAAAAAAAAGAAGCAGAAAGCAGTTCCAACTAGAAAGACATTATTCCTCATGAGAGAAAGAAAGAACTTCAGCAGTGGTAGGTTCTTTGTCTCACAAAGCATTTGTTGGTTTGAGAGGCTTACAACTTTATTGAGAAGAGAGAGGTGCTTCACTCTGTCTGAGATTTCAAGGAGCAATACCAGTTATACATGATATAAGAGCTGAGAGAAATTGGTCACTGAGACAGGAGTGTTTGGGAAGAAATTTAATGGCAGAGGAAGACCAGACAGAAGAGCCTGCTAGCTTGCCTTAAATCACACGAAATGAGAAAGGAAAGCACGTGACTTACAGAAGAAAGAAAGGGAAATAATGATCTTAATATTCAATAATTTATGTTATAATTGCAATGAGTGGTAAAATAGTAAAATAAAAATTACTTTTTAGTTTTTATTAACAGTATTATTTGCCAATCAGAGAGAAAAAATTTGAAAAGACTTGTGTAAAAAGGATGTGCAAATTTACACTCTTACAAGGTGAAAATCTAACAGATTAAGGTTTGAATAGAACCAATTATTCAAGTATGATTCTCTGCAGGCCAAAAAAAAAAAAAATGAAAGAGAGAGAAAGAAAGAGAGAAAGAAAATAGTTCAATCCTAATTCTAGTGAGAGCAATCCCAATGAACATAGATAACTGGTAGCAACGTGGACCATGGAGCTTTGAAACTGGTGAGACAAGGAAGCTGCAGTGTAAAGTGGACAGCTCCAAAACAGGGACTCGTGCAGACCACTGGAAGGCAAATGGAAAGTGTGAAAAGGTATTGCTCTGGGAAAACCCATTACATGTATAATAAAAAATGGCACCTTCCTTCTCATCAGGCCAAAATCAGACCTCTGCTGAGCTGTAAATGTATCATCATATTGAGAGGTGAAGCTGGCTGGGCTTGGGGGAGGGGGGGGACTTGCAGAACTTTTCTGTCTAGCTAAAGGATTGTAAATGCACCAATCAGTGCTCTGTGTCTAGCTAAAGGTTTGTAAACGCACCAATCAGCTCTCTGTAAACATGCACCAATCGGCTCTCTGTAAAATGGACCAATCAGCAGCATGTAGGTGGGGCCAAATAAGGGAATAAAACCTGGCCACCTAAGCCAGTGGCGGCAACCCAGTGGGGTACCCTTCCATGCTGTGGAGGCCTTGTTCTTTAGCTCTTCACAATAAATCTTGCTGCTGCTCACTGTTTGGGTCCCCACTACCTTTATGAGCTCTAACACTCAGTACAAAGGTCTGCAGCTTCACTCCTGAAGTCAGCGAGACCACGAACCCACCAGGAGGAGCAAACAACTCCAGATGCGCCACTTTTAAGAGCTGTTAACACTCACTGTGAAGGTCCACGGCTTCATTCCTGAAGTCAGCAAGACCACGAACCCACCAGAAGGAACAAACTGGGGACACACCATCTTTGAGAATTGTAACACTCGCTGGGAGGGTGTGTGGCTTCATTCTTGAAGTCCGCGAGACGAAGAGCCCAATGGGGCCGGGCGTGGTGGCTCATGCCTGTAATCCCAGCACTTTGGGAAGCTGAGGTGGGTGGATCACGAGGTAAGGAGATCGAGACCATCCTGGCTAACACGGAGAAACCCCATCTCTACTAAAAATTCAAAAAAATTAGCTGGGCGTGGTGGCGGCTGCCTGTAGTCCCAGCTACTCGGCAGGCTGAGGCAGGAGAATGGCCTAAACCCAGGAGGTGGAGCTTGCAGTGAGCCGAGATCGCACCACTGCACTCTAGTCTGGGTGACAGAGCGAGACTCCGTCTCAAAAAAAAAAAAAAAAAAAAAAAAAAAAAAAAAAAAAAAAAAAAAACGCACTGGAAGGAACCAATTCTGGACAAAATATGACCAGAATGTAGAAATGAGTGTTGCATGTATTTGGAGGCGCTCACACTTTTGTATGCACATATGAGAGACGGAGGGTGGGGGTCTGTATAAGGGTCTGTAACATTTTATGATGCCAATCTTTGTTACAAAGGTTTAACTGACTAAACATTCCACCCAGAGACATTAATGGAAAAATGTATCCACTACTTATTTGGATAAATATGGATCTATTCTAAAGTTTCCTCTATTTGCCTTGTTGAGAAAGGCAGGGTGGAGAATAGCTGAGAGCTTCATAGCAAGGGCCTCGGGGTTAGAACGCCTTGGCTGGAATTCCACCTCTGCCAATCTTAAAAATGGCACTAGGGTATTATTTAATTTGTTAAATCTCAGAATTCATTTCTTCATCTCTACCATAAGTGTAACAATAAATGACATAATGCATTAAAAACACCTAGCACTGGGGCTGGCATGACACTAAGTGCTGTTCAAAGGACGGCTATTTGTGTAAATTTAAGCTGATTTTAGTTGAAGTGTCAATTGATTTGTTGAAATGCTTACTGTAACAATTCCTATTTTATCCTCTTCTATAAAATTCAATACGGTTATGAAATGAGGTTTTATTTTAGGAACAGAGATAATTATCTAGTCCTTGAAAAAGGGTCTTCTCGACAAATTGCATTAGATTTAATTTTAAAGTGTTCTTGCTCTTGAAAAAGAATTTATTCTCTGTTCCATGAACATAGATATCAGAAATCAATTTTACTCACAGTTTGAAGCATGCTTTCTATGTCAACAAAGTTTGCCAATACATGACTTAATAGTATTCTTCAATTTTTATTACCTAATAAATTTCAGAAGCTCACATTTCACCTTTATATTTACAGATATACAGATAGATAGCTATGCTCATGTTTTAATTTTGGTATATCGTCGTTTTTATCAGTTATGTCTAAATCAGAGAATGTGGAAGAAAATGCTCCGTAGGACCAGTAACTTCGAATGCTCACTAGTAGGAAGAAGATTAAAATCTGTGGAGCTGCAGCATCTTGAATCTGTCCTTATAACTCAGGCCATGCTCAGCTTTTGGCGGCCTCGCAAAACCTTTTCCCCGCACCAGTATTCCCGGCTTCCATTTGGCCCCAGCTGTCTCCCTTCCCGCTCTGTACTTACAATGAGTTTATTTCTGTTCTTTGTCGTGACTTTCTCCTTTCTTTTCTGAAGTCATCCCTCCCTCCCCCCATTATTACTAGATGGCTAAAATAGAGTGGAGAGTACCCAGGACGGAGAGCACTCCACGCTGCAGGGATCATCAGCGAGACCAGAAACCCCCAGGCGCTCAGGGCAGCTGGGATCCGCGGTTTCAGGTTCCTCACTGCGGGGCGCTGCGGCCATGGCCCGGGTTTAGTTCGCGGAGCTGCGGGGCGGGACTGGGAATGCCGCACTTTCCCATGCCCGGTGGGTGGAATTCACAGAATTCTTCCTGTTTCCTTGAAAGCTGGACATGGGGGGAGAGGCGAGTACCCAGACGCCGGTTTTGCGGTGGGTTTCTCTCTGCGCTGTGTGCGGCTGAGCGGCGGTTATTGGGGCTCCACCAGAGGGGACGTGGACAGGCGAGACGGCACAGCCCCGGCGCAGCCCCGCGAGTCCTGCTAAGCCCAGCTCCCCGGACTAAGGGCCCGAGATACGGGCGTCCGATGGGACAGAGGAGTGGGGAAGAGACCGAGGGGGCCGCTAAGATTCTCTGCTGTTAAAACTACTGAACCTGTTCTTGAAATCAGGTCTGGGCCCAAGCAGGACTAATTTCTGGGATGAGAGAAATTCACAGGAACCCACAGCAGAAGACTGGAGTCCTTCTCTCCAGGGGGTGGGCAATCGGGTCCCCGCTGCTGGAATCCCCCACGGGTGAATTTCCCTTTCATTTGCACAAACACTTCTGCACTGACTTTATGTTAATCATTACACAGCAAATGCTTTCTTTTAAAAAAAAGCATAGATTATTTGCTTATATATGAACAGTTTAAGAAATAAAGTGAAAGGAATTGAATTTTTTGGGTATTTTGATAGAATATATATTAAATTTAAACAATATCCTTAAGAATATATGACCTTTGATATTTCATTGTTGTCATCTAATAGTATATTGCCTTTTTATAGTCTCTGCAGAGGTAAATTTCAATGCCGGATCATTATTATTTGTATTTTTAAGTTATTTTCCCCGGATAAATTTACAGAAAATATTAGCTGTGTAGTCTTTCAATTTGAAGTATTATACTGCTTAAGCAATGCCATTTTACGGATATTTAGGGATACAAATTTTTAAAAATCAATAAACTAATAAAGCATGAATTCTAGCAACCTATTTTTTAATCTATCTTCACCTCTATCCCTCACTTAACCCATTGTACTTGGCCAGTCGGGATATACTCTTCTACTTGGACAGTCAAGACATACTATTCTCAGGCTCTTGGCCACTCCCATTGTCTGTTTCTTCAACCTTTTCTTAGCTTTATTCCTTAAGAAGTTTAATCCCTCAGAATGCCAATTTATCCACTCTTTTGCTAAAACTCTTAAAACACCTGGCCTCCTTAACTGTATCTTGCTCTGATAGTATAAGTTGACACTACAGTATTGATCACCCATCTGCCTTTCTTGCTGTTACGATTTAGCAGCTGAGTGTGAGCAAAGAAAAGCCCATGACCAAGATAATTAGAGACTCTAAGATGTTCAGCGATCCATTAATTCACTGTGTGTCTCCTCAATGCTATTTTCATCTTCCAACCCCACAGTTATGGTTAGAAACATTCCACGCTTCCTCAAGGTTGTTACTCAATACCAGCCTGACCTCCCCTGTTGGATGTTATTGGGAGCAAAAAAGGTATTGCCAGGATCTAAGGTTTCCAGATTGTGCATTGCTGTTTCACCTCTCTGTCTTGTTACATACAGTCTTCCATTAAGCATTTTCTGTTCTCCTCCAATCCATGTTAATATTTTAACTTTGTCACTTTTCTGTCTTGTACATTTATGATGGCATTTACAAAAATTCATCACATTAATTTCTTGCATTCCCTCCCTCTTCTACAAGCTATTTAGTCTAAAAGAACAAAAACTAGTTCTTAATCATCTTTGTTTTCCTTATTACTTAAGCACAAATCGCTTAACATAGGCTGAAGGAGTATATTAATCACAACTTGTTTACAACTGTTCAAATTAAAACATTCAAAACAAGGTTAGGTATTGAGTTTTACTTGAATTAATTCCAGTAGAATATTTAATTCGCTGGAATGTGTATACATTTTTTCTTTAAGACTAGAAGTTATTCAGAGATTCTTGATCCTTTCATTTAATAGTACATCCTGAACAAATTTAGTATTAGGAGATAGTTTGAAATCCAAATAAAGACACAAATGGATTTGGAGACCTATTCAGTCCTTACATAATTCCTTTGAGAAGAAATTTTTAGACTATTCACTTCCTGGGTACGATGCTTTTGTATTGGAGCTGGGTGCAGTAGGCGCTTGCTCGTAGAGACTGTGGCACTGAGTTCAGCATAGAACTCTATTGAAATTCTAGCTCCACTGCCTAAATTGTGACTTCGGGCTAGTTACTGGACTTCTGGAAGTGTAAGTTTTATTATCTGTAAAACAAAGCTAGTAGTGTCAAGCTCGTAACAGTGCTTTGACAATTAAATTTAAGAAATAAATTTAAATTGGCGGAGAATGTGTACCTGGGCTAATGATGACAACTTTATAATGGAAACTTCATGACCTGTTTAACTTTAATTATATGTTTTCTTCCTTTGTGTCAGTTTCCCAGATTCACTCACATCCTGCCCTGAAGACCACACCTTAATATAATAACTACCTTGACAGAGCATCTGAACATGGATGCATTGAGAGAAATACTGCACTCCTAATGACATGACAGCCAAGCCCAGTACTTTGAAATATTATAGTTAGAACTAGGAGAGTAGAGCAAGATCCCTGGAGCAGTTCTACATAAAAGAAATATAATGCTAACCATCGACACAATTCTGTATTTTCTGGTAGGCATATTTAAATAAGTGAAGTGAAACAGATAAAATTAATTTTAATATATTTTATTCAGCACAAAACATCCAAAATATCATTTCAACATAAATAATATTAAAAATTGTTAATGAGATACTTTACATTTTTTTTCTGTGTGCCAAGTCTTCAAAATATGGAGTGTGCTTTACATTTATAACATATCCTTTTTCAGACTCATGACTGTCAAAATGTCACTACCCACAGGTGGCTAGGGCTTCCCAAGTGAGATAGTGCTGTTGCAGTGGGTGGACCCAGGCAGCCCATGGCTTTGCCCTATCCAGAATGAAGAGCATGAGAAAAATGGGTGTGCTGTAGTCTGAGTGTTTGTGTCTCTCCAAGTCTCATGTATTGAAACCTAATCACAAAGATGATGCTATTAGAAAGCGGGGCCTTTGAAAGGGGATTAGTCCATGAGGATAGAGCTTCATGCATGGGATGAGTACCCAAAGAGGCATAAGAGAGCTCTTGGCTCCTTTCTGCCCTTCTGCCATGTGAGGACACATAAAAAATGCCATCCAGAAAGAAGGGGCCCTCACCAGACACTGAATCTATTGGCAACTTGATCATGGACTTTCTAGTCCCTAAAACTGTGGGCAGTGAAATTCTGTGGTTTATAAATTACCCAGTCTAAGTTATTTTGGTATAGCAGCCCAAACCAACAATAGGTGTTTTCTGCTTCATGCTAAATATGCCATAGTGTGTACAAAAGAGTGATTTCCAGAGAAGGGATGCATCTTATTTCCTGGCTCCTGGCTTTCACAAGCTCTTTCTCATGCTATAGCTATACTTCCATTCTGTTTCATTTTTTCATTTCAGGTTGGTGCAAAAGTAATTGCAGTTTTTCCATTATTTTTAATGGCAAAAACTGCAATTACTTTTGCACCAACCTAATACTAACCTCTTCAATGACACGTGTGGACTCACACTTCGGTACTCGTTTTCCCCATGTAACTGATTTTTTCCTTTGTCACCGTTATACTATGCTATTGCAATGGTGTTTTGATAATGGATTCAGCCTTCCTTTCAACAAATTGATCTAAAGCTTTTAATGTACGCTGGCTTTGCCTGATTTTAGTCGATAAGCTTGGGGGACTCTTTCTTGCAGTGTAGTCAGAGTTCCAACAGCTGAGCGATTTCTTGAATCTGCACCATACCTTTCCCCCATGGGGATCAGGCAAAAAGTTTTAGCCAGCAGTAATTTCCTAAAAAAGAGAGAAGTAAAGAACATAGATAAAATGAAACAAGAATGGAAGTATAAGTAAAGAAAAGGCTACTGCAATTACAAACCTTGATACAGATAGTAACGATAATCACAGTCATAAGCATATGATCTGTAAACATTGGCAGCTTATTATAAACAGGCACTGTGCTAATCCTTTTATCATCTCATTTTATTTAATCTCCGTAGCAACCATTTGAAGTAATATTTGACTTCTATTTCTCCTTGGACCAACACTGTTTATTTTTCTTTGGAACAGGCATACAATTTGGGGGAACCTCCCCACTTTCCTTTTTTTATTTTTTTCTAGCATTGTTTCAAACACTCTTAGAATCAAAGTTGTCAATGTTCTGTGAAAATTTCTTCCAGGTGACCATACGAAGACTTTGGAGAAGCCAAATATTTATCCCAAACCACATCTCCTGACATCCATAACACATGCTGAATGTCCTGTGTCTGTCCCGGGCTGCTGGCTGATTTGAATCCCCTCCCTGTGCCCGCTAAGTGTCAGCTCTGGAGGCCACCCCCACAGTGTCCCTCCTGCAGGTACCCCTTTGCCTTCACCACTTAGTTCTTCAGGTGATGGCATCAGCCCTCCCCTTCACCAACCTTTTTCAAGTATTCTTCCTCTCTTTCACTCTCTCTCTTGCCAAATTTTATTTTTACTTAAAAAAAAAAAGTAAGTAGACACCAAAATTAAAATGGAAAACTATCTGAGAGCTGTGCCTAATGTTATAAAATGAAGCTAAACTGTGTCTTGATTGTAAAAGAGAAATCAATTTAGAAAGTATTGACTTGGAAGAACTTAATTGCTCATAAAATTAATTTATGGATGGCTTTATTTGATGTTTGGAAACAGGAATACAAATGAACCAACTTTGATGTTTATGAGTTTCCATGGTTAGCCAAGGAAAGAGGTAACTGACAAGAAGAGAAAATTGAAACAGATGAGAAGGTAATGGTTGTTTACTCTTCCCTGGAAACACACCATATTAGGTTATAAGAAGTGGACAGTTATAAAACTGTTCAACAAAATAGTTGCAGACCAGTTTAAAATTACCAAAAAAAATTTATATTGAATCATACTTTCAAACTTTCAGTGACCCTATGTGTCTTAAAATCAATATAGATTATTTGTGAATTTTTAAACAAAATTAAAGGTAATAATATCTTCTGAAGGAATTACAGGATAAATAATTTGCAATCTATTAAGCCCCCAAGAGCCATAGAAGTAAAATCTTCCTGCTGAGATAGCAGAATTTTATTGTAAGTTATCATGTTGGAAGAAAAGCAAAGCCATAGCAACAAAGGATGCAGAGTTAGTATATGTGTATATGTGTGTGTATATGTGTGTGTGTGTTTGTGTATAAATATATATACATCTTAGGCAGAGGCAACAAAAGAATGCCATTATGGCAGGTGCACAGGAACAGAAAGGAAATAGAAAAGCCTTGTATCACATATAGGATATTATTTTTATTACTTATCTTTTTATAATTTGCATAATAAAAGGTTAGCTCACTATGTAAAATGATATTTGTCATCTTACATAAGTAAAACAATGACTTCATTAAAGAGTATCTTGAAAACAGAGTCAAGCATACATTTATATTTGCAGGAAAATAAATGTGATTGCAGTAACTTCTTACAATGCACAAATATCTATGAAATGGTTGGTATTAATATTATCCTTGAATATGACTGATAGCCATTTGATGGGTTGGTTTTAATCTTGTAGTATCTTCTTATTCTGGTTGAAAAAGTTCTTTTCATGCTTAATTTAACCCAACAATAAGTGGGCACCCTTTCTCCAAAATGCCCTGGACATGGGGCACATTGGCTTATTGTCTTGGGGAATTTTGAGCATGGCCATCAAATGGCAGGTAACAGATCCTGCACAGGGGATTGCTCCTCTCAGGTAATTGACATGCAGTCAGCAAGCTTTCCCAGTGCAGATGGTGTGAGGTTCAGAATTGTGTTGTGATTACCTGGATGGCAGGCACTTTGCTTCAGTCATGCTCCCAGGTATTACTGCACCATCTTGGTCAGCTTGCTCTAGGTGGATCTACTCACCTTTGGCCCTCTGTTCTGATAAAATCCCTCTCAGAACATGTCCAGGACAATGCCAGTCACCAGCGCTTACTCCTCATTCTCTACACACAGGCTTCTTTCCTATCCCAAAAGTGTGATGTCCCTTTAGGAAGGTTTTCCTTCACTTTAGATGGACACTCAACTGCTCAGTTATACATAATTTGTTTTTCCGTTACTAAACCTTAGAGAATGTTTGATCTTCAAAAAAATTAAATAAAAGGTTCATGTTATAGTACAATACAAATCCACAGTTAAGCAACACATGCATGTGCAACATACACTATTAAAATCACACTAAAAATGAAATTTAAAAAAATAATGCAGGGAAATAACATTTATTCAGCTGCCACCGTGTAAAAAGCCTTCTCTAGACTAATTCCTACATGTAATGCAAAATCAAGTCCTCACAACAGTCCTGTGTTGTATTATCCTTCTTTTTAATGCAAATGAGAAGAAAGTTAGATTTTAGAAGTTAACTTACAAAGAGTGAGCAGCAGGGTCGAACTCTGTAGATTGTAGATTGCCTGACAGCACAACCTGCAGTATACATCTGCACATTGCTGTGCACGTTTCATAGACGCCCTTGCCTCCAGGAACTGAGTCTTAGAAGGTAATAGGTAACCCAGTACTTATTTTATTTATTTTTTTTTTGAGACGGACTTTCACTCTTGTTGCCCAGGCTGGAGTCCAGTGATGTGATCTCGGCTCACTGCAACCTCTGCCTCCCGGTTCAAGCGATTCTTCTGCCTCAGCCTCCTGAGTAGCTCGGATTACAGGCATGTGCCACCATGCATGGCTAATTTTTGTATTTTTAGTAGAAACAGCGATTCACCATGTTGGTCAGGCTGGTCTCGAACTCCCGACCTCAGGTGATCTGCCCACCTCGGCCTCCCAAAGTGCTGGGATTACAGATGTGAGCCACTGCGCGGCAGTAACTCAGTATTTATAAGCAAATTCTTTTACTTTTTAAATTACTCTCTTCAGGTGGCAAGGTTTGTGTAAATAAGTGTGGCACTGCAGTTTATACATAGACATGAGGCAACACGAGTATGGAGATGGCCCCTTCTAGATCAATCAGCACAGAAAGCAAGGGCAGGAGGAGCCTCTGTGTTTATTTAAAGTGTTTTAAAAGAGGATGGCTGTCCATTCAAATTCAGCCAATTGGTCATAAGCAGGTATCTTTTAATCATCAAAATCTTGATACTTAATATGCTGTTTGAAATCTGAATACTCTTTAAGATGATATTCAGTAATAGCACATGTTCTGTCTTCCAAAATAATGAAACAAGGTACCTTTTAAAGCCTAGTAGTTGTAAGTTACTTCGCTAGCTACTTAATGATGCTCAGAAAATAGCCAGATGCTGTGGCACACACCTGTAGTATCAGCTACTCAGGGGGCTGAGGCAGGAGGAGCACTTGAGTTCAGGAGTTCAGCCTGGGCAACATTGAGAGACCCCATCTCTGAAAAATAAATATATAAATAAATATAATTTTAAAACATACCATATAGACTTCCCAAATGAACCAAGATGATTTGAGATACAACAAATAGTTAATATAATTTTAAAAACAATAAGCCCAATAATAAAATGGAAAAAGCCAAGTAATAAAGGAGAGATCTTGAAATAATTAACTATAAAACAAAAGCTAAAGAAAGTTTCTATCATCAGGCAGAATTGTATTTGGATTCCTTAGTGAGTAGAGCAAAAAGAGCAATGCTCTATTGATACACTTATCCGAGATTAATTAAAGGCCACATTTTCTTAGCTAAAGACTTTGCAAAACCAGGAAAAAAAAATTCTCATCCAGTGATTTTGGGTGGGTGCATTGCAAGATATAAGTGATCATACCTCACGTGGAAATGTTCAAAAAAGCAAGTTTCCAAATTTGATTGTATATGAAACCCAAGGATATATTCCCTTTACACTCTATCATGCAAACTATACAATTTTAGGTACATATTTAACATTTAATGACACGATTTCACATCTGCACTTGGGTGGAAGTCCCTGGTACTCTAGTGTGTGTGCCAGTGGCTTGGTTGTGGGAACTCTGTGCAGAGAACATGGAATCCGGTGGAACTGCACACGGAAATGAGATGCTTCATATGCCCTGGATTTGTTCCATGATTCCATGATTAATTTCAAAATTCAGAGTTCAATAGAAGTGTATGATAAGAATAGACTCAGGTGAATGCTTTTATTTTGTAATTATTTGAATACCACTATATTCTGTCATTCTTTTTTGATATAAAATATGCTGGTTTGCACCAATTAAAATTATGTTGACATTTAGATAGGCAGGTTTTATGAATCAAATGTTTCTGTCCTCCCAAAATTTACATGTTGAAGCCTTAACCCACAGGGTAATGGCATTAAGAGGTGGGCAGGTAATTAGCTTTAGATGAGGTCCTGAGGTTGGGATCCCCATGATGTCATCAGAGCCCTTATAAGGAGAGAAAGAGACACCAGAATTTCCTTTCCCTCTCCCTTGTAGGATACTGGAGAAGGCAGCCATCTGCAAGCCAGACAGAGAGTCCTCGCCAGGACCTAAAGGGCCAGCACCTTGATCTTGAGTTTCTCAGTCTCCACAACTGTACAAAATAAATGTCTGTTGTTTAAACTACCCAGACTATGGTATTTTGTTATAGTCTAACCTAAGGTAACTAGCTCAAACAGGCGAAGATTAAATTAGT
Organism: Homo sapiens; assembly: GCF_000001405.40. Classification (NCBI taxonomy): domain Eukaryota; kingdom Metazoa; phylum Chordata; class Mammalia; order Primates; family Hominidae; genus Homo; species Homo sapiens. The sequence goes on from NC_000007.14 coordinate 53,227,878, forward strand.
TTTTTCAGTTGCTGGTTTTGCAAATTATTTATTCCTCTACTTTATCATAAATATATTTTAAAAATATTTTGAAGTCAGTAGAATGGGTCTAAAATACAAACTCTGTTCCTGATTACCTCTGCGGCCTTGGGCAGGCAAGTAGAACTCTCTAAACTCAAGACTTCTCCTCTATGAAATAAGCAAAATTAACATTTCCTGGAGAAGTACATGACACTTATGAAGAGCTCATTCTGTGCTAGCTTTGGTTCCACATAGTCATCATTTTCGTATGAAAAGCAATTCATCTGGTTTGTAAATTTAATTTCTTATCATAACCACTACCTCACAAAGATACATGATTTGTTTTTAATTGTATCAATTTTGTACTTGCATGTTGCAATTAGTATTTTAATTATAAATATATAAATATGATTGAAAAATATAGATATTTTAAGTATATTATTTTCTTAAGAAATATTCTTTAGAATAAAATTCCTTGAAAATGCACTGAAACATATTTATTGGCAAGTGGCTTTCTGAAAGAAATAGTTATGGCTGAAAATTTGATTTTTTACGAAAAATTTACATGCAGCAGTAATATACTTTTATATTTTTTGCTAAGTAGTAGGCATGAAAATACTAAATTTAAAAAATAATGGACATTTATTTCATAATGAGGTGGAATGATTATAAGTTTTTCTTTCTCATTTTTAAACATCAAGTTAATAATGCATCTTTGTTGAAAAATAATCAACAATTTGGATGCAAATGCAGTCAAAATAATGAATATACCCTCACTGCGCTAATCCATCTACTCAGAGTTAACCATTATTAGCAGCTTTGTTGGTGTAATAGCGTGACATTTCAAATTCATATAATTTGATAAAATATGGTACACTATGCTATAATAATCAGATATTCAAGAACAGATAATTACAAAGATATATAACCATGAAATCTATATTCTACAACACAGTTTTTCCATAAATTATATAACATGAGCTAATTTTGTATTCAGCTTATTATTTTTAACAGCTGCTTCAGGCAAATGCTTTTATTTTGTAATTATTTAAATACTACTATATCCTGTCATTCTTTTTTGATATAAAATATACTAGTTTGTAACAATTAAAATTATATTGACATTTCCATAGGCAGGTTTTATGGATCAAATGTAATATTTCCCAGAATATTACAGTTCCATAATTTATTTAATATTATTGAGGATTCAATTTATACAGATGATAAAAATGCATTTGACTGTGAGTAATGGAACAATCACAATAAGTTAATGATAGGTATGTATCATTTTTATAGGGCATTCAAAGGTGAAGAGTCCAAGGGTTTCTATAGAAACTCATCCTTAGCACATGGACTCTAAAAGTCAATTCCTCCTAACATTGTTCTCCAAAAGAAGAACATACCTCCAATACTCATGGCGCTTGGGGAATGATATGGGTCTTTTCTACTTCCCTTTTTTCCTTTAGCAAGTTTCCAACCCCTCTCTTCTGGCGTCTGTGTGCTCGCCTAATCACATACTCAGCAGATTTATTTTGCCAGTTGGCTACTTGCTCAGCAGGTGACATCAGCAAGAAGCCAGTACACATAGCTGGGAGATAGTTTTGTTAAGTCTGGTTTTGGAATGGGGTTTGATCTTTCCTGCTGTCTTTCATGTCGAATAAGTCTAAAGCTGCATTTCCAGTATGTATGTTCCATGGGGCTGTAAAACTATCACTTTTCAAGCTTATTGTAGAGATCCTGCCCTGATCTCCCTATAATTACTTTTTGTTTGTTTTAGAAACAGTCCTTAACTAGTTCATTTCACATCAACTGCTGGGCCAAGAAGAGTAATAAATTGGATTATAATTGATTAACTGATAATCTAGCTGTGGATTTTTGTTTTTGTTTATGTTTTGAGACAGGGTCTTGCTCTTTCAGCCAGGCTGGAGTGCAGTGGTGTGATCTCGGCTCACTGCAGCCTTGATCTCCTGGGCTCAAGCGATTCTCCCACCTTAGCCTCCTAAGTAGCTAAGACCACAGGAGCACACCACCACACCTGGTTAACGTTTTTATCCTTTTGTACAGATGGGGTCTCACTATGCCCAGGCTGGTCTCAAACCGTGGGCTCAAGGAATTTTCCCACTTCAGCTTTCCAAAGTGCTGAGATTATGGGTGCTAGCAACCATGCCCAGCCTAGCTGTGGATTTTGACATAGAAAAAAGTAAAGAATCAAGGATAAGACCATTAGATGTGCTCCCCAAACATAATAAGTGGCCTTTTATGTTATTTTCTTATTGATGAAAATAAAAGGAAGATTTGAAAATGACAATTGAACTCTTTAGGTATCAACGGCCCTATAATTTCATGTAAAGCCTTATTTGCAGAAAGACATCAGGTGATTTTTGTGGATGTATTGCGAAGAAGTAGGAGCAATTTGTGCTTAATCGATTTACCAGATTAATAATCTTTACTTTCTTGAGAAATCATACTGCTAATGCCCAGCAAGTGAATGCCTAATAGGACATCTTATAAATTTCCAACATATTTTCTAGCAACTGAGCTGTTTACTTACTAAAAGTCAGCTGTGTTTATTTCTTATAGTTATATCACTTATACTTTTTGTGATAATTAAACAGTTAAATTAAATTGCTGAAAAATAATGGGCAAATAAAGAGTTAAGAATTTGTGATGACTAATTTAAATAATTCAGAAAGACTTGATAAATGTGACTCACCAAAAATAAAGTCTATCTGTGGGCAAATAAACTGTAAAAAATTAGTTGAATAATGTAAACATTTATTAAAATTCTTTACTCAAATTATTTCAAAAATGTCATTTAGTTCGAGGTACATTTTAAAAACATTTTAATAAAGGACTATATTAAGCATTTATAAAGGTTGAGAAATAACATAATAAACTGCTATTTGCCCTATTTAATTGCCATGATTTTATAACATTTACAAATCATGAACAATCTTACTTCAACTCTATTCCTACAAAATTCCTCACTCCCTTTGAATTATTTTGAACGAAATGCCATATTGTTTTATCTGGAAATATTTCAAAATATATCTCAAAACATGATCATTTTTAAACTTTAGTAAAATATTTGTATCCCACCTAAAAATTAATGTTTAATATTGTAACATTGTGTTCATTTTTCTTTATTTCAATTTGTTTTTATAGCTTATTTGTTCAAATCAAGAATCTATCAGATTACAGAGTACATATTGAAATTAGTTGGTGTGTCTTTTAAATCTTTTATATGGTGTATATTAATAACTTTTCAAATTATTCATTGAAGGACTTAAATCTTATGGTCCTGTACCTTTTTTTTTTTTTTTTTCCCCACAGCCTGGACTTTGCTGACTGCATCACTGTGGGGCCACTTCACATGTTCCTCTGATCCCTGTAATTAGAAATTTGTGATTGTATCCAGGATCTTAATCAGACTCAGGTTTGATATTTTCACAGGAATGTGTCATAGTTGGCATTCTCTGCCTTTCTAAAGGAGCCAGTTGGTAAATGCTCGTCTCCCTTTATGTGTGTGTAAGCAGCTATTGATGACCACTGACTAAACCATTAGCTCAATAGGAGTTGCAAATGGGTCTGTTCTAATTCTTTCATTCCTTTTTTATTTATAAAATAAAATATTCTATAGAAGACACATTTCCTCATCAACTATTTGCTTACCCACATATCTTCATCGATGTTATGGTTGCCTGGGATAAAATGTGAACAAGAAAATAAAGAGAAATGCTACTTTTTTTCAAATTTACTTAGATAACAAGTTAATTAGTAAATATCATCCATATGGGAAAAATTAGGGGTGTGAGTGTGCATGAATATTTGTGGGATTAGTTTGTGTGTGTGTGTGTGTGTGTTTGTGTGTGTGTGTGTATTTTGTGTCGTTATAAGTTAATGTATTTAAGCAAATCTGTCAAATGTGTCCTTTTGGCGATCAGCGGTAGCTTCCTTGCTTTTTGTGAGGAGACCATTAGGCTTATTGTGTACCTTTACTGACCAGACTGCACTCTAACCTTGCTCTACAGAGCCCTAGCGACTTTCAGTGAGATGGCATTTTGAGACCGTCATCTAGATGCCATGGATACTCTGCAGCATTAGTCCTTATTTCTATGACTTTTTTTGTACAAAGTCCTAGATTAATACAAAAAAAAATCAAATAAGAATTGATAGATACCACATAATAGTTTTTATACTATTATGAGTTAAATAGACATAACACCTGTTTTCAAGAAGCTTACAAAAGTAGATACTTAAAAATAAATATAAATTGAAATAAGTGATAAGATTTCTATGAGAAAAATAGGTTAAAATGTAAAATTTGACATTAATATGTTTTTTTTCAAAAATTTAAGTATATATTATTTATAGCTAATTCACTGGAATTTCCAAAACTAGAGCCTTAGGTGGTACCTGAATCCCATAAAGCAATGTGCAAGAATTGCACATTGGAGAGAGGTCTCTTTCATGTTGTTAGAGCCCGTTACTTAATAATTTAAGAACCACATCTCTCTTTAATGTTCCTATTTTATCAGCCATTAACTGAAGTAATTATACTAATATTTTACATGAGGATATTGATTTTGAATATTCTTTTATCTATTTCCCCCAGACTTCATTTTTTATAGGTTGATGTTTTTATCACAAAAATATGCTTTTGCCATTTTCATCTTTGTGATTGTATACATTATTAATAAAATATAACCCTATTTGACATATTAAACCACGTGTTCTTCTGATATAAATATTGTCATCCATTCATTTTTTAAAAATTGATATTCGCCTTGTGTAGATTAGCTGTTTACTCTGGTTCTATCTTGCTTAAGGCATATGTCTCATAAGCAGTGTATGTCCTGGGTTGTTTATATTTTAATTCAACTTAGAAATATTTAATTTTTAAATGAATAGCACAGAACATAGCAGATACTCAATCTATCCCTCAAGTCAGAATAAAGAAAAAATGAGGTTGAAATCTGCATTCTGTTGCATACTCATTGTAGATTACAAAGAAATCCCTGCTCACTATTTACACTCAGGTAATGCTTGAAATGGAATGTCCTTAGCCGGATTTACAGATGAGTTTATGGAGCTCAGTCAGAAACGCGGGAAATGCATCTGATTGCAAAAGGCAGGTGGTGTAAACTATTTCTCAAGATAAGAGATTTCCCATGATGCGCTTACATGAATTCTCTTATTGTTCCAACTAAAATAAGGAATTATGTTCCGACTATAGTTAGTTTGAAAGAAAGGGAAAATGATAAAACAAACAAAAAAAAACTAGGGAAAAAAGGATACAAAAACTTCATGAATGAGGGAAAGTACAAAAGTAATTTCAAGCACTTGAACAATTTGTGCTTCTTTACCTGGGAAAATTCCACATGAAAATTCCCAGTAGCTGGATGTTTCAACTCAATTAAGGTGATTTAAGTATATTTCCATTTGGATCATGATTGCCATTTCTTACAACATTAAATATCTGTCTCTGAAACAAAAGTAACCTAAAATAGTTTACAATTAGATGAACATGGGAGAGGTTGGAAGTGGACCTTTTAAAAGCTCTGGATTTCTTAGCTCCAAACTCTTATTAGGAGTAAATGACGCAGAAAAAAGTTTTAAATATATCACTTAGGCTTCTGCAAACAACTTATGTTCAAATATTTGTTATCTTTGAATGCTGTGCATTTACTTTAAATATGTTTAGAGTATTTGGCGTAATTGGGTTAATTTAATAAGTTTTATTAACTCATTTTATAACAAAAAGGAAGCCTTGCAAACTGGAAAAAAATGAAACACAGCATTTAAAATTCAGTTCTGCACTGAATTTGGAAATATGCAATAGGGAGTTATCTGAGTTGGCTCTAAATTCAATGGCACACATCCTCACGAGAGACACACACAGTAGAGGGACGCAGAGCAGAGAAGTTGACGTGAAGAGGAAGGGAGTGACCACAGTGATGCGACCAACACTCAGGAAAACCCTGGAAGTGTTGGCGGCCTCTGTACACCAGAAAAGGCAAGAAAAGTTCTTCCCTAGAACCCTCGGAGGCCATGTAGCCCTCTTGACACCTTGGTGTCAGTCTTCCAGCTTCTGAAAGTGTGAAAGAATAAATTTCTCCTTTTTAAGCTGCCCCATTTCTGGCAATTTGTTTCAGCAGCCTCCAGAAAGGAATATAGGTGCTACGTTAGGAAGCCCAGTTTTGACCAAGGAGTGACAAAGACTCTGCCTTTGTTACCTGGAAGTTCAGGAATCCTCAGTTCTTGTCTAGTTTGGGAGAAAGAATTCCACCAAGAGACAATTAGTAATGTAAGCACTAGACTGAAGATCACTTTCTTTTTTTTTTCAGATGGAGTCTCCCTCTATTGTCCAGGCTGGAGTGCAGTGGTGCGATCTTGGCTTACTGCAAGCTCCGCCTCCCTGGTTCAGGCCATTCTCCTGCTTCAGCCTTCCAGGTAGCTGGGACTACAGGCGCCGGGCACTACGCCCGGCTAATTTCTTGTGTTTTTAGTGGAGACGGGGTTTCACCATGTTAGCCAGGATGGTCTTGATCTCCTGACCTCGTGATCCGCCCGTCTTGGCCTCCCAAAGTGCTGGGATTACAGGCGTGAGCCACTGCGCCCAGCCACCTGAAGATCACTTTCTAATCAAAGGATGGAAAGAAAAAAACTGGAGCCAGCCTGGGAAGGACCCTACCTTGTGCTGCTAACTACCAAGACTGCTGTTCGTACAGCGAAAAAGGGATGGAATCATCACACCTGAGTCAAAGCGCCACGCCCTCCAGAGTCGTGGGCCACAGTCCCAGGGGAAAACCCTACCAAACTAAAGCTAAGAAAAATTTAACTCTTTCATCTATTCTATTACTTTTTCTTCTTTCCTCACTCTACTGCTGAATATCTAGTTATTAACATAACCAAGTCAATTTCGCCTCAAAGTATTGCATTTAATGCTTGCCTTGTTATACCCTGTGGGGACTCACCAAGTCAAAGACAGCTATCTACTTCAGAAAAGTACCTCTGTCCCTCCTGACTCTCCTCAGACTGGGCATTAGTAAATTGGAACCATTTAATCCGGGGAGATTCGATAAAGACCCCAGAGTCAACCAGGAGCCTTGCCCCACGATGTAGAGCTTTTATGTCATAGTTGGTCCAATGTTCTGTGGACCACTAAAGAGCAAGGATGGACTGCCCCAACTGGTTTTTGTAATTTCCTAAAACCATACATTCATTTAACTAGAGGATCATAGAAGTTAAAGAGGTAAAACAAACTTTGGCAATTAAGACAGGATAGCAAGATGCAAATGCCTGGTTGGAATAGATCAAATATTTGTCCACATGTTAAACAAAAGCAATTGTTATGCTTGTGCACATGGCAGGCCAGAGGCCCAAATTGTCCCCTTTCCACTAGAGTGGTCCTCCAGTTGACCAGGTGTGGGCTGCATGATAGCTCTTTTCCAGGATTCTACAGCCTGGAGTAATAGGTCATGCCAAGCTCTCTCTGCTATATCCTGAAGTCTGGCACCCTGTGGGTCAGCCCCTGAGGGCCATCCAGCTTCTAAGTTCACTTCGTGTCTCTCATGACAGGGAGAAAACTTAGTGTTTCTTGGAGACCTGAAGGGATACAGTGAGCTTAAGAATTTTCAAGAGATTATCAATCAGTCAGCCCTTGTTCATCCCTGAGCAGATGTGTGGTGGTATTGTGATTGGGCCTTTACTGGGCACGCTGCTGAATAACTGGAGTGGCACTTGTGCTTTAGTCCATTTGGCTATCCCTTTCACCCTGGCATTTCATCAGCCAGAAGGAGGAAAAATAAGACACTGTAAAGTGAGAGAAGCCCCTTATGGGTCTTTTGACGCTCGTGTCTATTGAGATGCAACTGGAGTCCCACGGGGAAAACCAGATCAATTTAAAGCCCGAAATCAAATAGCTTCAGGATTTGAGTCAATATTTTGGGGGTGACAGTTAATAAAAATGTAGATTGGGTAAACTACATCTATTACAACCAACAGCAATGAGCTTTTCATGAGTTAAAAGAAAAACTTATGTCGGCCTCCAGTGTCTGTCCTTGTCAGGCCCGCATCACCCAGGTTTAAAAGATCCTGCTAAGTCACTTTATGAAGTATCCACACCTATGATAACTACATTGCCCTGGATATTGGGTCAAATTCCTCATCCCCCAAATTGTGTCTGATCACCCTGGCCTGCCTGCAGCAAGAATCCTTTCAGATTTGTTTAGCCAGAATCCTACTCACCCCTGATTTTCCTCTTGGTCATTTTCTGTCCCATGACCCCTATCCTGCTCCTTGGCTGTATATCCCAATGTTTCCTTTTGTATTTGAGGAAATCCCTATGCTCATCTCTGTGGTTCTGAGGAAAGTCTTGCTATCTTTTTTTTTTTTTTTTTGAGACAGAGTCTCGCTCTGTTGCCCAGGCTGGAGGGCAGTGGTGTGATCTCAGCTCGCTGCAACCTCCACCTGCTAGGCTCAAGTGATTCTTCTGCCTCAGCCTCCTGAGTTGCTGGGATTACAGGTGCCTGCCACCAGGCCGGGCTAATTTTTGTATTTTTAGTAGAGACAGGGTTTCACCATGTTGGTCAGGCTGGTGCTGAACTCCTGATCTCAGGTGATCTGCCTGCCTGAGCCTCCCAAAGTGCTGTGATTACAGGCATGAGCCACCATGCCCGGCCTTCCTGACTTAACAAGAGTCAGAATAATTGTTTCTTTCTTTAATAGAAGATAAATGGGCTTTTATAGCATAAACGATAGTGATGATGATGGACAATTCTTTGAGGCTCATTGTGTGTCAGATGCTTTTCTTGGTGCTTTCTATGTTACTTTTTTTTTTTTTCTAACTGCAGTCTTTTGATGCAGGCCCTCCTGTCTTCCTTCTCTATCTTCCTTCTCCAGATAGCAAAACTAAGGAAAAGAGAAGTTGGGTAGCTGTCCAGGGTTATACAGCTGAACAAAATTACATTAAATTAAGTTATGGTCTTATAATCCAGGGATAGTAGCATATAAAAATATTATTTAAAACTATCTTAAAAATGACGGTAATAATTCTTTGTATGTGATGATAATGTTATTAACATTTGTTTTATTAATGTTAGAAATACAAAAATGCTATACCTAATAAAAAGTTAAACAAGCAATATACAATATCTCTATAAAAACTTATTTTAGCTGCTCCATTTTAAATTATGTATACTAAATATTTCTCCTTACAGGTATCTCTTTCAGACTGACATATTTTCTTACAAAACTTTTTAAAAATTGTGTTTACTGACAGGGTGTAGAAATCATTGTCTACTTGGATTAGAGTCCTTTAGGGAGAAGAGTAAAATTGTTTTTAGACTTAAAACCATCACTAGTAAAAAATAGAAAAATTTATGTAAAACTAATTTTTGCTACTGACCTTTGTCATTGATATGCACAATAAAAACACTTAAAGACAATTATTCTTCCCTGTATTGACTGCATTTAAAATGGATTAACATTTGCAGTAAATGTGCATGAGGAATTTGTCATAAACTCTATGTTAGAAATAGAGCTTGGAGTCATAAGGAAAATGAACACTCAGACAAAGGGTTTCTCAGCAAAGCAAATTTCCTTCTGCGCAGAGGGGTGCGTCCCATATGGCCAGTCACCAGGAGACTGATGACACCAGGAGACACTCAGAACAAAGAGAGTGAAAGTTTTTATTCCTGACGCAAATTCTGCCCCTGTGCCCTTTCCCCATTGGCTGGGGTTGGACCTCATGATCTAAGCTAGACCCGATTGTCTAAATATTTAAACTTTTTTTTTTTTAGATAAGGTGGGCACATAAGGGAGAGAAGGGAGAGGGGGAAGGGGTTGTCTGTGGCAAGCTACAGAGTCAGTCTTTTCCCCAATAAGGAAAGGAATGTGAGCCTATGCTGATAACAACACTGGTGCTGTGGCATGCCTGGCCATGTAGTAATAGCAGAGAGAAGAGAAGAGAAGAGAAGAGAAGAGAAGAGAAGAGAAGAGAAGAGAAGAGAAGAGAAGAGAAGAGAAGAGAAGAGAAGAGAAGAGAAAAAGAGAGAGGGAGAGGGAGGGAGGGAGGGAGGAAGGAAGGGGAAAGACAAGGGGAGAGGTACTTCAAATTAAAGAGTGAAGGACTGATCAGGCTGTTTGAAGAGAAACTTTGCCATATCTCACACTTTATCATCCTTAAGGTGAGGATATTATGTTATTAATACCTTATAATAAGGTATAGATTATAAAAGTTGGTGAATTTAGTATTAAAAGCTCTGGCACTCAAAACCTCAGTGTACAGCAAGCGGAAGGAATGGGCTGAAGAAGCAGAGAGTACCTCAGATGACACCGTGTCCCTGGTCTCTGTGCTTAAAAAGTTAGGACCTAAGGAAGGGGCAATGCATTTCCTGGGGCACAACGGGGGAGTCTGGGAAACAGGCTATGCTAAAAAGTGGGCAGGGTACGAGCTGGTCTTATTACAAACATTTCTCAGGCACAGCCCTTTGGGGGTCTGTTGAGCTCTGTCTGCAAGGCAGATCTGTCCACAAAGTCCAGGCCGGAACGTACTGATTCTTCAGCTGTCCAGGCCAAGGGCTTTCCTGAAACTAACTCTGAGATGAATGGTGGAAATGGAGGAGCCTTCAGTTCTTCTTGTACCTCCTGCTGAATGTAGACACTAGCTGGGCATGCAAAACAAGAACAATTACTACTAAGGGTCCTCAACAAAGAGGTTATCTAATGTTAGATTTGGGATCACATAGACAGAAGCCACGTGCTAACCAGCTCTGAAATAGTTAAACCAAACTAAAACAAAAACGATCAGTGACCCCCACAAAGCACTTATAAGAAGCCACACATCTGGACAGCTTCCTTGGTTGATGCCTGTCAATATCACATCCCAAACACAGTGATGCTAATAGAAATTTCAACCAGAAAAATCCCCAAAAATAGCATTTGTAATTTATGTCTGTGTTTACAGTACCTTTGCAAGAGAATACAGAAATAAAAAATGTCGTGGCTTTATTAGTGCTCATATTTGAATACCTGTGTTAAAAGCTTCCATGCAATAACTTGTAACTACACTTTGTGATTTACTGAAAGTTTAAACCTTGGGTGGTGGTTCCCAAATTGTCAAGATATTACTTATATCAGGCATTATCTTTAAACAACATAAATATAAATATGTCACTGAAATATGCTAATTCTGTATGTGTGCACATGTGTGTTTTGAAAGATATAGCAAAAATACGGTCCCTCAAAATATTGCATCTTGAACTTTTAATACAAGTTTGAAAAAAATATGGATATTACTTCGCTGACCTCCTTAGCTGACTTTTAAAATTAGTTCTAGTTTACTATCTTTCACTTGCGTCCGTGTGAAGAGACCACCAAACAGGCTTTGTGTGAGCAACAAGGCTGTTTATTTCACCTGCAGGCGGGCTGAGTCCGAAAAGAGAGTCAGCGAAAGGTGACAGGGGTGGGGCCGTTTTATAGGATTTGGGTAGGTAGTGGAAAATTACAGTCAGAGGGTTGTTCTCTGGTGGGCAGGGGTGGGGGTCACAAGGTGCTCAGTGGGGGAGCTTCTGAGCCAGGAGAAGGAATTTCACAAGGTAATGTCATCAGTTAAGGCAGGAACAGGCCATTTTCACTTTTGTGATTCTTCAGTTACTTCAGGCCACCTGGATGTATACGTGGAGGTCACAGGGGATATGATGGCTTAGCTTGGGCTCAGAGGCCTGACGCTATCAAGATTAAAATATCTATATTTATTGAAAGGTTTTTTACACAATTGAGGGTTTTTTTTTTAAATATTTTGAGATTCTACATATACAAATGTGCATACAATCTATATAAACAATCCAAAGAAAAATTATGTTGCTAACATCAGTGTAACCATTATTTGAAGAATATGCTCTTAATAATGTGATTAATACTGAAACAGTGTCAAAGTGGTTGAAAGTGTTTTGTACATGATCTACATATTTAGATTTTTAAGTTAGTACTTTTAAATTATGAGAAAATAGTGGTGTTTTACATGACTCTTCAAAATGAATGAATTTATCTTCATAAACCTCAAAATATAATTTTTATTTTTTCTGTGTTTTGATTAATTTAAAAATTCTCCACTTACACATGTAATGTTTCCCCATATCATTATAAAAACAGATTTTATTCCAATATCTTTAAGAAAGTAATCTGAGTTTTATTCCCATAAAGAATCTTTCTCTATGTAGGAAACAATATTTTCATTCAGTTTTTCAACTGCAAAAACAGATTAAAAAAGACAATTGATTAATCTAAATATAAGATATCACAGAAATATTCCTTGGGTATCTAAAAAGAACAATCTATATGTAATATAAATAACAAGAATAGGCAATTAGAATAATGAATATATTATTTTACTACCTAATACATAAATTCATAAAATGCTGGCATTTGCAAATGAGAAATTTAGATAGATACTATTTCATTTATGTTTTAATTATCTGCAAAATATAGATAGATTTACATTTTATAATAAAAATATAACACTTTATATTATAAATATATTTATGTCATTTTCACTAATTATCATATAAAACAAATTACAAAAAATTAATTCCAGAGTATTAATACCATGTGTGAAATTTAAATGTGCAAGTTTTGCAGCATATTCTTCCCAGATTTCTCTTGGGTATGGAGAACAATTTCCGTCCAAAAATCCAGGCTATGAGAGAAAGAGAAACTTCATCAGAAACTCCACGGACAAACCCTTACTATGACTCTCCTGAAACCATCACATGTTTATTTATAATATTACCTTTGAAGAATTATATTTATTGATTTTTATTTTTCATTTTTTTATTTTGAAATAATTTTAGATTTATAGAGTTGCAAATAAAGTCTAGAGTCCTCGTATATCCCTTACTCAGCTTCCCCACAATGTTAACATATAACAAATTATGGTCTGTTTATCAACACTAAGCAATTAGCATTGGTACAGTATTACTACCTGAAATAAAGATTTACCCAGATTTTGCAAAATCTCTGATGTTTCTCTTCCAGGATTCATCCAAGATCCCATATTACCTTGAGTTGCTTCTATCTCCTTAGTCTCCTTTCATGTATGACCCTTTCCCAGTCTTTCCTTAGCTTTCGTGACCTTGAAACTTTTGAGGAGTGATGGTCAGATATTTTGTAGAATGTCTCCCAATTTGGGTTTGCCTAATGTTTTCTCATGACTAGACTGGGTTTGTGGTTTTTTGGTCAGCTTACCACAGAGATGGTGACTTTCTATTTCCATCATTCCTCCCATAATTACTGTTTGATATTCTTCTATAAGAAAGATGTGCCCTTTTCCCCCCACTTATCATTTATGCTATGGTTTACTTATATCAGCATAGCTTCACAAATATGGGTTGTACTCTTTGTGTTAAAATCCAGTAGTATCACGATTTGGTAACTAAGCTCTTTCAGGTTGGCTCCTCTGTCATTTTGAATGCATTGATCTTTTATTTTTTCTCTCTCTGTCTTTTTTAAACACTTCTTTTCTTGGTGTTTAAAAAACACCTTTTCTTGGCTCCAGTTTCATCTTGCATTTCCTCTGCCCCTGCAGTAGAATCAGTCATTTCTCCAAGGAAGTGACACATTGGACTCTGTAAGAATTGTAATGAGAGCTGTTGTATAGACCTGTTAGAGGATGTGAAGAAAACAAAACTCTAGGTTCAAAGAAAAATAAGCAAATCTAAAATAATTGACAGCATTCCCTCTGGATAATAGGATGGGAAGTCAGCGGGGAAAATGAAGACCAAGCTGTTTTCTTTTCCCCTTCTCTTCTCCTTCTCCTTCCCCTCCTACTCTTTGTCTTTCTTCTTAATGATTGATTTCTACTTTAACTGCACTTTCATCAGGTGTCATACTCTATGTGATTTCAATCTTGTCTATTTGTCAAGGCTTGCTTTGTTATTCAACATGGTCAATTGTGCACTTGAAAACAAGGTGTATTCTACAGTTTGGGGGCATAGTGCTGCTTGAATATCAATGAGTGTGCTTTTGAAATCATGCTATGTAAGTCCTTAGTGCTTGAAATTGCTATTGGATTGGACTATTTGATATTGAGAGAAACATGAAAATCCCTTAGTACAGTTAGGATTTAAAAAAATATTTCCTTTGAGGTTTATAGATTACCTCTTTCTGTAGTGTGAAGCTTGTTATCAGGTGCACACAAAATTTACAACAGTTATATCTGTCTGGTGATTTCAAACATTATTATTATAATGTTCAACTTTATCTCTAATAATGCATAATAACATCTACTTTGTTTGATCTTTGTGTAGTATATTATTATGGTACATCCAGAACTTATTTATTTATTTTTTGGTTTATGCTCTTGTGTTTTTCTTATATATCGATTTCCATTCTTTCACTTCCACCATCTCTATATCCTTATAAATTTAGGTATTTCTTTAAAGCAGTACATGATTTTTAAAAAATCTAGTCTGATAATCTTAGTTTTTATATTTAATGTGAGACTTGATATTTTTGTGTTTAATATACTTTCTTCACATTTGTTTTTCTTTTACTTCTTCCGAATATTCTGTTTCTATTTCTGTTACTTACGACCTTCTTTTGAGGTGACAGAGTATTGTTTGTAATTCTAATGTTTATCTCTGGTATATTAGAAATTACACTCTTTTCAAATATTACTTCATGTGTTACCCTGGAGATTCCAACATGAACCTCTGACTTAACAAATCCTAATGAGCTATTTCTTGTACTTATTCTCAGAAAATTAAAGGACCTTCAATAGCTTTTCTATGTTTCTACGGTTGTGACATAGGTTATTATTCCTTTGTTTTCCACTTTTTTTTTTTTTTTGAGACAGAGTCTCGCTCTTTCGCCCAGGCTGGAGTGCAGTGGCCCGATCTCTGCTCACTGCAAGCTCCGCCTCCCGGGTTCACGCCATTCTCCTGCCTCAGCCTCCCAAGTAGCTGGGATTACAGGTGCCCGCCACCACGCCCGGCTAATTTTTTGTATTTTCAGTAGAGACGGGGTTTCACCGTGTTAGCCAGGATGGTCTCGATCTCCTGACCTCGTGATCCGCCTGCCTCGGCCTCCCAAAGTGCTGGGATTACAGGCGTGAGCCACCGCGCCCGGCCTCCACTTTTGTTTCTTCTTATTTTTTCCAGCATCTCTGACCTTCCATGTGGTGATTTCAAGTACATCATGTCACGTCAGTCTTACATGGTTTCCATTAAGAAGTCAGGTGTCAGTTTAATTTTTGGTAATGTATTATTTGTGAAGTTATATTTTTTGCACCCCCTCAACACTTTTATTTCTAAGTGAATAGATATAATTTTCTTTTTATTTGTCCAGCCTGGGATTTATATAGTAATCCCCATGTCTGTGAATTCTGCCTGCACTCTCTCCTCTTCTTCAGGAACACCAATTACATGTACTTTAGACCCCTCACTGGTACCCTGTGTCTCTGATGCTTTTTCCTGTATTCATCATTCTTTGTTTTTTGTTTGTTTGTTTGTTTGTTTTTGAGATGGAGTTTTGCTCTTGTTGCTCAGGCTGGAGTGCAATGGTGCGATCTCGGCTCAGTGCAACCTCCGTCTCCTGGGCTCAAGTGATTCTCCTGCCTCAACCTGCCGAGTAGCTGGGACTATAGGTGCACGCCACCACACCCAGGTAATTTTTGTATTTTTTAGTAGAGATGGGGTTTCACCATATTGGCCAGGCTAGTTTCGAATTCCTGACCTTGTGATCTGCCTGCCTCAGCCTCCCAAAGTGCTAGGATTACAGGCGTGAGCCACTGCACCCGGCATGATAATAGTTTTATCTGGATGCTCTGTGAGTGTGCTCTCATTTTACGTTATTCTTATTTGAATATCATATCATCTTACCTCCTCCAATTTCTGGTTATGCATCATTTTTGCTGGTCAATGACTATTAAGATTTTATAAATTATTTGCAACCTTAGATGATATTTTCCTTTAGAGATTAGCTTTCCTTTCAGGAGTTAATCAGGAACTCTGGTGAACTGATCTCATCTTAATTTAATCAAGAATTCAGTTTTTTTCCTCCAATTTTTTCTACTGTGGTAAGAGACACATACTATACAATTTATCATGTTAGCCATTTTTAAGTGTATTAGGGGGTATTAAATACATGTGTAATGTTGTACAGCCATTGCCACTATTCACCTCCAGAGCGCTTTTCATCCTGGAAAACTGAAACTCCATACTCAACAACCAACGACTCCCCCCATTCTCCCTTCCCCACTTGCTCCTAAGTTTTTTTTTTTAATTTTATTATTATTATTTTACTTTAAGTTTTAGGGTACATGTGCACAATGTGCAGGTTTGTTACATATGTATACATGTGCCATGTTGGTGTGCTGCACCCATTAACTGGTCATTTAGTATTAGGTATATCTCCTAATGCTATCCCTCCCCCCTTCCCCCACCCCACAACCGTCCCCAGTGTGTGATGTTCCCCTTCCTGTGTCTGTGTGTTCTCATTGTTCAATTCCCACCTGAGTGAGAACATGCAGTGTTTGGTTTTTTGTCCTTGGAACCAACCCAAATGTCCAACAAGGATAGACTGGATTAAGAAAATGTGGCACATATACACCAGGGAATACTATGCAGCCATAAAAAATGATGAGTTCATGTCCTTTGTATGGACATGGATGAAGCTGGAAACCATCATTCTCAGCAAACTATAGCGCCTAATTTTTGACTACTGCTCTGCTTTCTGGTTCAGTGAGTCTGACTGCTTATATAATGGAAGCTGTCTTTTTGTGACTGGGTTATTCACTTAGCATAGCATCCTTCAGATTCATTCATGTTGTAGTATATGAAAGAATTTCCTTGAGATGTGAGTTTAGTTCATTTTGGCCTGACCTAAAGTCCTGGGAAGGGTTAGCAGATCTCCCTCAGCAGGCTGGAGCTCCTGAAGGTATCGCCCTACCCTTGTGGGTTTGTCCAAAGTTCTGATGTGCTCCTCAGCTTCTCAGTGTCCTTCCTGAAATCAGCATGTGCATTGAGGAAGTGGCCAAATAACCACCACAGCTATCTTCCAGCAGATTATTTTCTTAAATATTTTGCGTATGTTTTCTAAACTCATTTGAAATTTAATTTCTAATATCGTCTTCTGATGCTGTGTGAAAGGTTGGACCACTTGGGTCTTTATTGATGGAAGTAAATCAATTAGTGCATTATAAGAAACATAGTTTTTATTATGAGGTAAACCAATTTGTTGGCCTTTTCCTTCTAGGTGGCATTTATTTTTTTTCTTTTTGAGATGGAGTCTTGCACTGTCGCCCAGGGTAGAGGGCAATGGCGTGATCTTGGCTCACTGCAACCTCTGCCTCCGGAGTTCATGTGAGTCTCCTGCCTCAGCCTCTCGAGTAGCTGAGATTGCAGGCGCATACCACCACACTGGCTAATTTTTTGTATTTTTGGTAGAGATGGGGTTACACTATGTTGGCCAGACTGGTCTCAAATACCTGACCTGGTGATCCGCCCTCCTCAGCCTCCCAAAGTGTTGGGATTACAGGCGTGAGCCATCATGCCCAGCCCTAGGTGACATCTTCAAGGCATTATATCAACTTATTTCCAAATAGTAATGTGCAAATTTATAATATGTTCATTATTAATGCAATAGATTGATCTGAATTAGTTGACTTTTAACTTTTCTCTGGCATTTCCAGACAATAAATTATTAGAGGTGCTAGCATTCTAACATCCTGTAGACTGATAGACCCTAAAAATAAACTAACATGTTTACATCTTGAAAGGAATATTTTATAGTTTGGATGTTTGTCACCCTGAAACCTCATGTTGAAATGTGATCCCCAGTGTTGGAAGTATGTCCTGGTGCGGGATGTTTGGGCCATGGGGTGAATCCCTCATAAATGTCTTGGTGCAAGCCTCAAGGAATGAGTGAGTTCTCTCTATTAGTTCCCAACAGCTAGTTGTTAAAAACAGCCTGGCACCTCCCTACTCTCTCTCTTGCTTTCTCTTTTGCCCTGTGACCTCTGCACCTGCCAGCTCCCCTTCGCCTTCTGCCGTGGGTGGAAGCAGCCTGAGGAGGCTGAGGCTCTCTCCAGATGCAGACGTGGCCATGCCTCTTGTACAGCCTGCAAAATCAAGAGCCAATAACCCTCTTTTCTTTATGACTAACCCAGCCTCAGGTATTTCTTTCTAGCAATATTAAATAGACTAAGACAAATACTACTGACTGCCATATGCTTCCATTCTTTTTTTTTTTTTTTCTTTTTAAGAACTCGCATGTGGTAGAAACTGCTGTGATTTCTCTTCTGGTTTTGTTTACAGAGGTGCCAGAAGAGATCACTGACTGACCCTCAGCTTTTGTTAAGTAAGTTACTCTATTCTCTGCTTTCTAGTTGGTAACTGTAGCAATAGTGAGGTCAGGAAGAGGCTATTTATCACACTACTTTTCCAATTCATAGGGTGATTCTAAAATGACCAAAAGTTAGATTTCTAGCTTTTTTAACATAATTTTGTTTAGCTTTTAACTCCCAAAGTGTAAGACTAGTCCTCCATTGTTGAAGTAAGAGCTTCATAGTATCTTTCAGCATTATTCTTTAAATACTTATATTGCTTAACTTGCTAATAGATATTATATTTCAGATCATTCCAGGCCTCCAAAAAGAAGTAGCATTTACTATCCTGAAACACACATTTCTTCTCAATCTATTGCAAGTTCTAAGTATCTCACTTACTAAGTGTCTTCCATATAGGTTTCTCTTCTTGAATCTATTAATAAGGAAATGCACTGAAATGACTTAAAATTGGCCATTTTAAATCTAAAACGTATGCCGCAGTGTGGCCTAATTGAAATATTTAGCATTTATTCATGCTAGTTTTTCTTAACACTCAATTTTTTTGTAAGGCATTCTAATTTTTCTTTCATTCCAGTCAAATAAAATTACAACCAACCAAGCCATGGTATTTACAGTATCATTGCTTGTAAATACTTGGAAATATGTTAAAATAACAACTAATATATATATTATATATTATTTCTAAGATAAGTATATATTGGATATGTATATATCATAGAAATTGTCATTTATAAGATCAAAGTAGTCATCAATTTCTATTTTCAAATAATGGTAAGTAAAACTAGGTCCTCTGTATAGACAATAGAATAAAATATGCAGCTAAAATATATAAAAATTGAAGTACTGATGAGATAATTTCCTGTTTTCTAAAGGAAGTATTACTTATTGTGAGTCATTTATTTCTTAAAAATAGATCTCAAAACTTGCTTTTCCATCAAGGTGCACTTTCCTCAGCTGAGTCTGGGCACAGTCACTTCCCACCTAGATTACATCAGTAGACTCCTAAATCCTCACCCTGATTATTCACTTGTCATCCTCACCCAATCAGACTGCAAACAGATGTGAAAGTGATTTTTATAAAAATAAGTCAAACGAAGCCACTCTCTGATTAGAACCCTGCAGTGACACAGGGACTTGTGCAGCGTGATCTGCTGGCACCCATTCTCCACCCCTCCTGTGTGGCTCTGCCATGAATTTCATGTGTGCACCTCCAGCCTTCTTTCCACATCGTCACTACTGTGCAGCAGAAAACAACAGTGGTCATGTCTGTTGTTTTCAAAATGCCACTCGGCCGGGCGCGGTGGCTCACACCTGTAATCCCAGCACTTTAAGAGGCCAAAGCGGGTGGATCACCTAACATTCGGAGTTCGAGACTAGCCTGGCCAACATGGTGAAACCCTGTCTCTACTAAAAATACAAAAAACTTAGCCAGGCATGGGAGCAGGCGCCTGTGGTCCCAGCTACTCGGGAAGCTGAGGCAGGAGAATCACTTGAACCTGGGAGGCGGAGGTTGCAGTGAGCCGAGATCACGCCAAAGCACTCCAGCCTGGGCAACAGAGAGAGATTCCGTCTCCAAAAAAAAAAAAAAAAGACTCCTCAAGAATTATAAGCAAACAAAGCATTTAACCCTACAGAGAGAGTGGGGAAAAGTTTACAAAGAGAACTGGTTTGATACAGTTTCAATCGGGAGCATCTTCCTACTGGAGAAAGGGAAACACAATCAGAGTAAATGACTGCTCGGAGTTCCTGCACCATGTAGTTTTTAGAGTTCAATTTTTCTTCAGCTAATTCATCACAAGGATTTTGAAATTTAAGATAAAAAATGAAGAAAATAAGTAATGAGAGATTTAAGTTAATTAAGTAATAATAATACCAGTCAACAGTTATTTGGTTTTTACCCTGTTATCAGGCTTTGCTGTAAATGCTCTGTGTGTATCAGTTCGTTTAATTCTCTCACCATCCCTGTGAGGCGGACTTGCGCTAGTTATTTATCTGCGGTCTCTCAGCTTTGGGGCCATCCTATACTATATGTGCTTTGATGCGTGTCCTGGGAATTTGTGTATTACTCACACCCCTTCACCTATTGGCTTTTTGTTTAGGTTCTGCCAGTTGGAGGCCCTTTATTCCCCAAATTCTATGGGGCATACCTGCTTCTTGAGGATATTAATCTCACTTCCCTTTAGCATTATTGGCTTATTGATTTTTCAGCTTTCCCATAACTGAATGACCAATTTCCAATGTTAGATTTCCTAAGTGAAATACCCAGAGTGGTTTCTGTTGACTGTAACCTAACTTTTGCAGTATTATCCTCATTTCCATTTTACTGATGAGAAAATTTAAGCACAAAAGTGTTAAGTAAATTTCCCAGAGTCATAAGCATATTTATAATATATATATAGCTTTTAAGGAATGTTAGAAATAGTATATAATTAATTATATATATATATGCATATTTTTTTCTCATCTGCAGCAATATAAAACATGTTTTTATAAGACTAGGGAAATCAGAAAATAATCATGATACACATTTTGGATAAAAGATTCAGGTTACAAAACAATATTCATAGTGGAATCACCCTCTTGTAAAAAATAATATATCACATGTTCATGCATAAAAAGAGACTATATAAATAGAAAACTGTGCAGTAATTATAGCTTAATGATTTTAATTTTGAATTATGAGGTAAAGAAAGACAGCCATGTGAATAACACAAATTTATTAGCTGGAGTGGCATCATTTTCGATTTTTTTTTTGTTTTGAATCTAGTATTTGATTTTTTGTATTCTCTAAATTTTTCAATTTATTAAAGATGTAACAGGAAAAAATAATATATTTTAACATGACTTCACAAGAAATTTATAACAGAAATAGAATAGAATAGAAATAGAATTTTATAACAGAGAAATTCTTTGTGTTGCTTATAGGAATATCTGAGATTGGTTAATTTCTAAAGAAAAGAGGTTGAATTTGCTCATGGTTCTGCAGGCTACACAAGCATGTCACTGACATCTGCTTAGCTTCTGGGGAGGCCTCAGGAAGCTTCCAGTGATGGCCTAAGGCAAAGAGGCCATTGCTGAAAAAGGAAGACAAAACTTTATATAACATATGTTCTCAAATAGGTAAAATGCATAGAACATTTTAAAGAAAATATCAAAAAATATTAATAAAGGAATTTCATTATATGGGAATACTGTGGGAAGCTTTATTGTATATTTGTACTGTGCATTATTCTGGGAAGCAATGAAAACTCTGAATGACTACTCAATTTGTAATACAACATTTTATAGTAACACAGAGTTTTATAGTAACAGAGTTTTATAGTAAATCAATTGTATTCAAAATATCATTTTTAAGTAATTTTTATTTTTAAATAATTATTTCTTGAAGAAAATAGTTATTTTCCAGCAAACATATTTTAATGCAGAAAGCCAGAAAACATATTTAGTTACATTCTTTATTCCATGGCCACTTTGCCTATTTTAAATACATAAGTTTTCTAAGTTTTCTGCTTTTTGCCACCACCACTTTTAGGCACCAAAACCCTGTTGACAGTGTGCACCCAGTTGCAGAAGCACCCTGTGCTGGCCCAGCCTCATGCAGGGCAGTCGAAGCTAGAGAGCTCCTTCTTTTGCCATCCCAAAGCCCAGGGTGCTCATGGAAGTTGCTGCCCAGAGGTGTGTTGACTTCCTCTGTTTCTCCTATGCATTCTGAGGTGGCTCAGAAATAAAACGCAGTCTTCATAGTCTGTACAGGCCTCTCCTCTAGAGAGGAGTTCTGCAGTATGTTCTTGCAGAACGTACCTTGAGTTCTGCAGTACGTTCTGAATGAATGAATGAATGAATGAATGATGGATGAACAAGTAGACTTTCAGATAAATTTTTTCACTTAATCAGGTAGGAAGCATAAGACTCCTAAATGAAAAAAACAAACAAGGTAACACGTCTAGAAAGAAGGAATTGATGAATGTTTTCCAGCCCTGGTAGCCTTCCTAGAAGCATGTCTTTCCCTGTAGCTCATCCGCTTCCCTGGATATAGGACCCTGGCTGTAACAGCTACCCTGTCCCTACAGGTCCCATAGTGGCAGACAATGTCTTTAAGTTGTTTTGCCTTCTTCAGGTTACCTGATTACTCCTAATAAGGCAACAGATGCAGAAGATCTTTTTTTTTTTTTTTTTTTTTTTTTTTGAGACAGAGTCTCACTCTGTCGCCCAGGCTGGAGTGCAGTGGTACGATCTCTGCTCACTGCAACCTCCACCTCCCGGATTCATGCCATTCTCCTGCCTCAGCCTCCCGAGTAGCTGGGACTACAGGCGCCCGCCACCACGCCCGGCTAATTTTTTGTATTTTTAGTAGAGACGGGGTTTCACTGTATTAGCCAGGATGGTCTCGATCTCCTGACCTTGTGATCCGCCCACCTCAGCCTCCCAGAGTGCTGGGATTACAGGCTTGAGCCATCGCACCCGTCCTATGCAGAAGATCTTAAAAGAAACTGTAAAAATTAGGCAACTAGAAAATTTGTTTACATGTTAAAGCCTTTTTTAAAAATATGAATAAGAGTCATTATAAGAGACCAATCAAATGCAAAGATGACAGGCTATGCTTCTAGACCTTAACATGCTGTTTGTCAATTTAATTGCAAAACTCTGTCAAATAACTTTAGTCTGTGTTCCATGACTGCAGGGTATTTCTGGAAAGTAATGACTTCATAGAACATGCTGTCATGTTGTATGTCTTTCACAGAAGTTAACAAAGAAGAAAAAGATAAGTACCTATATAAATTATTGTATCTCACTCTAAGCTAGCCAGCAGAGAATAAAATATAAATCGGATTTTTAAAACAGCAGAGTAGAATAGTGTATTTTAGAGAAGTCCAATGCAGGACTTCCAATGAGAAGTGTAATAATATTTCTGTCAATTAGTTACAACTTGAAACCAAAACATGCTCCATTAGGTTAACTGTAATGTTGTAAAAAAAATCTTATGCTTCAACATTAAACTAAAATACCTCGAAATTGATGGTGACTTTATACAATTCACAGATAACTTTAAATGTGACTGGGTAAGCTGCCATCTGAGAAAGAAAATAAATCATCAAAATGTTAGCAAATCAGTTAATCTTTTAGATAATGATCAATCTAATTCAAATTGTGGTGCTAATTACCATTATAACTACTCTCTCTAGGGAGTTTCCTGGTAATTGCAAATAAGCTCCAGTTTGCTGTTAACTAGAAAAAATGTTTTCAGAATCAGAATTATAAAAGTAGCAAATTAATATAACACGCTTACTTGGCTAGTGAAATTTTACACTGATCCAGAAAAACTGGAAGTGTGAAGATACCTTATAAATGTACTGTTATATTAGAATTCACTCATTTTTCAGGGAATGAAGGAAGAAATAGAAAGATTATACCAAAGGTTACACAGCCAGAACCTAGAAAACTGGAATAAATTGTGGGTCTCCTTACCCTTCATTCTGTAACTGCAAAAAAACAAATTAAGAGTGGTATTACCCTTATGCTGTCAGAATTGCTTCCAAGATGGTTATTACATTTGGCTAGAGTTGCATAGAAATGTAAATCAAATCAGATGACAAAGTTGTAGTAATAGTCAGTTTTTAGTAATAGTAAAAGAGGTTGATGATGATCCCTCAGAATATTATCCCAAACAATCTTCAGCTCTCAAGTTTTCTGTCTTTAAGAACATCAACCAGGAAAACAGCATTTGTAGGGCTCGTGTGTAGTGAGTGCCTTAGACATTTAAAATGCTTGATAGACATTTATTTTTGCATTGTCGATGTAAATACCTGAACTATTTTAATTTGAAAATTTCAGAAAGAAAATATATGAAACCGCAATAACATAGTCACTCCTCTTTTTCAACACCACTTTATTCATTCTATCAACAATTTTCTGTTTCATATTTTATTGAATTCAACAATTGTATACATTTATATTTTCAATCATTTCATTAACATCTTCTGTTTTGTCTTCTCTTAGTATCTCATTTTTTACAGTAAATAGTTATAACTACTTGCTACTTAAAATTGAGTCATTTTCAATTTATCTTTGCTTCTAATATTATTAACATAATATTTTCTCATGATAAATTTCTCAAAGAAACATATTTGTGAAGGAAATAAACTCTATTACAGCTCTTAAATATATTTTACTTTTTTACAAAAAGATTTCTACCAATTTGATTGCCACCACTAATTTCTAAATGTAATGCATAGCTTATGAGTTTTACTATATCTTACAGAAGTGGCATTTTATCATTTTAAGAACTTTTACTAACATGTAGAAATAGTGGTGCCTTATAATAAATCACTTTATTCATTTTCAATAACTTTAATCTAAAAAAGAGATATTTAAATTCTAGAGAGGTAGTATTTTCTCAACAAGTTAATGGTTTCCAGTAAGACTTCTCTCAGATTCCTACTAAAATATCTATAATAGCAGACAAATCTGACGATTGACAATGAAACAAGCATGCAGTCAACATGTCATCAAAATTGGAGAGAACTGTCTTCCTTCCAAAGGCTGATAGGGTTCCATTTAGACATGCCATTGGCAGTGAAAATAAGCTTCCCTCTATGAAACAGAAAGGTGGCAGAGGTTTCCTTTCTCTTTTTAAATAATTGCTTTTTATTTATGTTTAATTTTTGGAGGTATAAGGAATACACAGCAAAGTCCACAGGACATCCATGTAACCCCATGGAGCTTAGAAAATCCTTACCTTCAATACCTTAGATGGTCTCTTACACATCTGACATTCACTAATCCTGCCTTAATATTTGTATTAGTCAGGGTTCTCTAGAGGAACAGTACTAATAGGATACATATGGATACAGAGATAGAGATTTATCATGAGGAATTGGCTGTCATGATTATGGAGGCTGAGAAGTCCTGCAACCTGCTGTCTGCAAGCCCTGGAAGCCAGCCATATATTTCAGGAGAAGCCCACAGGTCTGAGAACCAGGGGAGCCACTGGTATAAGTCCTGGTCTGTGTTCGAAGGCCCAAGAACCAGGGGCACTGATGTGGGAGGGCAGAAGGTGGACGTCTCAGCTTAAGCAATAAGAGTAAATTCACCCTACCACCACATTTTGTTCTATTTAGGCCTTCATCAGATTAGATGATAACCAAATGCCTGTTTCTAGACCTCGCCTTATAAAACAACCTATGTTCTTTTGTACTAATCATTCCTTGATGCTGTGAATTATTTTGTGACTTCATCTGTGGCTTTGCAAGTAACGGTATGTGTATTTTTTCATTGGCAGTTACCGTATTTCCTTGTGTTCTTATAACTAATTTTTCCTTTCTAACCATGATCCATATTTTAAGTGTTTCTAGTTTTGGGATATTATAAATAAAGACAACAGTGACATGAGCAATATAGTGTGTCATTTTTGCAAATGCTCATTTCTTTCATGTGTGCTATAGGACTAAGATGTAATTGCTGGGTTAAAGATTATACACATATTTAATCTGTTTTCCAAAATGTTTATACCAATTTGTATTCCAACCAGCAATGCACGATAATTTCTACTGCTTGAAATATTTGTCAGTATATACTAATGTTAGAATTTATTGCTGGTTTTCGTATTTCTGCTAAGTGTATAGTAGTATCTTATTTTGGTTATTCCTAATGAATAATGATATTAAGCTGCTTTATAAATATTTATTGAACACCTGGGTTTGTATTAATTATCTATTGGTGCCTAATACCTCACCCAACATTTTCTGGCTTGCAACAACATACACCTGTCACCTTGCAGTTCCTTGGGTCAGTGGGTCAGGAGTCTGAGCACAGCTTAGCAAGTGTCTTTGCAGGGTATTTCACAAAGCCATGATCAGTGTGTCCACTGGGGTTGTAATTTTCTCCAGGCCCAGCAGTGGGGAGATCCGATTCCAGGTCCCTTAAAATTGTGATTGGAAGACCTCGGGTCTCGCTGACAGTTACCCTGTGGGCTCCCCACAGTGCCCTTCAGGACACATACATGTTGCTTCCCTCAGAATGAGCTGACAAAGAGTGAGAGCAGGTGCCCATGCTGGAAGCTACAGTCTGCTTAAAACCTAATCTTGGAAATGATTTTTCTTCACTTTTGCTCTGTTCTATAGTCAGAATCTAATTAGTATCCATGTTCAGGCTAAACTCAAGAGGAGGGAATTGGTCAGCGTGTGACTACCTGGAGGTAGGTATCATTGGAAGCCAATTTGGAAGCTGCCTACCACAGAAGGTACCTACTTTGAAAAGCGCCTGTTCGTGTCATAATGTTTTGCTTTTGCGTTGTCTGGTAGCTTGTTATTCTGATTTTAAGGTGGTTTATTTCTTATTTTAATTTAAATTAAATTAAATTTTAATTTTAATTAATTAAAATTTTTTAAAATTTTAAGGTGGTTTATTTTAATCAAATTTCACTTATGATTTACACTTCTTTTATGTTACAATACCTTTCTCAGCCTGACATGACACAGGATTTTTTTTCTTTAATGTCTCTTAGAAGGACTATTGTTTTATTTTTATTTATTAATTTCTCATAATTTCCACTTCTATTTTAAATTCAGTGGGTGCATGTTCAGCTTTGTTACCTGGATATATTGTGTGATGCTGAGGTTTGGGGTACAATTGGTCCCATCATCCAGGAAGTAAGCATAGTACTTGAGTTAGTTTTTCAACCCTTACCCTGCTCTCTCCCTCCTGTCTTTCATAGTCCCTGGTATCTATTGTTTCCATCTTTGTGTTCATGAGTACCCAATGTTTAGCTCTCACTTCTAAGTGTGCACATGCATTATTTGGTTTTCTGTTGCTGTGTTAATTTACTTAGGATAATGGCCTCCACCTGCATCCATGTTGCTGCAAGAAACATGATTATTTTCTTTTTTATGGCTGTGTAGTATTCCACGATAAATATGCACCACATTTTCTTCTTCTTATCCACCATTGATGGGCGCTTAGGTTAACTCCATGTCTTTGCTATTATGATAAGTGCTGCCATGAACATAGGAAGCACTATGATTTTAAATTTTATCTTTTACAAGTTAAGATCAACAATCATCCTGGAATTTATTCTTGCATATGAGATCAAGCAGTGCTTTTAATTGATTTTTTAAAACATGGATTACTTTTCTTTTGCCTGAAGAAAACCTTTGAATACTTGTTGGCACAGGGTTATTGTCACTATTTTTTTTCTTTTCAGCTTCATCCATAACATACATTTATAATTGATAAGGAATAATAGGTTTGCCAGCATTTTCTTTCAAAGTTGATAATGCATACCATTGGTTTTGGCTGTTATTTAATTTGTTTTTTTTGAAAAGTCAGTTGTCTTTTGAAGGTAATCTGTCTTCTACCTCTGAATGCTTATTAATTTTTCTCATAATGATACGTTTTGGCTGTGTCCCCACCCAAATCTCATCTTGAATTCCCATGTGTTGTGGGAGGGACCCAGTAGGGGTTAATTGATTCATGGGGGCATGTCTTTCCCCTGATGTTCTTGTGATAAGCGAATAAGTCTCATGAGATCTGAAGATATCATAGGGGGAGTTTCCCTGCCCAATCTTTCTTTTTGCCTGCTGCCATCCATGTAAGGCTTGACTTGCTTCTCCTTGCCTTCCGTCAAGATTGTGAGGCTTCCCCAGCCACGTGGAAATGTAAGTCCAATTAAACCTCTTTCATTTGTAAATTGCCCGGTCTTAGGTTTGTCTTTATTAGCAGCGTGAAAACAGACTAACCCAATAAATGGGTACCAGTAGAGTGGGGCGCTGCTGAAAAGTTACCTGAAAATGTGGAAGCTTCTTTGGAACTGGATAATAGGCAGAGGTTGGAACAGTTTGGCGGATTCTGAAGAAGACAGGAAAATGTGGGAATGTTTGGAACTTTAGTGTTTTTGGAACTCTAGAAGTTTGGAACTTCCTAGAGACTTGTTGAATAGTTTTGCCCAAAATGCTGATAGCAATATTAACAATAAAGTCCAGGATGAGATGGTCTCAGATGAAAATGAGGAACTTGTTGGGAACTGGAGTAAAGGTGATTCTTGCTATATTTTAGCAAAGAGACTGGAGGCCTTTTTCCCAGGTCCTAGAGATTTGTGGGACTTCGAACTTGAGACAGTTGATTTAGGATATCTGGTGGAAGAAATTTCTAAGCAGCAAAACATTCAAGAGGAGACTTAGGTGCTGTTAAAGGCATGCCATTTTATAAGGGAAGCAGAGCATAAGGGTTTAGAAAATTTGCAGCCTGACAATATGATAGAAAAGAAAATTCTATTTTCTCAGGAGAAATTTAAGCTGGCTGCAGAAATTCGTATAAGTAATGAGAAGCCAAATGTTAATTTCCAAGACAATAGATAAAATGTCTCCGGGGCATGTCAGAGGTCTTTGAGGCAGCCCCTCTCATCACAGGCCTAGAGGTGTAGCAGGAAAAAATGGTTTCATGTGCCAGGCCCAGGGTCCCTGTGCTGTGTGCAGCCTAGGGACTTAGTGTTCTGTGTTCCAGTTGCTCCAGCCATGAATAAAAGGGTCCAAGGTATAGCTCAGGCCAAGGCTTCAGGTGCAAGCCCCAAGCCTTGGCAGCTTCCATGTGGTGTTGAGGCTGTGGATACGCAGAAGTCAAGAACTGAGCTTTGGGAACCTCTGCCTAGATTTCAGAAGATGTCATGGAATTGCCTTGGTGTCCAGGCAAAAGTTTGTTGCAGGGGTAGAGCTCTCATGGCGAACCTCTGCTAGGGCAGTGCAGAAGGGAAATGTGGGGTTGGAGCACCCACACAGAGTCCCTACTGGGGCACTGCCTAGTGGAGCTATGAGAAGAAGGCCACTGTCCTTCAGACCCCAGAATGGTAAATCGGCCAACGGCATGCACTGTGCACCTGGAAAAGCCATAGACACTCAACGCCAGCCTGTGAGATCAGCCGGGAGAAAGTCTGTACCCTACAAAGCCACAGGGGCAGAGCTGCCCAAGACTATGGGAACCCAGTTTTTGCATCAGCATGACCTGGATGTGAGACATGGAATCAAAGAAGATCATTCTGGAGCTTTAAGATTTGACTGTCCCACTGGATTTTGGACTTGCATAGGGCCTAAACCCCCTTTGTTTTGGCCAATTTCTCCCATTTGAAATGGCTGTATTTACCCAATGCCTGTACACTCATTGTATCTAGGAAGTAACTAACTTGCTTTTGATTTTACAGGCTCATAAGTGGAAGGGACTTGTCTTGTCTCAGAAGAGACATAGAACTGTGGACTTAATGCTGAAATGAGTTGAAAGACTTTGGGGGACTGTTGGGAAGGCCTGATTGGTTTTGAAATGTGAGGACATGGAATTAGAGAGGGGCCAGGGGCAGAATGATACGGTTTAGCTGTGTCTCCACCTAAATCTTAACTTGAATTTTACCTCCCAGAATTCCCACGTGTTGTGGGAGGGACTCAATGGGAGGTAATTGAATCATGGTGGCTGGTCTTTCCCATGCTATTCTTATGATAGTGAATGAGTCTCACAAGATCTGATGGGTTTATCGGGGGTTTTGCTTTTACTTCCTCCTCATTCTTGCTGCTACCATGTAAGAAGTGCCTTTCACCCTCTGCCATGATTGTGAGACCTCCCCCAGCCATGTGGAACTGTAAGTCAAATTGAACCTCCTTTCTTCCCTGTCTCAGGTATGTCTTTATCAGCAACATGAAAACGAACTAATACACATGCTCTTTGTCTTTTAGCTATATCATTTTTATGTGGCTAGGTTTCTGTTTGTTTGGGTATGTCCTGCTTATGGTTCATAATGCATCTTCTATTTTGGCTTGATGTCCTTTGTCAATTTTGGGAAATCCTCGCTATGATATCTTCAAATATTGTCACTGCATTATCTTCCCCTTTCCAGCTGAGATTCTACTAATGGCATTCTTCTTGTAGCAACCCTGTAATCTTATAGTTTACATTTTACACCTTAATTTCTTCTCCTCACATTTCACAGAGTATTATTTCTACTCCTCATTTCAGTATACCATTGTCTTAATTTGTATGTTTAACCAGCTGTTAAATCCTTCCATTGATTCCTTAACTTCAGTTACTTTAATTTTTCATTTTAGAATTTTGATTTTTTTCAGTATTCTCCTGAAATTCCAACTTTTTTCTTTATTTTTCTTTTATATCTTTACTTCGTTATATTAAAGTTTGCATTTGAAAACTTCATTATCTGGATTTTTGTTGGTCTATTTCTATTATCTAATTTATCCTCTTATAACTTATTATAAATTCCTATCCATTATGTGCCTGGCTGTATCTGGTCTAATCCTTATTGATGATGTAGCCTTTCACGTCTCAGTCCCCAAAATATATGGGTGAACAGTCCTTCCTCAGATTGGTGGGTTCTAGGATTTCAATTTGTGTTTGTCTACACTTGTCAAAACTTCCAAAACTTGCTCAGATTTTCAGCTTGTAATTTCTTAAATCAACATCTAAATTTGGGATCCCAAATGCCCAGCTCACCAAAGACGTTTTCTTTCCTGGATCTTGACTGTGTAATTCTTCACTTCCTTTAAGCTCTCTCATTATTTCAGAAGCAGTTATTTAGTTGTTTTTGGCTTTTGAAGTTTTTCTTATAGGCCTGGTTGGTCTGAATTACCTAGTCTTCTATCACCAAAGGGGGAACTCACAGGTATTGTGTTGTGAATACATGAGGAATATGTGAATAGATCCCTGTCACAATAAATCAAACATTGTTAGAGAAGACAAAGTCCTTTTCTGCAGCACTTCCAATTCCTTTCCTCTCACTTATGTTAGAACTGTAATTATAATTGTAAATCTTGGTAGGAATCTTTCTAGACCTACATACCAAGGAGTTTACCTAATAGTTCCTTTTAAATACTTGGAATTTGAACTTGTGTTACATAAATTGTATCATTGAGCTCAAATTATCATGAGACTCTCCAATACCATATCTTGAAACTCATTATTTCACACGTAGAGAGCTATTTTATGTTTCCTAAGTGGCAGCCTAGTGTTTTATTTTGTTTATAAACATAATTTCTATGTCATTACTCTATTAATTGACATTTAATTTATTTCTGATGTATGAATGTTAAAAACAATGCTATACTGAACATCTCTACATGTATATCTTCATGGCATGTGGGAGTGATTCTCCACATCATGTATTGAGATGTGAAATCACTCCCTGATGAGATATGTGCATTTTAAATATCATAAATAAATTGATCTTCCAATATATAGGCATCAATTTTTACTGCTACCAGTAGAGCATGAGAGAAGTCATTCGTTTCTCACATATGATACTGTCAAATGTTTTTATTTTTGATGACATGATGAGTGTTTGAATTTGCTGTTTCAATCAGAAAGCGCTTAAAACTACAAAAGTTTATTTCTTGCATGTACAGTTACTTTCAGGTTTGGGTGATTTTCACAGCGTTTTTTCTCCATGCAAAGACTCCAGTTTTCCCTTTATACCAGTATGTGCTTCCATACTCTCTACCAACAGGGAGTTGAGAGCTGGAGAATCAAACAATGGGAATGAAATGCTTCTGCTGAAAGCAACAAGTTCTACTAGCTAATGTAAGTAATGTGCCCAAAATGAAATTTAAAAGAAATGGAAAATAGAAGACTTCTGGGTGCCTAGAAAGAAGAACATAAAGGAATGATGTATCCAGAAAAAAGAATTAGATCTAGATAGATATGTAGTGCTCAGGAATAAAAAAATGTAAGAAGCCTCGCATACTCCAAAGTGGGAAGGACATATAAAGCACACACATTGACTACAATATTTTGTCAAGAAGTAAACTTAGAGAACTTTCTTTGCTGTGTAGAAATATACCTAATATAATATTTGCCATTTTAGCCATTTTTTTGTGTACAGTTCATTGTCATTAAATATGCTCACATTGCTATGCAACATTATCATCATCCATCTCCAGAAATTTCTCATCTTCCCAAACTAAAACTCTGAAACCATTCAACAATAATTCACCATTACCTGTCTTCCCAATACCTGGCAACCATATTCTAAGGTCTGTCTCTATGAATTTGACTATTTTAGGTACCTCATATAAATGAAATTATATAATATTTGTTCTTTTTGTCTGGCTTGCTTCACTTAGTGTATTAACTTCGAGTATGTGTCAAAATCCTCTTCCTTTTTTAAGGCTGATTGATACTCCACTGTATCTATCTATCACATTCTGTGTATCCATTCTTCTATTGATGGACATTTGAGTTTGCATCTTTTGGCTATTTTGAATAATCTTGCTATGAACAACATGGGGGTACAAATATCTGTCCAAGTTCCTTCTTTCGATTTTTTGGGGAACATGCATATAATTTTCCATAAAGGCTGCATATAATTTTCCATAAAGGCTGCACCATTTTACATTCCCACTGACAATGTACAGGGTTTTATCTTCTCCTTAACTGTGCCAATACTTGATATTTTTGTTTTCATTATACTCATCTTAATGGGTGTGAAGTGCTATCTCGTTGTGGTGTTGACTTGCATTGTCCTAATGATTAGTTGAACATCTTTTTATGTGCTTGTTGGTTATCTGTAAGTCTTTTTGGAAGAAATATCTAGTCCAATTTACATTCCCATTAACAGTGTGTTAGCATTCCCTTTTCTCCATATCCACCCCAGCATCTGTTTTTTGCTTTTTTAAAAAATTTTTAATAATAACCATTCTCACTGGGCTAAGATGATATCTCAGTTTGGTTTTAATTTGCATTTCTCTGATAATTAACGATGTTCAGCATTTCTGGATGTGTTTGCTGGATGCTTCTATTTCTTCTTCTGAGAAATGTCTGTTCGACTTTGCAAAACAGCATGGAGATATCTCAAAGAACAAAAAATAGAACTGCCATTTGACCCAGCAATCCCACTACTGGCAATCCCAGCAATCTAGCCAAAGGAAAAGACTTCCTTCTACCAAAAAATCATCTGCTTTTCTATGTATATGCAGCACTATTGACAATAGCAAAGTTATGGAACCAACCTAAGTGTCCATCAAGAGTTGATTGGATAAAGAAAATGTGGTGTGTTTATACCACGGAATACTACTCCGCCATTAAAAAAAGAATAAAATCACATCCTTTTGTAGCAACATGGATGGAGCTGGAGGCTATAATCTTAAGTGAACTGAGAAACAGGAAATCAAATATCACATGTTCTGACTGACAAGTTGAAGCTAAAGAATGGGTTCATATGAACATAAAGAATGGAAATAATAGGCCGGGTACGATGGCTCACGCCTGTAATCCCAGCACTTTGGGAGGCCGAGGCGGGCGGATCACGAAGTCAGGAGATCGAGACCATCCTGGGAAACACGGTGAAACCCCGTCTCTACTAAAAATACAAAAAGTAGCTGGGCGTGGTGGCACGTGCCTTTAATCCCAGCTACTCGGGAGGCTGAGGCCGGAGAATCACTTGAACCGGGGAGCTGGAGGTTGCAGTGAGCCAAGATTGCCACTGCACACAGCCTGGTGACAGAACGAGACCCCGTCTCAAAAAATAAATAAATAAATAAATAAATAAATAAATAAATAAATAAATGGAAATAATAGACACTGGGGACTCCAAAATAGGGGAGGGTAGGACAGAGGGCTCAGGGTTGAAAAATTATGTACTGGGTACAGTGTTCAATATTGCATAATGGTAACACCAGATGCCCAATCCCCACCATTATATAAGATACCCATGTAACAAACATGCATATGTAACCCCAGAATCTGAAGTTAAAAATAATGAATTAATCAAACATTTAAAATAAGTGTGTAGTCCAGTTATCTGTTCATTTTTGATTGGGTTTATGTTTATTGTTGAGTTGTTATGAGAAAGTTTGAAATTGTATCTCAAAAATTATCTATTCCACTGAGTTGCCAATCAGTTAGACATGATTAAATTGTCAGGAAAATTATTGAGCAGATATTTTTTCCAGAATCCTACATACAAAATTATTTTTTTTGGGATACTGGAATCTCACTATTTATTCCTTGAAGATTTTTTTCTTCTATTTATTTTATTCAAACATCTATGAGTTTTAGTGGTTCAGAAGTGTTTTGTTATGAAGTCAATATAGTTAATCATTCTGTTAGTATACAATTTATGTTTTCTGACATAAGGAATATTATACATTGGAAATGTGGATATGCTAATGACAAAATTGGTCTCCTCCTTTTTCATGTGTTCCTTCTTCAAAAACTTAGAATTTTATGTGAACCCAGAAAATACAGATAACTGGTTACACCGAGATGCAAACTGTAAAAAACGGCTGAGGGAATTTTCGGCTGCTTGCAGTCACATCTCCTACACACCACTGGTTTAGCAACTTTCCTCTTTAAGGTCATACTTGACAGAAACAAGAGAAAAATGTTTTGCACGATTCTCAGGCCACGTAGGCTGCTGGAGAGAATTTCTTTACTATTGGTGTTAAAGCCAAGGAAATCAACATCTATTTTCTTGTGACTCTTTTTATTCAGGCATGGACAGCGAAGGGGCACTGAAATTAAATTATTCAGCTAACAAATTCACTGTTCCTGGTGCAATTGGGTCTGTACACTCATGCTGTTTATTGAGGCATACGGTTTGATGGGGAAGGGAGTTATGAAATAAACACACATATACACAAGTAATTCCAAATATTGATAGATAGCAGGCCTATGTTAGAGCGAGTGGTCAGGTGCTGCTTCATGTTCAGTGGAGACACCAGCCTGTCCAGAGATAGGGAAAGGGCTGGGGACAAAAATCATATTATTAAGCCTATAGGATGGGGGTTGCTCCCTAAAGCATGTTAAAATAATAGGGTAAAGTCCAATTTATTAGACTTGTTAGCAGATATTTATTGGTAACACCATGATGTCGATTACTTAGACCAAAACATCATAAATCTGAGCAACGGACTAGTTCTCTTTAACCATCTCCAATCTCCCTCCCCCTACCAATGGGAGTGACACAGCATGTAGAAAGTTAGAAGCATAATTAATATATCATGGTGTGACTATCCAAGCACACTTGTTTTTCATTTTCTGTAGCCCCTTTTCTCCCAAAGGAATATTTCAACACAGAAAACTTTTGAGAGCTACATTAATAAGTTATGGATGTGTTGATGATTATCATTTTCTAAAAAGTGTTCAGATGTCATCCTGGCAGGAAACACTTATTCTGTCTTCTGAGATAAATTTTCCACCAAAAATATACACTTCCGTGTGAGTACCATACTAAACAAAATTCTGGTTTTCTTCTTCTTTATCATTGTGAAATACCAGATATATGTATAGACAAAGGGCACAAAAGAATCAATGTGCAGATGAATGGTTTCTCACAAAGCTAAGACTGGCATAACCACCATCCAGTGCAAGCTGAGAGCACTGCCAATTGCCAGGAATCCCTTCATACCTTTGACAATCAATACCCCTTCCACTCCTTAATTGTTTTGTTTTGTTAGCCACCTCCTTGATTTTTTTATAATTATACTACATGAGCTTGTATTCTTGAATCCTATAGTATTCTGAACTTTTAAGTTTTTGAAGTAGAATCATACAATATATATTTTACACCTGTCTTCTTTTACACATTATGTTTCTATGATAGGACCTCATTGTTGTAGATGCCTGTAAATTACTGGTGCTTATTTCTGCAGTCCATTGAATTTATATATCATGATGTATTTATCCATTATAATTTGATGAGCATGTGGTTTGTGTCCAGGCTTTGGCTTTGCTGAGGATGTTCTGCAGTCCTTGTGAGAGTCTCTTCGCCACATCTCTTGAGTGTGCTGCACACTTTAGGTCTCCAGACTTGTGTACCAATGTACACCTACCTCCTCCAAAAGTGCATGCAAGCTCCACATGATTGATGTACTCAAAAGCAATGATACTTCCTCAGACAAAGATTTTAGCCATTTTAGTGTTACTCTAATGGTATCTTAATGTGGTTAAGCAGTGTTGAGGTTGAGAATTTTTTCCTATGGTTATTGAGCAATTAAATACCATCTTTTGAAAAGGACCTGTGAATTCACTTGTGTATTTTTATATGGTGTTTCAGTTTTATTGATTTATGCTTTTTGTATATAGAATGTGATATATTGAATAGAAGGCATATTTCTCATTTATGTGGCTATTATTTTTGTCCTAGTCTATATCCCTGATATTTTTCTATTTTTAATTGTTTCACATTCTTAACTTTAACTCAACTAATATTTAACTTAACTTTATTGAGGTACAAATGATGGGCCATAAATTTCACTTACGTGTGATTCAGTGATATTTTAGTAAATTTGTAGAGTTATGCAAGCATCAATAAAATCTAGTTTTAGAACATTTTCAGCACTCCCAAAAGTTTCTTTGTGCTTATTTTTAGGTTAATCCCCACATCCACCCCAACTTTATGTAATCACAAATCATTCTATCTATAAAACATGCATTTTTTGGTATTTTATATAAGTGAAATCATACAATGTATGTAACCAGATGGCAAAGGTTACATATATTGTATGATTCCATTGTGCACTTCTGTATTTTGTCCAGTACTTTCTTCTTTTTTCCCTACCGCAGAATAGCCCATTGTATGGATATTTAATTCATCAGTTCACCAGTTGGTAGGCATTTAAATTATTTCCATCTTTTTAATATTATGAATAATCTTATGATGAATATTTGATTTGACTATATATTTTTGTATAGACATATGTTTTCATTTATCTTTGAAGATTCCCAGGTTAGGATGCCAAGTAATATGGTAAATTGGCCAGGCAATGTGGCTTACACCTATAATCCCAGCCCTTTGTAAGACCAAGAGGGATCATTTGAGCCCTAGAATTCAAGGTTACAGAGAGTTGTGCTCACATCACTGCACTCCAGCCTGGGCAACACAGTGAGACCCTGTCTCAAAAAAAAAAAAAAGAGGAATACGGTTTTCTGTCTTGTAACTGAGTTATAAATTCTTTACACATTCAAATGTCATTAACACTATGTATAACATACAAATGTATTCTTAGTTTGTGACTTTTTAAAAAATTCACCTCATTAATGTACTTGGAGCACAAAAGTTCTTAATTTTAATGAATTCAGTTTTATCAAAGCATTCTCTTATGAGTTTGCCTTTGCTGTAATATTGAAAGAAATTTGCCCATCTCAATGTTATTAACATTTTCTCTTATTATGTTTTTCTGCAAATTCTGTAACTTTAGCTCTTACATTTAGGTCAATGTTCCATTTTGAGTTGATTTTTTGTGCATGGTGTGAGACAAAGATCTAAGTTATTTGTGTGCGTGTGTGTGTGTGTGTGTGTGTATGTGTGTGAATATCCAATTACCTCAACATCATTTGTGAAAAGACTATCTTTCCATGAATTTTTTTGGCATGCTAGTCAAAATTCAATTGACCATAATAATGAAGACTTATTTCTGGAGTCTCAGGTCTGTCTCTTTGATCTCTATGCCTTTCCTTGCACCAATCCCTCACTCTATTGATTACTGTGGCTTTAGACTAAATTTTAAAATTGGATAGTTTGTATCAGCAATTTTGGTTTTCTTTTTCAAAATTGGTTTGGCTATTTGGGGTCCTTTGCATTTTTAAATACATTTTTAGGTCAGTTTGTTAAGTTCTACCCACAAAAGCCTGTTGGTATTTTTTTTGTGTGTGCGATTACATTGATTTACTGTCAATGTTGGGAAAAAAATTGTCATCCAACCCATGAACATGTAATGCCTCTCAATTCATTTCCATCTTAGGTTTCTCTGAGTAATGTTTGTCTTTTTTATCATACATTTAGCATTGCTTTTTAAAAATTTATTTTGACATATTTTATTTCTTTTGATGATATAGATTTTGTTTTCTTGATATTATTTTCTTTGTTTTATTGGTAGTATAGAAATACAAATGATATTTATATGATATTATTTTCTGAGACTTTGTTTAACTCATTAGTTCTGTGTGTGTGTGTATGTGTGTGTGTGTGTGTGTGTGTGTGTGAATTCCCAAGGATTCTGTACATTCGGGATTCAGGTTTATTTGTGAAAAAAGTCAAGTTTATGACTTTCTTTCCAATCTAGAGTCTTTTTTGTTTTTGTTGTTATTATTTTACTTTTGAAGAAAGTCAACATCTTTGTCTTGTTTAGGGGAAAGCACTGAACATTCACACCTCTCCTGCTATGTTACTGTGCTTCTGGAGACACTTAATGAGATTGAGAATTTTCTTTTCTATTGCTAGTTTACTGAGAGGTTTTCTCATGAATGGTTTTTTATTTTTCAAAAGCATTTTCTTCATCTATTGGGATGACCATGTAGTGTTTGTTCTTTATTTTATTCCTGCCTGTATTGTGCATTTTATTAAGTGATTTTTAGGTGTGAAATTTACTCTGCATTCCCAAGATACAGGACATTTGTTAATGATTTATAGTCCTTTTTCTAAGATATTGAATTTTATTTGCTAATATTTTGTTAAAGATTTTACATATGTCTTTGTTAGGGCTGGGCATCTGTAGTTTTATTTTCTTGTAATGTCTTTGTCTGTCTTTAGTATCAGGGTAATACTGGCCTTGTAGAACAATTTGGGAGGTGTTCTCCACTTGTTGACGGAATTTCTGAAAGATTGTTATTACCTTTTCTTTAAATATTTGGTAATATTTACTGGTGAAGATGTCTGGATCTGGAATTTTCTTGCAGGAAAAATTTTAACTATTAATTAAATTATGTTATTTGATATATGTACATTCATATTCTTCATTTCTTTGAATGTTAGTTTTGCTAATTTGTGTTTTTCTTAGAGTTTATCATTTTATTTTCGGTGTCTAAGTGAATTATTCAAGATATTCATTTATAATTTTTTTAATATGTACAGTCAATAGTGATGTCCCCTTCTTTATTTCTGATATTTGGAAACTTGTGTCTTTTTCTTTTTATTTTCTAGCTCAATATAGCTAAGTGTTTGTGAATTTTGTTTTGTTTTAATTATTTTATTTTATTAATTTTCTTCATAATTTTTATTTCCTAGTTCTTTTTTCCTCTAATTTCTATTTCCTTTTCTCCACTTATTGTAAGTTTAATTAGCTTTTTTTGTTCTAGTTTCTTAAAGTGTAAGTTAGAATATTGACTTGACATCTTACTTACTTCCTGATAGAGGTTTTCAAAGCTATGCATGTCTCTCCAAGGACTGCTTTAGCAACATACCATACATGTTCATATTTTTTTGTTTTATTTTCCTGTTCTTTCTTGCATTACTTCCTTCCTTCTACCTTAATTGGGTTCATTTGGCCGTTATTAAAACAATTATTTTGGTTATTTATATGTGGTAGCTTTTCTATACTTCCTTCTCATTTTTTATGTATCTTTACATGATGGATATATTTCATTAAATATTTTATAGTATGGTTTGGTTTTCTTATTTAGTCTGGCTAATTTGCTTTTAAATAACATTATTTAGCCCATTTAATTTTTTTTATATTTTTAAACAGGGTACTGAGATATAACTGACATACAATAAAATGCATCTGTATCTCAGTGTTATCTTAATTTGCATTTCCTTAACAACAAATAATGTTGAGGATATTTTCATTTATTTATTAGCCATTAGTATATCTTTGGTAAAATGTGTATTTAAATATTTTGCACACTTTTACAAATTATATTCCTTGTCTTATTATTCAGTGTGAGTTCTTTGTGTATGCTCCATACAAATCCTTTGTATTTTCTCAGTGTGGAGAGAGAGACAGAGAAAGAGACAGAGATCTCCCTTTATATATGCATGTGCCTGTGTGTATGCCCCAACAGAAATTCATTTTGTTTTGTTCAATTTTTACTTAGATTTAGCTATTCATTATTTTCATTTTATTTATCCCTTGCTAAATCTCTGACCTTCCTGCCAGTCACTTAACTTTAGCATGAAGAAATTCATGTGTATTTTACTGTGGGTCCGGTGATGAGGAATTCTCTTAGTTTTTGTTAATCTGAAAATGTCATTATTTCCATTTCATTCTTAAAAGACATATTCATTTGAAATATAATTCTAGGTAGGTAATTTTCCCCAGATCCTTATAAATATAATTCTATTTTTTTCTAGTTTCCATATGTGAAAACATACCTATCAGTTTGTTTTACATTTGAAGATAGTATTTTCTCTTTCTGTCTCTGGCTATATATTTAAATGTTTTCTTCCTTTTTACTTTTCTACAGTGTCTATATAATCATCTAAGTTCTATTTACTCATGTTTTCAGCCCTCTATTCACAGTGATACTTGAATATTTGACTTTATGTCATTCTTTAATTTTGGAAAATTCTCATATTTCAAAAATTTGTTTCCACCTCTTAGTCCTGCTTCTCTTTCTAAGACTTCAGCAAAATGTATATTAGAATTCTTACACTCTTTCTTATGTCTCTTACTCTCTTTCACCATTGGTATCCCATCATGAACAATTTTTTTGGGTATATTTTTCAATTTGTTATTGTTGCAAATGTGCCTATGCTGCTTTGGAATGTACCCGTTAGTTCTTAATTTTAGTTTTTTTTTAGTCCTATTATTTTTGCTTATAATTTTATAGACTCTTACTGTTTACCAAAATCCTCCGTCTTGTTTTAGTTCTTTAAACACATGTATTTTAAAGTTTGTGTCTAATAACCTCTATCTGGAGCCCCTGAAGTCTTGCTTTTTTTGTTATGTGTCTTATCTGCTGTCTGTTTTGTTTTCTTTGGTTTCCTTGTTCTCATCTCCTCATCTTCTTTGGATATTTTTTATTTTAAAATAGACATTTAATTTCCAAAATTGTTTGCAGAAATAATTTGGAAACTAGGATATTTCCTCCTTCAAAAGAGAATTTTCTCTGTACTTCCATCAGGCTCCTCAGTAGCCAATAATCCAGAAGCAGCTTGATTCAATTTCAGAAACTGAGATGATTTAAACATGAGCTGCAGTCTGTGAGTGTCTGCCTTACTCTTGTCCACACAAAGTCAGAGGTTTTTCACTGTGAATTTCCAGCCCAAAGTGGAGAGTTTTAACCATAGATCTGACACTTGGGGAGGTTCTAGATTACTGTCTCTTCCTCCGAGACTCCAGAGGTTGTCAAAAGTTCTGTGCAACCTTTGATCCTCTCATTTTTGTTCATTCTGGAGCAAGCAAAATCTCATTGCCCCAAAGTGGCACCACACACTGAGCTAATTTGCCTTTTTTTAATCCTTCCCCAAATCACAGCCAGTTATGCCTCCATAATGTGCTAGCTCTCCCATTCAATCCAGTAGATGGCTTTTTATTTTTTTCTCAAGATTTTTAAATTGTGAATGGGAGGCTTGGTCTGAGTTATCTATTATTTCTTTATTAGACTCAGAGGTCCAAAAATGCTTAGAAGATGCTCAATAAATACTGATTAGATGAAAGACTAGAATAAGTGTGTAAGTTCTGAATGGAAATAAACATGTGAGTATGTGGATATAATTATAGCAGAGAGAATAACAGATATATTCAGCAGGACCTGGGGGACTCTAGCATTTGCACCCACTTGGCTACATTTGTTAATTATGTCTAATCCCCAATGACCCTAAACAAAAAGATTTAAAAGGCTGCTGAAAACCGTGTTTTGTGCAATGCACAGAATGTTATATGAAAACACGGGATCCCAAAAAGGGAATTCAAAAACATGCAAACACTACAGCCAATGGGAAAGATTGCATAGAAATAAATAAAAATACATTGAAAGCAATAAATACACAGTGAGTGCCTACGCTTCTCTGTTTCTTCTTGCAAGTCACACTGCAAGTTCTCATACTTTTTTTTCTTCTCAGATATTTAAGTAAATTTCCGATATTCCTTAACTATCTGCCTTTCTGTAAATTTCTTACCTATCTGTAAAACCTTACAGAAATTACAGAATTGGGAAAATTTTTTCTGAAAGTTTTATCCTTAATCCTTGAAAGCATAATCCAGTTTAGAGTTCCCAGTTTCCTGAGCATTGGTTACTATGGTCTACTCCCCACATCCCGAAATGATGTTGCACTATCTTCTTTCTCCTTTTACATGTTTGGCCAATTTAATCTTAATATTTTGAATTTGATGCTTTTCTCTTTTCTACCTATTCTTCCTAGGTTATGATTTTATTCATATTCACAAATAAAAATATTGCATCTGTAATAATAATTTGAGACGAAGCCATTACTCTAATCCTGATTTTTTGCCTGCGCCACAGACACAAATTCCAGATGACCTGTAGGACAAAGCCCATGTAGATTTTCAATGAGCTTTTCATCTCAACATGTTCAAAACTGTACTCTTTATCTACTTATTGCCACTATCTACTCCCACACCTATTTTCTTCCTATGATGCCTGCTTTATCAATGTCACAAAATACTCTATTGTAAATAGTCCTGGAAACTCCAAGACATCATTAATGTGAATGTAGGAAAGAGATGATAATTTAAGTTAGAAAAGGTTGGTCAGAGAAGCTGCCATATGGTAGAATATAGGCGAAGTAAAACAGGTGTAGAACAAACATGAGCCAATTTAAAATATTTCTTCTCCAGGGAACTTAATGTTTCCTTGAGAATTTATGCCTGTGGACAGTTCTATTACTACTACTCAAGCTACCAACTATTATGGCAGATGATGAAGATCATACACACTTTGTGAGGTGCTGCTCTGAGTGATGTATATGCACTTATTCAATTAATTCTTACATGAGGAAACTGAGACTCAAAGACATAGAATAATTTGCAGAAGTTTACAAGTTGAGACTTAGGACTAAATAACTTCATATGGAAAGTTTTGTTTTTAAGAAAAGGAAGAAGCAGATCGCAATTCTACAGGTACATTGTTATTTAACTTCAAGAAGAAAAGCTATCTAGAAACAGCCTTAAATTATAACAAATTGTTCTCATCTCACTTTGCCTCCTGGTCTCATTAGAACTAGTATTGGAAATCTTGTCCTGTGGTTCTATGGCCAGCTTCCCTTACCCTACTG
Source organism: Homo sapiens (assembly GCF_000001405.40). Taxonomy (NCBI): domain Eukaryota; kingdom Metazoa; phylum Chordata; class Mammalia; order Primates; family Hominidae; genus Homo; species Homo sapiens. The sequence continues at coordinate 53,271,164 of NC_000007.14, forward strand.
AGAAGGTAAGTACTTACCAGACACTACAACTGACACCAGCTCTCAGATTTCCCCTGCTGCCCTGCTATATTCAACAAAAAATATAATAGAATAAAAGCTAAGCAACCAACCCTAACTCTTACACCGAGTTAACCTGTCTCTGTGTAACCTGTTTGAGTATTTACATATACAGGTTTATTTACATTTACATATACAGGTATATGAAAATAGGATTTTAATTCAAATTCCTAAAATTAAAAAAGATTGATAGAGCATGAGCAAATTATGAGTTTGAAAAATCCCCAATCATTTTCAGCAACAATTTTCATGTTTACATATGCCCCTGTATTCTCTACTTTATGAATTATAAACTCCTTTTGCATACTTTCTCTCTGCAGGAAAATGGATGCAAGTTTTAAATATAGATTTATGACTTTTATGGAAAATAATAATTAGGTAGTTCTGTAGCCTTGGGCAAATACTGTAATTTCCCTGCACTTCATTTCCTTATCTTTAAAATAAAGGTATCAGAAGAGATTATCTTAAAATGTCCCTCCAAGTTCTACCATTCTGTGATACACTATAAAATAAACTAACTAACTGCCATTTAGGGATGTCTCCAATAACGTGACATATATGAGTTCCATTTACAGATGACTATGCCCTTTATTGACCTTGACATAGCCTCTCCAGAGTTACACATTATAGTAAGAGATGTATATGCATTTAGCTCCATTTAACATTATGGCATCAGGGAAATGAAGAATTGGAGCTGGAATCCAATTCTTGATATTTTATAATCACTGCTTCTAAAAATCTATACCTAGCAATAAAAATGTAATAAATACCTTTTTTTTTGTGCCACCCGGTTAAAAGTTAGTTCCAAGGATGTTACAATGAAGCTGTCTGTACAAATAAATCTGAAAATGAAACTAAAAAGATCATAAAGAAAGTGTCTGTTTGTATTTCCAAGGGTGAATCGGCCTGGAAGCTGTTCATTCTCTCCCAAGCCTGAAACAGCGGATAAACGACCCCACCTCATGCTGGGAAGAGAGAGCTTGGGATCCCTGGCACGTGAGAACCAGAGCCTGGTGTAGATCAGAGCTCTCCATCCAGAGTGTCATGACTTAGCTGCATGCTTTCACCAGCAGGGAGGAGGGAACTGATACTGGAGGTAACAAAGGCCCAGTTTTGTTTTGTTTTGCTATAATCTCACCTGATAGGAAAGAACACCTGTAGATATGCAAAGCTGATTATCTCTTCATAAAAGATGGACTAGCCTCTACAAGGACAGTAATGTTGTGCTTGACAGAGTGACACAGGCCAGTGATGGAGCAGCAGAGTCCTCCAAGGGACCATGAGAAAAACATTACCTGGCCACATGATTGCGTGACAAGGCAAGGGTCCAACTGGAATGGGGGTGCATGAGAACTGCTTTTGTGCCTAGATGATTAAAAAAGGGAATGTGGACTTAAGTGAGAATGGACCAGGCCGTGCAGAATGATATTATACAGAGGAAAGGAGGTCTTTATAAGGTGATGCAGTAAAAAACCTATAAAGGTTTGGGAGTATATTATCAGTGATAACAGCTTTCTAGCGTATGGAGTAGTTAATCTTTAAGACATGATTACTGTGTGCAGAGTGAATCTGAGAACTATTGAAATGTCAGAAAGGATTGAATTGAAGCCACAGAATGTCATGACACAAAAACTGTTAACTACTAGTTTTAGAATTCCTATTAAGAAAACAGTATAAGAAAAACAAGACAATGTCTGTGTGAAACAGTGATTTATAAATTTTGGTAAGCACCAGCATTACCTAAAAATTTGTTAAAAATACAATTGCTGAAGCCCCACTCTTGGAGATGATGCAGCAGGTGTGCGGGGGAGCTGTCCAGAAGGTGTGTGCGCACTCCAGATTAGATCTCTACGGCCCAGGCTCATTTTCCTTACATACACATGCTATTTATAGACACGTGGGCTCATGCACTGAGAGGCTGCTTTCTTCTGAGTACCGAAGGAATGAATATATACAAAACGATTAAAACAATCCTGGACACGTTGTAATCACTTGCAAGTGTTGGCTGTACATGAATATAAGCATTCATTCAAAGACAAATACTTATTGTCATGCATGCGGATGTGTATATAAATACATTTGTCTAAGCAAATCAGGTACACATTAATAAAGTGGAAGCAAGGCTTTTCAATCCCTCTCAAATAATACTTTATTGTTCACTAAGCTGTGAATTTTTAATATCTTGAGCCCTGAGTGAAGACCAGAAAGCAATCAGAGGTCACTGCAAGTAGCTCAGGCTGAGATTCCAACAAAAGTGAGTCTTGTCTGTGACAGTTACACAAATTACATTTTGCCTGTCATCCTGCTTTGAATAAATATACTGAAATATGAGTGAAGACAAGATCATTGTTCAATAAGAAAAACTGCTTTGCTTTGGGATATTTGGGAAATTACGTAACTACCATTAACATATTAGATCTGTCCTTTTAAATTTCTTCATTAGCTCCAACTACTGCAGTAAAATTCTCATGTGCAATTTAACTGCAGCATTAATGAAGCTGATTGGTCTATAACATGCAGGGCCAGTTTTATCACCCTTTAAAACACCTGAATTAAGATGTTTTTATCCCAACCACTGAAGAAAAGAACTACTTCAATGCATGATCCCTAAAAAGAAAAAAAAAATGGAGAAAGTTAGCCTAATTTTACTCTTGATAAGATCTTTAAAGCTTGAAAATCACAAAATGTAATCAAAAACTACTTTTTAATTTCCCCAAAGCCACTGTAAAACCTCTGCAAATTATATTCACTATGAGTGTGATTTTGCAATGCGGGAGCCACACCGGGGGAATGTAACATCTTTTGGAGCTAGGTTAACGAAAGTAGCCTGGGTAGCAAAAAGTTGGCCTCATGTAAATTCCCAAGATCAACAGTGTAAAGAACTTACCGGTATAAAAGAAGTTGAGATTTCATTTGGAAGCTCTAAAATTAATGTATTCAGTAACTACTATATGTTTAGTGATCAGTAAAGAGACAAGATTTTAACAAAATTTCTTATAATTTCATGAAAATCACACAACAAATAACAATAGCTTTAACAATAGAAGGGCTGTCTCTCAGTTGTCCAGTTCCTCTCTGCTTGCTGAAGTAATATGGTGACTACAGACACCCATGAGCCTTAGAGATTTTAAAACAAGTTGACTAAAAATGTGATATATGCCAACTTTGACAAAGAAGGGAAACTATCACCACATGCCTGCATTTTTGTTGACCAAAGCTTTTTACTTCTCACTTGAATCTCATTTTTAATCCTCAGAAATATACTTTCCTCCTCCATCATAGTGATTCATAACCTTCTAAAACCTTACGATTCTGAAAACCCACACAAACACATTGGGACCTCTCCCAGCCCTTGACTCACTGTGAGTATGGATTTCAGTGGCCTTGCTACCCTTAATTTGGTGGGTTTTGTCCCTGGAGTTAAACATTCATGACTATATTCACCTTCTAGGTCAGCATTCTCAAGATGACCACAATGAGCAGCATTGAAGAGCCAGCGTTCAAATGCTTCTCCCACATGGGAGTCAGTATTCTGCAGAGATGGATAATTCTCAGACCACCACTTAGCTTCCTGAAGCCAGCAACCTATGTCAAAGGTAGGATACAACAACCACCTTATACAGCATCTTGACTTTAAAAAGAGTAGAAGATGACTCATTTAAATTAAAAGATTTTCCAGAAATAAAAATGGCATCATCCAGGAAAGATAAAGAATAGATGCCGTATTGTTGAGAAAAGTTGAAGGAATCCTATTCAAATCTTAACTCTCCTCAGTTTCACAGTTACTGAGTCACATCTCATAGTTATACTCATTCTGCAGATCTTCCAACAAATACAAACCTAAATATGATAAATGTATGGAGGAGAACGTGTGGGCTCAAAGAACTCAGGCAACGATGAAAAACTGGGAGGAAGTGAAATGAGGTGAGCCTTTGATGAAGCAAAGGATTTGAGTTAGGGGAGATGGGGGACAGATAGGGTGGGAGAGGGAGGTCATTGCAGCCCCAGGTTGCTGGTGGTGGTCTGTGTGGATAAGGGGTGGTGTTGACCGTGAGTCTGAAGGGAGGGACTCTGACCACCATCTCTGAAGGGTCTTTATTAGGCTGCTCTCTGGGACCTGGATGGAGATGCAGGGGTGAGCCAACATTCTTCTCTTCAGCCTTCTAAGTTTGGGGTTCTGTGGGATAAGGGGGCCATAGCCTGTACCAGTCCCAGTGTCTGCAAAACCCCGGATGGGGGTTCCTTACTTCACCCTATATTTTTCCAACAGGGGCACCTGCTCCTCACTCACTCCCCACCATTCCCCCTATTATCTACTTCTGAGACTTTTTGGGCCTTGGAAAACTTAGGAATCCCTTCCCTGCCTTTGCTGTGGAAACAAAATGTGCCCATTTTGGCTGCAGCCCCGAGAACACGTGTTTCTACTATGACTATCAATGTTCCAGATAGTGGCTTGCATCAGCCTGGGCCTGAGGATCAGGACAATTTGGAGCAGAGCCCCATCCACCTCTGGACGGGGAGTGCACATAAGCAGTAAAGCTTTGCTGTTTTAAGTACTGAAATTGGGGTATCTTGCTCCTGCGGCATGGCATAGGATAATGCTTGGGTATTGTCTCCTTTACAGAGTGAGTGAGGGCATTCTCCTGTGGGAGCACAAGTGAGTAGAATATTTGCTGCAAGAAAAGTAGGCCGAGATATCATTCTTCTGTTTACCAAATAGTCCCAGCTTCCCAGCTTCTACACACCATGCAGGATTGCACATTCCTTCTTTGAAGATAATGTGGCCATGTGGCTTGTCTTATTTGGTGAAATATGAGTGAAGTGACATCCATCAGGCTGCTGTGGTCCATTCCCACTGCTCTGGAGACCCTGGAGGTGCTTATTGGGATGATGCCTCTGTCAGCCTAGATCTTTGAGTGACAATGACTACAGGACTGGTACCTGATTGTCCATTTCTGCAGCAGAAAATTTAGTCTGTACAACACAACAAAGAGATCTAACGAAGAAATGTTCTTTTTTTTTGTTTTGTTTTTGTTTTTTGTTTTTTTTTTGGAGATGGAGTCTCCCAGGCTCCATCTCCATCCAGGAGTGCAGTGGCATGATCTTGGCTCACTGCAACCTCCGCCTACTGGGTTCAAGCAATTCGTCTGCCTCAGCCTCCCGAGTAGCTGGGACTACAAGCGTGTGCCACCACGCCTGGCTAATTTTTGTATTTTTAGTTGAGAAGGGGTTTTGCCATAATGGCCAGGCTGGTCTTGAACTCCTGACCTCATAATCTGCCCACCTTGGCCTCCCAAAGTGCTGGGATTACAGGTGTGGGTCACCATGCCCAGCCAAGCAGAAAACTTCTTAAGTATCATAACCACATACAGATAGTCTTTCAACATGAAGCTCACACTTACATAACAGACATAGCTTTCTTTGGAACTACAAGTGCAGGTCATTATGCATGGTAATTTGTTTATTCATTTACTTTTTATAGGGGCAGGGTCTTTCTATGTTGCCCATGCTGGTTGTGAACTCCTGACCTCAAGGGATCCTCTTACCTCTGTCTCCAAAAACATTGGGGTTACAATGGTAAGCCACCATGCCCAGTCATAACATTTTTTAAAAATTGTATTTCTTTGCTGTCTTTTTGCAGATATTTCATCACTTTGTTGTTAAAGTGGTAAGAAAGGAGTTGAGTGCATCTGTCTCTGCTTGTGCTGATAGGCCCTCTTTTTCAGGTCATGCCTCTCCAAATGACAATTAACTATATATATATATATATATATAGTTAATACTATATATATAGTTAATACAATATATATATAGTTAATACTATATATAAGTTAATACTATATATATAGTTAATACAATATATATGGTTAATACAATAAACTAAAGTCATGGAAGTAAATGTGATGTTTTGAGGAGAGTTTATATATTGAGAAGAAAGAAATCCAAAAAGAAAGAGACGAAGTCTCACTCTGTCACCAGGCTAGAGTGTGCAGTGGCGCAGCCTCGGCTCACTGCAACCTCCACCTCCTGGGTTCATGAGATTCTCCTGCCTCAGCCTCCCAAGTAGCTGGGACTACAGACACATGCCACCACGCCCAGCTAATTTTTTGTATTTTTAGTAGAGACGGGGTTTCACCATGTTGGCCAGGATGGCCTTGATCTCTTGACCTTGTGATCCGCCTGTGTCGGCCTCCCAAAGTGCTGGGATTACAGGTGTGAGCCACCACTCCCTGCCGATATTTTCTTATTTTCTGTATTCTTGATGCTTTGACATCTGGGGCTCTCCTGACTGGAAGGGCTGTGACTTCCAAGGCTAGCTAATTCCTAGAGACAGCAAAGAACTTGCCCGAAGCACACCTTGACCCATCCAGAGTCCATGCCCCAAACACCTCTTTTTATTGGGTACTCTAATTCTGGCACACCAGGGTCAGGTACTAGACAACTAGGACCACCCCTGCAGCTCAGAGCCTGCAGAAATAATTGAAACTATCCAATCCTAAAGCTGCTCAGTTTGCTTTTCTGGCCTTGCCCATTTCTCCTAGGGGAAACCAGAGTAAAGGAAGATGTCTACAGTTTTTATCTCTCTGCCTTCCCATCTCACTTGGTGGCCTTGTAGGGTGCACTGTGTCCTCTTTCTAGGGGGCATCCTCTAGAATTTGATTATTCCATGAGAATAATCAAAACCTCTTTCTTTTCTGTATCTAAGTGCCTTTCCATGCCTGAGTAAAACAAACCTAGGGTACCAAGAAAACACTAATAACAGCTAATATCAGAATGCCAGTCTTAAAGCACAACACACATATTCGCGACTGCTTAAAAAACCTTAGGCCAGCCAGGTGCGGTGGCTCACACCTGTAATCCCAGCACTTTGGGAGGCTGAAAAGGGCAGATTACCTGAGGTCAGAAGTTCGAGACCGGCCTGGCCAATGTGATGAAACCCCGTCTCTACAAAAAACAAACAAACAAACAAACAAAAAATACAAAAATTAGCTGGGCATGGTGGTGTGTGCCTGTAATCCCAGCTACACAGGAAGCTGAGGCAGGAGAATAGCTTGAACCCGGGAGGTGGAGGTTGCAGTGAGCAGAGATCATGCCATTGCACTCTAGCCTTGGGCGACAAGAGTGAAACTCTGTCTCAAAAGAAAAAAACAAACAAATAAACAAACAAACAAAAAACCTTAGGCCACCTGGAAAATATAAAACCAAAATAATAAGACTTTTTCATTCCCCACTCCCAGAAATCTCCTCTTAGTATCGTTTTATCCATTGAAGGCATGGCCACACTCCTGTCAAAGTTACGTCATTCTTGATTCTTCTTTCTTACCCTTTTGCACATAAGTCATGGAGCTTCTATACATCAAATATCTTTCAGATCTCTTCCTACTCTTCATATCTGTGTGGAACATCGTAGTTCAGGCCACCACCACTTCTTCCTTAAACCACATAGCTGTTTCCAAATGTGTTCCCTGTACACACTCTTCCCTTGAATCCCATTCCCCACATCGTTGCCATTTTTTTTTTCAAAACACATGTTTTGATTCCTTTCTTCAGGAATGTTTTGGCTCTTGATTGCCTAATCCAGACAGTTTCTTACCTTTAGCAAAATATTCTGTTCACAAACTGTAGTTTCATTTAGATATCTATGTTGAATTATTTTCAAGCATCTAACATTCCAATTATTCTCTACTTTAGGAACATTATGTCTCTTATTTTCTCTAAACACCTAGGTCTTTTCCCAATCTCCTGTCTTCCCTGATTCTATTATTCCTCTTAAGTGTCTTCCCCTAAGTTTTCTTTCTGGCAAGTGCTCATTTATGCAGAGGTTCCTCCCAAATCAGAATAAATCTTCCTCTCTCTTATAAATCAATCATAATTTGTACAGTCTACATTTTAAAATCTTATTTTAAAATAATTACTTTCATGACTTTTTCCTCACAAAATATGATTTTCAGAGTGCAATAATCCTGTTTATGACTATTAACATTCCAAAATATATTAGATGTTCGAAGATTAAATGAAGCCTATTTATCTTGATTAAAAGACACTCACACATTCGATATATGAAGAAGCATTATTAAATTTGAAAAACAAAATTAACTGGTATAATAAATGGATTTAACTGTTAAATTTTTAATATGGTACCTTTTGAAATAAAAAATAAATAAAATTTTATAATAACGCACATTAAATAACCAGAAACATAACTCAATAGAAAACTGAGCCATGCTTATGATAAAGGTAGCGCCTTTTCAGCAGAGTAACTTGGCAAGAGATTTGAGGCTGACAGAACTGTGTGAACATACCTGTGCTAGTTGGTTACTATGGAAATAAAAGCAAAAGTAAAACAGAGTGTTAAGGGGAAAAAAATCAAAAGTAATTGTATATGGCTTAAGTTGTGGACAGATAATAGCTAAAATCACCATAAGAAGTCAATCTGTCTGGTAGTGGTATTGTTGACAATACATCCTGTAAAGTCGTCTGTTGAACATCTTGACACTCTAAATACACAACTTCTATGTAAATATCAAATCAATCAGAACTTGTTTAAGTATTAATGCATTCATGATTAACCAGAACATTCTTGGGTCTGGTTAAGTATCAACCTAACACTTATGTTTATATGAAAAAGCATATACAGAAGGCTGTAAATCAAATATTTAAAACGTAGTCATTAAATTCATACTAAATTATTTTTACTCATTTGCTTTAATTGCATAAGAATAATTGTATTATACTGTGAAAATTATAACTCAAGAAAAGCTGCTAGAAAATTCAGCCACAGTATTTGTTATATACCTTGATAGCATTTTATTTTATTCCTATCAGGTAATTCCATGCCAGCATGGAATGTTGGACTAAAATATTTGAAAAAGAAGCACTATAGAGATAGTCTTAAAAGATATAAAATGTGAACGGCAAAGACTAAATGACTACAATATCAGTTGGATTGGAAGGTGATGCAAAGCCTATTTATGCCAGTGTTTCTGAAAGGTTATTACTTTGCTTGAATGCTTTACAAATTTCTCCAATTCTTTTGTTTCAGTTTGAGTGAGTAGATACAACCTAGGCATGTTGCTACTGCAATTGACTAAATAGTTCTAAAAGTTGTTAAAATGCATTCTTTAAGTTTTAACTTGCTACTGAATAATGTCTTAGTACATTAAAAATTGTAGCCCAATTTGCCATGATTCTGATGTGGTTTGATTTAAATTATATGTGTGGCTGAGAGGGGATTATTGTGCAGCATAGTTTCAATATTCCTTTCCACTCCTATTGGGTAAATTTTGGCTTTTGGTTTGAAATGGAAGATAGCTGACTGTTCTCAGCACTGACTCCAGCCTCCCTTAAGCATAATTCCCACCTCCCTGCCAGCTACATCTTTTAAAATAAAAAAGACTAAAAATGTGTTAAAGAGTATGACAAAAAGAAACAGCATAACACAAGAAGTTAAAATTATAATTTAACTTACTCTAAAAATCTAAAAGGACCTAACCCACTAACGATACAACCAAAATAATGGAAGAGGGAATTATACTGCAGCAACGACTGGAGTGTTATTATCTGAGTCTTGCCCACCTGAAAGACGGTAGTTTCATCAGTCATTTGTTTCCTACAGTATCCTTGGCTTCTGGGATTCATGGTCCCTACCAGCCAAACCCAAAGCAGAACTCTCTCTGAAACATAAATTTGTCATTTTGAATCCATGGACTATCTCACAGAAAACTCGTAAATCAGAAATTTGGCAGATTGAGTATCAGGGAAGAATCACATCTTGACAAATACCTATGGAGGAGACAGGGGAAGGAAAATCAATAATTAGAGTGCATTTCCACACTCTCCATATATGTGTCAATGTTTGAGAGTGTCAGAGAACCAAGCATAAGGTAAGTCTGACTCTGGGAAAGTAGGTTACAGAGTGAAAACTGGAGTATGTGTTTAACAAACCTGCTCTCTAGTTTTGGATTTAAAAAGAGGATTCTGACAACAAGCAATGGAAAAAAGAGCAGAACCCAGCACAAGTCATCAGTGGTTGAATAAAGGGAAAAAAATAATAAAAGTTTTAAAAATAAACAAGGTGACTTATAAAACACATGAGAAATCCAAGCTTTATTCTGGAGAGTCAGAGGAAAGGCATAGCTCTGAATGTTTACTGGAAATGCGAGAATAAAATGTACGGTGTCCTAGTGTATACAATAGGATTCAAGACAAAGCTTCTATAAAAGAGATCTAAAAGGCAAGCCTAAAATAGGATGAGACAGACAGACAAATCAATGATTACGTCACCCCCCAAAACTTAAAGAAATAGAAAATGCAGTTGCAAACTAAAAATTCTTATTGGAAACTGAATAAAAATGCAAATTGGACAGTATGGAAAAGAATCAGCAGAGTCAAGAACAATCCTTAGACTTTTCTCCCAGAATAAAGATGCAAAAGAAAAATAAAAAGAAAACATTATATTGAAATAGACAATGTTGCGCTTTACCGGAGTCTGCACTCCTGGAAAGCAGTGATGGTTAAGAAACAACTCCATCCTTGTGAGTCATCTTACTGTAAAGAACCACCCTCCTCCTTATGATTTAGATAAAACCCCCTTGTATATCTGTGACCAGGCCAGACGCAGGTCCTCTAAATCCTCACTTTTTGTCTTCCAAGGGATTAGCTGAACTGTTTGTCTCCACCAATCTGGACAAAATGCCTATTAACTTGACCAAACTTTAGTCAGGATAAATGCCTCCTCCAGGCCCCTGGCCTTTGACTCGCCCTTGAGGTTAAGCAGCAACAGAAAGTGGACCAATCTCTCTACAAACTCCCTGAAAGAATCAACTGACCTCAGGGAAAAGATCTTGACCAATTTACTTTTCACTCCTGGGACTCACCTAACTCAAAGAGGCCCAGTTATTTCTAGCCTTGTTTTTCCCTCCCTATATAAGAAAACCTCTTTCTGCTTGAAAGTTGAGACCCTCAGATCTTACCCTTGGTGTGATCTCCCTCTTGCAACGTCCTCTTTCGTTTATGCAACAATCCTCTCCTTCCACTGCAATAGTCTTTTTGAATAAACGCTCTCCTTATCTAAATCCAAATTGTCTTTTACATGACAAAATTAAGGGAAATAAGGGAAAATTCAACCTGGGAATTTTAGCATTACCCCTAAGGGGAATGTTAAATAAAAATAGATGTGAAAAGAAAAGTGAAGCCAAACACTTTTTTAAAAAATTATTGTGCACAATATGCAGGTTTGTTACATATGTATACATGTGCCGTCTTGGTTTGCTGCACCCATTAACTTGCCATTTACATTAGGTATTTCTCCTAATGCTATCCCTCCCCCATCCCCCAACCCCACAATAGGCCCCAGTGTGTGATGTTCCCAACCCTGTGTCCAAGTGTTTTCTTTGTTCAATTCCCACCTATGAGTGAGAACATGCGGTGTTTGGTTTTCTGTCCTTGTGATAGTTTGCTCAGAATGATGGTTTTCAGTTTCATCCATGTTACTACAAAGGACGTGAACTCATTCTTTTTTATGGCTGCATGGTATTCCATGGTGTATATGTGCCACATTTTCTTAATCCAGTCTATTATTGATGGACATTTGGGTTGGTTCCAAGTGTTTGCTATTGTGAATAGAGCCATAATAAACATACATGTGCATGTGTCTGTATAGTAGCATGATTTATAATACTTTGGGTATATGATCACTGGGTCAAATGGTATTTCTAGTTCTAGATCCTTAAGGAATCGCCACACTGTCTTCCACAATGGTTGTGTAAAAGCTTTCCTGTTTCCCCACTTCCTCTCCAGCACCTGTTGTTTCCTGACTTTTTAATGATCACCATTCTAACTGGTGTGAGATGGTATCTCATTGGGGTTTTGATTTGCATTTCTCTGATGACCAGTGATGATGAGCATTTTTTCATGTGTCTGTTGGCTGCATAAATGTCTTTTGAAAAGTGTCTGTTCATATCCTTTGCCCACTTTTTGATGGGGTTGTTTGATTTTTTCTTGTAAATTTTTTTAAGTTCTTTGTAGATTTTGGATATTAGACCTTTGTCAGATGGGTAGATTGCAAAAGTTTTCTCCCATTCTGTAGGTTGCCTGTTCACTCTGATGGTAGTTTCTTTTGCTGTGCAGAAGCTCTTTAGTTTAATTAGATCCCATTTGTCTATTTTGGCTGTTGTTGCCATTGCTTTTGGTGTTTTAGTCATGAAGTCCTTGCCCATTCCTATGTCCTGAATGGTACTGCTTAAGTTTTCTTCTAGGGTTTTTATGGTTTTAGGTCTAATATTTAAGTATTTAATCCATCTTGGATTAATTTTTGTATAAGGTGTAAGGAAGGGATCCAGTTTCAGCTTTCTACCTATGGCTAGCCAGTTTTCCCAGCACCATTTATTATAGGGAATCCTTTCTCCATTTCTTGTTTTTGTCAGGTTCGTCAAAGATCAGATGGTTGTAGAGGTGTGGCCTCTGTTCTGTTCCATTGGTCTATATCTCTGTTTTGATACCAGTACCATGCTGTTTTGGTTACTGTAGCCTTGTAGTATAGTTTGAAGTCAGGTAGCATGATGCCTCCAGCTTTACTCTTTTGGCTTAGGATTGTCTTGGCAAAGTGGACTATTTTTTGGTTCCATATGAACTTTAAAGTAGTTTTTTCCAATTCTGTGAAGAAAGTCATTGGTAGCTTGATGGAAATGGCACTGAATCTATAAATTACCTTGGGGAGTATGGCCATTTTCATGATAGCATCGAATGTTCTTCCATTTGTTTGTGTCCTCTTTTATTTTGTTGAGCAGTGCTTTGTAGTTCTTGAAGAGGTCCTTCACATCCCTTGTAAGTTGGATTCCTAGGTATTTTATTCTCTTTGAAGCAATTGTGAATGGGAGTTCACTCATGATTTGGCTCTCTGTTTGTCTGTTATTGGTATATAAGAATGCTTGTGATTTTTACACATTGATTTTGTATCCTGAGACTTTGCTGAAGTTGCTTATCAGCTTAAGGAGATTTTGGGCTGAGATGATGGGGTTTTTCTAAATATACAAGCATGTCATCTGGAGACAGGGACAATTTGACTTCCTCTTTTCCTAATTGAATACACTTTATTTCCTTCTCTTGCCTGATTGCCCTGGCCAGAACTTCCAACAGTATGTTGAATAGGAGTGGTGAGAGAGGGCATCCCTGTCTTGTGCCAGTTTTCAAAGGGAATGCTTCCAATTTTTGCCCATTCAGTATGATACTGGCTGTGGGTTTGTCATAAACAGCTCTTATTATTTTGAGATACGTTCCATCAATTCCTAGTTTACTGAGAGTTTTTAGCATGAAGCGCTGTTGAATTTTGTCAAAGGCCTTTTCTGCATCTACTGAGATAATCATGTGGTTTTTGTCTTTGGTTCTGTTTATGTGATGGATTACTTTTATTGATTTGCATATGTTGAACCAGCCTTGCATCCCAGGGATGAAGCCAACTTGATCGTGGTGGATAAGCTTTTTGATGTGCTGCTGGATTCGGTTTGCCAGTATTTTATTGAGGATTTTTGCATCGGTATTCATCAGGGATATTGGTCTAAAATTCTCTTTTTTTGTTGTGTCTCTGCCAGGCTTTGGTAACAGGATGATACTGGCCTCATAAAGTGAGTTACGGAGGGTTCCCTCTTTTTCTATTGATTGGAATAGTTTCAGAAGGAATGGTACCAACTCCTATTTGTACCTCTGGTAGAATTTGGCTGTGAATCCATCTGGTCCTGGACTTTTTTTGATTGGTAGACTATTAATTATTGCCTCAATTTTGAAGCCTGTTATTGGTCTATTCAGCAGTTCACCTTCTTCCTGGTTTAGTTTTGGGCGGGTTTATGTGTCCAGGAATTCACCCATTTCTTCTAGATTTTCTAGTTTATTTGTATAGAGGTGTTTATAGTATTCTCTGATGGTAGTTTGTATTTCTGTGGGATCGGTGATGATATCCCCTTTATCCTTTTTTATTGTATCTACTTGAATCTTCTCTCTTTTCTTTTTTATGAGTTTTCCTAGCACTCTATGAATTTTGTTGATCTTTTCAAAAAACCAGCTCCTGGATTCACTGATTTTTTTGAAGGGTTTTTTGTGTCTCTATCTCCTTCAGTTCTGCTCTGATCTTAGTTATTTCTTGCCTTCTGCTAGTTTTTGAATTTTTTGTTCTTGCTTCTCTAGTTCTTTTGATTGTGATGTTAGGGTGTCAATTTTAGATCTTTCCTGCTTTCTCTTGTGTGCATTTAGTGCTATAAATTTCCCTCTACACACTGCTTTAAATGTGTTCCAGAGATTCTGGTATATTGTGACTTTTTTCTCATTGGTTTCAAAGAACATCTTTATTTCTGCCTTCATTTCGTTATTTACCCAGTAGTCATTCCGGAGCAGGTTGTTCAGTTTCCATGTAGTTGTGTGGTTTTGAGTGAGTTTCTTAATCTTGAGCTCTAATTTGATTGCACTGTGTTCTGGGAGACAGTTTGTTATGATTTTTATTATTTTACATTTGCTGAGGAGTGCTTTACTTCCAACTGTGTGGTTAATTTTAGAATAAGTGTGATGTGATGCTGAGAAGAATGTATATTTTGTTGATTTGGGGTGGAGAGTTCTGTAGATATCTATTAGGTCTGCTTGGTGCAGAGCTGAGTTCAAGTCCTGGATATCCTTGTTAACCTTCTGTCTTATTAATCTGTCTAATATTGACAGTGGGGTGTTAAAATCTCCCATTATTATTGCGTGGGAGTCTAAGTCTCTTTGCAGGTCTCTCAGGACTTGCTTTACGAATCTGGGTGCTCCTGTATTGGGTGCATATATATTTAGGATAGTTAGCTCTTCTTGTTGAATTGATCCCTTTGCCATTATTTAATGGCCTTCTTTGTCTCTTTTGATCTTTGTTGGTTTAAAGTCTGTTTTATCAGAGACTAGGATTGCAACCCCTGCTTTTTTTGTTTTCCTTTTGCTTGGTAGTTCTTCCTCCATCCCTTTATTTTGAGCCTAAGTGTGTTTCTGCACATGAGATGGGTCTCTTGAATACAGCACACTGATGGGTCTTGACTCTTTATCCAATTTGCCAGTCTGTGTCTTTTAATTGGGGCATTTAGCCAATTTATATTTAATGTTAATATTGTTATGTGTGAATTTGATCCTGTCATTATGATGTTAGTTGGTTATTTTGCCCATTAGGTGATGCAGTTTCTTCCTAGCATCAATGGTCTTTACAATTTGGCATGTTTTTGCAGTGGCTGGTACTGGTTGTTCCTTTCCATGTTTAGTGCTTCCTTCAGGAGCTCCCATAAGGCAGGCCTGGTGGTGACGAAATCTCTCAGCATTTGCTTGTCTCTAAAGGTTTTTATTTCTCCTTCACTTAAGAAGCTTAGTTTGGCTGGATATGAAATTCAGGGTTGAAAATTCTTTTCTTTAAGAATGTTGAATATTGGCCCCCAGTCTTCTGGTTTGTAGGGTTTCTGCTGAGACATCTGCTGTTAGTCTGATGGGCTTCCCTTTGTAGGTAACCCGACCTTTCTTTCTGGCTGCCCTTAGCATTCTTTCCTTCATTTCAACCTTGGTGCATCTGATAATTATGTGTCATGGGGTTGCTCTTCTCGAGGAGTATCTTTGTGGTGTTCTCTGTATTTCCTAAATTTGAATGTTGGCCTGCCTTGCTAGGTTGGGGAAGTTCTCCTGAATAATAACCTAAAGAGTGTTTTCCAGCTTGGTTCCATTCTCCCTGTCACTTTCAGGTACACCAGTATAACGTAGATTTGGTCTTTTCACATAGTCCCATATTTTTTGGAGGCTTTGTTCATTTCCTTTTACTCTTTTTTTCTCTAAACTTCTCTTCTCAATTCATTTCATTCATTTCATCTTCAATCACTGATACCCTTTCTTCCACTTGATCGAATCGGCTACTGAAGTTTGTGCATGCGTCATGTAGTTCTTGTGCCATGGTTTTCAGCTCCATCAGGTCATTTAAGGTCTTCTCTACACTGTTTATTCTAGTTAGCCATTTGTCTGATCTTTTTTCAAAGTGTTAAGCTTCCTTGTGATGGGTTTGAACATCCTCATTTAGCTCAGAAAAGTTTGCTATTAACAACTTTCTGAAGCCTACTTCTGTCAACTTGTCAAAGTAATTCTCTGTCCTGCTTTCTTCCATTGCTGGCGAGGAGCTGTGATACTTTAGAGGAGAAGGGGCACTCTGGTTTTTCGAATTTTCAGCTTTTCTGCTCTGGTTTCTCCCCATTTTGTGGTTTTATCTACCTTTGGTCTTTAATGATGGTGACCTACCGATGAGATTTTGGTGTGGATGTCCTTTTTGTTGATGTTGATTCTATTCCTTTCTGTTTGTTAGTTTTCCTTCTAATAGTCAGGTCCCTCAGCTGCAGGTCTGTTGGAGTTTGCTGGAGATCCACTCCAGACCTGTTTGCCTGGGTATCACCAGCAGAGGCTGCAGAACAGCAAATATTGCATGACAGCAAATATTACTGTCTGATCCTTCCTCTGGAAGCTTTGTCTCAGAGGGGCACCCGGCTGTATGAGGGGTCAATCGGCCCCTACTGGGAGATGTCTCCAAGTTAGGCTACACAGGGGTCAGGGACCCACTTGAGGGGACAGTCTGTCTGTTCTCAGAGCTCAAACACCATGCTGGGAGAACCACTACTCTCTTCAGAGCTGTCCAACAGGGGCATTTAAGTCTGCAGAAGTTTCTGCTGCCTTTTGTTTAGCTATGCCCTGCCCTCAGAGGTGGAGTCTATACAGGCAGGCGGGCCTCCTTGAGCTGCAGTGGGCTCCACCCAGTTCGAGCTTCCCAGACGCTTTGTTTACCTACTCAAGCCTCAGCAATGGCAGACACCCCTCCCCCAACCAGGCTTACTTCCTGGCAGTTTGATCTGGGACTACCAGTGAGCTAGGCTCCGTGGGCATGGGACCTGCTGAGCTAGGTGCAGGATATAATTTTCTGGTGTGCCGTTTGCTAAAAAGCGTGGTGTTTAGGTGGCAGTGTCCCAATTTTCCTGGTACAGTGTGTCACGGCTTCCCTTAGCTAGGAAAGGGAAATCCCCTGACACCTTGCCCTTCCCAGGTGAGGTGATGCCCCACCCTGCTTTTCCTCACCCTCTGTGGGCTGCACCCACTTTCTGACCAGTCTCAATGAGATGAACCAGGTATCTCAGTTGGAAATGCAGAAATTATCCATCTTCTACGTTGATCACACTGGGAGCTGCAGACCGGAGCTGTTCCTATTCGGCCATCTTGGAACGGACCCCTGCAAAACACTTTTTTAAGCTAAAAAACAAGCTGACTTTAAATATCTTCTCCCTACAACTAAAATATGTACCAAATAGGGAGAATGAAAATAATAAAAGCACTAGAAGAAAATGTAAATGAACATCACACTGGGAGAGTTTCGTCTTCATGCTGATTCTCTCTCATAGTACATACTGTCATTCATAATGGTGGCTGTAAGTACAACTCAAGCACTGATTGCTCACAAATGTATTTTCTAGCCCAGCTATATCCCTGGGTTCCAGACTCATATATCCAACTGCTTGCTTGAATTCCTCACTTAATATCTAAAAACTCCTCCAAATTACTAAGTCCACAGCAAAATTCCTTTTCTGCATCTCTTTCCCAAACTCACTTCTCCAACAGGGTCTCCAATTAGAGTATATGGGATAATACTCTTCATTCTTCTTGGGACCAAATATTCTAGGAGTGACTTTTGCTTTTATTTTTATTTTATAACTCAAATGTATTCCTCAGCAAATTCTTCCATGTCTCTCTGTAACATATATTCCCTATTAGACTCCTCTCTCCTCCACCTCTCAGTGTCTAAGCCATGACATCCTCATTTGTCACCTGAACTCCCTAGCAAGCACCATTCTGGGCTCCCTGCTTCTGCACCAGCCCCTCTCCCTATTCTTTTCTTCGCACAGCTGACAATGATCTTCGAACCTGCATATCAGATCACATTACTCCTTCAAAATCCTTCCAATGACTCCCCTTCACTTGTAGAACAAAATTAAAGCCCTTACCAAGATCTCCACTAACCACATCTCCTATAACCCTCAAACTCTCTTTCATACAATCAATTTCAATACAATTTCAATCATACAGGATTCCTTCTGCCCCTCAAACCCACCTTGTTTATTCCTACAATTTTCAGTTTGTAAATTCCTAATGAAACTTTATTGACATATTTTTCATCATTAATAGGAAAGCTGAAAAGTACATAAATAAGTTAAGTGGTCTAATTGCTGAATCTTTAAAACATTGGTAACAATGAAATATAAACCAATATTTTTCTTTAACAAAAGTATTCTACACTTTAAAAAATAAGTTTTTTAAGAGAAGATTTACAATAGTCTAACTATAGAGTAGTAACAAAGTAAATACTAGAAAGTAACAAAACAATAGAAAACAAACAAATAAGATTTTTAAAAAATTAAACTATTTTAGTATCTTTAAAATAACAAATCTAACATATGCATTTGGATGGGGAGAAACATATTTGTCTTTGAGTCTCAGGTAAGTAACCTGTTGTACGAGAGAACACACAGTAATACAACAATTACAAAAATAATAGAAATGATAACTGATGAAAAAATGTTATGAAAAGTAATTTTCTGCCCTGAATTACCTGTTAAAGTTGAAAATCACATGGCTGGAGTGTCCGATGACAGAGTATGCAGCACCTAAATTGGCAGAGATGCCTATGTAATGTGTAAGGATCTCACCTCCTCTAGAAGGTGAAAGTTGTAAAATGAAATCCCTGAAGTAAAGACTGGAAAACAAAGAAATCTTCAAGTTGCAAACTTACATTGAGGTTTGATGGGATGTCTTTTACATATGTAATTTGGCAGTAGCATTAAAATTGACTTTTAAGGTAAGAAATATGAAACTCTCCAGCACTTAATTATGCTCTAAGTTTAATTTAGGCAATTATAGAGGTGCATTAGGTTTTTTCAAAGCACAATCATATTAATGTAATTAATACAAAATTAGATTTTCTATACTAATAAGTATTTCTTATATTGAGAAAAGCTTTTTGATATTTTTAACATTTTTTAAGTTAGCCCAAATAAATATTTCTAGAAGAAGATAACACAGAGAGCTTGCACTGAAAGATTAGAGGCATTTTATTCCTCTAAGTATTCTGTAAGTAGGGATTCTATTTAAAACAAGAAATAAGAAAGCATGTTTTACATATCACTTGGCTCTATACAAATGTGGACTGGTATTCTCTATTATGCATAAAGTAACAACATATTTGTGTGTTAAAAAATATTTTACCAAAGCATGTTTAAATTTTATTTTGCATTACAGCAGCAAATTACACATAGGTGAGTATTTTTGCCTGCTTTAAAAATTATTTTTGTTTTTAAAAAATTGACAATAAAATTGTATGTACTTATGTACAACATGATGTTTTCAAGTGTATATACATTGTGGACTAAATCTAGCTGATTTACATATGCATTACCTCACATAGCTATCATTTTTTTTTGTGGTGAAAACACTTTATGTCCACTCTTAGCAACTTTTAAGAATACATTATACTATTAACTATAGTCACCATGTTGTATAATAGATCTCTTGAACTTGTCCTCTCATTTAACTGGAATTTTGAATCTTTTGACCAACATCTCCCCAGCCTGCCCCAACTGCTCCAACTCCTGGTAACCAACATTCTAGTCTCTACTTTTAAGATCAACATTTTTGGTTGCTATATGTGAGTAAGATCATGCAGTATTTGTCATTCTGTGCCTGGCTTATTTAATTTGACATAATGTCCTCCAGAATATTTAACAAAATTGTTACTGTAATTTCATCTACGATGGGTAACTTTGGAGGCTATGATTTGTAGAGTAAATTGACGTCTTCAAAGCTGACTGGTTGGAAATGAAAGAAAGAGAAAAGAAACTTAAAAAATTACAATCAACACCAGGCTTAAAGGGGCTGGGATGATTTATTTAGCAGGAAGATAAGACCCTCAAAGATCACTAATACCAAATGGTATGTTAAAGCCCACTCAAGCCTGGGAGAACTTTCCCTGGGATCTGTGTGGGCTTCTGTTATGCAACCAATGAGAAGAGTCATCCCATTATCTGTCTGCCAACTGGAAAAGCTACAGAAAATTGATATAAAAGGGAGGTTTGCAGAAGACCATTGGGATTAGCTTGAAGAATGTTGCAGCAAATTTTAATTTTTTTGAATTCCTCCTGCAAACACATATTATTGTTGTACCAAACTAAATACTTTTCATACTACAATCTATAACAAAAGTGAATAGTACTTTAATTGACTACTTTGAACTAAGATGGTTTGAGCTGCTGTGGCTTTCTCTGGACAGTTTCTCTCATCATGAATACAACTGATGGCAGGTGAGGTGTTGACAATTCCTCATGGATGTTGGCTTAATATTGCATGTCCCCTTCTTTCTTTTCTCGAGAAAAGGCAGAAAAACAAGATTGAGTCTCATGAAAACTTGAAAAAAAGGCAATTCTAATGGCACTCATTCTAACAGCCAGTCATCACAGGCCCGCTGCCCTCTTCCTGGTGCAGGTCCACACACATCCCATGCCTGCTCCTTGTGGAGCTGTCCTGGCTGGGAACATCTCCAAAGCAGCAAGTCACCTCACACGCAATTCTCTTCTCCTGCAAGCCAGTCAGAGGCAGTGCAGAGATGATGGCTGCTCACCACAGCACCACCAGATAACCTGACTTGGTAAGACAGAGTGTTTTTGCTAATGTTAAAACACAAAACAAAATAAGTCTTCCCTCTGGCCTGATTTGATAATCCCCAAATAATATCTAACGTAAACTTGTTATGACACTTGCACTTCTTCTTCCAAGAGGTGGAAATCATAACAATATAGTGCAGGAAAGTTATGACATTTCAGCTGAAAACTATTTTATCGTTATCATCTTCAGCCTATTTTTATTTTTCTGACAATTTTATAGCAAAAGTTAAAAACACCTGTAGAGTAGTTTCCTAGAAGTTTCTTTTAAAACCAAATAAAATAATAATTTTCTTATGAAAGCAATGCATGTTCAATGGAGAAAAATAAAAGTGACAAGAATGAAAGGGGAGATACAGTCCCATCAGCCAGAGATTGTAACCAGGGATCTCAGTTTTAAAAATCACACACTTTCTTTCTCGTCCTTGCCTCCTCTCTCACCATTTTATTTCTTCTCTCTCACCTCTTTATTTCTTCTCTCTCTAGACACTCTCCTCTGGCAGTGCGTGCTTATCTAATTATGATCTTACCTAGAAATCCCAGAGGCTAATCTTGAAACAAACCAGTCTCAGAGCCCCCATTGTGGAATCCTCCTGCTTAGGGGGAGTTACTGGGAATAAGTAGTCCACCACCATCTGCTCAAGTCAAAATAATGCCAATCAGACCTCGGGAGTTGTGACTACCTAAGATAACCATCAAACAAGACACACAGACCCTGCACCCTGCACCCTTCCCACTCTCCCATACCAAGTTTCCCTTTAAAAAACCTTACGGTAAGTTTTAAAATTTAAGATGGTTCTTTAGGATGCTAGTTCACCATCTTTTCAGTTTGCTGGTTCTCAAACTAAACCTGTTTTTCCTCCTGCCAACCCTTGCTTCCTGTGTTTGGCTTTCAGTGATGAGCAGCCAAACCTAGGTCTGGTTACAAGATGATACCTGTAAATATAACTTCAGCACCGCTGACTTCCAAAGACCTCCAAAGCTTTCCCACATGGGGAACATATTCCCTCAGCTTCTTACTCACTTATCATTTTAAATATGTAGCTGTTTAGTTAGAAAGCTCTTAAATTTGACAATGTCTAAAAAAGAAAAAATGTTTCATTCACTTTATGCTCCAAGAAATGAACAATGTATATAAAACTTTGTTACTCTGACACGTTTTCAAATTATTCCGAGGGCCATATCCCACAATCTGAAAGCAAAATAATTCAGTAAGTTTTTACTTTGATGCATTCTATCTTCTCCAAACACCTAAATTGATAGACTAAACATAAAAAGAGAAAATCAAAAATATGGAATTGGGTTCACACATAGGAAATTGTTTCTATGTCCCATCAATAGAGTAGAAATGCAAGGCAAGAAAGACCTGCAGCTACGGCCTGCTGGGATCTGGGACCAAGATCAGCAGCTGTGCTTCCGAGTTCAGTATTTGTGGGGCACAATACTGAACAGTGTTCACATAAGGTGGGGGTCTGAATAAAAGAAGCCAAAACTTTTCATCCTAAAATATACTTTGGCATATTTTGGGATGGCTGTTCAGTGGACCTGCAGACAGAAATGGCCCTGCAAAACTGTCTTGCGGGGAGAGCTGTAGATATTCTGCCTTGATACATCCGTGGAGAATCTGCCTTGATGCAGCCAGGCTTTCTCTGAGGTCTGCCCCCTTGTCTGGATCCCGGAAAGGTTAACTGAGAGTCTGAGGACCATAAATGTCTGAAGAAACATTTCCTGAATATTCTCTCCGATGACTGCTACTTGTGAGGTTTCATCTATGTAACAAGACTACCGCTGGGGCCAGGCTCCTCTTCTCCCCATCCCATGATTTGTCTTCTCCCATAAACTGTACTGGGCCATTCTCTCATTCTCTCCCAGAGGCTAATCTTGAAACAAACCAGGCTCAGAGCCCCCATTGTTTCTCTTGCTTAGGGGGAGTGACTGCTAACAATTAGTCCATCACTATCCCCTCAAGTCAAAATAATGCCCATCAGACCTCAGGGGCGGGGTGACTACCCAAGATAGCCATCTGAACGTGACACACGGACCCAATTTTCCTGTAACCTCAAGGTGGTGTAAAAGGGGCAACCATCTGGTCATTTCTTCGAGTTTTTTTTATATTTTGTATAACTCCTGTGCACATAATAAAATATGTAAGCCTATTTTTCTGCTAATGTGTGTACTATCAGTTTGTTTTATGGACTCACCCCTAAGGAGAAAAATGTAAATTTACCTACATGTGAAATTTAGTTTGGAGCTTGGCTGCCGTGGACCTAGCTAAAACTGGGTGGCCTGGGCTCTCCCTTCCCAGATAAAACTTCTTTTTTTTTTCTTTCTGAAGATGGTAAGGGTGGAATGGAACCATAATCTATTTTTTTAGAGAGTTTGGACAGTGGCAGTAAGAAAACAGATATTCCAGCCTGGAAAACTGCCCCTTGTCATGCTGCAGCAAAGCTTTCTTAAAACAGCCACTTTAATGATCAGAAAACAGATCAGGTTGCCCAAGAGCCTCAAGTTGTAGAGAAATTGATTGAGAAAAGCAAAATGCTTATGGGTGTCAGATACTCCTCTGCTGCATTGAGGAAGACACTACAAGTGAGCTTATCTCAGGCAAGGGGGTGCCAGTTTGCAAACAGGTGAACTAAGGGAGTCCTGAAGAGAGGGAGGCTCACCTTGAGTGGCCTGAAATCTACATTTTTAAGAATCCGTAAAGTAAGGTCTTACAAAATTAGAAAAGGCACTTGTTTCTATTCTCAAATCAACAGAAAATAGGACTGACATCAGAGCCTTTCCCCAAATTCCTCCTGCTTCACTGAAACAGGGGGAACCAACCTGAAGGCAAAGATCAGGCCCTTTCCTCTCCAACCTGCTGATTCAGAGGGCCCTAATTAGTGTTATCCTAAAGGAAGAGGCTGAGGCACAAACAATAATTTTAAAGCACTTACTTGAGCCAAAGTGAGGATAGCTTCTCAGGACGCACTTCCGCATTGCCTTGGAAGGGCTCCCTTAGACCTCTGTTACAAGCAGGTTCTTGCAGGCAAAAAGGGGACAAGGAGTGGGCTGACACAGTTGATTGACAGAAATTCTCACTGGTTTGCAGAGATAACATTGGATAGGGTTTGGCTATAGATTGCTGAACTATAGGGTATGGGTTATGGTGTCCAGCATATGGCATTTTATGGTTACTTGGCTTCAGTCAGTGTAAAGCCCATATAGCAAGTGGCTTCAAGAGGTCATTATTTAGTGCCAGGAAGAGTGAGAAGAGACTGCTGTTGCATTTTAAATGCCTCTGTTATCCTGAGACTTTAAAAGGACTCACATTTCTCAGATAACAAACTTCTTTCTTTTTCCTAGCCACTAACAAATGAGAGAGAAGGATGAGCAATGCACAGGAGCCAGTCAATTAGAAAGTTTGTCAAGCTGGCCATGCACAGTGGCTCACGCCTGTAATCCCAGCACTTTGAGAGGCCGAGGCAGGCGGATCACCTGAGGTCAGGAGTTCGAGACCAGCCTGGCCAAGATGGTGAAACCCAGTCTCTACTAAAAATACAAAAATTAGACGGCGTGGTGGTGGGCGCCTGTCATCCCAGCTACTCATGAGGCTGAGGCAGGAGAATCGCTTGAACCTGGGAGGCGGAGGTTGCAGTGAGCCAAGATCGCACCACTGTGCTCTAGTCTGGGCAACAGAGCAAGACTCCGTCTTAAAAAAAAAAAAAAAGAAAGTTTGTCAAGTTAAGACACAACCTGGGAAGAGAAATTGTCAGTGTTGCAATTTCCTTATTATCACATTACTCAGAAATACAATCTTAGTAATATTTTGAAGGAATTTTATGGCTCATAAAAAGGTTGGCTTTTAAAAGCAACCTATAGGCTCCCAAATTTGATCAACAGAAAGCTGCTCCATACTGGAAAGAGAATACCTCCCTAAAATTAATTTCCTCTGGGGCACTGGAGAGTGGTGGGTGAGGATACCCTCCGGGAAAGTAGCTGACAACCACTGTCCTCCCTTTGGCCACAGATCTGCAGGCATCTAGTGCCACCTCTGCTCTCTGGGTCGCAGCCATCTCTCACCTCAATACGTGGTGGTTCATTTAGGCACTGCAGCCTTGAGGGGAGTCACAAATATTCATATGTCTCTTGCATTTCTTTTCAGCAGCAGTAGGACAAAGAACATGGCTGCCGCTTCAAATCTTGTGTGAATTCACCTCATCACTGGAACCAAATTTATATCTAATAAAAAGGTAAAATGCATTAAAGTTATATTGTTAAAGAGGGAAAAGAAATAACTAAAAATATTTTAGAGGAAAATATAAGAGACTATTTCATGAATGTAGGGTAGGGAGTAACTTCAAACATGACACAAAAAGTAATAGTGAAATACAAATTGATATGTTCTAGAGTATTACATTAAAAATTAATGCTAGCGCTGCCCAAAGATCCCTTACACAGATAAAAGCCAAGCCACAGACAAACAGAATATGTAGACAAAGAATAAATTGACAGTAGATACATATTCAGAAAATGTAATGAATATGAGTCCTTAAGAGTAAAAGAAATAGATTAAGGGGGGAGAAAAGTAGGCATAGACTATCAATAGTCTAATCAAGAAAGAAGAAATCAGACAGCTACTGAGCAGATGAGAAGTTGTTCAACCTTAATGGCAAACATAAAAATCAATGATGGAATATGATTGGTAATATTTTACAGTTTGATAATAGCAAGATAGAGGAAGATAAGAAGATATCCTGTAGATCGGGGTCCCCATGCTCCAGGCCATGGACCGATACTGTTAGGAACTGGGCTACACAGCAGGAGGTGAGCCGGGTGAGCAAGTGAAGCTTCATCTGTATTTAAAGCCCCTCTCTATCACTCGCATTACTGCCTGAGCTCCACCTCCTTTCATCAGCGGGGGCATTAGATTCTCATAGGAGTGCGAACCCTATTGTGAACTGCACATACGCGGAATCTACATTGCATGCTCCTTATATGAATCTAATGGCTGATGATCTGTCACTGTCTCCCGTCACCCCCAGATGGGACAGTCTAGCTGCAGAAAAACAAGTTCAGGGCTCCCACTGATTCTACATTGTGGTGAGTTGTATAATTATTTCATTATATATTCCAGTGTAATAATAGAAATAAAATGCACAACAAATGCACAAAATAAATTCAAGAAAGTCAGAGTGAATGAGTTCTATAATTATTTCATTATATATTCCAATGTAATAATAGAAATAAAATGCACAATAAATGTAATGCCCTTGAATTATCCCAAAACCATCTCTCCTGCCCCTCTGGTCTGTGGAAAAACTATCTTCCACAAAACCAGTCCCTGGTGCCAAAAAGTTTGGGGACCACTGCTATAGATTGTATTTCTGATAGATATGACTAATAACTTCACTTCTGCATTTTTCAAGAAATTAATAAGGCAAAATGTGAATGTTAATTACTATGAAGTTGATAGGAATAAAGATTTATCAATCACCATGACATATAAATACTGCATAATGAAAATATTAATAATAATAACAGCAGTAATAATTATTCAAGAAAGTCAGATATTGGCACCCTCTCTTCTATCCATAAAACATGGAAGCCTCCTTGATTCTGGTATGTTGGAGTCTTCATAATCAAAGCCTCAGCCACTTAGATTTATCCCCTGAGTCATGCCAGTAATAATCGGTTTGATTCTAGAAAAGAAAAGCTGAATATAATAATTCACATCAGTAAATTACCATCTAGGTTCAATTGCTACATGTTTTAAAAATTAAATATATTCTAAATTAAATGTTTTCATTTCTTGTGACAAAGTGTTTCTATATATCCCAATTGCATGACAATTTAACCTGAAATGGACCATCAATTTTCAAATTTAAAATATAAATGTCTGTAAAGGTCTTAATTTTAGACTATGAAAATTATGCATTCTGGGATTTAGACTCCTTTACTTTTTGCTAGAGAAGAGTTAAAACACAGCCTGACAAACTGATAGAGCAGGGTGAGGTGCGGGCATTCCGGCTGTGGTCTCTGCCTTTGCGGCCCTGCAGTGGATTGCCCCCAGCTGGTTATGTGTGTGGGGTTCTGTTTGCTGCTCCCGCTGCCCCACGGCCTCCTCCCTGACCTCAGGTGCAGAGAGGGGAAGAGTGCTCTGCAGTGAGGGTGTATCATCACACAGTTTTCTTCTTTGTATAGTAAATATTTTTGGAAACACTAAGTTAAATACCCAGAAGAAAGTAGTAAAGAAACAAAATCATTTAGAAAACCTAAATGATCGACCAGCATATCATATAGTATACACCTAGACAGTACATGACTGTACTAGACAATCATGCTTTGATACCCATATATAAAATAGTAGATGTTAATAAATATCTTGCTGTCTTAAGATGAAATATTTTCCAGCCTTTACAGCCATAATTTACAATTTGAACTGAATAATTATATTTATTTATATATATATATATATATATATATATTTCCCCACCCTGCTAAAAATTATACTGGAAGCTGTAGTAATGTCCTCCACAATGGTCATTACTGCTAAATAATTAACCTTGATATTCCTTAAGAGCCCCTGCTCTGCTAGCAATATTTGGAACTATTGAAGTGAGAGATTTTCTTGCTGATATAATAATTTCATGGATAGTAGTACTACCCCAAATGAAAAGACATTAAAACTGACTTCCAGAGGCTTTATTTTTCTTCTAGTAAATCCATTATGGACAGAATTTAATTCCTTACTGACTCTAGAATTACAAAGCAAGTACTTATGTGATGGAATTATACTGAGCTACTAATTATCTGTTGTACATTTGAAATTTAAACAATTTCGTTTGCCATAATTACTTTTTTTGTCATTTTAGTTTCAATAACTAAATTCACTTGTTAAAATGACATTATACAGAAATCTACATTAAACAAAAAAGTGATTCCAAAGATGTAAAGTTCAATTTAAATTAATAATAATTATACAATTTAATACTAATTTTGTCAGTTTGTTGTATGCTTTTACCCATAGATAATTCCCTGTTCATATTATAAAGGAATATATTAATTTTCAAAGTGGATATGAGATTAAAATATGGCTTATTTTACAGGGTTGTTATTTATTGGTGTCAAGTTGGCACTAAACACTGAAAAATAGGTTCAGAAACTTATACTAAAGTGTTTTCCATCACCATTTATTTTATTAATATGCATGTATGCATTCAATTTACTCAAAATTAGGTGAGACTTATGGTTTTAACACTCCAAGATGGATTGTGGTGTTCACGTTTTAAATGGAAAATTGTTTCTAATCTTGCTTCTGTGTATATATCTGATTGTTCCCACCTTGTGTGATTTATATCCAAATTTCAGAGTTCTGAGTACTAATTCCACATTCAAACATAAGGAAGAAGGATAGAATTATTTAAAAGTATTGTGTACGCTTGGAGTCATCAGTTTAATTTCCTGGAAGCTCTTCTATCAATTACTGATCTCCCAGAAACTTTTCATGACCTAGTCACTCAATTATTTAACAAAAACAATTTTAATTTTGCATTAATAGGATTGCTATCTTTTTACTGAATCGCTAACATTTTAAAAATCCCATATTATATTGATAATTGCCATTTATAAAGTGTTTACTGTGTCTCTTGAGCTTTATGTACGTAGACATAACACCTCCATTACTAAAGCTAATTCATGGGGTAAGAAAGGCCACGTGCATGTTGCACATGAGGGGTAAAACATGAATAGAACTAAAATTACTGCAGTTCACACAGCTAGTAACCAGCTCGAGCTCTGGGCAGCACTCTTGATGACCTGGCTGCTGTGCCTGCACTGTTCATCCCACCAGGATGGCTGCAAATCATGTGGTCAGGGGGATTGTGGCTCTCCAGGGAACATCCAAGGCCACCTAACATCAAAAGGAAGTTATGTGTGTGCTTCAGTACTCATAGAGGTAGCAGCTATATGAGTGTACAGTAGTTTATCCAAAACACTTGGGACCAAATCTAGCCCAAAACCCTGAATGTTTCAGCTATAGAAACATAGTAAACACCTCTTGCAGAAATTGCTGGAAGGAGGCTCGAATCAGTCATGAATATTCTGTATAGAAATGTATGAATCTTCATGCTAAGTGAGACAAACATTATAAGTAACTTCATTTCATTTTCCATCAAGTATTACTACCAAATAAGCTATTACAAACCTTCACGTTGCTATTTTTTAAAATTGCATAATTGTGGATAAGAGAAGAAGTTACTACTAAAAGGAGGACTTCGTCAGAAAAATTAAGAGCAGGTTATGCATTGCTTGTTATGTGGCAGTATGGCTATAGACCGATCTACCTTGTCTCTGCATCCGGGCTACACTCAATGTTTAAGACATGATTAGTTGTCCCAGTTTTCCCAGATCTAAAAACTTGTTTGCCTAAATGGTTAAAACAAAAAACTTCCTGAATACTCAACTGGTGTTTTATAAATTAAGATTTCCTCCCAATTTGTTTAAACTTAAAATTAATTATGTACATGGACATAATGAATATTGTGATAATACCATTCTGTTGAAACTGAACACAATGACAGCAACTAACTGAAGACAGACCCTCATTAACTGTCATCTGTACAAACCTAGACTGAGCTCACTCACAATACCCAACATCGGTCTTACAACTGATAGAAGTTCATTAGATCACTGTTGCAGAATCTGAATTTTCTGTCACTAGATCACCCAAATACTTCTCTTGTTTTTCTAAAAGTGGTTTCCTTTTTGACACATTCATTGAAATAGTTTCTTCTCTAACTTATATACTCATGAGATTTCTCATGTCATTCTAAATCAGTGGCACATTCTAATGTGTTCTTCAGCAACTAAGGCTATAAGACATGGGTGAAAACATGTATATACAGGTCCCTTTTAATCTAATGTGTAGTCTATTCAAATATGACACATTGGTATAATATTGCCTATGGTAATATTTGGAGTAAGTTTGGGATTTTTTTGACATTAAATCCACATTGAGAGCTTATAAACAGTAACTGTTATTTCAGTACCACATGAACGTTGTGGCATAATGTAATTATTCCAGACTGAAATGAAATAGAAAAAGCTTCTCACACTCAAGTGTCAGGTTGTCCTATATAGGATTTTCGATTAGCTCCCCATTTTAATTAATCAACCTGACTTTTTCCCATTATATTGACATTGCTAAAGGTGAATTTTCACATTCCTTGCTTTTATTAAGTACTCAATTCTGTACATTTTCAAATTATTCTACATAGGTGAATATACAAAATCTAAGTTAATTTTATGCCTTCATATATCTTATTGATCAAAGCTATAATTTAATATTTACATGGAGATGATTCTCATTAATATTGAGTGCTGTATATTTAAAAATTCTATAAAATAGCAACAAAAAGCATACATCATAGGAAGCAAGACTGGAGGACAGACATGCAAAGACAGAAATGCAACTATGAACCTAAGAACCAACCTTGTCACCATTAAGTGCACCAAACCAAAGCCCACCAAGTCTCCCCATTTTATCTTTACCCTGACCTAAAAAATTGCTAATAATAGAGTTTTTTTTTGTTTTTTGTTTTTTTTACAAAGTTTTGCTCTTGTTGCCCAGGCTGGAGTGCAACACTCACTGCAACTTCTGCCTCCTAGGTTCAAGAGATTCTCCTGTCTTAGCCTCCTGAGTCGCTGGGGATTACAGGTGCCTGCCACTATGCCTGGCTAATTTTTGGTATTTTTCGTAGAGATGGGGTTTCACTATGTTGGTCAGGCTGGTCTCGAACTCCTGACCTTGGGGGATTGACCCTCCTCGGCCTCCCAAAGTGTTGGGATTACAGGCATGAGCCACCATGCCAGGCCAGTACGTTTTTTTGTTTTGTTTTGTTTTTTTAATGGGGGAAGAGAGCAGTTGAGAAACTACAAAAAGTCAAGCTCATACATTTCCTGATACCCCTCCCTTGAGTTTTATAACGGGTCTGAAGGCGAATCCTTACATGAGATATGTCACATAAATATATTCCAAAGGCAGTAGACAGTCGTTGTCCCTTCTACTGAGATTAAAATTACAATATGCTTACAAAGAATGTGCTGTCAGTACGTACTCACACACATCAAGATGCATATTTTTTTGATGGGACAAAGATGAGCACATCAGACAGTTGGTGTTTTCAATACAGCACACAACACATGTAACAGTTTGGGCTCACATAGGGATTTAACCTGTTCTCATTTGCAGCACCATCCAAATCACAAACCCGAATCTCATTGAGTGATTGGGGGCTCAATATTTATTAATTTAACATGTTTATTCTACAGCTCTGTATTATTTCAATACCAGACTCCAGATAGATAAGAATGCATCGTCTCATTTTTTTTTGGCTCTTTAGTTCGAGAAGTCTATTTCTTTTCAGATTTCTTCTTCATGATCATTTACTAACAAACATACCCATGGCTTGGTATGTTAACAGAAGAGATGACTAATGAAATCTAAATAGTCATAAAAGGAAAATTCCCATGAACTAGATAAACACAAGAATTACAAATGTGATGAATAGGAATAAGATGCTACAGAAATTGATATTGCCAAGCTTATCATTTCAGCCACATTTCAATACTCATAACAATTACTTAGAATCAGCAACACCGCACAGCTAATCAACTGCATCTGTTCATCTTCACAGCTGTTACTCCGGAAAAAATGCCACTCTCCTCCCCACTCAGCTCCAAACACAGTGTGATTGTAATGAACACCTATCCTGATGAGGAATGCAGGCTGCATCTTGGAGAAAATTCAAATAGAGGTCCATTTGAAAATGGAAGATATGTAGTTACCAAGGAAACTCGCTGTGAGTCAACAAACTGGCTTAACTTCGAGCTTTGTGAGTTTATTCCATACAGAATTAACTTGCTATTCATTTTTACCTACTCTCCTAAAATGCTAGGAATCAAAATAAAATTATAAATATTATTAGCCATGCAATTAAAAGAGTAGTTTATTTTGTTATTTCTTGTCATTGATTTTGAAGAAAATATGTATTCTTTTTCAGCCTTTATGGATGCTCTCAGCCATACACATGCATATGCCTCCATGGTTATGCAATGGAAAAGGAAGAATGTCAGGAAAAATGCAGAGGACAGATTAGGTAGGTGAATCTGCCATGAGGGGTTAAGAGACCATGTAAGGAGGGTCAAAGGTTCATTTCTTTGAAAACACATCACAGAAGCAAGATCTGAATGGAAATCTTACTATAAGAAGGAGGTGGGAGGAAAATGAAAAAAGTCTGGGGATGAAAAGAAGCACAGGGCTGCCTTTTTTTTTTTTTAGACGGAGTCTCACTCTGTTGCCAGGCTGGGGTGCAGTGGTATGATCTCGGCTCACTGCAACCTCCGCCTCCCAGGTTCAAGCGATTCTCCTGCCTCAGCCTCCTGAGTAGCTGGGACTGCAGGCACCCACCACCACGCCTGGCTAATTTTTGTACTTTTAGTAGAGATGGGGTTTCACCATGTTGTCCAGGCTGGTCTCGAAGTCCTGACCTCAGGTGATCCGTCTGCTCGACCTCCCAAAATGCTGGGATTACAGGCATGAGCCACCACGCCCAGCCTAGGGCTGCCATTTTTAAGTAAGATGCGTTATGGCCCAAATACAAATAGACAGAAGGAAGGTGGAAAAGAGGCTGGGTGAGGAGGCAGAGCATGCCTTACCTCTTCAGATCTGTGAACATTTGGAGGTTTTATTCCAAGAACAATCAGAAGTACCTAATGACTTCTGGCGAGGGAGATTGACATTATTCCAGGACAACTGTACTTAAAACATATGACCTGTCAAGAGTAAATATTTTTTCTGGATTCTTCTGTGTCATCTGTCAGAATTCTTCTGCTGCCCACTTCTGGATTTCCCCTTTCTTCTCCACCATGCCTTGCTAAGCTGCAGTGTCTTCTCAACCTCTAGCCTGGAAACGGACCTCCTGTAGTCCCACAGCAGTATGTCTGGAGTCATGTTTGGCTCTTCTTTAATCTTATCTGCCTCCAGGCACCATGTCCTGCAGATGCAAGTCCCCACAGTTCTTGGTAGGACTGCGTTGTGATGCCTATTGCCTCAGCTGTAAGCCAGGCCTCACTAACTCAGGTCACCCTGGAGCAATAGCCTTCTCCTTCCAGTCTCTCACTTTCCAGACCTGCCTTTTGCCATGAGGCTGTGCTAGCAGTCACTGAAACATCCAGATTTGATTTTAGTTAGCTTTACTCCTAACTTAAAAAAATACCAAACCCCCATTAACTTTTATAGCATGTGACTCTGGATTCTCCCTGGTCTGATGTTAATGTACTTAAACAGCAGTAGTTCTCCCAAGTCCCAATTTTGTATAATTTTGGCTTACTTCCTAAAACGTTCTCTGTTCCAGTCTTTACTAATGCTCTCAGCCTGTGGAGATCTTAATTATGCAAGATGAGTTTTTAATTAAGTCTCTGGTTTTGCCTGTGATAATAAAATTTACCTTTTATCCAGTACTTACTATGTGCCTGTCACTGTTCTAAGCATGTTAATTCACAACAGTGTTCTGTGTGGTTTCTACTGCTAGCCTCATTTCACAAATAAGGAAGTTGAGGGTAAACATGACATACACCTTGTAGGTGGCAGAATTTAGATTTCAATGCAAGTATCCTGCCCCAAGAGCCCACATGGTGAACCAAAAGCCATGTTATTACGTACCTCACGGTTGGTACATGGTACATCACACCCTTTCTCAAATGACTTATGGAAATTTTCTCTCTTACTATATTGTCTTCAGAACCTATATTTTCTTTGGATTTTTGTGCTTTTTTTTTTGCCTTCTATTAGTAGGTTATTAATAGTATACCTTGAGCCCTATGCAGTAGTACAGTATGTGGTTAGATGAACAGCCCATCCATCAAATCCTGCCTGTCCAGTTACCATAGGCTGACTCTAGGAAACTTAAACTGTCTCTTCCTCAGCTACCACATCTGCAAAATAAAGATAATAACATCAGGTAATACGAGGTAATATTACCTCCTAGTGGGTATAATGAAGATGGAGTAGCGTGTGTGTGTGTGTGTGCGCGCACGTGTGTTTTAGAACAGTTCCCATTCTAGCTCAAATTGAATGCTTATACAAGTGTAATTTCCAGTACCACTTGTTATTAGTATTAATTTCCAGACTTACTTCTAGTCGGGTATTCTCCCAATTATATAAACACATTTCTACATTTTTTCCCAATAATGCACAAGATATTACAAAAAGAGGAAATAAGAAACTGTGGTAATAGGTAACTTGTCACTCTGAGGGTCTGCCAATTTCCAGAATTGGAGCCATTTATTTGATTCTGCAGCTTTACTGCAGTCGTCTAGGTTGGCTTGTCAACTTACCAGGCAGCCATGGTCAAAACTGCTGAGCCAGGAGACACTGAAACGAGAGAAGATTTCTTGTCATAATCCAACTCCTCTTTCCTGTTACCCATGTCCTGGCAGATCCATCCACCCATTTCCAAACTTTTGAAGACCCTAATTTTTTCACTTTGTGCTAAAACTCTTCTTACTTTAAACTTCAGTCTGTTGGGACTCAAAAACAGATACATCAAAATATGGCGCTTTGACATGCTGAACTAGAGAAGAAGCTTCAAGGTCTTTCTGACCTTCCCCAACCTCTTATCTCTCTGTCCTCTGTCTCTCCCAAAGCACAGGATGAAGTTGTTCTCTGAAGTTCCTTTATCTGCCTAAAGTCTGCACCTGCCAATTTCCTCTGGTTCCTATTCCTGAGTTTTTATTAACTGAACTCATATTGCAGGAAGAAAGACTGAAGTCTGTCAACACACCTGAGCAGATTTGCCACAAATCTCTGTCTGCTCTGTAAGCACAGCAGACTTTGTCCCAGGCCACTGTATGTTCTTCAAGCCCATGGAATTCTTCCAAAGATTATCTACTACTTCCCTAAGGTCATCCACACTCCCCATCTCCCTCACCCCTAAGAAAGTCTAGAACCATTTCTACCCCATTGCATGGTGGGGCAATCGCTCTGCAATTTCCCCCATGCACACTAATAAATTTGTATTCCATTTCTCCTGTTACTCTGCCTTTTGTGAGTTGATTTTCCAGTGAACCCTCGGAGGACTAAGGGGAAGTTTTCTTTTGTCTTCTATAAGGCCAACCAGTCATGCTAACTATACCTTCCTACTCATTCTCAATTTTTTCCAACTAACTAAAATAGATACGTTTATCATTCCTGAACTTCCCATATTTCCTTTATCTAGGAAAATAGTACAATATATTTGAGTCCTTGCAGTTGTGTTCATAATCTACTATATAACATTTGTGTAACTTCAGAAAGATCTAATGGGCAGTGTTGATCTATGCTATATCCATAGATGAGTGTGGTTGCATCAGAGTGGACTCCTGACCCAAGAGGAGACAAATAATTCATTCATCATCGGAAGACATCTCTCTCTCTTTCTTCCTTCCTTTCTTTCTTTCTCTTTCTTTCTTTCTTTCTTTCTTTTTCTCTTTCTTTCTTTCTTCCTTTCTTCCTTCTTTCCTTCCTTCCCTCCTTCCTTCCTTTCTCTTTCTTTCTTTCTTTCTTTTCTTTCTTTCTTTCTTTTTCTTTCCTTTCTTCTATCTTCTATCTATATTTGCTTTTCTGAAAACTTGAATAAAGGGTCACAGAGACGTGAAAAGTGATGTAGCCATGGATTACAAAAGCAATGGTCAGTTATCACCTATGTGGAGCTCCTCAAATATATCTTGGCACCCTAATCCCTGAAAGCCCGATTTTTAACTTTTTCCTTTTATTTAGTGTCTTGCCTCAGTATCCTTCTAACAATATTGGTGCACCTCCACTAAGTTTATCATCCCTATTCTTATCTCACTTTGGTTTCTTCCAAAGCAGTTTCCCTAATAAGCACTAAAAGGAGCTGTGTAATAAACCACCACAACTTTGTGGATTGAAACAACAATCATGTATTTATTTCATAATTCTTCAAGTGAGTAATTGAGTCTGTCTTGAATGGAATCTTTCATACATTCACTCATCCACCCTAGAGTATGTATCTTACTCAGCAGTGAGCTGTCGGGTGGCTTTCCTGACAGTGGCTGTGCTCGTCATCACATCACTGGGAGCTTCAGGTGAAACAGCTGCATCAGCTTGGGTCTTGCTCACATGCTCACTCATTCTCAGTGAGGCTAGCCTGGGCCTGGTCTTATGGAGTAAGCAGGGATTTCAAGAGAGAAAGACAAAAGGCACGCAAGTCTCCTTGGAGCCCAGGCATGTAACCCTGCATATCATCACTTTTGCTGCATTGTACTGATCAAAGCAAGTCCCAAGAACCACCCAGATTTGAAGAGAAGAGAAATAGACTCCATGCCTTAGGAGGAGGTGCATTATTGCATTGCAAGGAGTGTGGCATCAGAGAGCAGTGAATAGTTGTAGTTAGTTTTGTAATCTATTACAAATTCCCTTTAACATAAGCTCAGTTACTTGGCCATATCTCTCCCCCTTTAGGAGACCATGGCAAAACTGGGCAAAAAAATAGCATCACCCTACAGATTAATCCCATGACAAACTCATTGTTACTGTTTTGAGGTAGGCTTTTAGTATCCCCTCAAAATCTTTCAATTTTTTCCTGTCAGGACTCTTTTCCAAACCCCTCATTACTTTTAAACCCTCTCAATTCTCCTTGAGCCATCTGTCCAACTACCTGAACCCTTTGTTTGTGAGAGAGAGATAAAAACTATTCAAATAATGTCTTATTTTATGAGTGCAGTTTTTATTACTTTTTGTTACAGCGCAGTAATATTGAAGGGCTTGAGAGGAAAAACATATACAAAAGCTTGTAGGAATAGGGTGTAATCAGAAAAATGACTTTATGTCTGGTGCCAGTCACCTGCAACTCATAAAATTAATGCATCATTTAAATAAAGAGCAGAATTAACATATCCAGTGTAGAAAATGGGGAAAAACCTAGGGCCAAATGTCTGGGCTTTATATTTGCCTTTCCTAACAATTAACTGTAAACTGTGGGCAAGGCATAATCTTTTCTTGGCCTCTGTTTATTAATCTGTAAAGTAAACAGGTTGAACAAAGTGATTGGTGTGGTTACTTACAGCAAGAAATATATCCAACCAGGGACTTTCAATGGGCAATACAAAAAACCCGTAAGTTTAATGTTCTGCAGAAATAAAACAAAACAGACCATTTGATGTTTAATGGATAAATGTTTAAAATCTCTTCTTAAAGATGTTTTACTCATGTATTTTTAAATCTGCATTTCTTTGTTTTACTATAAGCACATTTAAGGAAAGGCAAAATTGTTCTGTAATACATACCCATCTGTTACTTCTTTTATACTTTGTTATAGTAACATATTTCTATAGTTATGGTACACTGGATATGTTAATTCTGCTCTTTATTTAAATGATGCATTAATTTTATGAGTAAACAATGACAAAATCACTCCTGAGGATTGTTGTAATTTGAAAAATGAAGAGTATACAGATACAATGAATACTTCCAAACACGTGTAATGTAATGGTTCAGTGGTCACTACTACTGGCTGTCAGGATGGCCAACTTAAAGCATATTTTCCCATTTTCTTTACAAGTTTCTCCATGATGTTATGGGAAATTGTGTGTGTGTCTAAAACCAAGTGGTCAAATCTCTAAGTGAGCCATAAGAGAGTCTCCAGGTTCCTAATGAGGGAAGTTGTACAGCAACTCCCTGGTGCCCCTACAATGAGATTTCAAATCTCTGGCACTGTCAGAGATGATCTTTAACCTGGCTCAACTTTTAGTCCATTCTTCAAAGTATAGGCTAGAATGGGCTGCTTCTGGGAAGGTTTTGCAGGTGGTTTATTCCATCCTTACTGTTGACTTAAGAAATACCTCTAGGTGTCAGTGCTTTTGTCTTTACTGTCAAAATAATGACTACATTTTTTTTTAAACAAGTAAACTCTTTAACAAGTAAACTTTTTTTAACAAGTAAACTCTTTTTCTTTAACAAGTAAACTCTTGAAAAAAAAAGCAAGAGGAAAGTATTTAAGATAATTAAGTCAGAATAAATTCTAACCTCTCTTTATGTATTTACATTAGTTTCCTGTGAAGACATCTTTCAACTCTACTGCAGATATGCCAAAACTGTGGGACAAGTGACCTTCTTTGGCTGGCATCTTCTTTCTGGGCTCCAGCTAGATAGCAAGCTCTTCCAACAATTCCCCTTAATTTTGATGTTATATTGCTATGGAAAAAAAATACTATTGTTTAGGATATCATTAAGCAGGTACCTAACAAAATTTTTATAGTTTAGTAGCATGGAAGCTATTGTTTTCATTAACAATGTATTAAAGGTAC
The DNA here is from genome assembly GCF_000001405.40 of Homo sapiens. Classification (NCBI taxonomy): domain Eukaryota; kingdom Metazoa; phylum Chordata; class Mammalia; order Primates; family Hominidae; genus Homo; species Homo sapiens. The sequence goes on from NC_000007.14 coordinate 53,309,299, forward strand.
AGGTTCTCCAGTGAATTCACACATGTCCATCATCCCAACTACAACACAACTCTATGAGATGGAGAGATAGCACTTCTCCCATTCTATAATAAGAATATAGAGCTTTTGTTACATCAAGTGCCTTTCCACAAGTAGTGCAGCTGGTAAATGGTGGAGTGAAAAGAGACTCTAGATCTTTTTAAGTCAGTTCCACTAGAGTGGATGGATGGAAATATGTGAAATCACCATGCCTCTTTACCACTCTGAGTTTGTTTCTCTACCTGTGGAGTCAAAGGTTTTGGACTTAGCAATATCTATCTTTCCTTCCAACATTGACCTATTCATTCATAGATATAGAAGGTATTTCAACAGTGAGACAGTGTGACGCTACCTCTAGTAACCATTCAGAAGAACTCAAAGTACACTTTGTGTATTTGTTTTACATCCAGAAACATTGGATCAAATGAATAAACTTAATTACTCATAGTCTTCAAAAACAGGTTTTATATTTTAAGTGACCGAGAGTGGCAATAGGGCAGTATTTATTGATTTGTTCATTTTTAACTTGCCATTAAATATCTCACCAAAGATATTTTAAAAGGCAGATATGCTGCTGCTATGTTCTGTTTGTAAAGCAAATTTGGTGGGCTTCATGGTCAATGCATTGCGGTGATATTATGCTTGATCACTTCCCTACACCACCCGTGGAGCTATCATAGAAAATATGCATATAAAGAAAGGAAGAAAAGAGACACACATAAGTTTAACTTCAACTAATCTGTTACATTGAATAGTTAAGAGTCCTAGATCGAAATCAGAAAAGCAACACAATAACCTCCTCTACACCACTGTTACTTCTGTAAAACCTCACTTTGCAGGACTACTTTTTCCATCTCTGTGGACATAATTTGGGGTAGGTTCTACTTACTCTTTGGTTACTCTCAGATAATAAAAAGTCCTCCAATGTCATGTAATTGCAAAATAGTCTCAGTTCAGTGATTGATATGTCCAGTCTTACGTCACAATCTAAGCCTTAGTTTAGATAGTTTCTCCAGTCCACACTAAGGCGATGACAGGAGTGGTTGGCTTTTCCCCTCTGTCCTTGCTGATTGCTTTTACCACTATAACATGTTTTTCTAACCAATGCTGCTTTGGGCCCATCCAGAGAAGAATAGGGAGTGGTGAAAGGAGGGAGGAGAGGAAAGGGAATAGGCAAATTACTTTTCCACCAATATAATGGTGAGTTCCAGTGCTTTCTGGGCTCCGCCAGAGTTGAAGCTGACTTTTTCTGTCATAGTGTGCACTTATGGGTTCTTTGCAATCTCCCTCATTATATTTGAATAAATAAATACCGTTCTCTCCTTGCTGGTCACTTATGACTTCCTTCTTAGCTGCTAGACATCTCACGGTAGCCCTTCCACATCATCTCGCAGGCCCCTCAGTCCTCTAAGGGGCCCTCTGGAGTAGAAGCTCAGGGGAGCCCTGACTACTCTCTCATCTAATCCATTTCCAGGCCAGGGAAAACACTCATGCATATTTTGGTCTGACAAATTCTGGCAACACAAGTCCATCCCATTTCAGTTTTATCTCCTTTGCAGCTAGCCATTTCTGTGCTCACACCTTTATTTTACTCATCTTTGTTGGAGAGCAGGCTATGCAGTGTGCTAAGGTCCTGGCACCAGATATGCCTCCTCTGGGTGATTCCACTGATGTTTCTAACACAAAACAAAAGTCAAATTCGCCCACCCTCCATACACACTCATAAATGCACTCCAACCTGGGGGAAGTGCAAGACTCCCTGCACACAGATAGTGCTCTCCTAATACACTTTCCTAACCTTAAATTATTTGCTCAAGCTTTCCAAACTATTTTATAAGGTGGAGATCAGATATGACTGAAAGAACTAATTTTCAGGCACTTTCTTTTCATGAAAGGAACATTACTGTCTGATACCTGACTCAGAATACATCAGCTAAAACTCAGCAAAAACTGTGACTAAAATAGTTATGATTCTATTTTAAATGTGCTATTGTAGAAAGGTACCATGATAAAAGATGCAAAACCATGAGTAGGAGTTGAAGTCTGAGGCTGGGTGAATTTCAGAACCAGAAGCAGGCGTGACAGATGAGACTGCAGATCCCCAAACGGGAGACAGCCTAAGGTCAGACCCTGGAGAGTGAAGACTAGAGCTGAGAGGCAGAGACTGGAATGGAGCAGCCCCCTAACTGGGGGAAGCTAACATGGTTTAGGAAAAAACATTTGCCATGTGGGAAATAAGAGGATGTAAATCGCGGTGTGCTGGTAGCCAGCACTGGCCCCGGGGAGCAGATGTTCTCTGTGGATGGAGTATTTACAGCATGGAAACCAGCGAACTCTTCAAATCAGGGCTTTTCACCATGATAACGAGCTGTTAAATATTTACCAGCATAACAATGGCTACGAGCCTGTATACAATTTAAAACCTGGAAGTGGTGCTTTAATACCAGACAAAGTAGAATTTAAAGCAAAAGATGATAGAGAAATATGGGTACTGTAATAAAGATACATGAGGCAACCCAACAAGAGGGACTAGAAGTTGTAACTTATGTATTTACAGGAAATACATAGGCAAAAGTCTATCCTAATACAAGAAAAAATAAGAATTCCACAGCAACGAGGGGAAAATTTTAATAAATTTCTCTTAGACATTGATCAATCGAGTAGGCAAAGCACTAGGAAGAACATAGACTCTTTGACGAAGAGAATTAAAGGGTTTAATTTAATGGAAATTCATATACATATACACATACATATTCTGCTACAAAAATCTAAAAATCAGAGCATTTTAATGTTCAATATTGAGGATTATAATGTATGCATTAGTGGTGGTGATGATTAAATTGCCACTCTTTCTCTATGTATACATATGCTATTACATTTCCAGCTATAAAAAAATAAAAACAATGTGAAGGTGATTATTGTTTTTAATATGTGTTTCCATTTTCTAAGGATGTGACTGAATTATTTCATTGTGTGTCTTATGGTTGTAAACATTCATATTCTGTAGTGAAAGCATCAGGCCTTAAGGCTCATTTTAAAACATACAAAGAGGCCTGGTTCGGTGGCTCACGCCTGTAAACCCAGCACTTTGGGAGGCCGAGAAGGGTGGATCATGAGGTCAGGAGATCAGACCAAGACCATCCTGGCTAACACTGTGAAATCCTTTCTCTACTAAAAATACAAAAAAAAAAAAAAAAAAAATCAGCCAGGCGTGGTGGCAGGCACCTGTAGTCCCAGCTACTCGGGAGGCTGAGGCAGGAGAATGGGGTGAACCCTGGAGGTGGAGCTTGCAGTGAGCCAAGATGGCACCACTGCACTCCCTGCACTCCAGCCTGGGCGACAAGTGAGACTCCGTCTCAAAAAAAAAAAAAAAAAAAAAACCCCACAAAGAATATCATGCAAAACTAATTGAACTTTTTAAAGAAAGTAGAAAGATTTTCTAGTGTCCTGGAAATGAATGCTCAGTGTGACAGAATCCGAACATGGAAAAACCATGAAGCCTTAATTATACTTTCATATTTAGTTTCAAGGGCCAGAGATGCCAAAATAATTGGAAAGACACATAGCAAAAATTATAAGAAATGGTAAAACTTATAATTATGAACAAAGCAATAAATTGATTGTTAAGATACCTCTGTCAGAAACCGCTATGCATAATAGGGTTAGAAATTCAGCCAAAATATATAAACTTGTAATTTCTGTTTTTTTTTTTCTTTTTGAATCAATAGCTTCCATTGTACATGGATGAAACTACCATTATTGTGAAGCAAATCTTTTGGTGTTTATCAGCTTGGAGGTGTAAAGAAAAGCCCTGAGCATATAGTACTTTTTCAACATTTGCCAATTTGTAGAAATAAAATGAGATTTGTGAACAGTAAAACACACAATAAGCAATGCACTTGTGTAAATAAGAATAATGCAAATGCAACGATGTGTCAAATCTGAGACTTTCATCCATGTACCATAGTGTAATATAAAAAGGGTACTCCAGTTGATCGTGTGTGAACACTCTGGAGATATACTGATGAAAGCTAGATAATTGCCAGCCATATTAAGAGCAGGATATTGAAAATTTTTACTTTTTCTCAGCTTTATATAAATAAGTGGGTAGAGACTAAATTGATTATTGTTTTATTATGAAGCTCATTGATTTACTAAGAGAAATTCTCTTATTTTATTTACATTGTAAGAACTTCCATTATTTTATTAAACCTTTCAGTATGAATGATAGGATAGATCATTTTAAGAAGGCAGCATCTTGAAATAAAAATCTGTGCACCAAAAGTCATTTCTATTATTTTGTTACAGTAGTTTGTGTCAGTGTTCACACCTCTCAAGAAATTCATTAAATGTTTTTGTGTTTCCCTAAGTTACATATCTGAGTCTGGATTCTTTCAGTGCAAATAAACATCAGAAAATTTCAAAAAAGAATTTTCTTTTAGACAGTTCACCATGGCATATTTAACTAAGCAATATTGAGCCAAATATCTTTTTATTACTGAATCATCACAAATATTTCAAAAGTTCTCATTAAAGAACTTATTTTCCAATGAGCATTTTCACAATCATTTTAAAGTGTTCTACAATTTATAGTCTGCTTTTATTTTACAATTAAATTTTTAATTTAATAAGGTTGTTTTGTCACCTTCTATTTATAGCAAGTGTTACTGGTTTTCCATTAAGGTTAATATATAAAACTTTCATTTAAAGTATGTCTTGTAACTAAAATTGAGTCAATATAAGAAAAGTAATATTAAGTAGGGTATAATATATCTTGTTGACAGTTATTACAAGATGGTATAATTGGTAAATAAATAAATGAAATTTGGAAAGCATTTTGCCATATAATAAAGAGTCTTAAAATATTCTAGTGTTCTATCACATAAGAAACTGTGCAAGAAAGAAGATAAAGGAGAACTTAAAAAAATTGAAACTTAATATTTGAATCTATGTTGGGTGCCATAATTTGTATTTTGCATAAGCCGTTTTATTTAATTCCTATGAAAATTTGTTATTTGGTTTTGTACCTTTAGTTTTAAGATGAGATAATAAAGGCCGTGGCTGACCACTTAATTATTAAGCTCCATCAATAATAAATGCTATGAAAGGCATTTGCACTCCAGTCTGTCCCACTGTATAGAGTGCTATTTGAGGTGCACACATGGAATCAGACATTCCACAGAAACAATATGTCCCTTCCTCCAAGGCACCCAGAGAAGAGATGCACACAATAAAAAAATGATGTTTCAGAAATACAGTGTGATTTCTGCATAGAAGCATAAAAAGGTGGATTTGCTCTGGGGACCAAGAAGTCATGAAAGGGGAAGTGCCAATCGCTCTGTGACCTGCAGAAAGAACTGGAGCACTCAGGTTGAAAAAAAAGATGAAGTTAGTCCAAGCCAAGAGATGAGCAGATGAAAGGAAGGAAAGGGTACAACATAACGGTCTAACAAAGCAATTGCCAAAGTAAGTTTGGATGCTTCCAAATGAAATCATAAAATTTCTGCAGCAGAATACTGCAGCGGAGTCCTTTGCTGCTCGCTGAAGATTCACGTTGTCTTTTCTGCCATGTGCCTGGGAGTCCAGGGACTGGTTTGCCCAATTAGACAAGTGTAGCAAGTGTGCAGTTTCCAGGCTGATGAACAGAAGAGGATGCATTGTCCTTCCTGGGGTTCTCTCTGTCCTGGTGTGACAACACATACAAGACCTGTATCGTGATGGCAATGTCCAAAAAGCCCAATATTTCCGTCCTCCTTACTTAACCAGATTTGCTATGGATGGTACAACACCTGCTTTAGGAACTGAAGATAAATTTACTTTTAGTGTATTAGGCCACTGAGATTTAGGGGTTAATTTTTTGGTATAACAAAGCATAGACATTCAAGTGCAAATAATACAAATGTAATGAATACAATTATAACTGAGAAGATAAGCTGGAAAAATCATTGCAAATGTGACAGAAAATGGCTAAAATCAATAACCTGAAAAGTTCAGACAAACCATTTAGAAAATGATTAATTCCATAACAGACAAAAGTCTCAAAACATGATGATATGTAACATAAATAACTTCAAATTATACAAATAGATGGCTTTTTTTATTAGTAATTACAGAAATGTAGATGAAAACAATGACAACACATTAACCACTTTTGCTTCAAAACTGTCTAAAGTTCCAAATGATAATGCCAAGGACTGAAAGAACACAGCGCAGCACACTGCAGCGGCATTCTCTGGTCTGCGGTTGTGTAGACGCTCTTCACTTTCTCCCTTGGACTTTTGGACCCTTTCCACATTCTTTTGAGTAGTATATAATGATTTTGTTATCAGAAAACGATTAACATCTAAAAACTGAAATCAGAAAAAGGATAGAGTATTTAGGATAATATTCAACTAATACCCATGTACTGAAAGCTAGTATGAGCACAAAGACATTTAAGAAACTCATATATATATGTGGGTGTGGGTGTATGTGTGTATACACACATTTTAATATACTTCAAAAGCACCTGTAAATCTCAAACCATCATTAATAAACAGAAAAGTACAAAATATTTTGTAAAAAAAAAGTATTCAAAAATTATTTTTAGTAATTTATAAATAGCTAAATGTCTAGAAAGTGAAATGGATGAATAAGTCTTTAGTGTGTTAGATCGCTGAGATTTAGAGGTTGATTTGTTACCATAGAAAAGCATAGACATTCTGACTAACACAAATACTAGGACTAAACCGCGTTGCTGCTGTAAAGGAAACAGCCCTGCCCTGGGGTTCAGATCTGGGGACACTGCCAAGCCTAGGGGTTAGGTGGCATGGGGACTCTGTGTCTGGCAGGCAGAGCCGGGCCTGAGGAGCTCGCAGCCAAGACCTTCACCAGCAACCATTCCTGCTGTGCCCTGAGGCGTTGGAAACATTCCACAGAGTAACAGGGCAGCTATTCTTTAGTAACAAAAATGTGTCTACTGAGATGAGAGAAAGCGTAATAAATCTTCATATCTGCCATCAAAACAGGACCAGAAGAGAGAAGTCATGTCTTGAGTGAACCTTACACACTGAAAATGTCACAAGGAAGTTTTTTAGTATCTGTGGATGCTGTAAAAACAGATTAAATTCTAGCAAAAGAGATATCATTACAAATCTTATTAAAAAAGATCAAGATGAATACAGTGCTGTGTCTATAATTCCAACCTCTCAGGGTTCAGCTGGGAACATTAAACAGGAGCGAAGCATCCACAGCTGACAGCAAGGAAAAGTCTCAAAGGGAATCTTTGTCTTCTGGGTATCACATGTTTAAAAGTCTCTTCCATCCAAAGAAAACTACACCAAGGCAGCCTTTACCTGCACACTTCAACAAGTCTCCTGTTGTGTCTGTTTTGTGTTTCTCATCTATGGGGAAACCCTGAGCTAAACACTCAGCATTTTTATTCATCTAAATCCTAAATGCATATTGGATGGTGAGAAAGCTTCTGTCTGATGAAGAAACAAAACAAGACATCTGTTCAAGAACCACGCTGATTAAACTTCCAAAGTGTAGCTGTTGACCACAGGGGTTAGAAAGCTACCAGCTTATGGGCAAAATCCAATACACCACCTGTTTTTGTACCATGAGTTAAGAATGACTTTTGCTTTTTAAAACAGGTAAAAGCAAAACAAAATAAAAGAGGAATATTATTTCGTGACATGTGAAAACTATGTAGAAATCAAATGTAAGAGTCCGTAAATGAAGCCTTCTTGAAACACAGTCATGCCATCTGCTGACTGTGGCTTCTTGCGCCTTGTGGTGTGAAAGTGAGATGATTTGGCCCATAAAGCTGAAATTATTTACTATCTGGCCCTTTATAGAAAACATTTGCTGAACTCTGTTCTATATCATCTTATCTGCAAATACCTTTCATTCCACAAATTTTTTTCTGTTTGTAAAATACAAAAAAGTACAGGCTTCCTAAATTTGGGCATCTTACTTAATTTAAAAATAGAAATTAGAAGATCTTGATAAAATCAAGTCAAATTAGCATCTATTGCTAGAAAATAACAACAGAAGATAGTTAAATGAAAAGGTGATAAAACCAAGTGCCATGTCAGTCAGTGCAAGCAAGGCGTGAACTAGATGGAATATTGCCTTGCAACATGATGTGGCCCCTGACCTTACCTATGTCCAAATCGCTAAAGTTATATTGAAAAGAGAGGGTCAGTAAAAGACAATTTCTCATTGATATTAAGCACATCATGGGGGAGAAACAGACTAAGGAATGGTGAAGTGGGTTGGAGAAAATAATGATGCCCACCACAGTAAATGGAGATTTTAGTTGAGGCAGAATGGGCCATCAGGGAGTCCATCTTTGCCCAATCCATCTGATTTGGAGGAATAATCCCATGGGAGCAGAATTCATCTCTAGGTGGATAAAAAGGACATTAAAGAAGCAGACCCGGCTGGGCGCAGTAACTCACACCTGTAATCCCAGCACTTTGGGAGGCCAAGGTGGGTGGATCACAAAGTCAGGAGTTCAAGACCAGCCTGGGCAATATGGTGAAACCCCGTCTCTACTAAAAATACAAAAATTAGCCTGGCATACTGGCGGGTGCCTGTAATCCCAGCTACTCAGGAGGCTGAGGCAGAGAATTGCTTGAACCCGGTAGGTGGAGGTTGCAGTGAGCCGAGATTGTGCCACTGCACTCCAGCCTGGGCAACAGAGCAAGACTCCCTCTCAAAAAGAAAACAGACCTTAAACAGCACCACGGCAGAAAAGAGCAGGTTACCTATGGTGGAGGTCACCCTACAGATATGGAAGATAACTCATTCTTGCCTCAGAATTTCTTACAGATCACTCAATGCCAGAAGAGTAGAGAATCACCTTTACGAAGAAACTCAGGAAATCAAATTTAATCTAATAATATTTATAACCAGTCACGTTGCTATATACCTCAAAGAAAAAAACAAGCAACAATAGCCAAATAAATCCAGCAAAATGGTACTCAGTTCCACTTCTTTAAAACAAAATAAACAAAAGATAATTAAACAACAACCCAAACATCCAGCCAATACAAAGTAAATCACAGGAAAATCTCAGGGATGGAGAAACTTTGGCAGAATGATCTAGGTGATCAGCATTGAGTTTATTTAACCATATTATCAAGACTACACAGCTAGAATGAAGTGTTCGGGCTTGAAGGTAAAGTTGTAATCTTATAAAAGTAAAATAATGAAAAACAGAGTTAACATGTGAAGAAGAAACAGTGCAGCCAAATTGAAGCATAGTTATGCAGTATTTAAGCAGCAGATCTTAATAATACTATAAGTAATTTGGAATGTTATAGAAAATGCTTTTACCACAACTCTTGTGGCTATATGTGCCTTTGTTGCTCTTATCTGGATTGTGGAAGCCAGTACGTTTTAAACATTCCTCCCAAATTTGTACCTTAAATGTCTCTGTAATGGGACCAGGATGGTGACTCATACCTGTAATACCAGCAACTTCAGAGGCCAACGCAGAGGATAGTTTGAGTCCAGCCTGGGCAACATAGCAAGACCTTGCAAAAAATTTACAAAGTAAATAAATAAATTTCTCTGTGACATTCATGTAGAATAATTATAATCGCGTAAGTCTAATTTTAAAATAGTGGTAATACTTTTGAAACACACAGATAAGAAAATTAAAAAGCAACTTCAAACATATATTAAAAATCATAAATCTGGGTGTGGTAGCTAACAGCTTTAATCCCAGGACTTTGGGAAGCCAAGATGGGAGAATTACTTGAGCCCAGGAGTTCAAGATCAGCCTGGACAGCATAGCAAGACCCTGTCTCTGCAAAAAAAATTAAAATTAGCCAGGCATTGTAGTGTAAGCCCATAGTTCAACCTACTTAGGAGACTGAGGCAGGAGTTATCAACTGAGCCCGGAAATCCAAGGGTGCAGTGAGTTATGATCATACCACTATAATCCAGCCTGGACACCAGAGCAAGACTCTGTCTCTAAAATAATAGTAGTAATAATAATAATAGTAAAAACACAGACAGAAAGGGAAAAATTCTCTAAAAATTGGTTTCACACGTTTGTTTGTGCAAAAGTTATGGTATAGAGGTGATTTTTACTCTAATAATCATGTTTTAAGGAGTTAAAATGTACTTTCACTTTTATTTCCACTTCACAATTACTATTGAGTAATCTGAGAAAATTCCAAAAATAGAAGTAAAGAAAAAAATATCGAATATTAAGCACACCAAGACAAGCCACCAGAGTGAAAATAGTGGTCCCTATATCTGCCATCTCAACCACAGATAGTTTTCTTTTGAGTAGAATAATAGATTTTTTCTAGCAATTTTTTAGTATCTTTTCAAATCCAGAAATACTCTTCTGTAACTATCCTTTTAATATTTGAATAGAAACCAGTCTTTTGAATATCAATTTGTTTTTTTATACTGTTAGCAATTTAAACTATTTTCACATTTTCTTACCCTTGCTATTGTAGCACTGTATTTCTTTGTTAATCCCTGAAATATCTATTTCCCATCTAATATATCCCAGCTGTTTTTTAAATACTAGCGCTACAATGATGAAGAAGACACAAGCATGGCCCTGAGGACCTTCTAGCACAGTAGTTAATTAAACGCAGAAAACGGAATGGTGTGAGAAGGGCCTCCATAGAATTTTGAAACCAAGAATCAGAGATTTTTTTTTTCGTGTGTTTTTACCTTTAAAACCTGTAAGCTAGTCCTGCAATGGCAATGCCATAAGGGGCTGAAAACACTGGAATTCACTGGTGAATGGATACAAGAATAAATGTATAAATGAATGATGGGGGCAATATAAAGTGCTGGGAGCAGTCATTTGCTTGTTTGTTTTCATATTCAGAAATTTATATTTGCTACTTTTATTTGAATATTGTTCCATTAAATTTCTTCTCCTCCCTCTCCTTCTTCACTTTGTTTCTCCTCTTCTCCTTCCTTCTTCATTCTGATAACTGGCTGATTTATTTCTTTTCATGAACTGTAAGGTCACATGTTTTCCCATTATCCTACTGGGCTTTTATCACAATATCAGTGTTTTGTTAGGATCTTCACGCAACATATTAATCACTTCTCTGAAAATATTTGTGCTATAGTGTGTCCTTTCACTTTAAACATGTTTCTTCATCAATTTTTTATACAGATTTTTTAACATTCTATTCAGTCAGTGGAAGAAAAATTAAAATCTCGTGGAGGCTATCAAACATTTCTGTAATATTTGCCATGATGTCACGCTGAAAAAAATCCTTTTTTACCACAAGTTTTCGTAAACGTGGATCTATTACCTCCATGATTTATTTTTATATTAAATTTTATGATTAGTTTTGAAATTTTAGAATAAACTAGAGATCTAATTCCAACCATTTCTGAAATCTTAACCAATTAGTGGAGTGTGATTAAGAAACGAAAGCATCTAATTTCTCTATGGAATGCCGCTTTGTCTCTCCATCCTTCCATCTGTCATTTATCTCTGTCTGTCTCACTCTAGTGGACAGTACTTGTGCATTGGAAAACTATTACACCTTAAAATATTAATTTACTTTTGTGGTTAGTCAATTTACTGAAGACTTACATTCATTTTTATAGATTTTCATATGTCTTTCACGAAGTCAACAAAATTATATAAAAACAATATTTCTCTTTTTCCTTCTGACAGTTGCATCAAATGTTTTCATTGACTGATATTTATAGTAATTAGAAGTTCTTCAACAATACTGATAGTTTTGCTGATAAATATGCATTTTTAATTGCTTATTTTAATAATTATAGGTCTACTTTTATACTTAAATAAGATACTAGCATTTGACTTAAATATCCTTTATTATCCTAAAGAATTATTATTTCCAGTTTCCTAAAGCTTAACATATTTAACATCGCATTTAAAATTGAAGGTTCAATTTTAATTTCTTTTTTGCAATTGCTATAGCATTTAGTAGAAAAATATTTATGATTTGAATGACTTTATTGTCAATTGTGTCTATAAAACATTAATATCCTCTGTGCCTCATTTAATGTTTCAGAATGAGTTCTTTTTTTACAATATTTGCTGGTGATGTCTTAAATATTTTGTGTCACTGTTACAGACTCTCTTTAGTTAACTTGTTTAGCTCTCTTTAGAGCTAAAAGTGTTGTGTTTTAATGCAATTCAATAATCTCTGTCAATTCGTAAGAATAGAGCATTTTAATTGATTTAAATGTACTCTCATAATTAAATAATATTCTCATTTTTGTCATTTTGCTTCATGCTTTTTTATGCTTTTAGGCTATATTTCTGTTTTGTTAGTTCAATACACATTTTTATTTGCATATTTTCATATGTATACGTAAAGGCCAAGGGAAACCCTTGGCATTCTGAAGTTTCTCTGAAAAATTAACTCAGAAAAAGGCATATTAATTGGAGAAAAGGCATTCAGATTTATTTAATTTGTATACACGGGAGTCTTCGGAATGAAGGCACAAAGGCACAGGGGAAATCGTCCATTTTTATGCTTAGGTTTAACAAATGTGGAGATCTGTGTAGAAATGTGATTGGACAAAAAACGATATAATGTGATACTTGTAGACAGACTGGGGAGACCCAGCAAGGCCACCTGGATTCTTTGAGCCTCCAGAGTATGTACTCCTTTCTTCTGGACATATGGTAAGGCAGTCTCTGCAATGTGGGGATCTTATGATGTACAGTCAAAAATCATGGGTGAGATAATTTCTTGATGGACAGTTTTTACACAGATACGACAGAGGAAATCTTAGAGTAATATTTTTAGGCTTTATGGTTGGCTTTGGGGAAAGGAATTCTGGTTTCCAGGGCTTGCCTTAGGGGAAAATGGAGCTAAGGAACAGGAGGCAGGAGGGCAGAGAAAAACTCTTGCTTGTGACTGCTGCTAAGGCCGTCATTATGCATACTGTTTTCTGAGCCAAAACATATACATATGTTTTTAGCAACCTCTTCATAATAGCTGAACACTGGAAATACAGGAATATCAGCTGATAGTGGGTCCGGAATTTATTCCTTCCGGTGGGTTCTTGGTCTTGCTGACTTCCAGAATGAAGCCACAGACCCTTGCAGTGAGTGTTATAGCTCTTAAAGACGGTATGTCCTAAGTTTATTCCTTCAGATGTTCAGGTGTGTCCGGAGTTTCTTCTTCTGGTGGGTTCGCAAGACCTCAGGAGTGAAGCCACAGACCTTCGCGGTGAGTGTTACAGCTCTTAAAGGTGGCTCATCTGGAGTCGTTTGTTTCTCCCAGTGGGTTCATGGTCTCGCTGACTTCAGGAGTGAAGCGGCAGACCCTCAGACCTTCGCGGTGAGTGTTACAGCTCATAAAGGTAGTGCAGACCCAAAGACTGAGCAGCAGCAAGATTTATTGTAAAGAGCAAAAGAACAATCCTTCCACAGCCTGGAAGAAGATCCCAGTGGGTTTCTACTGCTGGCTTGGGTGGCCAGCTTTTATTCCCTTATTTGACCCTACCCACATCCTGCTGATTGGTCCATTTTACAGAGTGCTGATTGGTCCATTTTACAGAGTGCTGATTGGTGCATTTACAATCCTTTAGCTAGACACAGAGTGTTGATTGGTGAGTTTACAATTGTTTGGCTAGACACAAAAATTCTCCAACTCCCCACTTGACCCAGAAGCCCAGCTGGCTTCACCTCTCAATAGCAGAAGGGTTGAGAAAATTGCAGCATATTCAGGCAATGTTATACTGAAAGAAATGAAACTGGAAAATAATTATCTAGGCCACACAAGTTAATAAAAACTACTTATTTCCTTTCAATATATTCCATAATTGTTGGTTGATACATATTGTTGCTTCATATTTGTCTTTTATCTTTCTTCTTAAATTTATTGATATTCTTATGATTTTGTAAAGGTAACAAATAGTGTCCTACTATACACATTGGAATAGGATTTATTTAATGCCCGCCACCTTGTGGTTTTAATATATATTAATATTTTCTAGTTAGTAATAAACTTCATATTTTAATTTTTATGACCACTCCTCCTCATGACAATAACAATAATAATAATAATAATAATAATACCTTCACAGTGTTTCCTGTATAGCAGACCTCTTACAAAATTGATACAGATGATCCTTCTCAAAACTCTACTCAGTAAGGATACGTTTATCCCCCTTTACAAATGAGGCTACTAAGGACAGAGAGGTTAAATAACTTGACAAAATTACACAGTGAGCAGGGATGGAACTAGTTGCTAGAGATGTAACTTATGATAATTAAGCGAAGATGTTTATAAAGCACTTTAATAATCAAAATGGTGGATTATTTTGTCTGGCAGATGATCTATAATGGTCTTATTGCCATTCCAAATAATTTCCTACAGTTTTGTGTCACCCTGAAGCTAATGTTGCTCTATCTTAGAACCTATCTACAAATAAACCTGTTTGCCTTCAATATCTCTGTTAAAGAGTCATTATTATATTAAACTCCTCTGCATTATACTATGCAAATTCTAAATGCACTTCCCACATAGTGGTGAAAGTAATTTGTTTTTATGGTTGCTTAGATTTGAAACATAAAGTGTATTATTTTATTAATCCTCATAATATCTCCATGAGAAAATTAAAAATGTTATCTGTAGTATATTCAGGAAAATATTTGTATAAATAAATGTTATCTAAAATCCTCAGTAGATAAAAACATTTAGAAATTGGAAACGGTTTATTTTCCATTCATAAGAGAATTGTAGAAGTTGGATATCAAGGGAATATTGTTATGACTAAAGATGTATTTATCAACCAGACTGTTTTATTTTTTAATATTTATTTATTTATTTATTTATTTATTTTTCAGATGGAATCTTGCTCTTTTGCCCAGGCTGGAGTGCAGTGGCACAATCTCAGCTCACTGCAAACTCTGCCTCCCAGGTTAAAGCGATTCTCCTGCCTCAGCCTCCCAAGTAGCTGTTACTACAGGTGTGCTCCACCAGACCCAGCTAATTTTTGTATTTTTGGTAGAGATGAGGTTTCACCATGTTGGCCAGGCTGCTCTTGAACTCCTAACCTTAGGTGTTAGGAGTGATCCAACCACCTTGGCCTCCCAAAGTGCTGGGATTACAAGCATGAACCAATGTGCCTGGCCTCAGATTGTTAGTTTTAGATATTCATCTATGAAACAAATATTTATCTGTAAGCAAAAATCTCTGCTCTTATGGAATGTATAACTTAGTTGGGGAGACAGACAATAAACAAATAGACACTTACATACTTAATACATTGGATGAGTTATATGAAGAAAACTCAAAGAGGAGAGGAGGAGATGTGACATGAGCAACTATGATAAAAATGTTCAACTTGTGCATATATGGGTGTACTGTCAACAGAAAGTAGGATGAAGTAGTTTATTTGAACATAAAACTTGAGGAATGTCATTCGGGAACACTGGCTCCAAATAAATGGGCAGTGTGATATGGTTTTACTTCGTCACCACTCAAATCTCATCTTGAATTGTAGTTCCCATAATCCCCCTATGTCGTGGGAGGGACTTGGTGGGAGGTAATTGAATCATGGGGCTGTTAGCCTCATGCTAGTTTCATGATAGTGAGTGTGTTCTCATGAGATCTGATGGTTTTATAAGGGGCTTTTTCCCTTTTGCTCAGCACTTCTCCTTGCTGCCACCGTGTAAAGATGGACATGTTTGCTTCCCCTTTTGGCATGATTGTAAGTTTCCTGAGGCCTCCTCAACCATTCCGAACTCTGAGTCAATTAAACATCATTCCTTTATAAATTACCCAGCCTCGGGTATTTCTTTATAGCAGCATGAGAATGGACTAGTACACAGTGTTACAAAATGAAGTTAAAGTTTCACTTACAAAGGTAGAGACAGAGATATTTTAACAGGATAATGATATTTCCCATGCAAGACCAGTGCATATGTGACAGAGATTTGATAGAGATTTGATCTGTTACAGA
Source organism: Homo sapiens (assembly GCF_000001405.40). Lineage (NCBI taxonomy): Eukaryota > Metazoa > Chordata > Mammalia > Primates > Hominidae > Homo > Homo sapiens. The sequence continues at coordinate 53,325,247 of NC_000007.14, forward strand.
CTGCTGCATTCCAAGGAAGATGACTGTATTACTTGTTAAGGAGAGGTAATCTGAGGAGTAATCTGAAGAGGTCTTATCTCTGACACCATTTGGTTTTCCTTATCGTTTACAGTAAAAAAAAAAAAAAAAAGGCAAAAGTTGGAGCTGCATGCTGCATGACTCAGGCTGCATAGCCACATTCCCCCCAAGGCTCAGAATAAAGTTCCAACAACTTTAAGGTGGAATTATTTAATTTCACAATACTAAATAATACTTAATTATATATACATGTACTCCAAATATTCTATCTTAAAATTAGAAAATGAACATTTTAACAGGGTCCACTTGACTAAATTTTGTATAATTCAATACCTTAACTTATTTTCTTGGGAATTATAAAAGCTTTTCCCTCAAAGAACAAAATTCAATTTCTTCATGTCATTTTTTAAGGAATATAGGTTATTTTTCTAAACTGTTAGAAATATTCAGAAATTATATTTTTAACAATAGGCTTGGTAAACACTTCTTGAGTGGGTAAATATTCAGCTAAGTTATAGAAAGGGTTTAGAAAATAACCACATTGTCTTCTTCCATTCCTCTGATCTGCACACACTAATGTTGGATTAAACAACCAAGATCTCTGAAAAATCAGAAATATTAAATCATTAAACCAGCAGAGTTACTAGATTCCTTCAAAACTAAATCTAAAAAGTTCATCCAACACACAGCTCTGAAATTTCCAAACACATAAAAGTGCCCAGACCAACTGAACCCAGACGACAATCGTTTTCCCATGTTGTGAAAAATAATTAGGTGATTTGCTGTTCTCATGAGTGCTATTTAATTCCACAAAATAGTGCTTTTCAAAAAGTACTTCTCTCTTTATTGCAATGTTTAAGGAACATCTGTTAAAATATCTAAAAAATATTTGAATTATGTAAGACAATTTATCACCAGCAAATGAATTATGAACAAATTTTAACTTACTGGAAATGAATTACAAGAAAAATAGAAAGTTTAAGATGTAGAATTTTTTAAGTATTAATTCTTTTCCTATCTCTAGCAAGGGTGAATTTGTACTATAATCTTGCATAATAAATTGTGAAACATTTCTCCTACATATTCAATCATTTAATAATATTTTTGGAATATATCACACAGAAATTTAGAAAACATCAATTATTTGTTATCATGACCACATTCCAAATGCATTGAGTTTTTAATTCTCATATAGAATTCCATGGTATGGATGTGCTACCAGTTACCTTCCCAGAATCCGTTGTTGGACTTTCAGGGTTTTTCTTTTTTTTTTTTTCAATTCATATAATGCCTCAAGTATAATTTTTGTATTTGCATTGAAAGAAACTAAACTATTTCACTCCAAAATATAATACTTCTGATATTTTGAGATGGCTGTTGAGGCGGCCTGCAAACAGAAGTATCTCTGCAAAGCTGTTTTTTGTGTATGAGTTTTGCTGATGCAGTCAAGCTTTCTGAGGTCCTACCTTTTACAGATCTAGAAAGATTAACGGAAAGACTGCCAGCTTTAACCGTCTGAAAGAAACAATGACCATCTATTCTGTCAGAGGGCTGCTACCTATGGAGTTACATCTACATAACAAGATCGCCTCTCCACCCCTTAACCTGTCTTGCCACTAAAATAGATTTAGCACTATAACCTCTTTTGTGTCATGCTTGGAGCCCGCATTCTTCCTGTAACCTTAGAGTGGTATAAAAGTGTCAACCATCTTGCCTTTCTTTGAGTTCTTATATTGTGTATGACTCCCGTGCAAGTTAAAAAAAATTGTAGGCCTTTTCTCCTATTAACCTGCCTTCTGTCAGTTGATTTTTCAGAAAACCCTCAGAAGGCAAAGGGGAAGTTCTCATTGGCCTCTACAGCATCAACAGACATTTGTAGAATAAATATGAAGATAGACTATTAGAAATAGACCTGTGCAGTAAAGAGATGTGTGTATTTCTGAATCTTATACAGGGCATTGTATTGTCCTCCAAAAAGCTCACACGATTTTACACTCATAGGAACTATGCATGACAGTACCAGTTTCTCTTTCCTTATTTACCACTGAAAGTGATAACTAATCTTTCTTATCTCAATGCATGAAAAATAATTATCCAAAATTTGTTTTTATGAAAGAATGAGTATCTTTATTAGCAAAAAAATTTAAACATTTTAACAATATTTTATACTACCAAAAGTGTCTTTTTTTTTTTTTTTGATAGACAAGGTTTTACTCTGTCACCTAGGCTGGAGCGTAGTGGCTCAGTCTTGGCTCACTGAACCTCTACCTCCCCAGCTCAAGCAATCCTCCCACCTCAGCCTCCCAAGTAGCTGGGACTACTGGTGTGTGCCGGCTGATTTTTGTATTTTTATTAGAGACAGGGTTTCACCATACTGGCCAGGCTGGTCTTGAACTCCTGGGCTCAAGAGATCTGCCCACCTCAGCCTCCCAGAGTGCTGGGATTATAGGCATGAGCCACTGTGCCCAGCCCTGGAAATGTCAATTTTTTTCTAAGTTTTGTCTGGTTACTTTTATGTCTTCATTTTATTATGCTTAAATCACTGGACCCCTGGAATTTATTTTGAAATAGATTAATGAGGGAGATGTATATTGTTAACAGAAAATAAAGTATTTAGAGAGTTTATTTTATTATTATACTTTAAGTTCTAGGGTACATGTGCACAACATGCAGGTTTGTTACTTATGTATACCTGTGCCATGTTGGTGTGCTGCACCCATTAACTCGTCATTTACGTTAGGTATATCTCCCAATGCTATCCCTCCCCCCTCCCCCCACCCCACAACAGGCCCCAGTGTGTGATGTTCCCCTTCCTGTGTCCATGTGTTCTCATTGTTCAATTCCCACCTATGAGTGAGAACATGTGGTGTTTGGTTTTTTGTCCTTGGGATAGTTTGCTGAGAATGATGGTTTCCAGCTTCATCCATGTCCCTACAAAGGACATGAACTCATCCTCTTTTATGGCTGCATAGTATTCCATGGTGTATATGTGCCACATTTTCTTAATCCAGTCTATCACTGATGGACATTTGGGTTGGTTCCAAGGCTTTGCTATTGTGAATAGTGCCGCAAGAAACATACGTGTGCATGTGTCTTTATAGCAGCATGATTTATAATCCTTTGGGTATATACCCAGTAATGGAATGGCTGGGTCAAATGGTATTTCTAGTTCTAGATCCTTGAGGAATCGCCACACTGTCTTCCACAATGGTTGAACTAGTTTACAGTCCCACCAACAGTGTAAAAGTGTTCCTATTTCTCCACATCCTCTCCAGCACCTGTTGTTTCCTGACTTTTTAATGATCGCCATTCTAACTGGTGTGAGATGGTATCTCATTGTGGTTTTGATTTGCATTTCTCTGATGACCAGTGATGATGAGCATTTTTTCATATGTCTGTTGGCTGCATAAATGTCTTCTGAGAAGTGTCTGTTCATATTCTTTGCCCACTTTTTGATGGGGTTGTTTTTTTTGTAAGTTTGTTTAAATTCTTTGTAGATTCTGGATATTAGCCCTTTGTCCGATGGAGTTGTTTTTTTTTTCTTGTAACTTTGTCTAAATTCTTTGTAGATTCTGGATATTAGCCCTTTGTCAGAGGAGTAGATGGCAAAATTTTTCTCCCATTCTGTAGGTTGCCTGTTCACTCTGATGGTAGTTTTTTTTGCTGTGCAGAAGCGCTTTAGTTTAATTAGATCACATTTGTCTATTTTGACTTTTCTTGCCATTGCTTTTGGTGTTTTAGACATGAAGTCCTTGCCCATGCCTATGTCCTGAATGGTATTGCCTAGGTTTTCTTCTAGAGTTTTTATGGTTTTAGGTCTAACATGTAAGTCTTTAATCCATCTTGAATTAATTTTTGTATAAGGTGTAAGGAAGGGATCCAGTTTCAGCTTTCTACATATGGCTAGTTTTCCCAGCACCATTTATTAAATAGGGAATCCTTTACCCATTGCTTGTTTTTGTCAGGTTTGTCAAAGATCAGATAGTTGTAGATGTGTGATATTACTTCTGAGGGCTCTGTTCTGTTAAATTTGTCTATATCTCTGTTTTGGTACCAGTACCATGCTGTTTTGGTACCAGTACCATGCTGTTTTGGTTACTGTAGCCTTGTAGTATAGTTTGAAGTCAGTTAGTGTGATACCTCCAGCTTTGTTCTTTTGGCTTAGGATTGACTTGACAATGCGGTCTCTTTTTTGGTTCTATGTGAACTTTAAAGTAGTTTTTTCCAATTCTGTGAAGAAAGTTATTGGTTGCTTGATGGGGATGGCATTGAATCTATAAATTACCTTGGGCGGTATGGCCATTTTCATGATATTGATTCTTCCTATCCATGAGCATGGAATGTTCTTCCATATGTTTGTGTCCTCTTTTATTTCGTTGAGCAGTGCTTTGTAGTTCTCCTTGAAGAGGTCCTTCACATCCCTTGTAAGTTGGATTCCTAGGTATTTTATTCTCTTTGAAGCAGTTGTGAATGGGAGTTCACTCCTGAATTGGCTCTCTGTTTGTCTGTTATTGGTGTATAGGAATGCTTGTGATTTTTGCACATTGATTTTGTATCCTGAGACTTTGCTGAAGTTGCTTATCAGCTTAAGGAGATTTTGGGCTGAGACGATGGGGTTTTCTAGATATACAATCATGTCATCTGCAAACAGGGACAATTTGACTTCCTCTTTTCCTAATTGAATACCCTTTATTTCCCTCTCCTGCCTGATTGCCCTGGCCAGAACTTCCAACACTATGTTGAATAGGAGTGGTGAGAGAGGGCACCCCTGTCTTGTGCCAGTTTTCAAAGGGAATGCTTCCAGTTTTTGCCCATTCAGTATGATATTGGCTGTGGGTTTGTCATAAATAGCTCTTATTATTTTGAGATACGTCCCATGAATACTAATTTATTGAGAGTTTTTAGCATGAAGGGCTGTCAAATTTTGTCAAAGGCTTTTTCTGTATCTATTGAGATAACCATGTGGTTTTTGTTTTTGGTGCTGTTTATATGCTGGAGTACATGTATTGATTTGCATATGTTGAACCTGCCTTGCATCCCAGGGATGAAGCCCATTTGACCATGGTGGATAAGCTTTTTGATATGCTACTGGATTCATTTTGCCAGTATTTTATTAAGGATTTTTGCATCGATATTCATCAGGGATATTGGTCTAAAATTCTCTTTTTTTTGTTGTGTCTCTGCCAGGCTTTGGTATCAGGATGATGCTGGCCTCATACAATGAGCTAGGGAGGATCCCCTCTTTTTCTATTGATTGGAATAGTTTCAGAAGGAATAGTACCAGCTCCTCCAATCCCACAGAAATACGAACTACAATCAGAGAATACTATAAACACCTCTACGCAAGTAAACTAGAAAATCTGGAAGAAATGGATAAATTCCTGGACACATACACCCTCCCAAGACTAAACCAGGAAGAAGTTGAATCCCTGAATAGATCAATAACAGACTCTGAAATTGAGGCAATAATTAAGAGCCTACCAACCAAAAAATGTCCAGGACCAGACAGATTCACAGCCGAATCTACCAGAGGTACAAGGAGGATGTGGTACCATTCCTTTAGAGAGGTTTATTCCGAGATAATATGACTGACCAGGACCTGGGGCAGAGTCACAAGAGGTCCTGAGAAAACCTGCTCAAGGTGGTTGGGTTGCAGTTTGGTTTGATACATTTTGAGGAGACAAGGGTTACAGTCAAAGACATCAAACAGTACATGGAAGATATACATTGGTTCAGCATGAAAAGGTGGGACATCTTGAAGCAAGGGCTCACAAGTCATAGGTGGTTTTAGGGATTATTTATTTGACAACTGGCTGAGAGAATTAAGATATTGTCTAAGGACTTGAAGCCAGTAGAAAGAAATGCTTGGGTTAAGATAAGGGGATTGTGGGAGCCAAGGTTCTTGTTACATAGATGAAGCCTCATAAGTAGCAGTCCCAAAGAGCATTGATGGTAGACATCGCTTTTCAGACATTAATGACATTAGACTTTCAGTTAATCACTCCTAGATCTGAGAAAGGCCTAATTGCATTAATGGAGGTTCCCTAAAGATGCAAATTCCTCCCCAAAAAAGACAGCTTTGCAGAGCCATTTCAAACTATGTCAAAGACATGTATTTGGGATAAAATATTTTGATATCCTTCACGGGCTTTTATCTGCGGTGTGATGCTGTACCAGCATTAAGATGGAAAGTCAGCCACATTATAGCCAGGTTAATAGAAAATCCATTTAACGAGATTTTATGTTTTTTTAGGGAATAACTGAAGCCTTGCCCAGCATGGCCTTAGGTCTTGTTGACAATTTGCTATCTTATGCCACAGAGAGTCTGTTCTGTCAGTTTCATGATTTCTATTTTTAACCTAGTCAGTTGTGCCTAAACTCCAGAAGAGAGGGAATATAACAAGGTTTGTCCAACCTCCCTTCTGGTCATGGCCAGGGACGACGTTTTTCAGGTTTCTCCAGGGTCCCCTTTGCCAGGAGGGGATTCCTTCAGTTGGTAAGGAGCTTAAGATTTCATTTTCAGTTTACAATATCTGGATTAGTTTTCATGTTGGTTGCCAGTATCCTGCAGTTTTTTACCAAATAAGCAAATTTTCCTACTTATTAGAACATCAAATTACAAAAAATTCCTTTGTGATTTGAAGCTATCTTTAAATTTTCTTGCCTGTTCTAATACTATGTCTGCTCCATAAGGTTTTAATCATTATTATTTCATAATTCATTTCAATATTGGATAGAGATATTTTCTCATCATAACTCTTGATTTTAGTCTTTCCTTAACTATATTATATTTTAATTTAATTTTGTGACATGTGTAGAAAATTTCTAGAGTAGATACCTGTTCACTATTGATTCTGGTTACATAAGAAATTCTGTGCATTTTTAGTCTTCTTTTATGCCTGTATATAAAATTTTATGGTTTTATTTTAAAAGATCTGCAAATTTTTATGTTTATAATTACATATTATTTATTTTTTTAACAGAAGCAATTTTCCAATGCAAATGCAAATTATATTTAATCTTTATAGTATATGTTCATATATATATATGGAAATGCTAAATTAAGGCTGCAGTATAGCAAAAATGACCTAATCTGTTAAACCAAAAATTAATTTTTAAGTTTGTCCCATGTGGTAGAAAATAAGATAGTCAATAAAATTACAGTGGGTAAATAAAATCAAGTTGTGCCCTCAAAGATCTTACAGTCTAACAGGTGAAAGAGATAAAGAAGTAAACAATGAAACATAAACACAAGACCTTATGAAAGAACTACAGCTTTTGTTGCCAACTCTTGAGCATTTTCAACTACTACACACATCCTCCCATTTCACAGCCATGCAGCTGGGTCTTGCAGTGCCCTGATCTGCCCATTGGAGTAGCCAAATTGCTCTCTTGCCCATGCTGCACACTCGTTAATTGAACTGGGAATGTGCCTCCATTTAAATTTACAGTATAGAGCAGAGCAGTGCACTATCATTCAGAAAAACAACAGCATTACTAAAGATGTTGGAACAAAATGTTCATGATTTGAAGTGCCTAGGAAACTGCCCAAATTTTTCAGTAGTGTTGGCTTAGTGTGTGCGGCTACAGAAAATGAGCCAGTGGAGACTGCCATGTTGATATAATCGAATGGATCATGAAAATGCTCATTGAAAATGCTCAACCCTCTTGTATGTGGGTAAGCTCCTCATATAATTTGATTGGAGAAATAATTCATGATAAATTTTTAGAAGAGTGAAATGGAAAGCAATGCTGTGACTAATACTTTGCCAGTATTCATAGTATTGATCTTTACAGTTTATTTAGAATTTTTCTACAGTTTAAAAAATTGAACAGGAAACCAAACACCACATGTTCTCACTCATAAGTGGGAATTGAACAATAAGAACACTGGACACCGGGAGGGGAACATCACCTACCAGAGCTTGTCGGGGGGTGGGGCAATGGGAGGGAGAGCATTAGGACAAATACCTAATGCATGCAGAGCTTAAAACCTAGACAAAGGGTTGATAGGTGCAGTAAACCACCATGGCACATGTATACCTATGTAACAAACCTGTACATTCTGCTCATGTATACCAGAACTTAAAGTAAAATTTAAAAAAAATTGGAAATCAGAACAAATTATTAAAGTAAAAACATATTTTATTTATATATTTAGTGATTAGAAAATTGTAGTTTAAAAGGCATAGTGTTTTGAATAAAATTCCCACTTCTATAAAGGGATATGAAAGTAGGATTTTTTTAATATCATAGAAGTAGTAACAAAACACTATAGTGTCAATGACAAAGCATATCCATTTTAGGTGTTAAAGGTCTTTCTTTGCTATTTCCACCACGTACACTGATAGTTCTTATGTTCTTCCTCTCTGATTCTACTTATGCAATTGATAATAGCACTATAATTTCTCAGCATTTTCAGATCAATAAAAATTAAATTTGTAAGACTTTTATATGTGATAAATGTGTAATCTTTTCTATGTATAAAATATTTTATTTGAAACACAGTGTTCTTTGCATTTGAGGACCAACACTAAAGAAAATCCATACTCATATAAATTTTTATGTGCAATAAATCATACATTTCTATCTAAAAATCTATGAGATTAAGAAGACAATTTTCCAATATAGTAATAACCAAAATAAAACAATTTGCTCAATGTTTTGTTCTCATTGACTTTCATTTCTGTGGAATCCATAGAGCACTTTGAATACAATCAATTATAAAAGTAAATAATAGGGCAGCCTGTTAATACCTCTAACACTGTAGAAGTTATAAATAAATATCTTGTGTTCCAAAGCAAAATTGAATATTCTGTTTATTGTGGTACACAAAGCTGTCTAATATATGAAAAGAATCTAAAACAATGCATTAATATGGTGTCTATTTTCTATATCTTATCGGGAGTGTTGATTTATCTAGAGCAGAAAGTGAAATTTCCAATTTTCACTTCCAAGGTCATTCATGTTTAGATGTGCCCTTCCCTTTGAAATAATTTTTCATATCACAGTATAGGCCAGGACAAGGCTTTTAATTTGCAGAGGTGAAACATTTGTTTCTCAACTTAGTAGAAAGTTACATCTAACTGAAACCATTATTAGTGAAAGCATAACCTGAGAAATGAAGCCACATGGGCTCTTCCTGTGAGAGACACCTTAGGCATTTGCCAGAAATAATCAATCCAATCTGTACTTTGAGGCAGATCTTAGGTTTTGCAATGTTTATGGCATATATTTTGAACTGTATTTTTTTCTGAATTTTGTTAAGTGAAACAATGTCTAAGTCACTTATTTCTTTGTTTTTAAATGTTATGTTATTCTGGCTGTACTGTTGTTTGTTTCTGCCTATGCACTCAAAAGCTGCCTTCTATTTTTTTAATTTGTTAAAAAATTATTTATAGTAAAATAATAATAACCACTTATTTGCAAGACTAAGTGAAAAATTAGTCTCACCACCTTTGACTCAAGTCAATTAATTGACAGTGCCAGCCCCTGAGGGGAAGGGTCCCAGCTCACCAGCTTCCAGGCAGCCCAGGTGATCAACAAAACCAGGTTCGGACAGCTTCCCTATTTGCATCACGACACTTCATTTTCTTCATCGTTAGAATGGTGCCAGTAACCTTACAGCATCATTGAAAAGATTATATGAGTTCATATACAAAGCAGGCTGAACAGTTCCTTGAATGTAGTGAAGTCTATCTGTGTCCATTAGAATTATTACCAATTTATTCTGTGAAACATATCAATCATCCCAGGAAATTGCCCAGTCAGTTTACATATAAAATGGATACAAATACCAGTGCATTTAATGGAATGTATTTTCTATATTTAAAGACAGTGAAACTGTTGATCTATCAACCACACAGTAGAATATTTGTTGTAAACAGTAACAGAGACTGCATTTTAGTGAAATGAGCGGGGCTTTAAAGTTCAAGGGACTAGCTTTGCATGAAGTTTGTGCCACCTACTACTCAAATGTCTTTGGGCAAGTTACTGAACCATTGTGAGTCTCAGTTTTTTAATCTTTAAATTATATAAGACTTACATTCTGAGGCCATTATGGTATTATCTAATTTTACCATGAAAATGACCTCAGGATATAAGAGGTAGAGAGTTCAATGATGGTCACCAGAGGCTGGGAAGCATTGTGGGAGAGAGGGATAAAGATGGGATGGTTAATGGATATGAAATTACAATTAAATAGAAAGAATAAGTTGTAAAAAAAAAAGAGAGATAAAACAAAATAAAATGTAGATGTTTGGTGACTAGAGTTAACAAAAATAATTGTTTATTTCAAATAACTAAAGGACTAGAACTGAAATCTTCCTAACACAAAGAAGTACTAAATGCTTGAGGAAATAGATACCCAATTGCCCTGATTTTATCATTACATTTTGTATGCTTGTATCAGAATATCATATTTACTTCATAAATATGTATAACTATTATGCATCCATAATAATTAAAAATTAAAAAATCAAAAATTAGATAGTACTTAAATGTTGTCTAACATATTATGGTTACTTACTTAATGCTAATTTCTTCCCCCATCATGCACAAGATGAATAGTCTTCTTATGTGTGAAGTTTATTGAAAACAAAAATTAGAATTTATTTGATTTTAAAATTGCTTAAGAAGCCAGAGTCTTTGGCTCTTTAGTTGATTCAGCTGTCTGGTGGAGTTCCTTAGAATCAGAGTAGCATTATTGCTTGTAAATTTTTTATGAGATTGAACTTACTTACATAACAGATGCTGTGGCATAAAACTATAATGCTAATAGTGAATTATGCTCCATTTCAGAGGCATTCAGCAGATATAAGCACTTTTGAGTAGGGTGTTTTGTACTTGATAGCATTCCAGAATATTCAACCAAATCATCTAATGGTTTCTGAACTTGTTAATTTTGGGGTCAGAACCACTGCTCGTGAAGCTTGAAGGGGATACCAAGGCACAGACCTTTACTGCTCTCTATAGAGAACACTAATCCCCTCTTAAGGAAACATACACACACACACACACACACACACACACACACATGCACAGCCCAGTTAAAGACTCACCGGCACGTGTGACAGCAGACTCTCTTCCGGGATGCCCCCTGGAGAAGTGCAAGCTACGATGGAGAATGGAGTCACTAAATGAGCACAGGGTTCTCTGTGGCTGGAGTTGCCCTCAATGCCAGCGCTGCACTGACTGCAGCCTTGAGCAGGTCTCGCCTGCACTGTGGCACAGGTCTCTGGCCTCCAGCCTGGTTTTGATCACATTGCCTTCACGTTGAGCTCATGTGCTGCCAGCCTCCAGCACTTCACTTTTCTTCTAAGACCAAAAGCATGTTCCTTCATGTAGTGGGATCATACACATTAAAATTTAGGCACCATAAATTGTAGTCTCTAAATCAGGACACCATTGAGAGTAAAATAGGGTACTACCAAAAATCGCTCCAGGACAACAGGAGCATGCTAGGCTGTTGTGAGTAAACTTGGTCAGTGGTCATCTTACGCAGGGGGTTACAGAACAGAATTGTGCCTGCTTGCCCAATTTTATCTTTACTTCTTGCAACTCCTGGTCATTTTCCCATGAGTGTTCTGGACACACTCAAGTTTTGTGAAAGAACTATGTGAAAGGAAAATATATCCTGGGGCCCCAAAATTACTAAGGTGAAGGGAAAAGTCAAGCTGGGAGCTGCTTAGGGCAAACCTGCCTCCTATTCTATTCAAAGTCATCCTTCTGCTCACCAAGATAAATGCATAATTGCCTGCTTTGGAGAAACTAATCAGAAACTCAAAGAATGCAACTGCTTATCTCTCACCTACCTGTGACCTGGAAGCCCCTGCCCTGCTTGGAGTTGTTCCGCCTTTCCAGACAGAATCAATGTACCTCTTACATATACTGGTTGAAGTCTCATGTGTCCCTAAAATGTATAAAACCAAGCTGTGTCCTGACCACTTTGGATACATGTTGTCAGGACCTGCTGAGGCTGTGTCATGGACATGCCTCCTCAACATCGGCAAAATAAACTTTCTAGAAGAACTGAGACCTGTCCCAGATATTGAGGGTTCATATTTTGACAACCATGACAGGATTCTGAGGGGAGGTGCCCCTGACCTTTGACAAATCTCATATCTATGCATGGTACCAGCTTGAGCTATCTTTATGGCTCAAACCAATAAGATAATTTGCTAAGGCCTGGAGGCAACCCCTCCAGAGAATCTCTGATCTCCCCAAATTTTATTGATATCTAAAGTTTATTTTGCTATACAACTCCTTTTTTTTGGAGATTTAGTTGCTTCCAACACAAGAAAGACAATTTTCCTGCCTCCATGACGATGTTGTTGTTTTGTTGTTGTTGTTTTGTTTTGTTTTTGTTTTTGTTTTTGTTTTCCTGTTTCTCAGGTGGTAGAGAGTAGTCTTCAGCCTAAGACCTAAGCCTAGGTAAGAATTGGGGTTTGTCTTGGCTAAAGTTAAGATTAACAACCAGCTGGTCTTCATTTCTCCTTACGATTAGAGTGCTCAGTAACCGTAGAACTTGTGCGATTGTTTGTTTGTTTTGCTTAACTGTTTGTTGTTGTTTGTTTCTGATTTTGTGGTTGTTTCAGTCTTTTTCCCATTGGGTTTGACCAATTCTGTTCGATTCAATCAAATCTGAAGGAAAGTTCCAAATAATGGGGAAGAAGGCCTCTGAAGTGGCTAAATTCCCACCACATGCACACACAAAAGGTGGTGTGGTGGGGGGAGAAAAACAACAGCAAAAGGGAAAAAAATAAAAACAATTTTCGATTTTGACTATTTAAGAGGCTTTATTTATGTAACAAGGCCAGCTTTTTACCTTTTTGCTAGCCATGTCAAACTGAAAGAGCAACAACTATCACCCCACGCTGCATTTCCCTACCTAAAGTTCTGCCTTCCTTTTTTTTTCATCGTGACAGCCTGGGTTTGATTCCTAAATTAAGCCCTTTCTGGTTTCATATTGATAACCCTGAAATAGCAGCAATTTGTCCTAGCTGACATATGGTAATGAGATAAAACATTTTTTTAGAGAAGCTCAATGGTTAAAACTCAGATTAATTAAAAGCTAACATCCAAAATGTGTGTCTATGTGTGCATGTTTGGATTTAAAAGGCCTTTATGTTTTTGTTTTTGTTTTTTTCTCCTAGGACTTTGTCTTTTTTGAGCAAATTTTTTTTTCTTCTCAGTTGACTAAATTCCATTTTCTTCAATTACTTCTGCTGTCTTTCCTTTCTCTTGCACCCTCTGCTGCATGAGGGAACTAAAATAGTTTAAAGTAGCCTGAGATTTCTTAAAGAAAATGGAGAAGGTGCCAGACTCCCTTTAAGGGACAAATCTCTGTTATTTCTTATGGGACCCCAAGAGTATAAGCAGAAAAGTTCATCTCAGCACTTAAACTGCTTGATTTTGTATTGTGTTACCTGAATTTTTGACTAAAACTGTTATTGTAACAGAGGCTACTCTTGGATTTTTAAGGGAGAGTGTAGTTTAGACACTTAGAAATGTCTTTGTTTAAAAAAAATTTTTAAGTGCACCGTAAAAGCACCACATGGTCTAGCCTCATAATAATTCTTCCCTTTTGGAGACCTAGGATTCAGTGTGGGCTCTGCCCAGAGCTCAGAGATCCAGTTAAAAGATAGGTAGTCCCAATCTAAATAAATTGATCTCATTGTATACTCCTATGATAGATTTCTAATAATTTTATGCTTGATTTGGTATCCATCTTTAATCTCCCTCTAGCATCACTACACTTTTTCTCTCTGTAATCTTGAGAGATGCAAATTTTGCTATTTGATTTTTCACCTAAGAGTTGTTGCCTTCAATATGCAGATTTAGGGCTATTAGCTGACAACTGCCAGGGTAATGAAACAAGTTATCAAGAGTTCACTAGTCTAAGATCAGGAAAAAAAAAAAGGTCTTATGAATCTGTAAGATGTACTTCTATCAGCATGCCTAAAACATCTATGTATTTATGTGTTGTGTACACAATGTTTCACTACTAAAACTATATAAAAGAGTTCTAATTAATTGGCTTGAAGGAAAATAAAAACACTTAAATCAAATACTTTCTCAGAGAAAAGGAAAGACTAGTCAAATGCTTTTCCAAGTTTATGTAATCTAAGTAAAATCTTTAATAAATAAGCTAGCTTTAAAATTATTGGTAAACTAATATTAGTGATCTATTAAGTATTGTCAGCATACATTTTTATTTGCATTTATTAATTAAGCAATTTCATACTTATCCCTGCCAAATACCATAGGTGTCAAAATTTGGCATAGGGGTTACAAAACTATAAAACCCAGTCCCAAACATAATGATCTTTGCTTGTGTAATTTTTGATAAATAATATATTGATATTGGTTTAATAAAAATAGCTAAATCTAAAAAAAAAATAGCTAAATCTTGGATTATTTAATAAAATAATCATAACTTCTAATCTTGTGGCTTTAGACAGCCTAGTCCCCAGTCAGGAAGCGGGTTTGTTTTGGGAAAGGACTGTTATCTTCTTTGTTTCAAAGTTAAACTACAATTTCTTCCCAAAGTTAGTTTGGTCTACACCTAGGAAGTAACAAGGAGAGCTTGGAGGTTACAAGCAAGATGGGGTCAGTTAGTTCAAATCTTTTTCACTGACTCAGTTACAAGTTTACAGTGGTGGTTTCATAACTTTAACGATTATCACAGTTTTCATAAATAATCTAGGTAAATAATTAAAATAATTTGGTAAATGTATTGAGTAAATACTTGTAGACAAACTTTTCATAATTTAGAATCTAAAGTTATGTTAAATTAAATAATAGATATTTCATTATTGGAGTATTTTCCAATAAAAGTATATGGTAGGAAAACATTCTTTCTGAAAACAAAGCATCCTTTTTAAAAAGATAAATAATTTTTGTCTACTTCAAAGCTTATTTAAAGGTTGTATATAAAACAAGGTAAAAGTAACCAGGAAATAAGAGATATATAAAAACGGTTATAAAAATAAAGGGGTATTTTTTGGTAAAAAGCTTAAACAGAAATAATTTTATGTGAGAAAGAATCTTATATGGGAATTAGTCTTAGAATAAAATTACTGGTTGTTTAAGAAGGAGGGATGGTTGGGTCAAACCACAAAGTCCAAGCATATAATGAATGGTCTGTGTAAGTCACAATAAAGGGAGTTATTAAAAACAACCAAAGTTGTTCTATAATCAAGTTGTCTATAATTAAATGGAAATTATAGTGGTCTTTCTAGAAATTGGATTTAATGTAAAAAAATTCACTTATAAATTAAATAATTGGTTAGAAAAATAAAATTTTCTTAAGGGATTGATTTACTCTTAATAAATTATAACAGGTTTAATGTTTTATTGAAATAATTTCTATGCCATTATTATAAAGTTTTGGTTTCCTTAGGAAAAAATTAGATTAATTTTTTTTCTTTAGGTTATTACACTCATGTAACTTTCTGTGTGTGCTTTTAAAGTCCTTGTCCCATTAAGTTACAGGGTTTTGATGCCTGGGTCTAAAAGGACACCAAGTACTGCTAATCTTTACACTGATAGCAGTCAAAGCCTCATCTTCAGTCCCTATAGCAGATGCCAATCCAAGTAAACTGTGTTTCTGAGACATAGTACCAGAAATTAAAGCTATTTAACTCCTCAAGGTCTTGGGACAATTGTGGAAGAGATGGGTGCATGAGATTGTAAGGACCGATTTTGAGACATAAGTAAGTTCAGTTTCTCTATAAATTAGCCATTAATGTGAAACGCACAATGATGCAAAACCAACATATGGGCCCCTGTGTCAGAATAACAAGGTTTTCTTGAAGCATTAACCAACTCCTTAATAAAAGTTAAAAAAGACTTACAGAAATTATCTCTTACGGTCAAGTTAATTAAAATTGTGTATATTGTTATATAATTTTGAAAAACAAATTTAATTGGCTTTATGCTGTTCTTATTGGGGCTTATTGTTTGGAAAATTAAGTCCCCTCTCAAAAAAAGAGTGTTTTTGCCTTTTCATGAAATCTTTGAGTTATCACTTTGGTTGAATGTATGACTTATTTCACAATAACCTGCAATTCTATTTTGTGATATCAAGTGTTATAAACCTTTGATATTTGACAAACTTTCCAAAATCAAATTACAAGTTATGTCTTTTTCTGGCCTAATTGATCATTTAAGATATTAGTTTATCTAAAGTCCAAAAATTATATATTTGGCTTATTTGTTATAAAAATTATAAAGGAAGCATTGCCAAATAGGAAATGGTGTTTGACTTTCTTTGAACTGTATTTGTATAAATATGTTATTGGTATGTGTTCCAAAATTATGGGAAACTCCTGCAATTCTGATATGACTTAGTGTACGTTATCAGTAATACTTATAATTGTTATGTTAAATTATTGCATGCCACATAGGTAACAAATTTCCTTGTCAATTGTGTCTTTGGCAATGGTTGTCCTGAAACTTTTTGCTGGACAAACAATTGTCATCTACAGACAATTGTTGCCTTGTTTTGGTCTTCTTTAGAAGGTGGTTTTATGATCAGCTATAAATTCTAACAGGTGTTCTTGAATGCAGGGTTCTGATAACTTTGGAGATTGTAAAATCAGAATAAAAAAAATTTTCAAGACTCTCATGGAGAGTTGGAAAGTCTGTGAATAACATGAAGAACAAGAGTTAACTGCATGGACTGAACTAATTAAAGACTAAAGTAATCTTTTGAGTTTTTTGCTTAAGACATTGCTAATTCTTTGTTTTGTTTTTCAGAGTCAAGAAAACTTTTGAGCTACTTACCGCATGTAGCAATTGAGTAAAATATACTCCTGTGAACAGAATTTGGAGCATATTTGTTTCTCTCTACCTGATTTGTCCAGAATTTGTTAACTATTTGTGAGTATTCTTAACTTATGGCAATATAGTTATTTGCGTAAGTGCCAATAAGAATGTTTTCTTTTGCAACAGAACACCATTGGAGAAACTGGTCATTTTCTAAGGCTTTAACTGGATTGATGTGCTTTCCTTTAAGGAATCAAACTTGGCTTACAGAGTCAATAAAAGCTCCTTGGGAAAACTGGCCTCATACCATGTCTGCACAGTCTATGTACAGGGTTCCTGACCTGTGGTAAGCAAAGAATGTCACTTTCTGACAGGTCCAGGAGCCCCAGGTTATCTTGGGACCTCAAGAGGAGAGGAATTTAGCCAACTCATAGGCATTTAATGGTACAAAGCCATGGCTGGCCTCAGCTTTAAAAAAGTCTTATCTGAGATTCCTTCTATGGAACAAAGTTCCATGAAAGCCAATTTAAAAAGCTTACATAAAACATAATTCTTCTTACCTCATTTTATACAAATAATCAGGCCAAGTGTAATAAAGCAAATCAGTCCTACCATGATTTGTCTTAGTAAAAATGGGAAACTGGAGAGAGAAAAATTCTGTTTCAAAAACTGTAATACACCTGCTGTTAAATTCTAGTCTTGCCTAATGTTTCACAATTTTTATTATTTTCTACAGTTTGGATTGAATTTTAATTTTTCCTGGCTACAAGTCTCCAAAATAATGTTTTCAATTTTTTTCTTCTTTCTTTTCCTTTTCCCATCATTTTTCCTAGTTTGAAATTACTGAAAACTAAGCTGTACTTTCTTAAAGCCCTGCAAACTGAAGCTAGACAACTTCAACTTCAGAAGAAAATAACAAAAACCTATCTATATACATAAGCCACTTTCCTACCTGCCTACTGCTATATTATGGACTTCAGAGTAATGTGGACTATATTGATTTTCCAGGATTGTTCCTTTTGATTGTTGTTTTTCTCCCCTCCTTCCCCTATTTTCTCTTTGTAGGTCATGAGACTTACAACATGCTAAAAGTGAGCTTTCCTGATAACTTGGGGACCTACCCATCTAAATATAAACCATCCTAGCCATGAGAGATCACATGAAGCCTCAGACAAGAGACTCATTTTATTCTAAAATGCTTTCTCCAAAAAAATTTTAAAAATAAAGAGGGGGAAATGTGAAAGGAAAATAAATCTTGGGGCCTCATAACCACTAAGCTAAGGGGAAAAGTCAAGCTGGGAACTGCTTAGGGCAAACCTGCCTCCCATTCTATTCAAAGTCACCCCTCTGATTACTGAGATAAATGTATATCTGATTGCCTCCTTTGGAGAGGCTAATCAGCAACTCAGAAGAATGCAACTCTTTGTCTCTTGCCTACCTGTGATCTGGAAACCAGTCCTTGCTTCAAGTTGTCCAGCCTTTCCAGATGGAACCAATGTATATCTTACATATATTGATTGATGTCTCATGTCCCCCTAAAATGCATAAAACCAAGCTATGCTCTGACCACCTTGGGCACATGTCATCAGGACTTCCTGAGGCTGTGTCAT
Source organism: Homo sapiens (assembly GCF_000001405.40). Lineage (NCBI taxonomy): Eukaryota > Metazoa > Chordata > Mammalia > Primates > Hominidae > Homo > Homo sapiens. Next base: position 53,343,645 of record NC_000007.14, read on the forward strand.
GGCTGCACATTCTCAACCTTGGCAAAATAAACTTTCTAAATTATCTGAGACCTGTCTCAAATATTTGGAGTTCACAGCTACTTTCTCTCATTTTATCAGGCCTCTAATGAGGCTGAAACAATGTGTCCTCTTAGAGCAAATAATTGCTTCTTTGGTCTCATCTAAGATACATTCCTTCAACTCTCATCCAGCTCCCGGGACCACTCACTCTGGGAAGTCCAGGCACACTCCTGCTCAGGGCCTTTGCACTGCTGTGGCCATTTCTGCCTGAGAGCTCCACTCCTGCATTTCCTTTAGATCTTTACTCAACATTGCCTTCTCAGTGAGAACTTTCCAGTTTGCTCCACTGAAAACTGTGATCCTTCCCCTCAGGACACAACATGAAGTGTCCTGCTATATTTCTCATGTAGTATTTATTTTCAAGTAAACCATACTTATAGCAACATATGTATTTTTTATTGACTATTGTATTTCCAGCACCTACAATGCTTGGTGCATAGTGCATAATAATGTTTGTGAATAATAAATGTTTGTGAGTTTGAATGTCTCTATGCCTTTGCACATCCCTTTGTCTGTAACATCCCATCCTCCTTTCTTTGTCTGGGTACGTCCTATTCCTTCCTTAAAATATCAGCTCAGTTGTAACCTGTTTTAAGAAGCTTTTCCTGCCCTCCAGGTCTCAGTTTTGTAAAGGATTTCAAGGACACCCATTGTCCTGAACTTGTGTCATTACTCATTATAATTGTCCTTTAACCTGCCTCCTTCAGCACTAGACTTGGAGCTCCTTTGAGTCAATGAGTGGCTTTATTGCTGTTTCTCTAATACAGTGCTGCAATCCTGAATAAATTATTAATTACACACATCCCATGTTAGAAAACTCATTACATTTAGAGCCAAACCATTTCATCATTAGATGATTCTAAAGATATCTCATATTTGGTCAAAGCTTAGATTAGTTCTTCAACTTTCCCTTTCCTTATATAATAAGTTTCCTGAACTCATCACCACACTGTCCATCATGAGCACTTGTAATTCACTCTGACTATGTGCTTTCATTCTGTGAAATTTTAAAAAATATTTTTCTTAAATAGGGTACAAAGAACAAAATAGCTTGGATGAGGTTTAGTTTTGTCAGCTCATGGAAGTGTAGGTAGATCCTTTATTCTTTCCATACATGACAGAATGAGTCTATGATGTCCTAAAACTGTTGACAGCTTTTTTGAAATTCATATTTTGATCTGAAATGTATATACTAACTACCAACTTCTCTCAGTCTTATTTTATTTTTTGGAATTTTTTCAAATTTATATCACAGGCATGTTTTATAATCATATTTCCATATATGCTTTCAAGACAGAATATGACAGTTCAGCTACTACTACTTTTACATATATTAATTAAATTTTAAAAGTATAGTCATTTTACTAGTTGTCAACACCAACTTATTGAAAATCTATTATATTTTCCCCTTTGACCAGGGTCTTCAGACTATGCTGAATATTCTGCAACGTGGGTGACAATTGACATTGGCAGAGCTTGTAAATCTTGCTAGTTATCGAGAGACTGGAGAGGATCATTCAGAAGCCGACAAATCAATCAGACAGAGCAGGCAAATTTTCTGAAATTTCTCTTCATTTTTGGTCATGAGTTCATGAGAAATATTTTCATAATTAACTGCCAATATTTGCTTTTTCTTACAACAGTAGCAAGAAGGACATTTAAGTTATTTTCTGTAAATATTTCTTACTTTTCCATTTTCCAATGATAGGAATTGAACAATTGCTTATTTTATTTAGTCTTGATTTTTCTTTTTGTTTATTCATTACAGCTATATTGAGGTTTAAATTACATGCCACAAAATTTGCTCATTGTAAGTGGAAAATTTAATGATATTTAGTAAATTTATATAGCGGTGCTGGAATCACCATAATCCATGATTACAAAATTACTATATCCCCCTAAAACTTTCCCCAAGTCCATTTCCAGTCAATCTCAGTTCTCTCATCCAGACCCAGGAATCCACCGTTTTCTATTCTTGTAATATGCCTTTTCTGGATATGTAATGTAAATGGAATAATATAATATGTAGACTTTTGCATTTTCTTTCTTTTACTTAGCACAGATTGGGGCAAACTATGGGTTGTGGGCATGCTGTCTCTTTTTGTAAAGTTTTCATGGTACACGCCATGCTCATGTGTTTATGCATTGTCTATGGCTGCTTTTGTGGAACAATAGAATTGAGTTATTGACAGAGACAATAGGACCTGAAAAGCCTAAAGCATTTACTATTTGGCCCTTTAAGAAAAAAGTTTTCCAATGCCTGGCTTAGTATAGTTTAGCTTTATCCATGTCATGGACTATGTCAGCAGTTCATTCATGTCATTTATCATGATTACCATTTCACTGCATAGATATACCACATTTTGTTGGTTCATTCATCAGTTGATAGACATTTGGAACGTTGCCATTTTTGGCTATTACGAATAATTCTGCAGTATGTGCTTATGTCCAAGTCCTCGTGTGGATACACATATTCTACTGAGTAGATTTCTAGGAGAAAAATTGTAGGAATCTATGATAAGCTCATAGTTTACTTTTTAAGAAACTGCCAAAATGATTAATGATGTTGAACACCTTTTTATGTGCTTATTAACCATGCATATGTCTTCTTTGTTAAAAAAAACCCTTTTGTCCATTTTAATATAGAGTTGTCTGTTACTGAGATATAAGAGTTCTTAATACATTTAAGCTGCAAGTATTTTATCAGATATACGATTTGGAAATGTTTTTGCCTGGTCTGTAACTGGTCTTTTTATTTTCTGAATGGTATCTTTGGAAGTACAAAATGTTTTAATTTTATTGAAATATAATTTATTTTTTCTTTTTCTTTTATAGATTGTGTGTTTGCTGTCACGTCTAAAACTCTTTGTTTAACTCAAGGTCATATAGATTTTCTCCTGTGTTTTCTTTTAGAAGCTTTCTATTATTGGATTTTACATTTAGGTCTGTAATGCATTTTGAGTTCTTTTCTGTGTATGGCATGAGGAGGTAAGGATGAAGCTTTTCCTCCATCCCCTCCTCCTCATCCTCCTTCTCCTTCTTCTTCTTATTTTTTTATGTAGATATTAAATTGTCTTGCCACCATTTGGTAAAAAGACAATCTTTTCCAAACTGAATTGAATTGGCAGTTTTTTCGGAAAGCAATTGACCATGAATGTAGGGGTAAATTTCTTGACTCTGACACTGTTTCACTGATCTAACCTATTCCTTTATGTATATCATAATGTCTTGATTACAACCTTATAGTAATTTTTTAAATTAGGCAATATGAGTCCTACAACTTTGTTCATTTTTTTGAAAACGGTTCAAGCTTCAAGTACTTTCATTTCTGTATAAATTTGTTGGATCAACATTTAATTTCTACAAAAAAAGCTCACAGCGACTTTGAAATGGATTCTGTTGAAATTGACAGATAAATTAAGGTAGAAATGGTATTTTAACATATTGTGACTTCCAACCATAAATATAGAATGTGTCTTGATTCATTTAGATTTTTAATTTCTCTCATCATTATTTTGTAGTTTTCAGCATACAAGTGTTACACTTCTTTTGTTAAATTTATTCTTAAGTATTTTATTGTCTTTGATACTATTGTGACTGGGTTTTATTTATTTTTATATGTTCATTTTGTATTCTGTGATCTGGCAAACTTGTTTGTTAGCTCTAGTTGGCTTTTTGGTGCTTTTATTTGCTTTATTTTTTAATATGTATTATGATAAATTTATACTGGATTTATCATTGGACTTTCTAATATCTGGATTTCCCTGCATATTTATTATAAACAGTTTGAGGCTAGCTTCCTATACCACTGGTCCTAGCTATAAAGGATACTTGGACATACTGAATCTTTTCATTTATTTCAGCAAGAAATAAGAGAACATCATGAAAAAAGGACTTTTTTTGTTCATGTATGTTTATTGCGGCACCATTCACAATAGCAAAGACTTAGAACCAACTCAAAAGTCCATCAACGATAGCCTGGATTAAGAAAATGTGGCACATATACACCATGGAATACTATGCAGCCATAAAAAGGATTAGTTCGTGTCCTACTTTGTAGGGACATGGATGAAGCTGGAAACCATCATTCTGAGCAAACCATCACAAGGACAGAAAACCAAACACTGCATGTTGTCACTCATAGGTGGGAACTGAACAATAAGACTTGGACACAGGGTGAGGGACATCACACCCCAGGGCCTGTCATGGGGTGGGGGAAGTGGGAGGGATAGCATTAGGAGATACACCTAATGTAAATGACGAGTTAATGAGTGCAGCACACCAACATGGCACATGTATACATATGTAACAAACCTGCATGTTGTGTACATGTACCCTAGAACTTAAAGTATAATATAAAAAAATCTTATTTTCTTAAGCCATCAACTATGCACTGAGTATCCTTTCCTTTTTGTCCCATTTTTTAAAATTGCTCTTATTATTTAAGTTGCTCTGTCTCCTTCATTGGCTCTATTTGGTTGAATCCTCTTCATATTCTGTTTCTCTTCTTATTTCCCTTCAGGTGTTCTTTTAAATCTCTTTCTATTTAAAAAAAAAAAAAGAAAGAAAAGCAAAATAAAGTCAGATTTGAATAAGGAATAGTGATATCTTTCAAGTGCTTTTGTCCATGTATTGTTTTATAGTTTTTAGCTTGCTTTCACACATATTATCTGATTTGATTCTTACATAAACCATACGGCAGAAAGCAAGGCATGCCTACTTATTCCCCAACCCAAAGAAAGGCAGGAAAAGACTCAGTAGACAGTGCTCTTGAGAGCTTGGCAAAACCTGGGTAGAAATCAGCACTCTTTCACCTCTATCCAGAGTTCACTCCAGGTATCACAGAGTCCTCACTGGGGTGCAGCACATGAAACTGTGTTCTGTCCTAGGATGTGGAAAACTGTCTCTCTGGCTGATACTTTCCTTCCTGATGAGAGTTGCAACTCACACTTCATCATCTGGAGTAATTATTCACAAATCAAAATTGAAATCAATGGTTGAGTCACGCATCCACTGCTGTCATTCCACAGTGAAAAAAGTTAACAGTTCTGTTATTGACCATAAAAAAGTACCAACTTTTGGAAAGTACCATGGAATCTCCATAAAAATTCTCCTTGACTTTATAAAGGTTTATGCATTTATTTTTATAAGAGTCAAGTTTAGAAAACAGGCAATGCTTCTAATTTATATTCAACATAATCATCTGTTATCTATTTAAGCTAGATAATGAAAATGAGATAAAGGAAATAGGCACCAATTTATACTAGCTATTAACTTTCCCAGGGGTATGCTATTAGAACTAAAAAAAGGTTTGTTGAGGTTGTCCTTCAGTTTAATTTCACTCCGTAATATCACTAATGACCCCATTAAGGACATTAAAAGTTTCCTTTTCTGATCAATCTTTAGAATATTGAACTCCATAAAGTATCTACTGACTAACCAGCTAAATAAATCAAGGTCACCTTTAAGATGGCATCCTAAAGCTAATTGTGGGTATAAGACTCGTTATATAAATATCATACAGAAGGAGTTATCTCCCTCAGCACCAAGATTACACCAAGCAAATTACTTCACTTGCCTGTTCAACAATCTTCTCAGAGGGCAAGTTTAGCCTACAAAACTTATATTAAATAGGAAAAAAGAGTTGAGGTTATAACTTATTTCAAAATGCAGCATCCCTTATATAATTTGCAATCAGTATTTGTTTGGAATCTTCTAGTTACAGTATAAAAGTGAGCATGCAAGAAATAAGAAGCCTCTTATGTTTCTTTCCTTGTCCATTTTTTTTTCATAATTTTTAGATTAGAGTGAGAAGACTGGGAAGAAAAGGTAAGCTTTGTTTCAGGTGATTTATATCTACCATGTGCTAACACTGACTGCTAAAGTTTGACCATAGCATTAATACTCACAGTTAATAAAAATTAGTTTTTTGTCTCAAAACACAGTCTCTTCATTTCCCTCTTTCTCTCCTTTTCATGTTTCTTATGTTTATTATCTCTTTTCATTTTGCAAAATCCTAAATATTGAACAGACTATGGTCAGAAAATATGTATTTATGTGCTATTATTCACATCCGCAGCTCAACCCTTTCCATATTTCATAACCAGCATATGCCATTATATTGGGCTTGTATTATTTGGGAGAAAATATATGGAATAGCTATAGAATTGCTCAGTAGTTTAGACCTATAGGAGACCTAAGCCAAATAACCAAGGAGTACAGACTTCTTTTTGTTGGGGAGAAAACTGTGGCAGAATATTCTATCAACTTTTTCTAAATATGATTGAACTGGTGGCTTAGATTGGACTTGAAGATATTTCTCCTGTGACTCAGGGTTTCTGGGAAAGCAAAACAGTGAGACTGATATTTGTGTGCAAGAAATGTATTGGGGGTGCTTTTGGGATGAACACATCTTGGGTAATGAAGGAACAAGGAGGACTGGGCAGAGGAGGAAGTGGAAAGCTTTCACGCTCTCACAAGACCTCAGCAGTCACACCGACCCACCCCAGCAGGCTCTGTCTAACTGGAAAGGCACTAGAGCATTGCCTAATGAAAACAAAAGGGATGGCCTTTATCCCCGCTGTTGTTTGGCATCCTATGTGTGCTGCCCCAAAAAGGAGGCATGGTCTTGGGGCAAAGTGGCTGTCTTTAGCAAAGGGAAGTTGCAGAGAGGGTCTCAGCTGAGAGCTGCCTGTGATCAACCTTCTGGGCAATTGGGCTATGAGCACTTTGTCCTCCAGGGGGCGGTGGGAGGTGCACCACCAAGTGCACTGCATTGGAAAGACAGGTCTCTTGTATTAAGAGTGAGACACTCTTAGCAAGACACTGATGTTAACCATCACATTATAAATAATCCTTTGCTGTATATTTTTCATTAGAAATAAAAACTATGCTGAGTAATGTTATTGGAAGAAAATTAATTAGGTAGCTTGGGAAGATTATTTTTTAAAGTCTATCATATTATCTTGATTTAAAAATTAGATTATACAAAGTGTATGGGGAAATATGGAGGTAGAGTTAACTTAATTAATTTTTAAGTGTAATCAGGATGCACTATATTAGTTTCCTAGGGTTGCCGTAACAAATGGCTACAAACTTAAAATAGCAGAAATGTACTCTCACAACTCAGAGGGCCAGGAGTCTGAAATCACGGTGTCAGCAGGATTGGCTCCTTTTGTAGGCTTTGGGAGAGTGTCTGTTCCATTGCCTCTGTGGTCATCTGGCCTTTCCTGTGTTTCTCTGTGTATCCTCCTCCTTCTTATAAGGAGGATACCATTCTTTAGATTTAAGGCCCACTCTAAATCAGTATGACCTCACCTTAACTAATTACTTCTGCAGAGACCCTGTTTCTAAATGAGGTCACATTATAAGATCCCACATAGGTATTTATTTCGGGAGGACACTGCTCAGCCCTCTACATATACATTCAGTGTTCTACTTATTATTGCAATTAACAATATTCGCCATCAAATGTCAATTTTTTTCATTAATACAAAGTTATATTTTAGGTTCATTTCTGTCTGTATACGCACAATTGCTTTATCATAGATCCTGCCATATGTGTCATCATAGCAGATTCTGAAAATGATTAGACAGAAAACAAACACAAAATTGTGCTCTCAGTATCATTCAAAGGACATCAATATACTGAATCTATTGATCATATTTAAGACAACTTGTATTGCAAACGGGGGGTATAGAAAGCACATAAAATATGTTGAACACCGTCATACATTTGGTATGAAATGAACATGAAAGGCAAAATAAACTTCCATTTAAATTTAATCAAATGATCTCTTTTTTTGCCTTGTAAATAACAGAGGCTTGGAAAATTATTTAAGTGAATCATATCTCTTTAAGATATTACACGCAGAAGTTTGATCTCATGTTTTCTTTTTCTGGCTAAGCATTTATTTTATTTTATTTTTTCTCTAGAAGCAGAGATATTCTAATGCATTCCATTGACCTTAGGGTTACCTCATAGTAATTTTCTAGACATTCCATAAGTGCTTACTTACAGTTGCTTCCATCTTCACAAAGATCATGTTTTTCTCCATGAAAAAAAATTTTAAATGTAAGGTCCGACCCAGCATTTCTCTCCTTACTTACTCTCATTTCCTCAAGTTCTTCAGAACTGACCTCAATATCTGACCCATGAAGAGTTACTAGGAAACAGATACCTGCCACAGTGTTGACAAGTAATTCAGCCTTGTTAGTCATGGCACAAATTACTACACCATTAACTCTTAAATATCAAGGACAACTGAAGCTTTAATAGATGGGACACGGGACAGAACTACCTAACAGGTTCAACAGGACTACCTAAGTCAATCAAAACACATTTACTTAGAAATCAAAAGACCTCTCAAATGTCAAAGAACACATTTTAATCAGAATTTGGCTATAACATGCTACTGTCTGGTCTTCAGGTTTCTTTTTGTTTAGGTGTTCTTGAGTTCCTCCCAAAACTCTCTGCTGAAATGTAAGTGGATGACTTCTTCAAATGGAATGTACAATTTTTCCTTTAGATATTTAAATGTGGAAAGATAAACACATATAGAGATTTAGGTGCTAGATAGATGATTGATGGTTAGACAACCTTTTTATAAAAGTCCATAAAGGTAAAGAAGACAGGTGGACACCAAGACACAGAAGACTATAATGAGCAACCTGAACTGACATTGTGAGTTAATGCCAGAAAAAATGGTATTCATCATAGTCTGTTTTCTGTTGCTTACAACGGAATACCTGAAACTGGGTAACTTACAAGAAACAAAATTTATTTCCCAAAGGTAGGCAGGTCCAAGATCAAGGGATCACATCTGATGAGGGCCTTCTTGCTGGTGGGGCCCCTCTGCAGAATACCAAGGCCATGCAGAGAATCACATGGTGAGGAGGCTGAGCATGTTCGCTCAGGTCTGTCTTCCTCTTCTTATAAAGTCACTATTTCCACTCCCATGATAACCCATTAATTCATTAATCCATTAATACATGGATAGATTAATCCATTCATGAGGGCAGCCCTCATGACCCAATCACCTCTCAAAGGCCCCACCTCTCAACGCTGCAAAATTGAGAACAACGTTGCAAGACGAGTTTCAGAGGGGATGAACATTCAAACCATAGCACAGTCACTCTTTTTGCACCTTGACATGTACCCTGAGATAAGTAAATGCTACTTATTTCTGGCAGATGAATGTAAAAATGAAGAGGGTTTTATCTAGTAATCCAAATCTGTAAGTCCTGGTAATCAGATAACAAACTCATTTGGGGATGTGGGCTTATCATTCTTATAAAATATATGTTTTTCCAGGAGAGTCCCGTACCCCAGTAAGGGGGCGAATGGACACTAGAATTAAGAGGTTGGGGGGTTGGCTAGTGCAGTCTGAAGTTAAGGGTGAAGTAGAATCCTATCCATGAAAGTGAAGTCAATAGCACTGAGCAAGAAGTATCCAGAGGATGCATAAAAGGGTGTCAAAGGGAAAGAGGTCAGCCAGATTTAAGTAGCTGCTTGGCCCAAAGAGAGTGAAGCCATCTTAGAGAAACTGATACCTAAGAACGTTACTAAAAACTTCCCAGTTCCAGGAGAAGGAGTAATAGAAACCAGATTTACCTTCTCTCCTGAAACAAACAAAATATGGCAGTGTCTATGAAACAATGGGTTTTAAGACACTGGGCAAAAGGCAGCAAGGATAGAAATCCTGATAGGTGAGAAACAATGAGGTAAGTCTGATTTTTAAAAGAGCTTCCAGGGCAAAATATAAGTATAGTGTATCAGTTATCACTTAGGGTTCTACAGAGAGACAGAGCCAATAGGATGAAGAGTGTGTGTGTGTGTGTGTGTGTGTGTTTGTATATGTGTGTGTGTTTTAAGGCAGTAGCTCAAACAGTTGTTGGGGAGGACTGCTGGCAAGTCTGAAATCTGTGGGACAGGCTAGTAAGCCAGAAGATCAGGAAGGATTTCTTACATTACAGCCTTGAGGCAGAATTCCTTCTTTGAAAACTTCAATTTTCATCTTCAGTCCTTCACCTGATTGGATGATGCCCACCCACATTATCAACAGTAATCTCCCTTGCTTGAAGTCAAGTGTTTGTAAATGTTAATCACATCTACAGAATATTTTCACAAGAATATCTACACTAGATTTTGACCCAACAACTGGGCACTATAGTCTAGTTGAGTTGACCCATAAAATTAAAATTACCATTGGGGAGCCCATGCATAGCTTGGTGGACTCCTGAGGTTGAGGAGTTAGAGCTGAGAGGCTAGGAAAACCATGCAGTTCGGGTTTGCTGGGCACAGTGTCAGAGAAGAACAAACTGCTCAAGGACAGAACACCAGAGAACTAAAGAGGGTACTTGTGATTATTTAGCAAAGTTCTGATAAGCACATGCTTGTGAGAAGACTACCTGAGGCTAGAGAAAGAACTGCCCCCAAATCTGAGAGGTGACCGTTCTTCAGCCAGGTGGAAACTTCATCAGTCATGGAGCCTGCGGTATAGCATGCAGGAAGCCTTGCTCCAGAAATGGGACTTGACCAGCCCTTGGCCAAGAACTATCCTGGACTTATCTAACAAGTCATAAAAGTAAAACCTGAAAGAATCAAACTGCTCTCAAGCAATGTATCTTTATCCCACTACAAACCATAGGAAAAATTATTTGAATGCAAATATATGTAGCATATAGAAATGTAAACCTCACCATAACTTGTTTTCAACTAAAAGTTAACAGATATACAAAAAAGTAAAATTATTATTCACAAGAATAATGAAAATTAATCAATACAACTGAAAACTGGGATAGGTTTTAAAATTAACACAGAAGGATGTTAATACAGTTAAAATAACTGTGTTGCAAATATTGAAAATGATAAGTGGAACTATCTGACATATAAAAAGACCCAAATGAAGACAAAGAGAAGAAAATTATCACGTCTGAGATTTTTAAAAATATAATGCACTTCTGGTATTAACAGTAGATTAGACATTGCAGAAAATTAATCAAGTTAAAAATATAGCAATAGAACCTATCCAAAATGACACACAAGGAGAACAAAACAACTCAAAGTTAAAAATAAAAATAAAAATAAAAAAGAGGGCAACAGAGGGCTGTGAGAAATTAAGCAGTGTAATTACTTGATCAATTTGTATCAAGAGAGCCCCCCCAAATGAAGGAAAAAATTGATACATAAAATATTTGTAAAAGATTACTGACAATTTTCTAAATTTGATGAAAATTATAAATCCACAGATCACAGACACTGAATAAACTCAAAGAAAAAGCAATATGAAGAAAATGACAGCAACTTAAATCACAATCAAATTGCTCAAAACCAGGGATAAAGAAACAGTATTAAATGTTATCAGGAAAAATAAAACCTGCTATTGCTATGTATGGAGTAATGATAAAAGATAATGCCTGATTTCTCACTGTTAAAAATACAAGAGAGAAAACAATAGAAAAGCATTTTTAATGTACTGAAAGGAAAAAAAAATCCATAAACCTCAAGTTTTATACTTAGCAAAAATGTCTTTCCAAACTAAAAGTGAAATACGTACTTTTTTAGCCAAAGTGTTTGAAGGACTTAGTCACAAACGGACTTGCATATCTGAAGTATGAAAGAAAATCTTGTAGAGAGAAGGAAAATGTATAAAATTGAAATAAGAATACAGAAAAAACAATGCAAAACACTGGAAATATGAACTACCTGAGCAAATATACACAATTTGCCATATTTAAAATTTTTAAGATAAAATTGAATGTAAGTATAATTAATAACAATATATTGTAACGTTTATAGCACATCTAAATGTATATGTATGTACAAATATATATAGATATAAGTGTATATATTGTGTGTATGTTGGGTAAAAGTATAATACATGAAAAAATAGCACAAAGAATGTAGATTAAAAAATGGGAAGTACATAATTGTAAGTTTCTTATACTATAGGAATTGTTGGGATATAACATGAAAGACTGTGGTAGACTCTGAAAAGTTAAAGATGTATGCTCTAGACACTACAGCAAATGCTAAAATGGTGAAGAGTTGCAGCTAATAAGCCAGCACATTTTAACTGAATTACAAAAAGCAATTAATTAATCAAAAGAAGGAAGAAAATAGAAAATTAAAAACCCAGAACATGTGGGACAATGGAAGTAAAATGAAAAAATAGAAAATAAATATATAGTAAGATGATGGGTTTAAATGTAACTATATCAATAATTGTATTTAATTTAAATGATAAAAATTGTATATTTGATTATTTAATTTTTACATTTTTATCTGAGGATTTTATTTTGAGAAGTTACCTACAATGTATTTACTAAACAGCATTCTCTCCAACCTCTGTAGATCTTACTTTATCATGTATTTCCTTTTGTAAAACATGACTTTCGCTCTTATTCTGGACTTTATTCTTTATCAGGATTTCTTTCTATTGTATTTTGCTCTATAATATATATTACTTTTACTATTATGGAGGTATGCATGGGAGTAAAAAACAGCTTCCTTCTACCTTCCTAAGTTCTTTGACTGGACTAAAATTAAATTGCCATGGGACAGATTAATACGGAAAATATTTTAATTATGTACACATGAGAATCCCATAATATATGAGACTCAAAGAATGGTCAGATGATTGAAGCTTATATAGCATCCTGAGCTGAGAGGCATAGAATTGTGGGGTTCTTGGGGGGTGGTGGTGACACAAGTTATAGAAGGGTGAAGGGAGGAAAGGTATGGGGCACAAAGATTGTCCTGTTATGCCGATTCAGTCTCTGCAGCTTTAGGAGGAATAAATGATTGAATGGGCATGGGGTGAAATTCTAATGTTCTCTCCAGTGATCCTTTAATCTTTCCTGGTTGAATGCCGAGGGAGGGTATTCATGACAGTTGAGTTCCTTTGGGAGGACCCGTCTTTGGACAGATGAGCAGAGCCCAGAGAAAGCCTCTGCCTGCACTGCCTGTGTTTGCTGTTTCCAAAGTGCCCTCAGTTCCAAGTAATCAGCAGAGCAAAGCATCATATTTTAGGGTGGCATTTTTGTAACTCTTTCAAATTCTTTTAATTTTCCACCTCCTTCTCCAGTTTTACACCTTTTGTCCTTTCAACCAGGCTTTTGCTCGATCCTGGCTACAAAAACTGTTCTCTTGAAAACCCGTAGTAAACATATTAGATACATCCAGTGGCTTTTTCCATTCCTCAGTTTACTGCATTGTATCTTCATTATATGACAGTCTCCAATGCTGGAATATTTCTTTTGAACTCTGCCCTTTCTTTGATTTACATGACATGGGACATGGGACAGCCAGGTTTCTGTCACTTTTTGAGTATTCCTCTTAGCTCCTTCACCAGACGTCTTAGAAAGTACGTTTTCAACCTTCTTTCTTTGATGCTGTGCTACTTTTTCTGAACCACTCTCTATGTGGAAAATTCTTTACCAGTAACTTACATATTTGTTCTCTCTTTCAAGCACTAGTCTCAATATTAATCACTTCCTATTCGTTTCTATGCTAACTTGAACATAAATCCAGAATGTTCCAGACCTATTAAACCTGTTCCCAATTTTAAATTGTGTTTTATATTAACTGTATCATTTTCCAAACTTCACTACTAGATTTTATACTTTTCCATCATCAAATCAATTAATATCAGTTATTATTCCTGAGATCAGTTCTTATACCTGTGCCCATCTCTCAACAATCATATTCATTATGGTAGCAAGTCCAATATATATTAGCTAAACTATTGAAATAGCATTCCAATTTATATACTTGTTTCCATTATTTCTGCCCTCTGGCATATCTAATAAGCAGAAGTCAGATTAATATTTCTATGGCACAATGTTGGCTGTATTATTGCTTTCATCAATGGTGTGATCTTCTTCAGCTGATGTGATGAGTAAAGTGCTCTATGACAGCTAGGACAGACCGCAGGAGAAACATATTGAATGTTCAGTTTTGAAAGTTTGAAAAAAAATCTGGAAACTTGGACATGGAACAAGTTCTGATGTCAAAGCACAAAATATGAGGCAAAGTAAACAAAAATGGATGATTTGTCTAATTACTGGGGAATAGGCTGCATGTACATCGGTGAGGTCATTGTTCTTCATTGTCCTCAAAGGGCTCTGGCCACTTTTCATATTACATCAAAGAAATAAATCATTCCTTCATTGTATTTGAGCAGTCAAATAAAAACTTCCACTTTGATATCAATCTTTTTGCCAATTCTTTATCACAATACTCCTAATACTCTTACTTGGCTCATTAGAGGGGAGATTATTTTAAGTATATTTTAGAGACTTATATATCTGGCCGATGGGCTTCTGGAATGTTAAATCTTTTATGATTAGTGAGTTTGAAGACATATCGTAAGTGTTGAAAGCAGATGTTATCAAAGACAATGTTCAATATAATTTTTGAAATTATTAAAAATAGATTTTATGGTGGTAACTAACAACAAAAATGATAACAATAGTTGGCTTATATTATCCCCTACTATGGTCCAGTCACTATGCAAAAATTTTAATCTGCATTGTACCAAAAATCTTACAAAAATCCATACAGTGGATGACTACTTCCATTCTACAGATAAGCAATCATTTGGACTAAAAGGTTATGTAACTTGCCAAGATCACAGAGTTAAAGTAAAACCAAAATTTAAGCTCAGAGATTAAAGAGATTAAAGGATGTTTTTTGACATTTGGGGCTAGTACAGAAATGCTCCAATAGGCTGTGTTGTATGTATTAGAGGGAAAAACAGGTATACTGCCCCTCTGTGGCTGAGCCCCAGAGTGTGGTGAGGTCCATGCAAAGCAGTGCTCCCCATAGGCCAGGCTTCTTGCACAGGACAGCCTACCCTTCCGGGCTGGCCCTGCTTATTATCCACATAGCTTTTTCAGTTCCTACCTAGGAGTACAGCGTGGAAGAGGACAGCCTGGGTCATGGGTCTCAGAAGTTTTAAGCATATATGGAAAATGCACCCCTGCCAAGAGTGATTGCCAGGCACCCTTGACTGTGTGTCTTATCTGTATTTCAGAGATGTTAAAATGAAAAGCTCTATGGATAAGCAAAACACAAGATATATTGCAAAAAGGCAGGTGAGTATACTGGGGTGTGTGTGTGTGTGTGTGTGTGTGTGTGTATTTCTCTCTGAAAAGAAGTGTTTCAGAGGCTATTCTCAAAATCCCTACCAAAGTAGTAGACAAGAATGTCCTTTATTCGGAACAAAGAGAATCAGTGAACAAGATGATTTTTGATGTGCTTTTTAAATTTTTATTTGAATTTGATTGTCCTCTAAGTTCTTGGGGGAAAATAATATGTTCGGAACTTGAAGAGGCTATGTAGATAATCTATTTTTAGATAGTGTGAGGAAACTTCATCTAACAGCAACCTTAACAACCTTTTAAAATTCAGCACTGGAAAAATCTGGCACACTAGGCAAAAGCATCTTGCTGGTTTTTATGAATTTCTAAAGGTATTTTCAACTAAATTGTCCATTCCTTGATATTTCGAGACCTGTCAAATTAACCAAATTGATTAAAACATTTGTGCAAAGGAAGCATATTTCAAACAATATACTGAAAAGTATTAATGCATGTATTTTACTTGTATATACAGGCAATTTATGTAGTAAAACTATATTTGTCACTTTAATATTATCATTAATAAATATTTTTTACTAATGAAATACACTCATATTCATGGAAATCCATTTTTCTTCTATGTTACACCTAACTCATGACCATCTAGTAATAATATCTATTGTCAATCAAATATGGGAATGGCTGAAAATACGTAGAAACATAGATTGTTGGTTTTAACAAAAGTTATAGAGAACTCCTGGTCAGCAAGTCCACAAATTCCATGAACGTATTGTTTTGGGCATTTCTCAAAGCTTCCAGCACAGAACTGTACACACTTTAGCTGCCCGATCATTATTTTGGGGGTTGATAAATGAAAGAGCTAAAACTATTGCTTGAATGGTACTGCAACATACTTCTTAGGGTCTAAGTCAATCTGTGTAGGGAAAAATCATATTGCCAGATCCACGTGCCCCCATGTACCTTTTACTGGACATTCACAGGGCTGTGTTCTCGAGGTTCTGCAGGATGAGTCCATGAATCATCTCCCAGGATCACACCTGGCATTCACCTCACCATTTAACCTCTCTACTCTGCTTATCACTCACCCTCAAAGGCCAGCTATTCAAAACTTGGCTTCTGGAAAGTAATATCTTTATTCATCTTTTGATTAGGCTCTGCGATATAATTTCCCTCAAAGAACTGGTCCATCAAAGTATTCTGCTAAACAAAAGACTATCTGGAGCTAGGCCACCACCTCGTAGGCTTTATTAGTACTGCTATTTATACTTTAACGTTTTAGCATTGTTTTTCCTTCTTTGCAACCTTATACCCTCCTCAGATTATTTCTCTTTCATCAGCCTCTGTTCGTGTTAACAGTGCCAAGATCTAATCTCGTCTGTTATCTAGAACAAAGCTTTGATCTCAGATCCCTTTGACATTATACTGCTTTATAGTGCTGTTCTGAGAATACTTGGTTGTTATCCCAAAAGACACACAAACGTGGAAGAATGTTAATAATGGAAATGAATGCAGCAGTTTTTCATTCTAGAAATCAGTAGGAAAATTGTGTAATTACAGAACAATGAGAATAAAGACAAAATTGGAAGAGAGAGGAAAGGAGATATTTGGGCCAGGTGGAGGAAGTTAAAGATCATCAGGATTCCATGACTGATTGGATGGTGAAACTGAATGAGAAGTTGTTGACTACTTCTCCAAAGTTTCAGATTTGAATGATGGGCTGGATGATGGTGTCGATCACAATGTTAGATCCTACAAGGGAAAGAATAAAACAAGTTAATGAGTCCAATTTTAGCCATTTTGAGTTTTGATTCAAGTAGAGGAACTGTAGCTCAGAAGAAAGAGTAGGACTAGGAAGTAAAGGCACATGTGGAGCCGGAAAGACACAGCTCTGGATCCTGGTCTGGTCTCTTCCCAGGCACATGGAGCTGCCCTTAGCAAGATGGCTGGGAGTCAAAAAAGCATACCTAGAGTGAAAGTGGAAGCTGCCAGGTCTTCAGGGCCAGGACTGGAAAACGTCAATGTCACTTCCTTGTTCTATTGGTCCAGTAACCTAGACCCTGCCTCTCAATGGGAAAAGGGCCAAAACATCAGTGGACATAATTTAGAACTCCCAAGTAAACATGCAGTTGTTCTTTCTCTTGATTAAATGTTCAGGTGATAAGCCCATAATAGACTTTTATATTTACACTTACTTAGAATTTCTAAAATGTATCCTGTGGCCTCAGATGTGTTTATCTTCCTAAAATGGCTTTTATAAAATATATTCTAGAGGGTTAGCCAATATATTTCTATTGCAACAGATTCTAGAGAATGTATAATAAAATGTAGGAAATACAGAATATAACCGTTTTACATATATATTTTTATGTATTATAACATGTTATTCCATGTCTTTCAAAAGACCTCTGGTTTTAAAAAGGTCTACATTTCTAAACATGTGTTTCCATTTTAATCGATACCACTCCCACCATGCCTAATAAATCTCTAATAATGGCGCTTAAAATAACTAAGAAAGTCGTTGTGCTAAGACATAGTTTATGCGAAGTTGAGAATATTGGCAAAGTGAAAGGACTTCTTTCTCTCTTTGACAACAAGGCATCTTTGCCATTTTGTCACTGGTGGGCCACAGCTTGTTCTAGCCTCTTAGATGAACGTTATGTAGGGTCCATTCCCATTCTTCTGTGTGAGATTTCATGTTTTAACATCATAGATGTGGAAGGAGACCATATGTTAAAGTAGCTAGAATGGGAAGAGTAATGTAATTTCAGTGCATGGTGTTTGCATTGGAGGAAGCAGTACTGAAAATCTCACCATTCTAGATTTTTTCTCCTGTAGATTAGAGGCCAAGATCAGAGTTACCTGGGGATTTTCATCATGGAACTGAGTAACAGACACTGCCCACACTGAGCCTTAATTTTGTTCTTGTTAGTAAATAGCCTGCTTGTAGTGGCACTTAGATATAAAATTCCTTAAAGATAAGCAGAACAGTATTGCATGAAGATTTTAACAAGTTTTGATTCTTAAAAAGCCCCACAAATAATCTAACATGGTATTCCAAATTCCATTTTGTAAAAGTTTTATATAACGTAGCACAGGCTCATAAGGGCTCATAAAACAGATGCATATTTTAAAGAATAATAAAAGAACATCCTGTTCCTGTCCCTCAGGCTGAAAAACATCTCATGCCTCTGCTCTATGCATGGTCCTAAGCCTGTCCTAACTCCTGCCATCTTTCTCCCTTTCTCACCATGGTGATCTTGTTCCTGAACTGGCTTTGCTAATAAATCTCTTTATATTATTGTTCCCTTTCTCTATGTGGAAAATTTCTCCTGTTTTTATATACGTTTTTTTAATTTGGAAACACTCTGTATGCCTTGCATTGTGACTCCTCTCCCAGTATTTAGTACTTGAGATTCAACCATGCTGGTTGAAGTCATCTACTTATTCATTTCCACTGCCTACAATATTCCATTGTATGTTAATATCTCAATGTAGTTATCTGTTCTTCTGTTGATGAGGAGTTGAAATGTTTGGTGCACATATGGGAGAGTTATTCTAGGTTATAAATCTAATAGTAGACTTTCTGTGTCATAAAATATGTATGTTTTCAAATACTTGACGTTGTAATGGTTAATTTTATGTGGCATCTTGACTGGTCCACAGGGTGCCCAGATATTTGGTCAAACATAGAGTGTGTCTCAGAGGGTGTTTCTGGAGGAAATTAACATTTGAATCAGTAGATAAATTTGACACAGCAGCTAAAGTGTGTGGGCCTCATCCAATCAATTGAAGGCTTGATTAGAACGAAAGCCTGGATAACAGAGAACTTTGCCTGCCTGAATGCTGATCTCAGACATCAGTCTTTTCTTTCCCTCAGACTGAACTTACACCTTTAGCTCTTTTTATTTCTCAGGCTTTTGGACTCAGACTGGAACTACACCACTAGCTTTCTTGGGTCTCCAGCTTGCTACTGTAGACCTCTGGATTTTTCAGCCTTCATGAGGTGAGCCAGTCTCTGAAGAAGCCTGACTAATACACGAGGTAAATTGCAAACTCCTTTGCAACTTTTTCCTATGTGTTCCTAGTTTGCCTTCAATGCCTTGATAACCACCAAAAAACCCCACAAAAAAACAAAAAAGAAAACAAAAAAAAACCCGAGACGAATAACTCACATATGCCTTCCTAAGAACTCAAGGCAAAATTGACGACATACTTTATCTTCCCATTGGGAAGATTTTGAGAGTAAAAATGAATGTTAAAATGACTAAGATTATGCATATTTCTGAAAATATTTATTGAAAACACATGTTCATTTTGTTGGTGAAACTAGAAAATTGTTCTACTCAAAACTGTTTTCAAAATGAAATTTCTTATTAAGTTAAAATAAATTAAAGGTATCCATTAAATAAAATTTACGTTTACTAAAAACAGAGTATGTGAGTGTCAGTTTACCACATACTCACCACCACTTGATAATGTCAGACTATTTCCTCTCCCCTAATTGGGCAGATGTGGAAAGATATATCATCATGAATTTTACTATGAATTTCAAGCTAGCTAATGAGCTCGAGTAGCTCCTCACCACACCACTTAGTCAAATTGTCTTTTGTTTCCATCTTAAAACACGGGATCAATGATCACATCGTTCAGTCTGAAGAGGCAGCACCCATCACTTGTCTATGAAGAACTTCTCTCCATTTCCTTAATTTGCATTTTCCCTTTTCCTCTGTTCTCTCAGCTGCATCCCTTTCCTTCACCATGCAAACCTCCTAAGGTGTTTGAGGTTACTATTTCATTTCAGCCTTTCCAATAAAACATGTACTGCTTTTTACATGTATTCCAAATTTATGTAAGTAATATTGACCTTTATATATTCTATTCCCAACTTTTTTCACTCAGCTCTATTTTTTTCCTAAGATTTCTCCATGTTTCTGTGTCTAGAAACAATTTCTTGATCTATAATGGACAAATGGGACTATACACACACACACACACACACACACACACACATATATATATTTTTTAAATTTATTTATTTATTTTTTTTGAGACGGAGTCTCGCTCCATTGTCCAGGCTGGAGAGCAATGGCGTGATCTCAGCTCACTGCAACCACTGCCTCCCAGGTTCAAGCAATTCTCCCGTCTCAGCCTCCCAAGTAGCTGGGATTGCAGGTGCCTGCCAACACACAGGCTAATTTTTGTATTTTTAGTAGAGATGGGGTTTCACCTTGTTGCTCAGGCTGGTCTTGAACTCCTGACCTCAGGTGATCCGCCCATCTCAGCCTCCCAAAGTGCTGGGATTAGAGGCATGAGCCACCGTGCCTGGCTGGGACTATATTAAATGAAAAAGCTTCTGCACAGCAAAGGAAATAATTAACAGAGTGAAGAGACAACATGAGTGGGAGAAAATATTTGCAAACTATTTATCTGACAAGGGACTAATATCCAGTGTGCAAGGAACCCAAAACACTCAACAGAAATATATATATATATACACGTATATATACGTGTATATACGTGTATATATACGTATATACATGTGATACACGTATATATATGTGTGTGTGTGTATATATATATATATATATATATATATATATACACACACACACACATATATATGTATGGCATTAAAAAGTAAGCAAAGGACCTGCTGGTCACTGTGGTAATTGCCACTTTCTGGATTCCAGCAGTTAAGAGCTGCACCTAGCCTCTAATGCTTTGGGGCGTGTTTATATATATTTGAGCCCAAAACTGTAACTCCCTTTTTTACTATCAGCTGTGGCATGCAGAGGACAGTTATGACCGAATTTGTTAGTAATTCCGGTGCCTGCCTCTCCAAAGCATTCTGAATGGCCTTGGTGAATAATGTGTCCTTTGGGCATTCCCAGACAACACAAAATTTAGGTGAGTTTTCTGGTCTTATGCAATATGCCCATTCCAGAATTCCCATATTTCTCAATTGTCAGCATTTCTTCTAACATTTTCCAAGGGAACTGGAACATTTCCACGTGAATCTATGGTGGCCATCTCTTCTAAAGTCCACTGTAGCAGTTAAGTTTCCCCTTTGACGTACAGTCAATTTCAAGTCCGTCATTCTCTGCGTCGGCTGATGCTGGGTGTTACTTCTAGCTATGGTCCTGTCAGCTTTGGGAAGAAGTGGGCTATTCTCCAGGAGCACACCTAATGCTTTGTCGGGTAGAGGCCTCTGCAGCCACGACCTCCAGCTTGAAGGCAGTCCCAGCTTTCACCAGGGAAGAATGGGCTGCTTCTGCAAGCCCTGAGGGCTGCAGGAAAGAGGGTACGCATTTGTAAACTCAATGTCCTCAGGAGAATCTATCCAGGTGTTGTTGTAAAACCCCAAGTTCAAGCTTGTGTCGCCAATGTACAGCTGATGCAAACACACTGACATACAGGTGCTTCGAAAAAAAGATTTATTCAATTTGGCCAAAGCAAGAAGATGGTGGGATGGGGCAAGATCTCACAAATCTATCTTAACAGAAAGAAGCAGCACACAGTTTTTGTACAGCTAGAGAGTAAGTTGGAGGAGTTTCAGGGAACTCCTGAAAGAGGAAAAGTCTGTGTTTGTTCAGTCTCAGATAGCACCTTGAGCAACCAGACTCGTGGATGTCAGTAGCTGGTCACAATTTCCCTAAATGCACTCATCCCTTCTGCAAAGATTTTTCATGACCCTGAAGTCATCTCCTATGCTTAACAAAGAAACAGGACATCAGCAGGGAGCTCACCACCAGCAACTGGTGACCATCGGCAAGCAGTTAAAGGCTGAGGGCAAGAGCTCACAGAGAGACTCTTATTTCTGGCACACAGTCAAGAAGCAAAGTGAGGACCTGAGTGGGTCACAGAGCTTCACCTGTGTCTTACAGTTATCTTTTCCCTTGAATTAGTAAATGTTGCTATTGAGTAAAATCTCTGAGTCCTATGGGTCTGACTTGACATTGTCACTTTCGGTGTTATCTTCATTCTGTTATAAGAGAAAACTTTCGCTAATAGTTAAATGCTGCCAGGTGTAAATTAGTGTCATCAGTTGCTTCAAACAGAAAATAAGCTCAGTTAATTTCAAAATTAGTTCAAAGATTTTTTATCTGATTTATGAAATAAAAGAACTATTTTGGAAATTCATTCATTCAAAGGTACAATATAAGATATTTTATGAAATTTACTTAAAAAGTTCAAGAATAAACATCATGGTAGAACAATATTTTTCCTAAATTAAGAAAATGGTGAAGCATACTTACCTGGCAGGGGAGATAACCATGATCACGAAGGTGGTTTTCCCAGGGCAAGGCTTATCCATTGCACTCTGGACATGCTGACCCCTGCGATGTCCCCAAATATGGGAGACTTGACTGCATAATTTGTGGTAGTGAGGCACTGCATTCGCAAAAAAAAAAAAAAAAATGCATACATATAATTTATAAGTCCAACATGCTCTGTTTTCTTAAGTCAAATAAAATAGAAGCCATAGTTGTTATGAGTAGACCTTGCACAGTACACAGAGCAGTACAGTTTAGGGCCAAGAAAATGGGATTCAGATGGGGAAAAGAGATGTAGGAGTCACCTTGACTAAAACTTTCATTCCCCAAAGTGCCAGTAGCTCTTGTGCACAGGCTTATAGGTCCATAGGTATAATTACCAGTGTTCCCAGAAGGGATCAGCCAGTTCCAAGAGTCACTGCCCTCAGGGAGGCCCAGGGAGACAGCTGCCATCATGGTTCTCCCTGTCCAGGTTCAATCTACTGCTCAAGGGTGATATTGACTAGGAGTCATGTGGCCTAGCTGCATATCTGACATACCACTATATCAATTTACCGGGGAGCAGAGTTAGAAAGTTAACTTCAGGTCAAATCATCACATAGAAGAAGGGGTGGGAGGATTTTATGCCTAGAAACAAATAGAAACCTAGAATCATAAAATAGAGATAATGGATGACATATTAAGCTTTTTACACATTGATTAATAATGTTTGCTATTAGATTATATTTAATCGATTAGATTACAAAAGTTTTAGTTCATCCATGAAATAAGCCTATAATTTTTCCTTCTAATATTCTCTTTGGCTGGTCATATTTAAGAGAAATTTTGAAATTTTAAAAATCTATTTACATTTAGAAAAATTTAACCAATATTGTTCTGTTTGGTTTTGTCTAAGTCCTGGTCCTATTCCCATTCTTTGATTATTTTGCAGCGAACTCTACAACTCTGCACATGTAATTCTAGTTTTCTGTAGGCATTACATTATGTGTATCTAAAAGATAGATTCTTTTTGATGAACATTGCTGTTATATCATTATCATTTCTAAAAATACAACAATAATTCCTCAGCATAACCAAATACCCAGTCAGTGCACATGTTCCCTAAATGCGGGGGGGGATGTTTTTCCCTAAAACTCATCTCAAACTTATGTTAATTACTTTTCATTGGGCCCATACTTGGGTTCTTAAAGCTGAAAAAAATAGTACAACTGAATATCTATTTAAAAATTATTTTCTTAATTTTCTATTTTTGTTTTGGTTCAAACAAATTTTCAAACATTAACCTTGAATTTTATATAAGACTGTAATACCCAGAATGAAAAAAACCTGCAACAGGTTTTATCTTTTTGTCCGGAATGCCCTGATGTTGATGAGTTTGATGGGTCTTCGAGTTGTGCTCTTAGAAAGCACTGAGGAGGCACCAGGACAGCGTAAGGACTCGGCTGCCTGAACTCGGAAAGGGAGTTGAGGGTGAGGCCATGTCTTTCTTGCAGCCAGGTGGGTGTGGGGAAGAGCAGGGCAGGGTGAGACAGCCCTCTGTGTGAAGCCACATGGGCAGGCTGGGGACTTGGGTAAAGGGGTGGAGATTTGTACGAAGGCAACATTTTGAGTAGTATAAACAAAGTTGCTCTTGTCCAGAAAACCCTAATAGGCACTAATCAGTGGGGAGAAAAGAAGGTTCTTCCAAATGGCCCAGAGTGGCCAGGACTAATGTTGCAGGGAGTTGAAAGGAAGTTTTGTCCATTGCTTCACTTAAACAGAATGTGATGCTAGGGAGACATACAGAGGCCTTTCTTTGAATATGGTATTCCTGGGTGTTCTGTTAAGATTTATAAACTGATACAGCTATCACCTGACTAGATTATATTTTTCTACACAATGGCAAAAGGTTTTTTTGTTGCAGAATTAAAAGAAAGAGAATTTTAAAGTCTAACTATTCAAACTAAAATTATAAGATACAAACTGTTTCAGTAGAATTATGAAGCAGAAGGATTAATAGGCAGCCCTAAAAATGTGATATGAAAACCTCAGAACTATACCTTAAAATATAATTATGAGCATGCTTGACAGACATTTGAGTTTTGTCTACAAATTTCAGCATGCAACCGTGGCTCGCAGGAAGAACCCAACTACCATGCCCAACAACTCCTCCGCCACAAAAGCCTTGCCTCGGGGGGCACTTTTTCTTTGAAATAGTATGGTTTCTGCCACCAATGAATTTAATATCTAAGAGAATAGAAAACGCAGATATAAATTTTATGTTTACTACCTTAAATACAAAAAAGGATTAGAAACAACTCTTTTAGAAAAAAAACAAAATTGCATTTTCATAATTATTCAAAACATCATTCCAGTGCCTGGCCCAGATACATCCAAGAGGGTTCCTTTCAGGAATGTTATTCTCATTGGGATGGCTTCATGTAGTGGGTGAAATGGGTCCATGATTCTGCACTAGTCCTCTTTCCCAAGCCTACCTCAGCAGGTGCCTAGAGCTGCGGGACAACACACTGACGTCAGAGAGCTGAGATTCTTGTAGAAGTTGTGATTCTGTGGCATCATGATTCAATATAGCTCATTTCAGAATCAGGTGAACATTCGTTACAGTTCAGCTCAAGTTCAACTCCAGTGATTTATTTAGTATATGTGGATAAAAGAGCTCTCCTATTCTATTGCTTGTCAACATCCCTTTCAAGATGAGCTCACTTCCATCAAAATCAAAATGGATAGCTCAAAATCAGTGGCTTAAAAATCATTATGGATAGTAGAGTCAGGGTAATTATATGAAATTCAGTGGCATCTGCTTAGGAAATAGCAGCCATTAGAGTATATCAGCCAATTGATATTTGAAGCCTCCTTTTTGGGTGGAAGACTCCCAAAGAGAGGATAACCTGAAGTGCCATTTGTTTTTTCCCCCAATTTAGCAATTAAGGTTAATGTCAAGATTACAAAGAGGCAGGATAGATCACAGCTGAGAGACAGTGGAGTTCTATTCTCCCGCTGTCCATCATGTGTGCCACATTTGCCAGGGAGGTGAACCATTTTCAGTCACACATGTCATATTTGTTCAGGTAAGTTATAGTAATGATTCTAATGAAAGTTTTATATATTATAATATATAACTTTAGAGAATATATAATTATATGTATATATGTCTATAACTTATGTAATTATATATAATATGTGCTTATGCTTACATATGATAATGTAATTCTCTCTATATAGAATATATATATTATATGTGAGTATATATATACTCCAACTGTTATTTATATATATATATATTCTCTCTATATATTTGAGCTCTCAAAGAACCGCTATACACATACACACACACACACACACACACACACACACACTCTCTCTCTCTCTCTCTCTCTCTGAGAACTCCAAGAACTGCCATATATATATATATATATACTCCAACGGCTATATAGCAGTTCTTAGAGTTCTCAAAGGACTCCAAAATAGTTTACGTTAAAAGTTAATGCATTGTTTCTGGCACTGAGAACTACTGGTTTCCAGGGATGCTAGAGCAACTTTCACCAACCCATTTTTTACCCATTAGCAGATAAAAGAGCTCTTTTTTACTATGCTGCTTTAAACAATTATGCACTCCGCAGTACATCACCTATAGATTTTTAAATAAGTGTTTTTTACTTTAGCTTTATGTAGAAATAGCATCTAGTTCATGATTATAGCCAAGATACTATTCAAAGGTGACTCAGGGTAATAAAAAGTTGGTGCTTAGTATTTGCCAATGATCAGAAGACAGCCTTATGCTAGTCTGAGGAACCAACTATCTCTTTCATCTACAAGGAAAAGAATCTGTAAATGAAAATAGCAGACATGCTTGTTATTTTACGTCCACCTTTGATATAAAAAAATAACAAAATGTTTATGAGTATTAGGCAATATTTGAAAAGGAGAAGTCGTCAAATTTGTCACAAGGTTGGGTAGTCAAGTTCTTAGGAATCTTTGACTGACCATTGATGTCACAATGATATGTCTTGATATTGATGACTTCAAACACAAAATTATTCCACAAAAGTGATATTAAATAATCGTCGCACCACTGCAGCATTAAAACATTGATAAAGACAGAGAATGAAGGTGGGAAAATGAGGAAGAGTTAAATACAAAATCAAAATACAGAGGTTAGAGAAAACAAGAAAATCATTCTCTTACTTTCATCACGTAAAATGAGGAAACAGTATATAGCAAGCATTTTGCAAAATATGTAGGAAATAAAGCCAATAAAAAAATCCATTTTTAAAAGCTACATTGAGAAAGTGCTTTCAAATGCTCATGCCTCTGATTAGTAATAGGGACCTCCAGCAGGGAGCCACTGGCGCAAACTGAACGCGGTCAGGGCAGGAGTGCTGACCCAGCTGGATGCAGTGCAGGGGCTCTTTCCTGATATCACTGGGTGGTTCGTGATCTCACCCTTATTGAAGCAAAACTGAAAATTTGTATTAGATGTAGTCTGAGCAGCCTCCATAGGCTATTATGTGTATGCATATGTGCTTGCTATTTTACTAAAACGTGTATGCGACATATGCATGGTAATTCTCAGCAAAACTTTTGCCTTCTTTGAAATCAAAAGCACCATGAGATACCATCCTCACCCAGTCAGAATGGCTATTACTAAAAAGTCAAAAATCAGCAGGTGCTGATGAGGCTGTGGAGAAAAGGGAATACTTACACACTGTTGGTGGGAATGTAAATTAGTTCAACCACTGCGGAAAATAGTTTGGAGATTTCTCAAAGAACTTACAACTGAACTACCATTCAACTCAGCAATCCCATTACTGGGTATACACCCAAAGGAAAATAAAACATTCTACCAAAAAGACACCTGTGTGCATATGTTCATCATAATAGTAAAGACATTCACAGTAGTAAAGACATGAAATAAACCTAGATGCCCATTAACAGTGGACTGGATAAAGAAAATGTAGTACATATACACCATGAAATATTATGCAGCCATAAAAAAGAACAAGATCATGTATTTGCACAACATGGATGCAGCTAGAGTGTATTATCCCAAGTGAATTTAAGTAGGAACAGAAAACCGAATACTGCATGTTCTCAATTGTAAGTGGGAGCTAAACATTGAGTACTCATGGGCAACAAGATGGAAATGATAGCTGCTGGGAAACACTCACATGGAGGAGGGGATGGTTGAAAAACTGCCTATCAGTTACTATCCTCACTACCTGGGTGGCAGGATCATTTGTACACCAAACCTCAGTGAGACACAATATGCCCATGTAACGAACCTTGCACATGTACCCCGAACCTAAAATAAAAGTTGAAAAAAAATTGCCATCTTTGTAAAATGAGAACTAAATAATCTTTAGTTATATATTTATGAGTTTACTAGGGCTGGCCATAACAAAGCTATGCCCAAACAACAGATTGTGTGGCTTTAACAAAAGAAATTAGTTTTCTCACAATTCCAGAGGCTAGAACTCTGAGATGATGATGATGATTATTCAAGCAGAGGCCTCTGTCCTTTGCTTGAACATGGGAATCATCTTTCTGTATCTTCATATGATCTTCCCTCTGTGTGTGTGTATGTGCTAATCTTCTCTTGTTAAAAGTCATATTGGATTAGGGCCCCATTTTAACCCCATTTAATGACTCCATTTTAACTTACCTATGTCTTTAAACATCTTATGTCCAAATACAGTTTCATTGAGAGATACCAAGGTTTAGGTCTTCAACATATAAACTTTGGCAAGACAACTCAGATCATAACAATAATCTGTATATAACAGACATAATAATTGTATATAACAGATATATCCATATAATCTAATTTCTATACATCAATATTTATAAATTTTATTGTCTTTAAGATGCCTATATGTTCATTTTGAAAATAATCTAAGACTCTTCAGTGTGTTTTATAAAGTTTATAAGAAAATAATGACACAAAAATATATTTCTAAAACAATGTCAATGATCTTGAAAAATAATAGATTATGTGAAATAAAGTTTTAGTCTAAAAAGGACAAAATTAGTTGTTATATCTTTGGAAAGACAGAAGGTAGATTGCATAGATTCTATAGATCTATACCAGTCACTCTGATGTAATCATGCCCAATATCTAGCTTTGGTTATTAAAATATATTCACACACACACACACACACACACACACACACACACACAAGCACTTTCCATCACTAGGGACAAACATCTATTCTCTAACACAGAGTACATTTAACTTATATTTTTATAATCTTGTAATCAGTACTAGACAGACACACATTTGGTAGACATCGAATTTCACCAAAGGATTGAATACTATTTCTCTTAAGTTAATGAAAAAAATGGAAGCATGTATGCTACATACACTGTTAGACTGGTTCATTCTTAGTAAATTCCAAGACAGTAGACTTTAACATGGAGGAGAATCGCACAAGTTGTATTTTGTAATTCTGTCCTTCACCCACAGTTATTATTATCTATGATTCAGCTGAGGGCATTGATAACATTCTATCTTTAAGATTATGAAACAAATGGAATATAATTATTCAAAATAATTTTGAAAGGCAAAACAATAAGATGAATCGTATAATGACAATAACTAAAAAGCTTTATTCATTCTAGGAAAAACTAATTCAAAAGTGTGGGATCAAAATACTTATAGGAAATATAGGTGGAAGTAATTTGAGTATACAACATCAATATTTTTCAATAGTGTGATGAGCTTATGGTAATTTAGGTTATGGTACAGAATGAAAATATGTAGATAAGAGCTCTCTGGTTCCTCTTAAATCTTGATCAATCAAACAACAATGGGTATAATACATTTCGTTCCAATTGTAAGACACTGTGAGGAATACATAAAGATTTTTAAATGCAGTTTAAAGAGTGACAAGGGTTCTTGAAACAAACAAAAAATGCTTGGGATTATTTACCCTTGTGATGTGCACATACAAGTGCTACAGCTATTTAATTGATTTATTTTCTGTCAAAATAAGAAGCTTAGAGTGACATAGTGGATAAAAATGAAATTCATATTTGTGTTAGCTCAATAAAAAGATTTTCTGAACCGAGTGTTGGATAATGACACATGCCTGTGTCTGTAAGCATTGAAAGAGATCTTTACAATATTGTATAAGGAATTTGAAAAGATTTTATTTAAGTTCCCTTCTAAATGTAGAATGTTATATTAAATTATGATATAGGTCAGAGAAGAGTTCTGATTAATATTTATAGTTGCTTTCTTTAGAGGACTTAATGCATAAACTAAACTCACATTGAAGCCCTGAACATGCAGGGTGATAATCATCTCAGGTCATTTCCATGACATATATTTAAAGTTTCTCAAATTATAAACATGTTGTACTTGATATATAAGAAATATACTTTTCAGACATTTTAAACTTTTAAAAAATTTTTGAATAATGCTAGATTCACTGAAGAATTGCAAAGATAGTATGAAGAGTTCCCAGGGACGTTCCCTTAGCTTCCCCTAATGTTAACATTTTACACAACTGTAATCCAAAATTATTAAATTAATGCAAAATTAAAAAATTACCATTGGCATAATACTATTACCTAAACAGCATCTTTAGATTTTATGAGCTTCCCGATTAATATCCTTTTATTTCTCCAGGATCTGACTTAAGAGACTGCATTGAATTCAATCGTCATGTCTCCTTAGTTTCCAGTCTGTGAAAATTTCTCAATCTTCCTGTTTACATAACCTTGAGAATTTTGAAGAGTATGGTTCAGGCATTTTGTAGAATGTCCCTCAGTTTGAGTCTCTGAAGTTTTATCATGGCTATATTGGAGCTATAGGTTGTTTTTCAGAGCATCATAGAGATGAAGTGTCTCTATCACATAAAATGTGAGAATATGTGACACCAACACAGCATGACTTATCACACAGCATTCACCTTGGTCACTTGATTAAGGCATTGTCTGGCATAAAGTTACTATCCTAACTTTCCAGACTATGTCCTTGAAAAGAGAATCACTAAGTCAAACTCACACTCCAGGAAAGAGGAATTAAGCTACACCTCATGGTGTTTGGAAGGAAGTTATTTTCATATTTTATTTGAATTTTCCTGTAAAGAATTGTGTCTTTTGCCAATATATTTATTTAATCACTTATTTACAGCAATATGAACTTTCATTCTTTGAAATGAATATTTCATTCTTTGAGATCTCTACAACAATACCATTATTATTATTATTCAAATTCAAATTCTAGATTTGTACATTGAGGGATTTTTTTAGGTTATCTTCTGTGTCCTTTAGAAATGCCTCTATCTTTTTTCTTTCTTTCTTTCTTTGGTAGAAACAAAGCACATCTTACTTTCTGACATAACAAGATACTACAAGCTCATCGTGTATTTATCATCCCAACTCTAAAATCAGCTCTTCTTCCAAAATTTCTGTTTCTTTTAATTGGAGGGTGGCATTTAGAAACCAAAATCCGGGCACTAGGCGTGTTCATTGCTGCTGGGGGCTCACTGCTTCTAGGCACTCTTGGCAAACAGAGCTAAGAGATACAGGTATGTATAGCAGCCCAGGTATACATTCATATTTGTATTTATTTGTGTGTTATCTAAATATACATTAAGATAAATGAGCTTATACTGATACTTCCAAAGCTAATTCAGCACCATAGGATTGATTTTATTTGTCCATGATGTTTATGAGTAACTTCTTCTTCTGAAAGTGAGAATCCTAGCCCCTGTTATTTATGATTTATTTCCTTATTTCTTCAACTCTAGTATATGTGTAAAATAGTTTCAGAATTGGCAACATATATCCCTGTAAGAAGAAAGTTTGCCAACTAGGGTACAATGTTTTTGTACAGTTTCTTTTATTCTTAGCTTCCTGGTGTTCACTGGAGATACTGTTTTCCAAAGGAATTTAGGTCACTTCCTTTCTCTACGCCCTCTTAAGTGACATATTTAATGCATTTAGGCTAATTTTTTGCAGAGTACATTTTATTCTTGGATCCACTGACATCCTGCTTTTTAAAAAATTGTACACAGTAAAATGTATAATGTACATTTCTATTGGTTTTGACAAACAAATGTAGTTTTTATCAAGCACCATTATATCATACAGAACAGTGTTTTTATTATAAACATTTTCTTTAGAATTAATCCCTTTATTCTCACTAACCGCTGAATTATATTCTGCCTCTATCATTTTGATTTTTTTCTTATTGTCATACAAATGAAATCATGCTATATGTGGCCTTCTGGGTTTAGATTGTTTCACCTAACAAAATGCATTTAAAATTCATTCAAATTGTTGTGTAAATTGATAGTATTTTTCTTTTTCTTTTTGAATACTAAGTATTCCATTGTATGGGTATATGACAGGCTGTTAATTCATTCCGTCTTGAACTTCCCAGCTTCTAGAACTGTAATAAATAAATTTATGTTCTTTACAAACCAGCCAGTTTCTGGAATTGTTGTTATAGCAGCCCAAGTGGACTAAGACAAGTGGTAGACTTACAGTGGGTGAGCTTTATGGTATATGAATTATATCTCAATAAAGCTGTTAAACATAAAAAGAAAAAAAAGCTAAAAGTGATTTTCTTAAAAATTAATTAAACCAATAATTTTAGTGAGGCAGAACAAGAAAAAGAAAAGGAGAAAACACAAATTACCAATATCAGGATTGAAAAAGAAACTATAACTACATGTCCTACAGATATTAAAAAGGTAAGGAGGATATCTTATTTTTTAGTAATTATGAACCAAGTTGCTACAAATATTCACACAGGCTTATATACATATACGTATACGTATACGTATACATATGCATATACAATAGTACCTACTCATGTTCAATGAATAGGTTATTATTTTTTCATGTGACATTTTCAGAACTTAAATCATTTTCATTCAGCATAAATTTCACTATAAATCCTAATCCATAATGCCAATAGGATCAAATAAAAAATTGGGTGGTCTTTTTCTGTCTAAATCACATTTTATGTTAACAATATTTATATGTAAATTTTGCTAAAATAAATGTCCGCATTTTTTGTTGTTGTATTTGTGTGGTTGCAGCTATACATGTTTTATAAAAATAAATAGAGATAAGAAGGGGCTAGGAAGATTAATTGATTGAGATAGCAGTAAGGATATTTTATGGTTGGTGGAAGAAAGTTAAATTAAAATTTGAAAATAGTCCTGAAATGCTCCGTGAGAATAATGGACTAGAATGCAAAAGAAGTACTGGTAACTAATGATGTATTTTTGGATAGATAAGATCAAGAAACATTGCTGAGGAATCTGAAACCAGATTTGAGATTTCACCTATAGGGTAAAGAAACTATTTTAGAATACCTGTAAATTCTTGCACTAATATATTTGGATTCTAGGATCACACTTCTTTCTTATAAATCAATTTCTCTCACAATTATTTATACCATTATGGCGGAAGTAATTTGTTCCATACCTAAACAGAATTACATTCTATTTACACTAGAAATCAATCTATGATGGATGATACAGTAATAATGTATTAGAAAGTACCAAATATGTATCTATTGTACAAGTTTAAATTATCTTTAGCATTATAACAACGACCATAGGGTTATTAAAATTCTTATTCTACAGCTCCCAAAACAATTTATTTAAAATCCTTGAACATTAGAAAACAATAAATTTTATTTTTCCCACTCTGTCCTTGAAGATCTTAATTGCTATTCATCCATAATAAATGTAAGGAAATGTAAAAGCAAATCAAAATAAAACAAAACAACAAAAACTAGAAGAACTGGTGGACCAAGAAACTCTGAGGGGAGGTTGCCTGAATTTCATTAGCCACTTTGAAACTGCTGAGGAACGAATGAGCCATCACAACAGCCCAGGCAAGGTGCTGCCACATCAGCAGACACAGCATCAGCTGGACAAAAGGAATCACGACATTAAAATTGTAACACAGGCAGGCAATTCCTAATTTCCTTTTTCTAAAAACAAATGATTTTTGAGCTAATACTTACACTACTCACATATTGTTGTTTAAATATTATAGATTCTGCTTCTGGCCCGGGGGCTGGTAATCCCTCAGCTTAGTACTTCTAATTAATACCACATTCTGATTGCTGACAACAGGTTACCCAGTCTGGGTCATAACTATAAAGCCATCCCGGGAACCACCAGGAATGAGTCACATTTTGGCTTCTTTTGTTTATTTTCTGGTTAGTGAAATATCTTGTATTATATAACTGACATGCTACATAAGTGTGCCTCTGTGTGTGTGTGTGTGTGTGTGTGTGTGTGTGTGTGTGTATGTACAGTTAGCCATTTATCCTAAATTTAGGCACATTAGACATGCCATCTAGGAGTAATGGTGATTATTTTTATTTAATTCTGCCTCAGAGCCCCAGCATGCTGAGTGAACACAGTAGTCACAGACCTTAACCCACCTAGAGTCAATCTACCTCGAAGATCAGTTCTGAGTATCTCCTAGAACACATTTCTAACTGGAAGATCCGAGGAGCATAGCAGCTACATTAAAAGAAAGAAGACTCTGGTGTGCTTTCCATAATTGTATATATAAAATGCCTGCTCCCATTATTTTCCTTGTCATCCACCTTGTTCACTCTACAATT
Source organism: Homo sapiens (assembly GCF_000001405.40). Classification (NCBI taxonomy): domain Eukaryota; kingdom Metazoa; phylum Chordata; class Mammalia; order Primates; family Hominidae; genus Homo; species Homo sapiens. Next base: position 53,377,690 of record NC_000007.14, read on the forward strand.
CTAAGTTCCATTGCTCCCATGGTGGAGAAGTGGTGTTTCAGTGCAATCGTTAGGATATTGCTCACCATTTAACCAACAAAGCCCAAAACACAGTGGCTTAGTACAATGGAAGTTTATTTCTTTCTTATGAAAAGTATAAAACTGTCATTTCAAAGTAGTGTAAAGTTCTCCATTAAAGGATACCCATAACATCTGGTGGCTCCACTACTTTCCACATAAGGTTTGTGAGGTTGTGCAGTGGTCCTGCATCAGGATGCAGCAGGAGAAAGAGCTGAGACAGGAGGAGATGAGCCAGTTGATGGGGTGGCTTCAAAGGCAGCATCTATCATCCCACTGAATTCCATTGGTCAGAACTCACTGCAGGTCTGAGAACTGTAGTTCCTATATGTATTCAGCTATGAATTGAAGTGGGATGGGCATTTTTCCACAATGGTTAGGATAATTTTCACCGCAAATACTTTTCTACATTTTTATAAAGTTGACCGGCACCTGTGTTATTAGCCATAACAAATGGCCATCAATTTTCCCCAGTTTGATAATCAGCACAGCTAGACTCTGTAGAAAGATCTCTTTGCTGTTAAGTGACCACAAATGACTAAATTCACATTGAACTGCACCAGCAGGAGAGGGCTAGCCCTGAATGTGTCAAAGTAGACACTCTCCATATACCTCAGGTTTTATTATCTGCCTGAAGTTAGCATACTGGTTTCCCCAGGAAAGCCTTTAACCATGAATAAATGAGATCCTATGGAGTTTACCATACACAGCAGAAATACTACCCTGACTCCATAATCACTGCACTGAAAAAAAAAATTAAATGCTCGTCTGTATCTCCTTTATCTGCACTTATATCCCCAATAAGATAAAGTCAAAAAAATCACCCTTGAAATGACCCATTACCCAAGAGAAGATAAAAGCAACATATGAAGTAAGATCTAGAATTAGGATTGGACTAGGAACTTTGAAGTTTCCAATAAAGGGGCTCAGTATGTTGCAGAATTGGAGTTGACATTTTCTAAGAAAATTGCATATAAACCTAATCAAGGGAGAACCACAAAGTTAGTAATCCACAAGAAAAGAGGTAAAACTTAGAATAATATATACTGGTGCCTATGGAGGTCTCCACAGACGCATCTCTAGAGATGTATATCTTATGTTTGATATATGAAGCTAAGTTTAGCCAATTTAGGTGCATAATAACCTACGCCAAACTAGAATTCATTCTAATCAAACTTTTCCAAGAGATTACGCCTTGAATGATGCTGGAGGCAGTGGAGAAGGATGTAAACAGAACTGTCGGTATCATTAAGTGCCCTTGGTATCCTGGGTAAAGTGCGTTCACTGAGTAGCCCATGTCCCCACGTCAGCCTTGGCGCTGAGGTGGCAAACGTGTCCCCAGATCACAATCTTGTCAGAGCTTCCTCGCATTCCTCTAGCAGAGGTGTGAGTGAGAGGCAGAGCCTCTAAGAGAACTGAGACCCACCCAGGGACTGGAAAACGTCACATCCTTTTTTCTAACAAGCCAGAATAGCCCCTGACCACTGTCTTTGCATGTGTGAAAAAATATTTTGGTACACTACACATAAAAAGTTGAAAAGTTTCCTGAACGCACTGTACCAATGTTCTTGTCTCTCACCCTGTGCTTTTGGGACAAGTGAGAGGAAGAGTCAGTAGGGTTACAAGGAAGCCTCTTCTCTTCCTGCTACCATGCCTGGACTCACAGATCTCCCCCATTTCCAAACCAGCCCCCAAATAATCTAGATTTTAAATAAAAATATTAAGTCGGCTCTGTAGCTGTCTGACCGAGGTAAAATTTCTCCAGGGTGATTCAAGAGCTCCTCTATCATTCCCTGAGCCTCCACCCTGACAGCGCCTTTTGTGACAATGGCACACCTCTGCCTCAAGTTTTCAGGCGAGTCATGTGTGATCTTTATCTGAGCCAGAAGACCTGGTACCTGGGCCGACTCTGGGATGGTTGTAGAGACGCACAGCCAGTGCAGGGCTCCCGAGCCTCAGGCCTGTATCAAACTTTCTTCTCCTGTCCTGGCCCCAACCCAGCAGGAGTCCACATGCCCTGGACTGCTTGTGCTGTAGGGATCATTTTGAGCTTCATTTCTACAAGCTGGCTTCTTCGCATGAGGATGCGAGGCTTCCTTCCTTTTGCCTCCCTTCCTTCCCTCAATCTAAGACTGGAATCTCTACGTTAAATCCCAGCGACACCCCCAGCTTCTTGAAGGAGAGACGTTATTGAAGGAGATTTCCTTCCTGGATCATGAAAAGCTGTCCTTTGGACCCTCCTCTGCGGGTCTGGGGACTCTGGCTGCCTCATACTCACCCCGTTCAGTGTCCTGAGTTCTGCCTGCTTGACTGAACACCCCTGGCTCTCTCAACCTGATCTAGTCCCTTTTCCTGCACACTTTCTCTTGTTGGAAATAACAAGAAAATACTAATTATAAGACAAATTCAAGGTATAATTATTAAACATTTGAATGAACATAAATTAATTGTGAAATTTTGTCAGTTTCAAAAAAAAAACATAATAACACAGAAAACTAAGACCGTGTTTCTAGAAGTAAAAAGCTCTCAGAGTAGAAATGAATAAAGAAATGAGATTTTTCTAATCATTTTTTTCCTATCAGCAGGAATAAGTACTCATATAGGCCCTATCAAGAGCTACCTGGCTTTCTCCAAAACACACTCTGCTGTCCTTGGTGCATTTCATAGCTATGTCCCTGGACCAGCAGTCCGAATTCTCTGTCTGGCAGTAATCCTGGCATTCTGCTAGTGGAGGCAGGTGCAATTTAGAACATTGTCATCATGATAAATACTAAACATACCACTTAAGAAGAAGATTTTTTAGAATTCTTTGTTTTTGTGACCTTTTAGTTACAGCAAGAGGCAAATTATGGCTGGGTGTGGTGGTGCGTGCCTGTAGTCCCAGCTACTCCAGAGGCTGAGGCAGGAGGATCGCTTGAGTGGGGGAGGTTGAGGTTGAAATAAGCCATGATCACACCACGGCACTCAGCATGGGTGGCAAATCTGGAGACCTTGTCTAGAAAACAAAAGAAAAGGAGTCAAATTAGATGAAATGTCTGATGTATTTAATATACCCTAGATTATTTTTGTAGGTTCTTACTTTTGTAGGTCCTTTAACTGCCACTGTGAATTAGAACGAAGATGCACATCTATTTTCCTATAGAATAAATGGAATTAGTGCCTGCAAAAGAATGATGTAGAGATGACATTTTGGTCCTTCCTAATAAATAATTGTCCAAGTGGAACTTAGACTTTGACCAATCAAATAATAAAAGGGACAATTGCCTAATTCATCTGCGTAGGCATTATGGAATTGTTGTGGAACAGACATTGTCTGTCTGTGTGAAGCCTCCTGCTCACTCGTTGAAATACTTCTATAAAAGCGATATGCGGCTGGGCACGGTGGCTCATGCCTGCAATCCCAGCACTTTGGGAGGCTGAGGCGAGCAGATCATGAGTTCAAGAGATCGAGACCATCCTGGCCAACATGATGAAATCCCATCTCTACTAAAAAATACAAAAATTAACCAGGCGTGGTGGCACACGCCTGTAGTCCCAGTTACTCAGGAGGCTGAGGCAGGAGAAGTGCTTGAACCCAGGTGGCGGAGGCTTCAGTGAGCTGAGATCTCGCCACTGCACTCAAGCCTAGGTGACAGAGCGAGACTCTGTCTCAAAAAAGAAAAAAAAAAGCAATATGCTCAGGAAATCTGACAAAGACCAACACTCTTCAAAGAGTCCCTGCTCCTAGATTTCCATCAGCCTGCTGCTGTCACTGCTTCCTGTTCTCATAACTGGAATTCAGCACGGGGAATGCCAACACCACTTGCAGGAAAAAACTGTGTCCTTTTTCCCTCAGCTTCTGCACTGAAAAGTTGGTTTACGTTAGATAAGGAACTGGAACTTCTCAGTGCTTTATATCTTTATTTGTCAGATGAAAGTATTCATCTTTGCCATTTGCATTACAAGGTATGACATATAAATGAAATTTTAATATTGGCACTTTAAGATTTTCCCCATGGGACTAAAGTCTCTGCTAGCAATTCTTTGTCACCTTTTCTTACATCTAAAACTGAATATTAATTACTTCAAAAATGGCTATAAAATTGTTAGAACTCCTTAAATAATGCAATATATATGTACTACTATATCTTTATAATCCATTTCATCAATAGAATTATTAAATATTCCCAGCACTCTAATAGTCAGATCACAGAAAATATTCAGTTTGAATTTGATGTGCCATTGCTACTCCCCTGATATGTGTGTGCTCTGGATTTTTAAGTTCATTTTCTTTTCTTTCCTTTTTTTTTTTTTTTTTGAGACAGAGTCTCGCTCTGTCACCCAGGCTGGAGTGGAATGGTGCAATCTCAGCTCACTGCAACCTCCACCTCCCAGGTTCAAGTGATACTCCTGTCTCAGCCTCCTCAGTAGCTGGGATTACAGGTGCCCACCACCACGCCTGGCCAATTTTTTGTATTTTTAGTAGAGACAGGATGTCACTATGTTGGTCAGGTTGGTCTCGAACTCCTGACCTCATGATCCACCTGCCTTGGCCTCCCAAAGTGCTGGGATTACAGGCGTGAGCCACCACGCCCGGACTTAAATTCATTTTCGCTTTTGTCAAAGGAATCAGTGTTCAGGGCGAGACTATATGAAAGCACATACAAGCACACAGAGCACATGGAGCGTGCTTTGAGTCCAGGCCCACAGGTTTAGCTTTACCCTTGTTCTCATTCACCGAGCCTGTTTCACATGGCCTCTTTCCAGAATTAAGCCAGTGCATTGCTCTTCCAATGAGTTGTTGGACTGTGAACAACGTTTTGTGAACTCTTAACAGGCTCCAAGGCTGGTTCATTTCACTGTGAACCAGTGAACACTGAAATGAACACGAAACACCAGTGAACACAAAAGAAAGTGAACACTGGCACAATGTTCACTTTCTTTCAGCCAAAATAGGATTCTTGTCTTTCCCGTCTCAAGGAACGGAAGAGTCTCTCCACAGCTTTTACAGTCTGAGTAAAAGCCTTGGTTCCCCACTTGAAACTCAAAATCAGCCAATTTCTGAACATGTTAATTGAATTAGTCAAGGATTAGCTTCTAGAGAAACAGAACGAATATAATAATAATTATGTATATAATTGATTCACATAACTAAATATATATCACATGTATAATATATATTCCACAAAATACAAATATGGAGTATATATATTATTTTAAGGAAATGGCTCATGCATTGACTTGTGTGATTATGTGGCCTGGCAAGTAAACAAATATATTTATAATTTAATTGTGCTAATTGCTATGGGGAAAAATAACAGACTGTTATGAGAAAGAAAAATGATGTTAGAGGAAAAAAGGTGAATGAGCTTTTTCCTTGGTAGACTAAAATACCTCTTTAAAAATACTTCCTGACTTACAAATGAGAACAACTCAACTGTGCAGAGAATGGGAAAAAAAAATACTTCCAGGGATACTTTTGTACCTGAAAGTCCTAAGGTAATAAAGAGCTTGGAGTGTTCAAGGAATGAAAAGAAGGTAATGTGTTCCGATGAAAGAGGAGAGGGAATCCACTGCCTGGTGAATACACAGGATGTGGTGACGTGAGCGGTGAGAGATAGGAAAGGAATGGCAAGAGGCATCCAGAATTAGTACTGGTTGGATGTCAGCCTTGCCTGCTGAAATTAGGAAGAAAAGAATAGGTTTGTAGGGCTTTGGCAGGACAAGATTGGAATATCAGGTCTCATCTTTCTTTAGCTGTTAGATATTCAAGTACAATGATCAGGGAGGCAATTAGACATAGGGCTTTGGATCTCAGAAGAGAAGTCTACACTGGAGACACTCTGGGAGTAGCATAGATACCATGATAATAGGAGGAACTCAATCCCTCAACTGGAGACAGTATGAGCGTGGGCTCCCTCTGCGGGGCCTATCAGTACTATGGGGAAATTGCAGCTACTATCAATCACTTCTCATTAAAGACTTTGAAACATAATTTTAATACCCTAAAATCATTCCAGTTATAGATCTATTGATTTCATTTTGAAAATGAGACGATTAGAGGTCAGCAAGGTCTGGGGTCAAATAAATAAATTTGGGAAAATTAAATCAAGTCGTGAAGATGCTCTATTTATATTTAGAAACCAATAATATTTAAAACTTGAGTGAATTATGGAGTACTATGTGCCAAAAGAGCTGTAGATCTCCATTTCACTGAGCCCCATAGTTTTCTTAAAAATACATCAAAATTATCATTTACAAAATAACTTTTTAAAGAACGGTTTCCAACATTTGTGGATTTTTTAAAACCTTTAAATTGAAGTTTAATGTAAATACAGAAAAGTCACATATCATTATATATCTCAACATACCAGTAGTATTCTTGATGAATTTTTTCAAACTGAATTTATATAACCAGCAGCAAGTCAAGAAACAAGACATGCCTAGCAACTTGGAAGCTTTCTTCTTTATGCCCCCAGTCACCACAGCTCACCAAGAGCACCCATTAACCTGCTATCTGAGAACAGAGATCAGTTTTGCCTCAAACATTTGTTTTTGGTGTATGTATAAAAACATACTTATTTTAGTAAACATAAGTATTCACAGTTAAACACTAAGAAAATAATTAATAGCCCTAGCAAGTAGAATAAATATTACTCTTCCAACCCTATTGGTTTATAATTTTCATCTATGAGAAGCTTGTTAGACTAAGACTAAAAAAAAACACAAAAATATTAATAATTGATTAAAAAACAAAAACAAAAATCTTGTTCCTGTGACGAACCTTGTCACACAAATTACAGTGGTGAATATTAACTATAAGAACTACTGATGTGAAAATTTTTGGAAATTATTACATTATTTATGTTTATCTTTCTAATTGTTTTTAAATGAAAAATAGTACAGTGGTCATTTTTTTCAATAATGGAATATACATTATGATATTCTCTCTGGGATGTATATAATTCATATGAAGCTGGCATTCCTCAAAGATCTAAAATGAGATTGTTGCGTTTACAATCCCTGAGCTAGATACAAAGGTTCTCCACGTCCCCATCAGATTAGTTAGATACAGAGTTTCGACACACAGGTTCTCCAAGGCCCCACCAGAGCAGCTAGATACAGAGTGTCGATTGGTGCACTCACAAACCTTGAGCTAAACACAGGGTGCTGATTGGTGTATTTACAATCCCTGAGCTAGACATAAAGGTTCTCCACGGCCCCACCAGAGCAGCTAGATACAGAGTGTCGATTGGTGCACTCACAAACCCTGAGCTAGACACAAGGTGCTGATTGGTGTGTTTACAATCCCTGAGCTAGATATAAAGACTCTCCATGTCCCCACCAGACTCAGGAGCCCAGCTGGCTTCACCTAGTGGATCCCGCACCAGGGCTGCAGGTGGAGCTGCCTGCCAGTCCCGCGCTGTGCACTCGCATTCCTCAGCCCTTGGGTGGTCGATGGGACTGGGCTCCTTGGAGCAGGGGGTGGTGCTCGTCGGGGAGGCTCCGGCTGCACAGGAGCCCATGGAGGGGGTGGGAGGCTCAGGCATGGCGCGCTGCAGGTCCCGAGACCTGCCCCGCAGGAAGGCAGCTAAGGCTTGGTGAGAAATCGAGCACAGCACCGGTGGGCTGGCACTGCTGGAGGACCCAGTACACCCTCCGCAGCCACTGGCCCTGGTGCTAAGTCCCTCATTGCCCCGGGGCCAGCAGGGCTGGCCGGCTGCTCCGAGTGCGGGGCCCGCCAAGCCCACACCCGCTGGGAACTCCAACTGGCCCGCAAATGCTGCACGCAGCCCCGGTTCCCGCTGGTGCCTCTCCCTCCACACCTCCCTGCAAGCTGAGAGACTGGGCTCCAGCCTTGGCCAGTCCAGAAAGGGGCTCCCACAGTGCAGCGGTGGGCCGAAGGGCTCCTCAAGTGCCGCCAAAGTGGGAGCCCAGGCAGAGGAGGCACAGAGAGCGAGCAAGGGCTGTGAGGACTGCCAGCATGCTGTCACCTCTCAGCATGACCTTCATCAGCCTTTCCTTGTGGGCCCGTCAGAGGCGTTGGAACCAAAGCAACTCCATCTTAAATAGAGGCTGGGTAAAATAAGCCTGAAATCTACTGGGCTGCATTCCCAGATGGTTAGGCATTCTAAGTCATAGGATGAGATAGGAGGTTGGCACAAGATACAGGTCATAAAGACCCTGCTGATAAAACAGGTAGCAGGAAAGAAGCCGGCAAAAACCCACCAAAACCAAGATGACTATGAGAGTGACCTCTGGTCATTCTCACTGCTACACTCCCACCAGCGCCATCACAGTTTACAAATGCCATGGCAAAGTTCGGAAGTTAACTTATGTGGTCTAAAAGGGGGAGGCATAAATAACCCAGCTCTTATTTAGCATATAATCAAGAAATAACCATAGAAATGGGCAACCAGGGAGTAGCCATTCTTTTATTCGTTTACTTTACTTTCTTAACAAACTTGCTTTCACTTTACTCCATGGACTTGCCCTGAATTCTTTCCTGTGCGAGATTCAAGAACCCTGTCTTGGGGTCTGGATCTGGACCCCTTTCCGGTAACAAGCAGGGGCCCCTTTCCCATCTTTGCACACAATTCCATGTTCATAATTCATCTTCTACTCAAGAGGACCTCCAAAATAGCAGACTTTGTGGGCCCTGCTAGAACTAGGCTCCCCTGTGACTGGCTTGCTTGCCAAGACGCCCTTCACTGCTCTGATTAGGGTGCCCACTTCTTCCCTGCTCCAGCCCTGTGGTCTGACTGGGCCATGAATCAGACCCAGACTGGGGCTGACCTTTCTGCCCCACCCCAAAATACACACTTCTCAAATGTACCTAGAATATACAAGTCCCTCCCTGTCTGAATGTGGTCCCGGAGAGGAAAGGGACAGGTCTCTGGTGGAGCAGCGAAGGCACGATGGAGCCATTGGGTCTGATAAAAGAAAAACTTCAACCGAATTAAATTTGAAGGAGTTTAATTGAGCAATGAACAATTTTTGAATCAGGCAGCCCCCAGAATCACAGCAGATTCACAGAGACTTCAGGGGTGCCTCGTGACCGGAACAAATTTATAGACAAAAAAGTAAAGTGGCATATAAGAATCAGAAATGAGGTACAGAAACAGTGAGACTGGTCACAGCTCTGCAGTGGCCTTATTTGAAGGCAGTTTGAACATTCAGCAGTCTATGAGTGGTTGAAGTATGGCCGCTGGGATTGGCCAACACTCAGCCACTGTTACAGGTGCATATACTACTAAGTTAGGTTTTCAACTTTGTCTGACTATTAAGCTAGGTTACAGTTCATCCACAAGGACTCAAATAATAGAAGTACGGAGTCCTTTTCAGGCCATATTTAGTTGGCTTTAACAGGTCCTACTGACTGGTTGCATTCAACCTCTAACATTTCGTCATCCCCAAGACCAGCTTCTCTGCGTCCTTTCCATCAATGTTATTGTCCAAGTTCCAATGCCCAGCGGCACCATTTGTCATCATAACAAGGATTGGAATCAGAATCGTATGGCTGATAGGAAGCCATCAGCAGAAACCTTGTAATATTCAACTCCTATTTCTTCTGAATTTAAGATATCGATATGTATAGCAGCATTGATTTTCCTCTGGCTGAGTGAGGCCAAATTGCCCACATTTCTATTTCTACATTTTCCCATTAATAAACCTGCAGAACATTTAAAGTTCATGCAAATATTCTAAGTGACCATATGGATACAGAGAGTCATTCCTTTTCCATGTTTCACTGGCTTAATATTCACAACTGGAGGGAATGAAATCATAGCACATTAATAGAAAACATGGAAACAGTTATGTACAGTGTTACTCAGAAAATCTTAGTGAGTAGTCAAATCGACACCGAGAGCTATCTGCAAAACCGCCTCCACCTGCGGAGCCTGGCTCCTGGCTGGAAACCTATGCATGGTGTCTGGGCCTGCCCTTGGTCAACGGAAGCCTCACCTGCTGGCCTCATCCGCATGGCCTCACCTGCGTGGCCTCAACTGCCGGCCTCGCCTGAGGCACCTGGGCACCTGGCTCAGTGCAAGCCAGCATCACCGTCTGAAGGAAGCTGCAGTCAAGGCCTCCGGACCAGGCTGGCTGTGGTCTTTGCACATTTACATTCCCAACCCTTCATTTCTAAGGCTTTTTAGCTGAGATTTTGGACAAAAGTCTTCTTCGAGTTCCTCTGCTGAGTCCTCCTTTTGCCACAAGGATGGAGAAAAATTGGAGACGCTTTTCCCACTCTGAGCCCTCCCCCAGCAATTTCCATTCTTAACCCTCTTCCCTCACCCTTCTCCTTTATTCCAGGGCCCAAAAAACTGCAGGAACCTTTTGTTTGGGGCTCCCTTGATGGTGAGAAGACGGCCACATCTGTGCAGAGCTGCCTGACCCTGGACTAGGACTCCACTCCATGGGAAGCGGGGAGCAAGGAGTCACTGCTTCTTCGGCTCGAGTTCTGGCTTCCTGGGCCCATGGAGGGAGGAAAGGTGTGCCTATGTTTGTCCTGTTGCTGTAACTGACCACCTGCCCCTGCGGGCTCAGCCCTCTCCAGTTCAGCGAATCCTAACACCACCAAGCTGTCCTTTCTCTTCTGATAACTTGGCTATTCCAAAGACGTCGTTTATCAAAATTATGGACTTGCCCAGGTGTAAATTAGTAGGAAAGCAAGAGTCTAGGTTTACTTCTAATCTATTTGTTTTATAAAACTCGTAGTCTTTTTTTAAGTTCAAAGTACCCTAAACTATTTTTTCCTGGTAAATATAATCTCTTGAACATCTAAATTTTCTCTCAGAAGGGAAACCTAAGTGAAGTCATTAAATGGAAATAAAACAAAAAAGAGAGTTCCAGGGAATATAAATAAATTAATTAAAAATGATTATTCTGGCTTTAAAGAAATGATTCCTCTGACAAAGTTCATTTAAATTAATACTATTGTTATTAATGAGGTCGTTTATTCATAAAATAAATATGCTGAAAATAAAAACATAACATTTTGTGTAGTCAAATTTGAACAATACAAATAAAACAATGAAATTTGAAGTATTACTTTCATTTGTGGCCAAGGAAAGGATTGACAATTTATTGGTAATATAATGCTTCAGTTAATTTTATACAAACGGGATAGCCTGGAGATTAAAAGCCAGGACTCAAAAATCAAAGTGCCTCTGTACAAGTCCCAGCTCTGCCCTGTCCTAGCTACGTGAGTTGGAGTCCTCCTACAGCCCACCCCATCTCTCTGTCTAGAGCACAAAGTCATTCCGCTTTCCTGTTCAGGTGCTTATGAGCAATAGGTTAGTTACAGTTTATGCAAGTGCTGAAATCATTTGTTTAATAAATTAACTACTTTATTTGGAGCAAAACCTTTTTGTCTTTCTGTACAGAGATGGGATTCAGGACGGGCTACTCCAAAATATGATACCTTGGCATTTGAGAAAACAGCAAAAGCAAGAAGATCACTCTCAGCCTTCCCTCACCCTTTCTTCCCTGAAGCAGATCTTAAAGCCTAAATTCCAGGGTTGCTCTCCCTGTAGCTGGAGGGAAGGAATGAGTCTGAACAAACAGGTCTTGCTAAGTTCCCCCAATTTGTTGCCATCAGATCCTGCCTTTTTATCCAATCATACTACTCTATGACTTCTTAATCAAACCTAGCATGAAAAATATACAGGTTTGTTCATTTTTTGAGTCTTTCTTTCTGAAGGTTCTGTTTCATCTAAAACATATCAAATAAACATGCATGCTTTTGTCTTGTGAATCTGTCTTTTGTTATAGGTGTGTCTGCCATGAATCTTGAGGTGGGTGAGGAATAAAGATACCTCATGACAGAAACATGCTTGAGTCTAGTTTTCTGGTATTTTGTGTTCTCCAGAGGAGACATTGGGTGCTCCAAAGTCAAGTTCACGCAACTGCATGGATTACTCTGATGACTTCAACTTTTGTTTATGCAAATATTTACAATTTATGTTTGATGTCCTATTCTTTTTTTTTTTTTTTGAGATGGAGTCTCACTCTGTCGCCCAGGCGGGAGCACAGTGGTGCAATCTCAGCTCACTACAACCTCTGCTTCCTGGGTTCAAGCAATTCTCCTGCCTCAGCCTCCTGAGTAGCTGGGGTTACAGGCGTATGCCACCACACCCAGCTAATTTTTGTATTTTTAGTAGAGACGGGGTTTCACTATGTTTGCCAAGCCAGTCTTGAACTCCTAACCTCAGTTGATCTGCCTGCCTAGTCTTCCCAAAGTGCTGGGATTACAGGCTCAAACCACCACAACCAGCCTGAGGTCCTATTATTGACTGTAGTTTATGTGTTAATGTATATAATACATGATCTTGTATTTCTAAACGATTTCACCTTCTTTGTGAGTGAAAAGGGGTGCTTTTAATCATACTTCACTGGGATAACTGGTACAACTCAGATTATTTACAGGTGTTTTTATTTGGCCCACGCTGTCTTTCCGTTTAAGTATGACACTTGTTCTTTGATGTATTTTCCTTTTGGGTTGACATGCATGCTATGGCAGACGCTGTCAGTGTCTTCCCTATATGCCCTCGTTGTGTACCTCCTTTGCCAGTAGGGCACACACACAGCCAACACCTGTAATCCTGCTTGATCTTTTTCTTTCTGCAGAAACACCTAAAAAATAAGTTTTATACCCATTCGAAGTCACTCTCCACTCTCACTGTTTCCCCAACCCCGGATATCCACTAATCTACTTTTTGGCTTCATGGATTTGACTATTCTGGACATTTTATATAAATGGAATCATACAACATATGGCCTTATTTGTCTGTTTTCTTTTTTAACTTAACAATGTTTTCAAGGTTCATCCATGGTGTAGAAAGCACTGGGACTTTATTTCTTATGGCTCCATATTATTCCTTAATGTTTCTGAGGTATACCACATTTTGTTTATCTGTTTATAAATTGATAAGACATTTTGGTTAGGCTTTCTGCTGTTTGGCTATTATTAATAATGCTACAACACACACACACACACACACACACACACATATATATATGTTTTTGCACAAACATATTTTTAATTCTTTTCAGTGTATAACTAGGGGGTGGAATTTTAAATCCTATGGATAGGTTTATCTTTTTGATGAACTGCGAAACTGTTTTCCATAGTTGCTAAACTATTTTGGATTTTTTACCAGTAACGCATGTGCATTTCAGTTTCTTCATATCTATTATATATATTTATCTATTTGTAAATATTTTCTCCCATACCATGGGTTGTCTTTTTATGTTCCTGGTAGTACTCTTTGATGGAATAAAGATTTTAATTTAGATAAAATTCAATTTATGTGTTTATTCGTTGGTCACTTGTGGTTCTATTGTCATATCTAAGAAATCTTTGCTTAGTCCAAGGTCACAAAGATTTATAGTTATATGTTCTAAAGCTTTATAGTTTTAGCTTGTACATTTAGGTCTTTGATTGACTTTGAATTAATTTTTGAATATGATGTAAAGTAGGAGTCCAAATCTATTTTTTTTACATGTAGATATTTATTTGTCCCGACAGCATTTGTGGAAAAGATGATTCTTTCCTCACTGAATGTACTTGGTAACCTCAAAATCACACATGTAAGCGTTTATCTCTGGGATCTATTCTATTTCATTGTTTTGCGTATCTATTCCTATATGACTATCACAGTGTATTTATTACTGTAGCTTTGTAGTAAATTTTGATATTAGGAATTGTGAGTTCTCCAACTGTGTTCTTTATTTTTTCAATATTGCTTGGATTATTTTGGGCCCCTTACTTTTCCACATGGATTTAAGGAACAGCTTATCCATTTCTGCAAAATGGCAGTTAGAATTTTGCTAGAAATTGCATTGAATCTGGGGAGTATTATCATGTTAACAAGATTATCTTCCAATCCATGAACATAGGTGCCTTTCCATTTATTTAGATTGTCTTTGATTTCCTTCAACAGTGTTTTATAGTTTTGATAAGATTCATATTTATTCAGTTAAATGTATTCCTAAGTATTATGTTCTTTTTGTTACTATTTTAAATGGAGTTTATTTTCTTAACTTCATTTAAGGTTGTTCATTGCTATTGTATAGAAACACAACTAATTTTTATATTGGCCTAGTATCTTACAACTTTAATGGATTCATCTATTAGCTGTAGGAGTTGAGAGTTTAGAGTTATGTACTCTTTCTCTACTAATTTTAATCTGGTCTAATCTGTCAGTGATCTAAACAATCACACAATAAAGAGATATATTTAGTTTAGTTTATATTTCTGGGCCTATTTATTAATATTTTAGTTAACTTTTGCCGAGGGCCTTCCCTACTTCTTTTGCTTCTGATCTTTACATTGAATATTTTTTCCTGTTCTGAGTTCATCCTCAGGAAAAAATAATTGATACAAATCTTTGCTAAACCCATTTATGCCTAGTGTTGCATTATTGGAACGCTAAGCCTGTGGGAGTTATTTTTATCCTACCGTTGAAGGTCATTGCCAAGGTCTCAACAAAAAAATTCAAAAAATTGTAACCTCAGGCATAAATGGCTTAATAGGAAAATAATCCTCATTGGCATGAATGATTGGGCCTATTCTCAACCTGACATGATTCTTTTCAGTTGGTCACCAAATATGACCATTTTTTGTCATTGAAACAATTCATCAAGTTTTACCAACTTGGTTAGTTCATTCACTGAATAAAGTTTGAAATTAAGATTTGGATTTTTCATAAGGGTATTGGTAAAGGAGGCTGTAATGACTTTTTAAATTATATGTATATATATACATTCTTATACTTATTTTATCTGATGTGCATAAATGTCTTAACACCTACTAACATTGAACTTACTATTAACTGAAGAACATTGAACAGAAATGTAAGTAGCTTTAAATATTAATTGTATTTTCCAATTATTTATTCACAGTCTCCATTTTGATTCCACTATTTTTCTTTTTAAACTAAATGATCTAAAAGAGCTTAAATTTTAATGAAATATATAAATGAATGAGTTATTTAGTAAGATTTTGTCAATAATATGCCTTTCACATATTAATTTTGCTTTGATTAATATAGTAATAATAAATCATCAAATAGCACTTAATTTTACATATTGTCTTCCCAAGCATTGTTTTATTTAATTTTCTCAAAGTTTTGCAAAATAAATATTACACTAATTTTAAATGTATAAAATAAAGGTCTCAAAAGATGATTATTTTTTAAATCACATAGACTAAATCTTTTTTTTTCCATATGTGCTTTATTTTGCAACGTACAAACACAGGCTCGCACAGGAACTGTGGAATAAGAGTTGAACATCACATAAAGAGACAAACTTTCAAGCTTTTCTCTTGAGAAAAAAAAGGAACTGTTATTTATTGACAATATACGATACAGTGGCAAACTTGTTCTACTTATGCATTGAGTGAACGTTCACTAATACCATGTGGTATAAATATAAATGTACATTTGCAAAGATAAGGCATAAATTACTTGTTCAAAAGGTATAAGAGTGAGAAAGACCAGGAATGGGAATTTAAAATAATATGGGCTTGCCGTCAAAGCCTGGTTTTTGTTTTTTATTGTATCAGGAATGGCACATAAGAATTGAAAATCCTAATTATACCATAGTTCTTTTCTAGAAACCACTGCATTTTGAAGATCACTATTTGCCAGAGACTAGCATAATACACCGATAGAAATATTGTTAAGTGACAAGTAAGAAAAATAATTTGGAAGGAATATATAACAAAACATACCTTATCTGTTTAGCAAAAATTAAATGACATATTTTAAAATTTTATATTACTAAGTTGTTTGTGAAAACTTCATATTTCTAAATCAGAGAACATATTAACATGTTGGAGAATTATAAAGATAGAAACTAATTGTTTGTCTTTAAATAAATGTTTAAATACATAATGTGTTTTCTGCTATAGTATATATATCAGGTTTTTTGGCAGTAGTTTTATTTTATTTTATTTTCTATCAGGTTTATTGAGGTATAATTTACCTGCAGTAAAATACAACCATTTTAATTTGTAGCTCTGTATGTTTTGACAAAGTACACATCCATGTAATGACCACCATAATCAAGATAATAGCCCAGCTCCATCGCCAAAAAAGAATTCCATGGTGGCCTTTTGTTGTCATCTTCCTGCCCACATTAAATAATCACCGATTTGTTGTAATTGAGTTGTGAGATTTTGTTTATTCTGAATACAAATCTCTTACTGGAAATGTGTTTTGCATACATTTTCCTTAGTTTTTATCGTCTCTTTTAATTTTTAATAACGCTTCTTAAAAATCAGAATATCTTAGTTTTATTAAAGTAGAGTTGGCCGGACACAGTGTCTCATGCCTATAATCCCAGCACTATGGCAGGCCAAGGTGGGCAGATCACCTGAGGTCAGGAGTTCAAGACCAGCCTGGCCAACATGGTGAAACCCCGTGTCTATTAAGAATATGAAAAAATTAGCCGGTCGTGGCAGCAGGCACCTGTAATCCCAGTTACTTGGGAGGCTGAGACAGAATTGCTTGAACCTGGGAGGCAGGGGTTGCAGTGAGCTGAGACCAGCCTGGGCAACAAGAGTGAAACTCCATCTCAAAAATAAATAAATAAATGAACAAACAAATAAAGTACAGTTTATCAAATATTTTATTTCAATGATCATGCTTTTGGGATTACAACTAAGAAATGTGTTTCTAAACCAAGGCCAAAAATATTTTATCCTGTTTTCCTCTTGAAATTTTATAATTTTATGTTTTATATTTAGGTATATGATCCATTTCAAGTTAATTTTTATATTAAGTATGTAGTGTGAATCAAGGTTAATTATTTTGTGTAGGAATGTTCAAAGGATCAAGCATATTTTTTGAAAAGACTGTCTCCTATCCATTGAATTGCCCTTGTACCTTTGTTGAAAACCAATTAGCCATATATGAATGCCTCTATTTTTGGACTCTGTTATTTTCCATTGATTGATATGGAGATACCATTTTGTAAATACCAACTCTGCATGCATTCTCAGGATAAATCACATTTGGGCATGATATTATGTGTATGTGTGTGTATATATATATATATATATATATATATATATATATATATATATACACACATATACATATATATTTGAGCAATTGTCAATTTCTCCTTTCAGTTTTTTCAGTTTTTGACTCATGTATCACGCAGCTCTGTTGTTAGGTGTGTACACATTTAGGACTGCAGTGTGTTGATAAATTGATGTCTTTATCATTAGGTACTTTTATTATCCTTTTATATCTCTAATAAATTTTCTGGTTCTGAAGTCTATTTTATCTCAATGAGGCTCTTGTCTCTTGGCTAGCATTTACTGGGCCTTTTTTTTTGTTTTTTCTTTGAGACGGAGTCTCACTCTGTCGCCTAGGCTGGAGTGCAGTGCAGTGGTGCAATCTCGGCTCACTGCAACCTCCACCTCCTGGGTTCAAGCAATTCTCCTGCCTCAGCCTCCGGAGTAGCTGGGCTTACAGGTGCACGCCACCACGCCCCACTTATTTTTGTATTTTTAGTAGAGACAGGGTTTCACCTTGTTAACCAGGATGGTCTCGATCTCCTGACCTTGTGATCTGCCTGCCTCAGCCTCCCACAGTGCTGGGATTACAGGCGTGAGCCACTGCACTCGGCCAGCGTTTTTATTTTTCTCATCCTTTTAACTTATCCGTGTCTTTATGTTTAAAATAGACTTTAAAAATGCATCACTAGGCCTTTTTTCTTAAACCCATTTGACAATTTCTGTTTTTAAATTGATACATTTGGATCATTTTATTTAATACAAATTTTGGTTTACTGGATAAATATTGACCATGATGTTGTTTTGCATATTTTTTATCTCGTTTCCTTTTTTGCCTGCTTCTTGATTGTGTAAATTTTATCATTCCATTTCATCTTCACTACTAGCTATTATTTATTATTTACGCCTCTTTATTTTAGAGTTTTTCATTATTTTCTTGGGATTTACATTGGTCAATCTAAAATAATCAGAAAGGTCAGAATCTGATTTAAGGAAATTAGTTCCAGCACAAAATTTAAGGAAGAGCCACCTGCCTGAGGAGCATGGATTCCAAAGAATGCAAGTCAGTGCTCCAAAGTGTAGAAGTCTGGGACTGCTTATATAGGTAAAGCTTAGGGGAGTTTAACAGAATTTCATCTTTCTTTATAAGGCATAATGCATAACTACAAAAATCTGACTAGTTGAGGTGGTCTTTTTGTTTCTGGAAACTATAACATTCTACACTGAAGATACAACTGTCATGGCCTCTTGGGTGCCATCTGGTCTGAGAAAGTTACAGAATGATAAAGCAGGCAGTTAATCCACAGCAAAGGTCCATGATAGGAAGGGGGCTGTCTAGTCTCTGGCCTCTCATAGGCATTTATGGGAACCAGAACAATGAGAGAGTTTAATCTTAGAAGTAGAACTGCAAACATGCTACTGACTCAGCCTCCAGAGCTTAACTTTCCCCTTAGCATAATACATTTAGAGGGTTCTGAAATTTTATTTTATTTTACACACTATAAACTCTAATGAATCATAGTCAACCTTCATGTAATATTATGCTGCTCCACAACAGTATGAGAATCTTATTCTCTTACATTTCCAATTCCTGTATTTATGCTATTTTGTTGTACATTTCACCTCTGTTTATGTTAAAAAACAAAAAGCTGTCCTGGCACGGTGGCTCACGCCTGTAATCCCAACACTTTGGGAGACCAAGGCGAGTGGATCATCTGAGGTCAGGAGTTTGAGAGCAGCCTGTCCAACACAGTGAAACCGCGTCTTTACTGAAAAATACAAAAATTAGCCAGATGTGGTGGCAGGCACCTGTAATCCCAGCTACTCAGGAGGCTGAGGCAGGAGAATTGCTTGAATCTGGAGGCAGAGGTTGCAGTAAACTGAGATAGTGCCACTGCACTCCAGCCTAGGTGACAGTAAGACTTTGTCTCAAAAAATAAATAAATAAAAAATAAAATAAAACCCCAAAAGCTTTGCTATTATTTTTACTTCAGGCACTTCTATTTTGAGTTATCTAAAATAAGAAAATTGTTTTCATGTTTACATATACTTTAACAGTTTTTCAAAAGTCTGTATCTTTTGTGTAGATCCTAGCTTCTCTCAGGTACCATTTCTGCTTAAATAACTGCTTTAAGAGTTCTTATAGTGTAAGTCTACTGGTAATACATTCTTTCAGCTTTTGGTTCACTTAATAACATATGTATTTTTAATTTACTTAAAAGTATTTGACACTTGTTTGTTTTTTTTTTGTTTTTCTTTTAGCTTTGTGTTGTCTTCTATGGTAGAGGGTTTGTTCTTTTCCCTTTCCCTGCCTCAATTAGTCTTTACATATGCCCTGAAGGATATGGTATTCCCTGCCTTCACCGAGTTACTTCAGCCCTCTACTTTTTTTTTTTTTTTTTTTTGAGATGGAGTCTTGCTCTGTCTCATGGGCTGGAATGCAGTGGCACAGTCTTAGCTCACTGCAACCTCCATCTCCCAGGTTCAAGTGATTCTCTGCCCCAGCCTCCCAAGTAGCTGGGATTACAGGCACTTGCCACCACACTCAGCTAATTTCTGTATTTTTAGTAGAGATGGGGTTTCACCATGTTGGCCAGGCTGGTCTCGAACTCCTGACCTCAGGTGATCCACCCGCCTCGGCCTCCCAAAGTGCTAGGATTACAGGCGTCAGCCACTGGGTCTGGCCCAACCCTCTACTCTTTAGGGGAGAAGGGCCCAGGCAGAGCTGGATTCCACTCCATAGCAGTGGCCACTCCCTCTCTCAGGCTGTACCACTGAGGGGTCTTTCTCAGGTCTCCCACCTCACCTTTTAAATCTATTCTGGTTATCTATTGCTGCATCCTAAATAATCCACATTTAGCAGCTAAAACAACACACAGATGATCTCATCATTTGAAGGTGTGCAGGCAACGGCTTCACTGGGCCTGTGATAAGGGACCTCTCACAAGGTGCATGCAGGATTCTGGCTGGGGCTACAGATTTTGTGGGGGATTGATCTGCCTCAGAGCTCACTTGAGAGTTGTTAGCAGGGTTCAATTCCTTAAGGCTGTTGTGCTGAAGGCCTCAGTTCCCTGCTGGCAATTGGGCATTGGCTGCCATTAGTCCTTTGTCAGGTGGGTCACCCCGACTTGTGGACCTTGAGGACCAGGACATAAGAAGAGCTGGAGACAGAGAGTTCTGGCAAGCAGGACAGAAGTAATCTTTCTTTACAACCCAATCTTAAATGGGCATTCCATCACTTTTCCTGTGCTCTAACAATCAGAAGCAAGTCCCCAGGTCCAGCACACACGAAAAGAGCAAAGATTACACAAGGCAGTGAATACCAGGAGGGGGAATCACTGACAGTCACTTTAGAAGCTGCCTGCCACACTGCAATTTCTGTCCCTCAGTGATTCACATTTCTTATAAATGCACCATGCATTCACTTCCTCCTGAGGGCTTTAGAAGTCTCATTTCATGATAGTGGCGGTTCAAAGCCCATAATCCCATTATTTAAATCAACTCCACATCTTGCAGCTGGTCCATAAAGTAAACTCTACAGAAGCAAACAAATTTCCTTTGTATCTGTGGCCGCTAGAGTTACTCTATTTTCATCCTGAGCTATATTTGCTCTTTAGGAACCCACCAACTCTTTTAGCTACATTCTTCCTACCTGCATGTAGCTGTCATCCTTGCCTTCTTTCCGTGCTCTGCCACAGGTCATCCAATGTTTGCAGCCCATCTCTGTTATTGTAGGAGGCACCTCTCTTTCCTTCATTTTAAACTATTTAATTGCCCTGCAATTCAGCTCTCTGATGGGTTCAGAAAGTCATGACCCTGAATATCACTCGTTTTTAAATGTAATTTTAATAAAGACACATTTTCCAGATGCCTACACCATCAGCAGAAGCTGGAAGTTCTGTCTGTAATTTTTTGACCTTATAACTCAGTATATTTAAAAAGTTAATGATACATCTAGCTCCCTGCATTTGTGGTTTTGACCTTCATTCCTTAGTGTCCTGCTGTAGTTTCTCCAACATCCTCACATAAGATTAAACATTACACTAAAACATGACTCAAATCTGGAGACGACATTTCCCAAGATAGTTGATGCTTTCAACAGACTTTGTTAATAAGTGTCTTTGAAACACAGTCTCATTATAGAAATAAGTATATTAATGTACAAATGAAAAACTAGTTAATATATTTCTTTTTACTATTCCTGGAAAAATTATGTCGGGAACACATTTTTTTAAATTATACTTTAAGTTCTAGGGTACATGTGCACAACCTGCAGGTTTGTTACATATGTATACATGTGCCATGTTGGTGTGCTGCACCCATTAACTCATCATTTACATTAGGTACATCTAATGCTATCCCTCCCCACTCCCCCCATCCCACGACAAGCCCCAGTGTGTGATGTTCCCCTTCCTGTGTCCAAGTGTTCTCATTGTTCAATTCCCACCTATGAGTGAGAACATGCAGTGTTTGTTTTTTTGTCCTTGCGATAATTTGCTGAGAATGATGGTTTCCAGCTTCATCCGTGTCCCTACAAAGGACATGAACTCATCATTTTTTATGGCTGCATAGTATTCCATGGTGTATATGTGCCACATTTTCTTAATCCAGTCTATCACTGATAGACATTTGGGTTGGTTCCAAGTCTTTGCTGATGTGAATAGTGCCACAATAAACATACGTGTGCATGTGTCTTTATAGCAGCATGATTTATAATCCTTTGGGTATATACCCAGTAATGGGATGACTGGGTTATGGTATTTCTAGTTCTAGATCCTTGAGGAATTGCCACACTGTCTTCCACAATGGTTGAACTAGTTTACACTCCCACCAACAGTGTAAAAGGGGAACACATTTTTTAAAATTTCAATTTATGCTTTATTTTATTGAGTGTCTTTTAAAAATTTAGTTTGACCTTATTTCTTGAGTATGGCTAAACTGATAAGTATGTATAGTATATCCTTTCAAGGATGTCATTGCCTCAGAATCATAGTGATGCAGCAACTGTAAGACTATCTAGCATACCTTAAAACTGAGGGTGATGAGAAAACAGTCTGCAAAATATGCAATAACATTTGGTGAAATACCGTTTACAAAGAAAAAATCGATGAGAGTAGAATGAATAATAAATGTACGTCAGTTTATTGAACACACTAAGAAAATATCACTTTTGTGAATTGGCAATTTTTGTAACCAGCATGAACTCTTACCTCACTGTCTTGAAAAGGGAATACTATCTTTTAAGTTGTCCCCTGATAAGTATTTAGTAATACGAACAAAATATGAAGAACTTGAATAAGGTGGAAAGGTGAAAACCTGTTACGTTCTGTAAAAGGTGATCTATATTTCAGTGACTTGGATGCTTGGATGCTTGGAGGTGGGTGGAGACAACTGTGCTCCCCAGCTTTTATTTATTTATTTATTTATTTATTTATTCATTTATTTTTATTTTTGAGACAGAATTTCTCTCTGTCGCCCAGGCTAGAGTGCAGTGGCATGATCTTTGATCACTGCAACCTCCACCTCCTGAGTTCAAGTGATTCTCATGCCTCAAGCCTCCCGAGTAGCTGGGACTACAGGCCCACACCACCACACCTGGCTAATTTTTAAAATTTTTTGGTAGAGACGGGGTTTCGCCATGTTGGTCAGGCTAATCTCAAACTCCTGACCTCAGGGGATCCAGCCGCCTTGGCCTCCCAGTGTGCTGGGATTATAGGCGTGAGCCACCGTGCCTGGCCCTCCCCAGCTTTTAGCTCCTGAAGCATCTGGGTGTAGACCTCCTAGTCATCCACATCACGTTCTCCCATTCTACCACTTGGTTCAGACTAGTAGTTCTGAGAGTTGTTGTTTTCTTTCCTGTTTCTAGTGCACTTCTGGATAAGGATACACTCTATCATTTGGTTCAGACTAGTAGTTCTGAGAGTTGTTGTTTTCTTTCCTGTTTCTAGTGCACTTCTGGATAAGGATACACTCTATCATTTGGTTCAGTGTCAGGACTGTTGTTGAGGCTTCCTTCTTCCTGTTTATAACCTGCAGCTACTAGCACAAATGAGGGGTGCTGGCATTTGCACAGAGGTGTATACTAATGTTTTTGTCCATTTCACACTGCTGATAAGACATACTGGAGACTGTATAATTTATAAAGAAAAAGAGGTTTAATGTACTCACAGTTCCACGTGGCTGAGGAGGCCTCACAATCGTGGCAGAAGGCAAAAGGTACATGTTACATGGCAGCAGACAAGAGAGAATAACAGAACTTCTGCAGGGACACTCCCCTTTGAAACCATCAGATTTCCTGAGGCTTATTCACTATTATGAGAACAGCATAGAAAAGATCCACCCCCATGATTCAATTACCTTCCACCGAGTCCCTCTCATGAGACGTAGGAATTGTGGGAACTGTGATTCAACATGAGATTTGGGTGTTTGCTACAACAGCTTTCTGTAATTTTGTAGAATTCCAGTAAATATTGTTCATTGCTTAGTTTCACTCATCTCATCCATAGGTCATAGTGTCCTGGTTGTTTCAAACTAAAATAACACTACAACAATCATTTAGTTCCATTTATAAAGCATTGTCTAGGATCATTTAGAAAATCATCTAGGGCCACTTAGAAGTCTATTTATCCCCAGCGAATACGTCATAGTCACATATTACCCTACATGTCAGACTCCATTGTAGTTCCTATGCATTGTCTAGGCATCTAAGATCTTTCTCCAAATTGGTGTTTACAGGCAAAGGGTCTTCCTGTGACTATGCATAGGACTCATCCCGTAACTGGAGTTCCACAGTGTCCCATGAAAATTTTATTTGGGTGAAATATCTTAGGTCCTTTATTCATTTGTTAGATCAGTAAAAACTTATAAAAGAAATGCTCTGCTATATAAGCATTTTAGTTTTCATTGAGAAACACACTAAATATCCGTGATTGACAGAATTCATTTAAAAACATAACATTCAACCAATATTTAGAAGTCTACCATTGTAATGTGTAATTTTTTTTTTTTTTTTTTTTTGAGACAAAGTCTCGCACTATCGCCCAGGCTGGAGTGCAGTGGTGCAATCTCGGCTCACTGCAAGCTCCGCCTCCTGGGTTCATGCCATTGTCCTGCCTCAGCCTCCCGAGTAGCTGGGACTACAGGCGCCCACCACCACGCCTGGCTAATTTTTTTGTATTTTTAGTAGAGACGGTGTTTCACCATGTTAGCCAGGATGGTTTCCATCTCCTGACCTCATTATCCGCCCGCCTCAGCCTCCCAAAGTGCTGGGATTACAGGCGTGAGCCACCGCACCCGGCCTGTACTGTGTAATTCTTAAAATGCTCTTTATGACGTGTACAAAGTTTAAATATTGCAACAATACTCTGAGCATTGTGCTAGATATGTTGAGATAGTTTGAAAATGGAAGAGAGTTACAGTAAAAATTCATATACATTTAAAGGAAAATACAACTATGAATATCTTGGATTTGGGAATCCAGTAAGCTTTTGGAAGTAATATTCACACTCCCCTCTCTCATTTATTTTAAATAAAACCTGCTAGAAACTGTTAGTAGAAGAATACTTTTTTTTCAAAAGGAATTGAATTATAATTGGGCAACCCTTTCAAATGTACAAAAATTTACTGATAATGAAGCCCAAAACATTCATAAATGATAGTCTTATCTGAATTTAAGAGCTCCTGTCTCAACTAGATAGACCTGGAATGCGTAAGGTATAAACAATATTCACCCATTAGGACCTCGAAGTTCAATGCATTGACTCTACAGGTTGACAATCCATGTTCACGTATTCTTAATTGTTCCGTAGAGACTCAGAGGGCAACAATCCAAGTCTGTACACTTTCCTCAGGGACAAACAAAAACACTAGCAGCAAGAATAAAAGCACTTGGGAAACCATCTTATCTTTCAACCTGAGCCATGGCCTCTATTTTCTTACCTTCTAATTTAATCTTATCACCAACACTGACAACTTTCAAGGGAGCTTTATTTTTTTATTTTTGAGATAGCAATGGTTTTAATAAAGGATTATTTCACTGTTTTATAAATGCGTATCTATTTTGAATATGAGTTTCTGTAAAAACGTCGTTTTTTAATTTTATCAATGTTTCTTAATTTCAATGTCCTCAATAATCTATCTTCTCAATACTATTATTTTATGAAACTCATAATGGAAGTATCAGAATGAATAAAATCTGATGTGAATTCCTCATTTGAGAAGATAATTAAAACAATGTTAGTGTATTTCTGGAATGTGTAATAGTAACCTGCTACATATATAGATACATATTTAAAGGCAATACTGCTGTCTCTGTGAGAGTGCACACAGAGCAAGTCTGCTGCCTTGGAAATTGAAGCAAAGGAAAAGCATTAAATCCATATTCTTACCTGTCATGGAAAGCATGACAGGTATCAGCAGGTAAGCCTGGTGTGTTCAGATTTGACTTGTAGGAAGGCTTGCCCATAAAAGGGGTGACATATGAAAAACGGCTACATAAAAATTCCTAAATGAGGAAAGTAAATGTGTATATTTTTGATCAGTAAGGATAAGGACACATCAAAGTGATGCTTAGTGGCAATAAATTATACCCATAAATGTAAACCATTTTGATTTTAGGTAAATTTAGTTTCTCAAAACAAATTTATCTCTGACTTGCTATATAATATGTAAAACTGTGTACTTCATATATGAAAATGAAATAGCTACAAAACAATCTTTTCTACAAAATGAATATTGGGAAAATCTTTTCTGCCTTTATTTTTATATTTACTTTAGTAAGTGTTGTGCCATGGGAAGTAATATGATATCTTTTTATTTCAGAGCATAAACATACAAAGAAATGGTTAGAATTTTAGATGAAAATGTATTCTAACGATACTATCCTACCTGCTTACTTCTAATGATTTTCTAAGATTTTAGAGTCCTGACTGGTAGGTAGTTTTCATCACACGTACATGGGTTCTGATGACAGGGCTTGGTTTGAATTCTGGCTACCTAGTTTATTGAGGCTTGTCCAACTTTAGAAAGCTACTTATTTCAATAAGCCTGAGATGAGTTGATGTCAGCTGAACTGTGTCAACAAAATTCATATGTGGAAGTTCTAATGCCCAGTACCTTATAATATGACTGTATTTGGAGATGGAGTACTTAAAGAAGTGATTACTTTAAAATGAAGTCTTTGGGCAGGCCCTAATTCAATACAACTAGTGTCCTTATAAGAAGAGATAAGGACACAGACACACACAGAGGGAAGACCATGTGAGTAAACAGGAAGAAGGTGGCCATCTGCAAGTCCAGAAGAGAGGCCTCCCAAGAACCAACCCGGCCAGCACGTTGACCTCAAACTTCCAGCCTCTGGGACTGTGAGAAGGTATAATTCTGTTGTCTAAGACACCTAGGTAGTACTTTGTGATGGTAGCCCATGCAGACTAGGGCCTGGGCGTCCTTGGAAAAAATAGGAAAAAAAAAATATATATATATATATTATATATTATATATATGTGGGCTGTTTTGATGATTAAATAAGTTGTTGCTAATTAGTGATACCCTATTTGCACCTCACTCACATTTCATAGTAAAGGTCTATAACTCTTGCCTCTCTAATTATCATTTATATAATAGTTTGCCTGGGCTTCTGCCCTGTTTCTTACTAAATGAGACAATATGTGGCTCCCAATGGAACACCCTGGGCACAGCTGGTTTAAAGAGACTTGGTCAATTGGTATCATTATTTTCAGTAGACTATAACCAAAATATTATTGTTGAGGAACAAGCCTGTGTGTACAGTATTTCTTGTCACATCATGATCAATACAATTCAGACATATAAAATCTGAATTCCGAAAGCATAACATTTAATAAAATCTTTGAATAAAATGATATCAATAAGGCCTTATTTGGCTAGTATAAAACAAGATAAAAATTACAGTTTGAACAATAACAACTTATAAGATTAGAAATGAGAAAGTATTTATTGTATAAGGGATTAAGAAAGAGAAAAATTAGGAATTCAATAACTTGTCATGTTAAAAAGGCATGCAAAAATTCTAAAGCAACCATTCACTGGCCATATATAAGACGGATAGCTTCTAATCTTAAGGAAGAAAACCATTTTGAGAAATAGAACAATATATTTTAAAGTCACTAATAAATAAAAAGATGTAAAGATAAGAAAAATGAAGATAAAATAAGAACATTTGAAAATCGCAACATAAGATGAAATAGATACTTCCAAATACATCACCATTGACTGTTAACATACATTTACTTTTCCAGTATCAAACTTAGATTGATAAATTCCACTCTCTACTGAAAATTCTGGTTCACAACATAATTATCTATCCTATATCTAAGAATATTAAAACAACTATATGAAAAGTGCCACCACCAATATGATCACTGAAAGGAGGTAATTTTAGATTTTCTCATAGTACTTTTATTTTCAGCTTGCATAGTGTTTGAGTTGTCGTTTCGTGTGTTGCATTTTAAAAGTACTTGGAATAGTTCCACTCTGCAAGGTTTTGTCACCAATAGATACACTTTAGTTCATTTTTAGTTCACTTTTTACTTGTTTTTAATAGCTTGATTTAAAAATATGTATTTTTTTATATTTCAATAAGGTATGTTAGAAAAGGATGAACTTCTGTTCCTTACTGCTCAATACTGTTCCCTTCCTCTTTTCATAACTGTTCAAAATATTTTGGTTGATTCTTCCATGTTTAAATATGAACGTGTATGTATATGCTTATATTCTTTAGTTTTTCGATGAAAAGTAACATAACCTGCACATTTCTGTCCAATTTGCTTTTATTTGTTGAGTTCAATCCAAAACAGTGTATAGTTTCTTCTTAGCATTTCAGAGCTGTTTAATAGGCCCAGTTGGGGGCTTATTCCACAAATCTGCTGTCGATGAACATTTCAGTTATGTCCGAACCTATATACTATGAGTAGTGCTGCACAAATTAGGAAAGAAGCCTATGGAATTTTGTAGATTTAATAAAAAATTGAGTAGTTTTAATTTTCATTTTATCTTCTTCAAAACATATTAGCTGAACTCCTTCTTGTTTACTTAGTAATTGATATCGTCCAAATATGTTCCCTAAAATTCATTTGTTGAAATTTAATTGCCATTGTGATTGTATTAAGAAGTAAGGCCTTTGGGAGCTGATTAGATTATGAGGGCAAAGCCTTCATGAATGGGATTAGCAGTCTTATAAAAGGGCTGGAGGGAAGAAGCATTTGCCCTTTCTGCCCATCCCTCCTTTCTGCCATGTTATGACACAGTGCTCCCCCTGTCCAGAGGGTACAGCAGTAATGCAGTATCTTAAAATCAGAAGGCAGCCGTCACAGAACACTGAACCGGCAGGCACCTTGACCATGGACTTCCCAGCTCCAGAACTGTGAGAAATGAATTCCTACCATTTATAAATCACCCAATCTGGAATGTCTTTATAGTGGCACAGATGGCCTAAGACAGTGATTATCTTATGGTTTATAATATATAGCTTTAGTCTACAACAATCAGCCTTCAAATAATATTATGTCACCTGCCCATGTTCCATTTTTGGGTTCATTATTCTTTTTGTAGATCTAGGTTTATGTCTATTACATTTTTCCTTCCCCCCAAAGACTTCCTTTAGTTTCTTATAGTGTGGGTTTGCTGTTGATGATGTCTTTCAGCTTCTGTGAAGCAAAATAGTCCTTATTTTTGCCTGTTTCTGAAAGATAGTCAACAAAGTATTACACTTTATTGTATGCAATTATAGGGTGCTTTTGATCCTTCTTTCACTTTGTTAAAGATTTTACTCTTCCTAGTTTACCTATAATATACCTAAACCACTACCAATAATCTTTCTGGTTTACGTATTTTTTTTGATGAGAAATATGTTTGCTAATACACAATGAATTTGTCTTTTCTTCTCTCAAATATGACTGATTTTTAGTTTTCTTTTTGTCGATAGTTTTAAGAATTTTGAGTACAGTATCACTTGGTGTAGTTTCTTTTGCCTGATGTTCATGGAACTTCTGGAATCTGGAATCTGTGGGTTCATAATTTTCAAAAGTTTTTTGTTTGTTTGTTTTTTAAGAGACATGATTTCACTCTGTCACCTGGGCTGTGGTGCAGTTGCAAGATAAGAGCTCACTCTTACCTCAAACTCCAGGGCTCAAATAATCCTCCAGCTTCAGCCTCCTGAGTAACTGGTACTACAGGCATGAATGCAGCTTATTTTTAAAAATTTTTTTTGTAAGGATGAGGTCTCTCTGTGTTGCTCAGGCTGGTCTCAAACTCGACCTCAAGTGATCCTCCCGCCTCAGTCACCCAAAGCACTGGGATTACAGATGTGAGCCACTGCACCTGACCTCAATTCCTTTTTAAATGGTAATTATTCTTCAAATATTTTTTCTATGACTCTTCTTTAAGGACTCCAATGGCACATTTATTAGGCCACTTGAAGTTTTCGCACAGCTCACTGATGTGAGGACTTCATATTTGTACATATTTTTCTTCTGCAGTTTACTTTTCATCTCAGCTATTGTATTTGTTTACTTCTAAAATTTCCATATAGGGTCTTTTAAAATATTTCCCATATCTTTACTTAAGATGCCCAATCTTTATCTTCTTGAAGGTATGGATTAAATTATACAAAATATTTAAAGTCATTTTCTGTTATTCCTATCATTTGTGTCATTCTGCATCTGCTTCTGTTGATTGACTTTTCTTCTTATTCTGAGTCATATTTTATGCCATTATTGAGTGACTTTATTTTTAAATCAGTTTACAGATCTTGTGGATTTTAGTTGTTGGGAGCTATTTAGGCAGAACAAGGGATACCTTTCATCTAGGGATAATTTTTCACCAATCTCAAGGCCATACACTTCTGAGCATCTATCTGAGTGTGCTTTATTTACAAAGCTTTCCATGATGCTGAGGGAGTACCAATAACATTTGTGTGAGCTCCCAAATGTGTTCCTTCTGCCTCCTTGTGAGTGGTTCCTTCCCTAGTCTCAGGAAGCCAGCACATGCATTGATCTGTCCCATGGTTAGATGCCCATGGGGCCCCTCCAGAGCTCTGAAGCTTGACCACTGTGCAATTCACCCCTCTCTGGTATTAACCTGTGAATTGTAGCTGTCTTGACTTTCCTGGCCTCCTGGCTCCATTCTTTCAATTCTGGGAGACTACCAGCCTCTACTTGATTGTGTTCTTACTGGTCAGTGACCTGAAACTCTCCCAGAAGTTAGCTGGGAAAATCTTAGCTCAGTCTCTTCCCTTTATCTCAAGGATCACTGTCTAGAGTTGCCAAATGTCCAATATCTGAAAAATATTTTAATTTTTATAATATGTGTTTTTAGTTAGTTTAAGGGGGAGGTGTTTTTACTGGACATTGACTCTAACTTAACAGTTTACTTATCACCATTAAAGATATTATTCGATGTATTCTTGTTTCCAACATTCTTTTTTGAGAAGTGAGCTGTTGATACTATTGTCATTTCATTTAGATTTTTTGTCCTTGTCAAGATTTTTCTCATTTTATATTTTTCAACAGCTTGAATATGTGTTCCTAATGATATTTTCTACATTGTTATCTTACCTTGGTATCACTTGGTTCCTTAAAATTTGTTTTTCTTTTTTCTTTTTTTTTTTTTTAACCAGTTTTGGAACAACCTTAAGAATTGTCTTTTGTTTGTTTTTCTATTTGTGTGATCTTTGAAGTTTATTGACGTGAAGTAGTTCATTGTACTTTTATGATTTACAGAATATCTACATGGTCTGTGATTATGTCCCCATTATTATTTTTATTATTGTTTTTTTCTGTTTGTTTAGTTATTTGTCTAATTTCACCATAAGTATTCCCATTTCCCTATTATTTCAAAAGACAAATCCAGGACATAGTGACTTTCTATATTATACTTGTTTAATCCCAGTTTTTGCTCTTACATTTATTATTTGTTTTTAATTTATTTTTTTACTTTTTGAGATGGGTAAGTAGGTAATCAAGATTTTAATAAACTTTGAGAATAGTTTTAGATTTACAGAATATTTGCAAAGAAAGTATAGAGTTTCCCTATAACTTGCACCCAGTTCCCTCTATTATGAAGAAAGTACATTAGTATTGGACATTCATTACTTTTTTTAATTCATACATTAGTAACTAAAATTCATTCTGTATTGGGATTTCCTTCCTTTTTATCCCCTTTTTTTTCTATTTTGGGATACCACATTCCATTTAGTCATGTGTTTTGGGGAGGAAGATAACAGATTAAGTACAATTTTTATCATATGATATCAAAGATACACAAATTATCAACGTGACTTTCATGGTTGATATGGAGCTTGATCACACGGCAAAGATAATGTTTGCCCTGTTTTCCACCAAAATCCACCTGCTTTTGCACGGTATACTCTTTGGAAGGAAGTCAATCTGCACAGCCTGAACTTAAGGAGTGGAGAGTTATGCTTCACCTTCTTGAGATGAAGTATCCAAACAAATTACTTAAAATTATTCTGCATGGGAGATTCATTTTTTTCCCCATTTTCAAACTTTATTCAATGTTCCATTTCTGTCAGGGTGAATTCATGAATATTTATTTCAAACTTTAGTAATAATCCATTAGCACTTTTTTCATGTTGTTGCTTGGGTTGCTTCAGCTTTGACAATTAGGACTTTTAGTGGGCTCTTGGGTGCATTTGACATATTCCGTTATTGTGTGTACGTGTGTGTGTGTGTGTACCCAGCACTTCTTCACTTCCTTACTTCCTGCCACAATAGGCTGCTCCAGGCTTATCTTGTATATTTCTTGTTCAGCCCTAGAATCTACCATTTCTCCGAGGACGCTGATTTCTGTTTATTGGAGAATGGTTTTAGATCTGAGACCTAGGTGCATAAGCTCATCATTGCCTAGGTTTCATAACTTCTAAGCCCTCTCAGGTGACAGAGCAAAAAAAATGTTTGAGTGTACACTAACCTGCACATTTACATGTACCTATAAATATGTTTGTATGTAAATACCTGTATCTATATTTGACTAAGTATAAATTCATACTGATGTCTTCAATTCTAATTAATTGATTATCACTAGGATCATTCTAATCTCCATTCGCTTCTTATCTATGAAATCCTTCTCCAACAATGAGAAACCTCACACCATTATTTGCCATCTATTAACTTCATTGTGAAATTCCAGGATATACTTATTGGAATAATAAAATTGCTAACCATAGACCTGGAAATAACTTTATCATTGGAAATACAATGCCTATGTAGTGTCTTTTGCCTTACTTTTGTATTCCATTTA
Source organism: Homo sapiens (assembly GCF_000001405.40). Taxonomy (NCBI): domain Eukaryota; kingdom Metazoa; phylum Chordata; class Mammalia; order Primates; family Hominidae; genus Homo; species Homo sapiens. The sequence goes on from NC_000007.14 coordinate 53,410,052, forward strand.
TTTTCAAATTTAGTCAATCAGGTTTCATTTCCTATTTTCTTCAAGGACAGCATACTTGTCATGGTGAACCTAGTTGAACATTGTAATTTGTATTTTTATTATTAAAATAATGTATACATACTCATGAATTTTTTCTCTGCAATGTATCATTGTCAAAATCCAATGTATTCTTTATAACTGTTTTAAAAGTAATTTATTTTATTTATTTCTATTTTAGAGATGGGTTCTCACTGTGTTGCTCAGGCTGGAATACAGTAGCTATTCACTTGGAGATCATAGTGTGCTATAGCTTTAAACTTCTGGGCTCAAGCAATTCTCCTGCCTCAGCCTCCTGAGCACCTGGGGCTACAGGCATGTACCACTATGCCAGACACATAATTCTTTTTAAATGTCTGCCTAGAAATCTGTTTTTCATGCACATTTACATGTATGTATGTGCACATGTGTGTGCATATATTGAATACATATATATACTTTCTCTTTGTAATTGTATATTAAATGGATACAGCAGGATAGGTGAGTACACGTGCACTTTTATCTCAGCCATAACAATGAGAATGGCCACAAGTGTCAGTAAAATGCATTTAGATAAAAATTGTAGTGACCTTTGAGTGATCATACACACATTTTTCAAGACCATTTTTAATTTTACAACTTTTCTATATTGAGTATATATTAGATTTAGATATGAAACAAAAATTATGAAAGTATATGAAATATAGACATTTATCTCTATGTATTTATCTGTGTTTATTTCCCTTGACATGTGTTTTCAATTTCCTCAACTTTACTTATTTTTTAGTGTTCCAGTATTTACTTATAGTAAATATTATATTATTGTTTTCTAAATGAAACTTAATTTGCTTTGTTGCCTAGTGAGTGAGATAACAATACCCATGCACCAGATGAAAGCTGCATAAGATCCTGTCTCTAAAACTTTTTGCCAATTTGATAATAATATTATTAATATTAAACTTAGATCTAGGCTGGTTCTGTACTTTTACAATTGCAAATTGTGCTGCTATAAACATGCGTCTGCAAGTATCTTTTTCATATAATAACGTATTTTTCTCTGGGTAGATGCCCAGTAATGGCATTGCTGGATCAAACGGTAGTTCCACTTTTAGTTCTTTAAGGAATCTCCATACTGTTTTTTCATAGTGGTTGTACTAGCTTACATTCCCACCAGCAGTGTGAAAGTGTTCCCTTTTTACCACATGCATGCCAACATCTATTATTTTTTGACTTTTTAATTATGGGAATTCATGCAGGAGTAAGGTAGTATCTCATTGTGGTTTTAATTTGCATTTCCCTGATAATTAGTGATAACTTTTGCATATGTTTATTGGCCATTTGTATATTTTCTCTGGAGAATTGTTCACTCATTTCCTTTACCCACTTTTTTTTGTTGTTGTTGTTTTGAGACGGAGTCTCGCTCTCGCCCAGGCTGGAGTGCAGTGGCACGATCTCGGCTCACTGCAAGCTCCGCCTCCCAGGTTCACGCCATTCTCCTGCCTCAGCCTCCCAAGTAGCTGGGACTACAGGCGCCCGCTACCATGCCTGGCTAATTTTTTTGTATTTTTAGTAGAGACGAGGTTTCACCATGTTAGCCAGGATGGTTTCGATCTCCTGACCTCGTGATCTGCCCGCCTCGGCCTCCCAAAGTGCCGGGATTACAGGCGTGAGCCAACGCACCCTTGATGGAATTATTTGCTTTTATCTTGCTGATTTGTTTAAGTTCCTTGTAGATTCTGGATATTCGTCCTTTGTCAGATGCATAGTTTATGAATATTTCCTCTTATTCTGTGGTTTGACTGTTTGCTGATTATTTCTTTTGTTGTGCAGAGTTTTTTAGTTTAATTAGGTCCTATCTATTTATTTTTGTTGCATTGCTTTTGGGTTCGTGGTCATGAACTCTTTGCAGGAATTTTTCTGATGTTATCATATGGAATTTTTATGGTTTCCGGTCTTAGATTTAAGCCTTTGATACATCTTGAGTTGATTTTTGTATAAGGCGAGATATGAAAATCTAGTTTCATTCTTCTACATGTGGCTTGATATACCATGGAATGTTACTCAGTCATAAAAAGAAATGAAATAATGGCATTCACAGCAACCTGGATGGAGTTGGACACCATTATTCTAAATGAAGTAACTCAGGAATGGAAAACCAAACATTGTATATTCTCACTTGTAAGTGGGAGCTAAGCTATGAGGATGCAAAGACATAAGAATGATATAATGGATTATGGGGACTTCAGGGTTGAGGGATAAAAGACAACAAATTGGGTACAGTGTACACTGCTTGGGTGATGGGTGCACCAAAATCTCAGAAATCACACCTAAAGAACTTATGCATATAACCAAACACCACCTGTTCCCCCAAAACTATTGAAAGAATAATAATATTAAAAGGAAATAAATACAAATAGAATAAATTTAAATCTCTTTATTTATAATCATGTTAATTTTTGGACATTATTGTTTTCTATTTTTCATATCTTTTTTCAATTATATTTCTAAGTCTTTGACACAACCAACTTTTATAGAATAAAAATCAGTCTTTTTGTATTATTATTTTTAATTGACATAATAATTATACATAATGATAAGGCACAGTATTATATTTCAATAGATGTATGCAATCAATATTGATCAATTCAGGGCAATTGGCATATCCATCACCTCAAACACTTATTGCTTCTTTCCTTTGACATACATTTTCATAATATTTTCAGATAGGAAACTAGTTTTCTGAATTCTATATTTCCAATATTTTTGTAATCTGTGATATCTCTGAATTATCATATTTAAGTTGATGTGTTGGTTACTTTTAGCTTTAAATTAGAAATCTTGAAACACATCTCCTATTAAGTAGAACTTGGGTCAAACTTTTACATCCTTATTGAGTGTTTGGGTCAAGAGTTCTTTCATTCCAGGTGTTTATGTTTTACTGATGAAATAAAATGCATGTAGTATTTGATGCTAATTTGAAGCTGACCTCTAGAAACTTAGTTTGCATTGGCAATAATTCATTTAATGGATTTCTCAACTAATCAGACACAATTAATTTATAGTCTTTGGTGCAGAAAGAAATTCCAAGCAACATGAGCAGCCAGTCTCTTTATAATCGTGCACTTTCAGTGCACAGCAGTAACACACAATCAATAGGTAGTCACATCTGATTAGCATCTCACATTTAGAGAGTGCACTGTCTCAATCTCAGAGTTCTCAGTAAATGAGAATGCATCTTAGAGTTGGAAAGTATGTGATTTGGGCCTGTAGTAACCAACATACTCCATTCTAAATCAAATTGTCAATCCTCAAATATGTAATTTCTAAGAACTGGATACGTTACTCAAAGTTCCACAGCTTTCAAATGAACATAGAGAAGAGTTTTCCCCTTCTGGCTCACTCTTATTTTCTTTAAAATTATGCCAGTCACAGTGCTCAGCTGATCATCTATCTATCTGTACAGATGGATTATTTTGAGGTCTAGCCTACCAGGTTCTTCAGCTCATCTCCAACGAACTTGTCTTCCTCCCTGCTTCAGCCACACATTCCAACAGTTATACTCTGAGACTTTATCATTACCTACTCAAGTCCCCCTCCCCGAATATTATTCCTAAAATTTCATGGTCTTCCTAGTGAATCCTGCCTTTTCATATCACCTTCTCACGTACTGAAAATCTATCAAAAGTTTGGCTCCAAATACATAGTCCTCGATGTACTAATCTTGCCACAATTTACTAACAACAACCCCATTTATTCTGTATGTTCCACTTAGTTTATCCAGTTTAAATTAGCTGGTCATTCCTTATACCCTTTCCCTTGCTCGTGATCAAGACTACCTTTACCCCTTGAAAGGACAATAAAAATGCTGGTTAAATTCCTACCTTGACAACCTTATTTCCTGTGCCCCGGAAGCTACTGTGACTAAAGAAAAATGCTGAAAGCTACCCTTTTCAGTTCCCAGTCCCTGCGTTGAGTGGAGTCATTCATTCTCTCCAGCAATTGTTCTACCTTTCTCTACCCCTTTCTCAAAACTTTATATCTTTTCTATTTTTCTCTAACCTACAAGACTGCTTCACCCATTCATACTCAGTTGAAACCCTTACTTTCTATTTCACTGGGAAATTGCTGTTTCTTATATTTTCTTAGATGGGTTCCCACATATTCCAGCTTCTCTCTTGTTATTGGTGGTTGAACATTTCTTACTCCAGTTAAGACGGAGCCCTCAGGGGGAGGATTTGTCTATCTGTTCACCTCTTTCAATCTATCCTCAGCACCACAAACAGAGGAATATTGTTAATTAAAAAATCAGATCATGCTGCTATATCACCTCATTGGTGAATGACTATAGAAACAATTGTTTATTCCCCAATAATCAATTTCCCCTGAAACCCTAGCATCCTAATTACCAGCACTCCACCTTAATTGCTCACTACCATGGATACCCCCAACATCTCTTACTCACCAGAACCGTTCTGATTCTCAAATAAAAATAAAAGTCTGATTCTCTAATCTTAGCACAGCATGATATAGATAGATATACATATAGATATATAGTTTCATTTTTTTGCCCCATTCAAATAATTACGGAGATTCCAAACTTCTGATTCATCTTTTTCTTTTTTTTTTTTTTTTTGAGACGGAGTTTCGCTCTGTCGCCCAGGCTGGAGTGCAGTGGCGCGATCTCGACTCACTGCAAGCTCCGCCTCCCGGGTTCACGCCATTCTCCTGCCTCAGCCTCCCGTGTAGCTGGGACTACAGGCGCGCGCCACCATGCCCGGCTAATTTTTGTATTTTTAGTAGAGACGGGGTTTCACCGTGTTAGCCAGGATGGTCTCGATCTCCTGACCTCGTGATCCGCCCGTCTCGGCCTCCCAAAGTGCTGGGATTACAGGCGTGAGCCACCGCGCCCGGCCTGATTCATCTTTTTCTTTAACTTAAGACCTTTGATCATTTTCCTGCAGAGAGTTGACAAAACTTCCATTGTGGTTCATATGACTGTATTCCTCAAAGATACTGATTTTTTGGGGGAGAATTTCACTTAAAAGCCTACACTTATGCAACTATAAATTTATGATGACAATTTCAGCTGGGCTACTCCATTACTCAATAACCTTTATTTTGGGAGTCAGTTTTCTTCCTGTCTTCTCCCTGTGCTACACACCTTCTATATTCCTCATATTCAAACATTTCCTCTTTATTCTTAGCAATCACCTTCATTTCTCTGCAATGAAAGCAGAATGTTTAGGCAAAAGCTTTTAAAACTAGGCCAGGCGTGGTGGTTCACACCTATAATTCTAGCACTCTGGGAGCCTGAGGCGGGTGGATCACTTGAGCCCAGGAGTTCAAGACCAGCCTGGGCAAAATGGAGAAACCCCATCTTCACAAAAAATACAAAAATTAGCTGGAGGTGGTGGTGCTCATCTGTGGTCCCAGCTACTTGGAGCTTGAGGCAAGAAAATTGCTTTAGCCGAGGGAAGTCAAGGTTGCAGTGAGCCATGATTGTGCCACTGCACTCCAGCTTCCAGCCTGGAGACCCTGTCTCACACACACACACACGTGCACGCACACACACACACGCTTCCAAAACTACATTATCACCTACAAATGCATGTTTAAATGTCTCCTTCTCCTATGTTACTGATAGACGTATCTCTTATGCAAGACTAATCCTTTCTCTCTTTAGACTGGATTTAACACCTTTCTAAGTGGACTGAAGCCCCAGCTCTTGCTGCAACACATTTTTGGTGTTAACTTCTTTTCACCACTCTCTTCAACTTGTCCCTTAAATTTTAGCAGTTCCTCCACTCTCTGGCAAATGCCCTTTTCTTTTCTTACTGGTTTTCTCCTTAATCGGTGTCTCCAATGTCTTCAGCTTCAATTACCATCGGTAAGTAATTCCCCCCACACCAATACATATTTACAGCCACTGTCTCCCTGGAGCTTCTGGCCTATGTGTCACAGCTGCCTAGAAGACTTTCATATTTGGATGACTCACATCCACCTTAACCTGTTCAAAATTGAGCTCACCTTCTCCTTAAACTCTACTCTTCTGAGATTCCTTATTTTAACAAAAGGCATCACAATCTACAGATTAGCCCAAATTAGCATCAGGGATATTTACTGTCTTTAATTCTTCCCTTCTATTTTTCACAAGCACCAACATGCCCTGAAATTTATGCATCTTAAAAATGCTTATCTCCCTTCACTTTATTTGCTCCCCTCAGCTCTTCCTTAGGAACAGGTCCTACTATATCTTACCTACATTCCTTCAAAACTCTAGGCATTCGTCCCATGGCTTCCAACCATTTCTCCATCTGCCACAGTTCACCATGCATCCAGTGTGATCTCTCTCGAATCAAAACATGAGCAGGTTAGTTTTAAGACACTTTAATGATTTTCTTTAACCTTCAAGTCAAATTCATACTTGTTGAAATGTTTTATAATGATCTACAAGGTCCAGCTTCATTTTATTTCATAGGTTTTCTCCAATCACTTTATCCTCTGCTTAAATTGCCCAGATAGACCAGAATATCTGTTTAGTTTTTAGGTAAGTCATGTTTTCATTTGCTCTTGGAATTGATTTTTACAGTTATATCTGTCTCCTCCTCTGACCTCTTCTAGGTCACTCTGGGTCACAATCAGACATTTTTCCCTGAGTAGCATTTACATATGCATGGATTTGACACTTCTTCCCACTCTGTTTCTCTAGCTCCTGGTACCCCATCCAGGCTCCATTTATCCTACTTGTTTTGTTTGAAGAATTGTCTAACTGACAATATTATTAATTTCACTGAAATCGAGATAAGTACCTCTTGTATATAATTTTTATTTTTACAAATTGATAAAGAGAAGATACCCAATAATTGTTAGTAAAATAAATTAACTGTTTTTTTCTCAGATAGTAAATATAGAACATGTTAATATAAAGGAGACATTTTACTCTTCTTAAATACTTCAATAACTTATGGTTTTGCAGTGTAGCATCGTGATTAGAAAGCAGAAGTTATAAAGAAGAAAAAATCATTTGAGAACCCTGAAGACATTCTAAAAGTCAGAAATGTCTAGACATAGAATGTCAGAACTTAGGAGGATGGGAATCCCGCACATCCAAGGCTGCATGCTGACCATGGAGGAATCATGTACAGGCAATTCATTCATGCAGCGAGATTGATTAGGATTCCACAAAAATGTGCTGCATTGTGAACACTTTGAAGACACTTGAAAAGGTTTGAGACTCACGTATATTATTCAAAACCTGAATTCAATTTTGCCAGGGGTAATGGTGGGATCTTAATCTGCATGCAGGAGAAATGATATCAGCACCTGTTGTTGGTCTACACCAATATTCATATCCCCCAACTCTGAGGCTGTCTGATGGCATTAGTAGGGATAAAAACAAGCATGTGGTTAAGCTTGCAGTAAGACATCTCAGAGATACCATGATTCGATTATGATCTTCATACTCTGGGGATTGTTTCTGAGGGTATCTTAATGTTTCTAAGGTAAGGAGGAATATAAATTTAGAAGCAGGACCTGCTTCATAGGATGCCACTAATACAGTCACATAGAGCCTTGTGCTAGGGGCTTAATGTTCTGTGGCTGCTGTTCTGAAATTCTTAATGGTTTTATCATTGAATTTGCGTTTTGTAAGATATGTCTGATAGAACAATAATGCACGTATGAGGGGTTTGGTGTTTCAGCCACACGCAGTCCCAGCTCTCACTGTCTCCTTGCCCACTGAGCTCCCTCCGTCTGCCACTGCTCCATAACCACAACTACCCCCCAACTGAAACAGTTATCAAGAAGTCTTAGGGGTGTGGATGTGGATGAGTACATTCTGCTGTCACCCTCTGCTCCTTGCTGAGGACTTGAACTCAGGGGAGGATTGGGGCAGCTCTGTGCTGATCAAATCAGTGACCATCCCATTTTTGGCTTACAAGATCATGGTGCCTTTGCTGGACAACTCTGCAATGGCCTCTCACCCACCCACAATTTAGGTACTGAGCACATCAGGTAGAGAGGTTACAGGGAGGTTGTAATGCCTTGGGTGGCACCTGTCCCCCATGGGTTGGGAAGGTAGGCTCTGGGAAGGGATGGTAATGTCCTCTTCCTCAGCTGGTGTCCTGGCTTTTCATTTTGCCCTGGGCCCCACAAATTACATAGAAAGTATTGTCTAGAAGTCAAACACATATTCATTAAAAAGGAGCTTCTAAGCTCCTTTTTAAAAGGGAGCAAGTTAATGACAGTGGAAGTGTGAATTTTTTCTATAAATGCTACATGTATCTATCTGTGTTTACATTTAATGAAAGATTTTCATACAGATAAGCTTGGAAAGATAAAAGGAGATTTAGAAAAATTTAAGACAAGGATAGATTCTATAAGGAAAAAATAGTTAAGCATCGGAAATGTGAGTTACTTTCATGCTTGAGTTTAAGTATGTATTTTTAAAGTCTTTTATAGTCAAACATCCTCAAGAAATCTATGGCACTTTTATACTGTGATTCTAGTCTGTTTCTGTCAACATGCTTATGTTTTCTTAATTTTGTAATCCTATAATAACACAATGCATAGAGTAATTGGATCTACGGCTTTTGCTACTTCAAGTCTCTAAAAGGTTATTCAGGTACATAAAGTAAGTTGTTGTCTTCAATTTGGCAGCACTAGTATGATAAACTCTAGCTTGTTGAGTCCATTTCAAAAATTAATTTAGAAAAATAACCTTTAACTTACATTGCTGTATTTTCTTTTTGCTTGATAGGTGGCCCAATAATAGGTTCTTCTCTGTTGTTCCCACCCTCATCTTTGAGGTTTAAAAGTCCTTAGGTGTTTCCTATGAATGCAAATAAACCAGAATTTGTCTGGACAGGATGCATCCCAGTAACTTCCTGTGAAATATTAACTGATTAAATTTCAAGTGCCCAACCATCTTTTTGGTCCATTACCTCTTGGGACTAATTCATGGAAATTGAATGATACATTAACTTACAGGTCAAAGTCAAATGTGCTGCCCCAGGCAGGAATTTTTGTTCAAATTTCCATTTTGCTTGAAATAAAACTCCTCTTACACTTCAGTAGCCTGAATCCAACTTTCAAGCTCTGTGGTGACTGATAAGACATCCGCCAAATATTTTTTTCTGGACAGAATCCTATTCTGACATTCATTTCCCCAGAAAACACTTGCTGCTTTGAGTGCTGCCTGTGACAGCAATCAATAAGTTACAAAGAGTTTATCCAAATCAGGGTCAGATAACTGGACTTGGGACAGTTTAGTTCATGTAGATATAACCTCTCCTATCATGTTAATACCACTATCCTTTCTGAAGTTGCAGTCTACAGAGGTATGAAACTATGAAATAAGAAGGCAAACATAGGTTAACCAAAACTCTCAGTAAAGATAATACTATATTAAATCATCTTTTAATTTAGAAGTAGTTAAGATATATAGCAGATATATTAAAAGATAATAAGAAATGTTAAAATAATAAAATTATAGAAAGGGACCCTTGAGCACTCATAACAATAACAAAAAGCCAACATTATGTGGAATCTTGGCATCAACTTGTAAGCTGAGAACCCTGTACTCTTCCACACAGATAAGTGAATTATTTTAAAGAGTATTTCTTTGCTTTCAATCCTTAGACAAATTTGACTGCTTCATACAAATATGGGGCAGGATTATTGATATGGTTTGGCTGTGGCCCCACCCAAATCTCATCTTGAATTGTAGTTCTCATAATCCTTACATTTTGTGAGAGGGACCCGGTGGGAGGTAATTTTATCATGGGGGTGGTTACCCTCATGCTGTTCTTGCGATAGTGAGTTCTTGTGAGATCTGATGGTTTTATAAGGGTCTTTCTCCTCTTTTACTCAGCACTTCTCCTTGCTGCCGCCATGTGAAGAAGGACATGTTTGCTTCTTCTTCTGCCATGATTGTAAGTTTCCTGAGGCTTCCCCAGCACTGTGGAACTGTGCGTCAGTTAAACTCTTTTCTTTATAAATTACCCAGTCTTGGGTATTTCTTCAGAGCAGCATGAGAATGGACTAATATAGTTCTCATAAACATCCTTCAGATAAGTTGGACAATTTCATTTTTCAGTAACTCTCATTCTTTTCAATTTCAGACTTTTCCAGGGCTTCTCCTACAGATTGGTGGGATTCACACTTCCTTCTTGACATTCAGGTGTCCACCTTCTTCTATACTGGTTAAATTCCCTAGTATATCTCCACTCATGTCTTTCTTCCTAAAATTGACCCCAAATCCTTAATGTTCTGATGTTCCACACTCCAAATGTCACCCATTCACATGAATCTATCAAGGCACTGTAATTTTAACAGATATTCCAGGAGTGAAAAATGGTAAATTATGTCACATGCTTTTGAATCCGAGTGAAATCTCCTCAGCTGAGTTCAGCTGCAGCTAGGGGGAACAGTTTCCTAGAACTCAGCCTCAGGGTGAAAGCATCCCACATCACTGTCATTCTTTCCTAATAATCATCTCCAACCTTCTTGGAAACATGCTTAGCTGACATAAAAACATAGCCTGAAAATTAGAGGAGGGAACACTCTTGAGTACAATGCTTCATTCTCCTTTTCTTTATATGAATAATTCTTAGAGGCATTATTTCTAGCCACCATTAAGTTATGTGGATATGTGACCCACAGTCCAATGTCACCTACCTCTGTTGCACCACGGAGGCACACCAAGGTCACACCTTTGGCATCAGGTATTTGGAGGCACACTGAGAACTAAACCCAGATCTGGCTCAGAGATGGTTCAGCTCAATATAAGTTGAAGGATCTGATTATGGGCTGATGTACTAATCCCCACTCAAAGAAGAGGAGGTTTAAAGGTGAAAAATAATATTCCCTGAGGGTAAAATGGTGAATGGTATGTAGTGATTGTCTACTTTGTATGGGGCAACAAAGGTATTATGATACCTTTGATAAATATACACATGGACTTCTGAGCTGTGGCAAAGAGTTGGTCCTGGAATGAACTAGACCAAAAGGTCTGAGATAAAGGCAAAAGGCCTGAGGACAGACCTAAAAAGTAGGTCCATAGTGTGTAGTTATGAGGTCACAAGGCAAGGCCTTCAGGAGAACACCACAGAGCAGGAATTTAACCATTAAGTAATCATCCCGTGCAGAGGATGTCAGCCAGACTCCATCCTTGGTCTGCCAGCACTTGGATATGTGGCCATAAAGAGAGTAGCTATGTGGGTGACAGAGATAACACTTGGATCCTATAGCAAAAGTTCACTCTTACCAAGGCTGGCCTTGGCCGCCTGTTCCTGACTACTACTGTCTCTTGAGGACACTAGATATTCACTAAGTGGCAGATTGGAGCCCTTCAACTCTGGATTTGCACACAATGAAATTCACAACTAGCCCACATATGTGGTTGTTGTTCTGTTTGAGTTTTCTCTGGTTTTACCACTATCTGAAGGCCTACAAGATACCTAATATACTGATGGGGTATCCCACATAATATTGCCTGTGTCCACGAGATGGGTTTTATGCTGAAGGAAGTGGAGTGTTTCATACATAATCATGACACCCACTGGCCCTATTATACTGCATTCACAGGAAGCAGCTGACCTCGCAGAGCGTTGGAAAGGCCTATGGAAAGCTCTGCCAAGGTGACAGGACACCTTACAGGTTGAAACAGTGCTTCCAGGATGTGGCGCATGCATTCAGCCAACCCCCATATCCTGCTGTGGGTCTCCATGGTAAAAATACATGGCGCCAGAAATGAAGAAGTGGAAGTCTGAGTGACCCCTCTCAACTCTGCATCATCCCAGTGACTGACTTGAAGACATATTTTTTGCTTTCCTTCTCCACAACCCTAATCTCTGCTGGATTAGTCTCCAGAGGAGGAAATGTGCATAAAGGTAATTAGAAAATTTTCCACTATGTGATTAATTTGGTGTATGATGGTAGACCAGCAGGCACAGAAAAAAAATTAATTTAATTAAATAAAGGCTTAGTATTGATGGCAATGAGAAACAGATGGATTCCTGGGCAGACAGGGATGTGTTCCTAGTGGGGCTCTATCTTCAAGCCAAGGATAGTCTGAAGCCTAAAAACTGAGAGGACAGTTCTAGGCACAGTCCATGACTGGAGTGAGAACTTCCATCCCCGTCTTATCCACTCTCTCTCTATTGGTTCCTTCTGAATGATGCTTTTTAACCAATTGAATGGTGCCTTTTCCAAGCCTACCTATTGACCAATCAGCACACATTCCCCCATTCTAAGCCCATTAAAACCCCGGACTCAGCCTCACAGAGAGCAACCCACTTTTGGGTCCTCTCTCAATACTGAGAGTTTTCTTTCTGTCACTCAGGAAAATTCTACTCTGCCTTACTCACTCTCCAGTGTCCGCATACCCTATTCCTCTTGGACGTGGGCCAAGAACCCGGAACTCACTGAACTGCAGAAGCAAAAGAGCTGTAAAGCTCCTGCTTGCTGAGCTGCTGGTGGTGGGAGTCAAAGAGCTCTAACACTCCTCCTGCTTGCAGAGCTATGGGAGAGAAAAAGCCACAACAGTGTGATAGGAGGGGCAATAAACCTTGATTATCACGAGGAACCAGTGTTGCTGCTGTGTAATGGTATCTGAGAGAAATATCCAGTCAATCATGGAAATCCATGGGTTCCACATCTGTGAATTCAAGCAAATACAGACCTAAACATTTGAAAAAAAATAACAATACAACAATAAATATAACACAAATAAAACACAGTGTAACAACAACTCTTTATAAAATACTTACATTGTATGCATATATATATATAGTTTATTTTCCTCCTTCTTACACAAGATTAAGCATGCTATGCACACTTTCACTTAACTATGTAACTTGGAAATCAGTCTGTATCAGATACAGGCAGCTTCCTTGTTTGTTTTTATGACTAAATATATGTAACATAAATATTCTTTTTTCCCCAATCTTTAACTATCATAGACAATGCCACAATTAATCATATTGTACATGTACCAAAGTTGTATTTCTTCAAGTTCATGTTTAGAATAGAATTTTAGGAAAAGGATTGTCAGGACAAATACATACGTGTTATGCCAGATATTTGCACAATGTTTCTTTAATGAGAAATGTGCTATTTTGCATTTCTAATAACAATGTATTAAAACTGATTTTCTACTATATCCTCTACTCATCAGCTCATTCTCATGCCTCTAATCCCAGCACTTTGGGAGGCCAAGGCGGGCGGATCATGAGGTCAGGAGATCGAGACCATTCTGGCTAACCTGGTGAAACCCCGTCTCTACTAAATATACAAAAAATTAGCCAGGTGTGGTGGCACACGCCTGTAATCCCAGCTACTCGGGAGGCTGAGGCAGAAGAATCGCTTGAATCTGGAAGGTGGAGGTTGCAGAATCTGGTCGCCACTGCACTCCAGCCTGGGTGACAGAGCAAGACTACATCTCAAAAATAAATAAATAAATAAAATAAAAAATGAAAAATATTCTGTTTAATCAAGTAGCATATCTACATATTTGTGATCTGAGGTAGGTAATATTTACACCTTTCTACTTCATTTAACAAAATTATTTTAAGTAATCTTGAAATACATAATACAAATGGACAGAAAAACTGCAAATGGTGAATCTTTCATTTCATAGAAATTTATATATATAATAAAATCATTTAAAATAAATAATATAAAAACACAATAAAACATAATACAAAAGTGAATAATCTAAATTGATAATTTAAATTGTATTAGTGCATTTTAAACAAAGTAACCAAGAGTACCTACTTTTTTGGTTTGTCACAATAGTGAAAAATACATTTACCACTTCTGTTAAATTTTAACTTGTGGAAATGTGTTACTGGCTTAGCAAAATTGAGGATTTCTTTTTTTTTTTTTTTGCATTTTCTTGTTCTATACACAGTATAGTCAGAATTAGCAATATTGTTTATTTCTTAGCTGATTAACACTTTTACATTCATTCATTTTTATTTTTAATATTTTCTTTCCATAAAACAACAGATATGCAAATATTAGAAAAAGTATTAAACATAAGGATACATTTGTAAAGAGCTCACACAGTACAATTTCACGACAAATTCCAGAAATGGAGATATTGCCCATTACTTTTTTACTGGGAAGATTATTGCAGGTGTCATATACCTCCATAGTCGGGACATTTTAAACGCAAATTAAAATGCCAAGTCATTTTGTATACTATGATGCATTTGGTGTAATTTGAGTTATTTTGGATTGTATTTGTAACTAGTCTGCTATCATTATTAATTGTACCATATATATGTACATACACACACACACAAATACACACACACACACACACACACACACGTACCCACAGGGGCTGAAGGCAAAGCTGGATATTTCAGTTTCCTCTTACTACCTTGAACAAAGTTTGCTGCTCAGTCTGCATTTATAGGAAGCTAACAGTATAACTGGGAGGTCCCCATGTTAATTTCCACACAATGTTTATTAAAGGATAAGTAATAAAAATGTGGTATTTTAAAGCTTTAATGAATATTAATAAAACTCAACAAAAATCATAGTAATTGTTCAAAACTTAGCTCAACACAGAATTTTTGGGGAAAAGAATAATCACTGACATCATTTAGAAAGGCCAGCACTCAGTTCTATCAGGAAAAGCAGATTGCTTTCTCATTGGTTTTATGACGGTTTTTATAGGAACTACTGACAAGGAGCTTCCTCAATAACTTATGCACAAGGGTAGACTTTACCTGTGACCTGGGGTACAAAGCTAATCCCATGACTCAGAGCCTTCAAATTCAAATGTTTAAAGCCCCAACTTTATTATTTGTATATGTTAACAACTTACTATTTTTTAAACTACCTCTCTGGATCAAAAGGTTACTATTCTTGCCCTCATGTAAATGGCCTTAGGTCTCCTATCTTTATTAATCCTACATACATAATTGGTTCCTATGTAACACACATTGTATTTGAAGCTTCAGTTACTCTTGTGCAAAATAAAGGCCAGGTCAAATTGGCTCTCCCAGCTTCCTCAGCACCTTAACTGTGTGTGTGTATGTGTGCTTCATGAAGAGAGATGATGAAGATAATCACATTCACTGCTCCTTCCTCATACACCAAATTATATCAAAGTCGTATTATACCGGAAAGAGGCCAGATCCTACATCTGACCAGTTTGTGATTGCTTAGTTAGGTCTTGGGTTGAAATTTATTTTACTGGATAGGGGATATATTTGTGCACCCAAAAGTATGTGAGACAGATTTCCATCGATTTAGAAAGTTTATTTTGTCAAGGTTAAAGACATCCCTCTGACATAGTCTCAGGAGTTCCTAATGACATGTGTCCAACGTAGTCGGGTCAATGCTTGGTTTTATACATTTTAGGGAGACATGATACATCAATCAATATGTGTAAGTTGTACATTAGTTTGGTCTGGAAAGGAAAGCCCCCACAACTCCAAGTAGGGACTTTCAGGTTGAGGTAGATTAGAGATGAAATGTTGCATTCTTTTCTCTTTGATCAGCCTTTCACTGAATACATGCTTTACATATGAGAGGAGGGTAGAGGCATAATCACATGCCTTAGTTTGGATTAGTGAAACAGTAGGGCAGAGGAAGCAATCAGATGTGTATTTGTCTCATACAAGCAGAGGGATGACTTCCAGTTCTGTCTGTCTTTTGTCCACAAGAAATTTTCTTGTGGCAAATTGTGAGGGAGGTATGTAGTTTTTTTTTAATCTTTGTAGATATCTTATTTAGGAATAAAACGGAAGGCAGATTTGCTTGAGGGAGTTCCCAGCCTTACTTCCCTTTGGCTCAGTGATTTGGGGGGTGCCAAGATTTCTTCACCTTTCACACATTAATTTTCAGAGAACCAGAGAACATCACTCCATTGTAAGAGAATGAGACAGTCCCTTCAATCTAGGCGGGAAGCATGTCCAATCTGCAGTGGCTGAGAGGAGGGCTCAGTTGGTGGAGTTGGGTTGCCCATGGCTGCCTGTGAGGCAGGAGAATAGGGTCTGGAGGCAGGGAACCTAAGGCTGATTCACGCTGACTTCCTAGAACTAAATCAAAAGGAAAACTCCGACTTTCCACACCTAAGTAACAAAAGGACTTGAGGCTACTTCGGAAAATTCAAAGTATCTCTGACTGGTTGCTTTTCACAACCAATCAGATGCTTGCGTAGGGTGTAACCTTTGCAACTTCACTTCAGCCTCTGACTGGTTGCTTTCCACAACCAAAAGACTGATTGCCAGCCACCATATCATTTACATAGGGTGTACACTGAGTAACCAATGGGAAACCTCTGGAGGGTATTTAAAACTAAATGAGCCCCTGTGCTCAGACCTGCTCCCACCCCGTGGAGTGTACTTTCACTTTCAGTAAACGTCTGCTTTTATTGTTTCATTCTTTCCATGCTTTGTTTGTGTATTTTGTCCAATTCTTTGTTTAAGAGCTAAGACCCTGGACACCCTCCATTGGTAACACTAGGGGGCTGATCAGGATTCAACCAACCTCTGTAGCATAAAATAGGGCAAGCAAACCAGCATTCAGAGGCACTAGCAGTGACTAATTTCAAGCTCAAGAAAGGTGAGTGTGGAGGGGTTGGCCATATTTTCAGTTCTACTAGAGAACTACAAGGAAAACTGATGCAGGGAGAAGAATGGCCCCTTCTCTATGCCACCGCATGCTTCGGCTGTTTAATAGCACATGCCCCTGGCCAGGAGAATGAGAATGTTGTGAGCAGCCTGAACATTAGAAGAGGCAGGCAGTAAGAAGAAAGAAATTGCAAAGGCTTCTATGAAGTTCACAAATGACTAAAAAATCTGAGAAACTCTCAGAAATAGCTGGGAGACCCTCAGATGAGCTAAATCCTGCAGACTATGAACTAATTTTTGATTCGTACCCAATTACTATTTTACATTTGCATCTAAAATAAAATGCATTTTGTTTTAAATTAACAGGAGAATAACCTGGCTGCAAATTAAGTAGTTAATTGTGTTGTTTCTTCACACCACCTATAAAGAGGCTGGGATAATCATTGCTTCACTTTTAGTCTATTTTCAAAGTATTTTGCTTTTAAACTACATAATATCCCCCGCTTTGCTTATTCCTTTAGTGCCGCCGATTCCAGTCCCCAATTGTAGCATATCAGGAAAACTATAAAATCTGCCTCTCTGTATACTCCACCTAAACAACCAATTCAAATTAAATTGTACATCGCTGGGAGTAGAGTAGAGATTCTCCTTTCCTTTTTTTTGTTTTGTTTTGTTTTGTTTTTGATACAAGGTCTCACTCTATTGCTCAGGCTGGAGTGCAGTGGGACGATCATGGCTCACTGCAGCCTCAGCCTCCTGGGCTCAAGTGATCCTCCTACCTCAGCCTCCCGAATAGCTGGACTACAGGTGCATGCCACCACATCCAGCTAATATTTGTATTTTTTTGTAGAGATAGGGTTTCCCCATGTTGCCGAGGATGGTCTCAAACTCCTGGGCTCAAATGATTTGTCTGCTTCTATCTTCCAAAGTGCTGGGATTACAGGGGTGAGCCACTGCACCTGGCTGAGATTCTTTTCTGAAGTACATTTGCACAATGTCACACAATATCAAACACAAAGTAATGAGTTTTATAGTCTAGTTTTTTTTTAATCTTTATTACATATCTCCAGTCCCATCTTGTCTCATAGATTACAAGTCTTTCTGTGATGGAAATGGAAAAGGTTAAAGTAACAATAATTGAAAAATACTAGATAAATCAAACACTTTGAGGATCAAAACCACATAGATTCAAGAGTACAGAGTTAAGACAAATAAGTAAAGAACAAATTACATTGCACTTTGGTAATGCAATGTGTTGCAATTTGTGTGCTCTGAGAAGCTGATTCTAAGATGAAAATTAGCATTAGGAAGCTTATTAGAGGATGTTCCTAGAATTAACACCTGCAGAAGGGAATTAAGGATAAAACTGATCTGTGATGCTGCCATAAGGAATCCTTAACAAACTGCATACAGAGTCGTAAAGAGAAACCCTGAGTTGAATCAAAGGAGGCAGAACTTTATTCTCCCACATGGTTTAGTCAGGCCATGAGTGTCATTCCGTAAGAAGGCATGACTCTGGGTAAGGCACAACTCCTGAAGTGAGGCAATCTCTGTAGGGGTGACAGCTACAGGCTTTCTGCTGGAAGTATCACATACCTGGGGAAGGGAGTCGTTCATTCCTGCAAGAATATGTCGTGGGCTCATCTCACAATCTGCCACACTGTGATTAGTTGGTCAAGTGAAAAATAAAGGGGAAAAATTCCTGTCTGCTAGTGGAAAGGCCCAAGACTAAAATGAGAATTTAATATATTTGGAAATTTCCAGTATTTTCCGTGACCACAATAATAAGAGACAGTAGATGAGATTGGAGAGATATGGAACACGCTATGTATGTCACACTAAGAAATTTGATTTTTATCTCATTGGGTGAACAATGAGAAACCACAGAATGATGGTGAAACTGGAATTAGAATAATGCAATTTACATTTTATAGGTAGCTCTTGATTTATTTATGAAGTTCTAACGCTTTTGAGCTTTTTCATTATAGACTGTGAAAGCAATAAAATGAATGTCTTCTTAACCATTTTTCTATATCACACAACCTTGCAGATTCTAGTTGTTCAATAGGTTTGTAAAAATGAATAAATAAATGGAACTATTTGCCTGGTTGGATGGTGATGGGTTTGATTTGAACATGTTGAGCACCATGAGGACAATATCAAAGATCAACAATATACAACTTGAATTTTGTCCTTATTAGAGGAGGTTCTTTGAATTAACACCTGTGGAAAGGAGTTAAGGATAAAACTATACTCAAAATAAACATAAAACATATTTGTTCCCAAAATAAACATGAACAATTTAACAGTTGTTTTAAAATAGAAAGGGCATTAAGTAAAATTCGGCATTTAAAAAATGCTCCCAAGGGCTCAATGCTTCATGCCCATTGCAATAGTTTGTGATCCTTATGTCATCGCTAACTGGAAAATATCGTTTATGTATATTACCTAACATGGTTATTGTATTAGAACAAGTGTTCTTCACACTTTTAATCCAATATCTTACTAGAGACAACAAGGTCAAGAAACAGGCAAAAATAATTTCAAATAACAAATGCCACAACCACAAAGGTGAGCCAAAAAAGTAAATACTCAAAGACATTCTTAATTATTAAACAGCACTTATCTTTGTTAAATATGACTACTGTAAAACAAATATATTTATTTATAGTAAGAACATATTTTAATACTAATTCAGATAATCAAATCTACTCTACCCATATAACCCTTTCCTTAGAATCGTCTGCATTCTAAATTTATGCAGGTATTCACAAAGGTTTCCATGCCTGTAATTTTAGTCTCAGAGTACAGAGAGTGAGAAAATAAAACAGGAAAGAAAATACTTGGAGTAGTAATGGCTAAGTATTTCTTGGTGAAATATACCAACCTAAAAACACAAGAAACTCAGTGAACCCTAAGTAGGAAAAAGGAGAGTCCACGAGTTACACCACAGTCAAACTTCTGTAAAACAATCATGCAGAAAAATTGAAAAGTCAACAGAGAAGAAAAGTATACATTACATTAAAGGAAACAATTGTATGAATATAATTCAAGAAAATTCATCTGATAAGTGAATTCAAGTATAATTAGAATGACACATGATAAGACTTGGATCTGAAGAAATGAAGAAAACATGAAATTACAAATATATTAGTAATTATAACAGTTTCTTTAAAATTCTCTTAAAAATTTAAAGAGACACAATGGACAGGTTAAAGAAATAATTGTAACATTGTGGGATCCATAACGTATGTATATATAAAATATATTTCAGCAATAAGGCAAGAGATAAGAAGAATTACACTGTAGTAAATTTCTCATATTTTATATGAGGTGGTACAATATGAACTCCAAGTAGACTATGATATTTTAAATAAAACTACTGTAATTTTTAGAGCAACACTAAAAATGATTTTTAAAAATTATAACTAAAATATAGGAATTAATTGAATTAAAATACTAAAATAAAGACAAGTCCATTCGTTTCCTAGCACTGCAATAACAAATTACCACAAACTCAGTGGCTTCAAGAACACAAGAGACTTATCTTACAGTTCTGGAGGTCAGAAGTCTAAAATAAGTCTCAAAAAGCTTTTAAAATTGAAGTATTTGGGTGTTTTTTTCTGGAGATTCCAGAAATCTGTTACTTGACTTCCAACTTCTAGAGGCTGCAGCATTCCTTGGCTTATGGGTGCATCACTCCAATATCTGCTTCTGTCATCTCAAGTTTTGCCATCTGACTCTCACTCTTCCCATATCCATCTCATACTGAAAATTGTGATCACAATAGGTCCACATGGTTAAACCAGAATAATATCTTCATAACAGTATCTTTAACTTATTCACATCTCCAAAATTACCTTTGCCACCTTCACATCTCCAAAATTATCTTTGCCATTCACAGGTTCTGAGCATTATTAAAGTAGACATATCAGGGTGGAGGAACATTATTTAGTTACCACTGTAAGAAAGTTGAAACTGAAAGAAAATAAATGGGATACATAGAAAATAAATAGTAAAGTGGTATACTTAAATTTAATTATACATAGTTGTATTAAGATAATCACACAGTAATGTATGATTACATTAAATGTAAGTGAACTAAACACTCTAAACACAAGACAGATTGTCAGAAAATATTTGAAAAACCTCATATTAAAAAAGATCTAAATATGAGCAGAGGGAATGCACATCAAAAGATATAGAATTAACCTAAGTGCCCATCAGCCAATGAGTGGATAAAGAAAGTGTTGTACATATACGCATGAAATATTACTCAGCCATAAAAATGAACAAGAATATGTCTTTTGCAGCAACTTGGATGGAACTAGAGGCCATATTCAAAGCCAAGTAACTCAGGAATGGAAAAGCAAATACCACATGTTCTCACATAAAAGTGGGAGGTAAGCTACGGATCCACAAAGGTATACAACGTGGTATACAGACATTGGAGACTCAGACTGGGGGGAAGGCACGAGGGGGGTGAGGAGTGAAAAATTACCTAGTGAGTACCGTGTACACTATTTGGGTAATAGGAGCCACTAAATGCCCAAACATCACCACTATACAATTCATTTAGGTAACCAATAAGTACTTGTACCCTAAAGCTATGTAACTTATATAAATAGTTTCAAAATGAAGCAAAATATGATAGAATAAATGAAGAAATATATAAATCTTTAAACACAGTCAAAACTTTTAATGCTCCTCTCTCAATATTTGATAGGGCAAATAAACAAAATTTCATAAGGATATGAAACATCTGAATAACATAATTAGTGAATCAAAAGAAACTGACATTTATAGAACAAAGTACCCTTATAACTATAGAATACACATATTTATCAATTTCTCATGAAACATTCACTAAAATAACAATAGTCTGAGTCACAAAGCAAATCTCAGTAACTCTCAAAGGGTCAAAATAATATGGTGTGTACCCTGTACAAACGAAATTAAAATAGAAATCAATAAGAATACTTGTAAAGTATCTAAATATCTGAAAATTATAATGTATTTTAAATATAACTCATGGATCATAGTATAATTTTCAGTGAAAATTGAAAAATATTAGTCACATTTTAAAGCACCATGAAGGAGAAATATACATATTTAAGTGCTAGTATTATGAAAGAAGGAAGGTTTAAAATCAATAATTAAGTTTTAAATTAAATTATAATTGTTTTCACCCTAGTAAGTGAAGAAGCAGCAAATTAAACTTAAAGAATTTAAAAGTAAAAAATAAAAATGTATCTCAAAATTATTGTTTTGAATAAAGAAACCCTGGCGCAAAAGAAAATAGGTGTTGTTTTTGTTTAATTTTATCATTTTCTTGAAGCTCAAGAACAGGTAAAGCTAAACTATGGTACTAGAAATAAAGCAGTAGAAAATGACAGCATCCGTGACCGAGTCATTCAAACAAAAAGCCTTGTAGTTTCTCTCCTCTCACTTTCAAAACCAAGAGTGAATGACTCACCGAGTCTCATTGCTTCAATATTTTTGACCTCTTTTATTTTAGTTGTTTCATCTTTTGCATGGGTATTGTAGCAGTCTAAGCCATGATTCTCTCTCTTTGTGGTGATTACATCAATATAACACCAGGTTTTACTTTTCATTTGTGAAATATTAAGAAAAGACAACTATATGCTAGGTAGGCCCTGTGGCACTTACAAGAGGAAAAAAAGAGTTATCAAATATATATGATCCCTCTCTCAAGAGGTTTATTGTCAAATTGAAAAATAAACATTATTCAAATAGTCAGATGAAGGAATACCAAATAAATGAACTGCATTCCTGCTATGAATAAAGAGTATAGAGTGGCAGCTAAGTATGTCACAAGCGTATGCACAATGCTGCAGGAAGGTAAAGACATGCTGAGAAAAGAGTCACACTATGGAGATCTTGAAATGTGGATAGAATTTATTTAGTTAAAATGAGGTGACATGTTTCACATAGAGGAAACAGCATGATCCCATTTCCCTGATGTGAGAGGAAGCATGGCACTTTTAAGGAATTGAGAAATGGCTGGAGTGAAGGAGTACAGACGGTGGAGAGACAGTGGAGGTAGACAAGACAGAGGTCTGGTAGGAGTGAGAATATGCAGGCCCTTGTAGACCATGGTAAGGGTTGTCTTCTTTAAACCAGTGTAATATAATCAGAAAAGAGATGTTATTATATTTTTAGTGATTCTTGTGTTTTCAGAGTGTGTCTGAGGAGCACAACGGGATGCTTTGCGTTAGTCCTGCTAGGAACAATTTGTGCTTTGGATGGGGTTTATGGAGCAAAGAGGACCACTTCATGTATAGATGAGAGGTAATATACAAATAGCAGGGTAATAGTTTGGATATGGGAGACACAGAAGACAGGCAGATATTAGTGATATCTGCCTGACTTCTGTGTGGCAGATTTGGAAGGACACACAAATGTCCTTCTATAAAGAAATAGGAGAAGAGAAAAATAATAGCAATTCTGCATACATGATTCAAGAGCATATAAATAGTTTCTAGCTCAATATATGAGGCAAGCATTATGCTCATCCTAAAGTCAGAAGAAGAAACTGCAAAATAAGAAAACTATAGAGCAATATCCCTCATGAACATATTTTCAAAACATCTCTTAAGATTTAGGAAATATAATACTACAAAATATAAAATGATAAAACATTACAACTAATTGGTTCCATAGCAGGAATTCAAGGGAGATTTAGCATTGAAAATCAATCCTTATAGTTTGCTTCATCCTCATCAAGGGCATCTATGAAAAATCTACAGCTGGGCAGAAAAGAGTACATAGTGTATAACTTCATGTATGTGAGACTAGAACAGAAAGCAGTGAATACAGAGTGAGAGAATGAAGAGCTGTGGCTGCTTACAGCAGAAGGCTGAGGGATAGGTTGACTGCAAAGGAGCATGAGGGTGCTATTTGTGGTGATGGACAGCTTCTAGATATTGAATGGAATGGTAATTATATCATTATTTACATTCATCAAAACACATCCACCAAATTGTGTTCATTACACTCAAATGATTGCTCAATAAAGCTTATTTTGAAAGTGAGAAAAAAAGTGTCAGGAAAAGCTCAAAATAATAAAATGTGGTAACTGAAGAGTAAGAGATTGGGAGAAAATAGAGTAATCTGGAATTTTGAAGCATTATTCTCAATAAAAGTAATTATTATATGAAGTTAGTTAATACACAAAAACGCTCTCTGTGCAGTTCACTATTTTTAAGAAAACAGGGAGAAAACTCACCACAAATTATTTAATTGTATTATTATTTAGTTTTCATTCACATAGAATGATCTGAATCAAAAGGAAAAAATATTAGTACAACAATAACAATTCTAAAAATATGTGTAGATTAGGTTTTACCTATTTATTATTTTCCCATTTCAACAAAATGAAAGCAGTCTATAATATCAGTTATGCAGCAGAAAGTTAAATCTGTAGTGCTGAAGACAAACTTAAAGAAAACTTGAAGCGGAAGATACACTTGTAAAACATTGAGTAAGTGGACAAAAAATAACCCATGGACAGAATGAGAGCGAGACATTTAGAGACATTAGGGGGAGAGTATCAGTATTCAACTTACAAGTGTTTAGAGTAACTAAAAAATACTATCCAAAAGACAACTAGTGTGACTACCGCATGCGTTCTAAATGCTAAAACTGCATTTTGGTATTAAAAGCAGGGTAATCATAACATAAAACTGGGCTTTCTCTCGCAAGACCTCTAGTTCTATCACCACATTCCCTAATTCTGAAAATTCTGAGACATTTCTGGAACTCCCTCTTCACTGCTGCATTGCATCAGCCACTTTGCTTCCCCTCCTGATTCCGTTAGTGGTTTGCTGCTTCTTACTACCAGCACTGAAAGGAGCAATGAGGCTTCGCGAGTTCCATGATGGCACTGACTGCGATGTTGGCGAGAGCTGGTGCCCTGCTGCTGGGAGCTGGTGCCCCACTGTTCCTGCGGTCCCCTGTGGTCCACATCACAAGACTGAATGATCCTGGAAGGTGTCTTCATCTTATCCAAATACTAAAAGTAATCACTCATTAACAAATTAATTCAACTAGTTATCAATGTATTTAACACATAATTATTTAGCATTCACTAGCCCTGTCATAGGCTCTAGGCAAGAGGTCAACTAAGCAGATAAGGTCTTTGAAAACAAATTCTTGTGGCAACAAAGGCTGTGAAAATTAGAGTCCAACGTTCTTTTAATTTTCACCTGGTTTGTATTTCAAACACCTCACTCTGATGTAGGCATAAATACACGTGATTATGCCACAAGGGAATCTCAAACATTTAATACAGTGTTCAGAAATGTCTTGTTCTGCTTCCCTTTGACTTTAAATACATGAGTTCATCTACATCCTACCCTTTGCCATTGGTATTAACTTTTCCCCATAAGCTTTGGTCACTAGTAGGGGCTGAACGCTTCAATCCATATTCCCATCTCTCCCAGACCAAGATGTGTCTGGAATATTCCAGGGAACGCAGTTCAGTTTTTATTAAAATGGGGTCCTTATTACAAGTGGTATAGTGGAACAATTTCAATAATTAGATGGAAAAATACTAAATACAAAATCTGATATTTTACATTTAGAGTAATCCATATGTTCTGGGCAAAGAATCAGAAATCACCACCTGGAAATTCCTTTAAAAAAATCAAATTTTTTTGAATATTCTCATCAAAATCAGAAGCTAATTGCAGAGGGGTAAAAAGAAAATCAACTTCCGATGTTCATTTTGCAACAGTAAATATCTTAAATATAGAAACAGTCAACCAAAGTGAATGTGGTCCAAGAACCCCATGCATATTCCAAACGATTAGCATATGAAAGCCACAAAAGGAGATCTAAATTATGTAATTTATTTGATATAATACCCGAATTCCTATGCTGCAAAAGGTGCCAAAACATAATATTTATTATGATAAGGATGTAGTGAATTATTGCAATTAGTGATTGTTAAGCTTAATTTGAATGACCACGTTTGGGAGATTTTAGGAAAGGGTAATGAATCTTCAGTTATGTAGAGTTTAGGTTATTTTCTAAATCTCATATTCCACTAAAATGAATTATACGTTAAGAAATGACCATGAAAGTAAATTTTATTAGCAATACTTTTAAAAGATATTAATTTATATGTTTAGAATAAATGACACATTTATAATAGAATGATGACTACCAGTATGAAAAGGCGTAATATATTCATCATGCACAGTGAACAAAGAAAAGGTTAAAATTGTCATTAGGAATTTCTTTTTGGCAAGGGCTTTATGCTTTCACTCACAACATATACTTTTAGAATGTTATGGGGAACTCGTCAATTTATTCCTAACGTTTTAGAATAAAATATTTTAGTAGTACTAAAATTAATATGGCCCTGGAAAATAAATGCACTTTGCCTTTATTATTAGGTAGAAGGTAATGAATAGCCATTAATCAGAATTTATATCTCATAACTCCTAACACTGATAAAAAATATTAGGACATATTCTAAATGGATGAACAAATTACATTTTCTTTTATAAAATATAGCCTGTAGTTTTGGAAAAATAAAATGTTAAAGTTTTACCGTAGCGACTATTGCCATTTCTTGAAAATGTTGTCAATTTAAAAATTCAAATAATCACTGTGGTCAAATCGGCTTCAACTGTTACGCTTTTTATTTCAAGTTCCACTCTCTTAGTTAGGTGATTTCCTAAAATAATTTTACAGAGGCAAGAATATGAGTCCTATGCGGTTTTGACTAATCTGAATTATGTAATTGATATGACTGATAACGACTGAAGAAAACAATTTTCAGGCTAGCAACTGGAACTCCAGGAAAAATTTTACTGTCCCAGTCCATAATTTCACTAAATTAGCTCTTTAGTCCTTCTTGACTCTGAGGCCATAGTTCCTCTTCCTCCTTTTCACTTCCCCTCTTCAATATTATGATATTTGTATGGGGATAGTGTCTACCTAGAGATCTTGCCATTGACCCTTTTCACAATCGTATCTTGAAATCTCCTACTTCAAAATTTGCTTCTTAAAAAATTTAGAGATCTTCCCATGAACCCCTCAGTTTAATTGTAAAATGTTAGCTTTTCTTATCCTAGTAGCCCCCAGTGTATCCCTCTGTTGAGTCATCTTAACTAGACACCAATAAGATTGTAAATACATTAAAATAATTTCTATGTACTATTTGATTTTATATCTCATTGAAGTGTTCAGGAGGTATTGAGTGCTAAATGTAATTAATATGATTGAATGAATGAATGAGACGTGGCTTGCCACTGCTTTGGTCTTTCTCTTCCTTTGCTTTTTCAGAATCTCTTGAAGCTGCCCTCTAATGCTCATCCTTGTTCTTTTGGGAGAGCTCTTTCTCTTCCTCTATTTTAAATGTTCATGTTTCCAAGATTCCTATTTTAACCAAGTTCTTTTATTCAGCTGTTTGTACTGTCTTTTTATCTCACTCATTCTCATCCCTTCATTTTCTACCTAAGATGAACCAAATTTTACAGGCATAATTTCCTTTCTATCTCCAGGCTATTATTCTTACCTTCCCAGTAGACATCTCCAAAACCAAAATAACTTCCTCTTTCTGTGGATCATAACCCTTGCCACAGGTTGGCTTTTCTAGAAAGCACACTCTAAGGCAGAGGTTAAGAAGCAAGACATTTGAATGACAGTGTCTTTGGGATCTGTCGCTGCAGAAGGGATGAAAAGAGCAGGTGTAGCCAGAGAGGGAAACTAACCTGTGATTCGGTCCTGACAACAGCACTGGCCAATGACAATGAGGAGTTTGGAGCTTAAGTGAGCAGTTTTCCTGAGTGGAGTCAGGATGGTCAGAGCTTCGTAACTCCTCTCAGTCATTGCAGGTGAGTCATCTGAGGAAGACCTTGACTCTCTGATGAGGCAATCCCTGAAAGGATGACAGCTGCAGTCTATCTTCTGAGCACATTCCCAGCAGTTGGATTAATTTATCCTCAAAGGTAAAACTGGAGAGTGCCTCCAATGTCCATCACGCCACTCATATTTTGTTTCTAGGCAATAAAACACATTATGATTCCCTAGAGTATCCCATTTCCTAATTCTGGCTTCACATACATCTAACTCACTGTTGAGTCTACATAGTAAGGATTACATGTTTGTGTTCCTAAATAAGTGTTTATTTCAGTACAGTTTCAGACTTACAGAAAAATTGGAAAGTTAGTACAGATAAGTTTTGTGTAGAGAATGTGCCCTAGAAACAGAGACTATAGGAGTGGATCACCAATATGAGAAAGGCCAGAGACATCAATGTTGCTCAACACCAGTTTTCTCTATGAGCACCATTTTATATTAATATGGCACATTTGATACAATTAATAAAAAATCAAACCATTACTGTTAAATAAAGTTCATACTTTATTCAGATATTCAGATAAAATCCTTAGATTTTACCTTAATTTTTTGGTTCCAGTATCTCATTCGATATACTGCATCACAATTAGCAGTGACCTCTCCCTAATTCTTGGATGTGACAGATTCTCAGATGACTTTTCTTTGATGAACTTGAAAAGTTTAAAGATTATTTATTAGATATCTTGTAGAATATTCCTCAATAGGAATTTTTCTCTGTTTACCTTATGATTAGACTGGGGTTGCTGGCTTTTTGGTGGGAAGACCACAGAGGTAAAGTGCCATTTTCTTTCATCATAGGAAGGGTGCATACTACCACATGACTCATCACTGTTGGTATTAACCACGTTCATCTGATTGAAAGAGTGTTTGTGAGGCTTCCACAGGGGAAGGTTGACCCTTTTCTCCTCTTTCTATATTAAACTCTTTGGAGGGTATTCAGTCACTACTCATAGCACACTCTTAAAGAGTGAGAAATTATTCTCTACCTTGAAAGTGGAGTATCCACACATATTGCTTACTTATATATAGAGTCTATGTAAGTAAATAATGAGATAAATAAAAATGAGGGAAAATGTAGAACTCCTTCACAGAGGAATTCCAAGTAATACATGTGGATATTCCCCTTTCATATGATAGATTATAATTCATCACTGCTTTATGTGTTTTGTTGCTCACATAGCTCCAGCCTCGGTCATGACAGCTCTTTCAGTAGGCTCCTGAGTAACTCTGACATATGACAGTCGCCGTAAGATTTTTAATCACTTCAGTAATTTCTTGCGCCGCAACGTGATACAGACTCATTTTATGTATTTCCTGCACAAGTCTTAGAATCAGGTATATCTTTCAGGAGCCCAGGTTACTTTAATGGAGAATGGTTTTAGATGCCAATAGCTGGGCAGGAGGTGTTCTCATTGTTGCTGGGGCTTTGTTGCTTGTAAGCACTCTCTGCTAACAGAGCAAGGAGATGCATGTGAGTATTCTAACCCATACGCTTACACATAAACATTTCCACACATAGCTATGTGTATGTATATTAAGCTACAGAAAAGTTTATACTGCTGTCTCCAACGCTGTTTCATTGCCATAGAGATCATTCTAGCTGCATCTCCTTGCTAATCTATGACCTCCCTCTCCAACTTTAGGAAGTCTGGCCCCCACCGTCAGCCATTTACTTATTTAAATGTTCAATTTCCGTGTACATATATAGTGTTTTTAGAATTGTTACCCTATACTCCTATGGAGTCGGGCGAACTTTGTCAACTAGACTGCAGTGATCATACGCACTTTTGACCTTACAGACTCCACTCATTTGAAAAGTTTCTAGATCAGCACCCTTTTTCCCCATGTTTTTCATTGAGGATGTTACAAACGATTACATTGTTGTCCCATTTTGCATTCCATTCTGGATCCCCCAACCTCCTAAATGATTTATTTTTAGTTTGTATATATTAAAATTCACTCTTTGTTCTATAAACTTCTATGGTTTTTGAAACATGCATACTGTCATGCATCTCTCATTAAAGTACCACATGGAATAGTTTCACAATAATAGAAAGTCTCCTGTACTTCACCTCTTCAACCCTCCTGTCCTCTTCCTGATCCGCTAGCAGACTGGCTTTTTTGAGTTAACAGTATGCATTTAAGATTCATCCATTATGGCTTGATAGCTCATTTATTTTTATTGTTGAATAAAATTCCATTGTATAATTGTGTTAAAGTTCAATTTATTCATATTTTGAAAGACATCTTAGTTTTCAGTTTTTGGTAACTAAGAATAAAGTTGTCATAAACATTCACTGGCAGGTTTTTGTGCAAACACAAATTTTTATATCAGTTGAGTAAATACGTAGGAATACAATTGATAGATCACACAGTAAGTTTATGTTTAGCTTTGTAAGAAACTGTTAAATTGTTTTCCAAAGTGGATGTACCATGTTGCATTCTACAAATAATGAGAGTTCCTATTACTCTGAATATTTGCAAGAAATTACTATTTTTTTTTAATTTTAGCCATTCTACTGTCTAGAGGTAACTCGTTGTTTAATTTTGCAGTACTTTAATGACAAATGAGGCTGAGAATCATTTCATAGGTTTCTTTGACATATGTATATTTCTTTTGGTGAGGTGTCTGCTTAGAATGTGTTCCTATTTTTTTAAATTTCTTTGCCTTATTATTATTAACTTTGAAAAGCTCTTTAAATAGTTTAAATTCAAGTCCTTTACCAGATATGTGTTTTGAAAATATCTTTTCTCAGTCTGCAACTTATCTTTACCTTCTCTTAACAATGTATTGTGTTGCAGAAATATTTAATCACAATAAAGACCAACTTAAAATTTCTTATTCCATGAGTAATGCTTTTAGTGTTTTACGTGAAATTCATTACCTAACCCAAAAGTCTCATATATATTTTCCTGTTTTCTCTAGAAGTTTTATGTTTTTGCATTTTATTTTTACTTCAATGATCCCTTTTCAGTTAATTTTTGTGAAGGGCGTAAGCTCTGTGTCTAGGTTCATTTACATATTTTTTTGCATGTGGATGTCCAATTATCCCAGTACTATTTGTCGTAAATACTATACTTCCGTTGATTAACTGACTTTGCACATTTGTCACAGATAAGTCGTTTGTGTGGCTTTAATCCCAAGCTCCCTATTTTGTTTTACAGATTTACGTGTTTATTCTGTACACCATTGTGTTCAATACTGTAGCTTTACAGCAAGTCTTAACACAAGGTAGAAAGCCAGCTTTGTTCTTCTTCAGCATTGTGTTGGTTAATTTAGGACATTTGACATTCCATATAGACTTTATAATTAATTTGTCAATATCTATAAAATAACTTGCTGGAATTTTAATATTGTTTTGATTTTATAAAGTCGACAATAATCAACATCTTAACAATATTTTACCTTCTAATTCACAATCATGCAATATCTTTCCATTTACTTAGATATTCTTTGATTTTTCATCAGAATTTTGTAATTTTCTTCAACTTGATCATGTATATAGTTTTTCAGATTTATATCAATCATTTATTAATTTGGTGCTAGTGGAAATGCTATTGAGTTTTATTCAAAATTCTAGTTGTTCACTGTGATTATATGTGAAAGCAATGACATTTGTGTATCAACCTTGTATTTTGCATCTTTGCTATAATTATTGGTTTCAGGAATTTATTTATTGATTCATTGTGATTTTCTTCACCGACAATTGTGATCTATGAAAACAGACAGTTTCACTTTGCCTTCTTATCTATATAGCTTTCATTTCCTTGTTTTGTCTCAATGCACTAGCTATGACTTCCACTATAATTTTTAATGGGAGTATGAGAGGGAACATCCTTGCCTTGTTGCAGTCTCAAGGGAGAATTGTCCAGTTTCTCACCATTTAAAACGATTTCAGCTGGAGGTTATATAGATTTTTTTAAGTTAAGGAAATTCCCATTCTATTCCTATTTTTGCTGAAAGGCTTTAGTATAAACTGGAAATGCATTTGTCAATTTTTTGCATGTACTGATATAATCATTTGATGTTTTTCCTTTAACCTGTTAAGGTAGACTTCTTGAATGATTTGTGAATGTTGAACCAGTCATGAATATCTGGCATAATTCCAACTTAGAAATGTGGTATAATTATTTTTATAAATTGTTGGACTCCATTTGGTAATATTTTGTTTGGTATTTATGAGTATATTCAAGGGAAATATCAATTTATAGATTTATCTTTCTTGAAATTTCTTTGTCTAATATTGGTATTATTGTAATGCTGGCATTGTGGAATGAGTTAGAAATTATTCCCTCTGCTTCTATTTTCTTGCAGGGATTTTAGAAAATGGGTATCATTTCTTCTTTAAATTATCAGTATAAATTTAACAGTTAATCCATCTGGAGCTGGCACTTTCTGATTTGGAAGACTATTAACTATTGATTCAATTTATTTAATAGATAATAGGACTATACAGATCATCAGTTTTTCCTTGGGTGAATGAGTTTTTGTATATGGGTACTACTGGCTTTATATAAAGTGAAGTGGAAAGTATTCTCTCAGCTCCTTTCTTTTGAAATAGTTTATGCAAGATTTGTTTTTTTTTTTAATTATTGTTATTTTAATGTGTGGTAGGTTTTACCAGCAAAGCCATCTGGGTCTGGGCTTTTATTTTGGAGTATTTTTCTGATCATTAATTACAACTTTTTACTTGTTGATTTTTTATTCCAATTTTCTATTTCTTCTTGAGTCACTTTCAGTAGTTTGCGCCTTTATAGGAATTTCTCCATTTGATCTAGGTTATCTAATTTGTTGGCATACTATTACTCACAGCATTCTTTTATAACTCTTTTTTGGTTCTGTATTGTTAAAACTAATGGCTCTTCTTTCATTCTTGGCTTTAATAATGTGAACCTTCTCATTTTTTTTCTCCTTGTTCACTCTAGCTAATGGTTACCAATTTTGTTAATTATTTCAAAGAACTAATATCTTGTTACACTGATTTTCTCCATTTTTCTATGCCTACTTCATTTATTTCTGCTCTGGATATAATATTTTTCTGCTTTCTACTTGCTTTGGAATTAGTATGCTATTTTTTTAAGGTGGAAAGTTAGGCTTTTGATTTGAGTTTATTTTAAATTTTAATGTAGGCACTTACAACTATAAATATTACTCTAAGTACTCCTTTTTTTGCATCTCATATATTTTTATATGTTACATTTTTTATTTTAATCATATAAAAATATTTTCAGGATTTTCTTGTAATTTTTTATTTAACTCAGTGGTGATTTAGAAATGTATTTGTTAATTCATACATATTTGTTAGTTTTTCAAATTTTAACATTTATTAATATTTTTATCTCATTCTATTGTAGTGGGAATACATACTTTATATAATTTCAATCTTCTCCAATTTATGAAAACATATTACATGGGCTAACATATTGGTCTAATCAGAGAGTATTTTATCTGTGTTTGTAAAAAATGTGCATTCTGCTGTTCTAGAACAAGAATTTTCTAAACATCTCTTAGGTCAAGTTGGCATATTGCGGTTTATTGTTTAAATTTTCT
Source organism: Homo sapiens (assembly GCF_000001405.40). Taxonomy (NCBI): domain Eukaryota; kingdom Metazoa; phylum Chordata; class Mammalia; order Primates; family Hominidae; genus Homo; species Homo sapiens. Next base: position 53,443,103 of record NC_000007.14, read on the forward strand.
GTTTCCTTGTTGATATTTTGCCTAGTTTTTTCTATATACATTACTGAAGATTAGCTATTGCCATCCCCAACTGTTAATGTTTTCTTTTCTACTTTTCCTTTAATTTTTGTTTAGTGTATTTTAAGTCTCTCTTGTTAGGTGCATATATATTTATATTTTTATGTCTCCTTGATAGACACTTTTTATCATTATGAAATCTTCATTTCCTTGCTAGTAATTTTTTTTAAAGTTTATTTTGTCTGATATTAGTGTAGCAACTTCTTAGATTATTGTTTGCATGGCATATCTTCTCATTCTTTTGATTTCAACATATTATATCTTTTTAATGTACATTTCCTTTAGACAGTATATAGTTGTATCATGTTTAATTTATTCTGAGAATCTCTGCCTTTTGGTTAGAGTTTTTGATCTATTTACATATGTATATATATGTAGTATTATATGTGTGCGTAATAAAGCTTACCATTTTAAACACTTAAAGTGTATATTTCAGTGGCATTTAGTGTATTGACAATGTCATTAAATTATTACAGCTCTTTAGTTCTAGAACATTTTCAGCACCGAAAAAGAAACTCCAAACCCATTAAGTAGTCACTCATTTCTCTTTCGCCTACCCCTTGGACACCACTAATTTGTTTTCTGTCTCTCTAGATTCGCCTTTTCTGAATATTTTTGTATAAATGGCATCTTATGTGGTGTTTTTTTTGAGGTGGTGAGTACCTGGCTTATTCTTTTGGCTTAATAATGATTTAAGCCTCATCCATGCTGTATCACTTATCAGTATATCATTTCTTTTTTTGACTGGATAATATTTAAATTTATGGATATGCCATATTTTGCTTATCCATACATGAGGTGATGGATATTAAGTTGTTTTCTCTTTTCAGTTATTGTGAATATTGTTGCTATGAACATTCATGTACAAAGGTTATGTTTGAACATATAAACTTTGATTCTTTTGGGTATAATTATGTGTGTAATTGCAGGATCACGTGTAATTTTGTTAAACTTTTGAGGAATATTTAAATTGTTTTCTGCAGTGCATGTACTATTTAATATTACCAACAGTAATGTATGCAGGTTCTAACATCTCCACATCCTCACCAACACATATTATTTTCCATTTCTTTTCTAACTATAGAAATAGTAGGGAATATAAAATGGTCTCTTGTTGTGGGTTTTTGATACACTTGCTGATACTAGTGGACTTATATCCACTATTTTACTACTTATTTTTGATACATCTTATGTCTTTTTTTATCCCTCTACTGTTTCCTTCTTTTGTGTTTAATAGATATTTTCTTTGTGCTATTTTAATTCCCATTTTATTTCCTTCTCTACAAATTTTTACTCAATTTCTTAGTGGTTTTCCTGGGGATTACAACTGATATACTAAGCTAAACCAGTCAAGTTTAGATTAATAACAATCTTCAAAGGCATACAAAAATGCAAATGTATATAAAAATTAATAACTTTTATTACTATTATACTTTAAGTTCTGAGGTACATGTGCAGAACATGCAGCTTTGTTACACAGGTACACACGTGCCATGGTGGTTTTCTGCACCCATCAACCCATCATCTACATTAGGTATTTCTCCTAATGCTATCCCTCCCCAACTCTCCACCCACCGACAGGCCCCAGTATGTGATGTTCCTCTCCCTGCGTCCATGTGTTCTCATTGTTCAACTCCTGCTTATGAGTGAAAACGTGCAGTGCTTGGTTTTCTGTTCTTTTGTTTATAGGTAAATAAATAAATAAATTTCTTGGGAAAAATAAATCAGTTTAAAAGTAAAAAATAATACTTAATTTTAAAGGTATACAGAACATTGTTCTATATAATTATTTTTCTTCTCCGTCCTTTATGTATTATAAAGTCACCAATACATCATCATTATTGCATTATACAACTATTTTAAAAATAGATAAGTTTAGGAAAGCATTACAAAGAAATACACACTTACATTGTCTTTTACATTTAGCTATGTAGTTACACATGCCAGTGATCTCTATTATTCTGACTGAATTTGAATTACTGCCTCATGTTCTTTCATTTAAAACTGAAGAATTTTTTGTAAGGCATGTCTGCTAGCAATTATTTATTTCAGTTAATGTTTATCTGAGAATGGCTTAACTAATCTTCATTTCTGAAAGATAGTTTTGTAGTTCATAAAATTCTTTGTTGAGGATCTTCAATTTCAGCAGTTTGAACATGCTTTCCCACTAATTTCTGCACTGCGTAGTTATTGATGACAATTCAGCAGTTAGTCTTACTGACTATTTCTTGGATGTGACTAGTTTCTCTTTTCTGCTTAAAGATTGTATCTTTATCTTTGGCTTCAAAGAGTTGGATTATGATATTTCTAAGCACAAATCTCTGAGTTTGTTCTATTTGGAGTGTGTTGAATTTCTGAGATGAGTAGATGACTGATTTTTATCAATTTTGAATAATTTGGTCATTACTTCTTATCATTTTCTCTCTGAACCTTTCTCTTTACTCCTCCAGGATACCCATTTTGTGTAACTTAATATGCTTGATGGTTCTCCATGTGTGGCTGGCTCTGCGAATATTTATTTCTTTCTCTTTTTCAGACTAGATAATCTCACAACTATCTGCAAGTTTGTTGATTATTTATTCTGCCAACTTAAATCTGCTATTTATCTCCCGCAGACAATTTTTTTTTAATTTCATGCATTGTACTTTTCAATTAAAAAATTGCTCTTTGGTAATTTGTATAATTTACAAATTATTATTTATACTCTATTTGGTGAGATTTAATTTTCATACTTTTCTTCAGTTTTTAGACATGGTTTTCTTTAGTTTTCAACATCTTTATTGTAATAGATGAATAACAGACTGTGTTTAGTAAGCAATGTCTGGGCTTCCTTAAGAACAGTCATTGGCCAAACTTCTCTGCTTACATGAATGTCTAATAATTTTGTTGTTCATATGTTGAAAACTGGACTTTAAAAATAACAAAATATGGCAGTTTTGGAAGTCAGATTATTCCCTCTTTCCTGATGTTTGTTATTTACTCCCTCGTTTCAGATGTATGTTGTTGCTGCACGTTGCTATTGCTGTTGTTGTGCTGATGTTATTGTTGTATAGTACCTGAATGACTTCTGTAAATTCTGTATTCTTTGTTATATATCTCCACTGCAATCTCTGCTTAGCTAGATTATTGGGACAGAGATTTTCTAGATACCTACAACCTATGTCCCTCAGTCTTTGCCAAACGGCTGCATGTGTGTTTTGGACACATCTCCAGTGATTTTGCAGGCATTTAAAACTCGAATGACTCATTTTCTGTTTGTGCTAAGCCTCAAGGTCAGTAAGCTGTGAGAATGTAGACCCTTCTCTGACTTTTCCTTGTCATCCACACAGCCCTGTATATTTGTGAGGCTTTCTAGGGTCTCAGGAGTATTTTAGAGATTTTCAAAATCTCCTATGGTCTTTGAATTATCCCCTCTACTTTTCCTTTTAATTTTACTCACAAACTTTCGGTTTGCCCCAGTTGTCATTGTCACCTGAGGAAACTGTGGTTGACTTGTGGTTTTTTGTTTGTTTGTTTTTTGTTTTGTTTTGTTTTAAACAAAAGCCCAAGATAAATCTGTTTACCTTGATCAGGTCAAATAAAACCAATCCCTGTGACAGGAGGTTCTAGGCATCTGACAACCAGGTAAAATGCTGAAAATTATCTGAGAATTGTCTTTCAAGGAATCCAAACCCATTCAACCCCTAGAGAGTTTGTTAGCTGGCTGGTTCTCTTGAGTGTCATGATGGGGAGGCTGCTGGTTTTCAAGGCTACCACACAATTGAGGAAAGATGGAAAGGAATACACCAAGTTTACAATGCTATAACCCTCGCTTTTCTTACCAAGATCCTGCCATTTTTCTTGAATACACTTTTGGGAGATTGATGCAAGCCTTTAGATAATTTTGAGAGTTTGAAATTTTTATTTTGTCAATTTTTACCAGCGTTTTCATAGCTCTTTTGGAAGAATAGATTTTTGAATGTCCTTATTCTGCTAGTCCAGAGTGCTTACTCTGCTAGCCTTGTTTACTCCATATCTAACTTCGCCTAAAAATGTTTTGTCGTTCTCATTCAAATGATATGTCACCTGAATGAATAGAAGATTCTTGATTATGTTTAATTAATTATTAGAACACAGCTGGTAATTAATGATGTAATATATAGTTTTACTTATATCATTGGTAACTTAAAATGTTGAAAACAATAAAAATAATAGTAGCTGCCATTTATTGAGTTCTTACTATACACCAGAACTTATATTAATTCATTTGCTTATATACTTTAGTCCTTAACATGCTTATTATAACATTAACATATAAGGCTCATCCCAGAGGAGATGAAAAATGGAGGCTGACAGACTATAAACTTTTGTGATTCAACATAGATAGAAAGTGTGGACGTTAAAATGAGCTTCTGACCCTGTCTTAGTTCAAAGCCTATGCTTTAATAAGTGCCCTTTACTGTCCCTCCACTGATTAATGACTTGAGCTTTCCAAAGGGAAAGGTTTTTAGCATAAAAACTATTGATTTTTTCTCTTTTGATTAAGTTTAGTTAAATCCATACTTAAGTGGTAGCATGGCACAGTATTAAGAGATATGAAGAGGAATAAGGAAACTTCTAGTTCAAATCTCCTGTCAACATCTAACCATAGGAGTGAGGCTGTGAGCAACAGAATAACTGAAACAAAATGCCATTTTAGTTAGTTCAGAAAAATAAGTTCCTTCTTGAATATACATCAGTGGAAGCCAGTGCATTCTTTGTTCGAATTATCTAGAATTGCCACATTTTCAAGAAGTTTAAAAGTGCATTTTTTTCATTTCTTTATATTCAAAGAACCATATTACTGGGTAATATTTATAAAGCAATCAGCAGGCATCAGCTGGGATTTTGCTGATTAATTTTGGATAAGCTGCAATAACATTACTGGCTATTTAAGGGTGAGACTCCACATGAAGCATTATTAAGATTTCTTAACTCTGTTGGAGTCCTACAACTCCCAGTAGTGTTTATATACATCTAGCTTCGTCTTTTTCTCTATCTGTATGTAATAGTATTATAAAATTCAGTTACCGCAGCATTCAGAAATTTTCATTGAATCCAAATATAAATATACCACTTTATACACAAAATCAGTAAATGTTTTTCATATGAAAATAATCTTAACATTGAAAAAATAGGTTTTAAAAACCTCCATTTGGCCTTTAAAAATGGTCAGTGTTATCTATTCTAAGCCTTTATAGCGTATATTGTTTGCATCATAAACATAAATCATATTGCTATGCTTCCTACAAACATATACTCTCAAGGAAGGGAGAAAAGCTGGTTAAATTATGAACTAGCTGTATAATCTGCAGAGTGCTTTTCAACCTCATCAGTCTCATTTACGGTATTGACTTAGTAATATTCTGATATTTTATTATGTTATCTGCATTTGAATTAAAATTTAAACTTCTAAAACACATTCTCAAAAATAACCTCTCAAGCTCAGAGCAAAATGTAAGGCAGCTGCAATTACACCCATCTCAAAGACCAAGAAACTAAAGAGCTAAAGCCCAGATACTAAGAAATACAAATGGGTATCAATCTTAGCACTGAAATCTAGGGCATACACTTTCTTCCATACCATTTTTGTACAGGAATATAACATAAATACACACATGTATACATATACACACATAATTATTTTTAAAAATGTACATATAATAATAATATATACTGACCGATTCAATTTATACACATGACCATTTATATTTTATATTGTTATTATTAATAGGTAATATATTTCAATTAATATTGCTTTTTACAATAGACAGGATTAGGATACAGGAATAGAGGAGGATATTGAATGCTAGGACAGATGAAGGTATATTTGCAATGGATTAGAGATAGTGTCTTAAAAAGCTGTAGCATTTTAAATTGATGCTTTGTAATCAGCTTCTTTAAATCTATATTGGGAAGAATGGCATTTGATACAATCAGAGATTGAAAGGAACCAAGTTAGAATCTTTAAGTAGGTTTTGATATTTTAACAGCAAATTGTCATAGCAATAACTGACCTAAATAACCCTATGATTTAAAAATTGTTTCACATGGGAACTCCTCATTACTTCCACAGGCCTGGCTATAGCAACACCTATAAACAAATCATTATATCTCTCATGTTCCAGTAACAAGGACTTTTGTTGTGTTTTCTTTGTTTAAACACGTAAATAATGAAAATCACTAATGGAACAGCATCCGCTGGGCTGTTATGGTGTGTATCTTATTAAAAATAGTATGTGTCCCCGTGAACTGTCTTAACAATATGCCATTATTATTATTATTATTATTATTATTTCTTCTTCTTCTTCTTCTCTTCATCTTTTCTTCTTCTTCTTCTTCCTATTCTTCTTCTTCTTCTTGAGACAGTCTCTGTCTGTCACTGCCAGAGTGCAGTGGTATAATCATAGCTCTGCAGCGTCCACCTCCTTGGCTTAGGAGATTGCCCCACTTCAGCCTCCCAAGTATCTGGGGACTACCGGCACGCACCACTACGCCTAACTGATTTTTGTAGAGATAGTGTCTCACTATGTTGCCCGGGCTGGTTTTGAACTCCAGGCCTCAAGCAAGTCTTCCACCTCAGCCTCCCAAGCTGCTGGGATTACAAGTATGAGCCACCACACCTGGCCATACTTTATTATTTTTTGACTGTTATTAAAATAAAATTATATATTAGAAAATTAGTAATAAAATTAGTACTCCTTTTGAAAGGACTCATAATGAGTTTAAGTCAACCTGTAACACAAACACACACACACACACACACACACACACTCATGTACACATACAATGACTTTTAGACTCCAGTCCCAGTGCAAATTCTTCCTGTAGAGGAAAAGCAAATGTTTGAGGCCATCTCCACTGTGAAATGGTAGAGTGAAAGTCATTAAATAATTGGGGCATCTACTTATCCTTGTTTTGAAACTATTTGCAAAACATTCAAATTTTGGGCTGTGTATGGTTTTATAACCAAATCTCCCTAAAGAAAAGAATTCAAACATAGCACTGGCTTCACATATTCAGGTTCCTAAGGCAATTTCTGATTGTTTTAAATTAACGTGTCTGTCAAACTGATGTCAGCCTTAGCCTCAGGTACACTTTGATGAGTAAGAATGGTAGCATTGAGGATTTTAATAAACTCTTATCATGAACAAAGAACATACTTGCACTTTCAAATCCAATAGACACAATCTTCTGAACTTCCCTTAGAGGACATCACCTCCGTTTCTCCTTAGACTGATTTCCAAAGTGTTTTTTTTTCTCTGTTTATTAAAGAAGTAACAGCAGACAGATCATACATGTGATACAACACATAATTTGTTATTTAAAGCAGATGAAATAGAAAAGGTGAAAATAAAAGTTAACATTCCAAAACTTCAGCATAAAGTATGGTTTTTGTCAAAATACCAAATTTGGACCTTATTTTTGTTAAAGAGGATGGATGAGAAATTTAATATTTATTTATTACTTTTAAGATAATAAACGTGTATTGTGAAGCTTCTTTTTGGAACAAGGTTATAGAAAAACAAAAATAAGTAGTACTAGAAATAAACTAGACCATACATCAGATGAAATAGCAAAAGTGGGAAGGGAAAATATTTCACAAAATCTACCTAAAAGAAAAATAAAACTGGGAATATTATTCAAAAATAATCTCAGAAATGTTGTTGCTATTAGCATCATTAAGGAGTGCTAGACATTCTTTTGGGGAAAATATTATAAAGAAGAGCCTTACATTCTTAAATGTCATGACTTAAACCTTGACTCTGGCTCATTGCTTTCTAAATTTTCTTTTTAATGGTAAAAATAAAATTATGAATAGAAAAAGAAAATCAGCAGTGAAAATAAAGAACAGTCTTCCTGGCCTACAAAATAAAGTCTAGCCCAGGCTCTAAGGAGTAGGAAGTTCTAGAGGCCCCACTGACCTTGGTGATTTGGATTACAAAGGGCGAGGTATAAGGCTGATTTAGGAGACAGCATCAAGGGCGATCCATGGACTGGGCTCTCTTGTGCTTTACATCTGCAGCATCTGGAGCCCCCCACGGTAAGAAGAGGCTTTGAAGTATCCTCATGGTGGAAGTTCTAGCCTGGGCAGCAAATAATTCCTACTTATGAAGAGGTCTCCAAGATGAACCCCCTTGCAAGAGAAAACATTTCTGTGTCTATTCAGTGATTCATATTACTAAAATATGTAAATAGTGGCTTTGTCCTCGCTGTGATTATTATGAAGTCATTCAATTACTATGAATACAATCAGCCTGCTTACTAGAATTGTTAAACTCTTATTTACATCTTGGTATGATAATATGGGATTAACAACAAACAAATCATTGTTTAAAAGGTAGTATGAGATATACCTCTAAAAGAACATATAACAATTATATGACTTTGCTAGTTATCATTCCTATATACGAGAGAGGTTGCTTAAACCACAGAAAAACATCTTCTCACAGTTCCTGTGGCTGGAAATCCCAGATTTAGATGACAGTGCAATTGGTTTCTTCTGAGACCTCTCCTGGTTTGCAGATGGCCACCTCTCTAACGTGTCCTTGTATGGTCTTGTGTCTGTGCGCTGGTCTCTCTGACCTCACTGCGTGTCCACATTTCCTCTTCTCATAAAGGCACCAGTGACGCTGGATTAACGCACGCCCAAGAGCCTCATTATAACATTACCACCTCTTTAAAAACCCAATCTCAGATGCAGTCACATCTGAAGTGCTGGGGTTAGGGCTTCAACACATGAATCTTGAGGGGACACGATTCCCCCATATCAATCACATTAGAAACATGTCAATGATCAAAAGTCATGAGAGAGTTTTTTAAAGTTTCTAAAACAATCTTGTTGTAATTTCATTTTTAAAGATACAGGTAATTTCTATGGTTTCATAATAATTCAGTAAATAGGAAATGAAGTGTTGAAATTAATTCAAATAAAAAATAAGGTATTGAAATTAATTCAATAAAGCAAGATTACTCTGATTTTTAAAAAACTTTATATTTTTAAATCTATTTTAGGTTCACAGAAAAATTGCGAGGAAGGTGTAGAGATCATCCATATCCAGACAATGATGATTTAAACTATCAGATTCACTCTACTTTTTTCAAAATTACTCAACAACCCAGAAAAAGAAAAAGTTCCCTGAGTGGAGCAAGGTTCGGACATAAAAAGAGCACATAATTATTTGTCAATTTGCCTAGTATTGTCTTCTTATAGCCCCTAAATAAGAGTTTTTTTAATGTAATAAAACATATAAAACCTTCTGTGATTAAGGTTAAATAAAAAGTTAATATATGAAAGCCAATAGTTTTTCTATGACCAGAAAGATTAGGCAGTAATTTAAAAAGAAAAAAACTACCGCTGATCACAGGTGGAAAAAAGTGTCAGAAAGAAGTTTAATAAGAAATATAAAGGTCCTCTAGAGATAAAATTCTTGAGAGGCATAAGAAGCATAATTAAAACTTATACTAATTAAATTAAAGTAATTTATTTTTAATTAATTTATTGATGTAAACACTTTAAATCCAAAATAAAAAAAACTCCAAATAATTAATGTAAATTATTTCTTTAAAAAATTAAGTGATTAAAACTACAACATTGTTAGAGAGAGAAAGAAAGAGAGAAAATCTTAGAACCATGATAGGTCCTCACACTAACAACTATACTTATCACTTCTGTGTGTGTCTATAAAATTATACTTGGGAATTTTATTTATAGAAAGAATCTCTTAAGATGCAGCTATTGTTGCTATTACCTGCACAATTATCTTGACTGTCTAAAAAGTCTTTAATTTTAACTGGTTGTTTTGCTTGATAATGCTATTCTGATAATACAAGATCTTGACATCTCTTTATCTTTAAAATTATATGTAATTGTACAATTGCTTTCCATTTCTTCCCTGTTCTCCCTATATGTATGAAGGCATAAAAACCACTCCTTTGTTGGAGTCTTAATCCAAACAAAAAGTTTGAAGTTCTTTGTTTTATGTAATTTTCAGCCCTTTGCTTTTTTTATATTGACAGCCAGATTTCTTTTCTCCCTTCCTTTTTGACATTGCTCCTCGTCAGAAGGAGCAGCAAATAGTTTCCTTTTCAGGGAATAGTTTCTTGATGGAGGACGACATCTCTTCCTTCTCTTAATAATGATAATAATACTTGCTTTAATCCATCCTTATGACAACAATGTAAAACAGGTCCTGTGGATGTCTTCATTTTAAAGCTGTCATTGTTAATCGTATTGTGTGAATGCAATTGTCTACCCTAGAGAGGAGAAATGAACCAGTGACCCTTATGAATGTGCCCAATGTAACATGTTATGTATCTACTTTTTATTTAAAAGGTATTTATTGAATGTCCAGTGTATACCTTCATGGAGTTAAAATTCAAGATCACATGCTTTGAACTAATTTCATGACAAAGACTTACCCCTTCTTTCTGCGGGTAGAGGGAAGTGGGGTTATTATCGCTTCCCTTTCTTTGTGTGATTTCAGATTAGTAGCAACACTTCTGGGTGGATTTCTAACTGGTAGCAATGAAAGTAAATTAAAGATTGGCATAGTTTAAATATTATAATTAGGAGAACAGGAACGAAAAGGACAAAAGGGATTTTTTAAATAAATGGTAGATGAAGCATGAAATGTTCTGTTAGTCTACTACTATAGTTCAGAGGCTACAGTGGAGCTTTTTCTCTAGTTTCTCTCTCTCTCACTCTTTCAGGTTTGTTGCTATAAGAATTGTTTTCCTTCCTGGTGATCTGAGTACAGGTGGGTATGCAGTATGAGTTTGGTGGTGAAAGATGGATAGAATGTTGCCCCAACTATATTTATAAGATATAAAATTTGTCACCTTCTGGTGCAGGCAAAAGAGGTGCAACTGAGAGTCCAAAGGGGACTACTTTGTTTTGTGAGAGAAAGCCTCTATAACTAGTGAGGAGTATTTCTAGGGCCTTGCCTTCTGTCTAGATAGATAGATAGATAGATAGATAGATAGATAGATAGATAGACAGATAGATAGAATATAAATATATATGTATAATATATAATATATACATAATATATAAATATAAATATATATATATTATCTCTCTCTCTTTCTAAGAAAGATAGGGGAGTAATAACGCAGAATTAGTTGATGATTCAGAGATAGGTAATTTGGGCCGGGAGTGGTGGCTCACACCAGTAAGCCCAGCAATTTGGGAAGCCCAGGCAGGTGGATCACTTGAGGTCAGGAGTTCGAGACCAGCCTGGACACCGTGGTGAAACCCTATCTTTGCTAAAAATACAAAAATTAGGTGAGCGTTGTGGCGTGCTCCTGTAATCCCAGCTACAGGGGAAGCTGAGGCACAAGAATCACTTGAAAACAGGAGGCAGAAGTTGCAGTAAACTGAGATCGCACCACTGCACACCAGCCTGGGCGACAGAGTGAGACTCAATCTTAAAGTAAATAAATGAACTGTTTTTTTAAAAAAGAGATATGTAATTAGGAACCTCAGAAACAATCCCACATAATAGTTTTCTCTATATCTAGAAACGAATCTATACACGTCTGTACCTTTACAAGTCATTTGTTAAAGAAGACTCATACTGACTGTAGCTTTTCCTTGTTAACTTTAAGTATGTTATATTTTCATAAATAATATTAGTTCAGTTTTTTCATTTTTCATCATAATCTCTATTCAGTTAGTTTCTTATTTATCAATGTATTTGCATCAGTAGGTCACATCCAGAGACGTATAATTAATTCTAATACTTTTTCAGTCAGTTATTTTGGATTTTACAAATAACAATTTTAACATAAGAAAATAGTGATAATGTTGCTTCATAACACCTGATGTTTATACTTAGCCTTTTCTCAAACTATTACATTAGTAGAGTATTAAAATAAAGTCTATCAGTATGGTGATAGAGGCCACTCATGCCTGGATTTTAATGAGAATTTAACAACATTCTATAAATTAATTCATTGCTTATTCAAACAATTGTTAATTTGTCAAATGCCTGTTATGTGCCAGACTTTGTATCAGCCACTAAGAATCCTTATTTTGAATTTTTCTTTGACATTGATATTATTTATTAAATTGATAAAATGTTCTTCGACTTCATGTCTATCGTGGACTTTTTATTAGAAACATTGTAGATGGTGAATATTATGTTTGAGTACCGATCAAGATGACTCATGTTTAGATTAATTTTTTCCTCTTGTCTAATTATGAAATCAATTATAACAGTAAATTTAAAAGTGAAATATATATTTTATTATAATTAAATTTATCATAATATAATAACATTGCTGAAGTCTTTCTGCTTGATTTAAAATTTAAATGATATATGAATATTTGACATTTTTTAGTTGTCTTATATTTTTAAATAAAATTCAGTTCTATGAAGTATGTGCGATATGATATAAATATTTTAAATTGGCCTATATATGTATATAGGCAGATACCAACAGATACCAAAGTGGTTAATTTGAGTAGTAAAATTATAGTTTTTATATGTTCTCCTTATAAGTGTCTGTATTTATTAAAATTCTTAAATAGGATGTATATTAGCTTTCAAAATTATTTCTAGCAATTCATAAAATGCCCAATGCCTGTTGTTAAAAAATGGAGAGATAAATGAAAAGGCAATTCACAAAAGCAAGTAATCTAAAATGCAATTATAAATATATGGATATGCCTAACTTCACTGGTAACTCAGAAAATGTGAATGGATTAAAAAATGCTGATGCCTGAAACTAGGGGTTTTTAGAAAAACTAATATCAAATATAAACAAGAATTTTGAGAAATTAAAACCCTTTCACTAAGAAACAAAGCTAGATGTCCTCTCTCATCACTCCCTTTCAATATCATCCTGAAAGTCCTAGCTAATGAATAAGATCCCCCAAAAAAGGAAATGAAAGGTAACCAAATTGGGAGGAAATACATAAAACTGTATTTCTTCACAGATGAAATGATTTTCTATACAAAAATCTGAAGAAATCAACAAAATAATACTCTTAGAACTTCTGAGTGATTTATAGCATGGATGCAGGATAGATTAATGAGAAAAATTCATCACTTTCCTATACTCTAGCAATAAAAAAGTGGAATTTAAAATTTAAAACTAAATATCATTTACATTAGTACCCCCCAAAATAAATCTAGCAAAATATGTATAAGGTCTATTTGAGAGAAATTATGAAATTCAGATGAATGAATTCAAAGAACTAGAGAGATATTTCATATTGATGATTTGAAGACTAAATATTGTCAAGGTGTCAGTTTTTCCTAAATTAACCTTTATATTCACATAATTGGGATTTCAGCTGAAATTGAAATTTTTTTTTGTGGCTATTGACAAACTGAAGAAAAAAGACCCAGATAGTCAAAACAGTATTGAAGAAGAATAAATACAGAGGACTGACACTACCTGACTTCGAGAGTTACTCTAAAGCTATGGTAATCAAGACAGTGTGGTGTTAGTGAAAAAAGGACAATTAGATCAACGGAACTAAATATGGAGCCCAGAAATAAACCCACACCAAATATAATAATGTGATATTTGACAAAGAAACAAATGCAATGTAATGGAGAATGTAGAGTCTTTTCAACAAATGGTGCTAAAATAACTGGAAATTCATATGCAAATAAATGAATCTAGATATAGATCTTACACTATTAATAAAAATTAACTCAAAATGAATTATAGACCTAAATGTAATAGTAAAACAATAAAACTCCTAGAAGAAACATATGAGAAAATCTAGATGACCCTAGGTTTGGTGATGTCCCTTGAGATACAACACTAAAGATACAGTTTGTGATGGAAATAATTGATAAGCTGGACATCACTAAAGTTAAAAACCTCTGGCCTGTGAAAGACCTTGTCAAAAGAATAAAAATACAAGCCACAGGGAAAACATTTGCAAAGTTTATATCTAGTCCACAATAAGTAAACAACCAGATTAAATAATCAGCAAATGATTTTAACAGTCACTTCACCAAAGATGTTTAAATGGCAAGCATATTAAAAGATGTTCAACATCATATGTCATTATGATGAAGTTGAAAATTAAAACAACAGTGAAATATCATGACACATATACCAGAATTGCCAAAATCCAAAACACAAACATCAAGTGTTGACAAGGTCTGATAGCTTTTGTGGAGCAACAGGAATTCTCTTCACTTATTCAGTGTTGCTACTAATGGAAAATGGCACAGTCACTTTGGAAGACAGAGTGACAGGTCCTTACAAAACTAAACATACTCTTGCCACACAACCCAGAAATTGTGATTCTTAGTGTTTACCCAAATGAATTGAAAACCTGTGCCCACACAAAGGCTTGTATACAGATGTTTATAGCAGCTGTATTTATAATTGCCAAAACTTGGGAGCAGCCAAGATATCCTTCAGTAAGCGAGAGTGAGTGGACAAATAAACTGTGGTACATTCAGACAATGGAATATTATTAAAGAAATGAGATATCAAGCCATGGAAAGACATGGAGGAAATTTCAATGCGTATTACCAAGTGAAAGAAGACCATCTGCAAAGGTTACATAGTGCATGATTTCAACTCTATGACATTCTGGAAAAGGCAAATCTATGGAGATAGTAAAAAGATCAGTGAATGCCAGGATATAAAGAAGGATACATAGGCAGAGCACAGAGGATTTAGGGGACATTTTTGAAACTATTCTGTATGATACTATAATGGTGAACACATCATTATACATTTGTTCTAACCCATAGAATGACCAACATCAAGAGTGAACCCTAATGTAAATTATGAACTTTGGGTGATAATAATGGGTTAATGTTGGTTCAATGATTGTTACAAATGTATCACTATAGTGTGTGAAATTGATAATAGGAGAGGGTGGTGGGGTGAGCAGAAATATATGGGAACACTGTACTTTTTGCTTAATTTTGCTGAGAACCTGAAACTGCTCTTAAAAAGTGTATAATAAATTTGTTTAAAATTCATTTTTTATCCTGCTTATATCAAAATTACTAGAAACATAGTATTTGAAGTTATATTTATATAAATGCAGCTGTAAAGAGCTTTATTTTGATAGAAAAACTAAATAGTATGTGAGTGCCAAAAATAAGGGACGCATTATTTCAATTACAAATATTCATTTATGGGAAAATAATATTAACATCATTATTTAAAGTATTTAGTCACATCAGAAAATATTTGTTATATAACTTTAAGTAAAAAGGAGACATATGATATGTCATTATAATTTATAAATTTACAGTTCTTACATATAGATTACTTTTACTTAATACCCATGGGCAGTGGGTTTAGGAATATTATTTTTCTTATTTACCTTTCTATATTTCCTAAATTAAGTTATAATTAATACATGCAATTTTTCTCATTAGAAAACAGTGTTTTTTAACTTGCATTCTCTGAGCCTTAGATCAATCCAGAATCCCACCTTCTGCGTTCCTCACTGATGGGTTTGCTCACACGCTAAGTCCTTTTGGGTTTGCTGCTCCTCCTTCTGCTTTTGCACATGATCAAATAGGATGATGAGAGAATGTATGTCTGTAAACTAAAGGGCCATAATAATTTGAGAGAATGACCTTTCAGTTCTGAAATTACCAGCGCTCTCCGTATGAAGTTAAATTGATTTTGTTTGACATCTTCTGCTTTCTTTCTGCCCTGGGGTTATTCACTATTGATGTTGGGACTCAATTTTTAGCATTATGACTAATAATTAAATAATCCTGTGCAGATTTTCTGGGGTGTCTGGTCATGGACTCATATTCTGAAATCATAGAATTCTGCAGCTGAATGGACATCACTGAATATTTTAATGGGTAAACTGCTGAATCTAAAGAAATAACACTTATTAGGCTAGCACAAACTAAGGATTGCAATCTGACATACATAGTTCTTTTAACATCAGTTATTTAATATTTTGATATCACATTATTCCAAGAGAAAAAATATGAAGATTTATATATCTGTAATTACAAGCTCCTTCTGCACGATAACCACTGTTGTTAATTGTTTATAATTTATCCTTCTAGAAACATATTACACATGTTCAAGGAAATTCAAAGAGATAGTATGTGTTTTCTTTTTCTACAAAAAGTGATAGCATACCAAATGTAATATTCTGTACTTTACTTTTTTTCCTAAAGAGTAATAGCTTGCCTATATTTTCTTATCATGTGTAATGAGATTCCTAATTCTGACTTAGGAATAAAATACCGTTTTATTGACATATCTTATAGCTAGACCCCTGCCTAAGGGCATTTAAGCTGTGTCTACATTTTTGGTGCTATCAACAATGTTGTAATGAATTACTTTTAAGGTAGATTACTTTTAACATAATTTTACAAATGTGTACATGTGTCTGGAAGATACATTTTAGAAATTTAATTATTGGGTTTGACTTTTTATACCTTTTCACAAGTAACTATGCACACAAATTGTCCCAAATTTATTCTCATCGTCTACATATGCTGTTTACCCCACAACTTTTTTCCCTCATAGCCAAACATAGGGTATTGTCAGGCTTTCTGGTCTCTGTCAATGATTGGGGAAAAATGATAGCAACATAACTTTCTTTCTTGTTTATATATTTATCATTTTTTATCTTTATTTTTTTTTCAAATTAAGGAAAAGGAGTAATTTGCATTAAAGGAAAACACCAGCCTGGGCAACATGGTGAAACCTTGTCTCTACCAAAAATAAATTAGTTGGGCAAGGTGGTGTGTGCCACTGGTTCCAGCTACTTGGGAGGCCGAGGTGGGAGGGTCATTTGATCTCAGGTGGTCGAGGCTGCAGTGAGCCTAGATCACACCACTGCACTCCAGTTTGGGAGACAGGGTGAGATCCTGTCTCAAAACAAAACAAAACAAAAACACAACCCCATTAAAAAGTGGGCAAAGGATATGAACAGACACTTTTCAAAAGAAGATATTCATGCAGACAAAATGTATATTTAAAAAATAGCTCAACATCACTGATGATTAGAGAAATGGAAATCAAAACCACAATGAGATACTATCTCACACCAGTCAGAATGGCTACTAAAAAAGAACAGATGCTGGCAAGGTTGTGGAGAAAAAGGAATGCTTATACACTGTTGGTGGGAGTGTAAACTAGTTCAACCATTGTGGAAGACAGTGTGGAGATGCCTCAAAGAACTGAAAACAGAGCTACCATTCAACCCAGCAATCCCATTAATGGGTATATACTCAAAGGGATGTAAATCATTCTCTTATAAAGACATGTGCATGCTTATGTTCATTGCAGCACTATTCACAATAGCAAAGTCATGGCATCAGCCTAAAAAATGTCCATCATGGTAGACTGGATAACAAAAATATTGTACATATACACCCTGGAAAAAGAATGAGATTATGTTCTTTGCAGGAACATGGGTGGAGCTGGAGGCCATTATCTTTAGCATATTAATGCAGGAACAGAAAAGCAAATACCGCATGTTCTCGTCATTTAGTGGAAGCTAAATGATGAGGACATATGGACACATAGAGAGGAACAACCCAGACTGTAGCCTAGAGGGTGGGAGGAGGGAGAGGATCAGGAAAAATAACTAATGGGTACTATGCTTAATACCTGGGTGATGACATAATCTGTACAATGAACCCCCATGACACAAGCTTACCTATATAGCAAACCTACACATGTACCCCTGAACTTAAAAGTTAAATAAAAATGAAAAAAAGTAAAAGGAAATATCTATTTGCCTATAATAGCATTGTCTGTTTTTTCATGATTAGTCTGCTTTTTCCACTTGATTTATGATACTTTTTAGAGGCAGATTTATTATGGTAACAGAAATTAATCAATCTTTTATTTATAAATTTTTGATTTAGGTAGTAACTATAAACCGCTTTCTCAATAAACAATTTTAAAATAACTAGCATTGTTATGATTGTATTTTTTAAAATAATTCATTTATTTGCTTTATTTGACATTTTTTTCAATGAATTGGGAGGCTTACATCAAAGTTACTTGTCTCCCAAATACTTCTTAATTATGTAAACTTATATGTAAGAGTGTAAATAATTGTTTGCATTGATTCAGACATCATCTATATTGTACTCTAAGCTCTTAAATTTATTTGTGTCTACTCACAGTCTATTTTTTTTTAATTGGTCTGTGTTCATGTACAAATACTACAATGGTCTTTGTTAGAGTGTTCCTGAGAGTTTTAAACTTATTAGCTCATTAAGTTTACACACTGGCATTTTTAATTTTTTTTTGGTGTCCTATAGAGTCTTTTGTTTACTAAGTATTTCAACTGTGTTGGTTACATATATAAATCATATCGATTTTTATTAATTTTGCAAATTTCTTATTAATTCAGTCATTGTAAGAAATACTTTTTTTAGTTTTTTCTCTTAAATATTTTTGGTAAACCAACATAATATTTGTGTAGTCATAAATTTACTTCCTTATTTCCAGTTTGTATATGTTAATCTTATTATTTTGCTTAGTTGTTTGAGTAATATCTCCAGAAAAATGTTTGATTATAGGGATAATAAGAGTCATTTGTTTAGTATCTTTGACCATAGTGTAAAAACATCAATAATTGTCCCATTAAGCTTAATGGTGGAATTTGGGCTGTGTATTATATTTTATTCAGTTAAGATAATGAATATTATATTTTATTTGTTTAATGCAGAGAAAGATTCCTTAAGTACAAACATACTAATGTTAAGGTGAAAAAAAAAACAAAGAAGTATAAATCAAAATTAAGCTATTAAAAATATCATTTAGAGGAAAAAAGGGTGAGTTACAGAATTGAAGGAGACAAAGGGCTTGCATGTAAAATATATAACAAACATTAACAAGTCAATAAGAACCAGACAATGTAATAGAAATAAATTCATGAGAGACTTGAGCTAAAACGTCAGAAAAGAGCATGCCCAAATGACTAAAAACATATAAAAAGGCACCTACCTACTCTCAGTCAGGAAAATACGAGTGTAAATAACAATAACATGTATAACAATGGCTAAAATGTAAAAAGAAATAATACTAAATATTGACAAAATTGTGTCAATATCAAGTATGATATAGTTGATAATATAACATATTGAATCAATTGTGGAGTAAATGGACCTCTCATAATATTTTGGAGGGAGTAAAAACCACTTTGGAAAACTATTTGGATGTACCTAAAGAGTTGGATGTCTCTTTGAACATACCCATGTCACATGACTCGGCAACTCTGTTTCTACTTAAATCACCAAAAAAACCTGGTGCACCTGTGTATTCTTGTAGATGAATTTATGTACAAGAATTTTCACAGCTGCAATAGTTATAATAGCGTAATTGAAAATTATCCACGTGGCTGTCACCAATAAGAATGGATAAATAAATTATAATAGAGTTACTGATAGAAATAATATACATCAGCAACAATGAATAAATTAGAACACTTTTTAACAATAACCATGAATCTCATGGCCACTGTTAAGACAAGATGCAAGACACAAAATAATACATATTACTTGACCATATACGTAAACTCAAACTTAGGCAAAACTAAGTTCAAGTTCAGTTGATTTTAAGGTAACCACTTAAGGTAAGTGGTTTCCTTTACAGAGCCAAAAAGGATGAATGATTGAGAAGGAACTTGTGCTGGCTGTTTCACCTCACAGTCTAAGTGGTAATCCCACAAGTGTTCATTATGTTCACTGAGCTACACATTCATGTCGTGTGTAATTTTTGTTGTTATATTTAAATTTTCAGAAAAAAAGTCAATGGTGAATAATCTTGGAATGTTTCTCTCACTATAGGATATACCTTTCGATATGGAGATTTATATGTCTTTAAGTTTAAAAAAATATGTTGCGTAATTTAACATTTATTCCATTCTTTAAAATGTGGGCTTTTTCTTCACAGAATTCAAATGTTTACACTGGCTCTAATTTACTTGACTTTCATTTTATCTATACTCATTTTAAATTTCTTGTTCCTTTTAATACATTTCTCATATCCATATTTACTGCCTTTATTAAGTATTTCATAATGTTTATTTTCCTATAGTTTTCCCATTTGCCATAATATATACGATGAACTTTCCCTTTCTTTTCTCTGTTCTACCGGTTCCACTGCATAAATACAGATGTTTTATAATTTTTCCCTGATTATTTTTGTATCTCTTTAGTTGTTGTATTCACAGATGTGAATGATTGACTTATGATAATTAAATTTGAGACTCAATGGTTGGATTAAATTTTCATCTCTTCAGTAATTGTTTTTGAATATGTTCTGTTGATAGATTTGCCTGTACTTTTTCTTCCCTCTCCATGCTTTTGTTTGACATTATTACATGGATTCTCTTTCAGTTTTTTTTAAAGATTGTACTTATTTTTAGAGCAGTGGATTTTTCCTGGTCCAGCTTTGGAGGAGTTTTCTGGAGGGTGAGGACAACCCATGAATAGCATCGCAGATTGTCCAGTGTTCACAAAGCAAAACTTCTCTCAATCCTTCTTTTACTTCCTACAAATATAACTTAGTTCTCCTTGGCACAAAAAAATGAGTGCTGGTGCTAGTCTGCTATTAGGCCATAGAATTTTGTTTATTATTATTATTTTTGGCCATGCACTTTAGAGCCTCCTGTTGCAAACAATAGATGCAGATCTGTGCCCCGAGCGGGACCTCTCTCCATTAGGAAGTGTGGCTGCTGGTTTATTCTCTGCACACTACTCTTACTATTAGTCCTCTCTGTGACATATCTACCTGCTCATCTCCTCCCTGCATGGCCCGTCTCACCTGAGCCCATCTACAGCTTTATTTTATGTGTAAGGAGTTTCTATTTTTCCCGTTTGCTAAAACTAGAGCTGCATTTTCCTTTCTCCTTTGTTCTTAGTTTACAGGATTTGAACAGACAAATATTGAATTTCAATTACTGTGTTCAAGCCATACATCCAATACACCTGTTTTATATGACATATGGGATGCTTGTGAATTCCATATTATCAGTAAATAATAAGTGTCAAAAATGCTTACTTTAATTATCTCCTGTAAATGATGTTACAGACTGTACAATACTTGTGTATTAGTTCCTTCACACGCTGCTATGAAGAAATACCTGAAACTGGGTAATTTATAAAGAAAAGTGATTTAATTGACTCACAGTTCCGCATGCCTGGGGAGGCCTCAGGAAACTTACCATCATGGTGGAAGGGGACGCAAACATGTTCTTCTTCACATGGTGGCAGGAAGGAGAAGAATGATTGCCCAATGAAGGGGGAAGCCACTTATAAAATAATCAGATCTCATGAGAACTCACTCATTATCATGAGAACAGGATGGGGGAAACCATCCCCATGATTTAATTACCTCCCATCAGGTCCCTCCTACAACATGTGGGGATTATGGGAACTACAATTCAAAATGAGATTTGGGTGGGGACACAGCTAAACCATATCAACTTGTATGTATGTCTGACTACGATATGGAATTTGTAAAATATATCCTACAGCCATCCATTCAGGTACTTATGTGTTTGAGGGAAAATTGTATTTCTCTCAAGAGGAGAACTAAATAGGCCATATATATCTCTAGTTGATATTATTCTGTGACAATTTACATCACATAATTATTATGGGAATATCCAGTTGATGTAACGTGTCTTTAACCAATGCAATAGAGGATAGGTGTCACCTAATTCCTTAGGGGATCAGCCAGAAAACTGCTGCCCATATTAATGATATGTACTGATTCTTCTGAAGAAATAAGCAAATGCCATATAACATTTTACCTGTATTTTTTTTATTTCCTAGGAATATAGTTTGAAATCCACAAATTTTTTAGAAATCAAGGGTTGAAATATGAAAAACATTGGATTTAGATTCTTAAGATAATACCTCAGTGAAAAGGAGAGAAGCTTCATCAGTCTCATGTGTATATTTGCCAACCTCTGCAGAGACTTTTCTCTGTGCCATTTTTGTGCATTTATCCTACTTAATTAAAAGTGCTATGTGTGTGTGTGTGTGTGTGTGTTTTGTGTTCTGAACTGCCCTCACTTCTTCCCACTTGTAATTTTGCTCCTGTTTGATTTAAGCATCATGTTAGATGCTACTCATTATACTGATGTTTATTTAGAATACTTGCTTGATACTGAGATTTTAAAAACAAAAATATATTCCCCTTTTGATTATTACATATGTATCCATTATAACAGATAAATGACTTAGTTTGTGTTTTGGGTTGAATGGTGTCAGCTCAAAGTCCATATGTTGAAGTCCCTACCCCTAGTACTTCAGAATGTGACAGTATTTGGAGATAAGACCTTAAAGAAGTATTTAAGTTAAAGTGAGGTTACTAGGGTGGATCCTACTCCGATATGACTGATGGCCTCATAAGAAGAGATTAAGAAGAAATTACTGAGGAAGAAGACCACGTGCAGACACTCGGAGAAGACATACATCTGTAAGCCAATGAGAGACACCCCGGAGGAAACCTACCTTGCTAACACCTTGACCTCCGACTTCTAGCCTCCAAAACTGTGAGAAAATAGATATCTGTTTTTGAAGCCACCCAGTCTGCAGTACTTTTTAATGATAGGCCTAGGAGACAAATACAGTTTATAAGTTATATGGAGATACTGCTGCAGAATAAGGAAATAAGAGAATAAATAGATAGTCAATGTAAATGAAGGATAGAGAAAATCAAGTGTCTTCAGGGATGTTAGTAGCAGGAGTAAAGGTGCCTTCTTTCTAAACTGCTGCTATTAATCTTCCACAATCCTAAACCTACTGTGATGCCCATTTCTCACCCTCCACCAGTCTCTGACTCTCCCTAAACCAGTTTCAGCCATCTGGGAGAGACATCTGAAGTCTCAGTTTTAAGCGAGGGTCTCACTGTGTTGCTAATTACTAATGTGGGTGTGTGCATTTAAATGTGGTTTTGGGTCACTTGGCCCAGCGAAGGTCTTGGAGGATAGATTACAGGCCTAACTCCCCATGTTTCATTTACTCTGATAAAGTTTATAAACACTTAGATTTTTAAATAGAAAAAAAATAATCAATTTAGATTTTTAAATTAAAACAATGGACTCATTGTCCCAATGTAGTTATGAAGATGCATTTTTTTCTACTTATTCTTTTATGCTCTCCTATTTTTTGTGGTTTTTAGCTATGTTTATACAACTCTACTTTTTATTTGGTATAACCAAACATGTATTTTCCACAGTCCTCAATTATTTATTGTTTATTCAGTTTAAAAACAGAATAATATCTCACCTAAAACAAAAGCTACTATGCTAAACATCCCCACCATTGTTGGGCATTCAGGAGTTTTAGAGAATTTGCTCTTTCAGTTACTGCTGGAGTGAACAGATGGAGGATCTTTTTATTGTTTTCAGTATGTGCCTGTAAATAATCCATAAGTCTTGCCACCCAGTGAGGCTGAGTGCATTTCTCCTGTCTGTTTAACCATGATGCTGCCAGTGTGACCTCACTACAGGAGACGGGTCTTGATAAGCCCTTCACCATCTGTCCAGTAGAAGGTAATCTCGAATTCCACTGAATAAATATAAAATGCTTAATGCTGTATAACATAGAGCTCCATGCTTCTCAGGAGAATAAGCTTTAAAAAGTAATCTCTGCTCCATAAAAATAAAACAAAGAAATATAATAAATAGAAGTAATATAATATATACCATATCATATATATTTTGTATTTATCAAGAGAATAAAAATAGAAATATAATCTTAGATCTATAAAGTATAACAACATAAACTGGTAAATTGGTGGATACTTAGATCACAAAATAAAAGATATAATGGATACAATAAGAACAAAATATCTTATTTTTAAAATGAGAGTGAGAAATATTTTTACAGTTACATGGAAGTCAAGTGGATATAAACTCCAGTTTTCTTGCTTCCAATCCTAAACAAATTTGTCATAACTGCATTTGTATTTTGACCAATCCAAATCTACTTTTCACCTGTATTACTAGATGTCAGATATCATAACTTCTTGCTCAGTTAGGCAAAGACTACCTATATTATAATTAGGTCAAATGCTTATTTTTATTTTCTTTACAGCATCAACATTTATGGCTTATTCAGAAAAAATCAACTTTTTAAAGTTTTTTTTTTGAATCAGGGCAATGCAAATAAGACACATAATGTAACACTCTTTTTCATTCATAAAAAATGGCAAAAATGAATGTCTATTAAAGTTATGTATTAGAATGAGGACTAATAAAATCCTTTACGCATGACTTTTTGAAATTATTTGGCATTATCTACTAAAGTTGAAATATGCACACTCTATAAAACAGCAATGTCATTTTTAGGTGGATATCCAAAACAAATTATTGCACATGTGCAGCAGATATAAGACAATGCATACATCAAAACACTCAAAATAGCAAAAAACTGGGAACATTCCAAATGCTCATTAACAGTACAAAATGTTATTAAATTATATTTTACAGAATCAATACAACAGAATAACACATTCCATCTCAAATGAATGATCTTCATCTTCATACACCGACAAATAACTTTTCACAATATGGTATTAAGTGAAAAAAAAAGTCCGGAAGAAAAGAAACAAACAAAAAATCCCACAATATTCTTTTAATAAAAATTAAATGCAATTAAAACAAAATTACATATTATTTGAACACATAGTTGTGCTTAACAGATATTAATATATATACATATGGTGTGTATGCACATATATATGTGAATATGTGTGTATTTCTATATATCAAATAATTAAAAATAGAAAATTGAGAATATTAATTATTGAGGTGAAAACTGATAAGGAAATCATTCTCTTGGTAATCAATAAAAAATGGACGTCGCATAATCTAAAAAAAAAACGAACTATCTAAACTAGCGAAGGGATTCTTAACATTTTACTCCCTTTCACACTCACTACACTCCTTTTACAGATATTCCATGTTTTAAATTCCTAGGACAATTTTGTAACCCTTTTATAGATCTGATATGGTTTGGGTCTGTGTTCCCACCCAAATCTCACCTTGAATTGTAATAATCCCCACATGTCGTGGTAGGGACCCAGTAGGAAGTAACTGATCATGGGGGGCGGGTTGTTCCCATGCTATTCTCGTGATAATGAATAAGTCTCATGAGATCTGATGGTTTTATAAAGAATGGCTCCCCCCGCACACGGCCTCTTGCCTGCGGCCATGTAAGATGCGAGTTTGCTCCTCCTTAGCTTGTCGCCATGATCCTGAGCCCTCCCCAGCCATGTGGAACTGTGAGTCAATTAAATCCCTTTCCTTAATAAACTGCCCAGTCTTGGGTCTGTCTTTATTAGCAGCATGAGAACAGACTAATACAAGATCCTAAATGTTTTATTGGACAAATGCTGGAATCTCCTTTAAATATATATCTTCCTTATTTCTTCTAAATGGCCTTTTGGAAGTTTTCTAGCCAATGATAAGCGGCTTTCCCCTCCCTTGCTGCTGTCACCAGGTCTCGCCGCCTCCTTGTAGTTTCACAAGAGATCACCTTCCTGTCTACCCTGAGACAACTGTGGAGGTCTGCTTGACCCACATCTAAAAGAAACTCATCATTTTGATGTGTCGGGGATATACGGTGTGGTGGGCCTCAGTGTCTAGCTGGTAAGCCCTCTCCTCCCCACAATTTCTGCAATGCAATTTGCAAATTTGTAGGTGTGTGTATAATACTACGTGTGTGTGTGTGTGTGTACATATATGTATATATACACACATGAAATTATGATTATGGTTCTCTTCTTCCTCATAAAAAAAGAAGTGGAATGAGAATGCATAGAAATATGCAAGTTGATATAAATTTTTTTTCAAAGTACTGCTTATAAGTTGGGCATAGATACAAAGTGTCATTATCTTTAATAAAGACAAATAAAAAAACAGAACAAATGGAAAAATCAATACATACAGAAGCACAAATAAACTAAAAATAGCAGATTTTCTTGAACTAATGATTAACATTAATCTAAATTATGCACCTGAGTCCTATAATGAATAATCATTTCACAAATATTCTTTGAGTTCTGATTTTATGGCAGGTAACAACTAGGTTTAAAAATAGAGTAACATATTCAATATTGTCTAGCTGGTGAAAATAGAGTCAACCACAAATAATTAGAAAAATTATTATATTAATATGTTATTGTAATGACTGAGTTATGTCCAAGAAGGCATTTGTCAGCAAACAGTCACATTTAAAGATGAAAATATTCTTAGAAATTATTTAGCTACAGAAACTTACCCAGTCGCTGGAAAATTGTTCTTCTTCAAGGTGTATTTTTGTTTTGACATTATTTACTTTATTGTCTTAAATGGTGAAGTAAAAACTTATTATACGTGTCAAAAATTCCTACTATACATTTTCTTCTATTCTGTGATGACCAAAATTGAAGTGCACTTTTTTCAGAATGTATATTATTTTTATGGAATGTGTGATACAAAATTTCAAAAAAAGATGACCTGAATAATAAACTACAGGCTAGAAATAAGTAAGTAACAAAGTCATATAAGGTCAATTTTAGTCAATGAAAATGTGAATTAGGAACAATTCCACCACCCCCATATAGGGTAGTATATACTATTGTCTTAGTTTCCCTTTAGCAAAGTAGAGAAAATGTAGATAATATATTATGTTTAAAATTTTTCAATATCATTGCTATATTTTATTTGGAATACTGTGTTATTGCATCCTCATTTACTTTCCAAATGGTATTATCTGCACTTCTCAAATAAACTACGGCAATTGCATCCTTGTTTCAAGGCCTTTGGCTGGAAGACCCAAAACAGATAAAGATTACATGTTAAAGCAAGAGTACTGTCCTTAACCCAAAAAACTGTAGCCTACGCTCTGTGAGATGACTGCACCACAAAGTAGCCTTAGAGAAATGACGTCTGAATATGAAGAGGGTGGTCTATGGGGCAGATTCTTGATTTTACTAAATATCATATAGTCATGCTTTCTATGGAAACGAAGCAAATTTTGAGATAGGCATTCTTTTGAAATTGTAACACTAATATTTTCATATCAGTTTGAGCTCATTATGTTATACAGCACAAATGTTTTGTATTTCTAAAACACTTTATCTTCCTCAAACTTCTATTACAAGACTATTTTTTTTAAACTGCCAGTCTCAATTGATGATTCTGTATTTAATTTTTTAAAGACAAACTAGAAACTCTTTTCTTTTCTCTCTGATCTAAATATTTTTTCTCAAAAAAGGAAATGACACTGGCTACAAATCTGCTATCATGCTTTGATGACTAATTCTCCTTATTCATCTCATCGTATTTTAAAGTAATATCTCCTACAATTTGCATAGCCTTTGTGCCTCGGCTCAAACGTCTTTGGAGATGAATAACTTACCAATTCATTTTGCTGGTGGTCATTGGTAATGCTTAGCTGGTTTCCCTTTAAAATAACAGTAAGTCTGACCAAGCTAAAGTAATTCCTTGCTTACATGGTTTGAAACATGCTCCACAGCCTTTCAATTCCTACCTCTGTCAATGCTTCCAATTGGCTGGAGTTAAATGTAGATGTTTTCCAAATGTTAGCTATAAGCTGTTAAGCAGCTTCAAATATCATGAAAATAAAATAACATAATTAGGGCATTATGCACAGATGGTCAAAACAGTGTCCAAGGAAATGCCTCTGGTGAATACAAACCGGTGGTGTTACTAAGATACTTGCCATGTAAACAGGTGCTTATGAAAATACTAAGTCATTTAACATCTCTGATCAGATAAGTGACATAAATAAGAAGAATGAGAATTGTCTAGAATAAATAGGAAGTTACATATACAGCATATTCCTTAAATTCTCCAGTTTTTATATCAGTTCATATAAAACTAAAATTTGGATCTTGAGGTAGATAAATTTATAATTTTATGCATAATATGGCAAAATGCCAATGACACTAGCTTATTTGTTATGTCCCTCAAAGCATCTCTCTGACAGTTTTAGGACATCCAAGCTATAAATCCTATCCCATGGAGAGAAAAGAACCTCGGCATCTTCCTAGCTGCCTTTAAGATAATAGGCACTCTGGTGAATCATTTATAAAGGGCACATAGACATATTACATCAATGACTTTTTTTAGACAAAATAATGTATATGTATTTTTAAATACAAGAGAGTTTTATTTTTTGAATTAATGTATTTTAAAGCAAAGATATTGAGCAAAAATAAGATCATATATATATAAATTAGCATGTGTTGATATTGTTTTTTCTAAATTTATGAGGCCAATCTCCATGTTGACGACAATTTATGGCACATTTAACTTCAATTCCTAGTCTATTATAATTTGTCAGTTTGTGCTTTTTCATTAAAATAAATGGGAAGCAGTAGGAATGAGAATCCTGCTGTGTTATGACACCCAATACAAAGTTTATGATTGAGGTTGATATATATCCTAGAGAAAATCCACAGGCATATTTATAATATCAGCACAAAATGACCAGAAAAATAATTTTTACAATTCATTTAAAAAATAAAATATGGCAAGTAAAAGGGTTATGGGTTTGTGGCATTTGGTGTGGGTTCATGTATCCATCCACTGGTTTTCTCCAAGTGATGACTGTGGTACTGGAAGCTACACTTTCCAATATAATATTTTCTCCTTGAGGCAAACTAGCATGCTAGGCATGAACAGAGTGTAAGCCGTGATATCACATAGAAATAATGTAGTACCTCCAATTCTCTTTATGTTAGTTTAAACACTAATAGCCCCATTTTGATGCAATATTAATTATGTGTACATAGTCATTTAAAATTCCAAGTGGGACACAAAGAATAGTTCACAGACACTTAACAAATAAGACAGGAATTACTTTTCAGATTGAGAAGTTACTCAACCTCTGTTACTATCAATTTCCTTTTCTGTCCAAAGAGGTTCATAATCCCTTTCTTTCTGAGTTGCTGTGAGCTTAGAAACGATGTTCCCCACTTGAATTTTTATTCCCTCTCCCTAAATTTCTCCTGCAGTACTCCTCATTGCCTTGCAGCACTCAGGTCAGAAAAGTGGAGCCACACACTTGTTTGCCTTTTCCTTCTACAACTATAATTCTACTCAAAATGGCCAGATGTGAATTGTATTTCTTATCTACCTTTCGGATATAGTCTCCTCTTTTCATCCGTGATGCCCGTCCTGTAGAGAGCACCGTCCACATCCTTTCTCACCAGGGCTGAAGCATCCCAATACACCTCAGGTGAACCATCATTCAAAATCCTTCAGTTATTTCCCACTTTCTGGGTTAAATTCTTATTTCTTTAAATGTCTTACAGAGTGCTTCATGGCCCTTTGCCTTCCAGCCTATCCAGGCTACATCTAACTGTCAGAGGCGTTTGAACCAGAGCAACTCCATCTTGAATAGGAGCTAGGTGAAACAAGGCTGAAACCTACTGGACTGCATTCCTAGACAGTGAAGGCATTCTAAGTCACAGGATGAGATAGGAGGTCAGCATAAAATACAGGTCATAAAGACCTTGCTGATTACAGATTGCAGTAAAGAAGCTGGCTAAATCCCACCAAAACCAAGAAGGCGACTAGAGTGACCTCTGGTCATCCTCACTGCTACAGTCTCACCAGCACCATGACAGTTTGCAAATCCCATGGCAACATCAGGAAGTTACCCTATATGGTTTAAAAAGCAGAAGCACAAATAATCCACCCCTTGTTTAGCATATCATCAATAAATAACCAGAAAAATAGGCAACGAGCTCTGACTATGGAGTAACCCTTCTTTTATTCTTTTACTTTTCTAGTAAACTTGCTTCCACTTTACTCTATGGACTTGCCCTGAATTCTTTCTTGTGCAAGATCCAAGAACCCTCTCTTGGGGTCTGGATCGGGACCGCTTTCCTGTGATATCACCACTCTAACTTTCAAACTATATTTTTAACAGACACCAATGTTTCATTTTTCCTTTATGTTTCATGCTTTATTTTATATTGAAAATTTACATGGGGTGTTTTCTTTGCTAGAATATTCTCCTTTTATATGTTCTCTTTTACTACCCATTTATTTTTAACCGTAGTTTATATATCACTTCTCAAGGAAGACTTTTCTCTCCTCTTGGAGAGTGCCACTCTCCCTAATGTATGTTTTCACAGTTTCCTTTTTTTCCCTATATTCTATCTATCTCATTTCATTGTAAAACAATTTGTTAACATTCTTGTGATTCTTTTCTTGGGTCTTAGCCTCATGAGGACAAAAAGCTGCCTCTGCCATGCTTGCCAGAGGCACAGAAGAGGTGGTTTTATAACAAGGATGTTTTTCTGATCTTTGTTCTGGGTGTCTGAGAGGAGGCTTCTAAACCCCTGGGATTTCCAGGTGATTGGCATGACTTTGTTATTCCTGCTGAACTCTTGGACCACACCTGACCTTATGCTAAAAGCAGGACTCAGCATGGAAGCTGGTCACAGGACTAATGACCAATGATGTGAGTGTAAGTTGAGGAATTGAGCCACGGGATATTGGCCTAACTTCAAAAAAGAGGGAAGCTGGAGATTGAGTCCAACCACATCACATGGGCAAGGATTCCATCAGTCATGCCTAGGTAATGGAACCCCAATACAAATCCATACTGGGGGAGCTCCCTGGTTGATAAGCACATTCATGTTCTGGAAGGGTGACAGTGGAGAGGACTTGAAGCTCTGTATGTGGGATCTTTTCAGACTTTCCCCTGTGTGTTTCCTCATGTTTCTGATTCTGATACGTATCCTTTAAAATAAAACTGTAATTATAATTCCAGCACTTTCCAAACTTCTATCAGCCATTCTAGGAAATTATCAAACATGACAGGATTGTGGAAGTGCCCACGTTTGTAGCCAGCCAGTTGATCAGAAGTGTGGGTGGCCCAGAGACCCCAGAACTTATGGCTGGTGTCTAAGTGGTGGCAGTGATATTGGGGACTGTGCATTTAACCCGTGGAGTCTGTATTAACTCCAGCTACTTAGCATTGGCAGTGCATTGCAGTCTTGCAAAGGCACTTTCAAGTCTTTACTGAAGGAATGAATAAATATATGAATATATTAAAAATAGAGTCTCTAAACTTTCAGAAGGAATTGGAGTCTTCAAGCAAACTATATATATTTTCTTGTATGTAGACAGATTTCTAACATGACCACTGAGATTCTAGTCACTGGTGTATGCATCCTTCCCTTGGAATGTGGGCAAGACCTTGAATATGAAGAGATAGTCACTCTCTTGATTACGTTATAAGACAAAAGTGATGAGAGGGTCACTCCCGTTATATAAAACTCCTTTTCAGAAGACTGAAAGGAGATTCCTGCTAGTTTTCAAGAATA
This sequence comes from Homo sapiens, assembly GCF_000001405.40. Classification (NCBI taxonomy): domain Eukaryota; kingdom Metazoa; phylum Chordata; class Mammalia; order Primates; family Hominidae; genus Homo; species Homo sapiens. Next base: position 53,474,471 of record NC_000007.14, read on the forward strand.
GCTCCCATATTGCGAGAATGCCAAGTATCTAGAACCTAAGATAGCCTATGCGGTTTGAGAGAGATCCCTAGCCAGCAACCAACAAGAAAACAGTGATCTTATCACCACGACTGCAAGAAGCTGGGTTTTTCAATAACCTGAATAAGCCTGGAAGCAGACTCCAAGCTCCAGATGAGAACAAGGTAGACATCTTGGTTTCAAGATTTGAAACACTGAGGGGAAAATCCCAACACACTGTGCCTGGATTTCTGACCCACAGAAACTCTCAGATAATGCATGGGCATTTTGCCTCACTGACTTTGCACTAATTTGTTATAAAACACTAGAAAATGAACACACTTTTACATTTGCCCACAAAACTGCTAGCAACCTCAATGTTTTATTTTTTATAATCAAAACTTACAAAGTATTTATTTTATATTGCAGATTAAAGGAAATTTCATATGTTTTGATATTCATCCAAGCATTTGGAAATTTGATATCTTCCTAGAAAAATCAAGATGGAAATTTCATTTTCTCTGTGACATCTTAAAATAGGTGTCTCAGAACCGAACTGGACTCAATCTCCAGCTTCCCTCTTTTTTGAAGTTAGGCCAATATCCCGTGGCTCAATTCACATATTGAGTGCCTTACACATGAAGAGATACATGCAGGAAAATAAACCATCCTATACATGAGCCATTATTTCAAAGGCCTAATGTTCCCAGTTAGAAATGTTTATTTACAAAACTACCACAGGTTAACAACAACACAAATGTAACTTATTTAAAGGTCATGCTCCCAGGGCACTAAACTAGAAGACAAATCATGGCAATAAACGCAAGAAAAGCATTTTATAAGAATAAGAGGAGTTTGAACAACAAGAAGAACTAATCAGAAGGTTTTAATAATGATTGAAGTCATGTCCTTTTTTGTACAGTATTGGATATATGCTTAAACAGCACTGATTGTCTTCTTCAACCTTTTCATCTAGGAGCCTTGTAATAAATAGATCGCTATCACTCTTTTCTTAAATCTAGAGTACGGCGAATGCAGCATAAGTCAAGGAGTTATCTGGACAAATAGCAAATAATTACCTACGTGGTTTCAGTTGCACTTTTAGTCCTTTGTACACAACTCCCTATTTTCTGCCTTAAAAAATGTGGACGATATTGAGTGCTGTGTGGTGCTTGTTTTTTTGTGTGTTTTTCTTTTCTTTCTTTCTTCTTTTTTTTTTTTTGCAAGGGGATTCTGTTTAAGAATCAAAGCTTGCTTGTTGTGAACACCATTATACACCGTTTACATATTTTAAGCTTTATATTCCAGTTGGGACTCCTATAATTGGATAAGCATGTCATCTATGCCATCTGTGATTTGATAAAAATGTTGAACAGCTTAAGGCAAAGGATGTTAATACAAGTCATTTCATAGATAATCCAATTCAGTGGGCCTTTGCTTCTCACTCATCTCTCTTTGACTATGATTGCTCAACCCATTTTTATTTCTATCACTAAAAGTATAAGCACAGATAAGTCCTAAGGGATCATGAAAATGATACTGTAAAAATTCAAATAAACTAGATATCTCTGTAGTTTTTGAAATTGTGGACTTATGTAATTTCTTGGAATTAGAAATGTAAAATAATAGCCAGAAAGTTCTGGCTTTAGCTTCCTTTTGCAAAATTTAGATACAGCCTATGAGTTGGCCAATTCCACTGGCTTGTATATGTGGCTATTTCATATCCACTTTATGCTAAGGCATTTTTAAAGGGTCCAGCAATGTGTCCAGTTCCAAATGTTCTCATTCTGTGTTTTTTTCTCCTCCCAGCCCCTGGACATCAAGACAAAAAACAGAACAAAAGCTTTACCAAGTCAACATCTAATTTACAAAATTTGTCTACATTCTGCCTAGTTTCATTTTGTTGCATTATTATTTAAAAATGTTAAAATGTATTTCCTGTATTTTCCAATTACTCTCAATATAATTTTAAAATCTGATGTTATAGTTAAATTTGCACTGACTTATTTCCTTTCTCCTGAGAAAATTTGGTAAGAGTCTATTATGCATAGCCCTGAGTTTCACACATTTGAAACTGGGGAATGAGGCTGCTAGGACAATGGTGTTATTTATTATGGTGCATTACCAATTGCACTGCACCTGTCTGGATCATAGGTTTGCAATAATGCAATGAAAATGATTTGAATGGGTCATAGGTCTAATGTGTTAAGCACATAAACAAAGACTGCCCAGGGAGAGTGTTAATCCATGCTCATTAATTTTTAAATTCACATTCTGCAAGTTCATCCAAAAATTTATGAAGCACGTCAGAGTTTGGCTTCAACAGCAATAGAGACATACTGAAACATATGGCTGGGGGGCAAAATAGAGTCCTTGGCAGTGCTCCTTCAGAGAGCCAGGTGAAGTGAAACCCATTAGAACTTCCACTGTGGCCATGAGAGTTACAGCCCACAGAAGAGGGACGCTTCCCAATGTCTCTGAAACCGTGAAAGGCAAAGGAGACTCATTTCAATTCCTTCCATAGAGAATATCACTGCCCTAGTCTAGTGGGTTCTGTTTATTAGAGGATGTCTTTATGCATGATTATTTAAAGCACGCAAAATCCATCCCCCTTATTTTTTCCTGTTTCATGTATATACATAGATACATGTGCGTATACATGTATACATAATAAATATATACATACGAGCCACTGTCCTAATGTATTAAATCAGTTGTAAAAAACATACTAAATATATTTCTGACTATAAGAGTGTAGTCTAATTTTTTAATTTTACAATTTAGTAATGGTAAACATTCATTTGGTGCTAACTTACTTTAATAATCTTATTTTTAAGATCTTATTTTTTGAAGTCTCCTTTTGTGTTTGTTTTCATTATAGTTGCAGAATTCTACTTAATCTTGTGAATGCTTGGGTTTCCTTTTTTAAATTAAATCATCTCTATCTGAAAAGATTTTCTTTGGTTTGGATTGTCTCATTATTAACTTGGTCAACCAAGTTAAGGTGAATGAATATAACTATTATTGCTTAAATCTTGGCTTAATGCTCAGTGATATATACTAGTCTGGCTATTTTAAGTTGCCTCTGTCCCACAATGGCTGTGATACTTGGAATGATAGTTCACAAAGGTATGAGGATACAAATGGAAGATTCAATCATGATGTTCATGTTTCCATGACATACACTGTTATAATATTTAAAAGTAAATATCCCTCTTCACTGGTGTTAATTTTTCTTGGAAAACATGAAAATAATTACTTTAAAAAATAATAAGTATATAAAAATTCCTTATTTCATGTTTTATATGTATTTCATATGTTCATAGATTAGAAAAGTAAAGAAGGTTATATTTATTTAAATGTTCAAATACAAATCTTTCCAGAGATGACAAAACTACATAAACTTTGTCCACTGACATCCAAGGTCCTGCCTCAGTGGTAGGATGTTCCAGCTCAGAACTGTGCACTCCACATGGGAAGTCCCCTCTGCTGCAGTTACTCCAGGCTGGGTTCGGCTCTGCAGGTATCCCTGCTGTTTCTTTCTGTCTCTACAGAACGCATTTGGTATCCTTAAGTATTATTTTATTTTGCCACCTTGCTACTCACATCTACAGGTGGCCCTTCCTGGATCATCCAGCCAGGCCAGATCCTTCTAACTCCCTCCCTGGATCCACGGCAGTTACTCTATTTTGTGTATTTCTGCTCTTAATCTGTGAGTGCAATGAGGACAGAGGCTGTTGTGTGTCCTTTACACCAGCAATCCCCCCTCTCAATTCAATTACTTTTACTTTGACTCTCAGCAAATGTAGGGTTGACCAAGTTAATAATGAGACAATCCAAACCAAAGAAAATCTTTGCAGATGGAGATGATTTAATTTTAAAAAGGAAACTCAGGCTTTCACAAGATTAAGTAGAATTATGCAACTATAATGAAAACTAACAAACAAACACAAAAGGAGACTTCAAGCCAGAGTGAAATAGATATAATAGTGTGTGATCCTGACTGAATTCTTTTCATTCAATATGTGAAGGGAAAAAGAATGAGTTCTTTAAGTTTTCCTGAGATTATCCAACACCCTAGGAGGACTGTTAATACTCTCAGTGATAAAAACTTAACAGCATAGAAATTCTTCAAGTTACAGCTGAGCTGACAGTATATTAAGAAAATGTTGTTGAAATCAGAAGTCCATTCAGGGCATGCATTCTTAGAGAGAAGTTTGTGGCAAAGCCTTTGTTTGCCTTAGGAGCTCTCTTTTGAGACCAGAGTTGCAGAGTTTGGCAATTAACTAGTCTGGAAGGTGAGGGGAGACAGATTCTAAGTTCTGAGGAAGGAGAAAGTCTAATCAGAAATTCCCTCATAAAATCAGAAACTGTGAAAGACACCCAAGGTGATAGCCTCAGCAGACAAAATCGACAAAAAGCCCTAGCACATCACTGCCCTACTCAAAACCCCCTTTGCATTCAGACAAATGTGCAAACTCCTCCAGAGGGAGCCCACCCATGTGATCCACTACAAAGCCTGAGTCTCAACTCATCCCACACATACTCCCCTCACCCACCGCACACGGCCACGTTGACCATCTTGCTTCCACAGAAAATTTCAAGTCTATTTCCACTTTAGGGCTTATACACTTCTATCTTTTCTTCCTGGAATGCACTTCCTTTGATTCATCTCGTGAGTCTTTCCACCAGCTCATCCCAGTATCTGTTCAAATGTCTTCCCTTAGAGATAATGTTCCTAAACACCCTATTTAATAACAAACCCAAATGCTTTTTAGCACTTAAGCCTGATTTATTTTTCTTCACAATATGTGTCTGTTAGCTTTTCCTATCCTATCCATGATATTACATTGTACTGTGATATATTCCTATATTTATTACTCTGTCTAACTCTGTAGCATATCATACGAACTATGTCTTGTATCTCCAATTACAACGAAGTGTCTGGCATACAAGTGGTAGTCAATAAATATTTACTGCATGACTAAGTGGATTTGACCCATCTGGGTTTTGTTTTGCTATAAAGCGTATGGGAAATGTCTAGTTTGTTTGTTTGCTTGTTTTCACAGAGCACCAAGCTGTTGCCACAGACCATCATTAAATAATCATGTCTTAAAATGATTTCAAATTTTACTTATCAAGACAAAATTCCACATATATATATATACATAACACTTTTGTAAAATCTAAAGATATGCACAGTATCTCTACTCTTTATAAATGAGACAGCAAACACAACCTGATTTGTCCTTTCTCCTAACTCCCTCATTTTGATATTGAGTAAATTTTTGTGGTTGTTGATTTTTTGTTTTGTTGTTTTGTTTTTGAGACAGGGTCTTGCTTTGTCACCCAAGCTGAAGTGCAGCTGCAAAATTATAGCTCACTGCAGCCTCAAACTCTTGGCCTCCACCAGTCCTCCTGCCTCAGCCTCTCAAGTAGCTAAGAGTAAAGGCATGCACCACCATGCCCAGCTAATTTTTATATTTTTGTAGAGACAAGGTTTTGCTATGTTGCCCAGGCTGGTCTTGAACTCCTGGCCTTTAGCCATCTCCTTGCCTTGGCCTCCCAAAGTACAAAGTGCTGGCATTACAGGTGTGACACACTGCACCTTACCAATATAGAGTAAATTTTAATTCACCTTTATTTTAAATCTTTTTAAAATTTTATTTATTATGCTTTAAGTTCTGGGATACATGTGCAGAACATGCCAGTTTGTTACATAGGTATACATGTGCCATGGTGGTTTTCTGCACCCATCAACCCATCATCTAGGTTTTAAGCCACACATACACTAGGCATTTGTCTTAATGCTCTTGCTCCCCTTGCCCTCAACCCCCCAACAGGCCCCAGTGTGTGATGTTCCCCTCCCTGTGTCCCTGTGTTCTCATTGTTCAACTCCCACTTATGAGGGAGAACATGCTGTGTTTGGTTTTCTGTTACTGTGTTAGTTTGCTGAGAATGAGTTTCCAGCTTCATCCATGTCACTGCAAAGGACATGAACTTATTCTTTTTTATGGATGCATAATATTCCATGGTGTATATGTGCCACATTTTCTTTATCCAGTCTATCATCGATGGGCATTTGTGTTGGTTCCAAGTCCTTGCTATTGTGAATAGTGTTGCAATAAACATACCTGTGGATGTGTCTTCATAGTAGAATGATTTATAATCCTTTGGGTATATACCCAGTAATGGAATGGCTGGGTCAAATGGTATTTCTGGTTCTAAATCCTTGAGGAATCACCACACTGTCTTCCACAGTGGTTTAACTAATGTACACTCCCTCCAACAGTGTAAAAGTGTTCCTATTTCTCCACATCCTCTCCAGCATCTGTTGTTTCCTGACTTTTTATAAATCACCATTCTAACTGGTATGAGATGGTATCTCATTGTGGTTTTGATTTGCCTTTCTCTAATGACCAGTGATGATGAGCTTTTTTTCATATGTTTCTTGGCCACATAAATGTGCTCTTTTGAGACGCGTCTGTTCATATCCTTTGCCCACTTTTCAATGGGGTTGTTTGTTTTTGTCTTGTAAATTTGTTTAAGTTCCTCATAGATTCTGGATATTAGACCTTTGTCAGATGGATAGATTGCAAAAATGTTCTCTCATTCTGTAGGTTGCTTGTTCACTCTGATGATAAACCCTAGAAGAAAACCTAGGGAATACTATTCAGGACATAGGCATGGGCAAAGACTTCATGACTAAAACACCAAAAGCAGTTGCAACAAAAGCCAAAATTGACAAATGGGATCTAATTAAACTAAAGAGCTTCTGCACAGTAATTCACATTTATTTTAATATAATTTAGTCATTTTATATTTTGTTATTTCTTCTCACTCAGTAATTAGGGTTATGAAAGTATTTTATCAGCCTCCAACAAGGACTGTTTTTGCATCTCATTTCTTCATTTGAGTTCACTTCCTGCCAAATTATTTCCTTTAGCAAATTTTCATCAATGAACAGGAGTTATGACATTATGTTGTTTTATTTTGAATCAAAATTTGGCTGAATATGGAGTTCTAGATTGATTATAATTTCATCTAGTGTATTTAAATATGGGTGTATACACACACGCACGTGTACATATATATACTATATAGTATATATATAGTATATATACTATATACTATATATATGTATGAATGTATGCAATTTCCCTGCAAGGTTTCTTCTTGTTACTGGGGAATCCTCCGCTGGCCTAGGTGCAGAGCATACACAGATACTTGTGTATCGTTCCTAGCCTCATAAGGTGTTCTCTTCATCCTTATTGCTTCATAGTTTCACTTTGTGATAACTGGGTGCTGATTTATTTTTTGGAGGGGTTTCTTGTGTTTGGTTCTTTGGTACTTTCAATTTCTTACCCATTATATTGTCTGTTACTCCCTCCATTTCCTACTACTACCACTGTCATGAAATGTGTTAGACTTGTCAAATTCTTCTGCATCTCTTAAGTTCTGTTCCACATTTTTCATCTCTTCATTATTTTGAGCTGCATTCTGGGTGCTTATCTCAGTACCATTTTCCACTCAATAGTATCCATGCCTGTGTCCAGATTAACACTGAGCTGATTGCTTCAAAAACATTCAGCCATTTTCCTATTGCTGCTATAACAATTACTGCACATTCAGTTACTTAAAACAACACACATTTATCATTTTAAAGTTCTGGGGGCCAGAAGTAGAAAAAGAGTTTAATGGGATAAAGTCAAGGTGTCCATAGGGTTGATTTCTTCCAGAGATTCTAGGAGAGGATCCATCTCCTTCCCTTTTCCAGCCTCTAGAGTCTGGCTGGAGATTCCCCTAGACTCTGGCTCCTTAAGAGACCACAAAATGATACCCCTTTCCCCCTGAACTTTATTTCTATAAGTCTGTAAAGGAAATATTCAAAATTTCGAAAGTCACTTATCAGTTGGAAACATTTTTAATAGTTTATTTATTTTCTATTTAAAATCATATTGTTTATTTATTTATTTATTTTCTATTTAAAATCATATTAAGATATAATCAGATAAATCCACACTACTTTCATACTTTTGGCTAGAGAGGTAAGTTTTCAAAGTTCAAGCAGACCTGGGGGAGCCCATCCACCAAAAGAAGAAAAGCCAAGAAAAAGGACTTTGTCAATAGTCAAACTCTGTGTATATGATCAGATTACTGCTTCTCTCCTTGGGAGGTACTATTAACTTGTGACCCAGGTGAGCCACATTTACCTCATGTTCATGCCCTTGAATAGTATGTACCTGCTTTGACCCTGGCCTTCACCATGTGACTTACTGTGGCAAATGATATATTAGCAAGAATGGTATAGCAGAGGATTGAGAGGTGCCTATGAATTGAAGCTTGTCCTCTTGGAATGTTCTATCTTGGGGCCAGTCGCCATGCTTTAAAGAAATGTGGGCTAAAATACTGAATAATGGAAACTATATAGAGATAGATCTTGGATTCAAAATGTCTTCTTGGAAGTCCCACCCTGCCCTGAGCTCCTAGCTAAATGCAGATGCAGGTATGAGATTGTGGATACCAAGTGGAGCAGAAGTGTCCAGCCAATCATAGTCAACAACACTGGCTTGCAAGAAGTGATAAATCATTGATGTATTACGTCACTAAGTTCTGAAGTGGATTTTTATGCAAACAGGTAACTGAAAGACCCATGGATGGTATTATACTCAGTAACAACTTTTTCTTTCTCATTCAGAGCACAGTGAGTCAGGTCTGAATGAGATCTTAGGACAAGCATGTTCTCTTCATGTCAGTTAACCTAAGTTAAACAGACTAGAGAAAGTTTCATGTTTTAATTTCTTCCTTTTGTCAAATTTACATAATTATCTCATGGGATTATGATTTGCTTAAGTTTTTGTGTGTCATGGGTGCCCAGTGTCTGTTTACTGTGTCGGTATCTTCCCATTACACATGTCAAATAGACACATGTGTTCATCTTTGCAGAGTTTTTTGTAATTGGAAATTTCCACCGCTTGATTTTTCTCCTCCATTGGGAACAGATGCATGCAGTACTCCACATTATAGAAACCCTTCTATTTGTCCATTATGAAAGGTAAAATTAAAGCAGAGAATATATCCTTCAGGCTTAGCAAACATATAAGGCAGCAAAACAACAACACTGACTCTGATTTTAAAGGGCTAAGTTTCCAGGAATGAGTATTGTTCTACCTAAGCTCAGAGACCGTCATTCACCAGTATGAAATTTGCCACTAATTTGTATTTGTATCATTGGTAGGTTCATGTAATATCCAACCCTATAAATTATCTTTCCTGGATTAACATACCATAAAGTGCAGGATAAGAGGTTTCTTGTAAGGTAGTTCCAGATTAACATGACCTAGAAACTAAGATAGCACAGTGCTCACGTTGGCTTACAGGCCGATACTCCAATCCCTATGTAGCACCATTTTATTAAGCCAATAAAGTGCTACTATTATAAGATTTTTATAACCTCGCAGGCCATAGCCTTTTCAGGGGCACTGATAGTAAGTATAGTTCCTTTAATTAAAGTGACCAGAAACACTTGGCCCAGTGTTAGAATCGTTCATTATTTACCCACATCAGTCTTGTGAGCCTTTATGGCACTCATTGTCTCTCAGAGCAAAGCCAGATAATTTTATAGGACCTGCAGTGTACAGGAATCTAAGGGTCTTGGGTTAAGCAGTGAAAATGAACCTTCTCTATCTCATGTACTGACACACAGGGAAGCTTAATTACAGAGTACAATTTAATGGGAGGAAGCCTCGGCTCTGGACTTATAGCACCTGGAATAGTTGTCAAGTCTGCTACTTTTCCTGTTGGTAATTATGGGCAAGTTATCTAAGCCCTCTGTGTCTCAGTTTCTGCAGTTCTAAAGTGACAATAACAGAACTTGCTTTATATGGATAATACTATCATGAGTTGTAAATCTGTTTTGCATATAAAGCACTCAAAAACTATCTGCTAGTTAGGCATTCACTATATGTTATTTGTAATTATCCCTTTAATATCATTTTCACTGATAGAATTTAATGATAGGGAGGAATAAAAATAAAGTATTCTATGGACTGTCTCCCTCTGAAGTTTCCCCTGTCATGGTAACTCTTATTGGTCTGCACAATTGAATAAAGCACTAGATGATGCTTGTTCAGCTGTGTTATTTCTCACCGTAACTATGAATTCTAAATTTCAAGTCACACAAATTCACTGTTTGGTCCATCAGGAAATATCAAGTTTAAAGCTAACTGCTATGATCTAAATATTTGTGTCTCTCCAAAATTCACATTTTGAAGCCCTAATTCCCAAGGTGATGGCATTAGGGCCATCACCTTTACCTCCTAAAGAGGGCCTTTAGGAGGTAATTAGGACACCAGGACTCAACCCTCATGAATGCGATTAGTGCACTTATAGAGAGGGTTAAGGGTGCCTGTTTGTCCCTTCCTCCATGGCAGGGCACAGCAAGAAGGTGCTGCCTTCCAGGCAGAGAATGAGCCCTCACCAGACACCAGATGTGTTGTGGACTTCCTAGGCTTTGGAACTCTGGGGGATAATGTCTGCTGTTTATGAACCACTCAGTTTGTGGTATTTTATTATCACAGCCCTAAAGGACCAAGACACCAACAAGGGCATGGGTAGTCATCATCAGAATAAATAGGATTGAGGGCTATACTGGAAAGAACTTTAAGTAAAGCTTTCTTAATTCACATATTGAATGGTCTTATTTCTGTCATGATTTAGTCTGCAGTAAGGTTTTTTCTGGGCCCATCTGGCTTCTAAAATATTAGGGTCCTTTATAAATTCTGATGGAGTTGAAACATCATATTCTGAAAAAGGTTAACATCCCTTTCATAAGTTTCCCAGGGCTGCCATAACAAAGTGCCACAAGCTGAGTGGCTTAAATGGTAGACGTTAAATGTCCACAGTTCTAGAAACTAGAAGGAAAAAGTTAAGGTGTCGGCTACTTCATGCTGTCTCAGAGGCTGCAGGAGGAAACTCGATCAGTGCCCTTTTCTTAGCTTCTGGTGTCGCCAGCACTGTCTCCTGAGCATATGGTAACTTGATGCCCATCTTTGCTTCCATCAGCACATGGCCCTCTCCCCATGTCTCTGTGTTTGCACCTGGCCTCTGTATGACCTCATCTTAACTTAATTATATCTGCGACGACAGTTTTGTCAATGCCACATTCTGAGGTATGGGGTTAGGACTGCAATGTATCTGTTAGAGGGTGGGAGGACACAATTTAATCCATATACCTTTTCAGTGAGACAATGAAGGGGAAATACTGGTCCTGGCAACAACCAAGAAAAACAGATATGGAAACCAGCAGGTGGTTATGCTGGTTGTGATTAGCACAACTGGTACAATCTGATTGCATCTTTTATAATTCAAAAGTAAATCACAGGTTCTAGCTGCCTTAAGGGACTGTCCAATCTGACCAGTAAAAGGTATAAAGCAGGAAACAGACTATCCCTAGTTTCTTCAACTTAGTATGCTTTTGGGACCTTGTGCAATTCTCCTGGACTCCAACCCTGTTTCACACGCTCACGCGGTAGTGTGGAGAGCGAGCCTACAGTTTGCCATTTGTTAGGTACACTTTTAAGTGCCTTGCTGTGTATGACTTGACTCACAAAATAGTATAACTATGTTGGGCATTGGCTGCACAGGGAGAGTGTTGCACTGGCTTTTACCTTTTCCCCTTATTAGCCATTAAAATAACATTCTTTTTTAGAAAATAGGTTGTCAGTTTGAGGGAACAGAAACAAGAAGTAACTTCTTTTCTTTTCAATGCAAAGTTGGAACAGAAAGTAGACAGATGCCTGGAGATTGCCCATTCTAACTTCCCTAAACCTGTTTCTGGAATTTTACATGGTAAATTTTCTCCCTTACACTCAGTTGGGATCAATTTCTGTGCTATTAATTCATCGATATAAAGTTTATTAAATTTTCTTACCACTTGAGTATAATCTATCTTCCCTCTAATCTTTCAGTCATGTCTTGTTGCAGTCATGACTTTTATCATCATATTTGATTGTACACTGATGCCAAAATGGAGATTTCTCAGTGAAGTTCACATTTGTTTTCAATTATTTTTTAATGAGCCTTGATATCTTTTCTTCTGAAATTTCTCATTCATCATGATATATATTTTGGGGAAGTATGATGTGATTTTTTTAATTTTTGATTTTAAAATTAATTTTAATTTAATTTTTTATTTTTTTATTTCAACAGTTTTTTGGGATACAGGGTTTTTGGTTACATGGATGAGTTCTTTAGTGGTGAATTCTGAAATTTTAGTGCGCCCATCACCTGAGAAGTGTACATTGTACACAATATGTAGTCTTTTGATCCTTACCCCCTCATAACCACCACCCACCAAGTCCCCAAAGTCCATTGTATAACTCTGTATGCTTTTGCATCCTCATAGCTTAGCTTAGCTTTCACTTGTAAGAGGAAACATACTGTATTTGGTTTTCTCATTCCTGAGTTACTTAGAATAATGGCCTCCAGCTTCATCTAAGTTTCTGCAAAAGACATTATTTTGTCCCTTTTATAGCTGAGTAGTATTCCATGTTGTATATATACCACATTTTTTCATCCACTCGTTGGTCAATGGACACTAAGTTTGGTTCCATATATTTATGATTACAAATTGTGCTGCTATAAACATACCTGTGTTTGAGTCTTTTTCATATAATGACTCCTTTTTCTTTGGTTAGAGACCCAGTACTGTGATTGCTGGGTCAAATAGTAGATCTACTTTTAATTCTTTAAGGAATCTCCATACTGTTTTCCATAGTAGTTGTACTAATTTACATTCCAGCCAGCAGTGTAAAAGTATTTTTTCCCCATATCCATGTCAACATCTGTAGTTTTTTGACTTTTTAATTATGACCATTCTTGCAGGGGTAAGGTGATGTCTCCTTGTGGTTTTAATTGGCATTTCCCTGATGATTAGTGATGTTGATCATTTTTTCATATGCTTGTAGGCTGTTTGTATATCTTCTTTTGATAATTGTCTATTCATGTCCTTTGCCCACTTTTTGAGGAGATTATTTGTTTCTTGCTGATTTGTTTGAGTTCCTTGTACATTCTGGATGCTTGTTTTTTGTTGGATGCATAATTTGTGAATATATTCTCCCACTCTCTTGATTGCCTGTTTACTCTTTCTTTCCCTCCCTCCCTTCCTTCCTCCCTCCCTCCCTTCCTTCTTCCTTCTTCATTCCCCTTCCTTCCTTCCTTTCCTTCCTTCTTCTTTCCCTCCCTCTCTCCCTCCTTCCCTCCCTCCGTTCCTTCTTTCCTTCCCTCCCTCCCTCCTTCTTACCTTACCTTATCTTTCCTTCCTTCCTGTCTTCCTTTATCTTTTTTCCTTTTCTTTTTTCTTTTCTTTTTTTTTTTTTTTTTGCTGTGCAGAAGCTTTTTTAGTTTAATTAGGTCCCATTTATTTATCTTTGTTTCTGTTGTATTTGCTCATGGGGTCTTAGTCATACATTCTCTGCCTAAGCCAATGTACAGAAGAGTTTTTGTAATGTTATCTTCTAGAATTTTTACAGTTTCATCTTGAGTGGATTTTTGTATAAGCTGAGAGATGGGGATCCAGTTTTATTCTTCCACATGTGGCTTGCCAGTTTTCCCAGCACCATTTATTGAATAGGGTGTCCTTTTCCCAGTTTATGTTTTTGTATGCTTTGTCAAAGATCTGTTGGCTGTAAGGGTATTTGGATTTATTTCTGGGTTCTCCATTCTGTTCCACTGGTCTAAGTGCCTATTTTTATACCAGTGTTATACTGTTTTGGTAACCATAGCCTTGTAGCATAATTTTTAAGTCTGGTATTGTTAAGTCTCCAGATTTGTTCTTTTTGCTTAGTAGTGCTTTGGCTATGTGGGCTCTTTTTTGGTTTCACATAAACTTTGGATTGTTTTTTCTAGTTCTGTGAAAAATGGTGATAGTATTTTGAGGGGAATTGCATTGAATCTGTAGATTGCTTTAGGCAGTATGTTCATTTTCACAATATTGATTCTTCCCATCTATGAGCATGGAATTTGTTTCCATTTGTTTGTGTCATCTATGAATTATTTCAACAGTGTTTTGCAGTTTTCCTTTTAAGATCTTTCACCTCTTTGGTTAAGTATATTTCTAGGGTTTGTTGTTGTTGTTGTTGTTTTTGTTTTTATTTTTGTTTTTTTCAGCTGTTGTAAAAGGGATTGAGTTCTTGATTTGATTCTCTCCTTGGTCATTGTTGCTTTATAGTAGTTCTACTTATTTATGTGCATTGATTTTGTAACCCAGGACTTTGCTGAATTTGTTTATCAGATATAGGAGACTTTTTGATGAGTCTTTAGGATTTCTAGGTATACAATCATATCTTCAGCAAATAGCGACAGTTTAATTTCCTCTTTTCCAATTTGGATGCTGTTTATTTCTTTCTCTTGACTGATTCCTCCAGCTAGGGCTTCTAGTAACATGTTGAATAGAAGAGCTAAAAGTGGACATCCTTGTCCTGTTCCATTTCTCAGGGGGAATACTTTCAACTTTTTCCTAGTCAGTCTGATGTTAGTTGTATGTTTGTCATAGACGGCTTTTATTACTTTGAGGTAAGTCCCTTCTGTGCCTATTTTGTTGAGGATTTATATCATAAAGTGATGCTGGATTTTATCAAGTGCTTTTCTGTGTCTATTGAGATATTCATATGATTTTATTTTTAATTCAGTTAATGTGATGTATCACATTAATTGACTTGCATAGGTTAAATCATCTCTGCATCCCTGGAATGAAACCCACTTGATCATAATGTATTCTCTTTTTGATATGCTGTGGCATTCAGTTAGTTAGTATTTTGTTGAGGATTTTTGCATCTATGTTTATCAGAGATACTGGTCTGCAGGGTTTTTTGTTTGTTTGTTTGTTTCTTCTGTGTTTTTCCTGGTTTGGGTATTAGGATGATATTGTTTTCATAGAATGATACAGGGAGGATTCCCACTTTCTCTATCTTTTGGAATATTTTCAAGAGAATTGGTACTAATTCTTCTCTGAATGTCTAGTAGAATTCAGCTGTAAATCCATCTGGTTCTAAACTGTTTTGTTTGACATTTTTTTTAAATTACCGATTCAGTCATGCTGCTTGTTATTAGTCTGTTCAGGGCTTCTTTTTATTTCTGATTTAATCTAGGAGGGTGTATTTTTCAAGGAAAATTTCCATTTCCTCTAGATTTTCTAGTCTGCACATGTAAAGGTGTTCATAGTAGCCTATGATCTTTTATATTTCTGTGGTATTGGTTGTAATATCTCCAGTTTCATTTCTAATTGAGTTTATTTGGATCTTCTCTCTTCTTATGATGTGATTCTTAGAGAAAGAAGAAATAAATTTGACCAAAGGCCTAGAAAGGAAACAAAGGTAAAGCTTGATCACTCTGTCTTTGCAGTGACCAGTTATAATTCTGGAGGCTGAAAGATCTCTAAATTGCTGTCCCAGTTTCAAATATAACTTCCCATATCAGCATTTACTCTCATGATAAAAGGTTATTCTGTCTTTCCTAACTACCTACTAGTTAAACTGTATCTTACATACTCAACTCTCTTTTTAAATTTTAATCTGGCTAGTTCTTATTTTCATAGTTAGAATAGTGAAACATGTCTCCTCATCCTTTATTAAAGATAATGCAAGATATACACATGTAGTATTTGCCCAATGCAGTGCTGAGTACAAACACTCTCCAGTATCTTACACATTCATCTGTTCCACTTCTAGGCATTATATGAAATGTCTTCAACTTGTTTGGAGGAACTGTCAGGGGAGGTGCAGCTACTCATATATCCTTGACCAAAGAACAATCTTCCTCTATCAGGGAAGGTTGTCCCCTTCCACCAAGTGCTCGGCTTTGGGAAGAGTGAGGGCAGGGAAGGGGACAGCCCACCTAGCCAGTCAGATCAGCCAAATCAACCCTGGCAACCAATGGGATGACAGCTGTTGAAACCAGATTGACTGCACACCTTATACCAATTATCTATGAGAACAAGAACACACAACTCTTTGCTGCCCCATTCCGTGTATGCTTTGCCCAGTGGCCAAGGCCTTTACCTCACATACAGCTTGATTAAGAATCCTCTGACCTCTCAGTCTAGTGAGTTTTTAAATTTATATGAAAACATTCTCAATTTCCTATGTTTATTATTTTGCTGTTTAAATTTCTATTACTCTTAACTCACATTCTCTTGTATCTGTTTTTTTAAAATTCCTTGTCTCAGCTTTATCTTTTCAAAGACACTTTTCATCTCATGAAATTTTTTCATGAGATGAAAAAATTTCTGAGATTGCAGAGTCATTCCTGAGGCTACTTCTTGGTATGCACATAAATCAGGATCCTTATTTATTTGCATAAATAAGGGCCCCTATTTCATGCTGTTGGGGCACAGCATGTTAGTTTGACCACAAGTTCTTTTTGCAGCATCTGGGGAGCGTATGAGTGAAGGGGTGTGTGACATTTGCTGCAGGTCATCCTACCACCAACATGTTTCTAGGCAA
The DNA here is from genome assembly GCF_000001405.40 of Homo sapiens. Lineage (NCBI taxonomy): Eukaryota > Metazoa > Chordata > Mammalia > Primates > Hominidae > Homo > Homo sapiens. The sequence continues at coordinate 53,490,970 of NC_000007.14, forward strand.
GAAGGAGAGCTTCTTCATAAAGTTCCTGCGACGAACCCCAAATTCAGGGTGGCCTCTTTCTGGAAGCTATGGATTGATAGAGTCTTGTCAACCTCCAACTGTTGGCCAGCAAAACATCAGATGCCCTGTTCAGCAGGAGAGCCTTCCCTGCCTTAGATTAGTTCTTTGACAATACGGACAGTGTCGTGTGGTTAAGTTGACTGCTGGCTCTTAATAAAGATCTGTGTGGCTGACTCTGCAGCTCTGCCTGGCCATGGCATGGAGGAGAAGAAAGATGAACAGGCACATGTGAACATTTCTAACATTCTTGTTAGAAATTGGTGCCAGAACCAACAGCGGGCATCGGAATCAGTGCATACTCAAGTCCTGCAGTCAGTCCTGTGGAACACAGCCCTGTATAAAAAGTAGGCCTTTTGTATGCCTGGTTTTCCAATCCCATGATTTCCGAAGCGCCTTCAGAATGAAATATATTCTTTGTTAAATTTGCAGACATTTGTACATCATAATTTTCCTGACATTTTGAAATTTTAGCTTATAATTCATCTTGATTAGGATCTTCCTGTGTGTGTGTCTGTGCTTTTTACCCTTTCTATAGGCTCAGACTCTCCTACCTAATATTTCCAATTCAACAGCAGATTTCTATTGACTCTGTTGATGCAGGACTACGCTAGTGGAGATACAAGGAATCTGGTTCTTAAGTCACTGGGCGACTTGGCATAGATTGCTGTTGCTTGGCTGTTTCTTTTTCCTCTTTCTACCTTAGGCGGTAGCTGGATAAATGTGGTTCATGGCTCTTGCTGCAGAAAATGACTGCAACTTTATTTTCCCTGTGTTAAAATCTGGGCAAACTGGGAGGTGAGTAGAAGTTTTCACCTAGGAGTCGTCTTGTTATCCACTGAAACCTGAAGTTTCCAGGTATGAATGTTTCTGTATTTATACTACTTGGATAACAGTGAGCTTCTTAGACTCATGAAGTTTTTCATTGAATTTGAATAGGTTTTGGGTTTATTCTTCTAAATATTGTGCCCCTTTCTCTGACTTCTGTTACAGATTTTCCCACAGATGTCTGAGGCTCTGTTTTTTTTTTCTTCATTAATTCTTCATTCTGTATTTTTAGGTTAGATTATTTTTCTTGATCTATCTAAAATTTTATGATTCATTTCCTTACCATCTTAAATCTTTTATTGACACTTCTAGTATTTCTTTATTTCAATTACTGTACTCGTTAACACCAGAATTTCCATTTGATTCTTTTTTCTCAATACATTTATAATTTCTGCAATTTTTCTCACAATTTCTGTTTGTTAATTCACTTTGTCATACCTTCTTTTAATCCTTTAAATATTGTTTCTTTTAGTTTTTGAACATATTTTTAGTAGCTGCTTTGAAGCCTTTGCTAAATACAATGTACAGGGATACTCAGACAATTTCTATTTATTATTATTTTTATTAACCGCTTTTTTGAGATACAGTTCATGTACCTTAAAATTTGCTGATTTAAAGTGCACATTTATTTTCAATATATATGCAGTAATATGGTTTGAATTGTGTGCCCTAAAATTCATAGGATAAAGTGTTCACCTCCAGTATTGCAGAATGTTACCTCATTTGGAGACAGGATCTTTATGGAAGTATCTTCAAACAAGGTTATTAGGATGGGCCCTAATTTAATAAGATCCGTGTCCTTTAAAAGGGGGAAAGTTGAAGACATATTGTAGGAAGGACGCTGTGTGCAGATGAAGGCAGAGATTGGGGAATGCTTCTGCAAGCCAAGGAGAGCAAAGATTGGCAGCAAAGCAACAGAAGCCAGGTGAGAGGCATAAAACCTCTTCTCCCACAGCCCTCAGAAGGAAGCAAATCTGCCAACACCTTGATCTCAGACATCCAGCTGAGGGACAAATAACTCCAAAACTGTGGGAAAGTAAACTGCTATTGTTTAAGTCACTTCGTCCATTATATTTTGTATAGCAGCCCTTGTAAACTCTAAGGTACAGATATAGATATGCACAAGAATCACCACGGTTTTAGACCATTTTTGTCATCTAAATGGAATTCCTGAACCCTTTTGTATTGCCCCTTTTTCCCCCTCCAGCCCTATGAAACCACTAACCTACTTCCTGTCTCTACATTTTGCCTGTTTTGACCATTTCATGTACAGTCACCCCTCGATATATGCAGGGTATTGGTTCCAGGATCAACAGCAGACATCAGAAGCAGCCCATACTCAAGTCTCACAGTCAGCCCTGTGGAACCTAGCCGAGTATGAAAAGCAGCCTTTTGTACACCTGTTTCTCCCATCCCGAGATCTGCATTTGGTTGTGAATGTGGAACCTGTGAATACTTAGCACCAACTGTATTTATTGAAAACATCAGCATATAGGTGGACCCGCCAAGTTTAAACCTATGTTGTTCAAGGGTCAATTGTAAATGGAATCATACAGTGCATTGGTTTTGTGACTGGCATCTCTCACTTGGCAGGGCTTTTTCGTGGCTCATCCACGTTATAAAATGTGTCAGAACTTCCTTCCTTTTTAGGGATGAGAATTACACATACTACATTTTGTTCTTCCATTAGTCAGTGGGTAGACATTGGGGTTGTTTACGCTTTTGGCTATTGAGACTAATGCTGCTGTAAACATTCACATATAAATTTTTGTGTGGACATACGTTTTCATTTCTCATGGGTATATGCCTGAGAGGAGAATTGTAAGTTCATATGTCAAAAAGTGTTAAACCATTTGAAGATTTTTCAGAGTGTTTTCCACAGTGACTGCATCATTTTACATTCTCATCACTAGTATCTGAGGGCTGTGATTACCACATCTACTCACCAACACTTATTATTATGTGATTTTTTGATTTTAGCTATCCTAGTGGGTTTGAAATAGTTTTCTTATTGTGGTTTCAATTTGCATTTCCCTAATGACTAATGATTTTGAACATCTTTTCATGTGCTTATTGCTCTTTTGTATGTCTTGTTTGAAGAAATGCTTGTTCATATTCTTTGTCCATTTTCAGTTGTGATATTTGTTTTTTATGTTATTAACTTATATTAGTTCTATATAAATTCTATGTACAAGTATTATATCAGGTATATTATTAGCAATTACTTTCTCCCGTTCTGTGGGCCTTCTTTTCACTTCCTTTTTTCCTTATTTAAAAGTATTTCATTCTCAAATAATGATTGAATCTATTTAAGGTGTATAACATGATGGTTTGATATATGTATATATTGTACGATGCTTACCACAATTAAATTATATCACCACCCATGCTGTACAGAGCCTCCCAGAACTTGCTGGTCTTATAACTGAAAGTTTGTACCCTTTGACTAATATCTTCCCATTTCTTCTACTCCCTGAACCCTGACAATCACTAGTCTACTCTGCTTCCAAGAGGCCAACTTTTTAAGATTCTACATATAAGTGAGATCATGTCGCGTTTGTCTTTTTTTGTCTGGGTTATTTCACTTAGCTTAATGTCCTTTAGGGTCATACATATTGTTGCAAATGGCAGCATTTCCTTTTTTGTAGATGAATAATATTTCTTTGCATATATGTACCACAATTTCTTTATCTATTCATCAAATTATGGACACATAGATTGTTTCCATATATTGGTTATTGTGAATAATGCTATAATGAACATGGGGGTTACAACTATCTCTTCAAGATACTGATTTCATTTCCTTTAGATATATACCCCAAAGTAGAATTGATAGATCATATGGTAGTTCTATTTTTAGTTTTATGAGGAGTTCTGGACTGTTTTCCATAATGACTGCACCAATTAACATTCCCACCAATAGTGTACAAAGGACATCCTTTGTCCACATGCTCACCAAAACATTACCTCTTCTCTTTTTGATAATGAGAGGTGACAGCGTGCTGGCAGTCCTCAGAGCCCTCGCTTGCTCTCGGCACCTCCTCTGCCTGGGCTCCCACTTTGGCGGCACTTGAGGAGCCCTCCAGCCCACCACTGCACTGTGGGAGCCCCTTTCTGGGCTGGCCAAGGCTGGAGCCCAGTCCCTCAGCTTGCAGGGAGGTGTGGAGGGAGAGGCGCGAGCGGGAACCGGGGCTGACTGCAGCACTTGCGGGCCAGCTGGAGTTCCGGGTGGGCGTGGGCTTGGCGGGCCCCGCACTCAGAGCAGCCGGCCGGCCCTGCCGGCCCTGGGCAATGAGGGGCTTAGCACCCGGGCCAGCGGCTGCGGAGGGTGTACTGGGTTCCCCAGCAGTGCCGGCCCACTGGCACTGTGCTCGATTTCTTGCCGGGCCTTAGCTGCCTTCCCGCGGGGCAGGGCTCGGGACCTGCAGCCTGCCATGCCTGAGCCTTCCCCCGCCTCCGTGGGCTCCTGTGCGGCCCGAGCCTCCCCGACGAGCACCACCTCCTGCTCCACGGCGCCTAGTCCCATCGACCACCCAAGGGCTGAGGAATGCGGGCACACGGCGCAGGACTGGCAGGTGGCTCCACCTGCAGCCCCAGTGCGGGATCCACTGGGTGAAGCCAGCTGGGCTCCTGAGTCTGGTGGGGACCGGGTGGAGAGTCTTTATGTCTAGCTCAGGGACTGTAAATACACCAATCAGCACCCTGTGTTTAGCTCAAGGTTTGTGAGTGCACCAGTCGACACTCTGTATCTAGCTGCTCTGGTGGGGCCGTGGAGAACCTTTATGTCTAGCTCAGGGATTGTAAATACACCAATCGGCACTCTGTATCTAGCTCAAGGTTTGTAAACACACCAATCAGCACCCTGTGTTTAGCTCAAGGTTTGTGAGTGCACCAATCGACACTCTGTATCTAGCTGCTCTGGTGGGGCCTTGGAGAACCTGTGTGTCGAAACTCTGTATCTAACTAATCTGATGGGGACGTGGAGAACCTTTGTATCTAGCTCAGGGATTGTAAATGCACCAATCAGCACCCTGACAAAACAGGCCACTGGGCTCTACCAATCAGCAGGATGTGGGTAGGACCAGATAAGAGAATAAAAGCAGGCTGCCCAAGCCAGCATTGGCAACCCGTTCGGGTCCCCTTCCACGGTGTGGAAGGTTTGTTCTTTCGCTCTTTGCAATAAATCTTGCTACTGCTTACTCTTTGGGTCCACGCTGCTTTTATGAGCTTTAACACTCACCGCGAAGATCTGCAGCTTCACTCCTGAGCCCAGCGAGATCATGAACCCACCATGAGGAACGAACAACTCCAGACGCCCTGCTTTAAGAGCTGTAACACTCACCGCGAGGGTCTGCAGCTTCATTCTTGAAGTCAGTAAGACCAAGAACCCACCAATTCCGGACACAATAATAGCCATCCTAACAGGTGTAAGGCAATAGCTCACATGGTTGTGATTTGCATTTTTCTTGTAATTAGTGATGTTCAACAGTTTTTCATATACCTGTTGGCTACTTTTATGTTTTCTTAGAAAAAATGTCTATTCAGGTTATTTGATCATTTTTAATTGGGCTATTATTATTACTTGCTTTTGAGTTGTTTGAGTTGCTTATATATTTTGGCTATTACTTATTATTAGATGCATGATCTGCAAATATTTTGTCCCATTCTATAGGTTGTCTTTTCATTTTGCTGACTATTTCATTTGTTATGCAGAAAATTTCAGTTTGGTGCAGTCCCACTTATTTATTTTTGTTTTTGTTGCTTGTGTTTTGGTTCATATCTAAAAAGTTATTGCAAAGAGTAATGTCAAGAAGATTTTTCCCTAATTTTTCCTCTAAGAGTTTTATAATTCCAGATCTTATGTCTTTTTAGTTTAGTAATGCCCTATTAAAAACACATTTTAAAAAATTTTGATGAAGTCTGATTTATCTATTTTTTTCCTCTTGCTCTTGGATTCGTGCCATACCTAAAAATCAGTTGCCAAATACAAAGTTATAAAATGTACTATACGTTTCATTCTAAGAGTTATTGTTTTAGCTCTCACATGTAAGGTGTTGATACATTTTTAGTTAATTTTTGTATATGGTGTGAGAAAAGAATTGACTTCGTCCTTTCCAATATGGCTATCCAGTTGTCCCAGAACCAGTTGTTGAAAAGACTTATTCTTTCCTCATTGATAGGTGTTAGCATCCTTCTCAAAAATCATTTGACCATCCAGGTATGCGTTTATCTCTAGACTCTCAATTCTGTTCGATATGTATGTGTGCACATGCGTGTGTGTATGTACGTATGCGTGTGTGTGTGTGTGGTTGTGTGTACATGTCAGTTTGAGCCGCCTACTTGTTCTTCTTTTTCAAGATTGTTTTGGCTTTTCTGGGTTCCTTCCAAATTCACATGAATTTTTATATTCTATTTGTCAATTTCTACAAAACATAAGCTGGAATTCTAATATGAATTGAGTTGTAACTGTAGATCAATTTGGAGAGTATTACCATCTTAATAATACTAAGCTTTCTGAAGTATAGGATATTTTTACATTTACTTAGATCCCTTTAATTATGCTCAACAAGTCTTTTATAGTTTTTAAAGTACATTTTATACCTTTTGTTACATTTATTCCTAAGTATTTTATTATCTTTTGAAGCTATTGTAAATGAGATTTGTTTCTTCTTAGTTTCATTTTTATGTTATTTGTTGCTGCTGTATAGAAACATAACTGATTTTTAATATTGATCTTTTATCTCGCAACCTTCATGATCATGTCTGTTAGTTCTAGTAACTTGTTTTAGTGTGTTCCTTAGGATATTTTACATGCAATATCAGGTCATCTATGAATAGAAATAGTTGCACTTCTTCCTTTCCAATTGGAACATTTATTTTATTTTACTTGCTTAATGCCTTGACTAGAACATCTAGTACAAGGCTGAGTAGAAGTGGCAAGAGCAGGCATTCTTGTTTTGTTCTTCATTATAAGGAAAAAGCATCCAGTCTTTTTACCATTAAGTACAATGTTACTGGGGTGTTTCATGATACCCTATAAAGTTGAGGAAATTTCCTTCTGTTCCTATTTTGTTGCACATTTTATCATGAAATGGTGTTGCAATTTGTCAAATGTCCTTTTTGCAGCGATAGAGATAATAAGTTTGGTATTTATTCTATTGATATGCTATAATATATTAATTTTTGGCTGTTAAACAAAATTTGCCTCCTAGGATGAATCCCACTTGGCCAAGATATATAATTATTTCAACATGCTGATCAATTAGGTTTGCAAGTAATTTGTGAAGCATTTATTTGCATTCAAATTCATAAGCGATATTTGTCAGTAGTATTCTTTTTGTGAGAAATTTGTCTCATTTAGTATATGAGTAATATTGGCATCATATAATAAATTGGCATGTTTTCTCTTATCTCCATTTTTTGGTAATGTTTTGTAAAGCATGGGTATTAATTCTTTTTTAAATGATTGGTAGAATTCAGTTGTTAAGCAATCTATGTCTGGGCTTTTTTGTGGGTAATTTTTGGATCACTAATTTAATCTCGTCTTGTGATGGGTCTATTCACAATGTATATTTCTTCTTGAGTCATTAGTTTTTGCTTTTCTGGACATTTATCCATTTCAACTAAGTGACTTAATTTGCTGGCATGCAATTGTTCTTAGTATTGTTATAACCCTTTCTGGTTTTGTAAGGTCTCCAGCAATGTCCTTCTTTCATTTCTTTGATTCCAGTAATTTGAATCTTCTCTATGTTTATTTTCTTGGTTGGCCTATGTAAATGGTTTGCCAATTTTGTTAATAATCTCAATAACTTCCTTAAGCATTTCATGTAAGGTGGGTCTGAAGACCACAAATTCTGTAGTTTTCATTTATTTGGAAATCTCTATATTTTACATTTATTTTAAAAACAAACATCCTATTGATATAATAAAATATATTAACTGATAACTTTGCTGGGTGTAGGATTTTTGGTTGACATTATTTTATTTGAGCACTTTGAATATATTATACTACTACATTCTAGTTCTACAATTTCTGATGACTAATGAGTTATTAACTTAATTGGGATTCTTTTTTAAATAATAAGTTATGTTTTTCTTCCTGATATAAATATTTTCTCCTTGTCTTTAACTTTCAACATTTTTTAAATGTATCTGTTTGAAGATCTATTTGTATTTCCTACTTGGAGTTTGTTTGGTTTCCTGGATGTGTGGGTTAATAACTTTTAATAAAATTGGGAAGTTTTTAGCATTGATTTTTTTAAAAATAATTTTTTATCTCCCTTTTTTCTGATATTCCCTTTATGTGTATATTTGTATGCTTAATGGTATCCTATATTTCTTTGAGGCTTTGTTTATTTCTCTTTAGTATTTTTCTTCTGTGATCCAGATTGCATTCTCTATTACTCTGCAAGTTTGTAGGGCTCTCTGGCAGGACCTTCTTTGTTTCCTTTGCTGACCACACCTTAATTTTAAGCTCCACCAGTTTTTGGTGGATTACTCTATTGCTTTTAACAATGCCCAGTGGCATATATTGCTCTACAGGTTAATACATTCGAAATTGATATCCTTTGAATGAACAGTTCTGACGTATGTTTGACATTTGTTTTGACTTCCAGAGAGCTTCTTTTAACTCTCTTTCCCTGATTCCCTTTAGAAAACTACACAGTGTGTAGTGTAACCTCTATCTTCATTGAATCTACCAATTTCTTCTATTGGCATTCCACTATAATCTCCACTAACTTTGAGAATGCTCTTAGACTTGGCCGGGTGCAGTGGCTCATGCCCATAATTCCAGCACTTTGGGAGGCCAAATCGGGTGAATCACCTGAGGTCAGGAGTTTGAGACCAGCCTGGCCAACATGACGAAACCCCCGTCTCCACAAAAAATACAAAAATTAGCCGGGCATGGTGGCAAGCACCTGTAATCCTAGCTACTTGGGAGGCTGAGGCAGGAGAATCGCTTGAACCTGAGAGGTGGAGGTTGCAGTGAGCCGAGATCACGCCACTGCACTCCAACCTGTGCAACAGAGTGAGACTCTGTCAAAAAAAAAAAAAAAAAAAAAAAAAAAAACAGAATTCTCTTAGACTTGAACTTCTCCATATTCAGTGGCAAATAAAGTTCCTTTCTTGGGAAAGGATTGAGAACTATCTGTTTCACAGTTTATTTCTCCTCCCAGGCAAATTCTCCTCTGGAAATGAGAGTGGGGACAATGGCAAACTTCTCTTAGTGTCATGCCCACATTAGGACCTGAGAGTTTTTTGGTGGTGTGGGGAGTAGTAGCCTGAGGTCTTCTCAGCTTGCCTCTCCAGACATTAACACCTCTGCCTCACCAGTCAGTGTTAGGACAAATGGGGCCTAAGTGTTCTCAGTGGTAGTCATGTGAGATAGAGCCTCCACCTCACAAGTATGGGCTTGCCAGAAGAAGAGTCCTCTCACCTCTTGGGTGTACTTGTTCAAACAGGCAGCTGGGGGAAGAATGAGAAATGTGAGTGTTCAGCTCCTCTGAATAGTCAACCCTGGAAGAGGAGCTGAGTGTTGGCTGCATCAGTCTGGAGTGAAGTTTTCATTTTACTGAGCTTGGAGGGCAGAGAGAGGGTACATACGTTCTTGCATCCAATATCATAGATCTTGCTCTTCTATGAAACTTTAAAAGATTTCTTGAATAGATGTTTCTTCATTTGCTGTATCACCTACGGACCATTTCCAGAGGCTTAACATTAAAAAAAAATAATAATTTTCACTAGTTTCACTGGTGATCAGGTAAACAAAAATCTTTAAGCCATCATACTGAAAATCAAAATAATAATGCTTTTTGTTTTTCCCTACATATATGTCACATGGATAACATTTTTTTATTTCTTTGCACGTATTGCTATTTTGTGTTGAGAATCATTTTACATATTGCAAATAGATATTAGCAATTTGGTTTTTTATGATTATCAAGTAGATTTTTATTTTCCTTTTTTTATTTTACTTTTTTTGTGTTGAATAGTTTTGGGGGAACAGATGTTTGGTTACATCAATAAGTTATTTAGCGGTGATTTCTGAGATTTTCTGATGCACCTATCACTCGGTCAGTGTACACTGTACCCATTGTGTTGTCTTTTATCCTTCTCCTCCTCCCAGTCTTCCCCCTGAGTCCCCAGAGTCCATTATGTCATTCTTATGCCTTTGCATCCTCATAGCTTAGCTCCCACTTATCAGTGAGAACATACACTGTTTCGTTTTCTATTCCTGAGTTAGCAGCTTTGGACTTTGTTTAGTAACTTGTTTAGGCTCTGTCTGAAATTTGTCTGTCTTACAAGTGCAGCCATCAATATATCTCTTCAGTCACTTTTTCTTCTTCTGCTTCTTTTTGTTTTTAGCCTGGCTTTCTAGAGGTTTCTATTTTCTCAGCCCAGCTTAGTGCTCAGCCAATGATTGGCAGAGTTTTCCTCAAACTCCTCGGGTCCAGCCTCCATCCTGACCTGTGATGCTTCTGCTGATCCTGATGATCCTCCATGTTGCTGGATTTGTGTGAGGGTGGGTGAGTGTGTGAGAATTGCAGGGCTTTCAAGTGTGCCCTGGCTTTTCTTTTTGGTGGGGCCTTTCTTCTCTATGTTTGCAGCCTCAGTGTTGCCTGGGATACGTGGACACTGTGAACCCTCTCTGGGCTCTGGAGTAAGACTAGTAAAATCATCGCTGTCTCCATTCAGAAGACACCCATATTTGATTTCCAGGCTGCTAAGTGATTGCGTTTGTCAATGCTATATTCAGCTTTATTATTCTTCTTGGCAACTTTCTTCACTATAGGCAGAAATCCTGATCTTGATTCTATTTTGACTTGACTTTTGTATTTCTTTTTAAATTCTATAAAAGACTATTCATTTCTGTAAAGTGTTATTAATCTATGCATATAAATGTGCATGCCTTTCTGATATAAAGTCATTATTTGAATGTTATTATATAAAACTTATATTTAATAGGTTTTAAAATCTTTTTCTCAGTATTGGTTATATTTTGCAGTCTTGAGGTTTGTTATCAGTATTTAAAAAATTATAATGATAATAACAAATATCATAACAATGGAAATATATCAATCATGTGCACCTAACGTCAATTTAAAAATATGTAATGAGAAGTGATATTACATACAGACAACATTTGCATAAGAGATGATACGGTATCAATTTCACAAATAAACTTTATTTTAATAAAGACTGAAATTATTTGATATTGCCTTAGTTTTCTATTGTTGCTGCAATGAATTACCACAAACTTAAGCTGTCTGAAATGATGCAAATTTATTTTGTTGTATTTCTGTATGTCAGAAATCTGGATAGGTGCAGCTGATTTCTCTGCTGGAGATAGGTGCAGCTGATCTTCCAAGGCTGGAGTCTGGGTGCCAGCAGGGCTGCATTTCTTTAGAGACTCTGGATAAAATCTGCTTCCCTGTGAATGAGGCTATTGGCAGAACTTGGGTTCTTGTCTTTGCAGGATGAGGGTTTTTGGCCCCCTGCATTCTCAGGCCAACAGGCTGTGTCAAGTCATTGGGTTTCAAATTTTTGACTTCTTGTTCTGCCATGTCTATTCCATCTCTAGCTGGAGAAAGTTCACCTTTAGGGGTTGATGTGATTGGGTCCACCTGGATACTTTTGGCTACTCTATCTGTCTTAAAATAGCCTTAATCCTGCCTGCAAAGTTCTTTTTTTCTGTGTAATGTAGCACATGCTCAGATTCCAGGAATTAGGGCATTAACTCCACTGAGGAGGGCTGAGATCATGTGTGATCAAGGACACATAGCTGATCACCTCCAAATCAAGAACTCAAGCCCAGGGCTTTCTGTTTCCAAGACAATTGTGTTGCATTGTTATTGTCAGTTTTACATGCATTTGTGTTACTATTTTCTTATATTTATCTTTAAATATCTTTTTGTTTGCAGAACCTTAAATATTCCATTTTTATCTTTTTTATAAATACAAACCCCTTGCACTAGTGAAAATTTAAAAATTATAGAAATGTTTTATTAAAATATGGAAATGATAGGTAATCCTACAATGAGATTACCAGAGTGAAGATTTGTGTGTATGGGTGTATGTGTGTGCGTGTGTGTGTGTATATATGTGTGTACATGTATGTGTGTACATGTATATATGTGTATATATAAGTATATGTGTATATATACATATACGTATATGTGTGTGTATATACATATACGCACATGTGTGTGTATATACATATACGCACATGTGTGTGTATATACATATACGCACATGTGTGTGTATATACATATACGCACATGTGTGTGTATATACATATACGCACATGTGTGTGTATATACATATACGCACATGTGTGTGTATATACATATACACATATACATATATACACATGTATATATATACACACACATGTGTGTGTATATATACACACACATATGTGTGTGTATATATACGCATATGTGTGTGTATATATATATTTCCAATGCTTCTATATGTGTAAATACAAATATACTTGCATCAAATTTTAGGTTAATATAACCTTAGTTATAAATTAATTTTTTTTTTTGAGACAAAGCCTTGCTCTGTTGCCCAGGCTGGAGTGCAGTGGCACAAACTTGGCTCACTGCAACCTGCACCTCCTGGGTTCAAGTGATTGTCATGCCTCAGCCTCCTGAGTAGATGGGATTACAGGCATGCACCACCATGCCCAACTAATTTTTGTATTTTTAGTAGTGATGAAGTTTTGCCATGTTGGCCAGGCTGGTCTCGAACTCCTGGCCTCCAGTGACCTGCCTGCCTCAGCCTCCCAAAGTGTTGGGATTATAGCCCTGAGCCGTCATGCTTGGCCAATATTATTACATTAATTTGTGTTTTCCTTAAATGTATTTCAAAAATGTTGATTGTTTAGTAAACTTCACAGAAAACCCACACCATTTTTGTCAACCATTTTCTTAGTTTGATTATTTGGGCTATTTCAAAATGTTTTCTATTTTATAAAAATTACAATAAATACTGTTGTAAAGAAAAAACACTTTCTTTTCCTATGAAGAACAATTGTCTGGATTCTTTAACAATGAAAACAAGAATGAATAACTTAAAATTCTGCTAAAGTTGGCAAAGTATGGTAAACTGGATTGTTCCATCATGTCGGACTATTTTCTTTGGGTGGAGTAGGAGTTGTGAAAGTGTTTGAACAGTTTCGAAGTGTTTCCCAAGTACTCCCAATTCACCACCCATACAAGTCATAACCAGGTTAATCCTTACCAGCTGGAATATATTGTACTTATTTCTAGTTGCTTTGAGGAAACAATATTTTTTATAAATTCTAGGAATTAAATCTATTAAATTGTTAGATTTTTTCTTTTTGTTTTTTGTTTTGTTTTATTTTGTTTTTTGTTTTTGTGGGTTTTTTTTTTCCCTTGCCCAGGCTAGAGTTCAGTGGCACAATCTCGGCTCACTGCAACCTCCACCTCTTGGGTTCCAGTGATTCTCCTGCTTCAGCCTCCTGAGTAGCTGGTACTACAGGCACCCACCACTACACCCAGTTAATTTTTGTATTTTTTAGTAGAGACAGGGTGTCACCATACTGGTCAGGCTGGTCTGGAACTCCTGACCTCGTGATCTGCCCGCCTCGGCCTCCCAAGGTGCTGGGATTACAGGCATGAGCCACTGCGCCCGGCAAGTTTTTTCTTTTTAGCTTCAAATCCACGTGCAATTTTAATAGCTGCACTGCATTCCTGAGCTTCTTCATCTCTAAAACTCCAGTGCTCGGGCAGACTCTAGCAAGGCAGAGATCCGCAGGGCAGACCAGAAGGTCTAAAGTCCTCATGTGAGTTTATGTTGCAGTCATGAGTTCAGATTTCACAGGGCAGGCCAGACAGGCTGGAAACTCAAGCAGGATTTCTATGTTACAGTCTTGAGGCTGAAATTCTTGTTCTTTGGGAAACCTCAGGCTTTTGTCTTAAGGCCTTCCACTGACTGGATGAGGCCCACCCGCGTTATGGAGAGTAGACGGTTTTATGTTAAGTCCACTGATTTAAGTGCTAATCATATCTAAAAAATACCTCCACAGCAACAATTAGACCAGTATTGACCAAAAACTGAGCACCATAGTCTAGCCAAAGTGACACAAAATCCACCATCACAGTGATTTTTCTTTTTTCTGAACGCATTTAGGACTCCAGTTGTCTTTCATTCAGTAATTGTCAATTCCATTGATTCCTAGCTATGGGTCTCTTGCGTAATTAGACTATTTCAGGAATTGGCTCCTGCATGACAGCTAGATGAGAGGACATGAGTCACATGTGTCTGTACTCCTGATGGTAAGGGTCAGTGACTACACACTTCCCCAATGTGTACCACTGCACTTAATCAGAAACCATCAGATGGTCCCTGTTGCTTAATAATTATTGATGTCCTTTATTATTTCTGTTCACCAAACTGTGGCCTACAAGTCAAATCTCATCTCTTTTCGTAAATAAATTTCCATTAGAACGTATCACAGCAATTCATTTCACAGTGTCTATGGCAATGTTATGCTTATAACTTTAGTGTTGATTCATGGCAAAGAGACCACATGGTCTACAAAGCCAAAAATATTTACTATCTGTGCCTTTGCAAGAGAAGTTTGCCAACTCTGTTGTACACTGTAGCACTAATCCCTTATTTCAGGACTCTGCTTCATAAACACACTCCAACCTTTACCTTCCCACATTTGCCCTTTCCCTCATAGTTTCCACTGCAGGGATGTCTTTTCCCTCCTCCTGTGTTGGAGAATAAAAGGCTACTTTTTATCAGTTTCTATGTCAAGTAACATCTCAATCCCAAATGCCTTTCCTAATGTCTCTAGATATAAACTGATCTTTTTAAATCATCATTTTACCAATGGCTCTTTACATGTATCTATTTTTGTCATATATATCATGACTTTACGATTATTATGGTTCCATTTGTCTCATTTTCCCCTTCTTAATGGTATACTTTGCAAAATGCAGTATTCTCACCTTACTATTTAATATAGTTTCCAGGCTTTCTGAGTACCTTGCAAATTGTAAGTAACCAAAACCAATTTATTGCATTGAATTAAACTATGTTAAACTGTATTGAGTTAAATTTTGTATGTGTTAGTAATTTTCTTGCTCCCTTTTTTTAAAAAAAAACTTTTATATAGACAATGGGAAAGCATTGTCCTCATTTAAAGTACAAATTAAGAAACGTTTTTCTGTAAACAGAAAGTAAATATTTTGGAATTTGCATACCGTAAAGTCTTAATGTCTCTGTCACATATTCTATTTTTATTTATTTTTAACTTTAAAATGTTTCCAAAAATTCTCAAGTCATGAAGAGTACAAAAAAAGATAATAGGATTCTGTTCAGGATTTGGCCTGTTTGGAAGCAAAACTTTATGTCCTTCCTTCCCATGGGCATCCAGTGTTGAGAACCACTACTGCAGAAGGGTGGCCCCAAGACCAAAGAACAAAATTTAGTAGTTGAAAAGTGGTGTGTCTACAACAGAAGTAAAATGTTGCTTTGTACCTGGTGTCTTTTATTAAGAATTTACTCCCCCCATTTCTCACAGAGAATAACAGTCAGGAGTCATTGTCACAATATAATAGAAATGTTAGCAACCAGATTCATGTAAGGACTAAGTGGTCCTCATGAATTGCATTAAGACTGTATTGCTCATATTACACTCCATCCTCTCTGTAGTTTGCTGGGTAGCGGAGGGGGTAAGCTAAATCATAGTTTCTGACAATAACTGGGAAGGCTTTTTCTTAAGTAACAATGGAATTGGTTTAATTGGGATTGAAAACTAAAACTTGGAACTAAGATAGAGAAGATGTAGTGTGTGTAGAAGGGCTGTTAAAAATGTAAAACTTGGTTGCATTATTTGTGGAGGCTCAAACTTGTGAAGGCTAAATACCATAATTTTTCCATTTGTTCTGCATTTTGATTCTGAAAAGAAAGCTGGCTTTGCCCATTTCTTACTAAAAAAACTTGTAAATCCAAAAAAAAAAAAGTTGTGTGTCTATAGAACTGTTCTTTACATTCTTATAGTTCTTTCAAGTATTCTAATATAGACCGCTAGGGTATAAACCTGCCTGTCTTCCTTTACGATACCATACACAAAAATATTTCTAACACATAGTGTTTGACATACATACACACACTTATTTATAAACCTATGAAGTGGACTTGCACCTTTTAAGGACTATTTTCTTTCTGGGCATTTCCACTGAGAGTGTAAGTAATAAATATTTATACTGCCTTTTGGAAATAGAGCAAGATTTGATTGTGAAAAGTGTACTTCTATGGATACTTGGTTCATGCTAAGGGGAATAGTGTTCCTCAAATACCACGGTAGAATGATCTCTACGTAAAGGCAACACATTTGCCCCTACAATGTAAAGTTTAGTCTTTATAATTTATAGCCACAACCCTTTGATTTGCTGACTGTTTTTATGAAAAGGATAACTGATACATTTTACCGGAGACTTTCTGAGGATCACTCAGAAAGAAATGACAAAGTCTCTAGTATTTTCTCTCTTGAGTTAATTGAGATAATTACATTACTTGTAAATATTTGTTTGGTATTCAGACAGGTTGGGTTTTTTTGCTAGTCATTAAGCATTAATTATCAGTTTACATTATCAGTACATAAATAAACTCTTAGAAAAATTACTATGCCAAAAATTTAAACAGTAGAGATATGAAAGTGACAGAAATAACTATCATATGCATGAACAATACTGAGAAATCACGTTGCTTAGATGTCTTACTGTTACAAAGATTCTGCATGTTTTTATTCTTTCTTCAACATTCTCACTGTACCTTAATCATAGTATATTATTTGGCTAAGATATGACTTCATTCTTTAGAAAACATTGAATTTTGAATTGTGCAAGGTACTCATCATTTTAGGAGTTCTGCATTTTCCCATGGCCAGTAATTTTGAGAAAAATACACTGAAAAGATGTTGTACTGTAAATTGGTAGAAGCAGTTGTGAGACTATAAAATATTCTGAGTTACACAATGAGTCAGATAAACATTGAAAAGTATGACCAACAGCATTCAAAGTAAACTTATTTTATAAGAAAGTATTGGTATGACCAGAACAATAGAATAAGTATTTTATCCACGCTACACATTGTATACATTTGAGTCATATTCATAAGCCAATTGTGTATTGAGTTGAATAGCCTAATTAAAGTTTTATTACATCTATTAGAAAAAAATGAGAGATAACATTTAACAAAAAATGAAAGAAATGAAATAATTTCAGAAAAATTCAAATTCTCATATGGCCAAAGAAAACAAAAAGTAATGATAAAGTAGAAGGGAGAACAAATTAATAGCATTCACAAACTTACCCACACATTATCAAAGTCTTCATCATCAGCCTAAATTATTATTAAAATATTATACTAATTGTAGGCCAATTTTAGAGGGCTTTCTATGATCATGCAAATTTCACCCTTCCTTAAAGACCCATGTAATAAACAGCTTATTTACAGTAACATAAGTTCTGTTAAGGAATGGAGGTTTTTCTTTGGCCTTATTAACTGCTATATCACCAGTATCTAGAAAGATGCTTATCAATAAAAGGTTCTCAATTAATTCTGAGTACATGCTACTCATTTCCTATATTTAAAACACCTTTAACGCTTGTTCAGGTCAATTAGTACACACACACAAACATTTATGTACGTGTGTGTATATTCGTATAAAATACATATATATTTGTATATATATACACATATACATACATGCATTTTGTAACAAATGTATAGTCTTTGGTATATGTATTTTACCTTTGGAAAATATTTTGTACTACTGTTGTGGCAGGGACATTTAGTGCTCACTAAGTAGCCATTTAATGTCTTCTATTTCCTGGCTTCCCTTGCAGAGCTTTGAGCAAATGTGTAATGTATAATTTTCAGGCCAAGGCTGTTGACACACTGTATATCTCATTGGTTCTTCTTGTCTAATAATGTGGAATCCTTGAAGGAATCCTATTCTTAATTACAGTAACAGAGAGGGACAGTGCAAGCATTATTTGTCTTTAATACTAAATCCTTGAGATCCTGAATTTACATGTTATATCAACAGAGGCTATCCTCCTATGATTAATGCAGTTATTTGGTATTACCAGCTATCTAATTTTTATTATTTCACCTTTACAGATGGTGTTCCTTTTAGATGAAGAATACTGATAAAACAATGGTCTATGGGAAGCATGTGTTTATAAAACTCAATGTTCATTGATAAGATCTACACACAGAGTAGACATTCATGGAATATGAGTTGAATGGCTTAACATTGATTTCTTTCTCTTCCGTATGTTCTCTGTTCTCCTTTTCATTTGATGATCTATCTAGACATAGAAGCTCTAGCCTGTAATCTCAATCCTAATCTTTCTTACTTTCACTTTTTTGGGGATTCATCTTCATAATCCAACAAAATCTCATCTTTGCTGATGTTGGTTTTCTTAATTTTAATGAATAAAAAGGTGTATATTATTAGAATTCTGGATGAAGTGACTTTCTGGGCAACATGAAGATATATAGACAAGAAAGGTGCTCTTGTGGCCCTTGAAAGTTTACGTATTCCATACATCTGGGTGCCTTTTTTGTATCTCTTTTCCACTTAGTTGAATATTTCTGTACAAATGAACTTATAGCTGAATCCTGTGCTCTGTTTGGTTACAAACACCCTGATCAAGACTAAGCCTTTGTCCACTCCACGTCTGAATGGCCTACTCACCATCTCATCTGTTCTATGTTAGCAATGCTTTTTTTCATGGTGCAGTAATTCACTTTTCACCTTTTACATAATTTTTTTATTAACTCTTAGGCTGTTTCAGAGATGAAGTTAGGCAATACTGCTCCTTCAAAATGAAGGCTTGCCATTTTCCTGCCTTTGCTTTTCATTTCTTCGCTGAACTCCCTGACTTAGTCATTCTATTCAATCCTTCATCTAATTATGCCCTACAAGAAAATGACTCTTACATCAATCTGCCCAACACTGAAGTCTCTCTAGGAAAAGAGCTTTATGTTTTAGGTATTCTTGATGCTCCAGGCATTTTATTTATGAGACTTGCATTAAACTATAGCCTCTTACACAGCACACACCCGCTTCACTTACACAGTGGTACGCTGTTGCTAATGGAGACAGCTTGTAGGCTTCCCAACTAGATTTCTTATGGGTTCTGCTGATTCATTAGGAATAGACATTTCTGTATAATATATGGCCTTTGTTGTAATTTATGAAAATAACATTTTAAGTTTCAGAAAAAGGCTGATGATCTAAAATGACCAAGAAGCCACCACAACTTAGTAGAAAACACAAAAAAGTAGGTGTCTTACCTATTGAATTTAATTTTATTTGGGATAGTTTCTGTTGGAATTAGACTTTTGTTCTCATGTGCACGTAAGTGGGAGGTTTCATTATGGAGAGTGACATTAAAATAAAGGAGTGCAACCTCTGTATAATCTTGATGTGTTAACCCATGTTTTATGAACTCAAACTTATAAATTGCATTTGTTCAATCTTGTATAGGCATGAGGGTGCATTTAATACCTCTTCCACAACTGATTAATTCTCTTGGAAGTTTTTTATGTAAAGATAGACATATGACTGAGGCATGAATTTAATATTTGGCTGGAACATAGCATCGCAAATTCCATACTGGCTGTCATCATTTATTCTCAGTTATTATACACCCAGTAATGCTCTGGCGTTTTCATTTAGCAGATACTCGTATGAAGTTTTCCACGTAACAGGTACTGCTTTAGCACTGGGGATTCATAAACAGGAGAAATATTTTTTATAATATGTATTCTGAATGATATCTTACATCTTAAAACCAAGGGCATCTCTGGCAGAGAGCACATCAATTGCAAAGTTTCTTAGATGAGAGATAGCTTAATTTAGGAGAGAAAGAAAAGGAAACCATTGTGGCTGGAGCTTCCTTACCAAGTGGTGGGGGCTCAGCATCAAAACAGGAAGAGCAGGACCAGGAAGGGTCCTATGAAAAGTAGAAAACACTGAAGGGTTTTCAAAGGGAATTTTATAATAGGTAGGAATTGGAGTTTAATAGGGATTACTATGGCTTATGATGGAAAACAGATTACATGAAGAATTGAAGCAGAGTGGCCAGTTAATGTAACAGTTGAGAAATATGCATAATTCTTAGGATAACTCAGCTGTGGTTCCACTACCCTGTGGATCTTTCATTGAGATAAGGCTCTAAAGACTCTTTTCTCCTATATCCTTTATTAAGAATAAAAATAGCCTGACTGATCCCCTCCACAAGATAATGATGAAGCGAAGCAAAGAGATAAACAAGAAAAGCTTTTTTTTTTTTTTAAAGTCTATTACCAATCTTATTTCTGTTCCTCCCATTAAGGTTTCACCTTTAGCAATGTGATACACTTTTGTTCTCTTTCTTGAAATGCTAAATTCTGGCATCTCCAATGTGATTGGAACACTTTCGCAGAAAATTGCCTGGGTTCCCCCAGGAGATCAACTATCTGTTTCAAAAAAGTGGTTTCCAAACGTTTACATGCATGAGGTTCTTACATGTGAGAGGGCTCTAAGCATCTGTCTTGCTGGACCTTACATCTAGAATTTCTGATCCACGAGGCATGCAAAGGGGCCCATGAATCTATGAATCTGCATTTCTTTTCTTTTCTTTTTTTTTTTTTTGGAGATGGAGTCTCGCTCTGTCACCCAGGTTGGAGTGCAGTGGCACAATCTTGGCTCACTGCAACCTCCGCCTCCTGGGTTCAAGCAATTCTCCTGCCTCAGGCTCCTGAGTAGCTGGGACTACAGGTGCACGCTGCCACGCCTGGCCACATTTTTGTATTTTAGTAGAGACGGGGTTTCACCGTTGTTGCCCAGGCTGGTGTTGAACTCCTGAGCTCAGGCAATCCACCTGCCTCGGCCTCCCAGCGTGCTAGGATTACAGGCATGAGCCACCACGCCCGGCCATGAATCTGCATTTCTAAGAAGTTCCCGGATGAGGCTGATGCTCCTGCTCAGGAGACCATGTGTCAGAGCCACAGTTTGAAAGTCTTGTGAATCCATCTGAAACTTTAGTCTGGGAAGGACTGCCTAATGAGGGTCTTTATGTCTTGTTATTAATATACAAACAAATAATCAAAGACATGGTATTTTGGACCCCAAAATTATATTTGGCCTTCATTTCTAGCTTTATCTGCTTCTCAGTTTCTTCTAATAATATAATATTATAACATATTATAATATATTACAACAATAATATAATACAATATACAAATAACAATAATCTAATACAGTTTAATAAGTTATTAATATAATATAGCTAATAGTTAATTTTTAATGTACGGTATTAAAGATATATGTGTTTGGACACTTGCTGAAGACCAGACAGAAAAAATAAAGGAAAGAGGAAAATGAAGGAAGAGGAGAAGAAAATGAAAATGAGGAGAAGGGAGAAGCAGAGTAGGAGGGAGAGGGAGGAGAAAGAAAAAGAGAGAGGCAGTGGTTTTACTAATTCTTTGGAGGCAGATGAATATCGCATTCTATTCTATTCCACAAGATATGCTTTCTTCCCCACTGAGAACTTGTCTCCATGACATTTTCCACTGATAATTTCATAAAAGTTTTAAACTATATTAAATTCAATATGTTGATATTGATATTTAGTATATTGATAATTTAACATATTCTGGCCAAAATCGACCATGTATTATAGAAACAAGAGTTGAAATTTAGTATTTCTTTGTTGTTTTTTGAAATGTCTTGCTCCTAAATCACAGTAAGATCATTAGCTTCAGTTTTTCAAGTATAAAATGGAAAAAATTACCTACCTCATTGAGTTGCTGTGAGGGCACAACTAGATAAGGTATGCAAAGTGTTTAACTCACTATGCAACCTTCAGCACTTTTTAATCTTTCTTATATGTAGGTACTTTTGAAAAAACAAAACAAATATATACTCTAATGGGTTGACTACTGTCTCCCCAAAATCCACATCCATGTGAAATCTCAGATTATGGCCCTATTTGGATATAGGATCTTTGAGAATGTAATGAATGAATGATCCTGAAGATGATATTATTCATTCACTTGACCCTTCTTATATAGGGCTGCCCCTTATGAGAAGAGGAGAGGATATGGTGTTACATAGAAAAAGGGGTGATGTGAAGATGGACACTGAGATTGGAATGATTTCTCTAGAAGCCAAAGAAATCTGTGGACACAAGAACCTGGAAGAGGCAAGGAAGGATTTTCTCCTAAAGCCTTCAGTGGAAGCAGGCCCTGCTGGCACTTTGATTTCAGATTTCTAACCTTTGGAACTACAAGAGAATAAATTTCTGTTGTTTGAGACACTAAATTTGTGGTAATTGATGAGGGCTGCCCTAAGAAACTGATGCACACACCAGTCACTTCTGTTACTGTCAGTTTTACATTTTTAGTTTGTGTCATATTCCTTTCTTGCCTTCATTTTCTGACCCGATGTGGATTGTATTAGATTCCCATGGCTACTGTAATAAATCACTACATGCTTGGTGGATTAAACAATGTTCATTTATTCTTACAGGTTTTGAGGCCAAAAGTCTGAAATCAAATTTACTGGGCCAAAATCCAGGTGTTTCCAGGACTGTATTTCTTCTGGAGGCTGTAGGGGAAAATCTCTTCTCTTTTCTTTCTCAACTTCTAGAGGTCACCTACTTTCCTTAGCTCATGGCCCCTTCCTTCCTTCACTCCAATCTCTCACTTCTGTCATCACATCTCCTACTTTTATATCAGATTTTCCTCTGTGTCTGTCTTACAAGAATGCTTGTGATTTAGGTTCAAGCACATAATCAGGATAATTTCTCCATCTCAAAATCCTTAACTTGGTCACACTACAAGGTCCACAGGTTCTAGGTCTTAGGACATGGATGTCTTTGGGGGCCATTATTCAGCCTACCACAGAGGCTAACATTTTAAACTTTAATTTGGGTCCTGTTTCAGATTATCTATATTCATTCTATTCTCTTAATTGTATGAAATCCCAATACCCTAACCTGTTGACCTGAAAAAACTGATAGAGAAACCAAATCAACGAAATAGATGATAAACAGGATTTAAATACATACACAAGGCACTGTGCTCACTAAGCTCCACTTCAAGCCCAGGTTAAACACAGAGTCCATGGGACATGAGCCCAGTTGACTCCCCAGGGCCTTAAGACAAAGAGACAAGGATAAATATTTGTACCAAAACCGTCCCACGGTGATGGTATAGGTGCTCCCTATGGGCAAATTCAAAAACTGTTTTGGAAAATGGTGAGTCCTAACATGAAGGTATTCAATTAATTTAGGAATAAAATTTAAAAGGTGAAATAGAATGTATTTGGAATTAAGAAGCAAAAATGTAATCAACTATGTCAGACTGCGTGAGGAAGTGTAGGTAAAGAGAAAAAGGAAGATAAGCTTAGAGTTTTGAAATACAAACCCAAAGATCTTGGGGAAAGGGACCTTTTCAGGGTTATGGCTTCCTAATTTTTGCTTATTGATATTAACCCATTAGAGTATTTTTTTTGAAGAAGAAGAAGAACACATGAGATTTTCAAAGCCCAATGCTATTGAGCATACAAACTACATAATAAACTACTACCCAAGTTTGAGGTTTTATTTTTTGTTCATTTGTTTGTTTGTTTTTTGTCAGAGTCTCACTCAGTCGCCAGGCTAGAGTTTAGTGGCAAAATCTCAGCTCACTGCAACCTCCGCCTCTCAGGTTCAAGTGATTCTCCTGCCTCAGCCTCCCAAGCAGCTGGGACTACAGGCGAGTGCCACCACGCCCACCTATTTTTTTTTTTTTTTTTTAAGTAGAGACGGGGTTTCACCGTGTTAGCCAGGATGGTCTCAATCTCCTGACCTCGTGATCCACCTTCCTTGGCATCCCAAATTGCTGGGATTACAGGCATGAGCCACCGCTCCTGGCAAGTTTGAGTTTTATGCCAGCAAGTTAGTCTTCAAGAGTGTGGGCTCCCTTTCTTGACCTTGTATATCAGAGATAAAATGCTGACCAGTCTGACAGAGTTCAGCCCTTGCACCGCCTATGGAAATTAAATGAGCTGCAAACATGTCTGTGTGAACCCGAAGTGATGGCTTGAGAGTTTAGGTTTTGTTTGTTTTCAAACTTTATTGTATGGATAAGTTAAAATTAGCATGCATTATTTCCATAAATAGTTATAAACCATTACATATTTTATGTAGAATAAAAGGCAGTAAACTTGCAAGGAGGCCTGGGTGACGGCTGGCATGTGCTTCTTAATAATGGCCTTGGCCTTTTCACAAGACAGTTTTTTATTTTGCTTTCTTGTTTGGTTTTCCTTGGGTTGCTTCTCTTTCTCTGTTTTCAAAATTTTTTCTGCATGTCCTAAAGTATTTCATATTAGTTTATGTATCTGGAGAAAGAGATTAAACACACTATTTTTAACTCAAAGTTATTGTAAAGTTACTGAGATGAACATCTTGTATGCACTATCTATTCTCGTGGTTTCAGTGAAGTTTTCCTCTATTGTTGCTCCTTGAAGTGCAAAGTGATTATAGTGTTGTCAATATTTTAGCAACAGGATTTCACAAGACCATATCCGTGAATGATAACTGAGTGATAATGAGCCATCCAAGTGACCACTTAGAAGAGTGGTTTCTTCGCCTAAATGAGGAGAATGGAGTGTTCCAGGCAGGTGGGGCCATTTTACTAATGTTCAGGGGGCCTACTAGACTCCCATTAAGGATGAGAGCACTTCTCTGTCACTACTCTGCTGAACAGGAGCACATTTACATAAAACGGAGGTGTAAAGCTTACGCCAACCTGGACACTTTTTGCCAGTGTAGAAGCTAAGAGCCTACATAAATCATGAAGGAAGCAGAAGAAAACAGCACTTCATTTCTTCTACTATCAATAGGTCTCTAGTGAACACTTCACAGGATTGTTCTTAGACAACTTGGTAAGAAACATGGTTAGAGTGCCAAGTTAGAGGGGATGTCTTGTGATAATCACCTATGAAACACAGATTTCTATTGTGTTGATCCACAGTTTGTAGAATTGCATACACTGTATCATGCTTGTCATATAAAAATAAGAACATATTGAAGAATATATATCAAAATTACATAAATTATGCCTTTTACTGGTACGAATAAGTGATTTTCTTTTGCTCTCTGTTTCCATGTATTCCAAAGTTTCGATTAAATAAGAAAATTGGTGGAATAAATTATTTTTAATGAGTGAAAATAGCAGATAAATGGAAAATCCTAGAGAGCTTTAACATTGATAGTGCTTGCCAAATAAAGGTGATATTGACCTGATAAGTATTAATCTTGACTTTAAAGATTTCCAAACATCCGACTTGCCACTTGACACATTTGTATTTTTCAAGTATTTGTGAGCCATTAGAAGAAGGTTGATGGTTCTATGTGACTAGAAAGCTCAAACATCACTTCCTGGGCTAAATTTCAACTCTTGACCCACAAAGATACGCCCTTTGTCTGCTCCCTGTCACCCCATCTCATTAAATGGCACCACTGTTACCAGAATTTGCTGAGCCATGCTGAATACTTCATCTCTCTATTATTCTTTTCTCTATTACTTTCCTCTTGAAGCAATTTTATCTATAAAATATCCCTCATCTATCATTTTATCTCCATCTCTATTGCCATCTTGTTAATATAGACACAATCATCTTTCTTTTGGACTGCTGATCTTCTGGTTCCCACTAATTTTCTCCTCTCTATGCAGAAGCAAGAGTGATCTTTAAAATTAGATGGGTCCTGCCACATTTATTTAAGATATTTCAATGACTTCTTTTTCTGTGCACTTGAATTAAATTTTGGCACTTTAGGAATACATGGCAAACCCTGCATACGACTGTCCTCCTGCATTTTCAATCTCAGCTTATATCATTATCTCCTTTGCTCATATCACTTCAACCATGAGAAATGTTAAGGAGAAATAATGCAAGATATGTTAAAAAGAGGAGCTTCTATCATGAAGAAGACAAGCTGGAGATGATTGTATAGAAGTATATACAGAGATCTGTTTTTTTTTTTTTTTTTTCTGGGCAGCTAACAGTTCTTGGGAATAGTTGCCATGCAAAATACCCAAAGATTGGACATCTATTTACCCATGTTCATGCCAATAAATGGGCTGCCCCAACTTACCCAAACTCAGTTGACTGTTGAGATAACAGAGAGCAGTGATTAGGGTTTGTCATCTCAGGTCACAACTAGCGAGAGACAGAAATGTCTTAGAAGCTGAGGTGCCCATGGATGGGCCTTGCTAGCCATACGTTGTTGGCAGTTGGAGGCAGACCAGCTGGGAATGTCAGTTACGACTTGCCTCTGCCTCCCATCCTTAGTCAGATGTATGGAAACTGTGGCCTATACTTACGCCACAGAACTGGAAACTCATTAGCATTTCCTAGTGCAAGAGAAGCCTGGAACTTGGAGGGGAAATTGGAAAAAACTCATATAATACCTTCATTGAATATCATAGAATGAAGTAAACTATTTTGGATTATTTTATTACATCTTTCACTTTATGCTTAACTTTAATTTCTGTCAGTAAGTATCTTTGATTGTTTATTGCTGTTTGCTTCTAACTCAAAACACAATGTAAACATAATTGAAGGAACTCCAGGAGAAAATAAGTAACCTTCAGCAGCTACGGAAAATAACTGCAGGAGATTTAGAATAAGTTAGAAGAAAAATATTTTAAATGATATATAAGAAGAAAGAAATCTGGGAAAAATAACAAATAAGCCTGGAGAATTAATGTCACAGATAAAACTGCTTCTGTGCTGCCAATCTTAATCTATGCATTTGTTAGCAAAGCACCATTCTTTTTTCTTGCTGGGGCATGTGGAAAGAATGAGTCAATTGTATCATCCTTATTTTATTAATAACAATTGGAATGTTAGGTCATTATCAACATAAAAGTTCTTAGAAGCCTACACTGCACATGTGGAATATTTTTATTTGTAAAACAGTTACTTAATGAAAGCAGATTTTGCAAAACAGAAATAAAATATATATAAGGAAACTGCAATTTTCCAATTTTCCCATAGACCAACAGAAATAAAATATATATATATAAGGTAAACTGCAATTTTCCAATTTTCCCATAGACCAAAGGTACATAACTTTGCTTGCTTACTGCAAATATGTTCATTACTTTTCATTTGCAACACAGTAGCACAGATAAGAATGGAACCTATGAATAAGTAGGTTTGATTTACAATCTTTTGGATATACATACTCCCAACTGGATTAACCCATGTCCCCCAGTACAACCAAGAAGCCATCAAGGGAGATGATATGAATTTAAAGTATGCTAATTTCTCTAGAGTCTTCAATTCTCTTTTATTTAATGAGCTTACCTTTAACTTGATGTTCCTAATCTTACATTGTGTTTTAATCTTTAACAGGAAATTAGCAAACTCTTAGGTTTTTCTTGTCCTCATTTTATTTTGTTTGCCTGAGATGCATGCATAGGATTTAAGTGCAGTAGCAAGTGTTGTGTCCCTTTACAGGGTTTTAAATTGTATTATGTGATGACAACCATCTGCTCAGAGTCTCATTTATCTTTTCCATGGAAGCAACTTGAAATTAAAATTGACAGTAATGCTGTTCTGCAGGCACTTACACAGAAAGCAAAGTGGTGTACATCTCTGCTGATGGAAAACAGAGTATCTTAATACTTAATACTTTTGTATTTAATTAGAATGTTATATAGTATACTCTGTAAAAGTAAAGTGATGCTGCAAAGCACAGATCTAATGAAGGAAATGGTATGGGTAGTTCAGCAAACCTCCTCCATCATACAATAGAAAACAGAAAATGTGCGTTTCTGGAGTTCTTGGACGAATAGAGAAGCCACTTAGGATTGCAAAGGTGGAAACACAAATTAACTAATCTAATTAATTACTTTTATTAGTAAGGGAATTCAAATAAATGACTTCTTTCAACATCACTAAAAGCTGTGTGATAACAACAACACTGTATTTGAATTTAGAATGACGGGCTTTCAACTCCTACCCTGTGGCCTCTTAGCCTATATAATTGAGAAAATATATTTAACCTCCTTGTATCCATCTGGTGCTCTGTCAAATGGGGATTGTTTAGAAAATCAGATAATTCAGTGTGTTAAAGTTTGTTTAGCAAAAAATAACAAATTAGACAACATTTTAAGAACATTTTCTGGGTTGGGAATGCACAGCATCTCCCTTTTGGTCCTGCAGCACTCCCTTGGTAGTGACCTTGGAGTCACCTTTTTTTTTCTTGGAGACAGAGTCTCGCTCTGTTGTCCAGGTTGGGGTGCAGTGGTGCAATCTCGGCTCACTGCAAGCTCCGCCTCCTGGGTTCACGCCATTCTCCTGCCTCAGCTTCCCAAGTGGCTGGGACTACAGGCACCCACAACCACGCCCGGCTAATTTTTTTGTATTTTTTTTTTAGTAGAGACGGAGTTTCACCATGTTAACCAGGATGGTCTCTATCTCCTGACCTCGTGATCTGCCCATCTCGGCCTCCCAAAGTGCTAGGATTACAGGCGTGAGCCACCGTGCCCGGTCCTGGAGTCACCTTTAAGGAACCTCAAAGCTGTGCAAAAGGTGACCAAAAAAAAAAAAAAATCTGAAATGTGATATGGAAAAGGGCTTTGAAAAAAATATGAATCATCATGCAATTACTATATGTTGTTAAAATTAAGTGTTGTTACTTGTTAATGTGTGTTTGTAAAGTTCAGTTTTAGAAGAAGAGCAAATGCTTCTGATGTGGATTAGTAGATGGGATACTCTGCTTGGCCACACAGGTGCCCTCTGAATGATCAACGTTTTTTGACCTACTGCTGCCAGACAGATAAACTCCAAGGTTACAGCTGCCTTCCTCTCTGGGAACTTGCCTAATAATTTGACTTCCTTCTAAGTCACTTCTTCTCCAGTGACTAGTCAATGTGGGGTATGATGTCTGGTCTTTGCACCTTAGTCCTGGACATATTTAAAGTGTGATTCCTGCCACAGAATTTTCCATATAATCAGCTGTTTCCTCCTTTGCAGCATAATCCCACTTTTATTTATCCCTCTGCTCAGTGCTGCTTTCCTCAACCCACATAAGGTTGTTTCCTGGAGATCTCTCCCAGTGAACCTCCTGTATGCCACCCTCTATCTCAGAGTCTATTTCCAGGTGATGAATCTAAAACATTTTGTTCCAAGAGCAACCATAGGAATAAAACTCCAAAATAAGATTTTAGAGTTGTATCACCCACTTTCTAACTGGTCCTCCTTGCTGGTAGTAGACAAAGTACTGATAGCTCTTGAGATGTTGCAATAGCACAATTGATGAGATGGTCACTGGTGTTGAACCATGTGATAAGATGCCTGTGGCTGGTATAATATCACAGGCATTTGAGAAACTCGGGGAAGTAGTTATTGTAAATATTATGGAATCAGATATCTGTTGTTGTGTGCTATTGACATGGGAGAAATGAATAAGGCTGAGGGTAATCAGTCATCAATTTAAGGCCTCCTTGGAATCTTAAAAAGGCATTTTTATCTTCAGCAAGAATAAAAAATAAGCAGAATGTCAAATGCAGGACTTAATTAAAAGGGTAGGTGAGCTCGAAAGAAGGTTGAATTCTCACCCCAGCAAATTCCCTACGTGGAATTGAAGGTGGTGAGTTGAAAGGAATATGACCCAACAATTGTGAGTGTGATATCCAGATTGATATACTTGAAGACTTTGAAATTCTCAATATGCTCTGAAATTGTAGGTCCTGCAGAAATAGCCCACTCCTCTCCGTTAAGTGCTGGTGTTTCTGCTTCCTTGCAGACAATGAGACTTCTGCCTTACAAGACATCAAGCATCCCATGCAACATTTACTGCCAACTCAGCTTCTGCCCATTAGATCAATAACTAATTCAGCCAGGGAAGTGTTGTGTTTGCTAAGGGAATAAAAAGGGTTTATACACTATAGGAGACAGGATCAGTAGTTGCACAATTATGCAACTTGATCTTGATGATGGTGTAACAAAAGCAGACAACACACATTTAGATGAAGGAGAATTTATCGAAAGAGAAGGAGGACAAATATGACTCGTTAACATCTTTACCAAGAATCCTAGGTATTCCTATGCCCTAGGGTGGCTCTTGGAATCTTGTGCAAATAAGAACTCTACTTAAATGAAGTGGAAATGTTAAGAACTTCCAGGAAAAAATGCAGAGGAAAATAATCAAAAGACTTAGGGAGATTTCCCTGCTAGATAATCTTTATTACGTAAGTTTGAAAATCCTACCTGTTGACTATGCTCCACGGGAAATTCTAGAGAACATACCGTTTGTAAGAAATGCTGTGCTGAAAACAGTACCATTCATTTTGAGAGGTTTCATTGTTACTGATCTTCTTAGGCTGGTATAATTGAGGGAGATAGCATTACAGGACTTGGCTCTCTATAACGTTAGGCACAACAGCACCTTGAAATAATAGGGGCCAGGGTGCAGAGCTTAACTGTAGGTAGCAAGGTGGAAGCAATTACCACAGTGAATGACAAGGTCTCAGTGACAGCCAGGGGTTGCTGACCTAAAGAAAATTACAGAGATATTTAATAAAACATGGTACACTTAAGGGTAAGATGGATGGGCAGCCAAGAGGAGTAATGCTTAATTTGTACAATAAAAATTAAATCAAGGAATGACATTTTCAGCCTAAACATTTAGAGTTTGGAAGTTGTCTCTCTTATCTTCACAACATCAACAACAATAAAAAAAAAAGAAAGAAAAAAGTCAACAACTTCCCTTAGTTCCATTAGATAATTAAAGTCACTGGGCAAGTTGCCACTTGCAAAATTCAAGGTACAGTTAAATGCAAAGAATCACAGCTGTAATCTCAGCTTGCCAGGAGCAGAAGCTTCTGGAGCAAGTGACTGACTGCTAAGAGTACTTAAGTGACAATTTTGATAAATGCTGGAGGCTGAGTGTGGGCTAGTTTGATAATTACTATTTCTTGAGAGTTCAGTGTTGGAGAGCGACACACTTTCATGGGTTTTACCTCCAGGGGTTCCATTAGATTCTCATGGTAAAAATCAGAAAAAAATCCCCTGCTCTTCTGGGAAGTAGTAGGAGGAAGATAACCATTAGAATTATTCCCAGGGCTTTCTTCATAACAAAGCACTATCCTGTAGAGAAAACCATTCCCTACCAGAACCTTTTCTGCTATGAATGCAAATAATAATAAATTCAACCCTTCTAGTCTTTTTGTCTCATATAAGAAGAGAAAAAAATTGGCTAAGAAATGTTTTTAAAAGTCACAGCCCCAGGGACTGAGGCCCACTTTAAAAATGTGATTTAATCCCTGGGCGACAGAGTGAGACTCCATCTCAAAAAATAATAGTAATAATAATAATAATGATGATGATCTTATTAACCACTTCCTCTTGCAGCACCTTACCACCACATCAAATTGGCTATAGCACAATAACAGTGTTGTCTTTGCATTTCCCTATGAACTACTTCTTAAATAGAGTCTGTGTCTACTACTCAAATAGAGTCCCTTAGCTGTAACTAAGAGAGCTGCAAGACACAGACTCTATTTAAGATGTAGTTCGTAGAAAAACCCAAAGACAACACTGGAGAAAAAAACAAATAAAACAAGGAAACTGGGATAACCTAAAGCCCCTGGTATCTGGAATTACAGCAAATGTTAAACAGCAAAACTCCCAGCCAGATTAACATAAAACATTTCACTATAATTCTACATACCTAAGACCAAATTACCTGATACATCATAGTTACTTTCAAAAAAGAATTACAAAGCATGCAACAGGCAGGAAAAAAAAAAAAAACAGTCTGAAGTAACAAAGGATATATCATGGATTCAAACATCATCAGATAGGGAAATTAAAATTACTATGATTAATATATTAAATGCTCTAATGCAAAAAATAGATGACACACAAGAACAGATAGGCAATTTAACCACCGATCCAGGACGCTCAGAGAAAACTAAGCAGGATAAACATCAAAAAATAATTCTACATAGTCATATATTTAAACATAGAAGACCAAAGTGTACTTTGGCTACTTGGGGTCTTTTACAATTCCATATAGATTTTAGAATTTTTTAAAATTTCTGTGAAAAATATAATTGTAATTTTGGTAGAGATTGTATTGAATTTACACAACTTTTTGAGTAGTATGGACATTTTGACATTAATTCTTCCAATCTATAAAACATGGGACATGTTTCTATTTATTCTTCTTTCATTTTTTCATCAATGCTTCACAATTTTCAGTGTATGGATCTTTCATGTCCTTGGTTAAATTTATTCCTAAATATTTATTCTTTTTGAAGTTACTGTAAATGGGGTTGCTTTCCTGATTTCTTTTTTAATAGACTGTTATTGATGCAAAGAAATGCAACTGATTTTTGTATGTTTATTTAGTATCTTGTAACTAAGTGTACTGAATTCACTAATTAGTTCTAACAGGTATTTTTGTTATGTGTGTGTGTGTGTGTGTCTGTGTGTGTGTGTGTAGTCTTTAAGATCATGTCTGCCAACCAGGGTCATTTTACTTCTTCCTTTCTGATTTAGATGTCTTTTATTTGCTTTTCTCATCTAATTTCTCTTGCTAGTACTTCCAGTGCTGTGTTTTAACAGAAGTGTCAAGAGTGGATATGTTTGCTTTGTACCAGATATTAGAAGAAAAACTTTGTTTTTCTTCATTGATTATGAGGTTAGCTGTGTGCTTTTTAATAAATTATGTTGAGAAAATTTATTTCTGTACCAATTTTTTGAGAGATTTTACTATAAAAGAATGTTGAACTTTGATCAAATGCTTTTTCTCTAGCTAATAAAATATTCATATAATTTTTGTTTTTTATTCTGTTAATATGGTATAACACATTAATCAATTTGCATATGCTAAACAAACCTTGCATCCCAGGCATAAATTTTACTTGGTCATGGTGTGTAATATTTTTGATGAATAAAGTTTGCTAGTATTTTATTGAAGGTTTTTGCACTTACCTCTATCAGAGAGGTTGGTCTTAAGTTTTCTTTTCTTGTGGTGTCTTTGTCTTGCTTTGGTATCAGGGTAACGCTGGCCTCATAAAATGAGTTTGAAAGTATTTGTTCTAATTTTATTTTTTGGACGAGATTAAGAAGGGTTGGTGTCAGTTCCTCTTTGAATATTTAGTATAATTCACCAATGAAGCAATCTGGTCCTGGGCTTTTCTTTGTTGAAAGATTTTGTTTGTTTGTTTGTTTGTTTGTTTGAGATGGAGTCTCACTCTGTCGCCGAGGCTGGAGTGCAGTGGCATGATCTTGGATCACTGCAACCTCCACCAACCTGGTTCAAGCTATTCTCCTGCCTCAGACTCCCGAGTAGCTAAGACTACAGGCGCCCGCCACCACGCCCGGCTAATTTTTTGTGTTTGTAGTAGAGACGGGGTTTCACCATGTGAGACAGGATGGTCTCGATCCCCTGACCTCATGATCCACCTGCCTTGGCCTCCCAAAGTGCTGGGATTACAGGAGAAAGGTTTTTCAAATTACTACTTCAATCATCTTATTTGTTATAGCTCTGTTCAGGCTTTCTGTTTTATCTTTATTCAATTTTGGTAGGTTGTATTTTTCTAAAAATTTATTCATTTTCTGTAGTTTATCTAATTTACTGTCAAATAATTATTTATAATAGTCCCATATATTCCATTTTATTTCCGAGGCATCCATTGTAAAGTGTTCTATTTCATTTCTGATTTGAGTCTTCCTTCTTTTCTTCTTAATATAGCTAAATATTTGTCAATTTTTCTTATTTTTAAGAAACTCAGTTTTATTCATTTTTAATATCTTTTATATTCTCTTTTTTCACTTTTTCTGCTCTGATTTTTCTTATGGCCTTCCTTTTGCTAACTTTGGGGTTAGTTCATTCTTTTCGTTGTAGTTTCTTGAGATATAAAGTTATGTTGTTTATTTGAGACCTTTTTGATGTAGGTATTTATTGCTAAAAACTTCATTCTTAGAACAGCTTTTGCTGCATCTCATCAGTTTTTGCAAGTTGTGAGGAAAATTCTGCAAAAAGTCAAAACAGAAAACCTTACCTCTAGAGTAACGAGGAAAAGAATGACATTGGTCTGTATGTTGGACTTCAAAAACCCATGCTAAATGACTGAGTGGAGTCAGACATTTAAAGTTTAACAACAACAACAAATCACTGCTCTGCCTCCAGTGAAATTATCTTTCAAAGGCATAAAATATATAAACACTTTCTCAGATGAACAAAATCTGGGGGAATTTGTTGCCTTAGAAATATGTTAATAGAATTTCTTTAGAGAGAAAGAAAATGACATAGATTATAAACTTGGATATACATAAAGAAAAAACAATCAGAGAAGAAATAAAAAAATGAAAGATTTAATTTAATCTAATAGCTGGGAAAAATAATAGCAGCAATATATTGGGTGATTATAGCACGTAGATAAGTTAAATGAATGACAGCAGTGTCATAAGTGATAGGAGGAAAGACTGAGAGATATTCCGTTATGTGGCACCTACATTACGTAGCGGAGAACAGTTCTCCCAGTTGCCTTAGATTAACTCATGTATTCCCCGTTTCTCACTTGTAGTTCTCAAGAATAACTGTAGAATGTGTGGGGAATGCAACATCCTGAGTTGAGGGGCTGGTCAGAACAGCCTAGGCTCTGCTCTTGGCTCCTCTAGAAAAAGGAGGTTTTTCAACACTTTAGTTAGTGCAGTGGATCCTGTGTCCTTTGGGGTATAAAAGTCATGGAAGGCTGCTTCCTGAGGCCACTGAGCATCAGCGCAAGTGGGGCATGCATAGAAAAGATTCCATCTGCCCCGAGCAGCTTTACTGAGCCTTAGGGGACAGGTTGACACTAAACCGTAGGCTTCTGCTGTCCTTTGTTACCTATCTGTAAGTACCAAACCCATTTTATGCAAGTTGCGTGTGTGAGTGCTCTGTTTCACAGGACTTAGGTGAGTAGTAGACATCACAGCCCAAGATGCAGAGGACTCAAGTGGTAACTCATGCATGGTTGACCGGCTTTGTACACATGAAGGGTATAATGTTATTTGAAAGTAAATTTAGATTCTTTTTTTTTTTTTTTTTGAGACGGAGTCTCTCTCTGTCGCCCAGGCTGGAGTGCAGTGGCGCGAACTCAGCTCACTACAAGCTCCGCCTCCCAGTTTCAGGCCATTCTCCAGCCCCAGCCTCCCGAGTAGCCGGGACACCAGGCGCCCGCCACCACGCCCGGCTAATTTTTTTTGTATTTTTAGTAGAGACGAGGTTTCACCGTGTTAGCCAGGATGGTCTCGATCTCCTGACCTCGTGATCCGCCCATCTCGGCCTCCCAAAGTGCTGGGATTACAGGCGTGAGCCTCCGCGCCCAGCCAATTTAGATTCATTCTAAGTGCACATTGCAGCATCTAAACAAACACTTTCAAAAAAAGAAATATATTTGATAGTAAAGAAAAAATGAAAACTAGAAACATAAAATGCTCCATTAAAGCCAGGTAATGCATATATACATACAATGGAATATTCAACCTTAAAAAAGGAAGGGAATTCTGACACATGCTACACCATGGATGAACTTTGAGAAATTCATGCTAAGTGAAATAATATAGCGGAATCAGACAAATATTTTATGATTTCACCTCTTTGAGGTACTTAGATTTTTCACATTCATGGGGACAGAAGGTAGAATGGTGATTGTCAGGGACTGGGGCAAGTAACGTAGGGAACATTATGGTATGGTAGGTTAAAAGTTTCAGTATTTTAAAGTGAAAAGAATCCTGGAGATGCATGGAGGTGATGGCTGCCAACAGTGGGAATGTACTTAATACCATGGAACTGTGCACTTAAAAATGGCTAAAATGGTAAATTTTATGTTATGTGTATTTTTAAACAACCAAAAAGAAAAGCATGTAAGAGTGAAAAAGAGAGGAATAAAAAATATTTAAATCTAAATCTAAATATATTATAGAGATATGGCTGAAAATATATAATATAAATATATTATATTATATATATATATGGCTGAAAAAAGAGAAGAAAAAAGTAAAAAATTGCAGCAAATACACCACATTTATAAACATCAGAAAAACCAATCCATTTTTAATCACTTTATGTGTGAATGGCCCAAATAAACAAAATAAGACACAGACTGTCAGAGCTGACAAAAAATCACGACCTAACTCTATGTTGTCTACAAAAGACCCACTTTCAATATAAACACCCAGGTATATTAAAAGTAAAGGGATGGTGAAAGATATGCCTTGTTAATCTTAAAATAAGGCTGGAGTTTCAGAAGTTATATAATTTGGGGGGATTGAGTTGTTCATAATAGTCCTGTAGTATCCTCTTGATGACCCTAGTATCACTCATGATGACCCTGATGTATCGTGAGTTAATTCTTTCTATTTCTGACTGGTGCTCTGTTTTATGGATGGATAGCAAATTCTGCAACAATGCAATAGATCTTTTCATATAGTTTACAATTACATTCAAAATTGTTCGATGAAATCCACGTAGCTTATAAAATAAATGGTGCCAAATTCCCAAAACTCAAAAACGTCAATCTTAGACATATTAAAACAATGGTAATCTAATGAAAATTTTAATTTTTATGCATGTTAACTATAATTTTATACACGTTAAGAAGTACATAAATGCTACAACAACTATGCTCATTATTGTGATAAAAACCTGATATTCACTCATGGAAGTGATCATCAGAATGTTTGCAGCTTATGAGTTATTGTGAAGTGGTTGAACAAGGGTAATCTGAAGTCATACGGAGAATTGTAACACCAGACCAGGAAGGGTACAGCTCATAACATACGTGGTGAACTGAGGCAGCAGTTCTTATTTGTTATGCTATTCTGAATTTTTCTTCATTTCTTCTATTTATTTTGGTTTTAATTTGTTCTTTTTCTAAATTAATTTCTTAAGGTAGAATCTGAGTTAGTTGCATTAGTATATCTTCCTTTCTAATTACACAAGTAATGCTACAAAGTTCTCCAAACGCTGTTTTGGCCATATTCCACAGATTATGGTAATTTTTGTTTTCGTTTTAGTTCAGTTAGAAATACTTTCTAATTACCTTTGATGTCTTCTTTTATGCAGAGTTATTTAAGAGTGTCCTATTTAGTTTCAAATATTTGGAGATTTGCCAAAATTTTTTAATTATAAATTTCTCATGTAATTCAAGGGTGATCAAAGAATGTATTTCTATTACTTAAATGTATTTAAATTTAATTATATGTATTATTCATACGTAATACTTGTACGTAGTTATGGGATACGTGTGATATTTTGGTATGTATGCATACAATGTGTGATAATTAAATAAGGATATTTATCCACTATCTCAAACATTTATCATTTCTTTGTGTTGGGAACATTTCAAATCTTCTTTTCTAGCTATTTTGAAATATATAATAAATTATTGTTAACTGTAGGTGCCCTACTGTGCTATTAAACACTAGAATTTTTTCCTGTTAGCTAACTGTATTTTTGTGCACATTAACCATTTGCTCTTCATTCCCTCCTCCCCACTAAACTTCCCAGCCTCTGGTAACCACCAATCTACTCTCCATCTCCATGAAATCCACTTTTTTTAGCTCCCACATATCGGTGAGAACATGTGATACCTGTTTATCTGTGCCAGGTTTATTTCACTTAACATAAGTTCTAGTTCCATCCATGTTGCTGCAGATGACAGGATTTTATTTCATTTTATGTCAGAATAGTATTTTATTGTATATATAAATAGATGATATTTATATTGTATATAAATATATAACTATATATTATAAATATTAAATATAATATAAATAAATATACTATTTTCTTTATCCATTCATCTGTTGATGGACACTAAGGTTGATTCTATACATTGGCTATTATGAATAGTGCTGCAATAAACATGGGAGTGCAGATAGCTCTTCAATATAGTGATTTATTTTCTCTTGGGTATATCCTCAACAGTGGGATTGCTGCACCATATGGTAGTTCTATTTTCCATTTTTTGAGGCACTTCCATACTGTCTTCAGTAGTAGCTGTACTAATTTACTGTCACACTGACAGTGCACAAGTGTCCTGCCTTTCCACATCCTCTCTGGCATTTTTTATTTCCTGTCTTTTTGCTAATAGCTATTTTAACTACGGTGGGTGAGATGATCATTGTGGTTTTGATTTGCATTTCCCTGATGATTAGTGATGTAGAGCATTTTTTGTATGTCTGTTGGACATTTTTACGCCTTCCTTTGATAAAGGTCTATTCAGATCATTTGCCCATTTTTAAAATCAGATATTTATTTTTGGAATTGAGTTGTTTGAGTTCCTTATATATTCTGATTATTAATCTTGTGTCAGATCAATAGATTTCAAATATTTTCTCCCATTTTGTAGGTTACCTCTTCACATTGTTGGTTGTTTCCTTTGCTTGCTAATGATATTTATTTTATGGCATAGAATTTGTTCTGTCTTTGTAAATATTTTGTATTCATAATATTTAAAAAGTATTTTGGGCTGATTTGAATCAAATGTTTTAGTTATGTCTATTGGACCAAAATAATTGTATTTTATTTCCATGTTCATTTTTTAAAATCTATTATACTTGTCCCATTAACTACTGAGAGAGTGGTATTAAAATTGCCAGTTACAATTGTAGATTTCTCTAATTCTATTTTTAATTCTGTCAGTTTTTATCACATATATTTTGAAAATGTTATTAGGCACACAAACTATGTCTTCTTGATGAAAAGCCCCCTTGTCATAATGAA
This sequence comes from Homo sapiens, assembly GCF_000001405.40. Classification (NCBI taxonomy): domain Eukaryota; kingdom Metazoa; phylum Chordata; class Mammalia; order Primates; family Hominidae; genus Homo; species Homo sapiens. The sequence continues at coordinate 53,529,675 of NC_000007.14, forward strand.
ATGCCCTTTCTTATTCCTGATGGTTGCTGTTTTCCTAAATGTATTTTGGTTGATATTAATATAACAACTGCTGATTTCTTTTTTATTGTTATGGTAAAATACTTATAACATAGAATTCACAATTTTAAGCATTTATAAATGTGCAATTCTGTGGCATGAATCACATTCACATTTTGTGACCATCACTTCCCTCCATTTCCAGAAACTTCCATCTCCCCCAGCTGAGATTCTTTACCCATTAAAAATAACTTTCCACTTCACTCTGACATCAGCACTGGGCAACCACCATAATTTCTGTCTTCATGAATTTGACTACTCTATTATTGTGTATTGCACTATTTGGGATCATATAAGTGAAATCATACAATATTTTTCCTTGTCTTACTGGTTTATTTCATTTAGCATATCTTCAGGGTTTATCCATGTTGTTACATATCTTACAATTTTCTTCATTTTAAAGGCTAATATTCCATGGTAGGTATATAACAAATTTAGTTGATTTATCCATCAGTGGACATTGTGTTGCTTCCCCCTTTTGACTATTATAAATAATTGTGCTGAAGGTAGTCAAATATGCTATCCCCAAATCCCCTTTAGCCTAAGGATTATTTTAAGCTGAAAGCAATTGAAGAAGCAGATACAAAATAAGCTCTCCAGCCTTTCTCCAATCTTTGCCTAAAAGCAAGAGGTAAATTTACAAGGCTGTCCCTCCTTCCCTCTTTACTGGGAAGGACAAACTTTCAGGGGGAGATTATTATGCATTGATATCAGCCTGGAGGCAGCACCAGACGAATCTATATAACAAACTTTACTATCTTTTAAGTACTATTAGATTCCCATGTATTTACCTCCCCCCACAATTTGCTGCTTCTAGAGACTCAAAGTCTTTTTCCTTTGTCTTGTCTCTTATCGAAAATGTATTCTTCTTTGTTGAAAATGCCATATGCACCGGAGTTCTAAGCCACTTATTTGAGAATTACTCATTTCCTTGGTATCTCCTGTATCTCCTGTATATGAGAATCATATATTAATGAACATGTTTGTTTTTCGCTTGTAAATCTGTCTTTGTTAGAGGAAGCCCAACTAAAAATTCAGAAGGTAGAGGAAAAATTATTCGTCCTCCCCTACACTATTACGAACATGGGTGTACGAATATCTGTTCAAGTCCCTGCTTATATTTATTTGGGTATATAGTCAGAAGTAAAGTTGCTGGATCATATAGTAATGCTTTGTTTAATTTTTTGAGGAATTGCCCTACTGTTTCTCACAGTGGCTCCATCATTTTACATTTTCACCAGCAATGCTTAAATATGTCAATATTTTTCTCTCCACAAAAACACTTGCTATTTTTTTCTTTTCTTTTTTTTTTTTTGGATGATAGCCATCCTAATAGATATGACCTGCTCTCTTTTTGTGAGTGTTAACATGGTATATATTATTGTAACCTTTTATTTTAACCCATTTGTGTCTTTACGTTAAATGTAAAGACATTACGTGTCATAAGCATACGTCTCATAAGCAGGATAATTTGGGCTTCGCTTTTTATCCAATCTGACTATCTTGTAATTCTGGCAATTCTGTGATTTATATTTTATGTCATTAATTGAATGATCAGGTTTATCTATTATCTTTTTATTAGCTTTATATTTTCTCTATGTGTTTTTCATCCAAAGTGTTCTCTTTTCTGTCTTGTTTTGGATTAATTTAAATTTTTTTATGATTTTAGTTTTCTATTTTGCTAATTATCTTTAGCTCTTTTAAGAATGTTTTCTAGTGTTCATCCAAGCAATATATCCATTTCATGCATAGTGTAAAAACGAAACAATACTGCACTTCCATTTATCATTCCAAGCTTCATGTTATTTTTATATGATTTACTTATAAGTTACAAATGCCACAACGTATATATATATATAATTTTAATCAGTCAATTATTTGTCAAAATACTTAAATTTTAGAAATAATCTTATTTTTTTCCCAATTTGGATACTTTTAAAAATCTTTATTTCCTTGCATAGTTCTCTGCTTTCATCTGGCAGATGGAATCTTTTTTCTTTTCTCTTGCCTGAGGAGTTTCTTGTAGTGCTGTCGTACTGACCATAGATTCTTTTAAAATTTCATGCCTAGAAAAGTCTTTATTTTATCTTCATTTTGAAAGACACTGTCTTCATGTGTAGAGTTCTAGGCTCACAGCTGTTTTATTTAGGATGCTGACGACTTTTCTCACTGTGTTGTTTCCAGTGAGAATTATTTTCTCTTGCATACCTCCGTTCCCCTGTATGTAATATGCTCCCCTCCCCTTCAAAGCCTGGCTACTTTTAAGATTTTTTTCTCATCACTTTTGTGCATTTTTATTATAATGCACTTTTGTATTGTATTTCTTTGGCTTGGGTTTTGTGGAACTTTTTAAGTCTTGGTTTATGGTTTTAATAAAATTTGGAAAAATTTCCTTCATAATTTAAAAAAGTTTTTGCCTGCCCCCCAGCCCTAGAAATTCAAATCACCCCAATATTGGACCCTTTCAAGTTGTCTCACAGCTCACCAAAGAGCTTTTCATTTTGTTTATGGTCTGTTTCTTTGTTTTGATTGTTTGTTTGTTTGTTTGTTTTTGATAGTTTGTCCATATGCCTCAGGCTCACTTTTAGGTCTCCTGCCCCTGCCATGTAAATCTGCCATTAATCTCACCCAGTATAATTTTTTACCTCAGATGGTGTAGTTTTCTTCTCGGGAAGTTTGATTGGCTCTTCTATCTTCCAAGTTTCTTTTTGGCTTTCTGAAATACATATTTATAATAACAGTTTGAACGTCCCTCTCTGCCCACTCTCACACTTGTGTCCGATTTGATTAACTTCTTTTTTATGTGTCATATGTTCCTACTCTTTTGAAAGCCTGGTAATGTGTGATTTGATGACCGCATTGTACATTTCACCATTTTAGTGATGTACAATTTTGTTTCTTTATGAATGCTCTTAAGCTTTTGTCCTAGAACACCATTAAATTAGAAACAGTTCTATCCTTTTGGGTCTACTTTAAGATTTTCAGGTAGGCTCAGTCTGGCATTGAGGTCAGGGCTAATTTTTCCCCATTACAGAGACGAGAGCCTTCTGAATGCTCCACGCAGTGCACTGTGTTGGAATCCCAATGAGGTTTCCAGGTGACAATACTTTAATATAGCAAGAGAAGACTGTTCAGTGCTCATGCCACGGAGCTCTGTGTGCACTCCTGGGAAGATTAGGAGGCTGCTCCCAAGCGGCCTCACATAACAACATTCATTATGTTTTAAAAATTTTGAAATTCAGACTTCTAAGGACAAAGGTTTTATGTTGTCAGCAGTTTGAGTGTGGATCACGAAAGAATTGTGTGGGCTGCTATACTGATTTATTAATTTACAATGAAAAATTTACTGATAAAAGAGCCAGGATATTCACATTGTCAAGATCAGGCCATTCTCTCCCTGTAGCCAAGGTTTGGGGTAGGTTAAATGACAGTTTACTCATTTTCAATAAGAAATAGCTGTGAAGCTTTTATGACCAGTGAATTATCTCCTCCCGTGGGAAGGCGAGTGAGTTCTAGGTGAATATATATCCATATGTATGTTTTGTAATCATCTCCTTATATAAAATTTGAATGTGTATAACATATAGTTCTAAGACCTCAGATAAATGGATTCCTTTTCCTTTCTTTTCATTCTATAGAGAGGTGAATACTTTTAAGTTTATAGCCAAAACTCGCTTTTCCCTGGACATAGCCACTACCAAATTGTTTCTTTTAATCTTTGCCTTTTGCATTTTTCAAAATTCTAAAGATAACCAATCTCCTACCTTTCTGATGCATGTATCCTTGCCTTAGATAGGTTTATAGATTAATTCTTTATGTATTCAATTTGTAAATCATTTAACCCTTCAAAAATTTACTAATTTTTGTCTGCTAATCTACTTTGTCTAAAATTTGCAGTTTAACACAGGAGGGCAATTATTTTTCTTCTCTTTAAAGTTCTTGAAAAACATACACATTCTATCTTGGAATTAGTGACAAGAAGGACCTATATTGTGTTATGCACTTCCTTCTTCATTGCCTGATTTAAGACTGATCACTATTCAAAATACCATTGAATAATTTTAAGTGATTGAATAACATGAGCAAACCACACCTGTCATTTCAAAATATAGTTCCAGCAGCCTTTCGAAAGAGCAGCAGTGACATTCAAAATGCTCTTACTTGGAATTGCATGAACACACCTCTATCAGAACGGACATAAGCCCCAATGGCAGAAGCAAGTCCTTGCAGGATCCTGGCTGAAAAACATGGCATGTCAATTTTTGAGTTGCTGCATCTTTGGAAGACACAGAGTAGTCTTAGGGAAATAGCTGGGGAAGAGTTCATCAACCACTTATTCAGTAAGACATTATTTCAACGCTTTAACTGCTATGGCCTTTACAAGGGGTGTTTACTAGCTATCAGCCCAGTGGAGGGGGATCGGGGAGAGAGCAATGTCTAAGTGTGACTTAACAAGAACAAAACAACAAAACGAGATGAAGAGTCTTGAGAAAATGTTTGTTTCATTCTACATCATCTTTGAAGTACATTTATACAACTTAATAAGATATTTTCCTGTCTCCCACTTCACATAAAACTAATGCCTTTCATGATATTATTGGATTATTTAAGCTACACTACATTCGTCATTATGCAGAGCTTAAAGTCTTACATCAAAATGTTCCAATTTGGTCACTTTGTTGGAAGTCTCAGTAGGGAAGATGAAAAACAAGAAAGCTGACCTTGTATATAGTTTGTCTACTACATGAATGCAAAGAGCATTTCTTTCCTGGGTTTTAGGGAAAATGAGGGCCAGCACCTTGTACAGTTGATCATGTCAGTCACAACTCTGCCTAGTTTTAATTAAAATTTTGTTAAACGATAAAGATTGTCTCATGCAGATTCATCATAATAAAAGGCTGTTTTAGGAGTTCATGACATTCAAAATCTATTAAAATTTCATCCAAAAACTGTCAAAGTCGTTTACATCATATTTGGTAATCTTGATGGCAAATTCCCAGTGTACTATAAGATTTGTTAATTGCCAGGATCTGTGGGGTTGAATTAAAAAAAAAAATTCTATTACTCTAAACAATTCTGTAGGGTATGCACCAAATAGTCCTGTGATGTATATAGGGCCAAGCTATGAAATTCCCTTGTCCGTCTCTGAAGATCTGCCCTTTAAGGTAAATGACAACCAAATAAACACAAGAAGCATCTCCCACAGAACCATCTGAGGCCAGATCTTCACCGTGCTTCATCAGCCATCTCATCTCAAACCCAAAAGATAAAAGAGGACAGTTACTTCTAAGATCACCAAAGTTACTATAGTAGAGATACCTCAGCTTTCTAAAAGCACCTCAAAAATCACTGTCCACATTTATAATATGTTGCTTATATAAACTACTATCTTTATAGATTGTATTATGGAGATGTTGTGCTAGGACACATTGTGCTTTTTCTTAATTTTCTTTTTGCTTTATCTGGGAGTGTGTGTTACATAAAAATAAAAGATTTACAAATGTTTGTGTATATCTGCTCAAAACTTCCTATTAAGTTCTTATAAATAACTTAAAAGTTATAAAATCAATCAGAATTTTGAGAATTTGGAGGTGACCATGATCTCCGTAGACCAGGGGTGGGTGGGAGTGTGTAGAAAGTTAGGAAAAGAACCCCTGGACAGAGATACCCTTGAGCTGGTCCCTTAGCATTCAGCCTTTGCATTGATGGAGAGGAGTGATGGAGAGGCATTAAGGGTAGAGTTTTGATGTGGAAAAAAGAAAGGACATAGTGTGAATGTGTCAAGACTGAGAAGAAGCATTTAGCAGTGATTAAAATTGTTAAAAATTGGTTGCCACCAGTCTGTAGGAGGTTTTCACTGACAATGTAAAGAATTATGACTTTATGCTATGGGGTTTGCAGCACTCATGGCATTTTTGAGCAGGGAAGCGTCAAGCTGAAAATACAGTTTATTCATATTTTTAATGTACTAAAATACAAAAATCATAGTGCCATTTCCTCAAGTTACTGGTTTGTTAGTTCCACTGATTGCCCTTAAGGCCAAGATTTTGAGCATTATCTCTGCATGCAGCTTGAAACACACACACACACACACACACACACTCACATACACACACAGAAACCATCTTTATACCTATGACATCAAAATTTGTATCTTCCCACCCAATTTTTCTGTGCTACAAATATACATTTCTGATTGTTTATTCAACATTTTGACAAACATATTTCAAAAATTGTAAAAATTATATGTCTACAGAGAAAGCCATGATTTTCCACTCAAATCTGGCTCTCACTCAGTGATTCTTATCTCAGCAAAGGTCCCATCATCCATCCATTGTGGAAAGCTCATCTGTGGGGCTCCACCTTGCTACTTGTCCCTTCCTTACCTGCCCTCATCATATTTAAACAAGTCCTTTAGATTTTATTTACCACGATTTCTTAATCCTGTTTACTTCCTTTCATTTCCTAGTCTAAATTGCCCCTGACTCTACCCCAGCTATTGCCATTCTCTCTCAACAGTTTTCTCCATGTCCATTTCTGGCCTTTCAATCTGCTCAAAGCAAAAGTGAATTTTAAGCAACATATCTGTGAGCATTCTCCTTAGAACTTTCTGGTGGTTTACCAGTTGGTTAAATGTAGAGGTCAAAATGACTCACAGCAGGCTTCAAGTTGTACAATCTAGCTATAAATGTACGTGTAGCTTAACTCGACACATGCCTGTGTGTCTTTTTTGGTTATTGATGTGCTACCTTAATTATTTGTTTTTTGCACCTGTTGTGGACATTATGACCTCCTCCTTTTTTCTAATGGCACCATTATCATCTTTTAATAAACGTTTCATACCTTAGCTTATGCCATTTCCTTAATGAAGCCACCCTTAAAACATCCCTAAACCACTGAAAACTGATCGGAATTCCGTTTGTGCTCCCATAAATCTTATTTCAATGTATAGTTATCCATTTACTATGATAACCTCAGTATCTTGTGGATTTTTTTCAATATGTTCCTCTTTTGTTTAAAGTTATTTTGTTTTCTTCGCCAGATAGACCAATGAGCACAGTAACACCCATATAGTAAATGCTCAGTAGCTATGGTTGGAAGAAAAAATAAATGGTGAGAACAGTGAAAAGTAGAAAGAAAGATGAAATATGTCTGATGAAATATTGGTTCTTTGGGGAACTAGGGAAGTCAAATCCATTTTGATTTCTGGCCTAACATATTCAAGAGTATAATTTACTGCACATAAGCCAAATTATAGTCATGCATGAAGGACTGCTCAGCCCTTATTAATAATGCTCAACGACATTACAACAGCTTGTGAAGTCTTACAAAATCCATGGAGTATTCAAACTCTGAATTTTATATGTTTACACTCCATAGAGACTTACATCAAGTGATTAAATATTTCCAAATATAAATCATATTTGGATCCAAAGAACTGTTAAGCTGTATTCAGGAGCCAGTACCAGTAGCACAAGTCCTAACCTAGGTAAGGAAATCCCTCAGTAGAGGAATAAGTAACACATGCGTTCATTTTAAATACTCATAGAAAGTGATCACAGATACACTACTTAACTAAATATGTAATGAATTTTCAGTGGAATCTTCAGTACTCGATTGCTGTTTAAAAAAATCTTGGTCTTATAACTTAAAATTAGATTAATCAGATATATGGTAAGCATTGTATACATCACTTTGAATTTGGGTTTCATATAAGTACCACAAAGGCAGAGATTATTGTAGGTTTTGTTCATTGCTGTTTCACCAGTACCTTGAAGGATGTCAGCTACATCCTGTTTAGGTCAATTCAATAAACAGGTCACTGTTTATTGAATTAAACTATTTAAATGAATGCTCTTGTATGTATGGACATTTATCCATATAGAATATATTTATTAAGTACCTGCCATGTGCAAAGAAGTATTTTCAGTGCTGATGATGTGACAGAGAACCCCACATTTTCTACCCTCAAGGACCCTGAGTTCGGTGGAGAGATTAATAACACATTAATATTGCAGAGGCAGATACATAGGATTATGTAAGAGGAGTTGAGGAAAGGTCATTGGGTAAGAAAACAACTGAGTCGCATGTTGTGGAGAGAAACAAGTCAAGGAATGAGAAAATATACCCCAAGGAGAACAGCGCCAGACAAGAAAAGTTGACTCAAGCGAGTTGGCCATTAGAGGACATATGAGACATCTGTTCTGGAGATGCATATCTCAAGGACTTGAAGGGTCCTGGTCAGATTAGGGATTTTGAACACCACTCCCTGAGGTGGTTCAGAGGATGACCTTGTGGGGCAAGACGTGGAGGTAGTGATAGCAGTGAGAGTATGACCGAAATATGCCAGGTGAGAAAGAATGCAGTCATACTTGGGGCAAAAGTGAATGGACTCAATTTAAGCAAAGTCTGGGAGCATAATTGGTTCGGTTTGGTGACAATTTGTATATAGGTATCAAGGAGAAGAAGTAGGGGAAGTTACGAAAAATTTATCTCATCAGCTGCATGCATAGTAGTGCTGATAACCAAAACTAAGAATATAAATAGGGACAGATTAGGGGGACAGGTGAGTGTCCCGTCCTGGAAATCTTATTTTGGAGGCTGAATATTGGGAGAGAAATCTAGGCTTCAGTATAGATTGCACAATCAGGGTAGAGACTCATGACAGTAAACTCAGAGGCTGAACCTTGGGAATACGAAGATTTAGGCCACACATAAAACTTGTAAGATGGAAAGGCCAGCGTAAGATAAACATACTAAATTTGACATTACAGGAACCAAGAAGAATGTTAAGAAAGCAGAAATTTTCACATAAAGCTAAATTCAAGTAACTCATAGTAAAAATAAAATAGATATTATTTTTAATGTTTTCTAGATTAAGAAAATGAAAGATCATAGAATGTACACGTTTGTATAAAGTTATACTAATATATAGGAAGTGAGCTTTTAGAGTAACCTATTTTAAACTTTAATATGTTGGCATTATCTTAGATTAAGTTCTAATTTTCTGGAATGAGAATTCACTCAGATTTGATCTTACTAGGATACAAACTTTAATGACTGGGCAACTAAACATGAAGTAGCCCTTGAGAAAACAGTGATTTTCATATAATTTTTTAAAATTTCAAAGACCTTTAATAGAGTGAAATTGACTCATACACAGCAAAATTGATTACTTTCCTGTGACTCTTTTTAAATTTTCATTTATTTTGAGGCTAGAGGGAGATCAATATCAAATTATATAATTGTATGATGTAATAATGTCATCTCAGCACTCCTCAACTACTTGTCTGCCCAAAATTTTGTTAATTAATCATGCTGACTTTTAACTTAGTATTTAATAAATGAACTATAGTTTAGTAGCCTTAGGTTTGTCCAGCTTCATGCCGTCAGCCACTAAATATGTCTTAAACATCTGCTATTTGTGAGAAAGTACTAGGTGTCAAGGTACAAAAAAATAATACACAGTCTTGGAACATAAGGGGCTCATAGTGTAGTTTAAGACATAAATGGAAAAGTGAATTAAAAAGGAATAATAAGTAAAGTATATTTTCATAGGAGAAATGATAAAAGTAAATAAAACAGGAAAGCCTAAGAGAAAATTATGAAGACTACCATTTTTAAAAGGAGAAGCCTTTATAGTGATGATAATTTTGGGGTTGTAGAGTTAACCTAAAATGTTAGCAGGTATCCACCCAGCACATGTGAGGGTGGTAGTGGAGGGTGTTGGGCAGTCCAGCCTTCCAGGCAAACAAGTAGAGTAAGTAACTCAAGGCAGAAACAGGAGCCGCCAACACTGTCCAGGTGGTCTGACCATCAATTATGGCATCCAAGAGAGTCACCAAAGAATTCAGAAGACAGGAAGAAGATTCACTTTCTTCATTTTCAGACATTTGCACTGTTGGTTTTGAACAAACTTTCTGTTTATTATTATGTCCTGTTATATTCTGAATGAATAAGACACAAACCTGCACTGCTTAGTACATCATGCTTGTCTTGAAAATAATATGAAAAATGCTGATTAAAGAACTTTTGCGAATATTAGAGAAAAGCATAGCAAAATTCATATGTGTATACTTCAGTTCTTTAATCTCGTCATGATTATTTCATCCTTACTAAAATCTTTCTTTCCCTGTTTAGAATACATGATAACTGATATATTAAGGACATCATTAAAATTTTATTTAGTTTGATACAAAGTAAGAAAACTTTTTGCGATATTATCTTTATTTACTCAGGTATTTGCTTTCTGAAGAAATTATTATTAGCCTAGTAATTATATTCACAAACAAGAATTTTTTGTAGTACTGACCTCATTGTACTATTAAATGGTAAATCTTTTTGGTTTTAATAAGGCGATTACAGTGCAAATATAAGGCTTCAGGAGTATAATCCCTAAAGAAAATATTATCCAAGAGCACCAATGTTTTCGTGTTGAACTAGGAGTTTTCCTGGTTGCAATGGTAAGTGAATAGTAACGTCCTGATGCCTTGATCTGTAAGTCAGCAAATTTTCCAAATCTGATTTTGGCACATGCCATTACCAAATTTAATTAGACATTTATTAAACCATGCCTAACAAGGGTGCAGAAAAGAAAACTAGTTTGAACTTTGCTTCTGGTGCCAGTAGCATTATATAATGTGGTAAACACTGGTAAATGTGTTTAGTTCAGTAACACTTTTAATTATGATTGAGCTCTCCTTCAGAGTCTATGGATTTTACTGATGCAAAATAAACAGCAGAAAGCCAAGTGAAGGCAGTCTCATGGATTTCCATGGCCTAATTAAAGTACAGATACGTTGCTTCCCCATGGTGGCCTTAAGCAAAATAAGCTACGTGCTTGTAATTTCATAGTCAGATCCCTTTTTGCTTTAAATATGAAACTAATACAATGATATCTTTAGTCTCTGTATATCCTGTGAACTTATCTTTGTGTCTGAAACATAATAGACACTTTAGTTTTGTTGGCCAAATGAAGAAAAATGTAGTAAAATAAACATATAATGCAGAGAAAATAGAATGTGTTGACTTGGGGTGATTTGACTACTTATGAGGTATAGACAATGATGGTTAATTACTCAAATATTTAGAACTAATTTCCTCCATGTCTTTCCATCTTTAACTCATTAGATTTCCCCACACCCTCTCTCATGTTCATTCTAAAATGAAAAATGGAGAGCAGTATTAATAGCCCTGGGTCTGCGGATCTCCTGCCTTCTGACAACGTTTATTTCCTTTAGAACGTTTTGTCCATATTTGCTAAATACATAGTGACAAAGTAAATCAATGACACAATTAACTGGCATCAATCTTGAGCTTTTTTAGTTCATCCTCCAGGACTCCTTCTACTTCTTATGAAAAGGGCCGTTTCAAAGGGAAAGACATCTGTCATGTGGGCTTATGTTCTCGCTTCAGTATTGCTGAATGAAACGTGACAAAAGAAATGATGTCAAATCAATTAAAAGATAATAGTTGCACTTTTGTGTCCTTATCATGCTTCAGGTTTGGGTTTAAGCATCTCTGGCCAAGAGATATAGGCTAATTTATAGAATGTTAGCTAATGGAGTCAGTTAATGGAATAAGGATCTGTATAAACTAGATGAAAAAGAATCAAGTGTCTGCACTTTCTGAAGAATTGAGAGATGCAGAGCATTTAATTTTGTGTTGCTGATGGGATCTTCTTTCTTGAGTTCCTCCCGTTTTTACACAAATGAACATTAGGATTGTCAGGATATCCCCCCAGAACATAACATGCCCTGAATCTGCAACACTCTTTACTCAATAGGAAATTACCAATAAAAACCCACAGCAGCATGACAGAAAACACCCAGATAATGCTGGTGGAAATAACACTGGAATCAATAACTTTATTTTTTTGTGAACTCAGAAATTGCATAACCCCATCAGCAGCCGGGTGTCTCCTTTCAGTGCAGCTGCTGAGAACTGTCTGCTCTCAGGTTCAGGGAGAAGCTCGTATTTGCTCTGTTCTTTGATATCTATTTTCTCAGAAATCAGCCTGGAGACTATGTGTACACTAGCAGATGTCATTCTTAAATGAATCAGAGCACATCCTATTTTGTATTTAAAACATTTAAACATCAAAATTCAGTTTTGTCTACATCAGAGGAGGGTTAGGCAAAATATTTACTATAGATTTATTGATGTAATTATATTATCCCGGTGGCTGTTTAAAGTTAAGAGGCTTTCTACTTGCATCACAGATTAACATTCTAAGGATTTGTAACTGAATAACAACAATAAAAATTGCAAATGAAAATATTGCTTTTTAATTCTAATTTGAGAAATTCAAGAAATGTATCGTTTCGATGGTGTTTGCTTTTGCATAAAATGAGCTTTATTTAAAAATAAATGTCATTTTTATTCTACTGTTTAGGTGAATTATATGTACTCTTCTTTTTCTTGCTAAAATCCAGCAAGATTTTACAGTGTTCCAATGTAATAAATATTGTACTCAACATGTGGCTCACAATACAATCTGTTAAGCAGTCTGTGAGATGGAAAAACTGTGAAGTGAAGAGAATACACACCAGACATTTAAAAATTGGCTTAAATGAATCTTTTCTATCTCAATGCAATGATAGCAGAGCACAGATGATTTTGCTTTGGGCAAAGTAAATCAGCAACAGAGAAAAAGTCGCTCATTTGACCTGAGTCCAATTTTGTCACGTGTTCATATATCACTACTGACTTCTACGTTTCCATGTTAGCAGAATGGCAGTCAAGAATAAAAGGATGTGATGCTTGCCTTACGAGATTAGTCTGAAGGAAGAATTCGTATGTCAACTATATTTTAGAGTCAAAATTTAATGAATTCCTATAAGATTATGTTCAAGAATCAATGAAGGAAATTAAAATTGTATGAATCTAAAACTGCCTGTTACAGGTGATTTGCAGGGATTCCATGAAGGCGCATCTTACTCAACATTGCAGGTGATATCAAAAGTAAAATGTTTTCAGGTAGGAGCTGCACCAGGAGCAAGGAGGGGAGAGGAATTTTGTGCTAATTCCTGAAAAGCGAATTTACAGGTTTCAAGAGCAATCCTTGAATCTTGGCCCACTGTGGCCCAAAACTCAATGCTGTAAAACTTCAAGAATCCATAAAGAACCATGTGTTCATGCTGAATCAGAGTAGTATCTGGTAAATATATTCACTTTTCCTCTGGACAGTAAAAAGTGATATGTGGAAAATGTTTAGCTAGAAAGGTTATAAGAAGATGTGTGTGTGTGTGTGTGTGTGCATATGCATGTGTGTATGTATGTGTTTGTGTGTGTGTGTGTGTGTGTGTGTGTGTGACAGAGAGAGAAAGAAGGGAAGGATGGCTCCAATAAGTAGCCAAAACAGTAGAACTCAAAACTGAGTAAAACGGGAGGAAAAACGTTAAGAGATCTAAAATGTTGGTGCAAATGGAGTTGGAAGAACTAGAACCTACCATCATAGCTCACACAGGTTGAGGAGAAAAAGAGCAGGGGAATCACCAAGTAAAAATAAGTCTTTAAAAGAAAGAACAGAACACATGTCAGACATACACAAAGACAATAAGAATATTTTGTTCATTTTTGTCTGCAAAAGAGAGAGAGGCTGAATGGTGCTCTAAATAGAAAACTGTTTTCCTCCAAGATGGTATTTAAACCCAGGATTGAAGAAACACTTGAGTCAACGTCAGTGTTTCTAAATATATATCATAACTAAGAAAGTCAGGTTCTCAGTTAAACTCAGACTGTTCATGATTTTGACACCTGGCTTTGATGCAGTATACACCTGAAGCCAGTGCAATTATGTAGGACGGAGAACAGTAAATTTCAATATATTTTCTTTTCCTTAGTGAAACTTCAGTAAATAAAGGCAGATAGTAATTTTAAAATACGTGCTGGTATCCCCAAGAGAGAAATAATTTCAAGCCTTTTAATTTATCTTAAATGTTGCAGAGATTGTTTATGATTCTACCATGTAACCATTTTTTAAGTATAATAATATATCATGCAGTGCATTGGGTACTCCAGGAAGGTGTGTCGTGAATATGGTGTGGTTTGAAGGCACAGCTCAATACCCCACATGCCTAGGGAAATTCTGATCCAATTGGAGAGAAAAGATGCTTGTCTGTAATTAATAAATAGTAGGTTACTACACTATCATTGAAGGGATATTGATCAGAAAGCAAGTGTCCTAATTTGACTCTTCCTAGCTATTTAGCTAATCTAACATGAATTAATCTTTCTAGGTTATGGTTACTTTGTTTTACCTATAATAAGATTTACCTATAGTACAATTTACTTGTTTAAGGCCTTCTGACATACAGGGCACACATTTTCTCTATTGTAGTGGCTACAGGTACAGCCGTGCACCAAAACGCCTTCTGCCACTCTACTCAGAGACCTCAATCAGCAAGGCTTCCACAGAGCAAGCAAGTCTATCCTCCAGGCCAGTGGGACTTAAACCAGGTGTTCACCTTAATGATGTCTGTTTTATACCAGTTTTGCTGATGAGGTCACTAGACTGCAAGTGGCGGGACGTGCAATGAGATTTCACGCAAGCAGGGGGATTCCAGAGCTCTCAATCGAAAACACTAGCTCTACTGAGATCTCCAAGGTGCTTGAAAAAAATAAATAAAATAAAACACCAAAAACCAAACAACAACCAAAAAAAACCTCTATACAGTAAGCATCCATTCCCCCAGAAAGATCAGGTCCCTCAAAGTCCAAGGCTCTACTTTTAGCAGTGTGTGTGAGTGCTTGAAGTCATTTCAAAGTCCACAAGTGTGACTGACAGAGAGGACTCGTATGGCTCTACCAAAAGCCTCATTGGCGTCACTGAGCGAGAGCACGTGCACACTCTGTATACCACCGACAGCCTGCTCCTCGTCTTCCTGCGAAGAGACTTCCTTTCACCTCCCATCCAAGTTGGTGTGCTCTCTAGACAGATTTCAAAATGTCTTGTATTATCAATTAGGAGCTCACAAGAGTTAGAATTCAGGGTGAAATTCACAGATGCCTGGTTATGGAAAACAGTGTGGGTTGTGAAGGCAGGAAAAAGCTGAAAATTTGGCTTTCTAACTGCAGATGAGTCTCACAGGTGTTCTGTGACCTTAGCCTGGCGTGAGAGAGGAGCAATGAAGGGCAAGTTTTTTGTCCTTTGCCAGACATTGAGTATTGAAAATCAGGACAGATGGATTTTTTTCAAAATAAAGATTTTTAGAACTCTAGAGTTTTATTCCAGAGGTTTTGTAATTTGGGAAGGCAAGGTTGGAAAACATTAAAATAATTTTTTAAACACTAAGTTTTCTTTACACAAAGGATAACAGATCTGACATCAAATATTTTCATTACAGGCATTTTATTGTGCATCTGAGATACTGCATTTGTTTACAAATTGAAGGTTTGTGTCAACCTGTGTTGAGCAACTGTATTGGCACCATTTTCCCAACAACATGAGCTCACTTTATTTCTCTGTCACATTTTGGTAATTCTTGCAATATTTTTTACTTTTTCATTATTACTATATATATTATGGCATTCTGTGATCAGTATTCATTGATGTTAATTTTAATTGTTTAGGGGGTCATGACCCACACCCACATAGTACAGTTAACTTAATACACTAATGTCATGTGTGTTCTGACTGCCTCACCAACCATCTGTTCTCCCATCTCTCCCTCTCCTTGGGCCTCCCTATTCCCTGAGACACAATAATATTGCAATTAGGCCAACTGATGACCTCTAAATATTCAAGTGAAAGGAAGAGTCCAACATCTTTTACTTTAAATCAAAAGCTAGAAATGATTAAGCTTAATGAGAGGGCATGTTGAAAGCTCAGATTGGCCAAACACTTAGCATCGTGTATCAGATAGTTAGCTAAGTTGTGAAGGCAAAGGAAAAGTTCTTGAAGGAAATTAAAAGTGCTACACTAAAGAAGGCATGGATGATAAGAAAGCAAAACAGCCTTATTGCTGATAAGAAGAAAATTTTAGTGGTCTGGATGGAAAATGAAACCAGCCACAACATTCCCTTAAGCCAAAAACTAATCCAGAGCAAGGTCCCAACTCTCTTCAATTATGTGAAGGCTGAGAAGGGATAGAAAGCTGCAGAAGAAAAGTTCGAAGCTAGCAGAGGTTGGTTGATGAGGTTTTTAAGGAAAGAAGACATCTTTATAACATAAATGTGCAAAGTGAAGCAGCAAATGGTGATGCAGCAAGTTACCTAGAAGCTCTAGCTAAGATCATGGATGATGGCGGCTACACTAGACAAGAGAATGTGAATGTAGATGTAATAGCCTATAATGGAAGACTTTGACATGTGGAGCTTTCACAGCTAGACAGGAAAAGTCAATGCCTGACTTCAGAGCTTCAAAGGACAAACTTATAGCATGATGTGCTGATTATTTTAAGACAACTGCTGAGACTTACTGCTCAGAACAAAATTTCTTCCAAAATGTTATTTCTTATTGACAATGTACCTGGTCCCCCAAGAGCTCTGATGGAGATGTATAAGAAGATTATTGTTATTTTCATGCCTGCTAATGAAATGTCCATTCTGCAGCCCATTGATTAAGGAGTCATTTTAACTTTCAAGTCTTATTAATTAAGACATACATTTATTATTTAAGACATACATTTCATGAGGCTATAGCTGTCATAGATAGTGATTTCTTTGATGGATCTGAAGAAAGTAAATTGAAAACCTTCTGGAAAGGATTCACCATTCTAGATGCCATTAAGTACCCTTGTGATTCATGAGAGGAAGTCAGAATATCAAGATTAACAGGAGACTGGATGATGTTGATTCTAACCTTCATAGATGACTTGATGGGGTTCAAGACTTCAGTGGTGGAAGTATCTACAGCAGCAGAAATAGAAGCAAATCCTAAAGATGTGACTGAATTGCTGCAATCTAATGATAGAACTTGAACGGATAAGGAGTTGCTTCTTATAGAGGAACAAAGAAAACGAATTATTGAGATGGAATCTACTCTGAGTGAAGAGACTATGATCACTGTTCAAATGATAACAAATGATTTAGACTATTTTATAAACTGAATTGATAAAGCAGCAGCAGGGATAAAATTGACTCCAACTTTGAAAGAAGTTCTGTGGGTCAAATGCTATCAAACAGTATCTCCTAACACATAGAAATACTCTGTGAAAGAAGCAGTCAATTGATGCAGCAAACTATACTGTTGTCTAATTTTTAAAAATTGCTGTGGACACTGTAATCTTCCACAACCATTATCCTAACCTATCAGCAGTCATAAACACCAAGGCAAGACCCTCCATCAGCAAAACATTACAACTTGATAGAGGTTCAGATGATCGTTAGTATTTTTTAACAATAAATTGTTTTTCAATTAAGGTGTGTACATTGGGGATTTTTTAGGCTTCATGGAATATAGTGTAAACATATCTTTTATACATTGGAAACCCAAAACATTGAGTGACTTGCTTTATTGTGGTATTTGTTTTATGGCTATGGTCTGAAACCAAGCCCATAGTATCTTTGAGTTGTGCCTGTGTATGATATTTATGATGCTAATGAGACTTATATTTTCATCATTATTCTTTTAAACATAATAATTGCAGGCTAAATATTATTTAATACTTTTTTAAATTAAATACCAGTTAATGAAATACTAATAAAGAAATAAACATGCTCATGAAAAGACATGCAATTTCTGTAAACTAAAACTTTTAAATGTCTGCAGGGTTGTGGGGGGGAGAGTATATTCATTTCAGCTTAAAACACTGAAAGTCTGTGGTTAATACTTTAATTTCTCAATTTTTTTTCTAGGGCATTTGAGCTGATTTTAGAGTGATCTATTATCAATTAAAAGTAATGGCAAAAACTGCAATTACTTTTGCACCAACCTAATAGTAAGGAAGTGAACAAATTACAAAAAAAAAAAGCCCATTGGTTTTGGGGTTAGAAATTGTGTCTTTCACCCTGGCTCTAATTCACAATGTGGTCGGGGACAAGGCAATTATCCACCTTGTGCAGGGCTCCATCTCTACCTGAGAGCCTCTGATCTAGGCGAGCTTACTCAGGTTAAGTCCTGTGGCTGGTTCACAGCTCCTCCATCCGACCATGGTACAATAAGAAGCATTGCCTTCTTTGCCTTATTCCAATTCTCCTATTTCCTTTCCTTTACAGTTCACTGCTATAGCTGATATCTGTGAAATGAAACTGCCCAGCTATTCAGTCCCCGTATCAGTTAATGCTGCAATTAGTTCTCTGATGACAATGCTATCAAAAGTCAACAAATACTGAGTATTGCATTTGGGTAACACAAAATGAGCTAGGACGTCCCCTCAGATTAAATGATGGTTTCAAACTCAGAGGATTTTATTTCTTCTTCTCCTAGTGCTTTTTCTGTACTTCCCTTCATTATGTTTCTTATTAAATATTAAGGGACATGCCAGCCTACTCTGATTTTTCTGCTCATTATGTTAATGCCACAGAGAATTTCAGAACTTTTGCCTGTATAGTTCAACGAATAAGCATTTAAACTAAACTACTTGATAACTAAAACCTAATGGCCAGGCAAGACCAAACTGAAAGAGTGAGAAAAGAAATAATCACACTTGAACGGAAAGCAAAGATACTCGCTGGGAAGATAGTATTGGCAAGCACTATAAAAATCCACTTAAGATATTCATTGTACTTATATCTCATTTATATAGATAACAACTCCAATAGACAAATATGTAAATTATATGTATGAAATTAACTCAAGTGATTACTAAATACTTTTCATCAAAACATGTTCAAATATACTCTTGATTCTTAAACTGCATATATAATTATTACGTGCTATTTTAATTCTTTAAAAATATTTTTGGAAAGGAGATCTTGCTTTGTTGCCCAGGCTGGAGTGCAGTTGTGTGATCATAACTCACTATAGTCTCCAACATCTGGACTCAAATGATCCTCCCACCTCACCCTCCTGAGTAGCTGGGACTATGGGCACATGTCCCTGCAGTTGGCTAATTATATTTTTGTTATTATTTCATATGGAGATGGGGTCTTGCCATGTTGCCCAGTCTGGTCTTGAACTCCTGGCTTCTAGTGACCCTCCCGCCTTGGCCTCCCAAAGTGCTGGGATTATATGCATGAGCCACAGTGGCTGGCCCCATTTGCTATTTTCCTTTTGTAAATATACAAAAAAAGATTTTGAGCTTATGCATTTCATCTGTACATTGACATTAAGTGGACTGCTGGGCTGGACTTCCAAGAGTCTGTTTAATGACGTGGTGATCAATCAGCTAGCTATTCCCTTGAGAAAATACTTCTACTCAGCAAACATATTTGTTTTCATCACAAAGGATCTGTGTAAGAAGCTCCCTCTCTGAGGTTTTCTTGGAGCATTGCAAGTGAATGAAGCCTTACTTTCAAAGAGACGATTGAAAGAGATGTGATAATATGCAAAATGTATTCCACTAATTTTTAAGATATTGAAAGAACAAGGCTAAGTAATTTAAATAACAGTGATTAATGACAGGAAAGGGTGAAAGTTTGAGGGAGAAACTGTCAGTGTTTGATGGATCATGTGAAGTTTTCCTCTGGGCAGAAGCAGATATGTAAACAACAACATCACAGTGCAGGGGGTATTGGCGATATGTTGACTGTGCTGAGCTTGTTTCCAGCTTATGGCTATATTACAAACAGTGATGCTATTACAATATTTGTACAGGTTTTCTGGTGAAAACATACATGCATTTCTAGGGTGTGTGCTTAGGAGTAGGATTTCTGGGCAAGCGAGTATACGCACATACTCAGCTTCAGTAGACCCTGCAAAACAGTTTTTCAAAGTAGTTGTATGAATTCGAACTCTCACTAACATAAAACTCCTTCCTCCAGACCCTCACTAAGACTGGTGTTTACCTTTCTAGCCTTCTACATGGGTAGGTAGCCGTATCAGCTGCTAATTTAAGTTTGGGTTTTCATGAGTAACCAGAGCTGTTAAGAACATCTGCTTTTATTTATCTGCCACTTGGATATCTTCTTTTTCTTCTCCTGTTGGATCCTTTGCCTTTCTCTTATTCATGTGAAAAGGGTAGCTATGCATTCTGAATTTGAGTCATTTGACAAATACCTGTATTGCAAATGTCTTCTTCAATCCTGTGTCTTGAAACTGTCAAGCTTAATCCTATGATCCATCTCAGGTGAATGTTATGTGTAGTGTGAGGTAGGGGTCAATACTCACTTTTCATTTTCCTCTGGATAGCTGACTGTTCCAGCACATCTTCTGAACATTTATTCTCACTGTAATGAAGTGAAACTCCCCCATGTTTTTTCTGTCGTTATTGTTTATTAAATTAGGTGAAATCATATGTGTAAGCTTATTTCTAAAATCTCTATTTAATTTTATTTTTTACCAATACTTCATTGTTTTAATTACATTCCATTTCAACAGCTATGATAAAAAATGTATAAGTCCTCTAAATTTCTTCCTCAAGATTTACTTAACCTTTCTTAGCTATTTTTTATTTCCATAGCATTTCTAGTATTGGTTTTTCAATTTCTACAAAACTGGATATCTTGCCTTTAACTTTTGCTTATTGTTTGAAAAATAAAACTTTAATTTTATATTTGTTACAATCTACAAATCTTACTCTTAAAATGCCCTGTGTTTCATGACATTAGACAGGCTATATAAGTATTAGAGAAAATATTTAATAACATAGGGTTTCTTTATTTGCCTTATTTATAAATCAAACCTTGTACATTATCTCTAATTCATGTTGGCTTTCATGGATAATAGAGTAATTAATTTATGATTTTCTAAGTTTTTATTCCATTTTCCAAACAAATTATTAAATAAGTTTTTTACATTACCTATATTACATATTCTGTAATATTGTGAGGACAGGAATTTTTTGGAGAAAGAAATGAGAGATGATTTTTTTGTAAGGGATTATATAGTGGAACCAGCGAGATGACTGTGGTGGTCACTCCTAAATCTAATCTTCTATCACTATTAGTTTAATGTGTTACAAAATTAAGAAAGTAAGGAATATTTGGCTTGTTCAAGGTCATAGAGATTGTAAATGCTGAAGAAAAAATGTCCTATGACTGTAATTCAGAAACTTTTCACATATATATATATATATGTGTGTGTGTGTGTGTGTGTGTGTGTGTGTCATTAAAATAAAGTTTCAGGTAAAATTGACTATCTCCTCATTGCAACTGATAACTTATTGTCCTAGAATGCCTTAAAAATAAGAAAAGTAGAATGATGTTAGTATTTGAACAATTTAAAATGAATAATTTCATGTAGCCCATTTAGATAAATGGAAACTTTAAAAAAAATCATGTGTCAGAGTTCTTGTGCCCGATTTTGAGTGATTTGTTTCTAATAACTGTTCACTGTACTAGTATGTAGTAAATAGTTACAACTGAAATTTCCTATTTTCGCATTCCATAGCCCCTACTATCATGGAGAAGACCCAGAGAGGGCTGTTTGTTTTTTTAATAGCAAGATGATTATAATTCAGATTCAGAATTCCTTTTTCCGGAGACTTCCACTAGATAAAGAAATAAAATTAGAACCTTATGAGAATTTATTTTATCAACAAGTAAAGAGATGGAAAAAATAAGTTTTCAGAAATGAGAACAATACCTGTTTTGAGAGTGTTACATAAGGTTTGTCGGATCTACTTTTTTTGTATTTATTAAAGTTAAATTTGTTTCTTGCAAGAATGTAACAGACAAGTCTTTGAGACCTTTTGCTCTAAGGAATAACTTCTGGGCTGATCCTGGTCTTCTGCTGTCACACGAATGGCCTGCGACTCGCTCCCTGAGGAAAATGTTCACTTCAGAACAACCTTTGATTAACCCACTCAGCTCAGAAATATCAAAAAAATGAAGAGCAGCAGAGAAAATCAAATGTTTCTGTGGGACAAATGCAGGGGCAAAGATCAAATTGACAGGGCCTTAGATTCTCAGATTCATCAGGCTTAGGAAAGTTGAAAGTCATGAACCTCTCAGAATCGCGTTGCTGAAAGTGGAAGGCACATTCTCACAGGAACTGTTGAGACTTCAGGCACTGCAGTTTGCCACTCAGGTCCATGAGGAGCACGTGAGTTCTCCATAATCCATGACTGGGTGATATCATGCCTCTTTTCAATTTGTAAAGCACTGACATGTTTTATTAACACGCGTCTTACTCTTCATCCAAGATATTAATAACATGAGAAACTCAGACATGGTAGTGATCCCTGCTGCACCTGGCTTGATGAACTAATGCAATGTGGGCTATAAACAGTCTTTTAGATAATGTTTAAAGCTCTTCTTCTAAGGCTTATTTTTGGGACAACGTGATTTTTTTTTAATCCGAAGACACCATCCCGAGTGCTACACTGAAATATATGTGCTTCTGTTCTCTTTATTTTCTAAATGTGCTCATTATATTGCTAAAACAAATGCGAGGAGATAAAAATAAAATAAAATAAATTAAAAAAATAAATGTACTTATTATAATTAAGAAATGAAAAAAACTATAACACTAACTCATTGACTTGCTATTGTTGGCATGCTATTCCATCTGATAGACACCCTCACTCAGCAAACAAGGGTAAAGTAAGTTTAATAAAAAGAGCAGGCTCACATTTTAGAAAAGTTGCTTTAGAGGGTAAATTAAAAGCCATTGAAGAATATGCCCATTATTTACTCTCAACCCTAGTATAATCATATATCGTGGTAATATGAAATCATTTATAATTACTTTGATTGTTATCTGATGAATCATTATGTGACAAGTTAACTATTTAATGTAAAAGAGAAACATGTAGCTCAATAACGGTCATAATTACCCCCAGATAATCTTATATAAACTAGAAAACCCAGTGATATGAAAATCTCTTTGGATACACTAAGGTGTTGGTTCTTTCACTAGGTAGATTATAAAACACAATTAATTATGAAATTACAACTGCCTTCATCAGTGCATACTATGTAATTCAACTTAACTTATTTATTGGGTATATTTTATGTCTCTTGATGCGAGAGTTACATAACACATTCCCTTTAAAGGTTATATGTGCTGTTTACACATATTATGACAAGAGCATCTAAGCTGATTTTTCAGTTTGGGGTTTGAACATGATAATGTATTGGCTTAGTTATCATTAGTCTTCTAGGAGATAAAAAGCCGTAGTTTAATTTATCATAACCAAATCAAACTTATTAATAAATTTTGCTACTCTGTAGCTTACTTTTCATATATGGAGTTAAAATCCATGTTTCCAAAATCAGCAAACATTCTCTTCAGTGACTAATAACAGTAAAATCACATTGTTAACTCACATCTGTCATATCCATTCAACTATTTGCTTGTTGATTTTTCTTTCCTGACAGCCAAGGTCACTGTTGCACTTATTTATGCATGAAGCCCCCAAACTGCCTCTACATCATGCCCTGACTTTACTGGTAGATGGGTGGCTTCTCATTTTAGGAGCATATATTAAATGCCCAAGCTTCTCAAATTTTAGCCAGTTTTACCTTTAACCTGTGACCACAGTGCTTAAAAGAAACTCTAATTGATTCTTTACTGTTTTCATCTAGGATGTTGAGAATCTTTAAAAGATACAAGTACTTACTACTCCATTTATTGACTTTGTTGTTACCTTGAAAGAACCAATTTCTATTTTAAAATTTTAGGCTTGCGGCTGAACCATGTCTACCTAATGGTAAATATTTCTAAAACTACCTGCCTGATTATTTCTTTGTAATTTGTTTTTACCTGTTTTTTTCTTCCTCTTACAGTAGAGTGTGAAAATAGTAAAATAGTAAAACAGTATAATGCCTTCCTTCTTCTAACATCTTCTCTAGCTTGAAGAAACACTGTAAAATAAGTCAACTCTAATTTTATATCTGTGTATTTGACTTTTATATCTGTGTATTTGAGCTGTGTATCAGAACTTTCACAGCTACTGCTGTCAATTAAACACTGGCTATTTCAAAACACCAACTTGTGTGTCCTCACCAAGACACATCCAGAAACTGATTTCAGAGATATATTAGCTGCTCTACCTACATGCTCCACCTACATGCAAACATACAAAAAAAGGAGGTTCTATTTGGTGCTACTTTTAAGCAGGCATCAAATAAATAACATTGCTGCAAAATAGAGCAGATTGTTAATAAAGTCCACATCTGAAATCTGAACAATTTTTCCATAGGCATTAAATGTATGGACTGAAATATCTAAAAACATCACTAGGTACAAACCTATCTTTTACAATTGATTGTGGCAATGCCATTAGCATTATTCTGTGCTGGTGTGTGACACCATATAGAAGAGAAGAAAAGAAAGTAAAACTATAATATATCTCCAGTTCAGCCAAACTCTGACACTAAGGCAGCGCACTGCTATTTTACACTTTGTGCTGTCAGTTTGGAAGATGCTTAGTCTGCACTGGGAATTTATATTGCAAATATCACTTGCTAGGGGGTTTTTGTATGGTTGCTAATGAAATCATTACAAAGTACCTGCACAAGGGGCTGACTTCATTAACTTTGTTTCCATGAAAACCTCACAACATTGCCATGCGAGAATAATAATAAATGATTTTTTTCCAGCCGTAGAAAAAGGATAGTTGGCAAACAAAACCACTCAGTGAGGCTTGGAGAGACTCAGTCACTAAGACAAAACAAGTAGAAAAGTGAAGAAAAAAAATTAGAGTGTCAAATGTGTTCACTTTTTGTTACACCTTTTATTTTCCTCAAGGCCAGTCACAAAATGCAAAAGGAAATGTAGGTAATGCACACAAAACTGCCAGACCAGAGTAGCAGATCAAAAAAGGACAGATTCCTTTCTCCTCAGAAACACTGATTTTTGGATTTCCTGATCTTCTCCCAAACATCATACTGGTTGTATCAGTAATCAGAAGAGAACCCTTAAAAGAAACGTGAAAGCTACCTCTTAAATACAAAAATATTGCTGTGACTTTATCCAGTCCTCTTTGGTTTCCATTGAATCTTCTGATTTGCAGATAAAACACATGGCATTGGTTTAATGCATAATGCAGACCCTTGACATCTCTTTCAGCACTCAAAACAGTTTAGAACACTTATGTAGAGGATACCTTAGCCAACCACTGCTCCACCATCCTGTCTAATGTGTTCAGGCCTTCATAACAGCATTATTAAATGGCCCAGTCTCTGGACAAACGACTGCTTCCAGATTTAGAACATCCCATGTGTGCCAACCCTAAATATTTGTATTAATCTCAACACAAGCAGATGGGAGAAGAATACTTTGATTATGAAGAAACTTCTAAGGTTTCATGCTCAGGGAAATATTTTGAAAATATAAATATAAGTTTGCTCTTCACCAGAAAAGCTTAGGCAAAATAAATTTCCCAATATAAATTGTAGAAGAGAAATACAACAATTAGTGATTTAAATAGAATTTTCCTTATTCTATACATTAATATTAATGGATGCTTAATTACAACTAAAGGAATAAAGAATAAAAGAAAAACTATGTTTTCATATATTCATAGATATGATCAGACCCAGAAAATAGTTATATATTTTAATAGATAATATCCCTTTAGAATTCGTCTATGTGAATACATATTGTCCCCATGAATGTGTTTTAAGAGTCAGGTTGATCTCCAGTCATGTTTATTTTTCAACCATCTCATAAATAGTTACTATTATTTATGCCTTCTATTCTACGCCAATAGTGCAGTTAATGGGAATTATGTCATAAATACGGAAAAATGAGGGCCATCAAACTCATCTCACTGAGTTTTTGACAGGATTAAATGATGTAAAGAAGAGAACAAACACAATACATACAAACAGTCTCAGTTAATATTATTATTACATGCATGGTAAATTTAAAAGCTGATAGCAAGTAAACCACTAAAGGTTAACATTAGAAAACTGAAGAGTCAAGTATAAAATACAGAACTTTCTAATATCAGATTCTATGACTTCAATGATTCGAGATAGCAAATTTTTTTTCTCCTACCTACACTATTTGAACTCATAGCCAGTGTGGGTTATAGGATATTGGGCCACCACTTACTGTGCAATGGGAGATAGAATAATATGGCAGGAGAAAAAGGCAGCAGATTTTTATATTTGAAGCTCCAAACTATGAGGTCATTAGTAAAGTGAAGCAATTTAAGAACTAGCGTGATAGCAAATGAAAGAAGTTAATCATTATCTTTCAAATTATTTAAACTAAACGAAGACTGTGTCTACTAGGGAAGGAAGCAGGAGAACATGAGAAAAGAAGCTCAATGTAGTAGCAGAATGAGATCCCTGGGCATTTGCTAGCTTTCGTGGTGAGTCCTGGTGCCAGGCACCCCAGAAATGGCTCTGATTTTCGGGATGTGTGAGAGGCCTTACTCACTGGATTCCCCGAGATGAACAGGCAAGAGAGGACATTCCTTGTGCATATGGCCTTTCAGACAGAGTGTGAGGCCTGGAGGCAGCCAGCTCATTTAGTTGTGGCCAAGAGTTAGTGCAGTAAGGTATTGGAAGCTTCCTTCCTTTGGCTTCTAACTCCAAGACTGGCAAAGTCACAGGACACAGTTATGTACATGGTCTGTTGACATGGGCAAGGAAGGATATTATACATTACTTCAGTTACTCGATTATCTCTCAAGAGATCCTGGTGATACATGTAAGGACCATATAGGACAAGTTCTACATGGAGGAATAAGGTAGCAGAGGATTAAGAGATCATACACAGGGAAGGACGAGATCAATCCTACAAATGAGGAGGTGGCATGGAGCCACGCACCTGGAGAGTGGGGAGGTGCAGGAAAATGTCTTCTGATGATCAAAATAGCAGAGGAATCCAAGTTTGAATCAATTTACTTAGAAAAAACTAAGTACAATTTTAGGACTAATACAAAATGGAAGCTCATGACAATCATTCTGGTTATAGAGATAAATGTATCCTGCTGCATAATTGAGTTCTAACTATGAACCACATACCCACTTTTTCCACTTATTATTTCTTTATCTTTTCCTCCTTTTTTTTTCTTTTGTAACTGTGACTAAAGTTAACTCAATAGGATTTATCAATAATCAATAAAAATCACAATATTTGAGGCTTCACTTTAAAGTTTCTTCTCTATCCTCAGGCAGGAGAAAAATAATTCTACAATTTGTTTTTTGATATTTTTGATATGGTAATTCACAGCTGCCAGCTTGGAACATCTCACCTCTTCAAAGCTTTGAAGCATGGAGGATCTTTGAATATTTCAATATTTTGTCTCTTGCAATACAGAAGAGGAAAATCTGATTCCAGGAATCAAGAAAAAAAATTCCTTCAACTCTCAGCCAAAATTTAATGTCACAGAAACTAAAAGAAATATTTATAGCCCTTGGAAAAAGTATCATTAAGTTCATGAAACTCTACCTCATGATCAGTCAAATATAATGGCTTTTTGGCATATGTAGTTGATAAAAGCCAACCTCTTTGTTGATGAAAACGCTGACACTAATTATAAACTCTTATATTAATTAAAATTTCAATTAATACTTTGGCCTTCTAATTTTTAAGGTCAAGTAATTGGGAAACTTTTCTTTTTCTATTTTCATGTTTATTTTTGCTTATATTATGAGGTTTTGTATGAAATATCACACTGACATGAAGAAACATCTGTATTTTGAGATAGAAAAATAGGGGAGCGAGAAGGAAGTGAAACTCTGGGAACTTGAAACCTAAAACTGATTTTCAGCTTACTATGGATTTTCCAGGACCCTGGCAGAGAATTTATTGATAATCAATACTCAATAAGTAGATTTCAAATAACTAACTAAAAAAAGGCTCCACATAGTTGTACTTTGAAAGGAAGCATTTTATGTTCACAACACTTTAAGAAAGGCTATCTTAAATAAAGTTAAGCAAAAGCTTTCATTGGAGGACTTCTAAATTACCAACCAGCTTATTAAATACCTGTCAGCATTAGAATTTCACATATTTTTTAACAATAAATCATTTTTTTTCGGTTTTTGAATAACAGTGTTTTTTGAAATATAATTTGGGGCAACACTTGCTTGGAGGAAATTGTAAAAATATACTCTGAGAAAGTGACTTTTCACAATTTTTCTCTAATGAGTGAAAAAAGAGTGAATGTTATTCTTGCAATATATATCATTGATAGTAAATAAAAGCTAAATGGAAAAAAGGACAGCTACAAAATGAAATTTCCATTCCCAGCTGGAGTTCTTAACAATCTACCTCTAGTCTCCTGGGATAATTCTTAACATTTACAAATGAGAAAACGCTTTACAGAAACGTATTAAAGTATGGCATGTTTTTGAGACACACACTAACGATGCAACATTTTTAAATGAATCTGTAGTGGAAATAGCAAGGGACTAGCACACAATTTTCATAATCAGGAAGACATTTACATTTTCATAGCATTGTTATGGTTAGATAGGTCAATATGCATACCTTAACCCAATGTAAATTCATTTCAAATGAGTGAGGATAAACACGTTGTAAAGAGCAAATGAGCAATAAATGTGTGTACACTATCTGAGAAAGTAATAGTGATAACTGATATGATTTATAAATGTAAAACTTTATAAGAACACTTTCTAAGTACATGATTAAATGATTTTAACCCAGGGGTACAGATTTGGAATATCAAAATGAACTCAACTCAGAAGTTTCCTGTGAGTCAGGAAGAATGTTTATTTTTTTCAATTAAGAATTAAGAAGATATAGTAGATATCCAGTGTCTATTTTTGATTCAAAATAACTTTACTGATAAATTTAAAAATAGAGATGATTCAAACTAAATTTTCAGCCATAGGGCCAATAGTCTTATTGGTGAATAAAGACACTCTTACTGTAAAGAAGCACAACACATGGAAAACAGTGGCATGTGTGTGAGACTGAAAGAACCAAGAAACCTAGGATACTGTTTATCTGTGAAACAAAACATGCAGTGTTTTCCATTGCAGAATTGTTTGTAATAGTTGATATTTTAAAACAACCCATGAAGCCATCCAATAAAGGACCATTGAATGAGGCAAGTGCATCTTTACCATGGAGTACTCTACAGTCTTCAAAAATATGAGGAAGACTTCCATGCAGGATATTTCATTAAGTGAATTAGACAAAGTGTAGAATAGGATGAGGGTAAAGAGTAAATAGTAATTTACCTTTTCTGGGGGCACTGGGGGGGAGACAGAGTCTCGCTTTGTAGCCCAGGCTGGAGTGCAGTGGTGGATCACTACAACCTCTGCCTCTTGGGTTCAAGCAATTATTGTGCCTCAGCCTCCAGAGTAGCTGGGATTACAGCCATCCACAACCACATCTGGCTAATTGTTGTATTGACAGGGTTTCACCATGTTGACCAGGCTGGTCTTGAACTCCTGACCTCAAGTAATCCACCCACGTCAGCCTCCCAAAGTGTTGGGATTACAGGCCTAAGCCACCATGTCTGGTCAATACTAATTTACCTTTATATAAGAAACAGAAATAAAAATGTTCTTGTATACATTTGCTTATTTTTACTTAAAGTAATGAAAGTTTTGTAAAAACTAAAGGCTATGATTACACACTTGGGGGAGGAGGAGATGAATTAGAGGTGACAGACCTAGAAGCCATACTTCTCTGATTATTCCAGTTACTAGGATTTTGCCTTTCGAATTTTGTGATTTTATGACACATTCAAATCATCAAACAGCAAATCCTGAAATAAAGAGAAACACATGAGCCTAATGTTTTATCAAATCAGCAGTATGTTTACCCATGAAAGAAATTATTTCAAATAAATGAAACAATATAATGTTTATTCTTAGCAGGTACATTTCAAGCATAAAAAGAACTTCAAATGAATTTTCAACTACATTCAGAAAGTGGGTATTGATAAGAGTTATATTAGTATTGTGAAATATGCATATTGAAGGATAAAGTCAATGTATTATTGTTGTTAGAAACCAAGATCTCATCATAAGAAAAAAAGCTGAAAAATATAAAATCAAAAGGTTAGCCAAAACACATAGTAGTAAGTTTAAACTACACATATAAATATGAACTCATGATTTTTAGTATGTATTTTCTTGCACTGCTCACTAAAAGGAACTCAAAGATGAGACATCATAGTACCTTTGAACATGCCTAAAGCCTCTATTTCTTATCTTAATTTCTAAATATCACACTCCACTAAAAGAAGCAGGACTCCTTCGTAAATAGGCTGGTGCTTCTTTATTCATTGCCACCTGAACTCAAATTATACAATAGTAGAGGGAAACTTAAACTTAGCATTGCAAGTTAACTAAGTCATTTTCAGATGTTTCTAGTTTCATAAGACTTCCCTTTTTTCCTTTTTCTATTAAGATAAAATGTAACTATATAAAATGTTACATGAAAAATGAATAACGAAGATGTTTCAACAAAAAGTGTGACAGTCTACCCTTTAAAGATACTCTACAATACTTAAAAATAAATATCAGGTAGATGAAATATAAAAGAATAAAAAACCTATAAAAGTATTAGTTGAAAATATGAACATTTTAAAATAAATCTATGGATGCATAGAGCTTTCTGAAGCCAGGGACAAAGCTGAGGAGAAACAGCAGAATTATTGATGAATTTAAATTACGTTAAAAGAACTTGTTAACAAATTTACAATATTAGGAGAAAACATATGCAGTAGGAGGAAACATGGAAATAATCAATATACAAACTATTCAAGAAAGCCTTAGATATTAGTAAAAAAAAAATTAACCAAGGAAACAGTGGGCAAGGGACCCAGCCATGCAATTCACAGAAAGAAAATATAAACAATAACAGAGGATGGATGACTTACTGCTCCACTGATCAAGGCAACGCGTGTTAAAATGATGAGAAATTGGGGTGTTTTTACTTAATCAGTGACATGGTTTGTCTATGTGTCCCCACCTAAATCTCATCTCAAATTGTAATCCCCACATGTGGAGGGGGGACCTGGTGGGAAGTGATTGGACTATGGGGGTGGATTTCCCCCTTACTTTTCTCCTGATAGTGAGTGAGTTCTCACAAGATCTGGTTGTTTGATAGTGTCTGGTGATTTTCCTGCTCTCTCTCTCCTGCTGCCATGTAAGACATGCCTTGCTTCCCCTTTGATTTCCATCAGGACTGCAAGTTTCCTGAGGCCTCCCCAGCCATGTGGAACTGTGAAACAATTAAACCTCTTTGCTTTATAAATTACCCAGTCTTTGCTATTTCTTTATAGCAATGTGAAATATGACTAACATAGTCAGTTTTTTAAAAAGATTAATTACAAATAGCATTGAAGAGGATGTGGAGAATCAGTCATTCATAAATTATTGATAAAAATTTGTATTGGAAATGTAGTTTATCAGGATATTTTGACAATATTTAACAAAGGTAGAAATGGATATATATTTTGAACCAGTAAAAACCCCTACTAGGAATTTATTATGCTCATCCATGTGGACAATGAAGATAATATACATTAGTATGTAATAAGCTTGAAACAAATAACTTGGCACAATCTTGTAAATTTTAAATTATATATACCCTAGGAAGCATCAGGGATAATTACAAGTGGATATCCTAAAGCAGTGGTTCTCAAAGTCTGGCCTTTGCACCTCTGAGAATCCTCAAGACTTTTAATGAGGTCCATTAATTCAAAGCTATTTTCACATCTGCACTATGATGTTTTACTTTAGTTCTTTCACTGTGTTGACATTTGCACTGATGTTGCAAATGCTATGTGATTCACACTGCTGGAGTTCTGTTAAAAATGTCTTCATGAAGACACATGAGGACACACGGCATCATCAAACTGTACTAGCACTTTTTATTATTCACTACCTATGTAAGTTGCAAGCTGAACTAGCCACTTTTTAATGAAATATTACTTTTACTTGTAAGACTGGCAGGAAAACTAATGCTTTAGCAGCTATTTTCATAAAAATTAACAGGGAGCCAGTAATTCCAAGGAAAGCATTTGATGGCCTTTGTTGCCTGTGATAAAATGTGAGCATTCAAGTGATAATTAAAATTTTTAAAAACGTGTCCATCTATCATCATGAGCTTGATAGTTTCCCTATCTTAAAGACTTTTCTTATGAGAGGAGCAGTGACACTTCTCTCATACTATGTGAGATCAAATTTGATTTTTGTGAAAATGTAAACTCCAATTTGATTTTTTAAAATTTTTCATTGGAGGTATTACCACTTGGAAGAGCCATGTAACTTGGTGAACCAATATTTTCCAAATGACCAGTGTCTGAAGTTACAAGGTCGTGGATGAATAAAAGGTCCATTCAAAGTTCAAGATAGAGCAGCAGATTTTAATGTTATAGAGATTGAAATAGTCACTAATCCCACATTGCAAGTAAATTTTTAAAAATTACCTTTTGCTAAGTTTAATGTGTTATCAAATAAGAATATCCATAATAATCTAAAAAGGATTTTAAAATTGTCTTCCACTTTTCAGCTACATATCTGTGTGTGTCCCAACAAATTTAATGAATAAGTAGCTATCAGATTTCAGTTGCCTTCAATTAAGTCAATCATTAAAGAATTTATAAAAACATAAGCCAATTTTAATTTACTCAGTAATTTCGCTGTTTTTTTGGGGAATATACTCATAGTTTTCATTAAAAGTGATATTAATTAAGTAATTGGTTGATTTAAGCCAACTTGTTTTATTTGGCAAAGTAAAATAATACATAAATACTATCCAGCAAAAAACATAATATGTTGATATTAATAATTTCAGATTTCTCTTTGGCCCATTATATGGTTTTATATTTATAAAATGACATTGATTGTGATATATACCAATAATGTTTTTAAATGGATAAATAATAATTCTATATATTTATTGTGTACATGTTTTGAAATACATATACATTGTGGAATAGCTACGTATAGCTAATTAACATACTCTATAATGCACATACTTTTTTTATAGTGAGAACACTTAAGCCCTACTTTCTTATCAATTTTCTGGAATACAATATAGTCACCATATTATATAGTAAACCTCTCTCGCTTATTCCTCTTTTCTAACTGAAATTTAGTATCCTTAGACCAACATCTCTCCCCATTTTCTAGTCTCTGGCAACCACATTTTACTCTACTTTTGTGTGCTCAACTTTTTAAGATTCCATATACAAGGGTGATCTTGTGGTATTTCTCTATAGGAAATACCACATGGCTAATTTCACTGTCAACACAATTTCCTCCAGGTTCTTCCACATTGTTGTAAATGACAGTATTTTCTTCTCTTTTAAGCTGAATAGCACTCCATTTTGCATATCTACCACATTTTCTTTCTCCATTCATACAATTGATAAATGCTGAAGTTGACTACATAGCTTGCCTATTGTGAATAATACAACAGTGAATGTGGAGTGAATATATCTCTTAAAAATTTTTATATCAACATAAGTAGATTTATTATTTTAAATGTACTAACAATTTTAATGATAATTTTTAATTTCTAATATGCAAAAATTGGTAAGATAGAATTTAAACAGACGCTCTTTGAGGTCTTCAATAATTTTTAAATTACAAAAAAGTTTGAGACCAAAATGTATAAGAACCACCATCTTAGAAAAGCTCATGCAGCCTGTAATCCCAGCACTTTGGGAGGCCGAGGCAGGTGGATCATGAGGTCAGGAGATTGAGACCATCCTGGCTAATACGGTGAAACCCCAGCTCTACTAAAAATACAAAAAATTAGCCAGGCATGGTGGCGGGAGCCTGTAGTCCCAGCTACTCGGGAGGCTGAGGCAAGAGAATGGCGTGAACCCAGGAGGTGGAGCTTGCAGTGAGCCGAGATCGCGCCACTGCACTCCAGCCTGGGAGACAGAGCGAGACTCCGTCTCAAAAAACAGAAAAACGCATGCAGTTGTGCAACAGGATAGATATTAATAGCAATAGTGAACATAAATGTTAATAATAATATTCTTTGTAATCAATGAAAATTACCTAAAATTTAATGTTAATTAACAATTGGATAGAATAAATTGTAGTTATTCACAAAATAGTATACTACGAAATGATGACAAAAATGCCAGAGGTTGGGTGAAAAAAGCAAAAGTCAAATAAATTAACCATAATCTATGGATGGTGAAATTATAAAGAGGAGAAAGAAT
The DNA here is from genome assembly GCF_000001405.40 of Homo sapiens. Taxonomy (NCBI): domain Eukaryota; kingdom Metazoa; phylum Chordata; class Mammalia; order Primates; family Hominidae; genus Homo; species Homo sapiens. The sequence goes on from NC_000007.14 coordinate 53,563,844, forward strand.
GTGATCATGAAAAAGGCAGATGGAGTGACCATTACTTTGGGGTGAGGGAAGCATTTGGGATTGAGGTGGGACTTATGAAAATATTCTGTACTATTAAAATTCTGCTCCTGACCTCTGTGATTACATGAGTAAACACTTTATAATTATTAACAAACTCTCTATGCTCTTTATTGTTATAAAACATTATTTGTTTAGCTACTATTGGAGAAATATTTTCTCATGGGTTAGTTGGTTTCATTCCTGAGTATAATTAAATCATTGCATAATGAAAGAAGGTGGATTTAGAAGTGAACCAGAACTAGATATGCAGTCTAGCATCACAATTTACTGGGAGAGAAAAGTTACCCAATTTATTTCACTTCTCACAGTTTCATTATTCATTCTCCCTAGGGATGACAAAATTGGTTTCATAGGGTTGCTTTGAGCTTTAGTGAGATCTATAATGCAGCAATTGGTTGGCAATGCAATATAATGCACTTCTTCCATTTCTGTATCTGTTATTTCTAAGAAGACATCTCTGAAATCATTGTATTTTCTGGACGCCAGAAGTACTTTGTTCAGGAGGTATAAGGTGAAGGCTTATGTGAGCTTATTGCTTTCCTCATGACAACAGCTGCTCTCTGCTGTTTGGACTGAGTGAAGTGGATAGACAGTTGTTACCAACATGCAGAGAGTTTCTTAAGAGGAATTACCAGATAACTATAAATTGAAGTATTGAGTCAGGAAGCCAACAAGAAATTTGTGTATAAGAAATAGCAGTGAGGAGACAGTCTCTGGTAAGCACTTTTTGAAGTTCCAGGTGAGCAAAAAAGTCTCATTTATCTGCCTGCAAAGCAATAAATACTTGGAATTAGCTTTTTGGGATTAGCAGCTGCCAGGATTGTCAATGTCTGCAAATTAACATACTTATTTTAGAAATAGGAAAATGGCCTACACACTGAAAATCAATAATGAAAATCTTAATCCATACATAGATGCCTAATGTTAGTTCTTCTTGGACATTTTGATGTGAGGAATCCTTTGCTATCTTAAAATTCACAGATACATGTATCAATGTTAACCATATTAGAAATTAAACTGAGAAATTTAAAATGTATGCATTAAATGATTTATTTTAAAATAAACTCATTAAAGGTTAGTATAAATATTTTATGATAAATAACTATATTTTTAAGTAAAAATATATATATTGAGAAGAGTTGCATTGCTTTACACTTGGCAAATATGGCTTTAATGCAAGATAGCTTTATTGCCAAATGAGTTTCTGCAGTCAATCTCTTGTAATACTATGTGTAGTCTCTGGTAAACTACTACTCTCCACTTATGAGAGAATGAAACTGTCCACTTATGAGAGAATGAAAAAGACAAAGAAATAAAATAGTATTTTGAAAATAGTTCTGCATAGCAGACTTCCTGAAACATCTTGAAGATCCAGGTACACTTTGAAAACTGTCAGCCCAGAATATTGATGAAGCTCAGCAAGTAGGGGTGTGAGCAGGCCCACAGGCTGGCTCTGCTTGGAACATCAGCCTGCTGCAAGTACTGCCAGACTGTGAACTCCTTAAAGGTAGAAGCCATGGTGGATAGGGAAAGAAGTAAGGAGAAGAAGAATCAAAGGACATTACAGGTTGAAATGGGATTCTAGGCTGCTCAGGTTACTTTATAGTGTGACATGCCGTGAGGCCACCACACAGGATTTCCTGCATCTTTCCAATATTTGGAATGTGCTAGAATATCAGCAATACACAGACTAGAGCAGTAATCAAAATAAAGCATTTGCAACTCACTTCTTTGTCAAGATGTCATAACCAGAACTAAATATCATAAGGGATACAAGAATACCTCTTCCCTCGCACCCATTTGTCATGGCGTTAGACATAGATTTAAAGATGTCATAAAAATAAACTACATATTGTTAGTCTTTGACTCTAGGAGTAATACATGGGTTTTATGTTCTATTTGGGGACGTAGCAGGAAAGAGCAGGATCATTACTGGCAGAAAAGCAACTGTTGCTGGTGTTATCTTCAGGGAGGGGCAATAGGAAAGAAGACAGTGTGCTAGTTCATGTTACCTGAGGAGGCAACAAAAATCACTACCCACGTTACTCTCTCTCAAAATTATTTTTCTTTTGATTTTTTTCTGTTTCAATATAAAAAGAGATGAAAATCTGTGCGTGGACCTGCCAATTTTAGTTTATGTCTTCTCTAGATGTTTTCATACGAGGAAAAGTAGGTAACTTTTTTTTCATACCTGGAAAAATAAGTAGCTTAAAATGTTCTCCAAGAATGTTACTTTATTCTTACTAATCTTACACTGATTTCATGAAAAATAAGATGAGCGTAGAGTATACTGATAGCTTCTATTCTCCCACGTTGAGCTTCAGAGACCAGATAAACCTTGGTAGTGCCAATTTCTAAATAGAACAGTCCCCTAAAGTATAGTATCATTTACATAACTAAAGAGGAAATTAATTCTTCAGTTTTGAAATTAAGTTAATGACTAGAGTTGTTGGGTCTGAAGCTGGACCTCTGTAACCTAAATTCATTTTTTTTTCAAAATGAAATTGTAATAGTAATAATAGTATCTATCACATTTTGTTGCTAAAATAGTTAAATGCTAAGCACCTGGCATGTAGTAAGTGCTTTTTTTTTCCCCCGAGACAGACTCTCTCTCTGTCGCCAAGGCTGGAGTGCAATGGCACGATCTCAGCTCACTGCAACCTCTGCCTCCTGGATTCAAGTGGTTCTCCCACCTCAGCCTTCCGAGTAGTTGGGATTACAGGCACACACCATCATGCTCGGCTAACTTTTGTATTTTTGTAGAGACAGGGATTCACCATGTTGGCCAGGCTGGTCTTGAACTCCTGACCTCAGGTGATCTGCCTGCCTCGGCCTCCCAAAGTGCTGGGATTACAGGTGTGAGCCACGGCACCCGGCCATGTTCTTTAAATATAAGTTGTACGAATAGTATTAGCTCTGCAGTGATCCCAAGTAGCATCAGTTATAGTTACAATAACAAGAGCAGCAAGCTCTTTGGGGAATCACAGAACTTCAACAGATATTAATTGGCCTACATGGGCAATGCTGCCTCATGATAAAGGGACACTACAAATGTTTCACTCTCACTTCCAGGCTCAGCAAGCAATATGCTTAGGACACAGACCCCAGATTTCAGAATAAGATATCTGTGCTAAGTGCTAATATAATGCCTATTATCTAATTCCTTAATTCTTCAAAAATAGATAATCTAAAAGTGTTTACTTAAATCTAAATCCCAGTGTTGCCTCACAGAGATTAGTTGAGCTATGACATTTCACATTTAACTTCTGTTCTAATGCTAGCCATTGAAGAGTTTAACTATTAAAAGTGCTAGACATATTCTCTATGAACAGGAACAATCCACCCGCCTGACTCAGATGGGTTTTTCCAAACCAGGGGCTCTTGACAAGCAGCATCTGCATCCCCCTGGTGCTGATAAGAAATGCACATTTTCAGTCCCACCCAGCATGTAGAGAATTGGAAAATCTAGGCTTGGGGCACAGGAATCCATGTTTTATCAAGGCCTCTATTTGATTCTGATTGACTCTAAAGTGTGAGAACCACCAGTCTACACATCAGCCCCCTCCACAGGGAAATGTGGCAAAACATGGCCAGTGTGTGGTCGTGCAGCCAGTTTGGGAGATAGTTGAGGCTGCCCCACTTTGTCTCGAAGGCTCTGCACACAAGACATACAGCGACGTGGGTCCTTTGCAAAGCCCAGCCACACAGGCCATCAGAATTGGTGACATGTTTAAAAGATCAGACCTTTGGTGGGAGAATTGAGGCATGCAGACACAATTGTGCAGACAGTGTGAATTTGGCTGAAGAAAAGTTATACATGAAGGAAGCTAGGTTGGTCAAAGGACAAGCTAGGCATGAAAAGAAGTCTTATAATTGAGATAACTCTAAACTCAATCCCATTAAAATAATAATTATGATAAAAACAATTAAAAAAAACAGTAATTGGACATAGCTAGAAATATCACAAATCCAGGCTGTACTGACTCAGAAAGAAGATGTAGGCAATAGTTCTCAAATAGGACAATTTTGTCACTCCACCCCAGGGCATGTTTGGAGACACTTTGGATGTCACAACTGAGGGAAGAAGATGCTACTAGAATTTAGTGGGGTGCTACTAAACATCCATAGTTCATCAGACTGTGCAACAGAGTACAGGACTGTACAGCAGAGAATTATCTGGCAAAAAAATATCCACAGTACTGAGCTTGAGAAGCCCTAATCTAGATGCACGTAGTGATAGATACATACATTTAAAGTTGCCCCATGTCCATCCAGTCCATTTACATTATTCCAAGAGTTTTCCATTTTAATTCACAACCTATTGTGAATTTGATAGATGAATTTCTATAAAGTTAATCAATATAATTAATCAGTAGAGGCAATTTTAATCATTAATACAGTAAAAAGAAACACTTTTTTTGGCTGTGCAAATCGACCTGAACTCAGGGGCTTTTCTGTCTTTTCTTTCATTTATTCTGAGGAGTAAAGATATAGCCTCAGCAACACTCCTCATGGTCCAATTTATTAGTTTCAGAAAAAGAATAGAATGACATGGAGAATATAGTCTGCACATATTTGACTTTTATCTCTTGCTCATTTAGCTTCAGCAACGATAGAAAAAAAGCAAAAAAGCATTCACTAAAAGCTGTTTGGGACTGCCTAGCTCCCTCTTTATCACACAAATTGACTTTTTGCCAATGTTTTACTCCTGTTGGCTTCAATTACATAAGAATTAATTTTGCCTGGCACAGTTAGTCAGTGCATACTTAAGGTATAATATTCTAAGATTTTGGTAGTAATTCATTTATACTGTGTCTATTAAATAGACTTAAAGCTATCTTGAATTTAATTGGTAGGCCAATTTTTTATACTACTGGCCAGTGAATCACCATATCCTTTTTTAAATAAGTTGAGACCTGTCATATCTATGTTACAACCACAGATGACATTCTGCAGGTGCACTATAAATGAGAAAGAACTTTTACAAAAGGCCTTAAAAGAGGACTTTCCTCAAATACCAAACCAAAGATAACAAAGTCTTTTTAGGTGAGACTTTCTTTACAATCAGAATATAAATGTGAGACATTGGTGAGGTATTTGTTGAATAAACCATATGTTTTCCAGCTATAAAATGTGTCACTTAAACTACATGTCTGATGTCACTCCTCCTTTGGAAGTGAAATTTGATAACCCTTTGATTCTATGAATCTTGCATATATGTATAAGAGTCAAGTATGGGTAGTATTTGAATATTATTCTATGATATTATGTTTTTATGTAATATACATGTTATTTATCCCATAAAAAAATTGAATAATGTTATCTCAATTTAAGTAAAAAAATAGACTGACAATTTTCTATAGTACTTCTAAAGTCTTCATTTGCAGACATATCTTCAAGGTCCATTGCGTACATACAAATATAACCTTGGGTTCACTTATTTATTGTTGTCCCAGCTAAATTCTACAGTTTTGTGGTTGGTAAAATAAACATCTATGTGTTATCCATGCAATCCCTCAATACACACAGAAAGTATATATTTATGTGCTGTATAGAAGAATATTATTTCCCTGACATACTTTGGCTAGTACAAACTAAAATATTCTACACAACAAGGAATAGACATTGAAAGAAAAAATCATGGGTAGCAAGCTTTTTTTTCCTTTTTTTAAACATTATTACAAGTTTCAATAGAGCCTTCCCCTTGACTACATAAAAAGTAATCATTTGCCCATGTGGTTTGATGAAAAGATTCCTCAGCTGTAGCAGTCTTCCTTATCCTCAAGCTTGAGCAGAGCAAGTATGTAGCATGCTGGAACTTTATACTAGGTGTGAAGCTGAGCAAATAGCACTGAAAAATTATACCAGAAGTTATTTGCAAATATGAATGTGTCGAATAATATTGAAATATGTCAGGATTTTCTATTCACCTTTGCTATTAAATTATATCTTAATCTCTCTATGGTTAAATAAAATACTGAGAAGCCATGCAATTCTTTGAAGTTTATTGATATTTGCTTTATACGGCCCATATTTGGTTAAAATTAATAATGTACCTTGTGCACCCAAAAGAATATGTGTTCTGCCATTGCGCAGTAAAATGTCATGGTTAGTTATATACGTGTAGATAGATAGATGGTAAACAGTTCATAGATAGATTGGATTATATACTATCTTCATAAATTAACACACATGTGCATATTAACATGCCACTCATTCTTTGACCTCTATTTTCATGCTAACACTTTTCTCTCTCTTTAAAAACTAGCTGTTACTTCCAGATTATTGTTTTAGTAATCTAATAAATTACATTTTTGTAAATAAATCATTAATCAGATTAATAAATTTACAAACTAAATAAATAATCCATATAGTCTGTATTAGTCAGGGTTCTCTAAAGAGACAGAACTAATAGGACAGATATATAAGTAAACAGGAGTTTATTAAGGAGTATTAACTCACATGATCACAAGGTCTCACAATAGGCCATCTGCAAGCTGAGGAGCAAGGAACCCAGTCAAAGTCCCAAAGCTGAAGAACTTGGAGTCCAGTGTTTGAGAGCAGGAAGCATCCAGCACGGGAGAAAGATGTAGCCTGTGAGGCTAGGCCATTCTAGTCTCTTCATGTTTTTCTGCCTGCTTTATATTCTGGCCATGCTGGCAGCTGATTAGGCCCACCCAGATTAAGGGTCTGCCTTTCCCAGCCCACTGACTCAAATGTTAATCTCCTTTGGCAACACCCTCAAAGATACACCCAGGATCAATACTTTGCATCCTTCAATCCAATCAAATTGACATTCAGTATTAACCATCACACAATCTTATAATCCATGAATAATTTCACTGTGAAATCCTTCCTGAGTTCTCTTGTAAGTGAAAAGGTTTGGTTCTGTGTCCCCGCACAAATCTCATGTTGAATTGTAATCCCCGGTGTTGGAGGTGGGCCCTGGCAGGAGGTGATTTGATCTTGCGGGTGGTTTCTGAAAGTTTGGTGCTATCCCCTTTCTGCTGCTCTTGTGATAAGATTTTCATGACATCTGGTTATTTAAAAGTGTGTGGTACTTCCCATCTCTCTCTTGGTCCTGCTCCTTCCATGTGAGACACCTGCTCTCCCTTTGCCTTCTGCCATGAGTAGAAGCTCCCTGAGGCCTCCCCAGAAGCAGATGCTGCCATGCTTCTTGTACAGCCTGCAGGACTGTGAGCCAATTAATCACCTTTCTTATAAATTCTTGTATTTCTTTATAGCAATGCAAGAGTGGACCAAAACAGTAAGTATTCACATATAAATATATAAATTATATATATATAGATATTCAGTAAAATGAGATCATAATAGGCATCTCTTTTGAAACATTCTTACCACAGATGTAATTCTATGAATATATTTCCATGACAACCTAGACTCATGTGGTCATTTGTAATGGATGCATGATATTATATTAAATGAATTTAACACCCTTTTTCCTTCCTCAAATGTGCATGAAGCCAAAGATGGTACTATTTTTTTTTCTCTTTGTGCCTGTGTGTGTTTCTTGAGTGTTGGTTGCATTGAAAGCTACTCTAAAATCTATCTCTCAAAATTATATTAGCTTATATGTCAGTTTCCTGATTAACCTTAAGAAAATGTTACATTCTTAAAAAAATTCATGTTTACGTGAAATGCTCTTTCCCTATTCATATGCACATTATACTTCCACATCTAAATAAGAACATATTTTCTTCTGACACTTTGCTTAAAATCATGCAGCTCCCTCTTCCTTCTCCTGGGTCTGAGGTGAGCCCAGCTCATTTCAGAGTTAATACCACATGGAAGACAGCTGAGGAGGAGCAGCGGTAAGAAAAGCGGCAGTGGAGGATTTCTTCATTTTTGATACTCTCTAGCTGAACAGTAATTCTGCCCTGCCTTGCCTCACAACTCTCCTGGCCTGGGAGAAGAGACATGTGTCCCTAGAAGAAATTGAATATGACTGACTGATGGGAACACAGGTGACTCCTTCTTATAAACCATGAAACAAATTTGCGCTTTTTATTTTCTTATAGTTAAGAGAAAACCTTATATAAATTGGCATGTGAATTACAAGAACATGGCAGGGCATGAAATTTCTTGAAGAAAAATTCTTTCTTTTGTCTTGTAACACATTATGAATTTTTTTAAAGAAAGTAAAGGTGGATATATTTTAAACTCTGATTATTATATATTCGGTATTGCTATTTACTGAGACACTAATATCTATTTTGTCTATTTGTTGAAATTTGGGTATTCTATTGGCAGTGGAAAAACATGCACCAAGAACTTATAAACTAAAAATGCCAAATTGCCAATTATTAAAGAAGAACTCTCTGTTGGAGTGATAGGAGCAATCTAGGAAAAGTGTATGCTTAATATGCATACATCTTCACATATATATACATACCTATACGTGCATGTATACATATATGTGTGTAGATAGATCTAGCTTACATAGCTAGTATTAGGACTAGAAAAAGGTTGACAAAATTTTCAATCATTAAAGATTTCATAAAGCCCCAACCCCAAGTAGAACATTTTGTGTCCTAATTGAAGTTATTCTTAAAAACTATGACTGCTCATTTACATATGAAATTAAGTATTTTACATATCAGTTGAACTACTTTTGTGAGAACTTTAATGAGGAGCAAAAATGATATTTATTCTCTAGGAAATCTTGATTGGCATTTTAGGTTATAGAGTATCAAACACATATTTCAATGTATTTGAGAATTTATGGCCTGTCTCAAGTCCATATAGAGACTGATGAATAGTATGGTAATTATTTAACTGAGAAGGCATTTGTTTTATTTTTTATATTAGAATATCTTAAAAGTGTCTTAAATTGTTTCATCCTAGTGAGTGTGGATGTGGATTTAAATATGAGCTAAAAGCCGAAGTCTTTAAATTCCCAATAGAAAATTTAAATCTTAGATTCCTAAGTCCAAACACAATAAATAAAAGTTACCAGGCACAAGAGTTTTATGCCAGTCAAACTTAAAAATAATATTCATATAAAGCAATCCAGAGTGTGGAGGCTCTGGATTGGTTTTCAAATAAGGAGGAATCATACAAAGTTGCAGCTTGAGGTACAAGTAGATTTTGTACAAACTCAATTTTTTCCCTGCACTATTTGGCACACACTGCAGTTTGCTCTTTTAAGTCAACTTTTTCTCAATTCTGATAATGACAAAGTATCATCTTTTTATAACGTATTTTCTGCTGAGTACAGTTTTTAATATTTCAGAGAAAAAGATATTACTGATGCAGAATGTTCATTTGCACTGGGAAAATGGACAAGGACTTTATGAAAAGTTGATTCAAATCTAGGGCTTGCACAGTGCCCAAGCTTTTTGAATATTTATATTTTTGGCTATACCAATGGCAAGACAAACATTATAAAATGAAAGATTTTACAAGGAAAAGAAGAAAACTTGTGTGCATGCGATGAGAACTTAGAATGGAATAGGAAAACCTAGATTGTAGTGTGTGCAAGAAAGAGTAAACTGGGCAGGTCTAGATGCTCAAACCCTAAACACTTTTAAGAAAGCCCTGTTTTCTGAACTGGATTTTGGTTGGCTCCAAGGGACCAAGCTGTTGGAAAATCCTGTCTGATAAGAGTGTTTTGGCATGCCTGAAACCTTGAGCCACACTCTTCCCATTTGTCCAGATAAATTATGGTAAAACTGTGATTTAGGATGAACATCTGCTTTTTCTATGGGGGTTTGAAGCTCGAGTAACTGAAGTCAATCACACAGGAACTATAGCCCTGTAAAGCTAACTCTCAATGAAAACCCTAAACACTAAGGCTCACCTGAGCCTCCCTGGTGGGCAGAATTTTGCATGTGTTGTCTCACATCATTGTTGGAAGACTTAAGCACATCCCATGCTTCTCTCCTTGGAAGGAGCACCTGAAAGCTTAGACCTGATTTCCTCCAGACTCCACCCCATGCCCACCATATGCCTTTTCCCTTTGCTAATTTTGCCCTCCATCATTTTCCTGTCATAAACTACAACCATGAATATAACAATTTCGAAGTCTTATTAGTCCGTCTGATGAATCCCTGATCCTCAGGGTACTGGGGACACCGCATGAAGGGTGTATAGAGTTTCTCTGCTCAGTTCCCCTGGGCCCCTCTCCATGAATCTTACAATTGTTTCTCCCATTAAAAGTGTTTTTTAAAATCTTGGAGGAGTGAAAATTGTGGATAAGAGGAAGGGTTAAGTTGCAGCTCCCACTGGGACAGACAGAGCAGCGTGTGGAGACACACATCATGAATGTTTGCTCCAAGAACTACTGCAGAAACATACCAGGAAAGCTGAGAGAATCCACAGACCCTCTGAAGGAAGTGGATTGCTCCTGCAGGACCCAGAAAGCAGCTCAAATACTGTGAGTGCCCAAACTGTGAAAATGGGAAATGGAGATCATCCACACTCTCACTGGGGAACCTGAAGGTCTGGATCACATGAGAAGATTCTGACCTTACCTGGAACTGGGTCATTTAGAAAGCTGAGTGAAATACAGGGGTAGAAGAAGCAGCAGGAAAAGCCCTGTCAGCTCCTTGGGCCCCAGGGAAGCCATTCCTGATTTGTCTCACAGGGGTCCTTGGGGAGGGCTGCCAGAAGAACTGGAAAAAGACCACAGTGAGAAGGAAACATCCAGCTAAACTTTGTAACAATTCCAACCAACTGTGACATCTCCTAGTCAGAACTCTGAGGAGGGCACGAATCCAGTGTGCAGACTCAACAGGCATGAAGGTGCAAAAGCCTTGCTTGCTTTCTCAGCGGGGACTCTGGTGGCCTGGGGCAAGTTCTTAGCCTCACTAACCCACCGTCTGGAAGCAAATTCCTTGCTATTAGGTGGGGTGCGGGGGGGCATGGTGGGAGTGAGACCAGCCTTTTGGGTTGCATAGGAGCTGGTTGAGGCCTGTAGCTGCCGGCTTTCTCCGACTTCCCTGACAAGCTGCATGACACAGCAGAGGCAGCCATAATTCTCCTGGGAACATAACTCCATTGACTTTGGAACCACAACTGCATCCCCCACAGCAGCTGTAGCAAACCCTGCCCAATGAGAGTCTGAGCTCAGACACGCCTAACCCTGCCTCCACCTGATGGTTCTTCCTTACCCACCCTGGGAGCTAAAGACAAAGGTCATATTCTCTTGGGCGTTCTAGGGCCCTGCCCACCCTCTGATTCTCCCTATACTACCACAGCTGATGCCCTCTTGAAAGCACCACCTTCTGACAGGAGGTCAACCATCACAAAACTAGCGCATCAAACATCTACAGGACCCTCACAGAGTCTATTTCACTCCCCTGCCACCTCCACTGGAGCAGGGGCTGGTATACATGGCTGAGAGATCTGAAGATGCTTCACATCACAGGATTCTGTGCAGGCACCAGTACCATCCCCGAGCCTGGTAGCTCTGATGGGTGGCTAGATCCAGAAAAAAAATAACAATCACTGCAACTTGGCTCTCAGGAAACCACATCCCCAGGAAAAGGAAGAGAGTACTACATCAAGGGAACACCCCATGGGACAAAAAATCTGAACAGAAGCCTTGAGCCCCAGATCTTCCCTCTGACATAGCCTACCCAATGAGATCTTCCCTCTGACATAGCCTACCCAAATGAGAAGGAAACAGAAAAACAATTCTGGTAAAATTATGAAACAAGGTTTTTTAACAACCCCCCAAAAAATCACACTAGCTCACCAGGAATGGATCCAAACCAAGAAGAAATTCCTGAATTGTCTGAAAAATAATTCAGAAGATTGAGTGTTAAGCTAATCAAGGAGGCACCAGAGAAAGGTGAAGTCCATCTTAAGATAATCTAAAAAAAAAGATACAACATATGAAGGGAGAAATCTTCAGTGAAATAGATAGCATAAACAAAAAACCATCACAACTTCAAGAAATAAAGGACACAGAGAAATGCAAAATGTACTGGAAAGTCTCAGCAATAAAATCAAACAAGCAGAAGAAAGAACTTTAGAGCTCAAAGACAAGGATTTCTAATTAACACAATCCAACAAAGACAAAGAAAAAGGAATTTAAAAAAATGAACAAAGCCTCCAAGAAGATTGGGGGTATGTTAAATGACCAAACCTAAGAATAATCGGTATTCCTGAGGAAGAAGGTCATTCTAAAAGTTTGGAAAACATATTCACGGGAATAATCAAGGAAAACTTCTCTGGCCTTGCTAGAGACCTAGACATTCAAATACAAAAAGCTCAAAGAATACCTGGGAAATTCATCGCAAAAAGATCATTGCCTAGGTATGTTGTCATCAGGTTATCTAAAGTCAAGATGAAGGAAATAATCTTCAAAGTTGTGAGGCAAAAGCACCAGGTAACCTATTAAGGAAAATCTATCAGATTAACAGCGGATTTCTCAGTAGAAACCCTACAAGCAAGAAGGGATTGGGGCCCTATCTTCAGCCTCCTTAAACAAAACAATTATCAGCCAAGAATTTTGTATCCAGTGAAACTAAGCTTTATAAATGAAGAAAAGATACAGTCTTTTTCAGACAAACAAGTGCTGAGAGAATTCACCACTACCAAGCCAACACTACAAGAACTGCTAAAAAGAGCTCTAAATCTTGAAACAAACCCTGGAAACACATCAAACAGAACCTCTTTAAAGCATAAATCTCACAGGACCTATAAAAGAAAAATACAATAAATAAGTAACCAAGGTATACAGGCAACAAATAACATGAAGAATGGAATAGTTCCTCACATGTCAATACTAACGTTGAATGTAAATGGTCTAAGTGCTCCACTTAAAAGATACAGAATTTCAGAATGGATAAGAATTCACCAAGCAAGTATCTGTTGCCTTCAAAAAACTCACGTAACACAGAAGGACTCACACAAACTTAAGGTAAAAGTGTGGAAAAAGATATTTCATTTATCTTTTGTAATTTTTTTTCTGTTTCAAATTCATTTAGTTCTGATTTGTTCTTGATTATTTATTTTCTTCTGCTGGGTTTGGGTTTGGTTTGTTCTTGTTTCTCTGGTTCCTTGAGGTGTGACCTTAGATTGTCTATTTGTGCTTTTTTAAACTTTTTGATGTAGGTATTTAAGGCTATGAACTTCCCTCTTATCACCACCTTTGCCATATCCCACAGGTTTTGATAGATTGTGTCATTAATGTCGTTAAGCTCAAATAACTTTTAAATTTCCATCTTGATTTCATTGCTGACCCAATGATCATTCAGGAGCAGGAGAACTGGAACAAGACAAGGATGCCCACTCTCACCACTTCTATTCAACATAGTACTCAAAGTCCTAGCCAGACCAATCAGACAATAGAAAGAAAGAAAGGGCATCCAAATCTGTAAAGAGGAAGTCAAACGGTTGCTGTTTGCTGTGATATGATTTTATACCTAGAAAACCCTAAAAACTCCTCCAAAAAGCTCCCAAAACTGATAAATAAATTCAGCAAAGTCTCAGGATACAAAATTAATGTACAAAAATCAGTAGCTCTGCTATACACCACCAATGACCAAACTGAGAATCAAATTAAGCACTTAACATCATTTACAATTGCTGCAAAGAAAGTAAAATACCTAGGAATATACCTAAACATGGAGGTGAAAGACCTCTATAAAGGAAACTACAAAACACTGCTGAAAGAAATCATAGATGACACAAACAAATGGAAACACGTCCCAAGCTCATGGACGAGTATAATCAATATTGCGAAAATTACCATACTGCCAAAAACAATCTACAAATTCAGTGGAATTACCATCAAATTACCACCATCATTCTTCACAGAACTAGAAAAAATAATCCTAAAATTAATATGGAACCATAAAATAACCAAAGGAAGACTAACCAAAAGTCCTTTTGCATAACCTATCCTTTGGCATAGCTAAAGGAAGACTAACCAAAAAAGTAAATCTGGAGGCATCACATTACCTGATTTCAAATTACACTGTAAGGCCATAGTCATCAAACAGCATGGTACTGGAGTAAAAATAAGTACATAGACCAGTGGAACAGAATAGAGCACCCAGAAATAAACCCAAATACTTAGAGCCAACTGATCTTCAACAAAACAAACAAAAGCATAAAGTGGGGAAAGGACACCTTATTCAACAAATGGTGCTGGGCTAATTGGTAACCAACATGTAGGAGAAAGAAACTGGATCCTCATCTCTCACCTTATACAGAAATCAACTCAAGATAAATCAAAGACTCAAATCTAAGACCTGAAACTATAAAAATTCTAGAATGTAACATAGGAAGAACCCTTCTAGACACTGACATAGGCAAAGCCTTCATGACCACAAACCCAAAAGCAAATGCAACACAAACAAAGGTGAATAGGTGGGTTTTAATTGAACCAAAGAGCTTCTGCACCGCAAAAGGAATAGTCAGGAGAATAAATAGCTCAGAGAGTGGGAGAAAATCTTCACAATCTATACACCTGACAAAGGACTAATATCCAGAATCTACAAGGAGCTCAAACAAATTAGCAAGAAAAGGACAATCCCATCAAAAACTGGGCTAAGGACATGAGAAGACAACTCTCAAAAGAATATATACAAATGGCCAACAAACATATGAAAAAAATGCTCACCATCACTAATGATCAAGGAAATGCAAATCGAAACCACAATGCAATGCCACCTCACTCCTGCAAGAATGGCCATAATAAAAAAGTCAAAAGATAATAGATATTGGTGTGGATGCAGTGAAAAGGGAACACTTCTACACTGCTGGTGGGAATATAACTGGTAAAACCACTATGGAAAACAGTGTGGAGATTCCTTAAAGAACTAAAAGTAGAACTACCATTTATTCCAGCATTCCCACTACTGGGTATCTACCTAGAGGAAAGAAGTCATTATAAGAAAAAGATACTTGCACACTCATGTTTATAGCACCACAATTCACAATTGCAAAAGTATGCAACCAACCCAAGTGCCCATCAATCAATGAGTGGATAAAGAAACTGTTATACATATATATACACACACACACACACATACACACACACACACGTACACACACACACACACACACACACACACAAAAGGAATACTACTCAGCCATAAAAAGGAATAAATTAATGGCATTCCTAGCAACCTGGATGGAATTGGAGACTACTATTCGAAATGAAGCAACTCAGGAATGGAAAACCAAACATCACATGTTCTCACTCATAAGTGGGAGCTAAACTATGATGATGCAAATGCATAAGAATGATACAATTGACTTTGGGGACTTGGGGTAAGACGGGGTTGCAGGTGAGAGATAAAAGACTACAACTTAGTTTCAGTGTATACTGCTCGGGTGATGGGTGCACCAAAATCTCACAAATCACCACTAAAGAACTTACTCATGTAACCAAATACCACCTGTTCCCCCAAAACCTATGGAAATAAAAAAATCAAAGAATAAACAAATAACAAAATAAAATGCCACAAAGCTACAAAAGAGAAAAAGGTCTTTTTAAAAACCTTGAGCTTTTTCCTTTTTTTGCATAGGTTCTTATGACTACTACAGGGTCATAAGAATCAAAAGGAAATACCCAGAGCTGGCTAAAAGGCGCTGAAAATAGTGCTACCATACTCTTTGCATGGAACTCTAAACTGTTAATTTTTTTTAAGAAATTGGTTTAAAAAATTATAGTTTCAACAAGAATTAATAATAGTGAAAGCTACCTACAACTTGCTCTTTATTGCATATTATTTTTAAATTAAGGACAAACAATACAAAACTTTATGTGGTAACTGAAATGTTATATCTCTTTGCTAATGACTTGTCTCATTCAGTTTAGGGGGAAATTGAACACCTTTTTATATTTTTAAAACATTTAATGCTTTTTTTCTGTCAATTGCCTATTCACATTTTATGCCCTATCTGTTCATTGCTATTCTACTTATTAATATTAGAAAAAATTCTTTATATATAAAGAAATTTTATAATTTTCCACAAATGTCAAAAATTATTTTCCTAAATGTCATTTGCATTTGAATTTAATTTTTTAAAAAATACAATACAGAAATGTTTTACTTTCATTTCTATAATATGATTTTATTTATCTATGGTTTATGTAGTTTATATGTCTTAACACCTTTATAATAAAGTCTTCCATATATACAATATCTCAATTATTCTAAAAGTTTCACTTATAGTTTGGATATGGCACTTCTGAAATATAATTAGGTATAAAAAAGGAATAAGATTCTGATTATTTTCTTTATTTTTATAATTTTATATTAAATGGACAAATTCTTTGAAAGGCACAAACTACCAGTGTACAGTCATGAAACAAAAAACCTGAATAGTTTCTCTATATATTAAATAAGTTGAATTTGTGATTGAACACTTTCCAGCAAAGAAAAGTTCAGGTAGCTTTATTGGCAAAGTTAACAAAATTTTAAAGGAATAAATGATATCAATTATGCACAGTCCTCCAAAATATTAAAGATGAGGGTTTGTTTCCTAATTTATTCACTGGAGGCAACATTGCTGATGAAATCAACCAACACACACACACACACAAAGATACTGCCAGATAGTAAATGTAGTCATAAATATCCCTTATAAAAAAAAAACAATGAAATATTAACAGATCACTTCTAGCAATATATAAAGAGAATAGTATACTGTATTCAACTGGAGTTTATCCCAGCAATGCAAAGTGGGTTAAACATTCAAAATAGCTAGAGGAGAAGAACTGTAATGCTCCCAACACAAAGAAAAGGTAAATGTTTGAGGTGATGTATATCCCAATTACTCTGACTTGATCATTATATATTGCATATAAGTATCAATATATCACATGTACCCCAATATATGTATAACTATGATATATTAATAAAAATACACAAAAATAAAAATAAAATCAAAAAATTCACACACAAAAAGTGCAAACCATGCATTATTTTAATAAAAATTTGTTAAATAAATAAAACCATAAAAGGAACTGTGAATTAATTTCATTATATCAAAACTTTTACAATCTGTACAAAAGAGAGTAGCATGAGGACAAAAGCAATTCGCAAGCTGGAAGAAGTGTTTTCAGCATATATTAATAACAAGAAACTGTTATACAGAGTGTATAACAAACCCCTACAAATATAAAATAAATAAACAGAATAATGGGCAAAGGATATAACATAGCAACTCTTAGAAGAGAAGATGCAAGTAAGTAATTATTAAAGATTAAAATCAACACAACCTCACTAGTTATCTGGAAATATAATTAAAACAAGGAGCTATTATTTCATGCCATCCAGTCAGGGAAAACCAAAGGGTCTTGAAATGTCAAGTCTTGGAGAGGAAGTAGGGAAACAGAAACTCACAGAAGTTGCTGCTTGATGCATAGAAATTCAAGAAGAATTTGGCAATATCTAGTATATTGGACAAAACCTACAGACTACACCAATCTCTTCCTTAGTATCTTTAGGTGCAAATGTGAGAAAATGCATGACTAGGTGCACAAGAGTACATGCTTAAAGGTAATCAAAGTGTCCCTATAACAGTTCAAATTTGAAACAACTAATATGTGCATAGTCATACAAGTAAATAAATGAATTCTGGTTTATTTTGAAAAAGAAAATAAATGTCAATTGATGCAATTGCCCATATATACAGACTAAAGAAGGAATCCACAGGACCATCCTAATGGATAGAGATAAAACATTCTTAAAAATTCACCATATAGTCAGAACAAAAATGTCAGGAAACTATAGATAAAGAGAATGTCATCAAACTGAAAAAGGGCGCCTACCAAAAAACAACTCACATTATATACTGTGGTTAAAGCCTGAGTTATTTTCCCCTCAGAATGTAAACCATCAAGGATGTACACCATCGCCATTCCAACTAAATTCAAGGTCCTAGCTTGTATAGGAAGGCAAAAAAGAGAAATAGGAAGTATATAGGTAAGAAAGGAAGAAATACAACTGCCTCTGCTCACAGATGACACAATTATTTACATAGCTAATTAAAAAAATGTCAGACTCATACTACAGAGTTCAGCTTATGAGATATTCTGGAGAAATTAAAACTACTTAGATGAAACACAGATTAGTTGTGCCTAGGAGTTGGGAGTGAGAAGAAGGTTTGACAACCAAGTTGTATGAGCAAAGATATTAGGGTGGTGAGTCTTGTCTCTCTGGCAACTACACAACAATATATATTTGTTAAAACTCATAGAGCTGGGCACCAAAGAGGAGATTTTACTGTATGAAAATTATATCTGAATTTTAAAAACATTTTAGTTTACCTAATAGCACATTTCTCTCTGATTATATTTCTCATTGTAGACTGAATTATTGTGTTATTTGTATCTGTTCTATTCCTATGATCAGTTTCTCAAATAACAGGCTAATCATAAGGTATTTTTCTTACAGCAATTTTTAATACATGTTAACAAATGATGATAGTACTCTGTCATTACTTAACTTTTTTTTCAGAATGTTTTTGGATATTGTCAAACATTTAAATCTCTATACGATCTTTTAAAAATTATCAATATAAAGAATATCTGCTGTCACTTATTAAAAATAATTAAATTTTTAGATTGTCATATCTATAGAGAAATATGACAGCTCTACCATGTTGTCTTTGTATCAATAAAAAATCTGCATTTATAATGATGTCTATGCATCCAAAAAATATATCTGTATATATGATTATTTTAAATACACACTTTG
Source organism: Homo sapiens (assembly GCF_000001405.40). Taxonomy (NCBI): domain Eukaryota; kingdom Metazoa; phylum Chordata; class Mammalia; order Primates; family Hominidae; genus Homo; species Homo sapiens. The sequence goes on from NC_000007.14 coordinate 53,582,590, forward strand.
CTCAAATACATACTTTACAAATACATACTTTGCTCAAGAGAATAAAGTTTTCTTCATTAAATTCACCGAATTTAGATCGTTTGAGTAGATACAAATTTAGGTATTATGTTATAAATTTTCCTTTTGTTCCATATTTTATAAAACTTTAACCTATGAATGCCATGCTGAAACCAGAATTCAAAATGATGGTAACGGAGTGGTGCCAAGGCCCTAAGCTTTGTTCACACTCTCATATAAGTGACTACTTGACCAAAAGAGGGGAATTGTTAAACAAAATTATGGGAGGCCATTGTTTTAGATTAAGCTCATGCACTAGTTCCCAACAGACAAGACCAAACCAAAACGGAGTCACATGTAAATGTGACATACTCAACTAAAACATTAAGGAAATGGATAGATTTCAAAACAGATAAGTTTTTTTTCTCTTCTCAAAATAGGAGAATCCAGAACAAGGAAGTCCCATCTACTATAACCCCCTAAAAAATAACCTAAAGATCTTGTTTCCACCTCCTCAAACCCACTTTTTTGCTATTTCCCAGTAGGATTTGAGACTGAATAAGTACATTACGATGATGACAGAGAGATATATGTTCCTCACATTTTGGTTTCTCAAATTGGAGAAGATAACCAAAAAGATGAAATTGTTCAATTAAGTTTAGCCCAGAGCTATCCCTTATATATTTTAAGTTCGACCTGAAGGTTTCTTTGTACATAATCAACCATAACCTAACTGAAGGTGTAAACAGACTGTAGTCTACTCTTGTGCCAATCACTGAGTTTCAGCCAATCAAGAGTGGCCAACTTTTCAAACCTTATTCAAATAAGGCAAACACCAAGCTCTAACCAGTCCAGCAGTTTCTGTACCTCAGCTTCATTTTCTGTTCAACACGTTCCTTTGTCTGTCCTTAAATCTTCTTCCATCATGCAGCTGCACTGGTGTCTCTCTAGACCTACTTTGGCTTGGGAGGCTGCCTGATTCACCTGTCATTCTTTGCTCAGTTAAACTATGTTAAATTTAATTTGTGTAAGGTTGTTCTTTTAACACTCTCAAACTCTTCCACACTGATCCTCCAGCCGTTTGTCAAAAACAATTGAGTTTTTCTTCCACAATACCGGTGCCCATGGAGGTTTCTTTCTGTGGGTTCAGCTGCTCTGGGAAGTTGTTATTCTATGTTTCTACCTGTCTGTTTCTGCAATGTGGGGGGCAGTGATGTGCCCTGCTATCTCCATTCTCTCATGGATGTAAGAAGGGTTGTTGATTTTCAGTTTGTTCAAGTTTTCTCTTGTTATGTAGACAAGAGTAATGTTTTCCAAGCTTGTTACATGATGGACTGGGAACTAAAAGTCTAACTTGTTTTATTAAGACAACTTTATTAATACATATTTATGTACAATAAGCTGTACATATTTGTGTGTAAATGAATACAAAAAAACTTTATCCATTCCATTACTGTTTCCTGAAAGTATGGTCTTGCTTTATAAATTTCTAATTTTAGTCTTTTCTCTTTCAGATATATCCTATCAAGGCTACTTATTTTATGGGATTCCTAAATTCTCAACTATTGGATTTGGTAAACATTGCTACATTATAATTTAAAATGGAATATTACTCCATGGAAATTTGAGAAAATCCTGTTTTTCCCACTCAAAGTTACTTTTTAAATGGATCTCTAATTTCTTTTTCTGTCTTATTTTATTATCATTATTTTTAAAATCTTACACTAATCACCAGGATATATCTTATCCTTGATACTTCAGGAATGAGAATATACACTGACTACAGATTATCTTTTTAGGAAACCATCATTTGTTTCACCTTCAATTTTGTATTTGTCTCTTTTGTTGCCCTGTCCGTAGGAAAGCAAATGCCAAGGTGTCCACCTTTCGTCTCTCTCATGTTTATTCTACTCCTTGACCATTTGCTTCTCTTTTCTACCCCTTACACCTGGGTCTAACAAGGTCATCTTTCATGTTCCTGACTTTATTTGCATCAACATCTATTTTCCATTTCATTTTGTCCAATGTCCCTTTCATTTCTGTACTGGAGTTATTTTTCTCTTCTGCTTTGTTTCTCAGCTCTGCTGGGCCCATTTTCCTCTCCTCCTGCCTGAGTTTGTAAAATTTCTGTTTCTCTGAGCCTTTGATTCTGAGATGCATCATTTCTCACCCTGGGAATGGAATTGCCCAGCACCTTTTCTTTCCTGAGTTTTCCTTCTGTGTTATTTGTTTTTTTAAAAAATGATATTTGTTACCTGCCCTTTTCTTATCATATCCACTCATAGGCCTGAAGTCAGGATTTTAAGTCCTCTCTATCTGAGCCAAAAAGTTACCTAGCAAAAAGATGTGAGGATGAGTGGAGAAGGGGATTGGGCAGAGAAGCCACGTGACGACAGTGGGCAGTGGGTGTGGAGTTAGATGTCAGAGCAAAGCTTCACTCTCCCCTGATGAGTGTGGCCCCAATGGAGGCTCAGGTACTTAACAGTGACAATTTCATTAGTGTGTTTTCCTTCAGATGACTCTAGTTATCAGCTGAAAAGATGATTGTCTGCAATATTTCTACGACCCTCCAAAACAGGCATCTGCTTCTGCCCTCTGAGCTCTCACTGTCCCTGCAGGCTGCACAAGCGTAGGCTAAGGGAGAGGCTGTCAGTTGGGCCTTCAAATCCCGGCAGAAATGTGTGTGCTGCAAGAGAAGATTGATACCCTAGCCACCATTCTGGGCCACATTTTACCAATTTTTTAGCTATTCTTTATAGCCTGGGACCTATGGTTTTGGCCCCTGAAGATGGACTTTCATCTCTAAGTTATGTCTTTCATTGTTCTCAAGGGAATATTAGAAAAGAAAAAGGCTTTCTTTTTTCCTCCTTTAACTGGAAAACTGTACTATTTTATAATCAATAAAAATAGGACATATGTGCAATAGAAATTCTTGAAAACATTAATCATAGATCAGAAATTGTTGTTACATTTTTGGACTGTTAGAGAAACGCATTCTATGGGCTGGCAAGTAGACATTATAGGAAGGACAGACTTTTATTATTCAAATGTTGTAGTTAATCTGACTCCCTTCTCCATTAGCCTTATATTTAGTTGTCATTCTAAGAAGATTATATGTATATGTTTATAGGTATGTCCACTTTAATTTATATATTCCTAGATTTTATAGACATTATGCTAATTGCTTTATAAACATTACCTTCCCTCTCCATAGCTAGGTATTTTTACCTCCAAACTCCCATTCACTGATAAAAGAAAAGCTAAGTAATTGCTCATGCAGCAAAATATGGGCAAACTGGGTTTAACTTCCATTTTCTCTATTGTATAATTTTATCTTCTTTTGCATTTATGTGTTCTATACTGAAAAGTTGATGAGGCTGTATTGGGGCTGTTGATCAGATGGCACCATAATCCAAAAGTTAATTTTTATTTTATATTAAGAAATTTAATTTTATTATTTCTAGAAATATACAGGGAAGATGGCAACACAGTTACCTTATATAGAGAAAACTAAAAAAGAAAGATTAAAGAGAGAGAGAAAGTGAGAGAGAGAGGAGGCTAAGAACAACATAAGAGTAAAAGGTCTAAAATTTTGGCAACCTTAATTAATATTAGGAACACAGTGTGTCTATTCCCTCCAATTCGCTTTCACTAAACATCATTTGAGATGTTTAACCCCAGAGGTAATTATCTAACTTAACTGCTCCTGACAGGAGGAACTCTAGGCAAATGAGTTCGGACCATATTCCTCTAAGCCAGTTACATCTAAATTCCGCTCAGAGCAGCTCTACCTCCTCCCTATGTTTCCAAATATCTACATAAGTTCCGGGACTCTGCTCTTCTTTAGCAACCAGGAGACAAGAGTTGCTCCTGCAAACAGATTGTGAGAATAACAAAGAGCAAATTGTGACAACATTAGCGTATGGTGAAACCTGATGTTATATGAAGTCTCCAAAAAATAAAAATAAATAAAAATGAAAACCTCTTTTTCAAACACACACCCTTGACAGATAAAATAAAACTTGAAAAAGTAACAGAATTCATAACAGTGAGCACTTATACAGTATTTATTCAGTTGTTTAAATGATTTTACTTGGAGTTACTCATTCTGTTCTCCCCATAACCCCATGAGATAGGTCTTGTGAATATCCCTAATTGTACAAAGAAGGAAACGGAGATCTATCAGTGCACAGCTGAGATTAGAGCTCAGGGCTCTGACTACAGACGCCACAATGTTCCATTTTCCCTACCTAACTAGGCAGAGGTGCACAATAAACATAACATTTAAATATAAAAGCAAGAATACTTTGGGAAGAACTTTGAAAAACCACATTCTTAATTCATTCAAAAAATATGTTTTGAGCACGCACTAGGTGTTGTAAACTATTTGAAGTATGGACGACTGCAGTTAAACACATACAAAAAAATCTGCTTTCACCAAGTTGACATTATAGCACAGAATCAGGTGGCGAGCTGAAGAAGTAAGTTAGGGGTGCTCAAAGGTGATCCGTTTAATGAGGAAAGATGAAGTCGACATATCAGGAAACATTGCAATAAAGGTTGTTGGAAACGTTAATTTAAGAAGGTAACATTTCAGCAAAAATTTGTGTCTCATGGACTTCAGAGGAAGACTGTTCCTGAACGAGGAACCGGCAAGTGCAGAAGTCCAAAGGTGGGTTCAGGGCTGGCATGTTTGCAGAAGAGCCCAGAGCCTGATGTCCTGGAGATGAGCTGGGGAGGCAGAGAATAGCAGAGATGGAGTCAGAGGAATATTGGGCGCCTGCCTGTCAAAGGCCTTGCAGTCTCTTCTAGATGAGTTGCCCTTTCCACTGAGTGATGCAGCAAGCCATGAGATGATTCTCAGCAAAGGTTTGCATGCATTTTGGAAGGCTCACTGGGCTGCTGTGCTAAGCATAAACAGTGAAAAGGAATGGGTAGAACGTAGGGCCCTAATAAGAGACAACTGCAGTAATCAGTCAATCAGAGTCAGGGCTTGAGTGAGGTTAATGGCAGTGGAAGTCATGCAGAGTGATCACCCTCAGGTTGGATTTTGAAGGTGGAACACAAATGATGAGATAGCTGTGTGTATGAGAAAAACAAATACACACAAGGAGGCAGAAGTCTCTTTCGTCAATTGGAGGTATTTAGTATAAATAAACTGAAAGGAAGACTGTAAGTGCAGCAGACATTGATGCTGTTTAGGTTTGTGTTTACATTGTGGTGTCTGACATGCAGTGGCAATGCAGGGAAGGCACGTGGTTCTGTGGATCTGTTCTACAGTGGAGTGGTCGAGTCTGTAAATGAACTTTCCAGAGTAGAGTAGATATTTCAAACAGCTCACCAAAAGTGTGTCTGAGAAGAGAGCTCTCAGAACTGAGATCTGGGACAGTTCGGGTTGCGGCATAAGGAACAAGAGAAAGAGACCAAAACCAACAGGCCAGGAGAATGTGGTATTCTAGAACTCTGTGAATGATGGGTTTCTAGAAGAAAAAAAAACAAAAAAAACAAAAAAAAAACCAAAAAAAAAACACTATCAACTACTACCCCAGCCGTTGTTACTTGACCACGTCACAAAAGATTGAGAATTACCGAGCGCTGGCATTAGTCAAGCAGAGGCAGTGTCTGTGAATGGTGCTTTTAAGCCACTGATTGTAGTAGAGTTGAGAGGAAATTGAATGAGTGGGTTTTAAAACAAAAGTCACCGAAACAGGGTGCATGGATACTGGAAGTGGAGTCAAGTGAGATTTTCTTTCATTATAGGAGTAGTAGCACAATATTTGTAGATTGATGAGAATTAAAAGTGTAGAGGTGAAAAACTCACGTTTCACCAGTTTTCGCCAGAAAGAGGGATTGGGAATTGCTGAAGCAACACCTGTTGGTAGGGAGGGAGGTTTGGACCCTAGTGCATGATTGAGGGTCTGTTCTAGGCTTAGGGAAGAGCTAAGTGCGGATGGCTGGGGTACCTGCAGGTAGAAGAGGCAGTGGTGAAAATTTGCTGGAAGTTCTGTTGTGAATGAGTGGTTCTGTTATGAATGAGTGGCTAAGGAGGGTGAAGGAGGCCTTGGAGCTGCAAGATAGAGGAGAGAGCATGAAATTTGAATAGACTGGGAACATAAATGGATTAGGAGAAACAAAATCAAATACTGCATATTCCCACTTATAAATGCAGGCTAAGCAACCGGTACACATGGCCATACAGAGGAAAATAGATACTGGGGACTTGAAATAGGGGGAGGATGAGAAGGGGGTGAGGATTGAAAACTTACCCGTTGGGTACAATGTTCATTATTTGGGTGATGATACAAACCTCACCATTTCACAATATATCCACATAACAAGCCTGCACATGCACCCCCAAATCTAAAATAAACAAACAACTAAATAACTACTTGGATTAGGAAAACAATAATGAAAATTGTGTAACTTTAATGTCAATGTTGCCTTTTACCTTACTATATTATCTAGAGGCATTTTATATGAAATATTTTAAATCTTCTGTTAGAAGTTATCAGATTTGCTTTATTATATTAACTTTTCTCTATAACAAGAATTTTAGGATTTCTGTGATTTCAGGCTATCATTAAAATAATAATTTAGCTCCTCACATCAACCTTTATATTCCATTAATGTTCCATAAAAAGTGTTAATAATAATTTTTTAAAGTAATTCAGATATTCAGCCATCAAAGCAAAATAAAATCCTAGTCAATACTCTCCTGTCTACTTTGCCTTTTTATGATTTTTTTTCCTGAGAGGAACTGTTCGTGGTAATCTTTATGCCAGGTGTCTCATTCTGAATCTCCCGTGAGCACATTAGGTATAATAAAATGAGAGGAAAGGACTATTTCATCTCTTGGGGGGAATTTTTAAATTAATAATAATTGTTCATGCCTCCAACACAGATTATTGGCAGCACACTGAACATTGGTTTTGAAAAAGAGAGATTTCCAAAGATGATGTTATTTAAACAACACTCGATAATCAGCCATGTCTTCCTTGGTGGGAGCTTGCTGGCAGGGAAGCATATGTCTCATATCTGTCTGTAAAGCATGAAATGAATAACTATAGCGGGCCACAGAAGTTCTGTAAGATGTTCTTAGGGTAATTTGGAATCTGTTGGAAGGCGTAGCAGTTGGAAATCTCATCAAGATTCTCTGCAGTGGTGAAAGCACGGTGAGGAAATCCTTTTAACTCTTACTGTAACTATTTTCCATAACATAATTTTATGCTAAAATGATGCAAAAGATGAGCAAATATTGTCAAATAAAATTTCTGTGTAATATGCTCTTTGACTTAAATAAATACCTATCAACATAAAGAGGTGCATAATATTTTCTACCTGGTAATATGTGGAAAATCCGATAAAATTTTGAATTGCTGGTTATAAAACAACTAGATGAAGTCAGTATTAACAGCTACACAAGACTTTTACATAATTGAAATTACATTGTATATACGGCTTTGAAAATGGGTCTTCTCACTTGACAATATATGGAATATACGGGGCATGAGGATTGTGCAATCTATTCTCTCACCACCTATGCTCTTAAAGCCTCATGATAGATGTAATCCTTCCAGAAGGATGTAGCACATGTTATTTAATCAATTTCTGTGTTCCTCAATTTTAGAATACTTCTAGTTTTTATAATATCAAATGCTACATTATTGAACACTCATATAGGAAACTTTTTCATACATTCAAAAAAGTGAACTAGGTGGTTCAAATATTTTTAAAAGAAAAAAATAATTTCATAGCCATTGACAATTTTTTTTTTTTTTGAGACAGGGTATTGCCCTGTTGCCCAGGCTGGAGTGCAGTGGCACAATCTCTGCTCACTGCAACCTCCGCCTCCCAGGTTCCAGCGATTCTCCTGCCTCCGCCACCTGAGTAGCTGGGGTTACAGGCACCCACCACCATGCCCAGCTGATTTTTTGAATTTTTACTAGAAACAGGGTTTCACCATGTTGGCCAGGCTAGTCTTGAACTCCTTACCTCAAGTGATCCTCCCACCTCAGCCTCCCAAAGTGCTGGGATTACAGGCGTGAGCCACCGTGCCCAGCCCAGCCATTGACAATTTTTATTTTAAATCTGCCAATTTAAACTCCTACTGAAATGGGAAAAGTTCCCTCACCCCCTTCACAGGGCGTGTGATGGGGTTGTGGCTTGCTTCTTCAGTGCCCCGTTGCTCATACCCCTAGGGGGAGGATGCAGACGTGCAGGTCTTGGGACTCCAGTATCATGGCAGCCTCCAGGGTTGAGTGTTTACAGCTCCTGAAGCCCCAGTGGGTGCATGTCACAGTGTGCCCTTTCCGTCTAGCCACCTGCAGGTGGATTGTGTTAAACAGCTCAATTAGACCCTCTGCCGTATTGCAAGGACAGAGAGCTTTCTGTATTTCAGGTTCTTGCCTTAGTGTACCAGAAAAATCGGATCACACATGAGCTTGGAGGATGGGTGCAAGGTTTTTTATTGAGTGGTGGATGGGGAGGCCTAATGGAGAATGAAGTGGGAAGGTCGTCTTCCCATGGAGTGGGGCCACCCAGCAGCCGGTCTCTCCTCCAACCAAATTCCCCTCAGTGTCTGCGTTGTTCCACCGTGGATGGCCTTCTTGCGTCTGCCAGTGTGTTCTTCTGCCAGTGTGCTCCTCTTGACATCCAGCCACTGTGTCTGTGCCCACTACGGTCTCAGGGTTTTTATAGGCACAGGATGGGGGCATGGAGGGCCAGGGTCGTTCTTGGAAAAGGCAAAATTTGGGTGCAAAAACAGGAGTGCCTGTCCTCATCTATGTCTGTGGACACAGGCCTGAGTGTGAAGCCATAGCCTGGGACACACCCTTTTCTACCCAGCACTTCCCTGCCTCGCTCCCATATCACTACTATCAGCATAGAGAGTATGAGAAGGGTTATTTTGCTAGAAAATTAAGATTCTTGCTAATTAGGACAGAAAATAAACATCGTCTTTTCCATGTGAATACCTTTGCTAGTGTTTGAGAATGATGTCATCTGGCCTATATGTGTTACAATTTAAAATTATCAGGCCTCTGACTTTTTTGTTAGGGAAAAGGAAATAATGGAGAAATCTAATATTTCCACACCCTAGTCCCCAAATCACTGAGAAACTATTTTTCTATCAGGGTTGCCCTATATTTCTTAGTGATGTTTGCAGATTTATATTATATATAGAATTGCCATATCATTCTTACCATGTCGATAGAGTTAATTTCTCCCTGAATTCTGTCAAGATTACAAAGACGTTTTCTATAATGTAATTCTTTTTCCTGAAGCAAACCTGTGCTGGGAAAGCTTTTCTTTATCTTTTTATTATTTCAAATTCATTATATTTTGTTGGCTTCATGTCATTTTTCCCTGTTTGCTCACCTTAATAGAGTTTTAGCTAGTGCTGGAATTTACCATTAAATACCATTAAATGAGCTCATTCTAAAATTTCCCTTGGTTGTTGAGAGAATTCAATCTTCTTGGTTTTTAATTTGAGATTATGTTTGATGGGCACAGCTTGTAGCCAAGATTTTGTGGGCTTTGTACCTTTTACCGAGTTGATATATTTTTGCATAGTGGGCTGTCTGCTCTCCATCCTGATGAAGTACTCCCTCCCCAATGCTCCAGCTGCTTCTGAGGATCCTTATCATATGCCCCTGTGCAGCTCTGCAGACCATTTCTTTGCAATCCCCCCTCTCCATCTAAGTAACTGCTCTTCTGGAACCATCACCAGTTCCCTAAAAGTGCCAGGAGATCTCTCATCTCCAAAGATTTGCACGCAAATTTGTACCTGACTGAAGAGCTCTTCCTACAGCTTCTCCTGATTAAAGCATAAATTCGCTCAAGTCACTGTCAATTCTCCAATGCCATGTTGCTTTGTTTTGTTTTCTTATTCCAAAGTTCCAACACAAGACTTTATTTTCTGACCCTCCTGTATGTTCTCATACCACCATGTTTATTTAATACTTTTTCCTACTTATATTTGAATTCACTGTCCTGCAAATGAGTCTTTTATGTATTTCCCACTAGTTTGGATTCTTTAAAATATTAATTGTGTTATTCTTCTTTCTCTCTTGTACTGATATATTAATGTGCCTGACATGTAGTAGTGTTCAATAAGTTCTTTGGGAATTACTTAATGGACATATGCCTTATTTTGAGAGAAGGAATTTGTTTTTGAACAATCCAGCTAACACACTGTGTTGCAAACAACAATATTTACTCTAACAAATTAAAGCAGAAAGTATGCACAGTAGGGCTGCTCATGGAAACCCTGGTTTGTTCAGGGATCAGGTTTAGAAGCTCTGCAGGCACATACAACATAATAAGTACTAGGCGGTGGAGAACTTCACTGCTTCAGCCTTGGGCACTGGTGCCTTGGCTTACAGAGACAAACTGTGTGCTTGGTGAATGTGCAATGCAACCTCAAAGACATTCTCTGCTACTGTCTCAAAATCCTTGATATATTCCCATCACTCTTACTAGAATGAAATTTGCTGGTACCTTCTTCTCCATTTCTATTCTGAATAGAATTATTGACCAGGTACATTAAATTGGACAAAATTGCACCCAATCTCCACAGATATCTTCTCTCTTTTTTTCTGAGAGATGATCTGTGGCATGGTTTGGATTCATGTCCCTGACCAAATCTCATGTCTGAATTAGAGGAGGGGCCTGGTGGGAGGTAATTGGATCATGGGGGAAGATTTCCCCCTTGCTGTTCTTGTGATAGTGAGTTCTCAGGAGATCTGATGTTTGAAAAGTTTGTGGCACTTCCCCCTTAGCTCGCTGTCTCTCTCCTGCTCTGCCATGATAAGATATGCTTGCTTCCTGTATTAGGGTTCTCTAGAGGGACAGAACTAATAGGATAGATGCATATGTAGAAGGGAGTTTATTAAGAAGTATTGACTCACACGATCACAAGGTGAGGTCCCACAACAGGCCAGACTGAGGAGCATGGAAGCCAGTCTGAGTCCCAAAGCTGAAGAACATGGAGTCTGTTGTTTGATGGCAGGAAGCATCCAGCACCGGAGAAAGATGTAGCCTGGGAGGCTAGGCCAGTCTATTCTCTTCATGTTTTTCTGTCTGCTTTATATTCTGGCTGTGCTGGCGGCTGATTAGATTATGCCCACCCACAAAAAGGGTGAGTCTGCCTTTCCCGGCCCACTGACTCAAATGTTAATCTTCTTTGGCAATACCCTCACAGACACACCCAGGAACAATACTTTGCATCCTTCAGCCCAATCAAGTTGATACTCAATAGTAACTGTCACATTTACCTTTCACCTTCTGCCATGATTGTAAGTTTCCTGAGGCCTCCCAGCCATGCTTCCTGTACAGCCTGGAGAACTGAGTCAATTAAAAGTCTTTTCTTCATAAATTACCCAGCCTCAAATAGTTCTTCATAGCACTGTGAGAATGGACTACTACAATCTGCTTCCAACTGCACACAGGCCATTCCTCACTTTCTGGAGCAGCCACATCTCCTTTTGCATAGATGATCTTTTACCAACCAATGGTTATCTTGGAGAGGTTATACTTTGAGGGATGAAAGTGAGTGGCTGGTTTGGCTAAAGGGAAAGCATATTTTTGTGGTATCACTGGGTTCAAAACCCTTTAGTAAGCAAAATCCTAATGTCTGTGAGTTGGGCTTCTAGTTAAGTGTAGTCTGTGCAACAAGTTTCTTAGTTTCTGCTTTTATCACTTACTATGTGATCCTAGTGAGTTCTTTAACTTCCTATTACTCATTGGTAAGTTGAGTACATAACAGTTCCTACCTCTGTGTTGAAAGAGGATTGAATAAGATAATGCATTTAACATAATGCCTGACATATAGTAAGAATTCCATAACTCTGAGATAATTATAGTTTTACTACAGGAAGCATCTGGATATAAATTTTCTACCATTTCTCATTATGTGCCCCCATTATATTTCCTTAGGACTGCATAAAAGCCTTTATTCATGAATACATTTCAATAATTTGATGAATCACTTAACATTACTAGATGCTGTGGTCTCTAAATCCTTGTATATTGTCATGAATATTTCAGTGGGAATATAAGAAAATAAAAAATAATAAATTTTCACCTGTGATCTGATTTAACTCTTTTTACAGCTCAATAACTACCCATTGATCATATTAAATCTACTCATACCCTGAAATACTGATTTAATGTATGTATTTGTGGGGGTTATTGCTCTGAGGCAATTGGTTTTTCAATAAGAGTAATTCCTCATCTACTGAGTATATGACCATTTTGGTCAATGTTTACTGATGCTTTGGCTGGAACTGGACTATGCATGGATTCATTCCATTGTTGGCACAGTTGAAAGGACTGGATTGACTTTTATTCATTCCAATAAGATTTTGCAGATGCCACTCAGGAATACACTCATTGGACAATTAGAATGAAAATCTTATTATTACTAACAATTTCTTAACCACTAGTTATGCATTTGCTATTGTCACAAAATATCATTGCGACTCATAACACTGTATGCAGCATTGAGCAGACAGTAACACATCTTTACTGTACTATGGATTATTAATCAAGGAGCAATTGGAGAGTTTACTTTCATGCTCGCCTGTCTGTGCTTTTCCTTCCTCTTGCCTTTCTCCAGGCCCCCCTGTGCCCCAAGAATACCTTTGAGAGTATTTACAAAGCAAGGTCGGATGGCACCCTATGATCAGGGACAGGCCTGCCTCATCACATCGTCATACCAGACAGCAGGCCCCTGTGCTGAGCAGCAGAGGCCCAGCCCCATGTTTCTCATTCAGACTCTAAAGGTTTACCCATTAAACATGTACTCAGCAAACTCTTGCTTGGAAACCCTGCTTCTGAGTTATCTACTCTTTTAGAGCCACCAGTCTTCGTCACAATTCAACATTCACTGCTCCAATGTGAACAGTTTCCTCACCACAGCCTGTGTCTATACTGTCTCCTGATATCCTGCACTAACACCTCTATATACTTAACAGATGATCTGCAGAAGAAAATATCACTTGTTATATCCTGTATCTTGCATATAATTAATGAAAATTATTTCAAAATAGACATAAAAATAATCCTTCCCTCTAATGATCAATAAAAATAATAAGTCACTGGATTATTTTTACGTTTCATTTTCTCTATATTACGGTGTTTTGACATGTTACATACTTTCCTGTTAGGGAAGCAACTGCCCTTCCTGGGGTTAGCCAATTCTTCTATATAAAGGGCCCAGACAGGAGTGCCTCTCTGGTATGCAAACTAACAGATTCAGAGCCCTACCTCTTCTATCTCCCCTGGCACCCCAGGAGGCAATATTGCTCTGTTTAATCATGTCAGGGCCAGGTACCAGGTAACTGGAGATCATTCTTTCAGCTTAGAGCCCACTGAAATTATGCAAACTAGCCAGTCCTAAACTGCTCCCCTGCTCTGCCTTGACTTCCCTGCAGAAATTCCAATAATGGCCTGGCCTAGGCTATCCCTGAGTTTCTGCCCCTCGGCCTCCTGACCAAGGTTTGTGCTTCCCTGTGTGACCCTGTGAAACATGGGTGCCTGCTGTATTGCTGTAACTAGGATGGGGGAGCATAACAAACATAGTTTTCCTGAGCTTCTGCTATGTCTTCTCCTCTGACTGTACCTGGCTGACCTTCATATAAAAGAACATAGAGCAGTCACCAAATTCAATCTGGGCATATCATAGACAATTTCCCTTCTACATGTCTAAGATTTATTTCCTTCTCTCTATATCCAGTCATTTCTCCTAGAATTATCTCCTCTTCAATTTTGGCTGAGAGCAGTCCACCCAGAGCTCTCTCCTTTCAAGGGCATGTTCAATGCTGGGATGAGTCATGGAGAGGAAGTGGAAGCTCAGCCTCTGTGGGCAGAACTTGGCCTTGCAGCCTCTGCAGCCACCCTATTTGTGTCAATTCACATAAGAATGATCTCAGGTTAGGGCTGAGGGACTTCCTCTTCAATAGGCCCTCGCTGCAGCTTAGCTTTCAGGGAAAATTATAACCTGTTGGGAAAACATGAATTATTAGAGAAAAAATGAATTTCACAGGTTTTTTTGGGACTGTAAAACCTCAAGTGGGGTAAAAATAAGAATTTGACCTCCTGCTTAACTCTAGTTTTTATAAGAAAATATAGGCATAGCATTAATTATTTACTATAGCATCATATAACTTTTTCCCCTAGTCTCATCTTTGCACTTGATTGGTCCATATAAGTGTGAATGGAGATGGCACCTCCTGGAAAATTACTCTTCTTTTTCCCAAATTGTTTTTAGCCTGAAGAAAATTCACACATAAAACAGTCAAGCTGAGAGAGCGTTTTACTTTAGGTGCAAAACTGTTAGTGAGTTCTGCTGAGGATCTTAAAATCACAGAAAACATTCCTTTTTTCATCAAAGAGAGATTCCTAAAAATATAATGCCTTAAAAATTTTGTTTGCCTGCAAAAATAATGTTGAGAGAAAACTATATTCAATCTCAAATAAACATAGTTTACTCAGAAATCATGTTTATTATTTTATACTTTTTATGGTATTTATTTGCTGCAATCCATATATTGTTATAATTCATTAATACTAAGTTGTAAATGAAACATATGCTTCGTATTTTATTATGTAAACATCTATAATTAGTAATTCCTCAGGTTTTATTTTATTGCACCATCATTGTGAGTTATCTACTCTTACAAACAAAAGGATGAAAGCTATGCCTACTTAACCCTAGTTATTCCAATCTTTTATCTCTAAGTAGAAATTAGAAAATACAAGTATTTGTATATATTTTTCACTTTGTCTTGCTCATGCCAATTGAGGATTACATTTTCCTTCCTTTTCCCAATTCTGCTTGGTCTGAAGCCTTTCTTTAAAATCTTACCTTTTTTCTGACACTCCAAACAAAAAATCAGAACAGGTAATACCTAGGTAAGACTTGGCTTTGGAAATCAACAGGAATAATGTGAGATTTTCTGCCATTTCACTGCCATGAGAGCAATTCAAGTTTGAGCTACCCTAGGGATGACCAAATTTGGCAGTTCGAAGGAAGGATAGGAGCATCGTCATGTCTGTAGTTCCCAGAACACGATTCATTAGCAGCCTAAACATATTCACACCTGAGATGGATGAGCCACATGCTACCTGTAGAGTGGCACTTGAGTAGAATTGGAGCTGATGAAGAAAGCTTTGGGCAGATTCAGAGAGTAGGCACCAATAAAGTTTCCATGGACTGCTATGCAGTCTTGTTGTTTATTGTGCTAAGAACTCAACATGAGATCTACTCTCTTAACACATCTTGAAGTGCACGCTACAGTAGTGTTAACTGTAGGTGCAATGTTGTACAGCAGATCTCTAGAAGTGATTCATCCTTCATAAAGGAAACTTTACAACCATTGTACCGCAACTCACCATTGTCCCCTCCTCTCATTCCTTGGCAGCCACCATTCCACTCTCTGCTTCTCTGAATCTATTTTAGATTCTTCATATAAGTAAGATCATGAAGTGTTTGTCTTTCAGTGTCTGGTTTATTTCAGTTAGCATAACATCTTCCAGGTTCATCTGTATTGCTGCAAATGGCAGGATCTCTTTCTTTTTAGAAACGAAATAGTATACACAGTTCTTTTAATATATCCTTTGAAGTATGTATACAAATGAATAGTTTATATTATCAGTACAGATCAAAATTAGAACACATGACATACATGTTTCAGCAACATCCTGTTTCTCCACACACTGAAACATTAGATGAACCTATGAGGATATTCTAAAGTTATTTCCCACAGAGGCATCTGTCATTGCTCAGAGGTTTACGTTTCATGCAACAAATCAACAAACTAATGAGGGAATTACGATTTTACTGCATAGTTTACCACACTTGTTTTTAAACTGCTATTTTTGAGACATGTGAAAGAGTTCATTGGCATACACAGTTTCCTAGTTATGTGCAGGACTTACAATCCCAATTCTAAATGAAAATTTGTATTGAGCATTTATATTAGGCCAAGAAGAGACCCAAACTAGTAAGACTGCATCAAAGATATTAAAGGAATAACTTATAAAATGTTATGACCATTACACATATCTGAAGTAATGGAGGCTTGTGTCAAATGTATTCATTCCTTCTCAGGTGCATTTGGTTAAATATCTCAGAAATTCCCTACATAAAAGCGAGTTTTAGAAGGTACATTCTTCAAAATCCATTAGACTGTGCTACAGGAAACAATAAAATAGTTTGTAATTTCTGTTCTCAGCAATATTTAATCATGAAATTTTGGATCTAAACTTCGATTCACACTCTCTGATTTGATTACATTATATATTATCCTGGAACTCGGTCATTGATAGACTAAAATTGATTTTCCTGCAAACATGGAAAATGCACAGCCACCTCAATGTTTATTTTGTTGCCAATTTTGTCTAGAAACAGTTCTGTTCCTCTCTTCTAAGGTGTATAATATCAGCATGTATACTTAGCAGTGAAGGATATTCACCTGTGTGAAGCCTTGGACCAGCAATAACAAATATTGACTTTATTGTTTATCTCTCTTTAAAGATTTCAGGTATTATATGTGTACAACCACATTTGAAAGTTTGCAGTCATAATGTCTCATTGGTTTTTAAGGATAGTAATGATTAAGTTGCAGAGTCCCTAATGATCAGGGTCTATAACTAAGTTATAAAAATAACCACAAACTTCATCTTCCAACAGTACTATGAAGTACATAGCCAAAAAGTCTTTCTGCTAAAAAATATTTAGATGTGGGCTGGGTGCGGTGGCTCATGCTTGTAAGTCCAGCAGTTTGGGACGCCAAGGCGGGCGGATCACGAGGTCAGGAGTTCGAGACCAGCCTGGCCAAAATGGTAAAACCCTGTCTCTACTAAAAATATAAAAATTAGCCGGGCATGGTGGCTCACTCCTGTAGTCCCAGCTACTTGGGAGGCTGAAGCAGGAGAATCCCTTGAACCCAGGAGGCAGAGGTTGCAGTGAGCCGAGATTGTGCCACTGCACTACAGCCTGGGCAACAGAGCGAGACTCTGTCTCAAAAAAAAAGAAAAATATTAGATGTTATGCAAATGATGTGAAACATAGCTGAGCTTGCAAAAGTGATAAGACATATATCAAAGTAGGTAGGAGACTACTTGCTTCTTTGTTTGTTTTTGTAATTTGATCGTGAGTTCCTTCTCTAGAGACTGGATCTAAACCTCAGCCCTGCCCTGATGGGGCTCAAGGAATTTGTTCGTAGATGTGTATATTGTGCCTTTCAGGGTACTTCTTTATTGCAGCGGACAGCCTAATGCTGAAGTGTGACCAGGTGTGCCCCTCACAGGAAACTCATTTATATTGGAAGATTCCCTTGTGGCTCCTGTCTGACATGTGTTCAGTTTATTCCTATGAAGATAGCCACTCTCTGTGAGAACAGGACCAGAAAAGAAATTGGGTTTTGGTGTATTGGTAAGGTGAGATACAGGGGAAGCCACTCGACAAAACGCATGAAATAACAGAATCAGTTTAATACTCACAGATACCACAGAGCAGGGGGCAGCACACCTGGAAGCCCAGAGGAAAGCGGGAGCTGTCTGGGACACACACACTGATGTACTGAGTGGAGAGCAAGAGAGAGATGGGGGGACTTGTGAGCTGAAGCTTTTATTGGGTCCCAGGGTACCAAGCAGGTTTCCCTTGTGACGTTCTGATGGGTGGGCTTCAAGCAAGCAGGCATGAGCTCTGTGGAGTCACGCTATGACTGAGAGATCGCCACTGCACCATATCTGTGCAGTTCACACGGGGCATGGGAGTCAGTAGGACAAGTCAAGTAGGTTGTAGTGAGCTGTCCCATAAAAAGCTGGTCACCAGGAGCTGGTTGTATAAGACAGTTATCTGGATTGACAGCCTTGAGGAACTGGGGAGGGCAGAGAACTGAAAATTGTGTCAAGGGTGACTAAGCCTTGTGTATGGTATGAGAAAGCACAACTTACAGTCAAAGAATAATGCTGAGGCAACATAAAAGTACAGGAATTCACTCAAAGATGGACACTAGTATGAAACTAGACACCTGGATATCTTGAAGACAAACGCCTTCCAAAAATAAGAATTTTAGTTATAATGAGCAAAAACACAAGGAAATGATCACCACATCCACATACAGCTGGGACATTTTGAGGAGGCTACATCCTGCAGGCAAAAGAACAGGTGGATATCAATCAATCAGTCAGCCAACCAATCAACCAACCAATCAACCAACCAAGCAAACAAACAAACAACCGCTCCCTTTTTCTGGGAGCAGAATGGAAATTGCCTGCTCATGTTTCTGGTTTAATAGCTTAGACATAGAATTTTTAACTATTAGTCTATTCTAGAATAAATCTTTAATTCAATTTTATATTAAATTTACAGTTATAAAATTTTCATGTAAAATTGTATTAAATAGTAATTTATATAAAATACTCAATGGAAAGGTTAAATATCAGAGTATACATAATTTAAAAGAGATTTGTTGAGCTGGAGAATAGATCAAAAAAATTTCTCAGAATGCACACAAAGATATTAGGAGATGATACATTTGAGAAATAAAGGTTCTGAGATGTGGAGGCAAGGAATAGAAGAACAGTGAACATTTACACAGATCTGCAGAAAGGAAAAAAGTTATAAGAATAAAGCTTTGAAAACATAATGCTTTAGAAAGTTCTAAGATTGATAGGCTTACAGACACAGGAACCATAACATATTTCAGTAGAATAAATAGAAAATCTACGCGAAACTGAAAAACAGTAACAGAAAATGAGAAAGAGTGAGGAAGACTATTTTTAAAGTAGAGAGAAAATTACAATAAATAAATATGTGAGAGTGTATGTATTGGAAGTCAGAAGATACTAGGAAAATATCTTCACTGTGTGGTGATGGAAAATAACTTTCAATTAAGAAATGCATAAGAAAATAATCCTTTAAAAATAAGGGTAGAAGAAAGATGATTTCAATTTAAAAATTAATTGAGAAATTTATTTTCAAAAAAAATCTTAGTAAAGAATTTCCAAAAGCATATTATAAGAAGTAGCAAACTTCCAGACAAAAGATTGAAATGTTGGAAGCAATGAAAAATAAAATAATAAACATGTGAGTAAACATAAAGAAATATTGCACCAGGTGAGGTGGCTCATGCTTGAAATCCCCACAATTTGCTAGGCCTAGATGAGATCATTGCTTGAAAGCAGGAGTTTGAGACCAGCATGGTAAACAAAGTGAGACCTTGCATCTATAAAAATAAAATGAAATAAAATAAATTATCCTGTGTACTAGGCCATTCTTGCATTGCTATAAATAAATATCTGAGACTGGGTGATTTATAAAGAAAAGAAGTTTAATAGGCTCACAGCTCTACAGGCTGTACAGGAAGCAGAGTACTAGAATCTGCTCCTGGGGAGGTCTCAACAAAAGTAAAAAATAAATATTGTTTTGACTGGGCTTGGTGGCTCATGCCTGTAATCCCAGCACTTTGGGAGGCCAAGGTGGGTGGATCACCTGAGCTCGGGAGTTTGAGACCAGCCTGGCCAACATGGCAAAATCCCGTCTCTACTAAAAATACAAAAACTAGCTGGGCTTGGTGGCACATGCCTGTAGTCCCAGCTACTTGGTAGGCTGAGGCAGGAGTATCGCTTGAACCTGGGAGGCGGAGGTTGCAGTGAGCTGAGATCGTGCCACTGCACTCCAGCCTAGGTGACAGAGCGAGATTCCATCTCAAAAAATAAAATAAAATAAAATAATAAATATTGATTTATAGAACAATATATTTAAATGCTAAATTTAGAAGTTAAGATAAAATATGGAGCAACCATAGACTAAAGTGTACTGCATACCTTATACAGCACTCTGCTAATTTTAACTTCTTAGTAGAGAAATTAACATTTTCAGTTTTAACCACTAAAAGTGTAGTAATGGAGTATATAACTTCCAAAATTGGTAGGAGGTAGAAATGGAATGAGATGCAAAACATCATTAACGTAAAGGGAAGGAAACAGGTAATGAAGGAGGAAGACAAGGAAGGAAGAAAATAAAATAAAGTAAAATACCTAAATATTTCAAGAAAAGCTGGAAAGTAGGAAAATAGCTTAAAGCAAGCCATAAACAAAACAAAATAAAATGAGATGCAAGTAAGATGGCAGACTAGAAGCAGCTCTTGAACCACTCTCAGGACGAGGAAACAAGGTGAATGGTGAACAATGGCCCTGAGTAATGACTGTGAGCCGATCACCTAGGAAACACTGCAGGATCCATCAAGGCAGCAAGGGATGCAGAGGACAGAGACGGGCAAAGCTGGGCAGCATCCCATCTAGGACCAGTGCAGAGCCAGGAGAAGCTCCCAACAAGAGAAAAGAGTGAGTGAGTCACAGCCCCCAGGGGATTCACACTTCCCGCAGGGACCTGCCCAAGCCTGTAAATGAGAGGAATGTCCTGAACTTCCCCAGGGCCTCTAAACTGATAGAGCGCCCAGAGTTGTTGAGGAGACAACATGCAATATCCATGGAGACCTCCACAGGTCTCAGACCCGGAGCAGCCTGGCGCCAGTGCCCTAGCCACAATAGAGGCCACAGAAGCAGTGCCCAAGAGCAGTAAATTTGCTCCACTCCCCTTCACTAGGCAAGGCTCAGTGCCAGATTCCAGCACAGTGGCCCTACTTCTGCCTGAACTGTGCAGCCCAGTGCATTCCTGTGGTTCCCCCAAGAAACATCTGGAAAACAAGGTGGGCAACTGCAACCACTCCTGTTGCTCGCAGCCCCATGCCTTTTGGGGCTACCAGCACAGCAGACCCACTCTGCCTGAACTCTGTGGGTGGGTGCAGCTCTGTGTTCCCCCTGGGAAGCACCCAGTTAGTGGATTGGGTGACCCCATCCACCTCTGCTCCTCCTAGTCTGGCAGACCACACCAGTTGGGGATTCCCACACAGTGGACCCATCTCTACCTGAACTTTCTGGGAGGTTGCAGATCCATGTTCCCTGGGAAGCACACAGATAGTGGATTGGGTGACCTCACCCACACTCACTGCTCTTAGCAGATGGGACTCACGAGCATGGTAGCACTCAAGCACGGCAGAGCCCTCGCTCTTGAAACAATGGGAGTGTTGAGGTGCCTGGATTCATGGGCTGGTGGAGGAGCGGGGTGTGCCTCCCTCCACAGGGCTGGCACAGAAAGCGTAGTGTCTGTCTGCCAACCACAACCCCTGCCTGCCAGAGCACCTAACGAAGGAAATGTGAGCATGGAGCCAATGATCAGATGAGGCTCCTCCAAGGCTCAGGCACAGTTCAGGTGAGGGGTCATCTCTCTCTTCCTCAACCACAGAGAACTACTGCCAACTGTGCCAAAACACAAAAGAGCCCTTTGGCTGAATAAGAGTCTATCTGCCAGCCAATACTCTTAAGCATCAGCTACTGGGTCAGAACGCCAAAACAACACCAAAACATTTTGCCAATATGCAGTGCCTGTGAAAACCAAGGAAAAAATTCGGCCAGAAATAGATTCTGTACAGAGTCCTGGCCTTCTCAAAACACCCAGAAATGGAGTCAACTGACTATACTCAACTTATATCACAGTTAAAGGAACATCAGCCCTCACACATGAGAATCAACACAAGAACTCTGGGAACTCAAAAAGCCAGGGTTCCCGCTTACCTACAAACAAACACACTACTTCCCCAGAAATGGCTCTTAGCCACACTGAGATGTCTGAAATGACAGATATAAAATTCAGAATCTGCATGGCAAAGAAACTCATGGGAATCAAAGAGAAAGTTGAAACCCAATCCAAGTATCCAGGGTTGAAACCTAATCCAAGGAATCTGAGGAATCCAGCAAAACAATCCAGGAACTGAAAGACTAAACGGTTATTTTAAAAAAGAATCAAACTGAGCTTCTGGAACTTGAGAATCCACTTCAAGAATTTCTCGGCCCGGCACAGTGGCTCATACCTGTAATTCCAGCACTTTGGGAGGCCGAGGTGGGTGGATCACGAAGTCAGGGGTTCCAGACCAGCCTGGCTGACATAGTGAAACCCTATCTCTACTAAAAATACAAAAATTAGCTGGGCATGGTGGCGTGCACCTGTAGTCCCAGCTACTTGGGAGGCTGAGGTAGGAGAATCGCTTTAACCCAGGAGGTGGAGGTTGCAGTGAGCTGAGATTGCACCACTGCACTCCAGCCTGGGCAACAGAGAGAGACTCCATCTCAAAAAAAAAAAAAAAGAAAAAAAAGAAAGAAAAGAATTTCTCAATACAATCAGAAGCATCCACAGCAGAATAGATCAACCTAAAGAAAGAGTCTCAGTGCTTAAAGACCAGTTCTTTGAATCAACTCAGACAAAAACAAATAAAAAAGAAATTTAAAAACTGAACAGAAATATGATATTATG
Organism: Homo sapiens; assembly: GCF_000001405.40. Classification (NCBI taxonomy): domain Eukaryota; kingdom Metazoa; phylum Chordata; class Mammalia; order Primates; family Hominidae; genus Homo; species Homo sapiens. The sequence continues at coordinate 53,604,968 of NC_000007.14, forward strand.
CAAGGAGACCAAATCATATGACTGATGGGCTTTCCTGAAAGAGAAGGAGAGTAAGCAACTTGGAAAACATATTTGAGGATATAGTCCATGAAAATTTCCCCAACCTTGCTAGAGATGAGGTTATACAACTTCAAAAAATACAGAGACCCCTGCAAGATGCTACACAAGATAACCATAACCAAGGCACATAGTCATCATATTCACCAAGGTCGAAAATAAAGAAAATCTTAAAGGAAGTTAGAGAGGACAGTCAGGTCACCTGTAAAGTGAACACCATTAGGGTAGCAGCAGCCTCTCAGCAGAAACCTAACAACTCGGAAGAAACTGGGGGCCTACTTTTGGCATTCTTACAGAAAAGAAATTCCAACCAAGAATATAATAGTCTGCCAAACTAAGCTTTAAAAGCAGAGAAATAAAATTCTTACCAGACAAGCAAGCACCTAAGGAATTCATTACCCCCAGAACTTTTACAGGAAGTTCTTAAGCAAGTACTAAACATGGAAGCAAAATATTGAAACTTGCTACCTATACTCCTGCACATAGCCTACAGATAATATAAAACAATTACACAATTAAGTCTACAAAATAAACAGCCAAACACATAATGATAGGATCAAAATCTCATATGTCAATACCAATGCTGAATATAAATGGTTTAAACACTTCATTTAAAAGGCATAGAGTGTCAAGCTGGATAAAAGAATACCCAAATGTCTTCTGTCTTCCAGAGATGCACCTCACGTATAAGTAACACCCACAGGCTTAAAGTAAGGGGATAAAGAAAGATCTACCAAGATAACAGAAAACGAAAAAGAGCAGAAATCACTATTCTTATATCAGAAAAAACTGATTTTAAACCAACAACAACCAGGAAGAACAAAGAGGGGCATTATGTAATGATAACGGCTTCAAATCTGTAAGGGGACTTAACCATCTTAGATATATATGCACCCAACAAAGCAGTACTCAGAGTCATAAAATAAGTTCTTCTTGACCTAGGAAAAGACAAATACAGCCACACATTAATAGTGGGGACTTCAGCAACCCACTGATAGTGTTAGACAAACCATCAAGGCAGAAAACTGACAATGAAATTCTGGATTTAAACTCAACACTTGAGCAATTGGATGTAATAGACACTACAGGGTATTCCATCCAACAACCACAGAGAATGTATTCTTCTCATCTGCACATGGAACATATTCTAGGAATGGCCACATGCTCGGCCATAAAGCAAGTCCCAATAAAATTTAAAAAATCAAAATTATACTAAGTACACTCTCAGACCAAACTGGAATAAAAATAGAAATCGATACCAAGAAGATCTTTCAAAACTACACAAAAACATGAAAATTTAAACACGTGCTTCTGAATAACTCTTCAGTGCACGTCAAAATTAAGGCAGAAATTAAGAAAATATTTGAGTGTAATGGAAATCATAGACAATATACCAAAACATTTGGGACATTGCTAAAGCAGAATGAAGAGACAAATTTTTAGTACTAACTGCCCTCATCAAAAGGGTAGAAATATCTCAAATTAATGACCTAACATTGCAACTAGAGGAACTAGAAGAAAATAATCCAACTCCAAAGCTAGTAGAAGAAAAGAAAAGAAAAATCTGAGAGGAACTGAATATAATTGAGATTCATAAGTACGTGCAAAATATCAGTGAAAACAAGAGTTGATTTCTCAAAAGAATAAATAGGATTGACAGACCATTAGTTAGATTAACAAATTAAAAAAAAGAGAAGCTCCAAATAAGCACAAACAGAAATGACAAACATGATGTTACAACCAATCTCACAGAAATACAAAAGGTCCTCATATGCTATTATGAACACTTCTATGCACACAAATTAGAAACTCTTGGGTGAAATGGAAAAATTCCTAGAAACACACAATCTCCAAAGATTAAATCAGGAAGGAAGTAAAAACCTGAACAGATCAATAACAAGTCCAGATGTTGAATCAATAATAGAAAATCTACCAACGAAAAAGAGTCCTGGTCAAGATATCCTCACAGCCAGTTTCTACTAGACATACAAAGAAGAACTAATACCAATCCTATTGAAACTTTTGCAAAAAATCAAGAAGGAGGGACTTCTCCCTAACTCATTCTATGAAGCCAGCATCATCCTGATACCAAAATCTGGCAGAGGCACGACTAAAAAAGAAATCTTTAAGCCAAAATTCCTTATGAATACACTTGGAAAAATCCTCAACAATGTACTGGCAAATCAAATCCAGTAACACAAAGAAAAGTTAATGCAACATGATCAAGTGGGACGCAAAGCTGGTTCTACATACATGAATTAACAAATGTGATTCACCATATAAACAGAATCAAAGATAAAAACTATATGATCATCTCAACAGACACTAAAAAGCCTTCACAACAAAATAAAATGAATCAATAAAATCTGCATTAAAATATTTATGAAAAAATTCAATTTTTAGATATTTTTGATGATTAGAGTCATATGTTAACTTGGCTAATCTTTATGACCAAGTGATGTAATCAAACATTAAGCTAGATGTTGCTGTGAGGATACTTTGTAGGTGTGGTTAACATCCATAGTCAGTTGACATACTTAAAAATCAATGATCTTATACATCTTTTTGGTTCTGTTTCTCTGGTGAGCACTGACAGATACAATTCTAACAGATCATAGTTTTATGACCCCCTTGTAAGAATCTATTTCATATAGAAGACACAGAAAAGTGTTACTCTAGGCAACCACTTCTTTATTTGAAGCTTTTAGAATGCACTGGCTTCTAAGAGAGATGAGTGATAACATTAAATTGGGAGTATTGTCCAGCCTGTTTAGGAAAAACCGAAGAAAGCAGTGGCAGAGGACACTGAGGAGTAGTGGGTGGTCTAAACTTGGTGCGAAGAGCATGGACGGTAAGTGGTTTGTGATAAATATTCTAGCACAATACTGTCTACTCTAATGTAACTTTTTTCCCTCAACTCATAGTAGGTTTTTAGTTTTCAGAATTATGTCTTATGGTGGCTATTGTTACAGGAACGTTTACAGTGTTACTATTTTGGAGAGCACAACTGTCAATTTGCCATTCCCAGCTAATTACAAGATTGTGTAAAACAGAGAGTAATTATCATTTACTGAGGCCCTCCCATGTGCCTGGCATATGTTATCACATTTCCCAGTACTTTCAGAGTAACCATTGTACCCAGTGCCCCACTTACTGGTATTGCCAGTTCAAAAGCAAAATACAACTGTGACAAATGATAACATGTATAGGAAATGTGCAGACCTCAGATTAAAGATTAGAGAAATAAAGTTGAGAATACACACACACACACACACACACTACTTCTAATCATTTAATGTATATTTCAATATTTGTAAATGGTAATTGTGTTATCAAGAGTTTGTTTTCTCTGAAAAAATTAATAATATTGTTTTATAAGTAGAATATTTTATGTTGGAGACAATCACCTCAGTTTGTTCCTGATTTTAGCTATTTAAAGAGGTTGATTTTCTTTTTTTCTAGGAAAAGTAGTTTCCTGGCCCCTGAAAGCTGCTTAAGTGTTGAATTAGAAACGAGTCATGGCAATTAGAAATAATTTTACTATAGATTCTATGAGAATAATGAAGTTGTTTCTATTTAAGTGTATCAAGTACAAGTGGCATATATGGTATATCCAAATGATAGTTTACATTTTCTCCTAATTTGATGCAATAGGCACACAGGAGCACTCCCTAATTCACAGATAGATTGTATTACAGAAGATTGTTTTAGAAAACTGAATATTTGGAGTTGCTTGAAGCCATTTCCCCTAGAGATACATTTTTAAATGATGTTTGATTTCTATATGAAGCATAAAATTTAAGAAGAAAACACTCTATTGTGTTACTGAAACATAATACAAAAGAAAATGTGAAACTTTATTTAAGATCATTCCATCATAATATGAACAATTCGCTTACTTCGTTTTATTTGAGAATTGCGATGTATTTATGTGGACTAGTTTCTCAGGGGCCAGCCAGGTAGTCTGTGTGCACCAGTACAGTGTTCATCTTCAAGGAGGAACACTAGTCTGCAAGTGTTTGGAATAATTGACTTCATCCATCTTATCTCAATAATAGTGTATGACTCTAGATTCTCTTCTTGGCTCACTTTTTCTGGCTCAATTTTCTCAACCTGATAGTTACATTTATTTAGATTTCTTCTATATTAATTATGTCCTGCAGGAAACTGTTTACTGTTGTGTTTAAGAGGCAATGAATCCAACTGACAAGTGTCCAATAAGACACAGCTATGATTTTGCCCCTAATCCCTTTCTCAGTGAGAGAAAAGAATTGTCTTCAGAGGACACAAGTAGTAGCTCATAGCAAGGGAGGGCAGAGTCCTGAAAGGCAGAAGGAGGAGGAGTCCATTCCACCACTGCTGGGTTTCCCAGGCAGAAATAAGCTGAGGGTGCACTGAGCGGGGACAAACCTTAAATGGAGGAAGAGCCTGGAGTCACATGATTGCTCAATTAGTCTTGATCTTTCTCCAGTAAAGAGTGGCTAGAAGGCTATTTACATGCCTGATTGTGACAGAAAAATGTTGTGGCTTGTCAGAAAATCCATTCACAGGCAGAGAGAAGACTATCAACAGAACAACTTTAAAGAGAACTGGTAGGGAGAGTGAAAGCATTCTCTGCAGGGGGTGTAATCCAGCTCATTTAATCAATGTAGCTTTACTCCGATTTCTTACCTTTAGAGTTTAAGGAACTAAAAAGCAAGACCCTCTGGTGATTCTTCCACTGTGCCTTCTTTCTGGCCTCTTGGATTCAGCTGGGGCATTTGTCGATTGATTTTATTTAAGGCACTGTTCTTGACTTGCTTCTTTTGCTAACATCCCTCTGTTTTCAATCTTCACCGAACATCCTTTATGTCTTACTAAGGAATTCAGCATTTCCTGCCTAAACCATTGTAAAAGTCATATTTGTGGATATTTTGTGATATGAGAATATCCATACAATTTACCTTCCCTGGTAAGGTCAAAATTCTCTTCTTAAGAGTTAATCATAGGTGAGCAATCCCCAAAAGGTAATCACCCAAAATTTAAAAATAAAGCAAGAGAATATAAAGCCAAATAAGATATCTCTGATATTATTTTCCAACTGTGTACAGGATCTTATTGTTGGGCATTAAGGTCCTTCTAAGCTTGCCCTAACTTATCTTTCTTAGATATTTACGTGGATAATATCCTCTATGTTCTAGCCATGCACTAGCTCTAAACTTTCCTCAAAATATTATGTTAGTTTCTCTGCTGGGAGAAAATTCAGGGAGGCTGAAGTGCAGACATTCAGTTAGTTAGACAACTGTAGCTCAGTCACTGTCTGGCTGAGCTTCCCACTCTTGGCAGCTGACTTAATGTTTCTTCACTCTTTACAGATGGATAAAAATTGCAAATTGTAAGTGTTTATATATGGGTTAAATGAGATAATATAATCAGATATTTAAACATAGTGTTTATTCAATAAAAAAAACAAGTGTAGTAATTACCTTATGAAACTTATACACACAAATCCCTCTTCCTGGAGACATGGGTAAATCTCAGCTCTAACATCTTGGGCTTAAGTTTCAGCTTCAGTATCATCTCCCCTTTAAATTAAATTTCATTCCTTTATTCCAATGAGGATTTTAACACAGAATATTTATATTTTACCACAATTAGAAAAGGACATTTTATAGTTCCTACTTAAGAGTGACTCTTTCAATGGCATGAATAATCTATTTAGATTCATATTTTCATAATGCCTGGCACAATGTGAAGTCTCAATAAATTGAATTATCAGGAACTGATATTAATTTGGCAGATGGTCTAGGAGAATTTTAAAAGGTGCACAGCACCCTTTTAAACACAGCCTGAGAGATGCTTGCACTTTTAGAATCCCTATGCCTTCCTAGTGTCCCCTGGGACCTCCCCCTGCAGTAGCTTTTGTCTGACCACTGGGCTACCCCACTCATGGCTCAGCCTCCTCCTTCCAGCATTTCCCTCTGGACTCCTCTTGGAAGAAACCTCCTGATGATTAGCAGCATGAAGAGCATAACCGATAACTGCAGGGATACAGTTCAGCTGAGGAGGAAAGTGGTAATTATTCCTTGAAACATAAAAGAAAAAAATCATTCCTACACTGCTTTTGTCCTTCACCTGACCTTGCCCTTGCTCTCCCTTCTCCCCACTCACACTTCCTCTCCTCAGTCACCTCCTCCTCGTTCTTCCCACTGACTCATTTCCTTCAAATATCCCATGTAGCTCTGACTTTAATCACGTTCCTCTGATTTTATGATGAAACACAGTTCTATGTCCTTCTACTGATGTTGAATTACTGTATTTATATTATTACATCATTGGAGTTAATAAAGTCCCCTGTGCTATGCATCTGTTATTTCATCCAGAAAGACAATGGGGTAACGCAAGTATATTGCACAGGGGATGTGGGGTCATTATGTGCTGTTTTGTCTTGTTTGGTCTGGACTTCAAGTGCTGCAGATTGAGTTAGTCATACTCTTCAATTCGTGGCCAAATGTAGGTCTGGACTGATCCTTACCTTCACTAATATGAAGGTTTCTCTATGCTCACATTTCTGCTACAGTTTAGCACCTATGAGTTTAATCGATTAAAATATATAAAAATAATATTTATAAATGATACTTTATTATTTTTATATGTATAATTTGTATTTGGTCTTTTTACTAATGGGTGTAAGCATCTCTTTGACAGTTAGCTTGTATGGCTCCTTCTGCTATTCATTGCACCTGCATACCCTCAGCCCATTTTCCCAGGGAAGCAACTGTCTGTGTCTTCATGGCATGCAGGATTTCAGATTAATTTCTTCTTCATTTTAGACATAGCAAATCACTTTCTCAATCTGCTCATCTGCCTATTAACTTTGATGATGGTGCCCTTTTCTGAAGATAATTTATTGCTTTTATATAGTCATATTAATGCAGTTTTATCTCAAGGTTTATGCTTTAGATGTTTTGCTTAAAATATATCGTTTATAGAAATTCAAGAAAATATTATTTTATATTTTTTATATTAAGAACATAAATCTATATTTTAAAAATTATATTTTAGTCTATTTAGGTTTTACATTTTTATTTGTATCTTTACCTTTTTATTTGTATTGAAACTTAAGTGCAGTTTCCCCAACATCATGTTAAACAACTTATTTTTCACCTTGTGTTTATGTTACTAACTTCATTGTATATTTATTTTCCACACATAGATTGACGTTTCCCTGAGCTCTTTATTCAATTCCATTAGTCTATCTGTTTATTATTTTATGTATACCATAATGTATTCAAATATAGAATAAACAGTTTAGGGGATGGATAAGAATCAATAATATTTTCCATCTTTCAAAACAATATAAATACATCTATAAATTGGACAATAGATCAAATGTTTACTCCATAACGGACAGGGATCTCAAGAATCCATGATAGGTAAGAATATTTCTTAAACTATCCTGGAGCCTCTACATAATGACTACAGAGTCTTTTTATCAGACAACTGATAAAAGAAAGAGAGACAGTGACTATTAGAAATGTGTTTATGAGGCACATTAATAATTTTAAATAACATGTTATATGGAAAATACATAGTTATAGAGTCCAGAACTTATGTAATTTGCCAAAAGAATGACCAGTTTGTCTGATAAAAATCACGATATTTTTAAGTACTTTATCGTATGATTAAAAATCACATATTCTTGGGAGGCCAAGGCAGGTGGATCACCTGAGGCCAGCAGTTTGAGAGCAACCTGGCCAACATGATGAAACCCTGTCTCTACTAAAAATACAAAATTTAGCTGGGTATGGTGGCAGGCACCTGTAATCCCAGCTACTCGGGAGGCTGAGGCAGGAGAATTGCTTGAATCAGGAGGTGGAGGTTGTAGTGAGCCGAGATAGTGCCATTGCACTCCAGCCTGGGTGACAAGAGCAAAACTACGTCTCAAAAACAAAAAAAAAAATCAAGATATTCAAAATGCTACTAATATTGTCTCTAATTAGTAATAGAATATTTATTGTTATATATATATATTTTTTTACCTTGGATGACCTTGAATGCTGCAAGGTCCACTCCTTCTTTGACTGAATTTTATGTCTTTTAACTTTTTCATAAAATAAATACTCTTTTTACAAACAGAAGAATAATTATATTTTTGAATGGTAACTGGATTCAGGATTTTTGTTTGTTTGTTTGTTTGATGCGAAATGCCATTATGTCAGAGGCAACCCTGCTGAGGCACTTACTTGTACGTGTGACCTACATAGGCTTTCAAAGGTCAGCAAAAATTGTGATTGCTTGCAGATTGCTTTGACATTTTTGAACAAGTTCACAAATAAAAATATGCATCCGATCTTGTGTCCTTTCACTGAATATTTTCCCTTTTCCTATTCTCACTTTCCCAATAACATTTTTTCTCTTACTCTTTTTTGGCTCTTATTTCTCCCTCTAGCCACAATTGTCCTCTGAATTTAAGATCCACAACAGCAGTTTACTCTGTGTCTCCTACCATAGTTCTCTCTGTCTCTTTTCTTGATCACTCCTTTTCTGGTAGGTTTTCTTAGACTCAAGGAGGAAAAAGGGCGGACAGACTGATGAAGGAAGCAATAGAATATTGTTACAGCTCATCAAAAGTGGAAAAAAAAAAAGAGAGGGGTACAATTTGCAACATAAAAACAATTGTTCCTACTCTCAAAAAGTTACTCTAGGATGAATTACAAATAGCAGTTCACTATTATGAAGTGGATGGGGGTGTGGAGGGAGTGAGGAAAGGAGAGAGAGAGGGAGAATATGATTACGCTGGGATGGGGCCAGTCCCTCAGGAAGAACCCTTGAGTATAAACTTCCTACAATGTCTTTCTATAATCTTCAGATTTGAAGGATGATTTGACAAAATATAAAATCTTTGGCTCATAAATTTATTCCCAGCCTCCTTCTGGAAAAGTTGCTAATTTCCATCATGCTTTGATTTTTTGCTATGGGAAAGAAATCTTATACCATCCTGATTTCATTTCATTGTAAATAAGGTGGTATATTTCTTTTGCCAGGAAACCTAGATTAGACAAGCTTTACATGGACATTTTCTAATTTTCTAACTTTTAAGATTCTGATTAGAGCTGTTCTTTTACATTTGCAAACGTTCATTTATTAATATTTAATTTTTTGTTGGAGTATTTTGTAGTCACTTTCTTCTGCTTCATGGTTCATATTTTGGGAAGTATTCTCATCAGCTGAAAAATTTTTTCTTCATTTTCCACCTCATTTTAAGGTAGCTTACACAAATATCTGTCATTTCATAGGTATTTCAACATTCTTAAATCACATTCTTAGATGTTACTTGACCAGAAATCACAGGCATTTCTATGGTAGTGGTAAGGTCCTTGGGTGAGTTATTAGATTTTATATTTTAAAAGTGCCCATCCTTTTGGTTCAAGAAGAGCATTGGGAAGGCTTTGGTATGTCCAGTGACACCAGGATGCTTTTGTTTCTATATGATTTTTTTTTTTTTTTTGAGACGGAGTCTCACTCTGTGCCTAGGCTGGAGTGCAAAGGCACGATCTGGGTCACTGCAACCTTCGCCTCCTGGGTTCAAGCAATTCTCCCACCTCAGCCTCCCAACTAGCTGGGATTACAGGCATGTGCCACCGCTCCTGGCTAATTTTTGTATTTTTAGTAGAGACAGGGCTTCATTTGTTGGCCAGGCTTGTCTTGAACTCCTGACCTCAAGTGATCTGCCTGCATCTGCCTCCCAAAGTGCTGGGATTACAGGCATGAGCCACCATGCCTGGCCGTTTTCTATGTGATTCTTTAGTTTTATCACCTCCTTTCTTCTCTCCCTTCATCCCTAAGACTTCAAGGGCCACCATCCCATTCAAGCCACTGCTTCTTACCTAGAATCAGTGTTCTCTCAGGACTGCCCATTGACCCTGTGTACTTCTGAGGCCCTTCCATTTCGTTTGTTGGTAGTGAGTGCTCTGATCTTCCATGTCTCAGCTCTTCTCACAATATATCCCCATTCAGTGCGGGACCTGTTCTTTGTTGCATGATTTTATCTAGTCCCATCACCATTAACAAACAGCTGCATTTTTTTTTCTTGTGTATTCTTTGCCTGATTTTCCACTCTTCTGCACCACATGGAGCGAACTTGCTTGCCTGAGTATTTTCACAGTGAAGTATAATTGAAGTTTGGAGTACTCTCGTCTCCTATGTATGTTCTCCTCATGGATTTAGAAAGGTTTTATGCACTCTAATGTTTGCGCTATGTAATTTTGGAGAATGTCTGTAGAGACATGTATTTTTTTCAGTTTTCAGTTTCTTGTGGGACTCTCAAGTTATTTGTAAGTCCTTATATTCTGAATATCAGAAGATGAAAGAATTTTCTTGTCAAATGAGCATTTACAGTATAAGTGATATGCATAGTGTTGTAATAGGTTTTCCTATTCTACACATATTCAAGGAGGGTACTTGAAACACCTGACATTGTTCAAGCTTAGTGTTTCCACAGGAAACATTTGTGGGAACTGATTTCCAAATGCAAATTCACATACTTCAATATCACATCCTTGTAAGTTGTAAAATGCAAGCGAACAAAAATATTCCTTTGAAAGTTTGTAACTTGTAACCTAAAAAAGCAGTCAGCTGCTTCTAGCCACCGGTAAAAGTGTTATACACCACCTGGTGCACTGGTTCTTGAACTTCACTGTATATAGGAAGCCAAACAATAGAGGAAATTATGAAAAATGTATATTTCCCCACCAGACCTGCAGAAATTCTGATACAGCAGGTATCTGGGTTGAGCCCCAGGGTTCTTCACTTTTTATCATTGAAGATCATTGTAAGATCTCTGGTTATTCTAGTTGAGAAATACTGTCTCACGCCTTTTGTATTATGTTGTTCCTCAAATCTGCTTAGCCTTCCCTCACTGCAATAATTATTGTTCAAAATTACAGAATATACTTTACTACATTAAACAGTAGTTATCCATTCTGATAGATTTACATTCCATTACATGGTGTCTACTTTGTTCCTCAAGATATTCATAGTACACAGCACATTATTTGTGTATTGTAGGCAGCCAATACATATTTATTGAACATGTGAATAATTGAAAATGACAAAAGCAGTCAGACGCGGTGGCTCACACCTGTAATCCCAGCACTTTGGGAGGCCGAGGTGGGCGGATCATGAGGTCAGGAGATCGAGACCATCCTGGCTAACACGGTGAAACCCCGTCTCTAATTAAAATACAAAAAATTAGCTGGGCATGGTGTCGGGCGCCTTGTAGTCCCAGCTACTCAGGAGGCTGAGGCAGGAGAAAGGCAGAATGGCATGAAACTGGGAGGCGGAGCTTGCAGTGAGCAAAGATCGTACTACTGCACTCCAGCCTGGGCGACAGAGCGACTCTGTCTCAAAAAAAAAAAAAAAAGAAAGAAAATGACAAACGCAAAAACGCAACCATACTGTAGATAATCATTTTTAGGTTATTAAAATTAAATTTGAGTGATTGATATTTTAATGTGACATGTAGAATACCTTTATCTATTTTAATGTATATTTCATATGCTATCAATTCAAGGCCATTAAGTTGTAAAACTGCCTATAAGTAGCAACAAAAATTATAATGTAGAAATAATTATTTTAAGAAGTTTTTTGTAAATAATTTAAACTCCTTCGTTTGAACTAAGAGGAAAATATGCCCAGAAGTATTAAAGCACTTATCTCCCATCACACACACCCCTTCATGTGCTGGCCCACTCAGGATCAGTGAGGACCAGGGCCCAGGATTCTTTTCTTGGCAAATTGATGCTACTCTAAAGGGAGCTGCCTATTGAATAAGATAAGTTTAGGTTGATCTTCCAGGGTTTTGCCCCCGTTTAAACTATAATATCATTGAAATTAATATTCAGAATCCCGAGTCTCCTGCTCTGACCTTTTATTTTCCTGCTCGATTTTTTAATTTTAAAACTGACATATAATAATTGTACATATGCATGAGATACCTAGTGATGTTTTGATTCATATAATGTATAGTGATCAGGTCAAGATAATTAGCATATCCATCATCTCAAACATTTAATATTTCTTTCTGTTGGGAACATTAAATATCCTTCTTCTAGTTATGCAGAACTATATGTTATTGTTAACTACAGTCATTCTACAGTGCTATGGAATACTAGACCTTATCTCACCTGACTTGCTGTCATTTCCTTTTCTGTTGTAGGTGCTGCCCCTCGAGTCCTATATTCAATGACTCTCAAATGTCCTTTTCACTTAATTTATTGGCAACAATCTTTATTTCCAATAGACAACTACTGATTAGGTCTTGTGTTCAAGATTTTTAAAAAATGATTCTAATTATTCTTTCATTGTGGATTGCTATAATTTAATGTAAAAATTTATACTTGCCATATCCATTTCTGATCGTCCACCATGTTTAGAAACTTTACTGAATACATCACAAACATTACCCCATCTCTTCCTCAATGTAGTTCTGCAGCAAATATGGAACCACCTACAATACATAGATGAGGTCATTGAAATTAAGGCAGCACTTGCATTAAGAGTCTGCAAACTGGTATTTATAATTTCATTAACTGCTGAACTTGTAAATTGTTCCTCTGAAAGTTATATTACACAAAGGAGAGCGCATTTGCCTCAGAAGCAAGTATTAAGCTTCAGGTAAGAGCCAGAACTATCTTCTTTTTATTTGTTTCTTTATTACCTGAGAAATTTATGGCTAGACCTCTCCCAGTTTAAGTATTGAATCTGATCCCTAGTGTTTCCTGGGTGATGGACTGTGTATCCAGGCCTCAGGGATCTTTTTTATTCATAATTTCATCTCCTGGAGCCTCATCTGCCTCGAAATAGGTATGTCAAGATGACAGTTCCTATGAATTTTCCTTACCTAGGATTTAATTAGAGGCCATTGTCCCTTATTCTCCTCTGACATTAGTTATCCAGTCCCTTTCTCAATTCCAGGTTCTTCCAAAACAGAAGCAAGTACACAAAGCAAAGCAAAAACTCACAAGATTCCTCACAGTCTTGTTCCAGTGCATTGCACATACAAAAAAAAAATGCTCAGTCCATAATGCATTTTAATCATTAAGCCAACATCAACTTTTATTAAATGGTATCTACTCTCCAATTCCTTAGCATTTCAAAAATCATGGGAACCTAAGTTCTCCTGTTGCTATAAAATCCATTAGTATATTATATTTCTTCCCATTCAGAAATATGGCTTTTTTGATGTGCTTGCTTCCTTGATGGTTTTTCAAGACACAGAAGCAACTTCTTTAACCCTACCTTACCCAGACCTCTCAAGTAACACTTAACTGAACTTAATTAATTGGTTTTTCTTTCCCTCTTGGTCAGCTGCATCTGTTCCCACTTTCCCCTCAGCTCTGATCAATGAACACAAATAATATACATGCATTCCCCACAGTGGCCATACCATTAATATGTGTGTATAAATAGCTCATGCTTCATTGTAACTCAGTATCACTAAAACTTTGCTTAGACGCTTCCGAGCATTCAAGGCATAGGTCTAGACCAAGTGCGCATTGAGAAATGAAGGAAGAGCAGGGTAGCTCTGTTGCTACTCTTGGTGAAACATGTGATGTGATGTGTAAATCACAGTCACTGCTTGATATGGTTTGCCTGTGTCCCCACAAAAATCTCATCTTGAATTGTAGTTTCCAGAATCCTCATGTTTCGTGGGAGGGACCAGGTAGAGATGATGGAATCATAGGGGAGGTCTCCCCAATCCTGTACTTTTGATAGTAAGTTAGTTCTCATGAGATCTGATGGTTTCATAAGCAGCATCACCCTTTGCTCAGCAGTCATTCTTCTCCTTGCTGCCATCTTGTGAAGAAAGATGTATTTTCTTCCCTTCTACTATCATTGTAAGTTTCCTGAGGCCTCCTCAGCCATGGTGAACTGCAAGTCAAACCTCTTTATAAAACAAATTACCCCAGTCTTGGACATGTCCCTATTAGCAGCATGAGAATGGACTAATACAGTAAACTGGTACCAGGAATGGGATGCTGTTGTAAAAATACCCAAAAATGTGGAAGCTACTTTGGATCTGGGTAGCAGGAAGAGATTGGAACAGTTTGGAGGGCTCAGTCAAGAAGGTAGGAAGATGTGAGAAAGTTTGGAACTTCCTAGAGACTTGTTTAATGGCTTTGGCCAAAATATTGATAGTGATATGGACAATGAAGTCTAGGCTGAGGTGGCCTTAGCCACCTAAGATGAGGAACTTGTTGGGAACAGGACTAAAGGTGACCCTTGCTATGTTTTAGCAAAGATACTGGTGGCATTTTGCCTCTGCCCTAGAGATACGTGGAACTTTCAACTTGAGAGATGATTTAGGGTATCTTGAGGAAGAAACTTCTAAACAACAGAAGTGTTCAAGAGTTGACTTTGGTGTTGTTAAAAGCATTCAGTTTTATGTATTCACAAAGATATGGTTTGGAATTGGAACTCATGTTTAAAAGGGAAGCAGAGAATAAAAGTTTGGAAAATTTGCAGCCTGATGATGTGATAGAAAAAACAAAAAAGAAAACCATTTTCTGAGGAAAAATTCAAGCCAGCTGTAGAAATTTCCATAAGTAAGGAGGAGCCCAATCTTAATCACCAAGACAATGGAGAAAATGTCTCCAGGGTATATCAGAGGGCTTTGTTTGAAATGCTTGTTTTCTGGTGCCATAAAGAAATAGCACTTGAACATAAATTTAATTTATTTAGTAAGGCCATTTTTACTTTTTGCAGAAAGGGTACACTTGCCAGCAGTTTTGCCACGAGAGTACATGGAATAAAGGAGACAGGGTCATTTAAAACCTGATGCATTTCCCTTCCTGCTGTGTCCGGTTTTTATTGGCTGGAACGGGACTTTATATTTTGTATTTGCCTCAATTGGCTAGCAACTTAGAACTTTTAAAAGAGGCAAAGGTAAAGGAGAACAAAGGAAGGAGGAAGTAACTTGTGGAATGTTGAGAAAGGTAAAAACACTTTTAAATAAGGAAGAGGAATAGGCTATGACCTAATGCTTACTTGGACTAGTATAAGCATGTCAGGGCAAATATTTAGGCTAAATTGTGGGAGCTAAGAACATAAAGAACATTGATTTTTTTTTATTACAGCTAGCATATATTTAAGAATGTTAGCACAGGTCTTTGAATAAATTTTGCTTCTAAGAGAAGTTACTATTTATTTTTAATTAGATGGTGAGGAAAGTCTTTTAAGAGGAACCTCTACTTTACTTTTTACATCTTCAAAGCTGCCTCTCCCATCACAGGCCCAGAGGCCTAGGAGAAAAAAAAATGGTTTAGTGGGCCAGGCCCAGGGCCTTGATGCTTTGTGCAGTCTCAGGACTTGGTGCCCTGCATCCCAGCCATGGCTAAAAGGAGTCAAGATACAGCTTGGGCCATGGTTTCAGAGAGTGCAAGCCTTAAGCCTTGGCAGCTTCCACGTGGTATTGAGTCCGCAGGTGCACAGAAGTCAAGAATTGAGGTTTGGGAACCTCTGCTTAGATTTCAGAGGATGTATGGAAATGCCTGGATGTTCAGACAGAAGTTTGCTGCAAGGGCAGAGTCCTCAGGGAGAGCCTCTGCTAGGGCAATGTGGAAGGAAATTGTGGTGTTGGAGCCCCATACAGACTCCCCACTGTGGCACTGCCTAGTGGAACTGTGAGAAGTGGGCCACCGTCCTCCAGAACCCAGAATGGTAGACTCACCAACAGCTTGAACCATGCACCTGGAAAAGCCACAGATACTCAATGCCAGCCCATGAGTGCAGGCAAGATGGGGGCTGTACCCTGCAAAGTCACCGGGGTGAAACTGCTCAAGATCATGGGAGTCTACCTCTCGCATCAGTGTGATCTGGATGTGAGGCATGGAGTCAAAGGAGATCATTTTGGAGCTTTAAAATTTAATGGCTGCCCTGCTGGATTTTGGACGTGCCTGGGGTCTGTAACTCCTTCAGTTTGGGCCAGTTTCTCCCATTTGGAACAGGTGTATTTACCCAATGTCTCTACCCCCATGGTTGTCTAGTAAGTAACTAACTTGCTTTTGATTTTACAGACTCATAGGCAGAAGGAACTTGCTGTGTCTCAGACGAGACTTTGGACTTGGACTTTTGGGTTAATGCTGGAATGATTTAAGACTTTAGGGGACAGTTGGGAAGGCATGATTGTGTTTTGAATTGTGATGACATGAAGATTCGGGAGGAGCGAGGGACAGAATGATATGGTTTGGCTGTGTCCCTACCCAAATCTCTTGTCTTGAACTGTAGTTTCCATAATCCCCACATGTTTTAGGAAGGACCAGATGGAGATAATTGAATCGGGGGGTGGGTCCTCCCATCCTGTTCTCATGATAGAGTTAGTTCTCAGGAGATCTGATTTTTTTAACAAGGGGCTTTTCTTTTTGCTGGGCACGTCTCCTTCCTGCCATATGTGAAGAAGGACGTGTTTGCTTCCCTTTCATGACTATAAGTTTCCTGAGTCCTCCTCAGCCAGGCTGAACTGTGAGTCAATTAAACCTATTTCCTTTATAAATTGCCCAGTCTCGAGTTTGCTTATTAGCAATGTGAGAACACTCTAATACACTGCTCAGCACCTCTAGATGGAGTACCTTTCCAAATGTTTGAAATAGATCCAAGACCTGCCATTGATTGTACTGTCTTACTACTGTGTCCAAATATTTCTATTCCAGAAAGAATGATATATTTTTGTTTTTCCTTAGGGCCAAGATGGAGTGTCCTATCTATACCACCCATCACACAGAACATTGAAATGCATCTATATTAGTGGTGAGAAGAGAGGCGGCCTGGGGGTGACCTTGAAATAAAAAAGAAGCATATGGAAATAAGCCTAGGGCTCTCAAATTCTGGATCTAAAAAGCAACAAAGAGAATCTCAGTGGTTGATGTGTCGGAAATAGAAAGTGAATGAGTTTGAGATTTTATATATATATATGCAAATAATAACAAATTGTCAGTTTTCTCTGACAAAAGTTTTAATTCTGCTTCATGGCTTTAAACATATGCAGTATATCTAGCTTCGACTTAGAATATAGAAAGCTGGAAGGAATATTGTTTCCACCCTTACAATAAACACAACAAAAACATGCTGGATTGTCTATTAAATTACAACTTTCTTCAACCTACTAGATTGCTGAGGACAAGAAAACAAACTGAAGAAAAAGAACCTCCAGGGAGACAAGGAGGCAAGCATTTGTGGGAGAAGATACAGCTGATGACAAGAAGTTTGCTAAATTTCGAGTAAATAATTGAGGCCAAGGGTGGGCAAGTGTGAGAGTATAGAAACCCTCAGCACCCTTTTCTCATGGACCTCTTGAGAAATATGGGAACACAGCGAGACGCAGAAGCAAACTTCCTTTGTGGTGAAAGTGTAAGGGAGAGAACAGTGGTGCCCACAGGCAAAGCTTCACTAAAGTCCTTCACTCCTATCGCTCCTATGGTACAAAACAAAAAGCTGGTCCAGGAAGGCTTGCAAAGCTGTTCTTCCCATGGAAAATCTATGGCAGTTGTGGTAAGGGAAGACTGAGGGAGGGAGTCAGAGAGAGGAAGAAAATAAGGAAGAAGTCTACTTTTGGAGAAAGACAAGAAGCATCCAGATTGTTAGACATTCTTCTGGCCAGACCTACTGAGAAAAGGGTACTGCACCTACTTAAGACTGTGGTGAACCAAACATTTCTTGGAAGAAAACAGCTTTTTCCCATCTCTAGTACTTTTCATTTCAACAAGAATTTCATAGAAAAGCATCCTTTTGAAAGTATGTTCCTGGCGCAACTGGCAATATATCATCTCTATATTCAATATATAATTCAAGATAAAATCAAATATAGGTCAGGATGATTATTTTTGAAATGTATACCAATCAATGTATTGGAATAAAGACATAACTTCTACCTTTGATAACCTGGAAATATTTTTTGAGACACATAGTTTTGGATGTCAAAGGAAGAGAAAAAATGTTAGAGGCAGCTATGAGGATGCGACAAGGAATCCAGGCCAAGTTTTCAGGCAGGAATATGAAAGGGGTGATTAACGAATCATGAGCAGACCGACTTGACTAACCCATAAAGGTGATGGCTACTTAACAGGCCTGGAAGCAGATGAGGTGTAGTCTCAAACCAGCTTAAGTATTGGGGGGCGATGGGGACAATATTGAGCACATACTTATTAAATAATAGGAAAGTGTCAGTTATGCCTTTGGTGGCCAGGGCAAAAAGAGATTGGCAACAGGGGGATTTTCATGAAGCTCTTCTACAAATGCTATCTGTGGGTTTGTTCAAAGCTTGAGCTCAAACAAGGTCATAGATGTAGAAAGGAGCGCACCTGTGTAAGGGGGATCTACTGGAGCATTCATGCCCCAACCTAACAGTGTGCAAAACACATTGTGCACTCTCCACAAGAACAGTGACATGTTTGAAGAATACTCATTCATTTTTTAAATATATTGATTATCCTTCAGAGTCACAGTTAGGAAAATGTATGCAGTCTTAATCTTGAGATCTAAAGACCAGAAGAGTAAATGCAAATTTTACTAACGCAATATATTTTGCCATAAAATTTACCATAAAATGATCATTCCACACTCTTCATCTCATGTGGATCATATAAGCCAACATGTTTTTATCAAAACTCCCATTATTATATTATTATTGACATTATTAGCACAAAAAACAGGATTTGAAATGGAAAATAATAGCACCAAATGTATGTATTCAAATAATATCATTTACACAGGTATAGCCAACAGAGGATGAGATTAAAGATCCATGACAAAATAAAGTGAAGAAAACAGAATTAAGAAATCCTGATGTACATAAAGTTAGTGTCTTCTCAAGTTTCTAAGAGAGTTCACTCTGAAAAGCCTGCAAATGCAAAGGAGCATTGTAAAGATTGCAGTGATGTGGGATCTCTCAAAGATACCCAGCTGTATTAGGGTTCTCCTGCGAAAATGGAAGATGCATACATATAAAATGAGATTTGGCTCACCTAATTATGGAGGCCCAGAAGTCCCACAGCCTGCTTTTTGCAATCTTGGGAGAAGCAGCAAAACAGAAGGGTAATTCAGTTTTAGTCTAAAGACCTGAGAATGGGGGTAAGGTTTATTTGTGTAAGTCATAGAGTCCAAAAGCCAGAGAACAAGGAACAGCGATATCAGAGGGCAGGAGAAGATGGATGTCTCAGCTCAAAAAGAGAGCGCAAACTTGCCCCTCCTTTACATGTTTGTTCTATTCTGGCTCATAATAGATTAGTTAATGTTTGCCATCATTGGTGAAGGCAATCTTCTTCACTCAGTCTTCAAATACAAATGCTAATACCTCCCAGAAATGCCCTCACAGATACATCCAGAGGTAATATTTTACCTGCTCTCTGGATATCCCTTAGCCCAGTCAAGTGGACACATACAATTAGCCATCAATGCCATCTATGGAACCAAAATAGAAATCAGTACGGAAAGATCAGTGTGAGGCCATCAGCTGCAATAAGAAGGGGTAAAAGTCATATGCCAAATGTCCCGGCCCCCAAACTATGACCAATGACGCCCTTCTCTCGAGTTGATCATCTACAATATTAGACAATGTGGTCATGAATAATAATTTACTTGTAACATTTTTAAATGAAGCTAATATGAGAAAATGGCCATAAGGATGTGATGCACTGTTAACTCTGACAGAATTATAAGTTATTTTACACCTCAAACTAGTAGCTTCTTTGTCTGTTAATAACATTTTACCTACTGGACACTGACATCATCCAGGAATTCTTAATTCACATTCCAAATCTTTTAGTAGTGACTTTCAAGTAGCAGGGTTTGTCATGGTTTAACACTAAAATAATGACTTATTAAATTAGTAATTTATATACATCATTAAATTAAATTATATATTAATCAGATTATTTGGTCATCAATCCAAGAGAATATTAATGAACTTGGTTAACCATGAGCTCATCCATTAAAGAGGAACACTAGGGTCATTTTCAGACAATTCCAGTCATGCACAGTACATTACATTCTCGTGTCCTTAACCAGGGCCATAGAAAAAAAACAAGAAAAACTATTATTGGAAATTTACTTTGTCTCTACTCCTTTTTTCTTTGGGGACTTTGTTTTCTGTGCTCAATGTAATGGAGTTTATTAAGCCCTGCTCCAATTTAGATGGAATGCCTATTCTTCCACCCAAATTTTGAGACATTTTCTCCATGGGGATTCATATGTAAGAGTCCAATCACCTGCAGCAGTCAAAGAAAACAAAAGAGAAGATGACATTTCTTGTCTTTGTTCACTTCACCTCCACCAGTCTCTAGGGGTCTGAGAATCCTACTAGGGAGCAGGCCAGGGAGCCAAGATTGTCTGTTTATTCGGTCTCATCCAGCAGCATTTTGTCCTGCAGCAAACAGATTTCTACCCTCCTTATAAAATATCCTTCCACAAGGGGCAGTTTATTCAGATCTGCTGTGGGATGTATCCAGAACCTAAACATAAGCAGTGTTAATGAAGTCAGCTACATTCTAGCTGCAAAGAGTCTCTTATCTATAATCTTCATGGTGAGCACAAGTGATGGAGAGAATGCACTTTCAACTACATGCTGTCAATGAGCACCTGAATTCACCAACACTACAATTACTCCTCCTCCAGGTTTTTTGCAACATAACTTCACAAACATTCCTATGATTTACTATAATTTTAGTTGGAGTTTTTTTTATTGTTATTATTTGAGGACAAAACACCCTGTGTGACACAGAGTAGTTTTAATTCCATGCTCTCAGAGGCTTTTCTTGTCCTGACTTTGGGAAAGATGTAATCTGTCTCTTAGCCCATAGAAAGCTCCATTTCTGTGGCAGCCAGAATTTCAAAATGACCCCATGGTTACCACCCACTAGAGGAGACACCTGTGTAATACCTTGACCTTGAGTGTGAGCAGGTCTACTGAGCAGGATTTTCTAGGCACCACTTTCATTAGATTATGTTACATATGATCCTGTTGTGGTAGAGAGCAGTAAACTATCCAGTTGACTTTCAAGAAGTGATTCTTGCCAGAGGTCCATGTGGCTAGAATTTGAGAATAGCTTTTAAATTATGAGAGTGATCCCCAGATACAAACCAGGAAGAAAACAGAAATCTCAGTCTTACCACTGCAAGGAAATGAATTCTGCCAACAGCCCAAATAAGCTTGGAATGGGACCCTGAGTTTCAGATAAGGTTGCAGTGCTCATCAGCATCTTAATTTTAGCTTGGTGAGAGACTGAGCAGAGGACGTAATTAACCTGTGCCTGAACTCCTGACCCTCAGAAACTGCAGGAAATACATGTGTCTTGTTTTTTGTTGTTGTTTGTTTGTTTTGTTTGTATTTATTTATTTATTTTGAGACGGATTTTCACTCTTGTTGCCCAGGTTGGAGTGGAATGGCGTGATCTTGGCTCTACTGCAATCTCTGCCTCCCGTTTTCGAGTGGTTCTCCTGCCTCAGCCTCCCGAGTAGCTGGGATTACAGGCATGTGCCACACGTGTGTTGTTTTAAGCCACTGTATCTGTGGTGATTTGTTCTCCAGCAATAGAAAAGCAACACAATCTTCCTGCAACCTCTACTGCACTACCTACTGTAAATTCTGGAGGAATATCACCAGTATCTATAAAAGTGAAATATGCACTGTGAATTAGTATTTTTGCAAAAATCAGTGTAACATATATGTCTAAAGTTTGCATAAATCTCAAATACTTAAACAATGAGACTTGAGTTGTAATCAATGATAATTTGGTACAAAATATTGCAATCTAGGTAACATTTATTTTCAAACTTGATGTTTTATATGTATTTTATTTCCTTAGCAGTAACCTATCCGGTTTCAACTATCTTAAATGTGTTATGTGGTTTCTACTGCTTCACAATTCAACTCATAATATCCTAATTCAAGTAGAGAATAACAAAATCAGCACTACATATTCTTTTGAAATTCCTGAGCAAATTTAGATGACAGGTGTAGAAATTGCATGACTAATTCAGAGGATATGAGATTGAAAAGCCGTATACTAGCTGGCACATATGATATTTCCATCTCATTCAATTCAGAGAGCGTAGCCCTCAGAATCACCTTTTATTAGCAAAACATTTGAGGACTGATATAAATTTGAATAAGTGGCAAAGCAATTTGTCATAGATCAAAATGCCTTTCCTTCTTTGCTACTACAAGCATTTAAAGCCTTCTTGCATGTTTACGTTCATTAATTTCACTCCATGGGCATACTGTAGCATGATAAAGCACTGGAAAACAAAATACTGCATTGATAAGTACTTTAAAATGCTTATAAGCTTCAAATTGAATTATTTGTCTAAATAAGATTATCTGATTATAAAAGGAAATAAATATTCATTGTGGTTAATGTGGCAATTACAGATAAACAAAATAAAACATCAGGAGTACTTCCAGAATTCAGTTTTAAACATTCTTAGTAATATAGAATGTATCTGCAAAACATTTGAAAATAAGTAATTGTTAGGTTAAAAATAAAGACATTTGTACTAAAAACAATTCAAAAATAAAATTAAGAAATCATCTTATTTACAATGATATCAAAACAAAGAATATACTTAAAAATAAGCTTAATCAAAGAGGTGAAAGATTTGTATAATGAAAACTACTAAACTTTAATAAAAGAAATTAATGGAAAGATAGCTTGTGTTTGTGAATTGGGAGATTTAATATCGTTAACATGTTCATACTAGGCAAAGTGATCTACAGATTCAATGCAATCCCTATCAAAATTCAAATGGCATTCTGCTATGTTCTGAATGCCTCTGCACCTTCAAAATGCGTATGTTGAAATTCTGCCTACAAAGTCTATGGTATTATGAGGTGAGGTTTTTGAGGTAATTAGTCTTGAGAACAGAGCCCTCTTAATTGGGATTAGTGCTGTTATAGAGGAGACCCAAGAGAGATACGTACTCCTTTCTGCCATGTAAGGTTAGAGAGAGAAGGTGTCTGTCTATGAGGAAATGTGCTGTCAGTAGACACCAAATCTGCCAGCACCTATTTGACTTCCAGCCTCCAGAACTGTGAGAAATAATTTCTACTTTTTATGACACCCAGCCTATGTTCCTTTGTTATAGTAGCCAGAATAAACAAAAACACAATGTTTACAACAATTAAAATAACCCTAACATTTATATGATACCACAAAAGACCCCAAATAGGGAAAACAGTCTTGAGAAAGAAGAACAAAGTTGGAGGCCTAACACTTCCTGATTGTAAATTATAGTGTAATGCTACAGTGACCAAAAGAGTGTGTTCATGGCATAAAAGTAGACATACAGACAAACAGAACAGAATAGAAATTTCAGATATAAATCCATGCATATACACTAAAGCGATCTTCAAAAAGGGTGCAAAAACACACAATGGGGAGAGGTAGTCTCTTCAACAAATGGTACTGGGAAAGCTGGTGTTGTGTTTTCTCCTAATTTCTTCATGAGGTCTCTCACTGGAGAACTGCTGTGAACCCTAGCCCAGAGAGGGCTACAGGGATTTGGTTCTGGATGTTAATAGTGTGCCCATCCTAGGCACTTCTTTATCCTGGTGAGTGACCTAATGCCTTTGTGTTCAACCCATGATCTAGTAAGTCTCTGAGAGAAAAGTTGTTTATACTATCAGACAGCACTCTGGCTCTTGCCTGCTCTGTGTCCAGCTTATTCCTACCAAGATAATCAATCTCTAGGAAAGCCCTGGCCAGGAAGAGAGTTAGGTTCGGGCGTATGGGTCAGGTGAGACACAAAGGAGACCTCGCAGGTCAAGACACAAAAACCACAGAAGCAATTTTAATATTTAGAGATTCCGGTGAGAAGAAGGCAGCACACTTTGTGGGGCCAACTGTCTCAAGGGTGGCCGAAACCTGCTTCTGGAATGAGAAACTCCAACTTATATTCAAAATTGATGCTGAGTCAACACTTAATTATAGGAATTCACTACAACTGGATAAGCACATGCAAAAAACAAAACAAAACAACAACAACCAAAAAAACCCACCAAAACTATAACTGTCTTACAACATGTATAAAACCAAACTCAAAACTGATGAAAAATTTAAACATAAGACTTAAAACTGCAAAACTCTTGAAAGAAAACATACAGAGAAAGCTTCGTAACACTGGACTTGGCAATTATTTCTTAGATATGACAATAAAACCACAAATGACAAAAGAAAAATTAGACAAGCAGAAAAAAGCTTCTCCATAGCAAAGGAAACAATCAACAGAGTAAAAAGGCAGCCTACAGAATGAAGGAAATACCTGCAAACCATACATACCATAATGATGATCCTTATACATGGTTTGAAAATATATATATATGGAACTCCTACAACTCAACAGCAAAAATCACAAATCAACCAATTTAAAAATGGGCAAGAGACTTGAATAGACATTTCTCCAAAGAAGACATTTAAATGGCCAACAGGTATTTAAAAAAATGTTCAATATCACTGATCATCAGGGAAATGCAAATCAAAACCATACTATTAGGATGACAATTAGCAAAGAGACAGAAGTGTTGGTGAGCATGTGGAGAAATTAAAATCTATGTATACTATTGGTAGAAATGTAAAAAGGTACAGCTACTATGAAAAACATTACAGAGGTTTCTTAAAGAATTAAAAATCGAATCACTATGTGACCCAGCAATCTCACTTCTGGATATATATTTTAAAAGTTGAAATCAGCATCTCAAAAGATATTTGCACAGTCATGTTCATTGCAGCATTATTCATAATAGCCAAGATATAGAAACAATCTATGTGCTTGTTGACAGAAGAAGGGATTACAAAAAGCCAACTATGGTATATAAATATAAGGGAGTATTATTTAACCTAAAAAGGAAGACATTCTGCCCTATGTGACAACAAGGATGAACAGGAGGACATAATGCTAAGTGAAATTAGCCAGTCACTGAAGAATAATACTGCATCATTTCACTTATATGAGTTATCTTAAAAAAAAAAACAAAAAAAAATTGTTTACATTTACGTATATTTGATAATGATAAAATTGAATTTTTTAATATAGAATGACCACTATTATTGTCCCTTAATATAGTTAATGGCAAATATGTTAAAATGTTTTACTTCTTTCTGGGAGGTATCAATTATCAAATGTGTTAGAATATTTACTATTTTTTTTTTACTTTTGTTGTTGTTTTAAGTGTTTGCATTTGTGTGGGTATACGATTTGACATTTAGAAGTCAATATCCAAGTAAATATCCAAGTAGTCAAAAGCAATTGACATACTACTTTCTGATTTTGATCTATGGTCTTGTACTTAGAAAAACTTTCTCCATCACTAAGTATATTAAAAAAATCCTAGCATTCCTGGAAAAGTAATGAGCACATAGAAACGCTTAAAAGAGCTTCACTTTTCTCTTAACCAGTAAATTCCATCAATAAACATTTGCAAGAGATTTTGATGAGGGTTCAATTTGCCTGTTTTCCTAAGAAAGGGGAAATAAATTATTATTCCACTTTTAATTCTTTTCTTCACAACAATGAAGTTCATTTTTTTAACCTTTAAATCTTTGATTAATTTCTATTTGAATTCATACATTTTTGAAGTAATAAAGTGAGTGTTTTTTTCTTGAAAATATATATTTTTATTTTTTGTTTGTTTAGGGGAAGGTTGGATTATGAATACCCTTTATATTCAGATTCACTAATTATTTTGGAAGGTCTAATAAACTTATCTTCTATTTATGTTTAATGTATGCTTTCTTAATATTTCACTTGGATTCTCAATAAATATTTAGGCAAGGGATATCAAAACAATGCCAAATGACTATATTTCAACTCAAAGAGCTGTTAAGAAGACATATATCCCCACGTTTCCCCATTTTACACAGAGTGGGGGTCCAGTAGGTTACTTAGAATCATGTTTGTAAGAAACTTCAAAAAAGAACGGTCCATGGGTTCTCTGATTCATTGTTGCATTTAAAATATTGTTTATTGTTCATAATATAATACCTTTCCAAATTTATTTACTCAATATCACATATCTAGTTCTTGAAACAGTTTCTAAGGTATAAAAGGCATTCTAGAAATATTTTTAGAAAAACTGATTACTTTTTAGAAATTTGTGAAGCTTGCTAATTTTACAAAATGTCCATTTGCTAAGAAACTTATTTGGGAATAAAAGGCTATTGGATTGTTACTCAGCTCTTACATAAGCCTGGAAACCTGAAGCAACCAGCATTTGAAAATATTATAACTTACTATGTTTCAGTGGGAGTCAAATATCTGTTAAACCAAACCTGCAAAAAGGCTTAATCCCTGTGGTAATATAAAAAAAAAATAACAGAAGCTCCAATGATCTTAAATTTATACCTGTATTATAGAACACACAGTCTATTTTCATAAATCACTTGAAATTTGTTTATGGATTAGAGAAAGCAGGAGTTTTCAGTTCTCTAAGCAATAAACTACTCTACATTTTTAATTAGATGTTGCTTGCAATTAAATCAAATGCCATGTATTCACTGAAAAGTCCACATAATACTAGATGTAAAACTAATCCCTAATTTGAAGCAAAAATTATAACATTTATACTATAAATTAGAAAATTCTTCCTCACCCAATTAAGATTTGGCATTAAGGAGAATACTTAGCCATGTAGACATAATTATGTAAGGTCATTTGTCACTGGTTCCATGATGTTTCCAAAACTAACTAGGCTCAGATTCAGAAAAACCTGCATTAAAGGAGAGGTATATGATTAAATCTTGAAAAATTCAAGTTTAAAAGTAATTCCTGGCCAGGCATGGTGGCACACACCTGTAATCCCAGCACTTTGGGAGGCCAAGGCAGGTGGATCACCTGAGGTCAGGAGTTTGTGACTAGCCTGACTAACATGGTGAAATGCCATCTCTACTAAATACAAAAAAATTAGCCAAGCCTGGTGGCTCATGCCTGTAATCTGAGCTACTTGGGAGGCCGAGACAGGAGAATCACTTGGACCTGGGAGGCGGAGGTTGCAGTGAGCTGAGATCATGCCATTGCACTCCAGCCTGAGCAACAAGAGCAAAACTCCGTCTCAAAAAAAAAAATTAATTTCTTTCTGAACAAATCAAATCTGATTATTCAGTTGAGGTTCTCAATTGCCTTTTTTGCTTCTGTAGAGACTGGTCTCTAGCAAATAAGAAACACTAATTCAACTGATATTTTTGAAAAATTACAAGACCTGGGCATACAGAGTGCTATGAAGAGTGCCTAAGAAGAAGCCATGTTTCAGACATCCTGGCCAGAGACCAGACATGGACATCACATCAATCACATATGCAAGTCAGTCTTCATTTCCAGTCACTTCTTTTTTCCTGCCAAAGCTTTCATGTACCCTAAGTCTTTGAACAAAGGCTGTTGCTTCACTGACCTGAATTGTTAACGCAAACGAAATTGATTATCAGTACCAATGCTACATCTCATCACTCATGAAGAGAAGAGTTCAAAATGGAAAGAGCCATTTACTAGGTGTGTGACTTTGTCAAGCGTCTTAACTACCTTTCATCTCACTCAGCCATTCATTTATACATTGAACAAGTGTGTGTGTGTGTGTGTACGTGCATGCACGTGTATATGAAGAAAGAGAGGAAGGAGGACAACCAGCTGTGTCAGGTACCACTGCAGGCTCTGGAGAGATAGGAGTAAGCCGAGTGCATAAAAATATAGAAACCTCAACCTTCATTGAAAGTGACAGGTGATGACAACTGCCATGAATGAAGAATAAAGAAAGAGATAGAAAAGGCTATGGCAGGGTGAGTGTTTGCTCTTTAGAAGGGCTGTCAGAGGAGGGTCTACTGAGAAGGTGACAAGCAGAGAACTGAGGAGGATAAGAAGCAACAAGCAAATTGGGGTGAGAACAGTCCAGGCAGAGGAAGCACCTGTGCTGGAGGCTGGGCAGCAAATGCCTATGCTTGGAAGAAGCAGCCAGGGCACTGGGGCTGAGCATGTCAGGCAAGGGGAGTGTGGCCAGAGTGGGAGGAGAGGATGCTGGTTAAATGGGAAAGGTTCCCTTGTCCCCTTCCAGGGCGTGCAAGGGGGTGGAGCTCACTTCCTCAGGGACCCGCTGCTCAAACCTCTAGGGAGGCATACAGATAGGCAGGTTGTGGGGCTCTGTACCCCAAGGCAATGTCTAGGGGTGAATGTTTACAGCTGAAGCCCCAGTGGACATGTTACAGGGTGCTCCTTTAGTTTGCCGTCTTTTAATAGCCTGGCTTGTGTTAACCAGGTCGATTAGACCTTCTACCTTGTCGCAAGGACACAGGACTTTCTGTATCCTGGGTTCTTTCCTTGATGTACGGGAAGAATCGGATCACATATGGGCTTGGGGAATGAGTGCAAAGTTTTATTGAGTGAAAGTAGCTCTCAGTCGATATAGGAGACAGAAGGGAAACGGTTTTCTCCTAGAGTTCTGCCACTTGGTGGCCCCTGCTCTCCTCTGACTGCCCCAGCCAAACTCTGCCTAGTCCCGCCGGTCAATGGCCTGCCATCTGGCGTACCAGAATCTCTCGGTGAGCTCTTTTGCCGGCGTGCTCCCTCAACGTCCTCTTGCCATCGAGCCGCTGTGTCCTCTTCTGCTGATCTGCTTCGCTCTATGTCCAGCCGCCTGTGTATCTGATCACTAGGGTGTGGGGTTATTATAGGCCCAGGATGGGGCCATGGTGGGCCAGGGTAGTCTTGGAAAATGCAACATTTGGGCCTGAAAGCAGGAGTGCCTGTCCTCACCTAGGTCTGTGGGGGTGGAGCCCTAGCCAGGGACTCGCCTTTCTCTACTTCCCTGTCCTCCCTTTTTGAATCATTTAAAGGGACTATGCTCTTCCCTTTCCAGTACCTCCGTATCACTGGAGAGTAACAGGTACTGGATATTCTTGGGCCCATGGATTATAGAAATGTAACTAAGCCTATTTTCCCCTTCTGAAAGGGTTTTTCTGCCTTAAGAATGTCACTCTTTTATGGCTATTATTAAAATGTCAATAAACAACAGATGCTGGCAAGGTTGTGGAGAAATGGAAATGGTTATAACCTGTTGGTGGAAGCGTACACTAGTTCAACCATTGTGGAAAACAGTGTGGCAATTCCTTAAAGACCAAAAAAACAGAACTACCACTCGACCAGCAATCCCATTACTGGGTATATGCCAAAAGGAATAGAAATCATTCTATTATAAAGATGCATGCATGCGTATGTTCATTCCAGCACTCTTTACAACAGCAAACACATGGAATCAACCAAAATCCCATCAATGATAGACTGGATAAAGAAAATGTGGTACAGCTATACCATGCACTACTATGAAGCCATAAAAAAGAATGAGATAATGTCCTTTGCAGGAACATGGATGGAGCTGGAGGCCATTATCTTTGGCAAACTGATGCAGGAACAGAAAACCAAATACCACATGTTCACATGTTCTCACTTACAAGTGTGAGCTCAATGATGAGAACACATAGACACACAGAGAAAAACAACACACACTTTGGCCTATTGAAGGGTGGAGGATGGGAGGAGGGAGAGGATCAAGAAAAAGAAAAATAATGGGTACTAGGCTTAATTTTGATTGATGAAATAATATGTACAACAAACCCCCATGACACAAGTTTACCTATATAACAAACCCAGACATGTACCCTTTAACTTAAAATAAAATTTTAAAAAGTCATTCTTTTTAAGGTGGACATGTAAACAACCAATGGATATTTTGTAACTTGTGTTATTTACCAGCTATCTGCCTTAAATCAATTGACTATATAGCCCGTGTGATCTTTCATATATTAATCCAAAAGAGTAACAATTGAGGTAGTAGCATGGGCAATTGGGGTAAATCTGAACACATAAGAGGAGTGACTTCAAATTTTTTTACCAGTAAATATCACTACCAATATATTCCACCCCGTGAAATTTATATAGTAATGATGTCAGTGTTATAATCATTCTAGCTAGGGAGAATAAAGAAGAACTCAAAAAATGTTTGTTAGATATTAAGTATGGGGGCCGGGTACAGTGGCTCAAGCCTGTAATCTCAGCACTTTGGGAGGCCAAGGCAGCCACATCACCTGAGGTAAGGAGTTTGAGAAAAGCCTGGCCAACAGGTGAAACCCCATCTCTACTAAAAATACAAAAATTAGCTGGGCATGGTGGCGCATGCATGTAGTCCCAGCTACTCAGGAGGCTGAAGCAGGAGAATTGCTTGAACCAGGGAGTCAGAGGTTGCCGTGAGCCGAGATCGCACCACTGCACTCCAGTCTGGCAACAGAGCAAGAGTCTGTCTCAAAAAAAAAAAAAAAAAAAAATTAGCCAGGCATGGTGGCATGTGCCTGTAATCCCAGCTACTCAGGCAGCTGAGGCAGGAGAATTGCTTGAACCCGGGAGGTGGTGTTGGCAGTGAGCCAAGATTGTGCCATTGCACTCCAGTCTGGGCAACAGAGCAATACCCTGGTAGAAGGTGATTGGATCATGGTGGCAGATTTCCCCCTTGCTGTTCTCATGATAATGAATGGGTTCTCACCAGATCTGGTTGTTTGAAAGCATATAGCACTTCCCACTTCGTGGTCTCTTCCTCCTGCTCTGGCCATGTGAAGACCAGACTCCCTTCACTTTTGCCTTCTGCTATGATTGTAAGTCTCAGGAGGCCTTCCCAGAAGCAGAAGCCTATATATCCCTCAGAACCATGAGCTGATTGATCTTCTTTTCTTTATAAATTACTCATTTTAAGGCTTTTCTTATAGCCACGCAATAATGGACTAATAAAGAAAATTGGTACCAGAGAAGTGGAGCATTGCTATAAAGATACCTGAAAATGTGGAAGCAACTTGGGAACTGATTAATGGGCCGAGGTTGAAACAGTTTAGAGGGCTCAAGAGAAGACAGGAAGATGTGGGAAAGTTTGGAACTTCATAGAGACTTGTTGAATGGTTGTAACTAAAATTCTGATAGTGATATGGACAATGAATTCCAGTCTGAGGTGGTCTCAGATGGAGATGAAGAAGTTCTTGAGAGCTGGAGTAAAGGTCACCCTTGCTATGCTTTAGCAAAGAGACTGGGGCATTGTGCCCCTGTTCTATATATCTGTGGAACTTTGAATTTGAGAGAGATGATTTAGCATATCAGTCAGAAGAAATTTCTAAGCAGCAAAGCATTGAGATGTGGCCTGGCTGCTTCTAAAAACCAATGCTCGTCTGCATAAACAAAGAAATGACCTGAAATCAGAACTTACATTTAAAAATAAAAATACCATAAAATATTGGAAAATTTGCAGCCTGACCATGTGCTAGAAAAGAAAAACCAATTTTCTAGGGAGAAATACAAGCAACCTACAGAAATTTGTATAAGTAAAGAGGAGCTAAATGTTTAATAGCCAAGACAATGGGGAACATGCCTCCAAGGCATTTCAGAGACCTTCATGGCAGCCCCTTCCATCACAGGCCCAGAGGCCTAGGAAGAAGGAATGGTTTTGAGGGACAGGTCCAGTGCCCTGCTACTCTGTGCAGCCTCAGGACAGGGCACCCTGCATCTCAGCTGCTCCAGCTCCAGCCATGGCTAAAGGACTCCAAATATATCTCAGACTGCTGCTCTAGAGAGTGCATGCTGGAAGCTGCCAAGGCTTCCAGATGGTGTTAAGCCTGCAGTTGTGCAAGGGCAAGAGTTGAGGCTTGGAAGCCTCTACCTAGATTTCACAGGTTGTTTGAAAATGCCTGGATATTCAGACAGAAGTCTGCTGCAGGGGCAGAGCCCCCATAGAGAACCTCTAATAGAGAAGTGCCAAAGGGAAATGTGAGGTTGGAGCCCCCACACAGAGTCTCCAGTGGGTCACTGCCTAATGGAGCAGAGAGAAGAAGGCCACCATTCTGTAGACCCAAGCATGGTAGATCCACTGACAACTTGCACTGTGCATCTGGAAAAGCTGCAGGCACTCAATGCCTCAGCCCATTACTCAGTTCCTAAGTTGCTTTGGCATTTTCAGATATCTTTACAGCATGCTCCACTTCTCTGGTACCAGTTTTCTTTATAAGTCTATTAATAAAGCAGTGGAGCTGCCCAAGGCCTTGGGAGCCCACCCATTGTGTCAGTATGGCCTAGATTTTAGACTAGGAGTCAAAGGAGATTACTTTGGAGCTTTATGATGTAGTGACTTCCCTGCTGGGAGTTAGACTTGCATGAGGCCTGTAGCCCATTTGTTCTGGCCTATTTCTCCCTTTTGGAATGAGAGCATTTACCCAATGCCTGTACCTCCCTTGTATCTTGGAAGTAACTAACTTGTTTTTGATTTTACAGGCTCATAGGTGGAAGGAATTTGCATTGTCTCAGATGAGATTTTGGACTCTGACTTTTGAGTTAAGCTGGGAGGAGTTAAGAATTTAGGGGACTGTTGGGAAGGCATGATTGTGTTTTGAAATGTGAGAAGGACATGAGATTTGGGAGGGGCCAGGAGTGGGATAATATGGTTTGGTTCTGTGTCCCCACCAAAATCTCATGTTGAATTGTAATTCCTAATATTGGGGGAGGGACCTGGTAGGAGGTGATTGGATCATATGGGCAGATTTCCACTTTGCTGTTCTCATGGGAGTGAGTGAATTCTCATAAGATTTGGTTCTTTAAAAGTGTGTAGCACTTCCTCCTTTGCTCTTTCTTCCTCTTGCTCTGGCCACGTGAAGACCAGTCCTGCCTCCCCTTCACCTTCCTCTATGATTGTAAGTTTCCTGAGGCCTCCTCAGAAGCAGAAGCCTGTATATCCTGGAGAACCATGAGCCAATTAAACCTCTTTTCTTTATAAATTACTAATTTTCAGGTAGTTCTTTATACCAGTTCGAGGATGAACTAATACAGCCAAGTACTATGCTAACATATTTCCTCCCTTTCTTAATATAATTAATGAGACAGAGATTGTCTGAAAAAAAAACAGAGAACATCACACTGGTGATAAAAGAAAAACTTCAGCCAAATTAAATTTAAAGGAGTTCAACTGAGCAATGAACAATTTGCAAATTGGGCAGCCTCTGGAATCACAGCAGATTCACAGAGACTCCAAAGGGGCCTCCTGGTCAGAACAAATGTATAGACAAAAAAGGCAAAGTGACACACAGGAATTGGAAGTGAGGTACGGAAACAGTGAGATTGGTTACAGCTCAGTGTTTGCCTTATTTGAATGCAATTTGAACATTCAGCAGTCTACGGGTGGTTGAAGTATGGCCGCTGGGATTGGGCAACACCCAGCTATTGTTACAGGTACATATACTACTAAGTTAGGTTTTTAACTTTGTCCGACTATTAAGCTAGGTTACAGTTCATCCACGAGGACTCACATATTGTACAGAGTCCTTCTCAAGCCATATTTAGTTTATTTTAACACTGGTAAACTGTATCAATGACATTAGGCTTCTCTAAAGAAGTGAGGAATCATGTCAAGTAACGTGGAAGCCTTAGTGAGACAGATTATCCAGAGATGGAGTATACACCTGAGGAAGATTCAAGGGATTATAACATCAGTACAATTTTTAGAGGGCCAGAGATCTGGGATATTCCAGGAATTTTCCTCCAAAGTAAATGACATATTTTTGCATTATTTACTCACATTGCTGAGGAGGAAGCATCATGCTCAGCAGGTGTCTTTGGGCTATGAAAGCAGTGCATTACATACAGGAGAATGCTGACTAATCTATTTATCAAGTCACCCAAAAGGTTGCTAGTTTTGAGTGGGGCTAGAGCACAAAACACTTTTTTGAAAGTGCAGGGTACAGCTCAAATTGACCTGCCTCTTGAGCCATATAACCCAGGAGATCTTATGATATTGATGTGTCTGTGATGGGAGAAGATGCCATGTAGCATTTATAATGATCCTAGTAGGAAAATCTCATAACATGGAATTCCAGCTTTCTGGGCTATGCCATTGTCAGGGAAAATGTATATAACGTTCAACAAAATGGCTGTTAGCATGCTGGAAATATACATGCTCACTCCTGCATGGCTGCAATTTGTCCTCACAT
Source organism: Homo sapiens (assembly GCF_000001405.40). Classification (NCBI taxonomy): domain Eukaryota; kingdom Metazoa; phylum Chordata; class Mammalia; order Primates; family Hominidae; genus Homo; species Homo sapiens. The sequence goes on from NC_000007.14 coordinate 53,639,047, forward strand.
GCTCATATTCTAACATCTATGCAGATCCTCTTTGACCTAGGTTTGTTGAAGAGATTATCTGGTTTTTTTTGTTTGTTTTTTGGTTTTGGTTTGGTTTTCTCTTTTACTCTTTTTTCTTGCTCTCCTAGCTTTTCATTTAATGAGGGCATTTAAGCAAATATAAAATGTTTCCCACAAAATTCAATGCTATCACCACCATGTCTCTCCCAGAAGCTCATTTAAAATCATAGCCGTACCCTCAAATAGCATTAAGAAATATTTTTTGACAATTATTCTCTCAGTTTATGCCTCAAAAAGTATGCCTCAGGAAATAAGCCTTATGAAATGAGGCATTGTATATTATTATATAATAATCTGTATTTTTAATCTATTGAGAATGTTACCTTTGAACTGTTCACTTCTTATACCCATAACACAACAAACAATGTTTTGTAAATATTAGCTTGTCAAGTAATATTGAAATCATAATTAAATAGATAAAATGTGAAAATAAAGAAGAGAAGTAGAAGGGAAGGGGAAAAGTAGGAAGGTTAAAAAGTAAGCAACAGAGCAACAGGGTTTTCAGCTAATGCATAACTTAAAAAATTTTATCTAGTTACTGAAGTTGATTATATATTATTTTATGCTCTTCTAGTAACTCTTTCCATTAAACTTATCTGTGTTATCTCTGCATGATTGCAACAATTCCAAATTTCTTCTCTTTACATTAGATTTTTTTAAAAAAATTAACGTTATATCTCAGAGCATGTTCAGAGGGCTCATTAGTTTGAGTAAGTTTCCTCATTCATTAGATAATTCATTATTCTTTCTTTTGAATTATTTACTATAATGATAACTTCCTTATTGCTCTGCTTACAAGTAATGGCATGTTTCTCATTATTTCTTTTTCTTCAGGACTTTGACATATCTCTATTTCATAAACCATATTTCATTATTGCCAGACAATTTTTTTTTAGATTATACTTATTTATAGTGTCCTAGGGTAACCCAAGCTACTTGAGTTCTTGTTAATTGTAAAAGTGCATTTTCTTTGAAATTTGATAGTTTAGCATTTAAATTTAATAATACATGTGTGACAACATTTCACTATAGAATCCTTGCCAAATAGCATGTTCCAGTTGATAGGGTCATTTATTTAGTGCCAGAAAGACTGCAATTCACCATTCTACCTATTAGCAATTTTCCACAGCAATTTCCAAAATATCATTGTCTTAAATTTAATAAATTGGCCTTTTGAAATATTTTACACATATCTTATACCTACTAAATTTAAACATGAAAAACAACTTATAAAATAAAATAAAATTCTGAACAGTTTTCTTAGATCTGTTGTGGTGTGAACCACTGCTTTATTATGTAACATAATCTAGGAATAACTCTGTTAATCATTGAAACAGATATTGATACTTTTTTATTTTCTGATAATTCAGGATAAATTACAAATGGACTTGATTTATTTTGACTTCTAGGTAAGAGTTAGACTAGAGTTGAAGGTACAAGTCTCTTAAAACTCTCAAAGAGTTTCTTTAGTTAAAGATTATCAGCAATTAATTTTTTTGGCTGATAAATGCCTAAATTTCATGTTTGGTCTATCAAAATGCATTTTTTCTCACTTCATTATTCAATTAACATAAACAGAGCTGAATAAATTTCTGCCTCCAGCAACATTTCGGAGACTCAGTATTGTTCAACTTTAGGTTGCTCTCTGTTCAGCCAGGTTAATAGAGACAGAAAAAGACAAAATCTGGATGATGCATATGTCACTTCTGCTCATATAACATTAAACGCAACTTCAACACACAGTCTCAGCCAGATACAGGAGGCTGTGAAATGTCCTCTGGGTGAGGCCAGAAGAGGAGGACACAGTCATTGAGTATCTTGCTGTCTCTGACATGATGCTAGACACTTGCTTTTATTACAATGACAACTATTTACATTTCTTAAGAACATCATTTTTTTACATCGTAATAATCTTTTTAATTTAAAATAGATTTACAGAAAAGTTACAAAGATAGTAGTGTTTTCAATATCTCACATCTAATTTCTTTTATTATTGACATCTTGCATTAATATGAAACATTTTTCACAGTTAATAAATTCATATAAATACATTCTCACCAACAAATCTATCATCAGGCAAGTGGGTTTGCTGCCTGATGTGCACAGAAGCAGTAACTATGGCACTGGCTTTTAAGAAAAGAAAGCCTTTATTGTAAAACTAATCACCAAGGAGACAGGAGCAGGCTCACATCTATCTCACTAATTTGGGGCCTGGGGGAAATTTACAGGATCAGAGAGCAAGGGAAAGAATTTGGAATGTTGATTTGGCAGGGTCTGATTGGAAAACTCTAATGGTGATCATTTGTGTTAAAGTATGTTGAGGCAGATTTTAGCCTCAGATCTTCCAGGCCAATAGACCCCTCATTTTTGAAAGTTCCCACCTTCAGGCTCCAGTCCTGTCCCAGTCTTCTTGGTTCCGAAAGGAAGAATTGTTGGTTCTGGGTATTGTTAGAAATCAAACCTTTTTCAATTGTGCATGCCCAGTCCATGTGACTTGTGGTTTTGGTTCTGTGTATACCTACACAGAGGTAACTTGACATTTAGTTATTAATAGAGTAGGCCCAGTTTGGGCTGGTCCAGTGGTTACAAAGCCTATACTCTATTTAGACCCTTCAGATTTTACAAAGTGTTATATTTTCTTATAGGATCACATCCAGAGTACCACATTATATTTAATCAACATGTCTTCTTAGTAATCTCTTTCTTGGCTTTGAAAGTGTCTCAGACGTTCCTTGTTTTTAATAACCTTGATAGTTTTGTGGAGTACTTCTCAGGTATTTTGTAGAATGTCCCCCAAATAGGATTTTCCGGATGGGTTTCCTATAATTAAACTTAGGTTGTGAGTTTAGAGAAGTAAGACCACAGATATAAGTTGCCATCAAGAGGATATAATATCAAAATAACTTTCGTTGATTTTAGTATTCATCACGTGGCCAAAGTTTGTTTGTCCTATTACCCCACTATAAACTTATTCTTTCCCCCCATTTCTATACAGTGTTCTTTAGAAAGAAATCCCTATGAAAAGGTCACATTTAAGGATTGGGAAATTTTCATGACTTCCTGGAAAGGACAGTATATAAATAAATTATATAGAATGTTTCTAGATGAAATATTTGTCTTTTCTTATACATTTATTTATCTATTCAATAATTTATTTCAGTATGGACTCATGAATATTTATTTTATATTTTAACTGATTATACAAAACTACTTTATTTACGTTGTTGTTCATACCTTTCCAACTTTGGTCCCTGGGAGTGACAGAGCAGGAGCATTGCCATCTTGGACAAGCATCACCATTTTAAAGTTCACCTTGATCAAAAACCACCTAAATCCAAAGGGCATCAGCCTAATGGCTACGATCAGCATGACCATAAACCACAAATGACATTTCTGACCAGAAACATTCCAACCATAAGATAAACCCCTTCCCTACCAGACAGATGCCAAGAAAACCTCCACTCCGACCAGAGACATTCCAACCCGCAATAAACTTCACGACACAGAAACATTCCAAGCCTGTGATAAGTTCTCTTGCCCTGAACCCTTAAATACTCTTAGTCTGTAAGAAAGAATGCTCCTGACCAAAATCAACCTGAAGCCCCTCTTGGGTTGATTTTCCAAAATAAACCTGTCTTTGACTTTTGAGCCACTTTTTGTGTTTCTTTCCCCTTTAACTGTTACAGGGAGAGCTGTCAGCTAGCTCTTCTGTCTTTTTCACATACTCTTATAATTGTGTTGTTTTTGAGCACTGTGTTGCTTTCTGGCAATACAAGATACACCAGTATCAACTTTTATATTGCTGCCTTAGTCCTAGAATCAACTGTTTTTCCAAGGAGGCTTCTTGTACTTATTGGAGATGGGTTTTAGAAAAACAAGACCCTGCAGTGAGTTTTCTCTTTACTGCTGGGGTGACGTGGCTCCTTAGGCCATTACATCAGACAGAGCAAAGACATATCCATATGTACACATAGCCATGTATGTACACATAGCTATAAATATCCATCTGTATCTGTATTAAGCTAATGTCAGGACCCAGAGGAAACTTTCTATCTGCCGTCTGAAGGTTCTCTGAAAGTTAACTGGCAAAAATGGATTAATAGGAGAAAAAGCATATACATTTATTAACATTGGAGGGGAAGGGGGAATTACTCCCCCCACCCCACACCACATAAAGATTTATATACCGTTTACATAGGACAGGGAGGAGATGGGAAATGTAGACTTTTTTTTTTAGGGTCAGTGGCTGTAAATGATTATCAGAGAGAAGAAATGGACCAGGGCAACACAAATTAACTTGTAAATGATCCTCTTTGGAATTTGAATGAGCCTGAGAAGCAGGCATTATCTTGTGGAAAAGTCCATCTAGGTGTGGTTGCATTCTTCAGTCTTTTTTCTGAAATAGATAATGAGATATCGGGGAGGGTATAGGAAGCAATTTTACTTCTTTTGGTAAAAAGTTTTCATGGTCAGATAATGAAATTCCAAAGTGAAGCCCTTCGGGAGAAGCATGGTGATTAAAGAAACCTAGATTCTGAGGCTTATTCCTGAGGCCTTTCTATTTCCAAAAGCACTCAGCCTGCCAAGCATCATATTTTGGGAAATAATTTTCTGCACCCCAACACTAAACATGAGGTGATATTAATGTCTGCAGCATTAATGCATTGTGACCACCCAATGGGTAAACCTTGCCTGCTGCCTAGACAGAGCTGATTTATGAAGACAGTGGAACTGCAATACAGAAAGAGTAATTTATGCAGAGCCAGCTGTGTTGGAGACCAGAGTTTTATTATTACTCACATCAGTCTCCCCTAGCATTCAGGGATCAGTTTTTAAGGACAACTTGATGGGCAGGTGGAAGACAGTGAGGCAAGAGTGCTGATTGATTAGGTGGAAGATGAAATCATAGGGAATTGAAGCTGTCCTCCTGTGCTGAGTCGGTTCCTGGGTGGGGGCCACAAGATCAGATAAGCCAGTTAATCCATCTGAGTGGTACCAGCTGATCCATGAGTGCAAGGTTTGCAAAATATTTCAAGCACTGATCTTAGGAGCAATTTAGGGAGGGTCAGAATCTTGTATCCTCCAGCTGCATGACTCCTAAACCATAATTTCTAATCTTGTGGCTAATGTTAGTTCTCAAAAGGCAGCCTAGTCCTCAGGCAAGAAGGAAGTTTGTTTTGGAAAAGGGCTGTTACCATCTTTGTTTTAATATATAAACTATAAACTAAGATCCCCCCAAAGTTAGTTCCATCTATGCTCAGGAATGAGCAAGGACAGCTTGAAAGTTAGAAGCAAAATGGATTCAGTTAAGTTAGATCTCTTTCACTGTCTCAGTCATAATTTTGCAAAGATGGTTTCAGCATCACCACATGACCAACCTGTCCTTCTCTATTTGCTTTTCTGAAAACTGCCACTCCATCAGTGAGAAACCAGGCTCCTATCATCCAGCATTCACGTTCTTAATTGCTCAATCCCAGTTGACATGTTTCATTATTTCAGAACTGTTAACATGTAACCCTGTGTGGGAAGCAATATTATCAACTAGATAAGAGTGACTTGTCTTTAGTTTTCCAGACTTCATTCATTTTCCAAGTCACTTAGAGCCATACCTTTTGATCTCATTCATTTCTGTGAGGTTATTTCATGTTTTTTTCAGTATATTTTGTCACAGTGAACATTTTATGCTGAGATCCCCTGACCTATATGATTGATTTTTTCTTACATTAAATTAAGTCTTTGTTTTGTAATGAATTTTCAACAAGATATGTCACAGAAATATATTTTGGGGTAAAATATTTCTTTCTTTCAGGGCATGCTATCTATCATTTGATGTATTCTAGAGTTGGGTTGGAATTTATTTTATTGCTACAAAGTGTTCTGTCAGCATTAAGACCTTTGTTTAATGTTAATGCAGGTAAGTTGTGCCTGAATTCCAAAGGGAGAAGAGTATAATGAGGCATGTATCACCTCTTCCTTCCCATCATGTCCTGAACTAGTTTGTTAGGTTAACTTTAAAATGCCCTTGGCTGACAGGAAGATCCATTCAGTTGACCGAGGGGCACAGAATTCTATTTTTGGTTTACAGAATCATACTTTATGTAAGCTTTTGACCTGGCTGTTTCATTTGGAAATATGCCTTTGAGATTCCCCTATGTCTTTATGATTAATGATTCGTTTTCTATCAATGAATAGTTTTCAATTATGTGAGTGTACCATAATCTATCCATTTATCTATTGAAAGATATCTTGTTTTTTTTCCACTTTTCAGTAATATGAATACAGCAGCTATAATGTTATATTCAGGTTTTGTGTAAATGTAAGTGTTTTAATCACTTAAGTAAATACTTGAGGTAGTTACTAGGTCACATGATAAAATTATGTTTAACGTTGTAATATACTGTCAAACTCTCTTCCTAAGTGGCTGTATCATTTTGCCTTTCCACACGCAATAAACAAGAGTTCCTGTTACTCTACATCCTTGCCAGAATTTGATTATGTCTATATTTTAGACATTAGCCATTGTGATAGTTATGTACTGGTATTTTGTTTTAATCTGCACTTCCCAAAAAGCATAAGATGTTAAACAGCTTTCCATATACTTATTTTATATCTGTATTGCTTTTTTGGCAAGGTATCTTTTGCACATTCTTTATTGGGTTGTTATTTTCCTTATACTTGATTTTTATCATTTCTTTGTGTATTTTGGATACAAGTCACTTATCAGATGTATGTTTTGCAAATATTTTCCCTCATTCTCTGGCTTGTCTTTTAATTCTCTTACCTGTGTCTTTCACACAGCAGAATATTTTAATACAATCAAATTTATAAATTTTTTTCCTTAGTGATGCTGAAACACATTACCTCACCCAAAGTCATATAAATTTTTTTCTTATGATTTCTTCTGGCAGTGGTATAGTTTTCAATTTTACGCTTATGTCTATGGTCCATTTTAAAATAATTTTGCAGTAATGTATAATCTCTAGGTCTAATTGATGTTCTGTTCTTCTTCTTCTTCTTTCCTCTTCCTCCTCTTCTTCCTCCTTCTCCTCCTCCTCTTCCTCCTCCTCCTTCTTCCTCCTTCTCCTCCTTCCTCCTCCTCCTTCTTCTTCTTCTTCCATAAAACTTCATATGATCATCCAATTTTTCTAGCACCATTTGTTTAATATGCTGTTCTTCCTCCATTGAATTGCCTTTATTCCTTTGAGAAATATCTGTTGACTAATTTCTGCATGTTTATTTCTGGAATTGCTAGTGTTCAATTTATCTATTTGTCTATATTTTGCCAATATCATGTTCTGATTATTGTAGCCTTTTAGTAAGTCATTAAGTTAGGTAGTGTCTGTCCACCATCTTTCTTCTTTTTCTTTAATATTGTGTTGGCCATTCTTGGACTTTTTGTTTTCTGTATAAATTTTATAATCAGTTTATAAATATTTACAAAATTTCTTCATGGAAATTTGCTTGGGACTGCATAGACTTTATAGATTATATGGGGAAAAATTGATATCTTAACAAGATTGAGTTTTCTATCCATGAACATGGAATATCTCTCCATTTACTGATATCATCTTTGATTTTTTTTTTACCAGTTCTTTCTAATTTTATACATGCATATCCTGTGTATGTTTTTAAGATGTATAGCTAAGTATGTTTTGGCACTATTGTATATAATATTTTTAATTTCAAATTCCAATTACCCAAGGCTAGAATATACTAAAATGGTTGACTTTTGTATATTGTCCCTGTGAACTTGTCATACTTATTATTAATATCACAAGTTTTTTCTGTAGAGACTTTGTGTATGTACGTGTTTGTGTATGTGTTTACAAAGGCAATAGTTTCTTCTGGAAATAAAAAGAGCTTTATATTTTTCCTTCCAAAAACATAGAAATAATAAATTAAAAGGAATGCAAACCTCACAGTTTTCAGATCAAAGTTTTCTTAAAAGTCTGTATTTTTTAATTTGAAGTCTAAAATTTTATCTATAACACAAGACTAATAATGCCCTATAATTAATAAAGTCCTGCATATTATTAAATATGTACAAATTAAAGATGAAGTAATACAAAAGAATTATTGTTATTATCATTGTTGTTGTTGTTGTTGTTGCCACACTTAGCTAACAGCTTTAACTCCATAGGAAAAGGGTATTGGAAGTTAATGGCAGAGGAAAAATTAACAATATGTATTATTCATTACAAATACATATTATGTTTCAGATGTATGTAAAATAAACCGCAATTTGTTTTCAATCCATGTGTGAATCTTAAATAGTTGCTCCTTCTTCTCGTCTTCCACCTCTTTTTCTTGTTCCTGCTCTTGTTCTTCTCCTTTACTTCATCCTCTTTCTCCCTCTTTTTTCTCTCCTCTTCCTCCTCCTCCTTTTTTAGACATCAGTATTAAAGAATGTCTCCATGTCTTCTAAATAGATATTTAGACCAACAGAATTCAATTGAAAATTGGTCCCAATTTTATGTTTCAAAATTGTTACTCTAACAAATACCTTCCCTATAGAACAGCTTTATTAAAGCATATTTGTTACAGAATGTACCTAATCACTCAGTGACATGTAGTCAGAACTCAGTAGATTCATTTAAACTGATTTCATAACTGTCATCAATGATTTTTTTTATTAAACTACCAAATATCTTTCTTTAAGGTTTAAATTTTAATGCAATTAAAGATTTCACTGCTTTATTGGGGGTTTTCCATTTTTTAAATTGTTGTAAAATACACATAACATAAAACTTACCATGTTAGCCTCTTTCATGTGCACAGTTTAGTAATGTGAAGCATATTTGTTGTGCAACCAATCTCTAGAATATTTTTATCTTCCAAAACTGAAGCTATATACCCATTATACAAGTCCCACTTTCCCCCTTCCCGTACCATTGGCAACCACTATTCTGCTCTTTGTGTCTCTGAATTTGACTATTCTAGATATCTCATATGTTTTAGTCGATTTAGCATTGCTATAAGGGACTACCTAGGACTATGTAATTTTTTTAAAAAAAGTTTATTTAGCTTATGATTCTGCCAGCTGTACAAGAAGCAAGGCACCAGCCTTTGCTTCTTGTGAGGGTTTTAGACTGCTTCCACCAATGGTGAAAGGAGAAGGGAGGCTGGTGTGTAGAGACCACATCATGAGAGAAGAAAGCAAAAGAAAGAAGTGGGAGGTCAAGGCTCTTTTTACAACCAGCTCTTATGGGAACTAATAGAGTAAGAACTCATTAATTAACATGAGGGTGGCACCACACCATCCATGAAAAACCACCCCCATGACCCAAATATGTCCCATTAGGCCCCACCTCTAACATCGGTGCTCAAATTGCAACATGAAATCTGGAAGAGTCAAACAAACCTCTTTGTTACTTATTTCATTTAGTATACTGTCCTCAAGTTTCATGCAAGCTATAGAATGTATCACAATTTTCTTTTTTTAGGGCTACTATTCCTATAGATAGAGATATTCTGTTTAGTCATCTATCCAGTAATGGCCATTTGCATAAATTCTATGATTTGGCTATTGTGAATAATGTTGTTATGAACATGGGCGTATGTACAAATATTTTTTCAAGACTTTGCCTTTGGTTTTTTCAGATATACACTCATAGATAAAATTGATGCATCATATGGTAATTCTATTTTTAATTTTTTAAGGAGCTGTCATACTATTTTCTAAAGCAGCTGTACCATTTTACATTCTTACACACCATAGACAAGGGTCTCTAGGTAAAGATGCTTGTATTATTAAAAACACACTATGTTAGCTGGTAAATACCTAAAATACATGTTTGGCCTATTAAAATGTATTTCTTGCTTATGTCACTGCTGAATTAAAATAAGCAGGGTTGGCTGGATTTCAGCTTCCAACATTATTCTGCTTCCTACTTTGTTATTTTCAGGGTTTTTGTTGTTTTGTTTTGTTTGTAGTAGTCATCCTGATGGGTGTGAGGTTATATCTCAATGTGCTTTTGATTGCATTGTACTAATTATGAATTATTTTGAACATCTTTTCAGATATTTAGTGGCTATTTGCATGTCTTCTTTGGAGAAATGTCTATTTAAGTCATTGGCCCAATTTCAATTGGGTTCTTTTATTTTTGTTGCACTGTAAACATTTTGAAAACATGCTGCATATTAACCCTCATCAGATATATGACTTGAAAATATTTTCTGCTATTCTGTCAGTTGCATTTTCACTTTCTCAATTGTGTCTTTTAGTGCACAGACATTTTAAATTTTAGCGTAGTGCAATATATCTATTTATATTTTTGTCACCTGTGCTTTTGGTGTGATGTCAAAGAAATTTTGCCAATTCAAGTCATAAAGCTTTTCTTCATTGTTTTCTTTGAGTGTTTCATAGTTTTAGGTCTTATGCTTGTCTTTGATCCATTTTAAATTTATTTGTGTATATTGTGTAAGTTAAGCATCTAACTTCATTTTTGTGTGTGTAGATTTCCAATTTTGCCTACACCATTTGCTAAAGGCTGTCCTTTCCTATTTCAATTTTGTGTGTGTGTGTGTGAGACAGGGTCTCACTCTGTCACTCAGGCTGGAGTGCAGTGGTGTAATCATGGCTCACTGCAGCTTTGACCTCCCAGTCTCAGGCAATCCTACTATCCTAGCCTCCTGAGTAGCTGGGACCAGAGGGGTGCACCACCACACCCAGCTTTTTTTTGTTTCTAATTTTTGTGATGGGCTATCTCCATATGTTGCCCAGACTGGTGTCCTTACCCACTGAATGAGCTTTGCAACTTTGTTTAAAATCACTCTTCACCATTGATTGTTATGTTGTTGTGAGCTTGATATATATGGCCTTTATTATGTTGAGGTAGTTTCCTTCTATTCCTTGTATGTTGTGTCTTTTTATCATGAAAAATGTGTTGAATTTTTGTCATTTGCTTTTTCTGATCAATTGAGCTAATCATATTTTTTTTAAACAGAATGTTGTTCATTTTGCCAATATACTGTATTAAATTGATTGTTTTTTATATGTTGAAGTATCTTTGCATTTCAGGAATAAATTCCACTTGCTCATAGTGTAGAATTCTTGTAATGAGTTGTCGAATTCTGTTTGTTAGCATCTTGTTGAATATTTTTACATCAGTATTCATCAGAGATATATCTTTATTTGTATTATAAAGCTTTAATTATCCAGGGTGTAAAAAATGGAAAACATCTATTAATTTTAATAGTGTTTTACCTACTTTAAAAAGACAAAAATTAGAAAATAAGATGGTCACAATTCTACCCAAAATCCAATCCTGAATTGCACAGTTAACTGAAAAAGTATTTAAGTATCTATGGCTTACTACTTGAGGGAATCCAATATTGCTACCACCCTCCTTCGCAATTAAACTCCAAATACCCCACGATGTACGAAACCTATCCCATGTTTGCTTCATGTCTCCTGGGAATCCTTTGCTTGTTTCCTTTTCCCTGTTTTCATTCGTGCCCTTTTCATACTCATCTTTTCCCACCCTATCTAATACTCCACATCATTTCAGATCCAGGTGATACATGAGCCAACAAAGGACTCTCCTCTGATCCTTGGGTGCATCATTTCTTTCAGTGTAGGAATGCTTTGTATTTTCTCCAAATACCAGTTTCTGCCAGGGATACAGAACTTACATATTCATGAAGTCAATTTCAATATAATTTTTCTTTAATTGATAAAAATGTGTCTTTTCCATAATTTTTCTTCCTTTTTGTCTTCTGCAATTAAAAAAGATTTAGTTCCTTTTTTTTTTTAACCACAGATTCATTCAAAAACTTAGAAGGTTATTATAGATGTCTTAAGTTACTATTTTCCAAACTAAATACATTCATTTTTCTTTATGACATGATTTATAGACTCTTCCAAACCTGGTCACCAGCTTTTTGATGTACTATAATTATGTTCGTCTGGTGTAATAAAATAGTATAGACCTTTTGTGATGAAGTGATTAAATGGAGAAATATATCAAGTTCATGAATGGGAAAACTTCATTCTATAAAAATGTCAAATTCATTCACATTCATATAAAATCTTAATAAAATTATAACTCGTTGTAAAATTTTTAAATTAATAGAAATGAATAAAGGCCCAAGGAAAACACAATGATATTTTTAAAGGATGCGTGAATGTATGGAACCAAATATTATTAAAATATAATTAAAATAATTTATTGTAGCTCAGAAATAGACATTGTTTAATACTACATGTGTTTTTATATAATGTTATATGCATATTTTATACATTAATATGAGTAGAAGGTATATAAAATTAATGACCAAAGGAAATATTCCTCCATATATGGTGTTAGAACATTTACTACTTATTTGAAAAATAGAATTTGATTCATAACCCATCCCTTTTAGGTAAATAAATTTCATAGTACATAGAGACCTAAGTATAAAAAAGAAACTATCCTAGGAAAGCCTAATTATAGAAGGCCAGTCCTTTGGCTTGTGTCCTTGAATCTACGCCTTCTGAAGGTTTCATGGACACTGTTACTGCAATTAAGCTCTCCTCTCCCACTGGATTATTGCCTTGATTATCAAAATGCATCTCAGATTGTACATATTTAATCCCCTCCCTTGAGTCTTCAATTCTACTGCTGCCTCATTCTTTTCTGCCACTTGAAGCGTAGCATCTTCAAAAGTTTTCTATGTCCTTGCCTTCAATTCTGCAGCATCCTTCAACTCATTTTAATCATGTTTCATTTCATTTTTTACTTTGAATCTATTTTTTAAATACAGGTCATTATTACCCTATAGCCTGCCATAGACTTTGACCTATACTCTGACCTAATTGTAATCAGTTTTGCAGCAACATTGGACATTTGCTTTATCTCTTCCCACATTCTCCTAGTTTTCCTCTGAATATCCTGTCTGTCAGGACCTCCTTCCTGAGAACTTTAAATTTGATATACCCCTGAACTTTTTTCTTTCACTTTTATTCTTTCCTCTCTCAGACAAAAATGACAAAAGTGAAAAGTTAATGTTGTACTGAAGAAGCTGAGGTATATATCAAACATGCCAAGGGTGAAATCCAACCATTCAAGAACATGTTCAATGCTGAATGCTATCTATGTCCAAGTGTGTACCTGAATTGGAATAGGCCATATTCAAATAGGAGAGAGAAAGTCAAATTTTCTCTGTTTGGAGATGACATGGCTGTATATTTAGAAAACCCCATCATCTCAGCCCCAAATCTCCTTAAGCTGATAAGCAACTTCAGCAAACTCTCAGGATAAAAAATCAATGTGCAAAAATCACAAGCATTCCTATACACCAATAATAGAGAGCCAAATCATGAGTGAACTCCTGTTCACAATTACTACCAAAAGAATAAAATATCTAGGGATAAAACTTACAAGGGATATGAAGGACCTCTTCAAGGAGAACTACAAACCACTGCTCAAGGAAATAAGAGAGGATACAAACAAATGGAAGAACATTTTAACATTATTTTACATTTGTTACATAATGTACAACATTATGTTAACATTTAACATAAAACGTTAAACAGTTTAAGCAGTTTAACAATGCTCATGGATAGGAAGAATCAATATCATGAAAATGGCCATACTGTCCAAAGTAATTTATAGATTCAATGGTATCCCCATCAAGCTGCCTTTGACTTTCTTCACAGAATTGGAAAAAAACTACTTTAAGTTTCATATGGAACCAAAAAAGAGCCTGTACAGCCAAGACAATCCTAAGCAAAAAGAACAAAGCTGGAAGCATCATGCTACGTGACTTCAAACTATACTACAAGGTTACCGTAACCAAAACAGCATGGTACTGGTAGCAAAACAGATATATAGACAAATGCAACAGAACAGAGGCCTCAGAAATAACCCAATACATCTACAACCATCTGATCTTTGACAAACCTGACAAAAACAAGCCAGACAGAACAGAGAACTCAGAAATAACTCCATACGTCTACAACCATCTGATCTTTGACAAACCTGATAAAAACAAGCCATGGGGAAAGGATTCCCTATGGTGTTGGGAAAACAGGCTGGCCATATGCAGAAAACTGAAACTGGACCCCTTTCTTACACCTTATACAAAAATTAACCCAAGATGGATTAAACACTTAGAAATAAGCCATATTTTTTAATGCCATTGTTAAAGTACTTCTCAACTGCCAGGCATTCTACTATAGTAATTTTACCTTTAGGAATGTGGTATAAAATTATCACTTTTTAATATTTGCTCTATTATTGAGGTGTTCTTTCAGTAAGACATCAGACTTTTCCTAAATAATCCAGAATTCTAAAAATATTCCATTAGCATACAACTTTTCTTCTGTAGCTTACTGTTGGTAGCTTAGTTTTTTATCCATAAATTTAAATGCATAATTGACTCATTTTAATGCTGTAGTGAAACAGTTTAACAATGGTATAGCCAGACATTTCCCATACAAAGCAGTCAGGATCCTCAAGACTAGCCTGTATTTTTCACCTTCTTCCTTCTGTATGTCTATATTACTCCAATGATGGTAAGCATTTTCAACCACTCTGTTTTATACACTTTCCCTTTCATAATCTCTTCTATACAGGTATTCTAGAAGAGTAGGCTATAGCACAAGTTTATCAGATATTGTAATGATGCCACAATTGCTACTTGGTCTCTCATGTCTCTCTTAGAATCCCAGAAGAGGGAAAGAAGTTTAAATAGTCCAAACCATCCTCTTTTCATATAAATTAAGTGCCATGCTCCTATAATTTCATTCTCAGTTATTTTATTTCTGTACACATTCTTCCAAGATGATCTCATTCTGTCCCATGGTTTTAAGTATCTCATGTATACCTCAGGCTTCCTACTTGAAACCTGAAATTTAGTTGTCTCTTAGGCATCTCCCAAGTAACATAATCCTCCATTCCATTCTATATGTTTGCCTCCCTAGTGCTTCCTACTTTGACAACCGAGTGTGCCATCCACTTATTATCTCAGACCCCAAATTTCATAGTGACTCAAGATTCCTGCTTTTTCTCTCATCTTCTATCACAATCTGATAATAAATTCTATTTATTAAGCCAGATTAAAATAAAGAAAACTTTAACCTAGTTCTTCTTATAATTTCCTTTTTTTTTTTTTTTTTGACATGGAGTTTCACTCTTTTTGTCCAGGCTGGAGTGCAATGGCGCAATCTCGGCTCACTGCAATCTCTGCCTCCTGGCTTCAAGCGATTCACCTGCCTCAGCCTCCTGAGTAGCTGGGATTAAAGGCACCCACCACCATGCCTGGCTAATTTTTTTTATTTTTAGTAGAGACGGGGTTTCACCATGTTGGTCAGGCTGGTCTCAAACTCCTGACCTCAGGTGATCCACCCGCCTCGGCCTCCCAAAGTGCTGGGATTACAGGTGTAAGCCACCTCCCCCAGCTTCTTCTTACAATTTCTACATCTAAAATCTATTCTCAGCCACCAATTCTTTCCTGAAAAACCTTAAGAAGAAAAGTAAAATCACCTCTGAAATGAAAATCAGCAAAGCATAGTCTCTAAAAGCACTTAGTCTGCAGCCAGGTGCCTAGATTCAAATACAGACATTTCCACTCACCATGTGTTAGGTATCTCGCATTCACATTCTGCTTAACTTCTTTGTGCCTGTGCCTCTGTGACTTTGTTTCTTCAATTACAATATGAGAATACTAATAGTGCACACCTGATTGGGATTTTTTGGGTATTAAATGTGCATATATATATATATATATATGTGTGTGTGTGTGTGTGTGTGTGTGTGTATATATATGTGTGTGTATATATGTGTGTATATATATGTGTGTGTATATATATATACTTAGTACAGTATAGTATGTAATACATGATTTTGAGCTGAATAAAGTAACATTCTTTAAATGCTGCCACTTCAAAAATAACATTCTTGTTTCACAAAAGATTTATAAAGCAAGTTAAATGAATTAATCAGAATAAAAATATAAAATATCAATACTTATAAAAATATAATGTTCAAGACAGTGTGCACTAGAACAAAGCATAAAGACAAATTCAAATATAGTCTAGAAATAGACTGGCATATTTAGAGAAATGCCTGATTCATAAAAAACAATTCAAAAAATTCTTTAATTTTCTAGACTTACTTTAGGGAGACTGAGCAATACAGAAGGAAAGCCATGACAAGAAACCTTTGTTCCTTCCTTACAACAGCAATGAAAATAAGTGGCCTTTTAAAGAAATAATGCTGAATCAGTTAGATATTTATATCAAAAGAGAATCTTCATTACTAACTGCAACACACACAAAAATCAATTTCAGATGTATTGTATACCTAAATACAAGAGGTACAACATGACCTCTTTTGGAAGATAACGTTGGGAAATATATTAGTGCCTGTAAAGGAGATAAATATTTGTTAACCTAGTTGCAAATACACTAACCATAAAGAAAAATAATGATATTTATTAAAATAAAGAAATTATGTTCATTATTAAAAGCATAAAAATAAAAAGCAAGCTGCAGAGTGAAGTAGGAGTGAATATAAGCATACATATAAAATTGACAAAGAGCTCATATCCATAATATGTAAAGAATTCAATTAAACCAGTAAAAAAAGAAGACCAATAAAAATGGATGAAATACTTGAACATGCATTTAGAAAAAGAAGATAGCCAAATTGACAATAAAAACATGAAAAAGGTGCTCCCCATCATTAGACATTAGAGAAATTAAATTATAATGTAATGTGAAATCTCTATACATCCCCCAGAGTGAATAAAATGAAACAGGAAATGCTAAACGTTTGGTGGATATGGTAATATCTATTATAGCTGCATATACTGCTTTCTGTGATTCAGTAATTCCTCTCTCAGCATATATTTGTACACTGAAAAACATGTAAAAGAATGCTCACGATAGCCTTATTTGCATTAATCTAACACTGGAAACAGGAATATGTATTAAGGGAATAGATAAATAAAAGGTGTGCTTCTTACAATGAACTAGCAATGAAAATGACATAAATACTTAAACTGAGGTTAATGTCTCAATCATAATACTGAAGGAAAGTATCTAAATGAAAAAATAAATGTGTATATGATTTCGTTTATATATCATACCAACACAAAAAAAGACTCGAGAAAAATAATGCTTTTTGACATCAAAGGAAATTTGGGAGTGTTGGTAACATACTATTTCTTCATGAGGGAGTTAGACACATATCTTTCTGGTGAAATATTATTAAGCTCTACACTTAGCAATTTCCACACCTAGAACAAAATGGATATAAAAAATAAAATAAAAGCTAGAAACTGGCAAATATGCAATTGAAGACAATATGAGTAAAAAATTTCTGAATGTCCAGCTGGGAAAGTAAGCAAATAAATGAAATTGTATCAGCTAGGGAGGAATGTGTAATTAGAGAAACGTTTAATTTTTTAAACTATTTTACAGGGAATATATTAGAAAATATTTGTATGTAAATTAAATCATTCAATAAACTGGAAAGCTAATTATAGAATATTGGATGCAAATCTTAGAAATTCAAGAGAGTATAGTATCCAGATATTGGCTATTGAAAGAAGAATGAGCATTTTCCTAATGCAATTCACAATTCCCTAATGCAATTAATGTAGTACTTTCTTGGTAAAGTTGAAATTTATTCTTCCTAAGTAATCTCCACTACACAACAGATCTACTACTATCCACTACTATCCATACCTAGAAAATAACATTTCATAATTTTTTATTTGTTAACATTAACTGGATCAAGGTACTTTGACATAGCTGTGCAATAATTTGGAAAACATCATTTCAGAGATTTGGACCTTAGTCTTCTGTACTCTCTGCTAAGGATCTTCTAGAAAATGTCCCCATGTTTTAATGCCTCCGCATTTCATAACATCACAACATTCTCACACCATAAAATAGCTCATGAGCAGTCAGTGTGTGTCATTATCTGTTGAAATGTGCCCCACCAACCTGTTTGAATTCCAAAATGAGCAGCATAAACAAAGGATATGAAGTGTGTGGACTGCCAGGAATGCAGAGCCTGTGGCTCAGCTGAGGACTCACTTATACAGAGCCTGACATTCAGAAGACCAATGCCAGTGCTTGAGGAAAAATGGCAAAGTTAGGGAACTCTCAATCCCTATTTTCACAGGTGATGAATGAGCACTGCCCTCCCCCCAACTCCAAGTAGTGAGGTTCCAGGCTCAATTGGTGGCAGAAGTGCGAGCTGAAACATTTCTTGATGTCCACACATGGCATACACCTTTCATATCCCACGTCTTCTTTGTTTTCCTTTTCTTTGCCCTCTCTTTTCTCTGTTGTTCACACCTTCAGTTTCAATCTCTGGGTAGTGTGTAGTATTTTCTGTCTTCTTTGTCCTGCAAATCAATAAGGGTGATAGTCACAAATAGAATATGTGTGAACATTCACATCAAAAGTGATGCTGTGATTTGAGGAATTCTCTCTTAAATGAATTAGGATGTTTTGGGATGGGGTGGTCGTGGGGAAGAAAACAAACCAAAACAAACACAGAACCCTGCCTAAAGTATTGATCTCAGATTGATGCTGATTTGAAAAAAGAAGTTCTGTAATTTGGGGTTGAAGCAGAGTTAGGTCAAAAAACATGAATTGGCTTGTAGAGTAAGTGCAGCCAGGAAACATACACTTCAAGAATTACTTCCTTGAAGTAATGTACACTTCAATGATTACTCATAAATTAAGCAATAAAGAATGAAATTTAACCCCCCACACACAGGGTTTTGTGTCACTCTGAGTCACAGTTGATATAAAATCATTTTTTGTTACCATTCTAAATTCAGAAATATACAAGTAATGTGACTGACTTATTTTAGATGTATGGATTCCTGAAGAGCTGACGTTGTAGAATATATGAGCTGCAATCAGTTATTTTATAATTGCACTAAATCATCAGGAATTTTCTGATTCCATGATGCTCAGAGCTGTGTGGCAAGGAAGACAAGGCTTAGCTTTCTTATGGATTTATTTTACTTCACCTTGATTCCAATAAAAGCAATTTTTGATGTATGAGAGAGCAAGAAGTACATATTATTTTACTTTTTATTTAAAATATTAATCATCATTATAAAAATATTCTCCTAGCTTCATCATTTCATATTTCAATTACTTATTAATTCATATTTAAAATGTGTAAGCTCTTCTGTGAAAGTTCTAGGAAAACATAAACAGCTTGTCCTTTAAAATCTTTTATATAATTTTAAATAACTATTTGAAAAGTATATAATGCATTTTTGACTTTAGGGATTAAAAATATATTACTCTATTGGAAGTGGGGTAAGTTAAATATGCTGCTTAATGTTGATTATTAAGCAAATTAAAATATATTCAGACTTCAAAAGTGTTTGTTTGGACATAAAAATATTTTCTAGGCTCTAAAATTATATTTTGAAGTTTCAACTATTCTCATCAAAAATTTATAATTTTGTATGCAATTCTTGGGGGAAAGTGTTTAAATAGTTTTCTTTTTTAAGTATAATCTATATATACAGACATGTAAGTACATAAGTATAGAAGTATATATAATATACACACATTAGTAATATACTTATATATTAATATATACATGTTGTATATACATATTACTATATATAAAACACATACAAAGTATTATTTTCCATCTGATGGTTACATATAGTTATATTTGTAAGGACTTTAAGACGTAGAAGTAGGCAAATTATTATCACATTGAAAATATATAGCACCAATTTAAATTTCAGAATAAATACGTATTTTTTCAAATGCAAAGTAGTGGGTGAGCCAGATGAAAAGTGAAAAATAACTGTAGAATGCAAATTTAAATTTGAAGAAGCATGAAGGATTTCTGATGGTTAACTTTTTAAATAATTTCTGGGAATTTTAAAATTTATTTAATAAAATCTCAATATTTTTACTTAAGTTTGGTTGGGTTTTTGCGTGCATTTATATTAATATTTCTCACATATGTGTATTTTCTCCTTTACTTCTCATGCGACTTATTTTCCTTAACTCAGTAGGCTAACAATGCCAGTAGTGAGTCAATGCTTACTTAAGCTTATTCAGCACATTTCATTCAGAGAAAGAAATGCAGGGTAGGATACAAAGAAAATGTAATTACTCAAATGTTTCTTATTGGATAATTTGTTTTGGAGGATTAATCATATACCATCATTTTGAAGCAAATGGGAGGAGTAATTATTTGCTCTGTTTCTGTTCATCTGCTTTGGAAAGCTGGTGAGGATAGAAGGTGAACTTGTCGTTTCAGGGAGTAACCTCTACGGCCCTTTCCTTCTTGTGTGCAGTTTTTAGACACAGAAACCGCTGGTCATCTGGCCATTCCTTAGAGAGACTGAGCAATACTGAAGAAAAGCCTTGGCAAGAGATCTCAATTCCTTCCTCGGAAACCCATTATTGTCTGTCCTTAGGCAAAACCCTCAACACCCCTGCCCTAGTCTCTGCCTGTATGTGCAGAGGTTAGACTAATCCTATAGGTAAATTTTTACAGAACAGGGTTTCCTTGGTCCAGAAGAGACACAGAGCAAGTTATTTTCTGTAAGTGTGTCAACAAATGCCCATCACAGCTCAAGAGACAGGAAGATCCACATCTGAGACGTTAAATCCATTTTACGGACAGAGGAAAATTCTTCTTGTCTTCAGTCTTCATGTAATCACTTCCCTGGATTTAGTTAATCCTGTCTTGCCCAATTTTACAGTCGATTGTAGCCTTCCTCAGATGCCATCAATGTCCCTCAACACCATCAATATCTATTGTTGTTGTTGTTAGTGGTGATGGTGGTGGTTTGGTTTTAATCAGATTTGCACCCATATCATGCCCTGCTGTTAGATCAAAGCACTGATGTGATAAGTCTGCTTATGAAATTGAGTATAGACTAAAACTGATGCATTGATTATATGTGGAAGTAAAGAATGGGAACTTTAAAATAAGGCTTTACATTATTGTCTCCTGAAATGTTTAAAATTAGGTGTGTATTTCATAGCACAAATCAAGTTATTGCAAAGATATCCTTCAGGGTCTACATAAGAAATTCCTAGTGTTCTATTCACATAAAAGACTTAGTTTCTTAGAAATTATTTATGTGTTACATTTTGTATGCTAAGTGCTTTGAACCTCTTTCTGGTTCCCTCACATCACAGAGCATGCTACATTAACTTGTCAATGAAAGGAAATTCCCCAATTTATATTCTTGTTAGTCCCCAGGAAGAAGAGGAAAAAGCAGGCAGAAAGGGAAAAGTTTAAGTTTACTTGACTGTATCATCCTAATTTGTTTTAAGATAGCAACAAAAAAACAGTTTCTGAATCTCATTCAACTTAAACCCATTTCTTGCATGAACATTTGACATACTTTTTAGGGTACTTCTTGGCATGTATTATATACTTCCCGGGGTTTAAATAATATTCAACAAGGTATAATGGTCCTCTTTAAAAGTAAAAGAATCTAAGAGTCTGGGAGGGCAAGTAAAGTTTACACGTTAAAAGTAGTGAAGTCAAGACTGAAACCTGAGTCTTCTGATCTCACATGCGTGTTATCCTATAATGCACGACATCTGGATCAAAAAATGACAAAGGGAACATAGTCCACACCTAGTGTCAGCAGTGAAAAAATTTGCTTACACTCAAATCTATAAGAACCTGACATTTTGGGAAAGATAGTCAAGTGAAATAAAAGAGTTGAGAATTCAGGGTGCATGTGCATGTGAACATGCTAATGAGAAACTTGCTCATTGCAGCCCTCCAAAACAAATAATTAATTATTCATCTTATTTAGAACTTGAGATGAAAATAAGTTCAATATTTCTGTTTCCTTTTCTTTTGGTCATTATTAGTTATTGGGCAAGGTAACCACATAACTGCACTATTGAATTTGGGGAATTGATTTGGGAAGCAAGCCTACATGAATGCAATAGATAAATAGATAAATTAAGCTGAAAGTAACCTACATTAGAGTTTTCCAGAACTGGTGATAAAAATTACTAACAAATATTAGTGAGACTATATTATATGCAGCTGTTAACTTCAGAAAAGTAGGTGCTCCTATCATACCCTGAAGAGTGGGAACCATGGTTCTTAGTTTTTACTACCTGTTCTCCAGACACAAGGGCTTGTCTAACAATGGTAAGTATGATGTATCAACCCTCTGTCTTGTACAGGATATATCACTAGGAGAGGGGTCATTTAAAAACCATTACCGTATCCTCGATGTGCTAGCCTCATTCAGAGGCAGGCAACCCTTGGCTGTGCATGATTTGAGAAAATGCTTTCCATTTTAGAGTGGCTCTCCTCAGATGTTATTCTGCCATAAATGCCACTCATAGCTACTTCCTAAATTAACAGACTTTTCTTCTGAGAAGTTTTGAGTTTCAGAAAATTTGAATAGAAAATTAAGTCCTCCTTTACTCCCACACTGCCCCCTCATTCCCTTTATTCTTATCATCTTGCTTTGGTGTGGTGCATTTGTTAAAACTGATGAGACAATATTGATACACCGTTATTAACTAAAACTATAGTTAACATCAAAGTTCACTCTGTGTTGCACAGTCCTGCGGGTTTCGAAAATTTTAATGACATACATCTAACACTGTAGCATCATAAAGAATACTTTCACTACCCTATTTCATCCACCTTTTGTGCTCCACCTTTCATCCCTTTCATCTCACTCTCTCCTGGAAGTCCCTGGCAGCCACTGATCTTACTATCGCCACAGTTTTGGCTTTTCCAGAAAGTCATACAGTTGGAGTCATACAGTAGCCTTCTCAGATTGGCTTCTTTCACTTTGTAATATATATTTAAATTTCCTGTATTATTCTTGTGGTTTCCTGGCTCACTTTTATCTCTTTTTTTCTTTTAAACAATAAAGGATTTTATTATTTCTCATAAAAGGAAGTCCGGCTCCATGATGTCACCAAGGAATTGAGTTGTTTCCATCTGTCTCTGTCATCCTCTGTGAGATGGCATTGTCCTGGGCTGGTTCCACTCACTGCTGAGCAATGATTGCAGCAGTTCCAAGTATCATGTTTCCATATGATCTTATATAGGAAAATAAGTGGGACCATGTCTTTCCTGCTTTTTTAAAAAATATTTTTTCTTTTTATTGTAAATATGTGTAATATAAAATTTACCATTTTTACCAGAACATAAAATTTTAATCATTTTAAGTGTACAATTTAATGGCCTTAAGTTTATTCATGTTGCTGTGCAACTATCACCACTACTAGTTTCTAGAATTATTTTTATTATCCCAACCTGAAATTCTCTAGTCATTAAACAATAAATCCTCCTTCACTCTAACCCCACAGTAACCTTTATTCTACTTTTGTCTTTATGAATTTGTCTACTCTAGGAAGATCATAGAAGTGGAATAATGTAATATTTGTCATTTTGTGTCTAGTTTATTTCTCATAACATAATGTTTTCAGAGTTCATCCATGTTGTAGTATGCATCAGAATTTCATGCTACGTGAATTTCATGGTTTTTAAAAAATTTCAATATTTTTTGGAGAGCAAGTGGTTTTCGTTACATGGATATGTTCTTTAGTGGTTATTGAAATTTTGGTGCACTTGTCACCTGAGCAGTGTACACTGCACCCAATGTGTAGTCTTTTATCCCTCACCCTCCTCTCATCCTTTCCCCTTAGTCCCCAAAGTCCATTATATCATTCTAATGCCTTTGTATCCTCATAGCTTAGCTTCCACTTATATGTGGGAACATATGATAGTTGGTTTTCCATTCCTGAGTTACTTCACTTAGAATATTGGTCTCCAGCTCCATCCAAGTTGCTGCAAATGCCATTATTTTATTATTTTTATGGCTGAATATATACACTGCATTTTCTTTATCTTCTCATTGATTGATGGGCATTTAGGTTGGTTCCATATTTTTGTTGTTGTGAATTGTTCTGCTATGAAAATGTGTGTGCAGGTGTCTTTTTCATATAATGACTTCTTTTCCTCAAGTAGATGCCCAGTAGTGGAATTCCTGGATCAAATAGTAGATCTACTTTTAATGCTTTAAGGAATCTCCATACTGTTTTCCATAGTAGTTGTACTAGTTAGCATTTCTACCAGCAGTGTAAAAGTGTTTCCTTTTCCCCATATCCAGGCCAACATCTATTATTTTTTGATTTTTTTAAATTATGGCCGTTCTTGCAGGAGTAAGGTAGTATCTCATTGCTGTTTTAATTTTCATTTCCCTGATGATTAGTAATGTGGGGCTTTTTTATATGCTTTGTGGCCATTTGTCTGTCTTCTTTTGAGAATTGTCTATTCAATTCCCACTTTTCCCACTTTTTGATGGGATTATTTGGGGTATTTTCTTGTTTATTTGTTTGAGCTCCTTGTAGGTTCTGGATATTAGTCTTTTGTCAGATACATAGTTTTCAAATGTATTCTCCCACACAGAGTCTGTGGGTTGTCTGCTTACTCTGCTGATCATTTATGTTGCTGTGCAGAAGATTATTGGTTTAATTAGGTTCCATATATTTATTTATGTTTTTGTTGTTGTTATTGTTTTGCATTTGTTTCTGGCTTTTTGGTTATGAACTCTTTGCCTGAGCTAATATCTAGAAGAGTTTTTCTGATGTTATCTTCTAGAATTTTTATGGTTTCAGGGCTTAGATTTAAGTATTTTACCCATCTTGAGTTGATTTTTGTATAAGGTGAGAGATGAGGATCAGTTTCATTCTACTACATGTGGCTTGTCAATTATTCCAGCACCAATTGTTGAATAGGGTGTCCTTCCCCACTTTATGTTTTTGTTTGTTTTGTCAAAGATCAGTTGATTCTAAGTATTTGACTTTATTTCTGGGTTCTCTATTTTGTTTATTTTGTCCACCTGCTATTTTTATACCAGTACTATGCTGTTTTGTTAACTATAGCCTTGTAGTATAGTTTGAAGTCATGTAATGTGATGATTCCAGATTTGTTCTTTCTGCTTAGCATTGCTTTGGCTATGCGGGCTCTTTTTTTGGTTGCATGTGAATCTTAAGATTGTTTTTTCTAGTTCTGTGAAAAATCATAATGTTATTTTGATGAGAATTGCTGTGAATCTGTAGATAGATTTGGGCAGTATTGTTATTTTAACATTATTGATTATACCCATCCATGAGCATGCAGTGTGTTTCCATTTGTTTATGTCATTGAAGATTTATTTTAGCAGTGTTTTACAGTTCTCCTTGTAGAGATCTTTCACCCATTTGGTTAGATAAATTTCAAAGTTTTGTTTTGTTTCTGCAACTGTTGTAAAAGGGATTGTGTTCTTGATTTGATTTTCAGCTTGGTCACTGTTGTTGTATAGTAGTGCTAGTGATTTCTTTACGTTGACTTTGTATCCTAAAACTTTACTGAATTAATTTATCAGATCTAGGAGCTTTTTGAATTAGTCTTTAGAGTCTTCTAGGTATACAATCATATAATCGTTGCACAGTCACAGCTTGACTTCCTCGTCAATGATTTGGATGCCCTTTGGATGCCCTTGATTTCTTGCTCTTATCTGATTGCTCTGGCTAAGACTTCCAGTAGTATGTTCAATAGAAGTGGGGAAAATGCACATCCTTGTTTTGGTTCCAGTTCTCAAGGGGAATGCTTTCAACTTTTCCACATTCATTATAATGTTGGCTGTGGGTTTGTCATAGATGGCTTTTATTACCTTAAGGTATGTCCCTTCTATGCCAATTTTGATGAGAGTTTTAATAATAAATGGATGCCAAATTTTGTCAAATGCTTTTTCTGCATCTATTGAAATGATCATATAATTTTTCTTTTAATTCTGTTTATGTATCACATCTATTGACTTGTGTATGTTAAATCATCCCTGCATCCCTGCTATGAAATCCAGTTGATCATGGCGTATTATCTTTTTGATATGCTTTTGGATTTTGTTAGCTAGTATTTTGTTGAGGAGTTTTGCATCTGTATTCATCAGGTATATTAGTATGTAATTTTCTTTTTTTGTTATGTCTTTTTCTGCTTTTGGTATTAAGGTGATACTGCCTTCATAGAATGATTTAGGGAGGATTCCCTCCTTATCTTTTGGAATAGTTTAAGTAAGATTGGTAACAATTCTTCTTTGAATGTCGTACAGAATTCAGCTGTGAATCCTTCTGGCCCTGGACATTACTTTGTTGGCAGTTTTTTAACAATTATAGTTTCAGTGTCATTACTTGTTTTTCATTTGTTCAGAGTTTCTATTTCTTCCTGATTTAATCCAGGAGGGTTGTATATTTCCAGAAATTTATTCATTTCCTGTAGATTTTCTAGTTTGTTGATGTAAAGGTGTTCCTAGTACCCTTGAATGTTTTTTTTTTGTATTTCTATTATCAGTTGTAATATATCTTATTTCATTTCTAATTAAGCTTATTTGCTTCTTCACTCTTCTTGGTAAATCTTGCTAAAGGTCTATCAATTTTATCTTTTCAAAGAACCAGCTTTTTGTTTCATTTGCCTTTGTTGTTGTTGTTATTTGTTTGTTTGTTTCCATTTCATTTAGTTTTGCTCTGATGTTTGTTACTTCTTTCCCTCTGCTGGATTTGGTTTTGATTTGTTCTTGTTTCTCTAGTTCCTTGAGGTGTGACCTTAGAATGTCAATTTGTGATTTTTCAGATGTTTTGATGTTAGGCATTTATTGCTATCAACTTTCCTCTTAACACTTCCTTCATTGTATCCCAGAGGTTTTGATAAGTTATGTCACTATTATTGTTCAGTTCAAAGAATTTTTACATTTCCATCTTGATTTTATTGTTGATCCAATGATCTTTCAGGAACAGGTTATTTAATTTCTATATATTTTCATGGTGTTGAAGGTTCCTTTTGGAGTTGATTTCCAATTTCATTTCACTGTGGTCTGAGAGAGTACTTGATATAATTTTAATTTTCTTAAATTTATTGAGACTTGTTTTGTGAGCTGTCATATGGTCTATCTTGAAGAATATTCCATGTGCTGATGAAAATAATGTATATTCTGCAGTTGTTGGGTAGAATGTTCTGTAAATATCTGTTAAGCCCCTTTATTGTAGGATATAGTTTAATTCCATTGTTTCTTTGTTGTCTTTCTCTCTTGATGACCTGTCTAGTGCTGCCATTGGAGTACTGAAGTCCCCCACTATTACTGTGTTGCTGTCTATTTCAATTTGTAGGTCTAGTAGTAATTGTTTTATGAATTTTGGAGCTCCAGTATTAGGTTCAAATATACTTAGGTTTGTGATAATTTCCTGTGGAACTAATCTTTTTATCATTATATAGTAATCCTCTTTGTCTTTTTTAAAAAACTATTATTGCTTTGAAATCTGTTTCGTCTGATATAAGAATAGCTACTCCTGCTCGGTTTTGGTTTACATTTGTGTGGAGGTTTTTTTCCACCCCTTTACCTTAAGTTTATGTGAGTCTTTAAGTGTTAGGTGAGTTTTGTGAGGAAGGCAATTACTTGGTTGGTGAATCAATATCCATTCTGTCATTTTGTATCTTTTGAATGGAGCACTTAGGCCATTTACATTTAATGCTAGTATTGAGATATGAAGTACTGTTC
The DNA here is from genome assembly GCF_000001405.40 of Homo sapiens. NCBI lineage: Eukaryota > Metazoa > Chordata > Mammalia > Primates > Hominidae > Homo > Homo sapiens. Next base: position 53,666,623 of record NC_000007.14, read on the forward strand.
TATTCATCATGTTAGTTGTGAAATACCTTGAATTTTTTGTATTACATTGTTGTTTAATAAACCCTTTGAGATTTATGCTTTAAGGAGGTTCTATTTTGGTGTATTTTGAAGTTCTGCCTCATGATTTAGAACTCCTTTTAGCATTCTTGTAGTGCTGGCTGGCTTGGTAGTGGCAAATTTTCTTGGCGTTTTTTGTGTGAATAAGACTGTATCTTTCCTTCATTTAAGAAGCTTAGTTTCACTGCATAAAATTCTTGGCTGAGAGTTATTTTGATTTAGGGCACTAAAGATAGGATTCCAATCCATTCTGGCTGGTAAGGTTTCTGCTGAAGAATCTGCTGTTAATTTGATAGGTTCTCTTTTATAGGTTAGTGGATGCTTTTGTCTCACTGCTCCTAGGAGTCCTTCTTTCATCTTGACTTTAGATAACCTGATTACTATGTGCCTAAGTGAAGATCTTTTTGCAATGAATTTTCCAGTTGTTCATTGAGCTTCTTGTTATTTGGATGTCTAGATCTCTAGTAAGACCAGGGAAGTTTTCCTCAATTATTTCCTCAAATAGGTTTTCCAAACTTTTAAGTTTCTCTTCTTCTTCAGGAACACCATATTCCTAGATTTGGCTGCTTAACATAACCCCAAATTTCCTGAAGGCTTTGTTCAATATTTTGGTTCTCTTTCTTTGTCTTTGTCTAATTGGGTTAATTCAAAAGCCTTGTCTTCAAGATCCAAAATTCTTTCTACTTGTTCTAGTCTATTATTGAAAATTTCCACCGCATTTTTTTATTTCTCTGAGTATGCCTTTCATTTCCAGAAGTCGTGATTGTTTTTTCTCTATGACAGCTGTCTCGCTGGAGAATTTTTCATCCATAGCATGTATTGTTTTTTAATTTCTTTCAGTTAGTTTTCACTTTTCTCTGGTATCTCCTTGAGCATCTTAACAATCAACCTGCTAAATTCTTTATCTGGCAATTCAGAGATTTCTTCTTATTTCTTCTTGGTTGGGATCCATTGCTGGGGAGCTAGTGTGATTGCTCTAGCAATTTAGTTTTGGGGGTGTTATAAAGTTTTATTTTTTCATATTACCAGATTTACTTTTCTGTGTGTGTGTGTGTGTGTGTGTGTGTGTGTGTGTGTGTGTTTCATTTGGGTAGACTAGAACAAGTGGAAGAAAGAACTTCAGATCTCAAAAACAAGGCTTTAGTTATTTTTCTTACATATTTAGAAATGAAATTGCTGGATCACATGGTAATTCCATGTTTGAGTTTTTGAGGAACCACCACAATGTTTGCAACAGCAGCTGCACCCTTTTCATTTCTAGCAGCAATGTACAAGGATTGTAATTTCTCCACAACCTTGCCTTGTAATTTTCTTTATGTGCGTGTATCGTGTGTGCAAGTGTGTTTATAATATCTGTCCAAGTGGGTGTGAAGTGGCATATCATTTTGAATTTGATTTGCATTTCCTTAATGATTAGTGCCATTCAGTTACCTTTACATGTGCTTATTAGCCGTTTGTATATCATCTCTGGATAAATGTCTATTGAAGTCTTTAGCCAATTTTTTAATTGAGTGTTTGTTTCACAATATTGTTAAAATGAAGGAATTATTTATATATTTTGGATATTAAGACCTTATCAGATGTATGATTTGCAAGTAACTTCTTCCATTTTGTGGGTTGCCTTTCCAGTTTTTTGATAGTACTGTTTAGTGTACATGAAGTACAATTTGATATATGCCTCCTTTTTGTTTCCTATACTGCTGGTGTCATATTTAAGAAATTATTGCCAAATACCAATTTATGAGCTTTACCTTGCAATTTTTTAAGAGTTTTTGTTTTGTTTTATTTAAAATTTTTTATTTTTAATTTTGGTGGCTACATAGCATATGTATTTCTGGGTAAGAGTTTTTTAAAATAATTGTTGTAGTTTTAGCTCTTTTGTTTAGTTATTTTATCCATTTTGATCCTTTTTGTAAATGATATAGGATAAGTTTCCAACTTCACTCTTGTACATGTGAATATTTAGTTTTCTCAGTATCATTTGTTGAAAAGACTATCTTATCTCCAATGAGTGGTTTTGGTACATTTGTCAAAGTCATTTCACCATGTACATGAGTTTTATTTCTAGGCTCTCTTCTATTCCATTTCTCTATGTGTCTGTCTTTATGGCAGCATTACACTTTTTATTAATAAGTATTTATAGTAAGTTATGATATCAGGATGTGTAAATCCTCTAACGTTCCACTTCTTTTCAAAATTATTTTGACTATTTATTGAAACTCCACATGAATTTTTAGGATGGTATATTTTTATTTCTGCAAAAAATTGTAGTTCAGTTTTTGAGAGGTTATTTCATCAAATTTGTAGATTGCTTTGTGTAGCTTTGATATCTGAATAATATTAAGGCTTCTAATATATGAACAAGATGAATCTTTCCACTTATTAATGTTCTCTTTCATTTCGTTCAGCAATGTTTTAAAGTTTTTAGTATAAAAATACAATGTCTTCTAGGTTAAGTTTATTCCTTAATGTTCTTTTTTTTTCTTTTTTCTTTTCTTTTCTTTTTTTTTTTTAGATGGAGATTTGCTCTTGTCACCCAGGCTGGAGTGCAATGGCAAGATCTCAACTCACTGCAACCTCTGCTTCCCCGGTTCAAGTGATTCTCCTGCCTCAGGCTCCCGAGTATCTGGGATTACAGATGCCCACCACCATGCCTGGCTATTTTCCTTTTTTAGTAGAGACGGAATTTCATCATGTTGGCTAAGCTCGTCTCAAACTCCTGACCTCAGGTGATCTACCCACCTTCGCCTCCCAAAGTGCTGGGATTACAGGCATGAGCCACTACACCGAGCCAATATTTTATTTCTTCATTCTATTTTAAATAAAGTAGTTTTCTTAATTCCATTTTAAGACTGTTCATTGTTAGCATATAGAAACACAACTAAATTTAATGTATTTATTTTGTACCTTGAAACTTTGTGGAGTATGTTTACTGGTTCTACCAGTATTTTTTCCCCCAGGGAGGGTGAATCTTGAGGGTTTTCTACATATAAGATTATGTCATTTGTAAACAGAAATAACTTTAATACTTTATTTTCAATACGTATTTAATTACTTTTTTTGTCTAATGTTCTAGCTAGAACTTCCAATACTATGTTGAATAAAATAAGTGAAAGTGGCATCCTTGCCACACTTCTCAACTGAGAGGAAATATTTTCAGCCTTTCACCTTTAGTTTAGTGGTAGCTGCAAACTTTTCAGGTCTGGCCTCTATTATTTCGAGGTAGTTTCTATCTGCTTCTTCTTAGTTGTATGTTTTTATCATGAAAGTATGTTGTATTTTTCCAAATGCTTTTTGTTCAACAAGTGAGAGAATTATTTGTACTTCTTTTACTTCATTGTTACTGAGGTATGTTATAGTCACTGATTTTTATATGCTAAGCCATCCTTGCATTCCAGGAATAAATATTACACCACTTGCACATGGTGTGTGATCCTTTAATATCCTGCTAAATTTGGGTTGCTAGTATTTTATTGAGGCATTTTGCATCAATGTTCATAAGAAATACTGGTTTGTAGTTGTATATAAATTTATATTTATATTTACATGTATGTAAATATTTATATTACATATATATGGAGAGAGTGATAGATCATTAGTCTCAGTATCAGGATAATTAATGCTGAACTAACAGAATAAGTTAGGAAACATCTTTGCGTTTTTTGGTAGGTTTGATTATTGGTTTAATTTCTTCTTAAATGTTTAATAGAATTCATTAATGAAGCCATCTGGCTAGGGCTTTTCTTTGTTGAGAAGTTGTAGATGACTGATTCAATCTCTTACTAGTTGTAAGTCTATTCAGACTTTTCTATTTCCTCGTGGTTCACTCTTGAAGGACAGTATGTTTCTAGAAATGTGTCCATTTCATCTAGCTAACTCGATCAGTTTGTGTGCAGTTTTTCATTGTCCTTTCTTATACTCCTTTTCATTTATTTAAGTTAAATAGTATTGTCCCCACTCTATGATATTAGACATTTGAATATTCTTTCTGTCTCTCTCTTTTTCTAGTCAGACTAAATAATATTTGTCAATTTTGATTTTTTTTGAAAAATCAACTTTTTGGTTTGTTGATTTTCTCTACTTTTTCATTTTATATTTTAATTATCTTCACTCTATTCTTTATCCTTAGACTGGGGTTAATTTCTTGTTTATGTAGCTACTTAAGGTGAAAATTTAAGTTATTTATTTGAGGTATTTATTTTTAAAGTAAACATCTATAGCTGTAAATTTCCCTCTTTGCACTGTTTTCTCTACATCCCATAATTGTTGGTATGTTGTGTTTTGTTTTCATTTTCCACAATACATTTTCCAGTTTTTTTATGATTTCTTCTTTGTTCTGTTGGTTGTTTGAGAGTGTGATTAATTTCTACATATTTGTGGATTTTTTCATTTTCCTTCTATTGATTTTTGTTCCTATTACATTATGATTGCAAAATATACTTTATATGGTTTTAATCTTTTATTTTTTATGAAGTAATATATGACCTATCTTCTAGAACATTCCATTAACTTGAGAAAAATGTATATTCTGCTAGTGTTAGATGGAGTGTTCTACTTATGTCCCTTAGCTCTAATTGGTCTACACTGTTTCTCATGTCATTTATTTGCTTGTTGATTTTCTATCTCTCTTTTCTATCCATTATTGAAAGTGAGAGATTTAAGTCTAGAACTATTGTTGGAGAGTTGTTAATTTGTCCCTTTCATTCTGGCGACATTTGAATCATGTATTTTGGAGGTCTGGTATTTGCCATATTCGTGTTTATAATTGTATCTACTTAGAGAATTGGCTGGTGGGCCAGAGCTTCTGTTGTTTTATAATAAAACTAAGCAACTTCAGTCTCTGAAGTAATCAACCCAGTAACCAGAAATGAAGCAGAGCATTTCTTCTTAATTCATATTTTGTAGCCCCAGCTCTTCACTAATATGCTGTCAGTCTATTTTCTGTTGCTATAACAGCATATGATATCTGGGTAATTTATAGAGAAAATAATTACTTCTTACAGCTATGGGGGTTGAGATGTCCAAGGCTGAGAAGCTGCATTTGTTGAGAGATTTCTTGCTGAGGGAGACTGTCTGCAGAGTCCTGGGGCAGTGCAGGGCAACACATGGTGAGTGGGCAGAAGGTGCTAACATACTAGCTCAGGATTCTGTTTCTCTTCTCATAGGGCTATCAGTTCCACTCCCATGACAACCTATTAATCCACTAACCCATTAACCTGTTAATCCATTAATGCATGAATGAACTAACCCACTCATGAAGGCAAAGCCCTCTTTACCCAGTCACCTCAAATACCTCATCTCTCAACACTCCCACATTGGGGACTGTTTCAACATGAGTTTTGGAGGGGACAAATATTCAAACCACAGCAAATGAGAATTCTTTCTTATCGCAGTTTCATTAGCAACCTATCAGGTCCTCTGAAATCTCTGCTTCTGCTCATGTTATGCATCTGAATCTCACACAGATGTGTTTTGTTGTTGTTTGTTTTTTGTTGTTGTTGTTGTTTTGTTTGTTTTTGACAGAGTCTCGCTCTGTCGCCCAGGCTGGAGTGCAGTGGCACGATCTTGGCTCACTGCAACCTCCGCCTCCTGGGTTCAAGCAATTCTCCTGCCTCAGTCTCCCGAGTGGCTGGAACTACAGGCGTATGCCTCCATGCCCGGCTAATTTTTTATATTTTCATAGAGACAGGGTTTCACCATGTTGCCCAGGCTGGTATCAAACTCCTGAGCTCAGGCAATCCCCCTGCCTCGGCCTCCCAAAGTGCTGGGATTACAGGCATAAGCCACTGCACCTGGCTTACGCAGATGTCTTAACAATACATTTGAAGGTATTTTTGGTTCTTTTGCTAAATGTGCATGAGTCCACTTCTATTTCAATGTCATATTTTTGTTAAGAATTTATTATTAAACAAATTATTTTGAAATGCAATAAAAATACGTGTGAGAAAAGGGGACACAGATATTTGAACCATGAGATAGAAACAGCAAACACCAAGCGAATTAGTTTTATTATACTGGGACACTATATTCTACATCATCTTTTTTTCAACGATAGTCACTTCTCAAGTAGCTATGCCTTTGGCCAGCTGGGCAGATTTCACAGCAATTAGCTTAACATTTAAAAACAGGTAGTGTCTTGTTTGTAACACTTAGAGCTTGGATTAAATTCAGATTCCCTTTTTACTAGAGAGATGTATGCAGCTATTCACTTAAACAGATGCATGTGTCTGAACAGCTGCTGATTTCAAAGTTATTTCCTGCACTTATTTATAAACATTCTGAACACATTCTCCAGTGCTACCACAGCATTGCTATAAAACTAAAAATAAAAAGGGAGAAAATCTTCCAGATGCTGCTGACTCTTTAAGTAGATCTGCTGTAGAAAATGGGCAAATAATTTCAATACTGTGCACATAGTTTTTATTGGATCTTGTGAAGCATAGTTCCCATCAAAAGATTAATTGGAATTTAACAGTAAAAAAAAAATTTGTCATGAGCATTGTCACACATCAAAATGTGAGTTATTGTTGTTTGTTTCCTTTAAGAAACAGAAAACCAGTTAGTAATTTAAGGATATAAATAAGTCAATTTCCCCAGGTTACATTTTGTCTTTGTGCAGTACCTCTATTTCAAATGCAAGTGTTCATGAAACTCATATTTTCAAAGCTAAACTGTTATGCTATGTGTTAGTTCCCAGAAATATCCTGATGGATCAGCCATCAAGAACCAATTTAGCACAATCTAAACCTTTGTACTCTACTTAAATAACTATATAATAAACACATTTTTATATTTAAGTAGATTACCAAGAAACTGCAACAAAATTATAAGTAGCAAATGTTTAATTTTTGCTCTTATAAGCACAGCCACATAAAGCATATGACAAAGAACATTTTTCTTTCATATATTATAGAAAGATATATGACTACATATCTCCATTTCAAAATGCAAACCAACCTATAAAAACATTCAAAAATTTAAACTCAGAAATGATCTAAAAATAAGTTTATACATGCACACACAGACAAGTTTTAAAACCTACGAAATGTATACACTGCATTTTGGAAGAAAATTACGCTGTGTATTTTCTTCAATCAAAATAAAAGGGGAAATTAATTATCCAATTGTCTTTGGAAAAAGTGGGGCTTCTCACAAAAGGCAAACCTTGACTTCATGTTAAATTACAAAAAAATATACGACCTAATTTTATTTACACAAACATTTGTAGTAGTGATTCTAAATAGAAGCTAAAAGTAATATATAAAATTCAATCAATTGTTAAGATAAAAAGAATTATGACAAAACATTATGTTGCCGGTAGTGATTATCTCCGGGAGTTTTTCCCTTTATGAGATATTATTAATTATATCATTAACACATTCACTAAAAAAGCAAGATTACTTTGCATGAAGTCTAATAAAATCCTTGTAGCTCACAAGGAACCAGTTATTCTTTTCCTTAAATAACACTCTTATAAAATTATTTACTGTAGTATTTTTATTTCTTAAATTTTGTGAAAATTCCATTGAGATATGTAATATGTAACTCACCTTCGAGATTCTGTATTTAATAAATTAGTAAATTTTTCATTTTCTGGGCTTCATTCACCTCTTTTATTTCTCGAAAATCTTTTTTTTTAGTTTTTAAAGTTATAGTTTTTTAAAGGTCCCCAAGTTTTATACATAGTGAACGCTAATTTGTATTGAGCACTGTTTCTGCCAGAAACTGTGCTAAAAGCTTTATGTACTTACATCATTTAATTCACAAAAGAATTCTATTAATCTTAAGAAAAATGAAGCATATAAAGATTTAGTGACTTTTCCCAGTTACATAGCTCAATTATATCAGAGAACTAGAACATAAAACCAAATCTATTTGTTTCAGAAGCATACATTCTTAACCACTACAATAAATTGCAATAAAATATTTAACAGTTTGCCCTACTGTGAATACTAAGTATATGAGCAAATTTTTCTGCCATAAGAAAATTTGGAAACATTGAGAAAAGCTTGAAAAGCAAATAAATTATGCACTTTCTTAATAAAGACACTTCTTAGAGTGTTTTTAGTAAAAATTTTCAATTAATAAAGCAAGACCGTTCAGTGGCCTAATTTATGTCTTTCACTAGATTAATGATTAATGTTATTGATGATCTCTGGACAACTTTTCTTTACAGTAAGCAAATTCCTTGATAAAGACAAAATATCTAAGGCAAATTTTAAAGCAAAACAGTCCTCCTTCTCTGGATTCCAGAAAAATACAAGAAGCAGACACGATTGCTCTTGGAAGAAACTACTACATTATTTCTATCTGTAAGGTCCTAAATAGCAGGCATGTGACTAAGTTGTCTATGCATTCCCAGGGCATTCTCAATGTCGTATGCAAAGAGGGTGATCAGTGTGTGCTTGTTGCATTCATCTATGAATTCAGTAGTCTGAACAGATGTTTCACTATGACAAAATTATCCATTTTATTATGGCAGAGATTTCTAGATATCTACCAAATCCCTATTCCTTTCCTTCTATTGGCACAGCTAGAGTACATATACCAGACTTATTATAGCATGGCTGCAGCAATGTTTCCATTAAGAGAAACGTACAACAGTTCTATCAAATTTTTATATGACTCTCCTAAACAATAGTTTTACATGTTTCTCAGTCTCACTTTCTCAGTCTATTTTTGTTTCTAATAATAAAAACTGGTATTAATATACTATTAATAATTTATCTTCACACAGAATTTTTAAATATTTATTTGCTGTATCTTACTTTGTCCAAATGAGTTCTAGATAAACCAACTTAAGTCAGATGAACAAACATTCAAGGTTTTTTGGGTTTCCATATTTCACAGTTTTATCTATAAGGGAAATGCAAAATATATGCAAATGATTAGAGAAACAATCCTGCTATGTAGATTATAAATAAACACAGTGAACTACTGGCTCACAGACAGGATATAAAATGGGACAAAATGATGTCTTTTGGACTAGTCTTTTTGAATAAATTTTATTGTGCAGATGTAAGATATACAACATGAAGTTATGTGAAACATTAGTAAAATGGTTACTATAGTGAAGGAAATTGACATAGTCATAATCTTGCATATTTACTCTTCCTTGTTTTGTGGCAAGAGCCACTAAAATCTACTCATTTTACAGTAATCCCAAATACAGTACTGTTTTATCATCCATAGTTTTCATGTACTTTAGATCTCTAGAATTACTCATCCTGCATATCTGCCACATTGAATCTATCCTCTGACCTACATCTCCCAAATTCCCCCCACTCCTGCCCCTTGTAATCATTTTTATTCTCTTTCTTTATATATTTGAACTTTTGAGATTCCACCTATATGTAAGATTGTGCAATATTTTTCTTTCTGTGTCAGGCTTATATTTCACTTAGTATAATGTCCTCCAGGTTCATCCGTGTTGTGGAAAATGGCAGGCTCTCCTTAAGGCTGAATAATATTCTATTCCATATACATTTGATGGAATAAGTATCCATGTTACAGTTTCTTTATTCATTCATCCTTCAATGACCACTTAGGTTGTTTTCATATCTCAGCTATTGTGAGTAGTCAAGATATGGAAACAACCTAAGGGGTCACTGATGGATGAATGAATAAAGATGATGGTAGTGGGAATGACATAGATGTCTCTTACTATTTTGAATTATATTCCTTCAATGCCTAATTATTTGAGGGTTTTAACATAAAGGGGTGTTGAATTTTACCAAAAGCCTTTTCTGCATCTATTGAGATAATCATGTGGTTTTGTTTGTAGTTCTCTTTATGTGATGAACCACGTTTATTGATTTGCATATGTTGAACCAAATTTGCATCCCAGTTAAAGCTTACTTGATTGTGGTGGATTCACTTTTTTTTTTTCTTCTTTTTTTGAGATGGAGTCTCCCTCTGTCGCAAGACAGAGTGCAGTGGCGTGATCTTGGCTCACTCAACTTCTGCCCCCAGGGTTTTAGCAATTCTCCTCCCTCAGCCTCCCAAGTAGCTGGGATTACAGGTGCCCACCACCACGCTCAGCTAATTCTTTTGTATTTGTAGTAGAGACAGGGTTTCACCATGTTGGCCAGGATGGTCTCGAACTCTTGACCTCAGGTGATCCACCTGCCTTGGACTCCCAAAATGCTAGGATTACAGGCGTGAGCCACCGTACCCAGCCGGTGGATTAGCTTTTTGATGTGCTGCCATGAACATGAGAGCACATCTCTCTTCATGAGGTGGTGATTTCATTTCCTTTGGGTATACATCCAGAAGAGGGATTGCTGGTCACATGGCAGTTCTAGTTTTAATTTATTTAGAAATTTTCATACTGTTTTCCATAATTGTTTCACCAATCTACATTTCCATGAACAGTGTACAAGGGTTCTCTTTTCTCGACACCCTTGCCAGCATTTTCATCTTTAATTTTTTTTCTTAAATGGATGTTCCTTTTATATTCATTAAACTGTACAATTATAATTAATCAATTTTTAGATGTATCTAACTTTTCAGAATGACATGCAAATTTAGTAAGAACACAAAAAATGCACAATGGAAAAATGCAAAAATATCTTGAGAAACTAAAATGTAATGATTTCATGACATTGCACATTTGCCTATTTTTCCCTTATAATTTAGTTTTTGGATATCTGTATATATTCTAGTCATCATCAAATATGTGGTTTGCAAAGATTTTTCTCCCAGTTTGTGGAGTGACTTTTCAGTCTATCAACACTGTATTTGATTAACAGACTATTTTATTATAATGATACTATATGTATTATTTTTTAACTTTTAGGTGTAGGGGTACATGTGCAGGTTTGTTATACAGGTAAATTGCATGTCATGAGGGTTTGGTGTACAGATTATTTCATCATCCAAGTAAAAACATAGTATGTGATAGGTAGTTTTTTGATCCTCACTCTGCTCCCACCCTCCACCCTCAAGAAGGTCCCAGTGTCTGTTGTTCTCTTCTTTGTGTCCATGTGTACTCAATGATTAGCTCCTACTTAAGTGAGAAGATGTGGTATTTGGTTTGCTGCTCTTGTGTTATTTTACTCAGGATAATGATCTCCAGCTCCACCCATGTTGCTGGAATGGACATGATCTCATTCTTTTGTTTCTGGCTGTATAGTATCGCATGGCATATATAAACCATATTTTCTTTATCCAGACTACCATGAATGGGCATTTAGGGTGAATCCATGTCTTTGCTATTGTGAACAGTGTTGCTTGCAATGAACCTAAGTGTGCATGTGTCTTTATGGTAGAAGATTTCTATTCCTTTGGGTATATACACAATGATGGGATTGCTGCATTTCATGCTAATTCTGTTTTACGTTCTTTGAGAAATCGCCAAACTGTGTTCCACAACGGCTGAACTAATTTACATTCTGATCAGCAGTGTATTTAAGTGTTCCCTTTTCTCCACAACCTTGCCAGCATCTGTTATTTTTGACGTTTTAATAATAGCCATTCTGATTGGTGTGACATGGTATCTCATTGTGGTTTTGATTGGCATTTTTTTTTAATGATTAGTGGTGCTAAGCATTTTTTCATATGCCTGTTGGCCACTGTTTGTCTTCTTTTTAAACGTGTCTGTTCATGTCCTAAGCTAGTCTTTAATGGGGTTGTTTTTTTGCTTCTTGATTTATGTTTCTTACAGATTCTAGATATTAGACCTTTATTGGATACATAGTTTTCAAATATTTTCTTCCTTTTAGAGGTGGCCTGTTTACACTGTTGATAGTTTCTTTTGCTGTGAAGAAGCTCTTTAGTTTAAGTAGGTCCCATTTGTAAATTTTTGTTTCTGTTGCAATTGCTTTTGATGTATTCATCATTGAATCTTTGCCAGGGCCTATGTCCACAATGGTAATTCCTAGGTATCATTAAAGGTTTCTATCATTTTAGGTTTTGATGTCAATTCATCTTGAGTTGATTTTGTATATGGTGTAAGGAAATAGGGTTTCAATTTTCTGCATATGGCTACCCAGTTATTTCTGCTTCATTTATTGACAGGGAGTCCTTTCCCCATTGCTTGTTTTTGTTTACTTTGACAAAGATCAGATGGTTGTACTTGTGCAGCATTGTTTCTGGGCTTTCTATTCTGTTTCTTTCATTTATGTGTCTCTTTTCTAATCAGTACTATGCTGTTTTGGTTATTGTAGTCTTGTAGTTTAGAAAGTTGGGTAACATGATATGTCCAGCTTTGTTCTTTTTGCTTAGGATTGCCTTGGCTATTAGGGCTCTTCTTTTGATTCCATATGAATTTTAATAGAGGTTTTTCTAATTCTGTAAAGAATATCATTGGTAGTTTGATGGGGACAGCATTAAATCTGTAAATTTCTTTGGGCAGTATGGCCACTTTAACGATATTGATTCTTCCTATCCATGAGCATGGAATGTTTTTCTATTTGTCTGTGTCACCTTTGATTTATTTGAGCAGTGTTTTGTAAATCTCTTTGTAGAAATCTTTCACCTCCCTTGTTAGCTGCATTTTTAGGTATTTTATTCTATTTGTGGCTGTTGTGAATATAATTATCTTCATTTGGCTCTCTGCTTGGATGTTGTTGATGTACCGAAATGCTACTGATATTTGTACATTGATTTTGTATTCTGAAACTTTGCTGAAGTTATTTTATCAGATATATCAGCTTTTGGGCAGAGACCATGGGGTTTTCTAGGAATAGAATCACACTGAAAACAGAGATAGTTTGAATCCCTCTCTATTTGGATGCCTTTTATTTCTTTCTCTTGCCTGATTGCTCTCACTAGGACTTCTGCTACCATGTTGAATACAAGTGGTGAGAGGGGACATTCATGTCTTCTTCTAGTTCTCAAAGGAAATGCTTCCAGCTTTTACCCATTCAGTATGATGTTGGTAATGGGAATGACATAGATGCCTCTTATTATTTTGAAGTATGTTCCTTCAGTGCCTAATTATTTGAAGGTTTTAACATAAAGCAATGTTGAATTTTACCAAAAGCCTTTGCTGCATCTATTGAGATAATCATGTGGTTTTGTTTGTAGTTCTATTTATGTGAAGAACCACATTTATTGATTTGCATATGTTGAACCAACCATGCAAACCAGAGTTAAAGCCTACTTGATTGTGGTGGATTAGCTTTTTGACATGCTGCTAGATTTGGTTTGCTAGTATTTTGTTGAGATTTTTTGCATCTGTGTTCATCAAGAATATTGGCCTGAAGTTGCCTTTTTTTACTGTTGTGTCTCTGCCAGATTTTGGTATCAGAATGATACTGGCCTGATAGAATGAGTTAGGGAGTAGTCCCTCCTCCTCAAATTTTTGGAATAGTTTCAGTAGGAATAGCCCTGGTATTCTTTATACATCTGGGAGAATTTGGCTGTGAATCTGTCTGGTTTTAGGCTTTTTTTCTGGTTGGTAGGCTTTTTATTACAGATTCAATTATGGAATTCATTATTCCTCTGTTAATGTATTCAGTTTCCTCCTGGTTCATTCTTGAGAGTTTGTATATTTCCAGAAACTTGTCCATTTCTTCTAAGTTTAAAAAAAACTGGAAGAAATAGAGGTGTTTCTAGTAGTCTATGAGAGGTTTTAATATTTCTGTGGGGTTGGCAGTAATGACCCCATTGTCATTTCCAATTGCATTTATTGGAATCTTCTCCCTTTTTTTTTTCTTTATTAGTCTAGCTGGCAGTCTATTGATCTTGTTTATTCTTTTAAATTTATTCTTTTAAATAACATACAGCTAGATTCATTGATGTTTTGTATGGTTTTCACATCTCAATTTCCTTCAGTTCAGCTCTGTTTCTGGTTATTTCTTGTCTTTTGTTACCTTTGGTGTTGATTTTCTCTTGTTTTTCCAGTTTCCCTGGGTGTGATATTAGATTGCTAATTTGAGGTCTTTCTAACTTTTTGACGTGGGCGTTTAGCACTATAATCTTCTCTCTTAACTCTTCATTAGCTTTGTCTCAGAGATTCTGGTATGCTGTCTCTTTGTTCTTATTAGTTCCAACAAATTTCTTGATCTCCGTCTTAATTTCATCATTGACCCAAGTCATTCAGGAACAGGTTGTTTGATTTCCATGTAATTCTTTGATTTTGAATGAATGTATGAAGTATTGATTTCTATTTTTATTGCCATCTAGTTTGAGAATGTGGTTGGTATGATTTTTTATCTTGAATTTGGTGAGAGTTGTTTTATGGCTGATTGTGTGGTAAATTTTAGAGTATGTTCCATGTACAGATGAGTAGAATGTATATTCTATTGTTTTGGAGTGGAGAGTTTCCATAGATGTCTATTATGTCCATTTGGTATGTTTGTGATCTGCCTCAGTGATCTGTCTAATTGTTTCAGTGAGGTGTTGTGATATCTCCTACTACTATTGTGTGGTTATCTAAGTCTCTTTGTAGGTCTTAAAGAACTTGTTTTATGAATCTGGGTTCTTTCTTGTTGGGTGCGTATGTATTTCAGAATGTTGGATCTTGTTGTTTTAAACCTTTACCATTATGCAGTGCCCTTCTTTGTCTTTTGTGATCATTGTTGGCTTAAAATCTGTTTTGTCTGAAATCAGAATAGCAACTCCTGTTTTCTTCTGTTTGCTTGGTAGGTTTTTCTCCATCCCTTCACTTTTAGCCTATTGATGCCACTGCATTTGAGATGCATCTCTCGGTGACAGCATACATTGGGTCTCGCTTCTTTATCCAGCTTGCCACTTTGTGCCTCTTAATTGGGGCATTTATTCCTTTTACACTCATGGTTAATACTGATATGTGTGGATTTAAATCTATCATGGTGTTGTTACCCAGTTATTATGCAACCTTGCTTGATTGTTTAGCTGCTTTACAGGGTCAATATTTATGTACTTATGTACATAATTGTATCAATATGTACAATATTAATACATAATTGTATCAATATGTGCAATATTAATACATAATTGTATCAATATGTGCAATATTAATACATAATTGTATTAATATGTGCAATATTAATACATAATTGTATTAATATGTGAAATATTAATACATAATTGTATTAATATGTGCAATATTAATACATAATTGTATTAATATGTGCAATATTAATACATAATTGTATTAATATGTGCAATATTAATACATAATTGTATTAATACAATGTAGTAAATATTGATTAATTGTATTAACAAAATGAAATCAATACTTAATGCTTTCATGGTGGCTGGTAACAGACTTTTCTTTCCATATTTAGTACTTTTTTTTTTTTATTTTTAGTAGAGACGGGGTTTCACCATGTTAGCCAGGATGGTCTTGATCATCTGACCTCATGATCCACCTGCCTCGGCCTCCCAAAGTGCTGAGATTAAAGGTGTGAGCCACTGTGCCCAGCCCCATATTTAGAACTTTCTAAAGGACCTCTTGGAAGGCAGATCTTATGGTAATGAATTCCCTTAGCATTTGCTTATGTGAAAAGAATCTCATTTCCTCTTCATTTATAAAACTTGGTTTGGCTGGATATGAAATTATTGGTTGGAATTTATTTTCTTCAAGAATGCAGAATATAAACCCTCAATGTCTTTGGGCTTGTAGGGTTTCTGCTGACAGGTTACAGGCAGCTAGAGAGCAGGGGCAAGTCAACTAAAAAGGAAACCGAAAAGGCGTATCCATCACATGGATTCTCTACAGTCCCCGAATTTGAATGTTGGCCTTTCTAGTGAGGTTGGAGAAATTTTCACGGGTGATATCCTGAAATACGTTTTCTAAGTTCCTTGCTTTCTCTTCCTTTCTTCCAGGGTTTAAAATATGTCACAGATTTGGTCTCTTTACAGAATCCTGTATTTTTCAGAGGGTTTTTTTTTTATTCTTTTTCATTCTTTTTTGTTTGTTTGTTTGTTTCTGACTATTTCACAGAATTGGTCTTCAAGCTTGAGATTCTTTGATCAGCTTGGTTGATTCTGCTGTCAATACTTGCAATTGTATTATGAAATTCTTGAGGTAAAATTTTCAGCTCTAACAGATCATGTTGATTCTTTCTTAAAATGGACATTTCATCTTTCAGCTCCTGTATAATTTTACTGTATGCCTTAGATGTCTTGGTTTGGGTTCCAACTCTCTCCTGGATCTCAATGATCTTCACTCTTATCAATTTTCTAAATTATATTTCTGTCATTACAGCCATTTCAGCATGGTTACAAACCATTGCTGGAAAATTAATGTGGTTGTTTGGAGATAAGAAGACACTCTGGTTTTTGGAGTTCCCAGAGTTCTTTCTCCAGTTCTTTCTCATCTATGTGGGCTGATGGTCCCTTAGTCTTTGAAGCTGCTGTACTTTGGATGAGGTTATTTAGGTTTTGCTTTTGCTTTCTTTTTTTTTGTTTATGCCCTTGGGGGTGTGATTGTGGATAAGGTGGGTTCAGTTGACTGGTTTCTTTTAATCTACAAACAGTAGGGTTCTCTGAGCAGCTCCTCACTGTCAATTGTTATTAGAAAATTGCAAATTAAACTCCAGTAAGATTGTACTCCATACATATTAGAATGTCTACATTAAAAAAAAAAACTGATATTACCAATTGCTGGTGAACATTTAGAGTAACAGGAACTTTCACTAATGCTGAAAATACAAACCAGTACAGCAAGTTTGGAAGGCAGTTTGACAATTCTACATCAAGCTAAACATAGTCAGATCATATATTCCATCAATCATAATTCCTAGGCATTTGGCTTATTTATTTGAAAATTCATTTTCACCCAAAAGCCTGTACATGAATGTTTATATCAGCTTTCTGCATAATTGCCAAAAATCAGAATCAACAAAATGGCCTTCAACAAGTAAATGGAAAAACCAACTGTGATATATTTATACAACAGAATATTATTCTGCGATTAAACAAAAATGAGCTATCAAGCCATGAAAAGATAGAATAAATATTAAATGCATGTTCTGAATGTAAAAATTTAGTCTGAAAGTCTATATATTCAATGAATTCAATCATATGACATCCTGTAAAGGACAAAATGATAGAGACATAAAAAGATCAAAATGGTTGCTTGGAGTCTGAAGTAGGGAGTTAGGTTTAATAGGTGGAGCACAGGGCAATTTTAGGACAGCTTTTTGGTATGATATTGTAATGGTGGATACATAAAACTCTGCATACCCAAACCCTGTAAAAATTATTGCACAAAGAATATTAATGTAAGTCAATTTTAACAAATTACTTAAGAGCTTTGAGGATCCCAAATGGAGTGCAGAATGTGGAAAAACAATATAAATATAGTACAGACATATGAAACATATGAAACACCTCACTTAGGGAGGTGGAATAAAACAATGCCTATGTAAGTTACTTTGACAATGAGTGGAGCCTGTAAGACTAAAAGTAAAGAATCCTATACATAAGCACTGTATTCTAGTTGATGACGTTGCTTCCCATAGGGGTAAGGGTAACAATTAAGATACTGCTGTGCAAATATGCTGGAATTAAACACTTAAGTAAATGGTGGCAGGATCTAGGCTACTCACTACACTTCCCAGAGATACATGAGGGGAAGAGGCTATCATACTGTATGTAGTAATAGATTAGAGTTGAAGACATTGGTATGAACTCATGTTCAGTTTAATTATGATGCAGATAGTACATATATTCCCTTACTCCATAGCTGAAAGTGTCTATGAGCAAATGTAATCTAGTGATAATGAACACAGCTAGTGCCCAGAGCTTGGTTTCTAATACCATTCTCCAGTAAAGGGAAGTAGGTCTCTTGGGATAACTGGCCGATTCTAGGCTGGGGGCAGGAAATGCACAAGGTAAGCCCAGAGCATCTTGTAGTGCCAGAAGGTAAGAAAGTGAAACAAACAAACAAACAAACAAAACACATGGGGAATGTCAAAGGGACACAGAAACCCACTGAAAGAGCTTCAGGTGACCAAAGCTGGAACAATTTAAGCAGCATTATAAAGTAATATTTGAATATAAAGAGGATCTATAAATTAAAGATAATAATAAATAGATAGAGGAGAAGAGACAAATTTCCTGTGAAAAGTTTCAGGTAATTTATGTAGATTCACCACCCTTTGAGAGCTAGAGCTTAACTTGCTACGATTTAAGTGTGGTCTGCACAGTTACGTCCTTCCAAAGAGCACAGTGTGGGATGGTGTTAAAAGAGTGACTCTGTGGCGGTGAAATCTGACAAACTCTACCTCAGCCAGATGATCAAGAGTAATAACAACAGTGATGTCATGTTGCCAAGCATGATACCCTTGTTATGATGTCATAACAGTAGCTCTTTACTTCTGTGATCTTCCTCCCAAAAACACATAACCACAATCTAATCATTAGAAACACATCAGAAAAACCACAAGTGAGGGACCTTATACAAAATACCTGACAAATACTCCTCAAAACTCTTTATGCCATCAAAAAACAAGGAAGGTCTGAGAAACTAGCACAGCAAAGATATGCCTAAGGAGACACGTTGACCCAATGTAAGATTAAGTAAAAATTAAAGAAACTGAAAAAAAAATGTACTCTAGTTAATAAGTGTGTATCAATATTGGTTCATTCATTGTAAAAAAAACTTCATATTAATGTTAGATACAAATAATTGGAGGAACTGTGAAGTATGTTGAAATGCACTGTCTTTTCAATTTTTCTATTCATTTAAAACTGTTCTAATAGAAAAATATGTAAATATAATAGTACTAAATATGTCTATTATACAGAGCCGGCCAAGATTCTTGAAAGAATTACAAAGATTACAATTTGTTGCACATTTTGTAGCATTTAGCTAGTTATGAAACTTTACAAAGCATTTATTTTATTCCTCCTCTCTGAAAGAATGTGGATAGCTATAAAACCTGAATTATCCCATCTATTGTTAATATGTAAGCATATTTTAAACCACTAGAAAGTTATATTGCTATTCAGTTTACTTAGTAAACAACCATTTCCGTGCAGACACTCAAAAGCCTACAATACATTTTTGAAAATATGGTCAATTCCGCTCAGGGATTAATTGGAGGAATTGTCTGGAAGTGGAAGATTAGTAAGAGGAAAGTCACAGATTAACAAATAATGACTGAAACAAAACTAGTCAAAACTAAGCTTACGCAAAGTAATTATTCCACTTACCCACGTGTCTGATTATTTTTTTACACAGTCTAGAAAATATAAAATACAAAATGCATTTATGTTTTTATTTTTTCCAGCTAGCCTCTTTCCTTCGCTTTTTCATAATGCTTTTTCTTGCATTAGTTTCATTCTATTTTGTGCTAAGCAACGTTAAATACGAATATTAAGCAAGGTTCAATCTCAGTTTCATTCAACCGTTTGAATTTGGTTTACCATCCGGCAGACCCTCCCACGTTACATTTCCTTCAGACTGCTCAAAAGCAAACTTCAATTCTTCAGTCAGTTGTCTCCAGGAATGGGCTTTTCTTTCTCAGTTGCCAACTGAACAAGCTGGTATTGCTTTATCTAGTTGATTGTTTATGATACATTATTTCTTATATTTCTCCATTTTCAGTGTGCTTTACTCTTCTGTATATAAGTGTTAATGTAGCATGTCACTTTTAAATAAATATCATGAATTACTTAATGTTCATTTCACCTTATAAAGTAAGTTGTTTACAATTTCTAATCCCCATAACACTGTACATTCTACCAACACACTTTTTGAAACCACATCTTCCAGGCATTCAGCTTTCAGAATTATTTTTAAAATTAACTTTGATTAGGATATATTATGCCTTTATTGGGTATTGTAATAGTAGGTGTATTTTTAACAAAAACTTCCTTCACTTTGTCTTACTATGATTGGGCAGACATGTAGATAGAGTTCATTTCTGGAGCATGATGGAAATCATGATTTTTCTCATTAATCTGCCTTACAGTTCATGAAAGTGCAGCCTGAGTTGGCATGGGGTGCCCTTCATCATTCTCTGATCTTCCCTACTCTCTTGTTTGTTCCCCTGGCCTCCAGTCCAGTCTCCTGGATGTGTATCAGCAGTTTGCTGTAAACTGCTAGCCTTTCAACACTCCAATGGGGAAGAGTCCTGGAGTCCTAAATAGCAATTAATCTTGGGTATTCAGACACTTTAAAGTTCAGGCCTATCAGGTAAACAAACTTGTGTTTTTGGTGAATATTAACTTGCACTCCTATCAGACACAAATTTTGACTCCTGTCCATGTTAAATGGTCAACTGTTTCACTAGAGAAAGGATAAAAAGGACCACAGTTGATTTTTATTCCTACCCATGTAATATATTCTGTGGTATATCTACAATATGATTTAAGCACTTAAAAGTTCATGAAGACATGTCAGCTATTTCATGGTATACTGTGTCATTTACCAGAAATAAAGCAGTTCTAGAAGACTTTGAAACATGTCATCAGACTGTTTTGGACTTCACCAAATCTTTAACTCCTCATATGATGAGAGTGGAAGCTAATTTTTTGCCAGAATTTTAGTAGATGAGCATAGGTAATTTAAAACATTACTACTTCTTCCCATGGGTTTGAATTATCTTTATTTATATAATTTACCTAGTTTTGAAAGTCAAATAATATTTAAAAGTTCCAGTAAGCTTTTGTATTGCTAAGTATTAGCAGAGAAAAAAAGGACATGGCAGACAGTGAGTGACAGGCATTTTCAAATTATGTAAAATCATAAATATATTTGTTAGTGGACCACATCTATTGTATATATAGACTTTATCATATTTGAAAAATTGACTTTAAAATGAGCTGTTTGAAATAGCTTTAAGCTTTTTCTGTCAGAGGCTGTAAGTGATTACAGGTAGTAGCTGATTATGATGCCCTAAGGAGACTGTTTTAGGAAGTGGAAATTGATGTGGTGAATGGAATCAAATATACTGCACTCAATTCAAAGCCATTATCCAAACTGGGTACGAAAGGCTCTAAAAGGTGAAAATGAGAGGCCCTTTCTGTAACAAAGAGTTCCGATTCTTCCAAAAAGATTGTACTTCGGAAGCCAGAGGCCGTGAAGAGCAAAGCCTGCTCCGCTGAGTTTGTTGTTAACCATGAAGTTCATGACAAGTATCATTGTCATGATACTAATATCCTTGTTATTATAAGCAACTTTTGAAAGTTTCTACTTGACAAAAGAAAAGGTTAACTTTGAAAATCTAATGCAATAATTAAGTTTAAAAATGATGTCACGATACCCCAAACAGTTAATGTTGGGGATCTTAAGTAAAGGCAGTATTCCAATGTGGCCAGTACATGACATCCTTGTGGAAATATCCCTGCTTAAGGACTAAAAGAAAGGGATCTTTACTTATCAATATGGCCAGAGGAATTGTCACAGAGTATAAATATCTGTGCTTAAGAGCTTGGCAAATGCAGCAACTTTAAGGGAAAATTACACTAAATACAGAAAAGTTTTTTTTCAAATTAATAATTTAATACCTGGACCTGCAATCATTTACTAAGCTGTCCACCCTCTCCCACTACTACACACACACATGCACACACACACATACATATGTATGCACGCACACACACACACATACACACACAGAGCTCCTTTTATTTCTTCACCAAAAAGGCAAGAAGTAAATATTTTTCTATTCTTTAACAACCCTCCGACATTTTTAAAAATTTTTTCAACGATAGTGAAAAGATGTCTTTTTCTGTCTTAACAAGAACAGAAACAGAGTTGCAACACTTGAGCCACTAAGTCATTTCTGCTAAGCTGACAGCCATTTCTTTTTCATAATGGCTGTGTTTCTTGGCTTAGAGGTGCAATTGAGGTTGGTAATTTCCTTCCAAAATGAGAAATAAACAAAATGATAGCAGAGATTACAAATGCAAGATCTAAGCATAACAGAAAAGTAAACAAAACCATTTCTGTGCTAAAATAAGAAAAAAATGAGGAATAAGCTTGTTTTTTTAAAGAAATAAAATCCTCATTAAATAAACACTCTACTGCTGGTAAGTTGTACAAAAAATAATTATTCCTTAGTACACTGTATGTTAAGCTGTATTTATTTGATTTGAGGAAGTAGGTATCAGAGGAAGTACTGGAACAAACAGATTATTCCATTTTCACATCAGATATTCAAGAGTATCTTTCATGTGACAAATTACTTGGGGCAAAACTGTGGAAAATAAGACATAATCTTCTCTATGGAAATACTGTCTCCTGTACTTAGTTGCAGAAATTAGTAATTTCATTAAAATGTGAT
Source organism: Homo sapiens (assembly GCF_000001405.40). NCBI lineage: Eukaryota > Metazoa > Chordata > Mammalia > Primates > Hominidae > Homo > Homo sapiens. The sequence goes on from NC_000007.14 coordinate 53,688,849, forward strand.
GAAGATTAAAATCATACATACTCACAGTATATTTTCACCAGATTAATAGAGAGTCCACAATTTTGAATAATCATGACTCTTTTGTTAATCCAATGAAAACTATTAGCCTTCTTCCAGGAAAATAATATATATATATATACACACACACACAAGCACACACATATATTTTATATATATATAATTACACACACACACATATATATGATTATGCATGTAAAATTATAAATGTTGTATCCTTAAATAGTGAAGATCCTACCAGCTCAATGGAATGCCAGAATTCATGTCTACCTGAGATGGAGAGTTTCCAGCTATGCAGTACCTTTGCCGTTGCAAAGGTACACACACATACACATAGAGCTCTACAAGGGTCCTGCATTTTTGCAACAGAAGGATAGTATTTACAAAGAACCAATTACCTCAGAATTCTGGTAGCTGTTTTGTTGGTTAAGAAGATAGTATCCAAGCAGTATTGTTCAATTAATTATCAGAAATGATTCTACAAGTAAAATAAATCAAAACCTCATATTGAATTAAGCATTTTCTTTTGTAAAATATTGATATGATAGGAAACTGATAAAAAACTATTGACTACTGAATTATGTCCAAATTAAAAATATATAATTATCATAAATGAGAAAATTAAATGATATATCCCTATTACAAAGGCACAACAAGGTATTTCACACAAAAGATATGTATTCAGCAACTTCTAGTATAGCTTGAGAAGGATTTATGCCATAGGGCAGTCTAGAGGAATACTGAAGAAGATCAAATGGAAAGTCTGGGATTATAAAGCATTACAATATCCTCATAATAAAAATGATAAGGGGTGTTTTTTAAACTCCTGTGAAAAGCACATAAATCTAGCAAAGTTTGAGGATCAGGAATCGTTGCAAAAACGTTAACATTTGGGTAAAGTTTTGAAAATATATTGGGATTAGACTGATGAAAAAGGTGAGAAGAACAAAATAAAAAGTTGTTTGCATTTTGGGAATTAAAAAGCAGTTGATAAACATGGAGTGAAAACTCAATGAAAGGCTCAGGTAGATGTGCAGGTGGTAAGGTTATCAAATGCATAGGATCATTGTACAACAAATAAAATACTTTGTCTTTTAGAGTATACTTTGCCTTTTATTATTTGAATTTACTCTAAAAGACAATTGGTAACATTGAAGGATTTGATGACGGGGTGGCAGGATTAGGTAGTGCATCAGACTATTCATTCTGGCTGAAAGTGAAAGGTGCGCTGAAGAAACATAAGGCAGAAACAGCAATTAGATGAATGGTTTCAGATTTTTTGAGTGCAGTTTAGGAAAATAGAATTGGCTGGGCATCACAATTAATTAAACACATTGGGGAGGAGAGAGGATTCAAATGTTATATTCGTGTTTCCGGTGTAGGGTATTGCCTGGGGCTGTAGTTCTCAGTAGGATCCTCCAAGTTATCTTACTGACAAGAAAGATTTTCCTAAGGTCACAAACCTGAGTTACTACCCTGCTGAGGCCGTGGTAGAACTAAACAGAACAAAATATTTCAGTAAAACCTAGAGTTTGTGCAATCTTCCAATCTGCTCAGCTTGTTTGGCTACTTATGAAATGTCAGTTACCTTTTAAAAAGATAATTCCGATTGCACTTAGGAAAAATGATGGAAAGAGAACAAAGCTGGAAGCAGAGAGATCACCCATTAGTGCATTCTGGGCAAAACATGATGGGGGCTTGCACCAGAGGAATGAGGAGTGTCTGCATTTTGGATGTGTTGAAGGCATGGCCGCAGGAACTTCAGTGCAAGCAAATAAGCAAAAAATGTACTGGGTATCCATGGAAACCAAGATTCATCCCATACTATTTAAAAATAGATATTTTACTGAAGAAATGTCTTCAAAGTTTAAATGAAAAACAAAGGTTGTTAAGGCACCCAGGTCCTAATGGAATTAATTATGATTCACAGGGATGCATGTAGCAATGGAATGAAAGGCTTCACCTGGAGCCTGATGAGGGCTTCAGTCGTGCAGAAGTCATAGAAGGGCATAGCTATTGTTCATGAGAGACAGAACTGTTTCCCAACTTAAAAAAATACCATGACAAGTCAAGTCAAGAAGAGTCCGAGGGATCCATATGGAGGCTCACCTATGCACACGCAAAAAATACTCATTGAGTAGGCATGACCCAATCACTTCCCAGAGACCTCATCTCCAAATATCATTGCATTGGGGGTTAGGATTTCAACATATCAATTGGAGGGTGTTATAAACATTCAGTCTATCGCATGCACCAGCAACTCTACCCCTAGGAATTAACACATAAGAACTGCACATATATAGCCTCACAAAAACTTATGCATAACTATTTATTGTAGTTATTCATAATAACTGAATTCATAATCATTATTCATAATAACTGAAAAATAAAAAACACACAACAACAACAAAGCAAATACTAATCACATGATGAGTGTATGGACAAAATGTTGCCACATTATTCATACATGTATATAGCCAGACAGTAGAATATTATTAACCCATAAAATCAAAAATAGAATGAAGTACTTTGTAAGATGAATGAATTTTGTAAATATTACGGTAAGTGAAAGAAGCCAAGGCACATATTTTATGATTCAACATATATGAAATATCCAAAGTAACCTAATCTATAGCAAGTCGACTAGTAGTTACCATAGGTTAGGGGAGAGAGAATATTAAGTAACTGTTAATGAGCACAAAGTTTCTTTCTGAGTAGATAAATATGTTCCAAAATTAGAGAATATTTATTCTTGCATAACCCTGGAATATACTAAAATCCAATGAGTTGTGCACCCAAAAATGGTGACTTTTATGACATGTGAATTATATCTCATTTTGCTATTAAAATACATGTAGTTTTAGCTGAAACACATTAAAGCTTAGTCATTACTTTGCCCTCACAAGAAAAAATCAGAACAAACTGAAAATCATGACTTTTCTTGAATCCATCAAAGAACTCAGGAGAAACAGCAAACTGCTACCCTGCATCTGGAGAAACAGGCAAATTTGGAGCATCACAGCTGAGGCCACCTGAGCCATAAACTGTTGAAACACTTACGTGGTAATTTTGATGAATTGCTAGAGGACAAGTGTGAGCCAGCATGAGTGAAAACCTCTCGAATGCTGCAGTTTTAGCAAGACTCCCTCGCGTTCATGGTTTCATCTTCAGGAATCCCACAAGGTTCTCACAGTGAAGAGCCGAGAAAGATGCCCTCCTGACCCTGGCAGGGGGAGGTGAGAAGTAACCAGTCAAACAGACTTGGAATATTCGATGTAAGGAAGTCCTACTATCTGGAGGAAAAGGCTGTTCTATTACAGTCTAAAATAGACTGCACTATTTTCCCTAATGGCTGGAGACACTAAGGAACACTTGAACAGGCTACTGCCCAAGGACACAGGACCACTGAAAGACTTAGACTTCCATGTTAGACTATAGAATGCTTTCCCTTCACCACGCCTTACCATCACTGCACCAGTGCTCCAGTGCATCCGGGGGTTACGCCCGTAGTAATCAGACTCGGCCTGACAAACAGCTTCATAGGGAGCCCCGAAACAATAGGGGGTGACAAAATCAAGGGCAATAAAGGAATTTTATCTCTTGGCACCTACAAACATTGCAAATATTAAACACAACTTAACTCCAGCAAGATTAACAAAAATGCAAACACTAAATAAAACACATCTGTTCCTATTACCTGATGCAACATATCTACTTTCAACAAAAATATATAAGGCATGTTAAAAGACAAGTACAAATACAATCTGAAGACAAATAAATCACCTTTAACAGACTCAGATATAGCACAGGAATTGGATAATGAGACAAAGAATGCAAAATAACTATTATTAATATTAGGAAAAGGTAATCATCATATAAGATCAAATGCAAGATGTAAGCAGCAAGATAGAAACTTTACAACTTTAAATCAAAAGAAAAGGCTAGAATTCAAAAACACTGCACCAGCAGTAAAGAATGTCTTTGAAGGGGTCGTTAATAAACTAGACATAAATGGGAAAAGAATTAGTGAGTTCATAGTTAGGTTAAAAGAAACTTCCCAAACTGAAATACAAAATAAAACAAAGTAAGAAAACCGAAAAAAGTAAACAAAAAACACAAAGAATATCCAAAAATTATTGGACAGTTGCAAAAGGAGTAATATGTCCATAATTGAAATAAGAGAAGGAGAAAGAGCAAATGGGGCAAAAAAAAAAAAAAATAGTGGGCTGAAAGTTTTCCAAAATTGATGACATACACCAAACCATAGATTCAGGAAGATCAGAGAACACCAAACATGGTAAGTATAAAATACCTATACCAAGACATATTATATTAAACTGGAGAAAACCAAAGACAAAGAGAAAATCTTGAAAGTGCCAGATATAGGGGAAATCATTGAATAAATAATCAAAAAGCAACTCGTAACATGCTTATAAAGGAGCAAACTTAAGAATTAAGAATTACAGCAACTTCTCATCAGAAATCATGTGAGGAAAAAAGAAGAATAAATATCTATAATATATTATAGATGACTTAATATAAATATATAATATTTATATTATAGATGTACTATATTAATATTATATATTTACTATATAATAATATATATTTATTATTTTTATATATTTATTATATAATAATATAAATATATGAGATAAAATCATCTGCTTATATTATGCTTATTTGATCTAAAAGATAACTTCTTAAAGTAATACTAGCATCAATGTATCACACGACTTTAGTGCATGGATAAGAGAAAAGAATGACAGCAAGCCATAAAGGATGGGAGAAAGGGGATTGAAAATACTTTGTTCTAAGCTGCCTGCACTACAAGGGAAGTGGTAGTGCATTATCTAATGGTGGACTTAGACTACAGAAATTTGCTAACTATAAGACGACTACTAAAAAAATTAAAAGTGTAATTGATATGGCAAAAGAGAAGCTACAATGGAATTACGTATAAAATACTCAGTTAAATACAAGACAGAAAAGGAGGACAAGACAGAACAAATGAAACAAATATACAGGGCCGGGCGCGGTGGCTCACGCCTGTAATCCGAGCACTTTGGAAGGCCGAGGCGGGTGGATCATGAGGTCAGGAGATGGAGACCATCCTGGCTAACACGGTGAAACCCCATCTCTACTAAAAATACAAAAAATTAGCCGGGCGTGGTGGCGGGCGCCTGTAGTCCCAGCTACTCAGGAGGCTGAGGCAGGAGAATGGCGTGAACCCGGGAGGCGGAGCTTGCAGTGAGCCGAGATCACACCACTACACTCCAACCTGGGCCGACAGAGCAAGACTCTGTCTCAAAAAAATAAAAATAAAAAAAAAGAAAAAAGAAAAAGAAATATACAAGAGTTACAAATACGTTAAATATTAATATAGAATCAATAATCACCTTTATATGTCAGGTTTATAAACCAATTAAAAGAACAAGGGTTGTCAACACAAAACTAAATTATATGTCATCTGTGAGAAACCCACTGTTAGTGTAAAAATTCGGATAGGTTAAGTAAGTGGTAGAAAATGATTTGCCATATTAACACTAATGAAAAGAAAGCTGGAGTGGCAAAATTAACTTCAGCAAAAGGAGAATTTAGAAAAAGATTATCAGGGATAATGATAAACATTGCCTAATGATACCGTCATCAATTATCTAAGAAAATATGTCAGTCCTAAATATTTATACACCTAACAATAGATCATCAGACTATGAGGTTTCAGACTGTTTCAGTTGTTACTGAAACAGTTCCAAGAAAAAATAGACAAATATACTATTACAGTTTGATACTTCAACACTTCTCTTTCAATAATGGTCAATCCATCAGGCAAAAATCAGTAAAGATATAATTGGTACAAGTTCTCTACAGTCTCTTGCAGAAAATAGAAGCACAGAATATATTTCCTAAGTCATTCTATAAATAGACAGTATTACTCTGATACCAAAATCAGATAAAGACTCTATACAAAAGGAATACTACAGACTACTGATTAATGTAGATGCAAAAATCCTCAACAAAACTTAGGTCAAATCTAAAGAATTTGATTAAATAAAAAGAATTAAATATATAATTAAAATATAAGAATTAAATTAAAAGATCAAATAAAAAGAATTATACACCACAATCAAATGGGATGTGTCAGGATGTTTTAATTTCAGAAATTAAATAACTGCAATTCATTACAACAGGCTAAGAAAATATCCTATGGTCCTATGCAATATTAACAAATAAATTTAATTAATAACATTTGACAATCAGCAAATGGAAGCACAAAATACATAAATCTTTAATTTAGCTGTAAGCCAAACTGTTTTGTTATTGAGAAGATGTATCTTACACCTTAAAAATTATCTACCTTCCCAAAACTCTCTATAACATTTTGAAGAATGTTGTGCATAGGAAGAGATGCTTATTATCAGAAACCCTGAGGCAAAATGTTAGGGACTGTATGATAGAGAAGAATGAATGTCAGCTGGGGGTAAAATTAAGAGGATCATTCCCTTCAATGAGTTGAAAATAAGAAAGACATTTTTTTTTTTTAAGAAAAGAAAATGCTATGTTGCTTAAGTGTCTTGACCTGCATGTGGAAATCATAATAAGATAATATCTGCTAGAAGGAAATAGAAGAGTCCAGATGCATAGATAAAAAATAATTCCTCTTCAGGAAGGGAGTTTGCCAGTCTTCACAGAGATGGAGAATCCTACTTTTTCAAGTTGTTTTTAAAGCTCCCTGACTTGGCTTGGCAATGGGGGAAGTGTAGATCCTCTTCTGGAAGCCAACAATCCTCTTAAAAGAAATCCTTTTCACCCCGCTCTCTTTAAGACTAAAGATAGACCTTGGATTACAACTCTGGGCTTCTGCAAATGTTTCTTGACATAAGAAAAGTTCCTTTTAATGACTTGTTTTATGTACAAGTGGATATTATTTCTCTGGCTCCTTCTATCAACTGGGTCACATGCAGTTGCAAGTTCCAGGAATACTATTTGCAGTAGCATAACAAAATCCAGATTCCTTTTTAAAATTTTTATTATTTTATTTCAATAGATTCAGGGGTACACATGGTTTTTGGCTGCATGGATGAATTGTACAGTGGGGGAGTCTTGGTTTTAGTGTACCTGCCACCTGAGTAGTGTACGTTGTACCCAATAGGTAATTTTTCATTCCTCACCCCTCTCCTGATCTTCTCTATTCTGAGTCTTCAGTGTCCATTATATCACTCCATATGGCCCTGCTTACCCATAGCTTAGCTCCTACTATAAGTGAGAACATGCAGTATTTGATTTTCCATTCCTGAGTTACTTCACTTAAGATAATGGCCTCTGGTTCCATCCAAGTTGCTATAAAAGACATATTTCACTGTTTTTTATGGCTGAGTAGTATTACATGATGCATGTATGTATGTGTGTGTATATATATACACATATGTATATATATACACATATGTGTATATATATGTATATATATATGATGTACATACATACGTATATATATCTATCACATATTTTGTACCCACTCACTGGTTGCTGGGCACTTAGGTTCATGTCATATCTTTGAAATTTTTTTTTTTCATTTTTCTCACATAACAAGAATTCAGGGAGAAGCTGGGAGAGGAGGGAGGCAGTACATGGCTGGCCAGGCAGCTCCCAGGAGGTGCCAGAGATCCAAGCTCCTGTTTCTTTTTTCTCTAATCAGCCAAGCTGAGGACCTAGATTTGGTCATTCTGCTTTTGTCTGATAGTTTTTTTTCTCCCCCATATCCTACATTTCATAGAAATTCACAAAGGGGAAAGGTATATAAGGTGGCGGTGTGGTATCTACCTGCTTCTGCAGATCTGTGTCTTCTGCAGATACCCATTCTGAGAATTAAGTTACCTACTATCCTTTGTCATCAAGGGATGTTGGGTGCATTGTTATACTTAACAACATCAAGGTTCTGAGAGTAAAAAATGAAAAAAAATTTAATATTGGTTTGACAAATAGCAATTTCTATCCAACCACACTAAAGGTTTAAACACACACACAAACACAAAGTTGGTTAATGTCCTCATTATACCTATACAAATGAGAAACCTACCAGTTGGCTGACTATATAAATAACTTCATGGGGTCATTCAGTTTAGAACTGGGGGCCTGGGCCACATGCTGCTGAGGCTTTATCTGTGTGGCAAAGATTTATCCTGAAAATAATATTTCTTTTTTACTTTTTTTTCACTCAGTTGCAAACACTACCATAATATAACACAGGTCTTCCTTTATGTGGATGGAAGGGAATTGATCCCACACCAAAAAAACATTTAAAATAAAGAACTAAGCTAAATGATGATCATTTCTATTGATTCAAGATTATTTATTATGGGGCTCTGGGCATGGTAAATGGCCAAGTGAAATGAGTTGTGCGATAGCACCATGCATTTCCCTCTATTTACAAAAAATAAAATGATGAAACTAGTAGAATTAGTCAAGTTAGAACTGTAATGATTTTTAAACCCAGAATTAACAATCTATGCTAACAATTTTCTTTCAAATAAAGGTACAGTTCATGGGCTTTAATTTACTCTGCAGTTTCTCTTAATCCCAGACTTTCTTGGGCTTCTGCAGGGGTGGTGTCCCTTAGAGAGAACAACACAAGTGCTTATTAATGCCTCATGTGTGGGAAGAACTCACACATTCATGACTGTCTAATAATCACAGAAGCCTGGAGAAGTTAGTTCATTTCTTTTTGCTACTAGTAATATTATGATGAAAACCTAATAATAATGAAATGGGAGCATCTAAGTTGAATTTAGGATAAACCAAAGCAGTCAGTCATTCTGAGACGTTAAGTATTAGTTCACAAATGATTTTACAATTATTTGACGGTTTGGGTTACGTCAGAGTTTAATTTAAAGGAAATATTTGGATTCACTTTAAAATTCACACTTTTAGTGAAAGAGTATTTTGCTCTTAAATTTCTTGTCTATGACACCCTCCCTCCAAGTCTGTTTTTCAAGAAATCAACCAACATGTGCTTAGTTAAGAAATCTCTGGAAGATTTTTACCAGCTCAGAGAAGGTCCTCGGCTCCCACTGATCTTTCAAAATTGTATTTTAGGATAGTAAACTCTCTTCTCTTCAGAACAAGTCTCATTATGTTGGTAGCAGTTACTTTCCTCTCAAGCCAGGAGGAGGCTGTTAATATCTTTCAGAGAAAAATTTGTGGAGTAGTCATAAGAGATGCTTATCTTAATATGGACTGGTTCAGTCCTCTTTTTGTCATGAAAAAATCACTGTTGCAAAATACCAGCAGGTGTTGAAAGAGCAGGATTAATTTGTAAGAGTTGAATGACATCATTTTCAAATGGCTTATTAAACACTAATTAGATTTCAAATTGTGTGACTCTCCATATACTTATGTGAAGATGGAAAAGTTTTAAGCATCTGCTTTCTCTAGCATGGGGGTAAACAGGGTTACAGTTTAATTTCCATAGGTGACAGTTTATCAAATGAAATCAAAATGGAGCTATACTAATTCTTGTCTCATAAAATGAAGAGTGTGTCTGAATCTTTATTTCTATTCTCAGTAATCTTAGCTAATTAAGCAATTTTACTAAACAGTACAATTTCTTGATCTGCTTTTTGTAATTCAAAGCATTTTTGTAATGAGATTACTTCAAATGTATTGTCAAATAAGAACACAATACTGCTGAGCCAAAAAGCATTTTCAAAGAGTAGTCAAACTCAATGCTAAATAATGTCACATTTTATCTTTATAAACTTAGTCAATAAACATGTTTTACTCATTCAATATAACATTGTGTTAATTGTATATACATCATAAAGTCTTAGATACAACTATATAAAAGTATTTTAAGCAACAAATGTATCTCTGGGTAGAGTATTAACCTAATGCAATCTTTTTTAAATAACATGAATAATTCTAACTATATGAGACTTTAAATAAGAGGTTTATTAGGTTTCTACGTGTTAGACACACCAGAATACATGCTTGAATTCAAGGCAAAGATGATATCAGATATATAACAGGATACATTATATTCTGAAGTATCAAAAAGCTGCTGCTACTGTCTTAAAAATAAATAAATAATAAATAAATAAATAAATAGCTGAAGAGCACAGAATGTCAATTGGTTGAATGTAGTTCACAGACAAAACTCATTTCACCTTTATTTCTCCAAATGAACTGGGAAAAATCACAAAGAGTAAATTTTCCTAAACTCATCATAGAGTCTCTATGATGGCTCTAGCGTGATGTACAAATTTCTGTTTCTCCAACTTCCTCCTCACCATCCTCCGCCCACACTTGCTCCAGTGACATGGCCTGAACCATTTTGCAGGAGACAAAAGCTAAATTGTGCGACACCATACACACTTCTCAAAATTCCTCCCATACTTTGAACCAAGTGGGAGAGTTAATAAATATCTACAATTTAAAAATAGCATTACATATAAAAGCCCTGTGCTATACAATCTGTTCCTGCACCTTCGCCAACGCTCCCAAAGCTGTGTCATGGAGGACAGCAGAGCCCAGAGGCTGCAGACCACACCAGACAGGCTGCTCCTTTACATAATAAAAGTATGCCACAATAGCCTGCCTCTGGAAAATATTTAATACTTTATCATGAATATTCTGCATTAAGTTTGCTTTGCGTTGTAAAATATATTACATTACAATATTTATCTTCATCATTGAGTTTTTTTTTAGCATTCGTTTGAATGTTGCTCCTGAGGCAAGTGTCTTCATCTCCTCATTCATGTCACATCCTTGGTCTTGGTATTCCATGCATATTCCATATTCATGTTCTATATTCCATATTCAATCCCACTTCAAGAACATTGCACTTCTTTTCAAACTCATACCCAGAACTTCTCATAAAAGACTCCTCTTCATTCAGGGATCAGCAAAGATGTGCTAGGCATCTGTCCCATTTGATTCCCTTCTGTAGCTACACTGTGTATTTATCAACTATGTGTTTATTATCATCCTGTACATCATTATCTCCACTAGAAAGCCAATTTCCATCAGTTCTGTACTCTGGTCATTCATCATTTTTCCCGGCACAGAATGGGCATTCAATGACTATGTTTTGAATGAATGATTGTATGAGATTTTTTTGGCACGGGGCATGTCCTTTTATTTTAAAAAATAAGGGTAAATTTAGTTATTATTTTCCTGGGGTAACAAAGGTCATTCTAGGTATTTAATCAAAGAGAGAAAAAATGGAAGTGACATTTGTCTTGATCACTCACCAGCTCTGTTGGTTGTTTTGATAAAAGAGCGGAGGAAAAAAATTTCATGTGGGAAATGGCCTAAGCAAACAAAGCACCCACTGGACACTGTAAACTGTTGAGGGACCCACTGTGACTTAGGTAGAGGTTTTGTTTTGTAGTCATGATAGTTGAGGCAGAGAAGTAGGTACAGTCCTCTGTGAAATATGTTATCTGTCATGATCAGCATTTTATTATATAGGCAGAAGAAAAAATGAAGATTTGAAAGATCCGATATCTTTGTGTAAATGTTGATCTACCTAGTACATAGACAAGGAACTACTTGACAGTGAGGACATTAAAGCAGAAGCCAGCACGATTTTCTGATTGCATATTACAGGGAAGGTAGTCGATCTAGAACAGAAGCAGCTTAAGAAGATGATATAGGAAAAATCTTATCCTTTCAATTATAGTAGACCTGACATTGGCTGCCATTAGACCATGTACTTACTCTTACTTGAAATATTGTATCATTTTTCATCAACATTCCATACATTGACTGATTGAATGATTCATTAATTCATTCAAAATTATACATACAGCAAATTCTATATGCAGGATACTGAGCTATACAGTGGGGACACAAAACAAACGGAAGAATTTTTTTAAGTGACCAAATATATGAATAAATAAATACTGAATAATAAGCAATAATCTAGTTCTAAACATAGTTGAAATATAAATAAGAGTTCAGCTTTGGACTATGCCAATATTAATATGAATTGAAATACTTAGAGGATAAAAGGCAAAATATTTTTCACTGTGACATATTTTTAAGACACTATGTGGGTGGCAAGAGCAGAGAACACCTGTACTCCTATCTCCAATCAAAATATAATATTAGATGATGGAATGTGGCTGAGACTCCGTGTCTATTGCTCTGACTAAATTTCATCAACTGCATGATCTATCCAATTGGCTGTGCAAAAATCGATTGTGAAGACCAATGAAAGCATTGAGTGAGTGAAAAATGACCCTGCAGCAACATGCAGAAGTGATGAAAGTCTTTGTCCACGTAAGGAAAATGAAGGTTTAAGTCGAACATTTCTACAAACTAATGGAAAAATAAAATACTCTAATAATAAAACATATGCAGCCAAAACATCCTGTATAATTTGGGCTTCAGTTTTCAATTCAATATTTATGTTAAAATAGACAATAATATTTATAAGAATACTAATTAAGCATTCTGATATTTCCATTTAAAACCTGTTTGATGAAACAATATTACTGACATCTTGACTCAGAAACAGGCTTACACTCATGATGGAGTGGCATGCATGGCCAGTGAGATTAGTTTGATGGTTCGAATCCAAATATTTTGCTTTTGTCACAATCCTATAACAACCCAGACAACAAATCGTAGTGACCTTTCCCAACATAAATGGATGCTCTTGGTAAGGTAGCAGTTTCCTTTATTTTATGTGACTTTGATGGCACAGTATTTAATATTAGTTAAATACAGCAAGCCAAATTATTGGAACAGTTAAATTCCTATATGGAGCACAGTGAATACATCAGTTACTCACTGAAAATACTGGTAGAAGTGGTAGCAATGACGTTATCATGTATTAATCTATTGAAAAGCTTCTTGTATGGTATTTTGATGGCTGCAGTGTTTAATTTTAGTTTTTTTTTAATTTTGCTATGGTTGAGATAATTTTATTCCTAGCATTTCTACTATCTTATTTGTTACTCAAATTCTTGTGGAAATCCACTCCTATAAGAATAGTGGTCCCTTCTATATTTCTGTCTACTTTATTTTTCTATCTATATAGAAAGGTTGTAAGTTACAAAAAAGTACAAAACATTAAACCTAGTATCATTGCCATCCCAGAGGGTAGCACTGTTTTTATGTTAACGTATCTAATGCATGTCTGCAATTAATCAAGCAATTCCCTGTTGAAGATTTGTGTAAAGTTGTATATCTTTTCAAAATTTACCTACAATCCTAACCAAATTCCACTAAACACAATATTTCTAGAACTTGATAAAATGATTTTTAAAGTTCATCTTTAAAACAAAGGGTTTTTACTTCACTTTCTAATATGGCAGCTGATAAATCCATGTGTTTGTTGAACAGCTGAAATCTGTCTTGTCTAATTCTTCAGATACACACACACATACGTAATTACATACAGATGTCACTTGATGATGGGTTATGTCACAATAAACCCATTGTACATTGAAAATATTGTAAGTCAAACTGCATTTAATACACCTAACCTTTCCTGAACATCATAGCTTCACCTAACCTACCATAAATGTGCTCAGAATTCTTAAGCTAGCCTACAGTTGGGTGAAATCGTCTAGCAGAAAGCCTATTTTATAGTAATGTGTTGAATACTTCATGTAATTTGTAGAATATTTTACTAAAAGTGAAAAACAGAATGGTTGTATGGGTACTTAAAGTGTGGTTTCTACTGAATGTGTATCACTTTCACACCACTTTACAATCTATAAAAGTCATAAGTCAAACCATCACAAACTGGGGACTGTCTGCATCTAGTCAGTGTAAAACACTGGATTTCAATCGCAGTGGGAAAAAGTGTAAAATATTTCATTGATAATTTTATCTTTATTATAAATTAAAGTGATAAATTCTAAAGTACTTGATTAAATGAAATTTATTATTAACATTAATTTTATTTATTTCTATTTTTAAAATGTTTAAAAATTTTAAATATCACTAGGGACTTTCTAAAATGTCACTAGTTCAAAATTTAAAAGTGCTTATGTTGCTTTTTATTTATTTTTATTTTTTGAGACGGATTCTTGCTCTATAGTCCAGGCTGGAGTGCAGTGGCAGGATCTCGGTTCACTGCAAGCTCTTCCTCCCGGGTTCACGCCATTCTCCTGCCTCAGCCTCCCAAGTAGCTTGGACTATAGGTGCCCGCCACCATGCCCAGCTAATTTTTTGTATATTTAATAGAGATGGGGTTTCACCGTGTTAGCCAGGATGGTCTCAAACTCCTGACCTTGTGATCCGCCCACCTCGACCTCCCAAAGTGCTGGGATTACAGGCGTGAGCCACTGCGCCCGGCCCCATATGTTGCCTTTTATATATATTAAGCAATATAGATTGCTTATAAGGACAGCCAGTGCTGTATTCTAATAAATTAAATTATTCTAATAATTTAAATTAGAATATTAAAGTATTCTAATAAGTTAAATACTTCTAATAAAAGTATTTAATAAGTGCTATATTAAGCAATGTAGGGAAAGACAGGACTGGGATAGATTGACCACAAATAATAGAAGTGCACTTGAACCTTCACATATGAAAGCAGACAATGTACTAAATGAAATGATGTGGAAAGGGCAGAAGAATAGTTAGGTCCAGTGAATTAAACGACCACCCAGGAACAAACTCAAGTGTATGCATGAGAATACCATCTTATAATACAGTAGGATAGCATATCAGATATATCAGTGTTGTCATAATGGAACATCAGTGAAGAGTACTGAGGCAATCTAGTAGCTATTTAGTTATACACCCATGCCATCTTTTTAATATTTTGCTTTATACTCTCCAAAACATAACATAAATAGTAGAAAATAGTGAATTGAAAAATTGGGATAGTAATAAAAAGGCAAATGGGAAATCACAGACTAAATAATTTGTAGCAATATTACAGGAAAAACGGTCACAGAAGAGCTGTGCTTAATATGTGAGCTAATTAATAAATAACAAGTATTGAGGGAAATAAAAATGCCCATAAACTGCCACTGGATTTCACATCAGTGTCATCAATCTGCAGAATAACTTGAAAGACTTATAAAATCTAGAAATATTTGTTTAAAATTATATATATAATTAAAACATTATTAATAAAAGAAATATAATAAACTAACCCCAGAATTAAGTATTCTACTTAATGTAAGATAGTGTATAGTCATCTGATGAAATATTCCATAATCACATAAAGTTATAGTAGTAGAAAATTTCCAAAATTTTTAAAAGTATATATACCCATACACACAGGTATATGTGTCTGTAAGAATACTCATATGTGTGTGTGTGTGTGTGTGTGTGTGTGTGTGTGTGTGCTGTGTGTGTGTGTTTTAATACACATGTGTAAGAAGCAGGCCCTATGTCTTTAGAAACAGGTTATGGTCATGGCAGTGGAGGAGAGGAACATGGCAACACGTGCAGTAACAAAGTGAGTGAGGGAAGGACGTGTGATTTTGTCTCTTCATTTCACTAGTGCATTTTATTAGGACATTTTCTTTTTGTAAACTGAAGAAAATTTAAAGGAAGAAAAGAAAGCATGGAAAAAAGAAAGCAGCCAGCCTTCTAACACTATGGATAAGTCTTCACAGATTGTAGCTTTCTCTCATGTTTTCCTTCAGTTTTAGTTACTTCCATAGAGTTGAATTCTTAGCGTTACAGTTCATGTAGGCTACTTACAGTATTTGTCGATGTGGTAGCTTTCCAATTAGAAGTTTGAGAGGATTCCTGGATTCATATGAGAGCCCAGCCTCTGAACACTGCCTGATCTCAAATTATAGCCCTCCTGGTAATGTCTGTCGCCTTGAGCAAGTTACTTAACCATTCTGTCCATCAGTTTCCACATCTTTTCAAATGGTAGGATATATTCAACCCATATATCTATATATGTGTGTGTGTGTGTGTATATATATATATATATACACACAAACATAATGTTCTATGAAAAAACCATGTGCACTTCATTTTATTATCCAAAGTAGAGAAAAGATGTGTTGACTTTTACTCTGTGCTTATGATAAATGTTTTTAAGCATTCCATTAGAGTACGAACTTCTGCGAGTCTTCATTCATTGGAGACTCCACATTGTGACACTGTGAAAAAATATATTGATGCATGTTGTCATACTTAATGTTATTTTTCCTTCATTTTTATTGTCCTCATATTAAAAATAGTTCCAATATAATATTTTATTATAATTGCCTTTTGCCCACTTTTTAATGGTAATTGTTTTGCTTTATTTTTAGTTATGTACTTTTTAGAAAAAATCCAGGTGGATATTTTTGTTTCACTAAATATGAGAATCTTTATTTTTCTTTATAATAAAAAATTTAATTTCTAGTTAAGGTATGGCAAATTTCTATTTAAAGAGATTTATTTTATATTACAGTCATATTTAATTCCATACTTTGTTTTTATGACATCGTTATTCTTTCATTAAAACATTTTGTCAAAAACATGTATTTGTTAATTACTAGTAGTTCAAATGCATCTATTATATCCCTTTTCCTGGACATTTTTATTATATATTAAAAATTTTTATTTCAACAATTAGAGTTTAATTTGTATTGAATTTTCAGTTGGCATTTTTAGACACGTATATGCCAATCATTTCAGAACACAAATGTATAATTCTTGCGTGATTTTTAATTGCTTCTTTGTGAAAGCTTCCCTTAGCGATATGAGACCTGCTTCCCCTTGCTTCCTGCTATAGTCATGTAGCCCTGGTCTGAAATTCTTTGTCACAAAATTCATTTTTAAAAATCTCTAAAATTTGCCTTACTTCCTTGTCCTGAGAAGTGAAAAAGTCATTTTGTTTTTGCTTTTTTGGAATTTATTATTATGTCTGCATGTACATAATTTAAAGTTTAGTTTGCATCCGAAAAAAAGTCTGTGGTAGACTGTCTTTATTCACAATATTCAGATGTGCCATTGACCTCTTGAAAGGCTTTGAGATGGGATGTGGCCCAACAAACCTGAAGGCAAATTCAGGTTTAGAATACATACAAATTAGAAAATGTATTACAAAACAGAAGAATTACATGTTTATTTTCATGTAGTAATATAATTTTTTTTTCTTTTGAGACAGAGTCTCACTCTGTCACCCAGGCTGGAGTGCAGTGGCATGATCTCGGCTCACAGCAACCTCTGCCTCCTGGGTTCAAGTGATTCTCATGCCTTAGCCTCCAGAGTAATGGGGATTACTGGTGTGCAACACCACGCCTGGCTAATTTTTGTATTTTTAGTAGAGACAGGGTTTCACTATCTTGGCCAGGCAGTTCTCGAACTCCTTACCTCAAGTGATCCACCCACCTCAGCCTCCCAAAGTGCTGGGATAAGTAATGTAAACTTAAAGCCAATATGCAATAGGAACAAAAATACAAAACTGTAAGCATAAGTCTTTCAAAATAAGTATGTATATAAAAACATTGTAGTGGTCAATAAAAGAGATGAAAGCTATTGATTGAAAAAAAAAATAAAACATATCCAAAGAAGACTTGGTTGTAGGGTACACTTGATTCATGATACTTCACAAGAAATCAGTGAAAGTGGTTAAGAATAAATATACAGGTATATAATCCATATCAATAATCCATCTGGCGACAACTTTCTGATTACAACTTTTGACATGAATTTGATAAATACTGAACAGTTGGTGCTGCGGGGTCTAGAACGGACTGTGGAGGAATGGATTATAACAGAGAACAGGTAAGAAAACAGAAATGTTTACAGTCAGGAGTAGTAGTGGTGGCAACAGTGAAGAATTACACCCAATAAGACAGGACAGAGTGTGACAAAAGAGTTTTGGTGAGAAACAATAATCAAACAAATTTATGACAGCAGAAAACTCAATGAGCAGCAAGTCAAATAAAGCAGCTTGTGAGCCCTTATTGGACTATAATTTCTTGGAGGGCAAGGATTAAATCTTATTTTTTTGTGTGTAGCCTATTGTCCTATGCAGTGTTTATCACTAAGGGAACCATAATAAATACTCAATGAATGAAAAAATGACATTAAGCACCAGAATCAAGGTAATCTATACATCACTTTTATTTAAAATATCTGGTATTACTTCTTAGATGGTTTGATATGGCATTATTTTAAAGTATAGGTTTCTTTTAAAGTTTCATTAATTATAATTTAAATAATCATATGTTATGACTAAAACCTATTAATATGCAATTTTAACAAACTTTTCAAAAAATTGTTTCTTGTTTTCTTTTTATACATTATGTACTTTCATTGTTTACGTCTTAAAAACACACCATGAACATTCCTAGAAAATATATTTCAAGTTTCAGTTACCTAATTTATTTCAAATGAGTCTACTACCCTAGAGTCTCTGGGCATACATTTACCTAATTAAATTCAGATCTTGTTACAAATGGAAAAGACAGACTTTTACTTACAAAGTGTGAAATTACCTAATAATGTATTTCAATTCATAAATGAAGTGAATTTTCTGAGGTATTCTAATTGCTTTCACAAGGCCAGATTTAAATTTTATTTCCATGAAAAAATTTAAAATAACCACTTTATAGCTGCTAAAAATGAGATTCATGGTGAAAGTGTTCCTGTCCCCTTAAGTTTCAAATAATACATTGATGCTCCAATTATTGCCAGTCAGGCAATGCGTCTACCACTAAATCCCAAAATAAATAATAGAGAAGTTGAAGTAATTAGTTTAATGTCCTCAGTAAATAATAATTATTTCTAAAATGTTAGGATTTGACCTTTTAGAAGTGGAATAGATTCAGTGAAAGAAAATTATCTAAAATATATTACTATCGAAAGAGTTGTTTCTCTTTTAAAGTCTAATCAATACAGAAAGAAATTATGAGTCTGGTCTCTGGGTTTGCATTTAACTCTGATTAATTTTATCAAAAAACAAATGAAAAGTGTAAAACATTTTTAACGTTATGTCTGCCTCCAATGTAGAATATATTGTATTTTATCATATAAGTCCTGAGGAAAAATATCCTGTGCATGAACAATTTTAGCCAGTAAATTACATGACATAAACTTTATATATGCTAATTTAAGTGCCCCAGTGAAATGCATTGCTTTTCAATTTTTTAAATTTTTGCTTTTACTTTTTGTAATGATCTAACTTATGAAACCCAAGTAGTCTATATCATTTAATGTCCAAAACTTGCTGTGCCTTTTCTGTTTTATCTCTCCATATGCTACTAATTTAGAAATTTACAATCATTTGCATAAAAATTACACTTAATAAGCATTTAATAAATGTTTCCTAATTTTATTTGAATATAAATTTCAAAGGACAGTACAAAACTCGCGTGTGGAAAATGAAAGGCTAAAATTCACTAAATATACTCAGTGGCCTGAATTAAACCTCTCTATCTTGCCAAATTCCTTCCCTCTGTGCCTTACTGAATTAGTGTGTCATTTGCTTCATTAAATAATCGACATGTAATGCTACCTTCTGTATAACTCCAGGTTGCTTCTTAATTGGAAAAAATAACTACTTTGACTCAGAAAGTGTCAATGGACACAGGGTTGATGGAGCCTGGTGTCACAAAGGTGGGCAACATGTGTGCAGCACAGCTGATCCTTCTCAACATGGACAATAGGGACAAGAATTTGCTAAGTAAGAGTAGCTTAATGAAGGTACATTTTACACATACATTCTCAGAGAGATAGCTGAATGGCACACTTAATTAATGATCTGAACAAATTCCAATGTGGTCCCAACACACTCTGGCAATTTTGGGATTCAGGAATCTTGAGTAGGTTTTCTTGAATGTCATCATTTCTTTCCTGGTAGATTATTAGAATTATTTCATCAAGATGCCATTCTCAGGGGATACATGTTTACCTGTGTTTAGCTCTCAGTAATTCTTTGATATCAAATAACATTGTAAGCTATTTGTCAGATGTGATGTAGTGTGGTGGAAATAACACACAACTGGGGACCTAGAATAATTCACTCTAACCACAGCTCTATTGGGACCTATGTGATATCCGTGAAGTTGCCTTCGAGTGCAACCTCAAAATGTGGCTATAACTACAGTGTTCGTAAGTTACTATATAATTTTATTTTCCATCACTCAGAAGAGAACTACGTTTATTTAACAGCTTCTTGCCTATGATTTCTACTTTTGATTTCTTTTAAAAAATACAAATTTGTTCATATCTCTATGTTCTTCTCAACACCTCATACTAGCATTTATATTAACATCAGTTAATTTACAAAAGATCTATATGAATAGCTTATTCAGTGACAGCAGAGTGATTTCATAAACAGCAATGAGTTTTGAAGTAACATAGTCTGGTTGCATGTTAAGCTTTACATTCTCTCGTGACCACAGGCAGATTTCTCAATGCCTCAGTTTCTTGTATGTAAAATCAATATAATGATTGTGCCTAGCCAAGAAGGCGTCATAAGGAATAAGTTACCGTTATCATCATAATTACTGTTAAAAATATCATTAGCTTTATGCAGGTAGGTATGAGTCCAAATGAAATTATGGGATCTCAACAAGGCATATTTAATTCTGTATTTCATTTATATATGAAAAAAGTAAGTATTCTCAAGGTTATTAAAATTTAAGTACACAATATATATACAAGCACACATCCATATATATCTGTCACTATAGGGTAAATGATATTTCCAAGAATTTTTCCTCATCATAATTACTTGGAAATTCCTCCATGGTAGAGCATGTATCAACAGGTAATTCCTTTTTATTAATGATATGATTTGGCTCTGTGTCCCCACCCAAATCTCATCTTGCAGCTCCCATAATTCCCATGTGTTGTGGAATGGACCCGGTGGGAGATGATTGAAGCATTGGTGTGGGTCTTTCCCACGCTGTTCTCATGATAGTGAGTGTTTGTCGAATGAGTATCACGATATCTGATGGGTTTAAAAATGGCAGTTTCTCTGCGCAAGCTCTTTCTTTGCCTGCTGACATCCACGTAAGATGTGACTTGCTCCTCCTTGCCTTCCACCATGATTGTGAGGCCTCCCCAGCCATGTGGAGCTGTAAGTCCAATACACCTCTTCTTTTTTAAATAATCCAGTCTCTGGTATGTCTTTATCAGCAGCATGAAAATGGACTAATACAATTACTAAGTGATAATTCAGTCTGTGGATATTCCACAGTTTGCTCATCCACTCTAATGTGATAAACATTTAGGCTTCAGATTTGTTTATTAATAAAACTACCATGAATAATTTTGCATAGGTATTTGAATAAAGTTATGTTTTCATTTCTCTTGAGTAAGGAATTATGAGTGGAATAGCAGTATCATTAAGGTGGACATTTAACTTTCTAAAATCTTTTCCAAAGTAGTTGTTCCATTTTATATTACCCTCAACAGTACAATAGAGTTCCAGTTGCTCCACGTCTTTGCCAACACTTGTTTTGGTCTGTCTTTTTAGCCATTCCAATAGGTATATAGTGGTATGCATTTTCCTACTGAAAAATTGTAACTATTATGTGCTTACTTTCCATATGTATATCTACTTTCAGGAAGTGTCCAAATTGACCATTTTATCATTTTTTTACTATTGTGTATCAATAAATTTTACATATTGTTCATGTAATTCTTTTATCAGATATAATACTGGACTATTTTCTCAGTCTGTATCTTGTCTTTTAAATTTTATTAAAGATGTATTTTGAAGCAAAGTGGATTTAATTTTAATAAATTCCTATTGTATATCAGTTATTTTAAAGATAATAGTTTTGACATCACATAAGAAACATTTAATCCAAAGTGGCACTGATGAGTTCCTATGTCTTCTAAAAGTTTTACAGTTTGAGTTATATAGTTAGATTTATCTTCCACTTTGTCCATGATCTCATTAAGAAAATAGCACTTTTATGTACCAAAATGAATAAAATATGACACTATTATTTAATGAGCCCCATGTGCCAAAATAAGGTAAGGGTGATATGGAATTGTGAAGAAAATATTAAGGAGAAGATACTCACATAATATTAGAAGTCATAGTAATTTATACAATCAGATGTCTGTATTTTATGTTTGTAGGTTATCTAAAGAAAAAAATAATTAAAGAGAATTATATTTATAAATCAGGATCTGGGTGCTGAGTGCGTTTATTTCTCCTGGGATGTCATTGCCTCTAGGATATTTCAGTGAGCAGTGTCAGGTAATATACAGTTGACTCTTGAGCACACAGGTTGGAACTGCCTGGGACCCTTATGTATGAATTTTCTTTCTGCTCTGCTACCCCTGGGCCAGCAAAACTAACCTCTCCTCATCATCCTTCTCAGTCTACTCAACGTGAAGATGATGAGGATGAAGACTTTTTCGATGATCCACTTCCACTTAATGAACAGTAAATATATTTTCTCTTTCTTATGATTTCCTTAATAACATTTTCTTTTTTCTAGATCACTTTATTATAAGATTGTAATATATAAAATATATAACAAACAAAACATGTGTTAATCAACTTTTATGTTATCAGTAAGGTCTCCAATCTATAGTAGGCTATTAGTAGTTAAGTTATACACAGATTTTCAATCTTACTGGTGATCATAATCTTTAACCCCATGTCATTCAAGGATCAACTGTACACATGTATACTAATCCATGTATACAAATACATCTGTTATTATTTATGCACACACACACACACACACATATATACACAGATGTTCTTCACCTTACAGTGAAGTTACATCCTGCTGAACTCATCATAAGTCGAAATATTGTAAGAAGAAATTGCATTTCATAAACCTAACATACCGAACATCTTACCTTAACCTAGCCTACCTTAAATGTGCTCAGAACACTTTACCTTACAATTGGGCAAAGTCATTTAGCACAAAGCCTGTTTTATAATAAAGTGTTGACTGTCTCACATAATTTATCGAATACTGTACTTAAGTAGTTGTGTGTGTGTGTGTGTGTATATATATACACACACAAATACACAACACACATACATATCTCTCTGTGTGTGTATGTGTGTGTGTAACTATAGCTATACATGAATTCATGCTAACTTCTCTGACCATAATGAAGTACTTCTATGACTGGAATACAACTCCAAATTTCAAGTGTTGGAAATTGAATCTTCAATGCAACAGTGTTGAGAAGTGGCATTTTAAATAGGTTATTAATGCCATTATCATGGGAGTGGGTTAGTTATTGTGGGAGTAGTTTCCTAAAAGGATAATTTCAGTGTCCTTTCTCATGTACACTAGCTCTCTTGCCCTTCTGTCTTCCAACATGGAGTAACCCAGAAAGAAGGCCCTCACCAGATATGAACCCTAGATCTTGGATACCCAGAAATGTGAGCCAAATAAATTTCTGCTTCGTATAAATTACCTAATCTCAGGTATCCTGTTATCGCAACACAAAGCAGACTAAAACAAGTACAATGAATTTATTCTAGCCTTTCCACCTTGTTTATATGTTACCTCACTCTCCAAAAGTTAGACATCTGGTTTCAATTATCCTTTATCCATTTACTTATTTTTTCAATCTAAGTATACATGTGTAGCTGTTTCAGAATTGCAAACCCACATCTTCATATGAAACAACTTTACTTATTAGAGTGCAGTATTTTTGTGCAGTTTCTTTAATTTTTTGATTTCAACTGCAGGTAAAACATTCTTTTCCAAAGCTGTATAGCTCAACTGCTCTCCCCTCCCACTTCAGTGAGGTTATATAAAACATTTATAATACAAAAAGTTTCATTTGTCATGATGTGAATTCCAGCCTGGGATCATCAAGCATCCTATATATTTCCTATGTAATTTGCATGTAGTAAAGTTTACTTTTTGTGGCATATGCTGGTATTGGTTTTATAAATGCATAGAATCAGAAGTTTACCACCAAAAAGTATTCAAAATTGATGTCACCCCCAAATTTTCCTGTGATGTTTGGATTAAAATCTCAAAAGATGAAGACACAAAGTACATGACAGAATAAAACTTGAAGAAAAAATGGCCAAAAATTTACCAAAATTAGTGACAGACACTAAGCAGATCCAAGAAGTGCAAAGAACACTGCATAAATAAAAAGACAATTACAACTAGTAATAGTATTTTTAAATTGCTGAAACCAAAGAGAAATAAAATCTTGGTGGCAGCTAGTTGGGGGAAAATTACTTTCTCTACCAAGTTATAAGAATATTAATTATAGACCACTTCTCATCATAAATGATGCAGCCAAGAAATGATACAAGGAGCACATTGTTAAAATGTTGAAGAGAAAACCCATCAACCCAAAATTCTATACCCAGCAAAAGTATCCTTCAATAGTTAAGTGGAAATAAATACTTTCTGAAACAAATGAAAGGACCTACCATTTATGAAATGTTAAATTTCTGCAGGGCTGAAGGAATTATGATTAGGTAATTTTTATTGCTCTCTGACATTCAAATTCATTAATTCTTTTCTCAGTTCTTTTAGGTTTACTGATGATTCCTTGGAATATAGTTTCCATATTACTTACTGTGTTTTTTATTTCTGGTGTTAATTTAATGAATTTTCATAGGTTTCAGTCTTTTGCTGAAGTTATCTGTGTGCACATACATGTCGGTTATTCTTTTTATTAGCAGCTTTAACATATGAAATACTGCTTTTTATTTAAAAATTTCCAGGCTGATAAATCAATATCAATTTTATATTGACACCAGCTTTGTCTTGTTAGACTGTGTGATCCTTGCCTTTTGACATGTCTTGCAGTTTTTTCTCGCAATATATACCTGTTTAGGGACTATAGATATTAAGACAAATGTTATTTTATGCTTGGAGATGAGCATGCCTTTTTTCTGTTTAGTCTTTAATGTGGTGATTTGCATTGATCTTGTTAGGACTTGGGATGGGTTGTTTTTATGGTTGCATTCAGTGCATAAGGCTTCAGACTCCCCTGAGGATACTTTGTTTTGGGTCTCTGATTGAATTTCTCTTAATAGCATTACACTTCTTAATAGCAGTACAA
Source organism: Homo sapiens (assembly GCF_000001405.40). Lineage (NCBI taxonomy): Eukaryota > Metazoa > Chordata > Mammalia > Primates > Hominidae > Homo > Homo sapiens. The sequence goes on from NC_000007.14 coordinate 53,713,818, forward strand.
TGGGGATTAAGTACCAGTACATGAATTTTGGAGGGACATTCAGGCCATAGTACTTCCCTGTGCCTGCTGCCTTCAAGAGCCTCACACTCTCACACTAGCTCATACTGTATCCTCAGCTACTCATTTAAAATTTCTAGCTATATCAATTTTCCATTGCTGCTATAACAAGTTAACACAAACTTGGTAAAAACAATGGAAACTCATTTTGTCAACTTATACATGAGTCACAGTCTGGATAGAGTAACTTGGTGGTTCTCTGCTTAGGTTCTCACAAAGCTGAAATCAAGGTGGCAGTCATCCTGAGCTCCAGCCTTATTCATGTTGCTGGCAGAATCTAGCTCCTGTTGCTGTAGGCCTGAGATGTCTATGTCCTTGCAGCTGTGAGCCAGGACAGCTGCCCTAGATTTCTGGAGGCCTCCTTCCAGTCCTTGCATATGGGCTTCCACATCTCAGAGCCAGCAACAAAAAGTTGAATCATTCATATGCTTGAAACATATTTTACTTTTATTTCTGCCACATTTCTCTGGCTACAAGCCAGATAAAGTTTTTTTTTTTTCTTTTTTTAAGGGCTCATGTGATTAGATTGAGCCCACTGGATAATCCAGGATAATCTCCCTATTTTGTTATCTGTATCCTTAAATACACCAAAATATCCCTTTTGCCATGTAACATAGCATAGCCACAGTTTTCGGGGATTATGGCATGTGTGGGGGTGTCATTATTCTGCCTCCCACACTAGCTAAATCTTCTTACTGGCTTATATGGTTTTTGATGATGTCTGTCCCAAGCAAGCAAATATTCAGGACCTGTTTTTCCTTGTGGGCTCTGTCATTTCTTAGATTTTGAGTTGGATTTTTGCCCTGTAACTTCGCTTTCTGATGAGCTTAAGAAAAAATAATTTTTAGTTTGTCTTTCTTTCCCTTATTATAAATGCTGGAGTGATGCCCTTATCAGCTCTCAATATCACACCTGGAAATCCAAGCCCAGCGGATTTGTTATTTTATATTGATATTTTAACTCTGTTCAGCGAAATTTTTGAATTTTTATTTCAGTTTACATCACAGTCTGAAACCAGTGTCATTTATATCTGCCCTGTTAGCAAAGATGAATTTTAAAATTCTAATTATACATGTAGAGAGTAATTATATAAGTAGAAAGTTTCCAAATTTCTTTCTGGCTCTCAGAGTGCTATAATGAATAATGCAGTCTATCTTCAGTAATAATTTCACAATTTCATTGTTCCAACATATTCCTAATATAATCAGCAGCCTTTCTATAATTATCAATGAATCAATTTGAATACTCATATCAAAATCTTGATATTAAGGTATGTAATATTTCATATATAGAAGCTGAAAATTGAAATGCAGTAACATTTATATATAGTTGTTCTAATTTTCTAATAGTTAAAAATTGTAGTTGATTATAAAATGTTTTAGTAAATCAATTCCCATAGGAAGAAATCAAGACATTAATTTTTTCACCTTTGTAACATTCATATAAAAGCATTCAGATTGCTCAAAATTTACATTTGTATTAAGTATAATTTTTTTTGGTAAAGAAAATAAATGAATTACTACTCATACAACAAAGAGTATAATGGATAGTGTGAAAAGGTCTGCTAGAACTCTTCTGTGAGGTGTGGCTAAAGCTGTGAGAAACAGAATAAGACTCGAAATTTCAGAAACATTACGGTTAATATCTTACCTGAAGACTCTGAAATATACCAAATATAAGTACCTGGAAACCTTCACATAATAAAAATCCTGGTGACATTTCCAGACCCTGGCAATTAAGGGAAGTTTGCTTGAAAGGCCACAGAAACTTCTAAGTGTGGGACCTTGTGAGATGAAAGTCTGGGATAAAGAAATGAAGAGAAATGAAATAATCTGTTTCGCAAATGTCAAGGACAAAGTGGGGAAGAAGTATTGCTTGTCAGGAAGAAACAATAGCCCCTAAGAATGTCCAGATAGTATTAATAGATAAATTAAATTGCTTGTATTTCCTCAACATGAGCAATTTAATTTTGCAGTAGAAGAATGGAATCCAAGTACCTATCAATCCCTGCACTTGCTTACCTGTTAGCAGTGCAGAATGGCCAAGCTGCCCTACCCTCAAAGAAGGGTATCTGCTTTTGAAAAAGATTCTCAATTCTCCCTTTGACCAAACTCATGGCTCCTAGCAGCCTATGGCCCTGTCCCTGAGATCATCCAGGCTCCCTTGAGTTCCTGTCTGGAAAACTCAAGGGTACCAAAAGAATTTACCCATTGTTCCAACCAACATTTGATGATAGGCTCTTGACCTCCCTTTCTTAGAGCATTTTTTAAAAATTACATGCATTTGCAAATGCTTCCTCTATTCCTTTGAGATGTTTATGTATCTCCTTCAAATCAGGAGTGTCTTTCTCAGGGACCTGAAAGCTATTCCTCTGAAATGGCATCATTAGGAAGGGTTAAGGCCATGTCTCCCCATCTCTGTGGGAGGGTAAGAGTCTAACATTGATAAGCTCCAATAAGCAGACACAGTTGGCCTATCTGTATTGACACTGATCAGCTCTCATACCAACTTTTTGGAATTTTTTAATTCTCTGATTCCGCTGAGCTACTGACCACCCTCCAACTTCTTCCTCACCCTCCTTTTGGAGCACCGTATCACCTCCATACCAATCGAAGTCGTGCTGAGTACACAATGGACTCTTCCCCACCGCAGCAGTTATAACTAAATAACATCTGTCTTTATTGCTTGTACCTAGTGTCCAGATTTGCTTATCTTTAGCAATTTTAGCTTCCTAATAATCCTGATTGTGGGCCTAATACACAGTAAAATTTTTCTATGAACAAATAATGGGTGAATATTGAGAGAAATAAGAGAGATGTGGAAAGGAGTCAGGGGAGGTGGTGGGTTTTTCTGATGAAATAAATGTATTTTACAAGCCTGAAAGAGTGAAAAGTCCGAAAGTTCTGGATGGGGAATGGTGACTGACTACTTCAGGAGCTTGTTACAGAAGCAGCGCAACCACCAGGTTAGCTGTGGGTCAGGGATGGTGGGTGCCTTAGAGGGACCAGTGGTGGAGAGCTGACATGGAATTAGAATCCCACCTTCCCACGGCCTCACTCATAGAACTCTCTTGCCAGGAGAGATCCCAGCATCTTGGCACCTGAGGCTAAATGTTTCCCCTGTATGTGGGGTGAGGACATAAAATAAAATTATCTCCATAAGGTAAAGGAATACAATTTTTTTTTATTTCCATTGAAGGCAGAGATTTATTTGTGTTTAAGATGAATTTCATTTATGAATTTACCAGACAAAAAGAGTTTGAGAAACCAAATTACTTTTACATTTTGAAAGCTAGCTATGAACTGTGCATTGTTATAATCATGATGCTATGCTTAATAAAAATGTAACTTTAGATTAAAACTGTGAGGCTGTTGACCAGAAAATGAGAATCATCTTTGTTTGAATGCATGCCACTTGGCCATGGGTGAAATACTGAACTGGCCTTGGTCTCTGCTACTTTAGAACTATCTGTTTTAAAGCTGTCAACTATCACTTTGTCTGAGGCTATTTAGCAACTATCAGAAATTATTTAATTTTATAGAGCACAGAAAGAAAAAACATAGATTAAATTAGCAAATGTGTACAGTAAGCAATTTGGTTGAAACTGAGAACAAGATTTTTGAATCTGAGAAGAGTGAAAGCTAGAAACTATGATTACATGTCTGTGAAGTTTTCCTCTCTGGATAGGAAAGAGGACTTGTTGTTCAACATAAATATCGTTCCTTTGCTCTAGGAAAACTATGAAAATGTGCCATTAAGTTATGCAAGAACCTTTCTGGCATGAGAATATTTGAGAAGCTCAATAGGAGTTCCTCTGAGGCTCAGTTGCAACTCAATTGTTTCAAGTAATAAAGTGAAAGGTTAGCTGTTTTAAGGAAGTGCCAAAGTCTTTGAAATAACTCTTTTCCTAATATACATGTAGGCCGAGCTCTGATTAAAATCCATCATTGACCCTCGCAGAGACAAGTGCTTATGTTCAAGCAGATATTCCTAGAAACCAGGAACTGGGGCTAGAAGAGGAGAGGGCAGAGCGTTTCGGGCAGATCTGCCCCATTTCCAGAGAAGAGTGTTAAACTGTTAGGCCCAGAGGAGCAGGGACAAATAGATTCAGGGGGTCATTGGTAGGCTGTCCATTTAATTCTATACCTTTCACTTTATTACTTGACACTCTTGAGTTGCAATTGTTGTTAATACAGATTTTAAGAGGAAAGAGAAATAGGAAGATCACATATGAAGGTACTGTGTTATAACTTAATTTGGAGGTTTTTCAGTGATATACAATACTAGTAAAATGTTTGCAGCTTCTGGAACAAGTTGTAAACTGACTGAATGAGAAGAAATATATAGATAACTCTAAATTTTCTCTTAAATGATGAGGAAGCTGTATCTGGGATCATTTTAGAGCCAAAGTGGCAGATGTTATTTTCAACGGAGTAGGGTATTTATAGTTTCTCATGTAATCTAAGCTAAGTTTCTGTATTTTTTTAGAGTATTTGATTATTTGGACATTCTCTGTGGGAAACAGCAGTATCTAAACACATCTGTGATAGGACTGTCAAAGATCAATACAGCTATAATATTGATGTTCTACTTCTGGCATTAACTAAAGATCCCACCTCTGAAAGATCTATTGAGACCATCATAGGGAAAGGACTCTAAACTTGTCACATCTGGAAACCCTGTAAGTTAAACTCATTGTAAAATGTCTTTGTAGTATTCTTTTTAAATTAATTTATTTGTAAAATATTGCAACCTTTCCTAAGATGTCTAGGGAAAAATTAAGATGTGCTGTGGAGAAAGTTCCACATAATCTCTGGGCTTCTGCAAATCTCATGAAGAGGCATTAATGGTTTGACTATAGGCTCATTTTGATGATATTATATGTTAATAGCAAATAACATTGGAAGACAGAGATAATGTGTCCTTCCTAGGCAAAAAGAAGATTTGTTTCCTGACCAAGATAAGAAATGTAATAAATATGTCCCACTAAAACAAAAGGTGGGCATATTTGCAAGCATCTCTTCTCTAAGAATGGGCATTTCTTAAGCTCTGTTTATTAAGCTGTTACACAAGCCCTCTGCTGATGTGGCATCAGCATCATCTAAGCCACTCCCCAAAGAGACTTGGGGGTAGAAAACCAATGTGAATGTGAAGCTCACACTGCCTACAGTGCCATAAGGAATGAAGTCCTTTGTCTCTGAAATAGGATTCTCATGTCTTCTGCCAACATCAAGGAAATTGTGGCTGGCTAACTTGTTAGCTTAGAAATAGGGGAAAATATTAGATCCTTGTTAGTTCTCGATCATAGGATTCTTGACTTTGGGCAGTATGCACACGGAAACAGCTCCTCTTCACTTCCAAAGAACATACAGTGATGGTTGCACCTCAAGAGAGCCTCTTATATCTGACATTGCAGAGGGGATAGTGGAAGATTATGGCTTTGGTGAGAGCAATAACTCATGAGCATGAGTCAGAGATGATTTAGCCACCCCTTCTCCCAACACACACGTAATTCAAAGTGAAACTTATAATTCATAAAATATATGAAGTATAATAAAGCCAGCAAGTCTTTTTCCCCATTGTGATAATTTTAATGCTTTTTCAAATGAATCAACCATAAATATTTATAAATAGATATTTTATCACCTTTTTGGTGGTGATGCTTTGGGACTCTAATCACTTTCTGTATTGCTAGCTAGATGTGTTGGCTCTAGGAGCTGCTGATTAGCTGGAACATGGTTCCTGATGGTCATCATGACAGCTGCAAAGCTCAGTGGTTTAATTGTTATGATGATTTCTTTCTTCCTTAGTTTCAGGAAAGGATTAATAAAACATTCTGTTGGAATATTTTAATGGCATCTTGCTCAGTTGCTCACAATGTTACCCCTTTGCTTCTGATCTCTCTTATTTAACTCAATTCATATCAAATCTCTTCCATTTCTCTCATCTTACAGTGTACATCAATTTGCTATTCAAGCTCAAAATATTCCAACTAAACTCCTACGTTCACCTGTAAATGCTGTTTAATGCATTCAAATCCATCCAATCTGGCATTGAGGCCCATTGATAATATATCTATCATCTTGTCCCTATGCATCTCACTATAAATGGCCTATTTAGAGTCCTTAACACTTCCTCTTTCAACTACTACCATGTCCTCCAAAAGTCTGGAGGCTCACTTCAGGGTTACCCACCAACCGCACTCTTGCTTTCTCCCCAGCTAGCATTTTTCTTTTTCTTTTTTTTTTTTTAACAGAGTCTTACTCTGTTGCTCAGGCTAACGTACAGTGGTGTGATCTCTGCTCACTGCAACCTCTGCCTCCCGGATTCAGGTGAACCCAGCCTCCAGAGTAGCTGGGATTACAGGCACCTGCCACCGCACCCAGCTAATTTTTCTATTTTTAGTAGAGGCAGGGTTTCATCATCTTGGCCAGGTTGGTCTCGAACTTGTGACCTCGTGATCCACCCATCTTGGCCTCCCAAAGTGCTGGGATTACAGGCATGAGCCACCGCACCTGGCCCCAACTAGCATTTTCTAAACTGCTGTTTCTACCATTCCCCATAATCCTCAAGGTTCTGTCCTGCTGTAGCCTGGCATTGACACTCTAACCTCAGGCTGCTTCACTGGCCTAAGCTTCAGCAGTAGCAGCCCCAGCTCCTGAGACATGTCCTTCTCCCATAGCAGCAGAACGGATGCATTCTTCTTCTGCCCAGGAAGCACTTTCCTCCTTCATCAACTTGGCTAACCCTGTGCTTCTTCAATTCTTCACTCAAGCAGAACTCCTTACTGGGATGACTTTCATCTCTTCACCTGAGCATATCCTTCTTCTGGATCTCATGTTGTTGTATGTTTCATATTTTGTAGTCTCTTTGCATTGTCATGGGTTTTATTTTGGGGTTTGCCATGTCTTTGTAGTAGTTTGATGTCAATTATTCTTTATATCTCTGGTACATCCTGGATGGGCAACACATTTACTGAAAAAAAGTTTTATATATATATGTGTGTGTGTGTACATATATATAAAATATTATATATAATTTATTAAATGATTTGATCCCAATCACATTTCATTCCTCATGTAATGTACTGTATGTTATAATCATGTCTGTGGTTGCGTGAATGGGGAGGGGGTCCATTAAGAGCAGTAAACTTTATTTTGAAATCCAATAAATATTTACTATTATTAAAATATAAATATGTTTAACATGGAATCATGATGAATAAAAATCTTGAGTTCATTTTATGTAAGACGTGAGTGACTGATTACTGTTGCACTCGCTGGGTCTTCCTTTTGCTGAGGGTGCTGCACTACACTCTGAGATGCAATGGGTGTCAAGGGATTCTCATTGTACAGGTGGACAATGACCATGGGAGGTGGAGGGTAGTGGGCACACCAACAGGTTCCACGGTGACAATTTCCTGTTTCTGCAGAGACCTTCTTGGGCCACCTCTCTGACAGGGGATTTTCTTTTGTTTCATTTTGCTTTCCTTTTGTAAGTGGAGAACATCTTTAGCTTCCTCCAGGGAACTGAGTGATGGAGCAATCAGGAGTTAGTTTTGTGATAATTACAGCTGTGTCAAAGCAGTGACGGAGAATTTGTGGAGAATCTCATTTACTCTTCTGGAAGCACATCTTTTCATGCAAGCACCACTTCACAGACTGATTTGCTCGAGTCTGTCTGTGCTGAATTTAGAAAACAGAGCCATTTGTTTTTTCCATTGGAAATTTTCCTGGCTCATCAAATAAAATCTAAATAATACCTTCATTTATTTGTCAGCACCTTGTTACAAACATAACCTTTATTTGTCCATGCTTTACCATGAAGTGATTACTTAGAAAACTGTTAGTAGGAAACTTTCCACTCTTCTGAGTTACTTTATTTCACACAGCCTGATGTCCGAAATCACTAACATTTTAAATATCCTGTCATAAAAAAACTGAAGGTGATTTACCAGTGAAAATGTACAAAATAAGATTCTTTAATATACTATTTCTGAGTATCACAACCAAAAAAATTCATTTTTTAATCTTATTTGTGTGTGTGTGTGTGTGTGTGTGTGTGTGTGTGTGTGTGTTCATAATTCTATAATTCTTATGGTCAGAATTCAGGGAATTTTTCTATCCCAAGAGAACCTTCATCATTATGAATGAACTATCTGCAATGATTACTAATCCCATGACAAATGACAGCTATTTTCTGAACACTATACATGTACTATTTTATTTATTAATTTAGAAGCATCCAATTAAATTTTGGTTTGGTGAATATGCTGTACACAGGAAATACATATTAAACATTGGAAAAATAAGTAAAAATCAGGACCTTCAAAAATGCATCATTTCTTACGAAAGGTAGGTAAATATCTAAAGTACTTATTATAAATATGTAGTGGTAGGGGCTGTCTAAAAATATGCTGTAGAAGCAAATGTTGCATCTAATGACAAGCTAATACTACAATAGAATGAAGTGGTCAAGTAAAACTATGAAGCAAAGATAATGGCTAGCTGATAATTAAGAAGTTACTAATCCCAATTACTAGGTAGATGAAGGACTTAATAAGCAAATAAGTTTAAATACATGGCGACATGAGAGAACATGTTACACCTCAAGAACTGCAAGTAATTTGATGTAAAAAGAAAAAGAGGGATGGAAAGTCAATGTGTCAAGGAGTATAAGTAAAGGTCAAATTATGTCATGGTAGGAAGTTTAGGAATATTAGAACAGAAAAGTCACATATAGTAAACAGGAAATTATATTTTATAGATTTTTTTTTATTTCCTTGTGAAATCAAATTTAAAAAGATGGTAGGCCTGGTGGCAGTGGCTCACGCCTGGAATCCCAGCACTTTGGGAGGCCGAGGCAGGCAGATCACGAGGTCTGGAGATGGTGACTATCCTGGCTAACACGGTGAAACCCCGTCTCTACTAAAAATATAAAAAATTAGCGGGGCGTGGTGGCGGGTGCCTGTAGTTCCAGCTACTCAGGAGGCTGAGGCAGGAGAATGGCGTGAACCCGGGAGGCAGAGCTTGCAGTGAGTCGAGATCCCGCCACTGCGCTTCCAGCCTGGGGGCCCAGAGCAAGACTCTTGTCTCAAAAGTAAAAAAAAAAAAATAAAAAAATAAAAAGAGGGTAAAGTTTCCTGTCAAAATGTTGCTATGAAATTAATATAAGAATATATGACAATTTCAAGTGTAGGCATTAGCCATGGAAAACTATTTCGAGAAAGTAAAAGTATTTTTCCATGTATTTAAAAGCACATGTTTATATATTATATTTTGCCAGGTATAAGCCTATTTGCTTTATAAACATTTGCTTCTTTATAGTCCTTAAAATAATCATATTATTATCATTCTCATCCCATTTATAGATGAAGGAACATAAATAGAGAGATGAAGTAATTTCGCTAAGGCTTCAGACCTGGTGAATGAAAGAGCCTTGGGTTTGAAGCCTGGTAGTGCAGCACTAGTATGTTCTCTTAACTGCAAAACCATGCTATTTTTCAGGTTTAATCTTCTTTTTAAGTGAAGTGTAGCAGAGAAGAAAGATCCTGGGCTAACTTTCTGATAATGAATTGAGCAAATAGTTACCAGGTGCTTATAGTTAACTGGAATAGGATACCCATGAAATAAACTAGATTTGGGATACATTTCAGACACACTTAAGAATCTATCACAGCACTGTCATGTCTTTAGGTTAAAGACAGAAGTGTGGAAAAAAAAAAAGTTGAGAAAAGCTGTTTGAACTGCATTCATAGGTTTAAGGGTTGCAATTTCATTCAATTAAAAAACAATAGAAATAGTAATATGAGGAAAAAGCACATGTTGGAATTTCTGTTTCCAGCCAGCGTGGAGTAATAAGGACTTAACTTTTCATCTAGTCATTAAAAAAATAAAAACTAGACTTAATATGTAACACAACTCATTGCAAAATGAAGAACTGTGACCCCTGAGAAAAGAGAAGCACATGAGAGGTGCCCTATTGTCCAAGCGGTCTCCTTAGAACCATTACTATCAAATTCATGGAGCCCAGGATAGGGGTTATCATGATTTCCGGAGGTGGAGGTTGAGATTCTTGGGGAGACCATTGTAGTTGAAATTTTCAGTCAGAGTACCAGAGGAAGCTAGCAGAAAATGCTTTCCAAAAATCTTCCTAGGAGTCTTCTTGACTATGTGGCTAAATAAAAACTACCTGTGCATAAAGTGAAACTCCAAAGGCTGGTAAAGATGAACCTGAGAGCTTTACAAAAGAAAATATCAGTATTTTTGAAGACAGATCAATGAAAAATATCCAAGATGGAGTGATGAGAGAGAGAAAAAGGTTGCATTCCACCTCCTTCAGTGACAAAACTGGGGCCTGTATTTTAACTCTGTGACCCACTGAGAGTCTCACTAACGTTCACATTATACACCCACCCCACCTCATCTCTCTTTCTCTCTATTTCTTACACACACACACACACACACACACACACTCTCTCTCTCTCTCTCACGATCATTAGAAAATAAGAAGGCGATTCACTTCTCTTCTGCATTCTGGTAAACTTTTATTATTTCTGCTGGTAGATGTAGATAGCCTGTAACTCTGCCTTGATTATTCCTCTCCAAATCCCATCCCTAGAAAGTGCTGCCTATTCATTACTGATTTGCCAAATGCTTCTATCTTTCTTTTCTGTCATTACTCTTCAAGCAAATTAACAATGATTTGAATGTACATCCAGAAGTAAACTTTATATTTGAAATTATAGAACATTCCCCATTTGTCAGTGAAATATATCATAAAGCACATTTGAAACTATGGGTATCAAAGCACATTTGAAACTATGGGTATCAAAACCAGAAAAAAATATTGAGTTTGTAATTGAGAAATATGGCTGACACTACCTTAATTAAGTGATCATTCAACCTCCCCACTATTAGGACAAACTGACCTTTCTTCCCTTAATTGATAGACTGAGAAGGACACATCAGCCAGCTAAGTAGCAGTCCTGCTAAATGTTTAGACTCTAGTCATGAGAAATCAATCTAATGAATGCAAATGGGTGGATATAAGGTCTGAAGTTTTAAAATATCAGTGTTCTTAATTTCGATGTACTAAACAAATAAAACTTCAGGCCAAAAAAATGGAAAATACAAAGAAACAGAAAGATATAGAGAACATTATTGCAAAGATAGAAGAAAACTATGTGGAATGCATATAACATAATTGGATCAGTGTTACATTTTCTGAATGTTTTACTATATGTGGTTATGTAGATGAATCTTCTTGTTCTTAGGATATACATACTAATGTATTTCAGGGTGAAGTAATAAAGTGAAAGGTAGATCAACATGGCAAAATGTTAAGAACTGAAGAAGTTTGTCATTTTCATGAATAGAGTGATATTCAGATATAATATGAACCATAAATAAATATATATGTGTGTATATATACATATATATAAATATATATATATAGAGAGAGAGAGAGTAGACAGAGAGAGAGAAAGAGACAGAAAAAAAGAGAGAGAAGAGAGAGAGAGGTAGATGAATACATCTGCCCCAGGTTCCTGAAACAGAGCTCCTGAAATCCTTGTATTGTATTAATAGCAGAGATGCTAGGAGAATCATTTACTCTACTATTTGTTCTTTAACTCCAGTTCGTGACACAGAGCTCCTAAGACCTTTGTAATTTCCTGAGTGATAGGAGAATCTTTCGTTCTAATGGGGTGACTCTCAGTGGTTGGGTCTGGTTGCCAAGGAAATCATCTGTGTGATTTGGGGGTTGGAACTTTCAACCCCCACCCTCCAACCTCTGGGAGGGGAGAGGAAGTGAAGGTTGAGTTGGTTATCAATGGCCAATGATTTAGTCAATCACGACAATACAATTTCGTTAAACCCCAAGAGGCCTGGATCCACAAAGCCTCCAGATTGTTGAACAGGTGGCGATGTCTTGGGGGTGGGCCCAGAGAGGGCATGGAAGCTCCACCCTCCTTCCAAGCTTCCTTGCTCTGTGCATCTCCTCTGTCTGGCTGTTCATCTGTGACCTTTGTAATATTATTTATAATGAGTAGATAAACACAAGTATTTCCCTGAGTTCTGTGGAGGACTTCAGCAAATTAATTGAAGCCAAGGAGGGCATCGTGGAAACCCCAGATTTATAGCAGGCTGGCCAGAAATACAAGTTCTCCTGAGACTTGCACCTGTCATATGAAGTGGGGGCAGGCTTGTAAGACTGAGCCCTTAACCCTATGCCCTGAGAGACAGTGTCAGAATTGAGTTAAATAATGGAGCACCCAGCTGGTCCCTGCTATAGAATTGTTTGGTGTGTGGAGAAAAATACTGATACATTTAATGTCAAAAGTGTTCTGCAAGTATTGAGAGGGGTGAGTGGAAAACTAGGAAAACAATTTGTTTCCCATTTCTTACAAATGAGAGCACACAGTATCTTAAGATGTCTGTTCTTTCCAAATTTATATTCAAAATTAATGCAATCCAAATCAAAATCTTATCAGATTAGCTTTAGAGACTAACAAATTGTAAAATTATTAACAAGTACAGAGGAGCTAAGATAGTTAAAACAAATTTGAAAAGAACAAAGTGTTATGACTTGAAATACCTAATTTCAGGATTCACTATACAGCTACAATAATCAACATCGTATGTTATTGGCAGAAGGACAGACGCATAGATGAGTGGAGTAGAATAAAAAGCCTAGAAAGAAATCCATTTATATGTGAACAATTAAATTTTGACAAAACTCATATGTATCTAACACAGAAAAGCTAGTCTTTTAAAAAATATTTGGAACAACCAAGTATTAATTAAAAAAATACTCAATCTTTACCTCTCATCACATATAAAATTGACTTGAAGGTGTTCTAAACCTTAAACTTAAATCTATAAATAAAAAAAGTCTACAAAAATGTGGGATAAAAATTTTTGTCTTTGGTATAGCCAAATATTTCTTTGCTAGAATATAAAATGCATTGGTAACTTAAAAATTATGAATTGTACTTTATAGAACTAAAGCAAAAATACTCCCAAAATGCCCATTGTCATACACTGATAATATTACACTGATGATTTTGAAAACATAGACAAAATGGATGACATTTTCTGGGAAAACTAATTAATAAAAATAATACACCAAAAGCAGAAACCTGTATAAACTATGAAACAAATTGGGCTAATTAATGGCAAAAATTTTAAACTAAGGCAATTCCCATATTATTCTGAGAAAACTTTAAAGAGACTATAAAGTTCTCAGGTTATAAGCAAAATGTTCTGTATTATTGAAAAAGTGAGAAAACCTCCTGATTTATTAAGGAATACCAGAATAACCTTGACACCAAAAACTGACAGGATGAACAATGAAACTCTAGATATATCTTACTGCTGAATATAGTCGCCAACATTTTAATTTAATTCTAACAAATCAAATTGAGCAGTATATTAAAATTATGGCAAAGTGCAATTTATTCTAAGAATAAAAGTCTGATTCCATGTTAATTTTTTCTTTTTGTAATTTACAGCTGCACCTTTCAGCACTTTCTAAAGTTTTTGGCCTCCTAAGATAGGATTTGTATTAGTGAGAGGTATACATCAACTGAATTTCCTTATTTTAAACATTCATAAAGTAGAAGAGGGCTAAGAATAAAAGCAAAGTAGATAAGCCTTTTCATTTCTTTCTGCTCTTCCTTCATCTCTTTTGCATGTGCAGCTACACCTCACATGAATGCCTATCCATTCCTAGGCAAAGATTACCTTACAACTTCTCCTGTGCAGTTCACCATTTCCAGAGTCCCTCCAATTAAAGAAATGCTAGTCTAGCTGCAGTTCCCCTGGGTAAACTAAAAAATATCCTATATGATTACATTGTTCCCTATCTGTTCTGTACAAATGATAATGGTTTCACTGTTTAATACACTCATTTTTTTATGTTCCCAGGAGAATGCAGGTCAGGGATTATGGGCATTAATATTATTTCAGTTATTTCCTAGTCGATATATCCTAGGTGCATCATGTTCTCTAATAATCTTCTTTAAAAATACAATCTTATTTTAGTGCAGAAACCATTTTTAATAGTTTGCTTATTGTATTGTTAAACTATATCTTTTCAAAATGCATTATGAACTAATTCAAACTTAGCAAAAGACGCATGTACCCAGCTTAAGAAATACCGCAAATAGTAGTGTTCATGTGTATCTTGTCTAATCAAATTATCCTACCTCAATTTTTCACCAAAGAGTCAAGTGTTCATTTTACATGCATTTTTATCACATCAAATATGTCACAATCATATGTAGCATTATTTTTCATGTTTCTAAACTTTATAAAAATGCTATCATACTGCATGTTTCAGCTGACAATTTGCTTTATTCTACCCAACAGGGTTTGTTTTCCTCTAAGATTTTTCTAAGTTAATACTTATAGCTTTACAAATGTATTCTCACAATGCATAATTCTTTATTATATCAACAATTTAAAGTGTTGATTTGCCTGTTGACAATTTAGGGCATTTATACTTTTTTTGGCTACTATAAAGGGTGCTACAATGATCATCCCTGCACGTGTCAGTTTGAGGCACACAAGCAAGAATGTTTTAGCAGTTGCATTGTTTAGACAGTGGAAACATGCATCTTCAGCTTCCATATTTATTGATGAACTTCTCTAAATCAAGTTGGGTAATTTTTATAACCTTTATTATGTGTATGTTCAACTAAGTTTCTCTTTGCCATATTTCTCTCCATTCATCACTCCCAGCAATTCCTTCCTTTTTTTTACGTGACTTTTCTATGTGGACGCACGTCCTAAAATGGCTATAATCATTATAGGAGTGTGTCCATCCTGCTTGTGTGGGTGAGAAGCAGGAGGTGGGGATTAGTTCCAAAGTACAAGTAATTCTTTTGGGTGGAGTCAGGATGTCAAGGTGAGTGCTTCGTACCCCTATTCAGAGCCATCTATCAAACTACATTTTGGCCTTAATCTTTTTTAATCCACTGCTGTTTAAATTCAAGGGTCTGTGCTATAGAGTTCTGTCACTTCTTTTTGTAAATGAGATAATCTGTAGTTTACTTTAACATAGCTCCATTTAACCACCCTCTTATGGTAGGATTATAGCCACAATATAGTGTTAAATATTTGCAGAAGTAGAGATGTTTGCATTAAGTTCATTCATAATGTTTTAAAAACTCATAAAGCAGAAGAGGTCCAAGAAAAAGAGCTAACCTCTCTAATTTTTGTATACTTATGAAAGGGTTCTTTTCACCTTCATATTTATCTGTACTGTTCTAACCCAAGCCATTAGAATATTCCAATTATCTTGTCTCTATGTTTTTCCTAGTATCCAATTGCATTAGCAAGAATTTTCAGTAACATATTAAAAACAAATAAAAGAAATAATATAAAGAGTGAGCAGGATTGCTTTGGCCCTGATTCATTGGGAATAACCTCTATTGTTTCATTACTTAAGTGACAATTTTACTAAATTTGGGGCTGCAGTATAAATTAAATAACAGTCAACCTGTCTTCTTTAAAAAAATTTCTAATATGATAGTCTATTTATTTATTTTTTAACTTCTATTTCAGGTTTGTGGGTACATGTGAATATTTTTTATATAGGTAAACTCGTGTCACAGAGTTTGTTGTGCAAATTATTTCAATCACTCACGTACAAAGCCTTGTACTCAATAGTTATTTTTTCTGCTCCTCCCCCTCCTCCCACCATTTGCCCTGCAATAGGCCTCAGTGTCTGTTGTTCCCTTTTTTGTGTTCATGTGTTATCATTTAACTCCCACTTCTAAGTGAGAACATCCAGTATTTGGTTTTCTGTTCCTGCATTAGTTTGCTAAGGATAATGGCCTTCAGCTCTATTCATGACCCTGCAAAGGACATGATCCCATTCATTTTCTTTTTTTTTTTTTCTTTTGAGACAGAGCCTCCCTGTGTCCCCCAGGCTGGAGTGCAATGGTGTGATCTCGGCTCACTGTAAACTCCGCCTCCCCTGTTAAAGTGATTCTCTTGCCTCAGCCTCCTGAGTAGCTGGGATTACAGGCACCCACCACTATGCCCAGCTACTTTTTGTATTTTTAGTAGATAAGGGGATTCACCATGTTGGTCAGGCTGGTGTTGAACTCCTGACCTCAGGTGATCTGCCTGCTTCAGCCTCCCAAAGTGCTGGGATTACAGGCATGAGCCACCGTGCCTGGCCAATCCCATTCATTTTTATGGCTGCATAGTATTCCATTGTGTGTATGTACCACATTCTCTTTATGCAATCTGTCACTGATGAGCATTTAGGTTGATTCCATGTCTTTGCTATTGTGAATAGTGCTGCAGTGAACATTCATGTGCATGTGTCTTTATGATAAAATGGTTTATATTCCTCTGGCCATATAACGAATAATGTATAATGTAATCGTGTTTCTGTTTTTGCTCGTTGACAAATTGCCGTAACATTTTACACAATGGTTGAACTAATTGACACTCCCACTAACAGTGTATAAATGTTTCCTTTTCTCTGTAACCTCTCCAGAATCTGTTATTTTTTGACTTTTTAATAATTACCATTCTGACTGGTGTGAGATGGCATGTCATTATGATTTTGATTTGCATTTCTCTAATAACCAGTAAAATTGAGCTTTTAAAAATATGATTGTTGGCTGCATGTATTTCTACTTTTGAGAAGTTTCTGTTCATGTCCTTTGCCCACTTTTTAATGGGGTCATTTGTTTTTCTCCTGAAAATTGTTTAAGTTCCTTATACATGCTGGATATCAGACCTTTGTCCAATGCATAGCTTGCAAAAATTTTCTCCCATCCCGTAAGTGGTCTGTTTACTCTGTTGATAGTTGCTTTTGCTGTACAGAAGCTCTTAAATTTAATTAGATCCCATTAGTCAGTTTTTGCTTTTGTTGTGATTTCACTGGGTGTCTTTGTCATCAAATCTTTGCCCATTCCTATGTCCAGGATGGTATTGCCTAGGTTGTTTTCCAGGGTTTCTATATTAGGTGGGTGCAAACATAACTGCAGTTTTTGTCATTGAAAGTAATGACCAAAACCACAATTACTTTTTTGTACCAACCTAATAGTTTGGGGTTTTACATTTAAGTCTTTAATCCATCTTGAGTTGATTTTTGTACCTGAGGTAAGGACGGGGTCTAGCTTCAATCTCATGCATGTGGCTAGCCAGTTATCCCAGCATCATTTATTGAATAAGGAGTCTTTACCCCATTGCTTGTTTTTGTCAGCTTTGTAGAAAATCAGATGGATGTGGGTGTGCAGCCTTATTTCTGGGCTCTCTATTCTGTTTCATTGGTCTATATATATGTTTTTGTAGCAGTACCATGCTATTTTGGATACTGTAGCCCTACAGCAAGTTTGAAGTTGGGTAACGTGATGCCTCCAGTTTTGTTCTTTTTGCTTAGGATTACCTTGGCTATTTGGGCTCTTTCTCAGTTCCATATGAATTTTAATTTTTTTTTTTTTAGTTCTGTAAAGAATGTCATGGGTAGTTTGATAAAAATAACATTGAATCTGTAAATTGCTTTGGGCAGTATGGCCATTTTAACAATATTGATTCTTCCTATCCATGAACATGAAATGTTTTTTCATTTGTTTGTGTCTTCTCTGATGTCTTTGAGCAGTTTTTTGCAATTCTCATTGTAGAGACCTTTCACCCCCTGGTTAGCAGTATTTCTAGTTATTTTATTATTTTTATGAGAATTATGAATGTGATTGTCTTCCAGATTTGGCTCTTGGCTTGGCTGTTGTTGGTGTATAGGAATGCTAGTGATCTTTGTATAGCGATTTTGTATCCTGAAACTTTGCTGAAGTTAATCAGCTGAAGAAGCTTTTGGGACAAGACTATGGGGTTTTCTCGATATAGAATCATGATATTGAGTGCATTTGACAACAACAAATAATGTTTTCCTGCAGCCTTTCAACATTTAAGGAATTATCATACAATGCATTGTATTCCAATGTAGTTTATGATTATATTAATTGATTAATGAGACACATTAATGTCTCTGTAGTTAATCTCCACAGTATGTTATTTTTTACTAATATATTGCTAGAATCTGTTTAATAACATATTTGTCATTGTTGCATTTATGTTGTTACATTTTGGTCTTTTATTTCGATGTTGTGCAATTAACATCAGTTTGAGGTATAAACATTATATTTGATTAATAAAAGTAATTAGAAGCATTTTTTAATGTTGTTCTCTAGATAATTTTAAGTAGCATTGAGATTACCCAGACCTTAAAATGCTTGAAAAATTCCCTGGGGAATTCATCTGGCTCTGGCACTTTTTTGTGAAATAGGTATTTTTACCTCTCTCCATTTCATCTGTATTAATTGGCATCTAATTGCCACAAATTAGCTCAATGTTTGAATTTTACTGGGTCTGATTTTGGTAAATAAAATTTACTTTGAATTTTTAAATTTTATCTGCATTTTAAAACTGGTCTTATTTTTATAATAATTTTGTTTGAGCCAATGATTATTCCCCTTCCAACATATTTTTGAAGTATTTTTACTTTTTTCTTGATTCTCCTCTTTGGTTGGTATTCCATATTGCTTTTACACAGAATAAAATTCAGTTTGTTTGTTTTTTCTATGTATATTATTTTCTGCATTTACTTTTTAAATTTGAATTATAACTTTTCTAGACTATTGAGTTATGCATTTAGTTCATTTACTCTTATTATTTACTATTGGTCAATAAAGCATTTAAAGCTATACATTTTATTTGGTAATTGCTTTTATTTATTTTATATAAATTCATATAGATAGTGTTTCATTGTCATTACTTCTTATAAATTCTACAATTTTAGTTTATATTGACTCACTTTTCCCAAAAGTTGTCTAGTAGATTTTCCCATTTCCTGATGGAATAATCTCTGTTTTTTGCTTCACTTTTGACCATTAGTACGGCACTATAGTTAATGAAAATTGTTTTTATTATTCTCAAATTATGGCATTCTTAGGTTTTCTTGTTGTCCTAATATCTGATTAATTTTTGTGAATGTTCTATGTGCAATGAGAGAAGTTTTATTCTTTAGTAAAGTCATATAATATCTATATGTACATGCATAAAGCCTACATTTAATTATGTTAGTAACATTTTATATTTTCATACTTGTTGCTCTGACCTTTTATGCGATAAAAATGGGATGATAAATTCTGCTATTGTGAGTACTTTTCTGTCTAATTTTCCATTCACCTTATACACTTTCTTTTTTTCTTATAATTTTCAATACATGTGACTTGATGCATAGATATATATCAAGGTCAATGGTAACTTTTAGCATTGACAAATATTCTTTTTCCCATTTAAATCTACAAAGCATAATTTGGTTGAGTGTGGTGGCTTATGCTTGTAATCCCACAACTTTGGGAGGCCAAGGTGGGCGGATCACTTGAGGTCAGGAGTTCAAGACCAGCCTGGCCAATATGGCAAAAGCCTGTCTCTACTAAAAATACAAAAATTATCTGAGCATGGTGGCCACACCTGTAATTCCAGCTAGTCTGAAGGCTGAGGTGGGATAATTGCTTGAACTCGGGAGGTGGAGGTTGCAGTGAGCTCAGATGGTGACACTATAGTCCAGCCTGGGTAATGGAGTGAGACTCTTTCTCAAAATAAATAAATAAATAAATAAATACATAAATACATACATAATAATGTAAACTTTTCTGATACTGGATTTCCTATGAATAACTGTGTTTTTAATATGCCTGGCGTATCTGCCCATCTCTTGTTTAGGTCTATCTAAATCCCTTTGTCTATGGTTTGTCTCTTGTATACAGCACACAGTTGGATTTTAATTATTGAGCAAATTTGAAAATAAACCACTTTTAATAAAAGAACTGTGCTCATTTACACAATTGATATGAATGACATATTTGGTCCCAAATCCTTTGTAATATTTTTAAAGCTTTATTGAGGTATACTTGGCCTAAAATAAATTGTATATACTAAAATAATGTGATAAACTTTGACATGTGAATATACTCTTAAATCATCCCCACTTTGAAGACACAACACGTACATTGCCTTGAGGTTCCTCCTGTCTCCTCCTAATCTTATCATTGATGTCCTTTCTTTCCCACCAAATGCCATTCAAAATTATATATTGATCTATTTTGTCACTGTAGATTAGTTTGCGTTTTCTAGAATTTTATAGAATTAGAATTCTAAAAAGTATGCTTTTTCACCTTTTAAATACAACACAATTATTTTGAGGTTTATCCATATCCTGCATATCAATAGTCCATTTCTTTTTATTATTTTGTGGTATTCCATTGCATGAATATATGACAGTCTATCTATCAACATGTTAGTGATATTTGAATTGTTTCCATTTTTTTGGCTGTTACAAATAAAGTTGCTGTTAATATCACTGTACAAATTTTTTTATAGAAATAAGCTTTTTTTTTTCTTCTCTGGGGTAAATATCTAGGAGGAGACTGGCTTAATTATATGGTAGGTTTATGTGTAATGTTTAAATAAACTGCCAAACTTTCCCATAATGTCCACACCTCTTCTCATTTACATTATCAGTGTAGAAGAACTTCAGCTCCTTCATAGTCTTGTAAACACTTGGTATTGTCAGTCTTTTTAATTTTAGCTTCTTTAGTGGGTATGTAAGTCATACCTCCTTCTGGTTTTAATTGGCATTTCCCTACTGATTAATATGTTGAGTATTTTTAAATATATTTATTTACCATCCATATATTTCTATATAAATTTTTCAATGTATTTTTTTCTATTTTAAGAGTATTGATTTTTATGATTATGATTTTTTGAGAGTTCTTATATATTCTAGATACAAGTCTTTCTTCAGGTATGTAATTGGCAAATGTTTTTGTTTCATATGTGATTTTTCTTGATTGTTAATGGTGTTTTTTGAATAGCAGACTTCTTAATTTGATGAGATCCAGGTTATCCTCCTTATTGAAGAAAAAAATTGTTGTTTATGGTGTATCTTAAAACTCCTTTTTCAACCTAATGATGGTCACAATTGTTTTCTCCTGTAAATTTTTCTATAAATTTAATTCTTCTAGGTATTATATTTGGGTCTCAGATCAATTTTGAGTTACTCCATGGACTGGAGTTTTGTTTATTTTTCTGTTTAAGTTTTTGTTTGATTGCTTGCACATAGTTATCCAATAGTTTCAGTACTATTTACTGAAGAAACCATCTTCTCTTTACTGAATTGCCTTAGCACATATGTCAAAAATTTCCAGATGTACAGGGACCTATTTCTGGATTCTACATGCTGTTCTACTGATTTATTTGCATATATTTACACTAAAATTGAATGGACTGAATTACAGTAATTTAATAATTAATATTGAAATCAAGTGGTATTTGTCTTCCAAATTTATGTATTTATTTTGAAGCAGGTTCTCCCTCTGTCACCCAGGCTGGAGTGCAGCGGTGTAATCATGACTCACTGTAGCCTTAGCCTCCTAGGCTCCAACAATCCTTCACTTCTACCTCCTGAGTAGCTGGAACCACTGGCATGTGTCACCATGCTCAGCTGATTTTTGTAATAATTTTGTACAAGCAGGGTCTTGCTATATTGCCCAGGCTGATCTCAGAAATAACATTTCTGAGGGTTAGGTGAAAGTGATGTTTATGTAAATAACTAGAAATGAATTGAGTCTGTAAGACAAGAAGCAACAAAATCTGCATATAAGTACTGTACTCTATTGACAAAGTTGCTCCTTACAGGGTTATGGGTGAACAATTCCACAACCACTAAATACGCATCTGAGATTGAACAATTAAGTAACTTGCTGGCAGATGGTATGAGCCAGGTTTGGTGGAAGGTTACAGACAAGGAAGGGGTAAGGCTAGAATAATGTCATACTTCTTTACACTGCGTTAGAGTTGGAGACATTAGCATGAATGCATACTTAGCTTAATATATAGATGGATATAATAAACATGTTTATAGAAGTGTCTATATACACTGATTAATATATACGTGCATATTTTCCTGCTTTTTCAGCAAAGAAGGCCTAGAAGCAATGATATTTGACAGCAAGAAGTATATCCTACCCACAGATCTTGTTTTCTCACAGCATTCTCCAATGAAAAGAAACAGGATCTTTTTTCCTTGGTTTATCTATTGGTATATTATGGGGTTGGTGTAGAAACTGCCAGATTTGAACCTGGATTATCATGTAGTGCCAAAAACTAAAGAAGTGTTCAAACAAAAATAATGATGGCGTATGTCAAAAATGCAGAGGCTTCAATTGTCAATGCTTGAATAACTTGAGCAACAAAATAAATAAATAGTATTAGAGTACAACTCAAAGGTAAATATCCTTGAGTATATGCAGATATAAGAAAATATCTGTCATGCCTATAATCCCAGCACTTTGGGAGGCCAAGGAGGGCAGATCACGAGGTCAGGCATTTGAGAACAGCCTGGCCAACATAGTGAAACCCCGTCTCTACTAAAAATACAAAAGTTAGCTGGGTGTGGTGGCATGCGCCTGTAGTCCCAGCTACTTGGGAGGCTGAGGCAGGAGAATTGCTTGAACCCAGGAGACAGAGGTTGCACTGAGCTGAGAGCATGCCACTGCACTCCAACCTGGGGGACAAAGTGAGACTCTGTCTCAAAAAAAAAAAAAAGAAAATATTTGAACAAATAAATAAATAAGAAATGATAGACAAATCTCCCACGTAGTAAAACTTCAATAGTTTACATAGACATTACCCAAGAGGTGATATATCTTCCCACCACTTAAGAGTAGGATGCACACATTGATTTTCTTCTAAAGAATACTGTAGAGAAATGGTAACAGAGATTAAATTTACAGTGTGCAAACCTGGCCAGTGTTAACTAAGACATATGACCAAAGTTGACAGTATAACTGATAAGTCAGGATCATAGCACACACACTTGATATGATGTAGTCATTCTTCTAATAAATCATAATTCCAGTCTATTTATGAGAAAACCCCAGACAAATCTTAATTGAGGACCATTTTACTAAAACCTGACAATATTTCCCAAAACGCTTAAGGTCATCAAAAACAAATGAAAATACGAGAAACTGTCAAAGCCAAGAGGTGGCTAAGGAGATATAATGACTAAATAAATTATAGTATCCTGGATAGGATATTGGAACATCAAAAGGACACTAAATAAACCAAGTAAATATTAACAATGTATAGGCTTTGCTTAATAATGTGCCGGTATTAATTCACTTGTTGTGTCAAAGATACCACCATAATATATTAACAACAGAGGACACACAATGTTGGGTAAGTGAAATTTCCTGTACTATCTGCAAATGTCCACCTAAAGTATTCCTAGGTAAAAGCTTGTCTAAAAACAAACAAACCAAAAGCAATTTCAAATTCTTAGTATACCACATAGATTATTATCTGCTCAAGAAATTCTGCATAAATGGTTATTGATCTTGTTAATAAGGCAGTGCATCTGAGAGATGCTTAAAAATGCACCAATGTTTATGTTTCAGGATATCAGAAGGGTTGATTTTTGAAGTTAACAGTTTATATTAGGAATAACGTGTTACCAAAATACAGAAAAGTCTGTCAATTTTACAGTAAAATATATCTCTCTTGAATATGAAGGGAACAATCAGGAATTGAAGCTATAATTAAAGAATACATTCAAAACCCACAAGGCATTAGCATACTATGCAGGAATGTTTCCAAATATATGTACATATTGTATTCTTTCTATATGATAATTTATATTTAACCTTATTCTATGTGTTTTATATTAAAACTTTTAAACACCACATTTCACTGATTTAAGACTAGATTAATGTTAAAAATTTTACAAACCAAAAGCAACATACAGACTGAATGTAATCTATATCAAAATCCCAACGACATTCTTCACAGAATAGAAAAAGCAATCCTAAAATTTATATGGGACTACAAAAGACCCAAATAGCCACAACAATTCTGAGAAAGAAAAACAAAGGGGAAGGCATCACACTACCTCATCAAAATTATATTACGAAGCCTTACTAATCAAAAGAGTATGGTACTGGCACAAAATCAGACGCACAGACCACTGGAACAGAATAGGGAGCCCAGAAATAAAACCAAACATACAATCAACTAATTTTTTAAAAGGTCACCATGAGGACACAACAGGCAAGAGAAACAGAGATACCTTGGTTTTATGGTGCTTTGCTTTATTTTACTTCACATATATTGCATTTTTTAAATGAAACTTTGGGCAACCCTGCATCAGGTAACTCTTATCAATGCCATCTTTCCAACAACATGTGCTCATTTTATGTGTCTCTGCCACATTTTAGTAATTCTCAGAATATTTCAAACTTTTTTATTGTTACTTTAACTGTTATGGTGATCTGTGATTAGTTATCTTTGATATTACTATTGTAATTGTTTTGGGATGACACAAACTGTGCTCATATAAGATAGTGGACTAAATTGGTAAATGTATGTGTTCTGACTGCTCTACCAATCAGCCATTTCAACTTTTCTCTCCATATCCTTGTTCCTCCGTCTTCCCTGAGACACAATAATATTGAAATCAGGCCAATTCATAACCCTACAATGGCCTCTAAGTGTTTGCAGGGTAGAAATAGTCACACGGCTCTCATTTTAAATCAAAGCTAGACATGATTAAGCTTAGTAAGCAAGATAGGCTGAAAGCTAGTCTTCTTGCACAAGACAGTCAAGTTGTGAATGCAAAAGAAAAGTTTTTTTAAAAAAATCAAGTGTTACTCCAGTTGACATAGAAATAATAAGAAGTGAGACAGCCTGAGGTAGTGGCCTGGATAGAAGATCAAATCAGTAACATTTCCTCAAGTCAACACCTAATCCTGGGCAAGGTTCCAACTCTCTTCAATTCTATGAAGGCTGAGAGAAGTAAGGAAGTTGAAGAAGAAGAGTTTCAAGCTAGCAGAAGTTGGTTCATGAGGTTTAAGGAGAGAAACTACCTCTATAACACAAAAGTGAAAGGTGAAACAGCAAGTGCTGGTGTAGAAGCTGCAGCAAGTTTTCCAGGACATCCAGCTAAGATCATTGATGAAGGTGGCTACACTAAACAGGAGATTTTTAAATGTAGATAATAGAGTCTTCTATTGAAAGAAGATGCCTTCTGGGACTTTCATAGCACTTTCAGAGGAGAAGTCAATTCCTGGCTTCAAAGCATCAAAGGACAGGCTGATTGTCTTGTTAGAGGCTAATGTAGTTGGCAAGTTTCAGTTGAAGCCAATGCTCATTTACTAATTCAAAAAAGCTAGTGCCCTTAAGGGGCCCAGAAAAGCTAGGGCTGTTATGCTAAATCTACTCAGTCAGTGCTCTATCAATGGAACAACATAGCCTTGAGGACAGCACATCTGTTTATAGCATGGTTTGCTGAATATTTTAAGCCCTCTGTTGAGACCTACCACTCAGAAAAATAAAATTTCTTTCACGATATTACTGCTCATCAGCAATGCACCTGTTAGCCCAAGAGTGCTGATCGAGATCTACAGGGAGATTACTAATGTTGTTCTCACAACTGCTAACATACTGTGTATTCTGTACCCCATAGATTAAAAAGCAATTTTGACTTTCAAGTCTTATGATTTAAGAAATACAATTTACAAGGCGCTATAGTTGTCATGGATAGTGATTCCTCTGCTAAATCTGGGCAAAGTAAATTAAAAGCCCTTCAGAAATAATACACCACTCTAGCTGCCATTAAGAACAATAGTGATTCATGAGAGAATGTCAAAATATCAATATTAACAGGAGTTTGGAAGAAGGTGATCCCAGCGCTCATGGATGACTTTAGTGGGGCTCAAGACTTCAGTGGAGGTAGTCACTGCAGATGTGAAAGTACCAATAGAACTAGAATTAGAAGAGGAGCCTTAAGATGGGTCTAGATTGCCACAATCTCATAATACAATTTGAGTTGATGAGAAGTTGTTTCTTATGGATGAGCAAAGAAAGTGGTTTCCTTAGGTGAAAACTACTTCTGGTGAAGATGTTACAAACACACTTCAGATGAAAATAAAGGATTTAAAAAATTACATAAACTTGGTTGGTAAAGCAGTGTGGCAGGTTTTGAAAGGATTTACTTCAATTCTGAAAAAAACAAAAAACGTGGTACTGTAGGTAAAATGCTATCAAGCACTATTTCATGCTATGAGGAATTTTTTATGAAAGGAAGAGTTAATGGATGTGGCCCACTCATTTTTATCTTATTTTAAGAAATTGCCACAGTCATCCCCAACCTTCAGCAACCACCACTTGGATAAGTCAGCAGCCATCTATATGGAGGCAAGACTCTCTACCAGCAAAAATATTATAACTCATTGAATGCTCAAAAAATTATTAGCATATGTTAACAATACAATATTTTTAATTAAGGTATGTGTATTGGTTTTCATTAGACATAATGTTATTGTACGCTTACAGTATAGGGCAAACATGACTTTATATGAAATGACAAACCAAAAAATTTATGTGACTCACTTTATTGCAACATTCACTTTATTGTGGAGGCCTGGAGATGGAATAATATTATAAACTGTCTGGGCAAAACTGGATTTTCACATGGAAAAGAATTAAATTGAACTCTTATCTTACACCATAAACAAAAAACAATTTAAAATGAATAAAAGATATATATGTAAGATCTGAAACTATAAAACTCATAGAAGTGAACATAGAAGCAAATCTCCTGGACATGGCGATGGCAATGAATTTTTGTATATCATACCAAAAGCACAGCCTACAGAAACAAAAATAAAACGGTGAGATTACGTCTAACTAAAAATGTTTCTGGCCATCAAAGGAAACAATCAATAAAATGAAACAGCAGCTTACAGACTGGAAAAAAAAATTTACAAGCCATGTATCAGATGTAAAGAACTCATTCAACTTAATATGAGAAAAACAAATAACCTGAATAAAAATCAGCAAAGGACCCAAATAAACATTTTTTTTCAAAGAACGTATAAAAATAACAAATCATTATATGAAGTCTCTCAGTATCATTAATTTTTAGAAAAATGCAAATAAAAGCCACTATGAGATACCAGCTTGCACCTGTTAAAACAGCTATTATCCAAAATTTAGACGGCGGCAGCCCCACCTCATCTCCATGCCGCCACTGCTACCACTGCAAACGCATGCACGGATGCTGGCGGCCCTGCACCTACTGATGCCACAGCCACCATCACAAACACAAGCATGGAGCCTAGTATTCCCATCCCCACCAGCATGCCATCTCTGCCACATCACAGCAGAGGAATGCTACAGCCCTACACCAGCCAGTACCCCACTCCAGCTGACATATGTGCTCCCCACCGCACTCCCATGGCTACTGGCATGCATGAGTAAGCACAGTCCTCATTGTGACTTCTCTGAATGCTTTGGCCGGCCCCACCCATCAGAATATTGTGGCCAGTGGACTAGGAACACCTTGGCAGCTCCAATTCAGCAGGTTCCTAACCTCAAGGGGCCAGAGAAAAAAGTCAGGGACTAGTAGCAATCCACCAGAGGTAAAGCACGCAGCCCAGGAATGCTGAGCTCAGCCTTGGCCCCCCAAAATACTCCAGAAAGACATCCAGTTGACTGAACCCTTCTTATACCACAATCAAATACTCAAGGGCATCAAAGAAGATAAAAGCACACACACACACACACACAAAAAGAAATCTGCCCAAAGTATAGCAACTTCAAAGATTAAAGGAATGTCAGCCTTCACAGATAAGAAAGAACCAGTGCAAGAATTCTGGCAACTCAAAGAGTTGGAGTATTTTCTCACCACGCTAGTTCCCAGGCAGTGATTCAGAATAGATTCAGATATGGAAAGAGAATTCAGAATATATACAGCAACAAAGATGATCAAGTTTCAGGAGGAAGTCAAAACCCAATCCAAGGAATCTAAGAAATATAATGAAAAGATAAAGGAGATGAAAGACAAAATGGCCATTTTAAGAAACAACCAAACTGGCCCGATAGAGCTGAAAAACTCACTTCAAGAATTTCATAATACAATCACAAGTGTTAACAGCAGAAGTGACCAAGCTGAGGAAAGAATCTCAGATTGCAAAGACCAGTACTCTGAAATATTGCGGCCAGACAAAAATAAATAAAAACAAATAAAGAAGAATGAATGAAGCCTCTAAGAAATAAGGGATTATGTAAAGAGACCAAACCTATGGTTCACTGGCATCCCTGAAAGAGAGGGAGGAAAAGTAAGCAATTTGGAAAACATATTTGAGAATATCATCTATGAAAATTTCTCCTACCTTGCTAGAGAAGACAACATTAAAATTTAGGAAACACAGAGAAGCCCTGTGAGATGCTGACAAGATGTCTTCAACGTACATAGATTCTCCAAGGTCAAAATGAAAGAAAGATATGTGAAAGGCAGCTAGAGAGAAGGGGCAATTTACCTATGAAGCAAACACCATCGGGCAAACGGCAAACCTTTCAGCACAAAGAGCTTTGTTGGGCTGGATCTGTAGATCAAAAGCAATTACCCAGAATGCACATAGAGGCATAAGAAGATGATGAGTTAGAGAAACAAAGTCTAGTAAACATCTACACAGATCTGCAGAAAGAAGGAAGGGGGAAAGTTATGAGAGTAAACCTTTCAATATATAATAGATGAGAAAATTCTAGAATTTATGACAGACTGCCCTGTATATACAGGGAACGCAACATATTCCAGTAGAATAGAATATTTATGTGAAACAGAGAAACAGTGACAGAAAATGAGAAAAAGTGAGAGAGACTATTTTTAAGGTAGAGAGAAAAATTGCAATAAATAAGTATGTGAGAGTGTAATCATTAAAAGTTAGAAGACAGTAGGAAAATATCTTAATTGTATGTTAATGGAAAATAACTTTCAATTAAGAAATGTGTACCAAAATGTTTTAAAAATAATGACAGGATAAAGATGTTTCAATTAAAAGTTTAACTGAAAATATTTACTTTCAAAATAATCTTACTAAAGATCTTCAAAAAATGTTTTAAGAAGTAACAAAATTCCAGAGAAAAATGTGAAATGGAAGAAGAAATGAAAAATAAAATAATAAACATTTGACCAATATAAAGAATTATTGGGCCAAGTGAGGTGGCTAATGCCTATAATCCCAGTAATTTGCTAGGCCAAGGAGAGACGATTGCTTGAAGCCAGGTGTTTGAGACTATCCTCTGCAACAAAGAGAGACCTCATTGCTACAAAACTGAAATAAAATCAAATTAAAACTTATTCACGTGAAGTAGACTGTGCCTGTAGTTTCGGCTACTTGGGAGGCTAAGGCGAGAAGGTTGTTTGGTCACAGACTTTCAAGGCTGCAGTGAGCTATGATTAAGCCACTGCTCTCCAGCCTGGGTGACAGTAAGAACCAATCTCTAATAAAAAAAAAATTAAACAGAAATTAAAAATATTTATTTATTGAACAATACATTTAAATCCTAAATCTAGAAATTAGGATAAAGATAAAATATGGAGCAATGGTATACTAAAGTGTAATGTATACCTTATATAACACTATGCTAATTTTAATCTTTTAATAGAGAAATTAACATTTTACATTAACCACTAAAATAGCAGTAATAGAGTAGTAATGCAGTAGTTCTAAGCTGGTAGGAGGTAAAAATGGAATAAGGTGCAAAACATTTAGTAGCATAAAAGGTAAGAAAGAAGCAATGATGCAGAAAGAGAAAAAGGAAGAAAACAAAGTATAATACCTAAATATATTCAAGAAAAGCTAGAAAGTAGGAAAATAGCTTAAAGCAAGCAATAAATAAAACAAAATAAAATGAGATTCAAGTCAAGGTGGCAGATTAGAAGCAGCTCTTGAGCCACCCTCAGGACGAGGAAATGAGGTGGATGGTGAACACTGGCCCTGAGTGATGACTGTGAGACAATCACCTGAGAAGCACTGCAGGCTCCATCAAGGCAGAAAGGGACGCAGAGGACAGAGACGAGCAAAGCTGGGCAGCAGCCCACCTAGGATCAGTGCAGAGCCAGGAGAAGCTCCCAACACAGGAAAACAGTGAGTGAGTGACAGCCCCCAGGGGATTCACGCTTCCCGCAGGGACCTGCCCAAGCCTGTAAATGGGAGGAAGGTCCTGAACTCACTGGGGCCTCTAAACTGATACAGAGAATGCCCAGAGTTTTTGAGGGGATAGTATGTAACTTTATGGGGAACTCCACAGGCCTTGGACCCGAGAGTAGCCTGGTGCTACTTTCATAGCCACAATAAGGACAGGGCTCAGGAGCAGTAATTTTTCTACTCCCCTCACCAGACAAGGCTCAGCACAAGCTTCTAGCAGAACAGCCCTGCTTCTGCCTGAGCTTTGCAGGCTGGCGCTGCCCTGTGTTCCCCCAGGGAAACAACCAGACAGCATAGCCAGTGATTCCACCCACCCTGCAGCTTGTAGCCATGTGGGCCACACCTGCTGGGACTCCCAGCACAATAGCCACACTTCTGCCTGAACTCCGTGGGTAGGGGCAGTTCTGTGTTGCCCAAGGAAACACCTGCACAGTGGATTGGGTGACCCCACTCACTCACACTCCTCCTAGGTGGGCAAGACACATCAGTCGGGAATTCCAACACAGTGGACTCACCTCTACCTAAACTCTGTGGGAGGGTGCAGCTTTATGTTGCCCTGGGTAGCACTGAGATGACGAATCAGGTGACTCCACCCACCACCACTGCTGCTAGCCCAGTTGGATTTGCAAGTTTAGGCATTGCCTAAGCAGGTGGGAGCCCTCACTCTTGAAACACTGAGAGGTGTTAGATGCCCAGGTTTGCAGGCTGGTGGAGGAATAGGGTGTGCCTCCCTCTACAGGGCAGTCCCAGGAAGCATAGGCTGGTCTACCAACTGCGGACCCTGCCTGAGGGAGTCGCATGAACCAGAATATTTAACAAAGGAAACATGGGTGTGGAGCTAATGACTGGAGGGGGCACATCTGAGGCTCTGGAGCAGTTAATGTGAGGGGTCATCTCTCTCTCCCCCACCCACAGAACACTACTGCCAACTGTGCCAAAACATAAAAAAGCCTGGTGCTAAGAGCCTATCTGCCAGCCAACACTGTTAAGCACTACCTACTCGATCACAATCCAGAATACAACACCAAAATATTTTGCCAGTATAAAGTGCCAGTGAAAGCAAAAGCAAAGGCTCCTGCCACAAATCAAGATTCTGTACTGAGTCCTGGCTCTCTAAAAACACTCAGAAATGAGGCCAACTGACTATACTCAATTTATGTCACAGTTAAAGGAACACCAGCCTTCACACATGAGAAAGAATGAATGCAAGAACTTTGGCAACTCAAAAAACCAGTGTGCCCCCTTACCTACAAATGAACACACCAGTCTCCCAGAAATGCTTTTTAGCCAGATTGAGATAATGGCAAGGAAGCTCATCAGGATTGAGAATAAACTTGAAACCTAATCCAAGAGATCCAAGGAATCTAGTATAATCATCCAGGAACCACAAGACAAAATATCCATTTTAAAAGAGAACCAAACTGAATTTCTGGAAATGAGGAATTTACTTCAAGAATTCCAAAATATAATAGGAAACATAAACAGCAGAATAGATCAAGCTAAAGAAAGAATCTAAGTGTTTGAAGACCAGTTCTTCAAATGAAATCCATCAGACAAAAATAAAGAAAAAGGGATTTTTTTTTTACATGAGCAAAACCTCCAGGAAACAGGGGATTATCAAGAGACGAAATCTGTGACTCGTGGGTATTCCTGAAAGAGAAGGAGAGAAAGTAAGCAATTCAGAAAACATTTAACGATATAGTCCATGAAAATTTTTCCAGTCTTGCTAGAGAGGACGTACAAATTCAAGAAATACAAAGAAATCCTGTGAGATACTACATGAGATGACCATCCCCAAGGCACATTCACCAAGGTCACCACAAAAGACAAATCCTGAAGGAAGCTAGAGAGAAAGCTCAGGTCACGTACAAATGGGACCTTATCAGGGTAGCAGCGAAACTCTCAGCAGAAACCTTACAAGCCAAAAGAGGTTGGGGGCCTATATTCAACATTCTTAAATAAAAGAAATTGCAACAATGAATTTCATATCCAGCCAGACTAAGGTTAGTAAGCAAAGGGGAAATAAGATCCTTTTCAGACAAGCACATGCTAAGGGAATTCATTACCACGAGACCTGACCTACAAGAAGGTCTTAAGGGTGTGCAAAATAAGGAAAGGAAAGACCATTCCAGCCACCACAAAAACACACTTAATTACATCAAGCATTGACATTATAAAGCAGCCACAAAAACAAATCTGCAAAATAACCAGCTAACAACAAAATGACTGGATCAAATCTGTATGTATTAATATTAATCTTCTATGTAAAATATTAACCTTTATGTAAATATTAACCTGTTATGTAAAAATTAACCTTTTATGTAACCTTTTAATTGAGGCTAAAGCCCCAATTAAAAGATACAGAGTGGCAAGATGGATAAAGAAGCAATACAGAATCGTATGCTGTCCAGAGACCCATTTCAAATGGAATAGCATTTGCAAATGCAATAGCATAGGCTAAAAGTAGAGGGATGGAGAAAAATTTACCAAGTAGTTGAAAAACAGATAAAAGCAGGGTTTGCTCTTCCAATTTTCAGACAAAAACGGACTTTAAACCAACAAAGATAACAAATGATAAAGAAGGGCATCATATAATGGTAAAGGGATCAATACAACAAGAAAACCTAAGCATCATAAATATATATACACACCCACCACAGGCAGAATCAGATTAATAAAGCCAGTTCTTAAAGATTTAGAAAAACGAGATTTAGATAACCCTAAGTGGGAAACACCCAACTCACAGTATCAGAAAGATTATCAAGGCAGAAAACTGACAAAAATATTTGGGACCTGAACTCAACACTTGACCAAATGGACCTAACAGACATCTACAAAATTTCCTACTCCCAAAAAGAGAATATACATTCTTCTCATTTGCACATAGCACATACTCTAAAATTGACCACAACACTGCCCATAAAGCAATCCTCAGCAATTGAAAAAAAGCTGAAATCATACCAACCACACTTTTGGGACCACAGCAAAATAAAAATAAAAATAAATACGAATAAACTCATTCAAAACCATACAATTACATGGAAATCAAACAACCTGCTTCTGAACGACTTTTGGGTAAAAAATGAAATTAAGGTAGATATCAAGAAATTCTTTGAAACTAATGAGAACAAAGTGACAACATACCAGAATCTTCAAGACATAGCAAAAGCAGTGTTGAGGGAATTTTACAGCACTAAACACTCACGTGAAAAAGTTAGAATAATCTAAAATTAACAACCTAATATCATACCAAAAAGGACTATAAAAACAAGAGCAAACCAATCCCAAAGCTGGTAGACAACAAGAAATAACAAAAATCAGAGCTGAACTGAAGGAAATTGAGAGGGAAAAAAACCATGCAAAAGATAAGTGAATACAGGAGTTTGTCCTTTGAAGGAACAAATAAGATTTTTATTAGTCTAGACACTAGCTAGACTAATAAAAAAGAGAGATCTACGTAAACATAATAGGAAATGAAAAACGGGACATTACCACTGACCCAACAGAAATATAAAAAACTCTCAGAGACTACCATGAACATCTCCATGCACACAAACCAGAAAACCTAGAATGAATGGATAAATTTCTGTAAATATATAACCTGTCTAGGAAGAAATACAATCCCCGAACAGACCAATAATGATTTCTAAAATTGAATCAGTAATAAAAAGCCCACTAACTAGAAAAAGCCTATGACCAGATAGATTTACAGCCAAATTCTCCCAGATGTATAAAGAAGAGCTGGTGTGATTTCTACTGAAACTATTCCAAAAAATTGAGGAGGAGAGACTCCTCCCTAACTCTTCTATGAGGATAGCATCATCCTAATTCTAAAACCTGGAAGAGGTACAACCAAAAAAGAAAAAAATAAAATAAAATAAAATAAAATAAAATAAAAAAACTTCAGGCCAATAACTTTGATGAACCCAGATTCAAAAATCCTCAGCAAAATAATAGCAAACTGTGTCTAGCATCACATCAAAACGCAAATTCACCACAATCAAGTATACTTTATTCCTGGAGGCAAAGTTAGTTCAACATACACAAATTAATAAATTTAATGCATCACATAAACAGAACTAAAAACAAAACCATATGATTATATCAATAAATACAGAAAAATGTTTTTATAAAATTCAACATCCTTTCATGTTAAAGACTGTCAACTCACTAGCATGGAGGGGAAGATATTTCAAATTAATAAAAGCCATCAATGACAAACCCATAGCCAACATCATACTGAATGGGCAAAAGCTGGAAGCATTCTGCCTGAGAAACAGAAAAAGACAGATGTCTACTCTCAGCACTCCTATTCATCATAGCATTGAAAGTCTTAGCCAGAGCAATCAGGCAAGAGAAAGAAATAGAAGACATCCAAATAGGAAGAAAGGGAGTCAAACTATTATCTTTGTTTGCATATAACATGATTCTATAACTAGAAAACCCCATGGTTTTCTAGGGTTTTCATAGTTTTTTAGAAAACCTCACAGTTTTCTGTGGCCAAAAGCTGCTAGATCTAATAAACAGCAACTGCAAAGTTTCAATATACAAAATCAATGTAGAAATACCAGTAGCATTTCTGTAAATCCACAGTCTCCAAGCTGAGAGCTAAATAAAGAGAATAAACCTATTCACAATAGCCAAAAATATACTAAAATACCTAGGAATAGAGCTAAGCAGGGATGTGAAAGATCTCTACAATGAGAATTACAAAACATTACTAAAGAATTCATAGGTATTACAGACAAATGGCAAAACCTTCATGCTCATGGATAGGAAGAATCAACATCATTAAAGTGGCCATACTGCCCAAAGCAATTTACAGATTCAATGCTATTCCTATCAAACTACCAATGATAGTCTTCACAGAATCAGAAAAAAAACTATTTTAAAATTAATATGGAACAAAAAAGAACCCAAATAGTCAAGGCAATCCTAAGCAAAAAAAGAATACAGCTGGAGGCATCATGTTACCCAGTTTTAAACTACACTACAAGGCTACAGTAACCAAAACAGCATGGTACTGGTTAAAAAAAAAAAAGAACAGACACATAAATCAATGAAACAGAATAAGGAGCCTAGAAATCATGCTTCACACCTACAGCCATCTGATCTTCAACAAAGTTGACAAAAACAAGCAATGGGGAAAGGACTTTCTATTCAGTAAAGATGGTCCTGAAATAACTTGCTAGCCATATGCAGAAGATTAAAGCTGGACCCCTTCCTTACACCATGTACAAAAATCAACTCCAGATGGACTAAAGACTTAGCTGTAAGACCTAAAACTATAAATACTGTGGACAAGAACCTAGGCAATATTATTTAGAACATTGCCCCTTGCAAAGGTTTTATGATGAAGATACCAAAAGCAATTGCAGCAAAAGCAAAAATTGACAAATGGGACTTAATTCAACTAAAGAGCTTCTGTGCAGAAGCATAAACTATCAACAGAATAAGCGACAACCTACAGAATGGGAGAAAGTATTTGTAAACTATGGATCTGACACAAGTCTAATATCTAGAATGTGTAAGAAGCTTAAACAAAGTAACAAGCAAAATCAAGCAACCCCATTAAAAATTTGACAAAGGACATAGATACTTTTCAAAAGAAGAAATATACTTACTTAGATACTTTTCAAAAGAAGACCTATAAGCATATGAACAAATGCTCAAAACCACCAATCATCAGATAAATGCCAATCAAAACTACAATGAGATGCCATCTCACACTAGTCAGAATGGCTATTATTAAAAAGTCAAAAAATAATAGATGCTGGTGATGCTGCAGAGTAAAATGAATGCCTATATACTGCTAGTGGGAAGGAAAATTTGTTCAGCCGTTGTGGAAAGCAGCTTGGCAACTTCTTAGAGAACTTGGAACAGGACTAACATTCAACTAGGTATACACCCAAAGGAATATAAATTGTTCTGTCACAAAGACAAATGCATGTGTGTAATCATTACAGCACTATTCACAATTGCCAGGTCATGGAATCAAGCTAAATGCCCATCAGTGGTAGAATGGATAAAGAAAATGGGGCACACATAATCATAGAATACTATGCAGCCATAAGAATGAATTAGATCATGTCCTTTGCAGAAACATGGATGGAGATGAAGGCTTTTATCCTGAGCAAACTGATGCAGGAATAGAAAACAAAATACTGTGTTTTCTCACTTATAAGTGAGAGCTAAATGTTGAGTACACAAGGACGGGGAAAACAGACACTGGAGCCCCCTTGACTGTGGAGCCTGGGAGGAGGGTGAGGATCAAAAAACTACCTATCAGGTATTGTGCTTATTACCTGGGTGACAAAATAATTCGTACACCAAATCCCCATGACATTCAATTTATCTGTATAACCAACCTGCATATGTACCCCTGAACCTAAAATTAAAGTTAAAAAAGAAATTTAAAAAGTTGGTATGTTTTTATATGCTTATTATCTCTTTGGATATTTGCTTTGGTGTGGCCTTTTGTCCAGTTTTTATTAGGTTCATTATTTTCTTATTGTTGAGTATTATGAGTTTTCCTTGTATCTAAGAAATAAGCCTTTTATCTGAATCATGTTCTGCAGGTATATTCTCCCAGTTTGTGCCTTGAATTTAATTATCTTAATTGTGTCTACACCGACTAAAATTTTTTAATGTTAATATAGTCTAATTGATCAGCTTTTCCTTTCATAGGTCATGCTCTTAATATTGTATCCAAAAATTCATTATCAAATATACATTCACGTAAATCTCTTCTTTTAGAATTGTAAATAATTTAGGTTCCATATTTAAAATTATGATCAATTTAGAGAAAATTTCTTTGTGAAAGATAAAAAGTCTGGGTTTACTTTTTGTTTTGTTTGCAGATGGACTTCCAAATATATAGCACCATTTGTTAAAAAAAAAAAAACAAACTAAGCTTTCTACACTGGATTGATTATTCAACAAAAAATAAATTGACTCTATTTGTATGGCTCCACTTCTAGGCTATCTATTCTAATAATCTATATGCCTGTTATTTTACCAATACCATGCTATTTTGATTACTATAGCCTTATCATACATATTGAAATCAAGTAATTTATATCATTCTATCATCCTACTTTGTTATTCTTCTTCAGTATTGTATTGGCTATTTTCTCTTCACAGTAACTTTGGAATCAATTTGTCAAATAATTGATAACAATATTATGTCTTACAATCAGTGAACATATACTATGTGCCTACTTATTTAGATTTTTGTTTTTTTATCAGAAGTCTTAGTTTTCACATATAGATTCTATGCATGTTTTAGACATACTTACTTTTTTTATCTTTTCCAGTTTACTTTTTCATAGTAATGCTTTATTTTTTGATGAAGCTGTGCTCATTTTTTAGTTCCAGGAGTTATTTGTAGATTTTTTGTAATTTTTTTAAATAACAAAATTATGTAATCCACGAAAAGGACAGTTTTAACTCTTCCTTTGCAATCTCTCTATGTTTTCTTTCCTTTAATTTTGTCTTATTATACTAGCTAGTATTTTAGTATAGTTTTGAATAGGAGTAGGGAAAGAACACACTTTCCATGTTCTCAAATATTAGGGGAAAATTGTCAAATTTCTCACCATTACCTATAATTTTTGTGGATATTCTTTATCTAGTTGAAGAAGTTCCCCTCTTTTCCCAGTTTGATCACTGCTTTGATTATTAATGGGTGTTAAAATTGTCAAATACTATTTTTTATGCATCAGTGGTTATAAGTATACAATTTTTGCCTCTTAATATGGTATACCATTGCATAGATTGATTTTTGAATGTTGAACGATCCTTGTATTCCAGTACTACATCTCATTTGGGTTTAGTATATAATGATTTTAGACATCATTGGATGCAATTTACTAATAAGTTGCATCCAATTTATTAATAAATTTATTGAGGGTTTTTGCATCTATGTTCATGTTCATTCCAGGGAATTCATCCATTTCATTTAGTTTATCAGTATTGGTCTCTACATTTCCATTCCTGTCATGTCTTTATCACGTTCTGTTTTTAGAAAAATGCTAGTTTCATAAAATACATTTGGAAGTGTTTCTTCTGATATAATTTCTGGAAGAGATTGTGGAGAATTGGTATAATTTATTTCTTAAATGTTTGGTAGAATTCACCAATCCAGGCCTTGCATTATCTGTTTTGGAGTGTTATTAATTATTTATGCCATTTATTTAGTTGACATATATCTATTCAAATAATCTATTTTTCCATGTGTGGACTTTGCTAGGTTTTGTATTACAAGGAAATGGTCCAGAGTTTGTTCTATGGAAGGGCCATATATGCAAAGCAACCCCCAAATGCCAGAGGAGACAAGAAACCAAAGGAGGCAGGCAAATCCAGTTTGTTGGTATTGGTTGATTTATTAAGGGAACTTATAGACAAAAGCATGGTCTTGGGGCAGCCATCTGGCAGGTAGATCTCTGCACTGTCACTCCCCAGACAAGGCTCATATACCGCAGGAAAAGAGTATGTGCTCTAGAGATACAATTAAAGGTGACCCTCCAGAACAGGCAAGAGTGCTATGAGCTTCATAGCCTTTAATTTGTGTGATAACATCAAGGTTGCTTTGTTCTTACACTAGGGACAGTAAATAATGTAGGAATCAGGAGGCATATATGGAATTAATTATAGGTCAACATGGCATATTAACATCCAAGACAGAGTCACTTTTGTCTCCATGGAGTTCATAATATATATTTTTATTATGTTCTTAATACCAATGGTCTCAGTAATGATGACACTCTTTCTTTACTGGTATTATTAACAGTAA
Source organism: Homo sapiens (assembly GCF_000001405.40). NCBI lineage: Eukaryota > Metazoa > Chordata > Mammalia > Primates > Hominidae > Homo > Homo sapiens. Next base: position 53,752,745 of record NC_000007.14, read on the forward strand.
TGTGTGCTTTCTCTCTTTTTTTTTCTTGGTTAGTCTGGCATAATTACTAATTTTATCAATCTTTTCAAAGAAGCAGCTTTTGGTTTCATTGACTTTCTTGAAATATTTTCTATTTTATTGATTTCTGCTTTCCTTTTTATTACTTGATTTCTTCTGCTTGCTTTAGGTTTAAATTGCTCTTCTTTATCTAGTTTCCTAAATTGAAAAATTAGCGTATAGATTTTATATCTTTTCCCTTTTCTAATATATGCTCTTGGTGCTATACATTTCCCTCTAAACACTGTTTTTAATACATCCCACGATTATATCTTCTGAAACTGCCCCACAGTTCTTGGAAGCTTTTTTTCTTTTTGTTTTTCATTTTATTTTCATTTTGCATTTCTATTGGGGTAGATTCTGTGGACCTACTATCAAGCTCACTTATTATTTTATTTAACTTTGTCTAGCCCACTTATGAGCCATTAAAGCATTTCTTTCTGCTCTTAGAATTTTCCTCTGTTAAGGACTAAATGTGTGTTCCTTCAAAATTCATACTTTACAACCTTAACTCTTAATATGATAATATTCAGAAACAGGGCCTGTAGGAGATATAGAGTTGGATGAATTCATAAGAGTGGATCCCTCATGCAGGGATTATTACTCTTATAAGCAAAGACACAAGAGAGCTTGTTAGTTCTCTCTCTCTCTCTGTCTCTCTTAACCATATGATAACACAGCACAGAGGACATTTGCAAGATAGAAATAACCCTCAACAGAAACTTAATTGGCTGCACATTTATCTTAGACTTCCAAGCCTCTGGAAGTGTAAGAAATTAAATTCTATTGTGTAAATCACACCGTCTATGGTATTTTATTATGACAGCCCGAACAGACTAACACAGGTTTCTGCACTGGGAGCGAGTGCTGATGTATTAGAACAAATGCCTAAAAATCTGCAACTGTTTTTAGAGTGGATAATGACTAGAAACTAAAAGAGTTCTTAGGTACTAAGAATTCTAAAAATATGAATGTTAAGGGTGATTCTGCTGAGGTCTCAGATGGAAATAAATAAAATCTTATTGGGAACTTGAGGAAAGTTAATCCTTGTTATAACGTGGCAAAAAAACTTGACTGAACTGTGTTCTAATCTTTTGTGGAAGGTAGAATTTGCAAGTGATGAAATTAGATATTTAGCTAAGAAAATTTATAAGTAAAGTGTTGAAGGAGTGACTTGGTTCCTCCTGGATGGTTGTCATAAAGCGTGAGGGTAGTAAGATGGATTGAAGAAAAAATTGCTAAGCAAAAAAAGAACAGACCTTGAAGATTTCAAAAATTATCTGCCCATCAATATCATAAGCAAAAAAAAAAAAAAAAAAAAGAGAGAGAGAAAGCCTATCCTGAAGATCACCTAAGGATGTGGCTGCACTATTACTTGATAATTTGTAGGATTATACGAGCAGAAACACTGCCAGTCTGAATTGGAGGGGATGGAGACAGAATGAAACAAATGAAGGCTGTTGGACTCCTTGGATTTTACAGGATGTGACAGTAGAGCCATTTGGCTGCAAATGTGCACTGTTCTTCAAGAGAAAAAAAAATGACTTCAAATGTGACTCAGAGATTACCACGGCCACTACCTTATGGTTAACAGGAGGCTTGGTTGTGGGACAGCCCTTCGCGGGTTTTGGATCTGGGCCACCCAGCATCTTGGGGCCTGGCCTCTACCTCATAGAGCCTTGGGGTTTGCACCCCTGCTTAACAAAGCCATGGAGGCAGGGCCATGGTCCCAGTGGGCACAGAAGTTGACACCACCTCTCAGCTGGACTACAGGACAGAATATCAAGCCAAAAGAATTATTCTCATGATTTAAGATATAATGTAATTTGCTTTGCTAGGTTTGGGACTTGCTTGAGTCCTGTCACCCCTTCCTTCCTTCTTATATCTCCCTTTTGAAATGAGAATGTCTACCCAATGCATATCTCATCATGATATTTTGAAAGCATAAAATTCATCTGGTTTCACTGGTTCACATCTGGAGACAAAACTTATATCAGGATAAATTCTACCAGGAGCCTCACCCATACCCAATTTATATGATATTTAAATGAGAATTTGGACTTTAGGCTTTAAGGGTGCTACTGGAATGAGTTAAGAATCTGGTGGCTGTTAAGATGCAATATATGTATTTTGTATGCAAGAAGGACATGAATTTTGGGTGGCCAGGGGCAGAATGTTAGGGATTAAGAATTTGTGTCCCTAAAATTTCATAAGTTGGAGCCCTAACCTCCAGTGTGATGTATTTGGAAATTGAGTCTTCAGGAGATAACTAGGGTTAGACAAGCTCATGAGGATGGGGCACTCATGCTGGGATTAATAACCCAATAAGAAGACAGGCCAGAGGGTGCTCTCTTGCAAATGCATTTGCAAGACAGAAGAAAGCCCTCGCTAGTAACAAAATGGACCATCCCCTTTATTTTGGACTTCCCAGTGTCCATATCTCTTTTTAAAAAGTTAATTTCTGTGGTTTAAGGCACCCAGTGCATGGCATTTTTTTATGGCAGCCCAAGCTGAAAAACACATCTCTTTGCTTACATTTTCTGCTTATGCCATTAGCACTGCTAACATGTTAATCACAGATCAATTCCCTCTTTGATATTTACAATGTTGGTGTCATACATATGTCTGCTTTCAATTTTTGTTTTCTCTCTTCAGACTGTTTTCACTTGCCTTTGGATATTCTTTTAGGTTTTTGTTGTCAGCTAGACATGTTATGTAGGGTAAGAGAGGTAAAGTGATTTTAGAGTTTGGATTTATATAATTATTCCTAGGAGTTGGTCTTTACTCTTTGCTCTTGTTGTAGGTGCCAAAGGTGTCAAGTTTTACTATTGTTTTGTTTGCTTGTTTTTCTTCTCGACTTTGGGCAACTCTAAGTACTTCCCAGAGAGAGTCTGCTTACATCACTTTTTCAGTTTTAATTTACTATTACTATACTGAAGACCCGCTGGTGTGATGGTAAGGTGTGATGGAGGAGAAGCATTCTATAATATTATTATTAAACCTCAGATTTTTAATCGGCTTGTGTTTCTGTGCTGCGGCCTTCATAAAAGTTTTTCTAGTGGTATAGCCCACACACATATAGACTTACACACACCCAGACACATGCACACACACACATGCATGCATGTGCACACACACCACTCTTTCTTGAGATGTGAAGGCAAAAATAAAAGAATTTCTTTCTTCTATATGAGGAAAGCTTCTGGTAAAGAATTTTTCCGGGAAGAGGCTTTTGTTTTGCAGAATGCTCTGAGCAAATTTCACAATGATGAAATTTTCATCACTTTTCTTCCCCTGCTTGAGCCAGAAGAACTTTCTCAGCTCTTCTTCATGAGAACATGTTGGGATCTTGGACATAAAACCCATGAATAAGTGGTGCTCCTTTTAAGACAACAATCCCAGAAGCCTTTCTCTATCATGTTAGTCCACACTCAGCCTCCTCCAGCAGTTTGCCGAAATTCCCATTTGAATGCCTCCTCCTGCTAAGGTCCCAATATCTTCTAAGCCACAAAAGTAGCTCAGGATGCCACCCTTTGGAATTGCCTGCCTCTCCAGAGTTTAGAGTGACTGTTGGCTCTGCCAACTCAGGTGTCTGAGGGATCCAAGAAAAGCTGCTAATTCTCATCTGTTCAGCATTTACTTGTTACAGAAACAGGAGTGCTGACTTCTACACTATTTCTTGTGAGAGCAAAATTCAATTCCCTGTATTACTTTTTAAAAATATTTCCATTTTCTACATATTTTGCCTCAACTCATCATTTGTAGATTTCATAGAGGAATTCAACCTTCATTTGATTGAATGTTAGTGTATCACTTGTTGATACTACTTCATAAACTCATCTGTGTACCAACTTCAAGCATAAACAAAATGTTTCTCATCAAATAGAGATACATACTTAAGTCTTGTCTTGTATACCTTATACACCTCTTTGAAATAGTAATCAGAAGTCATTCACTAATATAGAGACTATATACACAAATAACTCTAGCATAATTAAAACAACAAAAACATATTTACAATCTAATAATCTTGTAGCAGTTTTTAATGTTATCTTTTGCTGCTAGTTTATCATTTGACAGCTTCTGTACAATTGGAGAAATTGCCTCTCATGCACACTTAAGTGTGTCATCCTTGTATGCGTCTCTTTTTCCAGGTGTTGCTCTAGTGCTCTTGGTGCTGCTGCTAGAAACCCCCTGCTAGGTTGCCATGCAATTGTAACTGGAGGAACCCCATGAGGAAAATGAGAGGTGGGGTGGTGAATAATTTTTTTCTCCCTTTCTTTTCTTCCTCATACAAGATCTGAAGATGACTGTAATGAGACTTCTCTGCAAATGTTCTGTAGAACAAAAATCGGTTGCACTTAGTTTTGACACGCTTGATGATACATTCTAAGACAGCTGTCTCTCCTTTCCTGCTTCACTCTGCCTCTCTCTGTGTTCCTTGGGTATAATGCTGTCAATATTAGCATCAGCTTATGCTTTCCGGGGAGCCTAGGCTAAGCCAAGTGAAGCCCCAGGTGATGTCTTTGCAAAAATAGAAGTAACTGTCCCTGGGTTCTATTGCCTACCTGTTCCTTCCTAAGGCCAAATTTCTGAACTTAAACCAAAGTGAAGTTACGATGTAAAATACCAAAGCCAGATGCTGATTAAGGCATGAGATGCATTGTTTCCTCAGCTTTAAAATTTAAGAAAAATTCAGGTGCCTTCAATTCTCTTATTTGTTACATGTAACTCATCATTTCACTAACAATAAAAAACAAAACACATGCACAATGAGTGAGATGAAATGAAAGTCACCTCATCTCAACTAGTCTTCATAAAACACTTTCTCCCATGTGAAAGTCTGTTTTGCCAAACAGAGGCCTTTAGTTCCCTATAGATCTAACCTCAGTAAGCCAAGGATAAATGCACTCTTAACTGGTCATCTGATTTTTAAAAAATAGAAACCTGCCAGCCTTCTCTCCCAATTGAATAGAGATTATTTTATTCACACTAAAATGTATAGTAGTTTAATTCTTGATAAATTTGCCATATGGGTGCTGAGGTCATAATTATCCACATGGAGTGGGAAAATCTGGGCATGGCTATTCCTCTACAGGCCATAGCTGTATGTCCTATCACTCTGTGAAGCATCTGTATGATCAAAATGGTTATTCATCACTCAAACTCTAATTCTGTCCACACAAATCAATAAGGGAGAAGCTGTAGCAAATCTATATGATCTCCTAAATTATCTTTATATAGACAAAGGACTTGTGTCTTAACAAAAATGGGTCAAAATACTTAATATTTTAACATAATGCATTGTACCCTACTTTATAATTGTAATTATATTTATAATATTTTAATGGCCTAAGCCTACTTTAATGACTTAAACCCAGTTTTGAATGAATTTAAAGGGTCCTTCTTGCTATTAGGTAGAAAATTATATGGCTTCTTTCAGCACTAAGTATAAAGGTTTTATTTTTGTCTTGTATAAGTGGACTCAACAGACAATTAGCTCTGCAACCTCATTAATTGCAGAAAGAATGGTACAGTGGCACAATGTCAAATATATTTAAATTGTAATACTTATTTTGGCAGATGTCAGCCAATATTTAATTGGCTTTTTTCCAACAAGTGCATAAAATATATAAAATCCATAAGTTATATGTAGGTGAATGTATCAAATAATTCATCTTGTAGTTCACCAAGAAGTGAAATTACTTAGCAACATTGTCCATAGGCTTAATTCAGTTTGCATGTATGTGGGTTTGACTGTAATGTGCAATTTCAATTAGAAGTCACCAATTGTAATATTAAAAATTCAATAATGCAAAAATTTAGTTCTTCAATTATCATTTGAAAATTACTAAAGACAATCTAAAATGAAATCCTCTTTCTTTCCACAGGCCCTTGTTTCATTCCTTGTAGAGGTAAAGTGGTTATTTAAGAATGTGTCTATTTATGTATCTTAATTTTCTTAGGAATGTTCGAAATTTCCATTGTTGATTGGTTGACAATCCATGTTAATCTATCTGAAGTAGCTCTTTAGAGGAAATGTAATCTTAAGCCATCTGCTTATTAATCCTTATTAATAATAATTTCAGAGAAATAATATTTGTAGACAATGTTCTAACATAATGCATGGTGAAATATTTTCTCAAGTATTCTAAATTGTAGCCTTAGGTTAAATCTACAACATTCAAGAATGGTTCCTTTGGACAATAATTTAGTCCTTCATAGAATGTATGCTATTGAAATTTAATTTGGCATTATTCAATTAACCTATCTTAAGGGACATTACAATAAACAGCTCTAGAATCTCTTCATTACATAAATTTTGGCAGTCATGTCAAGAAACTTGTCCAATAAATTGTTACTCTTCACAATGTAGTCTGCACATAAGTTTAGATCTACGAAATTTTGTTACTGGTCCATGACTAGAAAAGGAAAGAAATTCAAGTAAAGCGTTTTACCAATGTTTGTGGAATAAAGTAATTTTATGTCTGTTGATTATAATAATAAAAATAAGACTTTATATATCTTTAATATTTTTACTTTCATCATCATTGTGTCTTGCAAAAAAAAAAATCAGCTACAAAGTATTGGAACTAAAAAATAACAGTGGAAAGGTCATTCACTCTAGCTAGTTTGAGAAGCACTGTACCACCTCTTGTGGTAGATGCCTCAGCAGAATCCATAGACACTTCTCAGGCTCCTCTTGAGGGAAAACTTTCCCAAAATAAAATTTCAGCATTATCATCTGTTTGTTCATTTCTCCTTTTACCTTTGTTGTTTGTGTTGACTTTATAATACTAGAATCTGAAGACCATGTAATTTTTTCACCCATTTTTTTTTTTTGAGGTGGAGTTTTGTTTTTGTTGCCCAGGCTGGAGTGCAGTGGTGTGATCTCAGCTCACTGCAGCCTCCACCTCCCAGGCTCAAATGATTCTCCTGCCTCAGCCTCCCAAGTAGCTAGGATTACAGCCATGCACCAGCAAATCCAGCTAATTTTTTTTTTTTTTTTTTTTGTAGAGACGGGGTTTCTTGACTAGGGTTGCAATTATGCTTATCTTATGGGATGCCATAAGTACCAAATGAGACTATGAACAGAATTGGCCTTGCTATTAATGCCGTAGCCCAGAAGATGTATTTAACTTTTCACACTTATTATTATGATTTTGCACTATTAACTTCTGGTGGGCAAAGGCAGTATCAAAATCCTCATTTTATCACCAACATAATCAGAACATTGATGCTCTTAGAAGAGATAATGGTTCTTGGCAAGCTATTTGTGGCTTACCATTGTTTGGTGAAAGGAAAGCTTCAGAGTGAAATGTTGAGAATCAGCAGATGAACGAATAGCCAGTGGATGGGGAATGCAGCAGGTAGCTCTCCTGATCTGCCCACAGTCACATAAATGCTTATAAGGATGTAACTAAAGGCCAGTCACCTGCATTCACAGGGGGCAAGAATCAGAGAAACACCCCTGTGCCTTCATAGTTTAACGTTTCTTCCTCTTATGTTTACAGTGCCACGTGCGTACTTTATCTAGTTCAGGTTTCAATGCTCAGCCCCAAAGAGAACAAGGGAGAAAAGGACTAATTTTACATCACTGAAATTATTCCAGCTAAAACAAAATGTTCTTGTAACAGATGTAATTTGCATAGGCTTTTTTCCTTTTTCCTTTTTTTCCTTGAATTCATTTGTATTCCAATTAGTATTCTTCCACTGAATTCTGTTGGATGAACCCCAAGTAAGTGGATTGTCTCATGACCCCTATGTTCTTTTTGGTCTTCTAATAAATCTGGATAAATCATTTTACATTCATATCTAGTATGATGGTTAATATAAAAGAACTGTGATAAGCAAGATGGGTTGTCAGGAAATTTTTCAACCATTCTGAATCCACCATATCTTTGCTTTGAGACTTTTATTTCTTCAGATATAGAGATAAATCGAAAAAGGGGATCAGGTCATCAGAAAATCTTGGACATACATATAATGCAAATTACTCTGGTATTATATTAAGGTGTGTCTGAAACTACATTTAATATTTGATACATGCAAATTGGATTATAATATAAAGTTCCAAATTGAGATTTGGAGGCTGTGCTAAGAATATGAGGGAAATAGATGTGTAAACCTATTTAACTTTTCTGGGTATGCTTAATAGCAATTAGAGCAACTGATTTGTTTGTTTCAGCTAAGACTCACTTCAGGACTTCTTGAATGCTTTCCTTTCTATTTTAAGTAATTTTTAATTCAAAGTATATTATTTCCAAAAAGTTGATGATTGATTCATTTCAGCCCAATACTTTCTTTTTCGTGACCATTTATTATTTACATTATTCTATATATTCAAGTCATATTCTACTTTGTTCATTTACCATCATAAGATATACCTTTACTGTTGTGGCAGATGTACCCTCGGGTGACTCCCAGTGATCCATATGTCATGCCCTCCCATTGAATGATGGTAGTACTGCCACTTATTTCTAACCAATAGAATATAGTAACCAATAGGATATTCTAACCAATAGAACATAGTAAAGGTGACAAAATAGCACACATAACGTAGCATTTTTAGAAAATATAAGTCTTATCTTATCCAGAAAGAGAGACTTTGCTGCTGGCCTTGGAGAAGCAATGAAGGCCTACAGTTGGGGCCCCCTGGCTGAATTGTGGGCAGCATCTGGGACTGAGGAAGGTGCTCACCAGTAAGAAGTCAGGACCAAAGGCACAGATTTGGAACACAAGACTGGGTTCCAGAAAGAAACACAAACATGGTAACTACCTTGAGTTCAGCCTTGCAAGACCCTGACCACAGGACCCAGTCATGGACAGACTCCACACCCAGTACCACTAAGAAAAATGTGCATATTTTAAGCCATTAAATGTGATCATTTGCTGTGCAGCAATAGAAAAGTAATAAATGATGGTTTTAAAAGAAATCATCACAACCACTTTTTTTAAGGCTATATATTTTCCTGAGATTTTGAAAGATGGTAACTTTCATATTCAGTGTTTGAATGCTGGGCATTTAATTGGTTTCTAATATTTTCTCTAATGAATACTGTTATATTAATATTACAGATTATAGATTTTACTCATAGAATAGAAACTCAGAAGTATGGTTTGTAGTAATATTGCACTGAGGTTATTAACAAATGTGTTGACACTTATTGTTTAATTGCTTTCCAACATGTTTTTCTAATTAAGAGTAACAAGAAAGTATGAACATGATGTAGCATTTTGTGGATTATATATATATATATATGTATACACACACACACATATATATATACATACATATAGTTTTAATTACAGCTTTCATTTCAAGAATGTGAAACTGTCTAATTATTAGTTATTTACATTATCTTAGTAGACATTTTTGGTATTTTGGTTCAAATTTTTGTTGTTAGCATTTTGTTTTCCATACATGGTTTCTTTTTTATGCCTATAGATTATGTTATTTATTAATGGGTTGTTTTACAAATATTATTAATAGTCTACTGAAAAATAGAAAAAAATACCTCAAGAATGAGTAACTATATTTTTAGAATCATTTCGGTTTAACATTGTTTCTAGAAAAAATGGAGAAGAGGAATGCATCATTTCATCCTATTTTCCTTTATAGCTACTTAATTCCTTACCCTGTGTATGTAATGCTTATTGTATACAATAAAAGACAATTAAGTGAATAGAGCATATGCATCTATTTTAAAATTAGACATACTGTGACCCCATAAGTATGAATTCAAATTTTCTATTCAACTTCAGTGCAGATAAAAAAAATTCACAGTGTGTAAATTTTTCCCTGACCTTGATCTTGACCCAGCAAATCTACTTGGAAATCATGGCCATCAATTACTCCTTTCGTTCACTTGTCTTTGGCTTTTTTTAAATTTTATTTTTTCATATGTTATTGGTGTACAGGTGGTATTTGGTTACATGTCTAAGTTCTTTAGTGGTGATTTGTGAGATTTTGGTGCATCCATCACCCAAGCAGCATACACTGCACCATATTTGTAGTTTTGTATCCCTCGCTTCCCTTCCACTCTTCCCCCCAAGTCCCCAGAGTCCATTGTATTGTTCTTATGCCTTTGCGTCCTCATAGCTTAGCTCCCACATATCATTGAGAATATATGATGCTTGGTTTTCCATTCCCGGGTTACATCACTTAGAATAATAGTCTCCAATCTCATCCAGGTCTCCACAAATGTTATTAATTCATTCATTTTTATGGCTGTGTAGTATTCCATTGTGTGTATATATATCACAGTTTCTTTATCCACTCATTGATTGGTGGGCATCTATCTGGGTTGCTTCCACTATTTTGCAGTTGTGAATTGTGCTGCTGTACACATGTGTGTGCAAGTATCTTTTTCGAATAATGACTTCTTTTCCTCTGGGTAGACACCCAGTAGTGGGATTCCTGGATCAAACGGTAGTTCTACTTTTACATTTTAAGGAATCTCCACATTGTTTTCCACAGTTGCTGTACTAGTTTACATTCCCACAAGCATTGTAGAGGGGTTCCCTGTTCATCACAAATGGAATAAAAACTAAGATAAATATCTGGGATCTAATTAAACTAAAGAACTTTTGCACGGCAAAAGGAACCGTCAGCAGAGTAAACCAACAACCCACAGAGTGGGAGAAAATCTTTGCAATCTATACATCTGTCAAAGGTCTAATATCCAGAATCTACAACGAACTCAAACAAATCAGTAAGAAATAAACAAACAACCCCATCAAAAAGTGGGCTAAGGACATGAATAGACAATTCTCAAAAGAAGAGATACAAATGGCCAACAAACACAAAAAAATGCTCAACATCACTAATGATCAGGGAAATGCAAATCAAAACCACAATGTGATACCACCTCACTCCTGCAAGCATGGCCATAATCAAAAAATCAAAAAGCAGTAAATGTTGGCATCTTTGGCTTTTTCAACCTTGTTGGCTTGTGCCACGAAGATGGTGAGCTTTCTTTTTTACTTTCTTTTCTGGGGGGGTTGGGGAGGCCATGGGGGATATGGAGTCTTGCTCTGTCACCTAGGCTGGAGCACCACCTCCCTAATTCAAGTGATTCTTCTGCCTCAGCCTCCTGAGAAGTTGGGATTACAGGAGTCCGCCACTATGCCCAACTAATTTTTGTATATTTAGTAGAGACAGGGTTTTGCCATGTTGTCCAGGCTAGTCTCGAATTCCTGAGCTCAGGTGATCCACCTGCCTTGGACTCCCAAAGTGCTGGGATTACAGGCTTGAGCCACTGTGCCCAGCCTAAGCTTTCTTAATTCTTTCTGATCAATAACAAAAACAATGTGTTGGTTCCTATTTCAGCAATAATCTTCATAAGGTTCTGAGAAATGATGCATAATAACTGCGATATCAGTAAGAGATTACAATTTTCCCATTTTTTAAAGACTTCATTTTGTAGAGCAATTTTTATCTCATTTTTTAAAATTTCCAACTTTTAAGTTGACGGGTATATGTGTAGGATGTGCATGTTTGTTACATAGGTAAATGTATGCAATTGTAGTTTGCTGCACAGATCATCCCATCACTGAAGTATTAAGCTCAGCATCCCACACCCCATCCTCTCACCGCCCCCCCACATCCTCCCTCAGGCCCCAGTGTGTGTTGTTCCCCCCAATAGGTCCATGTGTCCTCATCAGTCATCTCCCACTTATAAGTAAGAACATGCAGTATTTGTTTTTCTGTTGCTGCGTTAGTTTGCTAAGAATAATGGCCTCCAGCTCCAGTCATGTCACTGCAAAGGACATACTCTCATTCCTTTTTATGGCTGCATAGTATTTCATGGTATATATGTACCACATTTTCTTTATCCAGTCTATCACTGAGGATCATTTAGGTTGATTCTATGTCTTTGCTATTGTGAATAGTGCTGCAATGAACATACATGTGCATGTGTCTTTATAACAGAATAATTTATACTTGTTTGGGTATATACCCAGTAATGGGATTGTTGGGTCAAATGGTATTTCTGCCTCTAGTCTTTGCGGAATCACTACACCATCTTCCACAGTGGTTGAACTTCCACCAAAAGTATAAAAGCATTCCTTTTTCTTGACAACCTCGCCAGTATCTGTTATTTTTTGACTTTTTAATAATCATCTGGTGGTATCTCATTGTGGTTTTGATATGCAATATTCTAATGATCAGTGACATTGGGCTTTATTTTATATTTGTTGGCTGCATGTATGTCTTCATTTGAGAATTGTCTGTTCACGTCCTTTGCCCACTTTTAGTGTAATTTTAGGTTCACAGCAAAACTGGGCAGAAAGTACATGAATATCTCACATAACCCCTCCCCCTACACATGCATAGACTCACTCATTATCAACTCCTTCCCAGGAGAGGTACATTTTTCCAAATTTATGACTTGCATTGATGCGTCATTATCATCCAAAGTCCACAGGTTACATTAGGGTTCAGTCTTGGTGTTGAACATTCTGTGGGTTTGGACAAAGGTATAAGGTTGTGTACCCACCATTATTGTATTATACAGAGTATTTGCACTGCCCTAAAAATCCTCTGTTCTCTTGCCTGTCCCTTTCTCTCTTCCTTTAACCCCTGGCATCACTAATATTTTTACTTTTTCCATAGTTTCGCCGATTTCAGAATGTCATAAAGTTGGAGCATAGAGCATGTTGCCTTTTGGACTCTTAAACTTAACAATATGCACTTACTTTTCCTCCATGTTTTTTTATGGCTTTCTTAGCTCATTTCTATTCAGCACTGAATAATATTCCATGGTCTGATTGTTCCACAGTTTATTCTTCCATTCACCGACTGAAGGACATCTTGGTTGCTTCCAAGTCTTGGAAATTATGTGTAAAACTTCTGTAAGCGTCCACGTGCCTGTTTTTCTGTGGGGACATACATTTTCAGCTCCACTGGGTAAATACCAAGGAGCACTGCTGGTAGATGGTATGGTAAATCCAAGTTTAGCTTTATAAGAAACCTCCAAGCTGTCTTCCAAAAGACTGTACCATTTTGCATTCCCATCAGCAATGAGAATTGCTCCACATCCTCAAGAGTATTTGGTGTCAGTGTTCTGGGTTTTGGTCATTCTAGGAGATGCATAGTGGTGTCTCATTGTTGTTTTAATTGCACTTTTCTGATGACATCTGACGTGCAGCATCTTTTTATATGTTTATTTCCTACCTGTCTATCATCTTTGGTGAGGTGTCTGTTAAGGTCTTTGGCCCATTTTTCAACCAAGTTGTTCATTTTCTTATTGTTGAGTGTTGAGTTCTTTGTCTATTTTGAAACTGAGAGGCAAAATAATGAAAGCAGCTCCTGAAGTGAGAATCCAATAAGGGCTCGGGGAGACTCTAGTAGCAACTTCAATGCTCAGCTTCTGATATACATCTATATTCTTGTCTTGGGAGTCCGTTGAATATTCCTGTTTCCTTCTAATTAAAGTTTCTTCTAAGTTAAAAAAAAAAAAAAGGAGTTATTTGTATATTTTGGACAAGAGTCTTTTGTCATATGTTTATTTTGCAAATATTTTTCCCAGTCTAGTCTTTTCATTCTAGTGACTGTATCTTTCACAGAGGAGAAACTTCCATCATGTTTCTTTCTTTCATAGATTGGGCCATTGGTGTCATAGCTAAGAAGCCATCATTGAACTCAAGTCATCTAGAGTTTCTTCTATGCTATCATCTAGGAGTTTTATAGTTTTGAATTTTACATTGAGTTCTGTGATCTATTTTTAATTAATTTTTGTGAAAGATGTAAGATGTAAGGTCTGTGTCTAGACTCCTTTTTTGCATATGAATGTCCAATTGTTTCAGCACTATTTGTTGAATAGACTGTATTTTCTCAATTGAATGTCTTTGCTCTTTTGTAAAAGATTGGTTAACTATATAGATATGTGATTTTCTGTTTTGTTCCTTTGATCTATTTGTCTATTATTTCACCAATGCCACAAGGTCTTGATTACTATAGGTTTATAGTAAGTCTTGAAGCCAGATAGTGTCAGTCCTTTAAATTCATTGTTCTCATTCAAAATTGTGTTGTCTATTCTGAGTCTTTTGCTTTTCCACATAAACCTTAGAATCAGCTTGTCAATATTCACAAATGAACTTGACTGGGATTGTTGACTGGGATTGCATTGAATGTTGCAATGCAATGTTGACTGGGATTGCATTGAACCTATAGATCATGTTGGGGAGAATTAACATCTTGACAATATTGAACTTCCTATTCATAAACATAGAGTAAGTCTCCATTTATTTGGTTCTTCTTTGATCCAATTTTTATTGTAAGAAAATCCACATAACTTAAAATATACTATCTTAAGTATTTTATGTGTAAAATTCAGTGGTATTAAGTACACTTGTATTGTTTTGCACCCACCACCACCATCGATCTCTAGAACTTTCATAATTCCAAACTGAAACTGTATACCCATTAAACAATGACTACCTATTCCCTTCTCCCCCAACCCCTGGTAACCACATTCTATTTTCTGTCTCTATGAATGTGGCTACTATAAGTACTTTGTATTAGTGAAAACATACATACCATATTTTGTGTGTGTGTTTGTGTGTGTATTTGAGTGTGTGTATGGGAGGGTGTGTGTGTGTGTGTCTGGCTGGCTGTTTCACTTAGTGTAATGTCATTGAAGTTCATTTCTGTTGTAGCATGTTTTAAGATTACCTTCTTTCTTAAGGTTGAAAAACTAAAAATGCATCACATTTTTTTAAATCCAACCTTCTGTCTGTCTACAGACACTTCAGGTAGTTTTCACGGTTTAGTGATTATGAATAGCTGCTATGAACATAGGTGAACAAACATCTTGTTAAGACGCTGCTTTCAGTTCTTTACGGTATATATTCAAAAGTGGAATTTCAGGATCATATGGCAATTCTATCTTTAATTGTTTTGAGAAACTGCCAAATTATTTTCACAGTAGCTGTACCATTTTACATTCCTACCATCAGTGCACAAGGGTTCCAATTTTTCCACATTCTTGCCAACAATTTTTTCCCTGCTTTTGTCTGTTTGGTTTTGTTGTCATCCTAGTGGGTGTGAGGGATTATATTTTAAAAAGTAATATTAAAATAATTAGTAAAATAAAAAGTAATTTTCACAAATCTTTTGTCATTTATTCATCATAAAACACCTACACTTTTGCTATGTGTTTTTATGTCCCTATTTTAAAATTGTGAAATTAACTTCTCTTATGTAGAAACTTATGGAACAAATACTGCAATCCAAGTCTTCTGACCTGAAATCAAGGATTCTCTCCATCATCCTATTTTACTATTTCCCCTACCAGTGCATTTCACAGAAGGACCTAGATAACCAATAATTTGGCTGAGTGGCAGTGTTTTAATTGTAATTTTGATGAATATCAAATGATAATGTTTCAATAAAATAAAGAAATGCCTGCTTGAGTAGCATATACCACTTTTCATGTTTCTCTCCACATTTTGAAGGCAGCCAGTCCTTTTCAACTGCTTTTCAGAGAAATGTAGCAGGAAGCAAAAACACATCTTCAGTGCTCTGAGTAATAACTTGACACATTGCTTAAAAAGAATCCCAGCTGTGCTGTTTCATAACTCATATGTTTGAAAGCTTCTGCTGATTTTTCTACATGTGGGGAATGGTTTTGCCTTATTTGCCACTTCAGTTTGCATGATTTCAAACATTCTGCTCAAAGAAAATTTCAAGCACTCAGCTCTTTTCAGAAACAAGGTATGCCTCTCTGCATAGAAAAAAAATGTCACCACAAGCAAGTATTCCCTTGGACAAGTTCACCTTCATGACAGTATGTGCTCAACTCTTGCTCACTCCTGGTGCTAGCCACTTACCATCACTCAGCTCTGGGGCCTCTGAGGCATATTCTAGGAACGGTGGGTGCCACGATTAGGAACACGTCTTTGTACTACACAAGACACCTCTCTGCCTTGCAAACTACTTGACAGGCAGGGGCAGACCTTCACCACTCTGAGGGGGAATGAAGCTTTACAATTTCAGAAGGATTTTCTGTTTTCTGAGGAGCTACATTCTCTAGCTGCTTTTTAAGCCTCCATTCTCTGATGTGTGCAGATCACAGTACAGAGCTGGCAGCACTTTATTAGGAAAAACAAACACTTTTAGGTTTTATAGCTCTCCAATTTATGCAATCCAATGATATGGTAGCAAATTTAAAAATGCACAGTCCACAAAATGGTGTCTACCATATTTTCTTACTTTTTCTCAATTGCTTTAAGCTCACCAAATGCATCGTTTCTCACCAGATTTAGCAGCAGAATATACTTTGTGTTAGATTAAGTTTTCCAAAGAAATAATCACATGGTATTTATTATTCTCTGATTATGTAATAGATAATCAATTGAAGATAAAATATATAGTTTGAACTAGAAAGCTAGTGTTGACAGAAGTAATGCATGACAGTAAATATTCAAACTCAGTCCCACTTATATACTTAGGTTATTCACTGGTAAACATGACAGTTGGAAATGCTGCACTTAGCAAAAATTATTACAAGGTTATTGAACACTTAAAATATTATTTGAAGGTAAATGTAGTTTAAAAAAAGGACTGTGAAATCAAGAAGAATGTCTTAATCTACTTTACTTCCCATGTACACCTCCCATTGTGTCTTTTTTGTTTTGCAATGAGATGAAGTTGAACTGTGGCTCCCCCCCTGCTTCCCTGATCCAGGTTTTTCCTTTTCTCCCCAATACCAAACTTCTGTTGGAGAAATACTTACTGACAGCAGAATCCATATCTCAATCTCAGACATCTCCCTGAGGTACTGCCCTCAAATATTTAACTTGCTTGAAACTCCCACTACTTGACACCCAAACCTCACAGGAGCAAACAAAAAACCCTGATTTTACCCCAACACTCCCTCTTCTACCCCCTTACTTGCTCCAGCAGCAGCTTTTCCCAATTTCAGGCATAGAAATTTCATTCTTACTTGTTCATGCCTGCAACCTCAACCTCAATCTTGACTCGTCAGTTTGTCTTCTTCTCCAGATCCAAATGTAGGATATGCAGTTGCTTCTCTCATCAAAACAATATCCATAGTCTGACTATTTTCCCTACTCCACCTGGTCTGTGATCCTGGCTGCCACTACAGTTGTGGTCATCAATAACTCACCTGTATTACTGACAGCCTCCTAGGGATCTCCATTTCTTTCCCCTTTCCTACCTCTATCCACACACAGATTAGTCTCAAGTATTTTCAAACGTAAATCCAAATTATATCATTCTTGTATTAGTTTGTTTTCATGCTGCTGATAAAACACACCTGAGAATGGGGAATTTACAAAAGAAAGAGGTTTAATTACAGTTCCACATGGCTGGGGAAGCCTCACAATCATGGCAGAAGTCAAGGTGGAGCAAAATTCACATCTTACATGCATGGCAGCAGGCAAAGAGAGAATAAATGCCAAGCGAAACAAGTTTCTCCTTATCAAACCATCAGATCTCGAGGCTTATTCACTACCATGACAACGGTATGGGAAAGACTGGCTCCCGTAATTCAATCATCTCCCACTGGGTCCCTCTCACAACATGTGGGAATTAAGAGAGCTACAAGGTGAGATTTGGGTGGGGACACAGAGCCAAACCACATCAACGCTTTTTTCTTTTTATTGAGACAGGATCTCATTCTGTTGCCCAGACTGGAGTGTGGTGGTGATCTCAGCTCACTGCAGGCTCCACTTGCCAGAGCTCAAGTGATCCTCCCACCTCAGCATCCTGATTAGCTGGAACTATTTGCATGTGCCACCACGCCCATGCATTTTTGTATTTTTGGTAGAAACGAGGTTTCACCCTGTTGCACAGGCTGGTCTAAAACTCCTGGGCTCAAGTGATCTGCCTGTCTCGGCCTCCCATAGTGCTGGGATTCTAGGCATGAGCCACTGGACACAGCCATCACTCTTTTTTCAAATCCTGCAATAAATTTCCATTTGACTCAGAGCAGATGCCATATCCTTGCAATGGTTTGTGAAGCCACATGTCATCTGGACCTCATCAGCCCTCCAATGTCCTGTGCCATTCTCCTGGCAGCTCAGCTCTCCTCTGCCACCTCCCCTTCCTCATTATTCCTGGCAAGTGCCAGGCACACCTCCACTTACGGCTTTAGCACTGATGGTCCTGGCAGGAATGCACATTCCCCAGAGTATCTGTGCTTGCCCCTTCACCTTCTTCAAGTGTGTCATCTCCTCTCTGTGAGGCCCACCATCCCCACTTCATTTAAGATCTCAGTTGGCCTTCTCATCTCTCTTCCTTGCTCTGCACTTTTATTTTTCATTTTCGTGGCATTTATATTGTTCAAATATACCATGTAATATTTATTTTATTGTCTGTTGCTCATGTCCCTCTGCTAGAGAGTAAAACCCACAAGAGTAGAGATCTCCTTATGGAAGACAAGCCCCTTTCTAGCTGCTCAATCAACAAGTTCTTAATGAACACAAGTTCTTCTGGGCTTGGTGCTAATCAATGAGGATAAAAATGCAAATTAAACCCCATTGTCAGTGAGCCCACAAATTAATTTTTACTCATGTTTTAATACTCCTCCCTAAAAAAAAACTGGAAGAATTTAAAATATCATCTGCATATATGAGTAATGACAGGGCTTGTATGACCAGCTAAGGATTACATTTTGACTTACGGTCGCCATGCCTGGGAAAGAATGCCAAAGCAGGGCAGACACAGCTGCTGTCTCGAGAACCCTTTTGGGAGTATCCAGCGATGGTAGAAGTCACCGTGATCCCTAATCCTGGTATCTGTCTTGCTTGCAGTTTCTGTTTTTCACAGAGTACTTTTTTCAAAAATACCTGGTGGGCTAAAAAAGAAAGCAGCCTAATAGCGTTCATTTTGAGCAGCAATTCACTGTACCGACCAGAGCCAAAGCCAGAAAAAAAAAAACATGTCTATCTTTATCTTAAATCACACAGAAAACTTGAAGGGATAATGGAAATATATGTGAATAAAATGTTTGCCTTTCAAATGCTTTTTGCTAAAAGTAATTAGTGTTAAAAGTCCAGTGGTCTTTACATGATGGATTGCATTCTGTCAGGTCCTGTGACAAGACCCAGGTCAGGTCCCAACCTCAGGTGCGGTTAGAAAAAAGCCTGGTAGCAGGGCCTCCTCTCTCTCTCGGTCATCACTTCTGATTTTAAGTGCTTTACCCATGAAGGTGCTAATGGCCTGAACCAGGTTTCTGATTGACATATTGTTTTAATAGTGGGTTTAAATAGAATTACTTGTAAATGTATAACTGATATGTGGGGCAAGGGGCACAGTGACAGTTGTGACAACTCCTCCTGTTAATTTTACTGTGAGGCATCCACATTTCCAGGAGAAATACCAGAAATCAGATGACCATACTGTCAGTTAAAACTAGGTACCTTCAAAAACTTTTCCTTGTGGAAAATTGAAGTCAATTAGGGCCTCAAAGATATCTTGTTCAAATTTCGGTTAAAATATGTTTATCCAAACATGAAAATATCATGATGGCTTGCATATTTATATGTATCTATATCTATTTATCTATATCTATGTATGTATTTATATCTTTCTCTCTCATATGGATATCATAGGTATCATATCTATATCACATAGATAGCATATCTATATATCATAGATGTATCAGAGAGAGAGGGAGAGAGAGGGAGAGATGGAGATTTTTTCTGTAAGTTGATTTGAGTCTTTTCTGATAAACTGGCATGACTTCATTTGACCATTATGATTTTCTCAGGGAATGTATTTTTAACTAACAATTCTCAACAGCAAGAGTTCAGATATTTTACAACCTTATCAAGTTGGAAGTCAATCTATATAAACATGGATGTCATCCTAGTTTTACAGTCTGCTAGAGAAAATGACCTTAATAGCCAGAGTTTTAGTTCCCTGGAGAACAAGAACCAGTTTTGGAATTTAGATAGTAATGGCATTTCGGCATCCCTTGCCAGCCCCACTCCTTTAATTCTCTTTGAACTTTGTCTTTCTCATGATTAGTTCACAATGAGCTACATAAACCTTTGGCATGTGCTCACAAACGTATTTGTTTGCTTCTTGTAGTTCTGCTCTTCGCATCCACACCCCTTAGCATAGCCAGCTGATGGTAGAAAGCTCCCGGCTCTCCTGGGCTTGTAACCCTCCTGAGGAAACAATGTCAGTTTCCTTTTGTTTTTGGGACCCTCCAGCCAGTGCAAGGGAACCTAGCCTATCCTTGAGACCCTTTCGAGCAGAGGAGAGCCATCCTTCACCCTGGATCTCACACTTCACACCACCTTCCTTGAAATATCTGAGAATGCTCTCCTGCTTTCTAGCTTTCTTGATTGTATGCCAAATTTAATGATACGCATTTCTTCTTGTGCATAGAAGCTTAGAAAAACATTCTGATTTCCAAGTCCTATGCACACCCTCAATGATCTTTTTGCTTTCCCCCAAGAGCAAAGGACCCATTGTTTATAAACATCTGAGTGATTCCCATCCCTGGAAGCAGGAATCTTCAGGAGAAAGTAGGTGGAGGCCACAGTATACTTGTAAAAACTGCAGGAGAGGAATGTCTTTCCCAGCTTTAAAAATATTCCTGCAGTGGGGAAAATTAGTTACGATTATTTTGGAGCAGATATTATTCAAGATACCACGTTTAAGAAAAACAGCAAATAAAAGATCATAGATCTCTTTCTCATACTGACTGTATTCCAGCATGAGCCACAAACATGAAGTGAAAATGTCCAAATTCATTCCTAAGGGACACTCCGTGGCAAGTGCTACACCGGAAGTTGCCAGGAAAGAGAGTAAGAGTCCTTCCTTTGCCTGGTCTAAAGGGTGCTGGAGAGATTCTTTGAAACCCTGGAAATGAGATTTGAAGAATGAGTAGAGCATCACTGTTGAAAGAATGTTCATGGATGGCTTATTTCAGAGAATGAGGCAGTATTCTCCATTCCAAGAGGCTACCAAGTGCCTTATGGAAACAGGAGAATATCTTCTTCCCCCAAATGTCCCTCTCCAGCTACGAATCTATGCTTCACTGTTTACAACTGGTACCGTCAGAGGAAAAACCAAGATGCTTCAAAAAGACACTTTCTAAGGGCACACCTTCCTCCACAGGCATGAACACTGTTTGTTAGTGTGGATCTGTCTTGTTTTCTTCTGCTTGGGGTTTTAGGCAAGTAGTGTGAAGCTCTTGCTTGCTTTTCTCTCATTCTATGAAGTTAGAGTGAGGAACACCTCTTTAAAAGAAAGATTTTCAAGAGAATATACAAGGAAATTTAAATGGAAAGACAGATTAAAGTAAGTAATCAGCCCTTTTTTTTTTAAAGCACAGAAAGGGTAAAAATGAAATTAACAGCTTGAAAAAGAAATAAGCAAATTTAAAAATTTATTCTGTGCCTTTCCAATGCAGTTAAGCTTCTCATTGACTTCTTACAAAGTCGTTTCACACCAGCCTCCAAGATCGCCCTCCACTCATTCTCACCATAATGCAGAGACTGCAGGGATTTTACCATTTCCCTTCATATTAACAACCTGGCTGTTACACAGGCTGCTGGAGGCAGAGGAAAGAAGGCAGCTTTCTATGCATTTCTCACCTCTTCATTGACCAGCCTTCCTTTTGTTGGAATTAGTGATTACACAGGTCAGCACTAGTAAATTTTCTCTGCATGTAGATATGATAAACTCCACAAGTAACATAGTCAATGAGCAGATGTGAGGTTAGCTGCACAACTTTTGTAAAACTAAAAGGACATTGCTCATTCATATTTCCATACAATCCATCTTAAATGAAATTGAAAGATGAACCAGGCTGTGGAGGGATTAAGGCCTTAGTCACAATTTTGTGAATTCTAAAGAAAAAATCATCAAGAATTTACTTCTGCATAACTATTCATGTGCTACTCTTCGCAAACACTTCATTAAAAAATCCAATACTTTCAAGAAAGGTTGAACAAATCAAACCATTTTTACCTATGACCTCCTTCCCTTAAAAATCACCAAAACAAAAATACATCACTGTGAATATTTGTGTCCTTTTCAAAATTCATGTTGCAACTTAATCCCCAATGCAATGGTATTAAAAGTGAGGCCTTTAGAAGGTGATTAGCCCATGAAGGCTCTGCACTCAGGACAAGAGTAGTGCTCCCATAAAAGGGTGCGATGGAGCAAGTTTGGCACTTTTTGCACTCCAGCCTTGTGAGGACACAACATTCTCTCTTTCTGCCAGGTGATGATGCAGGAACAAGGCACCATCTGTGAAGCAGGGAGCTCTCATTGGACACCAGATCCGCTGGCACCTTGATCTTGAACTTCTCAGCCTCCAGAATTATAAGCAATAGATTTCTATTACTTATAATTTACCCAATCTAAGGAATTTTGTTACAGCGGTATGAATCAACTAAGACACTAATATATATATATATCTTCAATTAAATAAGGAAAGAGCCAAAA
This sequence comes from Homo sapiens, assembly GCF_000001405.40. Lineage (NCBI taxonomy): Eukaryota > Metazoa > Chordata > Mammalia > Primates > Hominidae > Homo > Homo sapiens. The sequence continues at coordinate 53,775,219 of NC_000007.14, forward strand.
AAAGCACACTGTAAATAATGTACTTGATAGTGTAAACTTTGGCCTAAAATAAGGGAGGATGTTAGGAGTCATCATAGATCTCCCTAAATATCTAACAATATGAATATCTCTCCCAAACTTAGTTATATGATATGAATGAGCCAAATCAGAATGTCATTTATGAATAAAAGGGAAACAAAAGAATTTAAGCATGTCAACATAGATCTAGATGTGCACTACAGAATATCAGAGACTTGAACAATGACAGATGCACATTCAGCTATTGAGACACCCTACTTTTTCCCCCTGAAACTCAGATATTGTTGTTTTATTTTGTTTTGTTTCCCACAGAATCATCCTGAAGGTAAAAAAAGAAGCAGGAGAGAACAAAATTTAGAGTTAATTAGGCTATCACTGACCAGAGTCAGTTAGATAAACACAAATAAGCCTTTTCTGAAAAGAAAGAATTGGCATTCCAGCCTGAATTTTAGGTATGCAAACCTTTGGAGCAAAATATGCTGTATGTTAACATAGAGAATTTCCAAAAAGCAAAGGGGAATAAGTCCAACAATGGGCATAGATTAGAGCAAATTCATATTAAATTTCTTTTGAAATACTGAAGTTCATTTTTGTTCCAGTTCATTGTCTCGAATTCTTACCAAATGATTTTGGAGAGAATTGAATTGATAGAATTGATTATTAGAAAAATGAGTTGAAAACAAACTATTTAGAACCTACCTCTGTTTTTTATGCATAAAAAACAGTATCAGAATATAATGAATATAAGGCTAATGAAGAATGCATGTGTAAGACTTGCTTCAGCAAAGCTAAGGAATGTTAAGACAAAATTTCTCCTACCAAGTCTGAGGAGCAAGAGATTAAAGGATCTGAGGAGCAAGAGATTAAAGGATCTGAGGTGCAAGAGATTAAAGGAGAGAATCCCTTCTAGGTCTTTTGGCTAAGATCAAGTGTAGAATCTGCTTTTATCAGTTTAATATCTGGTACTTCCTCTATCCCAGGACAATATATTAAGTGGATTTTTGGAGCAGGGAGATGGTTGAAAATAATATACATATGCTTAATGTTGACCGTTTGATCCTGCTAATCAGATGTTCTGCATAAAACTGGTAATTGGGTAACAATTTTCCATAAATTGAAATGAGAAATGTTAGAAACACACAACCAGTTAACAGTAAGTGGCACAACAAAAACAGCAAAAGCCCACATCTAAGCAGCAAGCTGCCATGCTGGGGTGTAACAAGCTTTGCCTATGAGCTCCTTTTCACTTACCAACTAACACAGCTGTTGCCAGGTGCTTGTTTGCAATAACGTCTCTCCACTTACTGCTGTCCTTCCTTCTGGACAGTTTGCTTTAGCATTTGCTCTGCCTTTATGTAACTCAGTTTATAATACTGGGCAAAAACAAGGACTCTGTCAGAAAGTCAAAGTGGAAGCAGTTTTAGGACTAGTGCAGTAAACAGTAGAGAATGGCTCCTAATAAGTGGGCACAGCAAAGCCTCTCCTAGTGAAAGTCACTGTCCAAAAACATTTTCTATTTGCCTGCACTTGGTGCACACATGTTTTTCAGTATCTAGGTGAGATCGTGATGTTCCGTGAATCATATTCAGAATATCAATGTAAGTTTTCTGACATTTTTGCTTTTAGTTTGGTAAAACAACATAAAATTTAGAATCCTAACCATTTTCAAGTGTACAATTCAGTGACACCAAACACACTCACAATGCTGCACAATCACCACCACCATCCATCTCCAGAACACTTTCACATCCCAAACAAAAGCCCCCACCAAGGAATGATAACTCCCCTTTCCCCTTTCCCTTGGCCCCTGCAACCTCCATTCTGCTTCTGTCTCTAGGAATTCACCCAATCTAGGTGCTGATAGAAGGCAAACCATACAAAACAGACGCTTTTGTGCATAACTTATTTTACCCAGCACAATGTTCTCAAAATTCATCAGTATTGTAGCATGTATCAGAACATCACTACTTTTAAAAGGAAAAAGTATTCATTGCATGCATACACCACACTGCATCTATCCATCCAACTGTCTGCTGAAGGAAACCTGGGCAGCCTCCATCCTTTGGCTACTGTGAACAATGCTGCTATGAACACGAGTGTACACATGTTTGTGTGAATGCTTGTTTTCAATTCTTTCCACTGTACACCTAGAAGTGAAACCACTGGATTTCATAGCAATTCTATGTTTAAGTTTTTGAGAAAACACCAAATTGCAGCAGCTGCCCCATTTGACATTGCTACCAGCAATACAGCAGGATTCCAATTTCTCCACATCCCCACCAACACTGATTTTCTATATTTTTTAAGTAATAGTCATTCTAATAGATATGCAGTAGTCTTTTATTATGGTTTTGATCTCTATTTTTCTAATAACTAGTGATGTTGAACATATTTTTATGTATTTATTGTCATGTCTATTCAGTCTTTTGCTCACTTTTAAGTTGCGTTTTTTTTGTTGTTGTTGTTATTCTTGAGCTGTAGGAGTTCCATCTATAATCTAGATATTAATTCCATGTCATTTGTATATGGTTTACAAATATTTTCTCCTATTTGTGGAATGTCTTTTCACTCTTTTGATAGCATCCCATGATAACTAGAAGGGATTTTTTTTAAAAAAATTAGAAAGTCCAATTTAATTAATTTTTTATTTCAGTTTTAAGTGTCAAATCTAATTTAAAAAGACTGAATCAAATGTCATGAAGATTACCTCTCATATTATTTTCTAAGAGTTTTAGCATCTTAGATCTTAAACTTAAGTGTTTGATGCATTTGGAGTTAAATCTTGTATATGGTTGTAAAAGTTTGGGTTCCAGGTTTACTCTTTTGTATGACTACATGTGATTTTTGTATAAAATGCTTTGAAAAGTGTGTATTGCCTATAAGTCTCCCTATATCAACACTGGTTGAAAAGCATATTTATAGTTTCTAACATTCTATCATGTTTGAATTAAGAGTTCAGGAGGCATTCTGAGAAAATCAATAGCTTGGGAGATGTTCTGTGAAGCCCCCCTGTTACAAATGGTATTAATTTGATGGCAAGAGTATGTTTTATTCAAAATTACTTACATTGTTTCTTTTTTCTTTTTGCAAAGACTATGTTAGGTCACTAGGAACACCACAATACATTCCATAAAGTATGATGCAAGTGACACTTGTTTTACAACAGTGTAGTAATATTTTTTATAACTACAAAAATGGAAACAAAAATTTAGTCTGGGCATGGTGGCTCACGTCTATAATCCCAGCACTTCGGGAGGCTGAGGTGGGTGGATCTCTTGAAGTTTGGAGTTCAAGATCTGCCTGGCCAACATGGTGAAACCTCGTCTCTACTAAAAATACAAAAATTAGCCAGGCATGGTGATGTGCGCCTGTAATCCCAGCTACTTGGGAGGCAGAGGAGGGAGAATCGCTTGAACCCAGGAGGCAGAGGTTGCAGTGAGCCCAGATCACGTCATTGCACTCCAGCCTGGGTGACAGAGCGAGACTCTGTCTCAAAACAAAATAAAACAACAACAACAGGCAAACAACAACAACAAAAAATGAAAGTGCTTGGCAAATCACTGCCATCTTAATATTTTTGTTGCTTTGAAAAACAAAATCAATACCCCAAATGCAGCATATCTGGAAAATAATTAAGAAGAAAATAGTGCATATCAGGTTTTATAGCATGTAAGTTCCACCTGGTTCAGAGGACTCCTTCAACAGAAGATGCTTTACTATTCCCAGGATACAGCCAGGTCCTGCACAGTTGAGGCCAACATGTATTGAACCAGCAGCATCCCCAAGACAGCTGCTTGGCTCGGGATGTAAGGCTGCACTGGTCACACTTGACTGAGGCCCAGAGAGCAGACCAGAGCAGCCCGTGCCCATGGAGCTCAAGAACTGTGCAAGGAGAAGTCCGCACAAATAGGATGCCCACTGTCCCCCATTTCCACAGAGCAGTTGCCCTGGCACACAAAGAGGAGAGGGTCATTTATCAGAAGAGACAATCACTTGAAATAGGGTGAGTGAAGTGACTGATATGCCCTCCATATATCTGCCGGCCTTACGTTTCACCACCAAACTCCAATCGCATCTTCATTGCTTGTCAGAGTATGATCGGGACCACTTGTGTCAGGGTGACTCAGGATGCTTGGAAACCCCATTCCTGCATCCATGCAAGACCTACTGAGTCAACATTTCTTTTGGTAGATCTCAACAATCCATGTTGCTACAAGAGACCTGGACTTGAAAATTAAAGTTTGAGATTCCCAACTCTCTTTTTATTTATGTTTTGCATGCTTGAGATATCAAGGTTACCATGCAGTTATTAGTATAATTTTATGTTTTCAATAAGTTTCTCATTATTTATTTTCTAGGCATGCTTTTCAGTGTTCTAATATTCACAGCTATTTTCTTTATTTTCTCCATTTTTTTCTCCAGAATTCTGTATTGGCTGCTTCATGGCCTTTGCTTCTGGTCAACTCAGGGCTAAATGGTATGGCCAGTGGCCCCAGCAATCTACACCTGATGATGGAGACCACGAAGTGTGTGATCTTAGGAGGTAAAATTCTGTTGATGATCAGCAACAACTGATGTAGCTCCCAGAAAACATAGCCCTGCCATCTTTGACAACTATTCCTCCAAAGTTATAGTAGATGGTCTAGTGAAAATTAGCTTGTGGGATGCAAGGTGGACAAGAAGACTATCCTACCAAGTAGGTGTCTTACCTTGAGTCTTCCATGATTTGAAAGTGTCCATGTATTTCGCGGTGTTCTGATGTGTCACAACATTTCTTCAACACTCCTGTAATCCCAGGGGGACTAAATTCAGAGAGAGAAATAACAAAAACACAATTTAGAAACCAAAAGAGAAAATGCTGACTCCAATCATCTACCCACAGGGTTTAACCCTAGCTAAGAAATCAGTGTTATTAAATACCTGAATATTTGGCTTTCAGCCATGAAGTACTTGGCAGTGTTTGAGGAATTTCCTAGAGTAGTTCTACGTCCATCCTTGTCAAGAAGAAGAAGAAGCAATGTTTGTTGTCGAGTATGCCAGAGTCCTGAATCCTATCCACCAAATCAGTTTAGCCTTTTTTAGAGATGCTAGATCCTATGCCCTGACAAGCTTTGTTACAGACTTTTTTTCACTGAATTATTTTTAATCTCCTAGTAATTTTAAGATTATTTTGATAAAAGGGAAGAGTTCATACTTTCATATTCCATTAAAATTTGGTCCTAAAATGACAACCTTCATAAAGCCTTTTCAAAAGAAACTACTCTTAAGCAGATTGTAGGCCAAATATTTTCCAAATTTGCTTACCTTATTGTGCTGTGGGCACTAAACACTAAGCTGCTTAAAAGACCTTTGTCTTTAAAATGACATATCTTCTGAATTTAGGAAATTTTCTAAGTGATTTTCAGACCTATAAAAAGTACATTCTCTTGTCTAAACATGTCCCCAAAATGCCATAACTAAAAGACTCCAAGCTCATTCCAGGGCTGATGTGAAACTTCTTCCAGATCCATTTAACCTAGGCTGGACCACAGTACCACTTACCGATCCATAGATCAAGGGAGCTGTTGGCATGGGTGTGGACAGAGCTGGAGTGCCTGTACTGCTGAGTCCTAAATTTCAGCGTTGGATAGAGCTGGAGGTAGAAAGATTTGGTGTCCTGGCTGTGGCAATACAGGGAGTCCAAAAATGTAAATTGTAGCCTAACCCTTAGGTTATTATGAAGAAACATTTGTCATACATTACAGATCATTCTGTTCCATGTTCTAATTTCTCCTTTTTAGTTAGATGTAGTGGCAATAAAAGGTTACTCAAAGGAATGCTGGGAAAATTAAAATAGATATTATATATACAACAAAGCGTAAAGTTTAGAAAAAAATCTCAAGTGATACCATGTATTAGTGCTAAATATTATTATATAGAAAATATTACACCCATTCAAAAATGCCAAAACCTGAGACCTCCAGAAATAGCATATAGGTATAAGGGAATCCCTATTGAGAAGGAGGGAAGAAGAGAATTGCAGAAATAAAGTCATGTTTTCAGGAATAAGATTAAAAAAGAATTATTTTATTTTTAAGGATACAAAAATTACCACTTGAGTTTTCTTATTTAGGAAACAAATAAATTTTGGCTTTAAAAATGAAAAGGCATTCATGAAGACATAGGGATAGCTTTGTTTTATAAAAGCTAAGAGTAATAGCATGTTGAGTGGTCCTGCAGATAAATTTCTGTTCCACATAAGGAAAGTTCTTTTATTAATTTGAGCCCATGAATTGAAGCAGTGTGTTGTCCATAACCTAAGAGTCCCTATTTTCCTGGTGGAAGGACTTCAAACTTTGTAGATAGCAGCTGACATTGGAAGTGGCTTCACAACTTGAGTGACTCTGATTCTAAGAAAACTCAAGAGAATTGTTCTATGTTAAATCAGTTAATGCCTTTGGATCAGGATGCATCACTTTCAATAATAAGAAGGGTCCTTTCAGACAAACTCAAGTGGGATTGTGAGTCTGATGGATTTTAAGGAATTAAAGAGAATTTGTAATGTATTAGAATATTAGAAAATGAAGTGATTTTTTTAAAAAAGGAAATGTGCTTGCTACAAATCTATAGATTAGTTAGCTTGAATAATTTTGGGGCAACATCTAAAGAAATTTTCAATATTTTGAGTACTTCAAGAGAAAATTTCTGATGTGGGAGAAAGTGAAGCAATCTCAATAAAATCTGCACCAGGTAGAATATTATTTTATCAAATAATCACTACATAGTAAAATGAGAGCCATAGTATATGTAAATATTATTCATGTGTATATGTTTCCATGTGTGTGTGCACACACTTGAAAAAACTCTTCCTAATAATTAAATTGAATCACAGGTTCATATCTTCCCAAAGAAAACCATTTCAATAATAAAATAATTATCAATAATTATTGGGAAAATGTTGGCATGCCATTTCCAGAACTACTGATTCTTTTAATGTGACATTGGCAATTTAAAAGCTATAATTTTGTGGCTTCTAAGGAGCCACTGAAATGCTTAAAGAGAGGAGTCAGCAACAAATCTTACACAAGGAAGGTGAATCACCATTAGTTCTCATAGGGGGGAAGCTGTTCTAAACTTCTCCAATAGATTTTTCTGAGAAAGGCAGGAATCTCATGGCAGTTTTAGAATTAATTTAATGTACATTAAGAGCAAAAAAAATATACATTCTTAGACTCTGAGTGAAAGAAAGGCTTTTTTTTTTTTTTGACTGATTCTTGCTGTGTCACCCAGGCTGGAGTGCAGTGGCACAATCTTGGCTCACTGCAACCTCCGCCCCCTGGGTTCAAGCATTTCTCCTGCTTCAGCCTCCTGAGTAGCTGCAACTACAGGTGTGTGCCACCACGCCCGACTAATTTTTTGTGTTTTTAGTAGAGACGGAGTTTCACCATGTGGATCAGGCTGGTCTCGAACTCCTGACCTTAAGCGGTCCACCTACCTCAGCCTCCCAAAGTGTTGGGATTACAGGCATGAGTCACCGCACCTGGCTGAAAGGCAGAATCTTTAAAGAAGGATACAGACTTGAAACATGGAAAGTATTGCTTCAAATAACAGTTCCACCACTTATAAGTCTTGTGAATTGGATAGGACGGTTAACTTTTCTCAATATTTTTCTAATCTTGAAGATACTAATATTACCACTCTAAAATGGCTATAATAAGGATTAAGTACAATAAAGTTGATGGTGCACCTGACGGAAAGGTGGGATCGCAGTGCTAGTTGCTCTTTTCTCACCTTCAGATTTTATCTGAGAATGAAGAACATGCATTATGGTTTTGTTCCATAGAGAGCAACCCACATTTCCCTCTGCATTTTAAATTTTAGCAAAACTCCAAGATCAAGAGCCTGTCTTAAATATTCAAAAAATGTATCATAAATAATGAAAATAAAATGAAATTGTCTTGGACTTCAATGAGCAAATCTCCATGCCTTCCACAATAGTGTTAAATAGACGGATGTCTTCTTTCATGTCAACGAGAAATAGTTTTCACAGTGGATAACTTATTTTAATATAATGAGTTAAAAATTGAAGAAGCATCTGCACCTGTCATTTCATTGTCATTAGAAGGAAAAAGTAGATTTTACAACACCAAAGTCAAAACTACTAGAAAATTGAAGAATATATCCTACATCAACACTAAAAGACTCCATCCTGTATGTTAATTCAGTGTCTTATTTGGAATCATGTTTCATTGATAAAGTATCTTGGTGGACCCCTAAAGCAGTGCAAATTAAAACAAGATATTTCTCCTGGTATAGAAGATACATGAATAGCACTAATAAAAATAATCTAAGACCAAACCATCCATGATGTCATGGTATAGATTCTGTGGAATTAACAGTAAACTAACTGTTGGGGTATGAACATAACTGATTGTTTAGTTAAAAAAAAAGGTAATATTTCTGTTCATACTAACATAGGTCTTTGGGTGGTACTGATTGATCGATAAGAGGTAAAAAATCACTATATTAAGTCTATTGCCAACTTCATTCCAGAGTGAGGCATGGTAAATCATTTGTAATGAATCTAGTGGTGATGGCTTTCTAGGGGTTTTACTGTTTATCACATAATGTAAAGTAAATTCTAGAATGATTGGACTCATTTTAGTAGCTATAATCTACCCAAAATTCAGTATAAAAGAGAAAATATTAAGGACCTAAGAGGTATTAATCCACTTAAATGAATTTACATAATAAAAAATAAAATGAGAAAAATTCAGATAACGAGTCTTCCTTAAATAGGGAAGATTATATCATCTATTAGAAAATAACATATAGTAAAAGACAAAACAATGAGTTGAAGATTAAAAATAATTTCTTCTAGTGAGCATTTTTAAAATATATGGTTTTTTAACATATAACCTTTATATGTACAGTTGAGATTTAATGTAATACATAAATGTTTACATCCACACATGTATACTATAGTAAAGATTTTAAAAATGAAGATTTAAAAACATGCTTGTAAATAATTTATGAAAAAAGAAGATGTCATATTGGAAAACTGAATAATTCTCAGAAATGAATAATAAACAAAACACTACATATCGATTCTAGTAGAATTCTAGCAATTCTGGTAGCAATGAAACTTCTATAGAAAGAGTAAAGTATATTCTGTAAATTTTTTTTATCAGAAAACAATAAAATCCGAAAATAAACAAGCCCAGAAACCTACTTAAGCACAAAGAAACGGAATGGAGAATACAGGAGAAAGTAAATAAATAAAATATTTGCAGAAATTAATAAAATAGACTACAAACATACAATAGAAAGCATGGAAAGTAAGAAGTTTATTATTTGATAACTCCAATTCAAAATGCATATAAATACTTTTAAATGAATGAATGAATAAGCATAAAGAAATAAAATAACACTGGCAAATTTAATCAGACATAAATTAAAAAGTAAGGAAGGCACAAATAAAAATTAAAAATTAAAATAGGAATACAGTTCAGGATAAAATAGATTATAAAGTTAACTAGAAAATTCCAATTACAAAATTAATTTATAAACTTGAAAAGTTATATATAATAAACCATCTATATAAAATTAACCATGTAACTTCTTACAATTGGTTCATAAATATCTGAAGAATCCTATATTTTAAAATTTCAACCAGTAATTTAAAAATCTTGTAATACCAGACTAAAAAAAGATAATTTACATTCCAACTCTTCCCATGAAGCTAATGTAACCTAAACATATGAAAGAGACATGACTCAGGTAAGAAAGGAACATACACCCTCAGAAATAATACCACACATCTACAACCATCTGATCTTTGACAAACCTCACAAAAACAAGAAATGGGGAAAGGATTTCCTATTTAATAAATGGTGCTGGGAAAACTGGCTAGCCATATGTAGAAAGCTGAAACTGGATCCCTTCCTTACACCTTATACAAAAATCAATTCAAGATGGATTAAAGACTTAAATGTTAGACCTAAAACCATAAAAACCCTAGAAGAAAATCTAGGCAATACCATTCAGGACACAGGCATGGGCAAGGACTTCATGTCTAAAACACCAAAAGCAATGGCAACAAAAGCCAAACTTGCCAAATGGGATCTAATTAAACTAAAGAGCTTCTGCACAGCAAAAGAAACTACCACCAGAGTGAACAGGCAACCTACAGAATGGGAGAAGATTTTTGCAATCTACTCTTCTGACAAAAGGCTAATATCCAGAATCTATAAAGAACTCAAACAAATTTACAAGAAAAAAAACAAACCCCATCAAAAAGTGGGCAAAGGATATGAACAGACACTTCTCAAAAGAAGACATTTATGCAGCCAAAAGACACATGAAAAAATGCTCATCATCACTGGCCATCAGAGAAATGCAAATCAAAACCACAATGAGATACCATCTCATGCCAGTTAGAATGGCGATCATTAAAAAGTCAGGAAACAACAGGTGCTGGAGAGGATGTGGAGAAATAGGAATGATTTTACACTGTTGGTGGGACTGTAAACTAGTTCAACCATTGTGGAAGACAGTGTGACAATTCCTCAAGGATCTAGAACTAGAAATACCATTTGACCCAGCCATCCCATTACTGGGTATATACCCAAAGGATTATAAATCATGCTGCTATAAAGACACATGCACACGTATGTTTATTGCGGCACTATTCACAATAGCAAAGACTTGGAACCAATCCAAATGTCCATCAATGATGGACTGGATTAAGAAAATGTGGCACATATACACCATGGAATACTATGCAGCCATAAAAAAGGATGAGTTCATGTCCTTTTTAGGGACATGAATGAAGCTGGAAACCATCATTCTCAGCAAACTATCACAAGGACAAAAAACCAAACACCGCATGTTTTCACTCATAGGTGGGAACTGAACAATGAGAACACTTGGACATAGGAAGGGGAACATCACACACCAGGGCCTGTTTTGGGCTTGGGGGAGGGGGAAGGGATAGCATTAGGAGATATACCTAATGCAAATGATGAGTTAATGGGTGCAGCGCATGAACATGGCACATGTATACATATGTAACAAACCTGCACGTTGTGCACATGTACCCTAGAACTTAAAGTATAATAATAAAATAAATAATAAATAAATAGAAAAAAATTAACACTGGAAATTTTTTAAATATGGGATGTAAGTGCCAGATCAGAAGTTGTACTTAAGGATTTTATGTGACTCTCCTGTGTTAGCTGGAAACATCACCACAATAAGAAAGAGGCGACTCTAGAATTAGGAAGCAATACTTCTGAATCATTATCAGTAATGTGATAAGGGTTACCATAAATTGCTTGATTTTACTGTGCTTCACTCACCACACTGAAAATGGGGTGATTAAAATTACCTTCTCTTTAAAAAAAAAAAGAAAGGAACATACAATTCAATTTTACTCATTAACATAAGTGTACAAATCCTAAACATTATATGATTAAACCAAGTACATTAACATGTAAGACAAATCATCATGTACATAGCTAATTTTCTGCTGTTAAAAAATGTGTGGATGAAAAACAGAATAAGCATTAATCAAATTGATGTAATTCACCACTTATGAATTAATATGATTATTTCAATAATATGTAGAGTAACTGTAAGATGAAAATTAACACTCATTCACTGTAAAATTTAAAAATAATTAAGTGGCTAGAAGAGAACTTCCTGAACTTGAAAACATGTTCCATATATTTGAAAATCTATCCAACCCTACAGAACATATCTTTCTCATAGGTTACCTGTAAAAATAATTATTTAACAAATCAAGGAAAAGACAAGGATGCCAACTATCACAGCTTCTTGAAACATGTTATAGAATTTCCTAGCCAATGGCAGTAAATTTGTCTTAAATAATGAGGTGAGCTTTAAAAGAAATAAACATGATGACTGTATTTTCCCTTAACTCAGTTAGGGATTTGGATCCTGCTCCTAATCCACCTCGGTTTCCATCGCAGGTGATTAAAGCAACATTTGCCTATATCAGCAATTGTCATAAAACCAAGTTAAAAAGCATTTTAGAAATTCTTTCCAAAAGCCCTGTAAGTATACATGATGAGTTTAATAATAGAGCATTCCTTCTTTTTTAGGTAAAAAAAATCTTTGTAAGTACATCTTAAAGAGGAAAAGTAAACAAATGAAAAATTTATCTCATAATTAAAAAGGAAAACATTCATTTACAAGTTTAAATGGTATTTTAATTGTCAGCATTAATTGAAATATGTTACATATGAGAACAGAATCTTGTGACACTTTAGTCATATATTAGCTCAGGGAATATATCTACTTTTTCATAGGAATATACTATTTTATTGTAGTTTACTTTCTGAAAATTAAATAAAATACAGTCATCATTTGAAAAAGTTTTGCTCATAGACCAGTGAACTTCCAAAATGAAAATTTAGATTTTAATAACCCCCAAATTCAAAACTATTTTTCTACTGAAAAACTATACTTTCAATAAAATCACAAATGACATATCACAGTCCAGATATATAAATCAGATTATCTAAATACCTTTCACCCTCAATAACTTAAATAATCTTAAATGATCTTATAATAATTTTATTAAAAAATCTTATAAAGTTAAAAGGCAATTCCACAAATGAGCCTCAGTATTACTTCAGATCAGAATCAAAGCTCTATGCCAGTACTGTAAAAGCAGTATTTTAAGACATGGCAATTAACACTTATTTAGACAGCGTGAAATTACATATGTGAAAGTACTTTCTCAGATATTATTACTATTTTATATGCCCAGCATAGTAGGGCACATTAAAAAAAAAAATAAAGCATATTTTCAAGTAGCTTACAATCAAGCCAGGAAAACAACTCTAATGTTCATATACAACTCAGAGACATTCACATCCAAATTAAATTGTACAGATAATAAAGTACAATAAAGAAAAGGTGGGGCTGGGTACGGTGGCTCATGCTTGTAAACCCAGCACTTTGGTTGGCCAACACGGGGGAATCACTTGAGGCCAGAAGTTCAAGACCAGCATGTGCAAAAAAAATAAATAAATAAAAAATAAACATAATGAAAATAGCTGATTATATAATTGTCTACAATGAAAATTCAAGAGAATCTATAGAAAATGTATTATATTTCATTAAAAGATGTAGACAGAGCAATATATAAAGGTATAGATAAAGGATTAATGTATAAGAATGAACTGCACTTTTATGTACAATCAGGAGTTAGGTAATTAAACTTTTTAAAATAACAATCATAGTAGCCATAAGTTACATGATGCCTAGGAAAAAATTTAACCAGGATAATCCAAAATATTTATAGAAAAAAATTTAGGCCTTTTTTCTATGGCACTATATAAAGCTAGGCATTTTTTCCAATAGAGAAAGACAGACAAGGAGGAAGAGAGTGAGGGCAGTTGAGAGAGACAGTGAGAGAGACAGAGAGAGATAGACAAATTGGAAGACTTTTGACCTCATGTTACTAGATGCAGAAGATTATTTAACATAGTACTATATCCATTTATAGTATAAAAAGATACACAGATGATGGATAGAGACATGATAGATGATAGATGATGATGATGTTGTAGAGAGAGAGAGAGATAGATAGATAGATAGATAGATAGATAGACAGATAGACAGATAGACCGATATCTTCCTTAACTTAATAAAAAATATTCATTCTAAACCTCCAGAATATGATTACACTGGATTTGCAAAGTTAAGGATTTGTCATAGCATGTTTTGGCAAAAATTTGAAGAGATGAGCAGTCACTTGCTGTTGTACTTGCTGGTATCTTTGGAAAAAAATTAGAGTTTATTTTGCAAATAAACATGCCTGTTCCTTAGAATCCTGCAGCAATTTGACTTCTCTAGATATAGTTTCTGTACAAACCATTACATATAACTGTCAAGGAATGGGCACATGAATGCTTATAGCAACACTATTTTGACAGCAAAACTTGGAAATATCCCAAATGCTCATCAGGAAGAATAGGAATATAGAATGGGCATGTAGTATATATGAAATACTCATAGTGTAGGTGAAACAATATGGATGTATGGTAGAAGCATAATATTGAAAAAATATTTTAAGAGATGTGTATATATATATATATGCTTTTTTTGCATAAATCTCTAGTATAAGAAAAACTTTTGAAATAACATATACATTGGTGTGGTAACATTTTATTTTTTGAAAAGCAAAGCAATGATGAATGCGCCCAAGAGGAGAGGAGGCAAGGGCAGTGTTTGCTGAGAAGCACTAAAGGTTGTCTCAGTGCCATTTATGTTATGCATGTACTGAAGTAATATGTTGAAGACCTTGCACTTTCTCTTTTGTATCAACTGCTAGACAACATAATCACAAAGAAAGAAAGAATGTCAGGTTTAAAATACAGCTAACTAGAAACATAAATATGTAAAATGTAGTCATTAAAAAAGCTCAATGCATAGATTAAACAATAGATTAGATAGTGGTGAAGAAAGAATTATTGAAATGAATGATTACTGAATTGGAAGATATATTGTGGAGATTACAGAATTCAGCAAAGAGAAGAGAGCAAGTCAAAAAAAGAAAGATATGCAAACACACATTGCACGTGCTCTGAAAACACAAGCGGTAGTATACTTGTCATAATATTCAGGTCTTGTATATCTAATAATATTTTTAATAATGTATATGATTTCTTAAAAAATATCTATTATGCTGAGGTTTCAAATTTGAGCAAAGTTGTTATGTTTTTACATTTTCTACTATGATTAATACATTTTTATATGTATGTATTTTTTCTTCATGGTTCATGTATTTTTTTTTGTATGTTTGTTTCTTTCCAGAAACTTAAGGTTTGATTTTGCCAGTTTTTTCATTATTTTCCAACATTTAAATTAATTTTTTTCCTTCAATTAAAAAAAGTTATTCTTACTTTTTCTGAATTCCTGTATTGAACACTTAACAAAATTATATATTTCTTGTTTGTTTCTAGGTGAACACCCTGAGGTAAATATATTTCCCCTCCAAGTACCATGTTAAATAAACTCCATAGGTTTGCTTTTGGTTTATTTTATTTTTTGGTTAATTTTAAAAATTTGTAATATTCATTATTATGTCCTCTTAAACCGATTAGTTATTTAGATTTTTTTTAATTTCCAGTTTTGCTTGTTTATTTGCTTTACTACTACTTAGTTTTTTATTTTAAATATGATTGGTTATGGTTAGAAAATATTCTTTATATATTCTTAGACATTTGTTGACATGCATTGAGACCTACACAGGCTCGATTTTTCTAAATAGGTGCTTTAAAAATGTATATTATCATTTTGTTGAGTGCTGAATTATATAAGCAGGTAAGTCTTCGTATAAAAGGGGCATATTGAGTCCAAGCAAAATTTAAAAAAATAAATCCACAACTTGACACCTCCATATCTCAAAAAAAAGGCAATCTTAGTACCACCAAAAAATATAGATTTCCTGGAAAAAAATAACAATTAGGCTGACAACATATTGTATAACTCAGCATCCTATTGTTTGATTACTTCATACATATGGTTTGGGTAATTTAATGCTTCCTGAATATCAATATTCATATCCTTCAACTATTAAAAGAATTCTCAGCCACTCTCTTCAAATATTGCTTGTCTTCTAGTCACTCTACTTTATCTTTCTCAAATTAGGAATATGTTTTACTGTCTCATCCTGTCACACATGTATCTTTTCCCTTCTTTTACATATTATCTTTTTTTTCTTTTTTTTATTAAACTTTAAGTTCTAGGGTACATGCACACAACAGGTTTGTTACATAGGTATACATGTGCCATGTTGGTTTGCTGCACCCATCAATTCATCATTTACATCAGGTATTTCTCCTAATGCTATCCCTCCTCCAGTCCCCCACCTGCCGACCGGCCCCAGTGTGTGATGTTTCCCGCCCTGTGTGCATGTGTTCTCATCGTTCAACTCCCACTTATGAATGAAAACATGTGGTGTTTGGTTTTCTGCCCTTGTGATAGTCCTCTAGATCCTTGAGGAATCGCCACACTGTCTTCCACAATGGTTGAACTAATTTACACTCCCACCAACAGTGTAAAAGCATTCCTATTTCTCCACATCTTCTCCAACATCTATTGTTTCCTGACTTTTTAATGATTACCATTCTAACTGGCATGAGATGGTATCTCATTGTGGTTTTGATTTGCATTTCTCTGATGGCCAGTGATGATGAGCATGTTTTCATACGTCTGTTGGCTGCATAAACGTCCTCTTTTGAGAAGTGTCTGTTTATATCCTTTTACATATTTTCTATCTCATATTTCTGTGGTGCATTCTAGATAGTTTCTGCATCTCTATCTTATAATTTAGTAACTCATCTTCAAGTTGTACATGATCTAAACTTTTAGGCTATTGGTTTTGACAGACATATGGCTTCTGTTTGGTTCTTTCTCAAATATGCCTGCTTCTTATTCACTGTTCATGTCTTTTTATTATTTCCTTTTGTAATGCCTTTAATCATTTCAGATGTTTTTGTAATTTTCACCTACAGTTTGACTCTCTTAAATTATCCAAATTCTAATCTGTTGTTACTTTGCCTGCTCACTGTTTACCCATGACATGCTGGCACTAGACCCATGTGCTGTGTGCTTGTGTATTTCATCATTTTTAATGGATGTATGATTTACACAGTAAAAGGAATAGAACTTACAGTTTTCTGAGTTTTAATAAATCAGCAAACCTGCAACCATCATTATTTAAGAAATTTTCTTTACAAACAGCCCCAATTAACTGCTACCCAGAGGTAAGTACTGTTTTGATTTCTTTTACCATACATTAGTTTTGCCTGTATTTGTGATTTACATAAATATACATCTTAAGCATGCACTCTTTTGTCTTTGCTTTGTTTCTGTTCAACATAATTTTTAGCTTCATTCATGTTGCTGCATGTGTCCATATTTTCTTTACCTTAATGTCTATGTATTAATTTAATTATATGAGTACACTTCAATATGCTTATTCATAACACCCAGATTTGGCTAAAGTGAATAAACTGTGATGATCATTCTAATATAATTCTGTAAGGACATTTGCTTTAATTCATTTTTTGTAAACACCTATCAAGTGAATTGCTGGATGTTTGCGCAGGCCTTTTTAAATATTATTAAGAGACTGCCAAACTGTTTTCCCAAGTAGCTGTACTATTTTCTATTTCACAGACAATGTGCAAGAGTATCAGTTGCTCATGGTTCTCACCAGCATTTGATATTGTTTGGTCCATTTAATTTTCATCATTGTAATGCATGTGTCCTTGTATTTTAATTGCTAATTTTGTATTATGAGCACATCTTTGAAAAAGATCTTATCGTGAAGAATCCTATGTTTGGTGCTGGACATTTCTTTCGGGTATTCCAGTTGCAAAACCAGCCTCCAACTACATTTTACCCTAATATCTGCTTGAAAGTGACTGGGCTGTGCAGGTATTAAAAGCGTGAACATCAAATTTCTTAGAAAGAGCATCATTTAAGGACTTTTACTGAAGAATATTTTTCTTGCCAAACCCAGACTGAGATAGAAAAGACTCTGCATGATCTCCTTTTGCCAGTGGGTGGATTTATTTTTTTCTAGTTCTCATTTATGATGTAGTAATGTACTCATTTTCAAATGACAGGAAAACTGGTCCAAAATGACCTAAACACAGAGGGGTTTATTTGTTCACTATGTCAAAAATTCAGAGGTTAGAATTCTAGGGTTGACTGGTTGCGTGTTTCATCTGCATGGCTAGCAGATACCTGTGGCTTCTCCAAGTATCACAAAAAAACTCCAAGCTGGGTGAAGGAGACTGGGAAAATGACCAAAACAAAAATTACTATTAGTAGGGTTTTGCTTTTTGTTCTTAAAGAGACACATACATAGCTGACCCACAAAAACTCCCTTGATAGATGTATATGACATAGTTACCTTTATTTGCAAGAAAAACTTGGGAAAAGTGGATTGTGATGGGAGTTGCATTTCAATTTGTCTGTCATAGTCCAGAAAACAGGCTAACGGTTGCCCATGAACAATCTCAGTCCCTCCACATGGAACATACTCACATCTTTAAGAAGTAACATCAAAAGTCACCTAGATTACCATCAGTTTGTAATCTATTATCTGTGATTTGAGCCAGTCTCAAGCTCAATGATAACCTATCTGTCTCTGCAGTGTTGGAGCACACATAGAAGAGTTACAACAAAATTCCCATTAAGAATAAAAAATGGAAAACAGGTATCCGTGGCACATGATAATCCTGATGGTCAGGAAAAGAAAAACTCTAACCCCTAACAGGAGATCCAGTGCTTTGTTATTATCATGGGATCCTTAGGGAGTCACTTCACCAGCCAGAAATCTCTGTGCCTAGAGGCACTTTCTGCCTGAGTATTAGTTGCTGGGCTCGTTCCACCCACTCAGAATGGTAGCTGCGTCCAGCTCACACTACTGTCCCGGATCCCACACCTGCCAAGGGCAAGCGAGGTGTAGAGCAGGAAGGAGTGTGTGGTTGAGTGAGCATGGGGTCTGTCCACTGTAGACAGCCAGGTACGCTAGCTGCTGTGGTGGGGTAGGCAGCTGCAGGTGCCAGCACAGGTGCCAGCACTATGTGAGGCTGCAGCAGGACCAGATGTACTGCACATGGCTTCCGCTGCAGGCATCTACCTCTGGACGAGGGGATGCAATGGTACCCGGAAGCCTGGAGATGCCAGGAGCCACAGAGCCCCAAAGAGGGTGACATAGCCCTAGCTCAGGGAACCCCTAGGTCTGAGATCTCTGAAGGACTGCAGCTCTTCTGTCCTTCTCATCGCCCGCAATATGGCAAGTGGCAGGGGCATGTTTCAGCCCTGTTTGTGTTACAGCTTTTACAGTCCTGCCATTTGGAGGTTCCAAAGTTCTTGTCCCACATCCAGAAAGAATGAGCTATGTGGATAACTGGAGGGTTAGCAAGGTGGAGAGGAGCTTCACTCAGCAACAGAACAGTTCTCAGGAGACCCAAAGTGGGTAGCTCCTTTCCACAGGCAGGTGGTCCCGATGACGGTTTAGCTCTCAGCAGAGAGGAGAACTGGAGTGAGTAGCTCCTATCTGCAGGCAGGTCATCTCACAGAGTCAAGGATACCTGAAGTGGGTAGCTCCTTTCTGCAGTTGGTAGTCCTGACATCTGAGTCTGGCTGAGTCCCGGGTTTTTATGGGCTCAGAAGGAGGAAAGTATATGCCATGGGCAGGCCCAGAGAAAGCACCACAAGTTCTCACTCTGGACTGCAGACTCTACTCATAACTGGCAGCCTGGCCCCCAGTCTTCAGGCTGTCCCTGACTTGAAGGTGGGGTTTTACCAGGGACCTGTCCCTTTCCACCAAGGAGTCTGTCTACCTCCTGCCACCATCAACATGTCATCTATGGTGCCCAGGCAGTTCATGCCAAGGGGCCCCTGCAGGCCCGAACTGAATCGCTCTCATCCCCACTCAGCCTCCCTCCTGTGCTTGTTGGCACCCAAAGTCTGGAGAGGGCTGAGGCAGCAGGCAGCTGGCATGTCAGTGCCACCCCAAGCATGTGCACAACCAGCTGGGTAGTGACAGCACCCAAGTTTGGCCTTAACTTTGCTCCATAGCAGGTGCTAAGAGTGAGGAGGAATGGGAGCAGACATTTCTGAGCCTGGCTGGGCAGGGGGATTCCTGGGCTCCCAAGAATGCAGGGATGCCTGGGTGCAGAACCATGGCTGGGTGGAGGCAGCTGCACCTGGGAGTGCAGGGCTTCTGACCTGCCAACTCAGAAGAGGGCAGGGCTCCCTCCTGTCCCTGGCCCCTGCCTGCTCTGTGAGTGCACAGTCCCAGCCACACCTCCGCTGCTGCAGCTGGCATCCCCACTGTGGCTGCTCCAGATGGGCTGCTGAGGCCATCAGTATCTATTCTGGGAGACTCAGGCTCTGTGCTCTGAGAGGAGTTCCCTTATCCACTATCAACCATAACTACAACTTCATTGAGCTCTAGGCAAAATACCCTGTATGAGCTGTTCAGTTTCCACACCAAGTTCTGTGTGTGTGGCTTCATTAACAATCAGATTTCTTTAAATTTGAATAATCATTGAAGGCAAGTCTTATTTTTTTAATCCCCTGATTGATTTTCATAAGAATTTGCCAAAGTCTAATCTATTTGCTTCTTGTCGATTTCATGTGTGAACTACTAGGACTAAGACCACAGAGAGGCCTAGCTATTTGTTCCTTTGCCACCTCAATTTCCCAGTGATGGGTGTTTCCAGATGAAGGAAATATTAGCAAGAGGACACATCATTCCTCTTCTACAGCTTTCTGTAAGACAGACACTTTCTCTCCCACTGATATTTTTGACGCTGCTTTTTAAAATACATCAAACTTAGCCTTTCTCTCCCTGTGTGTTTGATCAGTGTTTCACAAGTATCAAAAGCTTTAGTTCATTTTTTCTCTCATTTTATACTCAAATAAACATCTGAGGTAGACAGGCCTGGCATTATTTGTGCAAGTAACAGCTAAAGACTTCAAGGCTGGAGGTATTTAAGTCATGCTGCAAGGCAGCACAGCTGGGTGTGTGCTGGCCTTGGTGCAAAACCACTGGTGTTTTGATTCGTAGTCCAGAATTGGTGTGCTGCACCATGAAGAGTACTAATACTATGGCTTAATGACAGTCCTCACAACTTCCTGTTATAGCATATTAAATGTACACCTTGAAAACTATCCTTACCACATCTGGCCCCACAACGTAATGGTTAGCACTCTGGACTCTGAAAATTATCCTTAACAAGTAATAGATGTTTCCACTCCTTGGTCTAATAGGCCATGGAGTTCACCCAGTGCAGATGTGAACTGTAGGAAGCACCCTGAAATAACAACTCTCTTCTCCAAACAGATAAGTTTCAATGTGAGTGAGTAACATCTGAGAGAAGCAGGAGCAATCCTGTTGCCACTGGGTCTCAATCATTAGCTTGCATCAGAATTGCCTGCAATGCTCCTGAAAACACAGTCTGCTGTGCCCCATCCCCAGAGTTTCTGAGGCAGCAGATCAAGGTTAGCACTTCAAAATGTGCATGTCTAGCAATTCCCAGATAGTGTTTATCTGTCAATCCCAAGACCACATTCTGAGAACCACCTGTGATAGCTGATTTCATATGTCAACTTGAGCGGGCCATGGGGTGCCCAAATATTTTGTCAAACACTAATCTGGATGGTTCTCTGGGGATGTCTTTGGCTAAGAAGACTGAATGAAGCAGATTGCCTTCCTTAATGTAGGAAGGCCTAATCCAGTCAGGTAAAGGCACCAAGTAGAACAAAAAGTTCAACTCCACCTAAGTAAGGGAAAATTCCTCCTGTCTGAGTACCTTGAAGCTGGGATATCAGCTTCTTCCTGCCCTTAGACTAGAACTGAAACATCAGCTTTTCCTTGGAATGAAACTCATGCCGTGTTCCACAGTGGGCATGTCTATGTAAACCTACTCCCAAAGGCTGAGGAAGCTGAGAAGCCAGAGACAGAGTCTGAGATATCCAGTTTCTCAGAAACACTAAATGGGGACTTACAAACAGAACCATGCCCTGGACAGCCACAGGATGGGATGGTGGATTCCATGGAGTTACCCCCAAGACATAGGGCTTATGCACCATGGGGACAGAATGTCCATGCTTCAGCAGGGATGTGTAGAACAATTGCTTAAGGGCAAGATTTATGGTAAGTACATGTTTACACAAGGAACAGTGGATAGCACAGAAATCTTAGAGGCATTCCCAAAACCAGAGTTAGTCAGAAGTCAACATATAGGATGAGCATCCGGGATAGCGTTACTTTAGCCTCCACACACCATCAGCTCTCCTGGGTCTCCAGCTTGCCAAGCCAGCCTGAAGATCTTGGACTTGCCATGCTCCGTAATCCTGTGAGCCAATTCCTATGATCTCTCTCTCTCTACATATATGTATATAAACACACATCCTATATACATATAAACACGCACACATTTACAGGATATATGCATATCCTATAAGTTCTGCTTCTTTGGAGAACCCTGACTTATACACCACCACTGTAGGAACTTCACCAGGTGATAATGAATATTGGATATTTGATGGCTGATGTTCTAAAGAAGCATAACAGTTAGATAAAATAATAATTACAATAATAATAATGAAGCCAAGTTAGCAACAGAGCCAAGGCTGAGAAATCCATACACTTTCCATTTACAAACAAATAGTCGACTTTTTTTTTCCTTTAGCTCTTGGTAAAGTAATCAAAATGACCATTCACAAAATGTATTTGTCTACCCAGCTGTATTTGAGGAATTTTTTTTTTTTTTTTTGGTCAGAGAATGAATTTCTCTCTTTACACAGGCCTCTTCCCAGTTCCAACCCTCAAATCTTTGAAAAGCATATTGATTACACAGCAAGCAGCTGCAAGCCCAGATTTCCCTGCCCACCTTGCTGGGGGTCCAATCCTCTCATGCTGCACTGCACCTCAGCCTCCCCCTCCCCATGGCTCTGGCCATGTCAGCCACGTTATGAGTTTTGCGTGTGTCTCCCTCTGAGAAACGAAGGGCAGAATCTGTGTTTCTTCATATTTGTGCCCCTCTGGCTCTCCACATGACAATTATTCCTGGTAGATTGCTCGTGAGCAGTGGATACTGCTGAAAACCTGCAAGAATGGATGCTGGGTGAAGAGCAGAGGTGCCCCAATAACTAATCATGCTAAACTTAGTGAGTGAACAAGTAAAAGCCTGAACACAAGAAGAAATCTGTGAGTAAACCAAGATGATGGAAGTATTATTGTTTAAATTTAAAATTTAAGCCAAGGGAATCACGATGGGATCATGATTATAATCCTGAGCTTTAGATTAGTCTAAGTGAGAACTTTCAAAAGTTGCATAAACTCTTTCAACCTCAGTGTCCTCAAATATAAAGTTAAAGTCATACCAGTGCTTCCCTCATAGAAATAGTGTATGCGAGGGGAGGTAAAACACATAAATCCCTGGGACTAGAATCTGACCAAACTTTAAATATTAGCAAGTGTTATTTTATTATTTTGTTTATTTTTTGTGACCTGTAAATTGCTTTGTAAGCCTCTTCTGAGATACAAACTTTCCTTCATACTCTGATCAAGGATTAGGTTAGAAGTTTAAAGTAGCAAAATTTATTGTCAGAAGGTGAGACTGTCTTAATGAATTCAGAATATGTTAACATCTGTGGTAGGTGTGCCTAGGCTTTGGAATAAATCTAAAATTATCATAGCAAAATATTTTTATAGCTTATAATCCCCTCTTTCTTCCTATGGGCAAAACATTCAGTATTAGGTGGGGATGTGACCGATGGGAACTTTTGGGATGACTGTGAAAAATGCAGTTCTCAACATATGCTACAGATGAGTTAATAAATGTTGTTAAACCTCATCAAATGTAAAGACCCCCCCACATCCCACAAAACAGGGAACATTAAACAGCGTCACTGCAAGCATCATTTTGAAGGTCTTCTCCTTGGCATCTGTGTATCTCCAAGTCAGTGGACAGACCATAGGGAGTAAAGGCCTGGGCATAGCATGGAACTTCAGCTTCCATGCATCCTGATTTCCATCTGGCTGATCAGGAGCCATCCAATCAATTTCATCTCTCCCATATGGCCCAGTACTTGCCAAGGAGATGTTTCATGATGTAGAATTTCTAACGACCATTCAAATACCTCACAGAAACCCAGACATCTAGTGAGTCAGTTGGTCTGTGCAGAAGATTCCTCCATATCACTAAGGAAACTCGAGATGCTGTGGTTTATTCAGAGGAATAAACAAAGATTTGATAAAACAGAAACAGTTCAGAAGAAAAAGGTAAGCACCAGACTTGAATGTTAAGGTTGTGCCCTAGGGACAAGTTTTAGGCATTCAGTGGTAGAATCTGACTCTGGGGACAGATAATGAGATTTTTATGTAGTCCTGGGATACATACACTTATTCTTAGCTCCTAGACCAAGCATTGAGAAACACAGGAGCGAATTTTGAAGTGCATTTAACTCCAGATTCCACCCGAAGTGCCATTACTTCATGCCCCTAAGGCCTCATCTCAGCTAAGGGCACTCCATAATGACAATTAAGTATTTGAACATGAACCTTTACTTGCTTAGCATAAAAATAAACCAAAATTGAAAGTAAGGAAAACACTTCTAAGTCAATGCACTCAGTATCAGTAATACCATTGCAATACTGATATAAAACGAAGCTCAATCAATCCACTTCATACTCTCCAAACTCTGGAAGTCTGCACCTGCCATGCTTTTATGCATAAAACACTGAACAGCACTCCACCACCACCACTAATATGCTAAAACCTGTTCATCCATCTCATCTTAGGTTATTTCATTCCACAATGGAAAGCCTTATTTGACTTTCAAAAGATATTTGCTGCCTCTTTATGTTAATCTTCTATTTTCTCTACATTACACAGTGTTTTACTTTCCTATGCACTCATTTGTATCTCTGAGTGGGCTAGAAGTTCCTGGAGGACAATGCTCATGTCTTGGTCCCTGTTAGTCTCCAGTTGAATGATGTACCTGGCAAATAGTAGATTTTTCAATAAGTATTTCTTGACTGGTTGACTGAGTGACTGTCTAACAAACATTTTAGAGAATTACATTGTACTAAACCATATGCTTAATACTGGCATGAAAGGTATCTGCTGAGTTTATTTCAAAGTGCTAACTCCTGAATGGCACCTGTTATCTCAGGGTCAGTTGGCTTAGTGAGTTCATTGAAATGTATCTACAACTTCATCAAAATAGCTGTATGTCTCAGAAATTTGCTGCAATGGGTATGTGCAGCCACAATATAGAGTAGAATCTTCACTGTCAAATGGTCTTTTTGACGTTAGGCCCTTCCTCTGGGTACTTTGGGTTTTAATTTGTGGACGGGACACTCCTTTTTATGTTCCAAGTATATAGGTAAATAAAATATAAACCTTAGGCTTGTTCACACACATGAGGTACAGAAAGATCTGATTTCCCCAAGCTTACACTAAAATTAGAAAAAACAAACAAACAAGAATTCGAGAGGTGAAGTGACATAAATCATTAATAAATTAGTGGCTTTAAAACAGAAAACAGCTGATTGAATGTTTTTAAAGGTTCTAAATAACAGCAATTAAATCAAAGTAATGACTGAAGACAAAATTAAACGGTTTGAAATTGTAGCAAATGAGTGTAAAACTTTTAGAATGTGGTTTTTACATTCCTTTAATATGTTTCTTTAAAATGTCCTCTTTCTGAGGAATGAGGCTAAAGAAATTTAAAATATTCATTGGACTGTACTCTTTTGTGAGAACTTCCTCCCACAAAAAAATTTATTAAATTGGACTAAAAATGAAGAGCTTTATATTAGGGATGATTTTCATCCCTAACAACTGCTTTTCCTTGATAACTTGAAAATAAAATGCCCACATAGAATGCTTCAATTGGCTAGAATTTGGAAGCTTGGACACTCCCTATTTTAACAAGTGTTAGTGAAAACTCAGAAATAAATTTGGTGCAAATGAAATGTACAAGATAAACACATCCATTTCGCCTTATTCTCCTGAATTCTTCCACAACGTATAGGTATAATTTTAGCGAGCTCCCTGCAGGACTGAACCTTTGTGTCATCACAGAGTTTATGTGTTGAAATCCTAACCCCCAGGGTGATGGTATTGGGAGGTGGGACTTGTGGGAGGTGATTCATTCATGGGGATGGAGCCCATGTGAATGGTATTAGCATCTGCATAAAAAAATCCCAGAGAGCTCCTTCCCTGCTTCTAGCATGTGGGGATACAGCTAAAAGGAATTGTCTGGGAACCAAGAACACGGCCTCACAAGACACCAAATTTGCTGGTGACTTAACCTTGGATTTCCCAACCTCCCAAACTGTGAGAAACAAATTCCTGTTGTTTCTAAGTTACCCAGTCTATGGTATTTTGTTATAGCAGCATGACCACATTGGGACAGACCTGTGCCTTTTATTTTCACATGTGAATGAACTTCCTTTGACCGACTTTCAGAGTATGTAGATCTGACCTAAGCCCTAATAAGTATAAAAAATATCAAATGTTTTGTTATAAAAATACTACTGGCTGGGCACGGTGGCTCATGCCTGTAATCCCAGCACTTTGGGAGGCTGAGGTGTGTGGATCACCTGGGGTCAGGAGTTCTAGACCAGCCTGGCCAACATGGTGAAACCCCGTCCCTACCAAAAATACAAAAATTAGCCGGGCATGGTAGCGGGTGCCTGTAATTTCAGCTACTCGGGAGGCTGAGGCAGGAGAATTGCTGGAACCTGGGAGGTGGAGGTTGCAGTGAGCCGAGATCGTGCCATTGCACTCCAACCCCAGGCTGACAACAGGGAGACTCCATCTGAAAAAAAAAAAAAGAAAAGAAAAGAAAAGAAAAGCTACTAAAGTTCAGATGGTATGTCTAATCGTTACTAATTTTAGCTATGGATCAAACCAGATTATCTGAAGCATGTATATTTCAACCTTTTATAATAACTCATAATGAATTAACTATCAGTGGTATGGTACAGGCCTTTAAAGAAAACCATCATTAAATAAAAAATACCTTTCATATTTTCTTATTTAAGAATGCATTGGGTGCATTAAGGGCATCTCCTGCATCCCGCAGGCCACAGTCCTCCCCCTGGCCCCATGCTCTTTAAGTGAATAAAGGGAAAAATGCATTTTCATTCCTCAGTTTCTGAAATCACCATATATATTTTATCAAACAGATTCCATATTGTAAGTTGTCTAGTAATGCAATGGACTGGGGAAGTGATTCTTAAATTTTAGTACATATAAGAATCACCTGGATATCTTATAAACTGTTGATTTCCAGCCCTTGTCCTCAAAATTGCTTATCCCAGCAAATCTCATCAAAGGAATTTACATTGCTAATTGGCACTGAAGGTGATTCTGACATAAGTTGTATTTCGCCTTTGATTCTACATTCCCACCCCATACTACAATGCTTTTGACAAGCTTGAAAGAGGATGTTCTTTAAAGTTGACTTTATATTCCTTAATTTCTCAACTTCAATCTTAAAATATGTTTCTGGGGCCTCATTAAATTTGTTTAAAGTGTGTACCTATTCTTATTTTAATATTTCTAGTATGAAATAACTCTATAGGGCTTGTATTTGCCAACAATATCCTATTGTTTGCTAGTATAAACATTGAAGGCAGATATAGCTCCTAAACGTATTCATATATATTCTATTTATTTAACAAAGTTTTTAAAATCTAAGTATCTAATATCACATGTCTTTCACTGACTTTGGCTCTATAGCTGTAGGCAATCAGTCTTGCAGTGCATTAGCTACTGTATAGCCCTAATCTTCTTTCTGAACAGTTCCATTTCTTTTTCATCATCATTGCTCCTTCCCTATATTTCAGACCATGATATTTTCTATACTTATTACATCAATTACAATAACCTGTCATCTTTAGCGTATAGCTTATTTTTGTCCCAAAATTCAATTTTTAAATTTAAAATATGAAAATATTTTCATCAGATTCCCATTGACTCAATGTTTCTTTCTCTTTTTTTTCTTTGAGACGCAGTCGTGCTCTGTCACCCAGGCTGGAGTGCAGTGGCGCAATCTCGGCTCACTGCAACCTCTGCCTCCCAGGTTCAAGCAATTCTCCTGCCTCAGCCTCCTGAGTAGCTGGGATTAGGGGCACCCACTACCATGCCTAGCTAATTTTTGTATTTTTAGTAGAGAAGCGGTTTCACCATATTGGTCAGGCTGTCTCGAACCCTGACCTCATGATCCGCCCTCCTTGGCCTCCCAAAGTGCTGGGATTACAGGCGTGAGCCACTGGGCCCGGCCGACTCAATGTTTCAAATCACTTAATCAGAAATTAACATCTCTTGTTATTTTGTTTAGCCATGGAATAGTGATTCTTGCAGCAATTCAAGAGTTTATAAAACAAACATATTTTGGTTAAATGCAATATCCCCAAACTGCCAAGCCAGTCAAAAACCACAGCTAATCATCGTACCCTGTCATCATATCTGTATTTTACCTACAGATTTAAAATAAATGTATACCAATTCGAATAATAGAGTTAAAATAACAAAAAATAAACAAACCTATTATAGCATACTGAATTTCCCCCAAATATAAATTACAAATCAATAATCATAAATGAAAGATATTTTATGGCATTTAAAAAAACTTACCTGGTACGTTAAAATTCTTCATCACTTAATATTATCTTCTTTTCTCCAACTAGTGAAGCATTAGGCTTAAATTATCATTTCTAGTGCAGTATTCTTTACGTGGTAGAAAAACCAAAAATAATGTTCATTACACCAGAATGAATGTAAACGAACTAAAAGATTATCTACCAGAATGAATGTAAAAGAACTAAAAAATTATCTATCACATTTCTTCTACTCCTTTTTCCCTTTGTTTTCAACTCCAGAGAGTTGAAAGAATAGAGAGAAGGTAGGTGTTGTTTTCCTGGACCACATTTAAAAAAACATTAAATACCAAGGAACCTGTGGTTATTTTACATGAATAACAAATAAAAAGGAGTGTTGATAGGCACTGCATATTCAGTAGTGATCATCTTAAGAATACATGAATAAATGCTTGTAAATCTATTTGTAAAAAATACAAAAAGACTTCTTCTAGCCTTCTTTTATCTTGTATCAATGGATAGGTCATCTGCCTGCTATTCCATTTTCTCTAACTCCTTTCCCTGAAGCTGAGTTCTGAAAATTATTATAAGGGTTTGAACTGTAGTGAAGTACTCATCTGTAATTACTATATTTAGACTTGAAGTTTTTGTTGATGCTTCAGTTTATGTGTTACCATAGATTGAAAGCAGACAGTACAAAAAGATTTTTGAATGATGGCATGAGAAACTCTACAGAACCTTTTTCCCAGCCGAATGATCATAGCTGATAAAAATTATTTTTTTAAAAAAAGAACTATTTAAAGTCTCTAGAAACTGTCTTATGGGTAAGTAGGAATGGAGGACAAGAAAACTTAAGAAATTTACCAAATCTTAATATGAACAGTGAAAGTTAGTGGCATGTGAACCATAGCTTGCTCTGTCTCCCTGCCTCATGGCTCAGAATGATGGAAGCTCAAATCCCAGTGGCTATAGCCAAGAACACAGGACTCCCTTTCCCTCTACCTTTTATTCTAAAATTATGGCATCTCTCCAGGAAGTGCAGAATACCATCATTTCTCATCCTCCACCCCTGCTTTGTTTTGCATAAGCTCTATTCCAGACAAGGCTGGATAAGAAGAACAGGACTTTCTTCTTCCATCCAGGCCTCATTTAGAGAGGGGAAGCCCCAACAAAGGAACAGGAGGCCAGGAACACTGAACCCTTATCAGCCTCACCCCAGATCACTTGTAAGTTACCTGTTCCATGCTGGTCAGGCAGCCCAAGAAGACTAGAAGTGATCACCACTTGTCAGTGCCCTATTCATAAAGCAAGGGAGTAACTTGAATAAGAGAAGCATCTCGTCCCTACCCATGCTTTGGAGTAGGGTTCAGAGTTGCTTCTCGGAAGGAGAGTGAAAACATAAGAGCAGAGAGCTCCATGGGCTTCATTGCCTCTGTTTGGAACAGATTGTGAAGAAGTTCAACCCTAAAGGTGCTTTCAAAAACAATGGAGACTTCAGTAGTAAACAGTAAAGAAGAGGCTGGTAACTCCTTATTAGCAACAAGCTAAACATTGGACTAGCTAGAAATTTATCAGAGAAAATCAAGAAAGAGAAAGATGAAAAGAGACCACCTAGCATGTCAGTGAAAGCCTCAAAGACCAATCTTAAAGTCTATAAAAGGGCCCAACATCAATTATATCACAAGTGAAACAATTTATGCCCCACCCAGGCATTGTTAAAGCAATAGAATCAGCTGGCAATTAGTGGAGCCTAACTTCTGGGTGTGATATCAGCAGATGTAGGCAGCATAACCGAGATATCAAGGAAAGCAACTTTTGAGTCCCCTCTTTCATAGTGAAAGCCCACATGCCAAAGGCTGACCCATCTGAGGACAAAATTAGATGTTTCACACTGTGGCTGAAATATACTTCACTAGAAGATACTTACAGGCTTTTATTATAAGCCCCAGCCTGTGCTCCACACAAGGTTATTGCACAGATAACTTTTCTATACTAGCACTCTTGCTTCTTTCTATTCTTTCTTGCTTGGGCTCACACAATCTTATTAACTCCTATTTAGCAGGTCCAATTAATATAGCTTTAAAGGCAGATTTCCATGTTTCTGTTTTATAACACTACATAGAGGAAATGTCCCCTAGTCAGACACCCTAATTATCTCCATAATATATTTAGGTAAATTAAATAAAACTAGTTAACACATTCAAACACCAGTTTTACTCTAAACTTATTTTTTTTCTATTTTACATTTTCTTATACACCCAGTAATGCACCTCTCTGAGAGAAGAAACAATCATACCTGAATTTCACTGGTAACCTTTACTTTCAGTAACTGACTACAGCATATCTGCTATTTTATACCATGGGGAACCTCATGGCCACTTGTAAATCAAGCTTCCCTATCTCCTTCCCTTTCATTACTTCTCTTCTCAAAGCACAGATTTCAATGAGCCAGGATCATGCTAGTGACTCCCATATCTGACACCAACTATTCTGACACCAACCCTAACTGAGGTAGTACAATTCAATTCTGCCATGAACCACCCAGAGTTAGCACAGACTCAAGAAGTTAAAGGGCACAGTCCACAACAAGATTGTCTTCAGTTCAGATCAACTGGCTACAAATCGAGAATATTTCCACCACCCTCCTCAGGTCTTATAATTTCACTAGAACCACTCATAAGACTGAGGAAAACACTATACTTAGCATTACAATTTTATTAAAAAGGACTCCACTCAGAAATAGCAAAACAAAGAGATACACAGGGTGAGGTTCCCAGGGGTCTGGAATATAGAATTCATATGCCTTCTTAGGTTGCATCATTCTCCTTGCATGTCAGTGTGTTCACCAATCAGGAAAGTCCACTGAGCATTAGTGTCCAGGGTTTTTGTTGAAATGTAATTACATAGGCATGGTCAATGTAATCCATTGGCCACATAATTGAACTCAATGTACAGCCTCCCTCCCTTCCACAGAGGTTAAGGGTAAGGCTGATATTGTTGGCACAAAACTGCAAGCCTCTAATCATATGAGTGGCCTTTCTGACATTAGCAGCCTCAATCTTAAAAGCTATTTAAGGTCTTACCATGAGTCACCTCATTAGTACAATTTCAAGTGTATTTCAAGGGGGCGTTGAATAACCAAGATACTTCCATCATTGGAAAGTTATAAGAGTTTTTAGAATTTTAGTGGTAAGAAAGTGAAAGAAAGGCCAGACAATTTTTAAATTATACAACAGGAACTTCAAAGTTGAAAAGCTTATATAAAAAAAAGAACTCATATGAGTAACCAGAACCACCTTCTTAAAACACTGAGAAAAGTAAACACACACATACACACAGCAAATATTAAAGGGTAATAAATATTAGAGCAGAAAGTAACAAAATAAAGACTGGGAAAATAAGAGAGATAATTAATGATACCAAGATTTGGTTCTTGGAATAGACCAAAATATTGACAAACCATTAGTTATATTAGTAAAGAAAAAAAAAACAGAGACAGGATGCAACTTAATATCAAGAATGGAAGAAGAGGAGATATGGCTACCAATGTTGTAGAATAATAAAGAGGCTTATAAGAAAACACTATAAACAACTTATGCCAAAAAATTTGGTCACTTAGACAAAGTGAACAAATTCTGAGAAAGTACCAAAACTGACTCACAAAATTATAGCAAATGAGAATAGATCTATAACAAGAAGCTGAATTAAAAAATTAAACATTTCTAATAAAAAAAACTCAGTCCTAGCTGGGGAAGGTTACTTATGCCAGTAATCCCAGCACTTCAGAAGGCAAAGGAGGGCGATCATGAGGTCAAGAGATGGAGATCATCCTGGCCAACAAGGTAAAATCCCATCTCTACTAAAAATACAAAAATTAGCCAGGCATGGTGGTGTGCACCTGTAGTCCCAGCTACTCAGGATGCTGAGGCAGGAAAATTGCTTGAATCTGGGAGGCAGAGGTTGCAGTGAGCTGAGACTGCACCACTGCATTCCAGCCTGGGCGACAGAACGAGACTCCATTTCAAAAAAAAAAAAAAAAACCCAGTTCCAAAACCCAGTTCCAAATTGCTCAATGATTTCTACAAAACATTGAAATAATACATATAAATTCTTCACTAACTTTTACAAAAATATTAGAAGAGGAGAGAGCACTTTCCAAGTAATTCGATGACGCAAGTATTATGCTGTATCAAAACCAGAAAAAGATAGAGAAAAATAAAACTAGAGGCCAATGTCTCTTACAAAAATATATGTAAAAACTGTCAGGAAAATACTAGCAATTGAATCCAGAAACATAAAAAGATTACACACAAAGATCAAGTGCAATTTCTTCCAAGGATGCAAGAGTGCCATAACATCTTAAAGTTAATTGATGTAACACACACTATCTCAAAAGACACAGAAAAAATCATTTGACAAAATTCACACCCCATTTATATCAACTATATAAAGTGTCCAGAACAAGCAAATCTATAGAGGCAGAACTTTTATCAGTGGTTGTCTAGAGTTGAGGGTGGGGGTGGCTGTAAAAGTAGAGCGACTGCGGCCAGGCACAGTGGCTCACGCCTGTAATCGCAGCACTTTGGGAGGCCGAGGCGGACAGATCACAAGGTCAGGAGTTTGAGACCAGCCTGGCCAATATGGTGAAACCCCATCTCCACTAAAAATACAAAAATTAGTTGGGTGTGGTGGTGGACACCTGTAGTCCCAGCTACTTGGGAGGCTGAGGCAGGAGAATCACCTGAACCTGGGAGGCAGAGGTTGCAGTGAGCTGAGATCACGCTACTGCACTCCAGCCTAGGCGACAGAGTGAGACACTGTCTCAAAAAAAAAAAAAAAAGAAAAGAAAAGAAGACAAAAGAAAAAATTTAAAAAGCAGAGTGACTGCTAATTGGAGATGGAGTTTCTTTTACAGGGACTGCTGTTAAAATGCTCTAAAATTGATTGTGGTGATAGCTGTGCAACATTGTTTATATACTAAGATGCAATGAATTGTACACTAAGCGGCTAAATTGTATTATATATTCATTATATTACCATAAAGCTTTTGAAGAGAAAAATTGCAAAAGTGCAAACGTAAAGTCAAGTGGAAATGACACTCCAAGGTATATGAATAGAATAAAAGGAAAGAAAAATATACAAGTATATATAGTAATGAGACCTACTTAATTAGATGCATAGAATTATATGATCTATTTCAGTCACTATATTAAATTTGGCATAATACAGAAGACATGTAAGAAAACTAATAAAGCTCTTAGATTCTCATTTGAGCAGACCCCCAAATGAGATGTTTTTTATGTCCCAATTTTAAAGATTATTTTGCTCTGGAGGATTTAGGATCTATTTTTTTCATTAGTTTTCAGAAGAAAAAATCATTTACTTAAATCAGAGCTGGCTTTAGTAACCACAAATTTTATGCAGTCATATTAATATTTGAGAAAAAATATATTTAAATCTAAATATTTCACCCAGGAAAATATTATAAATTATGGTATTTGTACCTTTGGCTTTACAAAAATTAAAACAAAAAAAGCCCTGAGTGTTTATTGAAATAAATACTAAATATACTGTTAACAAAAAAAAAATCTCAGCAGAGTCCTGCTTCGTGTTATATTAATGTTATATTAATGTTACAGCTACTACTTTTTCCTTTTTAATGTTTAATAAAATCATGAATTATCATCAGAAATCTAAGAATAATTCTCTAAAACTGCACTGCTTTCTCACAATGTGTAATTCATCTAAATACAAAGAAAAAAATAACTTACACCCATACACCAAAAAATTAGTATCCTTTAGACACTTTGATCTCATATACAATACGTATTTTTGCTCTTGTGTACTTATTATCCTGAAAAATAAATCTCTAGAACTTAACAAATATAGTCAATAAAACGTAACTTCACTGTAATTAGATTTGCAGTAATAAAGTAGTATGGAGTTTACAAAATTTAAAGAAAGTGAACATATTATATGATGTATTGTACTAATTAGGTTTGTTTTTATTTTTATATTTTTTGAATTATGCATTTACTATAATTCTTCTGGGTGAAAGCAAAACAAAATTCACCTTTTATTTTTTGAAAGAGTGAAATGAAAAGGTCAAGTTCAAGCCACCTAAAATTTATAAATGTTCAACTTTTGTATCTTCTAACAAAATTAATTCAATCTATCCCTTTATTATTTTATTGATTTATATATTGTTGCTGAACACATTTATTAGCTGCCTAGCTTGGCACTATAAATACGTGTGTGTGTGTGTGTGTGTGTGTGTGTGTGTGTCTGTATATACACGTTAGAGAGATATGTTTTCTACATATTGGGACAGTTGCTGTGACAGTCTTCTCAACTAATAAATACAACAATTTTTCAGTGTGCTTTATTATGGAACCATTTTACCTGTAATATGGCGTACTTTGAATTTAATTTCAACTTCCTTACCATAGTTTTGTAAATAAGACTAAAGGAAATTTGTGCTGGAGGAAGAGCAATGTTGCAATTATTGCCAATATTTCCAAATAACTAAAAGAACGAAATTGTAATGTTTCCCAAACAAAGAAATAATAAGTGCTTGAAGTAATGGAAACCTAATTAGCCTGACTTGATCATTTCACATTGTATGCTTGTATCAAAATTTCACATGTGCCCCAGAAATATATACAACTTTTATATATACATATTAAAAATTTTAAATTGATTAATAAATAAAAATGTTGGGAATATTAAAGAGTGGACCTATAAACTCACTCTTATTACAGTGGTTCCTATTTATTTATTTACTTATTTATTTATTTATTTATTTATTTATTTATTTTTTGAGGTGGAGTCTCCTTTGTCACCCAGGCTGGAGCGCAGGGGCGCAATATTGGCTCACTGCAACTTCCACCTCCCTGGTTCAAGAGATTCTCCTGTCTCAGCCTCCTGAGTAGCTGAGATTACAGGTGCCCATCGCCTCGCCAGGCTAATTTTTTTGCATTTTCTTTAGTAGAGACAGGGTTTCACTATGTTGGCCAGGCTGGTCTCGAACTCCTGACCTTAGGTAATCCGGCTGCCTCAGCCTCCCAAAGTGCTGGGATTACAGGCATGAGCCACTGCGCCCAATCCCTGTGGTTCCTATTTAAATAAAGACATTTTTTCCCCGTCATTCCACTCTTTTTGGTTGTATAAATCTAGCACATAGCATAATGTCCTGAAATTACTCACTTATCATAGGTTTTGAAACGATCGCTTGCTCAAATGTCTTTCCTTCTAAATTGATAGCACAAACTGTGATTTTTCACCATTAAATCTCAATTACTTGGTACAATGTTTGACAGATACTTCGTTTTCAATAATGTTTATTAAAAGAATAAATTATGAATATGTTTAACACCTACGTTAAGGTTCCAGAGAGACAGAACCATATATATTTTATCTCTCATTTTATATATATATGTGAGATTATATATATTATATATGAGATTATATATTATATATGAGATTATATATATGAGATTATATATAATATATGAGATTATATATAATATATAAGAGATTATATATTATAGATAATATTTTTACTAATTATTAATTAGCAAGAGATCTCATTTTCTTAATTGCTTAGAAAATGGTGAACTCTGTATTTAGGTTAAATCACTGGTAGCTTGGAAAACGTTATTGTATCTCTGATAGTTTGTCTAGTTGCTTTTTTTTAATCTTCAAAAATGCCTATCATTTTAATAAAACAGATATCAGGTATGAAGTCTTGGTAAAAATTTGACTTACTCTTTATAAATCCTTATCCAATTTTGATTCAATTTTGTAAAAAACGTTATAAATTTTGCTTAAATGATGTTTGACTATTAATGACCTTCAGATATCCTGTCACTCTTCAAATAAATATTATGTGGCACAATTATCCATATTTCATAGATGGGAAAACAAAGTTCCCCAAATGGGTGATGAGTTTTAAAAATCACGAAACTGGTGTCAGAACTATAATTGAAGCCCAAATTTGAAAGCCGAGGTACGAATTCTGGGCTGCCCACCTTCCCTCTGTACCACATGCTTAAAGATGCTGGACATAAAATCACATTTATGCACATATACAAACGGTTTCAGGCAAACCTCGTAATCCGTAGGATGAGAATGTTCTTGGAGTGGACTGCTTCATCTCTCCCGTATGCTCTTTCTGCTGTGTGTGAGTTAGAGAGTGGTAGTGAAAATCCCGCAGAAGGACGGAACCAACAGGCTATCAGGCGTGTGTGCAGGGAGCTTACTTGGGGAACTGGCTGGCGTTTCAACGCGACGCCCAGAACAGGCCGCACAGAAGCTGCAGGGCTCCGCCACGTCCCAGGCCCCCAAACCAGAGAGGCCCACCGTGTGCTCCTAGTCAGTCCTCCAAGGCCCGAGAGCCCCAGGGGCCACAGGCTGAAGAACCTGGAGTCTGACTCCCAAGGGCAGCAGGAGAGGAAGCAACCGCCCAGCACAGTAAGAGAGAGTGAGCCACAGGGAGAAAACCCTGCACGCTGCTCATCCGCCATCTTCTGTCGGCCGGGTTCCAGCCGCGCTGGCACCGGATTGGCTGGTCCCCCACACTGAGGGCAGGTCTTCTTCTCCCAGTCACCCACTCAGCTGTCAATCTCCTCTGGCAACGCCCTCACAGTCTCTTGAGAAAGAACTTTGCCCAGCCATCTAGGCACCCTCCTCCAGCCACGCTGACCCCTAGGATTAGCCATCACAGATAGTATTTGTCTGCGTGAATATTTATTTGTTATTGAGTCTCAC
Organism: Homo sapiens; assembly: GCF_000001405.40. Classification (NCBI taxonomy): domain Eukaryota; kingdom Metazoa; phylum Chordata; class Mammalia; order Primates; family Hominidae; genus Homo; species Homo sapiens. Next base: position 53,812,168 of record NC_000007.14, read on the forward strand.
TCTGTCGTCCAGGCTGGGGTGCAGTGGTGCGATTTCGGCTCACTGCAACCTCCGTATTTCTGGTTCAAGCGACTCTCCTGTCTCAGCCTCTCGAGTAGCTGGGATTATCGGCCTGTGCCACCACGCCCGGGTAATTTTTGCATTTTTTGGTAGAGACAGGGTTTCGCCATGTTGGCCAGGCTGGTCTTGAACTCCTGACCTCAAGTGATCCGCCTGCCTCCCCCTCCCAAAGTGCTGGGATTACAGGCACGAGCCACCGCGCCGGCCTGCCTTGCAGATTTCAACTGTGATTACAGCACACTCTGGTTGACAAAAATGGAAGCCTTTTGATTAACTTAATGTATGTAGACAGATTATGTTTAACTAATTTAAAAATCTTTCTTCAACCATTTGGGTTACATTTCCCAATAGCCGGGGAGTCTTTTAGCATCAATGTCCAAAATTTCTGAATTAAAAAAAAAAAGAATCATTGGTTTGAAATGTCTCAAAAGCAATACTCTTTTCTTTTCTGGGTTGATAAAGGATGGAGTATTGTCACAAAATATTAAAATTTATGAGACATCTTGGAAATGATGGGTAAATGTGAAGAAAATACTATAAAGAAATTTTCTGGAAAACCCAGGATTATGATTTTTTTATAGTTTAAAAATCACAAAATTTGATTTTGCAATAAGCCTTCTAAAATTCATATTTCCTACTAAATATAATTTATAAATCCATTTATATCATCCTGACTTTTGCAATGAAACAAAATTGGCTCTAGACTTTCTGCCTGTCTTTTGTGTGAAGTCCATCACCTTCCCAAGATTTCTGCGAATAGACCTGACATTGCTGTGGTCTCTGCCAAATCGGAGTTTCTGCTTTCACTGAATTTACTTATTTCCAACAAGATTGCTATGAAATCAAAACGATGTTGTGTTTTGTTTGTTTGTTATGTTTTGTGTGGTCGTTGTATTGTATAAATCAATCTCATCATTTGCAGGGATTTACAACTCTATAGATAGCAACGATTGAACATACCGTTTCCTCTAATTTCTTAATTTAGAATGTTTTCCTTGCATCTTTGATACAGATTTCCATGACTACAATCATAATACTGCTCCATTCCTCCATCTTTTTGTGAGTATACCATTTCTTTAAATACATCTGAAATGTAGTATGTAGTGTGCAATATAAGAAAGAGAATCTAATCTATTCTGCTGGCAGGTTCAGGGTCTTTTCCAACTTACAACTTCTTTAACCCACACCTACATCCACCATTGGGAGCCCAAGGAACGTTTATATCCATAAATCCTCAAGAGTGTTACACAGCACTTTGACATTTGCCTTCATGACATCATAATAACTCATTACCTATTAAAAAGTGACTTTTTTTTAAACTATTGAATTACATACAGTTCATTGCTGTAACAATACCCAAAACACAATGGTTTCATAAAATAAACATTTACATCTTGCTCACTAGACAGCCATCTAGGGATCTCACAAATGCTAATGCTTAGAATATAGTGAAAACCTGTATAGGGGACTATAAAAATATCTTTCATTGGTCCCTGATTCCACCTGTTATAGCTCCTTTGGGAACTTGAGAATCACCACTACACCCTAACTTCTTCTGAAGGGATCATTGATATGCACACTTTCTGCAGAACTCTAAAGCATTCTCAGCTGTTCTCTTGTTTGAGCGTCTAGATAAAAAGCTATAAAGCTGTTTTAAAACTTGAACAAGCAAAGAATTTTTAGTCTAAAACTTTGCTATATTTAATTATAGTCAGACATCTATGTTGATTAAAACAACCAAAATTATATCAAGACATAATTACAGTTCCTAATTTTATTTCTTTGTTTTTGTTTTGTTTTTTGACACATGGTCTTCCTCTGTTGCTCAGGCTGGAGTGCAGTAGCACAATCGTGGCTTACTCTAACCTCCACCTACTGGGCTTAAGCGATCCTCCCACCCCAGCTTCTCGAGTAGCTGGGACTACAAGTGTGCACCACCATACCTGGCTAACTTTTTTTGTACTTTTGTAGAGAAAGGGTTTCACCATGTTGCCCAGGCTGGTCTCCAACTCCTAGGCTCAAGTAATCTGCCTGCCTCAGTCTCCCAGAGTGCTGGGATAGAAGGTGTGAGCCACCATACTTGGCCTGTTCCTTTGTTTCCTTAACATGGTGTGTTTGTTTGTCTGTTTCTCTCTCTTCTACTAACCCCCAACCCACCTTGTCCCTCTCAATTCAATGGAGACTTCCAAAAGTAGTCTTTTTAACCCTGTAATGCCATGCATTCCAAACTCAACTCCCTTTCATGCATACTTTGTGACCTCGTCAATTCTGTCCTATGTACATATGTTTATTTATAATCTTGTCAAATAAGAATCCAAAAGTTTTCCCAGTATATCATGAGTCTCCATTGATTCAAACTGGTCTATCTGTTTTCTGGTGCCTGCTGTCCTACAAAATAGGTGGTGTTACATATTTTAGGTGTTTTTGTAAATAATATGATTAGTGGGACATTCTGGAAACCACAATATGGATCTCAGAAATAAGAAAGGGTACAAGTCCATACACTGTTATAATAAACCAAGAGTTTCCATAGTTTGGAATTTAATGATGAAAAAGGAAGGAAGGAAGGAGGGAAGGAAGAAAGGAAGGAAGGAAGGAAGGAAGGAAGGAAGGAAGGAAGGAAGGAAGGCAGGCAGGCAGGCAGGCAGGCTAAAAGAATCTAAGAATAATCAAATTTATATGATAACATAATAATAATGATGATATTTGTAATTTTGGAGCCCAACTCTGTGCCCATACTATGGTAAGCTCTTAAAATATACTTTCTCCCTTCACCCTACATATTTTTAGCATGTATACTATTACACTTATTTTACAGTTAAAAAAACTAAACTTCAGAATAATAAAGATGCTTGCTGAAGATGATACACTGCTAAATTTTTTATTCTTTGTTTAGAATCTTTTCATTAAACATTGTTGGGTCCCTTCAGTTATCATAACAAACTCTTATGAATTTGATTTCAATTTATGGTAGGTAGAATTCTAAGATGATTCACATGACCTTGTATTAATCATGTTTTTTTTCCCCTGTATTTTATGATGGTTTCACATCTTGAGAACCTTCCTGCCTATGGAGAGATTGCCCCTTCCAGTGTAATTCAAGCTAACTCCTGGGAGTTTTTAGAGATAAAACACAACTTGCCTTTGAACATACTTTTCATATAGAAATCAAATAGTACAGCCTATGCCTCAAATCACCTTCATTATCTAACTCTCGCACACAATGCCAATTCTTTCCCTATCCTAAATCACCCCAGGGCCAGGAGCAAGCTAGAGACTACCCTTATGTTCCAGAGCCTGTTAAAATTATTCCAATGATCCCATCTTCCCTTCTTTCCCATAGAAAACACAATACAGCCTCTGGGGCAGGCTTTCTCTTGCACCTTCTGCCTCCTGGCTGATCATGGTGCTTTCTCAGATGCCCTTGCATGATGCAGCCTGGCTCCCTTGTCTTGGAAACTTTCAGTGATATTCTTTCAATGGCATTGACCTGTCACCTCTGTAAATTAAAATCCCATGGGTTTTAGACAGCCCTCTTTCTTCTGCAGCCTCCTTCTCCTTGAGTGTGGATGAAACCCATGGCTAAGATGACACATCGCTCCCTTAATTGTATTATGTACTATGGCAATGGGGGAGGTTATCCTGGGCATGTGCTAATCAAGTGTGCACTTTAAAGGCACCACTTTTTTCCAGCTGGTTATAGGAAATTATTTGATTAGCCTGGAAAATGACAAACATCATGTTGTTCATTGCTTAAGGGAGTCAAGTCGTAAGAAATTGTGGTGGCCTCAAAGTGCTGAGGGTTTTCTCAGCCAATAGTAGAAACACAGTGTACCTAGCCCTGAATCCCCGTGGAATGAATTCTGCCAAAAAAAAAAAAAATTCAAGACTGGTAAAAGGATCTTGAACCTCCAGTAGGAACTGCAGCCCCAGTGGATACCTTTATTTCAGCCCAGTGAGACTCTGAACAGAGAATCCAATCACCCTGAGGAGGAATTCTGACCACGATATACGGTGGACCCTTGAACAACACCAGTTTAAACTGCATGGGATCACATACACACAAATTTCTTTTCAACAAATATATTAAAATACTTTTTTAGGGAATATGTGACAATTTGAAAAAAAACTTGCAAATAGCATAGCTTAGAAATATAATAAAAATTTAAGAAAAAATTAGATATGTCATGAAGACAGAAAATATTTGTAGCTACTAGTCTATTTCACTATCACTACCATAAAATGCACACAAATCTGTTATAAAAATTAAAATTTATCAAAATTACACACACAAACACAAAACATACATGGTACCATTCAGTCCAGAGAAATGTAAACAAACATGAAGATGGAATATTAAATAATAACTGCATAAAATTAACTGTAGTAATGCTGTACTACTCTAATAATTTCAGAGCCATCCCCTGTTGCTATTGCAGGGAACCCAAGCGTTGCTAAGATCCACTTAAAATGCCCTGTGAAGATAATCATCTCCATGTGAGCCTCTCATCTCTTCAGTAAATTGCTTATCCCAATAAAAAGCAATCTCTCATGGCTCTTGCATATTTTTTCATTGTGTTCGATGCAACATGGTAAATCTTGAATAACCTATACAAAGTACCACTAGTTAAGCTGGAAGTGTTCACAAGAAGGAGAGAAAAGTCATGGCATTACGAGAAAAAGTTGAATTGCTTGGGATGTACCATAGACAGAGGTCTGCAGCTGCCATTGCCCACCATTTTAAGATATATGAACTCAGCATAAATATCATTGTGCAAAAGAAAAGAAAATTCAGGAAGTCATAGCTGCACCTCTTCCAGCAGTCATGAAAATCTTACACTGTTTGGGAAATACCTTTTTATCTCATATTGAAGATGCAGCTTTTATGTGGGTGCAGGCTGGCTACATAAAAGGCGTAACTATAGACTCATATGATTTGAGAAAAAGTAAAGTCATTATATGACAACTTAAAGCAAAAGGAAGGAGAAGAATCTAAAGCTGAAGAATTTAATACCAGTGTAAAAATGGTTTGATAATTTTAGCAAAAGTTTTGGCTTAAAAAAATGTCAAGATTACTGGAGAAGCAGCTTCTGCCAACCAACAGGCAGCAGAAAAGTTCTCAGATGCCATTAAGAAAATCATTAAGAAGGCAGAATATCTGCCTGAACAGGTTTTTAATGCAGACAAAAGTGCCCCATTCTTGGGGGAAAAAAAAGCCACAAAGGACACTGATTAGCAAGGAAGAGTAACGAGCATCATGATTTAGGCCAGGAAGGGATAGGCTAACTCTTCTGTTTTGTGCAAATGGCAGTCCAATTTATGATCAGGATTGCTCTTATCTATAAAGCTGCTAACCCCAGAGCCTTCAATGGAAAAGATAAACACCAGCTGCCAGCTTTTTGTTTGTACAACAAGAAGCCCTGGACAATGAGAACCCCTTTTCTATATTGGTTCCATCAATGGTTTGTCCCTGAAATCAGGAAGTGCCTTGCCAGTAAGGGACTGCCTTTAAAGTTATTTTAATATGGGACAACACTGCTGTTCTCCAAGAAACTCATTAGTTCAACACCAGAGGTGTCAAAGTGGTCTACCTGCTCCCAAACACAACATCTCTAATTCAGCCTTTATATCAGGAAGTCCTAAGTTGGGTTCTTATGCACAGTAAGAGGAGGATTGTCAATCATCTATGGAGAGGACGGTCAAGGCTATAGAAGAGCATCTTGAGGGAACATCATAGAAGTCTGGAAGGATTACACCATTGAAGATGCCATTGTTGTTACAGAAAAGCCTGGAAGGATTACACTATTGAGGATGCCATTGTTGTTACAGAAAAAGGTGTAAAATCCATCAAGTCAGAAGCAATAAATTTCTATTGGAGAAAACTATGTTTAGATGTTATACATGACTCCACATGATTAAAGACAGAGCCAAATCAAGGAAATCATGAAAGAGATTGTACATATGGAAAAAGTATGGGAGTGGTGGTGTTGTAAATGGTTTCAAGTTACAAATCTTGGAAAAATCAGGAACTAATAGACACCACACCAGAGGGATTAACAGAAGATGACTTGGTGGAGATGAGTGCATTCAAACCAGTGCCAGATAATGAGGAGGACATAGAATAAGTAGTGCCAGAAAACAAATTGACAGTAGACAATGTGGCACAAGGGTTGTCATTATCCAAGAGTGCTTGCTTTTGACTTCTTTACAACATGTATCCTTTTATGATAACTGAGCCCTGACACTAAAGCAAATGGTGGAAGAAGACTTTGTGGAAGAAGAAATATATAGAAACATTTTTTTAGAGAAACAAAAAAGCAAAAAAAGTTACACAAAAATTACAATATATCTGCATGGTTGTGGGGAGTAAAGAGTTATACTTGGATTTTCAACTGCACAGGGGGTTGGTGCCCATAACCCTCACATTGTTACATGGAGTGTTCCTGCCTCTCCTGCTTCCCCTTCCACATCTACCACCTCTTCTTCCACTTCCTTTCCAGGATAGTGGGACCAGCTCCCCCTCTCCCTCCTCCTCTTCAGCCTACTCAACATGATGACCATGAGGACGAAGACCTCTATGATGACCCGCTTCCACTAAATTATTATTAAATATATTTTCTCTTTCTTATGATTTCCTGAATAACATTTCCTTTTCTCAGACCTATTTTAATGGAAGAATAGGCAGTTCCCTTTTTTTTGTTTTGCTTTTTTTGTTTGTTTTTTGTTTCTTTTTCTTTTTTTTTTTTTTTTTTTGAGACAGAGTCACTCTGTCGCCCAGGCTGGCGTGCAGTGGCACGGCATGCTCTTGGCTCACTGCAACCTCTGCCTCCCAGTTTTAAGCAATTCTCTGCCTCAGCCTCCCGAGTAGCTGGGATTACAGGCACCTGCCACCATGCCTGGTTAATTTTTGTATTTTTAGTAGAGATGGGGTTTCACCATGTTGGCCAGGCTGGTCTTGAACACCTGACCTTGTGATACACCCACCTCAGCGTCCCAAAGTGCTGAGATTACAGGTGTGAGCCACCACACCCAGCCTAGGCAGTTCATGTTATTAATAAGGCTTCCAGTCAACAGTAGGCCATTAGTAGCTATGTTTTTGGAAGCCAAAACTTATACTGAGATTTTCAACCACTCGAGCATTGTTGCCCAGATGGTCTGCATTGTTCAGGGATCCACTGTGAATATGAAACTGCCAATTGTGTGGTAGTTTGATACACAGAAACATAAAACTAATACAGGAATTCTACTATATTGAGTTATTTATTTTTTATTTTGGCTCCCTCCCTCTATGATCTAATAATATATTATCCAAAGATTCCAATATAATTGCTATTGGTATATGTTAAAAATCTTTCAAGTACATAGAGAAATTTACAATTGCTCTTTAAAATGTTTTCCTTTTTACATTTCTTGAGAGGTAGGCATATGAGCACATTTCTGCATGATTTTAAAATATATTTTATTATCTGAGTTTTTGTTATTTTTGTTGGCTGCTCAAATTAAATTAGGTCTGTCAAAAAGTAGTCATGCTACCATTTAGAGAAGGATGTAGCAGTGTACAATGATTAAGTTACAAAGTTTAGTAATTTTAAAGTATGCCAATCATTCACAAAATATCAAGTCAAAATCACTTTTGATTTTTATCATATTCTCCAAGCTTTAAACATATACTACATAATATTCTATACAAAAATATCATTCCCTTTTTCAAGTATATGTATATACATATATATGTATATAATATGTGTATATACACGTATTATATACATACACGTATTATATACATATATAATACGTGTATATATACACACATATATATGTGTATATATACATATTATATACATACATAATATGTGTATATATACACATACATATATATATATGTGTATATATATATATATTTTTTTGAGACGGAGTCTCGCTCTGCTGCCCAGGCTGAACTGCAGTGGTGTGATCTTGGCTCACTGCAACCTCTGCTTCCCAGAGTCAAGCAATTATCTGCCTAAGCCTCCCAAGTAGCTGGGATTACAGGCACCCATCACCATGCCCAGCTAATTTTTGTATTTTTAGTAGAGATGGGGTTTCACCATCTTGGCCAGGGTGGTCTTGAACTCCTGACCTCATGATCCATCTGCCTTGGCCTCCCAAAGTGCTGGGATTACAGGCATGAGCCACCGCACCCGGCCTCAAGTATATTTCTAATACATTTAGGCCCTGTGTAGATATTTGAAGACTAAAGCCAAGCACTGAGAAAAAGAATTAAACTTGATTTTCCTAAAATCATGAAATGACTGCAATTTACAATAGAAAGATATAATTACATTATTTCATGATTTAAAGCATTTGAACACTTTTACATTAGCTTTCTTTGAAAAAGCCTTCCAATTATCAGATTAAAAGAATTAAAAAAAAACACACAGCTGTATATAAGTACATATACCTTCATGAATGCTAAAAAAAGCTTTATAGTAAATTTTTAAAAAATATAGCAATAAAAACAAATTATGGCATAACATATGATAAAGGAATTAAATAAAGCATGGCTGTTATATCAATACAAGTAAAAATATTAACCTCAAGTATTAAATGGGGAATCTAAAACAAAAGTTACTTTTCAGTCTCAAATCAAGAAACATTAGAAATGGAATAAAAGAGAGCAACTTGTAATGATACAAAAACAATTTGATAGTAACAAATAAATTCTGTAAATACATATTGATTTGCAAAACTAAAGGTAACTTAAAGAAGCATTGGAATATCATTTTGATAGTATGAAAATGTTACTCATCTCTTCCACTCTACTTGATAATAGATTATTATTTTAGCTATTTATTGATAAGGAGAAAACAAATATTAATTAATTAGACCTTAGTATTATTACATACACAGGAACACATGTGCAAACTCGGTGTTATGAAATCCTAGATAACACCATGAAACAGTCACAGAAGCTGACACTGAGGATAATGTAATATTTTGCAAGAAATGAAAATGCTTCAGGAAATATCCTATTTTTACAATAAATTTAACTAAATGTTAATGACAAAACTAGAAACAAAAATATCTCTAGTGCATAGAAAGTTAAACCTTTCTTAAATGTAAGTAGGATTAAAGAAGAAATAAAAACAAAATGATGTGATATATAGAAAACTTTAATAATAAAGATGATGTCAACAATAATAAACCATTAACATAGATTCAATGGAAAGCAGTTCAAATTCTCTTCAGGAAAATGTATTGTTTTATACATTGATAAAAATGAAAGTAAAATGATTAATCTGAGATATTAATGAGGAATAAGAAATAGTTCAAAAAGAAAAAAAGAAAGAGTTTGAGTATTAATTAATGAAAATATTAAAAATTTATTTCTTAGATATATAAAAATTCATTTAAAAATATAGATTGAGGCCAGGAGTGGTGGCTCACACCTGTAATCCCAGAAATTTGGGAGGCCGAGGCAGGTGGATTACCTGAGGTTGGTAGTTCAAGATCAGCCTGGCCAACATGGTGAAACCCCATCTTTACTAAAAATACAAAAAAAGATTAGTGGGTGTGGTGTTGCACGCCTGTAGTCCCAGCTACTTGGGAGGCAGAGGCAGAAGGATTGCTTGAGCCCAGGAGGCAGTGGTTGCAGTGAGCGGAGACTGTGCCAATGCACTCCAGTCTGGGCAACAGAGCAAGACACCATCTCAAATATATATATATACAGAGAGAGATCAAATGATAATGTTATGGTAAAATATAAAGTGATGCAAATGAAATGAAAAAAATTCTGTAGAATACAAAACTTTAATGTACATCTCCCAAGAAAAGATCATGCCTAGAAAATTTTTCAGAAAAGGTTTTCCAAATATTCATAAAACTAGTTATGAAAAAGCTAATAAATATATCATAGCCTATCAAAAGCTGCAAAACTTGAAAATTATTTTTATGAAACAAACATGACATTGGTCATAAACTCAAGATAGATTTAACATGGAAAACAATACTACAGATCAATCTAAGTAAGTACATGATTGTGTAAGTTCTAATAAAACAGCAAGATGAACTAACTGCATTATAGAAAGATATACCATGACCAAATAAAATTGTTCCAGGAATACACAGATGATTCAATATTACAAATTATGTAAATTATTTCATGTTATTAATAAAATTTTTTCTATAAAAGCTAAAAAGATAGGTGATGAGTCATATCTCAGTTTTGTTTAAAAAATTATATATGGGAATATAATGGAAATAAAAAATATATATTATGCTGTTTTTAAAATGTATGAAACAGCATGATATTTACCGATATTCCAATTAAGTCTGGGAATTAAAAAAAATCCTTTAATGATATTGTGAATATACTACTTAATGGAATTAACCAAGAAAAAGCTATAATCATTATAAAAATTATAATGTAGGTTAAAATGGGAATGTGATGGCTAAATTGATTTCAGTTTTTAAAACAATAAAATAATTCAACAACTTGAAAATAACTGTAATATTCAATATTTTTTCAGCATTCCTTTATACAAACAAGAACAAATTAAAAAGAAAATGGAAGAAAATCTATTAAAGTGGCAACAAAATAGTTAACAAAAATTTTTAAACTAGAAATAAAACTAAGACAATGACAAATATAAAAAATATGGAAAAATCACATGAAATGTATTTAAAAGAACATTATTGTACCCAAATTAAAACATTTAATGTGATCTCAAAACTAGTAAGAGACAATCCACTAATTGAAACACAATTGTGAAGAACATACTCAGAATATAATTACAATAGAGAAAGATAAAAATGTGAGAAACCATGTAAGAAATTCAAATAATAAGGGAAGGGACAAGATGATCAACTAGAAACAGCTGCAGCTGGAGGCTCCCAGCAAGAATGAAAACAGTGAGCGAATCCTGTACCGGCAACCAAGATATCCAGGTTCTCTCATTGAGACTGACTAGGCAGTAGGTGCAACCAAGAGAGAGTGAGGAAAAGCAGGGTGGAGCGACGGTTCATCTGGGAGCTACATGGAGCGAGGGGAGCCCTCACTCCCAGCTATGGGAAGTGGTGACTGATTGTGCTACCCTGCCCGGGAAACCGTGCTTTTTCCATGGATCTGTGCAACCCATGGATCAGGAGTTCCCCTGGTGAGTCAATGCCACCAAGGCCTTGGGTCTGAAGCACAGAGATGTGTAGATTCTCAGTGGCCACTCGGCTGGAGACTACTTAAGGCCACCAAGTTCTTGGGCGAAGGGGTAGCTGTCATCATCACAGATGTCTGCTGCCTAAGGCAACTAAGCTCCCAGTGGGAGGAATGGCAGCCATCACTGCAGCTCTAGTCTGCTGTTTTGATTTGCTGGTGAAAGGGAGACTGGGTGGATTGGATACAGGAGGAATTCCCCACAGGGCAGCACAGCAGCTCTCACAGATTGTGGCCAGACTGCTTCTTTGGTCTGGATCCTGACCCATCCCTCCACACCAGGTGGGGCTTCCCTGTCAGAAGTTCAGCAGTTCTAGCAAGAGGTTTATGAACAGAACTCTGATCTCCCTGGGATGGAGCCCCTGTGGGGAGGGGCAGCCACAGTCTCCATGAATTAGTGCACTTAGTCTTTCATCCTGCTGGCTCTGAGGAATCTGGGCAGTCTGGACTAGAGATGGATTCCTACCAGTGTGTCACCCCCTCTGCCAAGCAGCAGCCAGAGTGCTTCATTAAGCCGATCCCTTATCCTGTGACTCTTGACTGGGTGAGACCCCCAACAGGGGTTACCAGACACTTTGTACAGGAGCTTTCCCAGTGGCAACAGGTCAGTGCCCCTCTGTGACAAAGCTCTCAGAAGAAGGAGTAGGCAGCTGTCTTTGCTGTTCTGCAGCCCCCACTGGTGACACCTCCAGGTGCGGGAGGGACCCAGGTGAATAGGTTCTGGAGTGGAACCCCAGCAAACACTACAGAAGAGGTGCCTATTAAAAGAAAAGCAAACAAACAGAAAACAACAACAGCAGCATCAACAAAAATGCCCCCACAAAATCCAAAGAATTTCCAACCCAGAATTTGATATCCAACCAAACTAAGCTTCCTAAACAAAGGAGAAATAAAATCATTTTAAGACAACAAATGCTGAGGGAATTTGTCACCACCAGGCGTGCCTTGCAAGAGCTCCTGCAGGAACCACTAAATATGGAAAGAAAAAACCATTACCAGCCATTACAAAACACACTGAAGTACAACACTGACCAATGACACTGAAGGAACTACATCAACATGTCTGCAAAATAACCAGCTAGCATCATGACAGGATCAAATTCACATATAACATTATTAACCTTAAAAGTAAATGAGCTAAATGCCACAATTAAAAGACACAGAATGGCAATCTGGATAAAGAGTCAAGACTCTTCTGTGTGCTGTCTTCAAGAGAGTCATTTCACATGCAAAGACACACATAAGCTCAAAATAAAAGGATGGAGAAAAATTTACCAAGCAAATGGAAATCAGAAAAAAAGCAGGGGTTGCAATTCTAGTTTCGAATGAAACAGACTTTAAACCAACAAAATCAAAAAAGACAAAGAAGGGCACTACATAATGGTAAAAGGTTCAATTCAATAAGAAGAGCTAACTATCTTAAATTTATATTCACCCAATACAGGAGCACCCAGATTTATAAAACAAGTTCTTAGAGACCTATAAAAAGACTTAGACTCCTACACAAAAATAGCTGGAGACTTTAACAGTCCACTCTCAATGTTAGACAGATCATTGAAACAGAAAATTAACAAAGATATTCAGGATGTGAACACAACTTTAGATCAAGCAGACCTCATAGGAATCTACAGAACACTTCACCCACAGAGAACATAGTATATATTCTTCTCAGCACCACATGGTACTTAATCTAAAATTTATCACATAAATGGAAGTAAAATATCCCTCAGCAAATGCAAAAGAACTGAAATAATAACAGTCTCTCAGACCACAGCACAGTCAAATTCAAACTCAAGATTCAGAAAGTCACTCAAAACCATACAACTATATGGAAATTGAACAACCTGCCCCTGAATGACTCCTGGGTAAATAATGAAATTAAAGCAGAAATCAAAACTTTCTTTGAAACCAGTGAGAACAAAAAGACAAGATACATGCCAGAATCTCTGGGATGCAGCTAAAGCAGTGTTAAGAGACACATTTACACCACTAAATGCCCACATGGAAAAGATAGAAAGGTCTCAAATCAACACTCTAACAACACAATTAAAAGAGCTAGAGAAGCAAGAGGAAACAAACCCCAAAGTTAGCAGAAGACAAGAAATAACCAAGATCATAGCTGAACTTAAGGAGATCCAGACATGAAAACCCCTTCAAAAAATCAACAAACCCAAGAGTAGTTTTTTTTGAAAAAAATAAATAAATAAAACAAGTAAACCACTAGCTATATTAATAAAGAAGAAAAGAGAGAAGAATCAAATAGACACAATAAAATTGATAAAGGGGATATCACCACTGACTCCACAGAAACACAAACAACCATCAGAGAATATTATAAATGCCTCTATGCAAATAAAGTAAAATCTAGAAGAAATGGATAAATTCCTGGACACATACATCCTTCCAAGACTGAACCAGGAAGAAATTGAATCCCAGAATAGAACAATAACAAGTTCTGAAGAGGGAGCAGTAATAAACAACATACCAACCAAAAGGAGCCCAGGACCAGATAGATTTACAGCTGAATTCTACCAGAGGTACAAAGAGGAGCTGGAACCATTTCTTCTAAAATGATTCCAAACAAATTAAAAGGAGAAACTCCTTCCTAACTAATTTTATGAGGCAAGCATCATCCTGATAGCAAAACCTAGCAGAGAGAGAGAGAGAAGGAAAGAAGGAAGGAAGGAAGGAAGGAAGGAAGGAAGGAAGGAAGGAAGGAAGGAAGGAAGGGAGGAAGGAGAAAGAAAAAGAAAGAGAGGGAGGAAGAGAGAGAGAAAGAGGAAGAGAGAGAGAGACAGAAGGAAGGAAGGAAGGAAAAGAAATGGAAAGGAAAGGAGAGGAGAAGAGAGAAGAAAAGAAAAGAGAAAAGAAAAGAAGGAGGGAGGGAGGGAGGAAGGATGGAAGGAAAGAAGGAAGAAAGGAAGGAGAGAAGAGAGGAGAGGAGAGAAGAGAAGAGAATAGAAGAGAAGAGAAGAAAAGAGAAGAGAAGAGAAGAAAAGAGAAGGGAAGAGAAACTTCAGGCTAGTATCCCTGATGAAGACTGATGCAAAAATCCTCAATTAAATACTGGCAAACTGAATCCAGCAGCACATTGAAAAGCTTATCCACCATGATCAAGTCAGCTTTATCCCTGGGAACCAAGGCTGGTTCAACATACTCAAACAAATAAATGTATTTCATTACATAAACAGAACTAATAGATGTAGAAAAAGGCTTTGATAATATTAAACATCCCTTCATGCTGAAAACTCTCAGTAAACTAAGTATTGACAGAACATACCTCAAAATAACAAGAGCCATTTATGATACACCTACAGCCAACATCATACTGAATGGACAAAAGCTGGAAGCATTCCCCTTGAAAACTGGCACAAGACAAAAATGCCCTCTCTCACCACTCCTATTCAATATAGTATTGGAAGTTCTGGTCAGGGCAATCAGGCAAAATAAAGAAATAAAGCATATTCAGCTAGAAAGAGAGGAAATCAAACTGTCTTTGTTTGCAGATGACAGGATCCTATATCTAGAAAACTCCACTGTCACAGCTCTAAAACATCTTAAGCTGATGAGCAACTTCAGCAAAGTCTCAGGACACAAAAACAATGTGTGAAAATCACAAGCATTTCTACACACCAACAATAGAAAAGCAGAGGACCAAATCATGAATGAACTCCCACTTACGATTGCTACAGAGAGAATAAAATATCTAGGAAGAGAGCTTACAAGGAATGTGAACGACATCTTCAAGGAGAACCCATAATGACTTCTCAAGGAAATAAGAGAGAACACAAAAAAATAAAAAACTATTCCATGCTCATGGATAGGAATAATCAATATCGTGAAAATGGCCACACTGCCCAAAGAAATTTAAAGATTCATTGTTGTTCCAATTAAACTACCATTGATATTCTTCACAGAATTAGAAAAAACTTCTTCAAAATTCATATGAAACAAACAAAAAAAGCGCATATAGCCTACACAATCCAAAGGAAAAAGAAGAAAGCTGGAGGCATCATGCTACCCGACTTCAAACTATACTACAAGGCTACAGTAACCAAAATAGCATGGTGCTAGTACTAAAACAGACACATAGACCAGTGAAACAGAATAGAGAACTCAGAAACAAGACCACACACCTACAAAACAATCTGATTTTCTACCAACCTGACAAAAACAAGCAATGGGGAAAGGATTCTCTATTTAATAAATGGTGCTGGGATAACAGGCTACCCATATGCAGGAAATTTGAACTGGACCCCTTCTTTACACATTATACAAAACTAAACTCAAGTTTTTAAAGACTTAAATGTAAAATCCAAAACTACAGAAACCCTAGAAGAAAATCTAGGCAATATCATTCAGGACATGGGCACAGGCAAAGATTTCATGACAAAAACCTCAAAACTGATTGCAACAAAAGCACAAATTGGCAACTGGGATCTAATTAAGCCAAAGAACTTCTGCACAGCAAAAGAAAATATCATCAGAGTGAACAGACAACCTATAGAATGAGAGAAAATTTTTGCAATCTATTCATCTGACAAGGGGTTAATTTCCAGAGTCTACAAGGAGCTTAAACAAACTTACCAGAAAAAGACAACCCCATTAAAAAGTGAGCAAAGGACATGAACAGGCACTTCTTAAAAGAAGACATTTATGCGGCCAAAAAACCTGAAAAAATCTCAACATTATTGATCATTATCAAAAGCACAGTGAAATACCATCTCAGGCCAGTCAGAATGGTGATTATTAAAAAGTCAAGAAACAGCAGATGCCAGCAATGCTGTGGAGAAATAGACACACTTCTACACTGTTGGTGGGAATATAAATTAGATCCATCATTGTGAAAGACAGTATGGCAATTCCTCAAAGATCTAGAACCAGAAATACCATTTGACTCAGCAACCCCATTACTTGAAATATATACACAAGGGAATATAAATCATTCTATGATAAAGATACATGAATGCATTTGTTCATTGCAGCCCTATGCATAATAGCAAAGATATGGAATCAACCCAAATCCCCATCTATGACAGACTGGATTTAAAAAATGTGGTGCATATATGCCATGAAATACTATGCAACCATAAAAAGGAATGAGATCATGTCCTTTGCAGGGACATGGATGGAGCTGGAAGCCATTATCCTCAGCAAACTAATGTAGGAACAGAAAACGAAACACTGCATGTTCTCACTTAGAAGTGGGAGCTGAACATTAGGAAAAATAGCTAATGCATGCTGGGCTTAATACCTAGGTGACAGGTTGATTGGTGCAGCAAACCACCACGGCCCATGTTTCCTATGTAACAAACCTGCACATCCTGCACATGTACACCAGAACTAAAAATAAAATAAAATAAAATAAAAAAGAATACAGGAATTCCTCAGAGATACTGCAGGTTTGGTATCAGACCACCACAATAAAGCAAATATCACAATAAAAAAATAATAAGTGGGAGGTGAACAATGAAAACACATGGACACAGGGAGGGATACAACACTCACTGAGGCGTTTTGGTGTAGATTGTTGGGGAAAGAGAGCGTCAGGATAAATAGCTAATGCATGCTGGGTTTAATACCTAGGTGATGGGTTGACAGGAGCAGCAAACCACCATGGCACACGTGTACCTATGTAACAAACCTGCACATCCTGCACATGTATCCTGGAACTTAAATTAAATTAAATTAAATTTAAAAAAGAAATTCAAATAATAAATTGAGATGTTTCAGTTTTGTTTCAAGTGGCATTCCATCAGGAAAAAAACATTAGAAATAAAAGTAATACAAAAATCAATTGATAATTATTGAATTATTGAAAGTAATTTAAATTCAATTGAATAATTGAAAGTACAAAATAATTAATGAAAGCTTCGGTTTTTCAAAGTGGAATAGTATAAACCTTCTATCATAAGCTAATTGAAGTAAAACTAGCATAGTGATATTTTGGAGAAATTGTGGAACTTCAAATATAAAGACACTGTCATAACAGGAGAAAATACATAGATTAAGTGTAATGACCATCATGCTATCAGCAAATATTACAGTAATACAGACCATTTACAAAAAGTGTATTATTTATACATTTTATAACATGCTTGTCTGTAAATGAGCCTAGAAATAAATTTAAAAAATTTAAAACCTATGTTGTCAGAAAAATAAAGAAACAATGCTAAAGTCAGAGTTTAAAAAAATGCCAAGATGGATGTTTTGAGTTGGATAATTAAAGCATATGAATGCTATGGTCATTAATTTAGAAAGATACAATTAAAAAATAGATGTACATACTGATTTTGAAATATTTAAGCACACATATTAAAAATTCAAGAGTGATCGGCTGGGCGCAGTGGCTCACACCTGTAGTCCCAGCACTTTGGGAGGCCGAAGTGGATGGATCATGAGGTCAGGAGTTCAAGACCAGCCTGGCCAACATGGTGAAACCCTATCTCTACTAAAAATACGAAAATTAGCCAGGTGTGGTGGCAGGCACCTGTAGTTCCAGCCGCTCGGGAGGCTGAGGCAGGAGAATCGTTTGAGCCTGGGAGGCGGAGGTTCCAATGAGCCAAGATCACACCATTGCATGCCAGCCTGGGCAACAGAGCAAGACTCCATCTCAAAAAAAGGAAAAAAAATTCAAGAGTGACCACAAAAATTGCAAAATATAATTGTTCACTTCCAGAAACACCAAGATGAATAGTTTCTATGAAGAAAATTTCTGTCAATTCAACAGAAGGGAGAAAAATGTAAAAATCCATAAATTTAAAATATCAATCAGACTTTAGAAATAATTATTAATAGCTCATTACCTAAAATATGAGTAAATATTAAAATACATCAAATAGCAGAAATAAAAACTGAATTTGAAAACTAACATTTATCAAAATCAAAACACACAGAGACACACTCATGTGCATACATATTTGCAATAGTATTAGATCACAGAGGAAATCTCAAAAATTTTAGATAATAGGAATTATATAGAATAGGTTATTTTATTACAGTGGTATCAAATTTGAGTCAATATGAAAGTATCAAAAATCAATAAATAAAGTTTATTGGGCTTAAATTTTACTCTTAATTAACTCAGGATATGAAAAAGAAGACACAATTGGAAACATAAAATGTTCAGAACTACTTACTTAAATCTACAGGGTACATATATATTGCATTAAAAATAAAACAAAATAGGTAAGGTATCTAAGAAAATAAATACACATTTAAATTCTGTGGCCCTACTATCAACAAGATATACCTATTATTTATAGAATAAAATAAATAATAAAAATATAAATGATAATTAATAAAACCAGAAAGGAATTAAATAAGGAGAATTTTAACTCACATTTGGTGCATTAGAAAAAATTTTACAAACTTATGAAATATACAAACCTGCAGCAAAATAAACCACAAAACCCAGAGAAAATATATTACAATAGATAATTAATGAAAATAGTTTAAAAGTTGATAAAACTACAGATATAAACAATAATATAGAAAGGCTTAAAGTACTATAAGCAAATAAATGAAATAAATGTTAAAATGTAGTAAACATCTTTTTTTCTAAAAAAATTAACAAAATTATAGGAAAGTTAGAAAAAATAAAATTTAATATATAGAATAAGTAAGATAATAATAATTAAGGACATTATTTGAATGAAATGCAGCAAATATTTACATACAGGCAGAAAACATTTGAAGGAAAATATTACAGTGTCATTAATAAGGAGATAATGCTTACTCTTTTTGATACTTTTGAAACAATTGTAAAGGATGAACAGTTATTTAAATCAAAACATTCTAGGAAACTGATCTAACCTTAGTCACAAAATAAGACAACAACAGCAAGAATGAAAGTCAGAAAGACGGCAGAAGCAGCACCAGGCCACAGCCTGCATCTGTAAACTGACTTAACAACAATATATGGATCAAGTTGCCTTTCTGAGAATTCCATAAGCCAATTAAAAAATTGTAGCACATAAATGAGGTCAAAGTCAAGAAGACTTACACCAAAGCAGGGATTTGCTTATTTTAGATCCAAGCCCTATCTGCCATCTTACTCAAAAATTTACAGAACTACCAGCAACCAGCTCTTCCCTCAATTGGAAAGAGAAGAATGGGCTGTTTTCTGGCTTTTTGGGAAGATGCTTAAGGGAGTAGTCTCTGTCTAGCCTGACTCAGAACACTGATTGGAAAGGCAGCATAGGATAGATGCCAGGTTAGGAGCTGCAAAGAAAAAATTATTGTGTGAATTACAGTCCAAGGGAGACTGAAGTAGTACATACAGATACAATGAAAAGTAAGAGAGTATAGGCTCTTGAGAAGAAAACAGTCAAGCCTCTGTCACAGGAAAATTACACATGCAAGGCCAGAGATGATGCATCTCCAGGGAAGGGCTGAGAAACTAAGCTAGCCTGATTGGTGTAAGTGCTCTCCTGTACAAACCCATTTCAGAAGACTGGAAAGAGGTTTTTTTCATATACTTAAATACCAAGAGAAGATTACATGGTATACAAAAAAAAAAAAAGAAAGAAAGAAAGAAAAAAATATGGCTTAATCAAAGGGTAAAACAATGAGTTTCCAAAAACTGACCTTAAAGAAATGAACTATGATTACCTAACAAAAACTCAAACTAAGAAATTATTTTTTATAGTACAAGAATACTATATCCACAGAAAGTGTCCTTCAAAAATGAAGAAAAGTTTAAGACTTTCACAGATAAATAAAGGCTGAGACATTTTACCACTGCTAGGTCTGCCCAACAAGAAATTCTAAGGGAGTTCTTTGAGTTGAAATGAAAGGAAGCTAGAGAGCAGCTCAAACCATATGAAAATATAAAACTCCTTTCTAAAGATAAATATATGGACAAATAAATAATCTGGTAATATCATAATATGGGTGCATAGATCACTTTAAATTCTGTATAGAATTTAAAGCATAAAATAATTATAAATCTGTGTTAATGAATTAATATTAAAAGATTTAATTGGGAATATTAATAACATAAATGGGGTGTGTTATCAGTTAAAAATAGACTGTTACATAACCTTATATTGTTTATGTAATCCCTATGGTAACCACAAATAAAATTCCTATGGAAGATACATAAAAGTTGAATAAACAATCAAAACAGTTCACTCACAAAAAATCAATGAAACATAAAGAAAGGCAGTAAGATAGTGAAAAAAGGACAACATAACTACGAGACACACAAATCAATTAATAAAATGCCAAACAAATTTTTTAAAAGAACCTACCATGTTAAAGAAAAAAAAAATTTCCACATTATTTTCTAACTATTGCTCCATTGTTCCATTTCATTCTTGCCTTTACAGCAGTTTTTTCAAAAGGGGTTTCTCTAGTCACTTTCTCTACTTGTTTACCTTTCTAAATTCATCTTAACTTTTAACTAAACCCAGACAAGTATTTATGAAGTATGCATAAACTATAGAGACTGAAGAAACAGACACCATCTACCCACTATTACCATTAATTTTGAGCATTCCCATTAATGTTAAAATTCCCTGTATGCCACTCCTAGATCCAGTTCACTTCTTTCTCCTTTAGAGATAATCACCATCCTGAATTTCTTTACGGTTTCCCATGTTTATATTCCCAATAAGCATATCTCAATATACATTTCATTTTAAATGAGTGAAGTTATACTGTATCTGTTACTGACTTGCTCATCTTGCTCAACATTATGTTTCTGAGATTCATCCATATATAAATACTACGTAGCTGTACTTCATTCATTTTCACTGCTGTATTCCACTGTATGGGTATATCAAAGATTTTCCATTTTATTGTTGATGAACATTTGGGTTGTATCTAAATTTTTGCTACCTTAAACTGCACAGCTATGTGCATTCTTGTTTTGTCTCCTTCTGTCAAACTATAGTAAAGGACCAAGCTTTTGGGATTTTCCCTAATGTGTTGTGGATTGATGTTTTTGTAAAATACACTAAAAATGCCTCATCATTGTCAAATTGCTATAAAAATATATAAACCTTTACTCTAAAAAGATGTCAACAGCAAGTCATTCACTATCAGCAATTACTTTAAATGTAAATGGATTAAACATTCTAATAAAAAACAGGTTAGCTGAATTGGTAAAAAAACAAAATACAACTATGTGCTCTCTGAAAAAGACTAAGTTTTGATTTAAGAGTGCATATAGGGTGAAAGTGAAAAAATATAAAAAACTGTCCATGCAAATGGTAACCAAAAGAAAGCAGAGGTGACTATACTAATATCAAAGAATATTGACTTTGAGCCAAAACTGTCATGAGAGAGAAAAAAGACATTATATAATAATAAAAAAATCAATTTGACTGGAAGATTGATATAGTTTACATATTTGTTCCCACCTAAATCTCTTGTTGAAATGTAATCCCCAGTGTTGGAGGTGGAGCCTGGATTCACCTTTGAATCATGGGAATTGATTCCTCATGGGTGGCTTGGGCCATCGTCTTGGTTGTAAGTGAGCTCTCACTCCGAGTTCACATGAGATCTGGTTGTTTAAAGTATGTGGCACCTCTCATTCCACTCTCTCTCTCTCATTCCTGCTTTCAACATGTGACATACAAGCTCCTTCTTCATGTTCCACCATGAGTAAGAGCTCCCTGAGGCATCCTCAGAAGCCTAGGGATGTTAGTACTATGTTTCCTATACCGCCTTCAGAACCATGAACTAATTAAACCTTTTCTCTTCATAAATTATCCAGTCTCAGGTATTTCATTACAGCAATGCAGGAATGGCCTAACACAGAAAATTGGTACCAAGAGTGGGGTATTGTTATAAAGATACCTGACAATTTAAAAGCAGCATTGGAACTGGGTAGAGATTGGAAGTGTTTGGAGGGCTCAGAAGACAGGAAGATGTGGGAAATTTTGGAACTTTTCAGAGACTGGCTATATGGGTTGTGACCAAAATGCTGACAAGGATATGAAATGAAGTCCAGGCTGCTGTGGTCTCAGGTGGAAATGGGGAACTTATTGGGAACTGGAGCAAACCTCATGTATGTTATGTCTTAGCAAAGAGCTTGGCTTCATTCTCTTCATGCCCTAGATATCTGTGGAAGTTGGAACTTAAGAGTGATGGTTTAGGGTATGTGGCAGAAGAAATGTCTAAACAGCAAAATTGAAGATGTAGCCTGGCTGCTTCTTACAACCTGTGCTAAGATGTGGAAGCAACAAAATGACTTAACAGTGGAACTTAATTTAAAAGGGTAGAACATAAACATTTGAAACATTTGCAGCCTGGCCATGTGGCAGAGAAAGACAACACATTTTCAGGAGAGGCTGTAGACCAACCACTTGTTAGAGAAATTTGCATAACTAAAAAGGAGACAAGTGCTGATTGCCAAAGCAATGGGCAAAAGGCCTCAAAGGTATTTCAGAGACCTTCATGGCAGTTCGTATCATCCCTGACCTAGAGGTACATGAGGGAAGAATGATTTCCTGAGCCAGGACAAGCCAAGGACCCTGCTGACCTGCCCAGTGTCAGAACACTGCTCCCCGTATCCCAGCCACTAAGGCTCCAGCCTTGGCTCTATAGGCCCCATATAACACTTATGCAGCTGCTCCAGAGAGCACAAGCTACCATAAGCACTGGTGTTTTCCACAAGATATTAAGCCTGTGGACACACAGATTGCAAGAGTAAATGAGGCTTGGCATCATCCACCTATATTTCATAGGATGTGTGGAAAAACCCAGGTGCTCAGGCAGAAGCCTGATGGGTAGAACCCTCACAGAGAACTTCTACTAGGGCAATGTCAAGGGGAAATGTGGGGTTGGAGCACCCGCACAGAGTCCCCAGTGGGGCACTGAATAGTGGAGTTCTGCAAAGGAGGCCACAATTCTCCAGACAGTAGAATGATGGATCCAATGGCAGCTTGCGCTCTGCACCTGGAAAAGCTGCAGGCACTCAACGCCAACCCATGAGAGCAGCCATGGGGTCTGAATCTTGCAAAGCCATAGAAGCACAGCTGTCAAGGCCTGAGGCGTCTACCCCTCACAGCAGTGTGCCCTGGATGTAAGGCATAGAGTCAAAGGAAATTATTTTGGAGCTTTCAGACTTAATGACTGCCCTGCTGGGTCTGAACCCTGCAAAGCCATAGAGGCACAGCTGCCTAAGGCCTAGGGAGTCTACCCCTCACAGCAGTGTGCTCTCTAGGTAAGAGTTAGAGTCAAAGGAGATTATTTTGGAGCTTTAAGACCTAATGACTCCCTGTTGGGTTTCAAAACTTGATGACTGCCCTGTTTGGTTGCATGGAGCCTGTAGTCCCTTTCTTTTGGTCAATTTTCTCCCTTTCAGAATGGGAATGTTTACCCAATGCCTATACCTACATTGTACCTTGGAAGTAACTAACTTGTTTTGATTTTACAGGCTCAGAGGTGAAAGAGACTTGCCTTGTCTCAAATGAGACTTTGGACTTTGGACTTTTGAGTTAATGCTGGAATAAGTTAAGACTTTGGGTGACTCTTAGGAAGGCATGATTATGTTTTGCAGTGAGAAAGGCATGCAATTTGGGAGAAGCCAGGGACAGAATTACATAGTATAGATATATGTCTCTACACAAATCTCACGTTGAATTTTAATCCCCAATGCTGGAGGAGAGGACTGGTGGGAGGTGTTTCGATCATAGGGGTGGAGCCCTCATTAATGGCTTGGGCCATCCCCTTGGTGATGAATGAGCTTTCACTCTGAATTCACACAAGATCTGATCATTTAAGTGTGTGGCACCAACCCTTCACTCTTTCCCTCATTTGCTCCTGCTTTCATTGTGTGAAGTACCTGTAACCACTTCACCTTACACCACAACTGAAAACTCCCCAAGGCTTCACCAGAAGTGGAGCAGATGCCAGCACCATGCTTTCTGTAAAGCCTACAGAACCATGAACCAATTAAACCTCTATCCTTTATAATTTATCCAGTCTCAGGTATTTCTTTATAGCAGTACAGGAATGAATTAATACACAGATATAGTGAATTTAAAAATATATGCCCATCACAGCTTCAAATTATACAAAGAAAACTGACTGAATTGAAGGTAAAAATAGAAAGAAATAGAATGATACTAGGAAACTTTAATACTCCACTTTAAATAATGACTAGAACAACCAAACAGAAGAGAGAACTTAAACGCTATAAACCATTTGGACTTAACAGGTCACTAAAGAACACTTACCCCAACAAAAGCTGTTTAAATGCACAAGTAATATTCCACAAGACAGAGTATAGATTAGCTCATAAAACAATTCTAAACAATTGTAAAAAGGCTGAATTCAAACAAAGTATCTTTTCCAACCAAAATGTGGTAAAACTAGAGATCAACAGCATAAGAAAAACTTGTAAAATCAATGAATGTGTGGAAATTGGACAACATACTCTCAAATAACAAATTAATCAAAAATTAATCACAAAAAAATTAGAAAAGATTTTGAGACAAAGAAAAAACTACTATATCAGGCTTTCTTGAATTTCTATGAAGAAATACCTAAGACTGGATAATTTATCAAGAAAAAATATTTAATTGGATCACAATTCAGGCTGTACAAGCACGGCATTGACAACAGTCAGCTTTTGGGGAGGTCTCTGGAAGCTTTTACTCATGGAGGGACGTGAAGCACATTATATGGTGAAAGCAGGAATAAGAGTGAGAGGGAGGTACCACATGCTTTAAGCAGACAGACCTTACTGTCACAAGGACAGCACCAAGAGGATGCCACTAAACCATCCATGAGAAATCAACCCCCATGATCCAGTCATCTCTCACCAGGCCCCATCTCCAATACTGAGGATTACAATTCAACATGAGATTTGGGTGGGGACAAATATACAAACTGTATCAACTGCAAAATACCAAATTTAAGGGATGCAGTGAAAACAGCAGTAAGAGGGAAGCTAATAGCTGCAGATGCTTACATTTTTAAAAAGTAAACAACTTTAACCTCAAGAAATCAGAAAAATAAGAAAATGCAAAACAAAATTTAGCAAAAACAAAAAACAATAAAGAATAAAGAAGAGATAAACAGTATGCATAAACAATAAAAATTCAACAAAACCAAGTATTGGTTTTTGGAAAAATAAAAAAATTGGCAAACACAAAGCTAGATTACTTAAAAAAAGAGACACAATTCAAATAATTTCAGAAATGAAAGAGGGAATATTACAACTGATGCCAAAGGGGTTAAAAAAAGATTATAAGATAATACTATGAGCAACTATATGCCAACAAATTGAGTGATGTATATAAAAAAGATACATTTCCAGAGGCATACAACCTTCCAAGAATGAATTATGAAGAAATTTTAAATATAAAAGATCTATAACTAATAAGGTGAGTGAATCAGTATTTTTTAAAATGTAGCAAAATACTAATAAACAGAAGCAGTGAACCATTTGGCTTCACTGGAGAACTATACCTAAAATATGTAGAATTAAAACTAACAATCCTGTAATTCTTTTCAAAAGTTAAAGAGGTAGAAACACTTTCAAGCATTCTATGAGGCCAGTATTATTACCCTGATTTTAAAGCCAGGCAAATATACCACCACAAAAGAAAAATACAGGCCAATATCCCTAATGAACTTTGATGCAGCAGTCCACAACAAATAATTACCAAAATGAATTCAGTAGCATATTAAAAAATTATATATTATTAGCTATGAGATCAATTTCTGGTATGCAAAGATAGGACAACATATAAATATTAATGTGATATATACCACGTTAACAAAATACAAGATAAAAAATATGTGATTATCTAAATTAATGCAAAAACCCATTTGATGCACTCCAGCACCCTTTCATAACAAAAACACTGAATAGCAATAAAATGAAACTACCTCCACTTAATAAAGGCTATATATGAGAAGCCAGTAACTAAGATCATGCATAATGGTGAATGACAGAAAGCTTTTCCTCTAATAGCAGGAAGAAGCCAATGGTGCGCCCTCTCATAACTTTCATTCAACATAGTACTGGAAGTCTTAGACTAGGTAATTAGACAAGACAAGGACACGAAAGCCATCCAAATTGAAATAAAACAAAGAAGTAAAATTGTATCTGTCCAGAGATGACATGATCTTATATTTAGAAACTTTTAGATTCCACAAAATACAACTGCTAAAATCAATAAAAGGATTCAGTAAAGTTGCAGGATATAAAATTAACATAAAATATCTGTTGTGTTTTTATATAATAATAATAAACAAGAAATCAAAAAAGAAAATTAAGAAAACAATCTCATATACAATAATTTGATTATGGTTTGATATGGTTTGGCTGTGTCCCCACCCAAATCTCATCTTGATTTGTGACTAATACAGCATTCAAAATAATACAATGCTTGGGAATAAACTGAATCAAAGAGACTAAAGACTTGCACAAGAAACTACAAAACAATGCTTAAAAAATTTAAAGACACAAATAAATGGAAAGACATCCCATATTCATGGTTTGGAAAATGTGATGTTGTTAGAATGTTCATACTAACACCCCAAAATCTAGATATTTAATACAATCTTTATCAAATCCAGATGACATTTTTGCTGAAATGGAAAAAATAATTCTACAATTCATATGAATTCTCAAGGGACTCAAATAATCAAAACAATCTTGAAAAGCAAGAACAAAGTTGATGATCTCATATTTCTCGATTTCAAAACATATCACAAATTTTCAGTAATCAAAACAGTGTACTATTGGCTTAAAACCAGACATTGAACAATTGAACAAAATAGTAAGACAAGAAATAAACACTTGCTTGTATGGACAATGAAACTAGAAGTATGTCATGACCACTCGATGTGGAGCAAATAGTCTCTTAAACAAATGGTGTTGGTGAACTGAAGTTCACATACAAAAGAACAGAGTTTGATCCTTACCATGCACTATATACAAATATCTAAAAATTGATTAAAGATCTAAATGCAGGACCTAAAACTATACAAATCCTTGAAGACAACATAGAAAAAAAAGCCTCATTGTACTAAATTTGGCAATGATTTCTTAAATATTATACAGAAAGCATAAGTAAGAGCAAAAATGTGCAAATGAGACTACATAAGGATGTAATTGTTGTTAAAATGCCCATACTACCCCCACAAAAATCTAGAGATATAATACAGTCCCTAACAAATCCAAATGACATTTTTGCAGAAATGGCAAAAAGTCCTACAATCCATATGAATTCTCAGGAGACTGAAATAATCAAAACAATCTTGAAAACAAGAACAAAGTTGATCTCGTATTTCTTGACTTCAAAACATGTTACGAAGCTACAGTAAATATACAGTAAGTTATAGTTTTTACTGTAGCTACTGTAAAAAGCTACAGTAAAAAGTTACAGTAAAAACTTAAAATATTTTGTGCATCAAAGAAAACAATTAACAAAGTGAAAAGCCAACCTACAGAAAGGAAAATATTTGCAAATCACACATCTGATAAAAGATAAATACCCCAAATATATAAATATCTCCTACAATTCAGTGACAAAATATATAAAAACTCAAAAATAGGCAAGGAACTTGATTAGATATTTTTCCAGATAAGATATACAAATTGCCAACTAGTATATGAAAAGATGCTTAACATTACTAATAATCAGAAAAATGTAAATTAACAGCACAATAAGATATTATCTCACACCCATTAGGATGACCACTATCAAAAAAAGAGAGAAAGAAAGAAAGAAAGAAAGGAAGGAAGGAAGGAAGGAAGGAAGGAAGGAAGGAAGAAAGAAAGAAAGAAAGAAAGAAAGAAAGAAAGAAAGAAAGAAAGAAAGAAAGAAAGAGAAAGAAAGAAGGAAGGAAGGAAGGAAAGAAAGAAAGAAAGAAAGAAAGAAAGAAAGAAAGAAAGAAAGAAAGAAAGAAAGGAAGAAAAGAAAGAAAATAACAAGTGTTATTGAGAATGTGGAGAAATGTGAACCCTTGTGGATTGTTGGTGGGAATGTAAAATGGTGTATCTGCTGTTGAAAACGGCATGGGAGTTCCTGAAAATTAAAAACAAACAAACAAACAAACAAAAACTACTATGTGATCCAGTAATCCCACTTCTGGGTATATAGTCAAGAGTTGAAAACAGAACCTCAAAATGATATACGCACTAATGCTACTTGCATCATTATTGACAATAGCCAAGATATGGAAGCAACTTCTATGCCCTAGAATGAAAGAATGGGTAGACAAAATGTGGTGTATACACACAAAATACAATATTATTCACTCTTACAAAGAAGAGAATCCTGTTAAATACTGCAGCATAGAGAAACCTCGAGAACATTTGATCAATTGGTCTAGTTGTGGAAGGTAAGATAATTAGTCAAATATAACAGTTATGGAGTACTACAAATGGGCATTGTATATAGTTACGTATGCTTCCTTCTAAATAATACTTCAAACAAAGAAATTAATATTAATACATACTTTCAAACCCCTATAAAGTTAACATTAATTCCTAAAAAAATTAGAGATATTTAAAAATCTTCAGCTTCTTTATTATTTGGTAATATGTTCTTCAGCATTAAAAAAATCGCACATTAATGTCATTTAATGGTACCAGGTTTACATCAAGTCCAGACAAATATTTCTAGATATTAATTTTTTATTTTTTGAGACGGAGTCTCACTCTGCCACCCAGGCAGGAGCGCAGTGGCGCGATCTCAGCTCACTGCGACCTTTGTACCCCGGGTTCAAGCGATTCTCCTACCTCAGCCACCCAAGTAGCTTGGATTACAGGCACCTGCCACTGCGTCCAGCTAATTTTGGTATTTTTATTAGTTTCGCCATCTTGGCCAGGCTGGTATTGAACTCCTGACTTCATGATCCACCTATCTCGGCCTCCCAAAGTGCTGGGATTACAGGTGTGAGCCACCGTGCCCGGCCTAGATATTAATTTTTAAGTTGTTTTTTCTTCCAACATCTGAAGTCATAGAAGGTATTCAAATTAAATAAGTTAAATAGTTAAATAAGATAAATGAATAAATAAGGTGTCTAGTAGTTATTTATTCAATTGAGATGTTTAATGAATTGGAGGCTATCAATAGTTTTTTTTCCCCCCGAAACATTATCTTCAATGTAGCATTAGTAAAAGTTTTGAAACAAGTAAGGAAATAATTCAGGAAACTCATGAAGGTAGTTCTCATACTCATTTATTCACTCAATTTTGACTGTGCATTTGGGAAGAACTAGGAACCATTTTTGAGACTGAAGAGGTACTATTAAATAAGGCCCTAAATTTTATAAGCTGGTGCTGACACCAGTGGAACAAACAGGTCTCATTATGCAACTATGTATTAACTTTTCAGAACATTTAAAAATATGATTTGTTACTTTTTATTATTTATTTATTTATTTATTTTTGAGACAGTGTCACTCTGTCTCTCAGGCTGGAGTGCAGTGGCATCACTGCAATATCCACCTCCCAGGTTCTAGTGATTCTCCTGCCTTAGCCTTAGTAGCTGGGATTACAGGCATGTGCCACCAAGCCCAGCTAATTTTTGTATTTTTAATAGAGATGGGGTTTCACTATGTGGGCCAAGCTGGTCTTGAACTCCTGACGTCAAGTGATCAGCCCCCACCTCGGCCTCCCAAAGTGGTGGGATTACAGGAATTTTTATTTCTTTACAAAGACCTTTTACATGCTCTTTGGGTTTGCTCCTCCTCCTGGAAAATGAGTTAAGATTCACACAAAGCAGATAAAGCAGATAGCTTTATCCAAAGGAAAGCCCTGGTACTGTCTGTCACTCGTAATGTCCACAATTAAACTCAGGACATTTGATTCCAGTTCCATTTGGAAGTTAAACTAGTGCTGTGTTTCCTAAAGTAGGCTAGAAGGAAATGCTGACTCTTCTGGACTGGTGGCAACAGTACTTAGAAAATGGCTTTTGGGATAAGTAAGTGAGGCTAGGTAAACCTCTTAACCAGGTGGTTTTACTTCTACCTGTCAGAGGTTTTAGTGTATTAATATGATAAATCATCAAAAAGTAAGCACAGGTTGCAAGGTTTCTCGAACATAAATGACAATACAATTCTTTTTTCATGGAGTATCTCCTGGGTCTAAATTCAGATGAAACATCTTGGGAGTATCTCTCTCGTTTTCTTTGGTACCACACATAACAGGCCAGGACCTGGAGACATTTGAGCATTCCATATGCCACAGTCCTGTTAAAACTTCTCTTCACCTCTCATCTCCCTAGTCAAGATCTATTAGCGAACAATGATAAAACATTTCTCTGTTTTAATTTGGCAAGAAGAAAAACTTCCTTCTGGAAAATAAAAATAGTTAACCATTTTACAGAAAGATATATCATAGAAATAATGTGGGTTTTGGAGTCTGCAGACATACTTTCCTCCACAATTTCCTCTCCCAATTCACTTGGGAAAAATACTCATCGATGTAAAACAGGTGATACTTTATTTACCAGTCAGGTTGAGAAAATATTAAGTGTGAGACTGTGTCAAAATGCCTAGTATATTAAAGATATAGTGCCAATCATTAAATAGCCTTTTCCTTCCTTTTTTATTCCTTCATATTTGGTTCTCCAAATGTTAAGTCTTATATATTCAACAAGGAAAATAATCTATCCTCAGAAATTGATGTAGAATGGGGTCTATTTGAAGGAAAGTCTCACTTTCCCCATATGAAAGAACATTAAGCCTGAAAACCATTTTGTGATGGGCCGGTTACGTATACCAGGATAGACTACTGAGTGCATGTAAAAATAAGGTCTCTGTTTTTTTAATTAACACCCTAGTAAATTTTCACATGAGAAAAAATGTAATGAAGAAACTATGTATTTCATATTAACATTTCATTTTTGAAGATGACTTAAGTGAACTGACAAAGACATTAGTTACTATGCTTGAAGGAAGCCTCCCAGTTCTGATTCAGCAGAGCATTACCCGCCAAGATGGTGGTGAAGCCTTTTCTTACCTTCTCAGACCATGCCAAACTGTTGGATAGGACTTTAATCTGTGTGCTAATTCTGACAGCAACGCCTGTGGCAGCAAAGGTGAGTGTTCTCAATTACTCTGAATGAACCTTGATTGAATGTGAAAGATACTGTATTAACCAGTCACCTGTGGGGCTATGTTATATGCTACTTCCTGCTTAGTTCAATAAGGAAAGTGACTTGAGTTCTAATGAATTTCAAACCCTGTTGCAACAAATTAGCCAGCTGATAACTCTTTACATTTGAATAATTGCTCCACAAGTCCTGAGCTACTCTCTCTGTCTGTTTCTCTCTCTCTCTCCTTCTGACACACACACACACACACACACCTTTCTTATTTCCATGAAACTGGTTAGAGCATAAATTAATTTATTAAAATAAAAACAAATTTCTTATCTTTGACTTATCACTAAGACAAATACAGAGTACAGAAGACAAACCAAAGCACTACTTTTTCTATTACATTGCTCATACTCCATTATGAACTCACTGGATAAACAGGAATTTTCTCCGCTTTGGTTTTCCTGTTCAACGTCCCCTCCATCTTTATCCCAAAACTTTCCTTCTAACACAGAGTCTATAGTTGTTTTGTCCCGTTGCACTATTTTTTTTTAATTTAAAACTGAAAGGAAGTAATTATTTTTAAATTTTGGCTAATAATCCTATTTTGTTGAATACTTTTAGATTTACAGAAAACATTAATAGATAACACAGAGCTCCCATACAACTCCACACAATTTCTCCTATAATTAACACATTACTTAAGTATGGTTCATTTGTTATGATTCATGAACTAATATGAGTACACATTAAGTAAGTTTTTAAGTCAGCTGGATAAATACCTCGGAGTGCAGTTGCTAGATTGTATGCTAAGGATATTTTTGTTTGTTTGTTTGTTTGTTTGTTTTGAGACAAAGTCTCGCGCTTTTTTTTTCCAGGCTGGAGTCTAATGGCACAATCTCCACTCACTGCAACCTCCACCTCCTGGGTTCAAGCAATTCTCCCTGTCTCAGCCTCCCGAGTAGCTGGGATTACAGGCACACATCACCAGGCCCAGCTAATTTTGTATTTTTAGTAGAGACGGGGTTTCACTATGTTGGCCAGGCTGGTCTTGAACTCCCAACCTCAGGTGATCCGCCCGTCTCTGCTTCCCAAAGTGCTCGGATTACAGGCGTGAGCCACTGCGCCCGGCCCGGATATGTTTAACTTTGTAAGAAACTGCCAGATTGCCTTCCAAAGATGCGGTATCATTTTGTATTTACATTACCAATAAATGAGAGTTCTTGTTTTTCCATATCTGCATTGGCATTTGAGGTTGCCAATTTTTGGTTTTTAGCCATTCTAATAGGTGTGTAGTGGTGTCCCAGTGTTGCTTTAATTTGTAAACTTCTAGTGACATATGATGTTGAGCATGCTTTCATATGCTTATGTGCCATCTGTATATTTGTTTGGTGAGGTGTATGTTCTTATCTTTTCCTCACTATTATCTGATTTGTTCATTTTCTTTATTGTTACATTTTTATATTTATTTGTATATCTTTGATGCCTGTATCAAATATTTAAAAAATACTTTCTCTAAGAATGTGGCTTTTTTTTAAATAGTGTCTCTTGCAGAGCAAAGTTGTTAATTTTAGTAAAATCCAATGTATCAATTTTTTCTTTCATGAACTGCACTTTTGCATTATATCAAAAAGGTATTGTCAAATACTTGTTCACCAGATTTTTAACTACGCTAAGTTTTAGAAATTTTATATTTCACATTTCAGATAGAAGTCTATGATTCATTTTTAGTGAACTTCAGTAAAAGCCATGAAATCTGTGACCAGATTTTGTGTGTGTGTTTTTGTGTGTGTGTGTGTGTGTGTGTGTGTGTACGTTCAATTGTTTCAGCACCGTTTGTTGAGATTATCCTCTTCTTTGAATTGCTTGGCTCTTTCATCAAAGATCAGTTGATTACAAATATAATTTGTGTGCATCAGTGTCTGAACTCCCTGTTTTTCCCATTGATTGATCTATGTGGTTATTCTTTCCCCAGTATCAAGCTATCTTGATTATTGCAACTTTATGGTAACTTCTGATGTCAGGTAGTGCCAATTATCCAACTTGGCTCTTCTTCAATATTGTCTTGGCTTTTCTGTTTATTATGCCTTTTTACATAAACTTAAAAATCCCTTTATTGACATATACAGTAGAGCTTTAATCAACATTTTTATTGGGATTGTGTTAAATCTGCAGATCACATTGGGAAGAATTGGCATTTTAATAATATTGAGTCTACTAATCAATGATTTCTCAATTATTTAGCTCTTCTTTGACTTCCTTTAACAGATTTTTAGAGTTTTCTACATTCACAGCCTGTACATATTTTGTTAGATTTATATCTATATATTCCATTATAGAATTTTTCATTATTATACATTGTTTTGCTTTATTTTACATTGCTTTTATGTATTGCTGATACATAGAATTAACAAGTGTCTCTTCTATATTAACCTATATCTTGCAACCTAGCTATACTCATCTGTTTCAGGAGGTTTTTGCTATCGTTATGGGTGTTATTGTTTCTTTCAGATTTCAGTCTTTCACCTATGATAGCTGTATTTCACCTTTTTATACCTGTACGAATTTTATTATATTTTTCTTGTCATATTCACCAGCTAAGTCTTCTGGGATAATGTTAAATAAAAGTGGTAAGGGAGGACCAGGTCTACTGAGAGGCTGACGAGCCTCTCAGTGGCACTCTTCATTCCTGTTACAATGCTCTTTATGTCTGTCATTGCCTTTTGATTCTCGCGTTTCTACCTCTACTTACATTTCTCATCCATCCATGCATGTTGACATTTTCCCATTAGATCCCTTAACATGTAAGTCATTGTTATTTTAAATTCCCTATCATATCTTCAAACATCTGTGTCCTATCCAAGTCTGGCACGATGCTTATTTTGTCTCTCCTTACTGTGCTGTTTCTTGCCTTAGGTTGCCTTGTGATATTTTTGAGTGCTGGACATAATGTGTAGAGTAACCGAAACTGAGGTAAAAAGACTTTAGCTTGAAGTTTCTGATGACTGGCTAGTAGCTGTGCAGTGTTTAATGTTTGATATCACTGTAGGTCCCTGAAGCTTCAGTTTCCTTTATTGTCGTCATTTTTCCTTTCTCTTTCTCTTATCTTCAGGTATCCCCAGTAACTCCCTCTTAAATAGAGTGTGCCTTATAGCTCTGTTATTGTAATTTATTTTTATTTTATTGAAACTTGTTGATATGGTGTTAAGATATGGGAGAAGAAGCATTTTTAATGTTATGACTAAATTTCCATCTTTTGATGGGAATAAGTACCTGGGATTTGAACTTCAGATGTGTTTCATAGCCTTTTTATGTTTTCATAGATGAGGCAGAAAGACTGGAGGAGTCTGGGGTAGGCTGATGTTTCTTCCATCAGGCAAGGAAGGCTTTGGTATAGTCGTTGCCCATGGAGAACGAGCCTGTGCTATGGGGAACTTTCTGAGCATATTTCAAAATGGTGACTTTTCGCCATCCCCTGCATAAAACGTGAAGTTTTTCTTTTTCTTTTCTTTTTTTAAAAAATGGCTTCTCTGTAGGAAACTTGTGTGGTTCCCTGAAATAAAATCTATCAGAACGTGAATCCTCTCCATTAGGCCTCAGCACCTAGGAGTTTCTCAATGGAACTTAATCAGCACCAGCCTCCAGAAATTCATAAAACTGCCATTAAGTGTCTCTACCTGTTTATGTCACTAGCAATTTCTATTTCAGAAAAAATAATCTCAGCCATGATTCTATATATTCACCTGTGTCTTCAGAATTCAGTGGTGTTTTTCCCTGGGATCCTCAATTTTCTGTTGGGTATAACAGAAGTCATTGATGTGGTTTGCTCATGTATTCTTTTTTTCTTCTTTTAAGGATGGGAGTGATGGCTTCCAAGCACTTTAAATATCGGAGCTGAAACTGGAATTCAGCGATCTTTTAATATCCTAAGGATCTGTAGGAGTGTTCCCTTTACTTTCATGATATTTCTAATTACAGCTTTCTTTCTGTTTTTTTTTTTGTTGTTGTTGTTTTTGTTGATCAGTCTAGAAAAGGTTTATTAATTTAATTGATCTTTCAGTATGGCCCTGTGAATAAATCAATTACCCTGTGGATAAAATTTGGTGTTCTTTCGAGATTTTGCTTGTTATAAATGGTGACTTTTTCACACATATTCAAGAATTTAAACCTAGGAGCAAAGAGTGGGATCTTAGGTTTTCAAAAGTTCAGTTTTACACAAGAATGTCAATGTAGTGCCGAAGTACATTTTACCAATTTTCACTCATATTATAAGTGTATAAGTGTACACACAAGGTACATCCAGATCAACATATACACTATAGGACCACTTAAATTTTGGTAGGATTATGATTGTAGAATGGCATGTCTACTTATTATCATAATTTGCATTTTTAAATTTATGACCGCCATATATATATACACACACACACACACATATGCTATATGTATATATATGGTTTGGGTTTGGCTACTAATTCATTGTTTTCTTTGGGAAGTGAGATTCCGTCCTTCCTATATTATATTTTAAAGAAGTAAAATTCACACTGCCTTTATCAAAATTTGATCAAAATCTTCGGCATAATCTTTTAAAATTTCTAAAGCAGATTTTGATTTTTTTTCCTTTTTTTAAAAAAAGCATGTCTGGTGGCATACAAATTTAAATACCATAGAAGGGGATTCAAATGTCTCTCCTGAAGTGACTTATTTTCTCCCACATTGAAAGCGTGGAATGGCTTTTGGTAGCCAGCTGGGATGGTGGACGGTGCAGGTGCAGCGGTAGCTTAGTGCCTGCTAGAGAGGGTTCATCTGATTATGAGATGTGAGTGTCAACCTGTCTACCAGGTTTAAACAGGAGAGGAAGATTTTACCACTACCAAAACACATAAAGAGAATGGCCAAGGGATGCCAATGCAATTTTTCTACTGGAAAATACTATGTCTCCGTTGATTTTTTTCCTCATTAAAAAAAAGTAGTAAATATGAAGCAAAGCAAACTGGGATTCAGTAGAGACGGGATGCAAGGTTTGAGTGTAAGTGAAGTAAGCATAGGCCTGTTTGTTCAGTCCTCTAAGTTGACTGTGTCACATCGATGGGACAGACCTCACTATGCCAAGGCACTTGGTTCACTTCGTTGTGCAATAAACGTTCTGGAAAGAGTGTTTACTATCCATCAGATTCCCTGACTGGCAGACAAGCATGCAGCAAAAATCTGCAGAGCAATAGGTTTTGGTACGAAAGGTTAAGTGGAGGGGGAAAGAGAAAAAAAAATGCTTGGCAAAGAATACTCACTGTGTGTGCTTTTGGCTATCAGCTGATGTTCACTCCTGTGGAGAATTCTGGGAAACTAGAGAAGCAATCTGTGAGCCGGTTAGCTCAAGCCTCCTCATTTGTGTAGGCTGGAGTACATAGGTGTTTCTTTATATTTTCCTTAGAGCCTTTAAATTTTGTGTTATTTAGTTGGTCAAAAAATCTTTATTCTTTTCTGATACCCATGCTTATAGAAAACAGATCATATTTCAGAAAATTTCTAAATTGTGTCTACTATAAATCTAAAAAATAAGAATAGAAGGTGATAAGGATATGTAGGAAATGAAGCAGTCTAAGTGTGACTGAAAATAAAAGAGTTTGCTGAATTTGAAACAGCAAAGGTGACGGTGGATGGGATTGAGTCTAAGTTATTATTTCAGGCAAAAGTAAATTTCACAAGTGCACTCTTTTGGTTATATTTTCTCCTCTGCAGTGTAGCTTGTCCAAAGACCTAGACCAATGTCTGTAGAATTTGCTAAGGAAGCAGACTACCTAGAAAAGTCTATAATTAGTCAAAATGCATTTATGTGTAAACACAGTAGGATATATTTCTGTGATACTCAAGGACTCAAAAAATACAATATCTCTATATCTTTCCTTAATATCTTATTGCATATGTACTTAAAATTCACTGCATCAGTAAGGGTAAAGCCTGGAAACCCTTGATTTAAAAGGAAAATGAAAACAAAGACCTGAGGTAAGCTGTGATGTAAGCTTAATTTGGAAAGTAAAGTCTCATCCATCACACACTTGTTTTAAAGTCAGAATAATGGATTGCTAAAAGCTGAGTTAAGCCATTTGACTGACATACACATCTCTTCATAGAACTGAATGAAAATCAATCTTCCCTGAGGCTCATTGTAAGAGAACCCTGCTTACGCTGATGCCAGATAACTACATATAGTTACATTTAACTAATTGTTGAAAATGTAACAATTGCCTAATTTGCTAGTTGAGACAGATTTGTGGTTCATAGTAGGATTAATGTTTATATTTCGTCCCTCTTTATATTTCATCCAGGTTGGCAGAAGTGTGCGACTGGTGGTAAGACTTTTTTACTAAATTGATCATCAATAAAATTATAATTTTATTTAAGTATGTGAATTATTTGCTACTTTTTGCTAAAATGCAAATATTTATATTTTTATTATACATAGTTTAAAAGGAAATATGGAGGGACAAAAATCTAGAACTGTTATTAACAAACGCCATATAAAACATAACTTTTGTTTTTAATATACATTAAATACTCGTTTAATGTGATAATCCAGTCATATTTTTATACTATCTTTTATTTCTGTTCTAAAAATATAAGACAAACTTCAGAGAAGTATCTATTATACAACAAAAGCTGGAACATTACATTGGTAGCATTTTGCTACTAGAAACTTTCAATTTGTTTATATATGAAGAATATTTTCCAATATGTTAAACAGTGTTGAATAATTATCTTTCCTACTTGGATATCTCTTATTTTTACTCCTTTTTTAGCTAATTCTACCTAAATTTTCATTTTGTAAATAACATGAGATTTATAGTTAGATATTCATATCTTCATAAGAATATAAATGGCAATTAAGACTGTTTCA
The DNA here is from genome assembly GCF_000001405.40 of Homo sapiens. Classification (NCBI taxonomy): domain Eukaryota; kingdom Metazoa; phylum Chordata; class Mammalia; order Primates; family Hominidae; genus Homo; species Homo sapiens. The sequence goes on from NC_000007.14 coordinate 53,850,329, forward strand.
CTTTTCTAATGTGATCTACAATCACACAGGGGTTCACCCTCCTCAGACTACAATAAGTACTTGGACTTTGCTTTGCTTACACATATATCACTGTATCATTTGGAGTAGACATCTCAAAATCAAATTATTAGATAGAAAATGCTGCAATTTTAAATACAATGAAAATTGCTGTGCTTTACAGAATCTCCTCCTGAAAGCCAAATATAACGCTAAATTGAGGCATTTTTCAAGAAAAAAAAAGAGAGAAAATGACCTGTTGAGATAACTTAGACAGTTTCCTTAAAATAATGTGAATAATTGCTGCTATTCACTGACTTATTTGACTCAAAATTTATATAAAATTTAGCCTTCAAGTTCATAAGTATTGGTTGTTTTAGCTTTCTGCTAGTGAGAAATACATTAGTAAAAAAAAATTTTTCTGCTAGATTTATATCAGAAAATAAAAACTTTTTTAATTTATTGGTTTTCTTCAGTAACCTTTACAATGACTTTAGCTAATTACTAAAGTTAAAACATAGTTAAATAACCACAAAATGTGTTTATTTGGTTGTTTTACAGTTGGACGAAAAGAACTGTAGTTATAGATTTATTTAGTCAAATTTAAAAGTAGGATATTTCCAACAATGAGAATTTTCAGGTAGTTTATACAATTCTGGAGGAACCATATTTGTTTTCAAAGTCTTTTTTAAATTAAAAAAAAATTTAACTCCTGTTTATTCTATTTGCAATGGTTATTTCTATCAAATGACAAAAAGTGAAAAACCCAAATTCTGATCATTTCTTTTAACTCTGCAGTGTTGGAATTGTTTTCTAAACAATGGCCAAAAAGCTATACAGTTTTTTTCATTATTTTTCTTCTTCTCCATTGTTTCCCATTTATCCTTTTTAAAATATACTATAATGCTTTATAAAATTAAGTTTTATGGTGTGGTTCACCAAACTGGATGTTTATTGAAGATGAAGTCTGATTGGCCTGAGTACAGGAAGATTATTATCTCCCTTTCACTGGACACAGTGCTTTTCTTAAGGTATAAGATGACTTTGTAGCATAGCTACTCTACATCTGTTTCCAAAATAGTTTAAGCAATCTGTGGAAATATTTAATAATGACAATTTAAAAAGTTAAACTCAAGGAGAGTCATAATAAATTTTATAAAAGAAGTATATTATTTGTACCAAATCTCAGATAATATTGTTTATCAGTGAAATAAGGTGTTAAGAGTCCCTGGAAACAAGTATATATACAAATATATGTTGAGATATATGGCTGCCATCAGCTTGCTTTTTAAAAATTTTATTTCACAATATTTGGTTGAGATATAAAAATTATATTAAAGGTATACATCATGATGATTTTATATATGTGTAAACTGTGTACTGATTTCCACAAATTAACACAACTGTCATCACCCATAGTTACTATTTTGTGTGCATACATGTGTGTATGCACTTGTAATCTTCTGATCCTGATAATAGCCATCCTAAAAGGTACAAGGTAACTTTTCATTGGAGCTGTGAATTGCATTTCTCTGATGATTAGTGATGCTCAGCACCTTGTCATATACCTATCAGCCATTTTTATGTCCTCTTTGGAAAAATGTTTATTCAAGGCCTTTACTCATTTTTAGATTGGGTTTTTTGATTTTTTGATTTTAATTTTTACTTTTTGTAATTGTATTGTGTGATTACCTGATATATCTTAGATATATAATAATACCCTAACAGATTTATGGGTTACACATATTTTCTCCTATTCTGTAGGTTGCCTTTCATTTGTAAATTCTTTCCTTTGCTGTGCAGAATGTTTTTGTTTAATGTATCACCACTTGCTTATTTTTGGCTTTGTTGCTTATGATTTTTGTGTCATATCTAAAAAATTCATTGAAAGACAAATGTCAAGGAACTTTTCCACTAAGTTTTCTACAATTAATTTTATAGTTTTAAATCTTAACTTTAAGTATTTAATCTATTTTGAGTTAACTTTGGTATATGCCATAAAACAAGGGTCTTTCATTCATTTGCATGTAGAAAAATAGTTTTCCCAACACCATTTATTGAAAAGACTATGCTTTCTCAATTGTGTATTCTTGGCACCTTTGTCAAAGATTAGTTGAAAATCTTTGTATGGGTTTGTTGCCTATTTTTATGTCAATATGATACTGTTTTGATTACCCTAACTTTGTAATATAATTTGAAAATAGGAGTGTGATGCTTCCAGCTTTGTTTTTCTTTCTCTGACTTGCTTTGGCTACTTGGAGTCTTTTGTGGTTCTACAAACAATCATAAGCAGTTTTAGAATTGTTTATTCAATTTCTGTAAAAAAGATCATTGGAATTTTCATAGAGATTGCAGTGAATCTGTATATCACGTTGGGCAGTTTGTACATTTTAACAATAGTAAGTCTTTCAATCTATCACTGTGGAATATCTTTTCATTTATTTGTGTCTTCTTCAAGTTCTGTCATTAATGTTTTATAGTTTTCATTGTAAAGATTGTTCACCCATTTGGTTAAAGTTATCTCTAAGTATTATATTCTTTTTGATGCTCTTGTAAATGGGATTTTTTTAAAAGAGGAAAAGGGCCAGTTGCTTCTAGGTAGTAGTTTCCCTGGGAAAGTCCTCCACTGCAAGATAATCTCTCCTTCTCTTTCTCCTTTTCTTTTGTTTTTTCCTCTTCAGTAAAATCTTTAGAATGGCTTGCTTTTCTAGATGGCTAAAATATTTTTCCTCTCTCTTTGGATGTTAACCTGAAATTCGCGGTCATCCTGAATGGTGACTGCTATGCAGGCGGCCTCCATGTATGCTCCTGTCTGCCCCTTACCCTGAGAGCTGCCTCCTCTCTAGGGTATCCCAGTTGACCTCATGAGGATGGAAGGATAAAGAGCCCCAGAAGAAATGGAATGCCGCAATGTAGAGCAGCACCATCGTCAGTGAGGTGTTTTGGCTTCCTGTGAAGTGGGTTCCCCCTCTGTTTGGAGAAACCTACAGAGTTTCAGCACACTACCACTGACACAGTGGCCGTGCATATGGGAGTCTCCCAGTTCCAGTGTGCAGGATTTCACTAAGCACTTGGTGGTCATGCCTGATGGCCTCAGCACCAAGGTTGGGGTTGCCCCTCTCCTGTCCCGGAACATTGCTACATGAATTGGGACCTTCAAACAGTTTAGCCAGTTTGACTCTGGTCAGTAGTTCTCATGCGAGGAGTGAGAGCAATCATGGTCATCCCTTTGCAGTAGTAGGCTGGCAATTTGTGCACCTTGGAGAGGACTTGGCTTTTCAAGGGTAGGAATTTAGGGTAGAAAGATGTGGCCACACTGAACAAACACAATAGGCAGTGATGCACAGCAGCACAGATATTTGCCAGCAAGTGGCAGATCCCTCCTAGATGGCGTGAGCCACAGGGGAGAGCCCGTTAGTGAGCCATGAGCAGTCTAAAGGCATGCGTCTCCTTCCTCATGGTCATGGCCATGCACTCTAACAGCTGCCCCCAATCACCATTGTGATTTCTCTTTCTAACTTTTCCTGGAGTTCTCTCTGTCAAGAGTGGTCATAAGCGAGGTAGCCACTCTTTAGGAGAACCCTGCCAGGTGGAAGGTTAGGTTTGGGTGAGTGTGTCATGTAAGACACAGTAAGGGGATGAAACCAAAATGCATGAAACAGAAGAGATGTACCACTTATACTTCCTAGAGAGTTTAGGAGTGTGACGGTCACCAACAGGAGGTCTGGAGGTGGCAGGAGGCTCAGTCAGTGGGTGGGGAGCGAGACAGAAGGAGAAGCTTGGGGGTCAGGGTGTCACGGTGCCTAGATGTCATTTCTTAGGCTTTCCCGTGGGTTGTGGATGGTCTAAGGAAGCATGTGAGAAGTAGGTACTTATTACATGACTCTGATGTTGCCCAATAGGTTTGATCCTGATCAGCTGTGTGAGACGTATTGAGTTTTGAGTTTGTGCAGTGAGGAAAAAGTGGACTATCTTGCAAATGACCACAAATGAGGATAAGCTTTAACTAGGCCAACAGTGACAGGATGCTAATGGGTTTGAAACAACTTATGTCAGACCTAAAAATGGATGCTGAGGCAGCAGCTGTACCATATAAATACATATTTCATGTATTGTATGAGATATGTATTCAACCAAGACATATCTATACAATACCTCGTATTGTATGAGATATGATGGAGGTGTGATATTAGATCTGGCATGAGAAGGCAGGTTCATGAAGAAAAACAAGGGGGAATGTAAACTATAAATAAATAAAAATTAAAAAATATGGTAGTTTAGATCAAGTTAAAGAATATTTTAGAAAGTAGAAATATCAGATTGAGGAACTCTTCTAGAAGGCAGCAGAAAAGTAAAGAAATGAGAAATATGTATTTTTAACAAACTAAACCTGATGGAGTGGATGAATAGACAGAAATGTGATAGGGCATATATAGAAATGTTTAATTATAGAATCTAGATTAATAGCACATGTGTATACAATATGCAATGCTTTCAATAGTTTAATTGCAAATGTGCATAATAAATTTTGGAGAAGAAATGAAGAATATAATTGAGGAATTAAAGCCAATATCTAGGAAATAGGATTTTCTGTGAGATAATATATTTTAACAGACAGGAGAAAAAAATTGTTATCAAATAATGAAAATAATGTAGATAAATCATAAAATTTAATAAATATGTAGAAACTCAGATTAAAAGATAAAAATGAACAATAATGAAAAAGATAAATTTATAAAGCATCCTGAGAGACAGGAAAAAATAGCAAGCAAAGAACAATGTCAAATTCTCTACAGATACTTTAGATGTAAGAGGTCATTGGGGAAATATTTTTGGACAATAAAAAATTAATCTTATAATTTGATATAAAGGTAATTGTCATTTCAATGTGAGATAATAAAATTATTTTCAGGTAGAAAAAGCCTCAGAAAATTTGCCACACAAAGATATAGGACTTCGCCCTTTGTCTAAAGGCATTGGAAGTATCCTTGGGAGAAGTATCTAAATAAGGAGAGAGACACATACAGGAGATGCCATGGAGGTATGGTAAGGGTAATCAACTATCATGATGAAACATATTTTAATAATTTTCCAGATAATCAATTTCCATCGAATAGGCAATGGCTTTGAGTGACTCTCAGAATACTTGACTCCTAATGATTGCTCTATAAATACCTCTTTAGTGAAAGATTCAAAATAAAAATTTAAGAAAAGTATTAAAATTGTTCATGCAAGTCAAGCAAACCAATTGAAAGAGCTATTGATGGTGCCCGACTCTTAATAGGTATGCGGTAAGTATTGGTTGAATGACAGAATGATTGACAGGTCTCTTGAATTTATGAATGAATGTAATGAGTAATATTAAAACAAGGCAGTGCAGCATTCAGATCTAGGACATGGTATGAATGCAAAAGACACCTGAATGAGAGAGGGAGGCAACAGATGTGAATTACTCATCATGTTTAACTGTAGGTATAAAAACAGAGGAAAGACTAAACAGGTTTATGTAAAATTTAAAATTAATTAATATGAATATCTGACCAAACATCACTATTATTTTTAATTTAAAATATCTCCTAACCTGGGTAAAGCATATTGCACACAAAATTTGGCATTTATTTTATCACATTACTGATTTGTTTTCATGTATAATTCCATAGTATTTATGTCCCAGCATATGTTCATGTAGATGGTAGTTTTGTGAACATAAAGTTCACAGATACATCATTAATGTCAAAATTGCTGAAGAACAATAACAAACCCTATAAGGAAATAAGTATTGTGAAACCTCATCTTAAAAGTCCAAAAATATAAATAATCTGCTCAAAATATTTCAAATATAACTGGAGCCTGCCTCCCATCTCATTTTTGCCAGCCCAAATACTAAAACCTGTAAGCTTTTCTGCCCATGCACACACTAAAACAGCATGATATTTTAACATGATTTTAATACAGTTTTGACATTTAAACTTAAATAGATTAACAGCAGCAGAAACATACTTAATAGTTTAACCCACCACATTGGACTGTCATTAAAATAAGCAAAGACTAACCAGGAAATATAATAAGGGAACAGCAAAGAATGCCCAGCTCTGAGACTAACATCATTCTGCAATGTTCATCTCTATCCTAAAGTGCCCGGAAGAACAGAGTGGTAAATCATGTCATCCATATCTTGTACTTTTCCATGTACCTAATTTAAGCACAGGAAATTTAGAAATAGGAAAATCTTGCAAATTCACTTTTATTAGAAAAAATAATGTGAATAAGTTAGTAGCTTTATTAGCCCTAAGAAAATAAAAAACAAAATGATCCTGAGAGAGCTGGCAATATCCATCGTTTTCACAGGAGTTACCGACAGCTACTTTGTAATGAATTATCTTAGACAAATCATGTAATCTTTCAAAACCACCATAACCCTGCCTGAAGGATTTGTCCAGCCTCATTGTATTTCTTCAGCTCCCAGCTCTGTCTTCTTTAGTCTGTGAGCGAGTCTAGCCACCAAATCTCCAAGGAAGGTTTAACGGTGATTGTGAATTCACTATGCACCCAAATTTACCCACAGAAATCGAATGCAACAGATACAGCAGAGAAAACTTAGAAAAGCAGGTAACATTGCACTGCCATGTCATTAGCTCTGCATCAGAAATTTAATTTCTGGAAATATCAAGTTTGCTAAAACTTTGATTTATAGGGCTTATATTCATAATATCCCTATACTCATCAGGTAAATAAGAATAAACACTCATTTCAAGGTGATGAGTCATTTATAGACAAATCATTTGAGTGCTAAAGTTAAAGCAGAAACTTCCACTGTGGTAGAAGTTTCACTGTGGTGGCAGTTTGCTCAGGAAAGTCAAAAATAAACTACAAACAATATACAAATTTGATAGCATGATGTAAGTTTCGAAAAATCTCATTTGTAGTTGACCCAGAGGAAAGAAAATATTTCCCAGGTTTGGTTGAGGTGTTGCTTACAATAGAATAAGTGATAGTTTGTCTCATTCCTTATAAATTCATCATTTTCAAAGTTCAGACCTAAATCTCTAGATTCATCCCTGGTGGACATGTCCCTAAAGAGGATATATTCATTCCAATTGGTTTCTTCTCCTCCACTGCTACCATCCCAACCGGGCCTAACCCGCTATGTCTCTCAGCTGCTCATCCCAGGAGCTTTTTACTGAGGCTCCCTTATTCTCTTTTTGTACCTTTTATTCAATTCTCAACACAATCATCAGTGATTTCTTTTTCACAGGAGTCAGATCCTGCCATCCCTCTTTAACACTCTCCCGTGGCTTTTCATTTCCATCAGTGTAAGAGTGAAAGTCCCTAGAGTGACTCTAGAAAGATGAGTTTGTGAGGGCAATCAAGTTACACCTGTTTTCCAGCCAAAATTATTAATCCACCACCCTTTCACTCTTAAAAGTGTCCCTGGTTGGATGCTAGACTGTGTGGCCAGTCTCTCACGGGGCTCTCTATGACTTACCTCTTGTTCACCTTACCCCTCTGAGCTCATCATTGCAGCCATCCTATGCCTCTGCCCTCAGTAACACTCTCCTCTTTACTGTTTTTTAATCATGCTGGGGAAGACTTTTCACATTGCCTTCCATTTACTTTTTCCTGGGCCTGGAATACTCCTGCATCAGGTTTTTCATTAGATTCCTCTCCCAGCACTTTCAAGGCTTACCTAAATGCAGACTTCTCCATTAGCCTTCCCTTGCTTCCTATTTAAAACTGCAACCCGGTCCCCACTCCACTACTCCCTATATTTCTTCCTACAGTTTTTCTTCTCAACACTCATCAACATTTACATATCTGCCTACATGAGAACAAAAGGTCCCTGTGGAAAGATATATTGTTTTATTTGCTTATTGTGGTTTTCCTAGCATCTTATACATGGGAGATGCTCAATAAATACTTGCTGAATCAAAGAAGGAAGGAGTTGAATTAATGAATTGACGCATTGGGGATCCTATAATCCTTTGAATTCTACTTAGGGTTTCCTGATGTTTGTCCTTATCTGTGTGTTTCAGTATGCTCTAGACCAGTGTTTTTCACACTTACCTACTCAATTGCTCTAGCAGAAGTTTATAGGGACTCAACCACCACAGCAAAGTAAGAGTAGATCACTATGTTAGAAAAAGGGAAGCTTCTTTAAAATCTCATAGTTCATTGTAATTGTTATTCCAATTCTGCATTGTGCACCATTATAGTTACATGTTTACTATATACCCTGTTTTACATATCATTGGTTAAAATCCACATCCATGATGATGGACCCTGTTAATCCTGAACTTTGCATAATCCCTGACTATATGCTACAAACCACTGAAAGAAATCATGTCATTTTATTAAAAACAAAAACATAGATTAACTAGTTCTGATTTACAATGTTGTCCATGTTTTCCTAAACTTTCCATATCTGATATTATGCAGATTCTCTAAAGAAACTCTTACATATGCACCAGCAGAGAGGTACAACATATAGGTGTCATTGTTAGCGTAAATAATAACAAAATTTCTAAATATCTAATAAAAAGAAAGTTGATAAAAAGTGAGATATTCTCACAATGGAGCACTCTATATAATGGAAAATGAATTATTTGATTTATTGTATGATACGCAAAATTTTGGATGGAACAAAGTATGTTATGGATGAATATATGCAGAATACACTCAGTAAACTTGTATTGATTGCCTAACATATACCAAATGCTGGGAAGATAGCAGTGAACAAAGCAATTAAACGCTGCTCTCTTTGAATATAAAATTTTAGTAAGGGAAGATAATCAACAAATTAGGTCATTTGTGTAGATATTTAAAGGAGACAGGTGGTATAGAGAAAATAAGAGAATTTGATAATGGTTACATAGGGTGTGAAAGCAGAAGATCAAGAAAGATTAATGCAGCAGTTTTTGCCTGAGCCACTGGAAGGAAAAGGTTGTAATAAATATCTTGAAAAGACTGTGAAAGGAGCAGATTGAGAAGACATGACATCCAGTTTTGAATATATGCCTCTGTGTTATTTAAAATGTAACAATATTATTTTATACCCATGTTGCTTTCTGAATCTTAGGATGCATATCTGAAATCAATTTTGTAAAATTCACAACCATTAACTCTTTGATATTTGCCTCTCTCCTAGTTTCCCTTCTCTAATATTTTACAAACTCATTTGATCTATGTTGGGGTTTTAATTTCTAACCTGTAAACTTAACAATGTTGTTTTTATTTTAACTTCCTTATATTTCTATGCAGCTTTCTCTCAAATTTCTACTGATTTATCTTCCACTTAACTAACGCTTTCTTAAGCTACATTTAATCAGCTGTTAATAGTTCCATTGAGTTTATAAATGCATATACACATGCACACACACATTTCTAGTAGTTTTATTTTTTACATATGTACTTTTTCAAATTTTTACTTCTGCAATATGCTCATTTTTATTATTCAATATTTAATTCATTTTTAATTTTTAAATATTTTCTAACATGATTTTATATTTATAGTTTATATTATATATCTGATTATCCCACTATCTATAATGAAGGGTGATTATAATTCTATTGCATTTTTAAAATTTGTGATCAAGTGTTTTCTCTTAGCTGAATTTTTTATAATTATATATTCACATGCTGTTATAATAATACACAGAGCTTCCATGTACCCTTTACTCAGTTTCCCCCAATGGAAACATCTTACGACACTTTTGTATAATATTGCAACCTAGATATTGACATTAACACAACAAAGACACAAAGATTTTCATCACCCCACAGATTCTTCATGTTGCTCTTTTTTAGCCACATCCACTTTGCTTCCCTTATCTCTCCCTGAACAAGGCTAACCACTAATCTATTCTGTTTTTCTACAGTTTTCTCATTTTAACTATGTTATGTAAATGAAATCAAACAGTATATAATCTTTTGAGATTGGCTTTTTTTTTTTTTCACTCAGCATAATTGCATGGAAATTCATTCAAGTTGTTGTTAGGTATCAATTGTTTGCTTTTTTGTTGATGAATAGCATCTGATGATGTGGGTTGCCACAGTTTAACAATTGACCCATTGAAGGATACCAGGGTTCTTTCCAGGTTTTGGCTATTACAAATAAAGCTGTTATGACCACTTATATACAGATTTTTGAGTGAGCGTAAGTTCATATTTTTCTAATATAAATATCCAGCAGCACAATTTCTAGGTTATATATTTGTTTCATGTTTAGTTTTTTTAAGAAACTGCTTAACTATTTTTTCTGAGTATGATTAATTTACCTTATCACCAGCATTGTATGAGTTTTCCAGTTCCCCTCCAGAATTTGATATTATCACCATTTTTAAATTTTTACACATTCTGATATGTCTTATTGTGGCTTTAATTTGCATTTCCCAAATGGCTAATGAAGTTTAATACTTTACATGTGCTTATTGTCATCTGTATACCTTCTTCAGTGAAATCTCCATTTATATTTTGACTGTTTTAATTGAAATGCATTTGTTTTAGTGTTCTTGTTGAGTTTTGAGAATTCCTGATACACATTGCAGATACTGATCCTTTGTCATATATGTGTGTGAAAATATTTTCTCTCAGCCTATGGTATGTCTTTTCACCCTTGTGATAGGGTCACTTTCAGAGAAAAAATGTTTAATTTACATAAGGTTATTAATTTTCCTTTTAATGATAATGCTTTTAATGTCATGTCTAACACCACTTTGCTTAGCCTTAATATCAAATATGTTCTAAAAGTTTTGTAGTTTCAATTTTGCGCTTATTTCCATGGTCCTGTTGAGCAGGTTTTCATGTGAAGTAAGGGCTTCAGTCTGGGCTCATTTTTCACTTTCCTATGGGTGTCCAGTTGCGCCAACAGCATTTGTTGGAAAGGCAACCCATACGTGAACTGCGTTTGCATCATTGTCAAAAATCAGTTTGTCTATTCCAGGCCTCCCTAGCTGATCAAGTGCCTTTTCATATTTGTGGAAATAACTTTGTCCTTATGTCAGTGACCTTACTCTGTAGAGACAGTGAGGAGCTTGGTTTGAGGAAGCTTTCCTCCTGAGACAGTTTTATCTTAGCAGAGCAGAAGGCTAGCAATATGAGACAAAATTAATCTAATCGATTTTATTGGATGTTTTATTTTTTATACATTATCTTTCTTTAGCTGAAGTTAAGCTATTATTCTCAACCAAGCCTACCCTGAGTGGGAAGACAGGCAGCCAGCTTCCTACGTAAGTTATCGGACTTGCCAAATGGTAATTATTATCTTAAGATTACACATTTACTCAGTGTACATCTATTGATCTACACTTTGTGTCAGTGCCTACTGAAGCAGGATATTTCCCTGACCCCTTCATGAGACTCATGACAGGGGTGCCTCCTTTGCCCAGCCTGCAGTTTTCAACTCCTGAAGGGAGGGAGCCTGCGAGCAAACAAGGTGACAACTGGAGTGCAGGAGCACTGGAACCAGCCACTTCAGCACTGGCAGGTGCTAACTCCACCCATTCAGACCTCCTGTGCTCCACCCCTCGCAGGAAAGAGCCTGTGGGTGACAGGGTGCAGGAGCCAGGACGAGAGCACTTTTGGGAGCCAGCAGGAGCAAACTGTGTGCAGGCACCGAGGCAGCATCTGGGGGTGGGGGTTGCCCATGGCCCCCAAAGCCCCAGAGAGAGTGTTTCAGTGTTCTTTTATCTCTGCCATCCATGAACAGCTAAAGTGTTAACAGTTCAGTGGGCCCTTTGCCTTTTCGTGTGAAGTGGTTGCCTTCCACCAGTGAGGGTGAAGGACAAGTGTGGCAAGTGTGGCAGCCTTTTGTGTCCACACGAGTGGCACCTGAGCACTTGTCCGGTGTCCGGGAGAAATGAGGTTGCTCAAACAAATTGAAGCATGGTAAATGTGGGGAATTTCAGTTATAATTGATAACTGAAATCAGGAGCTCGTGGAGAAAAGCTATTGAAATGGAAGAAAACAGAACTAAAGAACCAATTCAAATGGATGCTGAACATAGAGAAGTATTGCCAGAATCATTACCTGTGTTGCACAATCAAAGAGAATTTAGCATGGCTGATTTTCTCTTAGAAACCACTCTATCAGATTTTGGCCAGTCTCATTCGACTGAAGAGAAAGTTATTTCAGATTGCGAGTGTGTGCCTCAGAAACGTGCTGACCAGTCACATAGATGAACCACCAACACAAAATCAGTCAGATTTGTTAAATAAGAAAGTAATTTGCAAGCAAGATTTGGAATGTTTAGCCTTCACCAAGCTTTCAGAAACTAGCCGAATGGAGACATTCTCCCCTGCTGTCGGCAATAGGATAGATGTGATGGGTGGCAGTGAAGAGGAGTTTATGAAAATATTGGACCACTTAGAAGTTTCTTGTAACAAACCTTCCACAAATAAAACTATGTTGTGGAATTCTTTTCAGATATCAAGTGGAATTAGTTCTAAGAGTTTTAAAGATAATGATTTTGGCATATTACACGAAACTCTTCCGGAAGAAGTTGGTCACCTAAGTTTTAATAGTTCCAGTAGTTCAGAGGCCAATTTTAAACTGCAGCCAAATAGTCCTATGCATGGTGGCACTCTTCTAGAAGATGTTGTGGGAGGGAGACAGACTACTCCAGAATCAGACTTTAATTTACAGGCTCTTTGCAGTAGATACGAGGCTCTGAAGAAACCTCTTTCCAAGAAAAGGGAAGAATCTTAACTCTCGAATTCCCAAACACCTGAAAGACACAAACCAGAATTGAGCCCTACTCCCCAAAATGTACAAACAGATGATACGCTTAACTTTTTGGACACCCGTGATTTGCATACTGAGCATATAAAGCCATCTTTACGCATGTCCATCGGTGAAAGAAAACGGTCTCTTTCACCACTAATTAAGTTTTCTCCAGTGGAACAAAGATTGAGAACCACAATAGCATGTAGTCTTGGAGAACTACCTAATTTAAAAGAAGAAGACATTTTGAATAAGAGCCTTGATGCAAAAGAACCACCGTCTGACTTGACAAGATGAAGACGTACCCATTTAATATAACTATGATGCACTTAAATTGAAGCTATGCCACAGGATAGAAACTGAATTATAACTTAAATACATGTTGGAAGTGTAACACTGTTTTTCAAGGTTTAAAAAAATTCCTAATGCCTTTTAGCCTTCTTTAATATTTTTAGGTAAGGAAAGTATGTTTGGATTTTTTCTCTTTGTAGGTATATGAGATTGAAACGTGAAGTATTTGGAAAACAAACGTCAAGCAATGGGAAGCCATTTTGATTTCTTGAGTAATCTTGTAAGCATTAAGTGAATGACAAAGTAGTAGTGTGACTAATTTCTTATGTTATAACTTCAGTCAATTAATGTAAGGATAAGTAGTTTTTGTTGTATGTTCACTAAGTGGTTAATATAATAGCCATTGAATATATTAATCTTTCATCTTAGAGAATTATACAACTTTTATTGTTCCTTTTTTTTTTTTTTTTTTTTTTTTTTGAGACGGAGTCTCGCTCTGTCGCCCAGGCCGGACTGCGGACTGCAGTGGCGCAATCTCGGCTCACTGCAAGGTCCGCTTCCCGGGTTCACGCCATTCTCCTGCCTCAGCCTCCCGAGTAGCTGGGACTACAGGCGCCCGCCACCGCGCCCGGCTAATTTTTTGTATTTTTAGTAGAGACGGGGTTTCACCTTGTTAGCCAGGATGGTCTCGATCTCCTGACCTCATGATCCACCCACCTCGGCCTCCCAAAGTGCTGGGATTACAGGCGTGAGCCACCGCGCCCGGCCCTTTTATTGTTTCTTAATGGAACATTCTGGCTAACCAGAAAAACGGAGAAAAGTAGTACCGTGAGATGTGTAGTCAAGATGACAAATTTTAAGACTGGAAAAGCTCTAAACAGGCTTAATGATTCTTCAAGTAGAATGATCCTGAGAAGTGATGTTTGATGGAATAAAGTGCATGTGATGATTAAGTGAAGACTGGGGCAGAATTATTTAAAAAAAGGAAAAAGATGGAAGATGAGTAGACACTTGCAAGGAACACTGTCAAACTATAAATCCATTCAGTGGGTTGTATAACATTTATATTTAGTCTAATTTAGACTTTGATAATTTAATGCTACTTTTATATTTTAACAAAAATATAAATTAAAATTTTCATTAGTCTGTTTTGTTGTTGGGGTTTTTTGTGAGGTACTCCCTGTTGGGGGAAAGGAACAAGGAACAACCATCAAAATTCCCCAGTCCCTACAGAATAGCCTCACAGTAACTTGAGAAAACTGAACTTGGGGTTAAATAACTTGTCACACTTGCAGTCTCCTGCCTCACTCCTTCAGGTTTCCTGCCTAGAAAAAGACTTGTGTCTAGCATCCAGCTGAACACATACTATTGCCCTCTGTGAACCAGGAGGAATGGAACAGGCAATGGAAGGGTGATAGTACCTACAATACCCTTTGTAGACCCCATCTCACTACCATCAAAATCTTGTCCACTAGCCCCCAAAAAACTGGCAAGGAAAGAAGGTGGAGGGGAAATTTATGGAAGTAGATGGCTTAATAGTTATTTCTTTTCATTTATCTTGGGCTGCCTTTCTCTAAGTTGTTTGTCCTGTCCCAGTGTGAAGACCCATCTTTTTGTGAGAAAAGACAAAAGAAAGCACATGTAACTACCTTCTTTGCAATGGAAAAGGAGAAAGAAAAAATCTTCTCCTAAGTTGCTGTTTTATTTTATTAGTTAATAAAACAAATCAGGGACTACGCAGGTCTATGGGGAAAGCTTTAGTCTGCTTTAAGAAAACTCAGTATCTGAAAATCTTAACTTAGCATGTGATGCTGTCATATCAGCATCTGCAGAAGTGCCAAAGCCACTGCTAGACACTTAATGTGTATTATTTCATTTAATTATATGTTAAATGTGCTTCCCTGGTAATTCTTAAGCTCGAGAAAGAGTTTGAGAACTGCTGCTAGGAAATAGAGATTCACATTTAACCCTGTGGTACTTTTAAGAAGCAGGTACATTGTTGCATATATACTTGGGTAGAGATTGGTAACTATCTGACAGGGAAGCTCAAGTTGGCCACTCAAGTCTGGGAAACCCTTAATTACTGAGAATCAAAAGAGCAGAATGTCTGTAGACATTTTGGATTTGTAAAACTCACATTGTTGAGTTATACCTGTGATGGGCTGAAAGTTTTTGATTCTTTCCTGTTCTTCATATGCCAGTACCATAAACAAAAAGTATCTCAGATCTGTCACTTTCTTCTCCTAAACCAATGTGATTGCAGCTTTTTGCCTTCAGCCTTTTCCCTATCCAATATCTCCTACATAGTTACCTTTTGATCCTAAGGAACTGTTTCGATTGGGTCACTTCCTTGCCTAAAATTCCATTGATTGTTCATTGTTAATTCTAAAATAGAGTTCAAATTTAAAGGCATGTAAGTTCCCCTATAATGGATTTCCTCTACTCCCCCTTCCGCTGTAATCTCCCATTTTTTTACTGAAATGCTTCAGTTAGCATGAGTCTTTAGAGGTCTTGATTTACAATTTTCCTGAAGCAGGAATACCTTGCTTTCCTCTACTAGTTTACCACAATTACAGCTCTCTTTTAAGCCTCAGAAAAAAATCTCACTTCCATCTTGAAGTCTTAATCCATGCTTTTTATATCCATGTGCCTACTCCTTCTCTGAAATCTCCTATGGTTTATCTTTTTATTCATTTAATATCCCACGAATTGATTTTATTATATATTTTTTATGGTTGCATGTGGTCTTTCTAGTTATAGCAATATACACATACATGCATAAATACATATACACCTATGTAAATGTGTGTTGGGAGTATGTATTCACACACATACATATACCCCAAGGCCATGTGTCATCTTTATCAATATTTAAGTTTTGGAATTGTTTTGTTTGCCTCCTATATCATAGAATAAATGGTAAAGAGGGCTAATTTATTACTCTAAGTGTATTTCTTATTATATTAATATCAGACATTATATAGAATGTACTTTGTTTTACTCACTATTTGTAAGATACAAAGGTATATAAACTGACTTATACATCAGCTTGAAACCTGAGATAATGCTAAAATGTTCTAAGTATTTTAAATGTTTAAAGAGGACAATCATGTAATGTTGCTAAACATGAAAAATGTCATCAAGTGGAATAAAGAATAGCTGAAGTTAACATTTGGGGGAAATTGAACTGAAAACAAAAATATGAGTATTTTGATATCTTTTCTTTACCATGAGTCTCTTGACTATGAAGTCAAATTTATCTAAAGGAAAAACAGGAATTCTGGAGACCTGTGTAAAAGCAGACTATTATCTTCCTACTGTGAGTGTACTAAAATTAAAATACGTTTAATGACGTTTTCCTCAATGTAAAAGTATTGAAGTAAATGTTTCTTTTATGTTGCAGATACATAGTTGCTCTAGAGATCACCTTTTTCTTTATGCATCGTGAATAGCAGTCTGCATCCTAAGTTTAAAATATTTGAGAATCCTCTATGGGACTCTCTGTAAATGTCTTAAATACTGTTGTTTTCAATAAATATTTTATACTAAAAAAAAAAAAAAGATTTCTTCCAGAGATGCAAGATTGGTTCACATTTGAAAATCAATTAAAGTCATGTATCATATTAACAAGCTATAGGATAAAAATCACATAATTGTGTTAATTGATGCAAAATGAATTTTGCAAAATTCAATATCCATTTATAATTTTTGAAAAATCATTTTTGGAGATTAAAAATGGAGGGGAACTTCTTATTCTGATAAAAAGCATATACAGGCCGGGCATTATGACTCACGCCTATAGTCCCAGCACTTTGGGAGACCGAGGTGGGTGGATCACTTGAGATCAGGAGTTAGAGACCAGCCTAGACAACATGGCCAAACCCTGTCTCTACTAAAAAGACAAAAATTATCTGAGCATGGTGGCACACACCTGTAGTCCCATCTACTTGGGAGACTGAAGCACAAGAATCACTTGAACCCGGGAGGTGGAGGTTGCAGTGAGCCGAGATCGTGCCACTCTCTCCAGCCTGGGCGACAGAGCAAGACTCCATCTCAACAAAAAACAAACAAACAAACAAACAAAAATATATATATATAACTTACAGCTAACTTTATACTTAATGGTGAAAGACTGAATGCATTTCTGTAATATTGAGAAGAAAATAAGGATGCCTGCTCCACCACTTTTATTCAACATAGCACTGACAGTTCTTGCCAGTGCAATAAAGAAAAATAAGAAAATAAAGTTCCACAAATTGGAAAGGAAAACACGATTGTCCCTATTTTCAGACGTCATGTTTGTTTTTGTAGAAAACGAAAGAAATCTACAAAAAAAAATCCTAGAAAAAGCTAAGTTCAACAGCTTCTAGGATACAAAATAAAGATATAAAAATCAGTTGCTTTTCTATACACTGTCAATCGGTGTATGGACACAGAAATGAAAAACATGATACCATTTCAAATCACTCAAAAATAAAATGCCTGGATATAAATCTAAGAAAACGTGCAGGTATTACGTGTTAAAAACTATAAAAATGAAAAAGGTCAAAGATAATCTAATTAAATGAAAAAAATATATCATGTTCATATAGTAAAGATGTCAATTCAACCCAAGTTGATACACAGGTTTAAAGAAATTTCTATCAAATGGCAGAAAGATTGTCCCTAAAGACAAGATGATTCTAACATTTATGTGGAAACGCAGAGGAACAATATCTTAAACATTTTTTAAAAAGAATAAAGTAGGAGGAGGGGCCAGGCACAGGTGGCTCACACCTGCAATCCTAGCACTTTGGGAGGCTGAGGCGGGCAGATCACGAGGTCAGGAGATCAAGACCATTCTGGCTAACACCTGGTGAAACTCTGTCTCTTCTAAAAATACTAATAAAAATACAAAAAATTAGCCAGGCATAGTGGCGGGGGCCTGTAGTCCCAGCTACTCCAGAGGCTGAGGCAGGAGAATGGCCTGAACCCGGGGGGCGGAGCTTGCAGTGAGCCGAGATTGCGCCATTGAACTCCAGCCTGGGCAACAGTGAGACTCTTCATCAAAAACAATAAATAAATAAAATAAAATAAAGTAAGAGGAGTCACCTACTGGGTTTCAAGACCTACTGTATAACTACACAATCAAGATTGTGTGATATTTAGAGGAATAGACACTAGGTCAATGGAAGAGACTAGAGGACCTATAAATAGACACACTAAAGTATGTCTAACTGATTTTTGACTAGGGTGCAAAAGCAAATGAATGGAATAAGGATAGCCTTTTCAAAAACGGTGCCCAACATGGTGAAACCCTGTCTCTACTAAAAATACAAAAATTAGCTGGGCATGGTGGCACATGCCTGTAATCCCAGCTACTCGGAAGGCTGGGGCAGGAAAATCACTTAAACCCCAGAGCCGGAGGTTGCAGTGAGCCGAGACCGCGGCACTGCACTGCAGCCTGGGCAACAGAGAAAGACTCCATCTCAAAAAAAAAAAAATGATGCTAAACCAATTAGACATCCATAAGCAAAAAAGGAAACTTGACCTGAACCTTACGCTCTATACAAAAATTAAATTAAAATTTATCATGTGTTTAAATTCATCCTGTATTTAAAGAAAAAAAGCTTAATTTTTAATACACTTGGGAACAAAAAATATTCGATAAAATCTTTAGTATCTGGAACTAGGCAAATAGTTCATAGAACTGACGCCAGAAGTATGAATGATAAAAAGAAAAATGGATAAGTTGGAACTCTTATTTTAAATTTAGGTTTTGCAAAATGCAAAATAGAAGATAAAAATGAAAACTATAGACTGGGAGAAACTATTTGTAAACCACCTATATGACAAATGACTAGTACCTAAAATATATAAAAAACCTCAAAACTCAAGAGTGAAACAATAAAATCACAAAATGAACCAAAGTCATGATCAGATATTTCATTAAAGAGGACATAGAGATAGCAAATAATCACAAGAAAAAATATTAGACATCATTCACCATTAAAGAAATGCAAATTAAAAATCACAAAGTGATATCACTCTAAATGTCAGGATGGCTAAAATAAATAATAGTGGCAACACCAAATGCTGGCAATAATGCGAAGAAACCAAGTCACTTTCACATTGCTGGTGGGAATAAAAGATGGTACTGGGAAACATTTTTGCAGTTTCTTATAAAACTGAACACGTAACAACCATATGTTCTAGCAACTTCACTCCTGGGCAGTTGTTACAGACAAATGAAAACTTAAATTCACCCAACTTTTTGTGTGATGTTCACAACTTTTTTGGCAATAACCAAATACTGAAAACAATCTAAATGTCCATAAACTGGTGAATGGTTAAACAGATGATGTTCACTCATACAATGAAATACTATTGAGCAATACAAGGTAACAAATGATATATGCAACCTTAATCAATCACTAAAAAATCATGCAGAGTGAAAAAAGCCAATCACAAAATGTCAGATACTGAATGTTTCCATTTATATAACATTCCTGAAATGTAAAATCTATAGAGAATAGAGAACATGAGTGTTTGCCCAGGGTCAGAGATGGGATGGAGAAAATGAGGTGGGTAGGACTCTAGACAGGTAACATGAGGGACCCTCTGGTGATGGAAATGAGCTATCTTGTCACTGTCAATATAAATATCACCATGTTACTGTAATACACTTTTGCAAGATACTACTAATAGAAGAAAATGAGTAAATAGTACATGGTATCTCTCTGTATTATTTCTTACAATTACTTGAAAATCTTTAACACCCCAAGAGATTACACTAGATCCCAAGCAATGGATCCAAACTAAGATAAAATCTTTGAAATACCAGATGAAGAATTCAGAAATTTGATTATTATGCTACTCAAGGAGATACCAGAGAAAGATGAAAACCAACAAAAAGAAATTAAAAAAAAAATTTCCGGAGAGATAGATATCCTAAAGTAAAACAAATCAGAACTTCTGGAAATAAAAGATACACTTAGGTAAAAACAAAATGCAGTGGAAAGTGTCAACAATACACTAGAACAAGTAGAAGAAAGAATTTCAGAGCCTGAAGACAAGGCTTTCAAATTAACCCAATCAGACAAAGATAAAGAAAAAAGAATCAAAAGAAATGAATACTGTCTCCAAGAAATATGGGATTGTGTAAAATGGCCAAACCTAATAATAATTAGTGTTCCTGATGGAGAAGAGAAGGCTAAATTTGGAAAACTTATTTGAAGGAATAATTGAGGAAAACTTCCCTAGCCTTACTAGAGATTTAGATATCCAAATACAAGAAGCTCAAAGAACTCTTGAGAAATTCATTGTAAAAATATCATCACCATGGCACATAGTCATTTGGCTATCTAAGTCAACATGAGGGAAATAATTCTAAGACCTGTGAGATAAAAGCATCAAGTAACCTATAAAGGAAAACCTCTCAGACTAACAATAGACTTCTCAGCAGAAACCTTACATGTTAGAAGGGATTGGGGTCCTATCTTTAGCCTCCTTAAACAGAATAATTGTCAGCCAAGAATTCTGCATCCAGAAAAACTAAGTTTCATAGATAAAGGAGAAATATACTTTTTCAGACAAACAAATGCTGAGAGAATTTACCACCACCAAATCAGCATTACAGGAAATGCTAAAAGGAGTTCTAAATCTTGAAACAAAAGCTTGATATGCACCAAAATAGAATCCCCTGAAAGCAAAATCTCACAGCACCTATAAAACAATAGCACAGTGAAAAAGAAAACAATATATCTATGTAACAACTAGTATGAATACAACAGCACCTCACATTTCAAAATTAATATTGAATGTGAATGGCCTAATTATCCATTTAAAAGATACAGAATGGCAGAACTGATAGAAAAAAAAAACCATCTAAACATGTGGTGTCTTTAAGAGACTCACCTAATACATAAGGATTCATATAGACTCAAGGTAAAGGGGTGGAAAAAGATATTCCAACAAATGGAAACCAAAAGCAAGCAGGAGTAGCTATTCTTATACCAGAATAAACAGACTTTAAAGCAACAGCAGTTAAAAAAAAAAAGACAAAGAATGACATTGTATAATGATACAAGAATCAGTCCTACAAGATTATAACCCTAAATTTATATGCACCTAACACAGGGCTCCCAGATTTATAAAACAATTACTTCTAGATCTCAGAAATGAGATAGCAATATAATAATAGTGGGGGACTTTAATATTCCATGACAGCACTACACAGATCATCAAGACAGAAAGTCAACAAAGAAACAACGGACTTAAACTACATTATAGATCAAATGAACTTACCCAATAAATACAGAAGATTCTTTCCAAGAACTGGAGAATGTGCATTCTTCTGACCAGCACATGGAACATTCTCCAAGATGGACCATATGATAGGACACAAAACAAGTCTCAGTAAATTTAAGAAAATTGAAATCATATCAACTATTTTCTCAAAACACAGTGGAATAAAACTGGAAATCAACTCCAAAAAGAATCCTCAAAACTATACAAATACATGAAAATTAAATAATGTGCTCTTGAATTATTTTGGGGTTAACAATGAAATCAAGATGGATATTAAAATTGCTTTGAAATGAATGATAATAATGAAACAAGTTATCAAAACCTCTGGGACACAGCGAAAGCAGAAGAGAAAAATTCACAGCATTAAGTGACTACATCAAAAAGTCTGAAAGAGCACAAACTGACAACCTAATGTCACACCTTGAAGAACTAGAGAAACAAGAACAAACTAAACCCACAACCAGCAGAAGAAAATAAATAACAGATCAGAGCAAAATTAAATGAAATTGAAACAAAAAGCTGGTTATTTGAAAAGATTAACAAAATTGATAGATTATTAGCAAAATTTATCAAGAAAAGAAGAGAGAAGATCTAAATAAGCTCAATTAGAAATGAAACTGGAGATACCACAGCTGATACCACAGAAATACAAAAGATCATTCAAAGATACTATGAACACCTTTATATGCACAAACTAGAAAATCTAGAGGAAATGGATAAATTCCTGGAAACATACAACCTTCCTAGGTTAAATCAGGAAGAAATAGCAACCCTGAACAGACCAATAACAAGAAGCATGAATCAGTAATGAAAACACTGCCAACAAAAATAGGTCCAGGACGAGATGGTTTCACAGCTAAATTCTACCAGACATTCAAAAAAGAATTAGTACCAATCCTACTAATCCTATTCCAAAAAATTGAGAAAGAGGAAATCCTCCTTATGTCATTCTATGAAGCCAGTACCACCCTAATACCAAAACCAGGAAAGGGCAAAACAACAAAAACAACAAAACTATAAGCCAATATCCTTGATTAACATAAACACAAAAATTCTCAATACAATACTAGTTAACTGAATCCAACAGCAAATCAAAAAGATAATATACATAATGATCAAGAGGGCTTCATCCCAGTGATGCAGGGATGATTTAACATAAAGAACTCAATAAATGTGATACATCACATAAACAGAATTAAAAACAAAACCATATAATCATATCAATAGACACAGAAAAATAATTTGGTAAAATCCAGCATCCCTTTAAGGCAAAACCCTCAATAAAATAGGCGTAGAAGGAATACACCTCAAAGTAATAAAAGCCATATATGACAAACCCACAGCCAATATCATCATGAATGGGGAAGAGTTTAAAGTATCCCTCCTGAGAACTGGAACAAGATGAGGATGCCAGCTTTCACCCCTTCAATGTAATGTACTACTGAAGTCATAACCAGAGTAATCAGGCAAGAGAAAGAAATAAAAGACATCCAAATTGGAAAAGAGGAAGTCAAACTATCACTGTTAATGGATGATATTACTGTATAACTAGAGAACCCTAAAGATTCATTTAAAAGGCTCCTAAATTTGACAAATGGATTCAGTAAAGTCTCAGGTTACAAAACTAATGTACACCATCAGTAGCACTGCTATACACCAGCAATGACCAAGCTGAGAATTAAATCAAGAACTCAATCCATTTTATAGCAGCTGCAAAAAGTATAAAATACTTAGGAATAATTTTACCAACAAGGTGAAAGATATCTACAAGGAAATCTACAAAACACTACTGAAAGAAATCATAGATGACACAAACAAATGGAAACACATCATACTGTGCTCCCAGATGAGAAGACTCAATATAGTGAAAATGACCATACCACCCAAAGTAATCTACCAATCCAATGTAATTTTCATAAAAATACCATCATCTTTTTTCACGGAACTACAAAAAAATCCTAAAATTCATATATGGAACCAAAAAAGAGCTTGTATAGTCAAAACAAAGCAAAAAAACAAATCTGGAGGCATCACATTACCAGACTTCAAATTATACTACAAGGCTATAGTTACCAAAGAAACATGATATGGCATAAATATAGGCACTTAGACCAATGGAACAGAAGAGAGAACCCAGAAATAAAGCCAAATACTAACAGTCAACTGATATTAAACACAGCATACAAAACCATAAACTGGGAAAATGACACCCTATTCAATAAATGGTGCTGGGATAATTGGCAAATCACATGCAGAAGAATGAAACTGGATCCCCTTCTCTCATCTTATAAAAAAATCAACTCAATATGGATCAAATATTTAAATCTAAGACCTGAAACCACAAAAATTCTAAAAAATAACATTGGAAAAACTCTTCTGGACGTTGACTTAGGCAAATAATTCGTGACAAAGACCCCATAAGCAAACACAACAAAAACAAAGTAAATAAATGGGACCTAATTTGTCTAAAAAAGCTTCTGCATAGCAAAACAAATAATCAGCAGAGTAAACAGACAACTCATAGAGTAGGAGAAAATATTCACAAACTATGCATCCGACAAAGGACTAGTATCCAGAATCTACAAGAAACTCAAACAAATCAGCAAGAAAAAAATAATAATCCCATCAAAAAGCAGGTAAAGGGCATGAATAGACATTTCTCAAAAGAAGATATACAAATGGCCAACAAACATGAAAAAATGCTCAACATCACTAATCATCAGGGAAATGCAAATTAAAACCGCAATGAGATACAACCTCACTCCTGTAAGAATGGCCATATAAAAAATAAAAAAAACCAATAGATTTTGGTGTTGGTGTTGTGAAAATGGAACACTTTTACAATGCTGGGTAGGAATGTAAATTAGTACAATCACTATGGAAAACATTGTGGAGATTCCTTAAAAAACTAAAAGTAGAGCTACCATTTGATCCAGAAATTCCACTACTGAGTATCTACCCCCAAAAAAGAAGTGATTATGTGAAAAAGACACATGCACACACATATTTATAGCAGCACCATTTGCAATTGCAAAGATGTGGAATCAACCTAAGCACCCATCAACCAACAAATGGATAAAGAAAATGTGGTATATATACACCAAGGAATACTACTCAGCCATAAAAAGAAAAAACGTAATGTCTTTTGCAGCAATTTGGATGAAGCTGTAGGCCATTATTCTAAGTAAAGTAACTTAGGAATGGAAAACCAAATATTGTGTGTTCTTATAAGTGGGGGCTAAACTATGAGGATGCAAAAACACACACACACACACACACACACACACACACACACACACAAATGATATAATGGACTCTGGGGACTCAGAGGCAGGAAGGAAGTTGGGAATGAAGTGAGGGATAAAATTCTACATACTGGGTACAGTGTACACTGCTCGGGTGATAGGTGCGTTAAAATCTGAGGATTCACTACTAAAGAACTCATCCATGTAACCAAAAATCAGCTGTACCCCAAAAACTATTGAAATAAAAACATAAAAATAAAAAGTTTAAAACCATCGTAAATATTTAATTAGATATGTTTCTTTATGAAAATTATTTTACTTCTGAAAATATTAGGACCTTCTCCACTTCCTTACAACATCATACATGCTTTCAGAACCCTATCAGTGCCTTATTACTGATCTTTGGTTAAATTTCCCAGCTAATACAATCAGTTGTTTGTTATCTGAATTCCATTTCATGCCTCTGCAGCTATGCACTTGGTAAAGCATTTTTAAACATTTCTCTTTAGAAATCTCACTTGTAGAAAATTAAACCAATTTGTATGGTATTATCTTTGTATAGAATGCAACTGAATAAACCACTTTGTAACATGCGTTAGTTAAGCATCATGACAGTATTTTGCCCACGGTCATTTAGCTTATGACTTCCAAATGTTCAATTCTCTATGGCTCCAATAATAATTCAAATCCTTATTACAAGTTCAGCTGAGCAGTTTGCCATAATTAATAAAAAGATAATAATAATGATGGCACTTAAGAATGGACAACTGTGTAATTAACTGAATTGTTTACACAAGAGAGATAAAGATGTTACGTTCATTGGGAAAGTGAAAATAATGGATATCTGTTAGTTATCTTAGAGGTTTTCTAAATGCCTGTAATGTATTTTAAAATTAATAGAGCAATATATAAAATAATTTCAAGCACTTGTATTCAAACTGTTAAATATTAAAAATAATCTAGAAATTTAAGGGTTCTTTTGTATGTTGATATTTGCTTGTTCTGAACTAAAATAGCCATACAAACTTTCCGTTTAAAATGATATCTAACTTAGTCTTTGGTATTTTTTTTTCTAATTTCCTACTTGAACACTTTTAGAAATTGGGTAGGAAAATTATAAACCAGAGCAAGCAAAACTAAGTAGCAGCTGAGTGACAAACTGAACTAATTTTCTATTAGAGCACGATACATTTAACTTAATCACAGGAAAGAAGTGATGCTGACAAAATCTTAGCCACTGAGAAGTGAAACTGTAGTGATAAAAATGTTCTATATCTTTGTTGTTCTGTATCTTTGTTGTATCAATATAAATATCTTGGTTGTGGA
This sequence comes from Homo sapiens, assembly GCF_000001405.40. Classification (NCBI taxonomy): domain Eukaryota; kingdom Metazoa; phylum Chordata; class Mammalia; order Primates; family Hominidae; genus Homo; species Homo sapiens. Next base: position 53,876,194 of record NC_000007.14, read on the forward strand.
ATTGAAGTATATAGCAAGATGGTACCTTTGAAGGAATCTAGATAAATAAATGGTGCATGAGATCTTTCTTATTTTTTACACCTGCATGTGAATCTCCAATTATATCAATGTTAAAATTTTACTTTAAAAAGCTACATTAATTAAGACAGTAGGTATTTTTTGTTCTAATCAGACCTTGAACTGATTGGATGAGACCCACCCACATTAAGACGGGTAATCTGCTTTACTCAAATTCCACCAATTTAAATGTAAATCTTGTTTAAAAACACCCTTACTGGCCAGGCTTGGTGGCTCTCGCCTATAATCTCAGCACTTCTAGGAGGCCGAGGCGAGTGGATCACCTGAGGTCAGGAGTTTGAGACCAGCCTGGCCAATATGGCGAAACCCCATCTCTACTAAAAATACAAAAATTAGCCAGGCGTGGTGGTGTGTGCCTGTAGTCCCACCTACTGGGGAGGCTGAGACAGAATTGCTTGAACCTGGGAGGCAGAGGTTGCAGTGAGCCGAGACAAAGCGAGACTCCATCTCAAGAAAAAAAAAAACCTGAAAAACAAACAAAAAACACCCTTAATGGCTGATTGCAGTGGCTCCTGCCTGTAATCCCAGCATTTTGGAAGGCTGAGGTGGGAAGATTGTTTGAACCTAGGAATTTCAGCTTGCAGTAAGCTATGGTTGCACCACTGCACTCTTACTTGGGCAATGGAGTGAGACCCTGTCTCCAAAACAAAACAAAAACAAACACCCTCACAGAAACATCTAGAGTAATGTTTTACCAAATATCTGGGTAAAATGGCCCAGTCAAGTTGACACATAAAATTAACCATCACAGTCTATAATGCATTTTGAGTTCATTTTTGTACAAAGTGTGACTTATACCTTACGGTTCTCTGCCCCTCATGATTGTCCAATTAGTCCAACATAATTTGTGGAAAGAGCTGTCATTCCAACATTGAACTGCTATCGTACCTTTGTCAAAATCGGTCAATATATTTATGTGGGTTGCTTGTGAGTTATTTCCTCTGTTCTATTGATCTTTGAGTCTATTCCTATGACAATTTAATTACTGTAGCTATAAAATAAGTCTCAAAATCACATAGATTCTTCCCACTAAATTTTTATTTTTCAAAAATCATCTTGGCTATTCTAGTAGCTTTGCTTTCCATATAAGTCTTACAATATGCCTCTGTCTGTCTACAGAACACTTTTTAAATAGATATTGCAATAAACCTAAATACCAACTTGAGGAGATTTTCCATCTCCTTTATATTGGTTCTTCCAATCTGTGGACACAGTGGGTCTCTCTGTTTATTTAGACCTTTTATTTCCTTCATCTGCTTTCTGTGATTTTCCACATATAATTCCTGTATATTTTAACAAGTTTACATGTAAATATTTCATGTTCTTTGGAGTGAATCTAATTTTTAATGGATTTTTAATTTTTGTTTCCAACCGTTCATTACCTGTTCTTTCATTCTCAATCTTGGTTATTTTTATTCTCTTTTCACTCATGTCAATATTGCTACAAGTCTATGAATTTTAAAAATATATATTCAAAGATCCAGTTTTTTGTTTTATTGGTTTTTATCTATTCTTTTAGTTTTAGATATCATTGATGTCTGTTCTAATTTTACTTTATCCTTCAATCTACTTACTTTGCAATTTGATTTTTATCTTTTTCTAGTTTTGCTGAGCTAGCAGTTTGGATGATTTATTCATGATCTTACCACTTTTCTAATGTAAGCGTTTGGAGCTATAAACTTCCTTCTTAGAATTGCTTTATCTGGATCTGACGTTTTTTATTATATTTCATTGTCATTCAGTTTTAAGTATTTAAAAAATTTTCCTTAGTGACTTCCTCTTTGATTCACATACTGTTTAGTTTTCCAAAGATTTTCCTGTTGTCTTTCTGTTATTGATTTATAGTTTGATTCCATTTTGGTCAAAGAACATACCATATATGATTTAGATTGCTTTAAATTTGGTGAAGTGTGCTTTGTAGCATAGGATATGGTCTTTGCTGGCAAATGTCTGTGAGTGTTTGAAAAATGTATTTTCTGCTGTTTTGGGTTGAATATCCTGCATTTGTCAGTTGAATCCTGTTGGTCATTTGTGTTATCCAGTTCTGTACTTCTGCTGATTTTTCGGCCTAGTAGTTCTATTACTTGCTGAGAGTAGGGTGTCGATATTCCCAACCATAATCCTGGATTTGTTTGTTTCTCCTTTCAGCTCTATTTTTGCCTCATACATTTTGAGGCTGTTTTGTGCGGAGTATATGCATTTAAGATTGCTATGTCATCCTGTTGGATTGTTTATCATAATCTAACATACCTCTTTGTCTCTAGTAATTTTCTGCACTGTGAAGTCTGCTTTATCTGATACTAGTTTAGCCACTTTTTTTGGTTAAGATTTGCACAGTGTATATCTTAATCCTTTTACATTTAATCTACCTATGATATTGCTTTTGAAGTTTCTTGTAGATACATGGCATGTTGTTAACCATGTTTACTTTTTAAGTCTACTTTACCAAACTACACTGTTTAATTGTTGTATTTTAAACAATTACATGTGATTATTAATATGTTCATGCTTAACTCTATCATAGTATTAGTTATTTTCTGTTTATTTCCTCTATTTCTTGTTCCTCTGCTTTTATTATCATCCTGTGGGTTATTTGAACTTATTTTTAAGGTTAAATCTTAATTTACTTATAGTGTTTTGGGTATATCACTTTCTATAGTTTTCTTAATGGCTACTGCAAGTATTAAATTATTAATACATAATGTATTACAGTCCACTGGTATCAGTGTTTTATTATTTTGAGTAAAGTGCAGGTCCACTTAGCCTCTTGACTTTTAAAATGTAATTGTTTTTCCTCTGTATATATTGATTTCACACTAAATGGTATTATAATTTTGCCAAAACCACCAAATATGATTTATGATACCCCTGAGGAAAAAGATAATATGTTGTATGTATTCCCTTTTTTTTTGTTCCAATGTTCTGTTTTTCTTTCTGAAGTTTCAAGCCTTTTTGTTATCATTTCCTTTTGGTTTGGAGTCCATTTCATCATTATTCTTTGAAGGTAGATGTGCCAGTAAAACAATTATCCAACTTTTCTTCCTTCTGTGTGTTTTTTCCTCTTCATTGCTAAAGGATATTTTTGTCAGGCATGAAATTCACATTTAACAGTTCTATCCTTTCATTACTTGCGAATGTTTTGCTACTTTCTTTTTGCCTCTACTGTTTCAGACTAGAAATTGCTGTCATTTAAATTGGTGTTCTATGCTAAATAATGCACCATTTCTTTCTGGCTGCCTTTGAGATATTTTCTTTTTTAAAAAAATGTTCTACAAGTTTAATTATGATGTGGCATGGTATGACTTTCTTTAGGATTATCTAATTTAGACTTCACTCAACTTCTTGAGTCTGTAGGTTTATGACTTTATGACAAATTTGAAAAATTTCAGCCACTGTTTCTTTCAGTACTTTTTCAGTCCCATTCTCTCTTACCTCTCCTGAATATTTGATGATATGAATTTTAGGTCTTCTGTTATTTGCCTATATGTCCCTGTGACTCTGGTCATTTTCTTTAGATTGGATAATTTTTATTTATCTCTTCTAAATTCATTGATTAGATCCTCCGCCAGATCTCTTCTATATTGAGACCATCCAGTGAGTGCTTTATTTCAGTCCTTGTATTTTTTAGCCTATAATTTCCATTTGGTTTTTGGCTATAACTTTATTCCTTTCTTGAGACTTTCCAATTATTCATCTGTTTTAAGATAATTCATAATTACTTGTCAAAACACTTAAATGATGACTGCTTTAAAATCCTTGTCAGATAATTCCAACGTTTAGTTTATCTTGGTGTTGCCATGTGTTGACTGTGTTTTCTCAGTCATTTTTTTTATTTTTCTGGTTTTGATATGACCAGTGATTTTCACTTGTATCTTGGAAATTTTGAATCTCATGCTGTAGTATGAGATTCTATAACTTGGTTTATATATATAGATATATATAGAGATATATATTTTCTTTTCAGTAGAGAGCACTTTCCTAGTAAGGTGTAATATGAGAGCCAGGTGTGTGTCTATGCACCATTTACTTCTCACAGGGCCCCACCACCACCACCTTCACTGTGGGCATTGACTTAGACCAACTCTGTCTTCAAATGAGGTTTGAAAATCAGTTCCTTCCTGGGTCCCAGTGCCAGCAGGGAAGGTAGAAACAAAGGGATGACTCACACTGATTTGTTGTTCTACGCTGGCACTAGAAGCTGGACTCTACTGACTCTCAGGGAGTAGAAGTGGGGAAGCCTTGAGTATGGAGTTGCTCCCTCCCACCACCTGGCCTCATTAATGCAAGCTGAAGGGGGCGACTCAGCTCCTCACTGGCCCTACTTTCAGCAGAGAAAGTTGGAAGCTAAGTGTTGACTACTCCACCTGGTTCAACTCATTCTGCCTGGGTGATGCTAGGTTCGGTTGGGGACACAGCTTCCTTCTTGGATCTTCTGACATCATTGTTTGAAGGAAAGGACAAGAGCAGTGGTTGCCACTGTTATGTTCTGCTTCCTTCAGTCTTTTTGCTGTCAGCTGGGTGTGGACCTTCAGGTTCTCCGTGGGACTCAACAGCCATCAGTGGTGGGGCTGGAAGGGGAATTCGAGTGCTTTCTGGCCCTGACATGAACCACCTTGTTCAGCCTCAATTACCCACACTGGGAAGATGACATGGCAGTAGAGAGAAAAGGAAATAGTGAAGCCAGGTGATGGTGAATGCAACCTTGCACCACCTCAGTTAAGTCTTGTTGCTGCTGATTGGAGGTGGAAGCTCAACTTGACACTGGGCTCTGCTGATGCTGTCTTTATGAGATGATCTGAGCACCTCCTATGTCTTCTAGGAGAGGGTAGAAAAGCAACTTCCTACTCAGCTCCATAAACACTGCCTCAGGAAAGAAACAGGAGCAACTCCCATTACCATAATGTAGGGGATGAGAGATCAGCTCCCTGCCAAGCAGGCTGACAGCAATCAGTGGGCTCTAAGCCCTGCTGCCTGCTTCTTATGCAGAGAGGGCATGGTGGGGTGGAGTGAAAGGTATGGAGGTAGTCAATTTCCTGCTGGGTCCCAACTAGAAGCTTGTGAGGGCAATGTTTGTTCACTGGTGTTTGACTGAACAAGGGCTGGTTATCTGTTACCTGTTGTTAGGTCACCCTTTGTCTTAGGGTACAGGCTTTCTTGGAGCCCTTGTCTGTTTCTGTTATAGCTACTGTGTTGCAGGCTTCTGCGGCACCCTGTTGGACAGGCATGGAAGGAGCACAGACTTTCTCCAAGTTTCGAGGTCCCTAGGCCACGTCAGATGCTCTGCTTGTTTGCTGTGTTATCCCCAATGTTCGTTGGCAGTAAGGGGACAGCCTAGGAAGAAGGAGTTACTATATCCTGATAGAACTAGATGCCCTAAATGTAGTTTCTAAAATGAATTTGATATCTTATACCTTTTTCTTCTTTCCCAGAGGGTCTTGTTATTGTCCCTTTGATTTTTCCATGTAAGCTTCAGAATGAGCCAGTCAATGGTTTTTTCAAAGTCATCTATTTGGATTTCATTGATACTTCTTTCATTTAATGTGAGATGAGTATGAAAAGAATTAACATCTTTAATAATGACCGTTTGATATTTTCCTTTCTTTTCCTCTCTTTCTCTTTTAAAAATTTCCTGCTTTACTTTATTAGTCAAACTTCTGAAACAACACTTAATTAAATTGGTGGTAACAATTATCCTTGTTTAAACAGGAAAACTTTCCATCGTTCTTTAATTTTTAAGTACACTCATGTTTAAAATCTACAGTATTGGTTTCTTTTTGTTTGTTTATTTACTGAAAGTGGCATTACAGTGATAGCAAGTCTTAGTTTTTGTATGCCCAAAAATGCATTTTCTGTTTCTCAAACATAAAAGTCCTTAGAATTATAATTCCAGCCTTATAAGCTATTAATATTTCTGTTTTCTGTAACCATTGCTGTATTTTATTGTAGCCTTAATTTTTCTTGTTTCATATGAAAATACTCTTGTGAATCTGATTCTCGTTTTACATGTATTATTTTCTCTCTCTGGTAGTTTTACGAGCTTTCTTTGTATCAGTGACATTTAGAAGTTTCATGAATGTATGCTATTATGATTATTTTTTTCAATCACTATATTCATAAGTTAGCACACTCTTTTGTACAAAAGTATCAGGTGTTTCTTCAATCAGTGAAATCATCTTCAGCTAATCATTATCTTTCCATATTTCTTTTCATTCTTACCAAGCCCTAGCTACACAATATTGCATCGCCTGCCTTTGGTGTTTGCATCCTTCATTTCCTCTGAAGCATTCTGCCTTCCTACTCTTTTAATCTGAGAAAATAATAAAAGTGGCCTATGTACTATTTTTGATACAGTATTATCTCTTTTGTTCACATTAAAAAATGTCGGAGGTGACTATCTACTCTGATTTTTTTTTTTTTTTTACCATGGTCTATGCAGGCTCATCGTTTCTAATCAGGTTGTTGATTTCTACAGCTCCACTGGTGGCATGCTTTCCTGTGGTATCTGCATCTCCCTCCTCACAGTGACACGTAATCCCAGGCATCCAATCTGGTCAGGGACACAGGAGCAAAGCCACAATTCTTCTCTGTATCAGGATTAAAATAAACCTAAGGAGGATGGGGGCATGGATTGGGCAGTGGTAGCTGCAGATAGAGAACTGACCCTGCTTCTCTCAACTCCTCAAAATTTCCAAGTTTTAGGTATCTCAAAGGGGCTCCTTTCTAATATCAGCTATAGAAAATGTAAACAAATGCATGTGGCTGTGTTCCATTAAAACTGACTTACAAGGCAGGCCTCGATGTAGTTTGTCAACTCAAATGTTAAACAATGAATTAGAGGCCTTACGCAATACAATAAAAAGACAAAACAGAAAAGCCTAAAAACAAATGAATAATTAAATGGTTTTGCAAATAAAATAATTTTGTGTAGAAAAAAACCCAAGATAATGTACAGAAATAAAAACAATCTGAAAGCAGACATTGAGCTACTGACATTGTTAGCTACCAAAGGAGTTAAGTAAGGTTGTTGCGGGCGTAGCGTCAACAAAACTCAATATTCTGTAACCAACAATGATTAATATGGCAACATTAATTAATGCTAAGATTCTGAGGAATAAATCAAATAAATGAGGTTAAAGAACACTCTAGAGAAAAGTACAATATATTTAAGGATATAAATGTCACTTAACTAAATGGAGAGGTACATTATGTTCCTTGATAGAAAAACTATATATATATATAAAAGTTAAATTCTTTCCACTAAGGTATTTTTCAATCATAATTTTGAATGCTTTAAAAAACTATAATTTTATGAGCCAGTTTGAGTATTTTTGTGGATGAACAAACTCTAGTTAAAAAGTTTTAAAGAAAGCTAAAGAAGAAAAATTTAACCTACCAAGTATCAAGATGGTAAAAATATAAGAGCATGATTTTGATGAAGAAACAAACAAGTAGAACAATAAAACTATTGAGCTCAGAAACTAGTATCAACATAAGAATTTGAAATATGATAGAGAAAAATTTTGCAATATGCAGGAAAATTATGAACTATAAAAAATTACAACAAAATATATTAAAAACATACAAAGAAGTACTAAAGAGTGGAGTTCCTCAGTGTTGCGTTTTATATTAGAAGGATTTTGAGAATGAATGTACTACCTTGGATGTTGTTGAGTTGGCAAATTACATTATTTCTTCAGAAGTTTAGAGTATCACAGAGGATGAAATTTCCAGCATGATTAAACATTGAAAAAAAATTTGCACATTGCTCTTTTCCGAGAGAATCTAAATACTGAAGGGATTTCCTACCTTCTGCAAATCATGTGCAAGCATTTCTTTGAAAATCAGAAATTTTATGTTGTGTCTTTTTCCTTTAATATGACTCCATTCCATTTATCTTACAGAATTTTATCATAATATGCATTATGCTTGAAATTATTTTATTAATCACTCCATTATTTCTGTACCACAAAGTTATGTATGAAAGTTGATTTTTAAAAATTCTCCATGATTATATATTTCTAAGTTATGAAATAATGTGGGTTGATGTATTATAATTAGTATTAAAACTTGAGCATCCTGTAGAATTCCATTATAAATTGTAATACATCCTACATATAAAAATGAAATATTACTTAACTGAATCTCCATATCTTAATGAGCAACATCAAGATCTATTTTAAACTATATTTCTGTGTCTGAATGAGCACAACTTGCTGCTTGAATGAGTCAAAGTTCACCATAATTTTTCTGGCTACAGGCACTGTATACAGTCACAAAAATAAAGAGATGCTCATGTTAGGGGTTTTCTCATTGTAGTTTCATTCAGTTCTTTGAATTCATTTTTAGATATATGCTGAAAATGACACAGTGGTTTATTATGAATAATTACTTTTAGTGGTCTAAAAGCTAACAGCTTGGTTAGTTCCTCCTACAATGTTTTTGAAAAAAATTAAACCAAATGACTCAAAAAGTGATTTTATACAATTATTTGCAATTATTTTATTTAAAAAGCGAAAGATGATTGACAAAAGAACACCTTGACTTTAACCAAAAATGTATTCCCAGGATGGTTACTTTTAGAAAAACCAACATGATAATAATTTTGATGATCTGGAAATATATTTCTTCAAGATATATATGAACCATAGTTTAAAGACTTCTGCCAGAGGCATCTAAAATAAGAGAACAAGAGCTAGAGGACTCTTCCTGAATAAATTTAAAAAAATTTTTTTTGTCTTTGACCAAATTACCAGCTACTAATGCAATATCAATGTACTGCACCATACCATCTGTATAAATTTTCAAAACATATAATACTGTATTATGTAGAGACACACATAAGCGCATGCATAAACACACAATATAAAATTGCGTGACATATAAAGTAACTTTGTAAAGTTATAAAAAAATGTAGGTTTCAGGATTTTGATTATATATGAAGATGGTTTGGGGTGTGGCTTCTACATTTCCTTTAAATTTATCTTTTTCTAAAATGAAATAAAGCCTGAAACATGAAGAAAAAAGAAAGAATGAAAAGGAAGGAAAAAGGAAAGAAAAGGACTAAGTTATGGAGACGGGGTTGATTTTAAAATGCTCCTCAAAAGAAAAATTAAAGAATTAAATATGACTTCCTAAAAAATAGCATATTATATAGAAGATGCACTAGATATATGCAAAAAGATAGAAGACAAGGAAATACTACATGCTATTCTGGAAATGAAAATTAAGACTCATATTGAGTATCAAACTACATGTTCATACTAAAAGTAGAAAAGTCAAAGAAAATTGGAATGGAAGAAGAACATGTTTTATTTATTTATTTGTTCTAGATGCTGCAAAGTCACAGATGACCAAAAAATAAGGACCATGTCCATATAAAAAATAATTTAGAATTACCCTACGAAATGAATACATGTATAATTTCGACACAATTCTACATGACTAATTCTACATTTAAGTGTTATGACAGCATTGATCTCTGTATTTCAAAGCATCACGTTGAATAGCATATATTCAAAATGTTTAATCAATTATACTATGGTCAAAACTGGACTAAAAATTGAACAAAAAGTATCTAAGAGAAGTATAACAGAAGAGATAGCACACAGAAAACTTTGACCTTTGGGATATTCAAGGAGATACTTGAAAAGTCATTCACTTAAGAGCCTCTGAGAAGATGGGTTTGCCTGACTAATCCTTGTTCCCTACTGAGCCTGTGTACTATTAACTATTTTTCACAGAATAAAAATGATCACCAAGGTTATTGGTTATGGTAGACAGGAGAAAATAAGGCCATTAAAAATAACCAACTGTTTCTTTATATTTCTGTGAGTAGGAAAGGGTAGCTGTCCAGCTTCAGCTTCCAGGTACATTAAATACTTTAAGCCTCATTTCATAAATGGAGCAGATTAACTACTCTCATAAATCTGAAATAAAATTCATAAACATAAATTAACAGCTGGTTTACAAATTTTCACAATCTAGTCACTCTCTAATTTTACTAAATAAAGGAAAGACATAAGCTCAGACTTTGAACTAACTATACACCATAAAATCTAGTTCAGGTGGCTGTGAGAATGGCTTATGTGATAGGGAGATAGAAGGCATGCATTCTCTCTGAAACTGGATATTATTGATATTATTGAGGAACTCGTCTTTCTTCACATTCATTAACTAGTTCCTAAGTATCACCATGCAGAGAAGATAAAGCATCTGAAATTTTGTTTGGATAACAGCTAAGCCTACATTAAAGAACAAAAAACAACTCTGATGTCAAACCTCCTTTCAGATGCTATCAGCGTTCAGAGGGGATATATATTTATAAAATTTCTTACCATACAATAAGATCCAAAGACAAAGGAGTATATGAGTAGTTTAGTGCCTTATACTTCAACATTCAGTTGTAAGTCCATGTGAGGTTAAGGAAGATTTACGGAACTACCAAATAATTTCAAATGCATTGCACCTTGACAATTTTACTGTACCATATCTTTAGGTATAAGAGCTTTGCTAAATTCTTGGGATTATATTTGGGTCAATATGGTACATTGATAAAGTATAGAGTAGCCAGGAATTCTGTTAGTATAACAATAACTATGGGTCTTTTAAAAACTCATTCTAACTGTGGTAAATTATATATCATAAAAAATCTGAAACTAATGTATCTATTATATAATATCATGGATTGAATGTAATTAGTAACCAGAGAAAAATGAAAAATGTAGCATTTTGTATGTTCACTTGGGGTTGTTCCTTTATCTCTTAATCACACTACTTGGGTAGTGGGGTTAGTATGGGATGGTCTGCACACCTGAAATGGCTGTTGGAAAGTGTAGAACAGTTTGTAGAGGATAAAAGTTATATTTAGGTGGGGTAGAATAAGCAATATCACTCCTATTTATACTGCTTACAGTTAGGAGTGCTTGTTCTATTTATGTATCTGGCTCATAAATTACAGAGAACATATTGTTCAGTTGGGTATCTAAAATCAGGAAAAATCAGGTCAATAAATAAACAATTGCATAGAAATATAAGCGATAGCCCTGGATATGATTGAAGTATAAACTCCATAACTACCTATGGGACCTAACAGTCTACTGAGGTGGTTTATATGTTTATGCAGAAAAAAATACAAAATAGAAGAGTTAAAAATTGAATCTGGATTTTCCAATTTTGGTAGAATGGGGCTCTGCTATTGGTAATGACAGTAGAGATTAACTTGGATCAACTTTCTCTGTAATAGATAACAGTTATCTGCTGTTAAAAACTAACTGCCAGGCAAGGTGGCTCATGCCTGTAATCCTAGCTCTTTGAAGGTTGGGGCAGGCTGAGTCAGGTGGATCACCTAAGATCAGGAGTTTGAGACCAGCCTGGCCAACAAGGTGAAACCCGTCTCTATTAACAATACAGAAATTAGCCTGGCATGGTGGCATATGCCTATAATCCCAGCTACTCGGGAGGCCGAGACAGGAGAATTGCTTGAACCTGGGAGGTGGAGGTTGCAGTGAGCCGAGATCATGCCACTGCACTCCAGCCTGGGCAACAGCGAAAGGCTATGTCTCAAAACTAAATAAATAAATAAATAACTATGTGAAGACACTGGAAAGCTGCAAACACATGTAGAAATTGCAAAGGAGCAGAAACTTAAAGAAATGGCACTGATAATTGTACATATATTTACTAGATTATGCATTCCAGTTCTCACTGTTGGATCAACAATTTGGAAATAAAAAGTGTCAGGCTTACTGGCTTGAGAAGTCAGAGAACAAAGATCAAGGCTGCCAGAATGGCAGAGAAATTATGGCGGAAATCCCTGGAAGAATGATGTCACAAGGTGAAGCCGCAAATCTATATGGAAACCCCACCAAAATAATTGGCTGCTAATCCAGATTGCACCTGCACAGTGGAGTAGCAGAGGTGGTACTGCATAGTCCACAAAATCCAAAATATGTATCTAGCCCTGTATAGATAAATTTTGCCAACTATGACTTAGATCCTGCCTCATACCATACATAAAAATTATCAAAAATGAATAATAGACCTAAACACAATAGGTGAAATTATTAAACTCTTCAAAGAAAACTAGAAGTAAATCTTAGTGGCCTGAAGTTTGGTAAATATTTCTATATAAGATAAATGCACAATAGGATGGCTAAAACAAACGACACAAAAAACAAATGTTCATAAGGACATGGACAAACTTGAAACCTCATACATTGCTCATAGGAATGTGAAATGGTTCAGTCACTTTAACATTTTGTCAATTTATTATAAATTTAGCTACAAACTTACCTTACAATTCAGCAATCTTTACATATTTACCCAAGAAAATGAAAACCTCTGTTCACACAAAACATTTTCATGAATATTTGTATTTTGAGAGGGTTATGGTGTTACCAAAATGCCAGTGGTTGGCCTAGGTCCTGCTGCTTGCCACACAAAAAGCCAATCACTGAGATAATGAGTATTGCCAGGGGAGAAGGCTTTAATCAGGTGCTGCTGCCAAGGAGATGGGAGATCAGTCTCAAATCTATCTATCTCCCTGACCAACTAAAATTAGGGGATTATATAGCAGGAGAGAAATACAACAACATGCAGTTAAACAGGAGTTAGGGAGGGGTAAGGAAGAAGAGTTGGTCAACAGGGAGCAGGTGGTCGGTTAGGCAATCATGAATTGTGAGGGGTTTGGTATCTCATTGTCCAAATTCAGTAATCTGGTAAGTTTCAGGTCCTTGATACTATCTAGGAGGCCTGATGGTTGGATTCCTGAGAAAGGAACTCAGATAAGACAAATGTAACTTTTTCAAATTTTAACACTGGGATGGTCAATTTCTATGTCTATTCAAAAGAAATTTTAAACGTCGGTTGTATAGGACAATTGGGCTGGTTTCAATGAATCACTTAATCTATGCATTTGTCCAAATTAATCAAATTGTACATTTAAGATGTGTAAAACTTTCAAACATAGTAAGTGTACATTATAAAAATGGAACTATAAAAAATACTGAACTTCAGAGATAAACTTGCTTTTTAAAGTGATTTGAATCAGCAATTCTGAACCTGTGTTCTCTGTGTCTAGCCTTGAGCAACTGCATCAATAGATTGAAAGTAAATAAAGAAAACCAGACTTTTCACTTTGGAGAATGAAGGAAGAGGATCAGAGAAATCAATAGGGCAGGATTAGTTGTCTCACAAAGGTGAAGGTCATTGCCTCTGTGCTGAAAGCAGCTCTAAGCATTGACTGTAATCTGAAATTCATTAGCTACTTTTTCTTTGAGTAATTTTCCACCTTAACAGTGAATCACCAGAGGCAGTACCCTATGGATCGAAAAACTGGGAATCCCTTTAGAAAGCTCTAGAGGGAAAAATAAGGCACCTGTTTATTAATTTCCTGGCTTTGATAATTATATCACAGTTATGGAAGTTTGATAACATCAGGGCATAGTAGAGAAGGGTCTGAGTGAACTCTCAACATTTCATTGAAAGGTAAATTTTTTTAAAGTTTTAAAGTATGTATTCCCTAGAGCTGGAAAAAATGTGCTTTCATCTTACCTGGGTCTGAGTGTGGGTAATTTTCAAGAAATATCTGAATACCCTCATGGATTGTTAGGAGCTTCATCAGTGCAGCTGTTGGTTCACAAATTTTCCCTAAAAATAGAATAAGGGTCATTATTGATAAATCTGGGTTCACAACCTTGAAAGTCCTCTTTAAAAGAAAAAAAAATGGCTAGGTTTTCAAGCTCCATATGGTCGCTGCTGGTAGGCATCTGTTACATTGCAGACATTTACATGCTTGTAGCTGTTAGGATACTGATGATTTGTTTTACCATGAATATGATGTTTAGTAAATGGAATCACTTAAAACAGAATGTGCACAGAGAACGTACACTTTGGGAAGGCAGGAAATAAGCCTTCATCCTCTCTTGAAAGCCCGTTGTCTAGCACTGTGCTTTGAGAAGATGATCGCACACTTCTTGTATTAAAATTAATTGAACTGTACAAATATATCTCAGATCATCTATGCAATGATGATCCAATCTTATAAGTTTCTTTTAGGTAAAACTAATTTAGACTCTTCAATGTTGCAATCATTTTTTTGGTAAATTTGCTTTTTCTTTATAAAAGTACCACATGTTAACTATGGAAAATTTAGCAAAAAATGATGAAAATAAAATTCACCAATAACTGTGCCACCTAAGCTCACCACATTTAATGTTTTGCTTCATTTCCTGTATGTCTTCTGTAATGTTATGTTTTACAAATATGGGAGTTATTTAGACTGTTCAAGAGGATTTGCCTCTAATCCTCAGCAGTAAAGTATACTACTTTATATACATTAGATAACTACAATCAAAATGTTTTTTATTCTTGTGTAACAACTTCCCCTTTAAAAATTATTTATATATAAAAATTCCTTTACTCCTAACCTCTAAGCTGTCAAATTGGTAGCCTCATGAGTTAGCCCTCTCTAACTGTGAGGAAATTGGGACTTAGAAAGGAGAAACTGACTTGTCTATGCTACATAGTCATTATCGGTCCTCGGTAGTGGTTCTAGGATACTTTGTAGAAAGTACATTTTTCCCTGCATTGTTTAATGCATTCATTTATGATCCAAACACTTAAAAAGTATATCTCATTGGCTGGAATTTACTTCCAACAATGTGCATTTTTTGTAAGATTCCAAAAGCCACTTATTTACAATTAATCAAGAACTAGTGGATGTGAATGTTTTCCTAGACAATAATGGTTTTATGTGTTCAGCTGCCACAAAGCCCTGCTGGGACTATATCCCTTCTGCAAGAAGAGAGAAATCTTCCTGCACATTTTACTAAAAAATGGAACATGAAAGGCAAAGAAGCCTGTTACTCAGCTGAACTCTCCACTCACGTAATCTGCTATAATTGTGGATAATCATTTGCTAAAGTAGGAGCAATGCTAAAACAAATCAATTAGTCTAACATCTAAGTCCACGAGATTAAGATACACACAGTGACAAAAGGATAAATAGGGATATTGTGTTAAATGAATTATGTGTGTGAATAAACAATACATTCAAGCAGGGGAGGGTATTCAGAAAATTAAAAATCTGGTATTTGAATTTAATTATTAAAAAATTGCATTTATTACCTTAAATAAGGAGCCCAGTTAGAAAACACATAGGAAAGCATTTACAGCAAAGGAGCATTCACACACATACTTTACTATGGAGAATAAAAGCCCTGTAATAATTCATATACATTTCACAGTGTGGCCTCCTTCCTTCTTGTTTGCCTATCACTCCTAGAAAATAAACAAATGAATAAATAATGGAATCATGGTAGGATTATACATGCATGATTACAACTTCACATCTGCACCCACGGTTGCCTGGAAAGCTTACAAATTTATCCCAGTAAATGAATTTTCCCACAATCTTCAATGACTATGTTATAATTTAACACAACTACCCTCCATCCCTTTCCTCAGAAGATAATTTTTCATATGCTTTATAGAATCAGAACCTCTAAGTCAGGATTTTCCTCATTTTCTGCCCACCATGCATAAATGTATATGCCTCTATGCTTGTCCTCCTTAAGAGTTGTCGATATCCTGGAAGAGATCTTCCTATTGAGAACCAGGCTGCTGCTTTGTGGGCACCATCTTTCCTATAACCCAAATGGACCTTGTTCTGGGTGATGGTCCACCTCTCCCCCCCAACACCACCCCCCCCCACCGCCCCCCCCACCCCGCCACCACACACACAAACGCACTTTCAATTTCTTGTCATTTAACGCCAGGAATTCTGCCTAGGTTCTGTGCTCACCATACAAAAAGACAATCACTGAGACAACAAGTATTGACAGAAAAGAAGGCTTTATTATGTGTGGTGTCAGCTAGAGAGACAGGAGACAAATCTTAAATCCACTCCTTCTCCCTAATAAGTGAAGGGTTTATGTTGCCAGGAAGGAAAACAGGAGGGACAAGGAAGAATAATTGGTCTACAGGTAGCAGGTGCTTCTCATTGTGCTAATGTAAGTTCTTCAAGCTTCAGTTCTATGGGCATCCAGCTCGTTGGAAAGTTCAGCCTATTTCACTTTTTCTCTCTACTGACTAGTTCTCACCAGAATCTAAACAGTGATCCATAATTCCCTATCTTTGAATCAAAGGAATTGCAAAAGCAACACTTCAACCCCTTAGTTCACATTCTCCTTAACAATAAAAATAAATTCCATCTCTACTTAAGTCAAGTACTTTCTAATCCAACAGTCTACATGATCTTACCATTTTTCATCATTCTGAAATATGAAATATTTCACTCACGTAGAAAAGTCCAGGTGACTGTGTAACTACCAGCTATGTTGCCACTACTAAGATTTCATAATTGTTAATATTTTGCAAATAGTTGCTTCAGATTTCATTTTTAAAAAGGAAATAAATGTTTATTATTAGAAATGTAAGTGCACCCTTCTGGGATCCCTTTCTAAAGTTAGCTATATTTTGAAATTTTAGTCTAACCTTTATTTTTATATTTTCACTGCATTTTATTGGATCTATACATAGCATATAGTAATGCACTACAGAGTATACATCTTAAGCTTTGGGGATTTATCCTCACCAGCCTATGTAGAGTTAGAGTTGCATCATTTATTTAAGACACTCTAGACTATTTCATTGAAAGAGGTGATTATGTTTTGGTTATTTCTTTTGATGAAAAGTAAGGTTGGTTCTGTTTTTCTTTACTCCAAATCTTGCTATAATTAAAGTCTGCCTGCCTGTCCCAAAGTCATATGTGACAAGTTCCCCTTAAATACCAAGGATATGAATAACTTGCTTATTCAATATGCTTATTCTCAACTTAAGAAGATGTTGTCAAATTGCCCTCTAAGTTGGTTGTATCAATTTCCATTACCACCAGCTCTGTGAAGGCTCACTTTCCTCCATCAGAGCAACAATACATGTTACAGTCAGACTTTTGAAATGTTTCCATACACTGATGATTTGGGCTTGCTCTTCTGTAAATTACTTTTGCACCAACTTTGCCACTTGTTAGATTGTGTGCTTTTGTCTAAATCTAGGATTGATTTACATAGTCTGGGAACTAATGCTTTATTGACTATATGCCTTGAAATATCTTCTTGTAGTCTGAATCCTTGCTTTTAAAATTAAACTGTGTCTTTTTTCAGATAAATGCTTTACATTCTTATATAATCACATTTGTTAATATTTTATAATACAACTTTTTTGTTAAATTTTTCTTAGATTTGAATTATTTAAAGTTATTTTACAGGAGGAAAGTTAAAGATGAAAATTGTTTGTTTGTTTGTTTGTCATATGGATACTCAGTTGACAGCCATTGTTAAATTGCCCTTAATTTCCCAGTGATTTGCAAGGTGGTCTCATTCACATACCAAGTGTTTCTAGGTGTGGATCTGCTTCCAGATGCTTTAATAGGTTCCACTGATTCATTAGTCCACCCTGACCCAATACACACTGATTCACTTATAATAATTTTTGATACTGAAAAAGAAAGATTACACTATCCTATTCAGTTTTTAAAATTTATATTAGCTATTCTTGCCCCTTTTAAAATCTTCCTATCATATTTTCTTATTATTGTGAGTTTATGTTCATCCTGCATTCAACAAGTTTGTATCCAACAAACTCTCTGCCTTCCAGTTTTATGGCTACTCTTCCCTGGAATTTTCTGCATAAATGATCATAACATGCACAAAGAGATAAACAAATTTTTTATTAGTATTTTAATATTATCTCACAGGCCTTGACATATATTATTGTGCAGTTATAAATATTTTATAATTTCATATCTCTCTTTTTACCCAGTTTATTACTAAGGCCTTCCTTTTAGGTTTTTGAACATGAGACTTTGTTTAGTCAGTTTTCAGTACGATTTACCTGGAATACAATTTATCCTTTATAGGCCATAACTCAGTGAGCAAATGTCTAATCATGAAACCACCACCACAATTTTGCAGTCGATCTACACCAACCCCCATTTATTGGTTAGTTGCAGTTTATGTTTTTCTTAACAGCATATTTTGTTGTTAATTTTAACATAACTGCATTGAGATCTCAAAGTATAGTTCTGTATTTTAAGTAGTTTCTGAAAGTGATGAGTAGTTACTTTTTAATCTAATATCGATTAGTGTCCATGAATGGTGCAGTTACATCACAATAAAATATATATTCTCTTTTTCTGGCTGGGCGCAGTGGCTCACACCTGTAATCCCAGCACTTTGGGAGGCTGAGGTGGGTGAATCACTAGGTCAGGAGTTCAAGACCAGCCTGGCCAACACGGTGAAACCCCATCTCTACTAAAAATACAAAAAATTAGCTGGGTGTGGTGGCGGGCGCCTGTCATCCCAGCTACATGGGAGGCTGAGGCAGGAAAATCTCTTGAGCCCCAGAGGTGGAGGTTACAGTGAGCCAAGATTACGCCACTGCACTCCAGCCAAGGTGACAGTGTGAGACTTCATCTAAAAAAACAATATATATATATTTATATATATATATTTTTTATATATATATTTATATATATATTTTTTATATATTTTTATATTATATATATTACCTATATTTTATATATAATTATATAATTTATATATAATATATATATTGTGTATATATACAATATTATATATAATATATATTATATATAAATATATATATTATATATATTTATATATTTTTTATATATATATTTATATATATATATATTTTCTTTTTCTTGAGTGGTGGGCTATGTTATACACAAACGTATGCACACATGTATAGCTCTTTTATATACTGCCATACATATATGTCTTTAGATTGAGTGGTATTTTGATATATAAAAGATTGCATATATTTTGGTATAATGTATATTATAGATAAAAGAATATTTGTGCATACATGTATGTATGTATACATATATGTTTGTGTGTATATACATAAACTATCCTCCATACTCCATACTCCCTCTGAGTTGATGGCCTAGCTTTGTAATTCGCTGTAGCAGTAGAACTAACAAGAAGAGAATGAGTATTTTAGGTACCAGTACATCCATATTACTGGATGTACTGTAATAAATCCCTGGCTAAAGCAGGGATTTATACTCATAATAAAGTAAAATGTCCAGAAGTAGGTACACTAGCTCTGGTGCATCTTCGCAAAGATGTTAGGAAGAACTGATTGTAAGCACGACACTTTTGTCTTCAGATCTCAAAACAGCTGCTGAGTGTCCTGACTTGCACCAGCATTCCAGGCCAAGGAATGGAGAATGGACTAGAATCAAAAAGGACTCAGAGGAAAGGAACCTAATCTTGGAAGATTTTTGTCTTTTTGTTTGGAAAGTAAAAAATCTCTTCTTGAACACTTACTTCACTTATTCCTCCTTTGCATAAATATGATACAAGGTCACTGTTTCCCACTAGGGGATCTGGAGAGATCCCAAGCCTCCCATCCCGGGGTTAAGCTCAGGGAATTGGAGCTGGTCTGCTGATGCACTCTGTAAGACTGACACAGCAGCGGGGCCTGCAGCGGCTCTACCTGGACCTAGGTCTTCCCTCAGCCTCTTAGTCCTGGGTCACATGTGTGTGTGCCCTGACTTCTGCCTATACCACCCAGGTCAGAGGCTACAGTGACGGGCAAGGTTCTGAGTCCCCAGTGGGAGCTGCCAGCTCCTGCTATGGGGTTCAGCCTGTTCATCATCTCCCACACATTCCATCCATCTTCCCATCTGTGATGACGAATAGTAGGTGTCCACTTGGTTAGATTCAGGGATGCCTGGATGGCTGGTGAAGCATTGTTTCTGGGCACGTCTGTGAGGGTGTTGCCAAAGGAAACTGACACGAGTGTGGACTGGGAGAGGAAGACCCACCCTCGGTGTCCGTAGGCACTGTCCCATGGGCCACCAGCAGCTGGAGCAAAGCAGCGGGAAGGAGGTGGGATAGCTTTGTTTGCTGGGGCTTCTGGCTTCTGTCTTCTTCCTGAGCTGGACACTTCTATCTGCTCCTCCTGCACTTGGACATAAGACTCCAAGTTCTTCAGCCTTGGAACTCTGGGACTTGCACCAGCAGCTTTCTCTGAGCTATCGGGCCTTTGGCCAGACTGAGGGCTGCACTGTCAGCCTTCCTGGTTTTCATACTTTGGGACTTGGACTGAGCCACTACTCACTTTGGCTTCTCTCTTCCCCAGCTTGCAGATGGCTTACCATGGGATTTTGCCTTGTAATTATGTGAGCCAATTCTCCCCAGTAAACTCCCTTTCATATATACATATATCCTTTTGGTTCTGTCCCTCTAGAGAACCCTGATTAATACACCATCCAACTACCTGCCCTGTGGGCTTCAAGCATCAGACAAGAAGACGACAGGCTTAGACAAATGGTTCAGTCGGCTCCCTCAGTTGCACAAGACAATTGATCTCTCTCTCTCTCTCTCTGCAGTTGATCTCTCTCTCTCCCTCTCCGCATATATATGTTAAACTTTGTTCTATTAAGACCTTCAATTGATTGAAGTCCACCCACATTATGGAGGATAATCTGCTTTACTCAGAATCCTGATTTAAATATGAATGTCATCCAAAAACATCATCACAGAAATGTCCAGAATTATCTGGGCACTTCGCCTTAGCCAAACTGTCATAAAACTAACGACCATAGTATTTTTCAAACTTATGCTTTTCAATCTTTAATATCTAAATGTTAATTATTATTTATTAGCTATGTCTATGTAAACATTGTTCAGCTACATTTTAATTTTAATTTTTTATGCAATCTGGCTGTTTTAATGGATAAGATTGCTATATATATATTTACCCATGTATTTGCATTGATTTCATATGTAATAGTCTGTGTTTCTTAGTCTTCATGTTTCTTGACTTCTCTTGCTTGAGATTGCATTGATAAAGTGCTTATATTTTCTTTACATTTTTCTCTCCTTATTTGGAAGTTACAAAGAAATCTTCAATTATTTTTGTTACCTTTAAAGTTTTAACACATTTAATTAATTTTTCAGTGTTTCTAATAAAGTCTAAAATTACTCAGCAACTCCTTCCTACTCCTGAGTAAAATAAGAAACTTAGCAAAATTTAATTTCTTGTGGACATCCTTTCTGCCATTATTTTCTTAGTTATTGTTGTCAAGAGGGTTTTTGTCTTTTAAACACAAAATTTTAGTCAAGTTTTTACAGTGACTAGTTAAGTTAATTTACAGGTATGTGTATTTATTATTTGCTTGCAGTAATCTTTAATATAGCCTTGTCCTTGGCAACCCTTCTCTCTTTCCTGAAGTAGTCTGTTAGCATTATCTTTTAAATTTCTTATTAGCTACACCCTTGCCATATTGTGATACTAGGCACTCACTCCTGCAGATTACTACACCCAACTGTTTCCAATCCTGCATACAGTTTATTGTGACAATTGGCATTTTAAAAAAAATTCTGTCATTATAATTTACTAAAATTAACAAAACATTTTAATATCCATTTATTCTTGTTTTTCCTGTTGCATGATTTCATATTTCCTGTTTTATAGATTATTTGCCTTTATCTCTTTGAGACTCTTGAATATGTTTATTTTCAAGTTGTCTCAGTTTTTTCATTATTTTCATTGGATATGGAGTACATTCATCTTATTTTTGTAGGTACTACTGACTTTTATTTTTAGGGTTAATATTCTCTAAATATTTTCAAAATGTGAAGATGCAACCTGAGTGAGCATTATTATTTGTTTTATTTCTGTTGTCTCATTTAGTTTATAACTATTTTCCTGTATTTCTCTTTTATTTTGATTGCTTTATAGATGTCTCCACTTTATCTTGGAAGCAATTTTTTTATGGGTGTCTTGAAACTTTTGCTAAATGGTTATGTTGAGGATAGTGCAGATCTGATAGCAAGCCAGTGGTCTCTGTCCTATCTGTGAGAGAGTATCTGTGCCATGCAGCCTCCCTAGAGGGCAGCTGCATAAATCCTATAGCTCCTTTTCAGCACGGACCAGTGAGGGAGCTCTACAGCAGCCTCCAGCTTTGGGAAGAGAATATGGCTCTCAGTTTCTTCCCCTTATGCTAAAGTGAGGAGCTCCCATCTTTCTTGTTTCCATGGAGTATAGAGGACTTGTATTCTTGACACATTCTTACTTTGGCTTTCTTGATAGCATCTCTCTTGATTTTTTTCCTTGTTTTTGGATGCTTATTTTTAATTTTATTTTGTAGGTACTTCCTTTTTCAATTATGACCTGCCACTTTTAAAGTATATTTTAAATTTAATTTTAGCTCATAAATAATAATTATATATATTTATGGGGTACAGTGTGATGTTCAGATATGTGTGTACATTGCAGAATGATTAAATCAAGCTAATTAACATTTCTATCACCTCGCCTACTTATTTCCTTGTGGTGAGAACATTTCAAATCTATTATTTTAGTAGTTTTGTAATATACAGTGCTTTATTATTAAATTATTGAAGTAGGTCACTACAGCTGTTCCTGCTGTCTAGCTGAAACTTTGTACCATGTCACCAGCATGCCTCCCTTCCTGGCCAGCCCTGTCACTCTCGCATCCATGATTCCTTTCTACTCTTATGAGCTTAGCTTATTTTAGATTCCACAAATAAGTGAGATTATGCAGTAGATTTCTCTCTATGCCTGGCTTATTTCACTTAGCATACTAAACATATACTGATGAGTCCTGATGATATATAAATAACACCTATATACTGATGAGTCACTGATTTATATTTTCAGCCAAGACCTCCTTTCTAAGCTCCCTGCAGCTACCTGCAGGTTATTCACTGATACCACATGCCTACCCAGGCCAGAGAAAAGGCACTAGAGCTGAGGCTGGGATTTTCGTCTTCACATTCACATACGTTGTCTGTGTCCCAAATGTTAATTCCAGTATTTCTATGCTAGAGAGACTTAGCAATTGTTTTTGTTTTTGGTTTCAATATGATGCCTTGTTCTGTGAAGATATGTATTTTTATTTCATCATTGCATTTTGTTTCTCTTTCATGATAAGGACTGGATCTTGGTTTAGAGGGAATAAGATACAATGAAAATATAGTGCCTTCCTAGTGATGCCAGAGGGCTCATATGAGAAACCATTATAAGGACTGGATCTTGGCTCAGAGAAAATAAGATACAAACAAAATAAGGTGTCTTCCTAGAGATGGCAGAGGAGTCATAAGAGAAACTCAGTAAATTGTTTAATGTGCCAAAATTTACAGGGTGGCCATTCTGAATAACAAGTCCTGTACTACATCTAGTGTCCCACGGATCACATGACCTGTGGTGTGCACTGACTTTCCAAGTGTGTGAAAACTTAGCCTAGATGCCTCTCA
Source organism: Homo sapiens (assembly GCF_000001405.40). NCBI lineage: Eukaryota > Metazoa > Chordata > Mammalia > Primates > Hominidae > Homo > Homo sapiens. The sequence goes on from NC_000007.14 coordinate 53,899,587, forward strand.
CTCCTTAGCACACTTTACCATCCTAGAGTTGATTTAGAAAGATGTGAATGATTCAGCAGCAAACCACTCTGTTCCTTACTTCTAGCCAAACTGTGTGGCAGGGCAGGCAACTTTGATATGCAAATGCAGGCCAATAGGAACTGAGTTCACCCAAATATGGCTATTCCTGGCCTTCTTGCCCTTTCCCCACATGTTCCTGGCAACATGGCCGCTCCCACATATCCCCATGTGTTTAGAACATCATGGCGCCCTGTATTTGCATATAAAAAGGCTAAGGTGAGAGGGCCAACTTTTTCGCGGCTATGTGAATGACATGCCTGGTCAAACCAATCCCCTTAGCCCTGTGCAAATCAGACCCTGCCTCCTGCAGCCTCTGCAATATATACCTGGCTAGTGTCCACCGCACTTGGGGACTTCCTCTTTTGGCTTTGGAGCCCCCCCGTCCCTCTGACTCTGTATGGGGGAGCCTTTTCCTTCTGCCTTCTCTTTCCTTCTTTGCCTATTAAACTCTCTGCTCCTTAAAGCCACACACACACACACAAACTGCATTTAAGATGCTATGTGCTTTTGTTCTCAGAGGAAACACATTTACTAGAGAGAGAGTGGCACAGGATAGGACAGCACACTCATCTCCTCCTATCTCAGCCATTGTTGTAGGATAGGACGTTTTTCCATCTAACCATGACCTGCATGACTATGGTGGTGGAGGATACATGACTAACAGTGACTCCTGATTCTCCATTGTGTGGCCGGTCCTCCAGGATCTGGAGTTGCGTTTCTGGAAAAAGACAGAGAGAGAGAGAGAGAGAGAGAGAGCTGTTCCTGCAGCCATTATTTGGAAAACCAGGATTCAAAAAGTCAGTTGCTCTAGTTCCTGCCTGGGGCTAGAATTAAGTCCCTCTTTTTTAAGTCTTTCTCCACATAGGTCCCTGACTACATATGACAAAAGTAGGAACTTAGTCATCCCAGGTCCATTCTACACCAGTAGCTACTTCGAGAAGAGTATCCCTCTTCAACAACTTATTTGTAATTGAGGTTACCAAATTAGAGAAGGGACCGTCACTCATTTTGGTTCAACTTCATCTTAAGAAAGAAACATTTGCTATGAATGATAGGAGTTTCCTGTTTTACTCAACACAATTTATTTTAATCATGGACATTTTCATTATTTTACTGGTGGCATAACACATCTGTTCTATTATTCATATAGAAAGCAGGCTCTCAAACAAGGTCATTTCATTCAACACCATTTTGTTATAACTTTGATAAGAAAAGAAGTGATTCCCAGCGGGAGCCACTGTCTGTGTGGAGTGTGCATGTTCTCCCCATGTCGTTGTGAGATTTTTTCCGGGTACTGTGGTTTCCCCCAACATCCCAAAGCTGTGCCTGTCAGGTTCTTGGCATGTCTACATGGTCCCTGTGTGGGTGAGTGTGGGAGTATGTGTGTGAGTGCACCTGCCATAGGATGAGGGCCACTAGGGGGCTGATTTCCGCCTTTCATCCTCAGCCGCAGGGAGAGCCTCCGCCCACCTGTGACCCTGAACTGGAATTAGTAGTGGGTTGGAAAATGAATGAATAAGTTATTTTACAAATTATTGTAAAACAAAAATTTGCTAAGGATACAATAATCATACAAATGCAGGACAATATACAATGAGGTAAGAAGGTGCTCAGCGAACCACCATACTTGTTCTTGTCTGATTTTGAACTCCATGTGGTAGCAATAGCCTTACAATTTTCGCTTTGTAAGCATTTATTTCTTGATTTAACCCACCACCACCACAAACGCTGCCCCTCACTGATTCATCAAATATTGGGTTGGTAGTTATTCTTATTAATCATTCCTAAATGCATATATAGCTCACATTTACTTTAATTTTTAATATGAGAAATGTTTTGAATCTTTATTTAGAAATTTGGTGATGTTTTTGTGACCAGACACATATGCCACAAGAACTTAATTCTTGTTATATCAATTAGCATCTGGTAAAATTGGTTTTGTTATGTGTCGTTTTGGCTAACGTCCCAGTTTTCAATAACCTATTGATGATGTTAAGTGAGGACTTACTGTACTGATCTAAGAGTATGTAGCATTTTACTTTCTATATGCAGTCTTTCTCAAACCTGAAATCCTGTAGCTTGAAAGTGTGGTAACTGTCATCCAAATTTTAGAGTGGATATGTTAAGAGTCACAACATTTTTACCTCAATATATAAATAAACATATTCTCTTGTCACTTCAGTGTAATACGTGACAACTCCCACAGAATATTTTTCCCTATCATGTATCTTAATTGTTCTGCAAAGCATTAAAGACATAGTTTAGGTATATATGTGTGCATGTATATGTATATTTTATAATACACTTACTAGGTTCTTTTTATTTCTATATTCATTGCTTTGCTTAATCTACAAGTCATTTTTTCTATATAAAAGTGTCATTATACCTGACATAACCGTATGTATACAGTTATGTGTGTGTGTGTATATATATATATATATGTTTTGTCACCTCTTTCTCAACTTCCATTCACTGTGAATATATTTAAATCACACTTTCCTCGCCATCAAGGTATACACACCACTCTTTTCGAGGACACTGTCAATTTCTATGTTGCCAGTTTCAATGATCATTGTCAATTCTTACACTACTGATCTTTCAGCAACTTTTTGATAGAACTGATTGCTCCCTTTATCTTAAAATCTTTTCTTTAAGTGACTCCAAAGACCCTTCTTTTGGATCCTTCACATTACTGGCCAATCATTCTCTGCCTTTATTGCTAAATCATCCCCCACTTTCTTACCTTTAAATATTGGATTGCCCTCTGGATCATTTATTGTTTCCCTTCCTTTTCTTAACATTCACTCCCCAGAGGAATTCACACCATCCTGTTGTTTTTAAGCCCATCTACTTGCTACTGATACTCAAACTTATGCCCACAATATGATCTTGAGGCTAACTCCAGACTTTAAAATGTAACTACATACTTTTTATTTAACAGGCTGGTTAAACTTAGCATCTCCAAGGCAGTACTGCTGAGTATATTTACCCTCCAAACAAACAAACAAACAAACAAGTGAAAGCCTGCTCCCTCTTTTACCCAGTTTTATGCTTCTAAGAATATGGCACTCCATTTATTCAGTCTCTCTTGAGAGAATGCTGGAAAACATTCTTGTTTCTTTCTTAAATTTTCCCTCTCACATCCCACATCCAGTATATGAATAGGTCCTGACATCTCTACCTATGATCACTAAGGAGTTACCATTCTATTTAAAGTCAACATCAGTGTATCACCTTAACTGTTGCAACAAGTCTGTAACTAGTCTCTCTGTTCCCACTTTTGCCCCATGACACAATATTTCTATTCAAGACCTAGTTATTGTTTGAAAATATAAATTGGATTATAAAAATATTCTGTTCAAAATATTTCAATGGTTTTACATCTTACTCAGAAAGAAAAGTTTATCATTCACCATGGTGTACCAGCTCAGTGTGACCTGCTGATGCTCAGAGGACAGAATAACTCATATCTAGCCATACTGCCATCTTGCTCCGACTTCCGGGGCTTTGTACTTTCTGCTGCTCTTCCTAAAATGCATTCTCCCCAGGTCCTTGCAGAGTTAACTCTTTACGTCATTGAGACCTCCATTCAAATGCCACTTCTTCAGCAAATATGTTTTCATTAGTCCATTTTAATACTGCTATAAAGGAATACCTGATACTGGGTAATTTATAAGGAAAGACATTTAATTGACTCACAGTTCTGCATTGCTGGGATGGCCTCAGGAAACTTTCACATGGTGGAAGGTGAGGCAGCCACGTCTTACATGGCGGCAGGTGAGACAGAAAGTGAAAAGCCCAAGGGAAACTGTCATTTATAAAGCCATCAGATCTCCTGAGAACTCCCTCACTATCACAAGAACAGCATGGAGGAAACTGCCCTCATGGTCCAGTCACTTCCCACCAGGTCCCTCCCTCAACACCTGGGGATTACAATTCAAGATGAGATTTGGGTGGGAACACAGAGCCTCCTCCCAAGTCTTATGGCCTTTATATTATACATTTCAGTAATAATCATGCCTTCCCAACAGTCCCCCAAAGCCTTAACTCATTCCAGCATTAACTCAAAAGTCCAAGTCCAAAGTCTCATCTGAGACAAATCCCTTCCAACTATGAAACTGTAAAATCAAAACCAAGTTAATTACTTTCTAGATATACTAGAGGTACAGGAATTGTATAAATGCTTCTATTTCAAATGGGAGAAATTGGCCAAAAGAAAGGGGCTACAGGCCCCATGCAAGTTCAAAATCCAGTGGAGCAGTCATTAAAACTTAAAGTTCCAAAATGATCTCCTTTGACTCTATGTCTCACATCCAGGTCAGACTGATGCAAGAGGAGGGCTGCCATGGTCTTGAGCAGCTCTGCCCCTGTGGCTTTGCAGAATACAGTTCCCCTCCTGGCTGCTTTCACAGGCTGGCATTCAGTGCCTGTGGCTTTTCTGGAACGTGGTACAAGCTGTTGGTGTATCTACCACCCTGGGGTCTGAAGGACAGTGGCCCTCTTATCACAGCTCCACTAGGCAATGGCCCAGTGAGGACTCTATGTTGGGGCTCCAACCCACATTTCCTTTCTGCACTGCCCTAGCAGAGGTTCTCCATGAAGGCTTTGCCCCTGCAGCAGACTTCTGCCTGGACATACAGGCATTTCCACACATTCTTTGAAATCTAGGTGGAGGACCCCAACCTCAGTTCTTGACTTCTGTGCATCCACATGCCCAACACCCGTGGAAGCTGCCAAGGTTTGGGACTTGCACCAACAACAGCTCGAGTTGTATCTTGGCCCCTTTTAGCCATAGCTGGAGCTGAAGCAGCTGGGGATGCAGGGCTCCATGTCCTGAGGCTGCACAGAGCAGGGGGGTCCCTGGGCCCATTCCACAAAACCATTTTTCCATCTAGGCCTCCCACCCTGCGATGGGAGGGGCTGCAGCCAAGATCTCTGACATGCCCTTGAGGCATTTTCCCCATTGTCTTGGTGATTAACATTTGGCTCCTGGTTACTTAGGGAAATTTCTGCAGCCAGCTTGAATTCCTCCCTGGAAAATTGGTTTTTCTTTTCTATCCCATCATCAGGCTGCAAATTTTCCAAACTTTTATGCTCTACTTTGAAACATAAATTCCAATTTTAGATCATCTCTCTCAAGTTCAAAGTTCCACAGATCCCTAGGGCCGGGGCAAAATTCTGACAGTCTCTTTGCTAAAGCATAGCAAGAGTGATCCTTGCTCCAGTTCCCAAGAAGTTCCTCATCTCCATCTGAGACCACTTCAGCCTGGGTTTCATTGTCCACATCACTATCAGCATTTTGGTCAAAGCCATTTAACAAGTCTCTAGGAAGTTTCAAACTTTCCCCATCTTTCTGTCTTTTTCTGAGCCCTCCAACCTGTTTCAATCTCTGCCTCTTACCTGGTTCCAAAGTTGGCTTCCACATTTTCAAGTATCTTTATAGCAGTACCCCACTCTCTGAGATCAGGTAATTAGTGGAGTTTCAGCAGAGGTCTGACTTACAGTGGGTCCAGTGGGTCCTGGACTCATCCTGTGGTCATTTCCCCAGTGCCAGAATGCATAATTGGCATAAGCATACTTAGCAGATGGCAGAACTCCCACATTGGCTCCCTGACCAGTAAGGTGAGGGCTATTATGGTGGGAAAGACCAAATGGAAGCCATTAGAGCTGCTTCTACCTAGAAAAATAGTAAATCAAAAACAATATCACATCTCTGGAGGGATTGCACAGATTAGTGCCACCATCAAGGACTTGAAAGATGCACGGGTGGTGATTTCCACCACATCCCCACTCACTTCTACTATTTGGTCAGTGCAGAAGACAGACAGATCTTGGAGAATGACAGTGGATTATCATAAGCTTAACCAAGTGGTGACTCCAATTGTTGCTACTCTACCAGATGTAGTTTCATGGCTTGAGCAAATTAACACATCTCCTGGCACCTGGTATGCAGCTATTGATTTGGCAAATGCCTTTTTCTCCATTCCTGTCCATAAGATCCACCAGAAGCAACTTGCCTTCAGCTGGAAAGGTCAGTAATATACCTTTACTGTTCTACCTCAGGCTTTGTGTCATAATCTTGTCCACAGAGATCTTGATCACTTTTCCCTTCCACAATCACACTGGTCCATTACCTTGATGATATTATGCCAGTTGGACCCAGTGAGTGAGAAGCAGCAAACACACTGGACTTATTGGTGACACATTTGTGTGCCAGAGGATGGAAATAAATTCAACTAAAATTCAGGGAACTTCTACCTCAGTAAAATGTCTAGGGGTCCAGTTATGTGGGACATGTAGAGATACTCCTTCTAAGGTGAAGGATAAGTTGCTGCATTTGGCCCCTCCTACAACCAAGAATCAGGCACAATGCCCAGTGGGCCTATTTGGATTTTGGAGGCAACACATTCCTCATTTGGATGTGTTACTCTGGCCTATTTATCAAGTGACCTGAAAGGCTGCTGGTTTTGAGTGGGGTCCAGAACAGGAAAAGGCAATGCCACAGGTCCACACTGCTGTGCAAACTTCTCTGCCACTTGGGCCATATGACCCAATAGATTCAATGGTGCTGGAGGTGACAGTGGCAGATAGGGATGCTGTTTGGAGCCTTTGGCAGGCCCCCATAGGTGAATCACAGCAGAGGCCTCTAGGATTTTGGAGCAAGGCCCCCTGCCACCTTTTTCAGATAACTACTCTCCTTTTGAGAGACAGTTCTTGGCTTGTTACTGGGCTTTGGTAGAAACTGAATGTTTGACTATGGGTCACCAAGTTACCATGTTACCTGATCTGCCTATCATGAACTGGGTGCTTTCTGAACCATATATAGCCATAAAATAGGTCATGCACAGCAGCATTCCATCATCAAATGGAAGTGTTATATATGTGATCGGGGTCAAGCAGGTCCTGAAGGTACAAGAAAGTTACCTGACGATGTGGTTCAAATGCCCATGGTCTCCATTCCTGCCACTCTGCCTTCTCTCCCACCATCTGCACCAATGGCCTCATGGGGAGTTCCTTATGCTCAATTGAACAGAAGAGAAGACTAGCTCCTGTTTTACAGATGGTGTGGTATGAAATGCAGGCACCAGCCAAAAGTGGACCACTGTAGCACTTCAGCTTCTTTCTAGGGCATCCCTGAAGGACAGTGGTGAAGGGAAATCTTTGCAATAGGCAGAACTTTGAGCAGTTCACCTGGCTGTGCACTTTGTTTGGAAGGAGAAATGGCCAGATGTGTGATTATATACTGATTCATGGGCTGTAGCCAATGGTTTGGCTGAATGGTCAGGGACTTGGAAGGAGTATGGTTGGAAAATTGGTGAAAAGGAAATTTGGGGAAGAGGTATGTGAATGGACCTCTCTAAGTGGTCAAAAACTGTGAAGAAATTTGTAACTCACATGAATGCTCACCAAAGGGTGACCTCAGCAGAGGAGGATTTTAATAATCAAGTGGATGGGTTGACTTGCTCTGTGGACACTACTCAGCCTCTTTCCCCAGCCACCCCGTCATTGCCCAATGTGCCCATGAAAAAAGTGGCATGGTGGCAGAGATGGATGTTATGCATGGACTCAGCAACATGGACTCTCACTCACCAAGGCTGACCTGGCTACGGCCATCACTGACTGCCCAATTTGCCAGCAGCAGAGACCATCAGCGAGCCCTCAATATGGCACCATTCCTTGGGATAATCAGCCAGTTTCTTGGTGGCAGGTTGATTATATTGGACTCGTCCATCATGGAATGGGCAGCATTTTGTCCTCACCCAAATAGACATGTACTCTGGATATGGGTTTGCCTATCCTGCAGGCAATGCTTCTGCCAAGACTATCATCTGTGAACTCACAGAATGCCTTATCCACTGTCACGGTATTCCACACAGCATTGCCTCTGACCAAGGCACTCCCTTTATGGCTAATGAAGGGCAGCAGTGGGCTCGTGCTCCTGGAATTCACTGGTCTTACCATGTTCCCCCTCATCCTGAAGCAGCTAGGTTGATAGAACAATGGTGTAGCCTTTTAAAGTCGCAATTACAATGCCTACAAGGTGACAGTACTTTGCATGGCTGGGGCAAAGTTCTCCAGAAATCTGTGTATGCTCTGAATTAGTGTCCAATATATGGTACTGTTTCTCCCATAGCCCGATTCACAGGTCCAGGAAGCAAGGGGTAGAAGTGGAAGTGACATCACTCACTATCATCCCTAGTGACCAACTAGCAAATTTTTTGCTTCCTGTTCCCATGACATTATATTCTGCTGGCCTAGAGGTCTTAGTTCCAAAGGGAGGAATGCTGCCACCAGGAGGCACAACAATGATTCCACTAAACTGGCCGTTAAGATTGCCACCTGGCCACATTAATTTCCTCCAGCTTCCAAGTCAACAGGCTAAGGAGGGAGTCACAGCGTTGGCTGGGGTGACTGACCTGGACTATCAAGAGTAAATCAATCTACTACTCCACTATGGAGGTAAGAAAGTGTATGTGTGGAGTACAGTAGATCCATTAGGGTGTCTCTTAGTATTACCATGCCCTGTGATTAAGGTTAATGGGGAATTACAACAACTCAATCCGGGCAGGACTGCAGATGGCCCACACCCTTCAGGAATGAAGGTTTGGATCACTCCACCAGGTAAAAAACCACAACCAGCTTAGGTGCTTGCTGAAGGCAAAGGGAATACAGAGTGAATAGTAGAAGAAGTTAGTCATCGGTATCAGTACCATCCATGACCACGTGACAAGTGCAGAAAGGAGGACTGTAATTGTTATAAATATTTCATTCTTAATTTGTTAAGAACATGTTTGTGCATGTATACACTTGTACTAAGAAAATATCTTCATTTTCTTTTCTTTTTCTTTGTTAAGTGACATAAGATTTATTGACTTCGTATCAGCATTTAAGTGTTGATAACTACATAATAGCATTTAGGTGAAGGATTAGTGTGCTTCCAGTTGTATGAAAGACAGCTGTATTATGTTACATGTAATTATGACCTTATTATTGTCTTAATTTGGAGATTATGTATGATTTCGGGAGATGTGTATGGGTTCAAGTTGACAAGGGGTGGATTTGTGATGGTTAATATTGTCAACTTGATTGGATCGAAGGATGCAAAATATTATTTCTGGGTGTATCTGGGTGTTTCTGGGTGTTGTCAGAAGAGATTAACATTTGAGTCAGTGGACTGGGAGAGGAAGACCCGCCTTCAAGAAAATCCACTCACAATGTGGTGGGCACCATCCAATCGGCTGCCAGTGTGGCTAGAAAAGCAGGCAGAAAAGAAGGTTGCAGAAGCTGACTTGCTGAGTCTTCTGGCCTTCATCTTTCTCCCTTTCATCTTTGAGGGCTGAATGCGTCCAGCCCTCAAACATCAGACTCCAAGTTCTTCAGCTTTGGACACTTGGACATACACCAGTGGTTTGTCAGGGGCTCTTGGGCCTTCAGCCACAGGCTGAAGGCTGCTCTGTAGCCTTCACTAATTTTGAGGTTTTGGGACTTGGACTGAGCCACTTCCTTGCTCTTCGACTTACAGAGGGCCTATCATGGGACTTCACCTTGTGATTGTGTGAGTCAATTCTCCTTAATAAACTCACTTTCATATTTACATATATCCTATTAGTTCTGTCCCTCTAGAGAGCCCTGACTAATACAATATTCCTGTAAAATATATTTCTTTTCACTGTCTCCAACAAGCTGTTTCTGGCACTTAGTGGGAGCTGAATGATTATTTATTAAATAGATGAACGATAGCATCATGTGAACCTGGAGTCAATATAGTTAGTTATCTACAGTACTAGGCTGCCTGTGGAGCATGCAGGGGTGGAACCAAATTATTTAAGGGTTCTTGTCTATAAAATAATTTTATTAAAACATTTTTAATTCATAGGCTTATGAAAAGTATAGTGATTTATTGATGAAGATGTAAAATAATGCATACAGAAAGGTGCTTACATATTTGTTTATCATCTAATCAGGGAAGATGAAGAGTCTTCATAGTCTCCAGACACCATCTCGTACCATTGAGGTCTTAGGACCATCTCTCCATGTTCTTTCTTGTCAAGAGCACCATTTCTTGCTAATTTCATATCTCTCCCCTAAGACAAAGGTGGCTGCACTCCTGTTACTCATCTCATGGCTCACACTGGACATGTTTGTATTAAAACAATACATATCTTCTTGCCTTTATGGTTCCCTAATAGCCTTTATTTTATGCTGGTTACATTGTTACTCATGACACCATGATGCCCACTGGCACTCCATTGTGCAGCTCTGACTCTCTCAAACATCATCACTGTTTTTGCTGATGATAATCCCAAGGTCAGTTCTTATGCAGAATGTGCAGGAAAATGTAAAAGATAATTTACTTATTCATGTTAATTTTTCCATTGGAAATTCTATGATGCTATTGTGTAAACCTAGAACAACACATGTTCTCTTAAACATGTCTTCTCTTGAACTTTGTAGGCTGTAATCAAGCCTTGCCCGAGACCTCTTTCACTGTTGAGAACACCTGGATGTCCACACACTGCCAGAGTGGAAAGGATGGCCTGGCCCATGGGCGGAACCTGGGGAGGGGGCAGCTGACCTCAGCGCTATGCCACTGTGGGCAACATGGGCAGAAAAGAATGAGGGAAGGCCTGAACACCTGCCCACACATGCTGCCCCAGCCCAGAGCACTGACTTGGCCCTACCTCCACAATGATCGAGTGTCTCCCAAAATCAGAGTGTCCGCACCATCTTGGTGTCCCAAACATCATCTGTTTTCCAGGATCGTCCATATGGAGCCTGAATACTCCAGGCCAGGTGCCACCCCATGGCTGCCCGTCCCCTGATCTCCTGAGCATCTGGATGTCCCAGAGAGCACAGGGAAAGATTGGGTATGGGGAGTTGGAGAGAGCTCCCAAGGGGAGAGACAAAGAGTGGGACATGCAACCCCTTAGGTGCTCAGGGCACCCTGCCTAGGCTGCAATGGGGATGGCTGGTCCCAGACACTCAAGAAGGGCTTGAAAAATTTCCTATACTCCTCTCCAAAACCAGGGGGTCCTCGCCTGGGTCTAAAGATTCTACTTCAGGAGAAAACCGTTTCTGTTTAATCACCTGACAAAAATTAGGGCATTTAAAGGTAAAAATCCTCATTTAAGATATCTTCAAATATGGTAAATAGAAATCTCTAAAATATAGATTGAAATTTTATAAATGGAAAAAAATTGATGGTTAATAAATTTGGATCCTATTGTTTTTGCCTAAAATGATAAGAATTGTTAGTTTTAAATAATGAGATGCTCATTTTATTGTTTAACCTGAAAACTGACTCTAAGGCCAAATCTATAAAGGAGATGCGAAATTATTTTGAGGAGTGGAAGTATCATCAGAATAAGTGTTTTGCCTGATGTAACTACTTCAAAAAATCCTGTTTTTCTGGTTATGTCTGTGCTATTATGATTATTTAAAAGTTGAGTCTTATTACTGATCAAACAAAGCAAAATAAAGAACTCTCCAGTGATATTAGGCCAGCCATGTGCCTCATCGATATGGGGGGCAGGCAAACACTAATGCAGGCTAAATTCACTGGTTAATTTTCCAGTTTTAAATGGGAAAAAATAAATGAAGGGAGGAGTAAAGCAAGCAATAAAAATAATTGAAAGACTAGGAGATACAAATAGGATGTGATTTAGTTGACTGGAAAAATGCCTAAGGGGTAAAAGGAATGTATCTATTACTCTTCTCAAATAAATGAGAGGAAATGCTCATTACAGAACATGGATACCCATAAATGACTTCTTTGGCAAGAGCATCTTTGTACCACATATACATTTCACTTTCTATACACATTACAGCCTTATATCGACTCAACAGTATAAATGAGAGAAGCAGTACACACACTCCCACACACACTCTCACACACCCGCCCCCATCCACATGCACACACACACACATGCTCCACCCCACCCCCCGACACACGCACACACACAACTAACCTTAGGATACAAAGATTGAGGCAACGTTAAGACCAACCCAGTAGAGAGTGCTAAGATGAATGGATTCAAGGTCAATCTATAATATTTTGAACTCGTCTTAGAAAAATACAATCCCTACACATGATCAATCAAAAAAGGAATTTGGGAACAGATGGGAGAGGTCAGCTCAGTGACCTCGTTTTGGGTTCAATGGTTTTATAGCACTTTTTTTTCCAAAACAATTTGGGGAGCTGTACTGCTTTCCCATTGTTGCTATAACAAATGGTGACAAACGTCATGGCTTGAAACAAGATATTTATTCCATCAGAGTCCTAGAGGCCAGGAATCCAAAATCTGTACCCCTGAGCTGAAATCAAAGTGTTGGTAGGACAGTGCTCTCTGAATTCCTTGATACTTTGGGATTCTGGTGGTTGCCGCATTACTCCATGCTACTCCAAACTTCAGGACAAATGTCTTCAAATTTCCCTCTGTTGCATCTTCCCACCACCTTCTCCATGTGTGTCTGTGTATGAAATCTCCCTTTACCTCCTTCTTAGAAGGAGGTGTGATTACATTTAGGGCTACTCAGTTAAGCTAGGAGAATGTCTCCACCTCAAGATCCTTAACTTTATCACATCTGCAAACACCTTCCTTCTTTCTCTCTTTTTGCCATATGATATAACATTCACAGATTCCAGAGATTAGGACATGGATATCTTTGGGGGTGGGGGTATTTTTTTAACCTACCACATGAGTATTGGAGGACTTCTTATATCATAAAGAAGTTTTAAGATTTACAACAACTCACCATATAATACACAGTTCAAGATTTATGCTAAATGACTAGAATACAAGTGAATGACAATGGGGCCCTGAAATTAAGTGATACACAATATAGGGACATTACACAATATAGAGACATTACACAATCTTGTATAGGTTTGAATGTTTTTTTCTTATAGAAGCAAAACTACAGTGACTTGTAGATCAGCATATAAATGTGCCCAGAAAAGCTTTCATTTTGATAGGATTGCGTATCGTTTGTTGGCTTATTTTTAAATAAATTTCATTTTTCAGAGCACTTTTAGGTTCACAAAAAAAGTTCATGGAACAGAGAGACTCAACATAATTTCTGCATCTCATATACATAGCCCCTCCCACCATCCACATCCAATACCAGAGTGATGCATTAGTCACAATCAATAAAATGAGGTTGCCACATCATTATCACTCAAAGTTCATAGTTCACATTAGGGTATCTCTTGGTATTGTACATTATATGGGTTTGGACAAAAGTATAATGACATATAGCCACCATTATGGTATCATACAGAGTAGTTTCACTGTCTCAAAATCCTCTGTACTCTGCCTATTAATTCATCTTTTCCAGTCTAACTCCTGCAGCCACTAATCTTTTACTGTCTCCACAGTTTTGCCTTTTATAGGATGTCATATAGTTGGAATCATTCAGCATGCAGCCTTTTGGGCCTGGCTTCTTTCACTTAATAACATGTATTTAAGGTTACTCTGTGTCTTGACATGGCTTGATAAATAATTTCCTTTTAGTGCTGTGATATTCCATCCTCTGGATATGCCACAGCTTACTTATCCATTCGCCTACTGAAGGGCATTTTAGTTGCTTCCAAGTTATGGCAATTATGAATAAATATTGTTTCTGCGTACATGTTTTACAAGGTTGAGTTTCAATCCCCAGCGCTGCCCAATATGGAAAATGACACCCTTTAATGGTACTGAAAAACAAATACATATTTAGTGTCGTAGGACCAAAAGGTTTGTATGCCTGCTATGCAGTAGCAGACCAATACACTGAGACAGCAGGGTTTGCAGCAGGCAAAGAGTTTAATGATTGCAAGGCACACAGGGAGAAGACAGGAGGAGACACTCAAGTTCATCTCCCTGACAAGTTCTAGTCTGGGATTTTTAAGGGGATCATGGAAAGTGAAGAGACTGGAAAATTGGGGTAATTGGTTGGGGTGAGGGGGATGAAATCATCTGGATGTGGAGGCTTCATTCTTTAGTGAGTCAGCCTCCTGTGGGGTCCTTCAAACCAGCTGGCATCAGTGGTTTCACTGGCATGCAGGGACCTATTCAAGTTGTTATGTATAGGGCAGTTAAGGGGAACTATCATATTGTAAAAGGGTCTATGTGATTCTGGGGCAACAGGCACCAAACAACTGTGAGGAAGGAGGAGAGAGCAGAGTGACCTCATAACGAATGCTGAGTGTGCTGCAATGGGTTATTTTCATTTCTCCCTCTCCCTTCTTCCCTGATTAATTTTACAAAGTTTATAGGGATGGTTTCATTAGCATCACTGTAAGTGTCATGTTGCAGGACCTAAGACTGAAGACATGGATGGTTGTGAGAAACGGTCCTACTGGTGGGGCCACGTGCAAATTTCCCACAGCTTCCAGGTAACCACAATTCTGCTTCCTTCTTCAAAAGTACACTTATTTCTTTATTTATTGCATTACATTTCAATAACGAGTTTCCAGTCTTTTTTCTATCAAATCAAATCCTAGGAATAATAAATGGTCATTCATTGCATATCAGACACTCTGTAAGAACTTTAAGCTGCACACATAAGTCTGGTTGTGAGGCACAGTCAAGCCCATTGACATATGAGGAAATGGAGGCTATGGAAACTAAGCACCCAACATCAAGTAACCAGTAAGAATGGAAGTAGGGTTTCAGTCTCTCTGACCAAGATTATCTGCTATTTAAATCCTATCCTTAGATAATTCTCACGACTTACTGCATAGAACTTCTATGAGTGCCTGACTGCACTCCAGCCTGGAAGAGAGGGAGAGATCTTGTCACAAAAACAAAAACAAAAACAAAACATTTTTCATGTGTACAGATTTTCCTGTTCAGATATTTTATGTGATATTTTGCATCTAGCTTCTTTCATTTAGCCCAATAGTTTTGAGGTTTGTCCATGCTATAGCATGAATTAGTATTTCTTTCTTTATAATATTCTATTGCATAGGTATAAGGCATTTTGTTTATTCATTCACCAGTTGATCAACATTTGGGTTCTGTCCTCATTCTGTCTATTATAAATAATGCTGTTATTTATGTCTAGAAAATAGTTTTCATAGGGCATATGTTTTCATTACTCTTGGGTATATCCCTAAGAATGGAATTGCTGGGTCATATGGGAAATTTAGAAGTCTTTAAGCCATTTGAAATGATGTCTGATTAGGCAAACCTGATAATTTCTATGAATGTCCCTAAAGTTTGAATGTAAGGTCAAAAAAAATCATACAAAATGTTTAAAAACAATAACAATTCATCAAATCATTGCCCATGTCTGGTAAAGTTTCCACTAACCTAACTACCTATATGAGAGAATTCCAATACATAATGCAGGTTTATCTGCTGGAGACACAGACATCAAAAAAAGAAAGTAAAAGAAGCATCTTAGTGCTTGCAAGTAAACAGTGAGATCCTCAATTGCCTCCCTGCTATTTACTCTCAGATTATGAAATGCAGGATGGGCTGGGAGCAATGGCTCACGCCTGTAATCCCAGCACTTTGGTAGACTGAGGCTAGTGGATCATGAGGTCAAGAGATCAAGACCACCCTGGCCAACATGGTGAAACCCTGTCTCTACTAAAAATACAAAAATTAGCCGGGAGTGGTGGTGCCCACCTGTAGTCCCAGCTACTCGGGAGGCTGAGGCAGAAGAATTGCTTGAACCTGGGAGGCGGAGGTTGCAGTGAGTCAAAATCACGCCACTGCACTCCGGCCTGGTGACAGAGAAAGACTCTGTCTCTAAATAAATAAATAAATAAGTAAATAAATAAATAAATAAATAAATAAATAAGAAATGCAGGATGTTTGTAACCAAAGAAACTGGAATGTCACTCATTGCCTGAAAATAGGTAATTTTTTAGGTAGTTGGAAATCTAGCTTCTGGACCACTTTCCCCTTCATAAATGCCTTTGAAGACAATAGTGTAACATAAAACACCCATGTAAAACAGAGGATGGTGCCTGGTCCTGGCGAACTGAGTTCTTGAAGAAAGAGCAAATCCATTCCAATAGACCTGTGTGAGTCAGGATTGGAGGCAGAAAGCCCAGGGACTTGGTTTTTTGTTTTTTGTTTCTTTTTCTTGTGCTAAATCTGTTTACACTCTCAGAATTTAAAGTGTGGTGGTAATAGAATATTCCATCTTTAGCTGAGAACTGGAACTCGAGCAAAAATATCCAATGCTGTTTTCATTATGGTCTGCAATTTGCAGCATGTAACAAGCACACATTGGTGTAGATTAACTAAAAATGTGTTGCTATGTTGTTTGCTTGTTTGTTTTGCACAACAGAAAGACTGAGATGGACAGAGAAAGGCTAGCGGAGAAATTTTAAGATACCATTAAAGGCCCAAATTTCCACTCCTCAGCTCCTTCTTTCATTCAATCATCACAATGTCCTTACCAGGTGGGGCTCAAGAACAGGTGAGGAGATAAATTCATCACCTATATTGAGAAAGAAAACACAAATTGAGTTTCTTTGACTTATTGAGAAATTTTATGGAGGTCTACTATAAAATACATGTTTACAAATATCCAATACACAATTTGAGCATTCACTAATAGTTAAAATGCAGTAAAAAATTATCATTTCTCTGTCATTTCTTCATTCATTTTATGTTTTACATATCTATTTAAGATCCACGCATTTTTCCTTTTTTCACATTTTAAAATAATTAGCTCTTACAACACTTGGCACACAAAGTTCTTGTTGAAAAATTATTTATTGGTGAGTATTTTTCTCTGTAGTAAATTTATTTCTTGTTTCTACCTTTTGTTTTTCCTTGCAGTCTAATCTTACCAGTTCACTAAATTTGTCATTTAATTTTTTATCTGCCTATATTTAGCTGATATTTTATACTTATATAATTAATAGTTCTCTATGTTTACATATAGTTTTCTTAGAAATCATTTTATTTCAAAAGCAGGAATTCACAACAGTTAATTTCCTAGAAAAAATATGCATGTTTACATTTATTTTCCTAACTGAAGACACAGGGTTTACTTCTATTAGTTTTTTGAATGCTTCCTGTGTTATATATTCATTTTTGGCAATATGTTATATAGATTGTTTAACTGCTACTTTCCTAATCATTTTGTAATTTTAAAATCATGTATCTTTTACTATTATCCTAATTTATATGTTTTGGTGTTCTTTACACATCCTCAATTCAATCTTACTGTCAATAATAGCAACTGCCATGAATAAGCCACTATGTATTATTTATAACAAAGTTCAGCAAACTATAGCCTCTCACGCCAAATTTGCCCTGTTCTGCCTATGTTGGTAAAGGAAGTGTGATTAGAATACAGCTAGGCCCATTTGTCTACATGATGTCTATGAGTGGTTTTTTTACTATAATAGTAGAGAAGAATAATGGTGATGGAGAACTTATGGCTGGCAAAATTGAAAATATTTACTGTTACATACAAAGTTTGTCAACCTTGATCTAAACAGACACACATACACACACACATATTCCCCTTTGACATGTAAAGCAAATTTTAACCAATAAGATAAAATATTGACAATTTACTATCATATACTATGGGTTTGTCTAGCACTTAAAGGTTATTCCTAAAAAGCATAAAAATAAATATCAGGCAGCTGTGAAATCTAGAAATTTATATAGTTTTTGAAAGGAAAAAATATGCTTTCACAATACAGTAGGAGAATATTAAACTTAATTACATAGAGTTGAAATTGTTAATACAGGAAATACCTATAATAGGATATATTCTTTCAAGGGATCAAAAAAGATGACGTTTCTTAAAGATACATTTGCTACCTGACTATTGTAATTTTAGTTCTTTGTTAAAAATATTCTACATTATGGAGACAATAGCCTTAGCAATTACAGAATAGTAACAACATATGCATATTAAAGAGCATTTCCATTTCTCTTTATGTATAATCCCATTTTATTAAGTTCTTATTCCTCAGAACTAACTCTATTTGAATAAATGCACTTCATTTCACATCAATAAACCCTGAAGGTGACATAAAATTTGACAGTGATGTAAGTGGCAAACCACTATCTATTTCTTGCATGTCTGTTCTAGAGTATTAATCGTGCTGTTGGTATTTAAAGGGTTGCAATGAACATTCCCGTTGGTATTCTATGGCAATTTAATCACACTACCATTCATCATTAAGCGTTACCCTGTGGATAATATCACTCACCGCAGGGCTGATATTATGATACACTGGGGGGACCTGGCAGCTTTGTCTTCATTAGCTGACTTATGTAGTGACTTGTAAGATTAAATGTCATCAATGACCTCCTAATTGCCAAACCCATTGGCCTCCTTAGAGCTCTCATGCTAATCGTCCTTTCTGCAGTATTTGACCCTGCTACAAAACTGCATTATTTTTACACTCTCTTCTCTTTGCTTCCTTGGTACTACACTTTCTTGGTTCAGTCCTTTTCTAAAAATGTTTATGTTCAATCTCTTTTAAGGACTTTATTTCCTCTGCCTTGTTCTTAAAAGCATTCCCAAGATCTCATGATGAAGAGCGTTTTGCTTTGTATCCCTCTCTCCGGGGTTATTTTCACTTTCATGAATTTACTATCACTTCTCAGAGCAGAATTTTTCTCCTGTCTGGAGTCAACATTTCAATGACTTAGGGACGCTAGTTAGGTTCATAGGGAGGGAAAAAGGAAGAGAAAAAAAGAGTTAAAGTAAGAAAGGTCTTTTATTATAAATAACTAATCCTTCATGTTCTAGACTTTAGGCCCAACATGAGAACGGATTATGAACATCTGTCACAATCAGAATTTCAATAAATATCACCCAATTTACCTTTCCACTACCTAATGTCAAATTATAATGTATTTCTACATGCTGAGAGTTGATCATTTGATAAGCGATATCAAGTATATATTTAGTTAAAATATAATGAATCATTTTATGATTTATTGACCAATATGATTTATTGGCCAATATCGGCCAATATCTTCTATCAAACACCAGGAAGGATCTGGGAATTTACCTTACTTGCAAGCTAATAGCTTAGCTTGGCACAGCTTCATGGATTCTGGCAGAAGATGCAACACTTCTGGGTCAGAGACAAAGGGCCATTTGTTATTAAGAGCAAGAGCCATGGCTAAAGCATCTGCATTGGTGCCAGTTCTTCAAGCCCCTGATCCCACAGGTGACACAGAGTGTTAAGCAATGCCCATGCTTGCAGTAGGTTGTGTTAAAAGAGAGGAACCACCATTTTAGGAAAACCAAATCATTTATAAAAGACAGTAAGCCTGCTTTGACCTTTGCCCAGAGAAAGGCATTGTCTTTGTTATTCTGGACAGTAAATAAACCTGCACTTTTCTCTGGGATGTAGGAGTGTGGGGGTGTTGAGAGGACACTATATTCCAAGATCATTTAGTATATGAACATCCTTAGCAAGATAGTCTAGAACTAGGCAGTCCCACTCCCGAGACATGCAAAAATGTGACAGACCCATGGAGAATTTTCCTCAGTAATATTTACCCCTTGTTTCTACACTGTTTCCCATGAGTCTGCCACTCTTGCAGTCACTCTAATTAATCTGACTGGCAGAAGCTGGTATCAAATTTATTTAATGTATCTCAAATGTCATTTAATTAAGACTACTTTCAATGGGACTCAACGTTGAAGGATGAGTCCCACCTGAAATATTGACTTCATTTATGCTTGCATTCAACCAGGTTAAAAAAAAAAATCTCAGTAACCATCAGGATCAATTTTTGAAAGCCGAGTGGCTTGCTCTTTAAGTTTCTGAGTTGATCTTTCTATTTGATTCTAGGCAATAATCCAGGTAGAGGAGGATGCATTCTTTATGGTCCTGCCTCCATCTTGACCCACTGGGAAGAAGTTTAGCACAAGTCAGTAGTCTGTAACTTTCCTTGCCAGGGAGTTAAGGCAGACCTGAATGCCTTCCGAAGACACCATGGTGTCATTTATCACTGTGGGTCAAGTCAGCACAAAGTGTTGTAACAAGTTTTCTAATAGGATGATTCCCATCACAGAGAAAACTGCCATCAGTGCGGGCTTAAATAATCAATTAGTTATCCCTCTGGGAAGTTCCGCTGAATAACCAGGGTTGGCCTCATTTTGGAGATATGCCCGCAATTGCCTGAGGGCTATATGATTTCCTGAGGGTATTGCTTTAAGACTTAAAGATTACTTACTACCACCACTAAGGTGGTGCAATTCACTAGGTTTTTTTTTTTCAGGGTGGAATGGGGTTGGGAGGGATAGGAAGCAAGTTAATTCCTGATTTCCACACAAATAGTACAATTTTGAGGACACACATGGTGCCCCTGGAAGGACAGTGTTGTTTACAAGCAGGACCTAGATCATAGATTAGTCAGGGGTGCTGTGTGACAGTGCCTACAACATAACCTCCCAGACAGCTGCTAGCTCTAAAGGTACACTAACCCACCCCACTCCCTCTTATTAGCAGACAACATAGTAGAGGTCCACTTACGGCCCATTTGGCAATACGATTTGTAAACATGTTCATCACTGATTCCCATGGAATTTCTTCCAATTACTCTGATCAACCCATGAGGTCCTCATTCTTCCTGTTTAATTAAGCTGCATCTTTGTC
This sequence comes from Homo sapiens, assembly GCF_000001405.40. NCBI lineage: Eukaryota > Metazoa > Chordata > Mammalia > Primates > Hominidae > Homo > Homo sapiens. Next base: position 53,920,237 of record NC_000007.14, read on the forward strand.
ACATCCCATCCTCATCATTTAAACAGTCAAGAACTGTGAAGCATTCGAGATTGTGCTCTTCTAGCAAGCTAACAAATTAAGTTGCCTTAGTTTCATGGATCCAAGCAGAAGACGCAAATCTCGTAGTCAGAAAAAAAAGACAGATTAGTACTCACAGAAATAGTAGCAGTTGAATATCAGAATTTGCACTGGTTCCTGAAACTCCAAGTCCCACTGGGTGACATAACAGGGTTAGATATACCTTCACTTGGAGTAAGTGAAACAGGAAAGGGACCCTAAGCTTGGGAACCTGAATCTTTCATAATAGAGAGGAAGCCTTTTAGCTCTTTTTCTGGAGGAGGTCGTAATACTTTTTCACACTGGAGAGCAAACCAACTTGCCCATTTCTTCTTTCACTCTATTCCAAGGCTGTTAACTATGCAAACATCCTTGAAAAGACAGACCAGAACAAGGGTGGAGGGTGGCCAGCACCTCTGCTCACAAGATGTGAGGAACAGGAGAGAGCCATGGGAAATCATTCACGAATATCCTATAATTGAAATAATTATTAGAAGAAAAAAAAAAAAGACCAGGAATAGTGTTTACAGAGCTCTTCCAAAAAGAGATGTGAAGCAAGCAAAGCATTCTTTAAAACCCACCTCTTGGCCAGGCGCTGTGGCTCACTCCTGTAATCCCAGCACTTTGGGAGGCGGAGGTGGGTGGATCACGAGATCAGGAGATGGAGACCATCCTGGCTAACAGGGTGAAACCCCGTCTCTATTAAAAATACAAACAATTAGCCAGGCGTGGTGGCAGGTGCCTGTGAGAGGTGAAGCCAGTTGGGCTTCTGGGTTTGGTGGGGACTTGGAGAACTTTTCTGTCTAGCTAAAGGATTGTAAATGCATCAATCAGTGCTCTGTGTCTAGCTAAAGGTTTGTAAACACACCAATCAGCACTCTGTGTCTAGCTAAAGGTTTGTAAATGCACCAATCAGTGCTCTGTGTCTAGCTAATAGGGTGGGGACTCTGAGAACTTTTGTGTCTAGCTAAAGGATTGTAAATGCACCAATCAGCACTCTGTGTCTAGATAAAAGATTGTAAATGCACCAATCAGCACTCTGTAAAATGGACCAATCAGCACTCTGTAAAATGGACCAATCGGCACTCTGTAAAATGGACCAATAAGCAGGATGTGGGTGGGGCCAAATAAGGGAATAAAAGCTAGGCCACCGTCAGCAACCCACTGGGGTCCCCTTCCACAGCATGGAGGTTGCTGTTCACAATGAATCTTGCTGCTGCTCACTTATGAGCTGTAACACTCACCCAGAAGGTCTGCGGCCTCACTCTTAAAGTGTCAGCGAGACCATGAACTCTCCAGGAGAAATGAACTCCGGAGGCGCTGCCTTTTTGAATGGTAACACTCACCGCAAAGGTTTGCAGCTTCACTCCTGAAGTCAGCCAGAACACAAACCCAGCAGAAGGAAGAAACTCCGGACATGTGGGAACATCAAAAAGAACAAACTCCAGACACACCATCTTTAAGAACTGTAACACTCACTGTGAGGGTCCGCGGCTTCATTCTTGAAGTCAGCAAGACCAAGAAGAACCCACCAATTCCAGACACACCTGTAGTCCCAGCTAATCGGTAGGCTGAGGCAGGAGAATGACGTGAACCTGGGAGGCAGAGCTTGCAGTGAGCCGAGATCAGGCCACTGTGCTCCAGCCTGGGCTACAAAGTGAGACTCCACCCAAAAACAAAACAAAACAAAATTATCTTCCATTCTGAGATGGGCATTCTAGAGAGCCTTGAAAAGCCTGAATTCTGTCTTACGTCCTTCTGCTACAGGAATGGAAAGGCTGTAGATAATAGAGGCTCATGTACAGTGGGCTTACGCCAACATCATTAGGAAATTTTGAGCAAACTGAGGAGATAAATTGACTCCCACAAGAAAGAAAAGACAAAGAAAGCAGGAGAGACATAGGATATTGAATAAGACAGTTTAAAAAACTGAGAAGGCAGTGAAAATGGATACATACCATCATGGCAAATTTTGAAGGTGTGAACAAGTGAAGAGTGGGTTATGTGATTTTCAGAAATCTCTTATCAACTCTGGATAATGTCATAATTTTTAATCTTTCCCAAACTTACAGATAAAACATCCAATGTCATTAGTATTTTAATTATTGTATTTGTTTTTTATGTTGTGTTTCATCTTTTCACTGGCATATTATGTGATTATATTTCTTGTTTAATTTGTAAACTACTTGTCTCCTTTGCCCATTAATTTACAAGGCTGTTTGTGTTTTTTATTGGAAAACTTTTTTAAAACTTTAAGAGAGCTAGCCCTATATATATCGTATGTTTACAGTAATTATCAATGGCCTTTCCTCAATAGAATTTATAAAATAATCCACCTGTTTAGAAGTATTTTAAATGCTGCCTTATTATATATCTTAAATATTTATGTGCCCGTAAACTTAGTTTTATTTATTTTATTTTGTTTCGATGAAAAGGTCATACTCTTGATCACCAGAGATTTAGATTATATCTTAATACATTGTAAGGCTAGTTTGCTCCATTTCAGTCTCTTGTTCAAATATGTTTTCAGGTTATTCTCACCTGTATATAGGCATACTACTTTTTTTTTTTTTTTTGAGATGGGAGTCTCACTCTGTCGCCAGGCTGGGGTGCAGTGGCGCAATCTCGGCTCACTGCAACCTCCGCCTCCCGGGTTCAAACTATACTCCTGCCTCAGCCTCCTGAGTAGCTGGGATTACAGGAGTGTGCCACCACACCTGGCAGTTTTTGTATTTTTAGTAGAGACAGGGTTTCACCCTGTTAGCCAGGCTGGTCTTGCTCTCCTGACTGCGTGATCCACCCGCCTTGGCCTCCCAAACTGCTGGGATTACAAGCGTGAGGCATATTACTTTTAAAAGAAAACATTTGGTTCAGTTTCCCCCAAAAACATTATATTTAATTGGAACTTTATTTTAGAGAGATTAGAATTTAAAACTGAACATTTTCTTAAAGGTAAACAGGAACAAATCAAAACATCTCCAATGCAAATTGTTTGAATATTCTTGAGTACAAGGATAAACAGTCACTTGAGTCTGGAAATAACCTGGGATGTCCTGTCTTTCCTGGTACTGATGATCCCATTTTATATGTATATACTTCCTCTTACGGTGCAGTTTAAGCATTGTTAATTATGTCACTAAGCTTCTGGTCTTTAAGCCTAGAGAGTAGATATTGGCTAGGCCATTTTTCTATTGCTCAAAATGATACATTTTTCTTAAACAAACCCAAAAATTCTCTAGACAAATGATTTCTGGCTGGATCCTTAAAAATGCTATTTCTCTAATGATTCTTTTGCTCTTCTAACAGCTCTTTTCATTGGTCCATTTTTTTTTTCTCATTGAGCCTTTTTTCCATGATATTCTAGAACCCTTTCCTTTTGGAAGCAGGCATATTCAATTTCAATAGTACATTTGGAATTACATGACAAATTCTGAGAGATATATTCAGCTAATTTTAGCATGGTATATTGCTTCCATTTGACTTAGGCATGTGGAGGTCAGAGACTTATACCATGTTGGCTACCATTCTGTCTCCAGCCGAAGACCTTTAGCAGGCCTGTGAAATGATTGCAAAGTGGCTAATCTATTAGCAATTTTCTCAAATGTGTAATTGGCCTTTTGTTGCATCATCATTTTAATGGACACAGAGAGGTGAGAGATGAAAATAGAATTAATGGTGATCTTAGAAAGGGCACTAAACTTTCAAGTCTAATATCTTCCACCATTTCAGTGCCAGCAAACACCACCACACAGGATAGGTATGAATAACTATACATCGACAAAACATCTTATCTTTTAAGTGGCTTTGGCCCAATAACAATATTTTGTAAAGAAACCTGTACGTGTGAAAAGCAAGAATGTTTATTCTCTGCAAATTTATAATTATTATGGTTTAACCTGTAGCATCAAAAGGTCAAGTAAAGGATATAGTCTAACCCTAGATCAATCACCTACTAAGTTTATAGGGATGATGAGACTGTGCTAATATTCTTCTACTGGAAAATCAAATCAAAGTGCGTTTATTAGGTAAAGTGAGTTAGACATCATTTTTCTGAGACCACAAGGCAGTTTAGCTAATATAATAGGGTGTAGAAATAGACCTTAAAGTTAGAACCTACTTCAACCAGGCATGGCCACTTTCAACTTTGTCACACCCTCAACTTCATGGTCTAGTGTCTACAGTGCTCTGCTCTCAGCTTCTTTTATTTGAACATGTGAGCTCTCTCTTCCCCTCCTGACCCAATTCCTCCACCAAGGGCCATATTATAACTGATATCTCGAAAGCACTGAATTTGGTTGCGATATCACTAGATGTTTATGATACATAACTTCACAATACCTTCTTACGTGTCGCCATGAAAGATGACAAGCTAATTGGTTCTCTTCACTGTGTAAAATCTGGGACTGCTAAATTGGCTGACTGAAACATACAACGGGTATCAGAAAAGTGCATTTTTGCAGCCTTTGGCATAACCTGTTCTTTGGACTATATCTGTGAAATCCTAATATGTTTGCTAATAGTTGCTTGATTCATAACTCTGGCATTTATTTCTCCCTTAAGGAAACTTTACTTGTATATTCAGTAGCCTTCTGGTGTGCTCCATTTGTAAATCTACTGTGTATGTAGAAATCAACATACAATAAATGTCTTCCTCCTTAAATGAGACCATTCTCTAAATACTCCCGACATCAAACGTAGGGTTCACCTCTGAATCACTCACCCACCAGGTTCAATTCTTAAGCAGGTTTTATTGTTTCTACAGCAAATATTTTCCTTCTCCATCTATCACTGCTATCACCTTAGAAGCCATTTACTTTAGCCTGGCCTATATCCTTACTGGATGTCAGCTTTCACACTTGACCACAATGATCCATTACCCATTTAAAATTACGAAACAGATTTATTACTTTTCTGCTTACACTTTTCCATTGACTTCCCAATTTGTGCTTAGAGGAAAACCCAAATTCTAACACATCACTGATGCATAAGAGGACTCTGCTTCTTTTCAGACCTCAGCTGCTACCCTGCTTTCTCACAGGCACATCTTCATGCTGCCTTTTTTTGGTTTTTGTTTTTGTTTTTTGATTTTTGAGATGGAGTCTTGTGCTGTCGCCCAGGCTGGGGTGCAGTGGCATAATCTCAGCTCACTGCAGCCTCCACCTCCTGGGTTCAAGAGATTATCCTGCTTCAGCCTCCCAAGTAGCTGGGACTGCAGGCGTGTGTCCCCACGCCTGGCTAATTTTTTGTAGAGACAGGTTTCACCATGTTATCCAGGATGGTCTCAATCTACTGACCTCATGATCCACCCACCTCAGCCTCCCAAAGTGCTGGGATTACAGGCTTGAGCCACTGCACCCGGCCTGCCTTTTTTATTGTTTCTTGAATGCACCAAATTTGATGGATTTTAGATTTTATTTCTTTTCCTAAGGTGCTCTTCCCAATGTATCCACATAGGGATCATCAATCAAGTCCCCTTTCTCCAAGACACCTTTCTCAATTGCCAAGTTATCTAAACATAACACATCATCCCCAGTCATTGTATAAATAACTCTTCTACTTCCTTATCCTGATAAAATTTTATTTATTTGGTTAGTTATCCCTAAGTATTTTTATTCCCCCACTAGAGTGCAAGCTCCGTGAGAACAAAAGCCTTTGCTATTTTCCTCCCTGTGCTTTATCCAGAGCCCAGAACAGGACCTGGCATGCAGTGGAGGCTCAGTAATGACTTGTTTACTTGGATAAAAATGAAGGAATGAAAGAATGATTTGGTTCAGTTTTGGACTGGAATTCACATTAATTTTCTCTCCATTTTCTGCTTTTCTAAATGACAGTGTTCTTTGAACACATCTTGTGTTTTATCTACTGTTTTAAATTGGGCATGTTAGGAATAAACATTTCTGTTAGTCCATAGATTTCAAAGTTATGTATGAGAAGCCATACAAGGTTCAGACTGAGAGAAATAGAAAAGACTGGCTGGGTGTGTTGGCTCACATCTGTAATCCAACACTTTGGGAGACCAAGGCAAGAAGATTGCTTGAACCCAGGAGTTCAAGACCAGCCTAGGCAACGTGGCAAGACCTGGTCTCTACTAAAAATTTACAAAATTAGTCGGGTGCAGTGGGGCACAGCTGTAGTCCTAGCTACTCAGGAGGCTGAGGTAGGAGGGTCGCTTGAGCACAGGAGATTAAGGCTGCAGTGAGCCTTAATCATGCCTCTTCACTCCAGTCTGGGTGACAGAGCAAAATCGTGTCTCTGAAAAAAAAAAAAGACTTAGAAATTTAAAACTTAGAAATACCTCCATTGGCTGGCTGTGTTTTTGAAGTAGGTGTGGCTTTGATTATATGTAACTTTTTTGTATTAGAATAAGGAATAAATTTAAATTGTATTTTACAAAGAAAGGCATTGATGCCTGTGTGTGTGTCTGTGTGTGTGTGTGTGTGTGTGTGTGTGTGTGTGTGTGCGAGCACGCCAGGCAGCCATGAATTAACAGCATCCAGTGTTTACTGTTGTGTATGACAGCACATACTCTGGTCCCACAGTGGGAAAATGGCACTGCCATGCAGAGGGAGATAATCACATTGACGGGCAGCAGTGATTAACCTTGAGCTGGGTTTGTGGTCTGGCTGTGTCTGCTCCAGGGTGCTGCTCCTGGTGTCATGGGCATGAACGGTAGAGAGCCTGAAACTCATGTGCTGAAAAAAACAGAGACAAGAAACAACCTTGAGAAAGGGAGTCCATGCAGTCTGGTTTGATCTCCAACCTGCAGCTCTTGATTTCACTTACTTAAACAAAAATTGTTTTATGTAAACAAGTTCAGCTTGGATATGAGGGCTTTGCAACCTAAGAGCCATGAATAACTGAGAAATTGTTAGAAAGGCTTTGTGTGTGCCCTAAAAATCTGGATTAGCAACTTGCCCAATATGCTTTGCATCTCAGAATATTTGTTTATTCATTTGTTAAATGGCAATAATAATACCTACTTTGCTTTTTAAAAAAGATTAAATGAGACAATATGTACAAAGTGTTTACCAAAGCACTCACCTTTCCCCCTAGAAATGCTTAGTTTGTACCTCTACTAATACTACCAGCACCAGAACCACAGCAACAGAACTGCCCTAGCCTGTGCAGTGTCACTGAAAAATTTATCCACAGACACTCCGACTTTTGGGTAGTCCCTCACTGACTCTCAATATTTGTTGACTGTACTTCTCCTCAGACAGTTATGTGTACAGAGGATTATAATATTTAACAGATTTGACTTCATTAGCAAGAGTTAAACACCAGGTGTTTATTATGTTGGAAAAGTCAATGTTTGAGGACAGAATTGTCTATCTTTCAACCTGTTATTATTGCATCATAAATAGAAATGAAAATAATACCACCTACCACTTAAAAAATGGCCATGAATTTATTCTTCGTAATTGTTCAGTTCATCTACAATTGTTTCAGTACTGTGAAGATATACCATAAATAGCCACTAACTAATGACAAAGTATTTTATAAAATTATTTTTCTCTCAAAATTCCTCTTAAAAATGTTAACTAATTTTCAAGTGTGTTTGATAATTGGTGAACTGCCTCTGCTAATAAATTCAGTCTACCATGAAAAACATCATAAGGGTAGTACATTGGCTATTTTCATAAATAGATGAATTTCATACTTCCCCACTAATAAAATACTTGTTATATATTTATTTCACCTTCATTTATTGATATTTTCTTGGGCATATAACAGTAACTTAAAATATGAATCAAGAAAATAATATTTGACATTCTGCAATAAATTATTTTAAAGAAAAATTGTCATATCTAATTTATTCTGTATCCTTATTGAGATAGTTTGACTTTTCTGCTACAAAGTTGAAGACTGTTGGTTTAAATTCAGCATTAATAATTACTGAACTTACTGAAAGATGCATTGCTTTACATTATTCAGCCAATAATACAATGTGGGATATTTCTCTTCTACTAAGCTACGGAAAGTATGCCACATTAATTTTCTGCTTATTTAAGGACCAAGTGCATTTAAATGCATCCCACATTTCTCTCTTCAAAGATATGCTTTGACAGTGTATTATAATGTACAAAACTTTTGGAAGACAACAAAAATGACAAAGTCCTTGTGAAATAAAGGCTTCAAGATAACTGAATCATGCCTCATGAGAGTAAACAGAAATATTCGTCTAATCATTCTGAAACTATCATTTCTCTTTTTTTGCTATTAGATTCTATACGTGGTAACAACGTGCATTGACAAAGTTTTATTTGCCAATTATTCTAACAGTAATAAGACATCTTGCTGAGTAACTGGCAATTGATCACAGGAGAGTGCTAGAGATGTGTCCTGCTAAATGTGATAGCATCTTATTCAGAACCAGAAAATGCTGCAGACATTGATGTCAGCTTTGAGTTTTATATTTGTTTGTATTTTGCTGTTAAGAGTTAACATGGCATTCAGTAAGCTAAGAGCACTTCCATTATATCTTGAAATCTCATTAGTCATTTTTAGAAAAGTGGGGTTTATTCTTGTGAATGTATTGAGGATACATCAAGCCTTTGCTGAGTGCTATGAGCCATAATAGATACTGTTCTAACGTGCTTAAAGAAAACATAGCATTTATGTTGAAATCTTTAAGATATGCCATTACTTTGTCAATTAAAAATGCCTCTTCTCAAGGAGATAGTTATACATTCATTAATATAGCATTTGAAAAAAAGTTTTCCAACAAATGAATAATGAACAAGAACTGAGATAAAGAAATATTCTTGTGGAATTATCATATTTAATATATTTTATTCAACAAATATCTTAGAGCAGCAGCTGAGTTCTAGGCACAGCCTAAGGGACAGAGACTCAGCAATGAAGGAAACAGGGGATTGAGGGGGAAACCCCACCTTTGGGGACTCACATGCATGATCGCAAAAGATACTTGACTGTTTGGGATGCGTGGTGTTGTGTTGAATCATGAATGATGAATTAATATAAAGTAAATACTTAATCCTATAGATCACTTGAACTATTGAGACTATTCCTAAGATAAAGTTGGAGAAATGTATGTTAAAATACTAGCAAATCAATAACTCAGTATCATCGAAAAGTAAAATCTCTACTTGCACATTTGATTAACTCATGTTTATTCATTATAATTTAGATTCTATCCACTCTTAAGGTAAAATAGGCACTGAAATATGCAAACCTGATTAATTACAAATTAAAGAGAAAATAAGAATAATGGGATTGCTAGTATTAAGTATTTTATAAATGTTTAATTTATTTTGGCTTTAACTTTATTTTCATTTATGATCTGACCAACATAAAGTGATTTTTTAGGACATAAACATGTGGGTAAATGATAAATTAGTCGTGTAAAATCATATCAAGAAAGTAAAACAAATATGTGAACTAACAATAACGGCAGAAATCTAAAATTAAGAGATGCAAATATGTTTGATTTTTTTTCCTGACTTTTGTCCAAATGTCACATATAATATGACCCATATAAATCAATTGTTTTTCTTAGGACATCATTAATAATGCAGGAGAAAATATATGCAGACTATGTGGCTGGATAACGTTCCCCCAAAGATATTCATAACCTAATCCATGAAACCTGTGAATATGTTGCCTTCCATGGCAAAAGGAATTTTGAAGATGAGATTAGTCTAAGGAGTTTGGAAAGGGGAGATTATTCTGGATTACCTGAGTGAATCCAATGTAATCACCAAGGTCCTTACCTGAGACAGGCAGAAGGTCTCAGTCATAGTGGGAGAGTTGACGATGGTGGCAGAGGCTGGACTGACGTGAGGAGGTGGCCACGAGCCAAGGTGTGTGGGCAGCCAGCCACTGGAAGCTGGAGAAGGTAAATCTCTCCCGTAGAGCCTTCCAGAGAAGCACAGGTCTGCTGACACCTTAATTCGAATCCCTAAAACCCTCTTCAAACTTCTGACTTTCAGAACTGTAAGGTAATAAATTCATGCTGTGCTAGGACATTAAGCTTGTGGTAATTTGTTATAATAGCAATAGTCAACTCACACACTATTTAAAAAAATTTATACTCCAACCCAATTACTCTGCATTGTAATTTTTGTTACTCAAATTTGTTATTTATTTTCTGTAAGGGATGCAGCTCTTAAACAATTGTAAATGGTCATTATATTCTCTGCCTTTGTTTACTTAAATCATGTTTAGTTATCAATGCTTTTGTATACTTAAATCATGTTTCGTTATCAAATTAGGTGTAGTATTAATGAAACATTGATTCTACTTAACAGTATTAGCTGTGAATAATTTCCATTTTCTTAGCATAAAACAAAAAATATATTTGGAGAGGGTATTTTAAAAAATAGAAGAAAATATGAAGTTGCAGAAACATCTAGAATTTATTATTTATAAAATGAAAGCAAAACTCCTAAGTCTGGTAAGACACTGCTTATGCCAAATGATGCAAGCTTGAAGGGTACATGACAAGAATAAAAATAGCACTGAAACTGATCAAGACATTTGATTTGATCCTTTTCTACTCCAAATTCAGCTTAAACAAATCAGCTTGACCTAATCTTTGCACAAAATATGACTGCACTTTATTATTATTACTATGAAAATGCCCCTGATACCCTAAAAATCACTATATAAGTGTTGCCATTTTCATTCCACCTTGCCTATGCTGTAAGGGATCATTCACTGTAATATCCAATAGCAATTTCACTTTCTTGGAAAAGCTAAAACTGATACTGAAGTATGAGCTACCCATAGTTTCTTAATATCCTTCAACTTTCACTTTGATATTTAGACTAAATGATTCTAAGAACAATGACATGTTTTTGTATACAGAGTAAATAAAAATCCCACATAAACTATTTTAAATTATATTAAGTATTTAATATAAGCTAAACAGATTCAAATCCTGAGGGTGTGCCAGGGCCCATCAGGCATACTGGACTGGTTATCAGAACACATTTTTAATCCCCGAGGCAAGCCTTTTTGACTGCACCCCAAGAACTCTAAATGTAGATGCAGGACAGTTCCAAGAAGAAGGAGGAATCTGAAGCTAGGCATCAGGTTAATTACAGTTGAAATTGTTTTCCAAAAAAAAAGATTATCTCAACTTCACATTAAAATATATGCAGGTAGATAAATATAAAAGACAAAAATTGGCAATAGCACTGGAAAAATGAAAGAATGGAGTTAGATCTGAGAGATGGGAGATATTTGAGATGGATACATGGGCACCCCAGTGATTCCAGATAAACAATGAGACATTGAAACAAACTAAGAAGTGGAAGAAAAACATGATTGTAACTAACTTCTGCATTCCCCAGAATTCAAATAAAATAATTTCTGCATATTTTCAAAAACATGTAAACTGCACTGCATCCCTTTTGTGGAGATACATGTTTTATGGTTTGATCACAGTCATGCAGGTACTTACTTCATGTTCATCATTTAAAGAAGGAGTCTTTTCAGTTGTCGCATACAACCTAGTTTTGAATATTCTAATTGGGCAAAATCTCTTATGCCTGCTTAAGTGACAGTTTGTACCTCAGGGGCATAATCTAAACAGACAAAGTCACCAGCTCTTTCAAAGTTAGTATCATTTCAGGTGTTGCATGCACGGATTGCATTATCCATTTGGGAGAGGAAAATTAAGGAGAAATTCCAGGAATGATGAAGGCATCTGGAGCAGAGGATAGATTGGAAGGCTCTATCTTCCTGTCAAATTTGGGCCAGAAAGTTGAAGAAGTCTGGCCTGCAGAATCAGAAAATCAGGAGGTGTACTGAATACATGACCCAACATTCCAAGGGGTCAAATCCATGTTGCATTCAGTGACAGTCTCTCAGCCTTAGAACTGCCAGGAGGTGCTACCATGGGTCATGGAGTAACTACTTTCTTCTGAAACAAGGGTACAGATGATAAGGAGTCACTACAGAATTTTTGCAAAATAGGTTAAAAAACAAACACTTTTTTTCAAGCTGAATACTAAAATTATATTAATAATGAAAATATAATGCTGAATAGAAAATGCCAACATAGCCAGAGTGATAAATTAATTCTATAGACCAACAAGTCAAACATAAGAAAAAGTTGGAAAAATTTACCATACCAATTACATTTTAATTGTAGTAGTATATCTCCGTCATCTCAGCCCAAAAACTCCTTAAGCTGATAAGCAACTTCAGCAAGGTCTCAGCATACAAAATCAATGTGCAAAAATCACAAGCATTCCTTCACACCAACAATAGACAAGCAGAGAGCCAAATCATGAATGAACTCCCATTTACAATAGCTACAAAGAGAATAAAATACCTAAGAATACAGTTAACAAGGGATGTGAAGGACCTCTTCAAGGAGAACTACAAACCACTGCTCAAGGAAATAATAGAGGACACAAACAAATGGAAAAACGTTCCATCCTCATGGATAGGAAGAACAAATATCGTGAAAATGGCCATACTGCCCAAAGTAATTAATAGATTCATTGCTATTCCCATCAAACTACCATTGACATTCTTCACAGAATCAGAAAAAACTACTTTAAATTTCATGTAGAATCAAAGAAGACCCTGTATAGCCAAGACAATCCTAAGCATAAAAAACAAATGGAGACATCATGCTACCTGACTTCAAACTATACTACAGTGCTACAGTAACCAAAACAGCATGGTACTGGTACCAAAACAGACATATAGACCAAAAAGGAACAGAACAGAGACCTCAGAAATAATACCACGCATCTACAACCATCTGATCTTCGACAAACCTGACAATAACAAGCAGTGGGGAAAGGATCTCCTATTTAATAAGTGGTGCTGGGAAAACTGGCTAGCCATATGCAGAAAACTGAAACTGGACCCCTTCCTTACACCTTATACAAATATTGAGTCAAGATAGATTAGAGACTTAAATGTAAAACCCAAAACCATAAAAACCCTAGAATAAAACTTAGGCAATACCATTCAGGACTTAGGCATGGACAAACTCCTAAAGCAATGCAATAAAAGCCAAAATTGACAAAGGAGATCTAATTAAACTAAAGAGCTTCTGCACAGCAAAAGCAACTATCATCAGAATAAACAGGCAACCTAAATAATGGGAGAAAATTTTTGCAATCTACCCATCTGACAAAGGTCTAATATCCAGAATTTACAGGGAACTTAAACAAATTTACAAGAAAAGAAACAAACAATTCCATCAAAAAGTGGGCAAAGAATATGAACAAACACTTCTCTAAAAAAGACATTTACACAGACAACAAACATATAAAAAAATTTAATATCACTGATCATTAGAGAAATGCAAATCAAAACCACAATGAGATACCATCTTACAGTCAGAATGATGATTATTAAAAAGTCAAGAAACAATAGATGCTGGCGAGGCTGTGGAGAAAAAGGAAGGCTTTTACACTGTTGGTGGGAATGTAAATTGCTTCAAACATTGTGGAAGATAGTATGGTGGTTCCTCAAGGATCTAGAACCAGAAATACCATTTGACCCAGCAATCTCATTACTGGGTATATACACAAAGGAATATAAATCATTCTGCTATAGAGACACACACACAGGTATGTTTATTGCAGCACTATTTATGGTAGCAAAGTCATGGAACCAACTCAAATGTCCATCAATGATAGTCTGGTAAAAGGAAATGTGGTACATATACACCATGGAATACTATGCAGCCATAAAAAGGAATGAGATTGTGCCCCTTGTAAGGACATGGATAAAGCTGGAAGCCATCATCCTCAACAAACTACCACAGGAACAGGAAACCAAACACTACATGTTCTCACTCATAAGTGGGAGGTGAACAATGGACACAGGGAAGGGAACAACACACACCAGGGCCTGTTGTGGGGTAGGAGGCAATGGGAGGGAACTTAGAGGACAGGTCCATAGGTGGAGCAAACCACCATGGCACACATATACCTATGTAACAAACCTGCACATTCTGCATATGTATTCCAGAACTTAAAGTAAAATAAATTTTAAAAAAAGAAAAAGAAAAAACTCATCATACCATTAGTTTTTAAATTGTAGTAATACAAGCTTGATAATTTTAGCATATCTCAACGTAACATGCATCCTATCAGATGATCAATACCTAGATCTGCTTTTAAGTGAAAGTCTGCAATAATTTAATACAGTTTTTAGAAATTCATGGTAAAATGCCTTTCAAAATGTGAAAAATATATTTCCTTAAAATACATTTGGTTGGCAATCCCATTACTGGGTATATATCCAAAATTTTAAAAAATGTTCTACCAATAAGAGATACACCCACATATCCATCGCAGCACAATTCATCACAATAGCAAAGTCATGGAATCAACCTAGGTGTCCATCAACGGTGGATTGGATAAAGAAAATGTGGTAAATATAACTGTGGAATACTTACACAGCCATAAAAATAGCCTGTCCTTTGCAGCAACATGGATGCAACTGGAGGCCATTATGCTAAGTAAATTAACTCAGGAAGAGGAGAACAAATACTGGGTATTCTTACTTACAAGTGGGAGCTAAATGTCCAGTACTCATGTACGTAGAGACGGCAACAATAAACACTGGGGACTACTGGTGGGGAGGGACAGAATGAGGTAAGGGTTTAGAAATTAAGTGTTATGTGCTTACTACTTAGGTGACGGGACCATTCGTGCTCCAACCTCAGTGTCACACAATATACCCAGGTAGCAGCCCTGCACATGTATCTCCTAAATCTAAACAAGAAGTTGAAAAAGGGGGAAAAAAAAAGTACATTTGTTTGGAAATCACACCAACCAACCGTATTTTACCATTGAAATGAAAGTTATTTTAAAATTTCTGTTAAGGAATGAGGAAGAGATACAGAAACAAAAAATGTATTCACTCAAGAAGATCAAGTGAAAAAATTATTTAATATGGAATAATGTACAAGTAATTTGTCAAATGTAATAGCTTTTTCTTATGTCAGCAATAATCAGTTGATAGCTATTGTGGGCAGAGTTTCCATGCTGATAAAAATAAATAAATAAATAAATAAAATACACAAGGTAAATGGAATATATAACAAAATAATCAACATGAAATATAAAATAATGAAATATGGAATGCATAAGAAATATATACAAGTATATTGAGTGTATGAAAGGAGGTAGCTAAATTGAATGGCAAACTATAATACTACTCGGAAATATTGAATACTAAAAATGTGGGAATTGTTTCTAAATTAGTGTATGGATTTACAAAAATTTATATTGTTATTCAACCACGTTTTATGTTAATGATTCAAAGCTTTCATCATAATACCTTACCACAGTTACCTATTCTCCCAAGAGTTAGTCTATTTCAAAGCCATTCATTAATATACACAAAGCTTTATTAAACATTTTAAATTAGTTGTTCTTCACCTTAACTCATAATTAGATTCCAGTGAGAATTTTTACAAGTCCTCATTGTAAAAATTGAGAGACCAGCTCAATCAAATTAGAAATTCAGCATCAACAATGTTTAAAGCTTCCCACATGATTCCAATGTACAGCATGGTTAAGAGTGAATTTTGGAAAATTATTTTTGTATGACTGCTTTTATTTTATTTGGATAAATTCCTAGGACATAAATTGGTTTTGCAAAGAGCACACTAATTTTAATGTATTCTTATGACTTTTCAAGAGGATATACTGATTTATAATTCCCACAGTTAGAGAGTGAAAGAACTCATTCTCTCACATCTATCAACATCTATTGAACTGTTTTATCATTTCTTGTAGGCATTGTGAATTTGCTATAAGAGCAATGCTAAAATACATGATGCTAATATAGACATCTTTATTTGAAATATTTGCATGTCTTTTGTAAACTACCTGTTCAGAATTATGCCAATGTTTACTCTAGCATATTCCTCTTTAACATGCTACTTTAAAGGCTTCCTATAATATTAAATCTTTTTAATCTTTTGATTTTCTCCTTCTCTCTTTCTTTTGCATTTAAATTTTACTAAGATATATATGTTATATCTACATTTTAAAATTATCAGTAATTTTCTTAAAGGAGTTGATAAATTTGTGATTACCTCTACAGCACATATTTGTTTATGTATGTTTTATTATATTTCTTTCATTATATTAAGCTCTCTGCATTTGTATGTTTATGATTTAACTTTTGCAGTTTACTATTTAATACATCAGGAATTTAATCTTTTGTGTTTTAAATGTGAGCCTTGTATGTGTTTTTTTTTACTCCAAACAATAAACTTTCATAAGTAGATTATTTTGATCTAACTTTATCCATTGATTTCCAATGCCATTTCTATAATAGACCCAAATTTGTACTTATATCTATGTATGCAATTTTCATTTTATTCTATTAAGTAGCTGATTATTCCTTGAACTAATATTGTATAATTTTAATAATTAGAGCTTTATTCTATTATTATTAATTGGTAGTAAAATTTTCCCTCTTTATTCTTTTTTTAAGCAGATATTGCTAATTTTAGATATCTTTTTTATAAATGTACTTTAGAATGATTGTGGCTCACTGAAAAATTAAAATCCCTTGAAATTCCATTGAAATACATAAAATATATGTGTATTCATACCAAATTAAATATTTCCACTTAGAAACTTACTACGTTTCTGCATATATTCAAATCCCACTTTAAAACAAGTCAAATCTTATAAAGTATTTTGGTTTTATCCTGTGGAATATTTTATATATATATATATATATATATATATATCTGGATATGAATATATTATATAGGACAAAAATACATACATATATAATTTTAGTAACTGTATGTGAAATACTTTCTCCCTATTATAAATTAACCAATTAGTTCTAGGTAGTAAGGAAGGTATTAAAGTTTGTGCATTTATTTTATATAAGTGACATTGCTGAGTCTTCATAATAGATCTAATAGGATTTCAGTTGTTTTGGTTGTGGTTGTCTTCCAGGTAGAACATCTTGTTCATACACTGTGTTGCACACAGCCCTCAACAGGGCTGCAACCATCCTTCCCATTCCTGGGGCTTCTTCTATTATGTGATTTTGGTATTTCTCCTAACAAGAAGGTGGGTCTATGTCTCCTTCATATTAACCTGCAGGCTTGGGACTCCCTTATAACTGGAAAATATAGCAGAAGTGAGGCTGAGTGATCTCTGAGGTCAGTCATAAAGAGTGGCACTATTCAATTTTGTTCTCCAGAGTCCCAGGTCAAAACGGGTGAGCAATCTTGGCTGCTCTGAAGCCACCATGCTGTGACCATACAGGTCAGACCTGAGACTGCACCAAGAGAGGTGCCATGTCAGTCCCAGTTTTAACACTTAGTTCCCAGGGGATGGTTTGGGGACTATTTCCTATACAGCAATAGAAAGCAGATCACCCTATTGTAGGAAATAATGATGTTTGCTTCTTTCCTAATATCTTATTTTAAATTTTTATATCTCTGTATCCTACTTTATTTGCTAGAATATTTGGAATAGCGTTAAATGATATCAGTGATGGTGGTCCTCTTCTTTGTCCTGCTTTTATGCAAATGCCAAAAATATTGTACCAGTAAGCATTATGTTGACTGTAGACCAAATTTTAATAGCTGGTGAAACTTCTGAACCACCACCTGGGAAACCAAGCGTGGCTCAAGGTCAACTGAAAAGCTCCATCTTCTGAGGTGTAAGCAGGCCAGTGTGGCATGCAGCACCATTGACAGGCAATGGGTGGTCAGCTCCTCAAGTGTCTTAGGTACTGCATCATGAATGAAATTTCACATGTTGTTCATATCAACCAAGCCACCTATACGTGAAAATGCATAGGAGGTGCAGTAAGTCAGAGCAGAGTCCTGGGATCGGAGCCCATGTCTAGTATCCGAGATCAGGAGTTTAGATTAATGAAAAATGTGTTTAACAAAACCAAAAAAAAAAAAACCCCACAAATGTTAGTTTTTGGAATAATTTTGCCATTTATCGTTATTTTTTAGAAACTCAATTTGTGTAGGACATGCTAAATTATGTTCAATTTGTTAATTTAGAGGACACAATTATTGCTTAGTTCTTACTCCTCAAAATGTAGTTAGAATGATTAAAAAAAAAAAATAAACCACCATCTGAGAAACCAGCCGTGAATATCTGAGCCCATAATGTTAAAGCAAATGCCATTGGGTCATTATACATGGCCATAGGGAACTAAATTAACTTCTCCTTGATGAGAAATCTGACTTGTGATTTCCTCAGAAGAAAAGTTAATTAGCACAATCTTATTAAAATATGTTCTGATTTAAAGGAATTCAGTGGTGTCAATATATCTATCCAACTATATCTAATTATTCATTTATTTTCATAACTCAACTTGTAACAAAATGCAGATTTTTGACTTGCAAATATAAATGCAAGAAACAAGGTAAACTTTAATAAATGAAATAAAACTGAGGTAGAAAAAAGATAACTAAAGGCATAATACACAATGAAGACTAATGAATTCATGTAGTAGTGAGGGGTTATATGAGTTTGGTTCTGAAATTTCTACAAGCAATAGTTTATTTTGAACAACGTGTTAAAAAATTTTGAAATCTGATCGATATTGGAATTATTGTTTTTGCCCAAATTACTGATATTAGTTTCATCCTGAGATTTGCAGACAGACCAGAATGAACAGGACAGGAGACTGTATGGTGGTCTGTACTGAGAACTTAAGAAATATTGCCTAGTGACCCACAGGAGATTCATAATTTTCCTCAGTCTAGTTATGGAGAAATGATAAAGTTAATTCATGTGAATAGAGTTTTTTTAAGAAATAAAAAGCTATATGCCCACAGAAGAGGATATTATTAGTTACATATTGATGAAGAACAAAATCTTTAAATGGTGCGTTATTTCTGCCAGTTACATGGTCCATCAGGCCATGATTGTCTGTAACTGAATTGTCGATTTCACTGAAAATGAAAATCAAACTGGTAAATTATAATGTGAAGGCTAAGTAATAATGATAGATCATGTGGTTCATGTCTCCACACTAAACAGTGCCACATTAATTTTAACTCTACCATTCATATACGTAGCAACTTCTGCTGAGTATGTGGGTAAGGAGATAGGAGACGTGACTGATTCCTCAATTAAAAAAATATTGATTGACCAAATGACACAAACTATGTTAAAGGATTAGTTAGTTAATTTCACTAGTTTTCTAATTTATCAAGTATTTATATGACAATGATCCTAGGATCACTTCTTTAATTTGTTATGTTGATATACTGATAATTAATTCTTCGTATATCTCTTCTTTATAATGCATTTTTTTAAATATTGTTTTTATTTGATTTCCTCATTTGAGATATATTGTTGCACTTTGACTTTTAAATTATTTCTGAAATAAGTAAATTTTAAATCCCTCCTGAAGATAATTACAAAGATTAGAAATAGTTTATTGGTTTTCTTTCATTTTTTTTGTTTTTGTTTTTTTTGAGACAGAGTTTTGCTCTTGTTGCCCAGAATGGAGTGCAATGGCATGATCTTGGCTCACCACAACCTCTACCTCCCAGATTCAAGTGATTCTCCTGCCTCAGCCTCCTGAGTAACTGGGACTCCAGGCGTGCACCACCACGCCTGGCTAATTTTGTATGATTTAGTAAAGATGGAGTTTCTCCATGTTGGTCAGGCTGGTCTCGAACTCCTGGCCTCAGGTGATCTGCCCACCTCGGCCTCCCAAAGTGTTGGGATTATAGGAGTGAGCCACTGCGCCCGGCCAGTTTATTGTTATGTATTTTACATGCAATTAGGAGCTATTAAAGTTATTTAAAAGAAAATGTGTAGATAATTTGGATATCTTATATAACCACCCTAATATCTTATAAATTATGCTCCTGTTTATTCAGAAACTGGGAATACCATTTAAGTTTAGAATTCCAAAGAATCAAGAAAAACTACCTAATTGCTAAAAATAGAATTACTTTTTTTCTCTCTGTCATCCTTAACATTGAAAAAGCCCTCTTTGCTAATCAAATGGTTTAAGGTAAAAAGTAAAGGAATGGGAAAAGAGAACACATTCTAGAATTAACACATTTTATTAGGCAAAGTGGCCTCATTCTTTGTTTCCTTTTGCTTCTTCCTAAGCAATGTGGTTAAAATTTTTCTAATGTTTGGGCAGCATTCATTTAATTGGTGGTTGGTTCCTGGTTTACATCTTAAAATGTCCCAGGAGGGGACTGGGTATTCTCCTTTCTCATCTAGAGTACATCTTCCTGTCTTTGAAGGAAACTTTGTTTTCACTTGATAATTACAAGTTTAATCTCCGTAATCAGAGTCTAATGCTTAATTTCAGATTTCTCTTTATTTTTAAAATCTCTCTTTCTATTTCTTTCTTTCTTCTTCTTTCTGTCTTTTTTCCTTTTCTTTTCTTTTTTTTTTTTTTTGCTAGAAATCTGCTTAGGTCTGCACATTTACATAGTATCCTGGCTCTTCTGTTCATATTCCATAATTTCAAAGTAAGCTTATAAAATATAAAATCAGTACCCATTCCTTAGTGACATGCCTCCAAAGAACAATGCATGCAAAGTAAAAAACAGTAACTTTACAGTGAAAAAAAGCTGGAAGATATGACATTAGCCAGCGGACCACGGTTCATACCACCAATGACAAAATGTGTGAATGTGATATGACAAGAAGAACACTCAACTTCTGTGATTGTCTTTCCCAAATCAATAGCCTCAGTCTAATAATGGTAAAATATTAGATGAATCCATACTGAAGGACATTCTACAAAATATCTGACCAATATTCTTCAAAAGTATCATAACAATAAAAGACCAGGAAAGACAGAGTAACTGTAACAGACCAGGGAAGGGTGTTAACTGGACTAAATATGTCACTCCAAAACTCATACGCTGAAATCCTCAATCCCAATGTGATGGCATTAGGAGGTGAGGCCTTCAGGAGCAAGATGGTCATGAGAGTGGTTATGACACTGGTGCATTTATAAAGAAGAAGAGACAGGACCAGATCCTGCGCTGTCCACCATAGGAAGATACAATGTGAGAAGACAGCTATCTGCAAACCAGAAAGTGTCCTCACCAGATGCCACATATTCCAGGGCCTTAAGCTTGAACTTCCCAACCCCGAGAAACTTTGTTTTTTAAGACACTCAGTCTCTGGTACTTTTCTTATGAAAGCCTGATTGGCAAAGACAGAGCCTAATGAAAGATAACAAGGGAATACAATGCTTCATCCTGGAGTGCGTCCTGGGACATCAAAGGACACTAGTGGAAAGGACTTTAGTGGAAAAAGTGAAATGTGAATAAAGGCACTAGTATTGCATTACTATTGTGCCAATGTTGATTTCTCAGTCTGATAAATATTCCTGGGTTATGTAAGATGTTAACATTAAGGGGAAGCTGGGTGACATGTTTACAGAAACTCTGTACCATGTTTGCAACTCTTCTGAAAAACCAAAATTATTTCAAAGCGAAAGCCTGAGATTTCTGGAACGGAGTTTACATTTTTTCTTTTGACATATCCCACTGGATGCCTCATGGGTACTGAAAAGTAAGAATGGTCCTAAACAAACTCCTTTCTTTCCTCCATTATTAGATGCTGTACAGATACACTCCTGTTTCTCAAATTCATCCATCTTATGGTTATGCAAATCTATTTTTCTAGTTTTAATTCTATTGCTCTTCTGACTCATTTGTGGGGTGCTTTTCCTTTTTTCTTTGTTTTCATTTTTGGGTTTTTGAGATATAGTCTTGTTCTATAGCCCAGGTTGGAGTGCAGTAGTGTCATCTCAGCTCACTGCAGCCTGGATCTCCTGGGCTCAAGCCTTCAGCTTCCCACCTCAGCTTCTCAAGTAGCTGGGACCACAGGTGCATGCCACCATGCCCAGCTAATTTTTTCATTTTTGTGCAAACAGAGTTTAGGCAGACTGGTCTCAAACTTCTGGGATCAAGCAGTCCTCCTTCCTCAGCCTCCCCAAATACTGGGATAATAGATTGTTCCCCCATGCCGGCCCCTTTTCCTTCTTTCAAACATTAAATGTGAGTTACCTCCAGGGTTCTATATTAAGCTGTCTCTTCACTGTATGTACAATTCCTGAATGAACTTGCCCTCACCGACAAAATGAACCCCCAATTCATTATGATGAATCTCAATTGTCTCTATGCAACCCATGATTATGTGGTGAGTACATCCAGTGGACTACTGTGCATTTACATTAGGACACTATAGGTACATTAATTCAATACAACCAAGAGAACTCAAAAATCTTTCCCTGAAAATATTCCTAAATCTGTGATTTCTGACCCAGAATGACATTTCCTGAGTGACATTCCAGCAGCTCAACAGAGAAATCAGATGACTGCATGGTTCTCTCTCCACTAAATCTCAAGACGATACTCCACATTTTAGTGATTCTAACCTCACCCCTTACAATAATTATTACTTTTATTTTACGTTACTTTATTTTATTTTATTTTATTGAGATGGAGTTTTCTCTTGTTGCCCAGGCTGGAGTGCAATGGCACGATTTCAGCTCATTGCAACCTCTGCCTCCTGGGTTCAAGCAATTCTCCTGCCTCAGCCTCCCGAGTAGCTGGGATTACAGGTGGCCACCACTGTGCCTGGCTAATTTTGTATTTTTAGTGGAGACAGGGTTTCTCCATGTTGGTCAGGCTGGTCTGGAACTCATGACCTCAGGTGATCCGCCTGCCTCGGCCTCCCAAAATGCTGGGGTTACAGGCGTGAGCCACCATGCCCAGCCAATTATTACTTTTAATAGAATACTTCTTGGAGTAGTTTTCATTTCATAACAACATTGAGAAGAGGTACAGAGATTTCTCGTGTGTACCATCTGCACCCACACACACAATCTCTTTCATTAACAACTTACCCACCAGAGTGGTACATTTGTTACAATTGATCAACCTACATTAACACATCATTCAAACCCAAAGTCTACAATTTAGATGAGGGTCACTCTTGATGTTGTGCATTCCATGGGTTTGGACAAATGTATAATGACATTTTGTATTTACCATTATAGCATCACAGAGAGTGGTTTCCATGCCTGAAAAGTCTTCTGTGCTCTGCCTATTCCTCCCTCCCTCATCCCTAACTTCTGGAACTACTGAACTTGTTATTGTCTCTGTAGTTTTGCATTTCCCAAAGTGTCATATATTTGGAATCATACAGTATGTAGCCTTTTCAGATTGACTTCTGTCAATTAGTAATATAGATTTAAGTTTCCTCCATGTATTTTCATTACTCAATAGCTCGTTTTTCACTGTTGAATACTATGTTATTTTCTGAATGTACCACCAAGGTTTAATTCATTCATCTACTAAAGGACATGTTGGTTGCTTCTAAGTTTTGACGTTTATGGGTAAAGTTGCTATAAACATCCATGTGGAGGTTTTGATGTGGACATAACTATTTAACTTATATGGGTAAATACCAATGAATATGATGGTTGGAAAGTGGTATAAGAGTGTGTTTAGTTTTGTAAGAAGCAACCAAATGTCTTCCAAGTAGTAACACCATTTTGCCTTCCCATCAGCAGTGACTGGGAGTTCTTGTTCCACATCCTTGCCAGCATTTGAAGTTTCTGGTGTTCTGAATACTGGTCATTCTAATAGGTATGAAGTGGCTTTCTATTTTTATTTTATTTTGCATTTCCCTGATAACATATGACATGGAGCATCTTTTTATGTGTGTATTTGTCATCTGTGTAACTTCTTTGGTGAGGAGTCTGTTGAGGACTTTCACCCAATTTTTAATAGAGTTGTTTTTCTTGTTATTGAGTTTTAAGTGCTCTTTGCATATTTTGGATAATAGTCCTTTATCAGATATGTAATGATATGTAATTTACAAATATTTTCTCCAGGCTGTGGCTTCTCTTTTTATTTTCTTAAAAATGTTTTTTACAGAGCATATATATATATATATATATACACACACACACACACATATATATTTAAAATAAAGTTCAGTTTATTAATTATTTGTTTCATAGATTGTACCTTTGGTGTTATATCTAAAAAGTGCCAAATCCTAGGTAATCTACTCCTATGTTATATTTTAGGAGTTTTATAACTTTGTGTTCTACATTTAGGTCTATGATTCAATTTGAGTTAATTTTAGTGCAGGGTGTAAGACCTGTGTCTAAATTCCCTTTTTTTTTGCATATGAATCTTCACTTCTCCCAGCCTCATTTGTTGAAAAGTCTATTTTTTCTTCATTTTATTGCCTTTTCTCTTTTGTCAAAGATCAGCTGACTGTATTGATGTGGATCTATTTCAGGGATACCTAGTCCATTCCATTGATCTATTTGTCTATTCTTTTGCCAATATTATACTGCCTTGATTACCAGCACTCTAAAGTAAATTTTGAAGTCCAATAGCGTCAGTCCTCTAACTTTGCTCTCCTTCAATATTGTGTTGGCTGTGCTGGGTCTTTTCCCTCTTTTTATATACTCTAGTGTCAACGTGTGGATACCCACAGATTAACTTGTTGGGATTTTTATTAGGATTACATTGGCTCTATATATTCAGTTGGGAAGAACAGATATCTGACAACAATGATTTTTTCTTATCCAAAACATGGAATATCTCTTCATTTATTTAGTTCTTTTATTTCTTTCATAAGAATTTTGTAGTTCTCCTTAAATATCTCTTGTGCATATTTTGTCATATACAAACACTTTTTTGGGGGGGCAAGTGCTAATATAAATGGTATTGCATTTTTCAATTTAAATTCTACTTGTTCATGCTAGTATGGCTTTCAGTAACGGCTGATTAATTACAAGAATTTAGATCTTGATTTTTTTCAGATTTTCTATCCAGAGGATTATGTCTTCTGTGAATAAGGGCAGTTTTATTTTTTCTTGCAAATCTGTACACTTTTATTCCCCCACCCTTTTTTTTTTTCTTACATGAGCTGGTACTTCCAGCATGATATTGAAAAGATTGGTAGCAGGAGATAGCTTTGCCTTGTTCCTTATCTTAGAGAAGAAGCTTTGAGTTTCTTATCATTAAATATGATGTTAGCTATAGTTTTCTTGTAGATATTATTTATCAAGTTGAGAAAGTTCCCCTCTGTAGATTCCAAATTCTATCCCTAGTTTACTAAGAGTTTTTATCATGAGTGGTTGCTAAATTTTATCACACTTTTTCCTGTATCTATTGACATGATCATGTAATTTTCTTTTTTAGTCTGTTGATGTAGTGGATTATATTAATTGACTTTGTACCCAGCCTTGTCTGAGTACAGGTAAAATAGTTCTTAGCAGATGGACTATTTGTTAATCTGTGTCATAGTGAAGAACATTAAATTATATAGAGAAATTTGAGTCAAAAATATTTGGGATTACTGACTGAGAAGAGCGTGTATTAATTGAGAAAATTACAAAAAAATAGGTAATTATGCCCAACTAATATTGGGAGTCATACATTTGCAGTGGCCAAAGCCTGAATGGTTATTTCAGTTTTTTCATAAATATTCAGCTATGAAAGTGTTTAGGTTTTTAAGATATATGTCAAAAAATCATCAAAGTGGTAAAGTCAAGAGAATAGTTAGAATATCAGATTATGCAATCTCAACTTGTGGAGGAAGAGGAGGAGAAAATCACAGGGGCAATGGAATGAGTATCTTCATGAAGTCCTGGGACATGTTGAAGTAGGATTGCAGCATTTTGAAGGTTGAAGAAAGAAGAATTAGAGGACTGAAATACTTAGCAATTTAACATCTAAAAGGTGGAGTAAACTTGAAATAACAGGATCCACAAAGTGGCTCTGATAATAGGTTTAGAAAGTGCAATTTAAGGATTTCTAAATGCTGGAGATGTTGGATATTTAAGTCAACAAGCTTGTTCAAGAATAAAAGTGGAAAGTAAGATTGAATATGAGAAAATGACCAAGAGAAAAAGTTTGTATGAAAAATAAAAATGTATAGGACAAGGTGATATTTCTGCATGAGCTTGTCTAATTGATACTCAATTGTGTCAAGAACCACTCAGTAGAGGACAGCACCATTTCCTACCAGGTGGTACATGGAGGGTTAGAGAAAGCAGTCTTGTTTCAAGCAAGGTGTCAAAATGTTTCAGCTTAAGTGAGGAGATAAGTCTCGAATTTGCTGAAGAGGTGATAGTTCAGGGAAGTTTGTTTAGAGTGAAATAACCATTCCATGGGACATATTAGAGATTGGGAGTAAAGTTTACAGCTGGGAAATGAGAAAGAGAATACACTTGGATGATAAAATGACTAGTCCTTGGAAAGCATATCATTTGGACGGTGACCAAGGGTTACAGTCGTAAGAGGCATGAGCTAAAAAACAAACAAACAAACAAAAAACTACTTAGGTAAATTTAGTATTTTTTTCTAGGCTCCATGGATTACCTCTACTTCTTCCTGAAATGCGAATCCCTAGGAATCACACAAATGCTTTTCCTGGCCTGTAGCAGTGGCCCAGATAGCT
The DNA here is from genome assembly GCF_000001405.40 of Homo sapiens. Lineage (NCBI taxonomy): Eukaryota > Metazoa > Chordata > Mammalia > Primates > Hominidae > Homo > Homo sapiens. The sequence continues at coordinate 53,946,717 of NC_000007.14, forward strand.
TTAGTATCCTAGTGGGTTCCAGAGGAAAGTCTCTGCTGCTTCTGAGTGGTATTGTGGACTAGAAGAACGAGATAAAGTTTTGACACTAGCCAGGAAATGATTTGGCAGTGAGGAAGTAGAGCCAAGAATATCTTTAAGCCCAGAGAAATATTGAGAAGAGAACTGCTTCTCCAACCTCATCTGTTTCTTGCTCCCGTCTTCTGCAGAGAGCACTGGTTTCTATGCTTTATGAAAAATGTCTGCCATTTGCAGTTACTGAACATGATTTGATTGAATGTTCTTATGCTGATTTCTTCCACACTGCTGCCTCTAAATTTCTTCACAACATTATTTCCTGACTTGCACCCAGCCAACAACCTCTAAGAGAGTGAATCCTTCCTCTGTGCTGCATTTCTACCTTGTACAAGGTTTTAGCCGCCATTCCCACGTTGTCCTGTGCTTATTTCTTTGTATGACTCTAAAACATAAGCAGGGGTGATGGTGTAATAGAGGGTGTGAAGGTTCGTGGCCACTCACACCATTGTGAGTAAAGCTTTGCACATATTTTCAGTCTACATTTTTGCTATTATCCCTCCCAAAATTATAGAGCAGTGCACAGAATTATTACCTATACATGAAAGAAATGTCTCATCAAAACCTATAAAAAGAATTTTATATTTTTCTCTTTCTCACATGTTGTAGATCGTTACCCATTTAATGATAATTGTTCTTCCATTATAACATGAAGCCATCTGTTCCATTTCTATAGAGATCACTAAAAATACCACAGTAATAATAAAAGTCAAACACATTTTTGTAATTCTGAGCTACTGCAAATTTCAATTTATATATGTGTGTGTATGTGATTTTATAAAGCGGTTAAGGATAAAAAAATTATTTTCGTAGTACATCATGTGATTCTGAGTCCCTTTTTACTGAAAAAAAGCCCACTTACCAAGAAAATAGCCAGAAGAAGCATTTGACCAATTGCCCAAGGATTTAAAACTGCTTTAAAAATGGTGTGAACATAAGTGTTTGGTGGCAAAAATCATTAGCGCCTGAACTGTGAAGAGTCTCGATGTATGAGACCGAAGAACAGATACGTGAGTGGAATGTCTCCCTGGAGACAGGCACTGATTGTTGCAAGTGACAAAACAATCTACCACTGTAGTTTATAGACTGCTGTACAATAATCAGGATTGAATTCCATGAAACAAAAATCCCATGAATTGTAAATATTCAAGGGAGCTAGGGGCAATGTGAATACAGTGATGAGAGTCATCTGGTGCAGGTCGGATGCCAAATATAATTCTTAGTGAGGTCACTGCAAGAAATTGAAAGACTCTGTGTATTTAGGGCTACAGTTTAGAGAATTACTTACAAAACGTCTTTCTTTCTGATTAACCTGGCTCAAAATACCATTCTAGAATCTAATTTTAAATAGATGTCACTTGCTTGTGGAGTAGGAATTAATTGATTAAAGCAAACATTGTATAAGATTTTAAATCCTGTGCATAATGCAATGAAATACAATTTTGCTAACTGCTTTTTATACATAAACAGATCGTTCCTCTACTTTTGTGTCTGAGTTCATAAGTAAAGAACCAGAGGAACAGCAGATTAAACATGTACAATTTTGTCATATTGTGAAGCTGAACAATTCCTCTCTTGGAAATTTCCTCATCACCTCCTGCTTGGTTCTCTGGGGACAGGAGTGGGAGAGGACTGGAAGGATATTCTCCTTCTGCTATTTTTATGATTATACAGGGTACATTGATGCAAGGAGAACATGGTCAAGACATTAGAATATTACATAAAGTTTAAATTTCAATTTTTTTATAAATGAAAAACTAAATACTAAAAATTAAATAAAAATCAGTTGATCAAACAGTGCAGTTTTGGAGACCATAGATCTTTAATAAATCAGCTATTATAAATTATTTTCATGTGAGATAATCATACATAATATATAATTATAGCTCAGCAAAAATTTAGATATAGATATATCAGTTGGTCTTCTCCCAACCATTTGCTCTATTTTTTGTGTATTCAAGTATTTTTGGTGGGGCCAACGGTTAGAGAATAATCAAAGCACAACCTTGCTACACATGCTAGTAACCCAATCAGTAAAACACACACCAGAAGCATGAACTCTACAACTTTCCAGTCTATAATTCTTCCAAGGTAGCTATATTACCAGGTAGAATAAGGGAGATAATGTGGATTTAAAGACAACTAATTTATGGCTAGCTTTTGACCACAGAGTGAGAAAGTTCTGTGAAACCCACACAGCACCTGCAATCCACTGTCTTATCTCCCATATTTGTCCACTGTACCAACTTCTCCTACACTCTTGATCTGACCTTCCTCAAGGAGATGATGACTCTATCGGATGTTGTCCACTACTACTTACCATTCACTTTATGTTATGATTACACATTATATGGTCAATGATAAGAGAAGTAGGACATGTATCCACGGCAGCTTGAACTGTTGTCAGAATTTCATCCTTGAGGGCACTTAACTCCATTTGGTTGAGTGTCACCTGTGATCTTGGCTATATTTCCACTTGCAACTGCAAAATGCTAATACAATGCAGCACCCCCCCTTTTCACCTTGTTTCTTGCAGATAACATGGCACGTCCTCCTGAGCCATTTGAGCTGTATTTCTACCTGCAGAATAGGCACAATATGTCCAATCACATGTAGCTATTATTTAAATTTTTCTTGATACTTCTGTCTGAAGTGAACTGTTTTTCTTCTAATCAGTACTTCTGTATATGGAAGTACAAATAGAGATAGTTTACTCATACTATGTCATTTATTTCACATAAAATAAATTTTTATAGGAATGACTGTTATATATAAAGGTTATTATTTTATAATCTTTATAATATTCCATTATTTTAGTCAAAAATTTAGATATGGCTATATCTGTTACTCTCCTCCCAACAATTTACTTTTATTTTACATTATTTTAGAACAGCCTAATAAAATGATTGATCAACAAATATGTAGTATATTTTCATTTCTTTCATATTATTAAAGTGGTACAATGCACATCTTTATGTATACCAACTTTTGATTGCCTTCTAGATCATTTTATTTAAAAAATAATTACAGAAATGGGATTAATTGACTAGAGTATATGAACATTTTTAATGATCTAGATAAATATTGCTAAATTACTTTCTTCAAAGCTTGTAGCAAATTAAGCTCCCATGAGCATTATACACCTGGGACTTTCCAGACATTTTAGCATTTACAAATAAAGCAAACAACAAATTAATTAGTGTCACTGATAACAATATATTTTTATTTTTGTATTATTGGATTTCTACAGAGAAAAAACATGAGTTTATATGCATTTGATTTTTTTTGTAACATATCCATTAATGTCATTTATTGCCCTTTCTATCAGTGTATCCAAATTCTTTGAATTGTAAAAACTCATTATATATTAATAATATTTCTGCCAAACTGCCTTTGCAAATTTGTCCTGTTGTTTCTGTTTATGCTTCATATTAAAAATCTTATTTTGAATATTTAAAAATTGCAGAAAAGCTGCTAGAATAGTAGAAACTCTTTACCCAGATTCAACAAATTTTCTTATTTTGCCAAAATTGCTTTTCCATCCTCTCTAAACAGATATAGATGATGGATAAGCAGATAGGAAATATATATACCATATTACATAGTAAAATATACATATAGAGTTCCTTTTACTTTTAATGAGCTTGTATATATCATGCACTTTGTCCCTTAATATGTCCCTGTGTGCTTTCCAAATACCACAGAACAGTTATCAAATTCAGGCAACTTAACATGACATAATCCTTTCACCTAATCTACAGTCCATATTGCAGTTTCCTGAAATTGTTCTAGTAATATCTTTTACATGTTTTATTTTTTTTTTCATCCAATAGAGGATGCAGATCAGGATTATGTAATGCATTTAGTTTTTCTACTTTTTGGGGACACTTTAAACTCATACAGTTTTTTTAACCTTTCTTTGTTTTTCATAATATTGATACTTTAAAAGAGTATAGGCCATTTATTTTGTATCGTGTCTTTCAATTTGGGTTTGCCTGAGGTTTTTGTTTTGGTTAGATGCAGGTCATGGGGCCCATTGGTATACTAAAAAAGTGATAGTATGTTTTCAGAATGTCCAGAGGTGGGTGATATTATTTGGCCATTTTCTGGTGATGTTACATTTGATGATCTGGTCAAGGTTTTGTATTGTATTCTTGTTGTGGGCTTTTATTTACCACTTTATCTATTAAAAATAGCATGTAATCTGTATTGACACACTTTCAGACTATCCAAATTTCTAAGTTTCAGTCAAATCAAACAACACCCTTGCCTCCAATTTAGCATCTACTGATGATTCTTGAATGAGTTCATCTTTAGTATAATGGGTGCAAAATGGGAATTTTCCAACTCCAGCATACATTTGATCAGCAAATGGTTGAAATTCTATCATACAAAAGACTCCTCTCTTCTCCAACATTTATTTATTGGTGTGCTTCTTTATTTATTATTTTTTGATACTCTTACCTATTCACTATAAACTCATTAATTCCCATTTTAATCAATGATTTACAACACATTAGTTAGTTTTTGTAGGTAAGAAATGCATTACGCTTCATGTATTTCTCTGCAAAAATAATCAGGTTAGTGTATGTTTATTTAACCCTTTTCTTTTTTAGATAATACATAATATGTCACATACTACATATTATTTTACAATTTACATATGTCCTGCCAATCTTCCCATATGCATCCTATATATCTTCATTGTCTTTATGGAGTCACAGTACTTCATTGTATGCATATATCACAGTCTCCTACGTTTGAGCCTTGAGGCAGTTATCAATATTTTGAAATTACAAATAAACTTATGCATATGCATTTTCATATTTTTGAAGGTATATATTCAGGGTAAATTCCTCCAAGTAGAATTGGTGGGTCACAGGTAAATGCATGTGGAACTATGTTTATGTTGCTAAATTTAGTTCCCTAGGGATTTTATCAACTTACATCCTTAGCAATAATATATGAGTTCAAAACAGGGTTTCCCAAAGCCTTGCCACCAAAGTGTATGGTTAAACTTTTAAATTTTCACTACTTCCTCTTCAAATATTTTCTATTTTCTTATTTTTCTATGATTACTTTTCCATATAACTTTAGAATGAAATCATCTACCTCCAGAAAAGCTTGTTGGCTTGGTTACTGAAATTACAATCATTTTTCAAATTAATTTACCAATAATTGATCAATAATTGATATGATGATGATATTGAGGCAACCTATCAAAGAACAAGAGATGACTTTCCATTTGCTCACATCCACTTTTGTATATTTTCAGAAATACATTTTAAGTTTTTTAAAATCAAGTTTATTAAAATTTTCTTTTTCTAAAACTTTCTTGTTAAATTTAGTGCTAATTTGTTACTTGGATATAGGAAAGGAATTGATAATTTCTTATTAATTTTTTCCCTCCCATCTTGCTGAATAATTATATTTTTGAGTTATTTCTATTATTGATTAGTTGGGGGTTTCCCAGATACATTGTCACATAATCTGCCAAGGAGATGCATTTCATTGTTTTTCAATTCTTATGCCTCTAATTGTTTTCTCAGTACAGGACTAAATTGGTAATGGGGATAGTGAGCATACTTACCTTGTGCCTGACTTAATGGAAATGGCTTTGGTGATTTCCCATTAAGTAGGATGCTGGCTTTAGTACAGACACACACTCAGTTGTGCTGACATGCACAGTATGGCATATATGTTATTTTATTTTTTATATATATAATGCCCACATACTTCTCCATATGTTAAGGAAATGTCTCCATTGCTATATTCTTGAATGTTTTCTTATGAAAGTTTGTTGAATTTTGTTAAAGACTTTTTCAGCATTTATGGGATAAGCATAACCTCTCCTTAGGTCTAATGATATGGTGAACTACACAAAGAGAGTTTCTCATATTGAAACTTTTGGACGTTACTGTTATATTCCATGATTGGTCATGATGTACTGTTCTCATAATATTCAATTGAAATCTATTCACATTGCATTTTATTTAGAATTACAATTTTTGCAACAATATTTATGACAGTTATTCAGCTGAAATTTCCTTTTGAGGGTGCTGACTTTATCAGATATAGGTATTAACATTATATTTAATTTTTCAAATGAACTTGACAGTTTATTCATTTTCTATCACCTGAAACAGTTTATATGGCATTGAAACTATTTGCTCCACTTTTGGTAGAATACTTACTACTCTGACACCAACTGAGGCTACTTTGTTATTTTCTCTTTTTTAAATAAAAATTGATGTATTTAAGCTCTCTATCACTATAGGGATCAATTTTGATAAGCGACATATTTTTTAAGATATCGCTCATCTCCAGGTACAATTTCAAATTAATTTGTACAGAGGTGTGGTGCAATGGTTTAAAGGTTTTTTAATTTAAATTTTCTATATTGATAGTTATACCCTCCTTTGCATTTACTAATTTTTATACTTGTGTTTTATCCTCTCTTCTTGATTAAACTAAATAACGATTTATTCATTTTGTAATTGTTTTTAATGAAGATTTGATTTATAATCTTAATATACTCTGTCATTATCTACATAATTAGTTTCTGTTTTTACCTTTACTATTTTCTTTCTTGTGTTCTATTTTGGTTTATTTATATTTGTTCATTTTCTAGCTCCTTAAAAATTTAAATTCATTTATTTATATTAGTGTATGTTTATTATCATGCATTTTTAAGGCTATGACTTTTTCTCTGGTTACTACTTTAAAGCCATCTAACCTGATGTATAGTGTTTTTATCCCTATAATGTTAGAAATACATCCCGGTATGTTAGAAATTCTGTTATTTCTGTTTATATTTACCCTCTATATTAGCATGTTCTTGCATTGCTATAAAGAAATACTTGAGATTGGATAATTTATAAAGAAAAGAGGTTTGACTGGCTCATGGTTCTGCAGGCTGTACAGGAAGCATGGTGACATCTGCTTGGCTTCTGGAGAGGCCTCAGAAAACTTACAATCATCGCGGCTGAAAGTAAAGGGAGAGGAGACATGTCACATGACCAGTGCAGAAGCAAAAGACAGAGTGTGAGAGGAGGTGCCACATGCTTTTAAACAGCCATCTCTCACGACAACTCACTTATTATCACAAGAACAGCATCAAGGATATGGTGCTAAGCTATTCACGAGAAACCCACTCCCACCATTCAGTCACCTCCCATTCAGCCCCATCTCCAGCATTGGGGATTACAATTCAACATGAGATTTGGGTGGAGGCACAGATCCAAACTACATCATCCTCTCATCCAAGAGTTTCTTAACAACAATTTAAAATTGATTCCTAGGTGAAATTAGTTTTTAATATCTAAGTTCATTGAATTTTAATCAAAGAATATTGCCTATAAGATTTTAACTTTCTGCAACTTACTTGTTGATGTTTCTTAGTGATCTAGCGTATGATCTGTTTTGTGTGCACCTGAAAAAAAAGGAATTTGTTTTTTCATTCTGTTAACTGATTTCAAAATGTTTATTGGGTCTCAATTTTCTGCCAATGCCTAGTTTAGACTGTAAGGATACAGAAGAAAACAAAATAAGTGAAATTTATTTTCTTATGGCACATATTTTATCAGGAAAATATAAATCATGCACAACAGAAGAGGATTTTAGTAACACAGTAGAGGTTAAGGCGATGGGGAGAGGTGTATACATAAAGTAGTCAGTGAGATGCTTTATGTTTATTTAATATTTGAACAGAGACTTGATGAAGTGAGAGAGCAAACCATGGGGATGTTTGTGAAGAGAGTCCAAGGCATTGGCAAGAGAGTGTGCAAAGTTCTTGAGTGAGGAGTGTTCCCATTTGAGAAACAAGAGAGAGGCTACTGTAGCCAATGGGCTACAGTGAGACAGTGGTAGGAGAAGAGATTGCAGAGGTAGCCAAGAAACTGTATAAATTCGTGTGTCCAGAAGTGGTTCTTTCCAGTGGATTCTTGGTCTCACTGACTTCAAGAATAAGCTGCGGACCCTTGTGGTGGGTGTTAAAGTTCTTAAAGACAGTGTGTGTCCAGAGTTTGTTCCTTCAGATGTTCAGATGTGTCCAGAGTTTCTTCCTTCTGGTGGGTTCGTGGTCTCGCTGACTTCAGCAGTGAAGCCGCAGACCTTCACAGTGAGTGTTACAGCTCATAAAAATATTGTGGACCCAAACAGTGAGCAGCAGCAAGATTTATTGTGAAGAGCGAAAGAACAAATCTTCCACAGCATGGAAGGGGACCCGGCTGGCTCTGGTGGCCTGCTTTTATTCCCTTATCTGGCCCCACCCGCATCCTGCTGATTGGTCCGTTTTACAGAGAGCTGATTGGTCTGTTTTACAGAGAGCTGATTGGTCTGTTTACAAACCTTTAGCTAGACACAGAGTGCTGATTGGTGGGTTTACAATCCTTTAGCTAGACGGAAAAGTTCTCCAAGTCCCCACCTGATTAGCTAGACACAGAGCGCTGATTGGTGCATTTGCAAACCTTTAGCTAGACACAGAGTGCTGACTGGTGCATTTACAATCCTTTAGCTAGACAGAAAAGTTCTCCAAGTCTCCACCCAACCCAGAAGCCCAGTTGGCTTCACCTCTTAATCCTCCCTCTAAACAGGACACTCCAACTGCTGTTGGGAATTTGGCTGATGACCACTCTAGCTACTTCCTGCTGGATAGGGATGAAGAAGGGTCCCTGCAGTTGTAGTGTCCTCCAGAGGGGAACTCTTTAGGCCAGTGAAAGGGCCAATGGGTAGGTCCAGGTGTCCTCGGTAGAAGTTGTTAGTTTAACTCATTTGGGGTTCCATTTGTAAGACCATCTGTAGCTTGATGGCCTCAATTCTAGAGGAAACAAATTTGACAAGAAGGTTAAAGATACAGAGCCCAAAGGCAAGTAACAGCAAGATGGCTGCCACGGGACCTAGAAAGGGGAGAAGCCATGTTGCCCAACTCCAGAGGTTGGTATAAGAGTTTGAAAGGCGTTGTCTGATTTCAGAAGCCTTTTCCTGTAAATGCCAGGCAGCATATCGTACTATCCCTGACTGGTTAGTGTAAAAACAACACTCTTCCTCTAAGAAGGTGCAGAGTCCTCCTTTCTTAGCAGTGAGGAGGTCTAGGCCTCGGCAGTTTTGGAGAGTAACTGCTGCCAAAGAGTTTATTTGGGATTGTAGAGTAAGGATAGATTTCGTTATTTCTTGCAAACTGTCTGAGAAATCCTTTGAGAGTGTGTGGTAGTAGGATAATGAAGTAGATAAACTGGCTATTCTGGTTCCTGTAGCAGTAGCCATTCCTAACCCTATAAGTAGGGGTATTAGTTGTATGGCTCTGTGCTGATGGACTTGAGCTTTGAAGGATACTGATAAGGTCTGATTTCCTGGGGCAATGTTAATGTTGGGACTTAGAAAGACTAAGATGCAGGTGCCTGTCCAGGTAGTGGGGAGGCAGATATAGGTCGATGTTCCACATAAGAAGAATATACCTTGGCTGGGCAGACAGAACTAGTTGTGTATGTTAAAAAGTTGTATGAATTTGTTGTTTTCATTTTCCCATACTCCTAGAGTACTTGCCAAGGTAGCTCCAGTTTTTGTTGATATTTTGCGAAAGAAGTTATATCTTTGACCAAGTTGACCATTTCCAAGTTGATCAAGTAGGAGGTCATTTGTGAGAAAAGGTCATCCATACAGCATTTCATATGGACTGAGTCCCATTTTGTGAGGAGAATTTTGGATTCTCAACAAGGCCATGGGCAAAAGAGTAGGCCATGGGAGATGAGTTTCTTGTGTTAGTTTCCTTAAGTGCCTCTTGAGTGTTTCATTTGCCTTCTTGACCTTCCCTGAGGATTGTGGCCTCCAGGTGCAGTGAGGGTGATATTGTATCCCTAGCACCCTGGAAATTCCCTGAGTTATCGTGGCTTTAAAAGACAGACCATTGTCACTCTGTAAGTTTTGGGGAAGCCCAAATCTGGGAATTATTTCATGAATTAGGACTTTAATCACTTTCTGAGCCTTCTTTGTCTTGCAGGGGAAAGCTTCTATCCAATTTGTCAAGGTATCAACACAGACCAACAAGTATTGAAATCCCTTTGACTTAGGCATATGGGTGAAGTCTAATTGCCAGTTGTCTCCAGGATAGTGACCTATTCTTTGTTCCCCCAAAGGGGCCTTATGATGGACCAAGGGATTATTCCTTTGGCATGCCTCACAGGCTTTGACTACCTGTCAGATGGTCCAGAGGAGATTTGGCCCTGTAAATAGGGATTTGGCCATTTGATGGGTGTTTTCAATATTTATATGAAAAGTTTGGTGGAGGATTTTAAGAATTTTCCACTGGCTGGCTTCAGGTATAAGTATCTTTCCTTCTTCTGTCATTAACCACCCCGAGGGGAGAAAGCTATGCCCCCGTGAAAGTTCCCATTCTGTTTCAGTCGGGGAATACTGGGGCTTAATGTCTTGGAGGGGGTTGTTCCATACCAAGGATCCTTCCATAGATATTTCTAATGGGAGGTTCTGCCTGGCAGCAATTTTGGCCTCAGCATTTGCCCGACAGTTTCCTTCTGCCTTTTCTCCTTCACCTTTCTGATGGCTTTGGCAGTGTAAGACTGCCACCTCCTTGGGTTTTTGCACTGCATGCAATAACTCCATAATTTCCTTGTGGTATTTAAGGGGGGTTTCCCCAGAGGTTAGGAACTACCTGTCTTTCCATATTGCAGCATGGGCATGTAGGATTAGATAAGCATACTTGCTATCTGTATACACATTTATTCTTTTTCCCTTTCCCAGTTCTAAGGCTCAGGTAAGTGACACTAGTTCTGCTAACTGGGCTCTGGTCCCTGGGGGAAGAGGCTTAATTTCAAGTACAGTTACATCACTAACTATGGCATAATGTGCCCTTCATACCCCATTCTCCACAAATGAACTTCCATTGGTATATAGGTTAAGGTCAGGATTAGCTAATGGGACTTCTAAGAGATCATCTCGAGTGGCATAAGTCTGGACTATAATTTGTTGGCAGTCATGCTTGATTGGTTCCCCATCCTCTGGGAGAAAAGTGGCAGGGTTGAGGGCCATGCACATACGTATTTGAAGCACTGGTCCCTCAAGGAGTAGCACCTGGTTTCTAAGTAGGTGGTTGTCTGATAGGCATAAACTTCCTCTGGCACCTAGTATGCCATTTACATCATGAGTAGTCCAGACAGTGAGATATTTTCCTTGTATTATTTTCATAGCCTCTGACACTAAGACGGCCACTGCCACAACTACCCATAAACAGTGAGGCCAGCCTTTTGCTACTACATCAATTTCCTTACTTAAGTATGCCACTGGTTGTGGGGTTGTCCCATGAGTCTGAGTAAGGGCTCCAAGAGCTATCCCTGCTCTCTCTGTGATGTATAAAGAGAAGTTTTGTCCTGTGGGAAGGCTTAAAGCTGGAGCTTGTACTAGGGCCTTCTTTAAGGTTTTGAAGGCTGCTTCTGCCCCTGGTTCCCATTCTACTAGATGAGTATTTGCCCTCTAGGTCTCTTTGTTTAGAGTATAGAGAGGCCTGGCTATCTCGCTGTATCCAGGGATCCGTAGTCGGCAAAAGCCAGTGATTCCAAGGAACCCTCGCAACTGTTTTAATGTCTTAGGGTAAGGACAAGCCAGTATAGGCTGTATTCATTCCTTGCTGAGGGCCCTGGTTCCTCTGGCTAAGATTAGGCCTAGATATTTGACCTGCTGTAGGCAAAGCTGGGCCCTCGACCTAGACAGCTTGTACCCTTGATTAGCTAGAAATTTCAAGAGATCTAGAGTAGCCTGCTGGCACGATTCTTCTGAACTGGTAGCCAAAAATAAATCATCCACATACGGAAGGACCAGAGGGCCTGGACTTGAGAAGTGGCCTAGATCTTGGGCCAGTGCCTGATCAAACAGGTGAGGGCTATCCCTAAACACTTGGGGCAAGACCGTCCATGTAAGTTGGCATATGTGGTCTGTGGGATCCTCAAAGGCAAAGAGAAACTGGGAGTCAGAGTGCAGGGGAATACAGAAGAAGGCATCTTTGAGGTCCAGAATAGTGAACCATTCTGCTTCCTCTGGTATTTGAGAGAGCAGTGTATAGGGGTTGGGTACAACTGGATAGAGAGGAATTACTGCCTCATTGATGAGTCTAAGATCTTGCACTAGTCTCCACTGACCATTTGGTTTTTGTACTCCTAGAATTAGGATGTTGCCGGGACTGCTGCATTTCCTTACTAAACCTTGAACTTTTAAATGTTTAACAATATCCTGTAATCCTTTATAAGCTTCAGGCCTTAAGTGATATTGCCTTTGATAAGGAAAAGTGGTGGGGTCTTTTAGCCTGATTTGGAGTGGGCGGGCATTTTTTGCCCTTCCAATTTGTCCTTCCAATGCCCAGACTTCAGGGTTGATTCCCTCCTCAAGTAGGGGACAACAAATGGGTAACTTGTTCCCCATATTCATGTAGATAATAGCTCCAGCTTTGGCTAACATATCCCTCCCTAATAAGGGTGTGGGACTTTCAGACATAACAAAAAAGACATGTGAGAAGAGAAAGGTCTCCCAATTACAACTGAGGAGGTGGGAGAAATACCTGGTTACAGGCTGTCCCAGGATTCCTCGGATGGTAACGGACCTTGAGGACAGTCATCCACGACAGGAGATTAGCACTGAGAAGGCCATGCCAGTGTCCAGGAGGAAGTCAATTTCCTGACCCTTAATGGTTAAACGTACTCAGGGCTCAGTGAGGGTGATGACATGAGCTGGCGCTTGCCCCAGGCACCCTCAGTCCTGTTTTTGGATCATCTGGTTGGGGGCTTCTGACTCAGAGAACCTTTGTCCTCTGGGGCAGTGCACCATCCAATGATTGCCTCCGCATAGTGGACATGGACGAGGGGGTGGCTTGTTTCTCATTGGACAATCTTTTTTAAAGTGTCCTTGCAAACCACACTGATAAGAAGCCCTACCAGGTGATTGGCCTACTCCATTTTCTGTCCTCTCTGAACCACCAAGGTTTGTTTGTCTGAGGGCCGTGACTAAGGCTGTGGCCTTTCTCTAATATCACTTTTCCTTTTGGGCCTGTTCCTCTTGGCCCTATTATAGAACACCAAAGTTGCCAGGTTTAATAATGCCTCCAGATTTTGTTCAGGGCCCAGGGCTTGCTTTTGGAGCTTTCTCCTGATATCTGCGGCTGATTGGGTAATAAACTTATCTTTTAGAATCAATTGACCCGCCAGTGATTTGGGTGACAGGGGAGTTTATTTTCTTAAGGCCTCCCATAGCCGCTCAAGGAAGGCAGGAGGATTTTCTTCCTTTCCCTGAGTTATGGTGGCCATCACTGAATAATTCATGGGCTTTTTCCTAATTCTCCTTAGTCCTTCCAGAACACAGGTCAATAGATATTCACGATTCCAGTCCCCATGATCCGAGTCAAGGTCTCAGTGGGGATCCATACGGGGGATGGCTTGCTGACTGGTAGGGAATTTGTCCCTTTCTTCATCGTCATTCTATCATTTACTTGACTAAGATACCAAATATCTCCAAACTCTTGAGCTGCAGCTAAAGCCGCATTCTTTTCATTGGAGAGCATGACATCTCTCCAAGTGAGATTGAAGGTTTGACCTAGACCCTGTAGGACATCTGTGTACCTGTCAGGATCATCTGAAAACTTCCCCAGGTCTATCTTGATCTGCTTTAAATCAGAGAGGGAGAAGGGGACATGTACCCAGGTTGGGCCAAATTCCCCTCCCCTTACAGCTTGAAGGGGACATAACCGATACCCCAGGGGTTTTTGTGGTACTTTGGAGATTTCTTTGCTTATTTCTTTCTGGGTGAGGGAGATTAGAGGAGGATTATCATTAATAGGAAGGGGAGCTATAGGGAGGCTAGGTTATGGGGGTAAGCTGAGAGGTCCTCCTGTGGGATGTAAATTGCAAGCTTTCCATAGTTGTGTAATCTCCTTCAATGAAAAGAAAGCTTGGACATAAGGTATTTCACTCCATTTGCCTTCCCTCTTACAGAAAAGGTCAAGCTGCAGGATAGTATTGTAATTTATGCAATTATACTTTTATATACATTTATATAATTTATACAATTATACTTTGTATAAATTGTATATATACAATTATACAATTTATAAAAAGGCCATTTTTCCCTGTCAGAGAGAGAATATTGGGGCCAGGCTGTAGTGCAGAAAAGAAATGAGCTGCCTCTTTTTCAGGGTTTGTGGGTCAAATTTGTCCCGATGGCTTAGGATGCATTTCAAGGGTAAGCCTGTTGATGCCTGAGTGTTTCCCATCTGAAAGACAAAACTGCCTGCAGTTTTGGTTTGTTTTGTTTCTCCTCCTGCCCAAGAACCCGCAACGGTCCCTGGACCTGCTGATCAGAATAGTTGCACTCACCGATGCAGCAGAAGAAACAATCCCTGCCCAAGAACCAGCAATGGTCCCTGGACCCTGCTGATCAGAATAGTTTCACTCACTGATGCAGCAGCAGAAACACTAGTTTTCCTCTGAGACCACAAGGAGGACTGAAGAAGGTCGGATTTAGTGGCACTTACTGACGCATTCTCGAAAACCTGCACCCTTGCCTGTCCTCCTAGACTGCAAAGAAGACCGAGAAAAATTGGATTTAGTGACACTTACTGATGCATTCTCAAAAATCTCTTAGAGTCCTAAGCATTCTCCTGTTAGTATTGGGACCTTACCCCTGTCCTATAAAGATGTTATGCCTCAAAAATGAAGTGGAGGGCCATACCCTGGGGGAAGGAAGAGATCCCCAGGGTTGGAAGAGTGACACCTTTTGTCCTTACTTATATGAATAAGAAGAATACAATTTCTGAGGCTCCCCATATCCTAGCTTCAGGAATAGCTTTTGTTAGGCCTGCTAGTCTGAGGAGGGATCCTAAAATTCCAGATAGTCCCCCCTGTGACAGGGCTTTGGGCAAAAATTATGTCTTTCTGATTGGTGAGCCCGGGTGCCAACAGAAGGTAACAGAGTCCTGGAGTTTATTCTAGTAATCATTCCTATAGGAGAAACTAGAAAAGCACCAGAGACAGGGAGGGATTTTTAGAAGCGGGACTAGCCTTGGAGAAGAGAGGCGAGAGGAAGTTTGTCTGGCAGGCATTAGGACCCAGGAGGCAAGGGTCAGGGTTGATAGAATAGATGGGCGAGTCTCGCTTGGGTGACATGCCTTTGAGAGTTCCGCTCATGGCCACAGGGTCAACCAA
The DNA here is from genome assembly GCF_000001405.40 of Homo sapiens. Classification (NCBI taxonomy): domain Eukaryota; kingdom Metazoa; phylum Chordata; class Mammalia; order Primates; family Hominidae; genus Homo; species Homo sapiens. The sequence goes on from NC_000007.14 coordinate 53,961,986, forward strand.
CTTGTTGTCGGGACCCCGGAGCTGAATGGCTTTCCTCTCTGTCAACCCTTGGCTCAGCCCAGAAGTACAGGAAAAACGGAAGCTGGCTCTAGGCAAACCAACGCTCCTAACTCCAAAAAGTCAGGGGTTGTTAGAGAGCCCTTTCCCAGAAAGCCTGACTCCCGTGTCTTTAGTCAGGTGGCTGCGCTAGTCGCTTTTAACTGGCCAACAGGTGCCCTGTATTAGGCCCCAAATTCTAAGGAAAAATAGGACAGAATAGCAAGTGAAAGGGGTCCAATGGTACTCACTGTTTGGTGATAGGTGGTAGTCTCACTGCTTGGCAATAGGTGATAGTCCCTTCGTGGTCACCAAAATGTGTCCAGAATTGGTTCCTTCCAGTGGGTTCTTGGTCTCACTGACTTCAAGAATGAAGCTACGCACCCTCACAGTGGGTGTTAAAGTTTTTAAAGATGGTGTGTCCGGAATTTGTTCCTTCAGATGTTCAGATGTGTCCAGAGTTTCTTCCTTCTGGTGGGTTCATGGTGTCACTGACTTCAGGAGTGAAGTTGCAGACCTTCGCAGTCAGTGTTACAGCTCTTAAAGGCAGCGTGTCCAGAGTTGTTCATTCCTCCCAGTGGGTTCGTGCTCTTGCTAGCTTCAGGAGTGAAGCTGCAGACCTTTGCGGTGATTGTTACAGCTCATAAAGGTAGTGCTAACCCAAAGAGTGAGCAGCAGCAAGATTTATTGTGAAGAGCAAAAGAACAAAGCTTCCACAGCATGGAAGGGGACCTGGCTGGCTCTAGTGGCCTGCTTTTATTCCTTCATCTGGCCCCACCCACTTCCTGCTGATTGGTCCATTTTACAGAGAGCTGATTGGTCTGTTTTACGGAGAGCTGATTGGTGTGTTTACAAACCTTTAGCTAGATACAGAGCGCTGACTGGTGCATTTGCAATCCTTTAGCTAGACAGAAAAGTTCTCCAAGTCCTCACCCGACCCAGAAGCCCAGCTGGCTTCACGTCTCATTGGGATATATGCTGCAACTAAGAACAAAATACACAGAAGCCATTCTGTACCTATTACATTTGTAGAAGATCAAAATATGCCACCCTGAAATATGCTATTTTGCTGAAGGCAATTGAAATTCGACAAAGGCAGAAATAAGCTTTCCCAGAGCTTCCCTTCTCTGCCTAAAAGAAGACACTTCAGAGAAGTGAGGACTTCCATCTATGCTCTCTCAGGGCAAGTTTCACAGCCACGAAGAAGATGGAAAGTCGGCATCATGATGGACCTGCCCCCCAAAATCTTAATCTCTTTGTTTTCCCCATATATTTACCTTTTCACGTTTGCTTCTCCTAAAAACCTAAACTCCTTTTCCTTTGTCTTGTGACAAGTGACAAGTAGCTCAAACATAACAGAAGTTTATTTTTATTTCTCATAATAATCCAGACACAGTCAGGTGTTTCAGATGTCTAGTCAGCTCTTAATCACAGATTCATCTGAGACCCATGTTCCTTCTACCTTGTTGCTTCATTATTTCTTAAACTCCTTCTCTCATTTCTTGATCAAAACAGGGATCACCAAGTCTATATTCCAATGTTTTAGCCTACAGAGAAGGGAGAAAGAGAAGATATAGAGGCAAAGACATTTCTGTTTTAAAGTCCATGACCTCAAATGTCAGTCACAATGTTCTCCCATACAGTTTGGCTAAATTTAGTGACACCACTCCTCCTAGCCTCATGGCACACTGGGAAATGCAATCTTAGGTAGGAAATGTATGGGCCAGGCAGAATCTTCAAGGGTTCTATTACTAAAAAGATCACCAAAAAGTGGATCCTGGAAAAAAAGTACAGTCTGACAGAGGCCAGTTAATTTAGATCTCTGTAGACTTTTGTAAGGCGTTTATTTTAAACACTGAGTGGGATGAAAAATCTTTACAAGATTTGAGCAAAGGAGTCATAGCATCAGACTTTTATTTAAGAAAATTACTCTTGCTGATGATCACATCTTCACCATGCTCCAATAATACTAATGTATTTGTAATGCTTCCTTTTACATTTGAAGTGTGATTTTTATATAAGTGGTTCTGTTTCAAAAATATATTTTCTGCTCATCAACCTGGAGCTTCTTATACAGTTTCCCCTTTTAATTATTCCAGTTCTATACAGAGGGATTATAATATGCAGGGATGGAAAACACAAAGCAGAAATACCTCTACCCTTTATCCTTCTAGGTTCTCCAGCTGAGAACAGACATAAGGCAGGCTAACAAGAGAAAAATAAGGTTTCTTAACGTGATGCAATACATAGCACACAGGAGAAACCTCAGCTAATGGTAGTTCAGAGGGGTGGTTAGAAACTGGGACTTACGTAACAACTTAGCAAATAACAATATGTTTGTAGAGAAGTGACAAGACAAAGGAAAAGGAGTTTAGCTTTTTAGGGGAAGCAAACTTGGAAAAGGTAAATATATGGGGAAAACAAATAGAGTAAGATTTTTGGGGATAGGTCCATCGTGGTGCCGAATTTCCATCTTCTTCCTGCCTGTGAAACTTGCCCTCAGAGGGCGTAGATCGAAGTCCTCACTTCTCTGAAGTGTCTTCTTTTAGGCAGAGAAGAGAAGCTCTGGGAAAGTTTATTTTTGCCTTTGTTGAATCTCAATTGCTTTCAGCAAAACAGCATATTTCAGGATGGCATATTTTGATCGCCTACAAATGTAATAGATATAGAATGGCTTCTGGAGTAGGGTATCTGTGTTTGAATATCAGAAAAGTCCCTTTCTAGTGTGAGGCTTTTCTGTGACTTAATTTCTTTATCTGCTTTGAAGGTTTTTGTGAAGAATTGATGCATTAATGTGTTACATAGTTAAATAGCTACTGGCACATAATAAACCCTGTAAAACTAGTAGAAGTTAATTTTCCTGTTCTATCATATTTTAATCACTTCAATTTACTTTTTAACTTAAATTTTAGTATTTTCACATTTTTTTCTTCTGATTAAGACTCTCATTTTCTAATATGTTTTCTTAAATATTTTATTGGGAAAATTTAGTTTGTAAAATTTTTGCATTGCCATATTCAGACAAAGATATAAACGCTCATCAAACACAATTTACAGTTCTTTTAAAAATATTTTTTAAATTAAATTTACTAGTTTTAATCGTATACTTTTCACATATTCATTGTTAGGTTTTCAACAGAGCTTTTCAACTCATTTTTATAAATATTTTTGTCTACCTTCCTAAAAGCCACATATGAAATTGCATTTGAATGTGTTTATGTGAACTGTTTATATTTATATATATTTTCCAAGGACACCTCCATGGCTTTTATGGACTTATTGAGACAAACTTCAAATTTCTGAATATTTTATTTCAAGTATTTTATATTACACTTTCTCCTATGAAATCTCAGAGTAGGCTGTGTTTTACAATAGAAACAGCTCTGTGTTCTCTCTGATGCTATTGCCTTGAATTCAATTTGGCTGAAAACAAATAAATCAACCAAGAAACAAAGCAACAAAAACTCTGATATGATTTTCCTGTGCCTAGTAAAGTTTGCCATGTCAAAGTGCAGAAATTTCACATTAATATATAATTTACATGCTAAATTTTAAAGAAAAAACAAGTTTCCTTTCTTATCCCCTCAGAAAAGGTGACAGAATGAACCATAAACTTAAAAAGGGCAGCCTTAGTGAATGTGCAGGCCCACAGGCATGTGTGTGTGTGTGTGATATTTAGTATTAAATATTTCTGAGATGCTGCTTCCATTATCTTTTAGACTTAAACTTTAGTTCCATGAGTTCTTCAGTTTAGCCCTGTTTGTGGAGTCTCTGAGACACATATCTTTCTTCATTGCTGCTCTTCAATCTCCGTTGATTGATAGTTACTGATTGTTTCCTAGGGAATAGAAGGCAGCCCCAAGAAAGAAATGCACTCATGGCTTAAATTCTTATATCACATCATCATGACCAGTGTCTTCTTTGATTGATTGGATGCCTAGGCAAATGAAGCAGCAATTGACCTCAACACACTGCAATTTCAATGATGCGGCGCCCCTCTCTAGACTAATTTTTCTTTAAAATAAAGTGCTTGCTACAACATTTTCATGATTACAAAACATTATTCTAATTATACAAAATATCCTTGTTGTCACAAGCCTTATCCCCATAACTTAGTAGCGTGCATCACACAAAAGAAAGGAATTTAATATCTAAAATGCATTCACACTTTTTACCCATTCCTCAGACTTTGTCATAATGTATACTTGATAAAACCAATGTGGATATATGATAACTATCTCTTCATACAGCTATGCCATTCCGTACAAACGGGATCATATCTTGCTTTCAGCAAAATTTTTTGAAAGTATTTTAACGGTTTTAGAGGAATCTTTATGCTTCATTCAGACTTCTTACACTTCAGATATTTTATTATTTCTGAGAGTGAAGCCCAGTAGAAGATGAGATTCTGAGGCTCCTTCACTGAACTCTTCCAGCATTTGTTTTTTAGGTTGTTTTTATACAATAGTCCTGCGGCTCTCTAAGAGGTGAGTGAGCTGGGCAGGTATGACAATGTTCTTGCCTTTTGCTTATGTGATGGTGGAACTCTCCCAAGGAAGTTCCTAGGCTGTGGAGTATTCAGAGGCCCCAAAGAGGAGGAATGCTCAGCCCTACCAGTCGAACACTTTGCATTTGTATTCTATTGCCTTTTCCCATTCTGGCTTGAAAGGTTATTATTAAATGTGCAAAGTGTAGTGCAAGGGGTAAATGATTCAAAATTTGAGAGAGGCTTTTTATTCTGTGTTGGTTCTCTATGCAATGAAGCAAATCAGAGTCCCAGGTGCAACCTTGATGCTGCTTCAAGATCCCATGGCAGTGTGTCCTCAAATGGGCACAGTTTTCTGAGGGAGGTTTGGCGTGCCTGCTCCATCAAATCTGAATGCAGAAATCTTGGCAGGAAATCTCAGTGGAGTCCACCTTTTTCTATCCTTTCAATAATGAGAGGTACATTCTTCTTCCCTCAGAAATTTCATAAGTAAAATACAGAAGCACACAGTTGAGAACGGACAGGCCCATGTTATATGATAAAGAGTCAGCTCAAACAAGTGTACATTTAACGGCCTTGGGTAGAAATGGTTTAATTTTTGCCTGCTGATAATGGTTTGGATGTTTACATTTAAAAATTAGACTATATATTAGGACAGCTAAGTTTATTGTGTGATCTCTGAACCGAGCCACCTTGTATCGGGAACTTTGCCACATTCTTCATATATAAAAATTAATTTGTAAAATCTCAACATTGTGCATCTGGCTATAATTGCAATGTTATTCTGTGGTTTGTTTCCAAATTTGCCTTACCAAGTAATTAGAAAGAACCTTGGAAGGATACTTAACAGTAGTCACTGTCCAATTTGTTCACCAATCATCTCTTATGTAATTTTATAGGACATCACCCACAATGTTCCCTTACTAAATCCAAGGAAGTTTACTTCATTTTATCTTTTTCTTAAGTCAGACTAACAAATTTTATTGCAGAAATATTGAATCTTCTTTTCTAATGATAAAAAAGCTTTAAGATTGTTCAGTTCATGTCTTAAACTGCTGATGTTAATGATAGCACATTATACAAAGATTATCTTTAAATCAGTATTGTTCATTAGACACAGAATTTATTCTACTCCACAGCAGAGACTGTCAAATGGGACACACCTTCCATGATTTAATAGCAAATTTGGATCTTGCTGTTATTTAAAAAAGACTTTTCAATGCACTTAAAAAAATAGATGTTTAATTGAGGAAGTATTATTTGAAACATTTAGCACTACAGGCATTACTATGATGGTAGTGCATATTTATTCCAAGCTCTACATTTTCAATTAATTCCCTCAGAGTGGATTTCCTGTTTCATAGCATGTATTTCATAGCAAAATTGGATACTCCTTTGCATTATTCCCATAGTATCATTAATAAAATGGATACGTCAATCATGTTTCTTTAAGGCAAGTGGTTTTAAAATGTTCAGAAACAATTCCTCACTCACAGGAAGGACTTCTTTTTAAAACCATCATATTTGTTAGAACAATGTTTCACAGCATTCGTTACAGTTTTTTGTGGCAGGAGAAAATTATATGAAATAAGATACAAGTTAGTCTGTAAAACTGTATTTCATAATATGTTAGATGTCTTTTTCATATTATGTAATATTATCATGGGAGTTTTGAGCCATGAAACAGAGAATGATATAAACAAGAGTGGCACAATTATTAGACTAGAAGAATCACAGGCATGTGAAAATCAGATCATTGGATAATTTCAAAGAAAAATAATTATGATGAGAGAATTTCTTGTATCACTCAAGCTTTCATAATAAATTTTAAAAAAACAGAAAACTAAAGACTTTTATACAAATAACTTCAGTATGAATAATTTTTAAGTCAGTTTGTACCATAAAAATATGATATACCTTTCCACAAGTGCCCTTGAAATATTTTTTAACGTTTTCATATGTTAGGCCACACATCAAATGTCAATAACTTTGGGAGATTACAAAAGGCAGATAATATTGTGTGAGGATAATGAAAGTAATAATAGTATAGATAAGAACTGCTAATGGTACCAAAATTTATCTATTACTAAATATATGTCAAGCATTGTGCAAAGTTAAATAAGACATGGATCAAGTTTATCAGCCACCCATCATAACCTGAATGCTGATCAGAAATGCAAAGTCCATATTTGTCACTGGAATAATAACATATTAAAACAGTTTGACTGAAATGATTTCAATAAATTGGAAATTAACGAAAATACTTCTAAATAACTTTGAGAAGATTTAAATTCCAACTATAGAATATATAAAATATAATAGCAATAGATATTCATTAGTACTTATGAAACAGAAACAAGAGTGTAGTCACATGCGAAAAAAACCCCAAATAATTTTATTATTGAAAAAAATTAGAAATAAATGAGTATAATTCAAATGTTAAATTTTAGTAAAGTAACTATCATTAACATTTTTCTAAAAATTAAAGAATTTAAAATATAAACTACTTTCTAGAGAATTAGCTCATTAAAATACAGATATAAAATAAAAATGTTTATTTTGGAAAAAGAATGATGATGTAGATAACAGGGTTGTTTCCTTTTGTATTTTTAATAAGCATTGTATATGATAATACTTGTACATGTCAATCATTTTGAAACTATCAATGAAAGTAAATTGTCCTAAATTTTTTAAATGATCAAAATTGTCTGAGAACAAGTTTTTAAATTTACAAAAAGAAGTGTTACAACTTTTTTAGTATTTTCTGAGCAAATTTTTCAGGTTTTACTGTAACTCCCCTACATACACACACACAAAGAAAATTACACTGTCCCCAAATTACCATCATAGAAGCTCCAGAATCTCTAGGTCTAAGTGGCATTACTTTTTTTTTTTCTTTTTTTTTTTTGGTTTGGGATGGAGTCTCACTCTGTTGCCCAGGCTGGAGTGCAGTGGCACCATCTTGGATCACTGCAACCTCCACCTCCTGGGTTCAAGTGATTCTCCTGTCTCAGCCTCCCAAGTAGCCACCACATCCAGCTGATTTTTGTATTTTTAGTAGGGACAGGGTTTCACCATGTTGGCCAGGCGGGTCTTGAACTCCTGGCCTCAGGTGATCCACCCGTCTCAGCCTCCCAAAATGTGGGATTACAGGTTTGAGCCACCGTGTCCAGTGGCATTACTTTTAAACTCTTTATATCATACATGTAACTGAGTTTATAAGAACAGTAATGATTATTGAATACAGAAAAAGTCACTTTATAAATCTAGAAAAGCTCTGATACTAAATTTATACAAGTGTAGAACAAATAGTGGTAGAGATTCATTTTACATGTTACCATAGGGGCATTTTTTTTTTTTAAAAAGTAGCTATCCTGTTTCAGCATTATATTAAATAAATTAATACACTATTGCCAAGGTAAGGGTTCTTTATCAGTTTATGAAACTATTAGAGTAATGGAGAAAAGATTAAAATGAACATATTGATGAATGTTTAAAAACTGCTTGATAAAATTTCGTACCTATTCATTATTTTAAACTAGTCTAAAGAATCAAGGAAAGAAATATTGGTGAATAAATACAATGTCATGCTGATCAAAATATCAGGTTTATTCACAATGAAACTTGAAAAACTGATTCTAAAATCTATTTTTAAAACAAAAATACATAACAATATTCATACATTACTTATGCTTTTTTCTAAATTATTGTCTAAGCTCGTGTTTATGTTTTCTTTTTTTAACAAGAAACTCTTTAAGTATGTAAAAAACGATCTTTGATTTTACAGCCTTGATCTAGTTATGTCTTGAGCTGTAAAATTCCTCTGTTAGTCAGGGTTCTTCAGATAAACACAACTAACAGTATAGATAGGTAGATATTAATAGATTAGCTAGATAGATAGATAGACAGATAGATTTAAATGGATTTATTATAAGAAATTGGCTTATGCAATTATGGAGGCTGAGAAGTACCACCATCTGCCATCTGCAAGTTGGAGAGAGAAGTGGAGTGGCTCCTGTCTGAGTCTACAGGTCTGAGAACCAGGAGCACCAATGGTGTAAGTTCCAGTTCAAGGACAGGAGAAGTCTGATACCCCAGCTTAAATAGTCATGCAGCAAGAGAGAGAATTGTCCCTTCCTCCTGCTTTTTGTTCTATTCGAGCTCTCAACAAATTGGGTGAAGCTCACCCACACTGGGGAGGGCAATCTGGTTTCTTCAGTTTATGGATTCATGTGCTAGTCTCTTCTAGAAACACTTTCACAGACTCACCCAAAAATAATGTGTAATCAAATATCTGGGCATCCACTGACCCATTCAAGTTGACAAATAAAACTAACCATAACAATTTCCATGTTTTTATTGTTGAGAGTCTCTATAGGCATTAGTAATAATTTAACTTCAAATTGGCTGTGTGTTTTTCTTTCAATTACAAATGAATCCTATCTAACCATCTACTTGAAGTTTGGTATTTTTTATAAAGTAATGGCCTTCAATCACATTTGGACAGTCAGCATGCCTGACAAAATTTGTTTATGTCCCTAGATCAATTCCTATTCCTCTCCCACTGTTATTGCCAATTTTATTTTCATATCATAGTTTCTTCATATTTCATCATTTTGATATCTAAAGGGATATGGCTGTTATGTGATAGGTTACTGTCTATGGGATTGGAACATTTAGGCTGCATAGTGATTTTTTAAAAAATAAAAACATACCTGAAGTAGTTTACTTTAGCTACTCTAAATTTCACTTGCTTTACCTAAAAAATGAGCTTAAAACAGTGGACACATGCCTTCCACACTAAGCAAACTGCCAGTTAGGCCGCGTATTTGCTGTCAGGATCAGAAGTTGAGATTACTTTTTAACTATTTAAAATATATTTTGATCTTATAGTTCATAATTTGGTTTATAAATAAGCAGTTAAAATAGTCTACTATAAAAACAAACCAAAAACCAAAAACTGCTATCAACAACAACCCTTCAGGCCAAAAGTGTAACAAAGCTACCAACCAGCTCCCAGCTACCAGTCTCCACAAAGAGAACAAAGAACTTTTCCTTAGGCCCTCATCAATTCTTTATTTTAAAGTATGTTAATTACTGTGTCAGGAATCCTAGGTTTTTGCTCCTTTTTCTATTATATTTATTTTTCTTTGAGCCATGGGTGAATCTTTGTATTTTAAAAGTAAGGTTCTGGTCAAATACAAATAATGGCTCTATTGGTTTTCTAGGGCCACTGTGACAAAGTAGTATTTGGTGAACTTGGTGACTTGACACAGCACATATTCATTCTGTCACAATTCTGAAGACCAGAAGTTTGGAACGAAGGTGGAAGCAGGTCCATACTCTCTGAAGGCTTGCTAGAGAATCCTTCCTTCCTCTTCCAGTGTCTGGGGACTCCAGGAATTCCTTGGTTTGTGGCAGCATTACTCCAACCTCTGCCCCCATTTTCACACATTCTCCTCTGTGTCTGTGTCCTTTCCTTGTCCTATAAAGATATTTGTAGCTGAATTTAGGGTCTATTCAGATAGTGAAGAATGACCTTACTTGGTATCCTTAATTATATCTGCAAAGACCCTTTTTCCAAATAAGGTGATGATCACAAATTCTGTGTACACATGTCTGCTGGAAGTCACCATCCAACCCACTACATTAGCTAAGGGAAAAAAAAAAGTTAATTTCAACATAATACATGCAAAGTTTCATATACTTAATAAAGCCACCCAAAGCCACACTCATGTCATATACTGTAGTAGAGATATGGAGGGAGGCAGAGAGAAGGAGGGTATGTGTTGTGAAGCAACACTCAATGTTGTTTTTCTTATTTTAAACCAAAGCAAGACTGTTTCAGTTTGAAATTGCATTTGCTTTGAGCAAAATGGCACTAACTTTGGATATATTTCAACCATGTGAGCTTGGTTAGAAAATAGAAAGTGTGCCACAAATTCCAGGAAAATCTAAATCCTTCTACCACATCTTATTGTGCCAAATCTTTAAATAGTAAGAACTTTTTAAAATTGGAAACAATAAGAAAAGAGACAACCACTCTGAATTATTTTTGGATTTTTTAAATGATTAGTTTATCAAATATAAACTTATATTCTTTATGTATATATGTATATAGATATTCCTTAAAATTACAGTATCACTTGAATTTCACAATTAATCCTGGAACTAAGTTTTAAATTTTAAAGACATACAGTAACACTTTGATTATTATACCTCATGTGCAGAGGCATATACAACTTTCTAGGAGTTCACTCTGTGTAAAATGTATTTGTAATTTGTGTAGATATGTCAGGAGAAAGTTGTTTTTGGGGGGAACCAGGAATTCCTGACTCTAAAACTCAATCTGTAAAAATGGCACTCAGGGTTTTAAAGCCCCTAAAGGTGAGAGGTGATTGTTGCAATCCCCATTCATACTAATCACCTTTAAGTTCCTCCCTGCTTTATCCCAGAACTCTTCCAAATACTTGGTATAATTAAAATTACAAGGGAGTCATTGTTTGGAGTTCCTTCAACATCAGATTAGATATTGGTTTGTTTAATTATTGAGGTCTACTTATCAGTAGAGGCTGCAGTCAAACACAGCCTTTTCCATAAGTGGTCCTGCAAATACTCTGCTTCTTCTGCCCACATTCTTCTTTTTCCCAGGCCAAATATACCCCCATCCTTCATTATCCAGGATGTTTGTTTCTAAATATATTCCAGGTTAATATTCTCTTTATATAATACTGTTGAAAACAGAAAAGTAAACTCTGGGCTGGAGAATTGCAATTACCTATGTAATTCTAAATTTGAATTATTTGTTTACACTTTTGCCAATGGCAGTAGCTATTTAGTCCTATTATTCTGCTGATTCATATTTTTCTTACTGCCAATTACCTCTTTTATAATTTCTTTCTGCAAGTTTTATTGTTATGTGACCTCTTGTCTTAACCTGTTCCTGGCTATAGCAAAACATTGTAGACTAGAAAATATGTTAACATCAGAAAAATATTTCTCAAAGCTCTGGAGGCTTGGAAATCCAAGATCAAGGGGCAGGCAGATTTGATGCCTGGTGAGGGATCTCTGCATCCAGGATAGTAGCTTGTTCTACTTCCTCATATGGTGGAATGCAGAAGGACAAAAGGAAAGAAGAGTACCCTGGAACCTCTTTTATAAGACCATTAATCACATTCATGAGGGCTCCACCCTCATGACTTAATCACCTCCTAAAGACCCCACCTCTTAATATTATCACATTGTAATTAAGTTTTATGAATTTTAGGGGATCACATACATAAACCATAGCACTTCCTCATTTTGTTCTTGTATGCTTATTTTTATGTTCATCTATTGTACAATTTGTATTTTCTTGATAGATTTACTCTAATGTTCTTGCTCTTTGAAATTTTATGAATTTCTCATTCCATCATGACAAATGTGGAATCTTCTGTATATCTTCAAATGGCGAACATAGTTTTTAAGCATAAATTGTACATCTTAATCCAGTTCATTTTTTTTAATGCTTAAGAAGGCAGGGTTGAAGACGAAGTTCTCTTCTATTACAAAACTGATCAGTAACTTTAAGTTTAAGCATTTCAATTAGTTACTAACTCCCCTAAATCAACCAGTGGCAAGCCCATATTTATTCATCTTTCCCATCAAGATATCATTTTATACTGTATTCTAAACATACTGTTATACACATCAATTTTTTTAGCAGACCAGCAACATTATCAGATAAAAAAACAAGTTTAGTGCTACCTAAGTTTTTCTTAGTGAACCAGAATCCATTTTAGGAGAGATATAACACCCCTTTAATAATGTATAGATTATTTGGCCATTCTCAATGCCAAGTTAATGGGCTTGTAGTTTTTACAGTAGAACTACTCATAATTGGAAACCCATTGCCTTTCACTTCTGATAACTGAAACACCGTTGCCAGCTTTTAAAATATTTCCTACCTCTTTTTCCTATTTGATATCAATCTCAAAAAATGACATAGTATTTCAATGGTATCATTTTAATTTTTAAAAATTTATATGGACCAGAATATTTGAAGATGTGATCTTAGATTATTTCACACAATTCTTTTGCCTTCAATTCCCTATTGGTTTCACTCTTTAAAAGCACATGATTACTTGCAGGAATAATAGCCTTTTGGCTGAGAAGAGGAAAGTAAAATAAAGGAGGGTGATTTTGCCCTCTTTATTGAAACATAGCTCCAAGTGTCTTCTTTATCAGCAAAGTGGTTAAATTATGTTGACCGTATATGACTGGAAATCACTAATTATTTTATATGAGGCACCTCAATGTTAACTAGAATATTTAAACCACTAGAATATTTTATTTTTCTTCTCTTCAATAAATGGTCATTTCCTGTAATAGAGCCTGGGTTTATTATAAAAATCCACATGACTTATGAAACTCAGTTTTACACATTTATTAATAGAGAATGCTTGTTCCTACTATTAAAGATCATAAATTACTATTAAATTTATGTTCCCTCAGGGGCACTGGATAGCAACAAGGTAAAAAGGAAAGCAGTAATTGATCACACAAAAATGGATAAAGAGAACACTCACTGTGTCTGAGGAAAACACCACACAGTTCTTGGTCCGTGGAGGCAGAACAGGTTACTATTAGTTTGGGAGTGTAACATCTTATAGCAAAAAAATTCATATTGTGCTTTTCCCATTGAGATCAGGTTGTCAAGTTACTTTTCATTCTTACTAAATGTATGCTAAATGCAGCTTTATACATTTTAATTTTGAAGAATTTTCACCATGCAGACATAGAAAGAAATGCTAGAACTTCTTAAAGATCAAAAGCAAGCCAGCATTCCTACATAGGAGAAATGCAACAGCAATACTGTCAGAGGTATATTATTATATCTTTTTCAAAAGTAAAATAATTTACATTGAATTTCGCAGGTACAAAAACTTAGATTGTGAATTACAAAATACTTTATAGCATAAATAGATGTGAGATCTAGTGTTAATCATTAGGGGAAGATATGCCCAAAAGATTAGGAAGCACATTTTCATGTGCCTTATTTCTTATAGTGCTTGATATAGAGCAGTGACTGTCATAGTTCACATTTTATAAGGAAGAGTTACTTTATGAAAATCTGTAATTTTTTTCAACTGTAAGAGTAACTGCTATACATTACAGAACATTTGAAGGCCAAACATTAAAAAATGGCATCAGAAATTAGGAACAATCATACTCATTTGCTTATTTTGAAGGAAAAACACCCCTGTTAGAAGATCTTTTCTTCTTCTTTTCATATTTGTCTTAGTCTGTTTTGTGCTACTATAGCAGAATAGCAGAGGCTGGGTAACTTATAGAAACATAAATGTATTGGCTTATAGATCTGGAGGCTGAGAAGTTCAAGATCAAGGGGCTTACATCTCACAAGGACCATCTTGCTGTGTATTCTCATAGCAGGAGGGCAGACAGAGGACATGAGAGAGGCAAAAGAGGCGGAACTTACCCTTTTATAATGAACCCACTCCCAAGATGAGAGTATTAATCCATTCTCTCTGCCTTCATGGCCTACTCACCGCTTATTGGGCCCCACTTCCTAACATGGTTGCACTGGGTATTAAGTTTGCAGCACATTTTTGTGGGGGACACATGGAAATCATAGCAATATTTAAAATATTTGCCTTTAGTCTTCTTATAAATGAAGGGCTTAAGTCATTTGAATACTGTATAACAATTACTCCTGAATATTGGGGAGGACTCAGGTGACTGACCTTGATGATAAGGAGGCTAAGAAGATCCAAGAACATCTGAAAACCTGTGGTACTGACCCTGTGTGCACTGGGTGGGCTGCACCTACTTGTAGTGTCCTCACAGCTTCTCATGCTATTAAAACTGGCAAGGATTTTTAAATAATAAAAAATCGAGCTCCCATATAATCTTTTTTTTATAAGACCAGGTCTCACTTTGTCTCCCAGGCTGGAGTGCAGTGGTGCGATTACAGCCTCAGCCTCCCTGGTCTCAGGTGATCTTCCCACCTCAGCCTCCCCAGTAGCTGGGACTACAGGTGCACACCACCATGCCTGGCTAATTTTTCTGCTTTTTTTTGTAGAGATGGGATTTTGTCATCTTGCCCAGTCTGGTCTCAGATTCCTGGGCTCAAGCAATCCACCTGCCTTGGCCTCCCAAAGTGCTCCTGTATAATATTTTATTAGATTATTATTTAAATTTATTTTAATTAACACACAACAAATTAATTCCTTTTGGTCCTCAAAAATACAGAGTTATAAAACTTCTACAATGTGAAAGCACAGAAAAATTTCATCACTCTCCAAAAAAAAACTCTCTTGTGCTATTTTTTTTTTCAAATACCTCCTTCCTCACCCCTGGCAACTTTATCACTATACTTTTGCCATTTTTCAGGCTGTCATATAATGGAATCACTTGTTACGTAGGCTTTTGAGTGTGTGCATCTTTCACTCAGCACAATTCATTTGAGGTGAATCCAAGTTATTGCCTGTTCCTTGTTATGGTTGAGTGATATTCCGTGGTATGGTTGTACCACAGTTTGTTTATTCATTTTTCCACTGAAGAATGTTTGCGGTGTTTCTGGTTTTGGTCAATTATGCATAGAGCTGTTATAAATACTTATTATAGATTTTTTCATAAATGTAAGTTTTATTTCTTTTTTGGGGAAATATTAAGAAGTGGGATTGCTGGGTTATATGTTAAGTATGTACTTAACTTTGTAAAAACAATTACCTAAATATTTTCCAAAGTGGCTGTAGCATTTTTGCATTTCCACTAGAAATGCATGAGATTTTCAGGTGCTGCACACCCTTGTCTGCACTTGGTTTTATCAGTATTTTTTATTTTTGCCACCTTAGGAAATGTGTAGTGGTGTGTGATTGTGGTTCTATTTGTATCATAATGGCTAATGATGTTAAGCATCTTTGCCTGTGCTTATTTGCCATCTGTATATCTTCTTTGGTGAGGTGTCTATTCAAATATTTTCCCCATTTTTCTGATTGCCTCCTTATTAATCTTTGGAAGTTCTTTAAATATTATGGCTATAATCCTTGCATGCAGTGTTATTTTCACATATTTTCTCTCAGTCTTTGGCTTGTCATTTGTCTTAGTAGTGTCTTTCACGGAGCAAAAGGTTGTTTGCAGTTATTTTTTTGATTCGCAAATGTCTAATTTAGCATTTTTTTCTTTATGAATTGGGGCTTGGAGTAGCAGCTTACAGCTGTTAGGACAACCTAAGCAATCAAAGACTTTTTTTCCTGTTTCTAGTCACAATTTTGTGACTAGAAAGTTTGTTGCATGTTGTATTTAGGTCAATAATTTATTTTGAGTGACTTGTATGAAGTGTGAGACATAGACTGATGTTTATTCTTCTACATTGGATGCCTGGTTTCTTCAGCAGTAGTTGTTCAAAGAACTATCCTTCCCAATTCACTTGGTTCCTTTGTCAAAAATCAATTAACCATATTGGTGTGAGTCTATTTTTGGACTCTCTATTCCGTTGAACTATGTATTTGTTCAGTTACCGATATCCCAGTGTGTTAATTATCGAAGCCTTCTACTATGTCCTGAAATCAGGTGGTCTGAGTCCTCTAACTCAGGTAACATTTAGAGTTAGTGCTCAGACAAAATAAACATTGGATACCTATGAAACATTAAAGTTCATGTTGTGGGAAGCATTTTTCTCTCTTCCTCTTTCTCTCTCTCTCTCTTTTATTTTGTTAGAATAACAGGATGTTTTCTATTTCCTACATCTCAAATTTACCTATAATAAAATACAAAAGTTATAATTACTTTTTAGAAATATACTTCAGCTTTTCAACATAAATTTAAAATTTGTTTTATTAATTATCATCATTTAAGAAAGCCCATTTCACCACAAGCTATACAAAAACAGAATTTTTGGATTATGTTAATTTGGTGAGAAAAATAAAATATACTTTGTAGTTTTCAGGAATTATATTTATTTAGTCACAAACAAAGCCCAGCTTTTCATTTTAACCTTTAGTCATATTTTAATATGTAAATGATTTGCTTAATAGATCTTTGGCATAATTTTTCAAGTGTTATCCTTTCATCTAATTTTATAAATTGTAATATGCTACATATACTTTTGTATAGTGTTGGCATTTCTCTCTTTAATTTTCAATATAATAATAATTATTTTCAGAAATATTATATTTTATTTTAAAAATGTGCATAAGTAATGCAAAATTACAAAAATTATTGAAGAAAAAATAGAAATTAAAGAAAAAAATAGTAATTGAAGAAAAATAGATACTATCACCTGGAAATCTAACTAGACACAATTACCAATAATATTTCACTAATAATGTTTCCAGTTATTTTCTTGCACAGGTTTACTCACACACACACCTATATATATATACACACACACACACACGCACACAAACATGCTTGAAACCATATAAAATATAAACAGACATATGTGTCATTTTAACCTGATATTTTCAAAAACAACGTATTTAGAAAATACCTTTATGTCAGAAAATACTAGTTTGTATCATTTTAGTTGATTACTTACTAGACTATGTGTAATCATTTAAAATTGCATTGTAGTCAATAATTTTGGTTCTGTTGTTGATTTACAAATAACGATTGATGTCTTAATATATTATCATCTGAGAATTAAATGCTATCCTATTATTTCTACTTGTATTCTATTATTATTAACATCAATTTCATTTTCCTTGTTTGTTATCTATTTTTCATTTTCAATTTTGAATCAATACTTATAACTTGTCATTTGTCTATTGGGTTGTCAGTTTTTTGCTTGTGATTTGTAAATGCTCTTTTCTTACATTTCTACTTTTACTTGTCATACATAATGAAAAATTTTAGATTGAATTTTAAATTATGCTTATTTAATTTTATATATTATTTATCCTGTTCGTTATTCATATAAAATTAATGATTATTTTATTTTTATTCTTTAACTTGTAGCTTGTTTTCAATGTAAATCTCATTTATTTTTATTATTATTTTGTTGCTTAAATTTGAAAACTCCTCTAAACACAGTTTAGACATTAAACATATAGTTATTGCACTATAATATTGCTAGTATTATATATAGTTGCTTTTTCGATTTTCCCTTTCATCAAAAGGTTACCTAGAAGATATTTTTCTTATTCTGCTTATGGATATTTTGTAATTCCTTTGCCATTTGCAGAAAAGATTTCCCAGCTTCTTGAATATCTTCTTTTGTTCTTCTGTATAGAAATGTATATTTTAATGTAATCAATTCTCCTGATATTTATTTCTCTCTAAAAGTGTTATGCTTTATGTTTCATCAACTTTAATATTCCATACTGACCCATACTGACCTTCCCCTTTCCAGAAGCTTAGAGCCATCTCTCAGTAGACATATATTTATTGTTTCTCCTCCTACTATTCCTTTTCTTCCTTTTTCTCCTCTTCCTTCTTCCTTACTGCAAATAAATTAAGCAAAAAGGTATTTAATGCAGAGAATTAGAGGCTTAAAAATCAATGGACATGCTAAAAAGAGAAGTCTCTAGACTGAGACTGCAGAAATGAATCATAATGAGATTCACAAACTGGTCCACCAGGAATTTCACCACCCCTGTTAAGAACGAGAAGGTAGAGAATCATGAAGCCACTCTGCATAATTGATTGCATTGACAAAAATTTACCATAGCTGGGATCTAGGGATCAGGAGGCAATAACCTCTTGACACTTTAAACGTTAGAGTGCGCAGAGACCACATGGTGAGGGAGGAAGCAGTGAGAGAGGAGTTACCAGGCTCCTTTCAACAACCAGCTCCCACAGAAGCTGGAAGAGTGAGAGCTCATTTATTACTGTGAAGAAAGCACCAAGCTATTCAGAGGGATTTGCCCCGTGACCCACACACCTCCTATCAGGACCCACCTCCAACAGTGGGGATCAAACGTCAACATGAGGTTTAGAGGAAGAAATAGGCAAACTATAGCAGAAGACATTACTGACTTTGAATCTCAGACAAACTGCCAATGAGGTGACAAAGAACCACTTGTCTATACTGAGAAGAATACATGTTCAGTTACAACATAATATATGCATGGTTTTCATCTTTCTTCTCTATTTTCCTGTATGTGTTTCTGCCACAGATTCCTCATTAGTTAGAACCAACAAAGGAATTTAGTGAGTTGCAGGATATAAAAACAACATAAAAATTAGTTGCATTTCTATACACTAAGAGTGAACTATCTGAAAAGAAAATTAGAAAAACAGTAACCTATGCAATAGCTACAAAAAGAATAAAATACTTGAGAATAAGCTCAACTAAGGAGATGGGCGATGTGTACACTGAAAACTGCAAAACATTAATGAAAAAAAGCAAAGAAGAAACAATGGGAATGGCAACCTATGTCCATGGATAGAAAGATTTAATAGTGTTGAAATGTCCATGCTACCCCAAGCAGTCTACAGATTCAATGCAGCCCTGTCAAAATCCCAATGACATTTTTTAAAGAAATAGAAAAAGCAATAGTAAAATTCTTGTGGAAACACACACCACACACACACACACACACACACACACCCCTATCCCTGAGTAACCATAAAAATCTAGAGAAAAAACAACAAGCTAGAGGCATCACACCTGATTTCAAAATATAGGACAAAACTACAGTAATTAAAACAGTATGCTAATGGCAAAAAGACAGATGTGTACACCAATGCAACATAATACAGATCCCAAGAATGAATTCATACATATATGATCACCCTTAAGATCACTGTGCTAAATAAAATAAGCTGGTTACAGAAACACAAATATTGATGATGATTTCAATTATATGAGGTATCAAAAATAGTCAAACTTACAAAATCAGAATAGATTCCTGGTTGCCAGGTGGGTTGTGGGAGGAGAAGATGGGGAGTTGCCAATTAACAGGCATAAAGTTTCATTTATGCATGACAAATATGTTCTGGATATCTGCTGTACAACATCACCTCTGTAATTAACAATTTTCTATTGTACACTTCAAAGCTTGTTCAGAGGGTAAAGCTCATGTTAAGTCCTCTCACCATAATAAAATAAAATGTTTAAAAATGACATAGTAGCGAGAACAAAGACAGTGGCACTGGGAGTAAAGCCAGTGGTCAGCAAACAAGAATAAAACTGGGTGAAAAGTAGGGAAACAGAATATGGATCATACCCAGGTGTAAAATTTAGATAACAGGCTAGAAGTTGGTATCATTACAAAGGAAACAAGCAGGTATTTGTTTGAGATAAAATGTAAACTTAGTGTAGTATGTACATGTAAAATTGAGCTGGATTTATCAACCAGGCAATTATTGATACATGTCTGATGATTAGTGTGAATATTTGAGCTAGAAATGCATATTTGAGCACTATTAAATCTTTCTACCTATGAACATGGATTGTCTTTTCCTTTGTGTCTTCTTTACTTTCTTTCATTTATGTTTTGTGGTTTTCAGTGTACAAGTCTTCCATCTCCTTAGCTGAGCTTATTCCTATGTATTTTATTATTCTTGTAGCTATTGCAAAGGGTATTGTTTTTCTAAAAAAGTTTGCTCTTAAGTGTGTACAAATGCAACTATTTTTATACTGTTTTTATATCCTACAACTCACTAAATTCCTTTGTTCTACCAGTTTTTTGGTGTAGATTTTAGGGTATTCTGTATATAAGATTATGCCATCTGAAAACAGGGATGATTTAACTTTTCCCTTCCCTTTTCTTTATTTTTCTTACCTAATTTCTCTGGTTAGGACCTCCATTACTATTTGAGTAAAAGTGGCAACAGTGGGCACCTTTTGCCTCCTTTCTGATCTTAGAGAAAATGTGTTTTAGTGTTTCATGGTTGCATATGTTACCTTTTCATATATATAGTCTTTATTGTGTTGAGGTAATTTCCTTCTGCACTTAATTTGTTGAGAGCTTTTATCACAGAAGGGTATTGAGTTTTGTCAAATGCTTTTTCTGCATCTATTGAGATCATCAAGTGATTTTTATCATCTGTTCTGTTAATATGCTGTATTTATCACATTAGTTGATTTTTGTATTTTAAGCCATGTTTGCATTCCAGGGCTAAGTGTCATTTGGCCATAGTGTATGATCCTTTTAATATGCTGTTAAATTTGGTTTGCTAGCATTTTGTTGAGGATTTTAAAAGTCCATATTATTCAGGGATATTGACTTGTCATTTTCTTATCTTGGGGTGTCCTTTTCTGGCTTTTGTATTAAAGTATGGCTGGTCTCATAACTTGAATTTATAAGTATTCCTGCCTCTTCAATTTTATGGTGGAGTTGAGAATGGTTTGCATAAATTCCTCCTTAAATGATTGGTAGAGTTCACCAGTGAAGCCATCTGGTCCTGGGCTTTTTTCGCTAAGGGATTTTAAATTACTGGCAAAATTAACTTATTATTGGTTTCTCCAGACTTTCTATGTCTTTGTGATTCAGTTCTGGTAGGTTTTATTTTTCCAGAAATTTATCCATTTCTTCTAGGTTATCCAGTTTGTTGTATATAGTTGCTCCCTGTAATCTCTTCTTATCTTTTTTGTTTTTGTGGCACCAATTGTAATGTCTCTTTTTTCATTTTTCATTTAATTTATTTGACTTTTCTGTCTCGTTTCTTCTTTAAAGATTTGGCAGTTTTATCATTTCATAACACAAACTCTTAAATTTTTTAATTTTTAAAATCGTTTTCTATTCTCCATTTGTTTCATTTTTGTTGTCTATTTCATAGCTTCCTAACACTACCTGCTTATTTTTGCATGCACTTTGCCCTCCACATGTTCACAGACTTCACCAGGCCGAAGATGATAATTACTTTGTGCCTCCCAAGGACTGATTTAGGAATAGGTGTGTGACACATTTCTGGTCACGAAACGTCTGCATAATGACAAATGTTTTCCAGTCTTAAAATGTTATAAACCCAAGAAAGAATCCCTTCTTCCGTTGGGTAGCTTCAGGTCTGTATTTATGCCTAAGGTCAAGAAAGGTGCTGGCCTGAGGGGAAATATCCAGACTCTGCACGGGGGGTGGGGGAGGGGGTGTGGCAAACAGCAGAACAAAATGAATAGTAGAATATTGTCCTTGATTACGTGTGGAATGGTTGATGTACCTTAAATTAGAATTGCTCTGCCCTGAGACTTCTTCCTGTTCTGGGAAATGTTGCATTGTTCTTGTTGACTGAATGAGTTAAGGCAGGATGTTTCTGTTCCTGGGATCCCAGTTTAAACTAGGCAGAAATCTGCACAAAGAACAAATCCAGGTACAGTCATGTTGGCCAGGCTGAGCCTGCCATGGGAGCTCATAGCAAAAGCATGCAAGAGCCCTGATTTATTGCCTTCATCTCAGACCTAAAATAAGCAGTATGAATTGACAATTGTCCTTTGAAAAAGTCCCACCGAGAGCAGACTTTCATTATGAAGGCAGTACCCCTACAAAAGGAAGATGGAGGGCAAGACTGAGACGTTTGCTTGCGGGCATTCTGTTGGGCAGCCGAACCTGTCTCCCCTCGCTGGGGCAGCAGCGATCTTCACTATCAGTGCAAATGAAAATCATAGGAGTAAAGATGAATTGCAGCCACATTCTTTGAAGAAATATAATTTGGAATCTATAATCGTCACTGCCATGCAGAAGGAACAGGTCCAAAACAGAACAGCGCTTCTGAGTGTGCCATCTTCCTCCGGATTACAAGGACTGGCTTTCCTTATCTTCAATAAGTCTTTAAATGTCTATTCCTGAAGCAGGACAGAGGATATTACTTGAATGATCTGGAGCAAATCCATAATTTTTCTTGAAAGAGCGCACCCTGTGGGAAACTCATTGAATCCTCCTTGCATCTGAGCGACATTTCTTTTCAATCAAGTGTGTTCCAATAAAGGAGTTAGGTATTGTTTGGGGACTTGATTTTATTCACAAGGAATGAGACAGAATACAAGCCATTATATAGCAACAGAGTGGGTTGCTTCATCAAACCCAGGAGAATTGAGTTGGGCCTGTTCCTCAACTGTCCTAAGTCGCTGAAACTGACTCTGAGATGGAGATTTGCATGCAGGAGGTTTGTTGAGGACAAATCTTGGGAGCAATGCCTGCTGGGGAGGGTTTAGATGGGATGAGCACCTGCAGCAATTAAACAGCAATGCAATTGCTTCCGAGGCCTCAGCCCATTCCACCAGAGCTCTCAACAGAGAATGATTCCACAGAGACAAGTCTTGAATGGAGACTTTGCAGCCCTGCATCCGCCTGTCCTTCAAGGTGAGCTGTCCTCCAGAGGGGGCATATCCTTGGGGGAGGCAACTCCGTTGGCCAACTTCAGTTCCTAGGGAGGACCTCAGGTCAGAAGTCAAAGCTCCTAGCATTGGGAGGTATGCACACCTAACAGGAGTGTCTGGGCAGTGTATCATAGAATCCACTCCAGAGGCCACAGAGTAGAAAGTGAAAGTGCGTGTGAGGGGGAGGAGGAGAATGGGAAGCAGGAGCTGTGTGGTAGAAGCTTGGTGATCAGGCCAGAAACTATTTGCCTGAGGATGTGAGAGCCAGTGTGGCTCTGCTTCAGTGCATTGTTTGGCTGCACCGGAGATCTCTGTGTCTGGGACAGGACAGCGGGCAGGGGCCCTGAAAAGGGGTGACCTACTCAGGTACAGCATGACTTTTGAGAGAAAACAAACAAACACTGGACCAGGAGACACATGACTTGTTCTTTGGTATGCAGAGCAAAATCACTTCATTTTGGATAAATTTTGTGGGCCATCATGCCCTAATTTAAATAGTTGGAATGATGTAAACTAGCTTGCCCTTGCTCAAAGGATTGACCAGTGATCAAAGAAAATGTTGCATGTGAATGTTCTATATCAACCCTAAAGTAGAAAGTGTGTACTATCTATGTATTCAGGAGAAATGGAGACATACATGGAAAAATACATTTTATTGGAATAAAAATTGGGTATAGCTACTAAAAGTAAAAAAGAAATTTAGAAATTATGATCTCCTAATGACTCAGCTGGTTACATTAACAAAACATTGCTATACAATCTCAGAGAGATCCTTTGAGTTAGAACGGTTTATGTATTCCGGAGTCAGAAGATGGGGAGAGGTTGGAGAATCACCAGGCCTTATGTAATCAGCAGTGGAAGTCTTGGGACTCAGCCTCAGATCCTCTGCCTCTTGAAGTCTTGCTCTTCCACTGTGTTTTCCAGATAAACACACATGCTCACCCTGAAATGCCCGCACACTTATACATACACACTTATACTTCTGAGGTGAGGTCTACAGTAGGTAGGGCCAAAATCCAACGAGTGGCTTCTGATCAGTTGCACACTGTCCCAGGCTCATTGTAAATTTTGTCTATTTGTCACTTCAGATATAGAATGATATTGCAAATAATAAAAATAGATTTCTCATTTTTCTTTATCTTCAGAGGAAGAGTAATGCACGAAGCTGGTAAAGACCTTTTATGTTTTAAAACCAATATATTTTCTTAATACGAGTAAAACAGTATCAAAGAGGTCAGACAAGTAAAAAGTAAAAAAAAAAAAATTTCCATTCAGTGCCCCAAACCCAAGCATCACTCCTCAGAGAGTTTGTGTGTGTGTGTGTGTGTGTGTGTGTGTGTATCTTTTTGAGCAAACATTTTTAATGCCCATATGGTATAATGACAGCAGTTGACAGTTTCTCATGTCTATTTCCATGTAGTATCTATGCTTATATAGGAAATTCTGAATGCCTGAATACCTGAATCTCTGGGAGGTCTATGGATGAATCCAACTCTAGTTATCCTGTAGATGTGCAACCTTACATATGTGAATTATCCTCTGTATGCTTATTTCATAAATAACACAAAGATAAAAACTATATACATTCTATATGCCAATTGCAAGGAATAAATGAGCTACCACACCCAAAGTTCTCACATAGGGCTTGCACATAGTTGGAATATGGTATATATAGCCTCTTATCAGTATTCACTTAAAATTATTGTTTTAGGAATAAGGGCATACAGAAAGAATCATAACATTATAATATTGTTTATTTTTTACATTACTATATATAAAACTAACTTATTCTTCCCAGGGACTACTTATCAAAATTTATTCCACAAGTCCTCATTTTGATTAATAGTTAGGATTTGTTTGTTTGCTTTTGTTGTTTATTATTCCAAAACAAAATTTAATTTAATATTATATGCATTGAAAAATGAAATGCATCATTCTGAAGGCATGTGTGTTCATTTGTGCAATAAATATCATGAAGCTTTATTGTTGAATCAATGTTGAATCAATAGATAATGGTATAGATGGTGCCAAATTACCTTCCAAAAATATTGCACCAATATGCTCAACCAGTGGTTTGCCAGAGCATGTATGTGAAGGGCCTCAGAATGGTGCAAAGATTATTATAAAATGAAGACTTTGGAGATACAGCAGATACAGAAAGAAGACTTTTGAACTTGTCTGACTATAGGCAGAGTCTTCTGAGAGTGACGCTTCCATAAATCCCCTCTCGAGGGAAATTCCAGCCGGGAAGTAGACTGAGCATTAGCACTGGAATGATAAATTGTATTTAAAAAATTATCACAAACTGCATACCTTCCATCTATTCCCTTAAAAGTTCATTCGTTAGCTATAGAAGTCCTATCCCTCCCCCATTTACAATATTAAGTGATTAGATAAACCCTCATTCCTAGCCGTTTAGGGAGCTTCTTCCCCTGAATAAACCCTCATGCATAATAAATTGTTCTCATCTTAAACCATCTATCATCAGTTGAATTCACAGGTCTCCAGACCACTGAGACCTGAGTTGGTGGAGGAAAAGTTTTTCCTCCCATCATATCTATTTGAGTAGGGTTGCCAGACTTAACAAAAAATAATGAGCAGATGAATAACAATTTTTTGTATGACACAGACTATTTGGGAGACACTTATACTAAAACTAAGTTTTCATTTAACTATTGATCTTAATGAGCATGAATGAGGCATCAGTGCAGTAACCTTGCTCATTCTCTTTGAAGCAGTGCTCAGGGCAGCAGCACTGAAGCTGGGACAGTGCCACGGGGCCATTTGGCTCCTGGCTCTGACTAGCACACATTTTACTTCCATGAGAGTCTTTTTCACTCCGGCCTCCCAGGAAACCACAGAAACCCATGAAAATGTAGATATCCTTGCTAGTAATTACCAAGACCAGCAGGGTCTCAATGATTCAACAAACTACCTTTAAAAAAATAAACAGTATTTTATTTTAATATTTAAGAGAAGCCAAGTATGCTTTATACGTTTATTTCCTGATATTTTTTATTCCTTTTAGAATGTGGATATTACCAAATTTCACAGGAGAATAATAATACAGAAGAGATAACTTAAAAATTACATATGTAAAAGAAATCCTCCTAAACATTTAAAAATAACACTTTACTACTTTTGAACTAGACCAACCAGTACAACAAAGATGGCAGGGCATCAGCCAATGGTATTGGAATTCAATCCATCAGAAAAGTGAAAAACAAATTTTGTCATTTTTTTAAATGTGAGATGTTACAAAGCTACATGAATGTCAAGCCTAAAAATCTTAGAACCATGAGGTCTAATCGACTGATATCCAGGAATATGTCCTAATCTCAAGGAATTGCAGCTCTCCAAGAAGGATGTTCTGACCAATGGAAATCTCTAAACCTAAAACCTTTGATTTGGGCAATAATGTAGTCAGCAATACCCCCTTATTAGGAAAAGGCATGTTGCTACCCACTGTTTTCTCCTGAGTGGGGCATCAGCTGGATTACAAAAGAGCCAGGTCAACCAGAACACAAATGTCTTCTCATATCAATTGCTGACTTGCAAAGGCCCGGATTCCCTTTGACAAACCCTAACTGAGTCATTTGGAATTTCCAACAAAAGCAGAAACGAGTAGGACCAATGGATCCTGTGCTAAACAAGTAGATGCTACATTGATTATAAACTAATTCAGCAATAATACAATTATCAATCTTGCAAAGATTGCCATGTCTGATGAATGCCCTTTTTTTGTAAATTATCTCTTTCAATATTATTTGTGTTATTTTGACTTTCATCTTCAAAAAGTAATGTTTTATTAAAGATTGCGTAATAATTTTTTCACTACTTAAGATAATTAGCCCAAAACACAACCAGAGAACTTGACAATAAAGGTAACTTTTGCTTATGTTTCTTTTTAGAGAATAATGTTAAAATATTTAAAGACATTTTCTTGGAGAATTAATGTAACTACTAATATTTTCTTGGAGAATTAATATAATTACTAATATCATTTTTAAAGCAATAGTTAAGAAATAATAGAAGCATTGTGGGTTTTCAAAGTCTCTGAAACTCAAGTACAATCGTTCATGGTCATCTGAAGCCCAAATACCATCTGGGGACAATTGCCCACTTTAAAATGTTAAATTATAAGGCAAAGTCATTTAATATCGGTCAAGAAATAAGTTTAAAGTGGCTCTGTATCAGTGTTATTACATAACAAACAGTAGATTTAAACACTTTATTTTAAGCACTTATGATAAATCAGCCACAAAGTCATTGGAGAATATCATGTAGATGGGGCAGCATGACGAGGTTTTCAGCCACTAAGGACACGTTTGACTTTTGGAGGTCTAGGCTTGCCTGGTATTTTTTTTTTTTTTTTTTTTGAGGCGGAGTCTTGCTCTATCTCCCAGGCTGGAGTGCAGTGGCGTGATAACAGCTCACTGCAAGCTCCGCCTCCCGTGTTCACACCATTCTCCTGCCTCAGCCTCCCGAGTAGCTGGGAGTACAGGTGCCCGCCACCACGCCCTGCTAATTTTTTTTTTCTTTTTTTTTTTTTTGTATTTTTAGTAGAGACAGGGTTTCACCATGTTAGCCAAGAAGGTCTCGATCTCCTGACCTCGTGATCCGCCCGCCTCGGCCTCCCAAAGTACTGGGATTACAGGCTTGAGCCACTGCAGCTGGCCTAGGCTTACCTGGTATTTGTAAGTTTGATTTGGGGAAAAAACTGAGATATGACAGTCATTGGACATTCATTTTGTTAGTAAATAAATTTGTTCCTTTCATTTCTGCTGTGAATAAAGAAAAGTCATTATTTGAGGCAATTTTAAGAAACATAGTTTGAGAATTTATTAGTAAGTAAACTTAGGGAGTGGCATTGTTTTTACCAGCTTTCCTTTAATTAAAATTATTTTTCCTTAAATTATTTAAAAGAATGAAATACACACACACATATATATATACACACACACACGTATACACATATAATGATTCAAAAAGTACACATTGGTTTTTAGTAAAATTGCAAAAGATGGAAAAACATTCAGAAGGACATCTATTGTCATTCTTTCTGAGTCTTTATTGAAAATGCGACTTGCCTTTATTGAAACTGAAACACTTTTACTGATACGTTTTATTTTCTTCTTTCCCACCTCTTTTGAAATTTGAAAAATAATCCAACTCTTCATAAATTATGATTTTTGAAAAATGGTTTTATCAAGATTTTAAAATAATCCTAAGAAAATGCTTTAAATCTATTACTGTCTTTTCTGAATACATTAGTACATTAAGTACATTAGGCAAATATTAAAGCTATAGTGATGGATGGGAGGATTAAAGAAACAGGATGTCTCAGAGTTTTCAAATTAACAACCACAACAAAACTTATTGCCAGAATCAAAATACCCAACTACTACCTTTTTAAAAGGCATATTGCAAAGTTTAGAATAAGCTTAAGAAAAAACAAAATATGGCATAATATTTCAAATTATAAAACTTATTCTGGACTAGTAATTTTTGAAAAATAATCTTATTTTTTGTTCTCAAATATTGTATTAGAAAAATATAATAGGTGTGACAATAGGTGCTGAGGTATAATACAAGCATGACCCAGGACTCAGCATTCTGGGAAGAGAAATTGCAGAGTAACTGTCAGAGGGCCACTACATTTGTTGGTAGAGTGACTATATAATTTTCTTTTATGCAAATAAACCAATCAGAAATATGATAACCGACATACCTGGAAGTTTGATGCAATCAAAAGCCAAATGTGGGAAGGTTTTGCTTTATATTTGCATATGCTTACCCAGATTTGCAATGAAAATGCTCTTTTTTTCTTTCTTTCTTTCTTTTTAAAAATTTTTTATTTTTTGAGATATGTTAAGACATGGTCTCCCCCTGTTGCCCAGGCTGGAGTGCTGGAGTGCAGTGGTGTGACCACGACTCACTGCAGCCTGAACCTCCCCAGCTCAAGCAATCCTCCTGCCTTAGCCTCCTGAGTAGAAGGGCCTACAGACACGCACCACCATGCCTGGCTTAGTCTTAAACTTTTTGTAGAGATGGAGTCTCAGTATATTGCCAGCCTGGTCTCAAACTCCTGGCCTCAAGTGAGCCTCCCCAATCAGCCTTCCAAAATGCTGGGATTACAGACGTGAGCCACCATGCCTGGCCTGAAGATGCCATTCTTAAAATATGTGTGTGTCGTGTCTTGTGCTCATATTTGTCCTTGATATGCCTGTGTTGAGTCCTGAGACTCCGAAGAACACAGTTTGGAAAACAACAAATGGCATCCAGAGCTGCTTTGGGGTTTAAAGGCTTAAATGCCTCATTGCTGCTGCACTTTTCTGAGAGTCTGATAAAAGTATTTTTTTTACCCTCAAAAGTCAATGGTGTTATATACTTGGTGAGTTTGGTCTTATAACCTGCCTACCCACCACAAAATATGCCATAGAGCCAACACCTTCTAGGAGCCATCCATTGGCATCCCTGTCTTGTTCCCAGTTTTAGGGAATTATCTTGCATTCAGCTTCATTGTCTGACACTTCCATATCCTTCTAAGTCTTGGCTTCTTATCTTGTATTTGTTACCAGCTTTGTACTTATTCCAGGCATCTGATCTGTGTAATACCACTCTTCTAGAACTGTCTTGAGGTCCCTTTCTCTGTGATTTCTGCTTGTTGCCTTTCAAAGTGAAAACTTTCTGGAAATAAACTGACAGGTTCATCATAATAGTTTCATGATAATAGTTTATCTCCCTTATTTTACTTTTTTTTGGTACAACTTACTGAACAAAATGTTCATGTGCGTTTTCTTGTTTAATCTTTGTAATTATTATCATTATGTTATTATTCTTATGTAAATTGAGACAACTCAGGCTTAAAGGCCTAAGTAATTTCCCTGAGGTTGCAAACTCATGGATGTTAGCAAAGATGTAAACCTTGGTTACTGTGATTCTAAAGCTCTTACCAGTGGACCATGGTTTGCCATGGAAAGGAATTGGACATCTTGACCCCAGAACTCACATTCTTTTAAGACAGGCAGATTCAATGTAAGGGGTGTGGAAGGTAAATGGAATTAGGAAAACCTTCAGCAAAGAATGAGCAATTTAGGAATAAGTAATTTTTTGCCAAGCTTCCTTTATTTTCATTGGAGTAGACTTCATAGGGGAGGAAAACCAATTTTTCTCTACAATTAGACTGTCACGAGACAGTTTAACAGGAGACAATGCACACAAATTAATTTAATGTTAATTATCTTATGCGTACATGGAGGCCTTTATATAAAAGATATGAAGATCTCAAAAAGCAGATAGGCCTGAGTAAGTACAACCCATTTTTAATAAAGGATGATAAATTTCAAAACAAAGGAAAAGGGTGTTCAGGCTTCTATCACCTGCAAGCTGTGGGAAGGTAAATACATGGGGAAACTAATGGAAAACAAGGGTGATTTTAGTAAGGTTTGTTTGTGCAGGTCCATCTTGGCGCTAACTTTCCCCGTTCTTGATGGCCCTAAAACTCTCCTGAGAGAGGAGATTGTCTGCAGTCCTCATTTCTCAGAAGTTTCTGCTTTTAGTGATATAAAGGAAGCTCTGAGAAGGCTTTTTTCCCTGCATTTGTTGATTTTCAATTAACTCCTGATTGGAATAATAAATATGCCAAAGTGGTATATTTTGGGGTGGCACATTCCATACTCTTCAACTTTAAGGTAAAGAAGAAAGATGAAGACTTCCTGAAGGTCCAGGACTGCAGCCAACAGTAGAATACAACTAGCATAGAATTTCTTTGAGGTTTCATGTTCATCTAAAAATTAATCAAATTTTTATATTTTTCACTTTAGTCATTTTAACATTTAACAGTGTATGGTTGGACAGATAGACAGACCTCAACATAGACATAGACAGATATAGAACAATAGGTATAGATATATGGTTAAGTAAGCAAATGAAGTGAATAGGCCATGTTATACTGGGTGTGTGTGTGTGTGTTTATATATACACATCTTGAGTATATCTCAAAAACCCTTAGAGGATTAAGTCAGCATCAGTGTCTGGATTTGTAAATGTAGTACGTGCATCCCATACTCCAAGGCTCATTTCTTCCTTTGTGCAGTGTGGAATCAGAGCCAGAATATTTCAAAAGAAATTCCATTCTCAATTCTGAACTGAGCAATCACACAACCAATCATTCCTTATTATATTAACCTATCCTCTATTAGTTTTTAGTGTTTCTAAAATGCTCTAGTGAAGCATTGTACATATGAGTGGGATGGGGATGCTGGAATTGAAGTACAACTGGAGAACGTGTTCTGGTCTCCAAGGGTTCTCAGCGGTTCCCTTGGGCCTCTTCAAGCCCTGTTAGGTTTCCAATGCCAGAATGGCCAAATGATAGCATTAGCGCTAGGGCTGGAGGCAACTGAAGCTAAAGCTTAAGAAAGTGATGGAGATAAAGATGAAATGGGGATTAGGATGGGGGGAATGATGGAGAAAAGATAGAGAAACACATAACACAAGGGAATCTAGCCTATTTGCATTACAAAGGTTCCCAGAGTTTAGCAGCTGAAAGTCAACTGACAGCTCGTTCAATTATGCTTTTATTCACCTTTTCAACAACTATTTACTTAGTGAGAGGTAGTGGGCAATATGCCAGACACAGTGTTAAACAAAACATAAGTAGTCCCTGCTGTCAAAGGCTTTTATACTTTAGTGAGGGAGATAGGTGTCAAGATTTGTCTGATGTGTCTGAGATTTGACTCCATTTATAAGCTCAAGCAGCCTAGCACAATTTCATGGATGCTGGCAGAAGACTTGAGACTTGCGAGTCAGAATGAAAGAGTGTTTCTCACAGCCACAGCAGCAGCCAGAGCGCCAGCACATGCACCAGCTTCCTGAGGCCCGGTCCCTATCAGCCAAGGTAAGAGGGCCAGGCCGTGCCTGGGCACACCACGGGTTTTGGGAGAGGAGACCAAACTTAGGGAAAATACATTGTTTATAATGAACGGTAAGGAAGGTTGCCTGATAAAGTACAGTGTGCCTAGTTAATTTGAAGTTTTGATAAACAACATATAATTTCTTAGTATAAATATGTACCAAACATTGCATAGGACATACTTTATCTTAAATTCAAAGTTAACTGGACACAGTGTATTCTTATTTGATAGAACTGGTAACAGTAGGCCTGTGTGATTTCTGCCCCTGTTGGGGGCACTATCTCTGTCTTCCAAGGCTGTTTACTCTACAGACATCCTTGTGAAGATAGTCCAGGAGAGATAGTCATAGCCTCTGCTCATAAGACATGTAAAGATTTGTGGAAAACGAACTTCTTTGATCAAATGTTAATCAAATTAAAGCGCTACTATACAACTTCAGTTTGTGGTAAGTGACAAAAAGGATTTGGAGGGTCCCATTAGAAGGTGGACCTAATATACCCTAAGAAATACTCATAGATCATTAAACATCAAATAAAACTCCACAGTTGCATCCTCCTCTAATCAGTTGTTAGCTAAGTAGTAATGCAAATCTCATAGCAATAGCTGCTACTGTCATAGCTGTTTATAAAAGTGCTACTCCGGCCTGGTGCAGTGGCTCACACCTGTAATCCCAGCACTTTGGGAGGCCGAGGTGGGTGGATCCCAAGGTCAGGAGATTGAGACCATCCTGGCCAACATGGTGAAACCCCGTCTATACTAAAACACACAAAAAAATTCGCCGGGCGTGGTGGCATGCGCCTGTAGTCCCAGCTACTTGGGAGTCTGAGGCAGGGGAATTGCTTGAACCCAGGAGGCGGAGCTTGCAGTGAGCCAAGATCGCCCTACGGCACTCCAGCCTGGCGACAGAGCAAGACTCCCTCTCAAAAATAAATAAATAAATAATAAAAATTTAAAAAGCTACTCCAACTCTACAGCTGCAGGGATGACATTCATCTAACTATATCTTTCCTGAAAGAATAGAGTGAAAATTTTGTTTAAAGCATTCTCCTTTTTTAAAGTTTCATTGATTTGTTGGTTCGCTCACGTTATTATACGGGCTTTTCCTCTAAGTGGCTGATTTAGAGATAAACAAGAAACTTTGTACATTGTGGCCTATTTTGGTTTGGATCCATGAACTTTAAATATTATCAACTGTGTTATTTTGAGTTAGCTTGCAAACAAATTTCCAGTATTGAAAAATACGCTTGTAACTAAATAGTTATATTTCAAATAACCATTGTTGTTTATCCCAGGCATTTGATCTGTAATACCACTGTTCTACAGCTTTGGTATGTTTCTGCTAAAATATGTGAAATTAACTAATTAGCCCATCAAATATATGACAATGATGATTAGAGCTCAGTGTCATTCCTTCATTGTATAAATTTACATTAATTTCTAAGCAATTCAAAAGACTTCAATGTTCAATGAAGATGAATAAATCACACTTTCTGATGTCCGTAAAGATCATGTGCTAACTTTATTTATTTATCATGAATCTACTTCTCCTACTTATTACCAAGTAGTACTAAGTTTTGACTTTTCCCTCAAAGCTCTGTTTCCTGAAGAAGGAAAAGACAAGGAGGTTAGTCCCAAGCCCATCCCAGTAATACCATACAGGAACTGTGCTTCTATATTCAGGGTTACATTTTTCCTGCTTGTCAGAAAATATATAAGCCTTACTGATTTTTGATGCTGGGTTTTAAAATATACTTTGAGTATATAAAAATCCCATAATTTATAAGGAGACAATCAGCTTTAATTAGGGTATTTCCAGTGGAGTGTGGATTGCGTACTTCTCTCCTGTATCTGTTGCACTGGGTTTTGGTTTTGTTTGATTAGGGGATGGGGCCTGCGCTTCATGAGAAGCCACTCCTCCTCTCTTTATATTCAGTCCTCTCTGCAGTACTTTTGCTATGCTTTATACCTTGAGCATAAAGTACTCCACTGGCACTGCAAGCATCAAGTTCCTAGTGACTTCCTAATTGTTGTCCTGGCTGGTCTTGCTGTGTCATTGCCATTGTTGACTTCATTGATTCATTCATTAATCCATTCTCCCCACAGACATTCACTGGGCACCTAATAGGTTCCTGATGTCTTTCCAGAATAGAAAGATAAATAAATAAACTTCTTTATTTCATATACCTTGTATCTTTGGTGATATCACCCACATTTATCTATGTTATCACTTCTCTTTCGAGTCGTCCTTAGGTGGCTCCCTCCTGTTCCTGGGTCCATCCATAAAAAGCTGATGTTATTTATGACACTTTCTTCAACTCTTCCTTTAATCCATATATTCTCTCCAAAGACTTCATGCAATCAATTATATCTGCTAATTCATCTCAAATATAGTCTAGTCTCAAAAGGCTTCCATATTCATAGCACTGGGGTAAATTGCTCTTTTGGTCTACAGATCGAAATTTTCAAATTCTATGCTCATTAACTTCGAAGTTCCACAATCTTCTTAAAAGTATTTTAAGTAGTTCCCAAATCAACTCCTTCTTAGCTTCTTCTTTTTGACTTTCTGTCTCTATTAGTCATGTCACCAAATTCCATTCCTCCACTTACACACACAGCAGCATTCACCTACACCCAGTATTCCCTCCTTGTTCCCACTGTGTCGACCCCATGTCCTCACCCCTGCTTCAGGGCTGCCTGTGTGTCTGTCACTTCCATTACACCTCACCCCTGACTTCCATGTTTTCTTAAATAATATGACTTTGTCTAAGTAATATCCATTTACTGATATTGTTAGATTATTAGATTGCAAGTCTTAGCAATTAATGTTTTTCTATGAAAAATAAAAATGTGGTTCTATGAAGCTCCAGTCTAGGCAAATTATCTTCCTCTATTGTTTCAATTTGTTTAAATTGATATTTATATTTAAATAGCTTTTAAATGGTTACCTTACTATTTTGTGTGCTATTCATGTATTTTCAAGGAAACAATCCTAAGAAAGTAGCTTAAAATGCATGAATCCTTGAAAATACGTGAATAGCACACAAAATAGTAAAGCAACAATTTACATATCCTTTGCTTTGCAGAAGCTTTTTAACTTGATGTGATCCAATTTGTCCATTTTTCCTTTTTTCAAAGAGATACATTAATACATTTGTATTAATACATTTGTATAGATGCAGTAGTCTTATGCTTTAAAAATTTCCTTGTAGTCTTCATAGCCGTTGATCATTCCTTTCCAAAAGTAGAGTAAGTACTCAAACCTCCTCTTACAACAGATAGGCACATCTATGTGTTCCCTTTTTATTGTCTTGGCAACATTTCCTCTAGGTCCTTCTTCCACTGGACTGGTATGGTCTGTTTATTTCCAGTCTGCTGCACACTTGCTGTCTGGAGATTTCTCTTCATCATTGTTGTGAAATCCCCCTGCTCTCTGCTGTGCTGGGTGCCTTGCTTCCTGGCTCTGAGTCTGCCTTGACATAATGTGCTCCCATCCTCCAAAAGCCTAGTGAGGAAGGATCTATGGGCTGGGAATATACTGAACTCTAACCTGTCTGAAAAGTCTAACTCACTCTTTAATTTTTATGTATTTATCTTTTTAAATTTTTTTTATTTTTATGGGTACCTAGTAGGTGTATATATTTATGGAGTACATGAGATATTTTGGTACAAAATATCATTCTGTGGGTTGTCTCCTCACTTTGTTGATTGTATCCTTTGCTGTGCAGAAGCTTTTTAACTTAATGTGATCCCATTTGTCCATTTTTTTCCTAATAGACTGAGTTGATGTAGCGTATTCTTTGTTATCAAAATACTCAAATAGATTTGGGATTTTTGAATTGGTAAATAGACATGATATGTGAAAACAGAATGATATGTACTATACTATCTCAACTCCATAAAATTAGATCTTGTGTCTATACACACACAGGACCTAGAAGGAGACATTGAACTGTGAACTACATGTGGTTGTGAATGAGTTTACTTTTTGCTTGTGTTTTTCAAATTCTTATAATGCACATATTCACTTAAAAATATATAGGTTAAAAAACTAATGACAAAAAGATATAATACAAGTATTCATATCAACAAAAATGAATACAATGTAAATATGGCTGTGTCATAGCTATCTTCTTATTAATGTTTTCCATCATGTGTTGTTCTGTCTGTTCTTTTACCCCTTTTTTCTATTTTCTTGTCTTTTGTAGATTAAATTTTTTTTATTTCTAATAATTCCATTGTGGCCACTATTGTATTATTAATAATACATATTTTCAAGAATTTTTTAGTATTTATATTATATATCTTAACTTATGACAGTACTCCTTCAAAATATATCACTTGATCTATATTGGGAGATACAAATACTATAGGTTTATTTTCTCTATTCTATATTTTGTTCTATTTTATTTCTGTATATATTATATATTGCATACACTTCTACTTCTACACAAGTTATAAATCTCAATATATTTATATAATTTTTCTTTAGATAGTCAATTATCTTTTAAAGTGATGAAAAGCAAATTAAGGATTTTTCTTCTATGTACTCTCATATTTGCAAATCATATATCTGATAAGGAACTTTCATTCTAAATATATGAATAACTCTTACAACTAAAAAATTAAAATTTTCAAACAATCAAGAAGTAGGCAAAAATTCTGAAGAGTTATTTCTCTAAAGAAGATATACACATGAACAGTAAGCAAATACAAGACACTCAACTTCATTCACTATTAAGGAAATGCACATCAAAACCATGAAACACCACTTTGCCCTATTAGAATAGCTAAATATAAAAGATGGATAACAAATTCTGGAAAGGATGTGGAAAAAAATGAAAATCTTGTATGTTGCTTATGAGGATGCAGAATATTTCAGCCTTTTTGAAAAGTAGTTTGGCAGTATCTCCAAGGTTAAACAAAGAGTTGCCATATGACACAGCAATTTCACTGCTAGTTATATATCCAACAGAAATGAAAAAATATATCTACACGAAGACTAGCAAATGAATGTACATAGCAGCATTTTTTGTAACAGCCAAACAGTAAAACTAGCCAAATGTCCATTACTTGATGGCTGAATGAATAAAATGTAATACATATACACCATGGAATATTATTAGGCAACCAAAAGGAATAACGTACTGATGCACACTACAACATAGGTAAACCTTGCTCTGATTCCATTCATACAAAATGTCCAGAATAGGCAAATCAATAGAGATTGAATGTAACTAGTGATTGCCCAGGTCTGGGCTGTGAGATGGGTTGAGGAGGGATTGGGCCTGATTGCTCATTGGTATGAAGATTCTGATGGAAGTGATGGACAGTTTTAAAAGTAGTTATGGTAATGGTTGCACATCTGCAACTATATTGATATATCCTTGTTATACAGTGGATTCTGCACTTTAAATGGATGACGTTGTATGTTATGTGAATTATTTCTCAGTAGAGCTGCTAAAGAAAAAGAGGTCATTTCAATGACACACAGTATTCAATAGGCACACAGTGCTGAACAAAGCAAGCAACAATTGTTTTGCCATGCATAACACAAATTTGCAATTACTTAGCTGGAAATAGAGACATCCTCCTTGTCAGAGATTCCTTCAACACAGCCAATTTCATGTTCTGTTGTTTGCATTCCTTACTCGTGGGTACCTGTGTTTAGACAGGACTCTCTTTGTTGCAGATTATAGAAATCCAATTCAAGCTATTCTAAAGAAATGAATATTCATCTGCTCATGTAACTGAAACAGACAGACAAGGTGACGTGCCTTCCATCTTGTGCTCATTGCGCTTCCATGGTGGGCTCTGCCCTGCTGCAAACCCACACCTCCTAACCTCCTGCATGGCCAGAGCAGTGCAACGACGGTTTTCTACCCAAAAGCTCTGCTTTTATGCTATAGAATTTTTTTTTTTTTTTTTTTTTTTGAGACGGAGTCTCGCTCTGTCGCTCTGTCTCCCAGGCTGGAGTGCAGTGGCACGGTCTTGGCTCACTGCAACCTCCGCCTCCTGGGTTCACGCCATTCTCCCACCTCAGCCTCCCACGTAGCTGGGACTGCAGGCGCCTGCCACCACACCTGGCTAATTTTGAGTAGAGATGGGGTTTCACCGTGTTAGCCAGGATGGTCTCGATATCCTGACCTCGTGATCCGTGCGTCTTGGCCTCCCAAAGTGCTGGGATTACAGGCGTGAGCCACTGCGCCTGGCCTATGCTATAGGATTTATGCTATAACTACTTAAGTTTCTGACAAGACTTGCACAGTTGCATAGCCACTTTTCATTTAAAAAATTCAACAAGGAGGGATACTAAGAAGGGAGAAAACAAATCTGTGTCCACTGGCAAGGTAAAGAATGCTGATCAGTTACATTCCTGTCTGCTCACAGCTTAAAGTTAATTGAGAAGTGAGGTGTAAGAATCATAAAAATAGAAATAACAGCTTAAATGAAATTAAAGCTTAAATAATGAAATAATATATTATATTAATATAATTACAGGTAATAGCATATATTATAAAATTATAATAAAATTAAAGCTGTTAAACAAATAACAGCTTAAATAAAATTAAAGCTAATTGGAGAGTGAGGCTGAGATGTATGGCCAAATGCCTTCATATGACTGTCTTGGACAAGCACCAACTGGAGGTGAAATCATCTCTGTGTTGTAGAGGAAACTAAGCTACCCTGGGGAGGAGAGCTCTTGGGGTGCCCTCCCCCATCTCACCAACCTGCCCCACCACCCTAGTCTTCTTTGGGGGAGGAGTAAGAAAAGGAGTTTTTAAAAATTGAAATAGCTCTCTCTATACTTTTGTCTTCTGAGGAGGGGGAATTTTCTTTCCCTTCATGGAAAAGTTAGACATTTGGTAAGTTTTTCTGATAGTACCCAGAACAGAAAGAAATAAGTACATTTATAGTTGGCCCTCTATATTCGTGGGTTCTGATTTTGCAGATTCAATTAGTCATAGATGGAAAATATTCAGAACAAAAAGGATGATGTGTCTGTACTGAACATGCACAGACATTTTTTTCTTGTAATTATTTCCTAAACAATATAATACAACAACTACTTACATATAAATTTACTGTGTATTAGGTGTTATAAGTAATCCAGAAATGACTTAAATTATACAGGAGGATGTGTGCAAATATATTTATATCAGAAACTTGAGTAATCACAGATTTTGGTATCCACAGGGGTCTTGGAACCAATCCCCACAGGTACCAAAACACAGCTGTATTCAAAAGTTGGCTCAGCTAAGGGACATAAAAGCATGCATGTAGAGTACAGGAACATAGATGCACACACACCACTGTCGGCATGGCTTTCATTCTGTTCTCACACAGAGAAATGATGGGAACTCACTCTACTCTTCTGTTTGCATGGCTGTTCTGGAGGAAATGTTTGAATCTGACACAAATAGCTATTGCTGTGTAAAGAGTTTTATTAACTACATTGATGGTGCTTTGATATATATTATTGTGTCTTAAAATCATGAAACAGACTTTAAGTTGGCTAAATCAAATAATCATGATGAGTGACTAAATACCATTGTAATGCAGCATAATACTGCTGATTTAAATTGAATTGTAGAGGTCTCAGAATTAAAAATCAACTATGCTGCAATATTTTAGAAAAGTGATTAGCTTGTAATGAATGTAAAATTAAAGAGCTCTTCCCTTTAATTTAAATGCCTTTGAAATTAAAATACATTTTCCACTTAAGAAGCAACTAGTTCTTTAAATATTAGTAATTATAAACTAGCTATTAATTTTAAATGAACACCAAAAGATACTATCATTGTCATTATTATTATGATTTTATCTTTTGATGTCTCAGAATGTGTTGAAATAGTGTTAACAGTGACTTCCCTCATTTCTCAAAGGACATAAAGTACAAAAAGACTTTCAAAAATATAAAAATCGGTAAGAAAAACAAATTTCTATAGGTGAGTCTCTCTCTGGGAAATAGGTTCATATACTTGGGGCTCAAAATTTAATGTTGTAATAAAAACCTTCTTGGTTAAATTTTCTGTGACTTCACCCTTTAAAATTTAAAATTTTGGATAATCCTAACTGTAAGGAATTAAATAGTATCAATATAAAGGAAATTAATTAAAATATACTGTCAGCCAGTTCAATAATTCCTATTTTGATGGTGAATTCAATCCCAATTATTCAAAAAACAATGATTGAATAAAATATATTCCTAGTTTCATGTCATAAATATATTTTAATGTGAAATAAAATTGTTTTAAATTTGAAAAGCTAGAAAAATATTTAAAATGTGACATACGAAGTTAAAAAAATCTGAAATTTTCTCAAAACCTTAATTGTGACATATTAATACTAAAAAAATTTTAATACTCAATTGATGTCATTGTTGACTATTCTTGGCTTTTTTATCATCAATATATTTGAATTACTAAATAAGAATGGATAGGTTATTTCCCAGCTATTAATTAAATGTATAGACAAAACAATGACTTAATCATCCTCAGTATATATAATTTATTTCTTCCTTCAGTTCTCAATACACTGCTTTTATTTTCCCTTTCTTGTTATTATGTTTTATATCAACTTTAAATAATCAAGTAATAACAATAGTAAGGAGCCTTATTTACCATTTACATGGTACTTTAAGGTGGCTTATATACTTTTCTCATTGCTACGGCACTCTATGTGAGAAAATCCTTTTATTTCATAATTTTAAAGAACAAACTGTAAGTCAGAGAATCTTATGACCTACCAAAATACAGAACTAGAAAGTTTGGAGTTTAGTCTGAGGCCCAACATATGTGGACCCACATTCAGTCTTCTTTCCACGACAAGACCTGTCTCTCTTCTTCACATTTAATGGAAGCGCAGTAATAGCTAAACTTTAAAACACCTGCTTTTCTAGTTTAATCCAGAGTCAGCAAGTAAACTGACTACAAGAATGACAAGGTGAAATAATGGCTGTTTTCAAGACAACCTCAGCAATGACTGGATAACACATACCATGGGGTTTGTTACATTGATGATTGACAAGGAGTGAATTAGAATATAGTTTCTAGAATTATTCTCAGACAAAAGCAAACAAAATGGACACTAGTGAGAAAGACTTTGAAACCTGAGGTAGTTGAAGGAATTTTTAATAGCACACATAGATTCTTTGAATGTCTACTAAAGCAAAAGAACTACTATCCAAGTTACTCAGAAAATTTGCCAATGAGTTTATGAACATATTCTTGAAATGAGTTGAGAAAACTTGGCAAAGTTCTACAAGTTTTTTAAAGTTTGACAAATAATAATTACAGTTTGAAAAGTTGGACAAAGATTCTGCTTACTGCTGATGTGTAGTATAATATTGCCTTCTTGTCTAAGGAACACATCATTAAAGCTGAAAGATGGTTCCTTAGAGGAGGCGGTGAATATAGGCCCACAAAAAACAAATCATGTCAGACTAGGCATTTGTGGACAAGATTTAGAAAAGTGCAAGATCAAAATGATGGATTAGTAGCTGATTGAAAAACTCAACCCAAAGTGGTGATTAATGGATAGATGTCAACATTAAGGTGGTTTCCAGTAGGGTGCCATGGGCTTTATCCTTGGCTATGTCCTTTTCAACCTTTTATTAATCATTTGAATAAAAATACAAAAGGCATGGCCATCTAATCTGTGCAGGACCAGTAGCAAGGATATGTAGCAATTGTGTTAAATGACAAGCTAAACAATAAGGGATTTTATATAATGCCTTAAAACGATCAGTTCAACAATGTAGTGGGCAAAACAAAACAAAAAACCAACAAACAAAAACCCACAGAGGTGAATATATAATCTGCAAAAAAAGGAAGAGTAGTTATTTTAAATGAGGGGAGTAGCGGCTCCGTTCAATTTTATAGTGACCCGAGGATACCTAAAAATCTGTATTTAGATTGTGACGCACACTTTAAAGGAAAATGTCAAATTAGAACACCCTGAAAGAAAAACAAGGAGGAAACATATGTTATATAAAAATACATTTTTAGTAGCTACTTTTTTTTTTCCAGGCAATATTATCTGTTCACAGTAAAAGATAGGCTGACTGGTCCGCTATGGCTTATAAGATAGTTTGTATTTATTGTGTGCTTATGTATTGGCAGAAGGAAGGATGGTGCATGTAAACTATGAGAAGGCAGATTTATAACCCAGCAGCTGATCAGTATAAAAGTGAGTGAGCAGATTCAGTAGGCTGTGAGATGCCATCCATGTTTATGTTCAAATATAAGCCAAATGACTATTTGGGTCAGGAATGGTGTCTCTAGGGAACATCAGCTG
This sequence comes from Homo sapiens, assembly GCF_000001405.40. Classification (NCBI taxonomy): domain Eukaryota; kingdom Metazoa; phylum Chordata; class Mammalia; order Primates; family Hominidae; genus Homo; species Homo sapiens. The sequence continues at coordinate 54,003,981 of NC_000007.14, forward strand.
CAAGATGTAATTTCCGAGTGCTTTTCATATGTTATTTCTAGCAGCAAAGCCAAGTCAGATATAAAAATGAAAAATAAAAGGCAGGTAGAACAGCTATTACATTGAGTGCATCAGAGGCTCTACGTAAAAGAAAAATATAAGCTCCATCTCTGTGGTAGATGATATTATGATGTTAAAATATTTGCTTCTTATCACAGGAAGGATTAAGAAAGCAAGTAAGTTTTTGAGAGAGTTGTATTTCCAATAGCCATCAGTTTGAGCCAGAAGAGAGTTTGATGCTTCAGAATTTACAATAGGCTTTGGTTCACCCAACTTCAAAGGACAAGAAACAGACTGAGAAGACTATCTGGCCCCAGGGAGGGTGCATTATCAATGATCCTCTCAGATGTGACAAAGATGGTAAAAAAGAGAGAACATTCTTCAAAAACAGAACCAAGGGTCATGGAGGGAAAAATATACTGGGAGGAAAGTGTCTAATCCCAGGGTATGCAGTCGGGACCCAAAGAATATTCTCCACCTTAAGGACAGGAGCCTCTCAAAATTCTGCCCAGCAGGTTTCTGGGATTGCTATAGACCAGTGATAGCAGGTCCAGTTGTTCACTTTTCCCAGTGGGAGCATTTATTGCAATGCTATCGTTCCTGTTGCTCCGCTGAATACAAAGAGGAGGGAGGCATTTACGTTGGGTTTGCTTCACGGGCTCCAGACTGGATGAGACAGGCACATAATGGAGGCTGTGGCTGGGGATTTGGGATTATTGCCTCGGATGAGGGAGTGTCTATGCTCTGAATGTGGTGGGGGAGCAAAATGATGCCCAGAAAGATAGGCAGTGTTTGATTACACCGTAAAGTGTTCCTTACTCCTCCCTGGGGAAGAAGTATACAGTCATCTCTTGTTATTCATAGGGAATTGGTTCTAGGAGCTCCCTCAGATATCAAAATCCGTGGATGCTGACATCCCTTTTATAAAATATCACAGTATTTGCATATAACCTATGCATATCCATTTACTTTAAATCATCTCTAGATTACTTGTAATAGTACAATGCCTACATATCACTTTATTCCAGTGGATTCAACATAGTACTGGGCATATGGTAAGTTTAAGTACTGATTTTTGGGACTTCGTGACTTTTTTTCTAAATATTTTCAATCTGTGGTTGGTAGAATCCATGGACAAGAACCCATGGATAAAGAGGACCAACTGTATTTCTCCATCTCGTTGACATCAGCCCTATCCTTGTAACTTGTTTGAGACCATAAAAAGAAATGAAAGTGACATATTTTCTTCCCAGAAAAAAATCCCCTTCCGGGAAAAATATCTTTCTCCCCTGTTATGAACTGATACCACTTCTAAGCCCAGGCTGATGTCAAAATGATGTGGAACAGAAGCAGCCAATATGTTATAGCTATATATTGTGTGTGAGAAACAATGTCTTGTTGAAAGCCACTGAGATTTTGAGTTGCTTGTTACCACAATGTAACATAGATTATCTTGACAATGTAATTGTCTATGAGAAAGGAGAATGTTCTATTGAGAGGCCAATTTACTTCAACTAAAGAAAAACTGTGAAGCAAATAATCCAGTCCTATAGTGTGTGTAATTTAGATGCTATGGTATAAAATGCCTTATTATGAGCAAATAAGGCAGCTAGATATTTTATCAAAATTGAAAAATAAAGACAAAATTAAGATAAGGTAAAGGAGCTTATATACTGATTTATACAAGTAGAAGCAGTGTTCTTAAATAAGATTATGCCCTGTTGCCTATCACAAGAAACGGACACCGCTGCTGAATTCCCTTCACGTGCCACATAAAGTAGTAAGAATCACTGGTTGTGAAATTGTTTCAATGAAAAGATTACCTTTACCTATACTACATATAAACCTCTACATTACAGATAGTGAATATTGGTAGAAGAAAGTTGAGATTATAGAATGGCATGAAATAAAAATTATTATAGGAAATGGTCCTTATGTAGCTGTGAGTGGATTTGATGAAGTAACTATCTAGGAAGGATCAGAGATAAGATGCCTGCCAGCCCTGGTGAAGGAAGAACTAGAGAGAACTCACCAGAAGGTCAGTACTTCCTGCTGCTGGAGTGGCATGGTCCAGGGGGGCATTGTGGCTCCTCCCTCTTGTTAGAATCCAGGTCAAAGTAGAGTTGGACAGAAAGTTCAGGAAGTGAGGATAAACCAGAACACACCAGCTCCACTGCTTCTGTACCTGGTGGCCTCCATCCAATTACACCAAGCAGGGATGGACATTCTGGGAAAAGTACTAGCTTACTTTCTCTTTCTCATGGACTAGCTTTCAATTTCCAAATACCTTTAAGTTGACATATATAGCCATAATTTAGTCAAATTTGATCAATTAAATCCTAACAGTGTTCCATAAAAATTTTAAAATTATGATTACAATACAAAATCAGTATTATAAAAATAATTTTATTTACTCAATATATTAAATATTTACATCCCTAAGTTAAAAGAAATCGTTTCATAGTGTAGTGTAAGATAAAAAGCAACATTTTTATATGTGAGTGACATATAATAGAAATATCAGTTAGATGGGGATTTTGGAGAATACTTTTTCTGACTTATAAAACTAAATGTTAACCCTTCAAGCTAAATATTCTTAACCCTTCAAACTAAATATTTTTATCTACAGAAAAGAGGAGGAGCAGGTAAAATATCCAAATACTTATTTGATTGACCTCTTAATTCCCTGGATATTCCTCACTGCTTAACAAACCAAAAGTCAAGGTGGCACAAGCCCACTCCCCAGGCAAAGGTTACATTTTTGAAATTGTTTTGTGGGTGTGGCCTGTGATGAAGTTATGGCTAATGGAAGGAGAACTTGCCTGTCCAACTTCTAGGAAGTGTTCTTGATGTTGCTTGAACTGGGGATAAGAAGGCTGAAGTTTTGCAGGGGACTGGAAAAATGCAGGATCCTGGCTCCCTGAGCATTTTATGGAGGAAAATCACCAAACCAGCCCTCAATTGCTTTCTGCTCAGATAAAACATGAGAGGTGTCTCAGTCCAGTCACACTGCAGTAACAAATGCCATGGACCAGGTGGCTTGTAAACAACAGACGTTTATGTTTTGTAGTTCTGGAGGTTGGAAGTTTGAGATCAAGGTGCTAGCAGATTTTTGTTTCCTAAGGACTCTTCCTGGTTCATATTGGGCACCTTCTAGCTGTGTCCTCACATGGAGGAAGCGGTGAGGCAGCTTTCTGGACTCTCTTTGATAAGGGCACTAATCCCATTCATGAGGTTTCTCTGCCCTCATAACTGAATTGCTTCCCAAAGTCTCCACCTCCAAATTCCATCACACTGGAGGTTGGGTATCAACAGGTGAATGACAGGGAGGAGCACAAACATTTGATCCATAGTGGAAGGAAAATTAACTTCCAGGGTGACTTCGCAGTTTGGTCACAATAGGCATACCTGGGTTACCTTATGATGGCTACTCAACATGGTGTCCAGAATTTTCTTTGGAAATTTTCTTAGATTCTTTTAAGTAAATTTGTTGCTTAAAGACCTCTGATCTAAATCCTACTATTTGTTTGATCAAAAAACATGTACAATTGTGTTTATTAGATCTTGCTGAGTTTTAATTTACAAAGACATCCTTCTTTTCAAAATAGACACATTGTTTTTCAAAGGTTTTAGTCACCTTTTTAATATGTGCTTTGTTATAAAAGTCAATTCTAGGTTTTTCAGGATAACTTTCAAAAATACTCTTTGTGTAAATTTATAATTTTTTAATAATATTTAAAGTAATGCCTCAAACACTTCAGGCAACCTCAATGTGTATCTGGATATCCAATTCATTAATATTTTTCCTTCCTTAAACAAAATTGCCATCTGCAGTAATAAATAACAAAGTGATCACCTTCCTTATGGCCATTCTCTTTTCTCCAGCAAGAGTCATCATTTTTTTTCTCCCAGTTCTAATTTCCTTTCTCTCTTTTGCATTATTAAATCCCTTGGTGTTTTTTTGTATCAACTTTTAATTTAAAACCATGAATTTAATTAGAGCATAAAATTATTTTTTGAGATCAACAAGATATTGAATTGGGCTCTTTCCAGCAGTGATTACTATATTACAGGCTTCCCTACCTCAAAATAAAACTGCACCCAACAGGTTTGTTTTTCAGAGTCATTTTGAAAAATTGCATTTAGTCTATCAACTTAATAAGTATTTGATTAATTTATTAGTTTTCACATTTTATATATTTTAGAGAAATTTTTGTTTTATAATTGTATTGTTCTAAGAATAGTTTAACATTACAGTTAGCAATAAAGTGCCACCTTCATCTTCATCAAGTGACAGCGAATACACCTTAGAATATTTTATAATTAGCACTTAGACTTTTTGAATCAGAGGTAATTAGAACTTTATTGCAAAGCTTCTAAAGTCATTCAAAATATAATTTTTACTTTCAATAATGGTGAAGGTTGTTTAAATATATGTTTTAATTTATAACCTTGAAGGATAGTTATTCTTCCAAATTTGGATGCCAAAAATGTCCTAAGAGTAATTTATTCTAAAAAGATTTAAAGATATAGGTGAAACAAACTGAGGAGACATCAACAATAGCTAGAAGCACCAGTTGTGAATAAAGAAATTGACATTTAGGTAGGAGTAGAGACAGAACTGTGGAAAAAGCTATAAGCCCACTTGAAGACACACCTTCTTACCATGATACTGCGTGCTCCCCTAACCTTTCCTAGCTGCCCTTTCCTTCCTCTCAGCCCAATGAATAGAGTCTCAGCACAGTCACACCAGGTTTGGGAAATAATGAGAAGCTGAGGGCAGCTGGGGTAGGCAGCACCCACACAGAGGCAACACCCTGCACCGCCTGGCTGGACTGAGGACCTTCTGTTTGCTGCTGTTCTGCCTCCTCTCTCATGCCCAGGTCCCTCTGATCCAAGTGGCCCTCGTCAGGTTCCTGCCCCCTGGCTGGCATCCAAGCCAGGTAGTTCAACCTTTCTGAAGGTGCTGTGTTGCACAAGGGAGAGAGGGTGGACTATCAGGGCTGATGTCTAGCCTGAGCCCCATTCCCATCCTCTGTGCCCTGCCCCAGTCTATATCAGCATTGAGCAAAATGTATCTTTCCTGATTCTCACAGAGGCACATTTGTGGGGACCCCGGCCAGCCTTCTACAAGCCTGGCTGTCACCTATTATTGACCTCCTCCTGCCAGCCCCTTTCCCTAAGAACCGGAGTACTCAGTTACATTTTTGTTTATGTGGGCTACACCAGAATCTCAGCCCTTCTCTGTTTCTTGCAGATCTTTGCCTTGACCTTGTGGAACTGTCCAGCCATCTAGCTCCCAAAAGCAATGCTTAAATCATCCCCGAAATCAGATCAGATGTGAATGACATCAGCTCATCAGCCTTGGGCAAGTTTCCCAACCTCTATGCAACCAATCCCATGTTGCCTCTGGAAATGGGAGAAATAATACCTGTCTCTAGGGTTACTGTTAGATTTAAATTTGCCCCCTGTATTAAACAGTGCCTTATTCTCTTTTCTTTTTTCAATTTAATTTTATTTTAACTGACAAATGTATATAATTTTATATATTTATGGGGTACAAAGTCATGTTTTGATACATGTATACATTGTGGAATGGGCAAATCAGGCTAATTAATGTATCCATCACCCCACATACTTACCATTTCTTTGTGGTAAGAACATTTAAAATCCAATCTTCTGTTACTTTTCAAATATACAATACATTATTGTTAACTGTAGTCACCTTGCTCTATGATGGATCACCAGAAGGTATTCCTCCTGCCCAACTGAAACATTGTACCGTTTAACTAATACTGCTCTCCTCATCCACCACCACCCTGTCTGTGGTAACCACCATTCTACTCTCTAATTCTGTGAGCTTGAATTTTTTAGATTCCACATATGAGTGAGATCATGCAAAATTTGTCTTTTTGTGCCTGGTTTATTTTGCTTAGCATAGTGTACTCTAGATTTGTCCATGGTGTCACAATAATGTCATTTGGTTCCTTTTTAAGGCTGAATAGTATTCCATTGTGTGTATATGTATGTATATAATGTGTGTATATCATATTCTTATGTTTCTATATGTGTATAATATGTAGCATGATATATATTATATGTTTTAATGTTTTAAAGATTTAATGTTTATAATACATGGTATATGATATATATATGTATATATACATATATCCGTTATTTTAATCGCTTCATCTGTTAATGGGCATTTAGGTTCCTATATCTTGGCTACTATGAATAATCCTGCGATGACCTTGGGAGTGCAGATATCTCTATTGGGTGTAGGTTTCTTTTCTTTTTCTGTCTTTCTTTTTTTTTTTTCTTTTTTGAAACAGAATCTCACTCTATTGCCCAGGCCAGAGTGCATTGGTGTGATCTCGGATCACTGCAACCTCTGCCTCCTGGGTTCGAGGGATTCTCGTGCCTCAGCCTCCCAAGTAGCTGGGATTACAGGTGTGTACCACCATGCCTGGCTAATTTTTGTATTTTTAGTAGAGACGGGGTTTCACCATGTTGGCCAGGGTGGTCTTGAACTCCTGACCTCAAGTGATCCACCCACCTTGGCCTCCCAAGTGCTGGGATTATAGGCATGAGCCACCGCACCCAGCCTCAGGTGTAGATTTCATTTTTCTCGGGTATAACCCCCAAAGACAGATTGCTAGGTGTTATTGTAATTCTATTTTTAATTTTCTGAGGAAACTCCACACTGCTTTCCATAATGGCTGCACCAATTTACATTCTCACCATCTGTATATACGCTTTTCCTTTTCTCCACATCCTCACCAATACTTGTTATCTCTTGCCTTTTTTAAATAATAGCCATCCTAGCAGGTGTGAGATGGTATCTTATTGTGGTTTTGGTTTCCAATTCCTTGATGTTGAGAACCTTTCTCATATACTTGCACATTACTTTTATGGAGAAATATCTATTCGGGTCCATTGCCCATTTTTTTGTCCAGGTTATTTGTTATTTTGCTATTGAATGTATGAGCTCCTTATGTATTTTGATTATTAATCTTTTATCATATATAGGGTTCACAAATATTTTCTCCTATTCTGTGGCTGCCTTTTCATTTTGTTAATTTTCCATTGCTGTGCAGAAACTTTTTAGTTTGATGTTTAGCTTAGATCAGTTTACTTTGATATTTTATTGCTTTTGCTATTTTTTCCTGAGCTTTTGGTATAATAACTACAAAAATTTATTACCTCCACTGCTGGGTATGTATCCAAAAGAAAGGAATTCAGTATATCAAAGAGACATCTGCACTCTGTGTTTGTTGCAGCACATATACAATAGCGAAGATTTGGAAGCACCCTAAATGTCCATTAACAGACGAATGGATAAAGAAAATGTGGTACATATACACAATGGAGTACTATTCAGCCACAAAAAGAACAACATCCAGTCATTTGCAATAACACAAATGGAACTGGAGGTCATTATGTCAAGTGAAATAAGCCAGGCACAGGGAGACAAACATCACATGTTCTTGTTTATTTGTAGGATCTAAAAATTAAAACAATTGAACACACGGAGATAAAGAATAGAAGAACAGTTACCAGAGGCTGGGAAGGGTAACAGGGCTCTCAGAGCCAGAGGTTGGGATAGTTACTGGGTACAAAACAAAGGTTTGCACGAATGAATAAGGCCTAGTATTTGATAGCACAAGAAGGTAACTATACATTTTAAAATAACTAAAAGAGTATAATTGGATTGTTTGTAATACAAGGATAAATGCTTGAGGGGATGGATACTCTGTCTTCCATGATGTGATTATTATGCATTGCATGCTTGTATCAAAGCATCCCCATAAATATATACACCTACTATATACTCACAACAATTAAAAATTAAAAATATAAAAATAAATAAAAAATCATTGTCAAAGCTATCCCCTGTGTTTTCTTCTAGGGGTTTTACAGTTTCAGTTCTTATGATTTTGTGTATTATCTAAGATTAGTGCACTATTTAAATATTTTGCATGTGGATCTCATTTAACCAATACCACTTGTTGAGGACAATGTCTTCTCCTCATTGTGTCTTCTTGGTGCCTTTGTTGACAATATATGCTTAGGTTTATGTTGGAGGCTCTCAGTATTGTTCCATTGAACTCTGGGTCAGTTTTTATGCCAGTAGCATATTCATTGGTTACTATTGCTTTATAATATAATTTGAAATAAGGAAGTATGGTATTTTCAACTTTTCTTCTTTCTTTCTCTCTTTTTTTTTTTTTTTTTTTTTGAGACAGACTCTTGCTCTGCTGCCCAGGCTGGAGGGCAGTGGTGTGATCTCAGCTCACTGCAACCTCCACCTCCCAGGTTCAAGTGATTCTCCTGTCTCAGCCTCCCGAGTAGCTGGAATTACAGGTGTGTGCCACACCACCTGGCTGATTTTTGTATTTTTAGTAGAAATGGGGTTTCACCATGTTGGCCAGGCTGGTCTCAAACTCCTGACTCAGGTGATACAGCCACCTCAGCCTCCCAAAGTGCTGGGATTACAGGCATGAGCCACCGTGCCCAGCCACTCTTTTTCAAATTTATTTTTAATTGACAAATAAAAATTTTTACTTATGGGGTACAATGTGATGTTTTGATATACACATACATTGTAGAAAGATTTAATCAAATTGATTAACATATCTATCATCTCACTATTTTTATAGTGAGAATGTTAAAAATCTCTTCTTTTAGTAATTTTGAAATGTTCGATACGTTGAAAATGTTACCAGACAACAGAAACCTTTTATTTTATATACTTGTGATCCAAAATTTCAGAACCTGTGTGTACTTAAAAATACTTTTGGAAGTTGCTAACTGACACTAGATTTTTTAAGTGAATCATAATGTCAGTTTAAAAATTGAGTTCTAACAAAACCAAAGAAATATTGTTCAGACCTATGTGACCTAGACAGCTAAGCTGCACTCTTTCTCGCCTATAAGTCCAGTTATTTGTTTGTTTTTTGGTTGTTGCTGCTAAATTGTTGGTTCACACAAGTATATCACTGCCTTATGCTGTATTATTTCAGAGAAGTTTGTAAATCTTAATGCTGTGTTGGTCCAATCTTATCTCCTTCCTCTTTCTATAGTTTTGGATATATCTGAGTTGTGTTAACTACAGTAGTTTTTTTAAGTTGTTTTAAAATTTAATAATATATTTACAATAAATCAAATTTGTAACTTTAAAATACAATTTAATTCTGTCACATAATGAATGCTGAGGGTAGGAATTAAAGGTAAGTTGCTAGTTCTCACCTAGTAAAAGAAAGTGTAGAAAAATACTCAACAGAGGATAGAAGGCAACACATTTACTTTTATTAATACCAATAAATTGTATCCTTACTATAATATTTTAAAAATATTCTTCCCTCTTGAACCCAATGCTTTATTTGTAGCCTGCATTTCCTTGCTATCTGAAAGCATCATACACCATTACCTAACAGATGCATTAACCAAATACAAGGAAAGCCAGATTTTCTTTCCAGCGCTCCTTTAGTTATGCCACTTGCTGTGATAGAGGCCATGGAATGGGAGGGGCTGATGATTATCCAAGTAGCAGGTGAGCAGGAGAGCAGATGGGGAGGAAATGGCTCTTTAAAGTAGCTGCAGTAGGAAAACACCATGGGCGTAGTCCCAGCTGAGGAAGACCATGGGAGGTGGTGGCAAGCATAAAATAGCACCTGGAAAGTTCAATGAGTGATAGGCAAGTGATTGTCCTTGGAGATTCAACACAGTGAGAATGAGATTACAGTATTTGTGACTCTGAAACCAAGAATCAGTAGTACGCAAAAATCTAACCAAGGGAGCAGGCAGTGGTTACTAGGAATATCACTGCCCCCTCGACGGGACCTCAAGCACTAGACAGTGGGGTAGAAATAATTTCCTGCCAATAGCAATGGGGGTGAGACATGGAGTGCGTGTCAGGAAGCAAAGACAACAACTTAGGCTCAAATAATAAAAAGGGAGCCAATGTCCAGAATGGGATTAAAATGTATAGGTTATGATTTCTGAATAAGGAGGGAATTGCTAAGGAAGTTCAAAAGAGATATGCACTAAGATAAATTGAGACCAAAGCCCATAGTGCTGCATCAGGATCTTTCTTGCAGTTGTGAGGTGCCTGAGCCTCAGATGAGGCTATAACAAGGGTAGAGGAAGAAGGCTCCCCGGGAACCCTTTTCTGCACTCTCTTGGGAACACTGACCATCTGCCAATCCACAGTTTTCTCCCGTGATCCTTTTGCTGTTCTATGTCTTCTCACTGCTTCTATAAAGTATTCTTTGAATGTATTAACTAAGAGGTTTTTTCTTCTGAAAAAAAGTCCCAGCATGTTGTTTCTTACTTTTATATGTTTATTCTATTCAAAGAAATAATCTTATTTCAAAAAATTTGCTGACTCTCAATTCAGTTTTTAATTCCAGAATTGAGATTTTAAAGTTGTACTGAAAATATTTCCAAAGGCTTTGGGATTTATATAAATATTTATGAAATAAGAATAACTTCTCTCTTTATTCACAAAAATGAATAATAAGTATGCCCTAATGTAAAAATATAATTTTATCTTTTAATATGTTGACATTAACTTTTTGAATATTGAATGGTTCTTTAATTCTTTAATTCTGTTGTACTTTTTAAATGCTTTTAATTCTGATTATTTTATTTAATTACATGTATTGATGGCCTATTAATATAGTGGCATAGTAAGTAGACTTAATGATAGACACAATAATAAATAATATATGGCCTAGTAAAGTGTCTTAGTCTGCTAAAGCTACCATAACAAAATACCACAGGCTGGGTAGCTTACACAACAAAAATTTATTTTTCACAGTTCTGGGGCTAGAAATCCAAGATCAAAAGGCTGAACAATTTGGTTCCTGGTGAGGGCTGTCTTCCTGGCTTGCAGATGGCTGCTTTCTCACTGAGCCCTCACATGGCCTTTCCGAGAGAGACAGAGAGGGAGACTAGAACTCCAGTGTGTCTGCTTATAAGGACACCAGTCCTATCAGATCAGGGTTCCACCACTATCACTTCTTTTAACCTTAATTACTTCTGTAAAGGCCCCAACTATCACACTGAGGGATAAGGCCTCAACATACACATTTCGGGGGTACACAAACACTCAGTTCATAACATAAGTTCAATAATACATTCCTGTTTACCTAAGAAAGTTCTGAATGCTATGAATATTAACCTGATTTAATTATTAAAAGGACACATCTCCTTTCACTATTAGAATTGACCTGATGTGCATGATAAATTAAAGTCTCTCCAGACCAGGGCTTCAAGGGTTTCGGGGAGGAAGAAGAGCCAATAAAACACACATCAATAGGCTTAATAGAAAAGTTCTGAAAATAGTGTGAGGTCTCATGCAATCAGCTGAATGACAACATGATGAGTCAGCTCAACACTTCCGAACCCACTCTTCTTGTTGGCAGTTAGGATTAACTTGACTGTACTGTCTGTCTTTGAGGATTAAGCCACAGCATGTGAAAGCCCACAGCAGCCCTGGCACACAGCTGGCATGCAGCACTCCATCCTTTGTTTTTTATGGACAGTCTTTTCAGTCAGCATGGATCAGAGAAGACTTTTAAAAGATGTAGCTCTTGCTAAGCCTTGAGGTGTGAGTACACATTTGCTGAGCAGAAAATGAGTAGATCAGAACGGAAACACCAACAACAAGGACAACTAGGTGATGCCAGAGACAGTAGGAAGACTTCAGCAGGATTCGGGACCCTCAAGTAGCCTGGTGCTCAGACTGGTGTAGCAGGGAGAAAGGGCAGATAAGTCTGAAGCAAAGATGGCAATCAAATTCTGAGGATTCGAGCGTTATATCTGAGCTGGGGCTGTATTCTGTGTGTAATGTAGGAGCACCTCAAGCTCTGAAGGAAAGTTACAGGTCCAAATTGAAGTTTTTTCCAAAAAAATTACTCCTACGGAAATACGTTGAACAGATTAGACTTGGGAAAAATCATTGGTGGAGAGAAAAACTATAAGGTGATTTATACTTTTCTTTCTTATTTTTGGAAATTGTAATAAAGTTTTGAGACACTTTTTTTGCCCAGTGTTTGTGTTGTTTTTAATTTCAGAGAATCTTTTCTTTGGGAATTGTATTATGAAGAGTGGAATAGACAGGAATACTTGCAACCACACAGAGCTTTCTTAAGCTTATCTTACATGAGGACGAAATACAAGCTAAATAAATGACCTATTATCCTTTATGATCCAGGAGAATATAGTAAACTCTATAACTTCATGGTCTCATCTTAAGAACTTAAAATTCCAAAAAAATAAATAAATAAATAAGAAAAAGGTAACATCTCATTCTCGCAAGTCTTGTGTTCTATAAATATCAACCTTGGAAAGAAATTATGTTATTAATTAATTAAATCAATATTAGATAATTTGTATATTATACAGTATGAAAAATAAAAATTCTGTATATTTTTATTATGTGCATATTTTATGCACAGAAAAGAAAAGACATTTGTATACCAATTTGAGTGGTTGAGTTCATAGGTTATTTGTATTTTTCATGAAGAGAATTTCACTTACTTTATTTTATTTTTTAAATTTCTTCTGGCCAGGCACGACGGCTCACACCTATAATTTTGACATTTTCGGAGGCTGAGATGTGTGGATCACTTGAGGTCAGGCATTTGAGACCAGCCTGGCCAACATGACAAAACCCTGTCTCTACTAAAAATACAAAAATTAGCTGGGCATGGTGGTGGGCACCTGTAATCCCAGCTACTCGGGAGGCTGAGGCAGGAGAATCACTTGAACCTGGGAGGCGGAAGTTGCAGTGCTCTGAGATCGCGCCACTGCCCTCCAGCCTGGGTGACGAGCAAGACTCTGTCTCAAAAAATAAACAAACAAAAATAAATAAATAAATAAAATTTATTTTTTATTATTTATTTTTACTCAAGTTGACAGATAAAATTATATGTATTTATTGTGTGCAACATGATGTCTTGAAGTGTATATTGTATATGCATTGTGGAATGATTAAATATAGCTAACGAGCATGCATCACCTCACATGTGATCATTTGTGTACTGAGAACACTTTCTATCCACTGGCTTAGCATTTTTCTAGCATTTTTCAAGACTGCAACAAATGGTTAACTATGGTCGCTATGCTACACAATAAATCTCTTGAACTTATTCCTCTTATGTCATTGAAATTTTGTATCATTTGATCAATATCTCCCCAATTCCCCACCTCCAGTCACGAAGCCCCTTGCAACCACTAGTCTGTTCTCTACTTTTATGATATCAGTTTTCTTAGATTCTACATGAGTGAGATCATATGGTATTTGTCCTTCTGTGCCTGGCATATTTCACTTAATATGATACTCTTCTTTGTGGTTATCTTTCCTGACAATGCATTGCTGTACACTTAGGGCCATTTTAAAATACAAATGTGGAAATCTACTGAGCAATTTCTTTTCTAAAGGAGTTCATATGGTAACTAAAACCATTTCTGATGGTAAAATTTGTGCACACATTGAAACCAAATCACCAAATTATTATTTGTTAAAATTAGTATTCACACAAACACATTGTAGGTTATAGGAATAGATAATTTTCCTTGATTTTCTTCTTTAGCCTTAGCATTTGTCAGAAATAGGAGCCAATAAGAAAAGTCCAGGTATGAGGATTTTTGTCTTTACATGCATAGGTGAGTGGGCACATTTGGAATCAAAGGCAATGTTCTTAAGTTCTGAAGATGAGACCATGATGTTTAGGTCTAGAGTTTACTGTACTGACCTGGATCATAAAGGATGAGAGGTCATTTATTTAGCTTGTCTTTTATCCATATGTAAACAAATCTCAATAAAGATTTGTAAAACCATCTTTGTAAAAGCTATAAGAAATACTTTTGAGAAAAAAAAATTTTTTAACAGAATTATTTTAGAAAGTTACAGAATTTAAAATAATTAGAGAACGGAAAGTTTCAAAGCTGAACTTATTTTGGATAACACGTTTATTCTTCTCTACATTCAAGCTTTGAAAGCTAATATTCTGTTGCTTCGTAGGTTGCTTGGAATTGATTAAATTGTTAAGACCGTAAGTTCATTCTGTGAGACACAGGGATGCAAATGAAATCAGATTTCAGGTTTTTGGAGGAAACCACATTGGATTCTATAAGAGAGAAACAAAGAAATGAGAGAAGGAACAAAGGAAAAACCGGAGGCAGGAAGGGGTTGCAGGAAGACAGGAAGATGGGTGTGAAGGAATATGACCATCTCTATTATACTTTTGCTCTCTTATTTACTGTAACTGATGTGTGTCAGTCCAAATCTGTGGCTCATATGAAAACAATCAACATTACAGTGTTTTAGCATAACTAAATGATTCTACTTAATCTTAATTATGTGACAGCAGAGTTGTAGAGCAATGGCTTGAAAAGACAGGCAACACTAATAGCATTTGTTGTAGCCTGAGGAACATAAAAAATTGTGTATTCACAGAGGCCCCCAGTAGCTCTCCTCAGGGCTATGCTACAGCTCTTAATATCTTTCCTGGTGCAACATTATAAGTCACACACAGGAAAATGTATCCACCTAAAAAGATGCACTTGAAGAAAAGTTTGAATGAATTAAATGCTTGATCAAATTCAGGCCAGGCGTGGTGGCTCAAGCCTGTAATCCCAACACATTGGGAGGCCAAGGCAGGTGGATCACATGAGGTCAGGAGTTCAAGACCAGTCTGGCCAACATGGTGAAACCCCGTCTCTACTAAAAATACAATTATTACCGGGCATGGTGGCGGGTGCCTGTAACCCCAGCTACTCGGGAGGCTGAGTCAGGAGAATCACTTGAACCCAGGAGGCGGAAGTTGCAGTGAACCGAGGTCACGCCATTGCACTCTAGCCTGGGTAACAAGAGCAAAACTTTGCCACAAAAAAAAAAAAAAAAAAAGATTAATATAACTTTTTTAAACAATCAGCTTATTTAGTCAGATATTCTTCTCCTCCTCTACTGCAAATTTTTCACATTAGCCCCAGTGACTTTCTCTCAATATTAACCAGAGGGTTATTTAAGAGACAGTGTGTTTTTTGTTATTATTTTGTAAATTTTCATGTAATTTGTTTTACATTTGTAGTAGCAACATCAACTTCTATTCATTGTGGTTAGATATATTGAATTGCATAATTTCTGTGTTGGGGATTTTGAAGTTTATTGTTATTCTTGGGAAACGGTTAGTTTTGAAACGCTTTTGAGCATTCAAATACTATTTAATATCTCAGTCTAGAGTGTATATTTTTAATAAATAAGTACAAATTAATAGAACTAGAACTAGTTTTTTTGATCCATTGGTGACTTACAGGAATCTTAACATCTTATGTTATTATGTTATTCTTTGCATTTGAGTCAATATTCCTATGCAATGAAAAGAGATGTTGTATTATATCCTTCAGTATTCTGCTTGAAGGTGATCAAATTTTCACTGTAGACTCTATGCCATCAATATAAAATAACCTTTTTGTCCTTTTGATTTTCTTTTGCCTTGAATCTTTCTTTATCAGGTATTAATATTGCTTTATTTCCCTTTTCATTTTCCAGCAAAGTTTAGTCCATCTCAATTTTTTATTAAAGATTTACTTTTCATAAGTATGTGTGTTTCTAAACCTAACTTTTAAAAGAAAAGGGAACAGAAAAAAATATATATATAATCACATATAATCTCAGCTCCAGACACAGACTATTAAAATTGCATATGCAGTCTTTTAAGCTGTGGGAAAATGATACAATACTGAAAAGAAGTGACAATAGGATTGTTTTATGGCCTTCAGGTGACTGTGTATGTATTATAGAAATGAGTTCAATGAGACTGCAGGATAAACAGCTTTTCTTTATGCCAGCTAGGCATTCAGCCCTTGATATTGCCACACCATGGCTCTTCCACACCATGAGCTGCCTCATGCACAGACAGGTGATCTCCCGCCCCCTCCCCCTTGCCTTCGTCTTGTCTTGGCCAACCTTCAGGCCCAGGGTGCACTCAATAGTCCTGCAATCCGTTTTTAGGGGGTCAGGCCATGCTGGTACCAGAAGTTGGATAGGGCCAATTTGTAAGGAATTGTGAGTCCTGCATACCAAAATGATTTCTAGAAGGGAAATTGGAGGCTTGGTGGGCCAGGTCCTTGGAGCCAAGGCATATAGCTTGAAGCACCAGACCTAGAGCAGGGAACCCTCTTGCCACATTTCTAAAGACAGTACTGATCCTAATGACCAAAACACAAACAAAAACACAAGTTTATAAGGATAATGGAATAACTGGCATATTGACATGGATTACAAAAATAGCAACTTCCAGGTAATACATTGAATAGGTAATATGCACCTTTATGAATGACTTAAAGGAATGGACATGCCTTGTTGTGTTTTTTTTTTTATAGCAGTGGTCAATATTTTAAAGATTGGCAAATAATAATTTTCAAAATGGCTAGTGATTTAGGCCATAAAATGTTAAAAGGGCAAGTCAAATTCTAAGAAGTGACATCTGTTTTAAATTAATCAGGAAGTGACTATGATGATTATTATTGTTTTTATTTTTTTATTTATTTCAATAAGTTTTTGTGGAACAGGTGGTGTTTGGTTACATGAGTAAGTTCTTCACTGGTGATTTCTGAGATTTTGGTTCACCCATCACCTGAGCAGTGTACACTGCACCCAATGTGTAGTCTTTTATCCCTCACCCTCCTCCCACTCTTTCCCCCGAGTCCCCAAAGTTCATTGTATCATTATTATGCCTCTGCATCCTCATAGCTTAGCTCCCACTTAGGAGTGAGAATATAAAACGTTTGGTTTTCCATTCCTGAGTTACTTCACTTCGAATAATGGAATCTCCAATTCCATTCAGGCTGCTGCAAATTCGATTATTTCATTCCTTTTTATGGCTGAATAGTATTCCATGGTGTGTGTGTGTGTATTTTCTTTATCCACTCGTTGATTAATGAGCATTTGTGCTGGTTCCATATTTTTGCAATTGCAAATTGTGCTGCTATAAACATGGGTGTGCAAGTATCTTTTTCATATAATGACTTATTTTCCTCTGGGTAGAGATACCCAGGAGTGGGGTTGCTGGATCAAATGGTAGATCTATTTTTAGTTCTTTAAGGAATCTCCTCACTGTTTTCCATCACGGTTGTACTAGTTTACATTCCCACCAACAGTGTAGAAGTGTTCCCTTTTCACCACATTTCCACCAACATCTATTTTTTTTTATTTTTTTATTATGGCCATCTTTGCAGGAATAAAGTGGTATCGCATTGTGGTTTTGATTTGCATTTACTTGATAATTAGTGATGTTGAGCATTTTTTCATTTGTTTGCTGGCCATTTGTATATCTTCTTTTGAGAATTATTTATTCATGTCCTTAGCCCACTTTTCTGATGGGATTGTTTTTTTCTCACTATTTGAGTTCCTTGTAGATTCTGGATATTAGTCCAGATATAGATTGCAAAGATTTTTCTCTCACTCTGTGGATTGTCTGTTTACTCTGCTAATTAATTCTTTTGCTCTGTAGAAGCTTTTTAGTTTAATTAAGTCCCATCTCTTTATCTTTTTTTTTTTTTTTTGGTTGTTTTTCAGTTTTTTTTTTTTTTTTTTTGGCATTTGCTTTTGTGTTCTTGGCCATGAAGTCTTTGCCTAAGCCAATGTCTAAAAGGATTTTTCCAATGTTATCTTCCAGAATTTCTATGATTTTTGGTCTTAGATTTAAGTCTTTCATCTATCTTGAGTTGATCTTTGTATAGAGTGAGAGATGAGGATCCAGTTTCATTCTTCCTTGCATGGCTTGCCAATTATCCTAGCACCATTTGTTAAATAGGCTGTCCTTTCTCCACTTTGAATTTTCGTTTGCTTTGTTGAAGATCAGTTGACTATAAGTATTTGGCTGTATTGGGCTCTCCATTCTGTTTCATTGGTCTATATGCCTATTTTTATACCAGTACCATGCTCTTTTGGCAACTATGGCCTTAGAATATAGTTTGAGTAACATAATGCTTCCAAGTTTGTTCCTTTTGCTTAGTCTTGCTTTGGCTCTACAGGCTCCTTTGGGTTCCATATGAATTTTAAGATTGCTTTATCTAGTTCTCTGAAGAATGACAGTGGTATTTTTTTTTTATTTGAGAATGAGTCTCGCTTTATCACCCATGCTGGAGTGCAGTGGAGTAATCTTGGCTCACTGCAACCTCCACCTCCCAGGTTCAAGAAGTTCTCTTACCTCAGCCTCCCAAGTAGCTGGGATTATAGACACAGGTTTTCACCATGTTGGTCAGGCTGATCTTGAACTCCTAACCTCAAGCAATTCACCTACTTTGGCCTCCCAAAGTGCTGGGATTACAGGTGTGAGCCACTGCACCTGGCCAAAAGATGGTGGTATTTTGATGGGAATTGCATTGAATTTGTAGATTGCTTTTGGCAGTATGGTCATTTTCACAATATTGATTCTAACCATTCATGAGCATGGGATGTGTTTCCATTTGTTTGTGTCATCTATGATTTCTTTCAGCAGTGTTTTGTAGTTTTCCTCATAGAGATTTTTCACCTCTTTGGTTAAGTATATCCCTAAGTATTTTTTTTTTTGCAGCTATCATAAAAGGGGTTGAATTTTTTATTTGATTATCAGCTCAGTCACTGTTGGTGTATAGCAGAGTTACTGATTTGTGTACATTAATTTTGTATCCTGTAACTTTACTGAATTCATTTATCACTTCTAGGAGCTTTTTGGATGAGTCTTTAGAGTTTTCTAGGTATACAATCATGTCACCAGCAAACAGTGACAATTTGACTTCCTCATTACCAATTTGGATGCCCTTTATTTATTTCTCTCGTCTGATTGCTCTGGTTAGGACTTCCAGTAATATGTTGAATAGAAGTGGTGAAAGTGGGCATCTTTGTCTTGTTTCAATTCTCAAGGGGAATGCTTTCAACTTTCCCCCATTCAGTATAATGTTGGCTGTGGGTTTGTTATAGATGCCTTTTATTACTTTAAGGTATACCCTTTCTATGCCAATTTTGCTGAGGGTTTTAATCATAAAGCAATGTTGGATTTTTTCAAATGCTTTTTCTCCATCTATTGAGATGATCATGTGATTTTTGCTTTTAATTCTGTTTATATAGTGTAGCACATTTATTGACTTGCAGATGTTAAACCATCCCTGCATTCCTGGCATGATACCCACTTGATCATGGTGGATTATCTTTTTGGTATGCTGTTAGATTCTGTTAGCTAGTATTTTATTGAGGATTTTTGCATCTATGTTCATCAGAGATATTGGTCTGTGGTTTTCTTTTTTTGTTAAGTCCTGGTTTTTGGTATTAGGGTGATAATAACTTCATAGAATAATTTAGGGAGGATTCCCTCTTTCTCTGTCTTTTGGAATAATGTCAGTAGGGATTGGTCCCAATTTTTCTTCGAATGTCTGTTAGAATTCAGATGTGAATCCATCTGGTGCTGGACTTTTATCTGTTGGTAGCTTTTTAATTAACATTTCAATCTTGCTGCTTGTTATTGGTCTGTTGAGCATTTCTATTTCTTCCTGGTTTAATCTAGGAGGGTTGTATATTTCCAGGAATTTATCCATCTCTTCTATGTTGTCTAGTTTGTGCACATAAAGGTATTCATAGTAGCCTTGAATGACCTTTTGTATGTCTGTGGTATTGGTTGTAGTATCTCCCATTTTATTTCTAAATGAGCTCTTTATCTTATCCCTTCTTTTCTTCATTAATCTCACTAACGGTCAATCAATTTTATTTATCTTTTCAAAGAACCAGCTTTTTGTTTCATTTATCTTTTGTATTTTCTTTTTCTATTTCAATTTCACTTCGTTCTGTTCTGATCTTGGTTATTTATTTTCTTCTGCTGGGTTTGGGTTTGCTTTGTTCTTGTTTCTCTAGTTTCTTGAGGTGTAATCTTAGATTGTCTATTTTGCTCTTTCCGAATTATTGATGTAGGCATTTAATGCTATGAACTTTCCTATTAGCACTGCTTTTGCTGTATCCTAGAGGTTTTGATCAGTTGTGTCACTATTATTTTTCAGTTCAAAGAAATTTTAAATTTCAATCCTGATTTCATTGTTGACCCAATGGTCATACAGGAGCATTTTATTTAATTACCATGTATTTGCATGTTTTTGAGGGTTCCTTTTGTAATTGATTTTCAATTTTATTCCACAGTGGTCTGAGAGAGTACTTGATGTAATTTTGATTTTCTTAAATTTGTTGAGACTTGTTTTGTGGACTATCATATGATCTATCTTGGAGAATGTTCCATTCTAATGAATATAACATATATTCTGCAGTTGTTGGGTAGAATGTACTACTGTAAATATCTATCAAGTCCATTTGTTGTAGGATATAGTTTAAGTCCATTTTTTGTTGTTGTTGACTTTCTGTATTGATGACTTGTCTAATGCTTTCAGTGGAGTATTGACGTTCCCCACTATTATTGTGTTGCTGTCTATCTCATTTCCTAGATCTAGTAGTAATTGTTTTATAAATTTAGGGGCTCCAGTGTTAGGTGCATATATATTTAGGACTGTGATATTTTCCTGTTGGACTAGTACTTTATCATTATATAATCCCTCTTTGTCTTTTTTAATGGCTATTGCTTTAAAATTTGTTCTGTCTGCTATAAGAATAGCTACTCCTGCCCTTTTTTGTTGTCCATTTGCATGGAGTACCTTTTCCACTCCTTTACCTTAATTTTATGTGAGTCCTTATATATCAGGTGAGTCTCTTGAAGACAGCAGGTACTTGGTTGGTAAGTGTTTAACCATTCTGCTATCTTTTATCTTTTAAATGGAGTATTTAGGCCATTTACATTCAACATTAGTATTGAGATGTGATGTACTATTCTATTCATCATGCTATTTGATGCCTGAATACCTTGCTTTTTTTCATTGTGTTATTGTTGTATAGGTACTATGAGATTTACGCTTTAAGGAGATTCTATTTTAGTGTATTTTGAGGATTTGCTTCAAGATTTAGAGCTCCTATTAGCAGTTCTTATAGTGCTGGCTTGTTAGTGGCTAATTATCTCAGCATTTGTTTATCTGGAAAAAGTTGTATCTTTCCTTCATTTATGAATTGTAGTTTCTGTGGGTACAAAATTCTTGGTTGACAGTTGTTTTGTTTAAGAAGGCTAAAGATAGGAGCCCCATCCCTTCTAGCTTGTAGGGTTTCTGCTGAGAAATCTACTGTTAATCTGATAGGTTTTTCTTTATAGGTTACCTGATGCTTTTGCCTCATAGCCCTTAAGATTCTTTCCTTCGTCTTGACTTTAGATAACCTGACTTTAGATAACTATGTGCCTAGGCGATGGTCTCTTTGTGATAAATTTCCCAATTGTTCTTTGAGCTTCTTGTATTTGAATACCTAGATCCCTAACAAGGCTGGGGAAGTAGTCCTTGATTATTCCCTCAAATATAAATATATTTTCCAAACTTTTAGATTTCTCTTCTCCCTCTGGAATGCCAATTATTCTTAGGTTTCATCATTTAACATAATCCCAAACTACATGGAGGCTTTGTTCATTTTTTAAATTATTTTTTCTTTGTCTTTGTCTGATTGAATTATTTCAAAAGCCTTATCTTTGCACTCTGAAGTTCTTTCTTCTACTTGTTCAATTCTATTACTAAGACTTTCCAGTGCATTTTGCATTTCTCTAAGTGTGTCCTTGATTTCCTGAAGTTGTGATTGTTTTTCAGTTATGCTATCTATTTCACTAGAGTTTTTTTATTCATATCCTGTATCATTTTTTTATTTCTTTATGTTGGATTTGACCTTTCTCTGGTGCCTTCTTAATTGTGTAATACCGACCTTCTGAGTTCTTTCTCTGGAAATTCAGAGATTTTATCTTGGTTTGTGTCCATTGCTGGTGAGCAAGTGTGATCTTTTGGGGATGTTAAAAAACCTTGTTTTGTCATATTACCAGAATTGTTTTCTGGTTCCTTCTCATCTGGGTCGACTATGTCAGAGGGAAGACTGGGACTCAAGGGCTGCTGTTTAGATTCTTTTCTCCCATGGGGTGCTCCCTTGATGTGGTGCTCTTCCCTTTTTCTTAGGCATGTGGCTTGAGAGAGACAAACTGTAGTGATTGTTTTTGCTCTTCTGGATCTAGCCACCCAGCAGTGCTACAGGGATAGTAGTGGGGAGTGTCTGCAAAGAGTCCCATTATGTGATCCGTCTTCAGATTCCTCATCCGTGGATGCCAGAACCTACACTAGTGGAGGTAGCTAGGGAGTGAAGTAGACTTTGTGAGGGTCCTTGGTTGTATTTTTGTTAAGTGCGCTGGTTTTGTGTTGGTTGGCCTCCAGCCAGGAATTTGCACTTTCAAGACCACATCAGCTATGATTGTATAGGGAGAAGACAAGCTTGCTTGAGGGTTGTCTTTGGATAAGTATTCAGGTTTCTCAGATGGTGGGCAGGGCCATAAAGCTCCCAAGAGATTATGTCCTTAGGAGTGTCTGAGCTCCTACATGCCTAACCCTGCCCCTACCTGATTATTATTTTATTGCAACTTTTCACTAACACGGTTACTAATAAGCCTGTTGTATGTAACACATGATACTGGAAAATGTATACTTGGGCACATAATCTAGAGGAAATTTGGAAACATTCATTAAAAGCCTCAAGTATTTTTAAATGACTTACTCCACAATGTCACTTACAGAAATGTATTTTAAAATAAGGGACATATATCAAAAAAAGAAACCCATTAAAATATTAATACTTAAAGTATTAAAGAAAAAGCAACAGACATTTAAATGCTTATGCAAATTTGACAAGGCTCATTAAAATGATAAGATCATATTATTACGTATGAATGCTGTGTTTATATGTGCTTATGACCTATTGTCAACTTTTTTCTTTTTTTTTTTTTGAAACAGGGTCTCATTCCATCATGTAGGCTGGAGTGCAGTGGCTAATGACTCAGTCGTGGCTTACTGCAGCCTTCACCTCTTAGGCACATGCAGTCCTCCCACCTCAGCCTCACCATGTTGCCTAGGCTGGTCTTGAACTTCTGGGTTCAAGCGATCCTCCCACCTCAGCCTCCCAAAGTGCTGGGATTATAGGCATGAGCCACCAAGTCTAGTCTATTTTTTTAAGTATATAATAGACTTAAATATGCATAGGTAATAAATATTTTAACTTTATGTTTACTCTTTCTTTTAATCACTTAAATAAATATTCAATCGTAAACCAAGTACTTTAGACAGCCAGTCTCCTCATTGTTATTTCAGAACTTTTCCAAAGGGGTATCGCTTCCATCTCCACAATCCATTTCTCTCGTCTGGCTCTCAGCATGATTCTGAGTGCCACTTTATGTTCTCGCTGTACTTGGCTCCAAGTGCTGAACAATTCTTTTCCCCTTCATTCATGAAGGTGTTTATAACTGGGCTGTTGTATGAACAAACATTCAGGCTTACTAGAAAGGGACTACAGGATAATGTAAAATAGGAAAGATTTTTTATTTGAAGATCAGTCACCCTAAATCTCCTTGGCAGGTAACGTTAACAGAGATTCACCATTTGCTGTACTTCTCTTAACGTCTTATTTGCTGCATATTCCATGGTGCCGTCCCTTTCCACTGTGCATAATGACGCTCAGGCTGACAGTTCAAAACTCCAAAGTTTTCTATCCTTTAAAGTATACATAAATCTGTTCATTAACCTGTAACAAGAGTGGGCCTAATACATAACCTTGCTTATACAAGAAGTTCGCTGACAAGTCACTCTAAACACATTAGTAATAGATGGCTGCCACCACTTATATTAGGACTATTCTAATACTTTTTAGACTATAGTAAAGTGTTTTATATTTATTCCTACATTGTGTGCAACAAAATGACTAGGACATCATATATCGATATACTATATAAATTACAAGTAATTTTCCGCCATATTTTATGTTTTTTGAGAATTGTTCTTTAGGTTATATAATTTTTATAATTATAAATGAAGATAAATAATTACTACATTAAGAAGAAAGGAAAATAAGAAGAAAAAAGAAAGGAAGGAAGGAAGGAAAGAGGTTAGTTACTAGAAAATAGCCTGTGCTGAAAACTTGACCCAGGTCAGAGTATGGTGGACTTGTTTTGATTCTGAAATCATATTCTAGAATGTTTAAGTCATGAGTACAAAGTAAAATCATAAAAAAAAGAAAAGCAGGAGAAATCTTAAGAGTAACTTTTGTTCTGTCTTAATCTGGCATTACCTGGCATCTTTCTCTCAACTTTCCACAAATAGTTGTAAAGTTATATTCTTAAACACACACTGGCACTATGCTGAAAACCAGAGGCAGGGAACATAATTGATAGCAAATATGATGGACATTCCACTGAGTTTATTGATGGAAAACAATTTTAAAGTCTTTTTTTTTTTTTTGAGATGGAGTCTCACTCTGTCACCCAGGCTGGAGTTCAGTGGCATGATCTTGGCTCACTGCAACCTCTGCCTCCTGGGTTCAAGCGATTCTTCTGCCCTAGCCTCCCGAGTAGCTGGGACTACAGGCATGTGCCACCATGCCCAGCTAATTTTTGTATTTTTTTTTTTAGTAGAGACGGAGTTTCACTGTATTGGCCAGGCTGATCTCGAACCCTTGACCTCATGATTCACCAGCCTCAGCCTCCCAAAGTGCTGGGATTACAGGAGTGAGCCACCACGCCAGGCTGAAAAATCCATTTTAAAATTGAACATCATCCACCATCAGAACCAGATATGCACAGGCAAACCCACAGAGGGTCTGCAGGGCTCCAGTGACTCCAGGCTGTCCTCCACACATTCCAGGACACAGGTCATGTGACACCAAAGCAAACCAGCCAGGGGTGTGCTGTGACTTAGCCCAAACCCATCTTGTGCCTTTGTTTCTCCATTTGCTCAGAAGTCAGCCTGCAAAACCATTGTGAGAATAAGTGATGTATCATTGGAGTTGATTTCCTAGGATTGCTAAATAAAGGCATTAAGAGGAAACCAAATTTACATTATTTTTTATAATTTGTTAAACACATGATTATTTAATGTCTAATAATGCCATGATCGAAGTTTCAATTCTGAGTAAATCAGACACAGCCCCTACACACATGGCAAACATCCTAGGAGCCATAAAGCAAACAAATAAATGCATAACATTGTCGGCCATTTTTCTGTTCTGCACCAGCATCTGTGCTGCTGAGCCTTGGGACAACATCACCTGCCTTGGGGGCTGGTGTGGAACGAGGACACAGAATCCTGCTGGAAGGAGAAGGAAGGATAATTGTTTCAGGAGCAGAAGCTACCCTCAGTAGAGAATTGGTAGCATTTTCTAGAATTCTATATAAATAGAATTACATAAATACGTATTTTTGTTTGGCTTCCATTACTCATCTTAATGACTTAGAGACTCATCCCCACTGTGGCTTGTATTAATAGGTTACTTTTATTCTTTGCAGTTGTGGTTTTCATGAATAAGTGGTATTTCATTGTATAAACAGAACATGGCATGTTAATGTATTTTTCAGCTGATGGACATCTGGGTTGTTTCCAGTCTTTGACTACTAAAAGTAAAGCTAGTATGGATATTTGTGTGAGTAAATGTTGTCCTTTCTGTTAGGTAAATTTTAGGAATAGAATGGCTGCGCTGAATTTGAAGTACACGTTTAGCTATTTAAGAAACAGCTAAATGCTTTCCAAGTAACTAGATATGCTGTTTCGCGAAAGGGCTATATATGCAAAGCAACCCCCAAATGCAGAAGGAGCAGAGAAAGCAAACAATGAGGCAGACAAAGCCAGTTTGACAGTAGAGATGCTTCATTAGGGAACTTAGGGTCAGAAGTGTAGTCTTGGGTGGCTCTAAGGTAGCTAGATCTTCACACTGTCACCCCAAGACCCGGAGCTTATATACTTTAGTGAAAGGGTATGCATGCTTCAGAAGAAATAGGTAGGACAACCAAAGTTGATGCTTTAAGGAAACAAAAGAATGCTATATGCAACACAGCCTATAATTCACTTAAGAGCAGGATTTGTGATAACTATGTGCCCTTACACTGAACAGTGGATAAAGTAGAAATCTTCCAGGTGTTCATTCGGAACTGGAGTTAATCAGAAGTCAGTATGGCAAATTAGCATCCAAAATGGAGTCGCCGTAGCCTACATATGTGCTGTTTTACTTTCCCAGGAATAATACATATGATTTTAGTTGTTCCACATACTCACCGGCATTTAGTACTGTCGGTCTATTATATAATAATTGTATCTATTTCAGTGGGAATGCAGTAAAAAGAACTCCAGCAAGACTGCTTATAAATACAAAGAAGAAAAAAATGGAAGGAGGGAAAAAAAAGGGAGGAAGGAAGGAAGAAAAAAAGAAAGGAAGGAAGGTTGCACACAAATGCAATGCTGAATAGAAAAAAGAAAATATGGACATAGAAGAGCATCAATAATAACAAGGAAAATATTATCAACAATTGAGTGCTAACGAATTTGAGAACCTAGGTAAAATCGGATCTACAAATATTTAAAATAGGATTTATAAATGTATATCATGTCAACTTTGGCATAAAACTATAGAACTTGAATAAACTAAGTAAATAAATGAAAATATTACTAACAACCTCTCCAAGTCCCCTAAGTCCCTAGGCCTTGATGATTTTCCAGGTGAACCTTACCAATTAAAAATTAATTCTTATCTTATGCAATATATAAAATAGCTATAACTTCTAATTTCATTTTTTAATCTAGTGTACCCTAAAGAGAGGTAAAGTGTACCCTAAAGACAACAAATATAATTATCATTTCAATCACGAATATAGATACAAAACACATAAATAAAATATTAGCTAACTAAATACAAATGAAATATAATCAATTATAATCAATTGAGGTTTATCCCAGAAATTTCAAGATGTTTTAAAATCAGAAATATAATTTATCACATTAATTAATATAAAGAAAATATAATTTTTTCTATCAATGCAGGTAAAAAAATCATCTGGCCATCCAATTATAGAATATTTCAACAAACTAGGAATGGTAAAGAACTTCCACAGCTTTGCAGAAATTTTTAGGACGCAAATAGGAAAATAGATGATAGATTGATAGTTGATAGGTAGATGGATAGACAGATAGATAGATAACAGAACCATAATTATATGCTTATTAGGGAACCATTTGAGACATCTCCTTTACAATAAGAAAAAAATGCAAGAATATCCACTCTCACCTCATCTATTTAGTAGAATGCTGCCATTCCTGGCAAATGTTATGAGGAGAAACAAATAAGGGTGTATAGTCTAGAAGAAAAGAGATTGAACTACCTTTATTTTGAGGTAATATAGGACCTAGCTAACTGAAATAGCCAACAGAAACAACAGACAGCAATAGGCACTAATAAGTGAGATAAAAAATGTTTCCATTGCTTTAACTATGAAAACTCATGCATACTGGTAATTTTAATTCAGAAATGTAAGATACCCTTTAAAGAGGCAATAGAATTGTAACGTTTCTAGGAAGTTATTCACCAAGAAGATACATAAAATCCACAGAGAAGGCTTTACAACTACAATAATAAAAATAAGTCAAAATGAATAGATGAAGAATTATTCCATTGATCATTTTGAAATATAAATTCTCAGAAAATTAATCTAAAAATACAATCCCAATTAAGTGTTGGCTGGCTACCTTGAAAAACTCAATTAGATGTGGTGTGTGTGTGTGTGTGTGTGTGTGTGTGAGAGAGAGAGAGAGAGAGAAATGGGGGAATTTTTTTTACTTCTGAAATAAGTATTGAATTGAATGAATTTTAACCATTTATACATTATACATTTTCAGGAAACTTGGAAATCTAGACAGTTGAGTTAAACATAGAAACAAGCATATTAGATCCAACAATACATGGAACAACTTGTGGAAATTGAAGCAGGCAAATAAATTACATTGTCAAGTGAGTGAGCCCTCGTGTATATCCCTTGGGAAGGGCTTCTAGTCCACAAGGAACTGGTGAAGATCTCTCAGGACTCGATAGTTTAAAGAAGTGATATGCTTGGCTTGTTATCTAACAGGGATTCACTCTTCAGAAATATGAGTAGATTATAAAAGTACAATGTGGTGTTGATTCTAAGATGAGAGAGATAGGAACCAGAAACAACTGAGGACAAGCGGCAAAACGAAGGTCTATGGAACTCTCTGGACTTGGCATATGAGTTAGTCCTGGGCACTTTGCTGTGTAATATTGGTTAATGGAACAGACAGGAAAACAGGTTGTTTTCTTTCAGCTTGCTACATAAACTTCAGGTAGTTAAGTAATCATGTCATGGCCCGAGTTCTTCATTTTAATTTTTTTTTAATTATACATTTTATTTTTAAAGCAGTTTTGGGTTTATAGATAATTTGAGCAGGATGTATGGAGAGTTCACACATACCCTCTTTCTGCCCCACAGTATCCCCTGTTATTAACATTTTGCACTAGTATAGCACATTGCGAAAATTGATGACTGTATATTTATATATTTCTAAACTACATGAAATTCACTCTTTGTGTTGTAAAGTTCTTTGGGTTTTGAAAATGCATGTATTGACCATTACAGTATCATACAGACTAGTTTCACTGCCCTGAGGAGCCTGGTGCTCCATCTATTCATCCTTTCCACTCTCCCCAGAGTCCCTGACAACCACTGATGAACTTTTAATTGTCTCTGCAGAGTGTCTTATAGTTGGAAACATACAGTATGTAACTTTTTCAGACTAGGTTCTTTCACATAGCAACAAGCATTTAAGGTTCCTCCATGTCTTTCATGGCTTGATAGCTCATTTTGTTATTGTTGAATAATAATATCCTATTGCATGGATGTACCACAGTTTGCTTATCCATTCACCTATTGGATATCTTGGTTGCTTCATTTTTGGTAATGATGAATAAAGCAACCATAAATATTTGTATGTATGTTTTTTTGTGGACATACATCTTTAACTCATTTGGGTAAAAACCTACGAGTGTTGTTCTTAATTGTGTGGTAAGAGTATGTTGAATTTTGTTAGAAACTCCCAAACTGTTTTGTTTAGTGGCTGCACCATTTTGCATTCCCATCAGCAGAGCAGGAGAGTTCCCATTGCTCTACACCATTGACAGCATTTGGTGCTGTCAATCTTTGGGCTTTTAGCCATTCTAATAGGTGTGTGGTGAGATCTCACTTATTTTGATGTGCATTTTTCTAATGACATATGATATTGAGGATCTCATCCTATGCTTATTTTTTATCTTGAATCTTTTTTGGTGAGGAGTATGTTAAGATCTTTTGTCCATTTTTCATGAGTTTGTTTTTCTTCTTAAATTTTTTAGATACATATTTTGCAAATATATTCTCCCAGCCTGTGGCTTGTACTTTCATTCTTTAAAGAATGTCTTTCACAGAGCAGAAGTTTTTAATTATGAAGAATCCACTACGTTATTGTTTTATCTTTTATAGATTGTGCTTCTGGGACTGTCCAAAAATTCATTGCTAAACCCAGGCTTAGGTAGATTTTCTCTTGTGTTATCTTCTGGAACTATTATAGTTTCACATGTTACATTTAAGTCTATGATTGATTTTGAGTTATATATCAATAACTCCTCCCTATTGTCATTTCTCCTGGCATAAGATAGTTTATCTAAATATTTTTGGTCAATTAAAAACATCAGATCATAAGTTGCTATTTAAAATATTAAAGATATCAGTCTTATGCAGATTATTTTAAAATGTTATAAGTGAAGTAATTGCCAATTATCCACAATATGTTGGGATATTTCAACTTGAATCCTAAACAGAAATAATTTGTAAAAAAAATAGAAGATCTATAAAACTTCTGAAATTAGGGTAAGACGTGGTAGTCTCTTTTTTACATATTTATTGAGCTTACCAGGTTATTAAAGTGCTCTAAAACAGCTAGGTAATCAGCATGGATAATATGGACTTGTCAAACAACTATCTGTACTGATTTTACTAAGGATTGTGAAAATTCTAAAAATATCTGTCCTACTTTTTCATTATCATAACTTTATGTGACACAAGTATGCATACAAAAGTAAAATGTCTTTTCATGAGGGTGCAACCATTATTACGAATAGGTGATATAAACCAGTTCTTAAGCTGGGCTCCTGATTGACACTGAAGTAAGTTAGAAGACTGTTCATGATTTAGAAAGCATAATTAATGTCAGCTGGCTTTCACCATTATTAAATTTTGCTTTAAAATGCTACATTAGAAGATAAAAATATGATCAAAGAACTAGGAAGTTATAGAACCATTTATACTTTGAAATTTCAATGCTTTTAATGATTCTTTGACAAAGAACTAAGCAAGATCATAGACTCGCTGCACTAATGATCATAAATGCTGCCCTGAATTAGAACAGAAAGAATATCTTGTTTGAGACTTCTTAAATTCTCCTTTGTGGCTGTTTATGCACTGACTTACATTTGAAGTGGTTGGGTAAGAACTGACATTAGCCACATGGTTTCATAGTGTTTGGGATTTCTGTTTTTCTGTTCCTAATACTTGGGGTGAGAAATGAAATATATTTGGATATCTGAATTATCTCTGAGGAGTTACTTTTTATGCTGGTTTCTGAAAAGTGCATTCCCTCTAGAATTTTGTCGTATCAAACTTACTCCTGTTTGATGAGAGTACAGGGAAACAAAAAAGACATATTCACAACATTATAATAATAAAAATACTATATCACTGAAGTATTGATATGTAAGGCTGTGTATTCACTCCTTCATACACAGTCACACATAATACTCACATGAGCCACATAAGTAGGTAAAATAATTGTTACCACTTGACAAACAAGGATGTAGAGCCTGTGTAAACTAAATCTTCCCAGGAATTCACACAGGATGTTCATTTCTTACCAGGCCTCAAATATTGATTTATTCATATATGACACAGAAGCCCTCTCAAATATTGATTTATTCATATATGACACAGAAGCCCTCAGATGTATACACTATCTTATTATTTCTCTAATCAGAACTACTTTGAATAAGAATATATACTACCAATAGGGCTAGCAAGGATGACATTAGTGCTTGCCATTTTATAGGATCTCTCTAAATATTAACATGTATTCATACAAGTACACACACACATACATGCACATATGTACGTATATTATGTAACAGGTGACTGGCCTGTGTGTTGATGCACTATCAGTAGAGGCCTGAGCTAAATGGGCCTCTCTGTTACCAGACATCCATGCGTGCCCACACAAAGGATTTTCATTGGAGGTGTTTGCTTATTTAAAGTTTCTTGTTTTTACAGTTTAAAATTGATTCAGAAAAAAAACATTGAAACAAGTTTTTAAAAATTTTTAAACAAAATATAATTAAACTTATTTAGATAGAGATCTGAATCTTCACATTCTCTCAAAGTTGAACAGTTGTAGCTAAAAAAAGAAATAGGCAAAGTGACAGCTTCAGTAATATGAATAAATTTTACTGACAGTCCTACCAAATTTAAAATATGAAATTGATATATGTATGAAAATATTTTATGGAAAGCTCAAAAACACCCCTCAAAGTAGTGAGCTTGAAGGAATACTGGTTCCTTCAAACACCATGGCAAACGGTGGGATTGTTTATTAATGATTTTTATGGGTTGGAAAATATTTATTGACATGTAACATGAGTAACTCACTCTACTGGAGACTTGCACAAAAAATTACAACACTTACTTTCAGGAAGTTTACAGTCTAGTTTGGTAAATAGACTTGGAAGCAGGAAACTATGAATAAGATCACCACGTTATCCTTGAAAATGTATTCTGTGTGCTACAGGCCTGCTGCCACTGGAATGCTCATTTTCTTTCTGACTTTTAAACCATCATTTTCGCTAAAATGTACTTACAATGATCTTCTAATGGCATAATTCAGAATTCATAATTAGGTGTTCAATTAGGTGGCACAATTCAAAATTAGATATTCTCCTAATTGCACAATTTAGAATACTTTCTATTTTTTTTTTTTTTTTTGTAATTCTCACTCTAAGACTGATTTGGCATTTGACCACTACCTATTGTTTTAATTAATAGACTTATTTTTTAGAAGACAATTATATTTACAGCAAAACTGAGTGGAGAGTGGCTTCACACTCCTCACACATATTGTTTTTCTTGTTATTAAATTCTTACATGAATATGGTAGTGTATTACACTGTTCTTGGGTTTCTATAAAGAAATACCTAACACTGGATAAATTAATTATAAGTGACACAGCAGGAGCAATGCCATCTTGGACAAGCACCACTATTCTAAAGTTCACCTTGATCAAAAACTGCCTGAATCCAAGGGGCATCAGCCTAATGACTAAGGTCAGCATGACCATAAACCACAAATGACGTCTCCAACCAGAAACATTCCAAACCCCTCCCCAACCAGAGACATGCCAGCTCAGAGATAACCTCCCCTCCAGCCAGAGAGATGTCAGCACCAAGAAAACCTCCCCTCCAACCAGAGACATTTCAACCTCACCATAAACTTCTCCTCCACACAGAAACATTCCAAGCTTGTAATAAGCTCTCTCTCCAATAAATACTCTTAGTCTCTAAGAGAGAGTGCTCCTGACCGAAATCGGCCAGAAGCCCCTCTCAGGTTTATTCTCCAAAATAAACCTGTCTTTGACTGTTGAGCTGCTTTTTGTGTTTCTTTCCTC
The DNA here is from genome assembly GCF_000001405.40 of Homo sapiens. NCBI lineage: Eukaryota > Metazoa > Chordata > Mammalia > Primates > Hominidae > Homo > Homo sapiens. The sequence continues at coordinate 54,036,687 of NC_000007.14, forward strand.
TTTCTTTAACTCTTACAAAAAGAAAAGAGGTTTAATTGGCTCATGGTTCTGCAGGCTGTACAGGAAGTGCAGTACCAGCATCTGCTTCTGGTGAGGTGTCAGGAACCTTCCAATTATGGTGGAAGGTGAAGGTGGAAAAGGCACAACACATTGTGAGAGCAGGAACAAGAGAAGTGGGAGGTGCCACACACTTTTAAGCAACCAGATCTTGTGAGAACTCACTCACTATTGTGAGGACAGCACCAAGCCATGTGAGATCTGTCCCCATGACCCAAACACCTCCCACCAGGCTCCACCTCCACCACTGGGGCTTATATTTCAAAATGAGATTTGGGCAAGGACAAATATCCAAACTATATCATTCTGCCCCTGTACCCCATACCCAAATCTCATGTCCTTTTCACACTGCAAAATACAATAACCTCCTGCTAATGGTCTCACAAAAGTCTCAACTTGTTTCTGCATCACTCAAAAATCCAAAGTCTCATCTGAGACAAGGCAAGTCCCTTTCATCTACCAGCCTATAATATCAAAACTAGTTACTTACTCCTAAGATACAATGGGATTACAGGCATTGTTTTAATATTCCCATTCCAAAAGTGAGAAATTGGCCAAAAGAAAGGGGCAACAGGCCCCACACAAGTCTGAAACCCAGCAGGGCAGTCATTAAATCTTAAAGCTCCAACATAACTCTTGACTCCACGTGCCACATTCTGGTGGAAGGTGTTGGCTCCCAAGGCCTTAGGCAACTCTACCTCAGTGGCTTTCCAGGATACAGCCCCTGCAGCTGCTCTAACAAGCTGAAGTTGAGTGCCTGTGGCTTTCCAGGCTCAGGGTGCAAGCTGCTGCTGAATCTACCATTCTGGAGCCTGGAGGACAGTGGCCTCCTTCCTTCCCACAGCTCTACTAGGCAGTGCCCCATTGGGGACTCTGTGCGGGCTCTCCAAATCCATATTTCCCCTCTGTCCTGCCCTAGTAGAGGTTCTCCAGGAGGGCTGTGCCCCTGCAGCAGGTTTCTGCCTGGGCACCCAGGCCTTCTCATACATCCTCTGAAATCTAGGCAGAGGTTGCCAAGCCTTCTTCACCATTGCATTCTGCAAACCTGCAAGCTTAACACCACATGGAAACCACCAAGGCTCATGGCTTGCACCTTCTGAAGCAGCAGCATGAGCTGTATCTGGGGCCTTTTGAGTCCAGGCTGGAGTTAGAGTGGCATGGATGTGGGGAGCAGTGTCCAGAGGCTGCACAGGGTAGCAGAGCACTGGACTGGACCGATGAAAGCATTTAGTTTTCCTAGACCTTAGGGCCAGTGACAGGAGGGGCTGTCTGAGAGATCTCTGAAATACCTTCCAGGCCTTTTTCCCACTGTCTTGGCTATTAGCACCTGGTTGTTTTTTAGTCATGCAAATCTCTGTATCAAGTGGTTGCTCCTCAGCCTGTTTGAATTCCTCTCCCTTTGTCATGTGGCTAGGCTGCAAATTTTCCAAACTTTTACAACTTGCTTCTGCTTTAAATATAACTTTCAACTTAAAGGCATGTCTTTGCTCTTGCATCTGAGAATAGACTTTTAGAAGCAGCTAGACCACATTTGAATACTTTGCTGCTTGGAAAGCTGTTCTGCCAGATACGTTATATTATCACTCTGAAGTTCAAACTTTCACAGATTCCCTAAGTCACAAACAGAATGCAGCCAAGCTCTTTGCTAAGGCACAACATAGGTAATCTTTGCTGCAGTTTCCAATAAGTTTCTCATTTCCATCTGAAATCTCATGAGCCTGGACTTCACTATCCATATCACTATCAGCATTTTGGTCACAACCATTTAACCAGTTTCTAAGAAGTTCCAAACTTTCCCTCGTCTTCCTGTCTTCTTCTGAGCCCTCCAAACTCTTCCAACCTCTGCCTGCTAGACAGTTCCAAAGCTGCTTCCACATTTTCAGGTATCTTTATAGCAATACCTCACTTCTGGAACCAATTTTCTCTATAGGTCATTCTTGCACTGCAATAAAGAAATACCTGAGGTGGGGTAACTTATAAGAAAAGAGACTTAATTGGCTCATGGTTCTGAAGACTCTGTAAGAAGCATAGTGCCGACATTTGCTTTTGGTGAGGACTTCAGGAAGCTTACAATCATGGTGGAAGGTAAATTGGGAGCAGCCATGTCACATGGCAGGAGAGAGAGCTCCTTTGTGCTGTGCCTTTTCACAGACTTTCCATGTTTTTGATTACCTGACATTTTGAGGAGTATCAGTCAGGTATATTGAATGATGACTCTCTATTAGAATTCATCTAATGTTTTTCTCATCACTTGACTGTGTGGGAAGAAGACCACAGAAGTATAGTATGGTTTTTATCACATTATAACAAGTTTACGTATTATTAACCTGACTTATCACTATTAACTTTGATCTTGATCACCTGATGGAAGTAGTGTCACCCAAAAGCTCTGCTGTTGAATAGCAATTTACCCAGAGTAGAACTTATTTCAAAATTGAATTCAATTTTCTCAAACCCTGCCATTATTTTATCGACTAAATTCATATGATATTCTAAATTCTTTGTCATTATTTCAGCAATGTTCACAGCATCTTCACCAGGAGTAGACGCCATGACAAGAAACTGTTTTCCCTGCTAATCAATAAGAAGCAGCTCCTCACCTGTTCATGTTAGATAATGGATTGCAGCAATTCAGTCACTTCTTCAGGTTCCACTTCTAAATATAGTTATCTGGCTTTTCTACCACATCTGCAGTTGCTTCCTCCACTGCAGACTAAACCCCTCAAAGTCATTCATGAGGGGTGGAAACAACTTTTTTTAAACTCCTGTTAATGTTGATATTCTAACCCCTTCCATAAATCACAAATGGTCTTAATATCTAAAAGGTAAATACTTTCTGAAAGGTGTACAATTTACTATGTGCAGATCCATTAGAGGAATCACAATCCATGGCAGCTATAACCTTACAAAATGTATGTCCTAAATAATAAGACTCAAAAGTAAAAAAATACTCAATGATCTGTGGGGTGCAGAATGGATGTTGTGTTAGTGGGCATGAAAATTATATTAATCTCCTTGTCCATCTCCATCAGAGCTCCAGGCGACTAGGTGCATTGTCAATGAGTAATAATAGTTTGGAAAAAAAAATCATTTTTTATTCTGAGAAGCCGGTCTCAAGAGTAGACTTAAAATATTCAATAAGCCATGCTGTCATCCAGGCTTTTTTATCCCATTGATAGAACACAGGCAGAATAGATTTAGCATAATTGTTAAAGAGTTCTGGGATTTTCAGAATGGTAAATGAGCATTGATTTCAACTTAGAGTCACCAGTTCCATTAGCCTCCAGTAAGAAAGTCAACCTGTTGGTCATGGTAAGCCTAGCTTTTGTCCTGTCTTTGCTTTCAACATGCTTTCCTTGCTAAGCTTAATCATTTCTAGTTTTTGATTGAAAGTGACAGATGTTCAACTCCTTTTTTCATCTGAACACTCTGGGTAATTATGGCCTAATTTTAATAATGTTGTAGCCAAGAATTATGGAAGTCTAAGGAAAGGGAGAGAGATGGGGGAAGAGCTGGTTGGTGGAGTAGTCAGAACACACACAATATATATCAGTTATGTTTGCTGTCTTATATGAGCACAGTTTATGGCACCCCAAAATAATTACAATTCTAACATCAAAGATCACTGATCCCAGATCACCATAACAGTTATAATAATAATGATAACATTTTAAATATGTGAGAACTACCAAAATGTGACACAAAGACACAAAATGAGCACATGCTATCAGGAAAATGGCTCCAACAGACTTGCTCCACAGCAAAGTTGCCACAAACATTTAATTGAAAAGATGCAATCTGTGAAGCACAAAAAAGCAAAGTGCAGTAACACTCAACATTTCTGTACATCAGATTTTCTTTATCCAGTCAACTGACAAAAGACATTTAGGTTATCTCCGTATATTGGCTGTCGTGAAGAATTCTCCAATGAACATGAAAGTGCATATATCTCTTTGTGATCCTGTTTTCAATTCCTTTGGATATATACCCAGAAGTGGGATTCCTGGATCACACAGTAGTTCTATTTTTAATTATTTGAGGAAATTCTATACTGTTTTTTGTAATGGCTGCTTTAGTAAGTTGTATTTTCATTTTTCTTTGCATTGATGTATTTTTAAATTTTCTTTCAATTTCCTCCTTTACCCAGTTTTTATTCAAGAATGTGTTATTTCATTTTTCTGTGTTTGTGAATTGTCCTTTTTGTTTCTGTTATTGCTCTCTAGTTTCATTGCACTATGATCTGAGAAAATACTTGGCATAATTTCAATCTTCTTAAATTTGTTAATATTCACTTTAACATGTAATCTATTATGGATAATGTTCTGTGTGCCCTAGAGAAGAATGTGCATTTGGCTGCTGTTGGCTGGACATTTCCGTATATGTCTACTTGGTTCATTTGGTTTATAATGTTGTTCAAGTCAGTTGTCTGTTACTGATTTTTTGGTGGATATTTTATCCTTTATTGAAATGGGGTATTAAAGTTTCTTACTGTTATTGTATTACTGTCAATTTCTCCATTCACATCTGTCAAACATTTCTTTTTTTTATTTTTTTTATTTTATTATTATTATACTTTAAGTTTTAGGGTACATGTGCACAATGTTCAGGTTAGTTGCATATGTATACATGTGGCATGCTGGTGTGCTGCACCCATTAACTCGTCATTTAGCATTAGGTATATCTCCGAATGCTATCCCTCCCCCCTCCCCCACCCCACAACAGTCCCCAGAGTGTGATGTTCCCCTTCCTGTGTCCATGTGTTCTCATTGTTCAATTCCCACCTATGAGTGACAATATGCGGTGTTTGGTTTTTTGTTCTTGCGATAGTTTACTGAGAATGATGATTTCCAATTTCATCCATGTACCTGAAAAGGACATGAACTCATCATTTTTATGGCTGCATAGTATTCCATGGTGTATATGTGCCGCATTTTCTTAATCCAGTCTATCATTATTGGACATTTGGGTTGGTTCCAAGTCTTTGCTATTGTGAATACTGCCACAATAAACATATGTGTGCATATGTCTTTATAGCATCATGATTTATAGTCCTTTGGGTATATACCCAGTAATGGGATGGCTGGGTCAAATGGTATTTCTAGTTCTAGATGCCTGAGGAATCACCACACTGACTTCGACAATGGTTGAACTAGTTTACAGTCCCACCAACAGTGTAAAAGTGTTCCTATTTCTCCACATCCTCTCCAGCACCTGTTGTTTCCTGACTTTTTAATGATTGCCATTCTAACTGGTGTGAGATGGTGTCTCATTGTGGTTTTGATTTGTATTTCTCTGATGGCCAGTGATGGTGAGCATTTTTTCATGTGTTTTTTGGCTGCATAAATGTCTTCTTTTGAGAAGTGTCTGTTCATCTCCTTTGCCCACTTTTTGATGGTGTTGTTTGTTTTTTTCTTGTAAATTTGTTTGAGTTCTTTGTAGATTCTAGATATTAGCCCTTTGTCAGATGAGTAGGTTGCGAAAATTTTCTCCCATTCTGTAGGTTGCCTGTTCACTCTGATGGTAGTTTCTTTTGCTGTGCAGAAGCTCTTTAGTTTAATTAGATCCCATTTGTCAATTTTGTCTTTTGTTGCCATTGCTTTTGGTGTTTTAGACATGAAGTCCTTGCCCATGCCTATGTCCTGAATGGTAATGCCTAGGTTTTCTTCTAGGGTTTTTATGGTTTTAGGTCTATGTTTAAGTCTTTAATCCATCTTGAATTAATTTTTGTGTAAGGTGTAAGGAAGGGATCCAGTTTCAGCTTTCTACATATGGCTAGCCAGTTTTCCCAGCACCATTTATTAAACAGAGAATCCTTTCCCCGTTGGTTGTTTTTCTCAGGTTTGTCAAAGATCAGATAGTTGTAGATATGAGGCATTATTTCTGAGGGCTCTGTTCTGTTCCATTGATCTATATCTCTGTTTTGGTACCAGTACCATGCTGTTTTGGTTACTGTAGCCTTGTAGTATAGTTTGAAGTCAGGTAGCGTGATGCCTCCAGCTTTGTTCTTTTGGCTTAGTATTGACTTGGCAATGCGGGCTCTTTTTTGGTTCCATATGAACTTTACAGTTTTTGCAAATTCTGTGAAGAAAGTCATTGGTAGCTTGATGGGGATGGCATTGAATCTATAAATTACCTTGGGCAGTATGGCCATTTTCACGATATTGATTCTTCCTACCCATGAGCATGGAATGTTCTTCCATTTGTTTGTGTCCTCTTTTATTTCATTGAGCAGTGGTTTGTAGCTCTCCTTGAAGAGGTCCTTCACATCCCTTGTAAGCTGGATTCCTAGGTATTTTATTCTCTTTGAAGCAATTGTGAATGGGAGTTCACTCATGATTTGGCTCTCTGCTTGTCTGTTATTGGTGTATAAGAGTGCTTGTGATTTTTGTACATTGATTTTGTATCCTGAGACTTTGCTAAAGTTGCTTATCAGCTTGAGGAGATTTTAGGCTGAGACAATGGGGTTTTCTAGATATACAATCATGTCATCTGCAAACAGGGACAATTTGACTTCCTATTTTCCTAATTGAATACCCTTTATTTCCTTCTCCTGCCTAATTGCCCTGGCCAGAACTTCCAACACTATGTTGAATAGGAGTGGTGAGAGAGGGCATCCCTGTCTTGTGCCCGTTTTCAAAGGGAATGCTTCCAGTTTTTGCCCATTCAGTATGATATTGGCTGTGGGTTTGTCATAGATAGCTCTTATTATTTTGAGATACATCCCATCCATACCTAATTTATTAAGAGTTTTTAGCATGAAGGGTTGTTGAATTTTGTCAAAGGCCTTTTCTGCATCTATTGAGATAATCATGCGGTTTTTGTCTTTGTTTCTGTTTATATGCTGGATTACATTTATTGATTTGCATATATTGAACCAGCCTTGCATCCCAGGGATGAAGCCCACTTGATCATAGTGGATAAGCTTTTGGATGTGCTGCTGGATTCGGTTTGCCAGTATTTTATTGAGGGTATTTGCATCAATGCTCATCAAGGATATTGGTCTAAAATTCTCTTTTTTGGTTGTGTCTGTGCCAGGCTTTGGTATCAGGATGATGCTGGCCTCATAAAATGAGTTAGGGAGGATTCCCTCTTTTTCTATTGATTGGAATAGTTTCAGAAGGAATGGTACCAGTTCCTCCTTGTACCTCTGGTAGAATTCAGCTGTGAATCCATCTGGTCCTGGACTCCTTTTGGTTGATAAGCTGTTGATTATTGCCACAATTTCAGAGCCTGTTATTGGTATATTCAGAGATTCAACTTCTTCCTGGTTTAGTCTTGGGAGGGTGTATGTGTCGAGGAATTTATCCATTTCTCCTAGATTTTCTAGTTTATTTGCGTAGAGTTGTTTGTAGTATTCTCTGATGGTAGTTTGTATTTCTGTGGGATCGGTGGTGATATCCCCTTTATCATTTTTTATTGCGTCTATTTGATTCTTCTCTCTTTTCTCCTTCATTAGTCTTGCTAGCAGTCTATCAATTTTGTTGATCCTTTCAAAAAACCAGCTCCTGGATTCATTAATTTTTTGAAGGGTGTTTTGTGACTCTATTTCCTTCAGTTCTGCTCTGATCTTAGTTATTTCTTGCCTTCTGCTAGCTTTTGACTGTGTTTGCTCTTGCTTTTCTAGTTCTTTTAATTGCGATTTTAGGGTGTCAATTTTGGATCTTTCCTGCTTTCTCTTGTGGGCAGTTAGTGCTATAAATTTCCCTCTACACACTGCTTTGAATGTGTCCCAGAGATTCTGGTATGTTGTGTCTTTGTTCTCGTTGGTTTCAAAGAACATCTTTATTTCTGCCTTCATTTCGTTATGTACCCAGTAGTCATTCAGGAGCAGGTTGTTCAGTTTCCATGTAGTTGAGTGGTTTTGAGTGAGTTTCTTAATCCTGAGTTCTAGTTTGATTGCACTGTGGTCTGAGAGACAGTTTGTTATAATGTCTGATCTTTTACATTTGCTGAAGAGAGCTTTACTTCCAACTATGTGGTCAATTTTGGAATAGGTGTGGTGTGGTGCTGAAAAAAATGTATATTCTGTTGATTTGGGGTGGAGAGTTCTGTAGATGTCTATTAGGTCCACTTGGTGCAGAGCTGAGTTCAATTCCTGGGTATCCTTGTTAACTTTCTGTCTCGTTGATCTGTCTAACGTTGACAGTGGTGTGTTAAAGTCTCCCATTATTATTGTGTGGGAGTCTTAGTCTCTTTGTAGGTCACTCAGGACTTGCTTTATGAATCTGGATGCTCCTCTATTGGGTGCATATATATTTAGGATAGTTAGCTCTTCTTGTTGAATTGATCCCTTTACCATTATGTAATGGCCTTCTTTGTCTCTTTTGATCTTTGTTGGTTTAAAGTCTGTTTTTATCAGAGACTGGAATTGCAACCCCTGCCCTTTTTTTGTTTTCCATTAGCTTGGTAGATCTTCCTCCATCCTTTTCAAAATAAAAGCCTCAAAATAGCCTATGTGTGTCTCTGCACGTGAGATGGGTTTCCTGAATACAGCACACTGATGAGTCTTGACTCTTTATCCAATTTGCCAGTCTGTGTCTTTAAATTGGAGCATTTAGCCCATTTACATTTAAAGTTAATATTGTTATGTGTGAATTTTATCCTGTCATTATGATGTTAGCTGGTTATTTTGCTCATTAGTTGATGCAGTTTCTTCCAAGCCTCGATGGTCTTTACAATTTGGCATGATTTTGCAGTGGCTGGTACTGGTTGTTCCTTTCCATGTTTAGTGCTTCCTTCAGGAGTTCTTTTAGGGCAGGCCTGGTGGTGACAAAATCTCTCCACATTTGCTTGTCTGTAAAGTATTTTCTTTCCCCTTCACTTATGAAGCTTAGTTTGGCTGGATATGAGATTCTGGGTTGAAAATTCTTTTCTTTAAGAATGTTGAATATTGGCCCCCACTCTCTTCTGGCTTGTAGAGTTTCTGCCGAGAGATCCGCTGTTAGTCTGATGGACTTCCCTTTGTGGGTAACCCAACCTTTCTCTCTGGCTACCCTTAACATTTTTTCCTTCATTTCAACTTTGATGAATCTGACAATTATGTTTCTTGGAGTTGCTCTTCTCAAGGAGTATCTTTGTGGTGTTCTCTGTATTTCCTGAATCTGAATGTTGGCCTGCTTTGCTAGATTGGGGAAGTTCTCCTGGATAATATCCTGCGGAGTGTTTTCCAACTTGGTTCCATTCTCCCTGTCACTTTCAGGTACAACAATCAGACGTAGATTTGGTCTTTTCACATAGTCCCATATTTCTTGGAGGCTTTGTTCGTTTCTTTATATTCTTTTTTCTCTAAACTTCCCTTCTCTCTTCATTTCATTCATTTCATCTTCCATCATTGATACCCTTTCTTCCAGTTGATCACATCGGCTCCTGAGGGTTCTGCATTCTTCATGTAGTTCTTGAGCATTGGCTTTCAGCTCCATCAGCTCCTTTAAGCACTTCTCTGTATTGGTTATTCTAGTTATACATTCGTCTAAATTTTTTTCAAAGTTTTCAGCTTCTTTGCCTTTGGTTTGAATTTCCTCCTGTAGCTCAGAGTAGTTTGATTGTCTGAAGCCTTCTTCTCTCAACTCTTCAAAGTCATTCTCTGTCCAGCTTTGTTCCGTTGCTGGTGAGGAACTGCATTCCTTTGGAGGAGGAGAGGCGCTCTGCTTTTTAGAGTTTCCAGTTTTTCTGTTCTGTTTTTTCCCCATCTTTGTGGTTTTATCTACTTTTGGTCTTTGATGATGGTGACGTACAGATGGGTTTTTGGTGTGGATGTCCTTTCTGTTTGTTAGTTTTCCTTCTAACAGACAGGACCCTCAGCTGCAGGTCTGTTGGAGTTTGCTAGAGGTCCACTCTAGACCCTGTTTGCTTGGGTACCAGCAGTGGTGGCTGTAGAACAGCGGATTTTCGTGAACCGCGAATGCTGCTGTCTGATCGTTCCTCTGGAAGTTTTGTCTCAGAGGAGTACCTGGCCGTGTGAGGTGTCAGTCTATCCCTACTGGGGGATGCCTCCCAGTGAGGCTGCTCGGGTGTCAGGAGTCAGGGACCCACTTGAGGAGGCAGTCTGCCCATTCTGTGATCTCTAGCCACGTGCTGGGAGAGAACCACTGCTCTCTTCAAAGCTGTCAGACAGGGTCATTTAAGTCTGCAGAGGTTACTGCTGTCTTTTTGTTTGTCTGTGCCCTGCCCCCAGAGGTGGAGCCTACAGAGGCAGGCAGACCTCCTTGAGCTGTGGTGGGCTCCACCCAGTTCGAGTTTCCCGCCTGCTTTGTTTACCTAACCAAGCCTGGGCAATGGCGGGCGCCCCTCCCCCAGCCTGGCTGCCACCTTGCAGTTTGATCTCAGACTGCTGTGCTAGCAATCAGCGAGACTCCGTGGGTGTAGGACCCTCCCAGCCAGGTGCAGGATATAATCTCCTGGTGCACCTTTTTTTAAGCCCATTAGAAAAGGGCAGTATTCGGGTGGGAGTGACCCGATTTTCCAGGTGCCGTCTGTCACCCCTTTCTTTGACTAGGAAAGGGAACTCCCTGACCCCTTGCACTTCCCGAGTGAGGCAATGCCTCACCCTGCTTCTGCTCGTGCACATTGCGCTGCACCCACTGTCCTGTGCCCACTGTCTGGCACTCCCTAGTGAGATGAACCCGGTACCTCAGATGGAAATGCAGAAATCACCCGTCTTCTGCCTCGCTCAAGCTGGGCACTGTAGATGGGAGCTGATCCTATTCAGCCATCTTGGCTCCACCCTGCCACCAGAGAGATCTGTCAAACATTTCTAACATGTTTAGGTGGTCTGAGGTTGGGTGCATACAGATTTATAACTGCTATATCTTCTTGTTAACTTGAACTTTTATCCTTATATAAAGTCCTTTTTGTCTCTAGTGATAGTTTTTTACTTAGATTTTTTTTATTTCTTATATAAGTTTAGCCACTCCTGCTCTCTCGTCTCTACCATTTGCATGAAATATCATTGTCTATCTCTTCACATTTAGTCTAGGTGTTTCCTTTTGTCTTGAGTCTCTTGTATACAAAAATCATGCTTTTTATTTCCATTTTTTAAATCCATTCAGCCACTCTGTGTCTTTTTATTGGAAAATTTAATTTATTTATATTAAAGTGATTATTGATAAATAAGAACTTACTATTGCCATTTAAAAAATTGTCTTCTGTCTGTTTTGCATTTATTTTGTTTCTCTGTTGCTGCTTTCTTTTGTTATTTGATTATTGCTTTGTGGTAGTTTGGTTTGATTCCTTTTTCTATTTCTGTCATCTACTACAAGTTTTTCTTTTGTGGTTAACATGAGGTTTATAGGAATCTTTGTGTAGTTAAAACTGTCTATTTTAAGATTTTTTTCTTTTATGCTAATGTAAATGGTATTGTGTTTTTAATTTCAAATTCAAATTTTTCATTTCCAGTATAAAGCAAAGCAATTGCCTTTGAATATTAACCTTACAATTTAGATGTTGATAAATCACTTTTTGTTTCAGACGTTGTTTAATTGATTTGAGATTTTCTAAATAGACAATTATATTATCCAAAAACAAAGAAATGCTCATTTTTTCAAATATATACATTGCATTTATTTTTTTGTCTTACTGCTTTAGCTAATTTTTCCAATACTATGTTGAATATGAATGATAAGAGAAGACATTTTTGCCTTGCTTCCCAATCTCAGAGGAAAATAATCCAGTTTTCCTTATGAAGTAAGAAGGTAGATTTAGGTTTTATTTTTTTGTTGTTGTTATCAAATTGAGGAAGTTCCCCTTCATTCCTAGTGAGCTGAGAGTTTTATCATAAATGGGTGTTGGATTGTGTGAAATATTTATTCTGTGTCAGTTGATATTATTTGATTTTTCTGCTTTAGCCTGTGGATTGTACGAATTTTTAAAAGTTGATGCAGCCTAACATACCTGAAATAAATTCCAGGTGGTTGTGATATATAATTATTTTATACATTGTTTTATTTGATTTGATAATATTTTGTTGAGGATATTCACATCCAAGTTTATGAGAGAAGTCAGAATTTTTCCTTTTTTATAATGTCTTTTTCGGATTTGTTATTAGTATAATGCTAGCCTCATGGAATAAGTTAGGAAATGTGTACTCTGCTTTTTATATTCTGTTAGAAAGTAAAAAATTGGTATTATTTCTTTTTAAAATTTTTTTGATAGTGACAGGACTTTTGTGATTATTTGTTGTTTCTTACATGGATTTGGTTAGTTTGTGTCTTTCAAAAAATTGATCCATTTCATCTATGTTATCAAATTTGTGTAAAATGTTTTTGTTAAGTTTTTGATGTCATTGGATGAGTAGTAATGACAACCCCCTTCACTTAATTTCTGATTTTAGTAATTTTTATCTCTCTACATTTTTCTTGGTAGAGATTTGTCCATTTTGTTCATCATTTCAAAGAACAAGCTTTTAGTTTGTTGATTTCTCTATTGATGTCCTGTCTTTAATGTCACTGAGTTTTGCTATAATTTTATTATTTCTTACCATAGGCTTTCTTAAGGTTAAACTACTCCTCTTTTTCAAGTTCCTAGGGTAGAAATTTAGATTATTGGTATTATATATTTCATCTTTTCTATGATTTGCATTCAATGCTCTAAAAATTTTCCTCGTTTGCTACTTCCATGGCATACCACAAACTTTCTAAGTTGTTTTATTTTCACTTAGCTAAAAATGCTTTTTGTTTAACTATTTGCTAGGTAAGATATGTTTAATCTCCAATTACTTGGAGATATGTCAGCCATATTTCTATTATTAATTACTAGTTTCATTCTCTTGTGATCTGAGAATATGCTTTGATTATTTCTATTCTTTTAAATTTGTTAAAATTGGTTTTGTTCTCCAAAATGTGATTGATTCTAGTGAATGTTCCATGCAAGCTTAAGAATGCATATTTTGCTTTTGTTGGATGGCATATTCTATATAAGTCAATTCCATCCAGTTTACTAGTGATGCTGTTCAAGTCAACTATATTCTTTCAGATTTTCTGCCTACTTTACCTGTTACTTATTGAAAGAAACATGTTGAAACCTCCTACTATAATAGATGATTTGTCTATTTTTTTCTCTCAGCTGTATCAGGTTTTGCTTTATGTATTTTGATTATGTGTGGTTAGATGCATACACATTAAGAATTTTTACAGCTTCTTAGATAATTGGCCCCTTTATCATTGTGTAATTATGTATCGTTATGTAATCCCTCTTTACTCCTGATAAGTTTCTTTGTTCTGAAGTCTGCTCTGTTTAAAATTAATATACCTACTCTCGCTTTTTAAAATTAATGTTAGCATGTCATATTTTCTCCATCCCTGTTCTTTTAATCTTTATGTTAAAAGTGTGTTTCCTGTAAACAATCGTAATTGGGCCTTGTTTGTTTGTTCATTTGTTTTCCATTCAGACAGCTTCTCTCTTTAATAGTGTTATTTGGACCACTCAAAATTAAAATAATTTTGTAAAATGTAGTTGGTTTAATACCTACCATGTTTGTGCCTACTTCCTACTCATTGCACTAATTCTTTATGTCTTATTTCATTATTTTCTTTCTTGTATAAATAATCATAAATGTTTGAAATAATTTAAATTTCTTTTTCTTCCAAGTATTAGGCATTTTATATTAGTCAGGTTAAGTGAAATTTTGCTGTACTAACAGCTCACCACAAGCTCTCTGCAGTTAACAGAAGTTTATTATTCATCCAAATTTCTGCAATTCTGTATAATCCTTCAGGGCAGTCGTCTTCTCTATGTGACTCCTCAATTCAGGCTTCTTCAGATTAGGATTATTCATACACAGTCTCAACACATGCATCCACAATTGACATGCAAGATGTGAGAACAAGACAAATTGCACATGGCCTCTTAATTTTTCCATTCATACAAGTGAGAAAAGTCACTTCTACTGGCATTTTTTTTTTTTTTTCAGAGATGGGGTCTTGGTGTTTTGCCCAGGCTGGTCTAGAACTCCTGGGCTCAAGCAGTCCTCCTGCCTCGGCCTCTCAAAGTGCTGAGATTACATGTGTGAGCTACTACACCTGATTACTACTGACATTTTTTTAATGGTCAACAGGCAAATAACCTGGCCACATTTAACTTCATCAATTACAATACAAGGATACAATATGATATTAAAATTAATTTTAGTAAGCTTAATTCTTATTTTTTACTGCTTTGATAATGACTATATCTACTATTTCAAGATTTAACTATGATGTTTTCTATATTTTCTAGTCAATGCTCTTAAAATATCAAAGAAATTCACTTATTCTTGAGTGCCAAGAGTTTTTTTTAATTAATGTTTATTTAAATTTTCAAATACATTTTATGCAACTATATGACCATTGACTTTTGTCTTCTTATTTATTTGTTAATGTACTGAATTACAGTGATATATTTTATATTAATAAAACTTAATTATTTACTGATATAAAATGCATTGGTTTATTATTTTTAATATATAGAAAAATAAAATAGTCATTCTTTCATAACTTTCAGCATATTTGTCTTTTTGTGATATTCTCTTGTAGTTTTCCTTTCATAAGTTGTCTTGTTTTGAATTTGATAGCAATTATGCTAGACTCTTAATATCATACCAAGATATTATTTTGTGTGTGTTGGGGACAATTTCAGTGGACATACCTGCTTTTTTAAGTATAGATGGTAAACATCACTTATAAAGCTGAGCCTTGTACTTTTATAATGGTGAAATGTTCTGTAATGGTATTTGGACTATTTCGGTTTTTCACTCTAACAAGAAGATTTCGATCATTTTTAAAGTATTAGAAAATATTGATTTTAAGCCAAATTTCAGTTCTTTTGCTTCAGAATAAGATTTTAAAACTTAATATTATTTTATATCCTCCTACAGTAACTATCATCTTCAACCTTTCCTAATGATAAAATCAGGAATTGTAGTTATTATTATTATAATAACATATTCATTTTAACAACTCTATCTCATTTGGGCAACTATAACTTTTATTTATCTCTTTGATCATCATTGACTTGTGCATCTCCAGTGATCTACAGAGATTCATTACTTTTCTCTAATGAAATATATCTTCCGTAGTTCTTTCAAAGAGAAACTAGTTGACAGATTTTTTAGTCCTTAAATGTCTGAAACATCTTTATTTCATCTTCAAATTTAAATGATTATTCAGCTGTTCTGGGTTAAACATTGATTTTCTCAAACACTTCTCAAATTTTGCTTCATAATCTTTTTATATATGCTGTTGCCAAAAATATCCGAAAATAACAGTAACAATGAACTAACCCCATATATCAGAAACTGTTCCAATAATTTTACAAATATTATATAATTTAATGGTCCTAACTGCCTAATAAGGCAGTAGTTGTTTTTCTAATTTTATAAGTAAGCAAAGTGGAAACATAATGTTAATTTCACAGTGGAATACTGATAGGAAGTGGTGGAGCTGGGCTCAATCCCAGCCAACTGGCTTTAGTCTATACTCTTGACCAAAGTGTTCACCAGCCTCCCATGCCTGTGTGACTCCTGTTCCATAGACAACATATTAATTTTGTCAGTGTTGGAGTTTAAGAACATTACTCTGTAATCAACATTGTAAAGTTTATCTACAATTTGTGTAGGTATGAGTTTCATTTAATTTGTGCTATCCAGAAATTGTTACTCCCCTTTTAAATCACTATGAAAGTTACATATTATTCCTTATTGTATTGAATCTCCCTTATTCATTCTATTATTTTTTTTCTGGAACTTTCTTCAGATTGTTATGAATCTTTATTCCATATTTCCCATCATTTTGCTATTTTGCTGCATTCTGAGGCAATTACAGAGCTTTAATTTTTAGTTTAATAATGAGCTGTTCATCAGTATTTAATCTTATATTCAGAAAATCTACTCTTTTTAAATAAACATTTTACTTTATTATTTAACAATCTTTAACTTTCTTTTCCCTAATCTTTTACTTTATTATTTCCCAATCTTTAACTTTCTTTTCCTATTATTTAACAATCTTTAACTTTCTTTTCCCTACTCTATATCCTTGTTCATAATATCCTAATCCAGATATATGGATGAAATGACTTTTCTTTTGCCTTAGGCGAGATTCATACTTCTGAAAACTTTTTGTTGTTATATTACATGGTATTAAATTATATTATAAAGGATAAGACCCTGTATTTGTTGAGTTGATGCATATTCATCATGGTGCAGGCAATCTTAAATGCAAGCTCATTTCTGCAGGTTGGATACTCAAGCTCTTTCCTCTCTTAATCCCAGCAGCCCTGCATACCTAGGAACAGAAGGGTAGACCTGGCTCCTGGGCCTTTTGCTCTGCACTGTGTTTAGTGTGAGTTGATATGGGATGGGTGTGATTCTGACTCAGGTCCCTGGAGAGCTCCTCTTTTGTATATTTCTTTGGAAAGCAATTTATCAGCCACATACAATTAGAGGTACTTGAGGAAAATACTATCATCTCAAAACCAAGCACATCACTAGCATCCTCTCCTTGTTCCTTCCAAGTATTGCCAGTTACCTGGGCACTGTTCTGTCTCTCAAGTGCAAACTTGGCTGCTAGACAGCGGAAAACACATTTTTGCATCTCTCTTAAGGGTTAGGGCTGATTCAAGAAACTCATAAATTATTTGACACTCTTCCCATACAGAGGTGTGGTCAGAGTCCCTCTCTTTGAATCTGAGCTGCTCTGTGACTACTTAGGCTCAGAGAGTATAGTAGATACAGTACTAGTTTGTAGATACAGTACTAGTAGTACAGTACTCGTACAGTCTTGGTTCTTTAGATGTCTGAACTGCCATGGAAGGATCCCAAGTTCCCTGTTGGAAGGGCCATGTGGGGACAGAGAGGGGCCCAGATGAGCCCAGGCTTCCAGCCGTCCCAATCATCTTGGATTCTACAGTCAAGTCAAAACACCATCTGCACACATCAATGACTCCAGTCAACATTACGTGGAGTAGAATTGCCTAACTAAGCTTTGCTTGGACTCTTAAACCACAAAATATATTTAAAAAATTGTTGTTGTTGAAGTTCTGGCGTAGTTTGTTTTTGCTATGTAGGCATAGGTAACAAAAAGAGAGCCAATAAGAGAGATACCCAGATTTTGCATGTCCTGCATTCTCCTACCAAAGAATCTCAGCAAATCGTTCTAACTCTCTTGCTCTAGAATTCTGCCACATCAAGATGTCAATACTGCTAGTGTTGCACTTGGTTTTGAGATGATACTAATCTCCCTAAGTACCCCTAATTGCATTTGGCTGATATTTTGTTTTCCAAAGAAATATATGTGGGACTGTAAGAAAAAGGGAATATATGCTTCAGTTTGCCATATGGATACTGCTATTTTATAGGATGTTTTGCCAAATATCAGGGGTACTCATTTTCCTTTATCAAGTGTGAACTTAATTAGTTATTTAGCTTACAATGGCTTTGACCAAAGGAGTCAGAATTGTAAAAAGCATATGTTACAAATACTTATTTAGTATTTATTTAATTTTATTTTTAGAGATAGGGTCTCATTCTGTCACCCAGTTTGGAGTACAGTGGCAGGATCATAGCTCATCACAACCTCGAACTCCTGGGCCCGAGTTGTCCTCCTCTTTAGGCCTCCCTAGTAGCTGGGACTACAAGAACGTGCCACCACGCCCAGCTCCAATACTTATTTTATCCCAAGAAATTCCTTTTATATTTTACTCTAGATATAAACAATTAGGAAATATTACACTCAGTGTCCTCCCATCTTTGATGGATGAGCTTTTTTACTTTAGTGGAAAGTTTTCAACAGTGAGGACTCACAGTAGGTAGGGTGGTCAGAAAGGCCTCACTCATGTATAAACTGCAAACGTATGACCTGATCTTCTCCATGTATAGCCAGTGCAGATGAATAAGATAATGACATGGGTTTTTTCTCTCTCCTTTGAAACACTGTGTAAGGTTATCTTACTCTCACAAGAGAAAGAGTCAAGAATTTCTCAGGGCAGAAACCTACATGTCACACTTAGCTGAAGAGCACCTGTTTCCTTTCCTGTTCACTAGTTTTCTTTCAGGGCCAGGAAGGCCCAGCACTTTCGATACGCTATACCAAGATTAACGAGTGCAGAACAAGAACATACTTTTCCAGTGGAAGTCAATTTTGTTAAAAGGTAATTGCCCAGTATCTTGATCTGAGAGATGAGAATTTGTAAGAGTTTTCTGACACAAGAGAATTATCTTTCTCTCACCATTACACTCCTTTAGTTGGCCCACAGAGTAAAAATATGTCTATTAGCCTTACCGTTGGCTGGCACAACCTGGCAGGACTTTTCTGGGTTGAACTTTCGATTTCATCCTCTTTCTATCATGTCATAAAAATTCTGCTCCACACACATAAAATATTTTCCATCTGTTTGCTAAAAACTCCAAAATTCCATACTTTTCACAACTTGTTACCTTTGCCTTGAATTTTCCCCATATGCCTAGCACAATAGTACTCAACAATCCAAAATTCACATAAATACAGCAATATTTGGAAGCTTATTCTCAGTCATGTATTTTGTTTTAGGGCCTCCATGCCTACCTTCCTCATGCACATAAGCAATATATGTTGGGCACATTTAAACTGTAGGACTTACTGTTATATTTTGTGATGTAATTTTTTGCTATGTCTCCTAATAGATTCTGAATTCTGACAGCAGAAATGAATCTAACTTTAAAAATTATATAAATGCACCTAGAATAATATGCCAAAAGTTCATGTGCCTATTTTTAAGAATTTCTTCTTGATCACATTGTACCATTTTGTTTCAGATGTTTTTATTAAAGTTAAAACATTTTTAGGCAAGTTGTAGTCTTCTCTGTTCACTCTATCAGTTAAATTTCCCTCCATTTCTTATCTCATGCAAACATACCCTGAATTTAGTGTATCCATCTATTCCATGTGTTTACTGCCTTTACATAAACACACACAAATATTGTGAGGTGTAACCCTACATAAACCCTTGTTCATAGATGTATTGTCATGTAGCAAGGTACTTACCATAGTGCTAATTGTTGAGGCAAAACTTTTTGGAAAGCTATGTGCTTTTATTAAAGTGAAAGAACAAATAAAATGTGGTAAATGCGTAGACTGTGATATCATTCAGCAGAAAGAACTAAGGCCACAAATAACTAAATGAGTAATATTAAAAACATTATATTGAATGAAAAATAAGAGAAAATTAAATCCATAAAGTAGGGCAATGAAAGCAAACTTAAAACACATAAAACATCACTATGCATTCTAAGTGGATGAACATATATGAAAACAAATGTATAGAAGCTGAATTGGAATTATCCACATCTAACACACAAAAGTGGATGGCAATAAAGAAAGGGCAATGGAACCATGGTGGGTAACAAAGAATGGAAAGCAGGGACACTATATGAAATTACGATAAAATGATACTGCGAACTGAGGGGTGAGATCATCTCAGCACTGTGTTCCTGATTTTACCCTTTAACTACCCCCCAAAAGAAGATTGTTCTATTTATCTAGATGTTTGGATCTTGACAAATCTAAAATTATGAAAAATTAAATTTGCCAGGCCTCACATCTCATGCATGTTTGATTCAATTCTAAAAGTTTTTCGTTTTCAAATTTATATTGTACAGTGTTATTTACAGCAAAAATGTTCTATAAAATGTAACAGTGCATCAGTATAACCGAAAAAAATTTTAATATATGACCTGGTGATGAAAGAGAACATAGGGTGGTTGGCAGGAATACAGGGACACAGTACGTAGGACTTTCCAGTACTTCAGCCTTCTGATTTAAGAAAATGCAAATATATAGTGGTGATGTTACCATTTTTCTCAAAGGAAAACAGCCATACTTTGTATTCTTAACCAACAAAAACTCATTTTCTCCTGCCCTTGAAATAAAAGTGTGATAATCTCAGTCACCATCATTATCATAATCTATTTACATTTGTGTGGAGCCTACAGGGCACACAGAATTTAAAGACGGTGTGATTGTATGCAAGTGTGAAATGAGAGAACATTAAAAACCTATGGCCAGTACCCTTAGACCTTTCTTTTCTGGTTTAGATAAGACAAAAACACAAACATCGGTAGCGTATTCCCGCCCTGTACAGCCTTTTCATAGTCTGTGGTGGAGTTTTTGCTTTACCTTTCTTCCCTACTTCCTACTGGGGTCCCCATATACTCAATGAAACCAATCACCATACACAGTTCTACGTTTTGAGACCTGTCCTTAGTCAAAGGAGAAATGACAAAATCTCCGAACAAGAGGCAACCTCGGAAAAGTTCTTCCCAAGTTTGCTCATCCTAGAGCAGAAAAAAACGATGGCAGCTTACGTGTCATGAGCCCTTCCTGTGAACTTGTGGTGTGCCGATCCTCTCACCTGGGCTATCTCATTTAACACTTTAACCATCACTACAGCCCTTAGAGACTGTAACTGTTATTATTTCTACTTTTGATGACAAACTGAAGTTTAGAAAGAATACATTGATCAAGTTAGTAATTAGTTACTAGCTAGTAATAGGTAAGGCTTGAATACAAGAAGACATTTGTCTGTCTGCCTCCACAATAAACACTCTGAGCTCTTATGCCAAGTTGAAGAAAATGAGATTGAAAAATTAAGTACCGATGTAAGTCATATCACCAGACAATGCTATCATAGCTTTTTATTACAAAGGATACAGTTTATTGACTGTTAACTGCATTCCCAACAATGTAATTGACACTCTAAACACATCATCTATTATAATATTCATAATTATTATATCGGAAATATATATCTAATTATAATTATATAAATCTAATACAATAATTTTTATAATAGTGTGTCTCCTCTCACCACTTTTATTCAATATCATACTGGAAGTCCTAGCTAATGCAATAAGAGAAAAGAAAGAAATAAAAGGTAAATATTAAGAAGGAATTAAACTGTCTTTTTTCATAGATGACACAATTGTTTATATAGAAAACACCGAAGAATCAAGGGAAATAAATTTCTGGAACTAGTAAGCTAGTATAGCAAGATTGTGGGATACGGAGTAAACATACAGAAGTATCATATTTTCCTACATGACAATAGATAATTGAAACTTCCTAAATGGCAGTGAACAATTGGAACTTGCAATTAATAACACAACGCCAAAAAAAAAAACATAAAAAGAGAGAAAAGAAAAACAAAAACAAAAATTTAAAGAAAAAATTAAAAAGGAAAATTAATACTTAGTTATAAATTGAACAAAGTATGAACAAGATCAATATAAGGAAAACTACAAAACTGAGGAAAGAAATTAAAGAAAGTTAAGAAATGGAGAGATACTCTATTTTAGGGATATCTCTCCCTATGATAGGGAGACTCAGTGTTAAAATGTCAGTTCTTACCTACTTGATCTATAGATTCATTGCAATCTAAATCAAAATTCCAGAAGGTTATTCTCTGGATATGAATATACTGATTATAAAGTCCACATAGGCAAAAGATACAGAATAGCCAACATAATACTGAAAAACAATAAAGTCAAAAAAAGAAACTCTCCTACTTTAGCAACAGTAATCATGAAAGTGTTTTTTTTAAAAGGATAGATAAATAAATCAATAAACAGAATGGGAGCCAAAAATAGACACATACAAAAAAAAGTACCCAACTGATTTTTGACAAAGAAGAAAAGACAATTGAATGAACAAAGAAGAGTGTTTTTATGCTGGAAAAATTAGATATCCACATGAGAAAAAAAAAAGGATCTACACACTGACCTTATAGGTTTCATAAAGATTAGCCCCAAATGAATCATAAAATTAAATGTAAAATGCAAAACTACAACACTTCTAGAAAGATAGCAAAGAAAAAACACTTAGGTTAGCCTGGCTTAGCAATAATTTTTTAGATACGACACCAAAAGCACAATTTGTGAAAGAATAAAACATTAATATAGTGGACTTTATTAAAATTAAAACCTTTAACTCTGTGAAAGACAGTCTTAAGAGAATGAAATTATAAGGCACAGATGGGGAGAAATATTTGCAAAACTCCTATCTAAAGGACTTGTATGCAAAATGTACAAAGGACTCAACATTCAGCAGTAGAAAAACAAACAAACCTATGAAAAAGTGGGCAAAAGATCTTAATATAATCCTCACCAAAAAGGTGTATAAATAAAAAAAGCATATAAAAAGTTGTTCAACATTATATGTTCTTAGGAAATTGCAAATTAAACAAGATATCACTACACAACTATTAGAATGGCTAAAAGCCAAAATACTGAACACGAATTCTGACAAGGATTGGAAACAACAAAAACCTCTTATTCATTGCTGGTGGGATTACAATAAGGTGCAACCATATTTGAAGAGGTTTGGCAGTTTCTTACAAATTTAAGTATACTCATACCATACAACCAAGCACAGCACTCAAGTATTTACCTGAATGCATTAAAGATGTAGGTCCACAGAAAACCTCTCATATGAATATTTATAGTGGCTTTATTCATCATTGCCTAAAACTGGAAGCAGCCAAGATGTCTGCCCTTTATAAGATGAATGAATATGCAAATTGTGGTACATCCATACAATAGAATATTACTCAGTAATAAAAAATGAGCTAAGTCATGAAAAGAAATGGAGAAACTTTAAATACATATTGCTAAGTAAAAATAGCTGTCTGAAACAGTTAAACACTGTATGAGCCCAACTATAAGGCACTCTAGAAAAGCAAAACTCTACAGATAGCTATAGGTTGTTCTGTGGTTGTCAGAGACTCTGGGGAGAGGGGAAGGATGAATAGATGGAGCACAAGGCTTCTCAGGGCAAGAAAATTATTCTGTATGATATTAAAGGGACAATACATGCATTTGGCAAAACCTGAAGAATTTTACAACACAGGAGTGAATCCTCATGTAAGCTATGAACTCCAGTTTAAAAATGATATATAAATGTAAGGTTGCCAATTGTAAAAATGTTCTACACTAATGCAAGATGTTAATGATAGGGGAAGCCATGGGGTTAAGGGTGTACATGGGAACCTTTTGTACCTTCTGCTAAATTTTTCTGTAAAATGAAAACTGCTAAAATATAATCTATTATTTTAAAAAAATAAAATGAAGAACTAAAGCTATGACATGATTATCTAACTTCTTGAAGGTCATGTAGCAAGTTGTGGGAAGACTGCCACTCTGTGTTCCTATCTGCTTCATTAACTACTGGCATACAACAGTGCCCAAGACTGATTTCAGTATACTAAGTTCAAAGAGCTTCATAGAGTTTTATCACACTGCTTGTCCTCAATCGTTCTTGGTGCCCATTTCTCTTTTGACTTTAGGGAAGAGCATCACATTGTACTCCAAGGATTCATCCTCACATTTCTAAAGAATGAATCCCTTTTTGATAACAAGCAGGGCATATCAATTCTTTCAACTTTGGAGTCTTTCTTTGTCTTCACCAATATTCCTAGTGAACCTGAGCCATTTCTCAAGTCATATACACTTGTTAGAGGACTCAGCCTCTTGACATCATCTACTTGCCTTCTTCAATCTTTATTCATTGCTAGATCTAATAGGCTTGTTTTTAGGTTTGCCTCAACAGTCTGAATTATCAAAGTATCCTGAACATGTATAATGATATATAAATTAACATCCTTTCAATTCAATCAGTATTTGAGTAAATACTGAAATACTTTGAATGACTCCTAATATTTGAATAAATACTCAAAATCTGAGAGTACATATTCCCCCTTTCCATACATACACACATACACACACAAAGACAGAAAGATAGATAATAGAGACAGAGAGAGAATGAGAAAGAAAGAGACAGAATGTTGCTATGTTGTTACTATTGCATAAAATGTTTCTGTTTTTAACTGCCTGCATATTCTGACATTACATAGTTATATGTAGTAAAAATATAATTTAGGATGCAAATAGTAGAGCAATAGAGAATCCCTTACCCCCATTAATGGCTCCAAAGCAGATGCAATGTAGGGTGGCTAGTGCAGGGGTGACACAGCATGGATTCCCACAGGGAAAGCTAAAAGAACACTGGGGGGTGTGTGCTGAGCCACGGTGCTGGAGAGATGCGTGGGACATACAGTTGGGTAAAGAAAGATTACAGGAGTATTAAGGACCCGTGACGTCATTTTAGATAAACTTCACTAAAGGCTGGAAGAGCTTCTGGACTCTTTCCCCAGAGTAAATATGCCACTCTTTGAAAAGCAATGTTGCCCTGGAGAAAGAGAACTTTGACCCCTAATATAACAAAACAAAGAAACAGGTTTTAAGAATATTACACTACATATATATAGATATATGCAGTTTACATGTATATGTGGTATATATTTATATATATAAGCTTTGAGTAAATATACATAAACTTTGTGTTTATATCTATATATAAGCTTTGAGTGAATTCAACAAACATTTGAAGTTTTAATTAAAAAAGGAGTTGTTTATAAAAAGTAAATTTCAGATAATTTGCTCTAGGGTAACTGAATATTGTAAATTACCCTTTGTGTCAAGTCCATAAACTAAGACATTGGAAAATATTGAGACAGAATTTATTGTAGCAAAGAGTGTTTGAATTTAGAAATGAGAAAATAATAAGGTGGCCAAGGGTTGGATTTTCTCTTGTGTTTTTGTTCATGTTTACACTTAATCTTTACTGAAATTTTCAGAGAATAAAACTATTTATGAATGTTGATATTCAAATCCATAACCATAATATATAATTTTTGAAGGAAGACATTTAAAAGCATTAATTTTTCTATTACTGTTCAATGTTTCTCTCACACAAACTCTGAGGTGCAATGAATATGTGAGCATTTAGTAACTGAATAAAATCTATTCATGTTATAAGTATGTAAAGCTTACAATGAATTTCCCAATATATAAGGATGAATTTACAAAACAAATCTCAGTATTGTAAAATATTAGTTTCTGCAGTCATGTGGATGGATGTAGATTGAAAAAATAACAGTTCCCTCCCTCACCCCAGTTTATAAGGGTTTGTATGCACATATGCAACCCAATAGTTTGGAAATAAGGAAATTATGGTATCCTGCCAATTGAACAACAGGGCACACAAATAATTGAGTCATAAATATTTATGCTTATGAAAAGAGAGTAATTTAGAGGCCAGAGCAAGACTAGTACATAATCTAACTGAAAAAATATAGAAATATAATAGGCCAGTTAGAAGCAAAGATATTGTCAACTTAGAAAACAAAATAATTGTTATAGAAGCAATCCACAAAAGCACCCCCTTAGGAAGGTGTTGCTCTTGAAAATCAGACACTAGTATCTCCTCTTCTTCAATATCCATATTAAGGACATAATTATAACAGATTTTTATAATGTGATATTACAAACCTTTAAATCATATGAACATAAACTTCCTTGCTTAGAATTCATACTCACCAAGCAAACATATGATTACTTGTCTCTCTGTGTATTGAGACTGCATTGGCCAGGTTACTACAAAGTTGGTAACCAGTTAAACTTTCCAATTTGTAATTTTTAAAAATTAATAAATTGACATGCAGGTTTACATAATTGTATTTAATGGAAGTCTCAAGAGCATAAATAATGAATTCACTAAAATTCAGGGAATACCCTTATGATACTTTCATGAGACATGTGGCCAGATGATGGTACTCCTGGTAACTCGTCTAAATCGCCCTCTCTCTAATTTCTCCAATTGCCATTGGGTGTTTTTATATTTGATGGATTAGTTGAAATTAGTAGGCCATTGCAGACAATTAAATGAAGAACTCTTACAAGGAAATTGAACTCAAATGTAACTTCATGAGTACAATGCATTAATCAACTGAACTAACCATGGAATATATTTCATCAAGTTCTAATAAAATCACTACAATATCAGATGCAACATGAAAAACCCAGCCTATCAACCCATCAAGCTCACTAATATAATATCCCACATAGAGATTTGATCAATAACGCCTACAGAGATTGGGCTAGAGAATATTAAATCTAATGTTATTCTCTAGATTACATGTCTAGATGACACACTTGGAAAATGTGTTTTATTTAATATTAGTAATTCCCTCAAATATTTGCTCTTTCAAGAACTAATATTACTTTCATGGGTTTTATCAAACTATTCATGGAGAAAAATATATTAAGATTAAAGATATGCTGGAATTAATTGCATTTTCATAAATCTGATCTATAAATCTCATACGAATCTGGAAATTAGACCCAGTTTTTGCCATATAATTTATAGATATATACGTTATCTCAAATGAAAGTCATAGTGTCTTATTAATTCCAGGATTTTAAATAAACAGTTCAAAGTAGTAAATATTTATTTTTCTATATTAATTTATTAGTATCTAATATACCTCTGAAAATATTATGATTTTGTAGTTTCTGGAACTCATTTGTACACTGTATACATTGAAATGTAAAACTACAGTTGTGTCTGTTGGACAGCATCATATATTAGAAAAATAATGACTAGCAGAGTTGATTATTTATTTACTTGTTGTTCGGCAATCATGGTCACAACCTGATGATCTTTTCTTTATTGGCAAGGGCCTCATCCTTTCTATCTGAGACAACTTGCACATAAATTCTGAGTTTCCAGCTCACTTGTTATGAACACTTGGTCCAAATCCTAAGTGTGTGCCATAAACCACACTGGGTAATGATATCATGGTGGCACTCTTCCTGTGCTTTTTATAAATCAACATTTATTAAGAATTACATTGTTTTGTCATACACTGTTATAGAGGTTGGAGATGTAAGAGTGACTGAGAGAGACATGTCCCCTTCCTTAGAAAGCTGTGAGAATGCTGGCACAAAAAGCCATGCCTTACAAAAACAGGAGGAAATCTAGAGAGCTGGCCAAGAAAGTTACACAAACCAAGAAGAAGATCCAAGCAAAATTATTGGTTATATTCTGCCTAGAAATAAGCAAGCAAAAAACATATTGAAAAGCCTCTGTTGATTCTTATTTGGAGACTAAAACAATAAACCTTCATGGGATCAAAAATATCACCTCCAACTTAAACTGTAGACAAGGCAGAGAATAGAAGATAAGTTTTCATAAAAACCAAATCGATGAAATAAAAGGTATTAGGTCTATAAAAATTAAAAGGAAAATTATAAAGAAAACATAAAATAGAAGATGATTAAATCGTTTCTTGTGCACAATGCGTACTATCTCAGTAAAGAGCAGACAGATCATGAGGAGGAGAAAGAAATAAGAGAGATAAGTGTCCTCCCAAGGCCTCATGCTCCAGACCTAAAATTAACTTGCTTACTAACCACTAAATTAATAAAGCCCAAACTTTCTGAATTTTAAGTTTACTTAAACAAGTAAATCCCATATGCACTCAGACATAAATCAAGAAATACATTTTTAAAAGGCAGAAGAGTTCTATATTTCAACAGAAAATAACTGAATCATAATGAAATAACACATGCAGAGGTTTGTGTAGTGTAGATTATTACCAAAATGTTTCTAAGCCAAGCCAAGTTGCTATGAGTAAGAAAAATAAGACAAAAACTACATATCAATGTTCCTAGAAAAAATTCTTCTCACCTACTCACATATATATCTAAACTTGCACTGAAGCCAATTGATAGGTGAGTCAGATATGAACTCTCAAATTAGGAAGATGTGGTAAGATAGAAATATCAGTCATGAGATATACATTAGATAACAGAAGGTACCTAAATCTAAGCAAAGACATAAAATACTTTATAACAATGCATAAGTCAAAATAACCTAATATTAATATATAAAATAATAATAAATATCTCAACAGCAACACTAAAATATAGATTTAAAAACTAGATTACTTTAAAACGTTAGTTTTATGCAAGAAACAAAAGAGAAAGTAAATGCAATTTAAGACTTTATACACGTGATCTTTAAAGATACTCTTTTCTTCTTTAAACTAGTAACTAGGGAGAAATAATTGAACATATGATTATGAAGAAGTAGTAGAATAAAGCATGAACATAAAATATTCAAATCGTTGGAAGAAAGAAAAGAGGAAGAAAGATAGGCATGCAATTTATTGTGAAGCTGTTGTCCAGGAGATGTCTAAAGAGCCCATGGGTTCAATGCAGTGGACGTTCCAATGAGGGGGATGCCTGAACCAGGTGTTCCTCCAGCTGTCATCTTGGGCTTAGACCAGCATCCTATAAGCAAGTAATGTGTGTAGATTAATCTGCTATTTCAGAAGTTATTGTATAAGCCTGGACCATGCAAAGGCACACCACGAAGTGCTGATAGTAGAGAAAGACCTCAGACCTGGGCAACATGTGCACGGTGGAAGCTGATGCATTCTGAGTGATCCCCACGTATTCCCCAGCTGTCCTCTGAACACATCCCTATATCTGCAATTGCACTAACCCTAAAGTTAGCAAATGCCTGATTTTTCAGTTGTTAGATATGAATATGAGTCTGATTTTAGGGTATAACCAATTGGTAGAATCAACCCAACTATCAAAGATGATATAACAAGAAGAAAGGATGAAATGCAAGAAAATTTAAAAGAACTAAAACAACACCAGAATATATAAGCTTGGCTGTTATTCAGAAAGCAGAACCTCTCCTTTGATAAGGCACAGAGTCTCAGTTGTTATTTCCAAGTAATGTAAGAGCATATAAATGCTTTTAACACAAAATTAAGGTAAGAAATAAATATAATTGAGTGAAAAAGTAATATTATAAAAATTTGTGTACAATC
Organism: Homo sapiens; assembly: GCF_000001405.40. NCBI lineage: Eukaryota > Metazoa > Chordata > Mammalia > Primates > Hominidae > Homo > Homo sapiens. Next base: position 54,065,427 of record NC_000007.14, read on the forward strand.
TGCTCCAAGATTATAAAAATTACACAGGTATTCTCCAATGAAGAAGATATATATGTATATACACAGATATATATGAATATATATATGATAACATATGATATATATGATTACATATACATATCTATATAAACACAAATAATATATTTATTTGTGTATAATATATGTATAATTACACATTGGAATACATGTGTATAATTATACATCAGAATATATATTTTAATACTGGGTGACAAGATTACCTTAATTCTTATTTTCTTTTTTTCTTTGTATTTCCCAATGTGAATATTTTTATTATTTGCTTAAAGAAAAAATATACTTGTTACAAACAGTGAATCTAACATGGCAATGAAAGCTGGCAGGCTTCTATTCTCTCAGTGAGAGTCACTGAGTTGTCATTCAAACTAGCATCTTTTTATGACCTTTGCCAATGAGCTTAAGTCCCATTCAACCTTCATATTCTCAACACAGTCAACCTCCTTTTTCCACTCCATGAGTCCTTGGTTGTCTTTGGCCGATGAAAGCTGGTCACTGTACATGTGGATCTCCAGGTGTCACACCTTGAGAGTAACTTTTTTTTGTATATGTCACAAGAAGTGTATGCAAGATGGCATTTTTTCACTGTAACTTCATGAGATCCCATCCATTAGAAGCAACTGTTGGAAGCCACATCAGTGGGAGCGGAGTGATGCCCAAGGTTTGGCCCCCTTCCCACAGAGGTTCACTCCATTGTAGCTTCGCGCATACGTCTCACAGTTCAAGGTAAGTGCAACAGCCCAGTGCAAATGAATGTTTTTCTCACTGCTCTGGTTTTCAAAAGATATTGTGGCTGGAGTCTGTTCCTCCTTTTATCCAGCTCCCACTTGGATGCTGAAAGATTGAAGACAAAGGAATGTACTCAGATGACACAAAAGTCATCCAAAGCTGTTAGACTATGACTTCACAGTTGTGTCCACTGACATCTTCAATGCTGACTTCAATTAGGAGATGGTGTTAAAGCTCTTAAGCATTTCCCAGATTTTACCTGGCACAGGCCACACTTTTTGTGTAAAAGTCGTCTCCATGATAGACTGCCACCCATTTCCCAAGGCTCTTGATGTCCACACATGTATGTAGTATTTCTTCCCTGCTTCTCTTCTGCAGGAGGCATAGCCACACCTTTTATCTTCACTGCCCAGCAGCAAGAGGCAAGATAGAGATAAAGGGCAGCTTCACACACAACACAGAAGCGGTGGGGGTGAGCTCCCATCAGATCTGGGTTTAAAGATGTGGCCTTAAATTCGCCCTGTCATTTCAGTGAAGTTGCTCAAATATTTGGGGCTTGATTTCCTCATCAATGAAATGTAAATAGTTCTTATAGCAGATGTTGTGAATATTCCATTCATATTCCCTGGACAGCCCAAGAGTCATCACAGACATGTGTCTGGCTCCCTGCGTTTCTCAGTCAAAGGACTCTCTGGATGCAGCGCTGTTCAGTCCTTAGGGCAGGCTGAGAGTGCCCAAGAGTTAATGCATCAAGAGCCAATCTCAGAAAACGAGAGAGGTTTGCTGGTGGCTGGATGCCTCAGCTTACTTGGTGGAGACAGCTCTCAGCAGGCACCCCATAAAATCCAGCCCCAGGTGTCATGGTGCCAACTCCCTCTATGCAGCAGGATTTACTGGCTTTCCATCCTTTCATGTCTTCCTTCTCCATTTCCTTAGTGTACCCCTTGGGGTCCCCTCCCATATCACCTACTGTGCTTAAATCCCTATCTCAGGACCTGCACTGGGTAGTGGTGAAATCTAAACTCATGTAGCACTAGAGGATAAAAACACAGTTTATGATGATGACATAAACAGAGCATCTACAAAGTGTGTAATACAGAGCTTGATGCAGAAGAGAACTTTAATGACTATAACATCCCTTCATCCCTATGTGACTGAAACACCAGGGTTTGGTCTATATTCTATGCTCAACGCACAGAAAACCAATGACCGAGATGACGAGAATTGCCAAGAAAGAGGCTTTAATCAGGTGCTGCAACCAAGGAGATGGGAGCTCAGTTTCAAATCCATCTCCCTGAACGGCTAAAACTAGAGGTTTATATGGCAGGGAAGAAATGTAATAATGCATAGCAAAGCAGGAACTAGGAAGGGGCAAAGAAGCAGGCATCATGAAGGAGGGGCCCCAGATCTCACTGTCTGGATGTGGTGATCGGTGAGTTTTAGTTCTCTGTTACTTTTTTTTGAGAGTCCTGAAGGCAGTTTCCTGAGGAAGGAATTCAGATAACACAAATGTAAGTTTCAAGCTTTAACACCAGAAGGTCCTTTTTCTTTATCAAAAAAATAAAATTTTAAAAAAACTGTCTATGGGACTATTGCATCTGTTTCACCTACCCACAGTGTCATGTGGTAGACACTCCGTTTTCCCTGCCAGAGTCTAAAACCACATGAAAAGACAAACGGGTCAATAGGTGGAAATAAAAGGTGAGATCTATTCCTGTTAGAGAAGCAGTAAACATGGTTTAGGTCTGTAGACAGAATTTGTTTTCAAAACCAGAAACCTCAAATTAGAATCACTTGCACACCTTATCATAGGCAGCACTGAAAAATGGAAGGTAGTGAACACAAGTGCAGACAAATGCAGGAGAAAGAGAGGGGTCAAAGGTATGTCTTCCCAGGTCTTCTTCCTCAAAACATTGTGAGTAAGGGGAGCCAGGTTCCTCACTAGAGACGCAGGTTGTTAATAACAAGAAGGAAGGTTGGAGTAAACCCTGTGGTTCTAGACTAGAGTACAAGGAATCAGGATAAATCCATGTTTATTTTAATGGAGAGTCAATGCATAGATAAATAAATAGATAATAGCTAGGTGAATAGATATTAGCTAGGTAGATATAGATAATTAAGCCATGTCTACATGGTTTAGTATTTATAGGCACACAAATATTTGTAGCTATGTCCACTGAGAGGGCCTAGGAACAGCGGCACCCCAGTAATAACAAACAAAGCCAATGTTCATATTTATTTTAAAATACCATTATCCATCAGAAGAAACCATGACTTTGCAGATAAATGATTGACTCTGGGCCAGGGCAGGAAAAACACAAGATGAGGTAAACCATCTAATAGTGCCAGAAAATAATAAAGCACTTAAAAAATAAATAGAAGATGGGGACATGCCAAAAAGGCACAGGAGCTAATGTGAAAAAGCTTCCAATGGCCATAGCAGAAAAAATTTGAGCAACAGAAGAAATAATGTTAATAGTGTGCTAGATACCAAAGAATAAATTAAGCACCTGTGAGTCCATATTCACATAAATAAATAAATAAATAAATAAATAAATAAATAAATAAGGATGAGGGACAGTTACTCTTATGGAAGAATTCCAAATAATAAATATAAATGAATAAGGGGGAGAGAAAATTACCATTATAATACCATAGCAATAATTGCTGCAGGCCAGATCCATGGAGAATGTCAAAATTAGTGGGTAGAATTTTAAAAAGAAACAGAGTATATACATGCCCCCAAATATCCCCCTAAGAAATATATATAATTTACTGGAGTGGTTTAAACATATGGCCTTGGATTCCTTGATGGCTGGACTTACTGACTGTCCTCTAGCACAGTGGAATGGGAAGACATAGTAACTATGCAGTGGAGAAAGAATCTGGCAGAAACTACCCTGAGTAACAAAGGCTACCATTCATGTACCCCCAATATGACGGGATGAGAAAGACGCTTCTCCTCTGCATCATTCTTCCCAGAAATCTAGAGCCCCAGTCTAATCATGATAAACCATCAGGGAAATTCAAATTGAGGGACTTTCTACAAAGTACCTGAGCAGAACTTTTCAAAAGTGTCAGAACCGTGGGAAGCAAGGACAACGCTGGAGACTCCTGTGGATGACAAAGGCTAAGAAGATGTGTGGGCTGAACGCACTGTGGGCTCCTGCATGGGTCCTGCAGCAGAACAGGGACATCAGTGGAAAAACTGGCAAAATCCAAATAAAGTCCACAGTTTAGTTAAATTTAACATAAGAACATTCATTATAAAAGAGGAACACTTTAACATTCTTGCTTCCAGAACTGTGTGTAGAACCAGTTTGCCACATTACTTCTTCTGTTACCAAACCTCAAGTTCAAATTTGGAAATAAAAATAAATCCTACTAAAAAAGTTACATTAAAAATATATATCAGTTTAATACCACATTTCTTAAGGAGCTTCATATGCTAGATTCTAGAGTTAAAAACTATCACAGAATTGACTTCACCAGTGAAATTTAGGAAATAAGTCAATGCCCATTTCCTAAAGCAGGAATCCCAGGAGAGGTTCTGTTCCCTGATCACAGTCATTAGAGTTTTCGCAGACCATTGCCCAATCTCAGTAGCATCTAAAGAAATCCCAGGTGACCCCTCTTCACTCCTTCCTTAACCCTGTGTGTAGCCAGTCTGGGTGTGCTTACCACTAACGCTGCCTCAATCTTGCCTGGGATATGAACCCAGACTGCACTTGAGTGATTCAAGGCGAAGCTACAGCAGTCTGTGCCCTAAGGCCACTACCATTTGGTGAAGGGACCCTCAGTTCCACATGCTGCCAATACAAAAATAGCTACCCATATTTGAACAAAGCTTCCCTAGACTGCAGTGACCTGCCAAGGTCAAAATCACATGCGCTCAGAAGTGTCAAAGTCCTGCTGAGCTGCAATAAAAATCCAACAGTGAAATGCTAAAAACTACTCAGGGATCCAACATAGGCTACTGAACACCATCACAACCAAAAGCCCTGCGCCTTGCCCCACCAAAATCCTCAATCAGCAATTGTTATTTTCCTTAAAAGAGTCTGTCCTGTCTTTGCATCTATCTTAGTTCAATCAGGAGATAGAAACCACACCGTGGGTAAAACAGCAGTTTAATATAAAGAAGCATGAAACGATGATTTAAAAAGTAATTACGAGATATGTTAGTAGAAAAGCAGATTGTTGGCACAACACATTATATGGCACCCTAGGGTGGAGGGAGAGTACAGAAGTTGGATAAACTTGGAAGAGAGGCCTCATCTCAAGGCTGGGGTCACACCTTATTGTAGGTTTAGTTCAGCCCACTGGACAGCTAGAAAAGTTTACAGATTTTCCCGGACTGGCACTGGTCTGAAATTCACTGAGCAACCTAGAAGCAGCCCTGCTGAATGCAGGTGTCTCATACACAGAGGATCATCAACCGATGGTGTGGGCATGCAGACAGTGCAGAGGCCCATGTCACAGGGAGCCACAGGGGAGGCTTCCAAGGAAGCTGTGGTTGCTGTGAGCAGCAGGCCTTCAGGGCATCGACTTCCACACAGAGAAGGCTGCAGAGCTGTTATCAGTAGGCTCGCATTGCCAGGGGCCATGCATTCTGGGAGTATAGTCAGGTGCAGCTCCGTGGGCTGTTCTCACCCCTATTTCCCCAAACCCTCCTACAACACGGCACCCCTTTCCTCTTGCAATTACTGAGAAACCTTAACATCTTGTCCACTGTAATGTGGAGATGTTTAAAATAATTCTGTCTATTACAATGAGGTATATATTGAAATTTGGCTCTGGGAGGATATAAATTGATAACTGCACATTCTCCTATAACCCTCCATTCCAATGATCAGATTTTTATATAACACAGAATGGACAATGGATTCAAATTGACCACCTTTGAAAACAAAACTGCATTTCCAGTGCCAAAAAGCAGAAGGTACTGAAGGAGAAAACCAACTTTCTCCTCCAAACTCATGCTTCCCTGGAGCAGAGTACATTGTGGGCTAGAGAAAGTACAGGACTGACACTCTAGTGAATGTCCCTTCACACAGAAACAGAGAGCCAGGGGAATGAAACCTCATTCCAAAACAGTGGAGGGGATTGAGAAGCATCCAGGCCTTTCCTCTAGGGGAGGGATTTGCAATGGCTCCCTTATAGATGAGCATTCCTAAACACTTATGGCGATTTCTAGAGCTAGAGGCTACCAGTGGCCTCAAAGGGAAATGAAAGCCTTAGTTGATATTACCCCAGCTCTTCTCAAAAATAATTGATGGCCATCCCATCACATAAAATAGCTCCTCTTATAGGAGAAAGCCTTCTGCCTTTACTTCTGATCCCATCTTGTCTACATTCTTTGAGATTGTTCCATCAATAATTTCTAAATCTTTATGGTCTATATTGACATCTTCAGGTTGCAAAACATTACTCTTGCCCAATCTTGGATTATCACAGATGATTAGGATTTATCAGGAGTGAAAGTATTATAGCCTGATTCATGGATTTGTCATGCAAATATGACTGTATTTCTTTTACTTATTGACTTAATTGCTTTAGCCTCCATAGATGATGTAGTAGCAGGAAGCCCAATCCTTTCATCTTGACTTACACTATATGAAGATCTCAAGAATGTACTTAATTTCAAAACACATAATGGTCAGCAAAACTCCAGAGGTAGAACTGGGTTTTGGTAATTCCAAGCTATTATGATTCATAGACATTTTTAAAGATCAATCCTTTGTGGTTCAATGGGTAGGGTATCTTTATCACTGGGATACCCTTGCTGTGCCTGCCCAAGCAACACTGGTGCCCAACATGGGGCCTCACACCCTATGCCCTTTCCCACCTCTCCACATGAACGTCCTCTTTGGTTGATATTCCTGTGTTCATACACTCTTCCCCCTCCAATCTGCCATCATCCACGTAACTGGGGGAGCTTCAGAATTAGTTATATGCTGTATGCACCTGGATCCACCTGCTGAAGGCAGGTCTCCTCCCCATGCTACCCTTGCCTTATTGATGAGCTCCAATTTGACGTTCTAAATTCACAAGGTTCTGGAGTCCTGGTGCCTGGCTGTCCACATGCTGCTCTTTAAGGGGAGTATCACCTTTGCTAATGCTAGCACACAAAATGTCTTACCACTCTCCACACTGAGAAAATGGAAATGTTGCATTGTTTTATTTGATTTGATTAACAAAGGACAGTTACTCAAGCAATTCTTTTATTTTAAAAAAAGAGTATCTTCTGGCCAGGCAAGGTGGCTCACACTTGTAATCCCAGCACTTTGGGAGGCCGAGGCGGGTGGATCACGAGGTCAGGAGATCAAGACCATCCCGACTAACATGGGGAAACCCCATCTCTACTAAACAAATTAGCCGGGCGTGGTGGTGGGCACCTGTAGTCCCAGCTCCTCGGGAGGCTGAGGCAGGTGAAGGGTGTGAACCCAGGAGGCAGAGCTTGCAGTGAGCCCAGATTGCACCACTGCACTCCAGCCTGGGCGACAGAGGGAGACTCTGTCTCAAAAAAAAAAAAAAAAGTATCTTCTACAAATTGTTTTGTTGCCTGAACTAGAAAATTATTTGTATCAAAATAATAAATATAATTCAACACAACAAATTAACAACAGCAAGAGATCACCTACGTTGAGAGAGAACTACAATAGTGTTCAGAATACAGGATCCCTGCGGTAGCCCAGCAGAAGAGGAACTTTGCCCTTGTCAGCACTTTCCTTCTGGACAGTCTCATTGCTCTCTCAGCTCAGCTCCCTTGACTCTGACTGCCTTTCTCTCATTATCGTAAATACTTCGTTGACTCCCTGCTTCCCTTATTGAAGGTGGAATTTCTTCTGTTATTGATATAGATTCATGGTTGGATCACTGCATGGCTTTTCCTTTTTTTTTTTTTTTTTTTTTGTGACATCAGTTGGTTTCTAAACTGTATAATCCCTCCTGTCTGAGTCTCTAATATTTCATTTAATACTTATAAAAGCCCTATCAAGTCGGCTTTATCTCCTTTTTACAGATGTGGGAGCTGAGACCTAGCAGAGTAAAACATTAATTCTTTCCATTAGTATGCTCATTGGTTGATAAAGATAGTAACTTTTTGTCTTTCATGTCTGCTTTAAATATTTTCCCTAGTTTGGTTTACCCTTTAATTATTTTTACCAACAGAAATTTTATGTCTTTATGTTGTTGAATTTGTCAGTCCTTTCTTTTATGATTGTTTTCCTGTTACCTTTAAATTGAGAAAGTCCTTCTCTCTTTAGAGGTTGGATACATATTATTCTCATTTTATTTATGTTTCCTTTTTATTTTATTTTAAGCATATGCACAGAATTACTTTGGTAGTTGGTATGAGGTAAAAATCCAAATGAATTTATTTTCACAAACAGCCAATTTCCCAAATAAAATTTATTTTAAAATATTTCTTTACATCATTATGTTTCTTTTACTTATATTTATTCTCCAATGTATAACTGAGTTTATTTCTCAGTTTCCTGTTCTATTTCTCTATTCTAATTATCTAGATTTATGCCAATACCTCATGGCTTTCACTATAACAAGAAATGCTAATACTTCCTTAATATTTGTTTTCATTAGATCTGGACACTTTTCATCTTTAGGTTTTAAAGTAGTGTGTCAGTTTTGTGGATTGAAACTAAGTTACATGAATATATCTTTTGTGATAAATTATGTTGTATAAATAAATACTTTTCAAAGAAAGAAAAAGACACTTCATTTAAATTTACTGATCTAGAGATTATGCACCTTACCTGAGCAGAGCTCTCACATCAGCCTCATGTCCTGGTCCCGGCACTGGCTGGTTTGCACATGCTCACACTGGCTCAGTGTCACCCCACGGTTGGGTCGTTTCTGGCCATAGCTATAGTGTGCTGCTGCGGCCTTCTTATTCGGAAGCAGCCCTGAGCATATGGATACCAGGATGCCCCACCGCCGCATTCTTCCTTCCTAGTTCATAAAGTCACCTGTGAGGTGGGTTTGCTATGCCATTTAAGAACATCCACTTCGGCTGGGCGCGGTGGCTCACGCCTGTAATCCCAGCACTTCGGGAGGCCAAGGCGGGTGGATCACGAGGTCAGGAGATCGAGACCATCCTGGCTAACACGGTGAAACCCCGTCTCTACTAAAAATACAAAAAATTAGCCAGGCGAGGTGGCGGGCGCCTGTAGTCCCAGCTATTCGGGAGGCTGAGGCAGGAGAATGGCGTGAACCCGGGAGGCGGAGTTTGCAGTGAGCGGAGATTGCGCCACTGCACTCCAGCCTGGGCGACAGAGCGAGACTCCGTCTCAGAAGAAAAAAAAAGAACATCCACTTCAGCTACAAGGAACAATTAAATCAATTGGGGTGGGTAAAACCCATTCATCTGCTATTCTTAGCAAGTAAGTGAGCATCTAGCTTGCGAGACGCACTAGACGTAGACAAGTTAAGTAATGCCCAGTGTGCTGAAAATAGATGGAAAGGACAATGGCAGGACGAGCTAAGTAACAAATATTCCTGGCACAAACTACTTTTGAAAGTCCTTGCCCCCATAAACTGGCCACCCATTGGTGATACTCTCATTGGTCCTCAGTGTTCCTTGCTCAAGACGAGCATGTAAAAGTGATTGGTGCTCTGCAGGTTTGGAGGAGGTACCGCTGTAGCCAGATGTTCTTGTTATACTTTCTAATAGAATAAGGGTATACTGGATCTGTATGCTGAGCCTCTCTACTCTAGTTCTGGAAGCACCACAACTGTGCACGGAGAGGGCAACATAGAGAGAAACACGGGGCAGTATGCCACCAAGGAATAGACATATACACACACGCATGCAATTCTATCCGTTTACATAAGGACTCCCTAACATTGATAGCTACTTGCCTTTATAAACTAAGTAATAATATATCCAGGAGTTAGGCAGTTGTTCGGCTATCCCTAAAAGGGACAGAAAAGCAGACAGCACGACTTTGCATCCTGCTGGCTCCTCTCCTCATGGTGTTAACCTTCCTCCTCTCTGTTCCTCTGCCTCTTGCTGTGTGCTGCAATGAGACTCAGTAAGCTGCATGCTTAGAGGTGGCCTCTGAACCTTGCTTCTACCTGTCTTCTGAAAAGGCTTGCCTGGTGGTCCGCCTGGAGGTCATTACCGTGCCCTTCTACTGCCCATCTTCAGACTGCTCAGCTCACTCAGAATTTTTCCTCTTCACTCTGCCTTCCTTATCACCTAAAATCTATTTCCTCTTTTTACACTAAAATCTACATATTTCTTTCCGATTGACAGCCCTGCCCTCTTCCATTTGTGATATTTAGCACTGCTCTTTAGGCCCTACAGACCTCAGACTTGATTTGTTATGTAAACTGTATGTCAGTCATTTTACACAAGCATACATGCATGCATACACATACATACACACAGCAGTTAAACATTTTATCAGTATAAGTCAGGAATTAATATAAGTCAGGCAGATTTAAGCTACTGAAAAATAATTCAAACCAGGACTCAACCACCTTTTTACTTCCCCTAATGGCTAATGAGATTTTAGTAATTTAAACTTATTCAAGGATAAATGCTTTAAGATGACTACAATGATGACCTTCTTGCAAGCATAAATGCTTTAAAATTAGTTTCAGTGCTTCAGTAATTGTGAACTCTGTGCACTGACATCTCTTTTGCTCAGTCATCACTGTGAGACTGCAAACCTCCTAGGGGTATATCTACAAAACATAAGCGTTCCTCTCTCAATTTCCAGTGTTTATTTGTTGCAAATAGCCAATTTAAGGAGAACTACGTGGAGCCACTGAGATTCTGTGTGAACACTTACAAAGACAGATCTGCAAATCAGAACCATGCCAATAATTTTAAATTGCCCTAAGCCATAATTCCTAATATTTACTTTGACAAATCTCCCCAAAATATAACTTTATAAGGCACATTCAGAAAGATAAAAAGTGAATTTTAGTTGCTCTACATGAGAAACAGAAAAATTAATACTATATGCACACATAGAATGACAGTGAATCAAGGAATTAAATAGAAGAATATTGAATTAAGAAATAAACTGTGATTATATTATGATCTTATAATTTTAATCTTACCATAAGGACTGCTATAATTATAGATATTAACAATGAAGCTGCTACTGCTTGTGCTATAATTGCTAGAGTGAGTATAAAATTCCTGATCCTGTGACTGAAATATTATATTTCAGGATGTTCAGCGATGACACAAAGTGTCAGTTTCATTAATTCAAGCTGCACCTCTCTGGCAGACACTCTACTCCTGGGAAAGTCAGAAATAGTCTCACATTCAGGGAGCCTCCAGTCTCCAGGCAAGTCCTATAAAAATAAATGTTTGCCATTTTTTTTTATAATACAGTAAATACTTGTTCAATGTAAAAGCAGTCAAAATGTGCACTTCTATATTGACAAAATAGTAAGAATCTCCAAGAACTGATCATCCAAAAAAATACTCTTATGTAATTGGTAAATACAGCATCAGATAAATACAACTTTTATTCATTAGCCAAATGAATAATTTTGTTTCCATTACATATATGTCAGATCCTGTGCTAGGGGGCGATGACAAAATGATGAGTAATAGAAGATATGAGGCTTTCCCCTTAGGATGTTTACAATCGGGAAGAGCTGACAAATGCATATCAAATAATCGCACATTATGTAAAGTGACAACTATGTTACAAGCTATGATGGAACAATCAGTGATCTATGAAAGTACTTAAGTTGGGGGTTTGATGTACTCTAAGAAGTAAGGTATTTATTTATTTGCTTACTTTTTGCAGATGACACTTCACTGGAATCTGAAGGGTGAAGAGGTGGATTCTGGACCTGGTGTTCTGAGAGGAGTGGTGGGGCCAAATACATGAAGAAGAGAAAGGTGAGTTGTTGAAATGTCGATTGAAAGAGGAGTTATATTTTGAGACAAGTCTGAAGTGCTGGAGAGGGGCCAGGCCACACAGAGAATTGCAGACTATCACAAGCAGAAGTTACTGGTGCATTGCAAGTAGGTGGATGACAAGATAAGATAGTTTTACACTTTGAGCATGTGTTGGTAAAACAGGGATGAAAGACCTGGTGACAAGTTTAATTATTATATATGATTTATTTGCAAATCAGTATCATAGCAAAATGCTGTGTGCTGAAAATTGCTCTTGTACTTAATAAAATATTGTAGATACCTTTGTTTGAAACAGCATACTGCTCTATACTCTTCACAGAGTCACAACGTTCACTGTGTGAATGTACCTTGGCTTTCACAGGGTACCATATTTTCATGTCTTTTTCAGTATTTTAAATAATGTTGCTAAAAATATCCTTCAAGTTATATATTTCTCTCTCTCTATATATATATAAATTCTGACATATATGACCTGAAGGTATATATTCAAATATATATATAACTATATATATATAGTTATATATATATACTACATACATATATAGTAAAATATGCTATTTTACTTCTAAGAAGTAAGTTTATAGAAATGCTGGATTAAAGATAGGCCCATTTATAGAAATTCACAGATAATGTCAAACTCACCTACAAAATATTGTGCCAGTGTGGGCTTCCCCACCCTTACGGTTAAACAGCCTTGGATTCACATCACCCTTGTGTGGGAAGATTTCTGGATCCTCCCAGCCAGTGCCGCGTGTTATCTTCTCATGACCATGCTCTGCACTTTGTAATTACAGGGAAATACTTTTTGCTAAAATTTTAAACGCCCACATTTCATTTCCTGACTCCATATGCTTTGTTTAACATATATATTACCCACTCACTTTCATTACTTTAATTATGTCCATTTTACAGATAAGAAAACTTATTCACGAAGCAGTTAAGAAAGAAAACTTATTCACAAAACAGTTAAGAAACTTGCCGAAAATTATACCGCTAGTAACTATGCAGAAGGCTTTAAGTCACTACAGCATGTTTTCTTCAGAAAAGGTGTTTTATAAAATTCAAAATTGATCTGTGATTTTTAAAAAATCTCTTAGTACACTAAAAGTAAATCATAACTCACTAATGTAATAAACATTGTACAATAATTAAAAACATTTTATTGTGGTATTCCACAATTGCCCCATTAAAATGAAGAATGAGAAAATTTTTGATGATGACTACTTTATAATGTTCTTAAGAGATTTTTTTATTTTTTAACCAATGAAATGAGAAAGTTCATTTAAAAAGGATAACTCTCATAGATTAGGAAATAAAATAGTTCTCCGTTAATTTGGTTCACAATAGTGAAGGTACCACTGAATGCCAGCTCTGGGCACTGGAGCTTCAGGGATGAGAAACAGCTGTGTGCTTTGCCCCCTCTTGCTTCTTAGAATCTCTTAGTAAAGATCGGTCATTCAACAGTCACTGACTTTCAAGCGTACTTTTTGCTATGTTAGGGAAAGTTCACGGGTTGGTGTGAGGGTGAGTATAAAGGGACAGACAGCCAGGGCCTGACACCCAGAAAAAGACACGGGGGTGTATGTTCCAGGAGACTCAATGCCAGCAGTGTGCTCGCACAGGTGAAACTGTGCTGGTGGAGATTCTACCATACATAAGAAGGAGATGATGGCAGCAAGACTTGAGGTATAACTGCAGAAATGAAAAGGAAAAAAAAGCAGATCTGAGAAATACTTAATCTGTGACTGCTGAGCTGTGGAAGAGCAAAGAGGGAGGCAAATGGTGGGATTATCCCTTGGAATGGGAAACATTAAATGAAGAGCAAGTTGAGAAGGTGAAAAAAGATGATCAGTTTTCTTTGGGACTGGTTGAATCTGGAGCATGAAGGAGCTATCCAGTAGAAATAAAATGTTCAGGAAGCATTTGGAATATGGGCCTAAACTCAGGAAATTGTTTGTGTGTCAGATACGGATTTAGTATTCGACAGTGTTTATCAATAGAGGACCACAGAGGACCCAGTGATGCACACAATAGCCGTGGGATTTTACGAATTGAGAGCAGGACCCAAGAGAGAACCTTGAGGAGCACACATCTTTGAGTAGTTTGAGGAGGAAACTGAAAAGGAGACTGAGGAAAGAAAAAGAAATCCAGAGAGGTAGGCAAAACTAGGAGTGTAGAGTCCCAAAAAATAAAGGCAGGGTACTTTTCACAAAAGCTGCAGTCAAGGGTCTCACCTACTGCTGTAATATCAGTGAAGAAGGGGCTGAAAAATTATCTACTGAAATTAGACACAAGTAGAGTGGTGTTGAGTCTGGAAACAATGATTTTAGTTGATAGAAAACAAGAAACATACTGAATTTGGATTAATCATGAAAGTACATAAGGAAAAGAAAAAATTGGATGTAGAGAATAGTTAACTCAAATTACCAAGGAGTAGATAGATATGGAATAGAGGGAATAAGATTTAACAAAAATCAGTATTTCAGTATTTTAAATAATGTTGCTAATAATATCCTTCAAGTGATATATTTGCTGAAACGTATATAATGTATATAATTACTCATGACAAAAAAATGGAGAAAATTTTATTAATAATATTAAGCAGCCAATAAAGATAAACTTTTGAAAATGTAGATGAGAGTAGTAGTCTAGAATTTAAGGGAGGGCAAGGGTGAGATGGCTGCAGCACAGGAAGGTGCTGCATCAGTCTAGGCATCTTGCATAAGCAACACTTTAGCATTTTTTACTGAAACAGAAAAAATATTGCATGTAAGGGGCGCTAATTGTGACTTTCATTTTGGAAACACTGCATTCAAGGTGCTGGTGAGACTTCCAGATAAAGAAAAGTGAGAGCATTTAAGTCCAGAACTCAAAATGAGAAAGCACATTAGGACGTTTTTCAGAACGTTGAGAGGAATTAAACCATGGATTGGATGAAGTTGCCTAACGTCAAAGATACACAGAAGAACAAATTGGTTCGGAACTGTCCAAAACATTTTTATTTAATTCAATTTTGAAAAAATGTGCTGGAACACAGAGATATTAAGTTTAAGAGCTGTGCTGGGCATCACTGGGTTCTAATGGACGTGGGCAGAGAGGGTGCAGGTCAAGGTGGGGAGTTAGAATAAGACCAGCCCCTCAGTGAGGACTTCCACTACAATAGGACCCCCGTCTCCCATGATTTACACCTATCACTCATTTAATCTCCATAGCAATCCACTGAAACAGACACAACTCTGACCACAATTTCATGTGTTAGAAAATGGAGTCACAGAAAATTGTTCAATGTCACATGACTAAGTGTGCGGCAAAGGCAGGATTCAAACCCAGGCAGCCTGACATGGCAGCCTAGATTCTGAAGCCCTTTGTGATATGGGGAAGGAGAGAGAAAAATAATGGTGGGTTCACCAGGAACCCAGTTTGACCAGTGTGATGCCAACATGAACAATTTATGAATCACCATGACACCCCACACTTGTTGTGTTTTAAGACTTGCTACAATTATCAAAAACATCTTTTACAATGCTGACATTCCTACAAACAGATAAATCTGGGTTTCATTTTAGAGAGAGAGGCTGGCTTTGAGTCCCACTGCTTGACAAGCCAAGATTCCTTATCTCGTTGTACAGAACATCAGGGAACACAATAGAAAAAACTGTCACTGACGACAAAGAACAGAGCCTCATCATATTTAATCTTGTTTTCCATTTTTCTATTCAGTCAGTAAATGAATTCATTGTTTAGCCTCCCAGCTTATAAACATTCTATTTCTTTCCACTTTCTTACATATGTAGAATATGATTTATAACCCAGTATTACATAATATTTGAGAACTGCAGTGGTTTTACGCCATGTCAATTTAACCAGGCTGGAACTACATTTCCCAGGGACTCCCTTCCCTGTATGGTGCAGTTAGGGTTTGGCCATAACAGAAATGAGTAGGAGGTTTGAAAAGCAGAAGGAAAGGCACAGCCATTTCTCTTATGCTCTGAAAATCGACTTAGATGCAGCCTCCACTGTGGCTCAGGGCAGTCCCCTGATCTCCTGCCCCTGCCCTGGGTTTCCTGTTTCAGCTTTCCTGAGACCCAGGAGAGGCATTCTTTCTGCAACTCCTGCAAGCCACGCATGTAATTGAGACTGGAAACGATAAGAGGCAGACGAGGATCTGGTTTATCCTCACAGATTCCAGGTTGTGCTCACTGTCCCCTCCTTCATGCTTGGACTTTCTTCCTGACTGCTGGCCCAAGAGTCATAGAGTGACCTCAGGCCATAAAACAGTGCAGAGACAACAGTTTTCCACAGACTTCTTCATCTGCTCCCACCATTGTATAATGGCTAAACATTCTGCTAACCCTTTCACTCCATACCACGTGGAGTGGTTCAGCCTCCCTTATCGTACCCTAAATGCTGTAAGGGCCAACTGATTCAGTTCATACTTTTCCTTTCACTAAACACTCTTAACTTTTCTTAAAGGATATTTATATATTTATTTAAAGCTTCCTCTTCTCAAAAAGAGGATGTATAATAGTCTGTTTCTTCAGTGGGAAGAAAATGTGTTCAAGAAAGGGTTGAGTTCCACAGACCATCAACATTTAAGGACCAGGTAAAGGAGGGAACACAGGCAGGGAAACTAAAGAGCAGGAATGAATTTGAAAGAAAAATCAGGAGACAATACATCAAGGAAGACAAGAAAACACAGGCATTTTGAATCAGAAGAACTTATAAATGCATCTCTTCAAATATAGTGTACATGATGCTTTTCATTCTGCTTTTACAGTTAAAGCTCTGTAGCATAACACTTCTTTATAACACAAAATAATTTCCTTAAACATAATTTTAAATTGAATTAATCACATTATATCAGCCTTCTTAAAACTCGTTGCCTATTCTTTATAGATTATTTCTGATGCTTTAAAGCAGAGAATTCAGTAAATATTATTCATCTTGCATTTTTGCAGGCTGATATATTTTTCTTAAGATAGTTTCAGAAGTAGAGTTTTTGTAAAAACGTAGATTATCAAAGATATTGACAGGTTCATGCCATAAAAGTATAGAGAGCCCTCCAAAGTTGCCAGCAATAATGCTAGAAGAGATTTCTGGAAAGTGGACACCTGCTACCGGGTTTAGACAAAGCGGCCCAGGGAAGACACATTAGCTCCATGTGCCTTCCTTGTGCACCTTCGTCTAAACCAGGTGCCCACAATTCCAGGTGTTGGGAGGGAGCTTGGGTGAGACTGAGTCCCTGGTTCTGTTGACATTCCTGTGGGTATAATTGGGGATCTGCTTCTGCTAGGGTGCCCTGTGGGCAATCCACAGAATATGATCTGAACACAGAAGTGGAGGGCCTGGGCCTGCTCCCAGATACATATTCTCAGTAATGGTGATCTGTGAACCTGAGCCAAGGCCAAAGTCAGTGTTACTTGAGTTGGCCCATTCTCCTCTTAAGCTGGAGGTGAACTCATAGGCTAAGCTTTCCCTACCTTTTATGCTGGGCGAGTACAGGTCTATGACGTATAGACCTGTGATTTTTATCTTTCACACTTTATGGCATTCATGCCATTAAGAATACTACAGCTAGGCCACACGCAGTGGCTCACGCCTGTAATCCCAGCACTTTGGGAGGCCAAGGTGGGTGGACCACAAGGTCAGAAGTTTGAGACCAGGCTGGCCAATATGGTGAAACTCCATCTCTACTAAAAATACAAAAATATTAGCTGGGCATGGTGGCGCATGCCTGTAATCCCAGCTACTCAGGAGGCTCAGGCAGGAGAAGTGCTTGAACCCAGGAGGCGGAGGTTACAATGAGCCGAGATCGCGCCACTGCACTCCAGCCTGGGCGACAGAAAAAGAATACTACAACTACTCAGTTGTAAACTCAGGGAAACCAAATAATCATGATGATAATAACAATCATGATAAGAGATTATTTGAGGCTCTTCAGAAGCCAGGAAGAAGAGAATTAGTTGCAACAATCAGAACACAGATGCAGCTTGTCCCCTGCTAAAGGACACTTGGGAGCACCTGAATTAACCATAATGATGGCCTGATTCCGTGACACATGCCCGTAATCCCAGAACTTTGGGAGGCCGAGGTGGGCAGATCTCGAGCCCAGGAATTCGAGACCAACCTGGGCAACATGATGAAACCTTTTCTCTACAAAAAAATACAAAAATTAGCCAGGCATGGTGACATGCGCCTGTAGTCCCAGCTACTCGGGAGGCTGAGGAGGAAGGCTAGCTTGAGCTGGAGAGGCAAAGGTCACTGCATCACTGCACTGCAGCCTAGGTGAGACCCTGTCTCAAAAACAAAAACAATAACAATAATGATGATGATGATGACAGCAACAAAATAGATTCCAATGTCACATGCAAAAAAAAAAGAGTTTCTGAAGCTTAATTAGGATTTTCAAACTAAAAATAAAAAGCAAACAAAAAGAAACTCAAAACTTTATGGATACATTTTTAAAAAAAGGACACTGATTTAAGCACCAAGCATATATATATCAATCAAACAAGCTTTCCAAAAATACATATAATAATATATAATAATATATATTTATATATAATATATATTTATTTTTTACATATAATACATGTTTTACATATAATAGAATTTTATGTGTAATAATATATATAATAAATAAATATATATTTTTTCGAAAGCTTGTTGTTTGATTACATTTTCTGCCTCCTTTGCAGCTAGCATGCAGACGTGGCCTGCACTGCCCCAATCTGTTACATCCAGGAACCATTTTTTCATTTTTTTTTTTCGACTTTTTGAGATGGAGTTTCGCTATTGTTGCCCAGTCTGAAGTGCAATGGCGCAATCTTGGCTCACTGCAACCTCCGCCACCCAAGTTCAAGCAATTTTCCTGCCTCAGCCTCCCAAGTAGCTGGGATTACAGGCGTGCACCCCTACACCCGGCTAATTTTTTTTTTTTTTTTTTTTTTTTGAGACAGAATCTCACCCTGTCACCCAGGCTGGAGTGTAGTGGGGCAATCTCGGCTCACTGCAACCTATGCCTCCCAGGTTCAAGCGATTCTCCTGCCTCAGCCTCCCAAGTAGCTGGGACTACTGGCACCCACCACCATGCCCAGCTAATTTTTTTGTATTTTTAGTGGAGACAGGGTTTCACTATGTTGGCTAGGCTTGTCTCAAACTCCTGACCCCAAGTGACACGCCCGTCTCGGCCTCCCAAAGTGCTGGGATTACAGGCATGAGCCACCATGCCTGGCCAATGTTTTGTATTTTTAGTAGAGACCGGGTTTCACCATGTTGCCCAGGCTGGTCTCAAACTCCTCACCTCAGGTGATCCACCCGCCTCGGCCTCCCAGAGTGCTGGGGTTAAAGGCTTGAGACACCACACCCAGCCCTCAGGAACCGTTTTGATTGGAATGTGAGTAACATGAAGAAGAAGGTTCTGTATGTAACTGGCTTTTTGGTGGGTGGAGTTCTTACTCTGGGGTTAGTTCCAAGGTCAGCCTGCCACTGGAGAACTCTTACATCTGGTTTGAGAGCAATTGCAAAAGAGGTGATTTGCTGGCATTTTGTGTCTAGCCACAGCAGATAGTGATGCCTTCAGCATACCCCTCTGCAGCTGGGCCAGTGAGTCTAAAAGCTTAAACTCAAGCCTTTTAATTCACTTTTTCTGTATTCTATAGAAATTCTATTATAGAATTAATCCACCTAATATCCACTACTAAACCCCATGTCTGCTTACATTAACCTAAATAGATTCTATTAGTAGTAACTAAAGACTGTTATAAATGAGAATAAATCAATACTTAGTGGCATGTTACAAAAGAGTGTCTGAGATGACAGAAAATGGAAAGCTCTAAAGACTTTGGGATAATAATAAGATCACACAAAAATGGCCGACATATTTCAATGACACAAACATTCATATAAAATATTTACATATTTATTTCAAAAAGCATGGTAAACTCAAAAACTATGTAAACATATATGTAAACCTAACGTACAATATAATGATGTAACAATTAAAATTTGAAGATATTTTATTCTTATTTTCATTTTTTTCAAGTCATATCTATTTCCATCCATTTCAATCCTAATATTTTATCGTATGCATAGAATAACTACATGTTTTCAATTGAGTCTTGATTAACACAAAATGACAACACACACAAAAAAGAAAAAATGGCCAGGTGCCGTGACTCACCCCTGTAATCCCAGCACTTTCGGAGGCCTTGGCGGGTGGATCACCTGAGGTCCTGAGTTCAAGACCAGCATGACAAACATGAAGAAGCCCCATCTCTACTAAAAATACAAAATTAGCCGGGTGTGGTGACACATGCCTGTAATCCCAGCTACTTGGGAGGCTGAGGCAGCAGAATCGCTTGAACCCAGGAGGTGGAGGTTGCAGTGAGCTGAGATCGTGCCATTGCACTCCAGCCTGAGTAACAAGAGCAAAACTCCCTATCAAAAAAAAAAAAAAAAGAAAAAGAAAATAAAAGAAAAAAGTCGCACTCAGAAGACTAAAATTAATTTTTTCAGAATATAATATATTGTCAATTGGCAAAAGTCAATATGTACAGAGTGAAAATTCACCTTTCAAGTCTGTTGGATAAGCCATAAACTTCCTTCCTCAGAGGCAACCAGTGATTCTTGTTCCTTGTGTATCCTTCTAGAGATATTCCAGGAAGACATGAGAAAAGGCACATATAGATGTAAATATACATTCGAGGGTTTTTTCCATTTTTAAAACAAATAAATACAAATAAAATTTAAAATGATACAGTGATATAGACTAAATAGTTCCTTTTGCTATACATTGTTCATCATTCCAACTCCATCCATAAGGGATTTTTATTTATTTCATTGTGTGCCAATGTATACACACGTCACATATTTCATCAGCCCCTATGTGGTAACCATTTAGGAGAGAAAATGTCTCTGGCCAATTCAGGCACTACTATCCAGCTCCTTGGATGACACCCAAAGGAGAAGACATGCATTTAAATGTGTTAAGACAGTGGATCTTAAGTATTCTCGCCACACACATAAAACACCAAAACACAAAAATAAAAAAACAAAGGGCACAAAAAATCTTTGAGAGGTGATGGATTTGTCTCTTACCTTGAATTATACTGATGGTTTCATGGGTGCTTGCACATGTCCAAACTTGTTAAATTTTTAACATTATATATGTGCAGCTTTTGTGTATCAGTTACACTTCAATAAGGCTATTCTTTTTTTTAAAAAAGGAGAATGATGTGGTTGATATTTTAGAGAAAGCCCATGTGTATGAGGCTGGCTGCTGCCCCTCTCCTGCTCAGGAGACTACATTCTCTGAGCACCTGGGAAGGTTGTGGGTCACTCAAAAGAGTTCATAGCTCTTATCCATTCTACTGTCATGTGCTCTCAGATGGATCTAGCCAAGGTTGTTGATAAGTCAACAGCCTGGTGAAACGGTGTCCTTCCTTAGTAACTAGTTTATCCACAACCTTACATTTGGCAAAAGGTACTGACAGTTGGCAAACAGAAAATATAAAAGCAAAAGTGTCCTATGGCCAACATGGGTATCCACACAGGGCCTGGTCTTTGTTTTAAATAAACACTCCTAGGTTCAAGAGCTTCTGATTCGTTTATTCATTGACAAGTATTTATCTTTCACACTTTCGTCTCAAGTAACAGGTAATGAGAGTCGAAGAAAGAATACGTCATTGTCTCTTGTCTAAGATACTTAAAATTTAATGAGAAACATGCAATGGTTTAAAAACATGAAAAGGCGTAACATCAAAGTGATGACACTCAAATATCCTAATGTATGAATATTACTTTACAAGACTGGGTCTAAGAAAGGTCACATTTGTTTCTTTTTCTAAATCAAATTATGTCTCTCTGGTAAACACTTGGCAAGACAGTGTAAGAAACTTCACCCTTGTGATGCGCATCAGCTACTAGAAAATGGGAAGCTCAGGCAATTCTCAGCCACATTCAGATATGGGCGACTTGGATGTGTCTGAGAGACTTTCCTCTTAAGTGAGTACAGTGACCATTTCCCCTTTGAGTCCTGTCTCCTCCTTTGGGTGTCATCCAAGGAGCTGGATAGTAGAGCCTGGACTGGCCAGAGACCTACATTTTCTCTCCCAAATGGTTACCATTAAGGACGGCAGCCCCTTCCCTTTATCCTTACTTGGCCCTGGTAACCACCATTCTATTCTGTTTCTAAGAGTTTGGCTATTTTAGGTACCTCATATAAGTGGAATCATGTAGTATTTGTGTTTTTGTGACAGGCTTATTTAACTTAGCATAATGTCCTCCAGGTTCATCCTTGTGGTTACAAATGTCAGGATTTCCTTCTTTTTAAGGCCGAATATTTCTTGTAAGTATATGCCATGTTTCCTTTTTCCATTCATCTGTGAGTGGACATTTGGGTTGTTTCCATTGCTTGCCTACTGTGAATAATATTTCAATGAACATGGGAGTGAAGAAATCTCCTTGAAATCCTGACTTCAATTATGTTGAATATATAATCAGAAGTGGAATTGCTGCATAGCATAGTAGTTCCATTTTTAGTTTCTTGAGGAAACTCCATACTATATTCCATAGTAACCACCATTTTGCATTTCCACCAATAGTGTAGAATGTTTCTAATTTCTCTACATCCTTGTCAGCAGTAGTTATCTTTTGTTTTTGGATACTTCATTGTGGTTTTGATTTGCATTTCACCAATGATTAAAAATGTTGACTTTGGGAGGCCAAGGCGGGTGGATCACGAGGTCAGGAGATGGAGACCATCCTGGTTAACACGGTGAAACCCCGTCTCTACTAAAAATACAAAAAAATTAGCCGGCTGGGGTGGCAGGCACCTGTAGACCCAGCTGCTCGGGAGGCTGTGGCAGGAGAATGGCGTGAACCAGGGAGGCAGAGCTTTCAGTGAGCCGTGATCACACCGCTGCACTCCAGCCTGGGCGACAGAGTGAGACTCCGTCTCAAAAAAAAAAAAAAAATTGTTGAGCATATTTTACCAGTTGACCATTTATGTGTCTTATTTAGAGAAATGTCAATCCAAATTCTTTGCCTTTTTTTTTTTTGAGATGGGGTCTTCCTCTGTAGCCCAGGCTGGAGTGCAGTGACACGATCTGGGCTCACTGCAACCTCAGCCTCCTGGGTTCAAGCAATTCTTCTGCCTCAGCCTCCTGAGTAGCTGGGACTACATGCGCATGCCACCACACCTGGCTAATTTTTGTATTTTTAGTAGAGACAGAGTTTCACCATATAGGCCAGGCTGGCTCGAGCTCCTGACTTTGTGATCTGCCTGCCTCAGCCTCCCAAAGTGCTGGGATTACAGGTGTGAGCCACCATACCAGGACTCTTTGCCCATGTTTAAATCAGGTCATTTCTTCTTTTGCTATTGAGTTGTAAAAATTCCTTATATATTTTAGATATTAACCTCTTAGCAGACACATGTTTTGTGAATTTTTTATCCTATGTGGGAGGTTGCCTTTTTACTCTGTTGATTGTTTCATTTGCTGTGCAGAAGCTTTTTATTTTATTTTATTTTATTTATTCATTCTTTTTAAGACAGAATCTTGCTCTGACGCCCAGGCTGGAGTGCAGTGGCATGATCTTGGCTCACTGCAACTTGTCTCCCAGGTTCAAGTGATTCTCCTGCCTCAGCCCCCTGAGTAGCTGAGATTACAGACGTGAAGCACAATGCCCAGCTAATTTTTGTCTTTTTAGTAGAGACTGGTTTCACCACATTGACCAGGCTGGTTTCAAACTCCTAGCTTCATGTGATCTGCCTGCCTTGGCTTCCCAAAGTGCTAGGATTACAGGCATGAGCCATTGCGCCCAGCCCAGAAACTTTTCAGATTGACATAGTCCAACTTCTTTATTTTTGCTTCTATTGCCCATACTTTGGGGGACTTATTCAAGACACTATTGTCTGCCCTAATGTCAAGAAGATTTTTTCTATGTTTTCTCGTAGAAGTTATACAGTTTCAGGTCTTACCTTTAAGTCTTTAATTAATTTTGAGTTTATAGGTCTTTAATTAATTTTGAGTTTTGTTTGTGTGTGCTGTAAAATAGGAATCTCTACATTCTTTTGCATGTGGATGTTCGGTTTTCTCAACAACATTTGTTGAAGTGACTATCTTTTCCCTATTGTGTATTCTTAGCACCCTTGTCCAAGCTCAGTTGACCTAATATACGTAGGTTTGCATTTTATCACAATACTTGAAATAGCTCTAAGCTGATCAAAATAAAATGTTTCAGTCATTTGAAGAGCAGTATTTTATAACAGATCACTTGAAGTTTCCTTTGGTTCAACTAGCCTCACTTGAAATCCTCTTTGATGCTTGAAGCCTTAGTGACTTCCTGACTGGCAATGAATGCAACTGAACCCCTTCTGTTGCCAGGACTCCTAAAGGCACACATGTCTATGCTAGTCTGTCAGGGCCTGCATTCTGATTAGAGTATTCATTAACTTGTTTCTCTCCTTGCACAGCTTTGACTAGCCAGTCATTTTTATGTGACATGAAGACTATTTTCCTTGCAAGACCTACATGTTGAAAATAATCATGAATATATAAAAAAGGCTCTTATGAAAAATACGGACAATACCAATATTGGTGAGGATGAGAACTCAGTGAGATTCTCAAACATTGTTGATGGGAATGTAAAATGAAATAGCCAGAGTGAAAAGTTTTGGCAATATCTTCTAACACTGAATATACACATATTGTATGACCCAACAAAATGTGTCTTAAAAACAGATTTTTTTAAAAAAAAGACAGCTACAGAAATCACCATACGTAGGCATTTATAATAACTCCACATTTGAAAGTATGCAATGTATGTCAATATAAAAAATGAATAAATTGCAATATTTTGAATAACAGAATAATATTATTCTAAAGCACTGAGACTCTAGAAACCAAAATTTCTCAATGCTCAACAGTATGTATAAATCTCACAAACATGAACTTGAGAAAAAGAAGCCAGACGGAAAAAAGTACATACTGAATTATTTCATGTGCACACTCCTCTATATGTAATATATCATTAATACTATGCTTATATATATTGAAATGAGACATAGCTTCACAATTTTTAAATAGGATTGATTTAGCACTCAACTTAAAAGAGATAGAACTAAACTATTTGTCATGAAGCTACAATTTTAAAGCAATTTACATAAACTTGAAAAACTCAGTTTTCATTTTAAAGACTGAGTGTGGTGAAGACCATAGAGAGGAGCGGTGGAAACCTATCAGGAATTGAAGCTCGGCCCCACGACCTTTTGGCTTCACAGACTACGGGTGCTATGATAAGCCCAGAAGTACCTGAAGCTGTGATTGCAGGTCAGGAGAAAGATAACCAGCAAGTCCTTGTTTTGTGTTTTATAAAAGACTGTGCCCTTGAAATTTTCTGTACAAAGTTTGATGACTTTTTAATTCAGAAATGTATATATGTTTTTTTGTGGGGGCTGAAGTAGGCTTTTTGGACCAGTCTAAAACTTTAATGTGCCCTACCCAAAATTTCACTATTAATAGAGAGGCGTTAAAATACTGATGATATAATCATGATAATAAAATCAAATAGCAAATGGAAAGTGCCAAGTGCAGTACCTGGTTGTTGTCAAGGCTAAATCAATGTCAGATCCCTTCTCAAATTATTTGTTTGAATAGAAACAAAGCCTTCATTTTCTGTACATTTTTCTCCTCGAGAGCTTGGTGTGCCCTCTAGGTCTAGATATTATCTAGATGCTAAGGTCTAGATAATGAGATGTAGATGGGAATGTTGGGGACAGCTTCCTCAAGACCACTTTACCAGACAGCAGGCTCACATCTCAGGCCCCATCTCTCCTAGCCACTTCCTTCACCAGGTGCCAGGAATGTGGGATTGATGGTTCCAGCTCTACTCGCTAACACTGACAAAGAGAACAAGGGGAGGTCACTGGGATAACAGGGCAGAAAGCAGGAGGGAGCCTGCGTACTTACAGCAATGCGACTTCACACCTCCAGGCTCAGGGGAACTTTCTTGATTTCATTTTCTCAACCCTTATTTCACCCTTGCCTTCTGTTTGAAAGAGTTTGAAAAACTCAACACTGCACCTTTGCAGAATCCCTTTTAGACAAGGTCTAAATGTGAATTTAGTTCTGATAATTAAAAGCACTGGGATGCTATCTGAAAGGGAGGCACAGGCCTTACTGTGGCTCCTGACTACCATAACTGGCTAACAGGGCTTTGCATTCTGAAGCACTTTCTTGTGTTCATTCCCAGCTTCCAGAGGGTCAAGAAGCTGTTGTGAGCATGGCCAGTTTCTTGCTCAGCCATCCTCACCCCTGGATCACCGCTTTGGAAGGGAAGTCCCCAGCTCCGGTGTGTTCTGAGGCTGCTGGGGGCCAGTGCAGCTCTGCGGTGGCATCAGAGGCAGGAGCTCTCCCAGCCCTTGCAGTGACCTGGTGGGAACCGAAACCGCTGAATAAAACCTTTCCTGCTTTAGAATGGGTGTTCTTTTCTGCACTGAACCGTGGCTAAGAGAGAATTTGTTTGATGTGGGTGATAAATAAACTTCCATTTTATTTGGGCCACTGTTATTTTCAGCTTTCTGTCACTTGAAGCCAAATATAATTCTAATTCATAAGTCAACAGATCTCTAACCTGGAAAATGATTTTGCAAATCTAGAAGATGAATTTTGCAAAGGAGACCTTTAATTTTCTTTACATGGGCTCTCTTTTTTTAATCCAAGTATATAGGTGGAAGTTCAATTCAATGGCTTCAGTAGAATATTTGTGACTTGCTAATAATTTAACTTTGCATAACTTCACAGGCAACCTTGAAAATGGCCCATACAAAAACTCTCATTTTTTCTTAATTTAGATTTATCCAACACAATTTTTGATTATGTTTCTATAATCCCTAATATGCTTAACTCAGAATTAACCAAAGTTTTTCAAACTGTATTGACTCTAAAAACTATTCTGGAATAGAATTTTTAAAAGCATTTTCCATTTGAGTCTATGCCAGGGTTATTGTAATTTTCATCTAAATATCTCAACATTCTGTCCTCTATATGATTTTTCAAACAAATTTACATAGCTGCTTGAATCAGATAACTAAGAGAATTATGAGCATGTGGGTAATTGAACATTTTGAGCTTTGACCTGCTAGTTTGCTTTTTTGCTTGCTATAGACTGAACTTCCAAATTCTGGCTAAACATCGTATTATTGTGTGATGTAAGTCAAAAGGCAAATCCAGGCAAAATCCGGAATAAGCAAATAGGTCTCATCTGCTGGAAGGCCACAGGGCGTGGGCTCTTCTCACAGTGGAAGAATGGAGAAGCTCATTTGGATGAACAATATACAAACTATTATATGCCTAGAATTTAAGTGCTTGACCACTCAGGGCAGGGATATCATTGGGAGACTGTGCTTGCTTAAAGGACCTTTTAATTTTTTTTCTGTATGTATAAATCTACTAAACTTAATATTCTGTCTAATCTTAATATTCATTTCAGAAACTTGAGGAGAAATGGAATTCTTTTTTGTTGTTGTTGTTTTTATTCCAATTTCTTTCAATATTCTGTAATTTAGAACTGGGTTGGTCATGAGGAAACTCCAGATGGGTGAATACTGAAATAACATTAAACCTGTTGGATATTTGTCATTTACTCATTAAAGTTAGAATTCGCAGAGGAGAAAATTGTGTGCCAGTTGGGGAATAGTTCCATAAAAATAAATCATTAAATAAAATATGACAGTAACTTTGCATACATAATTTGGTGATATAGTGTTTAACCTGCAAAACAGACTGCATGTTAGTCTCTTCAAAGGAGAATAAGTTTAAATACCGCATTATACAACACAAAAAAATCTTTAAATATTTGTTCAACTGAATTTCTCTATGCTACCAACTCAAGGAAACTCACGTGATGAATGTGTGGTTATTACTCTCAAACGAATATTTAAATTGAAAGTAAAGACTGCGGGTTCTCTTCTCTCTTCTCAGGTCTTATCCTAAGTCCATAACAAAATGAGAAATAAGCACATACTCTGATTTTTCTGTCCTGCATATTTTCCCAATAGGGCACTAAGGCAAAAACAGAACTTTAAGGTCATATAATTAACGTTTTCTTCTAGTATTTCAATTTTACAAATTGGGTTTCTAGTACCTTGTTGAATATATTGCAACATGTGGAATATACTAATTTTCATAGTAGACTATTCTATTTGTTGTAATAGTCCCTAGAAATTGGTTACCTTTTAAATTTTATAAGTTCTTTAATTTTTTTCAGATAATAAAATTAATATTAACATATGCAATTTGAGATGAAGTGGTTTGATATCACTAGTTGGCTTTATCACAGTGGTAGCTCTAGTTGTAGGTATCATGTTAGAGGACACACAAGATGCCATTGGCTCATAAGCATTTTATCATTTACCCCACTACTACTCTGTGATACAATGTCAGTTTACCCAGAGTTATTCAACTATTAAAGAACAGAAATAGGATTTGAACCCAATTTTAACTGGTACTCTTATTTATGTTTTTATCACAATGAACAGTATGGTTCCTTCAATTAATAATATTTCTCACATAAACACATGAATGGTGATATAATAATATATCAAAGTTACCTTATAGAATTAAATGAATAAAATGTCTTTAAGAAAAATAAAACACAAAACTAAATAAAAACTAAAACTTTATAAAATAGGAATATTAAATTACATACAATTTTACATAAATATAAAATAGTTATAAAATAAATATTTATAATATTAAATATATATTTTGCACAAATATTCATAAAAAAGATTGCTAAACATATTCATAAAAGAGACTGCTTAGTAGGTTTTTTGTAATATACCTGAGCTTAGTATCAAGTTTATGGCAGCATAGACCTATTTTGTAAGCTCCCTTTTTCTACATTCTGAAACAAAATTTAAGAATTAGAATGACCTGTTCTTTCACACTCCTGATAAATTACAAATATTTTATGTATTCTGTGACAATTGGATTGTTTAGATTTTCAGCCTCTGTAAGGTAAGACTTGATAATTTATAATCTAGAAAATCACTCATCTTATCAATTTCAAATATATTAGTCTAGAATTGAGCAAACAATTCTGTAATACTCCTGCTAATTCTCCTAGTACATTTGGTTATTTTCACATACAATTTTCTTATTTTGTATATTTAATATTCTTTGCTTCCTCTTTCTTGATTAGGTTAGCTGACAGAACAGCTATTTATTTTCCTCAAAGAAACAGTTCTTAATTTATTAGTTATACTTTTTTCTGTTTTCTTACATATTTATTTTTGTTTCCTTATTGCTTACTGTTGCTTCTTTTGCACATATTATGTTGTTCTATCTATTTGAATTGGACTATTCAATTGATATCTTTTTACTCTTTCTTGTTATTGATGTATGCCTTTTATTTAAGAACTGAGAACTGAATACCTGGGTACTATTACAACGTGATATGTTATGTAGTGTCCCCAGATACGAGGAAGTGATTTATGATAGTCAATATGCTCAGCAAATTAGATATGTGTGATTCCCTTTATTCAAAGATTGCTTAATTTCAGAAAAAAAATTTCAGATGTTAAGATGATCACCCTAGACTGTTTTCATATCCAGTTTCATTGCAATGTGCCGAGTAGTAACTTCTGTTCCAGAATGTATTGATATATCTTTGGTCTAGTCTTTCAATATGCCATGAACACATGGACTCAGTATGAGCCTCTAACATCCTTTGGAATCAGATCAACTTGGTAAATATAAAATTTCCACAGGAACTTTTTTTCCTTTGGAAAATGTATTTTGTTTTTGTTTGTTTGTTTTCGAGACAGTGTCTCACTCTATCACTCAGGCTGAAGTGCAGTGCTGCGATCTCAGCTCACTGCAACCTCTGCCTCCCAGGTTCAAGCAATCTTCCCACCTCAGTCTCCTGAGTAGCTGAAATTACAGGCCCACACCACCACACCTGGCTAATTTTTGTATTTTTAGTAGAGACGGGGTTTCAGCATTTTGGCTAGGCTGGTCTTGAACTCCTAAACTCCTGAACTCCTGACCTCAAGTGATCCACCCACCTTGTCCTCCCAAAGTGCTGGGATTACAGGCATGAGCCACCACCAAATGTATTTTGACTTTATTGTTTGTAAACACTTGTTTTCATTTTTCTCCTTTGAAGGAAAAGAGTATCATTCCGGATAAAATAAACTTCGAAAGCACATTGACTTTTATAGAAATTTATAAGACAGAGTAGTCAGGGAAAAGAAGTAGAGCAAGAAAAGGTAAAAGGGGAACAGAGGGAGGAGAAAAGGAGAAAAGGAAAGGACAGGTGACCACCCTGGAAGGTGGTCCAGGGAGGGATGGGAGCTGGAAAGGGGATGTGTTCAGCATGCATTCAAACAAAAGTACACTGCTGTGAATTGTAAAGGTGTTCTAAATTTTTAAGTTCAGTTTACCAAACAAGGTTATCTGTAATTGGCACAAAGTAACAACGCAGAAACCTATATGCTCCCTGAGAGGATGTTAGGCATGAAGCTGGCCAGGTAATTTCCTAGTAATTCCATGTGACAGATAATATATGTTAAGAGAAAGTTAAAGAAATATTGAATTGAAAAGTCATGTGAGTTAGCCACTTTGATGGCTTCTAGCCTGATTCCATAAAATGATTAAAAAGTGAAGAGATTGACAGTATCATTTCAGTCTTGAGAAGTGTGTATGGCTTGGAAAATCTCCTGCAGAAGGGAGCAATTTGCATATATACAGTATTTATTGATGTGAGTTGTATTAACTTGCATTTGCAAAAGTAAAATATGTTTTTCATCAACAACGTAGCCACTAGGTCAGAAAGCTACAAATGGTGCCAGATAATACGTGGAGGATTTCAGCTTACCAGTTGCAACACTTTAATTTCACAAAGAATAAAAATATTATGCAGAGTTATTAGAAATATGTAAAGTCAGTGAGATGTCACATTGACATACAATAAACAATTCAGGTATACCTGCTTAGGTGGAAACACTCAATGTGCCTTCTTAATTCTCTTGCTGCTGCCCACCTCAAATCCAGCCACTTGCTGCTCAGTCACTGACTCTGCTGGCATCATAGGGTTCTGATCAGCCCCTAACCTGAGAGAGTCCTCCCCTGGGCCACTGCTGTGCATCACTGTGGAGGTGGGGACCAGCTGCACCTGCTCAGTGTCTGGCAGTTCCCACCAATTCCAAATCAGATGATGCACCGCCTCACAGGTAGGGATGCAGGAGAGACTGGCTTGCTGAGAAACTGTCAAGCTGGTCAAATGTCACAGTCTGGAAAAGCAGAAAATTCACTCCAATTGGACAAAGATGGGCCAGTGTAAGACCAGATGGGGGAGGAAGGATGTCAGGCAGATTCATCCCCTGGACTTCCCCCAGATATGGTTTCTCTGTATGGTCCTTTTAGAGATGATGTCCTGCAGGATTGAGAGGCCACACTAGTGACCAGCGGGCTCTGTGTCTCAACAGAAGCTATGGTCAACCTGGTCATAGAACACGTTTTATTGCTTTCCACTCTTTTCTTTATTGTTTCCCTTTCTTTCATTCTCAGATCCTAGGACTGTGGCTTTTAATCATTTTTAATCCTTACCTTGGGCTCTGCTTTCTGTGAGACCTAGGCTAGGACAACCACTAATTACATAGAACATAACAATTGCAGGGTGAGTCGTTTACATCCCAATTACTCCAACCTTCTCTAGACAAAGGGAAATGAGGGGGAATGTAAACTGGAGTTAGAATAAAGAAGACTCTTGTGTGTCTTGGATATGGTGATTAGGTTATGATGGTGTATAGGCCAGGCTTGGGAGCATATTTAAAAATAATAAGAGAAGGACTGAGCTTGGAGAGAGCAAAAAAAACTCACCTCAAATTTGAGACTCACAAATAAAAAATAAGGCCTAAATAATATTTTGAACAATGGCCACTTTACAATATTGAATGCCTGGAAAACCATTCATGTAGTATCTAATATGTATTATTCTCCATAAGTCATACTATTTTTTTCATAATTTAAAATCAGGGTCTTTTTTCTCAGAGTTGGGGTTACACGTTGGAACTGCTCCCAGCTCTTCTTTTCAATTTAGCACTGTAATTTTGCATAGTGTTCAAAAGTAGTTTCTACTATAACCTCAGCAATATGCCAGATTTGAATTTACTATATATAGTTTATATAAGAAGATGAGGAAAATGCAATCGTAAAAGGATAGGTGTGCATCTCTTTAGTTAACTCTTCTCCAGCAATCAGCTTATTCCAATGAAATCTGCATTCTTTATACAAGGCATTAAAAAAAACTAAAAGCAAAAATACTAAAAAAATTAATTAAAATCAAAGAATGCTGTAAGAAACAGCACCAAAAACCTAATTCTTGATTCACTCAACTCTGTGTCCAGTGAAACATACTACCAAGATCAAGAATACACTTTAGGGACTAAAGCAGCTCATGGTATAAGTAGTATTAATAGCTAATTATATACAAAGGCTAAACATATGATTGTTTTCTTTTATTTTCTGCAAGAAACTGAGAAATAGGTCTGGGGTTTGAGGTGTGACCTAAACATTGAAATTATGTGATAAAAATATATTTATAGACATTTACAAGTTTTACAATGCAAAGCCAATCAAATCAGTTTTGAAATCTAAAAAACTGTGCCAAAATAAATTATCAAGAAAGGTGTATTTATATATATATACAAACACACACACACATATTTTATATATATTTTATGTATATATATGTTTTTAATCCTTTATTCATACCCGTAGTTTCTAAATCTTATATATCAAATATATTCCACTTGTGTTATGGAGTATTTCAATATCTTTAAGTGTGTCCCACAGGGATACAGCTCTTCCTTTGCTCAACACCAGTTGCAGCATTGAAGTCCTCAGTAACAATCAGATCTGTAATGGAGTATGCATAATAAACTTTAAATGATCATAGAAATGAAGCAATGTATTCAAACTTCCCCACACAAATCAGCAGGGGAATGTAAGTGTGAAGAAAAATCATATGCAGCTTGCCAGGGAACTAGTGTAAAAATTGGCAGAAAAAGAAAAATGCTGTATGAGCCATGCAGTTCTATATAATTTATTTCTCTTATTTCCTCTAACGCTTTTTTCTTCCTTCTGATGGCCATATAGATAACTGGCCTAAAAGCACAAATATGGAGAAAGGGATATAAAAATAGTGATTATGAGAGGAGATAAATGTTCTAAATTCCACGTATCATAAACCTTCACAACCTCCAAGACCTCTAGAAAATCAATACAATAGTGGTCTTATCATTAGGGCTTCACCGTGCTATATCCCTGAAAAGGGCTTTTAGTAATTTTGGAATAAATTCCAGGAAGCCTAGCAAGTAGAAATAATACAAAAATAACTTAAAATAAATCATTGCCTTTAATAAGAGACTTTTTATTCCATAAAACTGCTATTTCTCATGAAGTTTCTTATTTCAAATGCGGCAGCCAAGTTCATTCGAATCAGGGCAGTGACGATCAGTTGCACTTCTGGTGGTTGATTGGACAGCAGTTGTGAAAAGTCAGTGTGGTCTACTTTGGAGTGGGACCTTTGTAAAGCTAGGCAAAGCAATGCACCAAGACTGTTTATCAGAGAGAGCACATAGGGAGCACAGAGATTTTGGGTTTGGAAAAGCGAGGAGATCGGGGAGAAGTAGAAGATTTAACTGGTAAGAGTAACCTTTCTTTGGAAAGGGTTAGGAAAATTAGCTTCCAGTCCCTGCATCTGAGTTTGGGCAGAAGAGGTGGGATTTAGGCAGGTGATGGAAAAGAAAAATATAGTACTTCTTTTCTAAAACACCATGTAGAGTACGAAAGAATACATGAGAGGAGAACCTGATAAAAGTCAGGAGATGTAAAAAAATGCCTAGTCCTTGACATTGATAGGTAACTCTTCAAAGAGTGTGATCCCTCTAGGAGGATGTGCTTTCTTCCTAGGGGGACGGAAAAACGATTTTGAGCAATGTTTAAAACTTTAAAGTATTAATTGATAAAGTATACCATAAATACAAAAAGTACACAAATTACGTGCTCCACTCTATAAAATTTCAAAAGGTGAACAGGAATGGAAATTAGCAACATTTCCAAAAGTCTCCTTGCATCTGCTTCCAATCACTAACTGTCATTCATTTCCCAAGATTTCGTGAATCAGATTTACCTGATTTTTAACTTTATATGAATAGAAGAACATATTGTAGGGTCTCTAGGTGTATGATGGAAATATTTTGCTTAACATGATGTTTATGAGATTTATTCATGTTGTGTTACATAGCAGTAAATTGAATATTCCTTTGATACATAATATTCTACTGTGTGCATGAATATTCTACTCTCTATATATTCCACAGCTTATTTATTCTAGTGTTGTTACACATTCGATTTTTTTCCAGTTTTCAGCAACTATGAATAGAGGTGCTACAAACACTTTTGTACATGAACATTTTTGTAGCAATTCTGTTGGGTGTGTATGTACTACACATATGTTCAGTTTTGGTAGAAACTATCAAATATTTTCCCAAACTGTTTGTGCCAATTTAGACTCCTAGTAGCAGTATAGAAAAGTTCCAGTTGCTTCACTCACCAATTCATGCTACGGCAATGTCACTAATTTAGCCATTCTGCCAGGTGAGTAGGAGTGTCTTGTTGTGGTTTTAATTAGCATGCCCCGATGACTAATGAGCTGAGCACATTTGCAAACATTTTTTATCATTTTTTTACCCTCTTTTGTCAAGGGAGTACTCAAATCGTTTTGCCCTTTTGTATACTCAGTTGTCTGCCACACTGATGCGGGGAAGTTCTTCACATAAACTTGAACACTCTTTTCTTCGATATGTGTTCTTCAATACTTTGCCCAACTCTGTGGCTTGCCTTGATAATAGTGAACAGAAAGCCTTAATTCACGGAGCTCAATTTACCTAATTTTTCCCTTATGTTTAGTATCTCTTGAGTTTTTTTTTTAAGACAAAACATTTCATACCCCAAGAGAAGGAAAATAACCTGCTATGTTTTCCTAGTGGGGGGTGCAGCATAAAAGACGACACATTGGGTGCAGTGTACATTGTTCAGGTGATCATGGGTGCACTAAATCTCAGAAATCACAACTAAAGAAGTTATCCATGTAACGAAACACCACCTGTTTTTCAAAAACTATTAAAAGTATTTAAAAAGTAGGTACAAATCTACAAATCTACCTAAGTATACTACAGTCCAGTTTATTTTTTTTAAAAAAGGTTCATTGATTTACCTTCACATTTTGATCTATAGCCATAGAATTGATGTTTGTGTATGATGTCAGGTTGGAAACATTTATTTTTCCTTGTAAGTCTATCCAGTTGATCCAGAATTATTTAATTGAAGATCATGTTTTTCTTACTGGACTGCAGGGTCATCCAGCATAAACCAGGTGACCATATACTTGTGGGTCTATATCTTAACCCTGTCTCATTGGTCTACTTGTCTATCCATGTTCCAATATAACATGCTTCTAATTAATGTACTTCTATAATTTTATAATATCTTAATATCTAGGAGTACAATATATTAATAATTATTAAATTGGTCAAAAATCATTGGTGGATGCAAATCCATGAGTGAAAATTCAAGGAGAAAGAGGGTATTTATAGACTCAGAGTATCTACCCAAAAGACACTTAGACATTAAAAAAGGAAAAGCAGTGGTAACTTTACAATAGAGATTCCGGGGAGCCGCCACCTTAACCAAGTGATTGCGGTTTACTTCACCAGCAATTAGACAACTCAATGTTACATGCCTCTTGATATGATGCACAGAGGAAAACAATTCTTTCAAAAAATGGATAACCTGGGTTTAATCATAAGAGCATGTCAGACAAGCTCAAATGGAAGAGAGAGTCTACAAAATAACTACCCTGTACTCTCCAAAAATGCCCATGTCAACAAGACTGAAGAACTGTTTAAAGTAAAGCAGACACAATAATGGAAAGCAGCATGAAATCCAGGATTCCTTCTTGCTATAAAGACAACAAATACACAATGGGACAATAGTAGGACAATGGGTGAAATATGAATAAAGACTTCACATTAGAAAAAGTACTGAATAAACAGTAATTCCCTGATTGTGAGAGTTTATCTGTCGTTATTTATGAACATATCCTTGTTATTAGAAAATGCACACTGATTTATTTAACTGTAAAGAGGCATCATATCTGTAAGTTTCTTTCAAATGACTGAAAAACAAAGTATCTGCATGGATATCGATACCAGACTGTATTGTTGGAAAAAAGAATCAAGCAAATAAGGTGCTGACAACTGGGGAATGTGGGTGAAAGGACTTTGAGGATTTTTGTGCTAGCCTTGCAAATGTCCAGTAGGTTTGAAATAATATTAGAATTTTTAAAATTTAAAAATCTGTCTTTTTCATGTTCCTTTTACTGATTGAGGTGCCTAGTGTTCTTACAATCCCCCGTAAGTCAAGATATGATCCATATATAATGCACATAATTAATCTTTGAATCTGTATAATTTTCTATTTCCGAGAAGTAAACCTTTAATTTATTCCACATAAATTGTTAAATTGATATTGTGATGGTATTCAGAGGTTCATATTTTTATTATTTTCTCAACAATAATATAATCAAGATTTAAAGTTAGAAAACAGATCCAGAGGTTGAATTTTGAGACCAGAAAACCAGAGTCAGAGATACAGCCAGTCACAGAGAAAAAAATTCATATTAGCAATATGTGGGAAAATAACTTCAGTATATTTGGGTTTTAGTTACCCTGAGTATGAAACAAAGATACTGTACTCATTGAATTCTAAAGCACCTTCACTTTTTCTAGGACTATTTGCTGGCTGATGAGAAAAATAGAAAAGTCAAAATTGACACGGAGCCTTTGAGTCTGGTTAAATTGTAATTCTTCTCAAATATAAGGAGAAAGGTTTAAGAACAAAAGAACTTAGAAACATCACAGTAAGTTCAATGCATATATATATATATACATGTATACACATACACATAATCCATATATTTATAAAATCCTTGACTTAAAATGGAGTTACATCCTAACAAACTCATCATCAGTTGAAAATATTGTAAGTCAAAAATGCGTTCAAGACGTCTAACTTACCAAACATGATACATGCTCAGAACACTTACATTAGCCTACAGTGGAGCAAACCATCTAACACAAACCCTATTTATAGCAAAATGTTGGATATCTCATAATTTATTGAATACTGCCCTGAAAGTGAAAAACAGAATGGTTGTATGATTACTCAAAGTACAGTGTCTACAGAGTGAGCATTACTGTCACACCATCATAAAGCTGCAAAATCTAAGTCAAGCCGTTGTCAGTTGGGGACCATATCTACACATGTATTTAACCTCTATTTAAATATATATTGAAAGTATGCAAAAATACACCATAAAGGGTATCCTGAGGAGGATGCCTGGGGACTTTTCTTAGTTAAAATATGACAGCTAATGGTATGATGAATTTGCTGCCACTCCTCTCTCTGGAGCTTTCTGCGCTTACTCATTTCTGTTTCAGTTTTGTCATTTCTTTGGAAATCTGTAAAGTGCTGAAATATGGATTCTGCGATTTGTTACAAAAGCCTGAGGGTGTCACTAATCCATTATAGAAATAAGGGTGAAAAACAGGTAATTATTTCAAGGAACATGTTGTTGAAAATAGTTTGTTTAAATTCTAGGGTCCCTAAGCTGATTTTGGGGGGTGAACAGTTGTTCCATTGCATCCAAGCTCGTGCTGCAAAGATGCATTACCCTAACCTCGCTTCCATGCATGGTTTCCTTTGTGGTTTTCCATCATTTCAAACAAAATTGCCCTTTGGTTTCACAGAATGAAAACATTTTCTGTATGATGAAATTTCAATGTTGCTGAGAAAATGGCTTAAAATGAGAACACTGTGTTTTACAAAATTATTCAAATTGAAATGCTTCTAATCTAGTAAAATTTTGATTTGTGATGGAGATTTATATTTTCTTATTTTTAAACTAAATCTCATCCAGAGATAATTGAAATCCAATGGCAAATCCAGATTAGATAAATGTTCTAATGTGAAAAACCAGTCCTATAGGGTATGTCCTGAGGAGCAGGTATTTGTTTTGAGAGCTGTGTGCCAATTTCAAGAAGATTTTTTTAAGATTCATATCCTAGAAAGGAAATGTCTGAGTGTAGATTGCTGCTTAGGTTCCTGTAAAGTAATATCTTTTGATTGCCAAAAAAAAAAATGTGTCAGGAACTGTGAAGGGTCTAAGATTTCACTCAATTTGTAAGCTAAAATATTAGCTTGCCTCAGTTTCACAGACTTTGGCAGAAGAAAAGAAAGTCCTGGATTTTAGACAAAGAACTTAAAGCCATAGAAATAAGAGCAGTCAGAGTGTCAGCATTTTCAAATTTCAGTCCTCTGATCCCCATTTCCCACAGAGTGAACTGAGAAGGAGCAGGCCACTGAAACCCATGACTTCACATTAAAAATGCCTAATACCCAATGAATCTCATACTCTTTTCTGTAATTGAGGATTTAAAAGTTAGTTTTCCAACTTGCCTGATAGCTCCCCAAAATCAGGAGCTGTGTTTTAGATATTTTAACCCTTGTGACCTGGCAGAATATCTAGCACATAGTCTGCACTCGATACCTGTATGTTAAAATCAAAAATGAAGTGGATGGCACATAGAACCAGCCCTGTCCTCAGAGAGCTTACTTTTCCTCATACAATCAATAATATCATCAGAAGTTCTTAGAAATATTGCTGAAATGTCTTTGATGATAGCAGTTTTAGTAACTGCACATTGCCTTCTAAGAATTCCCAAACTGGACCTGTTGCTTGGCAATATTCAAAATTGCCCTGATGTTGAATATTTTTAGAAGCTTTCATCAAATTTTATTATATGCCAATGACTCTGATATAGCTTTAAATGTATAATTGTGTTCAATCATCAAGAAATATTATTAAGTAACTGTTGTAATTAATCTCATTTTTTAAAAGAGAAACATAATAAATCAGTGACAGAGTTAAGACTTGAAATTAGGAAGTGTGAGTAGACCCTTTCATAAATATATTGCACTCGCCTCACCTAGCTGTATCACCTATACAATGGTGAATTCCTCTTTTTATAAACTAATAATGAAAAATTAAACTACTGAACTGCAACAGCAATTCAAACCAATCCTTACAATTTCAACGTGAAATATTTCTCAGACTGTGCATACACTGGGTTACAAAATGATCTTGGAAGAAAGATATACAATATTAGAAGATATTTTATTCCCAGATTTATTAGTAGTACTTAAATGACTTCAGGTATGTATTAACAAATTGATAATTGAAAAATATATTGTGTGATAGGAGTTAGAGTTACATATTAATTTTGATGATGTCTACTCCAAACCATCTGTTATTGCAAAAAAGTCACTACACATATAAGCTATGCAGTTTGTAGAAAGTACACATTGCTAACACAGTATATTTAAATAGCTACAGGTATTCATACGTCAAATAGAAGGCATTATGTGGGTTTTGTGGGGGCTTTGTGTGTTTGTTTGTTTTACTGTTGATTTATTTGTTATAGTAACTAAGGCTGTAGTTACTCAGCAGTAATATGATTCCAGGGATACTTAACATTACCAAGAAATTTTAGCTGAGAATGCCACCCTATATGTATACAATTCAATCATTTTCAGATAACCATATGTTATCATAGAAAAGATCTTACAGTAGCTTTTTGTTTGGCATGAGTGGTAGAGCAAATTGGAATATATATATATTTATTTTTATATTTACAGATACCCACTTTAAAATGTTTTAAGATTGTATTTTCTTATAAAAAGGTAATTTTAGAAAATATAGAAAAATATAAAGAAGAAACCTCACTCATTGATAATCCCAACACTCAAAATTACATTGCAAACATTTTGGTGCATTTCCTTTCTATAGGCATGCCCACACAAAGACACACACTGAACATTAGAGGAGTTTTGCATTCTGTGTTTTTACTTTTCAATTTAAGACCATATTAATTATTTCATTATTAATTATTGTATTACATTATCCACTAACCATTATAAAAAACACGATAATTAAAGTCTACATAATGTTACATCGCATGATTGTACCATCATTAATTTAAATATATTCTTAATATTGGGAATTGTTTGTTTCTTAGATTTTTCTATTAGCAAAATGTTACTTTAAAATATTTCAATTATAATATTTAGATTAGACACTGTATAAAAATCCCATCTCAATCACACAATGACATAACATTTTTATCTTACACAAATATGAGCCATTTCACTCCAAGTGTCTAGAATCTCCTTTACTGGGGAAAAATTACATAATTATTTCATAAGATTGTTGCCTATAATTGTAGTCGTAGTTGGATTCTGACCTATAATTCCAGTCACAATATTGTATAATCCAGAGTCCCAAATGAAGAAAAACTATTCTCTGGCTCTGAAAATAAAATTGCATAAAATTTCCCATTGCATTTATAACCCTTTCTAGGGATTTATTGTATGAATTTAAAGTACTTCGGCTTCTAAAGTCGAGGTTATAGATTTTGAATGAGACTATAACTTATTCACACTTATTTTAAATTGGGCAAATATACTTTTTAAACCCAAGCATATGTTAACCAAATTTAATATACATTCACTGACTACTGTAAAGTCATTCTGCTGCCATATCAAGGGCACACAGACAGACATTGGACAAAGGTTCTGCCTTCAAAGGGCTTTCATTTTAGTTGTTGTCATACATAGAGGTGAGAACGAGGGAAAATATCCATGAGACCCAGCAGGATTTGAGCTGACATGATATAAAACAGATTAAGAATGAGGTTCACAACTGAGGTGCAGAAAATTCTTGTGTTTTTTTTGGGGGGGAAGGGTGCGGGAAAGAGTCTTACTCTATCGCCCAGGGTGGAGTGCAGTGGCATAATCTTGGCTCACTGCAACCTCTGCCTCCCAGGTTCAAGTGGTTCTCCTGCCTCAGCCTCCTGAGTAGCTGGGATTACAGCTGCACGCCACCATGCCAGGCGTATTTTGTATATTAGTAGAGATGGGGGTTTTGCCATGTTGCCCAGGCTGGTCTCGAACTCCTGAGCTCAGGCAATCCACCTGCCTCAGCCTCCCAAAGTGCTAGGATTACAGGCGTGAGCCACCACGCTGGGTCCAGAAAAATCTTTATGGGAACTAAAGGAGGCAAGACCAAGTTTATCTGCAGTAAGATGTTAACAACATTTCATAAAGGAAGTAGACTCATGAGAAAATATTCTCCAACAGAGTAGTTCCACCAAAATAAACTAGCACTTAATTCACTTGTTAAAGTTACTTTCTTGATTTTAGGATAAAATTAAGTTTTCACCATTATTCACGGTATGAAGTGAGAATAGCCCAGGTATGAGTAAATAGCTAGAGTTGATATTTGATGCTTCAAAATACCCTTCATCATATAAACTGCAATCTTATATCTATTTTTTTAAGCCTGAACCAACAGATGCATCTAGCCTGAATGAGCATTTTAACATATGAGAGAAGTTGAGTCCCGGTGGAGTCCTTACCATGAAAATTTTTGCGAAAGAAGTAGGTCTTTCCTGTCTCTAAACCACAGGCCCTGTAAGAGGTCTTCTAGGAGATGCGGTAAGAATTCCACAAGTGTATGAAATCTACTATCATCTTTGCTCCATGGTTACTAACAGCATTTGTACTTATGTGA
This sequence comes from Homo sapiens, assembly GCF_000001405.40. Taxonomy (NCBI): domain Eukaryota; kingdom Metazoa; phylum Chordata; class Mammalia; order Primates; family Hominidae; genus Homo; species Homo sapiens. The sequence continues at coordinate 54,106,858 of NC_000007.14, forward strand.
GCTGTGAAAATTAGTTAAAGGCGGCTTCTAAGTATTTATACAACTACTTGGAAAAGAGAGGTCGACTGTGTTAGGTTCTACCTGAAATCATCTAGCACAGTGTGTTTCACTTATTTTTCATTTATTTTACCTTTTTAAGACTACAGAATCACTTGACGAGGCTATAAAATGGCTAGGTCCTAACCCATGCCCTCTGAATCTGAATGTTTAGGGCTACAACTTCAGCTTCAATTTCACTAATACTCAAATCTGTTCTTAGATGTTGTGTAAGATCATTGAACTGTGTATTTTACATTTGAATGACTCCCGTCAAGCTCTTTCTGTCCTCAGATGATCTGGTTTAGAAAGCGTAACATTTATTCTACAAACAGAGTTTAGCTAAGGGAAGTTTTGTACTTCCCTTAGCCAAATTATGTGGATGTAATTCTGATAGGCTATAAAACCAACAGGTGAAGATATATAATTATGAACTTTTATATACGTAACAACATAATTCTAAAACATATGAGTTAAAAACATAATGAATAGGATTTATATATTACCTTTACTTTTAAAATTTATTTTGTTCACAATGTAGCATGTCATCATTTTAAATAATCTAGAATCATCCTAAGTCATCCCATGATTTAAAAATTACACCATAGTTTATGGTCATCATGAGTGATTCAAGCCCTTATTACTGGCTATTTAGGTTTGTAATACTTTCTTACCATAAAAAATGAGAAATATTTTATGAATCTACTTGTATATAACCTTTGTGATATTTACAACTATTCTGTAAGTAAAATTGCCCCATCAAATGTATAAATAAGTGAGAGGGTTTCAAATTGATTTGCAAAACATCCTCTGTAAATGTTACAATTTACACCAAAAATAGCATCCTAGTGTGTGCAGTTCCTCACATGAATAAGAGATATTTCTTAAAAACAATATTAGTCGTTTTTATTTTTATCTCCCATAATTGATTTTCCTAAGATCTTATTGTTCTAGTGAGTTCAGAACTTGTTAATAAGATTGGAAATTTTTCATAGAACGGGTAATTTTGGGGGTGAACTTACATTTGTCTTTGACAGCTTTTGACAGCTTTTATGATGGAGTTTATCTTTCCTCATTGATATGTAATGCATCCAGATGTAACATATATGGTAATCAACTCTCTGTCATATATGTTCAATTATTTTTCCATCTGCTCTTCCTCACAGTTTTGCGTATGTGCATATTTAAAAGGTAAAATTTCAGAAAATTATTTTGTCTTTGAGTCTTGGTAACTTCATTTTGAAAAGAAGTTGAAGATTAAACAGACTTACACAGTTTTGACTGTGTTACCCTCTTCTTTAACATTTCTATAGAAAAAGGCATCAGATTTCCATATCACACTCTGAGATTTTTTTTGGCAACATTCATGGCCCATTCATTTGTTTGGCCTTTCATTTTTCAGCCTCTACTGCCAATGGAATGTTCGCTTTTGATATGTTCTAAATAGGAGAGGAAGGTGAATACAGAAATTTCACTGAAAATACACAGATTCCTTAGTTTTCTCATGACTGTAAAGATGCATCTGTAATGCAGTCCCTGAATCACACCACAGCATTTGGCTTAATATTACAGGGACTCGAATATGCATGTTACACACTAACAAGCACTATGACTCTATGGAGGGTACCTGCGCTTCGAATTTCACAACACTGTGCCTTTTAGTTTATAGTTGTCTCCAAGTCTTATAGCTAATAAGAATCCAGGTGCTCTCAGCTGGGTCTGCAGATGTCGGGAATTAGGACAGACACACAGCGGAACGATTGCTTTCTCTTCCCCCTGGTGTCTGTGACACAGAAGCATCCATCCTCAAGAGAGACCCAAAAAGGTCATCTGGAACAGCAGAGAAGAGAACGCCAAACTACTGACACCAGAATTCCACAAATAGACCACGCTATTGGAAGGGAGTCTGACTTGCTGCAGTTTTAGTGTTAGAATCATTCTTTTTAATGGAATTGACTCACACTTAGAAAGATGTGCTTGATTATACCAGGTGCCGAATGGAAACACTACACATTGACTCCGCTTCCTCTGTCCTTCTATGACCTCTGCCTCCTTTTAACTTTTTTTAGTTATTTTTTATGACATGGAAAAATTACTCAATATACTTAACTTTAGTTATTGCTTTTCAGAGATGTAGAAATTGTAATAATGTTGAAGTTTAAAAATTAATCACATTTTTAAATGAATTGTTTATACGGTTTATTCGGTATTTTTTGGAAATCATTCAGTAGTAGTAAGTGTGGAGTGTATCATCTTTTCATATCATTCCATAATTTGTCATATTAATGTTCATAATGTCTAAATTAAGATTTTAGTTTTCCCCCAAAATATTACTAAGTAAAACTTAGGTCTCATAGGCTGAGCAGCAGGTAAGGTCATAGTTTTCCTGGCCAAGGCAGAAGAGAGAGCCCTGGGTTAGCAAAGCAGCATCCTGTGGGTAGGCCCAGCCCTGTCCAGAAATGTCACGTCACCTGAGTCCTGAACCTAAGCATCGCAGGAAGCAAAACAGCAGGACTGGCTCAAGTAATCTGTAACTTTCTAAAATAGAGATGAAAGTTTAAGGAAAAAAAAGCTATTTTGGCCAAACCACCAGGGAAGCCCATGTTGTCAGTAGGTTGTCTCATTTGCTTATACATGTCTCATGCAGATAACAAAGGTAATAAAGTATCAACTTCATGATTTCACTGTCAGTTTTCTATTGGCAAGCATGCCGAAACACGTAAAGCCTGATCCCATGATTCCCTCATTTTTCTGTTTTCATTCCTCTCTAATGCATAGAATTCCCTAAACATGTGTGAGACATTAGTCATCATGCAGAAAACCTTCCTCTGGAGAAACACACGTGGGTGTCCCCAGCTGCAGTCTTGCTCTGTCTCCATCAACCTCAGCGAGAAACAAGTACAGACTAATAAGACTTCCCTTTCATCTTTGGCTCCAGTCTGGTGCTTTTAAAACATATTTGGAAATAGCCCTAATACACATTTTGAAATAAGAACTAATCATCATTGTGTAGATCACCCTTTCCCCGAATTCCTGGGTTTTATTACCTATACTTAAAAGAAAATAATTATAGAAATAAGTGCTTATGCACAAATATACTAGAAAATGATCCAGTATCTAATAAGTTGAAAATGTATGCAAATTTATATTTTAAAATTTTATTGGAAATCAAACTTGAAGCTTTTCATTTGTTCAGGAGCACAAAAAGGCAGAGGAATCCTCTTAGCCTGGGCAGGGGTGGATTCACTTGTCTCTCTTGGGGACCATGGGGGACATCACTCTCATTAGATCTTAGCAGTTATTGGGAAGGTATAAGGCACACTTTGCTCATTCTATTTCTAAGCTTAAATAAGTGTGCCATTAAGCTTAAATAATTTTGCCACCTGATTCCCATAAGTGGGAGGCAAACACAGTGACCTATCTTTACTTTTAAACTCAGTAGAAAGTATTGCAAGAAAAATTTCCAAAGATAAGATATCCAGAAAGAGGCTCAATACCAGTAAATTGTATATTACTGAGTGTGGCATCACTAATTACATTTGAGGAAGAAGAAGATACTATTCACCTATTTTTCAACTTAGATTTTATCTTCAGATCTTTATGAGATCTGAAATTGAACTCAAAGGACAGGATGTTAAGAAATTTCTCTTAGGATAAACAGCAGTTTCTAGCTCTTATCAGGGAAATAGAACAGACAAAAACAAACCAAAAACAATGAGGCTCACACAATAAATCTTTTCCCATGTTTTTGGCTGGTGCATCCACTCAAACTCCATCTCTAAAGTGATGGGCTATAAAACACTTAATGAGTGTGAGGAAAGGGTGGGTTTTTAAAGCTCCCAGCTAAATTGGGGTTTTAGTATCAAAGCAGCTAGCAATCTTGCCCTAACAAATGCACAGGAGCTGGATGTGGGAATATACAGGGTGCCTTCATGGGGTACTTCTTTTACCTGGTAGACAGCCTAATGTCTAGTGGTCCCACCCATTACCAGGGGATCTCTTAGACAGGAAACTTGTTTAGACTGGCAGACACTCTTGTGGCTCTTGTCTGACCTGGGTCCAGAGTAAGCCTGCCTGACCTTTCCTCTGCACTGGGAGACTGACCTTGTGTTCTCCCCTTCCCAGGGAACCCTTGGCCTGGGGCATCCCCTTCGAATGGAAGGTGGAAATTCAATACACCACCACAATAGGAAACGTGCTCACAGATTTTACTAAGAGGCCCTAGTCCAGGAGGGCTCTGTGAGTGGGGAGGGCAGTCCTTTGCCCCCAGGTTAGGGGAGGCAGGAGTGGAGAATCAGGCAGAGAGAGAGAGAGAGAGAGAGAGAGAGAGAGAGGCAAATAGCAGCATATACAAGGGAAAAGGATGTGGGACACTTTTAAGTTCATGAGCAAATGCCCAAATGGTCCCATTAAGGGAGGCTTTGGGAAAGTGGGGTGCCCAGTCTGCTAGACAGGAGAGATGCCTCTAAGTGTTTATTTATGAGCACCGGCTTGAGCCATGTGGTGTAGTATAGAAATGGAATATGTGTCAAGGGTGATAGAGCCCTGCTTCTGGTATGAGAAAGTCAAACCTGCACTCAAAATCAATGCTGAAGAAACATAAAATTATAAGAATTCACCAGAGTATGTCTTTCTTATCATCAACCAAGAGGAGATTTGGGAAACTGCATTACACTCGATCAGAGTTGGGAAAACAATAATCAGAGATACGTATTTGAAGAAACTATTCTGGGTACCTGGAACTCCCTGCAGAAAAAACGGAAGGAAAACAAAAGACACTCTAAAAATATTTACAAAACTTGTCATTATGTTATTTGTATAAGATTTTATGTGCAATGAATAAAATATATATTCTCCTGACTTACTAATAAGCCCCTTCCTGTCTCTGCACATCCCATCTGCTGGTACAACCTCAGGGAAAAGGGAAGGAAAAGGGGCAGGCCTGGAAGGAGACCCAGGAGATTACAGGGAAGATGGGAGGAGGGACAGGGAGGCAGACAGAGGGAGGGTCAGCCAGCAAGGTGACAGCAAGGACAAATGCCCGCTCTGGGCTGGATCATCTTAAGGGAGATACAGAATCAGAGGGGTAATTATAGGGCATCCTGTCAGAGACTCTAGGGAGGGATCTCGTCACATTTCTCTGCAATAACTCAGAGGAGCAAAAATAGAGACTGAGAGTAACCACAAGCTACACTTGCATTTGGTATTTGGTGGAGAAGAACCAAAAGGCCTATACGTTGCATTGAAAGGGGATGACAGCATGGCTCAAAAGTGAGCCTGAGGAGTGTCAGTGGAAGGAACAAAATGACTCCGACAACAAAAGCATCAGGATGGGCCATTATAGCCCAAGCTAAGATCCAGGCAGTCAGCAGCCCAGAAAGGGGGCTGTGGAGCAGAGACGCACAAAGGAGCAGCCCTGTCTGTCTCTGGCACAGAAAACACAGTCCTCAGAGCTCTTCACAGGGCAGCAGAACTGGTTTTCTAGAGAAACCTTGAAACCATTAAAAGCCAACCCAAAGAAACTCTTTGCTTAAGCTAAGTGATTTATACCTATGTGATGAGAGGCTAGACAGATATTAAAATCGAGGAGCTGGAAAATACTTATGAACAAATAAAAAGGCAGTAACCAGATTTTAATTCATAGCTAGTATGTATGTATATGCAAATAAAGATCATTAAAGAAATACACCAAAATATTTATGAAGCTTATTGTTGGGAGATGGGATTATAGATTTTTCCTTGAGAAATTTGTGGTTTTTTTCAGGAGTTCTGCACTAAACATGCATATTAGTCAGGCTAAGTTATGTCATGGCAAGAAGACTAGAATCTGTGTGGCTTAGTACAAAGACAGTTTACTCTCCTCGTGTGAGTAAGGCTTGCAGTGTGCATCAGCAGCAGACGCTTACCTCATGGTTTCTAAGACAGGACAGCTGGGACATGGCAACGTGGACTGTGGCTCTTTCTGGTTCCATCTCCCATTTTCTTAGTGGAGGCTGGTCACAGGCCCCCACCTGAAGTCACAAACTGCCTGGAAAAAGCAAAGCACTGGCTGCCACAGAGCAGCATGAATCATTTCTTCAGCATCAATTTATTTTTAAGTAAAAATAAAATTAAATAAAATTTTTAAAATTTGATTTGTAGAAGAATTTTCCCAGCCAAAATTTCTCTAATGCCATAAAAACTTGAAAATATCATAAATTTTAAATAATACATAAAAACATTTTCAAACATTCAGTAAGTAAAGATAGAAAATCAAAATTATACTTTGGAATATTTTAGAATATGACTAAGGTTTTCTTTTCCCTCAGTCTCCATGAGTTATATTCCAATGTATTCTCTTTTTTTTCCTTCTACTGTAATTGTCCAGGTTTTATTTCCATAAATACATTGTTGATGTGGGTCTCTGCTCAAGCCTTCAATATCTATATGTCAGTTTGTCTGTCATCATTTTCGATGGTTTTAATTTTCCTCTGCTTTCTTAGAGGAACTGAAGTTTGGGATCTATTCAAGTGTTAACATTTTCCACATCAAATATCTATGTATTCTATCTCCAGTGAGGTTTTGATCTTGCTCATTAACGTTTCTGCTTCCATGTAACCTATGCTATTTTAATCCAGACCTCTTTAACCTGAGCTTTCAGTCCTGCCTCCTGTCTGATTTTCATTCATTGTACTACACTTTCTTTTCATCCAAACTTATTCTCTTCTTAGCATTTTGAGGTCTTATTCCAAGGGGCCATGCCTTCTTCTATTCTATTAAGGAAGTCAAACAGCTTGCTGAAATTATTTTATGATGCCTTGCTTTACAATGTTCTCGGAGATGCGCTTTTCTTTACAGCAATGACAAAAGTACTCTCTTCACTTTCTTCTGCAGTATTTTGTTTCATACATTTCAAGATTATTGTTCTCTCATTACATTTATCAGGAAATAGATATCAAAGCAGACACTGGAATTGCCCTCCAAACCCTGTGGATTCCCCACAACTGTTCATTTTCTGCCTATGTCATGGATGGAGGTCCTTTCTGGTCCCCTGCAGAAGCCTGGTTGCATTGCTAGGGTGCAGCCCAACCCTTAAGCTGGAGCCCAGCCATGCCCCTGATGCCCAACCAGTGAGAATGCTAATATTGAGGCTGCATGGAAGCCCTTACCTGGTGTCTCCCCTCACCACCTGCTAGCATGGGGATTTCTAATGGGAAACACCCCTCCCTGCACCACTCTCTTCATGTATCTCACAAATGCCTCTACCTAAATTTGTGGTCTGTTTTCCACAAGGATACTCCCTACTATGGCTGTGAAAGAGGCCTCAGGGGTGAAGCAGTGTTCTAAATGATCAGATTATGGTGCTCATATCATAGAGAAGTTTTGAGGCTAACTACTAACAGACCAAGAAGTGTCGTCTTATCTTCTCTTCGTTAGTTGGAACTCCTCTGATAAGATTTTAAAGAAAATTTGCACTTTTTGTGACATTAAATTAATTTAAATAGCTAAGCTATTGATTTCAACCTTCTGTAGAATAATTTGATTTCAACACATCATCCCTAATTTTAATCTAAGATTTGTGAAACATATTTTTCTAACATAAATTAAATTATTTTTAACTGCACTATCTTTGCTTTAATAAAAATGTGTAAAAGAAACGCCTATTTTAAGTTAAGCTCAAAAGTCGACATTCTGTTTTGCTGATGATGAATTATGAGATGAGATATTTTAGTGGTTTAATATATATTATAACCTCCATGCTATTTATCTTCATTTTATTCTATAACTTTATCAAGGACAAAATATAGCTATCTCAGTATATACTTGGTGCAAAATGTTTTATTTGTTTAATATTAATTGAGTTATTTCCAAGGGGTTGACATGCTTCAGGAGCTCTTTCTGACCCATGCTGAGAGCAAACCAAACACTGAAAAATGGCTAAAATGCTGGAAGAAGTGGGGAGAAAAAAAAACCTTGCTATTACTAAAAAAAGACTGCAGATGAAAATGAAGCCTAAATGGTTAAGAGTCTGTCGACAAGGGTTCCAGTCCAGTCCTTCCTTGCCATAAGGTGTGAGCTCAGGAAAATATTTTTTCATTACTGGCTCCATGTGGAATCTCTTCCATCATTGCACAGTTGTGTCAACCATTGTAAAGATGCACCAGGCTGGAAGCTCCTCGAGCAGTGGCAATGCCCCCAGTAATGTCACTAAGTTGATATGTGGAGGACACTACTGCCCTTCTGAGGAGATACCACTGTGTTTCCCTCACCATGACACTGCATCCAGTTCCTGCCCCCAGCACAGCTCTGCTGTCCTGGGATGCTCGCTGTTCCTGAAGCCCCTGCTGCGTCCCCGAACACCACCAACCGTGGCCACCAGCCACCACGAAGGAGAGGGCTCTGGGTTATTCCTGTCCAGGTATCACCAGCTCCATTGTAAAGTCCAGAGTGTGTGGTCTCAAGGGCTGAGAAGCCAGTTGCAAGGAGGTCTGGGAAGCAAGGCCTGATTTCCCACCAAGGTTCAGGAGGCAAAACAGGGTGAGCCTCAGAAAGAAGGACAAAGTTCCACTTGTAACGAGAAGCAGGTGGAATCAGGACTCGCCCTGGTTGGTTTGCTTTGCAGCTAGATACATGGATTGCCTTTGTCCCATTGGGAGGAGGTGTGCTTGAACAGAGCCTCAGGCAGGCATCCTCCTGCTGGCCTGTGGGGCGGCAACTTCCTCATATGCCCCATGGATTTTATGAACTAGTCACATGACTTTACCAGTGATTGATGTACATAAGTCCAGATTGTCTGTAACTAAGCATTCTGCCTGTGCAATGTGACCATCACAGCAACCCCATCAAAAAAGATCAATAGGGTACTGATGTCTTCCTCTTGGAGCAGAAAGCCTCCAACCAGACTGAAGCCCAAACAGGTCTCTTTATGGGGTGCTAAGAGGCTGGGACTTGGTGTCTCCACTGCCCTTCTGCCTGGAAATTCCAGCTTGAGCCCTGTGTCTCCTGCATTCTCGGTACCCTATAGCATGATTGCCCAATTTCCAGACATACACACACGTCCTCATTCACTGATGAACACTTAACCGAAGCTTCCTCCCATATGCTCCACATGCCATGGGTCTTTTCAAAACGTATACAAATCAATGAAATTATTAAAAATTAACATCAGGAAAAGATTCAAAGAGCTCGCCCATAAAAAATTTCATCAATCTTGTTCTGTAAACTTAAGAAATCACTAAAAGACTAAAATCCAGGAAATATTTTGAAACAGTGCAGCCACCCAAAGCCACATGGTCTTTGAATAGAAACATTAAAGTTGAAAAGTTGCAGAGGAAGTTTAGTAACAAGTATTCTACCCAGAATATAGTAGTGGAACATCTAAACATTGCAGCATTAGGAAAAAATGATGTCTTTATTACTATTCAGATAGAATAAGTCAGTTCTAAAAAATTAAATGGATAAGAGAAAGGAAATAGAAACCAACAGAAAGGGCATGTGGTGTCTTCTGGTGCAATCCTCCCAGCTCAAAAGGAGGGAAGGACCCAGAGGTCTTCACTGCAGGGCTCAGGGTCTTGCAGGGAGGGGTATTTCCTCCTTGCAAGGGCAACGGAGACTCTGGTTTTCATTTGTAAATGGAAAAAGCTTGGGGTCTCACTCCTATCCTTACATGAAAAAGCAGGACAACCTGAAAAGCAATGACTTTTCTTGAACTCAGTAGAGAACTGAGATGCAAAGCAAAATGCTACCCCAAAATCTGGAGGGACAGGTGTACCCAGAGAGACACAGTGGTGAGCTGCAGCCCTGGAGTACAGGCTGCTGGAGCACACACTGGTAGAAAGGCTTAAATGTTGATTTTGATAAATTGCTGAAAATGAATGTGAACTAGCTAGAGGATGAGAAACTTGTGGAAATGGAAAGTCTTCACCTCCAGGAACCTCACCAGGTTTTCACAGTGAATATATGAGAAAGCTATCTTTATGTCTCTAGCAGAGGAGGGCGAGAGGAATCATTGTAAAACATGCCTACACCCTTCTCCTTAATAGAGGCTTAATTTTCCTAGAAAAGACTACCAGAATCTTATCCCAGCTCGGGGAAGGGTGTTCTGTCCCCTCTAGCTCCCTCTCACTTCTGTATCACCTGACAGAAAGAACTGTCAACAGGGAGCAGACTTCAGGGACATAGACGGGGAATGCTGCAGCCAAGGAAGGGAGGAGGGGTGGGGATAAGGTGGGAAGCTACATCTGCAGACAGACCCCTGGGAGGTCACAGGCCCAAAACACAGGCTGTCACCAACACCAAGATTTAATTAGAGGATTACAGATGCTCTCCCTCCCCAACCTTCCCACCACACCACCAGGACTCCAAGGGAACTACCATGGAGGACAACTGAAGGAGCTGCAAGACACCCACCCTGGGAGAGGCAGAGCCAATGAACACACCAAACAGAAACAAAAACAAATAGAAAACCAGATCATTAGAGAATGTTAAGCCCCCAGCACCCATAGCTACAGCAAACTTTAAGCACTGCCCAATTTCCAGACAGAGTAACATGAATTCTCACACTAAAGGTCACTTACCTTAGTTCCTTTTATCTAGTAAAACATGTCTGGCTAACAACAACAACAACAAGAACAAAACAACAACAACAAAGAGGTGTGTCAAACACCAAGGAAAACAAAGAGAAGACAATGCAGTGATCAGAACCAGACTGAGATATGATGTGGATGCTGGAAGGAGCAAACAATATTTAAAATAATTAGAATTAATAGTTTAAGGGCTCTTACAGAAACAGTAGACAGTACACAGGGACAGATGCATAACAGAAGCAGAGATGGAAACTAACAAAGGATCAAAAGGCAATGTGAACAATTAAAAACATTGCAACAAAATGAAGGGGGTCTGTCATGGGCTCATCAGTAGAATGGAGTAGCTGAAGAAAAAAAATTATAAAACTTGAAGCTATGTCAGTAGAATGTCCCCACACTGAAATGCAAAGAGAAAAACAAATGAAAACCAAGCAAACACATGGCATGCAAGAACCAGCGAGCTGTTCCAAAGAGTTTATCACATGTGTAACCGAAACACCGGAAGGCAGGTCAGAGCTGGAAAAATATTTGAAAGTAATAATGTTCAAGAATATTCCAAAATTAATTACAGACACCAAATCAGAGATCCAGGAAGCTCAGAGAACTCCAAGAAGAATAAATACCAACACACACACACACATGCATGCCTGCACACATGCACGCACACACACACAGACATAAACTGCAGAAAACAAAATAATTGGAACATGTTAAAAGAAGGAAAAGTAAAATGAACACCTATCTATAAAGCAAAATGGGTAACAATTTCAGCAGACATCTCATCAGGAACCAAACAGGCAAGAAGAGAGTGGAATATGTTAGGTGCTGAAATAAAAATCACCCATCAACGTCTAATTCTATATCCAGTGAAATTATCCTTCCAAAGTAAAGGGGTGCATTTTGAGAGGCTGAGGCGAAAAGATCACTCGAGCCTAAGAGTTTGAGATCAGACTGCACAATATAGAGAGACCCCACCCCATCTCTACAATAATTTTAAAAATTATCCAGGTGTAATCGTGCACACTTATAAATCCCAGCTACTGAGGAAGCTGAGGCAGGAGGATCCCTCGAGCTTGGGAGGTCGAGGCTGCAGTGAACTATGACGGTGCCACAGCACTCCAGCCTGGGCAACAGTGTGAGATTCTGTCTTAAAAAAAAAATAAATGAGCAATAAATATCTTGTTAGATGAAAAAATTAATTGATGATATACCCAAACTCTTTCTTGCAATCACTCAGTTCTGAATTTTATGAAGTTTGCAATTATCATTATTCTATATGCTACATATGAACACCTTATCTATCTTTCCAACTTTGTATCTTCATCCAGCTAGTTATCTATTTAGTATCTCTTTATTTATCCACATGCTTAACTGTCTGTCCAACTAGCTCTCCATCTTTTCTTCTTTCTTCTCCAAACATTACCTATTCCGGAGAATTATAGAGGGGGGAGAGCTCAGAAGATAGGAGAATGGAGCATGTGTAAGTTTTATAATTATTATTTAAGAAAACTTAAAAAGTTTTCAACTCACCTAATAGGAATTTGTTATTATAATAATATAATACTGATTTATACTGTTGACCCTAGAACAACAGAGGCTTGAACTACTGGGGCTCACTTTTGTGCAGGTTTCCTCCGCCTCTGCCACCACTGAGACAGCAAAACCAACTCCTCCTCTGCCTCCTACTCCTCAGCCTACTCAATATGAAGACAAGGAGAATGTTGGCCTTTATGATGATTGACTTTCACTTAATGACTAGTCAAATGTATTTTCTGTTCCTTATGATTTTTTAAATAACTTTTTTCTCTAGCTTACTTTATTCTAAGAATACAGTATTTAATACACAAAATACATGTTAATCAACTGTTTATGTTATCAGTGAGGTTTACAATCAACAGTAGTCTATTGATAGTTATTTTGGGGGAGTCAAAAGTTATACAATGCTTGACTTTGCAAAAGGACAGTGCCCCTAACTCCTGCATTGTTCGAGGGTCAACTATAACTATGTATAATAATAAATATAATACCAGTAATATAGTAAAACACAAATAGGATAGTTTGCCATTTCTTCTCAATTTGGAAGTGTAACATACACATAAGAGATTATGTGTAAATTCATGCAAAGCTGAAGGAATGGAGAGTTTGCATTTTTACTGTAGCTGTTTTATGGAGAAGTGGGACAGCTTCCATTCTGACACCTCTTACTGAGGCCCCCTGTGATAAATTCTCTCTGGCCTCCATTTCTCCACTTCCACTGGGCCTATCAAACCTAGCTCTGGGGATGCCAGAGATCTTCAGATACATTCACAGAAAATGGATATTTCACTCTGCACTAGAAACATTTCAGCTCATGTTGTAATAGTGGCTGTCTCATAAAGACCTAGTCCAACTCAAAATGTATTTCCTTAATAACCTTTAAATAAGAGTATTTTCAGTTGCACAGATATGCTTGTTAGAAAATACGTTTCCAGATTTTTCAGAAGATGAATTTCTGAAGAGAAAATTATATAAAGATACCTTTGGTAATAGGTAAAAAAGAGAATCACCGATAGACTATACAAATCTATAAGAAGGCTTGCACTTCCATAATTCTAAGCTTGTACAATAGATTTCTTTTTAAGGCTATAGTAAATTGTATTCTGAATATCCTTGTACACCTAAAAAAGCATTATTTTCCAAGCAGGTGCTATAATGTCTTGCTGAGTCAGAGACAGGAATTGTGCATGATGTAATGTCTTTCCAAATCTATTGGGAGTTGATGATCACTAAGATAAGACATAGCTTCCAAGGTTCTTCAATATCTGGTTGTTTTCTGCAACAACATTTTATTTACTCATTTAAGAACAGCATGTGATTTTTTTTTTTTTTTTTTTTTTTTTGCTCTCTCTCTATGGAACAGAAAGCCATATATTTAGGACTGAGTTTATGAATCAGCAACATAGACATTTCCTAATGGTGTAAATGCATGGTTCAGAATAAGGAATCTGAGTCTCACTTTTCTCCTCATCAAAGCATCTAGCTTTATTATAGCTGCCTAAAAATTCTGTTAGCAGAATAAAGGTACTCATCCCATCACCAAAATTAAATGGGTAAGTCTTAGGGCAATAATGCATTAGCAAAGTGATTCATACCAAAGTGCATAGACAGACATAAATTTCTTCTTCCTATCCACAGGTGTTGATTCAGAGATCATGGAACATCATAAGGTCACTTGAGCACCATCATGGTGTGTGAATGAAAGTAAAGTATAAGAACAAGGATGGCTTTTTGGCCATTGCCAATGTTTATTTCACTATTTTCTGTAGAGTTAATCCTGATTGTAAAGACATTGCCTAATTAAGAAGAACGTGCCCTCTACATATGTAAAAACTGGGTTAAAATATATTTGGTTTTTACAATTCAGCAAAGGGAAAATTTCATTTTTAATAATGATTATTCAAATGTATTAAAGGTCTACAGCTATAAAATATTTTGCCATATTCAATAGCAATATTCAAGTTCATTAAAGATCCATAGTTATAAGGATTTATTGGATGCTGATATTTGAACATCATTGAAGGGATTGTGAAATACTAATAAAGGGAAGATCCCAAACTAAAAATCAGCGTCTCCATAATCCCAATCCAAGGCCTTTACTTTACTATTTGATACAGTTCATTTTTGTCAGGCAACACAGCTATACATTTTAATTGAAATTTTAAAATGACAGACTTGATCAATAAAAATTCCCTGTGGTGACAATAGTTTTTAAATCTAATCATGATAGAAGAACTATGTGATTACAGACACTGGCCAAAATAAATAAGTGCTATCCACTGAATAGGATGCTTTTCTTCCTTATTTAAATCTGCTGGAAGACCTGCTTACTCAACAAGCTAAATTGATTATTAGCTTAGAAAACTTGCTTTCCCAAGGGTATATGCTACCTGTAATGGCGATTCAGACACATATTCAGTACACAAATTAATCATTTCCTCAATTGAGTACAGCTAATCCAAAATGTTTAAAGGTATATATGATAAGAGCTGAATAGATTGGGCACCAAGTTACTCTCATACACCAGTGACTTCAGCTATTATATCTGAAACATTCACTCTTCAGCACAAAGCAACCAAGAGAGCAGGGAAATTGCCAGAAAAATCAGGGTTAACCTCATCTTTGGATAATACTCACTTGCTATGTTTGTCAGTTTAAAATTTACTACTGAAGGTATCTATGGTGTCAAGAATTACAAGAATCTCAAAAAGAGTTCATCATTTACTCTTTCATTAGATGGTATATTAGTCAGGGATTTCCAGGGGGACAGAACTAATAGAAAAAATATATATATATGTAAATATATATAATACTAAATAAACTCAATATATATACAGAATAAAAATATATATAAAATATATATATAAAATGCTACTCAATAAACTCTCTTCATATATATATATATATATATATATATATTTTTTTTACTATACTAATACTCTTGTGAGTATTAATTCACATGATCACAAGGTCCCACAGGAGGCTGTCTCCAAGCTGAAGAGCAAGGAAGCCAGTCCGAGTTCCAAAGCTGAAGAACTTGGAGTTCGATGAGTGGATGTTTGAGGGCAGAAAGTATCTAGCTTGGGGGAAAGATGTAGGCTGGGAGGCTAAGCCAGTCCAGCCTTTTCATGTTTGTCTACCTGCTTTATATCCTGGCCACACTGGCAGCTGATTATATGGTGTCCACCTAGATTAAGGATATGTCTGCTTTCCCAACCCACTGACTCAAATATGAATCTCCTTTGGCAACACCCTCACAGACACAACCATGATCAATAATTTGCATGCTTCAATGCAATCAAGTTGACGCTCAGTATTAACCATCACAAGTCCACCCCTCGTCAAATTGAACCCATACACATCCCCTGAGATTATACATAATCTTCAAATAAAGACAATAATAAGGTCATAATTTTGCCTAACATAATACAACTATCCTTCTTAGAACCGGAAATGCACTAATCCCCAACCCAAATACTATTACATAAAGTTAACAATACTTAAGTGCTGATATGAAATTAATAAATGTTATGTCACATGATAAAGGAAAAAGAAAACAAAATGAAGATATTTTCTTAGTACAAGTGTAAACATGCACAAACCTGCTTTTAATGAAAGAAAGAGGAAATACTCATAACAATCACAGTCCTTGTTTCTGCAGCTTGTCACGTGGTCATAGCTGGTATTGATGACTACCTTCTTCTGCTACCCATTCTGTATTCCTTTTGACTTTAGCAAGCACCTCAGCAGGTAGTGTTTTTTTCCTGGTAGAGTGACACAAACCTTCATTCCTGAAGGGTCTGGACCATTTGTAGTCCTGCCTAGATTGGGCTGTTGTAGGTTCCCATTGACCTTAATCACAGGGCATGGAAATACTAAGAGACGCCCTAATGGATCTCCTGTATTCCATGCGTACTCTTCCTTACCTCTGTTGTGGAAAAGTAGACTGATTTCATCTCGATAGTGCAGGTAAATCCCACCAGCAAACACTGTAACTCCCTTCTTAGCCTGTTGACTTAAAGGTAGGAGGAGCCCAAAGTGTCCAAGTGGCAATCTTAACTTCCAGTCTAATGAAACCACTGTTGTGTCTCCTGGTGGCAGCATTCCTCCCTCTAGGCCAGCAGAACATAATATCACAGAAACAAGAAGCAAAAATTTTGCTAGTGGATCACCACGGGTGATGGTGAGTGGTGCCACTTCCACTTCCACCCCTTGATGCCTAGACCCAAGAATCCTGGCTGTGAGAGAAACAATACCATATATTGGATGCTAATTCAGAGCATACACAGATTTCTGGAGAACTTTGCCCCAGTCCTGCAAAGTATTGTCACCGAGATGGCACTGTAAATGTGACTTCAAAAGGCCATTCCACCATTCTATCAATTCAGCTGCTTGAGGATGATGAGGAACATGGTAAGACCAGTGAATTCTATAAGCAGGAGCCCACTGCCGCACTTCTTTAGCTGTAAAGTGATTCCTTGGTCAGAGGTAATGCTGTGTGAAATACCATGAGAATGGATAAGGTATTCTGTGAGTCCGCGCATGGTAGGCTTGGCAGAAGCATGTGTGCAGGATAGGCAAACCCATGTCCATCTTAAGTGTCTATTCCAGTGAGGACAAACCTCTACCCTTTCCATTATGGAAGAGGTCCAATATAATCAACCTGTCACCAAGAAACTGGCTGATTACCCCAAGGAATGGTGCCATATTGAGGGCTCAGTGTTGTTCTCTGCTGCTGGCAAACTGGGCACTCAGCAGTGGCCATAGCCAGGTCAGCCTTGGTGAGTGGAAATCCATGTTGCTGAACCTATGTGTAACTTTTATCCCTGCTACCATAGCCACTTTGTTCATGGGCCCATTGGACAATGACAAAGGTGTGTGGGGAAAGAGGCTGAGTTGTGTCCACAGAACAAGTCATCCTATCCACTTGATTATTAAAATCCTCCTCTGCTGAGCTCACCAGTTGGTGAGCACTCACATGGGATACAAATGTCTTTACAGTTTTTGACCACTCGGAGAAGTTCATCCACATACCTCTTTTCCAAATTTCTTTGTCACCAATTTTCCAATCATGCTTCTTCCAAGTCCCTTACCATCCAGCCAAACCATTGGCTACAGTCCATAAATCATTGTATAATCACACATCTGGCCATTTCTCCTTCCATGCAAAGGGCACAACCAGGGGCACTGCTCAACCTTCTGCCCACTGGGAAGATTTGTATTCACCACTGTCCTTCAGGGATGTCCAAGAAAGGCGTAGTGCTGCAGCTGTCCACTTTCAAGTGGTGCCTGCATATCGTGCAGAACCATCTGTGAACCAGCACCTAATCTTCTTGTTCCTCTCTCAACTGATCATAGGGAACTCCGCATGAGGCCATCGGTGCAGACTGAGGGAGAGAAGGCAGGGTGGCAGGAGTGGGGACCATGGACATTTGAGTCACTTCCTTATGTTACTTACTTGTGCCTTCAGGACTTGCTCAAGCCCAACCATGTGTATACCACTTCCATTTGATGATTTGATGATGGAATGCTGCTGTGCATGACCTACTTTATGGCTAGATGGGTCAGAAAGCACCCAGATCCTGATAGACAGTTCAGGTCACACGGTGGCTTGATGACATATTGTCAAACATTCAGTTTCCACCAAAGCCCAGTAATAGGCAAAGAACTGTCTTTCAGAAGGAGAGTAGCTATCTAAAGAAGATGGCAGGGCCTTGCTCGAAAATCCCAGAGTCTTCTGCTGTGATTCACCTATGGGGGTCTGCAAAAGGCTCCAACAGCATCCCTATCCACCACTAGCACCTCAAGCATCATTGGATCTGCTGGCTCATAAAGCCTAAGTGGCAGAGCAGCCTGGACCTGTTGCAGAGTCTTATCCTGTTCTGGACCCCACTCAAAACTGGCAGCCTTTCAGGTCACTCAATAAATGGGCTGGAGTAACACACCCAAATGAGGAATGTGTTGCCTCCAAAATCCAAATAGGTCCACTAGGCATTGTGCCTCTTTCTTGATTGTAGGAGGGGCCAAATGCAGCAACTTATCCTTCACCTTAGAAGGAATATCTCAACAGGCCCCATACCACTGAACCCCTAGAAATTTTACTGAGGTAGAAGGTCCCTGAATTTTAGTCAGATTTATTTCCCATCCTCTGGCACACAAATGTCTCACCAATAATTCCAATGTGTTTGCTACTTCTTGCTCACTGGATCCAATCAGCATAATGTCATCAATGTAACAGACCAGTGTGATTTCTTGTGGAAGCAAAAAACAATCAAGATCTCTCTGAGTAAGATTGTGACACAAAGCCGGAGAGTTGATATACCCCTAAGGTAGGACAGTAAAGGTATATTACTGGCCTCGCCAGTTGAAGGCAAATTGCTTCTGGTGGGACTTATGGACAGGAATGGATAAAAAGGCATTTGCCAAGTCAATGGCTGCATACCAGGTACCAAGAGATGTGTTAATTTGCTCAAGCAATGAAACTACATCTGGTACAGCGGCTGCAATTGGAGTCACCACTTGGATAAGCTTACAATAATCCACTGTTATTCTCCAAGATCCATCTGTCTTCTGCACAGGCCAGATAGGAGAGATGAATGGGAATGTCGTGGGAATCATTGCCCCTGCATCTTTCAAGTCCTTGATGGTGGCACTAATCTCTGCAATCCCTCCAGGAATGCAATAATGGTTTAGATTTACTATTTTTCTGGGTAGAGGCAGCCCCAATGGCTTCCAATGGGCCTTTCTCACCATAATAGCCCTCACCCTACCAGTCAGGGAGCCAATGTGGGGGTTCTGTCAGCTGCTAAGTCTGTCTATGCCGATTATGCATTCTGGCACTGGGGAAATGACCACAGGATGAGTTCAGGGATCCACAGGACCCACTGTAAGTCAGGCCTGGGCTAAAACTTCATTAATTACCTGACCTCCATAAACCGCTATGTTAACTGGAAGAACACAATTACATTTTGGGTCCCCTGGAATCAACATCAGCTCAGAGCCAATGGCCAGTAGTCCCTGAAATGTCTGATCATTTCCCTGTTCCCTATGAAGAGTTAGCCTGGTAAAAGGCTGGAGGTCTCCTTGGGGAAGGATGGGACAAAGACTCACTGCATAAATTGTTGGTAAGGTAACAGGATCCTTCCTCAAGGGGACCTGGTCTCCCCTTCATTCAAGGGGTTCTGGGTCTGTAAACTGGCTCAAGTCCGGAAATTGACTGAGGGGCTGTGATTCTGTTTTTATAATTCAAATCAATCATTTGTCCACTCGACCTGGAAGTTTTCTGCTTATATAAATTAGGTAGGAATGCAGTCGGCTTCCTATCAAATTCACTTCTAGAAACACTGTAATTAGCAAATGCCAGAGCTCTACACAAGTCAGACTATTCTGATTGCTGCTTTGCCTCTGCTGTTCATTATAGTAGCTATGCCCACCTTTCCTTTGATGGTTGAGTGCTGCCACTTGGCCCCTGCCACCTCGGGATCCAATTATTCCCATTGTATTTAAATTTCATAGTTGAGTGACTGCAGTTCCCACTGTTAGATTTGATATACAGAGAAGAGCAATTACAGGGCTCTTCAAAGATATAGGTGCTGCCCTCACAAATCTATTTTGCAAAGCATTGGTCAAGGATATATCTTCTGGTCCCTCCCAGCTGAGATGAGTAGGTCTAAGGTGACATCCACTCCACCATCCCAATCTCCCTAGGCCTTTGGATCCCTTCCTTTACATTAAACCAAGGATAATCAGGCATTTCCAACTCACTCACAGTGGACCATCTTTCAATCCATATTTCAGCTAACCAAGCAACTAAACTATTAGAACATTTTTTAACTCCCTGAGCTGCAACACTAAATGCAGAATCCCTACTTAGTGGGCCCAAATCAAACAATTTAGCCTGATCCAACTCTATATTCCTTCTACCATTATCCCATACCCTTAATATCCATTACCATGCCTCTTCTCCAGATTTCTGCTTATATAAATTAGAAAACTCAAGCAGTTCTTCTCAAGTGTAGCACACCTCCTCATGGGTCATACTCTTAACCTCACCTCTAGGGGCCCACTGGGACTTTAGTCTAGTTATAGGTCTAGAAACAAACAGGGGCATTGGGGTGTTGGGGTGGCTTCAGAGGAGAATCGACATTATCTTCCCCAGCAACTGCCTCAGGGGAGGCCATCAATGTTGCCTGAGGTAGCACAGGGTTTATCTCCTCAGACAAAGGTGGAAAGGCTGATGGGAGCATAGGTTGGGGAGGGGATGTTGCCACTACTGGGAATGGGGAAGCTGTTCCTTCTGTCAAAAAGTTTCATCAGAGTTTACAAGCTCAGTGTTCCCAACTTCATCAGGGTCCTCCCACTCCCCATTCTGAGTTGCAGGATCCCATTCTTTTCCAATCAATGCCCTCACTTTAACAGTAGACACTTGGCAAGGCAGTGCATAAACCTTTCATTGCAGGTCAGCCACTGCATGATAAGAGCTTGTGTCTGTTTGTCCACAATTTCGGCTCTTTCTTTACAGAAAATAAGACTCTCACTTAGGGCAATCTTAGCAGATTTGAGGCTCAGTATCTGCTTCCAAAGTTGGGAGTTTGAATCTCTGAGTTCATCATTTTCTTTCATCATTTTGTCCAGTGAACTTAGGAGCAACCAACAAACTTCATTATGTTCCTTGGTTATCTAGACATAGTCAAAGTATTATGTATAGAGTCACTAAACTTTTGCCTCTCAATAGTTGTGAATCAGGAGTGTCAAATGCATTTTTTTGGCATCAGTCTCTAAACAGTTCATGCCAAGGACTATCAGTGTTCTCCATACTATTAGAAGTAGAGTCCTTAGCATCTTTGGATCTAATCATATTAAGTAGCCAACTCCAGAAACCCCAAAACCAATGAAAGAACTCCATTCTTAATATTCTGTTCCTCTAGAACCACTCCTGGTACCAAAACCTGTATTAATCAGGGTTCTGTAGAGGCACAGAACTAATAGGTTATACATATACCTATAAAGCGGAATTTATTAAGTAGTATTAACTCGCACGATCACAACATCCTGCAATAGACTATCTGCAAACTTAGGAGCAAGGAAGCCAGTCCGAGTCCCAAAGCGGAAGAACTTAGAGTCTGATGTTTGGATGTTCAAGGGCAGGAAGCATCCAGCACAGGAGAAAGATGTAGGCTGGGAGGCTAAGCCAGTCTACCCTTTTCATGTTTTTCTGCCTGCTTTATATCCTGGCTGCACTGGCAGCTGATTAGATGGTGCCCACCCAGATTAAGGGTGGGTCTGTCTTTCTTTCTCAGCCCACTGACTCAAATGTTAATCTCTTTTGACAACACCCCCACAGACACACCCAGAATCAATACTTTGCATCCTTCAATGCCATCAAGGTGACACTCAGTATTAACTATCCCAGATGCCTCGTTTCACCTGAATTTTACTTCAAGGGCTTCCTTTGTAACTGAAAATACAACCATTTACTCATCCATCAAATTTGTAAATATTTTTACTTACATTGCTTTTAGATTTGTCTTTATTCTTTTTCTTATTTTAAATATAATTTCTTTACTAACTTTCTGCTATTTTATCTGATAATTTTTAAAATATTTTCTTGCAGATGTTGTCAACTCATTATTTATTCTCTGTGTTCCTGACAAGACAGATTTTATAACTAAAGATCAAACAGTCAAACAACAAACATAGAAACAAGCAAAACCAAGTATCAGCAGAGTTTGGGAGTATAACAACTGGAGGGTTTGGAGAACTCTGATGATAGAATTTTTCAGCATGGGTCCAGTTGCATTTGATTTTACACGGACAGACAATTATATTTTAAATTCCATAATCCCTCTTCCTCCTTCCTTTTACACTCTCACAGAAGAAGCAGTGCAGTACCTCCTCCAAGATGAATCAATACCTACACAATACAGTTGTCTTTCTAGGATTTTTATTTGATTCTCATTCATTTAAATGTACACTTTCATTTTTCTGTCCCTCACACATTATATTTTCTTTTTTATTAGTCTTATAAATTTGAAATTTTACCAGCATATGTGAACCATTTTTCATTTTTTATTCTCTCCTGTCATGGGCTTTCACATCAAAAGCTCAGTGTGCTTCTTTCTATGTGGCCATAATATGATGATGATGATGATCATGATGGTGATGATCATGGTGGTGGTGGTGGTGATGATGATGGTGGTTGTGGTGATAATGGAGATGATTGTGGTGGTGGTGATGATAGTGTTGATGATGATGGTTGTGTTGATGGTGGTGTTGGTGATGGTGATGATGATGATGGTGGTGATGGTGGTGGTGGTGATGGTGGTGATGATGATGATGATAGTGGTTGTGGTGAGGATGATAATAATTTCTATCATTCTTTTCTTTCATCTTCTTCTGTACTACTCATAGAAAAATACCTTATTTTCTAGCTTTCATGCCCCAATATGTGTACTTATAGTTTCCATGTCTTGATTATTTTACTGTGTTTAAATCAGTTCTCCTATTTGACCCATTAATTAGTTTGAAAATATATTACATATCAATACTTTTAATTTACAAGACTTTCTTTATACTCTTTATTCATTTTCATCACATTGCAGTTTTTGATAAGGAGACACTGTAATTTAAAATCTATCTGTGAATACTGATTAGAAAAAATATTTTATGATTTTTGTTGAATAAATATTTTTTCAGAGGTCAATTGTCCCATTCATTCACTTGCATTTTCTCTTTCATGCTCTAAATTTACCTGCTGTCTATTGATTCTGGTTTCACATCAGTGACTGGATAGAGTGTGGTGAGGTTTGCATGTTTCCCATGGCTGCGCAAGCCAATGGGATCAGTTCCATCACTGATCTAAAGGACTAGTAACATGATTCCTAGATCTGTCAAGATAACTAATCAGATCCTGTTTTCCAGTACTGAGAACAGGAGGAATAAACTCACAATGAAGTATATTTACTTAGGAAGCATGAAGGTGATAAATGTTTTATTTATCTGTGTATTTTAACATGCTGCAATCATTATAACTATTGGCACCAATGAGTTTTTCTGGTGTGCACCTGAACCATATGAAATGACACTCAGCATATAATAAGACCAGCATATTTACAAAATGAGTACAAATACTCATATATAAGGCTGTTCCTGGAAGAGGATGGTGAAAAATACTGAAGGTCAGATGTGAACCTCATTCAAAAGATCATCCATAACTGAGCTTCCTTTGGTGAGGATTTTGAGACTGGAAATTTATACCACTCTCTGGCCTACCTGTTAGCATCCTCATATCCTATTTGTATTGACTTTCTTTTGTCTACTTGGAATAACAAATAAGGAGAAAACCCCTGTGTCCAGTATTTCCATTAATCTGAGTCTAATGTGGATAGTGGTGGCCAAGGCCTCTCCCTCAATGGGCATCTGGAACTGTGGACCCCAACTGTGGACCCCAGTGGTGGCACCCCAATGGTGCCATCACAGACATCTTTATTTGTGCGTTATTGGAAGAGTGCTGAAAGGCCACTCCTATTTATCAATACTGTTTTCTCATGGACAGTGGCTTGGAGAACAGCTGTGTCCTTTTTGTCCTTACTTTTTTGGTCTTGTTCATATTCTTTACAGTGTTTCAATTTGCCTCATGCTCTATTTCTCTCTGGAGACTCCAACCTACATTAGAGACCCGCTGGATTTAACTGCTGGAATTTGTTTAGAAAACAGTCCATTTAGCTCTACTTTCTGGGGTCAAATACAATACGCAATGAATCCTTATAAATAGGTGGAGGTGTGCGGCATATAGGCCTGGATGTTTCAGAAGTCATCAGTGCATTAGTTTCGTAGTGATTTTCCATGGACATCTGCTGGTCCTTGCAGCTGTTGACTGGGAATTGCAATTTCTCTGGATCTCATGGGTCAGCACCCTCTGTGCAGCAGCAAACTCAGACATCCTCAGGCTTGGATTTGCTCTATTCTAGTCTGTCTGTTGATTTGATAACATCTTTCTTCCTTATTAAAACCCTTGGAAATGCTTGGTTTGCTGGTTGTATCCATTCTTATCTTCCAATAGTTGTATAATGGTCATGAAAAATATTTTCCCTGCTCTCTAAACTCTAGGTAGAAAGAAAAGAGAAGCAAGCATGTTGGCTCAATCTATTATCTTGAGCAGAAAACATGTTTAGACAATTTTAAATTATTCTCTGTATAGAGGTAATTCACCATTGCATTCACTTGGTAGTGATGTGATTATTATTCAGATAATATTTGATTTCTGGGGAATGGATCAAGTTGTGAAATGCAAACGTGTAAGGTGAGATAAGAACTCAAAATAATGTGTTGTCAGAATGCTTCGTGTAAAAGGCAGGGTGGGGTGACCACGGAGAAGAGCAAGAGAGAGATTAGAAATAGAAGTGACGTATAACACAGGGTCCACAGAAGTGGAAACGGCAGAAAACCTTCCTGTGTTAAAAATACAGCAGCATCTTTTTGTTTAACAATCGAAGCAGTTTTTTACTCCTGCTGTGAATTTTGGTGCTAGTTCATTTTATCCACTCAACAACTCCAGACAGCACCGTGATTACCTCCTTGTCAATGTCCATAATTCCATCAACACCATGACCTCACAATTCCTTGGCCTCCTCCACCCAGTGACATTTGCTTCCAGCTTAATTCAGCTTCACCTTTCTTTAGGCTCACCCTTGACATTGGTGTCACCACAACTATTTCATCACTAAAGTAAAAAAAAAAAATACTGTTTTTGTTCATACTTCACGATCTATCACAACAAGCAAGACTTTTCGGCTGAAAGGAACTTCTAAAATCGTTGTGAAAAATAAAATTACATATTTACTTTTCCAGATAAAATGACTGATATAAAACAGGCTATCAATGTTAATTTGTTTCTTTGCCTAAAATAAATCCAACATTTAATTGCTTTTTTCCCCCACAATCCAATTTGCACTCAGTCTGGGGTGCACCTTGCTTGATGGTGAGGTTGAAAAGAGAGCACTGTGACAGTAGAGATAGGAGCTGAAGATCTCTTAAAGGCTCAGCTCTGGCCTCAGTCACATTGTATTAGTGAAAATAAGGCCAGGCTCTACTTATCTTCAAGGACAGTGGAATGAGACTTTACCTAACAATATGAAGAGTGGCAAAAAAATTCCTGTCACCTTTATTTCATCACAAGGAACATGCAATTGGGCTGGACTTAGTATGTATTAAATATATCTGGAATATATATATGAATAAAAGAATAAATACTCTTAGAATAGATTCATTTTTACCTTCACTCTGTCAATGTAAAAAGTATTCATTTTTCAAGGTCTAGTTTACTGCTGCATTCTCTGGGAAGGTTTTTTTTTTTTTCCTCTACTAGAAATGATAACTTTCACTTAATTTTAATTGCATTATAACACTTTTCATAGCCAACATCATAGGTAAGAATTATATTCAATTCCTTTTTTCATGGAATAGCAAGTTGAAAATGGAACATTTTATTAATAATTGTCTACAAGTGGCATTCACTGTATCTAACATACAAGCTCTTAATAAATAATTGTTGAATAGTTGATGTTAAATTACAACATGAATTAAATATGAGACTAAATATTTAACAAATGCTTTGTTGATAGGTAGAATTAAGTTTAATATGTATTTTAACAATATATGTCTTTGTATTTATCTTTTTTGTGCTGTTTTTTTAAAAAAAAAATCAGGTTCGAGGATACAAATGCAGGTTTGTTACCTAAGTGAATTCATGTCATGGGGGTTTGTTGTACAGATTATTTCATTACTCAGGTATTAAGGCCAGTGCCAAATAATTGTCTTTTCTGCTCCTCTCCCTCCTCCCACTCTCCACCCTCAAGTACATCCCAGTGTGTGTTGTTTCCTTCTTTGTCTTCATACGTTTTCATGATTTAGCTCCCACTTACAAGTGAGAACGTGGTATTTCCTGTTCCAGCATTAATGTGCTAAGGATAATGGCCTCCAGCTCCATCTATGTTCCTGCAAAAGACATGATCTTGTTCTTTTTTATGGCTACATAGTACTCCATGATGTATATGTACCACATTTTCTTTATCCAATCTGTCATTAATGGGCATTTAGGTTGAGTCCATGTCTTGCTATTGTGAATAGTGCTGCAATAAACATACACGTGCATGTGTCTTTATAGTAGAATGATTTATATTCCTCTGGGCATACACCCAGCAGTGACACAGCTGGGTCGAATGGTAGTTCTGCTTTTAGCTCTTTGAGAAATCACTGTACTGCTTTCCACAATGGTTGAACTAAATTACACTCTCACCAACAGTGTGGAAGTTTTCCATTTTCTCTGCATCCTGGTCAGCATCTGTTATTTTTCAACTTTTTAGATGTATAATTGGCAAAATTTTTCTCCCATTCTGTAGGTTGTCTGTTTACTCTGTTGATAGTTTCTTTTGCTTTGCAGAAGCACTTAAGTTTAATCAGATCTCACTGTTGATGTTTGCTCTTGTTATTATTGCTTTTGGTGTCTTTGTCATGAAATCTTTGCCCATTCCTATGTCCAAGATGGTATTGCCTGGGTTGTCTTTTAGGATTTGTACAGTTTTGGGTTTTACATTAAAGACTTTAATCCATCTTGAGTTGATTTTTGTATATGGTGTAAGGAAGGGGTTCTTATTTTACTCAAAGTAGAAAATTTGGAAAACAAAAAGAAGAAAAAGATTTGTAATTGTATATCATTCAGATAATCACAGAGAAATATTGATGGATATACTGGCACTCTTTATGAACACTCCTGTTGTTTTAAGAACACACAACATCTCTTCACTGAAAATTTAGTATCCATTTCCCACATTTCAAAGTAAAAAAATAACTCTAGTACGTTTTATCAGTAACAACTAAGAAAACAAAATCTACTATAAGGAATATTTTGTGGCCAGAGCATTTAATCTGAAGGACTCATTCTGTTATTAGAAAATAATTACATTTTGATGTGTCCAGCTGTTTTTCCCATGTTCTGTTGGAAAATATTTTATTTATAAAATTGTATCTCAAAATATACCTCAAATTAGTAGCATGAAATTTTCTCAAATTATAAAATTAACTGAATGTGTTTTTACAACATAATTTTCTTCTTAAATATCTGCTATGTTGCTTTTAATATTTTAGTATTTTATGTAATGTTGAATATTGTTTAGTTAAAATTGCCTGCTTACTGAAGGTTATTACTATTATTATTATTGAATGGATTATGTGAAATGGGATGGCTGAGAAAAACACAAAGCCTATATTGATAATACGTGAATTTTAAAAAGAAATGCTTATTTGTATTTACAAATAGATATTTCTCTGTGACATCATTACAGTAGTAAATTTTTAATAATGTATCTTCTAATGTTTTGCTTTGTGGTATATTTACATCAGTGTCCATATGTCACTTTTCATAAATGCTTACGATTTGCATTAAAATTAACAAGATTTATCTAGCTTTTTGACTTCAATGTGATGAGCCATAGCTTAGAAGTCAGCAGCCAGTAAAACTATAAAATATAAGAAATGCTCAATGATTTTAAATTAATAACTTGAGTCACATTATGAGCAAAAATTTTGATGATCCTGTAGTATCTTAGGTGAAGTAACATAGTTGATTTTGACCATGATATCAGAATAAGGAAAAAGAACAATTTTAAACTACTTTACCTATTCGAAAATAATCGATTGATCACAATGTAAACAATATAACCTTCAGTGTAATATTGTTCACTATATGTTATTCAAAATTATGTTTGTGAAATTCATCCATATTTTGCCTTTGTAATTTATTCATTCTCTTTGCCATGTACCATGGTGGTTTGCTGCACCTATCAACCCATCATCTAGGTATTAAGTCTCACATGCATTAGGTATTTGTCCTAATGATCTCCCTCCCCTCGCCCCCCACCCTCCCATAGGCCCCGGTGTGTGTTGCTCCCCTCGCTGTGTCCATGTGCTCTCATTGTACATGGATGCAGTTTTCTAGGTACTTAGCAAAGAATGAAATCTTTATATTAAAGGATATGTTCATTTTTAGGAGATAATAAAAAATAGTTTTATACAGTTCCTGTACAATCTACATTCCAACCAGCAATCTATAGGCATCCCATTTGTTTCACATTGTCATAAACTGTTGGTGTCATTGGTCTTTATAATGCTAGCCATTTTGCATACATTGTATTGAGGATTTAATTCACAATTTTCTGACAAAAATAATGACTTTTGTAATTTTTTTCTATTAATATTTATTTTTTTACAAAATTTTGTATTATATTATTATCCTTTGTATTTTTTGTACTTTTGTATTATTGTACATACCATTTGTATTTATGATAACTTCATAAGGTCTGAGGCTAACATCAATAATGTTTTGAGCTTTCTTTTTGCATCTGTGTTAATTTCTTCACTATTAGTTTTTTTTTATTATTATACTTTAAGTTTTAGGGTACATGTGCACAACGTGCAGGTTTGTTACATATGTATACATGTGCCATGTTGGTGTGCTGCACCCATTAACTCGTCATTTACATTAGGTATATCTCCTAATGCTATCCCTCCCCCCTCCCCCCACCCCACAACAGGCCTCGATGTGTGATGTCCCCCTTCCTGTGTCCATGTGTTCTCATTGTTCAATTCCCACCTATGAGTGAGAACATGCGGTGTTCGGTTTTTTGTCCTTGCGATAGTTTGCTGAGAATGATGGTTTCCACTTTCATCCATGTCCCTACAAACGACATGAACTCATCATTTTTATGGCTGCATAGTATTCCATGGTGTATATGTGACACATTTTCTTAATCCAGTCTATTGTTGTTGGACATTTGGCTTGGTTCCAAGTCTTTGCTATTGTGAATAGTGCCACAATGAACATACGTGTGCATGTGTCTTTATAGCAGCATGATTTATAATCCTTTGGGGATATACCCAGTAATGGGATTGCTGGGTCAAATGGTATTTCTAGTTCTAGATCCCTGGGGAATCGCCACACTGACTTCCACAATGGTTGAACTAGTTTACATTCCCACCAACAGTGTAAAAGTGTTCCTATTTCTCCACATCCTCTTCAGCGCCTGTTGTTTCCTGACTTTTTAATGATTGCCATTCTAACTGGTGTGAGATGGTATCTCATTGTGGTTTTGATTTGCATTTTTCTGATGGCCAGTGATGATGAGCATTTTTTCATGTGTCTTTTGGCTGCATAAATGTCTTCTTTTGAGAAGTGTCTGTTCATATCCTTCACCCCCTTTTTGATGGGGTTGTTTGTTTTTTTCTTGTAAATTTGTTTGAGTTCATTGTAGATTCTGGATATTAGCCCTTTGTCAGATGAGTAGATTGCAAAAATTTTCTCCCATTCTGTAGGTTGCCTGTTCACTCTGATGGTAGTTTCTTTTGCTGTACAGAAGCTCTTGAGTTTAATTAGATCCCATTTGTCAATTTTGATTTTTGTTGCCATTGCTTTTAGTGTTTTAGACATGAAGTCCTTGCCTATGCCTATGTCCTGGATGGTATTGCCCAGGTTTTCTTCTATGGTTTTTGTGATTTTAGGTCTAACATTTAAGTCTTTAATCCATCTTGAGTTAATTTTTGTATAAGATGTAAGGAAGGGATCCAGTTTCAGCTTTCTACATATGGCTAGCCAGTTTTCCCAGCACCATTTATTAAATAGGGAATCCTTTCCCCATTGCTTGTTTTTCTCAGGTTTGTCAAAGATCGGATAGTTGTACATATGTGGCATTATTTCTGAGGGCTCTATTCTGTTCCATTTGTCTATATCTCTGTTTTGGTACCAGTACCATGCTGTCTGGGTTACTGTAGCCTTGTAGTATAGTTTAAAGTCAGGTAGCATGATGCCTCCAGCTTTGTTCTTTTGGCTTAGGATTGACTTGGCAATGCAGGCTCTTTTTTGGTTGCATATGAACTTTAAAGTAGTTTTTTCCAATTCTGTGAAGAAAGTCATTGGTAGCTTGATGGGGATGGCATTGAATCTATAAATTACCTTGGGCAGTATGGCCATTTTCACGATATTGATTCTTCCTACCCATGAGCATGGAATGTTCTTCCATTTGTTTGTGTCCTCTTTTATTTCATTGAGCAGTGGTTTGTAGTTCTCCTTGAAGAGGTCCTTCACATCCCTTGTAAGTTGGATTCCTAGGTATTTTATTCTCTTTGAAGCAATTGTGAATGGGAGTTCACTCATGATTTGGCTCTCTGCCTGTCTGTTATTGATGTATGAGAATGCTTGTGATTTTTGTACATTGATTTTGTATCCTGAGACTTTGCTGAAGTTGTCTATCAGCTTAAGGAGATTTTGGGCTGAGACAATGGGGTTTTCTAGATATACAATCATGTCATCTGCAAACAGGGACAATTTGACTTCCTCTTTTCCTAATTGAATACCCTTTATTTCCATCTCCTGCCTAATTGCCCTGGCCAGAACTTCCAACACTATGTTGAATAGGAGTGGTGAGAGAGGGCATCCCTGTCTTGTGCCAGTTTTCAAAGGGAATGCTTCCAGTTTTTGCCCATTCAGTATGATATTGGCTGTGGGTTTGTCATAGATAGCTCTTATTATCTTGAGATACATCCCATCGATACCTAATTTATTGAGAGTTTTTAGCATGAAGTGTTGTTGAATTTTGTCAAAGGCCTTTTCTGCATCTATTGAGATAATCATGTGGTTTCTGTCGTTGGTTCTGTTTATATGCTAGATAACGTTTATTGATTTGTGTATGTTGAACCAGCCTTGCATCCCAGAGATGAAGCCCACTTGATCATGGTGGATAAGCTGTTTGATGTGCTGCTGGATTTGGTTTGCCAGTATTTTATTGAGGATTTTTGCATCAATGTTCATCAAGGATATTGGTTTAAAATTCTCTTTTTTGGTTGTGTCTGTGCCAGGCTTTGGTATCAGGATGATGCTGGCCTCATAAAATGAGTTAGGGAGGATTCCCTCTTTTTCTATTGATTGGAATAGTTTCAGAAGGAATGGTACCAGCTCTTCTTTGTACCTCTGGTAGAATTCGGCTGTGAATTCGTGTGGTCCTGGACTTTTTTTGGCTTGGTAAGCTATTATTTATTGCCTCAATTTCAGAGCCTGTTATTGGTGTACTCAGAGATTCAACTTCTTTCTGGTTTTGTCTTGGGAAGGTGTATGTGTCGCGGAATTTATCCATTTCTTCTAGATTTTCTAGTTTATTTGCGTAGAGGTGTTTCTAGTATTCTCTGATGGTAGTTTGTATTTCTGTGGTATTGGTGGTGATATCCCCTTTATCATTTTTTATTGCGTCTATTTGATTCTTCTGTCTCTCTTTTTTTTTTTTTTGAGAGAGAGAGTCTTTCTCCATCGCCCAGGCTGGAAAGCAGTGGCGGAATTTCGGCTCACTGCAAGCTCGCCTCCTGGCCTCAAGCAATTTGCCAGGCTCAAATGATTTGCCATGCTCAAGCGATTTGCCGGCCTCAGCCTCCCATGTAGCTGGGACTACAAGTGCGTGTCACTGCACTAGCTAATTTTTGTAATATTTGTAGAGATGGAGTTTCATCATGTTGGCCCAGTCTCATCTTGAACTCCTGAACTCAAGCGATCTGCCCACCTCAACCTCCCAAAGTGTTGGGATTTTAGGCATGAGCCATCATGCCCGGTCAACTTTTATAATTTTTATAAAGTGACTATGCAAGTAGTTGGCCCATAATTTGGGGCATTCCCTGCTTTTCCTCTCATTGATTTGTTGTTTGTGACATATTCTGAATATATGGTGGGCATATGATTTCTTTGTTAGATATATGCACACAAAATCACTTACCCCATTCATCTTAATTTTAAATTTTTCAATGGTGAATTCTTACGATGAGAAGATCTTGTCGGAATGTGATCCACTTTGCAGTCTAGTCTTTTTAAAAGTACATTTAGGTCTTTTTGTAACCTTTGAAGAAATATTTTTCCACTCGAAGGTCAGTAAGATCAACTGCGTTGTCTCCTCAAGGCTTTATTTTGCTTTTCATATTTACATATATAATCAGCCGTGTATACATTTTTGGGTACAAGGTAAGGTAGATGCAGGGTTACTCATTTTCCTATGAATATTCAAAAGGGAATATATCTTTCCCACTGTTCTGAGTGCAGATTTGTGAAAGTGAATCACAGTACATGCCCAGCACCCAAAAGAGCGTGTATGCTTTGAATTTTCACAGTGCTTCTGATGTGGGGTGAAAATTATAAACGCTTCTTGTTAAGTCACTGCATCTGAAGTCACTGTTGTCAAAACTGTCTCTTCCCAACATTTTGGGTTTGTTTACAGATTCTTTACGATGTTTGGTTGGTCTGATTGTCTATTTTGGTGCTTGTCTTCAGTGTCAGTTACTATAGCTTTATAATGAGGGTTGGTGTTTAATAATGTTGTCTTTCTACTTCATTCTGCTTCATGATTGTCTTCCCTTGGTACAGTTGGATGTTTTTCCCTTCTGCATCTCCTGTTGAAATGTGAACCCCATGTTGGACATGGTGCCTAGTGGGAGGTATTTGGGTCATGGGGGTGAATCCTTCTTGAATAGCTTGGTGCCCTCCCCACGATAATGAGCGAGTTCTCTGTTAGTTAGAGCTAGAGCTCATTGTTTAAAAGAGCCTGGTACCTCCTCCCCTCTCTTTCTTGCTCTCCCTCTTTCCAAGTGATACACTGATTCCACCTTTGCCATCTGCTATGGTTGTGAGCTTTCTGAGGCCCTTTCCAGAAGCAGATGCCAGCACTGTGCTTCTTGTACAGCCCGCAGAATCATAAGCCAAAATAAATATATTTTCTTTATAAATTATCCAACCTCAAGTCTAGCTTTATGGCAATGAAAAAAAAAACTAATGCATCACTATTCTTGAGTCTTTGCCTTTCCATATAACTTTTAGAAATAACTTGTGAATTTTTTACAGAAGAATCTGTTAAGTATTTTGATGGCGATTACATTGAATCTTTAATCGATAAGGGGATAATTGACATATTTAAAATATGGATGTTGGCCAGGCGTGGTGGCTCACTCGTGTAATCCCAGCATTTCGGGAGGCCGAAGCAGGTGGATTGCTTGAGGTCAGAAGTTCAAGACCAGCCTGAACAACATGGTGAAACCCCATCTCTACTAAAAATACAAAAATTAGCCAAGCGTGGTGGTGTGTGGCTGTAGTCTCAGCTACTCGAGAGGCTGAGGCAGGAGAATCACTTGAATCCAGGAGGCGGAGGTTGCAGTAACCCGAGATCGAACCATTGCACTCCAGCCTGGGCAACAAGAGTGAAATTCTCTCTCAAATAAATAAATAAATAAAATTTGGATATTTACAATTATAAACATGTTACGTCTTTCTATTTCTTTAGAAATTAAAAAACTCTCTTACTACTATTTTATTGTTTTCTCTACAAGGTCTCACATAATTTTGCAGATTATTGTCATATATATAATATTCTATTTGCTATCCTATTCCAGAAGTGATTTATTTTTGCTAATCGTGAGCAGGCAGTCCATGGGTGAATCCCCTTAATCCATGTTCTCTGTAAGTTGCCAATTTGGGTTTCAGATGTACTCATGTTGCTCTTTGAGTTCCCAGCTGAATTCCTGGACCCTCTTATCTTTGGCAGGTCATACACCCTACCCCCATAAGCCTGCCGAAAGTTCTGTTCGCCTTATCATCTCAAATGCAAATCAGCCATCATCTAGAAAGGAAAACAGCCAAGTATCAGACTCCCCCTTCACTACTTCCTCCATATGACAAGAAGATTGGTCCACAACTTCTCACTGCCCAATCTCTGGCCAAAGTTATTATGCAGCTATATTTATACTTTGTCCTGCTTTTTACCAAAGACTTGAAAAAAATTGTAAGTATGTTCAGAGAACCAACATTATACTTTGATAATTAAATCATTATGTTTATTTTTTAATTATATTAATTTGTTTTTATCGTCATTATTTCCACCCTTCCACCACCTTCTCTCTGGTCATATATTTTAAGGAGCTTCTTTATTTTCATCACAGAAATTATAATCATCTTCTGTTATAATCTTCAGTGTTGAATGTGTAGGCTATCTTGACTGGTATTGTTGGTACTTAACAATACACCTGACACAAAACGTGGAATTTTTCACCCACACCAGCCAATCCTTCCCCTTTCCAAATACCAAATGGGCATCTCAAAATTCAATTCAATTCAATTCTGACACTAACTACCAAATTAGCATAGACATCACAGGTTAAAGGCTCAGTCCCATAAAACTGCCCTCACTTCAGATGCCAGGTTCAAGTACAGAGTGCCAAGGGTGCCTACACTTCTGCCTGATTTGGGTACAAAGTTGAGGATCTTCACAACTTTCTCCTCAGGTTCCATAATTTGCGAGAAGAGTTCACAGAGCTCAGGGCAACACTTTACTTACTATTGCTGGTTTACTCTGAAGGATATCATAAAGGATACAGATGAGCATGGAGATGAAGAGGTACACAGGATGTGGTCCGGAAGAGCTCTGAGCACAGGAGTTTCTGATCCCATGGAGTGTATGCATTCGCCAACCTGAAAGCTCACCAAATCCTATAATTTAGAGAATTTTATGGAGGTAAATATGATTTATTATCATTGGCCATTGGTGACTGACTCAATTTTTAGCCTCCTCCTCTCCCTAAAGATCTAGTGGGGAGGCTAAGACTTCCTACATTCTAGTCATGCCTTGGTCTGTCTGGAGACCTGCCTCTGTCCTGATGCTCTCCAGGGGCTCCAGCTGTTAGTCATCCTATTGGCATACAAAAGACAGTCCTGTCACTTCAGAGAGTCCAAGGTCTTAGCAACTATTGTGTTAGTAACTGGGAAGTAAGCCCAAAAATTATAACAAAAGAGGTTCCCATCATCCCCTATCACACAGGAAATTACAAGGGTTTTATTTAGAAGCTTGTGCCAGGAAACAGGAAGGAAGATCAAATATATATTTATCATTATATAAAAATTACATCATGTCAGAGAGAAAGTCTTATAATTGTTATTGAATGTTGAGCATAAGAATGATATCAACAACCAGATAAATCTTACGTTTATTATAGAAATGATCCTACTTAACATTTCTTTGAATTTATTTAGTGGGTCTAGATTTTTATGGAAGAGGCTAATTACTAAAGTTTCAAAATGAGGATGTGATATAGGTATGGGTGTCAATCTATTAATATGTCATATCTGACAACTTTATCTTCTAACATAACTAAGAAAACATACTTTAGCAAACTTTATCATTTGTACAAAAGCATTTGGAAGAGCTAACTACAAGTACTTATACTCATGCCTCCAGTGGTTCAGATTTAGTAATGTAGTTGGACTCATGTATTCCTCATATGCAGGTATTGCATACTCGCTGTAATTGGGTTCATATGTGCATTTTTGCCAGTAAAATCGGTAATTCTGATATTTGCTCTGAGGATCATAATTTAATAAATACTGCTTTAAAGTGAAAATGAGTCAAAATACTGTTAAAAGAGAACGTGTATTTTGCATTTTCAGAGGTGATATAAATGTGGTCTTACAAACAATTCTAACTTTTTCCTTTGCTCAACAGAACTCATCACTCTTGTCAAATTCTTTCCATCTATTGTGTGTTTAAATAATGATAATGGAGATATCAAATATGCCATCTCCATAGTGAACAACTAATACATCTGTCTTGGCTTGAACATTCCTTTCAAACCATAAGAAAAAGTAGTAGCATTCACCTTTATTAATAATTCGTAACATTGATACTGGGAATATATGGAATATTTAAAAAACAAAATATGTAACAATCAACCTGGATTCTTCAATACATTTGATTGTTGTACATTTAAAATAGCTATTTATCTACTTACATTTTTAATAAGATTTTGCCCACCCACAATATTTTATTGAACCCTTTATTTTTGCAGTTTCATCCATCAATCATTTTAAGACAGGGAAGGTAAAAAATTTCGGAGTTTTTCTTTTTTTCTCATTATGATCTCACTTTCTCTTGACTAAATAAATCCATATAATATTGTGTATTGTCATTGCTCAGGTCATCTATGAATTAATTAAACTAAAATAACATGGGATTATTAATGTTTACCTATCCTATAGCTCTTACGATAATTTTGTGATATTAATTTTAAATTATTTTTTATTTCTTGAACTCTCATGTTTGCTGCTGCCTTCCAAATTATCAACATGCATTTATTTTTGTTTGAAGTCAAAAAGTTACAGTGAATCTTTTCTATTAATTTAGAAGCAAATTATAAGCAATTATGAGTACACTGTAATGATGAAACTAAGATACTGAGTATTTGTCAAAAACCCATAGAAGCTTACAGTACAAAGATTAACCTTAATGTACACAAATTTTTTAAAAGTCAGTTTGGAAGCTGGGGATCCCAGGATTGAATGCAGAATGTCCCCAAATCACTTAAACATATTATAAATGTGTGAAACAACCTCACTGAAGCAGGCAAAGGGAGATGCTGAGCTAAGTATCTTTGGAAATTAAAGGAGTCTGTAAGACTAAAGGCAAAGGAAATTGTACATAGCACTCTACTGTAGTTGAGAAAATTGTTTCACACAGGGAACAGGTTGACAATTCCGAAACCACTAGAAATGTACACAACTAAGTAAATGGGTGGCAGATGGTGGGAGCCAGGTTTATATAGTTGGAGTAACAGGTTATAGGTAAGCAAGGAGAGGACACTAGAATGATCTGTGTGGCAATAGACTGGAGTTGAAGACATTTCTATGAACTTATATTTAGCTTAATATAGATACAGATGGTTCAATATAGAACATTTTATAGATATGTGTATATCTATGTAGATTAGTATACATACATTTTGCTCTGTCTGCTGAGAGGTCCTAGAAGCAAGGAACCCCAGTAGCAACATCCAGCCTGCAGATTTGGTTTCTATACCATTCTTCAATAAAAGGAAGCAGGAGAAATGGCTGTTGCTAGGATTGGGGCAGAAAATATACAAGATGAGCCTGCAACATCTTGTTAGGCCAGAAAATAAGAAGTGATACAAAAAATTACAATGATGAAGATATATATCGAAGGGAGTAAGAAGCGAATTTCAGTGGGGCATGATACACTCTTGGGCAGAAAAATTGAAAATGCTTTATGTAGACGCACTACCTCAAGCAGGTAGAGCAAAACTTCACTTGCTAAATGTGCTGCAGGTAGGGTCTTCTTCCCACAAAGTACAGAGTATTTACATTTAGCTTGTAATCCTCCAAGGAGGGAGGGAAAATATTTTAGCAGAGAAACCTGAAAAACACTGCCTCAGCCAGGTGACCTAAATGAATATCAACAATGATAAGTCATATCATCAGTATGTATCCTTGATACAATGCAATGGAAATGTTACTTCTCTGTGATCTTCATGCATACACTCCATGGGATCACAGCCCAATTATGAGACAAATATCAGATAAATCCAAATAGAGGGGAATTCTACAAAACAGCTGCCAGAAATCCTCAACATTATGAAGGTCATCAAAAATGAGAGGGTCTGAGAAACTCATAACCAAGGGAAGCCCAAAAGCCATGTCTGCTGAATCGAATGTGCTACAGTGGATGGGATGCTGGAACAGAAATGGGATATTAGAGAACAACTAGGGTGAGCTGAATACAGTGTGGGCTTTATTTAATGGTGCATCAATATTGGTTCTTAATTATAACAAATGTACCCTAATAATGTATAATTTTGCTACCAGGGGAAACACATGTTGGTTATATTGGAATTCTCTGTACCAACTTCAAAATATTTTTGTTAATCTATTTTTTTTTCTTTTGAGATGAAGTCTTGCTCTGTCGCCCAGGCTGGAGTGCAATGGCATGATTTCGGCTCACTGCAACCTCCCCCTCCCAGGATCAGCTTCAAGTGATTCTCCTACCTCAGCCTCCCGAGTATCTGGGATTACAGGCATGCACTATCATACCTAGCTGATTTTTGTATTTTTAGTAGAGATGGAGTTTCACCATGTTGGCCAGGCTGGTCTTGAACTCCTGACCTCAGGTGATCCATCCACCTTGGCCTCCCGAAGTACTGGGATTACAGCCGTGAGCCATAGCACCCGGCCTAATCTAAAATTTTTAAATCAAATTTTTATTTCAAAAAACACGTATTCCCATCAACAAAGTTGCTTTCAAAAAAACTTTTAAGCCTATATTTAAGTCATAGTTAAATGTGAATAATTTAAAATATCAACTATTGAGCAATTATTTATTAAGGAGTAATAAAAAAAAGACTGGAAAAGGCACCTGGTGAAAATATGTGAACAACATACAGTCCTTTTATCAACTTGCCTGCATTCCAGTGAAGATAAAGAATGAATATATTATTCAAATACAATGCTGAGCCTGAAGAGCATTATAATTTAATTAAAATGAAAAGAAAGCCATTATCTGATAGATGAATTAAAAAGCCTTCTCAGAGAATGGATAATTAAAATACATCTTGAAATATTAGTGCTCTTTCAAGTGACAAAGTGTGAAAGAAATGTGTTCTTGGCTGGGATGAGAGCACACACTCTTTCATTCAGTCACTGTTTCAAAAATTATTTATTTACTACACATGTAAGTCAAGACACAGCGAAGTAGACTCTGGTGGATGCGTTTTACCACCACTCCAACCCAGAAGTAGAGACCACTTTCACTCTGCTGGAATCTAGGTTGGCTCCGGGACTTGCTTTGACTGGAAAAACGCAGTGAGGGTGGTGCAAAGTAATTCCTAAGGCAGAGCCTTTCAGAAATCAGCAAGTTGCATTCTCATTTCTCAAAATGCTCCCTTTTAGAACCCAGTCACGAAATATCAAGCTTAAGCCACATGGCTTGTTCAAGTGGAGGAAAATCACAGTGCCCTGGGCAGCAGCCTCAGCTGGGCTCTCCCAGGGCAGAGCCTGCACCTCCTGCTGCACCTTCCCGGGTGCTGTGGCCCAGCGGCCACCTGCAGCCCGCACCTACTGCTCCCGCGGAAAGAGAACCCGGGAATGTTGGGAATGGCTGTGTGCATTTTTACATGGAAAGAATGTAAATAACCTATTGTCAGTCAGCCCACATAATTGTGAGATCTTAAATGTTTTAAGCAATTAAGTTCGGGGTCTTTGGTTGTTCAGCAACATATGATTGAAACAGAAACTGCCATTGTAAAGTTGGCTTTGGAGCGAGGCATCAGTCTCAGGCTATTTGTGAAGGCTAGAAAGACAGGGAGAAATTTGCCACAAAATTACTATTTAAGCCTATGAGAAGAAATTCCAATTTAGATACTGTATAACTGATAATTAAACATTATTTGTGGTAAGATGAAAGTGAGAAAATGTATGAAATGACCCTGTGGATCTGAGTAAGATTTCCAATTAGAGTGTTGAAAGGGTCAATGCGAGTACAAAAACTTAGCCAGGCGTGGTGGTGGGCACCCTGTAATCCCAGTTACTGGGGGCTGAGGCAGGAGAATCACTTGAACTGGGCAGGTGGAGGTTGCAGTAAGCCGAGATCGCGCCACTGCACTCAATAGCCTGGGTGACAGAGTGAGACTCCATCTCAAAAAAAAAAAAAAAAAAAAGAAAGTGCCGATGTGCTTACTTGAACTGAGTTTGGATAATTATAGGACCACTACCACAAAAATCCTTAAAAGCAACTGCCAGCATCTCTTTTTTTCAGTATGCACTTTTATTAATTTATTTTTTAATTTATAGGTAATAATTGCATGCATTTATGAGGTACAATGTGATGTTTTGATACATGTATACATCATGTAATAATCAAGTCAGGGTAATGAACAAATCTATCACCTCATGCAATTATTATTTCTTTGTGATGAGAACATTCAAAATCTTGTCTTCTAGTTATTTTGAAATATACAGCAAATAATTGTTAACCACAGTCACTCTACTGTGCAATAACGTACCATAACTTATTCCTCCCTCCTCCTACCTGACTGCAACTTTGCACCTGTTGACCA
Organism: Homo sapiens; assembly: GCF_000001405.40. Taxonomy (NCBI): domain Eukaryota; kingdom Metazoa; phylum Chordata; class Mammalia; order Primates; family Hominidae; genus Homo; species Homo sapiens. The sequence goes on from NC_000007.14 coordinate 54,146,964, forward strand.
TCCTCTCCTTAACTCACAGGTGTGGAGGCTGGAAGTCCAAGGTCAAGGTGCTGGCAGCTTTGGTTTCTTCTGAGGCCTCTCTTCCTGGTTTGCAGACGGTGCCTCCTGGCTATGTCCTCATGTGGCCGTTCTGCATGTACAGCCCTAGTGTGTTTTTCTTTTTTCTTATAAAGACATACTGGGCCAGGCGTGGTGGCTCACACCTGTAATCCCAACATTTTGGGAGGCTGAGGTGGGTGGATCACCTGAGGTCAGGAGTTGAAGAACAGCCTGGCCAACATGGTGAAACCCCATCTCTACGAAAAATACAAAAATACAAAATTTAGCGGGGCGTGGTGTCAGGCGCCTATAGTCCCAGCTACTTGGGAGGCTGAGGCATGAGAATTGCTTGAACCCGGGAGGCAGAGGTTGCAGTCCAGGATGGGTGACAGAGCAAGACTCTGTCTCAAAAAAAAAAAAAAAAAAAAAAAAAGACATTGGACTAGGGACCCATACCAAGGGCTTCAGTTTAATATAATCACATCTTTGAAGGCCCTTTCTCCAAATGCAGTCACATTCTGATATACTGAGGTTGGGACCTCTATATATGAATCTGGGGGCAACACAATTCAGCCCATACCACCTCCTTTTTGAGCAGGGGTTTCTGTTGTGGTGATCTGGTTCTTGGAACCACATTTTATGTTGGGAAGAAAGGCTGTTTAGGCAGATAGATCTCTGTGTCCGCAAAAAAACACATATGCAAAGAACCTCATCTGCAATTGGACGTAATTTATAGGATAAAAGGAAAAAACTATTTCTCTTCTCCAACGCTTCTGACACCAAATGTGTGTGTGGAGGTGTTTTTGCTTTGTTTTGTTTCATTTCGTTTTTCCCAACAAACAACAAATTATCCAACTCTCTGTGGACACCAACTGGTTGTCCTACAATGACACTAACTACCAAGAGCTAACATAGACTCCATAGGCTAGGGGCCCAGTGCCACAAGGCTGCCCCTGTTTCAGACACCAATTTGCACATAGTGGGTCCCCAGGTTACCCACACTTCTGTCTTACTTGGCTACAAATCGGAGATTTTCACAACCCGTCCTCAGGTTCAGTAATTTGTTCAACGGCTTATAGAACTCAGGGAAACAGTTTATTTACTATTTCAGTTTAATATAGAGGAGATTATGGGGAACATAGATGAATAGTCAGAAGAAGGGGTACATGGGGGAGGTAGGGAAGGGTCCCAAGCAAAGGAGCCTCTGTCCCTGTGGAGTTTGGGTACACCACCTCCCAGCAGATGGATGCATTCATTAGCCCAGAAGCTCTCCAAATGCCATCATTTGGGGACTTCTAAGGAGGTTCCATTATGTAGAAGGATTTATTAAACCATCAGCTGTTAGTAATTAGTTCAATCTCAAGCCCCTCTCTGAAGGTCTCGGGGTACGACTGAAACTTCCAATTCTCTAATCATGCCTTGGTCTTTCTTGTGACCTCTTGAAGCTATCTTAGGGCCATAACTGCCCTAACATTAACATTTAAAAAGGCAATCTTAGTATTCTGGAGATTCCAAGGGTCTTAGCAGCTCTTATGTCAGGAACTGGGGGCCAAGATCAAATATTGTAACAAAAGATGCTCCTATCACTCCTATCAATCAGGCAGTTAGTGTTTTAGGAGCTCTGTGTCAGGAATCAGGGAGAGAGAAAACTATTCATATACATACATACACACACACGTGTGTATATATAAATGCATATATGCCTGTGTATATGCACTTATGTGTGTATTTCTTATTATGTCACAGATGATGAAATCTTGGACCTTAAACCTGAGCATGATACCACATAAGATGAGATTTCAGAGGGTTTAAAAGTGGTGAATGTATTTTGCATGTGGGAGGAATGTAAATAATTGTGATCAGTGACTGACTCTGGGGACTAAAGATACCTGCAACTCATTACCACTGCTCGTCTTGAAAGCGAAGCATACTTCCACTCCCCTTCCATCTTTCTGTGACCTTCCGTGACCCAGATAATGAGACATAAGTGGTCCCAAGTGTCTTCTGTGACATCTGCCTATGGTGCTAAGAAGGCTCCCATTAGGAACCAAGTGGCAACGGTGAGACAGGCCTAAGTCACACAGAGATGCCATGGGGTGGAGGACAGGTGCCTCAGATGATAAACCTGGCTGAGTCCTCGCTAGGGGCCAGAGCCAGCTGGATACCATATGACTGGCCATCTTGAATGTTTCCAGCCAAGTCAAGCCTTCAGGTGACTGCAGCTCCAGCCAATGCCAAAGGGAGCAGAAGAACCAGCTACCTGAGGCTGGCCAACCCACACAACTGGAGGAGATCATAAAAGCAGGTTTCAGCCTCCATGTCTTGAGATAGTTCATTACACAGCAGTAAATAATTGAAATTGTCCCCATATACAAGATCTTATATTGTGGAAATTTTAAAAATAAAATAATTATTTTAGAACTGCTTAAAGGCTATGAAATAATAAAGAGGTTTTTAGATACAGAAAAATATGTGTTTCAGGGAAACTATTTTATATAAAACCTATTGAATTTAAAGTGGAAATAAAGATTCCAGTTTCAGACATGTTAAATTTGGCATAATTATTACATATCCAAGTGGGATTGAATTAATTTAATTTTATTTTTAATTTTGTATTTGTAAGTCTGGAATTCAGTAGAGGAGTTCCAACTGAAGATAAAAATTTTGGAAACATTTGTCTATAGAAGGTATTTAAAGTCACATGATAAATATCTATCAGATTGAGTGAGAATTCTGAGAAGAACAGAGCAGACAGAAGCCTGGGGGATAAGAAAGGAATTTAGAAGCAGGAACGTGGAGGTGCCCTGGGGAATCAGGAACCATGAATACATAGTGTAAGTAGCACAGTGCTGTGTGTCCCACACAGTACAGGTGAGATACAACGTATATGCATTTACCTCAAACTACTATGTCTAGCAGATTCAACAAGTCCTACAAAATAAGAAACGTGTTACTCCAAGGGAACAAGTAATAAAGGAGAAGAACGGCAGGAGAGAAAATGTTATCCTGTGGCAAAGGGAGATCAATACAGACAGGAAGTGGTACTGAGGAAAGGCGAGAAGAATCTCTATGGGTTGATAAGTGTTAGGTACCAATAATTGACTGTGATGGTGCACCTTCACGCTTTGCACAACTTTCCTATCTCAATGTCTTTCCACGAAAGAGATGAAATTTTGTGTTTGTGCATGATGATATGATATATGACATGGTATAATGTGCTGTGATATGGTAAAAGTCAGATTTTGAAACTAAACACCACAAAATTAGGTCTACTCTCTTTAATTTCTAATGAGAAATGGAAACTTTATATGAAAGTAAGGGTATTGTATTATACTTTATGGTATCAGCACACAAAAACATGTAACATTTTATCTCTTTCTTGGAAAGATATTGCAATATAGAAGTTGTGTAAACTATGAATGGGACACATCATAGTTGGTTAGACTCACCTGACGATTATTGACAACAGAGATTCTAGTTCACTTACATGAGGTCTCTATAACAGTCAAACTCATGGAAGCAGTGAATGTAAACCCTGGCTGTGGTTGCCAGGGCCTGGGGCCTGGGGGAACCGGGGAGCTGCTCAGTGAGTCTCAAGGTTCAGCTATGCTAGGTGAATAAATTCTAGAGACTTGCTGGGCAGCATAGTGCCTATAGTTAACAACGTGATATTGTACACTTCAAAAATGATGCAAGGCAACTTTGGAAGCATGGGGGACTTGCATGTGTCTCCCTTCTTGATCATGAAAATTGTATCATGAATGTCTGCATATGTACAAATTCATCAAATTGTGCACATTCAATATGTGAAGTTCTTTGTATATCAATTATACTTCAATAAACTGTTAAAATAAAGCTCACAGTATTTTCAAAAAATTCCAATTATTTCTTACTAAGAGAAAAATGAAAAGTTATGTCAACTATCAAGAATTCAAGCTCACTTTCACAATTCTAGGATCTTTGCCACCATCCCTCATCTTTTCAACCTCACCCTCACATACATCACTTTTATGCAGACTAAAGCAAACTCCCTGCTCTCTCCTTTACATTATCCACTCCAGGCTTTTCATCTTTTCTCTAAGGCCCTCTCCTCCAGTTTACTTCTGTTAAAACCCTTAACATTCTTGAGGCCCATATCAAATTCCATTTTCTGCACAAACAGCCTCAAAATAACTGAATAAATTATCCTTTTTCTCTGCAACTAACTGTGTCCCTTAAATATATCACCTTATATATGTAAAAATAGAAATTCCAGTAGAGAAAAGAATTCCAATTATGATACAAAAAACAAAGAAAATACTGGGAACATACTTTAGACATGCAAAGTGATATTATGAAAATACTAAAATTTGACTGTGAGATGGCCTGGTTCCTTGAATGGATAAAATAGTCCAATGTGGCTGAGCACGAAGGAGAGTGTGAAATCATCAGACAAGCATAAACGGAGGAATGGGTCCACACATTCACATGACTGCATGCCACTCCAAAAAGCTGAGTCTTCATCTTAAGGTCAATTTCATTGAAATCATCGAAGAATTTTAAGAGTGTAAGTTGCATAATTAGATTTTCATCTATGAAAGAACATTACTTTGGAAGATAAGAAATTAGATTTCGTGGGAGCAAATATTAGATGTGAAGAGAGATTTTTTAGAAGGCTAATGAGAGACAATGGCAACATTTAACAACCCCTACAGCAATCAGTCAACTGTCAAGGCATTTTCTGAAACAGGATAGCCTCAACAAGGGCAGACTTGGTAGAAAAGATGATAAGACTTGATTTGTGAAATATGATGTGCTGAAATTCCTCATAGACATATGGCTCTGGACTCAGGAGTGCCAATGAGGCTGGCCCATAGCAGGTTCGCAACAAGCCTGTGTCGACTATGTAAATGAGTCATGGGCATATGATTGGGAACTGAGGTCACTGAATGAGATATACATGTTCGAAGAGCGTGTGTCATGTGAGATGAGAAGGCTATGACAGAGGCACGAGGAACTCCAAACTTTAAGATGGATGCCAAAAGAGAAATCCCAAAAGAGACTGAAAGAGACCAGCCTGTGCTGCAGGAGGCACTCCAGGAGGACTGGCCCCAGTGAAGTTAAGGGAGGACAATGCTTTAAAGTCTGAATGGTTCATGACGGCAAGTGCAGACAGAAGCTAAGTATGATAAGACTTTAAAATATTTAGTTAGAGACATCAAAGTAATTGATGCCTGTGGCAAAGCTTTTTCAGTGATGTGAGAGTCCAGTGATGAGTGTAAAAGTGATTGGGTAAATGATAACAAGGACAGGCAAGGGGCTGGCACTGATGCTATGATCCATGGCAACGACTGAGTCACATTTTAAGTTGGAGAGTCTTACGCAGGTTTAGAGGATGGTGGCAAGGACACAGAAGAAGATGAAACTAATGGAAGCCAAGAAATTAATCACTGAGAAGGCACAGGGTTTGCAGTCTGGACTGCCATTGGAGGCTTGGCCTTAAACTGGAAATTTAATCTGTAATTTCGTTGTCTTTATTTTTTACTTCCCATTCTGAGACTTTTCAAGTCATCTGCTGTGTAACTGATTTTATTTCTATTTATTCTTCATATTTTTGTCTGGATTTAATTGCAATTACATTCATCTCTACCTTTTAAAATGTAATTTTAAAAGTAGGCTGTTCTGCCCCAGCCACTTTTCCTCTTGCCCTCACATTGCAGATTATTTTCATAGACCAACACATACTAAAATGAGGTAATGTCATAAAGATACAATTAGAGGAATAAAGATACAATTAGAGGATAGATATTTATTACAGGATTATAGAATTTCCTATTATGTCTGTGGAAAAGATACTAGCATTACTCATTTTTTAAAAACTACCCTGCAATTTTATCAGCTAATTCACCAAGTGAAGAGAAATGATGCAAAGACAGATTGATTCCATATATTCTCTTCTTTTGAAATTCTGTGCACTGACAAATTAGTATCTAGAATGCATGTTCTGCAGGAAATGGAGGCCATTTTGCTGGAAGCCAGCATGATATTAAAAAGACAGGTTGTGAAATTTGGCACTTAATAGATCGTCCACTTATTTTAGTAGTTTATCCTTACTTGAGTTGTTAACTCAATTGTCAGCTTTCTCATCCAACAACAAGGAATATAAGGTCTAATTCACAAGTAGGGTGAAAGATTTAATGCAATAACCTGGCACTGTTAAGCTCTGAATAAGCATTGGAAATGGAACACTGCCATTATCAAATGGAATTTACATATAGACACAAAAGTTCGTCAGCTCCTTATCATATACACTTGAGTCATATGGTCAAAATATAAAAATTTGTAAGTATAGATGAGAAGAGAATTATAGACAAATATCAATCACTGGTTTAGGATGAATTGCTTAAGGTGAGGTATCAGGCGATGACCAAATCACTGGACACAAGGCCATATATCAGATGACATGCATGCAAACAAAATTTCTTAGAGAAATGGCATTTAGAAGTTAAAAAGTGCAACGAGTTCTCTATGAGTTGACATTTCATAAAAGTGTTGTTACTTCAAAAGCTTGTAGTATTGCCATCTAGTTCTCTTGCTAGTACTTGGTCTCACAATTACTGCTGTATTTTCTGAGTAGCTCCTGTAGATCTGACAGCAGCTGTGTCTTCAGCTCAGCCTGTCTATTCACTGTAATAACTGTAGACAGTGTTATCATTATATAATGGACAGAGCTTTTCTCTTGGGGCTGACAGTTTCCTCCCTACTCAGTTATTGTATGTCAGAATTTATCTGCTCTCCCTTTAGTCGTTTATATGTAAGTTACTTAATAATAAAGTTTATTGAATTATTAGTAATGCCAATGGATGGTAGGCATGTTAGCCTTGATGCTGCTCTGTCATTTCTTGTTAACAACATCAGTGGAATTTGACAGTAGATTCAGTTCTGTGGAGTTTCTTTCACAAAGGCATGCCTTAAGATATAATTAGAAACTTGGCAATAGTACCATGATAAATGTTCAGTATTCCAAAATGATCTTTTTCCCCCACATCAATAAGCTTTATGCAGCATCTAAAGGCAGTCATTCAAAATTTCTTAATGGTGGTGATTGCAGCATTTTGCTGACTATTCTGCAGTCACTATAGCTGTAAGAGCTGACAATTAACTTCAAAGAAACTGAATTCATGTCACAGTCTACACTAAGCATAATCCACATGCTGTCCAAATTGCATATGGGCAATTCAAACCTGAAAGATTACTCTGAATTTTGCTGTGTTGGCAGCAGTTCTAATAAACAAGGAACTCAAATGCCAAATAAGAAAATCAGATTTGACAACATCTGGTGTAATGACATATTTATAGGAGAAGGTATAGAGGATCCAAAGAAAGGCAAAGAGAAAAAAATTCATGAAGAGCAACTTATGTAAGAGTTAATGACAGGCAAGAAGAACAAAAAAGTCCACAAACTCACAAGTCTTCCTTAATAGATCATATCATTCTACATCTGATCTTTTTCTTCTATTCTGGTAAAATACATTATGACAGGAATCATTAAATATATGATAAAAGGCTATTTCAGGGGACAATACTGAAACTACCTTCGATACCTGCCTGGTAACCCACAAGAAACTAAAATAGAATCATAGCATCTCACAGCTGGAATGCCATTAGGTATATAATTGATGTGAGAATCACTTCTATGCAGCCTTGATATATATTTGTTAATGAGAACTTGGATAGTCCCAGTTTTAGGGAACTCATTATACAGAAGGTAAAATGATATTATCAGAAGAGCAGAGTCTTTTTGGCTTGAGAGACATGAATTTGAATCTTTGATCTACTTTTCCACTAAATGATCTTGAGAGTGTTATATAAAATTTCTAATTTACTCATTCTGGAATAGGGAGGTAATCTCAAACAAAATACCATACACCTTATTTTTCAAAAATCATATGTTGTTTATTTATTTTCTTTTTCCAACTGTCCAAGGTCTTGGCTCTGAACCAATTTTAAATTTCATAGTTATTAGACTATCAATTGTTTGTGTGTCCTTCCTACATTTTAAACCACACCACCCTTGTAGATACAGAAATATCAGTAACTGAGTATTGGTTTCAGCTCATCTTTAATAATTATTACTGCCAGATAGACCTATAATCAACCAACCTCTAGGCTAGCTGTAGTACCTGGGAAACTAGTTTGACATGGTACTTTTAATCTGAAGTAACAGAAAACCAATTTGAAGCTAAAGGGATTAAGTTCTGACTCCTAGAATAATAAATTTTAGAGAAATATGGAATTTGATTCATCAGGTAGATGATATCACTGAAGACCTACTTCTGCCTCCTAAATTATCAGTTTCATTTTAAGATTAGTGCCCTCAAATGACCACAAGATGAATGCTAGGAGTTCCTAAGATTATACTATTCAACACCTACACCAAAGCCATTAGCTTCACTCCAGACTAACTTAAGGTGTACACCAACCCTGAAACGCTCAGTATGTGCAGACTGCATACTGATAATCTTAGATGTTCATGGGATGATCAGCCTAAACCAAGCCTTGTGAGTTGCAGATGTGGAAAGGAGGAAAGGGTTGATCTATTTAAATTATGCTGCTGCTACCCAATGGTACTGAATGGATGTCAGAAGGCAACTATACTGCCCATCACATCTGTGTTGCCACCAAGACTTTTGTGTTTTCCTAATGCCCTATGCTGTTTCTGGATAAAGAGTTTAATGTTGCACATTTGCAGGGGATTTATGTTAAAATTTCCTTTCATGTTTACTTTTCTGTTGCTGTTTTAGCAGCAGTTCTAATAAACAAGGAACTCAAATGCCAAATGAGAAAATCGGATCTGACAGCATTTGGTGTAATGACATACTTATAGGGGAAGGTATAGAGGTTCCATAAAAAGGGCAAAGATTTTAAAAATTATAAAGAGCAACTAATGTAAGAGTTGATGGCAGACAAGGAGAACAGCGGAGCACATAAATTCACCAATCTTCCTTAATAGACCATAGCATCCTACTTTTGTTCTTTTCCTTGTATTTACCAGAAATACAAGTATCCTATCTATTGATTATTTCAAAAACTCTTTATTGCTAAATTAAGATTGTGAGTGTTAGAGGCAGAATGATTGCAGGAAGACTACTCTATAAGGAAGATTTCTCTGTACTGATTTGTTGGTGTCTTGCAAATCCCACTCCCCCTAATCAAAAAATAATTAGGAGTAATGAAGATATTTCTTACTATCTCAAGTCAAGGAGAGAGGCTTCACTGAGCTCAATCTAAGGGATTACTGTGAAACTTTTCCTGTGCAGCTTGAGATAGGGGCAAAAGGCACACACAGTGGACTCCTGTGAGTCTCACAGGTTAAAAAACAAGAGGTGGACTGGCTAGCTCCTGATATCAGTAGTGAGGATGCCCATGCTGGACAGCTGTGTTCTAAGAGTTTATAGTAGCAAAATATAAGCTAGATTTTCACATGACTGAGACTTGGTTAATGTGAAAGAAGCAGTGAGTATAGGGATATATTTGGAGCTGAAGAGGTTTTCAATGTGAATCCTCATTTCTTCCTTGTGGCCTCAGCAAAAGACAGGCTTTTGCATATCTGCTTTGTCTATGTGTCCTTTAGCTCCCCCTCTTCTGCTCTTGGGAATCAAACTGAGTCCAAGGACACTTCTGCTGCCAGCTGTTGGACCCTAGTTTGTTATTGTAAATGATAATTTTGATGTTGCATCTCGGGTATACACCTGCCCTCCAAGAATCATCAGCCACAATGTCTTCTCCTGATTGCTTTTACAGAACTTCTTTTGCAATTTCCACTGGCTTTTGGCAGTTTTGTGCATTTAGAGTTTGGAATTTTAAATGTTTCCTAGTTTCAGCACTAATTAAATTTGTGTTTTTATTTTACATCATCTTCACTGCTTTTAAATGTTTTCTAGGAAAAAGGTGGAAAGTCAGAGTTTTATGACACTGTCACTATACCAGAATTCTCTCATTGTCTTTTAACAGAGGAATTTGGCACATATGTATCAATAAGCCCCTTCAATTACTATTTATATGATTTCCCCACACCATGCTTGATCTGTATTAAGTCTTCAGACATATAGCTGGTGTTATTTAGCTATTTTACTGATTTTTTTAATCAGTCATATATATTTTCCAGACTGATGGTTATTTCTTGTGTATAACAGCTTGTTCTTGTTTTTTAGATGTGATATTTCTTCTATTCACTCTCTCTCTCTCTAAATATTAATTCTACTGATTTTAATTTCCTTTTTTGTTACGTGTGTTTAATCTTTTTTGTTTACTATTCATGCTTTTTTTTTAGTAGTTGTAATTTTTGGACATCTGTTAACACTAACAAATGAAAGACTTGATTGGTAAGTATTAATATCTCTGATGTGTTTTCCTTTTACTTACACAGATTTCTCCTCGTTGCCAGTTATACTATTTAGGCCCACTATTTAACCCCTGTGTGAACTTCAGATGATCTTCCTGCTTATCTTTTCAGTTGGGTATTTCTCCAGTCTAGGGGATAGTTTTCTCCCACATTGATCAGCACTTAGTTGAATACTTGAGGGGCTCCCTCCATGCAGTCCTCTCCCCTCTAGTACTCTTAGTCTCATTGACCCTAGCCAACTTGATCTTGGTCGACTCTAGCTCCACGTCCTCTACTCAGGAAGTCTTTGAGGCTTTTCAGTGTTTGCAATTCAAAAGGGATTTTAGATGGAAGAAAAGTTATACATATGTGCTCATTCAATCTGCACGTACTTTATAGTCAAATTACCAGCTCCAAGTGTAAGAAATATTAAGACATGAGAATTACGCATTGCATGTATAACTAGATGTGGGGAACTCCCCATATTATAAACAATTTGTACCTCCAGACCCATAATAAATGATTTTCTCTCAAATGATGATTGTTGATTAAACCTGGCTTGGGCCCCATAAAGACTACAAGTGATGAGAGTCCACAAAATCACATACACTTGTGGCCACACACAACATGAACTCAATAATTGCATCAGTAATATTTGAGAGAAATTCATGAATCATAACGTCAACTATATATGAGAAGAACACTTGGATCATGAAAAGTAATTTGTGAATTTGATATTTTTCAATTTTTACATTCTAGTAGGCTTTATCTTCAAATTAACAACTTGAAATTGGAAATAAAATTTAAATTGCCTTGCTGTATATTTGATAAATTGTTAATGGTCACTCTATGAAACTGGCTTTAAAATAGTCATTTTATTTATTTTGTTTTATGAGCAGCCCCAAAATCCAAATATAGCTCATAAGAGTAAAAAATTTTCCCAGGCAAAAGATGCAGGGTGTGTAGTACGTCTCATCAAAAGAGATCTATTTTACTTGAACCTTCACTACAAAGTAAAATTCTGAATTACTGTGTTTGGCATATGCAGATATGCTCACAGTATATATCACCCATAATCTCTTGGCAAGAAAAAGAGGGACATATTAGTATGTCATACTCATTTAAAAATTTTACGCAAATCTTAAACTTTTGCCCATAAATATCTAAAACTATAACACTCAGTTTCCAGAGCACTTAATTTTCTTTTAATTGTGGCATAAATAATGCCCAGTTTAACATCACTAGTGTGCCTTGTATTTGTGTGGATTTTTGTCCTGCAAATAGGAAAAGGGCATAACCTTTAAATGTATAAATAAATAAGGTAAACATGAAGGAAAACAGAATCTCATTCCACTTGTCCAAATGCTTCCTTGAGGTCACCCATGTCTCTTTGTTTAGACTCCCCATGAAGTCCTCTGCTACAATGTGTTCAAGAGAAACAAAAACATTTACATCTTTGGAAATGAATATTTCTAAATATTATTGATGCAATTATTGAGTTCACGTTCTATGTGGCCACATGCGTATGTGATTTTGTAGACTCTAATCACTGGTAGTCTTTATGGGCCCCAAGTCAGGTTTAATCAATGATCATCCTTTTCTGTGATCTTTGTCTTTATTTTTCTCTACCATCTTATCCTTTTTTCACTTCCTTAGCATAGGTATTTGTATTCAAATATACCACCTCTTGGAAATTCCTTTCAATCGTCTCTTACTATGCTTTATTTATCTTTACTAACGACCACAAAAGTAAGGGCAGTGCTCTGTATAGAGAGGGAAATGAAATGAATAATACTATTCACTAGCAAAGAAAAGAGAAGTATGATTCTCCATGAAGAGATTTTGACAGGCAAAATAAGAGGCAAAGCTGCATGATATACACAAATAATTATTTGTGTCAGTAAGTTTTAAAATGCTTATATCAGCAAATTAATGTAGGTTTTTAATTGTTAATTTTGTTTCTGATGCTTTAGCTTAAGAGCACATATAAGTATTATGGTAGAACTATCTGAGCTTATGTTGATGAGTCTTGGAGGTACAATACAAAATCGGCATGCTGACAGAGATGGTTACAGAATTGGATTCCTGCCCAGGAAATTATTACCTTTAGACCAACTATGACTGCAACAGAAGAAAAAATCACAGCTCTTGAGAAATAACCAATGTCAGAGGCTTTGAAGTTAAATTGATCTGGAAGTTGAGGCTGTCCTTCATGAAGGGTCTTTTACTGCATCCCTGAGAGATTGAGTGCCTAGAGGAAAACAAAGATTATTGTGGAGATATGACATTATAATGTCAACATCTTAATTTTTCTCAAGATAGGATATTACTTGCAAACAATTTATCATTAGTTATGCTAGGAATTTAAAATATATATAAACCTGAGTTTCACATATGTAATAAAGAAAATACAATGTTTGAAAAGATAGCAAATATTTCTTTTTTAATTCCAGGCAAAATACAATTTGGTAGTGCAGACAAGCTAAAATAATAAATTGTAATGTTGATATAGTGGACTACTAGAAGTACACACAATGACCCATGGGAACAAGAGGAGGGGCTCAAAAACACAGCCTATGTCAAGCACATGGCCAGAGATGGCTATCCTCATCCTCGTGAAATCAAGCGATGACGGAGTATTGAAAGATGAGTAGAAGCATTCAGATGGGAAAAACAATTGGAAATCCATGTGATAGACAAAGGTCATGTGGAAATTACTCTTTACACACACACATAAATGTCAACCAAATAAAGCAAATTTCCAGTGTCAGATAAGGAGAAAATATATCATAAGGCAAGAGGAAAACTAGTCAGAGATGGATCTACACTTCTCAGAGTTATAAAAAAAACAGAAATAGCTCAGTGGCTGGGATTGCCATGACCACATAGATTAGTAATTCAAACTGTATGATCCATGCCTGTTAGAGAGTGTGAACCAAAAAGTATCTGAGACAAGGCTCAATCAATTTAGAAAGTTTATTTTGCCAAGGTTAAGGACATGCCCATGACACAGCCTCAGGAGGTCCTAATGACATGTGCCCAAGGTAGACGGGACACAGTTTGCTTTTATACATTTTAGGGAGACATAAGACATCAATCAATACGTGCAAGATTTACATTGGTTCAATCTAGAAGGGCAGGACAACTCAAAGTGGGGGCTTCCAAGTCATAGGTAGATTTAAACATATTCTGAATGGCAGCTGGTTTAAAGAGTTATCAGTAGAAAGGAATGTCTGGGTAACAATTAGGGGTTGTGGAGACCAAGATTTTATCATGCAGGTGAAGCCTCCAGGAGCCAGGCTTCAGAGAGAAGAGATTACAAATGTTCCTTATCAGACTTAAGGTCTGTGTTAATGTAAATGCTGGGGTGGTATAATGAGGCATGTCCAACCCTTGATTGGATGCCATCTTGGGACTAACATGATGTTAGCTCCATCATGGCCTGAACTAGATTTTCAAGTAAACTCTGGAATGCCCTTGGCCAAGAAAAGAGGTTCATTCAGAAGGTTGGGGGGCTTGAGAATCTTATTTTTGGATTACATTGTCCCTTTTCTGGCCAAAATTTGCCAGAGGCAATATCAATGGCCACCAAATTTTTTTCTTGTCCCGTAGAGTTGCTGGGGTAGCATGGTTGCCTGCCCTGGGTCCATCCTGTCTCTTGATGGAATTCCCTATGGCCAATGAACTTAGAGTCAAAAGACATTGCCAATTAAATGTACTGGGCCAGATAGGAATGGATGTGAGCAAGCATTTACTACCTCTTAAACAATATGTTTTTAAGCAAAAAGTCAACAAAAAAAAGCCAAAGGTGAGGTTACAAAATTGATTTGTCTTTAACTTCTATGCATTGAACTACTATAATCTTGGTTTTAGTTACAGACTGATAGCAATTAGCTATACAAAACATAAGCATTGTTCTGAAAAAAAATTTTAATATGTATGTATCTGCGCAACTCATAATGGGGAGTATTATACTCAGGAGGCTTTGTCATGAGGTATCTTTATCCTATCAGTAATTATTTTATTTTAATTCTACAGGAAGTATTACCGGTAGAAGGTATCCGAGTTACCAGCGATGAATCCATGGGGGCTGCAGCAACCTCAATTGTTGCCTCCTTAGAAGAAAGAATTCAACTCAAGGGCATAACACAGAAAAAGAGAGCAAGGCAAGTTTCAGAGCAGGAGTGGGAGTTTATTTAAAAAGTCTTTAGAATAAGAAAGAAAAGAAAGTATGCTTGGAAGAGACCCAAGCAGGTGACTTGAAGAACATGTGCGGTGGTTAGCCTTGATCCTAGGACTTTAGAGGGTGGCCCCTTTCCCATGATTCTTCCCTTAGGGTGCACTGCCCACATGTGCAGTTCCCTCCTTACTCTTGGGAGGTGAGCATGTGCAGTGTGTTTAGGAAGTTGTGTGCATGCCCATCTGAGGCTTTCTTCCCTTTTTCAGTGGTGTGACCTCGTAAGGTCATATTTCGCCATTTTGTCTCTTATTCCACATGCCCGGGAAGTTGCTTCTCCCTGGCATCTGGATTCAATTAACACTTTAGTGCAACAGGTGTGGACCATCAGGAAATGGCCTCTCCCTGGCACCAGCTGCCAATTTATCACATTTAGATAGGCAATGTGGTAATTGCCAAAACATCACCCAATATTCCTGGTGGTTCGTGCCTGTCTAACTACTTGTATCAAAAGCAGGAAATTCTTCAGAGTTGCAGTGCCTGAATTCTTTAGGGAAATGGTGCCACATAATAGCTCAGAAGTCAAAGTCCCTTGTTTTACCAGCTGTTTAGGCATCTGTGTACCCAGTCTTGATTCGGAGAGTCTGAGCTAATTCTATTCCTCAGAAATGGCCCTTACAATTTCATGATTCTGGTTTCCTTGGATTTAAAACTAGGAGAGATAAATAACATTACTATTTTGATAATCAAAAGAGTATTTGTGTGTCAGAACAGAAAAAGGAACCTATTCCATTGGGGCACCAACTAAAAATATGGTGAAAAATGATAATCTGGTACTCTTTAGAAGACTATTGTAGCCAAGAAATAATTAATGATTCGGTCCGCACTCAGAAACAAGTCAGGGCTGAAATTTAGTAACAAGTGTTACACTTTTCCTTTGAAACAATTTCTATCTAGCCCTCCTTTTCTATTAAAGAAAAATTATGTATGAAATAAGTTTTAGGCTTATTATATTTGGCTTGATTATTCACATAAAGTGCAACAAGAATTGATTGGCCTTATAGGCTGCTATTAATTTGACTTTGCTGAAACTTTACCTAAGAATTTGTTGTGATAGTCAAAGCCTTGGTAAAATAAACTGTGTCTCCATTTGTCGTGTTGTAAAAGAAAAGACTCCTACTAAATTTAGGCAAATAACTATATTGTCATAAAATCAGAATACTCATGAACAGTTTCCAAATTTTGGAGAACCCAGAAAGAAAAGTAAATTTGCTCACAAAAATATACCTTATCCAATTGCTCTAAACTATAAATAACTCACAAGAAAAAAATTTGCTTGACTCTTCTTTAACCAGAGCAGTGGCTTTCAAACAGGATGCTGTTTGTTCACTTTGGAACTGCTATCCACAAGCCAAACAGCTCTTGTTAGATGAGACTTGTCTATTAGGCACTGTAGAATCTAGCAGCTCTTCACATAGTTGGAGTCCTTCCTAGGGGAAAAAAGAAGCCCTCTGCTTATAAGTATTCTCATTCTTGCATTTCCCAGGTAGCAAGGGCCTACATCAAAAAGATTTGGGTTCCCAGCAGGGGACAGGCCAAAAGACTCAGACCCTTTGGTGAATCTTTATCTTATTTGCTTCTACATTGCCCCAGGCAGCATAACCTATCTCATGATAACATTTGCCTTTAAATTTTTTTTATATTTTCCAAATCTGGGGCAAATAGTGAATAATCATCCAAAAGTTTCCATCACCCTTCTGGGGCAAGTCCTTTAACTCCCTTTTTCCTCCAATTTCCACCCCCACTTTATTTTTGTTAATTACTCCAATATTTGATTAAGCATCTGTAAGACCCATCAGGAACAGTAAATTTGATAACGCTTCTCAAACAGTCGTATGATTCTGCAGGAGGGGTGCCCATGTAAAAGGCCCTCCCCAACACTCAAATTTACCATGATCTGGGTAATAAGCATATTCGATGGGAGAATATCCTGGCCATCATAGAGTCAGTTCCACGTGGCTTGCATGTGAAGCATATCAACTGCTTCATCTCTAGTGTTTCACTTATATTTTATAGAAAGAGTCAGGCAGTCCCCTTTCAGGGCAAACAGACCTTACAATGGCATTTATCCAGCCCACCAGGTTGTTTGTTCAGTCAGAAATAACCTCCTGTGCATTTGGATCACATAAACTCATCAGTGATTGCTCAGTAGTAAACTGTGGGCCCTGCATCAACCCAAATAAGCTCTTTCATTCTCTAGCATTTAAAATTAAGGATTTTGTCCTTAAAGTAGTTATTTTTACAATTCATTGTAGTGAAGATTTCTCAAGAAGCTGATTTTACCAATCTACAAAATGAAACAATTCCTTTATATTATACCCTTTGTTTTGACAGTTACTTGGTTTTGCCCTTCCCCTCATATTGACTGTCTTCTTGGTAACCACGTCATGTCTCAGAGGTAACTTTTGTAGCCCTGGCTTAATTTTTATTTTTATCTATTTAGCTTTATCTGTACAATTTCTCCTTTATTGTAAGGAAATTCTTAGTTTCTTAACTAGAAAAAAATTACATTTCCTTTAGCAAAATCCACATCCTTGTGTTTTATAAACGTCACCAAAAATACTTTTTATGCTCCTACTATTTTACTTCTTGGTGACCAAAATTCCCAGTGAGGAAAAAAAAAATGAGTTTTTTTTTCTTTGCTTTTTGTTTTATGTTTTTTTTTTTTTTTTTTTTTTTTTTTTTTAGACGGAGTCTCACTCTGTCACCCAGGCTGGAGTGCCGTGGTGAGATCTCGGCTTATTGTAACCTCCACCTCCCAAGTTCAAGTGATTCTCCTGTCTCAGCCTCCTGAGCAGCTGGGATTATAGGCACCTACCACCACGCCTGGCTAATTTTTGTATTTTTTTTAGTAGAGATGGGGTTTCACCATGTTCGTCAGTCAAAGTCTCGAACTCCTGACCTCAGGTGATCCACCCTCCTTGGCCTCCCAAAGTGCTGGGATTACAGGCATGAGCCACCATGGTTAAAAACGAGGTTTTAATTTAACATAACATGACTTCAAGATTTTAAACTATTGGAGATAATTTTGAGATTAAATTTACCAAATTAATCTTACTGAAGATTACCGAAGTCATGTGAGTTAAAAGAGACCTGAGCTAGCTTCCATGAGTCTGATAAGCCCTTACTTTTCTTTAAGTCAATTGATTATAGCTCTTTCATACAGTTTAATCCTAAAATATCACTTCCACATGACACACATAAACATATAGATACAACAAACATCAGACAAAAACAGATTCAAAAGATTTATTTGCCTATTTTCAAATATTATCTCCCTTACTTTAGAGTATTAATTTTTAAAAGTTACAACAAAAATTAAAGGAGAGAGTTACCATCCCAGGCCTTCTCAAAAGAGACAAGGAACTGAAGCAACAGGGTACATCTTCTGAGATATCAATATGAATACTTTCAAAAAAAACAGGTAATAGAATTTAAAAATTAAAAACTTCTTGCATACCCAATGAGTTATTCAACTCAATATCTTTAATAAAATCTCTTTTTTACCAATTCCTTATTTTTGTGTGAGTGTGTTTTAATATCAAAGTTCAATTTTTAGAAAAACTATTATAATTTCCATTAATTATAACCAATTAATCACATAACATTTATATAAATTCCTTTTTTACTAACCTTATTATGACTTACAGCATTCCCACCATGCATGGACTTTCTCACTTGTCCTAAATATTCCTCTTTTTTGAACAACCCAGTATTTTATTTTAGGACAAAAATTCACTATACAAGACTCTTTCTCATATAAAGTTACTTTTCTTTAAGCTTTCTTACCAAAAATATCTCTTTATCTCTATAACATTGTTTATATCTCTCTTGTTTCCTAGTTCCTTTTACATTATTTTATACATAACCTTTAAGCTTTGAATTAGACAAAAATTATTTACCTTTCAATAAGAACATATTTATTAGAATGTTTTCCTACAATATAATTTAATTGGAAAGCACCCAAATATTTAATAAAATATCTTATTTAATTTCATATAACTTTAGATTCTAAATTATGACAAGTTTGTTTATAAGTATCTATTCCATCACATATATCTAATTATTTTATTTTAGTAGTTTACCTACATTATTTATGAAAACTGTGATAGTGATCAAAGTTACTTTTCCTATGAAACATTTTTATAGCCTGTGAATTTTAGGTTATTACCCAAGTAAGAACTTTAAGGTTAAGAATATGTTTATTTTACCAGTAATTCAAGATTTAGCTGTTTTCATTAAACTAACACTATTAATATCTTATTTATTAAAAATTACATGAGCAAAGATTATTCTGGTTTTGGCTGGATTTATAGTTTTCTAACCCTTATATCAAAGTCTGATACCTTATAGTATTTGCCAGGGATAAGTATGAAATCATTTGATCAATGAATGCAAACACAAAAGTATGCTGACAATTCTTAAGACATTTCTGATATTACTTTATCAATAATTTTAAAACCGGCTTATTTATTAAAGATTTTACTTAAGTCATGTGAATTTGAAAAGCATTTGGGCTTATTATTTAATTTATGAGTACTTTCAAGTTTAAGCCAATTTGGTACCATGTGGCCAAAAACATAACAAAATATGTGTAGGTACACACACACACTCACACTCACACAAACAAAAATCCTTTAGATTTTATTTCAGAACTCTAGCCATGAGATATCAATATAAAACTCACTGGTTTGCAAAACTAAATGGTTAGATGTAAATAGTGGATTTTAGCTCAGTAGAAAAGTAGCAGCTGACTTAAAGCAGGCAGAAAAGAAACCAGAAAGAGAATTTAGGAGCATAATAGTTGCAGGTCGACCTTTGGGCTCTGAATGCTCCTTGGTGTAATTTGCCCCTCAGTTTAAAATGTGCACAAGAGCAGACTTAACGTGTGACCAGCTGGAGTGCTAGGAAACCTGGCATGCCCTTCCATTTACATAACCGCTTGCAGGTAGAGGCACCATAAAACCAGAGTGGCTGAGAGGGACCGTTCTCCATGTTGTTCCTCATTCTTACATGATTCATTTCCCACATTTTTTCTTAAAAGGAGGAAGTGGGTTGGGGCCTAGAATTTAGTGTGGTGGATTGAAATGTGCTGATTGTGGGCAGGGTTCCACAGTATGTCACCACCAAGTCATTTCTGCCCTGTTACGTACCTCAGTTTCTCTCTCTGGAGGTCTAGCACCTCTGGGGGGCTCAAAGCACAGAGAGACAAAGATCTTGTGTGTGCTTCCTCGATGAGCCTTTTAAACTAATTTTGTTGGGGGTTCCCTGTAGGGCCACTGCACATCATGGGGGGTCAGCCCCCAAACATTCCCACTTGGTTCCCAGTCTCCCAGGGGCACCTTTTGGCTGGGGGGAGTGAAATGCCCTTCCTCTTCAGAGCTGAGGAAACTCAGTGTCTCATTTAATTATGAAAATGACAGTTCAGTTCCTCACACAAATGTGCAGGCAAGCCAATTGAGATTAATTTTGGAAGAAAGAGCAATAGAGAAGACTCTAAAATGCACCTCCAAAGTAGAATTAGGATCCAAACAACTTCCTAGAAGGAAAAAAAAATAGATAAGACCACTTCCTGCAAACTGTCTTCAGTCACCCCTAATTTTTTAGCTCTCTCATCCATCGTAACACACACCAAAGTCAAATCCTCTCATGGTACTCGGTAATCTCTAGTCCCCTGAAAAGCCAAAGAGGTCAGGTAATGCAATGCAGGAAACCAAAGCTTTCATGCCGTTACACTTGAAACACCATAAAAAAAGAGAACACCCCAAAAAGGAATGAATGGTGCCTTTGGTTTGGAGTTTGAGACATTAGAAGCCTTCTCCAGATTTTTCTTGGTACCAAACACAGTGAAGAGGGAAGGAAGAATAGAGTGAAATAAATGTAAACAAAAGAACACTTTTTTTTTAAGGACAGGACACAAACACAGAAACCAAGTACATGGTTTTTTGTTCATTTGTTTGTTTGGTTTTTGCTTCATTTTGTTTTGTTTTGCAGCTGCAAGGAATATTGCCAATTCAAAGGTCTTGTTCCCCATAAATTGGAATTCACATTTGGACTTGACCAAGTTAAGTACAGTTGGTCAAATCCGATGAGAGAAAGACCAGAACAACAAAAAGAACCCCAACAATATGATTACTGAGTGCTCTAAAGGTAAGGAGAAATTAAGACCACCTGGTTGTCAGTTTCAACCTTTAGTCATTTAGGAGAATTTCCAAGACCAAAAAAGCCCCAATTCAGCTACTTACCTAGGATTGGGTTCCCAGCTAAAGACTGCTCTCTACCTTCCTAGAAGCAGGAAAAAACTGAAACGCGCCTTCCCTGTTGGAAGTGAACTGAAACTCCAAAAGGATTTACCTGTCTTCCATCATCATGGGGAGCAGGAAAATTTGCCTTTTTTTGTTGGAAGCAAATAAAACTCCAGAAAAAGAATCATACAGCAAAATAAACATTGGATCTCAACCAAATTTTGGGAGATTAGGGATTCTCTGGAGGGAGGGGAACTCCCAGGCCTCAGCAAATTGTCCTATTGGTTTTAGCCACAAGGATGGCTCAAGGTGATGCTAAGCACTGATAGGAGATTTGCCAAATCTCAGAACCTCCACTCAGAATCCCTCTGTGGTTACCAATTTGTGAGACAGAAAGTATCTGCAACAAGTCTCAATCAATTTAGAAAGTTCATTTTGCCAAGGTTAAGGACACATCCATGACACAGCCTCAGGAGGTCCTGACGACAGGTGCCCAAGGTGGTTGGGGCACAGCTAGCTTTTATACATTTTAGGGAGACATAATACGTCAATCAATACCTGTAAGATTCACATTGGTTCAATCTGGAAGGGCAGGACAACTCGAAGTGGGGGCTTCCAAGTCATAGGTAGAATTAAAAATTTTCTGATTGATAATTGGTTGAAAGAGTTATTATCAGTAGAAAGGAGTGTCTGGGTAACAATAAGGGGTTGTGGAGACCAAGGTTTTATCATGCAGATGAAGCCTCCAAGTAGCAGACTTCAGACAGAATAGATTGTAAATGTTTCCTATCAGACTTAAAGTCTGTGTTGAAGTTAATGCTGTGTTGATGTTAATGTATAATGAATGCCCTTAGCCAAGAGGAAAGGCTTTAGAATTTAATTTTTTGTTTACAAGAGTTAGAAATCAGGGTTGGTTTTTTTCTTTCACAAAACTAAAACTTCCAAAGAAAAGATATTGAAAAAAGTATATTAAAAAAAAACCCTGAAAATTGTTTTGAAATGAGAAAATAGTACATTTTAAGATAGAATAAAGCACACTGCATCCTGGAAAAGATAAATAAAACTAAATTCATCCCTGGATGCATCTAGTAACGGAAGCATAATGAAAAAGATTAGAGTCCTATAAAGAGAATATAGGCCACTTAAAGGAGAACAAACATTGTAATGAGAGCATCTTGAAATACAGAAGCTAGAAGTTATCAGAATAATATATTTGAAATAGTTGAATAAAGTAATGGTCAGTTCAGAAATCTATATTCAATAATTAAATATTAAAGAGTGAAAATAATATTAAGGCAGTTTAATGACTACTAAGAGAATTTATTAATATATATACTCGCTATTAACATTCATATGTATTCTTTAGGTAAGTGTCTATTCAACTGCTTGGCCCATTTTTAAAACTGAGTTGTTTGTCTTTTTATTGTTATGTTGTGTTTTTTTATATATTCTGGATACAAGTCTTTTTGATAGAGAAGAAAGGAGGAAACCAGTCGATCAGGCAGTTACAGTGGTTGGGTCCTTGATTGAATTCTTTCAAACAAAAGAATAGCCTAAAAAATCAAGTAGCAGGCACAGATAAGGAAACTTGCATGGGGGGCTTGCCTAACTATGCACATAGCCACACAGATAAGAAAGGCAATGCAGGTGACTTACCCAGACATGCTTGCAATGGAAAATTCTGTCCCCTGACACATGCACTGGAAGGGGAACAAAGCACTATGGAGTAACTTAAGCTAAGGGCCTGCATGTGCATTAGGAGGATGGGGTGGAGCTACCAGAAATTTGCACCTTATGCAAATGAGACGCCCAGCCCTAAACAGGTTCTTATATAAGCCTTTGTATTCATTTGTAAAACCGGCAACCCTCTTTCGGACCCCCTTTCTGCAGCAGAGAGCTTTCTTCTTTGGCTTATTAAGCTTTTGCTCCAACCTCACCCTTTGTGTCCACATTCCTTAATTCTCTTGGTCGAGACACAAAGAACTCCAGGTGATACATCACAAGGAGAGACTGCTACGTTGAGGTGCATTGGCATGACTGTAACATTTTATCTGATATATAATTTGCAGATATTTCCTTCTGTTCCACAGGTTGTCTTTTCGCTTTATCGATGGTGTCTTTTTGAAGCATTTTTTTTTATTTTGATGAACCTAGATTTATCTTTTTTGTCTTGCCACATGTTATTTTACTATTATATCTAAGACAAAATTGTCTAATCCAAAGACAAGTTTTACTTCTGTGATTCCTTCCAAGAGCTTTACAATGGTAGCTCTTACCTTTAGTTCAATGATCCATTTTGATTTCACTTTCATATATTGTCTGAAGTAGGGGTTCAATTTTATTATTTTAGTCATAGAGCTACAGTTGTTCCAATATCACTTTTTCAAAAGATTATGCTTTTCTCTGTTGAATTGTATAGATATTTATCAAAAATCAATTGAGGATTAATGTAGAAATTTGCTTCTTGAATCTCTCAATTCTATTCAATTTGGAAAGTATTGTCATCTTAACAATTTTAAATCTTTTGATCTATGAACATGAGATGTCTTTCCATTCACTAATTATGTTTGTTAAATTTATTCCTAAGTATTGTTTTGTATGCTATTGTAAATGGAATTGTTCTCTAATTTCATTTTTGGATTGTTTATGGATAGGATATAGAAATACAACACTTTTTTAAAAATTCAAGGTAAGGCATCGTAGCTTATGCCTGTAAACTCACAACTTTGGGAGGCCAAGCTGGGAGGATTGATTGAGGCCAGAAGTTCAAGGCTGCAGTGAGCCACAATCCAGTATCACTGCCCTCCAGCCTGGTTGATAGAGCAAGAACTTGTCACAAAAAACAAAACAAAAACAAATTTATATTATATCTTGCAGCCTTACTAGCCTTATGAGCTCTAGTAATGTTTGTGTTTTCTTTAGAATTTATATATACATGACCATATCATCTGCAAAGAGAGAATTTTACCACTTCCTCTTCAACCTTGATGTCTCTTTAATTCTTGACTAGTTTCCTAGGCTAAAATTGCTAGTATAATATTCAGTATAAATGGACAGAACTGATATCTTTGTCTTAATCATGAAGGTAGGAAGAAAACACTCAGCATCTCACCATCATGTATAATGTTATCTATGTGTTGTTGTTGTTGTTGTTTTTGTAGATTTCCTTTGTCAGGTTTAGAAAGTTCCCCTTTTTTCTTAGTTTGTTGACAGTTATATCATGAAAGTGTACTGTATTCTATCTAAGGGTTTTATTTGGCATCAACTGGGGTTATTATTTTTCCTTTATTCTATTAATATGATATATTACATTCATTAACTTTTCATATTGAAACAATTTGGCATTCCTGGCATAAATCTTACTTAGGTCACAATTTATAATCATTTGACACAGTACTAGATTTGACTCACTATTGTTTTGTTGAGGATTTTGTGTGCGTTTTCACAAGAGATATTGAAATGTAGTTGTGTTTGCCAGGTGTCACAGTAATATTGACTTCATAGAATGGGTTGAGAAGTGTTCCTTCCTCTTCTAGTTTTGGAAGATTTTTGTGAAGAATTGGTATGAATTATTCCATGAACATTTGGGTGAATTAATCAGCTAAGCCATCTGGACCTGATCATTTTTTTTGGCAAGTTTTAAAATTTATTACTAAGTAAATATATTTGTTTTCAGTCTATTCAGATTTTTTATTTCTTCTTGACTCATTTGTGATCATTTACGTATTTCTAGACTTTTATCCTGGTTATGTAATTTGATGAAATACAATTGTTTATGGTATTTCATTTTAATCCTTTTTATAAGGTTAAGTAATAATGCTTCTTATTTCATTCTTGATTTTAACAATTTGAGTCTCCAAAACTTATCATCATTCACATTTTAAAATTAATCTTGATAAAGGTTTGTCCATTTCATTGGTCTTTCAATAAATAACTTGGCTTTTTAAATGTACCCTATTGCTTATCTACTCTCTATTTCATTTATTTCCTTTCCAATCTTTGTTTCTGCCTTCTTTCTGCTTGCTTTGTATTTAGTTTGTTCTTTTCTTTCTAGTTTCTTTAAGTGGAATGTTAAAGTTTTTTTTAAGACAGTTTAAAGTACAGGTTGCTTACAGCTACATATTTCTCTCTTATCGCTGCTTTAGCTCCTTCACAGAAGCTTTGCTATGTTTTATTTCATTTTCGTTCATCTCAAAATATTTTTATAATTCCCTATGTGATTTATTCTTTCACTCACTGATAATTTAGCAGTGTGTGGGGGTCTTTTTAAAATTTCCACATTTTTTAAATTCCCCAGTTATTTCTATTTTTGAGTTCCAGTTTTATTTCATTGCAGTAAGAGAACATACTCTGTATTACTTAAATTATTTTAAATTAATTGAGGCTTATTTTGTGGCCTGACATATGCTCTGTCCTGGACAATTTCCATATACAATTGAGTAGAACTTATATTCTATTCTTTTTGGATGGAGCGTTCTGCACATGTCTTATCATCTATAATGATAGGTAACATCTGTCATCTACAGAGGTCAAAATGATGTGCAGAGTTGTTTGAGTCTTCCTTATTAATTTTTGTCTAGGTGTTTTAACCATTTTTGAAAGTAGGGTATTGAAGTCTCCAACTAGTTCTCTTAAATTGTAATTTCTCCCTTTATTTTTACCAGTTTTTGCTTCATATATTTCAGGCTTCTGTTGTTAGGGCATACATGTTTATATAATTGTTATGCTTTTCTCATGGATTGAACTTATCCTTATAAAATTTCCCTCTCAGTTTCTAGAAATAATTTTTGCCTGCAAATACATACTGTTTTCCATTAGCATAACTATTCTAGCTCTCTTTTGTTTACCATTTACATGGTATATCTTTTTCATCCTATTATTTCTAAACTACTTTTGTCTTTGTATATAAATTGTGTATTTTATAGACAGGATATAATTAGATTATGTTTTTGTATCTGCCAATCAGTTCATTTGTATTTAATATAATTTTTGTTAGGATAAAATTTATGATTGCCATTTTGCTGTTTTTTACTTCTTATTTCTCTTTTGTTGGTCTATTTCTTTATTACTGTCTTTTATGTTAAATAGATATTTTCTAGTATATCATTTTAATTCCATTGTCATTTTTAAAAATAATATTTTAGTTATTTTCTTAGTAGTTGGCATGAGATTAAAATGAGCATCTTAATTTGTAACAACTTCACAAGTTTGTTTATAGCTATTTATAAACAATGTATTTATACTGTATTTTATAGTTATTTTCACTGGTACTACTATTTTTTCATATGGGTTTGAATTACTGTCTAGAGTCCTTTCATTTCAACCTAAAGAACTCTCTTTAGTATTTCTGATAAACCAAATCTGCTAGAGATAAATCCCCTCAGTTTCTGTTTACCTAGGGAAGTCTTAATTTCTGCTTCATTTTTGAAGCAAAATTGTGCTGGGTATTGAGTTCTTTGTTGACAGTCATCTTCTTTAAGCACTGTAAACATGTCATCCACTCCCTTCTGCCTGCCATGATTTCTTGTGAGAAACCTGCTGTTAATTTTATTGAGGATTCCTTGGACATGACAAGCCATTTCTCTCTTCCTCCTTTCAAGATTTTTTCTTTAATTTGGGTTTTTGACATTTCGATTATGATGTTTCTAGGTGTGAAAAATCTTTGAGTTTATTCTACTTGCTATTATTTCAGGGTTTTTTGATGTGTAAATTAAAAGTTTTCATTGAATTTGGGAATTCTTGGCAATTATTTCCTCAAGCATTCCTTCTCTTCTCTCCTACCGGAACTGCCAACATTTAGATGTTCATGTGTTTCATGGTGGCCCATAATTTTCTGTTTTTTCATTTGCTTCTTTCTGTTTCTCAGACCAGATAATCTAAATTAACGTATCTTCAAGTTCACTAAACCTAAAGATACATTAATTGCCCGTTGAAATCTCCTGTCGAGACATTTTAATAAATATGTTATTTTACTTACTGTTCTTTTCAACTCCAGAATTTCTATTTGGTTTACTTAGAATTTGTATCTCTTGCATTGATATTCTCTGTTTGATTTACTTTTATAGTTTCCTTTAATTATTTGGACATATTTTAAATAGCTGATCTAACATTGGTGTCTAGTAAGTTCAATTTCTGGTATTCTCCCCGGATAGTTTATATTGAGCTTTGTTTTCTGTATATGAACCATATTTTTTGTTTCATTTTGTATCTCATTTTTTTCATTTTGTATCTCATAATTATATAATGTAGCAACTATGAAAATCAGATTTCTACCCCCTATAATTTATTTTTATTATTACTGTTTGTCGTATCGATGTTATTGCTATTTGTATAGTGACTTTCCTAAGCTAATTTTGCTATGTGTGCATTCTTTGTTACGTAAGGCCACTGAAGTCTCTGTTTTTGTAGTTCAGTGGTCAGCTAATGAGTGGACATTAATTTTTTTGAACCAGTAAGACTCCCAATCTTGCTGAGAGAATGTGTGAGTTGGGGCATGTGCAGTTTATATACACTGCTTTATTCTTTGCTTTCTGCTTTCACAGAGCCTCAAAATCAGTCAGAGATGAGAAATTGGGACCTTATCAGATTATTTCTCAGCATGTGCCCAGATCTGCACATGGATGTAGCCCTCTAGATTCCCAGGATATTTCTAGGCTTTTCAAAGCTCTTTATGATTGTCTCATTCCCCAGCTTTTCAAGTTTTGTAGTCAGTTTCTTATTAGCCTTACCTACATCACTGCCTTAGGCAGATGTGAAGTTAAACCAATTGTCACTGATTTCTTTCCAATAAATATCCGAGGGAGAGGGCTATTTGCATTGGACAAGCTCTGAGTCAGTTCTAATAAAGACGAGCTCCATGTAATGGCTTCTCAGAAAACGGCCAGACAGGTCAAATAATGACAGTCCTCTGGAAATGAGATGGTTGAAAAAGCCCCAACCCATTCTTCCCCCAATAGTGGCTGATTGGCTGCTGGTTTTCATCCCTACGTGATTACAAGACTGGTGGTTTTTAAGGTTTCCTTGGAGCTGAGAAAAGCAGAAGGGGAAGAGGGCAAGTTAAAATGACACAAAGCTCAATCTTATTAAGATTCGGCTTTTTTTCTTGATTAAGCAGTTTTCAGATTATTGCCTGCCTTTGGTTACTTTCCAGAGTTCTGTAAAAGTTGATTTTGACAATTTTTTTTTAACCAGTATTCTCATTGCTTTTATAGAGAAATAAATTTTTGGAGGCATTACATGATTATTCTGGATGTGCCCTCTTATATATTGTTTTAAAATTTCAGTACTGGTTATTAAATTTTCATTGAAGTCAAAGACCTAAGGCACTAACTAATAGTTTGAGCATAAATATACCCTTTAAATCCAAAGTTAATGTCAAAGTTTACTTACCCAGGCAAGGTTTGTAGCAAGATTCTAAGCAAGTAACAATATAAAATATTTTGTAGTATAATTGAAGAAAGAGATAATTGAAATTAAATGAAATAAATTTAATTCAAGAAGATACAAAAGGGAGTAAATCCAAAGGAAATAGAAAAATTTAATAGTAAAAATTAAATATTAAAATTAAATAATAAATTACAAATTAATAAATTTTATTTATTGTAAATAAAATTTAAAATAATAATAATAAAGGTAAGAGGAGAAATTAATAAAACAGGAAAAGAGGAACTATAGATATAATAAAATATTAGGATACTTTTACTTCAAGTAAAAGTTCAGCTCAAACTGGCTTAAAATTAAGAAAATTGCGTAACTCAATTAGTTAGGTTTTCCCAAAAAACCAGAGTATATATATTCTGTTATATTTTGTGTAATATATATAACTGCATATTGTTATATAGAAATGTAATATAGTTTCATACATATAAATATTAAATATTGAATTGAATAATGAGTATATATGTGTGTGTATATATACTGCATATATACACATATGTGTATGTATTATATATGTGTATGTGTGATATATATATACATACACGGGTGTGTGTATATACATTTTTAAAGCCAGTTTTTGTTTGGAGGTGGACATTGTATACACACACATACATATATGTACATGTATATAAAAAAAGAGAGAGGTTTATTTTATTTTAAGGAACTTGTTCACACAATTATGGGGACTGCCAAGTCAGGCCGACCTACGATGTTGTAGTTTAGAATCAGAGTTCTTTCTTCTCTGGAAAACCTCAGGCCTGGCTCTTCGGCTTTCAACTAATTGAATGAGACCTACCCACATTATAGAGGGTAATTAGCTTTACTTAAAATCAACTGATTTTAAACGTTAATCACTTATAAAAACTATCTTTACAGCAACATCTAAACTAGTTTTGACCAAACAACTGGTTACCTTACTTTAGCCAAGTTGACAGAGAAAATGAACCATCACACATGAGAAGGCAGAGTTAGAACAGGATTCAAGCGTGTTGCAGCCGGTGATCTCAGGCCCATTTCTCAGCAGTCCCTCCGTATTTTGGCTTCATCTTTAGAGAGGCAATTAGATATCACAGTATTTCCAGGCCTTACATTTTTGCAGAATAAATCCTAGAAGAAGAAAAGATGACTTTCAATAACTCACTTAGAAAAATAATATTCCCAAATTATTTTACAAATGTCTACTGGCATCACGTCAGGACAGGTGTGTTCACACAACCATTTGAGAATTGATCACTGTCTAGGAAGGCAGAACTACTCCTAAGGTGCTGAGGTCCATGCTGTAGGTGATGCTATGGTTGGCTTCCCTGTGTCCCAGGGAGTAGAAAGGAAGACATAGCTAAACAAATTAGAGATTTTTGGGGAAAGATGGAGGAGTATGGATACTAACTAGCAAGCAGCAATGTCCACCCCCAAACAAAAACCAGTTCTAAAAATAACCGCCAACAGCAGCAGTGGCAGTAGCAGCAAAATTCAAAATTCATCCAAAGAAAAAACTGCAAACAAGAATAACTAAATAAGAAAGAAACAGAATAAACACTTAAATAAATAAAAGTGGGCATGATTATAACTAAAATGTATTTAATGATTAACAAATATTTTGAACAAATTATGTCAATATTTTATTTTGAACTTAGATGAAAGGAATAAAGTTAAATAGCTATAAATTACAATTATTTGTTTTAAAAGAAGATCTGATTAAAACAACAAAATGAAAAATTTAAATTGTTAGTCACCTGTACTCCTTAACCAAAGGAACTAATTACAGATGGTTTTATAAACAAGTTCTACGAATCTTCAAGAAAAAAAACAATTCCTACCAAATTCAAAGTGATTTAGAGAATATGAAAAAAGTAAAACTTTTATTTTTTGTAAGAGTGTAATGCAGCATTGATAAGAAAATAAGACAACTAGAGCCCCCTCCCAGAAAAAATTAAGGCCCCATCTAACTTATGAGCAAAGTGAAAAATCCTAAATAAAAAATGGTAAATGAAAACTAGCAAAACGTCATTACGAGATAAATTTAGTCTCAGGTGTGAAAAAATATTTCAACGTGATAAATCTATTAATGCAAATTACCACATTAATGGATTTATGTGGAAAAAACCATGATCAGAAGGATGCAAGGAAATACATGAAGATAAAATGAACATTAATAACAGAAAAATCTGAGACATTTAACACGTGCTAGTGACAAAATGTTCCAAGCAGACAAAATAAATAGCTTTAAAATGAAAACCACTTTTTACAAACTCTTAGTAATATCACAGTTGGAATTCAATTTTTACAATATTATAGTTTAAAGTCAGATGGAAGACAATCACAGCCATTGTAACCCTTAGTGCGCTGTTGCCAAAGAAAACCAGAGCTGGACACTAGTTAAGTAAAATTTTTTTAAAAGATTTTGTTTATAAGCTATTGCAATAAAGGAAAATACACCTTGATATAGAATTGGGCTAAATTCTGAATACAGTAAAGACAATAAAGTGTGTGTGTCTGTGTGTGTGTTTGTGTGTGCGGTAGGAGTCAGTGGATGGAAATTGCTAAAAGCAGACAAAAAAGGTAAGGGAGATTCTTGCTAAACTAATCTCACAGAATTCCAGCTGAAGACAGGCTAGGGTATCAGGGATCCTCTCTAAACTGCCTTAGCAGGATTCTTGCTAAAACTAGGCTATGCAGTTCTGCAAGAATTGGGGCCAGTTGAGGCCTAGGAGAAAAGAAGGTTGTGAGGAGCCGGACAAAAGTTTGGTCATGGAGAGTGTCTTGTCAGTTCCTCCTCTTTACCAGATGAATTCTTTTTCCTTTGAATAATATAAGTCCTTTTCTCATTCGAGCATCTTTTGTTCATTGGGAGCAGCTGAACCACCTGTTGAGACTTGGTGAAAGCTTTCAATTGCTGTACTATGCATGCGAGCCTTATGACATTTAGAGAAGAATAGCTATGAAGAGAAACAGCAAAGATAACAGGCTGAGTCAATCTATAAGCCCAACTTTGCAGGTCTTCAGGGATCACCAAAAACATCCCAGGACCTACAATCTTTCCTTGGTGTTAGTAAAATGGCAGTGATGAAACAGATTTCTTGTTTGCCTCTACAACCTTCTTGGTTATAGGAAAGATTTAAGACAGTTTGTCAGGAGGAAGATGCACCAGTTGTTTCCAACCACCACTCGAGCACCTGCTTCTGCAGCCAGGATCCTGTTGAAGACAGTGTGGCTATAGAGGGCAGCATGCACGGTTTTCCTGTCATGGGTGAGCCAGGGATTGGAGGCCATTGGTAGCATTGTTCAGGCACAAGGAGAGTTGCTTCTGCAATGAGTAGATGATGCTGTTGTGGAATTGAACTTTTTCAGCCAGGTGATAGGTTCCTTGGGATGGTTTCCAAAAAGTGGCAATTCTTTTCCAAAAAGTAGGGAGATCATGGATGGAATATAGGCCCAGTTCTGTAGCTGCTTTCTATAAATAACCTACCAGAGCAGAGATCATCTACAAGGGAACTTGTGATGTCCTGGACACCTCTTTTGTTTCCATGATGAGAGAAAGGTGAACAGAAGGCAGTGACTGATGCGTTTAGAAATAATTCAAGAAAAGGTTATTGAACTGAACTGGAGTCAGCTCTCTTGGTGCCTTAAGGCCAAACACCCACATTGAGGTTTGCAGGGGAAGAACGGGCATTTATTTGCAGGGCACCAAGCAAGAAGAATCACACCGTTCATTCTTAAGGCTCAATCTCCCCAATGGCTTGCAAGTAAGGATTTTTAAAGGCATAGAGACAGAGGGCATAGGCAAAGTCATACATCAATACATGGAGACTGTACATTGGTTTGACCTAAAAGGTGAGTCATCTTGAAGTGGGAACTTACAGGTCATAGGTAGAGTTTCTGATTTGTGATTGGTTAAGGAGGCAAAGATTTGTCTTAAAACTTGGGGTCAGAAGAAAGGAATGTTAGCTTTGGCTCATGGGTGTGATTTCCTCCAGGCCCTCAGGAAGAACAAAGAATGATGGCCAGAGTTCAGTTTTCAGTTCCCTCTTATCCAAGGTCTATGTGTCCATGGATCCACTGGGTAGGGATCTGGGCTTCTGAAAAACAACTCAGAGACCTATGTTAAAATGCTATCTTTAGTTGCTATAGGGAATATCTCATGACTCTAACGTCCTTGGCTGTTGTTTTAAGCTCCTATTGCCTAATTGCTACCAAGCTGCTCATTTACTTCTCAGGGCTAGCTAGATGCCTGGAGTGTCCCTTGAAGGAATTCAAGATTTTCCTGGTAGGGGAGAGAGTCCTGGCAGGCTCCTAAGACAGGTCTCTGCTCTGTCTCAAAAATAAAAACATTATGAGGAATTGAGTATGATAAAGGGAATAGTAAGATTGGAGAGATAACAAGAATCTGCCCAGTTGGCCGGAAACAGCCAATAGGCATGAGTTCCACAGAAAAAGTTAGAACCATCAGGAGCTAGCCAGGGTCATATAAATAATTATCCAATTGCTGAAGCTGCCAAGATAATTCACATTTTGAGGATGGAAAAGAATTTGCCAGAGGTGGTTAGTCCACATGTGGTTCATTTTGGTCCAGTAAATTAGGTTGGGTGGGGCATTGAGGAGAATTCCATTTGTATGAGGGATGTCTCAGGAATCTGTAGCTTGGATGCTTTATTTTGGATTTAGTGTAATGCTAGGTAAATGTGATGGCAAACGCTCATTCCCAGAAAGGGGACACTGGTGTAACTAAAATAATACAGACATGACCTTTGTGAAAATAGAAAGGCATAGATTCAAGGTTTTCTCATGATGTATTACTATAGTCTGGTTTAGGAAGGTGAAGAGAAAGAAAGGGCCATAGCAAAAAAATAAAAATAAAAAAATAAAAAAAGCATTTCAATTGATCAAAGAAATCTGGGAAATTCTAGATGTGTCCATGGGAAAGGGGGCACAGCATTACACTCTGTGATGTTGTGGGAAGAAGTGACTAGTGGGGCCAGGCTTTCCAAAGGTTGTGTGGGTGAAGAAGTCTTACTAAGAGGTAAGAAAAGAAAAGGTCAGGGAAGGAGCAGAAACTCCTAAATGTAGGGGCAAAAACATGAAGTTGAATATTAAAGTCAGGCGAGAAAAGTTATGCTGAAGGCAGGGAGTTACTGTGGGCACAAACGACTCTTGAGAAATGAGTTGGGAAGAGCAGGGGACTCCTAGGCAAAGGGCAAGGATAAAGCAGGAGGATGTAGGAAGGCAAATTAGGTGTGTGCTGTTCCCTGGTCCTGGGCAGAAGCTGACTGGACCCCTCACAACATCAGCTGCTTGTTCCATGGATATTAGGACAATTGATGCTTCTCGCTATCATTTGCCTCTAGAGGCTCTCCACAGAGCTTGGTTTGAGGTCTCTGAATGGAAAACTTCTCCAGTCTTAATAACTTCTGCATTTCTTTAGTGGAAAAACTGGAACACAAAATTGAACACCCTGTAATTTAACAACAGTGTTAGCAATAAGTAAAACTGTACACGTTTCCTTCTATCTAAATTCCAGTTTTTTGATGGTGGTGTTTCCAGAGCACTAGATCCCCTGGTAAAGCTGTGTAAGGGACAATCAGGAAGTTCTAAAAGAGGCAGCCTTGACACAGCAATCATAGTCCTGAGTATATTTCATTGCCCTCCACAGTATCTAAGAATGTGAGATGAGTCCCTTAGAATCTTCTGCTAGCCCAGATGACTAAGGCATGTGCATGCCCTTACCTGTGAGAATTTGAAAAGGCCGGAACTTATGTGGAGACAGTGGGGAGGATCTCAGAGTCATAGAGTGACAGGCAGCACTGGTGGCCACGGTCAGTGCAATTCTTTAAATAGGTTAGCCAGATTAGTGTTGAGGATGCTGTTGGCTTTTTGTATGGTGCTTGGGGACTGAGGTTGGTAAGAGAAGTGGGGTGTTTGTGTAATGTTTATTGTCATTTGAA
Source organism: Homo sapiens (assembly GCF_000001405.40). Classification (NCBI taxonomy): domain Eukaryota; kingdom Metazoa; phylum Chordata; class Mammalia; order Primates; family Hominidae; genus Homo; species Homo sapiens. The sequence continues at coordinate 54,181,224 of NC_000007.14, forward strand.
TTTCCTGTATAATTCTGTGAATAGCATGTGATTCTTTGCCACTAGAGATGGTATAGGGGATACCCCAAGTGGAGAAAATTCATTGTAGGAATGCTGAGGCAACTGACCTTCCTGAGGGATTTCATCAGGAAGAGTCCGGGTTGGTGGAAGGAAGTGAAAGTTGCTTGCCATCCTCGCCCTAACTTCACAGTTTTTTTCCAGGGTTATGTTTCTGGCAGATGAGGCAAGTGGCAATCGCTTGGTCCAAACACAAATGAAAAAATCCGAACTATTGTTTGTCTAAAATATCTCATATTTTGTCCATTCCATACTGAGTCATGTTGTGTGGCCACACAGTGGCTCAGGCAGTAGACTTCAGAGCAGCCAAATGGTGGCCTTGTTGTGTCCTAAGTGCATCTTAAAGCATTTGTCTGAGCCAAGCAGCCAAGGAGGGGATGAATACTTCTACCAGGTGTTTAGGGCCTTGAAGTGGGACCCAGACTCATCGTTCCAAAGTTTGGAAAGGGTCTGGCTGCCTTGAGTGGTTGGGAAAATGGCTGTTAATTTAACACACATAAGTGGCCAATTTATTTCTCCAGGCATCAGCCGAGCTTTTCCTACTGTGTCCCTCAGTTTTAACACTAGCCATCTACCAGGGTGCTAACAATCCTTCTGGAGGTTCTGCTGTTAGATGTCTGCTTTTGCCTGGTGCACAAGCTGCTGTCATGTATCCTCTTTTACAACATATCCACATCATGTACTACCTCAAAGGTACCGTGGCTATAACAGTACTATAAACCCTAACCTTTGTTTCCTCTGCTTTTTTGCAAGCCTGAATGAGAGCAATAACTTGGCCACCCTGGCTGATTTAACATTTGTCAGGGCTTGATATTCAAGAGGTTTGTGTTGATAAGTGATGACATATCCATTCCAGAAGGTTCCATTCTCCCTCTAAAGAGGGAGCCATAGACACAAAGGTTGAGGTCAACTTGGCGGAGGGGCTCTCCGATAAATCTAGCCCAGGACAAGATCTAGTGTTAATGACACGTTCATGGTGGCATCCCATCAAAGGGCAAAGAAAGCAAGGTTGGCAAGGTTAGGGTTTTGATGATGATATACGGTGATTTGAGAGGGAGAGTGTAGTGAGCTTTCATGAGGTAAGTCAAGATGCAGAAAAGTGCTATGTGTTTTCATTAAGCAAGAAGGGCCTGTATAGCAAGGCGAACATGTGTGTCATTTGGTTGACCTAATACCACATCAGTGGTATTTTGGACATGCTTTGCAGTTCTAGCCATGGCTCAAAGGCAACAGTCATGGCTCAAAGGCCTTAGCTAATGGGTCAAGCTACTGGGTCAAGGCCAAAATACAATATTACAGAGGTCTCTGGTATCCATTATGTTTCTAGAATAATATACCAGGGCATGACCTCCACATTTATCCATGAACAAGGGAAAAGTCAGGAAGTAACTGGGGAGTCCAAGCACGGGGGAGGGGTGTGAAAGTAGAGAGCCCTTAAAATTATCAAAAGCATTTTTGGATAGCAAGTCTCAGACTACTTGGTTTGGAGATGACTCCTTAATCAGGGCACAGAGCACTGCAGCAATTATGGAGAAATTAGGTACCATATCCTACAACATCTCGCAAGGCCCAAAAACTTCTCAGCATTACTTTGTTTCAAAAAAAGGAAAGTATTAAATAGTAGAGGTTTGGTCTGTGGAGAGAATTTTACCGTGGCCCAGATACCACAGACATAGTAAGTGCCACTGAATTTTGTCTCTAGCCACCCTGTGATCCTCTCTTGCTCATGCCTTAAGAAGGTGCTCAGTGACCTAACTCTCAGTACCTAGAAGGAGGTCATCCACATACTGGAGTAAAATGGCGTCACTTGGGAAGACAAAAATTGACACCTAGAGTGTTCAAGAGGTAGGTAGAGGCCTCTGTAAATCCTTGGGTCATACTAGTCTGCGTACATTGTTGGATATTTCTGGTGAAGGCAACCAAGTATTGGAATTCCTTATGAAGGGGTATACTAAAAAAGGCAGAAAAAAAATTGATGACAGTGACATATTGAGTGTTGTAAGTGATAACAGACAGTACAGTGGCAGGAGTCAGCACTCAGGGAAACCCAGGTTTGACCATTTTATTGATAGGTCTTAGATCTTGGACTCAATGATACCCTTCCCATTTAGGATTTTAATGACTAAGATGGGAATATTCATAAACTACAAGTGGAGACTAGAAGTTGGTTTTTTTTTTCTTTTTTTGGTTTTTGAGACAGAGTCTCTCTCTGTTGCCCAGGCTGGAGTGCAATGGCATGATCTCAGCTCACTATAACCTCCACCTCCCAGGTTCAAGCTATTCTCCTGCCTCAGCCTCCTGTGTAGCTGGGATTACAAGCATGTGCCATCATGCCCAGCTAATTTTTTGTATTTTTAGTAGAGAAGGGGTTTCACTATGTTGGTCAGGCTGGTCTTGAACTCTTGACCTCAGGTGATCCAACTGCCTCAGCCTCCCAAAGTGCTAGGATTACAGACGTGAGCCACCGCACCCTGCCTGAGACTAAAAGTTTTTGTCAAATAAACCTGGGACTACTGAGTACAGCCCTCATGTCCTTCTGATTTTAAATGATATTAGAGAATCTTGAGGACAGGCATGGAAGGACCTATTTCTACTTTAAGGGATTGTACATTCCATACAAATCCAGTATCAGTGAAGTTTGTTTGTTTGATTGTTGTCCATAGAGAAGAGAAAAATCTGTTTAGTAGTTGATTTAAATTTTTAGCTAAATGTATGGTAGTTTGAAGGCGAGAATGGACTCAGAGAAGTCAGACAAAGCCACTGGGGAAGGAAGACTTAAGGAGTCCCCTGGGGCACAGTGAATTTGATATCCCTGTGGAGAGACAATCTCTTCCTAACAGGATTCCTGGGGGCAGAGCTGAGAAGAGAGTTGTGTTTAGCTTTCAGGAGTCCCATAAGAATATTAAGAGATTGAGGCAGAGGCAAACAATGAGGCAAATTATAAAAACCCACCACTCGTAATTTGCGGTGGCCCCAAGGAAGGGAAGAGGAAACGAGGTTATTCCCGTTCCATTACAGGTAAGTGGCAGTTGAGGGCATTGGACATTTTCTTTCTTGGAGGGGTGTCAGTCATTTCCTGGGGAGGCAGGGACTCAGGCTTCTTCCCTCTTCTTGGTGTCCTGGCAACCTCGGGCCCAGTGTCACCTTTTATGATAATGCCAGCAAGTGGCCCAGTCAGTGGGAGCCCACAGTTTCAGAGCTTGCTATTGATTACATTTTCCAGGTTTTTCTATTTCAATTGAAATGCCATAAACTCGTGATGTTTATTTTCCTTTTTATTAAAAAAAATACTGTTTTCATAATACTGAGCTAATGCCTACAGTTTGGATATGTTTGTGTTTACCAATTAATTTTATTATTCTGTGATGTGTCATGCAGCTCTTGTCTCAGACCATTTTCAGTTTGTGGCCAGAGCAGAAGCTGCTTGGGAAGTCAGTTCCAGCCCCAAATGTTCTTCCATGTTGTTTGTAATCAATGGTGGTGGTTAACCACAGTTTCAGCCCTTTTTGGTTTATAATTTTGAATGCATGACCAATCAATTTTAGTGAGATCGTCCTGAGGGATAGTACCTAGTACTTTTTCCTCTTACTTCCCTCAGTTTCTGATGGGAATCAGGGGAAGTCTGAGATTTTTAATGTTTCTCAAGGTTGATAAAACATTTGGCTTTTTCGAACCAATGGGAGGCATCTCCAGGCCCCTTGAATAAGGATGAGTTGATACGAGTCAGAGAGTTCCAGAGAGTATTTTCTCAGAAAAATTTTTAATTGTTCAGTAAACCTTTCCCTTACCTCCTGGGGGTCAGGAGAGTCCTTGGTGATAACAAGTAATTAAGTATTATCTCTTCGGTGGTCCGCACTTGGAAACAAGTACAGGCTGCGTCTCTGGCTTCACCTACAGGAGAGAGGGCCCAGTGAGCCTGACAGCTCTAGGGAGCTGAAGGACTAGGGGTGAGACGTGCAGGGGACATTTTGAGAAAGAAAGATACAGAGGAGGGCTGCGAGGGGACTCCGGGAATACCATAGGAGGGGTATACAGGGCTAACTGGGTCAGAAAATGTTTTCTGAATACCTTGTTTAAGAAGTTCTTCTTGTTTTAGAGTTTTGAGTACAGCTTGAATTATTTAGTCATTTTTCAGCTTCTTCATACCAAGCAGAATAAGTGAATTGTGCATCCAAGATTTTTGTTTCTTGTTACTCTAAGTGTCTTCTAGGTGAACCAATATCAAGACAGACAAGGATCCCCAGAAGGGCCATTGTAGGTCAAGAGGGTTTTTAGTAAAGGTTTTCCAGGGTGAAAGAAAGCCAATGGTATTACAGCCACAGCCACAGTGGCAAAGGGTATTGTCCACAGGAGTTTGAGAAGAGAGGGTACTGTGGTTTAAATGTGTCCCCCAAAGTTCATGTGCTAGAAACAATCTCCAATGTGACAATGTTAAGAGGTGGGGCCTAATGAGCTGTGATTAGGCCAGGAGGGCTCTGCTTTCGTGATGAGGTGAATGCCATTATCACAGGAGTAAGCTCCTTTTCAAAGGATGAATTTGTCCCCCTTTTTCTCTCTCTCACCATCTCTTTGTCCTTCCAAGCAGTTGGAGCTGCTGCCCAAGCAGTAGTGAACTGGAGAGAAACAAGCCCTGGGTTTCCAGTGGTGATGTTGGTCTGAAATAAAAGTCCTGAAACACCTATGAAGTCTGACATCTCTGCGTAGCCCTAGGATTCTGGTTCCTTGCTTTCGGTTGCAGAGTGGTGTGTTTGCGTCATTGTTGATGTCACCTCCTAAAAAGACCTTCACTTTCTTGCTGTCACATAGCCGTATTTGTTGCTCCCCATGTATAGCCTGACAGAATAAATGGAGAGGGAGGTGCTGAATTTGTGTATCACTGGCTGTCAGCTCCTCGTGTTGTTAAGCCTCACACAGGTGTGCTAGCATTGAACGGTAGAGTGTCACACACCTGAGTTTGAAAATAAAAGCATATTCTCCCCCAAAAATGGGAGTGACACAGCAAGAAGTCCCTCTCGAGATGCTGGCCCCTCAACCTTGGATTTCCCAGACTACAGAATCATGAGCCAATAAATTTCTGTTCACTATCAGTTCCCCAGTCTGTGGCATTCCATTACAGCAGCACAACTTGGCTGAGGATAAGAGCTTTCAGTAGAGTGAGAACACACAGTTTCTTTAAACTTAGAACAGAAAAACTTGGGACACTATCCCAGCCTCTGCTTCTTACAGAAACTTGCCTCTTACACACAGTGGGGTCTATGGCTCTGTCCCAGCCTCTGTTTGCTTGGGACTGTAATCCAGCCTCAAGCTATACTGAGAATCCTAAGACTCAAAGTATGTAAACAGACATTTATCTATAGCACTGGGTTTTAGAGCCAGACTCATCACTGCAAACCCAAACAAGCAAGTAGACTGAAGACAAAAAGTCTTGATGCACAAGCTGGGAGGTCCAGTGATCCTATCCAAGAGTTTGGTGGTGGTTCTGATCCAGATCCAAGCTTCATCAGCAAGAAACTGTCAAAAAGAAAACCAACATCAAACATTAGTTAATGCAGTAAAGACAGATTTTATTCAGAAACTACTGCAACAGGGGAAAAGAAACCTCAGTATAGAGCTGGGATAAATTCCAAATACAGTAAAGGCTGCTAGAGTTTTACAGCCAAGGGGTAGGGAGAAGTCAATGGATGGAACACTCCTAAGAGCAGTCATAAAGGGTTGGGGGGATTCCTGCTAGACCGACCTCACAGGATTCTTGCTGAAGACAGGCCGGGGTTTCAGATGGAAGGGTAGAGGGGACCCTCTCTAAACTGACTTAGCAGGATTCCTGCTAAAACTGGGCAATGCCGATCTGGCAAGGATGGGAGCCAAGGTTGAGGCCTAGGAGAAAAGCAGCTTAGTGGAGCCTGATGAAAGCTTGGTCAGGGAGGAGTGTCTTACTGCCACATTTTATTAGAAATCAAGACAAACACTGAAACAAGCAAAATGTGTATGTACATATCTAGTAAAATATTTGGAAATAAAAACCTAATTTTTCCTGTTTTAAAATAATACTGTCCATCCAGAAAATAAAAAAAAAACAGGAAAATGTATATTCAGGCAGATTTGCTGGACAAATTAAAATGTGGAAAACCAACAGAATTTTAACAGCAGTAGCTACTTAGGAGAGCAAAACCAGCAATAAAATATCTTACCTTTTATATTAAAAGAAACTATTTTGATTTAAAAAATAATTTTATTTATAAAAGTGCCATTGAAGTACATCAACGACAAACTGAATAAAGTAGATAGTCCATTTCATGAATGAAGGAATTCAATTCTGATAAAATTAGTAGTGATAATAATAATAAAGCCAACATTTTTTGCACATCTTCCATGGGCCAGGCATCTTTTCCAAGTACTTTACAAAAATCATTTTACTTAATTCTTACAATATTATTTTGGATATTATAAATGATTATGCTCATTTGAAGATGGAGAAGCCAAGGCCAGCAGGGTTTAAACAATTTTTTATAGTCACAGTGAAAGTGAGGAGCAGAGGTGGGGTGTAAGTTTTTTAATTACATAAGCTAAAATTTTAATGAAATTGCAATAAAATGTCCCAATAGAGCAAAGTATTTATGAAATTTTTATAGAAGGTTTATTTTCAGAATGGCCAGGAAAATTTAATTTATTAACTTATTTAATCCTTGCAATATGCCCACAAAGAATCTACTGTTACCTCAATTTTATAGATAAGAAAATTGAGGCACAGAAATTTCAAGTCTCAAGCCTGAGGTTACATAACTAGCAGGTTGCAAACACGGATTACCCAGTTCCAAAGTCTATGCTCTTAATATTTACACATTAAATATATCTGTTTGTGTTGCAAATATGAGAAAATGGCAGGATTAATTTTAATGGTAGATGTTTCTGTTATATAACTATAAATATCTCTATATTCATATTTTAGCAATAAGAAATAAAGCAAAACGTATTCTAAGTAGGCAGAGCTGTAGAGGCAAAAGACAGCAATGTGTTTTCACTATCACTGCCAGGTATGGGGCAAAGTAAGATGTATTTGGAAATGAGACTGGAGAAATAAATAGGATCAGGTCAACATCTGTCAGGCTAATGAATCCGAGGTGCATGGCTCTTTGAAGAATTTGAAGTAAGGGATGATGATTCCTGTTATACGTAATTTATCCTGGCTACAATGTACAAGGTAAAGAGGTCAAGCAAGATGCAGGCAGAGAAAACAATTAGGAGAATGCAATAACAGTCCCAATGATAGATGAGGCTTACTTGAACATAAACAGCACTGGTGAGGAGGAGGCCTCGGAGGAAAATATCTAAGTACAAATGGCTAGATGTGGTGCTTAACGGGACACGCTTGGCTTTCATGATTAGAGGCAGAGTGGAATCATTCGACATATTGAGATGGGAAAAACAGGACTGAAAAGGAAATTATTGGACATTCTAAGCTCGATTGTAAGAAATCCAAAGGTAACACTTAAGCATTTGAGTCAGAAACTCAGGAAGGATGTAAGAACACAGCTAGGAGCCAGCCATTGCAAAATTAGGAAGAGTGTGGGCTAAAGACAGAAGGTTGGTGAAATAGGCATGTTATCCACAATCAAAGGATTAACTTAGAAAAAAGCAGAACAATGGAAACTTAAAAGATAAGAAGCATGAGTGAGCTTGGTAATGGTAGTCAAGAGGATAGAGTTTGAATGAGTAGAGACCTACAGTACAAACAATAGCTTAATCAGACTGAGGTACAGGGAAGTAAGGACAGCAAGAACCATTGTGTTTGGCCGGATGTTATCATCAGAGCCATTGCAGTGCAGCATTAGGTAGGATGCCATGAGTTATCAGACAAGAAAGGATCAAGGTAGAGGCTGAGGATGCGAGCAACTAGTTTGGTTGGAAAAAGTGGAGCTGGGAGAGGCAAAGAGAAACTGTAGCAAGAAAGGAGGGTGAGGTAGATAGAAAGAGGGGATATTGTTACTGTTGTTTTTTTTAATAAGGTCTTTCCAGTATCGGCGGAAAGAGCTAAAACAGTGAGAGGATGAAATGAAAATATAATTCATGAAGTGAGGTCTTAGAGGTGGAATTCAAGTGCGTGCTGCATCTGAGTTGGATATAACCATTTAGGAATGAAGCGAATTAGACCAGCACTGCTCAATGGGTGGTCACAGACCTGCAGCAACAGCATTCCCTGCTACACTGAATTAGAATCTCTGAGGCTGGGACCCAGGAATCTGCTTTGTCACAATAGCCCCAGGTGATTCCTATGCACTTTAAAGTTTCAGCAGTGTCATGCATGATTAGAGACTTCAAAAAGACCACAGGAAGCTTTCTCCAGACAAGATTTTAATATCCACTGTTAGAGTCCAATCTGAGTAAGAACTAGAGCACAAAGGAAAGTAGACAGGTATTTGAATAGATGACTTTTCTGTTGGAGATTTTCACCAAAGGAGACAAATGTGAAATCACCATTTTCATTTCACATGATGTAAACTGCCATCAGCTCTACTGACCATATTTTAGAATTCTAATTTGCATATTGAATATTTATATGTATTTAAAGTTTTTGTATATATTTACATATTTGCAAACTGATAAGAGAAAATTAGCTTTCTTAGAAAGCAAACATCTCAAAATATTTATGCAAGCCATGTTGTTAAGCAGAATATTAAAATTTAGAAGACTGAAATTATCATAAATGAGAATGTACTTATCAAATGCACTATGTACATAACATATAAAATACATATGTAACAAACATATAAAATAATATGTGTTGACTTGTTTCCCATTGGATTTGATTCAAGAAGGGTCTCACAGGAGGAAGACTGTGTTACTAGCACTTGATTAGCCTTTAGTCTTCCTGCCCTTGCTCCATCATGCCTTTTCTGGAGAGCACCCCCCTCTCCTCAGGTGCCCACCATTCTGGTGTCATCTACTTGTTGAGTTACCCAATACAGTTTATTGAAGAAACAGCCACCTGTGATGGTGAAAGAAGCACACATTCCCAGCAAGATGCTTTTTCTTCTAATATCGAGTACAATTCCTAGGCCAGAAATTTGAGTAAACAAAAAGTTATATCATTTTTTTCTTCCAAAGTTTTAGAAACGTCCCAATTTTTCAGTTTATGCCTCAATTTCTGCCTGGTAGCAAATAATGGAATCTAGTGGAAGAGCTTTTAAAGTTGTTCTATTTTAATTCCACATTTAGGAATTCTTCATTTTTTTTTTCCTCCAAATGACATCTTGATGCTGCGGAGTCTTATTATGGCCTCACGGAATGCATCTGGTGCACGGTTATCTTGTGGTTTCCTCATCCGCAATGTTAAATGCTGCCTTCTGATCCGTACTTGGCGGCACCTCGCCCATCTGCAGTCCCTGAAGTGGCTAGTCCTTCCCCGCGCTGAGATGGGAGTGTCCTCAGATGAATTTCACCTCACATAGTCTTTGCCGTTATCTGTATCCTCTCACCTGAGCGCATTTTGGCGTCAACATTTTCCCTCAAGTAATTGCCACGTCCTTCTCAGCAGCAGGGTTGCCCACCCACATTATCCTAAGGGTCAAGGAAATTTGAGTAACCCTTTAGGCACTACCTTCTTTAATGAGCTTTGCTGCTTTAAGACATAATTATCTGGAAAGAGATATAATTATCTCTGATTTCACGAAAGATATCTGTCAGTTCTATTATCCAGCCCTAAATGTGACAGGTGGTGTGGCAGAAACAGGTCTCTCCAAGCGACCAGACCATCACCCTTACTCATCTCTACCAAGCAACACTTCTATTCTCCTAATTAACCAGGGAGGAGAGAGGGGGCCAGGTTCTTCATCTACTCCCTTTCTGCTGTTTATCGAATTAAAAAAAAAACCTTAAACCTTGATTCCTTCGAGGACATAGCATTTTGAAATATTGAAATTATTTTTCACTTTCAAATTTATAATAAATATAAATGTTTCATTTCTTGATTTTAAAAAATTCCCACCGATTGGCACAAGCAAAACAAAAATCTAACTTGATGACATTTTGAACATAAAAAGACATATTATTATATGTGAAAAAAAAAACAAGTAGCAAAATTAATTACTTTGAAAAGAATTTCAAGCAGAAATAATTAAAATAAACCTACTGGGAGATAATTTACACAATTATAGTTATAAAGCTTAACAAAAACAATGATGGGGCTTCAAAATGGTGGAAAGAAAAACTAATACAATTACAGTCAAAAACTGAAATTGTACTGTTGAAGATGAGAACCCAATGAATATGCGTCTCCCTCAGGATTTACCATATAGACTAAAATGTGCAACAGCAGACGATTAGAGAAACACATTCAAGAAAATTTATGAAAATAAAACTCGGAGCAATGATAACTTAGCCATAAATTTTGCTAAAAAGTCAAATCAGCTATCAACTTTATCAGATCCAACACATTCTCCCATTTTAGCCAATATTTCATAACGTGTGTTTGGACATTGAAATTGAAACCGAATTCATTAATAATAAACTATCTATACAATCCTAAAATAATTTATAGTACCCTCATCATAATATAAGGGTCTTACAGAAAATATTTTATGGAAAAAGTGTATTTTAAAACTAAAATGATTTTTCTTTTTTTTGAAAGACAGAGTCTCGCTCTGTCGCCCAGGCTGGAGTGCAGTGGTGCGATCTCAGTTCACTGCAATCTTTGTCTCCTTGGTTCAAGCAATTCTCCTGCCTCAGCTTCCCAAGTAGCTGGGATTACAGACATGCACCACCATGCCCAGCTAATTTTTGTGTTTTTAGTAGAGACAGGGTTTCGCCATGTTGGCCAGGCTTGTCTCCAACTCCTGGCCTCAGGTGATCCTTCCGCCTCTGCCTCCCAAAGTGCTGTGATTACAGGCGTGAGCTACCATGCCCAGCCCCCCTAAAACGTATTTTTAAAATGTATTTTAAAACTAGAAAAAAAATGTACTTTAAAACTATTTTAAAAGTGTATTTTTAAACTAGAAGGTATAATGAACAATCAGATGCTTATATCCATTTATAATGAGTAAGACTGGATTTAAGGGAAGTAAAAATACCATATGCCATTTTGTACAAAAATTAGAAAGAAATGAAGAAGCAGATGCAGATTTTAAACCAGATGCTAGAATAAAGATTAGTTTAAGATTAAGGAAGAATAAGCATTCATTTCTGTGCATGACAAGAAAAGCGGTAAATAACCATAAATTAAATAGAGATAATAAGCCAAAACAATCTATATTTTACAAATTACAACTAACATTTAAAGAAGAGAAAGGGAGATATTCTAGCAAATTAACCAGCCCTTATTTAAAGCATAATATCAAAATACATTTCTCCATCATAGAATGGGATTATGTAGGAACTAAATATTATAGAAAATATATTTTGTATCTAATGACCTATACATATAGACAGATACATTTAATGTTACAGATTATATTTTTAAATAGATGATAAGGAAGTGGAGTGATAGTATACACTTTAACAGTAAACCTTGGTGGACAATATCAGAGTATCCTGAAGAACAATAAGTAACTCCAAAATAAATAAACACATTTAATATTCAATTTTCAAAACACATTTTTTTCATTCAGCTTCAACAAATTTAAAAATGTATGGATTGGAAATAACATGATTTTGATTAAAGTTATTAATAAAATTAATATAATCCCTTTATTAATGTGATGTTACTATAATGATATTATGGGGAAATATCTTACAAGGACTTTCAAGTTGATTTTGTTGTCTCTGCATTTACTGCATAACTGCACTGAAACCTTTTTCAACCAAACATGTAATTGGGAAATGCCACATTAAGTAATTTCCTTGTACAGAATTTTAAACTATGTTAACTCGGCTTCTTTCATTTTGAAGAACTGTTCCTAGATGCATATATATTTAGAATTATTTATCTTCTTGACAGAGTTTCTTATGCCTGAAATTTGCATGGTATATATTTTTCAATCATTTAACTTTCAACTTATGTCCTTAGAGTTTAAAGATCTCTCTTTTAAATAGCATTACTTGAGACATGCTTTTCTTTTCTTTTTTTGCAGCCCAGATTGATAATCAGCCTTTTAATTGGAGTATTTAGTTCAGTTTTATTTAATAAAATTACGTTGTGGTTTAATTTAACTCTACCATCTTACAGTTTGTTTTCAACTTGTTCCATATTTTGTGCGTTTTCTCCTCTTTTCCTGCCTTGTTCTGGTTAATCAAGTGCTTTATTCTTTCAGTATTCCTTTTTATATACTCTTTTCTTTTTGTTAGCTATACGGCAATTTTTTTTAAAGCAAGTACACTAGGGATTCCAATACAAATCCTTAAATTCTTAAATTATCACAATCTGCCTTAATAGTATATTACTCTATGTATTATGCTAAAGCCTTACAATATTATACTTCCATTTACACCCCCTCTCATACTTTGTGCTACTATTTTTATATGCTTTACTTCCAAAGATTTTATAACCCCATAATACATGTTTATAATTTTTGCTTAAAAATGTCAGTTGCACCTTCTGCTAAAGAATGCTTATATGAAAGGAAGTAAACAAATTAAAATGATTTAATTTCTAACTAAAAAGTAATAGAAAAACAATATATCAGAGTCTATGTAGCGTATTAAAAACATTGATCAGAAGAAATTCAATACTACTATACACTTTCATAAGCAAAAATTACAGGATGAATATAAATGAATTTAGTGCTCAACCTAAAAACTTAAAACACGAACAACAAAGTAAACCAAAAGAAAGCAAAAGAAAAGAAATAATAAAAGAATAAATAAAATGATAGAAAATAAAAAACTAGAAGACATAATGAATAAATAGAAAACCCTGGTTTGCAAACAATATTATAAAATATACAAACTACTAACTACTTGCTTAAGTTCTTAAATAATAAAGCACAAAAACAAAAAATAAGCAATAGGTAAGGGGATAAAAGGAAACATTTTTGAAACCTTAAGAAGCTTTTTTGAAGACCTTTTTGCACATTTGAACACTACGATGAAATGGACAATTTCCTGGTGAAATATAGACTAGGACAATTAATGCCATTAGAGAAAAAAGAACATAAAACAACTACACTTTCTATTAATTACATCAAAAAATTTACTAAGGAACTACAGGTGATTTTCTAGAATTTCTATCACATCTCCAAAGACCAAGTAATCTTGATATTTTAAAACATGGTATGATAAACTATTGCCTATCATCGCTTTTGTAAATAAAGGTTTATTGGAAGAAGCCAAGCACACTTATCTAAATGTTCCTTGTGGCTGAATTCATTTCTTGATAAAATGACAGATTTGAGTAGTTGCAAAACAGAGAGAGAATTTCTAACAAAATATAATAACACACACAGAAATATGCAGATCTATATAGTAACTTGAATACTGGCTTTTAGAAGTTATGTTCATGAGCTAACCCCTAGGACCTGTGAATATCATTTAAAAATTGAGGTTTAGCAGATGGAAGTAAGCTAAGGATGGGTCCTAACTCCAACAACATGTATCAGTAGAAAAGACATAGAAACACACAGAAGAAAAAGCCATGTCAACATGGAGACAATCGTGTAAGGACAGATGAAAGCCAAGGAATGCCAAGGATCCCACCAGAGGCACAGAATGGATTGGCCCTTTGAGTCTCCAGAAGGAACCAATCTTGCTCACAACTTGATTTTATGCTTCTGGCCTCCAGAAATGTAAGCAAATAAATTTCAATTGTTTTAAGCCACCCAGTTTGTGGTAATTTATTATGGCAGCCCAGGAAACCTATACAATGTTTGGTACTGGACCTGGAGCTGCTGTAACAAGTTCCCAAAAATGTAGATGTAGCTTTGAAATTGGGAAATGGGTAGAAATGGGAAGAAATGAGGTGCATGATAGAAAAAGCCTAGGTTGCCTTGAACATATGGTTAGCAGAGATATGAATGTTAAAGGTGATTATAGTGAGGGCTCAAAAGGAAGTGATAAACACAATGAAGCAAGCTTTGGTTTCCTTAGATGATGCATATACTGCCATGAACATAATGCTGGTAGAGATAGAAACATTAAAGCTGCTTCTGACAAGGCCTCAGAAGGAAATGAGCATCATATTACCAGAACTGAAGGAAAGGTAAGCCTTGCTATAAAAAGAAACTTGAGTGGAAAACAGAACTTGTCAGTGATGAACTTAATATTTAGCTGTGGAGATTTCTAAGCAAAATGTTGGTGGTGCAGCCTGGTTTCTCCTTCATGCTTATGATAAAATATGAGAAGGCAGAGAAAGATTGAAGAAGAATATGTTTTACACAAAGAGGAATCAAAACTTCATGATTTTAGAAATTCTCAGCCTATATACTTTGCAAAGGATGCCAAAATTAGGACATTCATGGTTCAGAAAGCGAGCTCTGGAGAGAAGTTCAAGGGTGAGGCTGGAACAACTTTTGCTGAAGAGGTTAGATGTGGGAGTCTAACTGATTATCTATGTGGGAAATAAACTGATTATCTCAGCAGAAGCCAGGAATAGGGATGGGTTATCCAGAAAGTTGTGTCTGGGAAAGGTCTTTTCTAATGGTATGAATCCCTTTGATATACACAGGACACTCACAAGGGTTTTGACAATGCTATATTACTGAAAACAATGCCAGCCTTGAGTGAAAGGGACAGAGATGGGATAAAATAAAAGAAGGCTGTTGCACTTCTGGGAGTCTACAGGCAGACTTGATAGAGCTACTGGGGAGCAAACATGTACTACCTGTCAAGAAAAAGAAAATATGGCTCTGAGGGTAGAGCTGCGAATAAGAGAGAGAGGCCAGAAAGGGGAACTCAGAGGCAGGGATCCTCCTTGGCCCAGAGAGCAGAGCACTGAGCCACAGAAAATTATTTGCAGGCCTTCAGTTATAGGGAGATATGCATGCAAAGTTTCAAACCTGCTTGAGACTAATGACTATCCCTTGGGACTAGGCAATATCTATCCTGTGCCTGTTACACTCTTTTATTCTGGAGCCAGATAACTTGTTTTCTAGTTTCAGGGGGCCACAGATGGAGTGGAATTTGGCCCCAGATGGGTCATACATAGAACCTTACCAATACCTGATTAAGGTGACTTGGAAAAAGGAATTTCGGACTTTTTGAGCTGATGATAGTTAAATGAGACATCTGACTTAGAGTTAGTGCTTAAAGTGTTGAGACATTTATTGATGCTGAGATGGGGTGCATGAATTTTGTACTTGGTATAGAAGTTATTTTTGAGGGGCTAAATTATATACTGTAGTATGTTGCATAGTGGTTCCAAAAAGATATGCCCAAGTCCTAACCACTGGTACTTATTATTGTAACCTCACTTGGAAATAGCATTATCAGATGTAACTAATTTAAGGACCTTAAAATGAAATCATCTTACATTTAAGATGGGCCCTAAATCCTATGACGTATATTATTACAAGAGACAGATTGAAACACAGAGAGTAAAATACCATGTGAAGATGGTGGTAGAGATTGGAGGGCAGCCAAAATCTAAGACACAGCTAAAATTGACAGATGCTGGGAGGAAGGCATGGAATACATTCTCCCTCAGAGCCTCCGGAAGGAACTAAGTCCGCCAATACCTTGATTTTTTACTGCTGGCCTCCAGAACTGTGAGATAATAAGTTCCTGTTGTTTTAAGCCACCAAGTTTATAATAACTTGTTATCTTAGCACAGGTAAACAATTATAATATACATAAAGATGTATAGATATGAAAATATGTATAATCATGTGCATGGGTGTATGTGGATATGGGAGGAGAATATAAAAAATATATTTTTGTAACATTTTATAGGCTTGAATTTTTTTCAAAATAAAAAATTCAAATAGAAAAACATGTTTCAAAGGTCACTTGACATTTAATAAAAATTATGAGGAAACTATTGCCATCTTTCAATCTAAAAAATTCCAAGTTCTTGTAGTATATGGCAATTGGTAACACATTCTCTCAACTTTTATTTATCTAGAAATACTAGTTAATCTTATTTGTTTTCATTCTCCAAGATATTTTACCTGGAGATAAAATAGTAGATTTAGAGTATTTTTTTCAATACTTTAAGGATGTAATTTCATTGTCTCCTGGCTTCAGTCGTTTATGAAGAGAAGCCAAATAATACTGTTGTTTCTTTCTCTCCTGTATGCAATGTGTTGGGGTTTTCTTTCTGGCTTTTAAAAAGGTTTTTCTCTTCACCTTTAGTTTTCATCAGGTTGACTTGCCTAAGTGGTATTTCTTTTTTATATATCATTCTTGGAGTACAATGAGATTCTTGGACCCCAGTGATTTTTTTTCATCAGAATTGTAAAAATCATGTCTATTGTTTTTAAAGTATATTTTTCTGTTTCATTTTTTCCTCCTATTTTTGGGGCCTCCAATTGCACATATGTTAGGCTGTCTGATATTATTTCAAAGGTTACTAACTCTGCTTATTTTTTTTAGTTTTTATTTTTCTTGTGAGCTTCAAGTTGGGTACATTCAATTGATTTTCTCTTAATCTGTCTTTAAATTCACTGATCCTTTTTTCTGCACAGTTAAGCCTATCCAATTTTAAACAATGTTTTATTTTATTTTATTTTTGGAAATTATGGTTAAAGATCGCAGAAGAGACCACACTTGGGGAGAAAAGAACTATTTGGTAATATGTTCTAACAGGGGGAGTAGGGGTTAAAATACTTCTTTTCTATTTTCTTTTGCAACTTCTATTTTAGAATCAAAGTTGCATGTGCAGGTTTGTTACATGAGTATATTGGGTAATGCTGGAGATTTCTGTATGATTCAACCTGTCACTTAGGTAGTGAGCATAGTACCCAGTAGTTAATTTTTCAGCCCTTGCCTCCCTCCCTCTCTCACCCCTCTACTAGACCTCAATGATTATTGTTCCCATCTTTATGTCCATATGTACCCTATGTTTAGCTCCCACTTGTGAGAACATGCAGTATTTGATTTTCTATTTTTGTGTTAGTTTGATTGGGATAATAATCTCCAGCTGTATCCATGGACATAATTTTATTCTTTTTCATGGCTTCATAGTATTCCATGGTATATATGTGCCCCATTTTCTTTATCCAATCCTCTGTTGATGGGCATTTATGTTGATTCTACATTTTTGCTATTGTAAATAGTACTTCCCCATCCAATATTTTTTATTTAATTTGTTATCTTCTTTGATTTGCATTTGATTCTTTAAAAAGTTTCCATTTTATTGATAAAATTCTGTAGCTCTTCACCTGTTTTTTCTGTATTTAAAAAACATTTTAAATAGTTATTTTAAAGTTCTTTAATATTAATTTGAACAGCTGGATACCCATGGGTCTGCTCCTATTATCTCTTTTTTCTCTTGACTATGGAGTGAATTTTTTTGTTTCTATGTGTTTTAATTTTGTATTTTATTCCAGGTACTGTTTTTTAAAAGGATAGTGAAGAATGTAATATATTTTATAATGTTTATTCATTGCTTTCCTGGACAGTGCAAGTCTTCTCCTGTAACTGGAAGTTACAATGAAGGGCTGATCATTTCGATTCCTCCAAGGCTAATTTGAGCTGAGAATGGGACATATACTTATTTAGATTGAGTTCACTTCAGGTTAACAATATCTTTAAATTCTATGCCACCATCAGCAAAGGACTAAGCTTTTGACTTTGTATGATTTGAGTTGAGAAGGAGTTATTCCAGTTTCAGAAAGTTGAATTGAAACTTTGGATTCAATTCTGCAAGAACCTTGGAATCCAAACACATTGAGAATGCATGGCATTACATAAATTTTCTTTTATTTACACTTCTTCTCTACTTCTGCTTTCTTGGTTACAGTCTGATGAAAAAGCGACGGAGAATTGTGGGGTTTAGCAACATCTTTTTCCATTTGGAAATTTCAGATACCAACCCATTCTATTAGCTCATAATATCACCCAAAGCTTGACTTGTTTCTCCTCAGTGTTGCAAAGTTTTCAGTCTCCCAGTCTGTGAGCGGCCCACACTTCTGCTTTCTCAAGGTATGAAAGTTGCCATGGCCCACTAGTCACTCTTGAAGTGAGTGTCATGGGGGTACTCTTGAAGGATATGTATTAATCTGAATTTAATCAACAAGACTTTTTTGTACCTATTGCTCTTCAAAAGCCTTATAGAAAAATATGATTTTATTTTATCCATTAACTTTATTTTGCTTTTTTAGTGGAAGTGAAGGTTATTCATATATTTTATACTCTATCTAGAAGCAGACGTCTTATCCTTGATTTTTAATTAATCCTATAAAGTATTAATATTATGAAAATAACTTTATATCTTTAAAAATTTTCTTTAGAGACATACATTACTTCTATGTAGATCACATGTTATAATTCTTTGTCATCATTGCTGCAGTTTATTCAAAGGTTTGATGTTAAGTCAATTGATAACAGATATTATTATTCATAATTTTACAAGATTTTTATTAAAATTGTTAATAGATAACTGTTGTCAGTAGTGATAAAATAAATAGCTTAAATACTTGATGAGATCTCTAAAAGTGCTATGAATCCATACTGTGGACCAATCCTAACTATTTTTTCTCTATTACAGGAGCAATGCCATTAACTGAAAAAAATTTTTTTCTACAAAATAATTTTTAAGGATATGCATACTGGTAATCCCTGTATCCATCACTGGTAATTATAATAAGATGGCATTTCTTCCATGACTGTTTTACTCCTTAAGCAACTTACATATATTAGTAGTTAAACTTCATTTGTCGCACAGAATGATTTTATTGACTTGTGATAAAAATTTGTCGGACTGTAGTCTGTCATGTGGCTTTTTTTTGAAACTTATTAACATCTCATTGATTTTTGGATTGTTTGTAACACAAAGAATAAATGTTTAAGGGGATGGATGCCCCATTCTCCATGGTGTGATTATTGCACATTATATGCCTGTATCCAGACATCTTATGTACACATAAATATATGCACCTACTATGTATTCATAAAAACTAAACATTAAAAAAATTAAAACAGTATCTTTGCTCGATTGGACAGAAGATATTATTTGAATTTTTATTATCACATTAATAACTTCTATCACACTTCATAAGATTAGTTTCCTCCAATATGCCATGACTTATGAGCGTTACTACCTTTTATGTTATTTTTACATAAAATTGATGCTTTTTTCCTTCTAGTTAGAAGGCTTTTAAACATTCCAAATATTCTATGGTTTGTCTCTTCATGTCAGAACTAAGATATACCTTTCCCATATTTATCAACACGTTAGCAAAATATTTACTTAATCTTGACAACTGTTTTGATTCATTGAAAAAATGATTTAGAAGAGTACAAACTGTGCAAAATGATATAAAAATAATTTTAATTATTCAACTGAATGTAAATGTTTAAACTTTACTATAAAGAAAGGTTTTCAAAAAATATCTACACATATATACAGAATAATCTCAAAATATTGAACACCAATACAGATGTGTTGAGTCAGTGGCACAAATACTAATGGTTATTGACATATTTTCCCAAAATAGCAAATTATTGAAAGTGTTCCAAGCAAAAATATATTTCCCCAGTACAGCCAGGAGTTGTATATCTGGACAATTCGGTGTATAATAAATGATTCAAAATAAAATTTACTGATAACTAAAATGGACAGATAGTCTGGGATTAGGTAATTGTAGACAGTTTTTGGCCTATATGAATATTCCAGGAGACATTTAATTGTCATGTGGGATGCATGACAATTCATAAGCAAGACTTTCTCCAGTGTCATGGGGGCACTTAGAAGCCACATCCATACCCACTAAATGCGCTGGCCCCTTTCAGTCACTGGGACGTGAAAGAGTCAAGTGATTTTTCAAATTTTATTCTAGGGATAATATGACCACTTGGAGGATCAATCATTTCATAAAAACAAAAATCACAGAAGTAAAATATTTCAATGTAAAAAAAAACTAGAAAGTATTAACTAAGGGACTTACTGTTAGGTATGTTCTAG
This sequence comes from Homo sapiens, assembly GCF_000001405.40. NCBI lineage: Eukaryota > Metazoa > Chordata > Mammalia > Primates > Hominidae > Homo > Homo sapiens. The sequence goes on from NC_000007.14 coordinate 54,201,268, forward strand.
GACTAATATGATATTGAGGGAAACCAGTTCACTTTTCTCAGCTATGCTTCTACTACAGATAGGTGGAACATCTACAAATATGTAATACTAAAAAATTCATATCCAAGCTCAAAACTAGGAAAGGTTGTCCTTATATCCTAAAAATGAAGGTGGAACTTAAATCTAGAAAAATAATCTAGAAAAATAAGCTTTAGCTTCCTATGCAGGAAAACTCGCACCAACACATACACAGTGACACACAGAGGCACACACAGGCAGACACACACAGTCATACATACAGACACACATGCAGACACACCCACAAGCACACACAAACATACACACAAACACACAGACACACTGGCATGCACAGGCACACACAGACATACACACAAACACACACACAGACACACTGGCATGCACAGGCACACACACACACAGGCATACACACTGACATACACAGGCACACACAGGCATACACACACACACACAGGCACACAGGCATACACACAGACACACACAGGAATACACAGGCACACACAGGCATACACACAGACACAGACACACACTCACACAGGCATACACACACACACAGGTACACACACAGACACACACAGGCATACACACAGACACACATACAGGCACAGACAGGAACACACAGACACATACATAGCAGGACACATGCATACACACGAGAATGCTTGGGCACACACACAGTCGTTGTTATGGGTGGAAAGGAGGACAATGGATATTTATTAGAAAAGAAGATTTATTAGAAAAGAAGATGGATGGAGAAGTAGGTAGTATATTTAAATTGATAATTTATAATGGGAAAATAGATGCCCAAAATTGAAGACAATTGTATAATACAAAATCTTGAGTAGAATCAGAAACAAGCTTTATTTGTTATGGACACAGTATAGTGAATTTTCTTAGCATCAAATGCCACAGAATTTTCAATACCATCAGAGAGAAAATAAATATTCCCAAAATCATAAGATAATATATTACATCAGACTCTCATTAGCAATGAGAGATGCCAGTAGACAGTGTATTTTATGTGTTGAAATTGGTGGAGGAGAATAATGATAAAACTAAAATTCTATATCCATATGAATCAGATTCATGACAAAAGGTGAAATAAAGGTACTTTAGAGAGAGGCTGAATTTACTTTACACAGATCATTAATTTGGAAAAAATCATAAGTACAAATATTATTCAAGAAACTTGAAATGGATCTCTTCAAATTAGGAAGAAATAAGATGCAAGAAGCAAAGCAAGCATGAGAATGATTTTAGATTTAAGGACAAGATCAGGAGTTACTAAAAGATTTTAATTCTTTTTTTTTTTAAGAGTTGAAAGTGTTACTAAAATCCTTCTTATTAGCCACACAGAGCTGATTTTCCCAAGTATATAACGAGTTCTTCAAATATATACTTTCAAGTCTGATTTTTTTCAGGGCTGTGTTCTTCAGTTATAATTTTTGCCTTTTGCTCCATTTCTTTAGTGTGTCCTTCCACATGTACGTTAGGTCAGCACAGGTGTCTTGTACAGCTACCACTTTCTATCAAATCTTGATTGCTTGTGTTTTAATCTCTATTTTATTTCTCTTTTGGCACTATCCCTGGTGTTAATTCACTCTTGTGTTCCTTCTACTTTATTTTTTAAAAAAATTTTTATTTATTTCATTAGCAACATTTACTTAGTTCTGTCAGCTCTTTTTTTCAAATTCCCCCTTTCTGTATTCCTCTTACTTGTATTTGTGACTCCATTGCTGCTTTCAGAAAATGTATTGCTTTCATAAAATTCATTGCTTTCTTAATTTATTTTACCTCATTTTGAACTATTAGATTACAGATTGTATCTCCTCTGAGGCCATGTCTTTCTGGTATGGTATCATTTTGTAGGACTGTCATTACTCTGTTTACTCTTCATACCGTTTTTATAAAATCTTTATGGAATCTGACTGTAATATTTTCTATTGTCCATGTTTCAGTGATGTGGGTTTTTCTCTGTTCTTAGAGGGAGACTGGAACTTGATAACCTTCTAGACTCATCACTCTAGAACTCTCAAGTTCTGAACTCCCACCTATTGTTATAATTGTTTTCAAAAATATGGCTACAAACTCAGATATTCAAACTCAGCTCCCTCTCCACCCTTTGTCTGAATCTTTTCTCTCTTTTGCTTTTCAGTGTTCCTGTCCTTCTTACCGTGGATTCTACTCACAGAAACTTCCCCTCTGTGTGGGGCTTTTCCTTGGAGGGTTCTTTGGCTGATGAATTTAGAGAAGTCCTGGGACTCAGACTGCCCCAGCACTGATTGTTTCTACAGCATCCTTCACGCACCTGCAAATGCAGCCTGCACCATTCATGGCCAGTTCTGTTGTCCTCTGCTATCCCTCTCTTTCACTAGTAGAAATTTGTGTGTGGATGAATGTTATGTTCTCTGGTTTACAAGGACATTCGAAATTGCTTTACTTTCCCTCCCCATCTTTATTCACAGTTGTTGAAATGATCCTGGTGTGGTCTGAGGTTTGTGTCAACCCTCATGTGTTTTGAGAAAGGTAGGGCTACCCGGTCACCACGTATTATTGTAGATATTGTCTATAGGCCACTGGCTCTGATGTCCTGTAGATAGTGAAGATGGTTTTCCTAATATAATGTGTGTGGGGGGGGGCAGGGGGTGGATCAGGAATGATTTTAAAACTACGCTGTTGCTGCTGCTGCCTTGTCCATCACCTCACCTATTCATTTTTTACTAATTTTTTACGGATGTTTTCCTTGCCTTTATTTCCTTAAGGATTATTAAACTCATTTGTTTAGGGTACTTTTTGGGGTTTTGTGTCATTATTTCTAGTGTGATTTCTCCTGGTTTGGTTTTGTTTATAAATATAAATATATGTATATACATACAATGATAGATAAAATTTTAACATGTATATGTAACACATGTATGATTTATATATATATAAAATTTTGTTTAAAAAGTTTAGCTTGAAGTGTGAGTTTCATTTTTTTCTTTTGCTCATCCCTTCATTTCTGCAGGTTTTGCTGTTACCTCTACCCAAATTCTCAAGCTCCTGGATGAGGTTCCAGATGTTATGATGGCATCAGAGAGCTCTCATCAGCTTGGGTTGGCCTGGTTTCCAATTTGGGGGCTGTCCATCTGATTTCTTTCTTACCACTGCCTTTCAGGGTAGCTGCTTCTCATGACAGGCTGTGCCGAACTGCAGCCATGGTCATGTTCAACCCTCATTGAAAGGCAAGAGGATCTCCTCCAGCCTCCTCTTGTACACAGCATCCAGGTCTGGCACTTCTCCTCTTTTTTTTTGTAAATTATTCTCTCCCAAGAGCTGAGCTTTCATTTAATTCTCGTGTCAGTCCCACTGTCCCAGAGGCCTATTGTTACAGCCCCAGCCTTCTGCTAGGAACATCTGGTCATTTTTTTCTTCATAAGGTACATCAAGTTTTTGAACACAGCTATATCTCATAGATAATTTATTGCTTATTAAGGAGTGAGGGTGAATGATAGGAATGGTCCGGGGACATTCTTTCTGAGTGAAATCACTGAGCCGTTTTTGTAAGGAAAAATATTTGGTGCTTTTTATAATTTTGTCACATCATTTTAGTTAAAAGTAAATATATTTTATTATACTATTTAGCAATCATTCACAGGATACCCAAAGATGAAAGGGAACAATAAATAATATTATGTGGGACCATGGGTGGCATCAAAGAACAAAAATCTTTTTTTTCTCAGACTTCTCAGGAATGAAGAAAAATCTCAATATGCAGAGTAGAGATATTCAGAAATATCTTAAAAATATACCAAAGCTAGGCCAGGCGTGGTAGCTCATGCCTCTAATCCCAGCACTTTGGGAGGCCGAGGCGGGCAGGTCATGAGGTCAAGAGTTCAAGACCAGCCTGACCAACATGGTGAAACCCAGTTCTCTACTAAAAATACAAAAAATTAGCTGGGTGTGGTGGTGGGTGCCTGTAATCCCAGCTACTCAAGAGGCTGAGAAAGGAGAATTGTTTGAACCAGGGAGGCGGAGGTTGCAGTGAGCCAAGATCGTGCCTCTGCACTCCAACCTGGGCAACAGAATGAGATTCCGTCTCAAAAAAAAGATATATATATATATATATATATATATATATATATACACACACACACGCATATATACATACATATCATATATATACATAGATATGCTATATGTATACACATATATATCATAGATACACATAGATATCCTATATATATATCCTATATATATATCTTATATATCTATGTGTATCTATGATATATATGTGTGTGTGTATATATATATGTATATATGATATATATATACACCAAAGCTTCCCAAGTACAAATGGACACCTAATATCCAGATACAAACTTTTCAGGCAAAAATCTATGGGGCAGTATCTGGATGAAATGCTTTGCCTCGAAGGACAATTCAAAGGTCTTTTCTTTTTAATCAAAGAAGTAAATAGGTATTTTCCCATTGAACAAAAGTAGTATTTACTACATCAAAAAAACCTCAAGTCCTTGATGGCTTTATATATTAAATGCAATTTAATTAGAATGGAGTTGCGCGAAGTAAGGTGGCCTGTTTCGCCTGGTAAAACTTAGGTCAGTTTGTATTCCTTGATGAAACTTAACAACAAACCAACACTTCTGAAAAAGATTTCCATTGAGGTAAACTTAACAGAAGGCCACCGAGCCAGGGTAGCAATTACCAAGAGGCTCTTCTGGTCAGCAGGAGAGGGGCCAAACCACGCAAGCTCTTCAGCCCAAGCACTCACACTTCTGCACTGAGGATCCCTAAGCTGCTGCTATGCAGCCGGTTCAGCCACTGTGCAACATTATCTAGTTTTTTATGTATTGTTGAAATGATCCGAGAAAACATTTACCCAACAGTAATTGTGATTGTCTATGTTCAAGTCAGTTTGCATTATATAATTCTAAAGAGATATCCATCTTGGTCAATTTAAATTTTTCATCTTAAATCACCTCCCCCAAAATTTAACAGTGCAATTATTAACAGTGCAATTGTTACCAGCGGTTCTAAGTCTTTACTTTTTCTTTACCAGCACTAACAAATTTGGTGGCTAGGACCCACATATATCAGTATAAAGTGGCGCAAGGTAGCAATGATTCACAAAGATGGATACTTTTTTTCTCCCATTATGAATTACTGATACACAACATACTGAGAGGAAAATGGTCCACAGAATATTGTTAAAAACATGTTACACATTTTATATGGAGATGCATATGTTTCTGAAAATACATTAAATTTATATACTTTAAACATTTTCTTACCCATTCCAAATATGTGAATCTATATATTTATACACAGTCCAGCATTTTTAAGTACTTAAAATGACAATCAATGGAGAGGTATTCCCATAGTGAATTATAATGTGTTCACAGAACTAAATTTTTATAATTAGATTATGAGATACTTTACAAAGATTGCCTAAAAGATTTAAAAGAAGGCTACTTAGGATTCATTTTGAAGCTACAGAACTTCGTTCCACTGCACATCTCCATTAATATTTAAGACATGTAAATTAGACATTTATTTACTTTCTTGTCTATACTGATGTACAATTTTTTTTTTGAGGTGGAGTCTTGCTCTGTTGCCCAGGCTGGAGTGCAGTGGCACAATCTTGGCTCACTGCTACCTCCATCTCCCTGGTTCAAGCGATTCTCCTGTCTTAGCCTCCTGAGTAGCTGGGTTTACAGGCACGCACCACCACACCCAGCTAATTTTTGTATTTTTAGTAGAGATGGGATTTCACTATCTTGGCCAGGCTGTTCTTGAACTCCTGACCTCGTGATCCACCCACTTCAGCCTCCCAAAGTGCTGGGATTACAGGCGGGAGGCACTGGGTCCATCCTATACTGATATAGTTTAATTACAATTTCATGACTGTAAATTTGACTTGCCTTGCAAAACTCCTATGTGCACAGGTACGGCAAAGTTGATAGGAAGCATTCAGGTGGTGAGTAACGATAACCCAGTAGATATTCAAAATAATTGGTGGAACAACATTAAGGACCAATGAATGTATCTGAGATCAAGGAGCAAATTATTTTTTAACGTTACTTGTTAAAGAATAATGTTATCTGTGTTTAAAGTACACCAAAATGACATAGTTTCATTAGAGACATTATGAGATAATTGAAACTTAAGAGGGTGGTATCATTTTTTGAGAAAAAACATGTACTAAAATACAATGCTTCTTTTTTTACATGGAGCTTTGCCTGTCAGTCTTCAAAAATTGAAAAATTATATTGGTCTATTTTAATCAGAAATGTTACAAACAATAATTATAGCTCAAATTTGAGAAATTCTTCCCTTCGATGGAACATTGTGAGAGAAAAAAATATTTACTGCATAGAATGCTTTAAGGATAAATTTTAATGACATATTTATTTAATTCCTACTGTACATTTAAAGATTACCTTGGCTATATCAGCTTCCCTCAGTCTATCAGAAGATAAATTATTCAAATGGAGCATATTTATATATTTTAAAGATTCTGTGAACACTTGTACATCCGGTAATGTTATACTGGGTAAATCAGAAAAACCCCTCCCCTGAGGATAAATAGTAAACTTGAGAAAATAAAAATAAAATGTTTGCAGAAGCATCAAAGGCATCAGGCAGCTCACTAATTAGTGAGCAATTATTTAATCCAGATGCAAGAGAAAGCAAAAACTCAGATTAAAAACCAAGCGACTGAAAACACTGTGTCTCCACGGGGACACCTCAGAGGTTGTGTAGTGTCTCTCTCAGCATGATGTGCTAGAGATATACAGGTTGAATTCCAGGGGCTGCCAGTGGGAGGAGATGGGTTTGTATGTTTTGAAGGAAAATGCCAAAAGTTTAAGCAGTATGATTTGGAAGAACTGAAAATAAAACCACCACTCACCTATACTATATCTCAGTTTAAAGTCATCTGACAGAAAAAGAGAAAAATTACAGATTAAGATAATAGATTTAAAATAAAGTATCAAAATGTTTACATTGAATGTAAAGTGAACTCCAAATTCTAATGAAAAGACAATATTGTCAGACTGAATTATAAAGCGAAACAAAACAAACTACTGTATTGCAATAAAACATGTCTAAATCACAAGGATGCAGGAGGCTTAAAAGTCAAAGGATGATAAAAGGTATATATCATTTAAGCTTTACCCACAAGTACCTATAATCATTTGAGAAAAAAAGACATATTTAACAGAAGGTATAACAGAGATTTAAAATGAAAAAAATATATTCGTCAGAATGGATTTACCAGAAACATTTTGCAATTCTAAATAAGTATGTACCCAAACACATGGCATCAAAATATAGAAAGCTCAGAATTGACCAAATATCAGCAGGTAAAGACAAATCCACAAGGTCTTTTTTTTTTTTTTTTTTTTTTTGAGGCACTGTCTCACTCTGTCGCCCAGGCTGGAGTGCAGTGGTGCAATCTCGGCTCACTGCAATCTCTGCCTCACGGGTTCATGCCATTGTCCTGCCTCAGCCTCCCGAGTAGCCGGGACTACAGGCGTGTGCCACCATGCCTGGCTAATTCTTGTATTTTTAATAGAAATGGTGCTTCACCATGTTAGCCAGGATGGTCTCGATCTCCTGACCTTGTGATCCACCCGCCTTGGCCTCCTGAAGTGGTGGGATAACAAGAGTGAGCCACCACGCCCAGCCCAAGTAACTCATTAAAAAAGTAATCACAAATATTGCTGAAATATGTAATATTTAAGCAATTTAGCAAAATTCAATCTCATTAACTTATATAAAGTGCTGAGCTTACAAATGTGAATACACTTCCTGTTCAATCATGTGAAATTTTTGAAATATATTTAGTCATAAACAAGTCTTAAAACATTGAAAAGATTGAAACTATAAACAGTACTTTCTTTGGCCATAATTCAATTAAATTATAAATTAAAAAAATACAGGGATTTCAAAATTAAAATGTATACCTCCAAATAAGCCTTAAGTCAAAGAAAACTGAAAGGAATAAGAAAAGGGTCACACATCAAACAGTGTGGTGTGTGGACATTGTTTAGAGGGAAATTTGTAACCTTGGATGTATATATTAGAAAATAATGCAGGCTGAGAAATCTCAAGAGATTGTGGCAGGTGGCAATAACAAATTAAATCCAAAGAGCATTGAATGAGGTACAAATAGCCAATAGCTGAAATGAATAAGGGTATATCACTTCCAACCCTTCAACCATCATAAAGTAAAAAATGATAATATAAGATAATAATATGGACAAATTTATGCTTGTACCTCAATGAATTGAAATATATATGAAATATGAAAATATTTTCAAAAATGTAACTTATCAAGTCATGTGATAAGTTAGCAAATTAATTTGCTTATATTTATTTATTTGAATTAGTAACACTTTGGAGGTGTGCACACATACACACACAAGCATACACATACTCTCTAATGCTCTCTAGTTTCCACTGGCTTCTCTAAGAAATTATACCAAACATTCAAGGACAAAATATTTCCAACTCTATCAACAGTGGGTTAAATGGAAACTGCCCAATATATATTATGTTCATTACGCTTCACAAGGTTGATACAAACATTTTAAAAGTACATTAAAAAATGGAAGTTCTTTCTTATAAACATAAATTGCAAATATTCTAATGAAAATATTAGCAGAGGGGAGGCAGACCAAGATGGCAGAATAGACAGCTTCACTGATGGTTCCCACTGTGAGGACACCAAGTTAACAACTATTTATGCAGAAGAAACACCTTCATACGAACTAAAAATCAGGTGAGCACTCATAGTACCTGGCTTTAACTTCAGATCACTGAAAGAGGCACTGGAAAAATAGAAAAAACAGTCCTGAATCACCACTGCCACCCCTCACCCACCTCCCAGCCACAGTGGGGTACAGACAGTGAGTCTGGGACCTGGGGAAGGAAGAACACAGCAGTTGTGAGGCCTTGAGCTCAGTGCTGTCCTGCTGGAGAAGAAAGGAAAATCAGACTAAACTCAGCTGATGCCCACCCATGGAGGAGCATTTAAACCAGCCCTAACAAGAGGGGAATCACTGATGCCAGTGGTACAAACTTGAGTGCCCACAAACCTCACTACCAATAGCTACAGAACTCTGTGTCTCCCCAAATAAACCTGAAGGGCACTCTAGGCCATAAGGACTGCAACTCTTAGATGAGTCCTGGTGCCAAAATAGACCCAGAGACAGTGGACTGGGGAGACGTGACATAATGAGACACCAGCTGGGGCAGCCAAGGGGGTGCTGGCATTGCCCCTTCCCTACCCCCTGGCTGCACAGCTCATGGCTCCAAAAGAGACCCCTGCCCTCTGCTTGAAGAGAGAAGAGGGAAAAGTGGAGAGGACTTTATCTTGCATTGAGGATACCAGCTCAGTCACAGCAGAATAGGACACTAATAGGAGTAATGAGGCCCCCATTCCAGGTCTTAGCTCCCAGATGACATTTTTAGCCACAACCTGGGACAGAAGGGAACCGATTGCCTTGAAGAAAACAGCCCAGTCCTGAAAAGATTTATCACCTGCTAACTGAAGAACCCTTGGGCCCTGAATAACCAACAGTGATACCCAGGTACTACATTAAGGGCCTTGGGTGAGCCTCTGAGACTTGCTGGCTTCAGGTGAGACTCAGCACTTTATCAGCTGTGGTGCTTATGGGACAAAACTCCTGCTTGAGAAGAGCAGAAGAAAAAGTAAAGGGGACTTTTTATTACACCTTTAATACCAGCATAGCCACAGGGAGATAGAGTACCAAGTGGGTTCTTGGAGTCCCCATTTCCAAGACTTGACTCTTGGAAGGCATTTCTGGACTTTCCTGGGCCAGAGGGGAGCCCATTGCCCTGAAGCAGGAGTCCCAAGTGAGGCAGCATTCACCACAGGCTGACTTAATAAACCTTGGGCCTTAATGGAACATCAGCAATAGTCTGGCAGTGCTCCTCAGGGCCTACAGAGTGAGGATCCTCTGCCTTTGGAAAGCGGAGGGAAGAATGGGAAGGACTGCATCTTGTGGTTTGAGCGCTGGCTCAGCCACAATACAATAGAACACCAGGTAGACTTCTAAAGTTTTTGACTGCAGTCCCTGACTCCTGGATGGCACTTCCAGACTGATCCAGGGCCTGGGGGACCTTGCTGCAATGAAGGGAAGGGCACTGGCCTCTCTGACTTTGACACCATCTGACTGTAGAGCCTCAGGGCATTCAGTGAACATAGGTAGTAGCCAGGGAGTAGTTACATCAGGCCTTGGGTGAGACCCAGTGCTGTGCTAGCTTTAAGTCTGACCCAGTGTAGTCACATTGATGGTGGCCACAAGAGTGCTTGTGTCACTCCACCCCCAGCTTTAGATGGTTCATAACACAGAGAAAGACTGTGTATGTTTGAGAGAATGTAAGGGAAGAGAGCAAGAGTCTCTGCCTGGTAATCCAGAGAATTCTCCTGGATCTTGTTCAAGAACATCAAGGCAGTACTTCTACAAGTCTGCAAGAACCACAGCATTACTGGGCTTGGGGTGCTCCCCAAACCAGATGCAGCTTAGATCACAACACTCAAGTCCTTTCAAATATCTGGAAAACCTTCCCAAGAAGGGCAGCTACAAATAAGCCCAGACAGTGAAGACTACAATAAATACCTAACTCTTCAATGCCCAGACACTGAAGAACATCTATTAGCATCAATACCATCCAAGAAAACGTGGCCTCAACAAATGAACTAAATAAGGCACCAGGGACCAATCCTAGGAAAACAAAGACATGTGGCCTTTCATACAGAGAATTCAAAACAGCTGTGGTGAGGAAACTCAAAGAAATTCAAAACAACATGGAGAAGGAATTCAGAAGTCTATCAGATAAATCTAACAAAGAGATTAAAATAATTAAAAAGAATTAAGCAGACATTCTGGAAGTAGTGAGCTTGAAGACAGGCTATGTGGAAATACATAGTAAGAGGAGAAAAAGAAAAAGAAAAAACAATGAAGCATGCCTACAGGATCTGGAAAATCGCCTCAAAACGGCAAATCTGAAAGTTATTGACCTTAATGGGGAGGTAGAGAAAGAGATAGGGATAAAAACCTTATTCAAAGGGATAATAACAAAGAATGTTCCAAACCTAAAGAAAGGTATCAATAGCCAAGCACAGGAGGGTTCCAGAACACCAAGCAGAATTAACCCAAAGAAGATTACCTCAAGGCATTCAATAAGTCAACTCCCAAAAGTCAAGAATTAAGAAAGGATCCTAAAAGCAGCAAGAGAAAAAAAAAATAAAAGTAAGTAACATAAAATGGAGCTTCAATACATTTGGCAGCAGAATTCTCAGTGGAAACCTTACAGGCTAGGAGAAAGTGGCATGACATATGTAATGTATTGAAGGGAAAAAAAAAAAAAGCTCTTACCCTAGATAGTTTATCCAGTAAAAATATATACCCTTCAAACGTGAAGAAGAAATAGAGACTTTCCCAGACAAACAAAAGCTAGGGATTTCATCAATTCCAGACCTGTCCTACAAGAAATGCTGAAGAGTCCCTCAATCACAATGAAAAGGGTGCTAAGAAGCAACATGTAACCACCTGAAGTACAAAATTCACTGGTAGCAGTAAGTAGACGGAAAAATACAGAATATAATAACACTGTAACTGTAGTATGTTATCGGGGGAAATTCACCCCTGATATTTCACGTAGGTTCTTTTCTATTTTCCTTAAGTGTCAGCCGGTCTGAGAAATAAAGGGAAAGAGTACAAAGAGAGAAATTTTGAGGCTGGGTGTCCACGGGAGACATCACATGTGGGCAGGTCCCATGATGCCCCCTGAGCCATAAAACCAGCAAGTTTTTATTAGCAATTTTCAAAGGGGAGGGAGTGCACGAATAGGGTGTGGGTCACAGAGATCACATGCTTCAAGGGCAACAAAAGATCACAAGGCAGAAGGTCAAGGCGAAACTAGAATCACTAATGAACTTCCATATCCCACTGTGCACGCATTGTCAGGGTTCAAGAGCAGAGAACTGGTCTGACTAGAATTTGCCAGGCTGAAATTTCCTAATCCTAGCAAGCCTGGGGGTGCTGCAGGAGACTAGGGTGTGTTTCATCCCTATCTACATCTGCATAAGGCAGACACTCCCAGGGTGGCCATTTTAGAGGCCCTGCCCTGGGAATGCATTCTTTTCCCAGGGCTGTTAATTATTAATCATTCTTACTGGGGAAAGAATTCAGCGATATTTATCCTACCCATTTTCACTAATAAGAGAAATATGGCTCTGTCCTGCCCGGCCCACAGGCAGCCAGACTTCAAGGTTATCTCCCTTGTTCCCTGAACATTGCTGTTATCCTGTTCTTTTTTCAAGGTGCCCAGATTTCATATTGTTTAAACAATTTGTGCAATTAACACAATCATCACAGGGTCCTGAGGTGACATTCATCCACAGCTTATGAAGATGATGGGATTAAGAGATTAAAGACAGGCATAGGAAATCACAAGAGTATTGACTGGGGAAGTGATAAATGTACATGAAATCTTCACAATTTATGTTCAGAGATTGCAGTAAAGACAGGTGTAAGAAATTATAAAAGTATTAATTTAGGGAACTAAAAAATGTCCATGAAATATTCACAATTTATGTTCTTCTGCCACGGCTTCAGCCAGTCCCTCCATTCGGGGCCCCTGACTTCCCACAATAGTCTGTAAACTACTCTTATCCTAAGTAGGAAGACTAAATGATGAATCAATCAAAAATAATAATTACAAAAACTTTTTAAGATATGGTCAGTACAACAAAATATAAATAGAAACAAAAAGTTAAAAAGTCTGGGGACAAAGTTAAGGCCTAGAGTTTTTATTAGTGTTCTTTTTGCCTTTTTGTTTATGCAAACAATTTTAAGTTGTTATCAGGTTAAAATAATGGGTTATAAGATAGTATTTGCAAGCCTCATGTTAATCTCAAACTAAAACTTATACAATGAATTCATGAAAAATAAAAAGCAAGAAACTAAATCATATCACCAGACAAAATGATATTTACTAGAGGAAGACAGGAAGGAAAGAAAGAAAGAAGAGAAGACCAGAAAACAAATAACAAAAATTTGAGAGAAGTAAGTCCTTTCTTATCAATAACAACATTGAATGTAAATAATCTAAATCCTTAAATGAAAAGACATAGACTAGCTGAATGGATGAAAAAACAAAATCCATTGATCTGCTGCCTAGAAGAAACATACTTCACCTATAAAGACACACTTAGACTGAAAATATAGGAATAGAAAAATATTTCATGCCAAGGGAAATCAAAAAGAGCAGGAGTCACTATATTTCTATCAGGCAAACAGATTTAAAGACCAAAACTATAAGAAGAGACAAAGAAGGTCACTATATAATGATAAAGGAGTCAATTCAGTAACAGAATATAACAATTTAAAATACATATGCACTCAACACTGAACCACCCACATATATAAAGCCAAAATTACAAAAGTTATTAGAGCTAAAGAGAGATATATTCCTCAATACAATGATGGCTGAAGACTTCAACATCTCACTTTCAGGATTGAACAGATCTTCCAGAGAGAAAATCAACAAAGAAACATTGACTTAATCTGCACTGTAGATTAAATGGATCTAATAGATATTTACAGAAGATTTTATCCAAAATCTGTAGAATACGCATTCTTTTCCTCAGCACATAGATTATTTTCAGGGACAGACCATGTGTTAGGTAACAAAATGTCTTAAAACACTCAAAACATTGAAATAACATAAAGCATCTTCTCTGATTATAATGGATTAAACTAGAAATTAATAACAGAGGAATTTTGGAAACTATACAAATATATGAAAATTAAACTATATGCTCCTAAATGACCAGTTAATGAAGAAATTAAAAAGAAAATCAAAAACTTTCTTAAAACAAATGAAAATGGAAACACAACATACCAAAACCTATGGGATACAGAAAAAGCAGTACTAATAGGAAAGTTTATAGCTAAAAGTGCCTGCATGAAAAAAGAGGAAAAACTTCAAATGAACAATCTAATAATGCATCTGAAAGAATGAGAAAAGCAAGAGCAAACCAAATCCAAAATTAGTAGAAGAAAAGAAATAATAAAGCTCAAAGGAGAAACAAATAAAACTGAAATTGAAAAAAATACAAAAGAAGAATAAAACAAAAAGATAGGTTTTTGAAAAGTTAAACAGAATTTTCAAACCTTTAACCAGGCTAACTACAAAACAAAAAACAAACAACAACAACAAAAGAAAACAGAGATAGAGAGAGATGATCCAAATAAATAAAATCAGAAATGAAAAAGGAGATGCTACAACTGATACTGCAGAAATTCAAAGGATCACTAGTGGCTACTATAAGCAACTACATGCCAATTAATCGGAAAATCTAGAAGAAATGAACAAATTCCTAGATATATACAATCTACCAAGGTTGAAATAGGAAGAAATTTAAAACCAGAACAGACCAAATACAAGTAACAAGATTGAAGCCATAATAAATAATAAAAATCTTTCAGTTAAAAAAAAAACCCAGGGACTGATGCCTTCACTATTGAATTCTACCAAACATTTTAAGAAGAACTAATACAAATCCTAATTAAACTATTTTTTAAAGTAGAGGAGGATGGAATACTTTCAAACTAATTACATGAGGTCAGCATTACTCTGATACCAAAGACATTGAAAAACAGTAAACCACAAGCAAATATCTCTGATAAATATTGATGCAAAAATCCTCAACAAAATACTAGCAAACCAATTCAACAATACATTAAAAAGATCATTCATCATGACAGAGTGAGATTTACCCCTAGAATGCAAGGATAGTTCAACATACACAAATCAATCAATGTGATACAGTGAATCAACAGAGTGAAGGACAAAAACCATAAGATCATTTCAATTAATGCTGGAAAAGCATTTGATAAAGCTCAACATCCCTTTATGGTAAAAACATTGAAAAACGGAATATAAAAGGAACATAGCTCAACATAATGAAAGCCATATATGATAGACCCATAGCTAGTATCATACTGAATATGGGGAAAAAAATGAAAAACCTTTCCTCTTAGATATGGAACACCACAAGGAGGCCCACTGTCATAAGTTATTCAACCTAGTACTGAAAGTCCTAGCAGGAGCAGTCAGACAACAGAAAGAAATAAAGGGTATCCAAGGCTGGGCATGGTGGCTCAGGCCTGTAATCCCAGCACTTTGGGAGGCCAAGGTTGGAAGATCACAAGGTCAAGAGATCAAGACCATCCTGGCCAACATGGTGAAACTCCATCTTTACTAAAAATACAAAAGTTAGCAGGGTGTGGTGGCACATGCCTGTAGTCCCAGCTACTCGGGAGGTTGAGGCAGAAGGATTGCTTGAACCTGGGAGGCAGAGACTGCAGTGAGCCGAGATTGCACCACTGCACTCCAGCCTGGCGATGGAGCAAGACTCCATCTCAAAAACAAAAAGAAAAGAAATAAAGGGCATCCAAATTGGAAGGAAATAAGTCAAATTATCTTTGTTTATAGATAATATTATATATTTGGAAAAACTGAAAGATGCCACCAAAAAACTATTAGAACTGATAAATTCAGTAAATTTGCAGGATACAAAATCAACAAACAAAAATCAGTAGTATTTCTAAATGTTAACAGTGAACAACGTGAAAATGAAATTTAAAAAGTAATTCCATTTACAATAGCCACACATAAAATTAAATACCTAGGAATTAACTTCACCTAAGAAGTGAAAGATCTCCACTATGAAAACTATAAAATATTGATAAAATAAATTGAAGAGGACAAAACATAAGGAAAAAAACACTTCATGTTCATAAATTGGAAGAATCAATATTTTTTAAATGTTCATACTACCCAAAGCAATCTACAGATTCAATGACGTTTTTCACAGAAATAGAAAATTTGATCCTAAAATCCATATGGAACCAAAAACACCCAGAATAGACAAATCTACCTGAAGCAAATAAAATTTTTTTTAAAAGCTTAAGGAATTACATTACCTGTCTTCAACTTCTGCTACAAAGTGATAGTAACCAAAACAGCACAGTTCTGGCATAAAAGGAGACATGTAGACCAACGGAAAAGAAAAGAGAACCTAGAATCAAAGCCACATACCTACAGAGAATTCATTTTTGACAAAGTTGCCAAGAACATACACTCAGTAAAAGACAGTCACTTCAGTAAATGACAATAGGAAAACCAAATATCCATTTGCAGAGTAAAACTAGACCTCTATCTCTCAGTATGTACAAAAATCAAATCCAAATGGATTAAAGACTTAAATCTAAGATATCAAACTGTGAAACAACTACAAGAAAACATTGGGGAAAATCTCTAGGAATTTGTCTGGGCAAAAATTTCTTGAGCGATGATAGCCCACAAGCGCAGGCAACCAACGCAAAAATTGACAAATAGGATCACATCAAGTTAAAAAGCTTGTCCAGAACAAAGGATACAATCATCAAAGTGAAGACACTACCCACAGACCACAACCCACAGGAGAAAATATTTGAAAACTGCCTATCAGACCAAAGGATTCATAATCAGAATATATAAGCAGCCCAAATAACCCTACAGAAAGAAATCTAATAATCTAATTAAAACATAGGCAAAATATTCAAATAAACATTTCTCAAAAATGACATATAAATAGTAAACAGGCATATGAAAAGGTGCTCAATATCAATAATAATCAGAGAAATGCAAATTAAAATGACAATGGTATGTCATCTCCCCCTAGTTAAAATGGCTTGTATTCAAAAGACAGGCAAGAACACATGCTGGCAAGGATGTAAAGAAAATCTACATTTCTATGGAGGGTGGAGCCAAGATGGCCGAATAGGAACAGCTCCAGTCTACAGCTCCCAGCCTGAGTGACGCAGAAGACAGGAGATTTCTGCATTTCCAACTAAGGGACGGGGTTCATCTCACTGGAGAGTGTCAGAAAGTGGGTGCAGGACAGTGGGTGCAGCTCACCCAGCATGAGCTGAAGCAGCGCAAAGCATCGTCTCACCTGGGAGGCACAAGGGGTCAGGGAATTCCCTTTCTTAGTCCAAGAAAGAGGTGACAGATGGCACTGGGAAAACAGGGTCACTCACACTCTAATATTGCGCTTTTCCAACAGTCTTAGTAAACGCCACACCAGGAGATTATATCCCACGCCTGTCTAGGATGGGTCCTATGCCCACGGAGCCTCACTCATTGCTAGACAGCAGTCTGAGATCAAACTGCAAGGCAGCAGCGAGGCTGGGGGAGGGGCACCCGCCATTGCCGAGACTTGAGTAGGTAAACAAAGCTGCCAGGAAGCTCCATCTGGGTGGAGCCCACCGCAGCTCAAGGAGGCCTGCCTGCCTCTGTAGACTCCACCTCTGGGGACAGGGCATAGCCAAACAAAAGGCAGCAGAATCCTCTGCAGACTTAAATGTCCCTGTCTGACAGCTTTGAAGAGACTAGTGGTTCTCCCAGCATGCAGCTGGAGATCTGAGAACGGACAGACTGCCTCCTCAAGTGGGTCCCTGAACCCTGAATAGCCTAACTGGGAGGCACCCCCCAGTAGGGGCAGACTGACACCTCACGTGGCTGGGTACTCCTCTGAGACAAAACTTCCAGAGGAACGATCTGACAGCAACATCTGCTGTTCACCAATATCCACTGTTCTGCAGCCTCTGCTGCTGATACCCAGGCAGACAGCGTCTGGAGTGGACCTCCAGCAAAATCCAACAGACCTGCAGCTGAGGGTCCTGACTGTTAGAAGGAAAACTAACAAACAGAAAGGACATACACACCAAAAACCCATCTGTACATCACCATCATCAAAGACCAAAGGTAGGTAAAAACACAAAGATGGGGAAAAAGCAGAGCAGAAAAACTGGAAACTCTAAAAATCAGAGCGCCTTTCCTCCTCCAAAGGAATGCAGCTCCTCACCAGCAATGGAACAAAGCTGGACAGAGAATGACTTTGATGAGTTGAGAGAAAAAGGATTCAGATGATCAAACTACTCCGAGCTAAAGGAGGAAGTTCCAACCCATGGCAAAGAAGTTAAAAACTTTGAAAAAAATTAGACAAATGGCTAACTAGAGAAACCAATGCAGAGAAGTCCTTAAAGGACCTGATGGAGCTGAAAACCAAAGCATAAGAACTACGTGACAAATGCACAAGCCTCAGTAGCTGATTCAATCAACTGGAAGAAAGGGTATCAGTGATGGAAGATCAAATGAATGAAATGGAGTGAGAAGTTTAGAGAAAAAAGAATAGAAAGAAACGAACAAAGCCTCCAAGAAATATGGGACTACGTGAAAACACCAAATCTATGTCCGATTGGTGTACCTGAAAGTGACAGGGAGAATCGAACCAAGTTAGAAAACACTCTGCAGGATATTATCCAGGAGAACTTCCCCAATCTAGAAAGGCAGGCCAACATTCAAATTCAGGAAATACAGAGAATGCCACAAAGATACTCCTCAAGAAGAGCAACTCCAAGACACATAATTGTCAGATTCACCAAAGTTGAAACGAAGGAAAAAATGTTAAGGGCAGCCAGAGAGAAAGGTCGGGTTACCCACAAAGGGAAGCCCATCAGACTAACAGCAGATCTCTAGGTAGAAACTCTACAAGCCAGAAGAGAGTGGGGGCCAATATTCAACATTCTTAAAGAAAAGAATTTTCAACCCAGAATTTCATATCCAGCCAAACTAAGCTTCATAAGTGAAGGAGAAATAAAATCCATTACAGACAAGCAAATGCTGAGAGATTTTGTCACCACCAGGCCTGCCCTAAAAGAGCTCCTGAAGGAAGCACTAAACATGGAAAGGAACAACCGGTACCAGCCACTGCAAAAACATGCCAAATTTTAAAGACCATCGAGGCTAGGAAGAAACTGAATCAATTAATGGGCAAAATAACCAGCTAAGATCATAATGACAGGATCAAATTCACACATAACGATATTAATCTTAAATGTAAATGGGCTAAATGTCCCAATTAAAAGACACAGACTGGCAAATTGGATGAAGAGTCAAGACCCATCAATGTGCTGTACTCAGGAAACCCATCTCACATGCGGAGACACACATAGGCTCAAAATAAAGGGATGGAGGAAGATCTACCAAGCAAATGGAAAACAAAAAAAGGTAGGGCTTGCAATCCTAGTCTCTGATAAAACAGACTTTAAACCAACAAAGATCAAAAGAGACAAAGAAGGCCATTACATAATGGTAAAGGGATCAATTCAACAAGAAGAGCCAACTATCCTAAATGTATATGCACCCAATACAGGAGCACCCAGATTCATAGAGCAAGTCCTCAGAGACCTACTAAGAGACTTAGACTCCCACACAATAATAATGGGAGACTTTAACACACCACTGTCAACATTAGACAGATCAACGAGACAGAAAGTTAACAAGGATATCCAGGAATTGAACTCAGCTCTGGACCAAGCGGACCTAATAGATATCTACAGCACTCCCCACCCCAAATCAACAGAATGTACATTCTTTTCAGCACCACACCGCAACTATTCCAAAATTGACCACATAGTTGGAAGTAAAACACTCTTCAGCAAAAGAACAGAAATTATAACAAACTGTCTCTCAGACCACAGTGCAATCAAACTAGAACTCGGGATTAAGAAATTCACTCAAAACCACTCAACTACATGGAAACTGAACAACCTGCTCCTGAATGACTACTGGGTACATAACGAAATGAAGGCAGAAATAAAGATGTTCCTTGAAATCACCGAGAACACAGACAACATACCAGAATCTCTGGGACACATTCAAAGCAGTGTGTAGAGGGAAATTTACAGCACTAAATGCTCATAAGAGAAAGCAGGAAAGATCTAAAATTGACACCCTAACATCACAGTTAAAAGAACTAGAGAAGCAAGAGCAAACACATTCAAAAGCTAGCAGAAGGCAAGAAATAACTAAGATCAGAGCAGAACTGAAGGAAATAGAGACACAAAAAAAACCCTCAAAAAATCAATGAATCCAGGAGCTGGTTTTTTGAAAAGATCAACAAAATTGATAGACCACTAGCAAGACTAATAAAGAAGAAAAGAGGGAAGAATCAAATAGACGTACTAAAAAATGATAAAGGGGATATCACCACTGATCCCACAGAAATACAAACTACCATCAGAGAATACTATAAACACCTCTACACAAATAAACTAGAAAATCTAGAAGAAATGGATAAATTCCTTGACACATACACCCTCCCAAGACTAAACCAGGAAGAAGTTGAATCTCTGAAAAGAACAATAACAGGCTCCGAAATTGAGGCAATAATTAGTAGCCTGCCAACCAAAAAAAAGTCCAGGACCAGATGGATTCACAGCCGAATTCTACCAGAGGTACAAGGAGGAGCTGGTACCATTCCTTCTGAAACTATTTCAATCAATAGAAAAAGAGGGAATCCTCCCTAACTCATCTTATGAGGCCAGCATCATCTTGACACAACAGACTGGCAGAGACCCAACAAAAAAAGAGGATTTTAGACGAATATCCGTGAGGAAAATCGATACAAAAATCCTCAATAAAATACTGGCAAACTGAATCCAGCAGCACATCGAAATGCTTATCCACCATGATCAAGTGGGCTTCATCCCTGGGATGCAAGGCTTGTTCAACATATGCAAATCAATAAATGTAATCCAGCATATAAACAGAGCCTACAACAAAAACCAAATGATTATCTCAATAGATGCAGAAAAAGCCTTTCACAAAATTCAACAACCTTCATGCTAAAAACTCTTGATAAATTCGGTATTGATGGGACGTATCTCAACAAAATAGGAGCTATCTATGACAAACCCACAGCCAATATCATACTGAATGGGCAAAAATGGAAGCATTCCCTTTGAAAACTGGCACAAGACAGGGTTGCCCTCTCTCACCACTCCTATTCAACAAAGTGTTGGAAGTTCTTGCCAGGGAAATCAGGCAGGAGAAGGAAATAAAGGGTATTCAATTAGGAAAAGAGGAAGTCAAATTGTCCCTGTGTGCAGATAACATGATTGTATATCTAGAAAACCCCATCGTCTCAGCCCCAAATCCCCTTAAGCTGATAGGTAACTTCAGCAAAGTCTCAGGATACAAAATCAATGTGCAGAAATCACAAGCATTCTTATACACCAATAACAGACAAACAGAGAGTCAAATCATGAGTGAACCCCCATTCACAACTGCTTCAAAGAGAATAAAATACCTAGGAATCCAACTTACAAGGGACGTGAAGGACCTCTTCAAGGAGAACTACAAACCACTGCTCAATGAAATAAAAGAGGATACAAACAAATGGAAGAACATTCCATGCTCATGGGTAGGAAGAATCAATATCATGAAAATGGCCATACTGCGCAAGGTAATTTATAGATTCAATGCCATCCCCATCAAGCTACCAACGACTTTCTTCACAGAATTGGAAAAAACTACTTTAAAGTTCATATGGAACCAAAAAAGAGCCTGCATTGCCAAGTATCAGGGGACCTGCCCTGATAATCACGTAGGTTATTTTCTATTTTCCTAAGCGTCGGCTGGCTTGAGAAATAAAAGGACAGAGTACAAAAGAGAGAAATGTTAAAGCTGGGCGTCCGGGGGAGACATCACACGTTGGTAGGATCCGTGATGCCCCACAAGCCACAAAAACCAGCAAGTTTTTATTAGGCAGTTTCAAAAGGGGAGGGAGTATACGAATAGGTGTGGGTGACAGATATCAAGTACTTAACAGGGTAATAGAATCTAACAAGGCAAGTGGAGGCAGGGGGAGATCACAGGACCACAGGATGGAGGCGTAATTAAAATTGCTAATGAAGTTTTGGGCACCATTGTCATTGATAACATCTTATCAGGAGACAGGGTTTTGAGATCAACTGGTCTGACCAAAATTCATTAGGCGGGAATTTCCTCTTCCTAATAAGCCTAGGAGCACTATGGGAGACTGGAGTTTATTTCACCTCTGCAATCTCGACCATAAGAGACCAGTTCAGAGACCTACCCCTAGGTGCCCATTCTCTTTCTCAGGGATATCCCATGCTGAGAAAAAGAATTCAGCGATATTTCTCCCTTTTGCTTTTCAAAGAAGAGAAATATGGCTCTGTTCTGCCCGGCTCACTGGCGGTCAGAGTTTAAGGTTCTCTCTCTTATTCCCTGAACAATTGCTGTTATCCTGTTCTTTTTTCAGGGTGCCCACATTTCATATTGCTCAAACACACATGCTGTACAATTTGTGTAGTTAACCCAATTATTACAGGGTCCTGAGATGATATACATCCTTCTCGGCTGACAGGATTAAGAGATTAAAGTAAAGACAGGCATAGGAAATCACAAGCATATTGATTGGGGAAGTGATAATTGTCCATGAAATCTTTACAATTTCTGTTTAGAGATTGCATTAAAGACAGGCATAAGAAATTACAAAAGTATTAATTTGGGGAACTAATAAATGTCCATACAATCTTCACAATCCACATGCTTCTGTCATGGCTTCAGCCGGTCCCTCCGTTTGGGGTCCCTGACTTTCCGCAACAGCCAAGTCAATCTTAAGCCAAAAGAACAAAGCTGGAGGCATCATGCTACCTGACTTCAATCTATACTACAAGGCTACAGAATCCAAAACAGTATGATACTGGTATCAAAACAGAGATATAGATCAATGGAACAGAACAGAGCCCTCAGAAATAATGCCGCATATCTACAACCATATGATCTTTGACAAACCTGACAAAAACGAGAAATGGGGAAAGGATTCCCTATTTAATAAATGGTGCTGGGAAAACTGGCTAGCCATATGTAGAAAGCTGAAACTGGATCCCTTCCTTACACCTTATACAAAAATTAATTCAAGATGGATTAAAGACTTACACCTAAAACCATAAAAACCCTAGAAGAAAACCTAGGCAATACCATTCAGGACATAGGCATGGGCAAGGACTTCATGTCTAAAACACCAAAAGCAATGGCAACAAAAGCCAAAATTGACAAATGGGATCTAATTAAACCCAAGAGCTTCTGCACAGCAAAAGAAATTACCATCAGAGTGAACAGGCAACATATAGAATGGGAGAAAATTTTTGCAATCTACTCATCTGACAAAGGGCTAATATCCAGAATCTACAATGAACTCAAACAAATTTACAAGAAAAAAACAAACAAACCCCATCAAAAAGTGGGCAAAGGATATGAACAGACACTTCTCAATAGAAGACATCTATGCAGCCAAAAGACACATGAAAAAATGCTCATCATCACTGGCCATCAGAGAAATGCAAATCAAAACCACAATGAGATACCATCTCACACCAGTTAGAATGGCGATCATTAAAAAGGCAGGAAACAACAGGTGCTGGAGAGGATGTGGAGAAATAGGAACACTTTTACACTGTTGGTGGGACTGTAAACTAGTTCAACCATTGTGGAAGTCAGTGTGGTGATTCCTCAGGGATCTAGAACTGGAAATACCATTTGACCCAGCCATCCCATTACTGGGTATATCCCCAAAGGATTATAAATCATGCTGCTATAAAGACACATGCACATGTATGTTTATTGCAGCACTATTCACAATAACAAAGACTTGGAACCAACCCAAAAGTCCAACAATGATAGACTGGATTAAGAAAATGTGACACATATACAGCATGGAATACTATGCAGCCATAAAAAATGATGAGTTCATGTCCTTTGTAGGGACATGGATGAAGCTGGAAGAAACCATCATTCTCAGCAAACTATCGCAAGGACAAAAAACCAAATGCTGCATGTTCTCACTCATAGGTGGGAACTGAACAATGAGAACACATGGACCCAGGAAAGGGAACATCACACACTGGGGCCTGTTCTGGGGTCGGGGGAGAGGGGAGGGATAGCATTGGGAGATATACCTAATATTAAATGACAAGTTAATGAGTTCAGCACACCAACATGGCACATGTATACATACGTAACTAACCTGCACATTGTGCACATGTACCCTAAAACTTAAAGTATAATAAAAAAAAAAGAAAATTTACATTATGCATAAATATAGATTTGTGTAAAAAAAGTCACTGCAGAGCAGTAAAAAAAGGACATTTTTCATTAAATGATGCTGTCATGTTGGATATCTATATATATAGATGATTATAAAATGCTCTTTATCACACACCATACACAAATAGCAATTCCACATTGGTTATAGCAATATAGTAAAGAAAAAATAATAAAGCTTAACAAGTAATGTAGAATAGTTTTTGATCAATCAGTAGGTAAATATTTTGAAAGAACTTAACAAGAAATAAACACAAATTAAAAGATTGTTACATTTACCTACGTCATTAAGGCCTTAACTCTTTGCCAGTCCAAGATGTTGGATTAGAGGGAGCGTCAGCAGGCCTCTCCCACTTGGGAAGAAAAAGTAGGTTTTAGATATTTAACTGTGAACTTTTGTTCCAAGAAGCAATGCAGGAACATAACAGGAAAACTGAAATCCAGAGACACTTTGAAAGAAGTTGCAGGCTTCGCCTATATCTTGAGCCGGGAGAAAAACTGTAAGTCCCAGAGTTTGAGAGAGGGAGAGACTGCCTCCAGGATATACACCCTCAAAGGAGAACCTGGAAAACCAGGCCATGGGGGAAAGCCCTACCCAGCACTAGAACTGATTTAGAGAGTGGTGAGGAATCTAAAAGTGGAAGTGGCAGCAGGAAGAGCCTCACATGCATTTCCAGTGTCCAACATAGACCAAGAGAAGCCATTCCTTATTATGCCTCACAGGAACCTCATAAATGTCTCCCAACTAACTCAGACAGCAATCACAGGTTGAAAAAAGTCCCCAGCTGAATTCCACAGTATAGCCTTGAATGGAGAGCACTCCCTTGGCCAGAACCAAGGAATGAGTGGGAGGGAAGTATGCTGCAGCCAGGAGCTGGGTGTCCTAGCTGTGTGGGTGGATTGGGAGGGGCATGGCCTGAAACCTGTGGTTGCTATCTCTGTGAAGAAAGTTTATGGCCTGGGCAGTTGTGAATTATGAGTGTAGACAGCCTGCAACTTAGCTTTCTGCTGCAGGTGGAAAACTACTGGTGTGAGACCTGCCTTGTCAAGTATCTGGGAGCTGGGTGAGGCTTACTGCCACCTGCTACTACAAACTGCCTGCATGAACTCTTCTGTTCAGCAGAAGCAGCTATGTTCCTCTATAAAACATTACGACAGTGGTCAGATAACTGCCTTGTAACTCCCATAGGAGTTGCTGATTGCCCCACAGGCAGAGAGCCAGGGTACAAACCTGCCTGACCCAGCCCCCATCTGGCTTTGCCCCTCTAACCACCATGGTAGCTTAACACAAAGGATAGAATCTTTCGGGAGCTTTATAGCCCTGCTCATCACCTGAGAAACCAGAGTACCTCCCCAGGGTAACATAAGGCAACCAGAAATCCCATAACTATCATTGTAGCTTGTGTTCTTTTGTAAGTACCACCTCCTGGCTGGAGGCCAACCAGCCAACCAAATGGACTGTGTAGTCCATTATAGCATCTTCAAGTAGAATAACACTGTTCCCAGAAAGAAGAAAACTCATGTGCAACTTCTGCTATCGCCATTGCCTGCATCACCCTGGCCAACCAGGAGGTCCTGAGTCTGTCCACATGACCAGTTCATCACCACTACAACGCACAACTGAGAAAGCCAGCACACTAAGGCTACCTATAACCAAGGAGTCTCACAGTCTCTGTCACTCCCCTGCCACCACCATTAGGGCTGGTGCTGGTACCAGTTGCTGGGGGATATTAAGGACATGTACATCACCACATCCCTTGTAGACATTCCCCAGGACTAGCCTGGAGTATGGCAACTTCACTGGGTAGCTAGACTCAGGGGAGCAATGGCATTCACAGTAGTAGGGCTCTCAGGGATTCCCACTCCTAGAGGAATGGGGAGGGTACCACATCAAGGGAACATGCCTGGGACAAAATAATCCAAACAGCAGGACTTGAGTCCCAGATCTTTCTCCTGGTGGGAAGTTTCTTTCAGGAGAGGCATAGTTGCAGTGCCAGGCTCAGTGGGGAATGTCTGCAGCCCAGGAGCTCTACCCCAACACTCAGGCAGTCCTGGTGCTTGTGAAGGGTCTTGGAGAAGGAAACTTTTTTCTCCCTTATCCACCACTGTGGACACAGCTGTGGTTTTTTCCAAGAGCTCAGCATGGGTGCACTTAGAGACAGCCTTTCTGGAACACTTCAGGGTGACATCATCCCCACAGAAGGAGCAACCTCCAAATGCAGGTTGCTTTGCATGAGAGGTAGAGTCACAATTCCTCTCTACTTGGAACATCAACATTCCTGCAGATAAAAATATGTGACTGTCTAATCTGAATAGCTGGAACACTAGGTGAAGAGTGTGTCTAGGTGATGGATAGCTTTTCTGCTGCCCTGGTAGGGAAGCTGAGGTAGATCCAGTCCTTCCCTCTTAAAAGACCTCAGTGCATTTTGCTGAGAGCTTCCCTAGCCACCTCTGTCAAGGCTGGGACCTCTGCCCACCATTGGGTATTGCATTTACCCATCTACTTTAGCCATAGCCAGTTTTTACCCATGGACATACCCCTTATTGGCCTGAAATAGTCAACCCAGTAAATAAAATACTGGGGAACAAATAAATAAATTAATAAGTACACAAAATAGGGGAATGAGTTAAGCTTCAAGAGATTTCTGCCATTGCAACCCTATAGAAAACAGTGAACTTGTTCATACACTGAGCACATTGTTACTACAATCATCATCCATCATACGAAAACTCTCTATAACCAAGGAACTTATATAGAGTCTTCACCCCTGAAGGAACCAAGAGCCAAATTAGGCTACAATAAACTATAAATATGAAAGTCACATTCTTGGGGGTGGGGACAAGAAAATTTTTAAAACCCGCAATTAAATACAAAATACATCCAGACTAATTAGAAGAAATAGTCTACACATGTAAGAAGAAATCAGAAAAAATAATTTTAGTAATATGACAAGAAAGGGTTCTATAACAACCCCAAAAGATTACACCAGCCCTGCAGCAATAAATACAAACCAAAATGAAATATTTGAAATACCAGATAAAGAATTTTTAAGGTTGATTGTTAAGCTACTCAAGGGGATAACAAAAGAAAGTGAAAACCTGCTTTTTAAAAAAAAAATTCAAGATATGAATGAAAAATTTGCAAAAGAGATAGATATCTTAAAGCAAAACCAATCAGAAATTCCAGAAATGAAAGACATAGGAAATTACAAAATGCAGTGGAAAGTTTCAACAATAAACTAAAACAAGTAGAAGAAAGAATTTCTGAGCTAGAAGAAAAGACTTTTGAATTGACCCAATCAGACAAAAATTAAAAGAATCAAAAGAAAGGAGCAAAGTTTCCAACAAATGTGAGATTATGTAAAATGGTTAAACCTAAAATTAATTGGTGTTACTGAGGGAGAAGAAAAAGCAAAAAGTTTGGAAAACTTATTTGAGTGAATAATTGAGGAAAACTTCCCTGATCTTGCTAGAGATTTAGATATTCAAATATAAGAAGCTCAAAGAACTCCTGTGAGACTCATTAGAAAAAGATGATCACCAAGACATAGTCAACAGGCTATAAAAAGTCAACATGAAGGAAATAAGTCTAAAAGCCGTGAGACAAAATCATCAGGTAACCTATAAAGTAAAACATATCAGAGACTAACAGCAGACTTCTCAGCAGAAACCTTACAAGCCAGAAGGGATAGGAGTCCTATTGTTAGCCTCCCTAAACAGAATAACTGTCAGCCAGGAATTTTGTAGCCAGCCAAACCAACTTTCATAAACAAAGGAGATATAAAGTCATTTTCAGACAAAGAAATGCTGAGGAAATTTATTACCAGGTCATTCCTACAAGGAATGATAAGAGGAGTTCTAAATCTTGAAACAAAAGCTTGATATACACAAAAATGGAATCTCTTGAAAGCATTAAACTCACAATGCCTATAAAAAAAGACATGATAAAAAAACAAAGCATCTAGACAAAATTTAACATGATAAATGGAACAATATCTCACATGTCAATATTAATGTTAAATATAAATGACCTAAATGCTCCACTTAAAATGTGTAGACTGACAGAATGGATAAAGAATCACAAACCAAATATCTGCCGTCTTCAAGAGATTCAACTAACATGTAAGAATTCCTATAAACTCAAGGTAAAAGGGTGGAAAAAGCAGGAAAATAGCTACTCCTGCTCACAAATGGAGACCAAAAGTGAGCAGGAGTAGCTATTCTTTTATCAGATAAAACAAACTTTAAAACAACAACAGTAAAAAAAGACAAAGAAAGTCATTATATAATGATAAAAGGATCAGTCCAACAAGAAGATATCACAATCTTAAATAGCACTAGACAGACCATCAAGACAGAAAGTTAGCAAAGAAATAATGGGCTTCAACTACATTCCAGAACAAATGGACCTAATAGATATTTACAGAACATTCTACCCAAGAACTGCAGAATATACATTCTTCTCATCAGAACGTAGAACATTCTCCAAGACAGACTATATGATAGGTCACAAAACAAATCTCAATAAACTTTTAAAAATTAAACTCATATCAAGTGTCTTCTCACACAAGAGTGGAATAAAACTAGAAATCAACCCCAAAAGGAACCCTCAAAACTATACATATACAGGAAAATTAAACAAACTTCTCCTTGATGATTTTTGGTTTCATGATGAAATCAAGGTGGAAATTCAAAAGTTATTTGAAATGAATGATAATAGTGACACAAGTAATCAAAACCTCTGGTATACAGCAAAAGCAGGAAATTTTTTTTATTATAAAAAAAGATGAAATTTTTTTTATTATACTTTAAGTTTTAGGGTACATGTGCACAATGTGCAGGTTTGTTACATATGTATACATGTGCCATGTTGGTGTGCTGCACCCATTAACTCGTCATTTAGCATTAGGTATATCTCCTAATGCTATCCCTCCCTCCTCCCCCAACTCCACAACAGTCCCTGGTGTGTGATGTTCCCCTTCCTGTGTCCATGTGTTCTCATTGTTCAATTCCCACCTATGATTGAGAACATGCGGGGTTTGGTTTTTTGGCCTTGCAATAGTTTGCTGAGAATGATGGTTTCCAGTTTCATCCATCTCCCTACAAAGGACATGAACTCATCATTTTTTATGGCTGCATAGTATTCCATGGTGTATATGTGTCACATTTTCTTGATCCAGTCTATCATTGTTGGACATTTGGGTAGGTTCCAAGTCTTTGCTATTGTGAATACTGCTGCAATAAACATACGTGTGCATATGTCTTTATACCAGCATGATTTATAACCCTTTGGGGATATACCCAGTAATGGGATGGCTGGGTCAAATGGTATTTCTAGTTCTAGATCCCTGAGGAATTGCCACACTGACTTCCACAATGGTTGAACTAGTTTACAGTCCCACCAACAGTGTAAAAGTGTTCCTATTTCTCCACATCCTCTCCAGCACCTGTTGTTTCCTGCCTTTTTAATGATTGCCATTCTAACTGGTGTGAGATGGTATCTCATTGTGGTTTTGATTTGCATTTTTCTGATGGCCAGTGATGATGAGCATTTTTTCATGTGTCTTTTGGCTGCATAAATGTCTTCTTTTGAGAAGTATCTGTTCATATCTTTCACCCACTTTTTGATGGGGTTGTTTTTTTTTTTCTTGTAAATTTGTTTGAGTTCATTGTAGATTCTGGATATTAGCCCTTTGTCAGATGAGTAGATTGCAAAAATTTTCTCCCATTCTGTATGTTGCCTGTTCACTCTGATGGTAATTTCTTTTGCTGTGCAGAAGCTCTTGAGTTTAATCAGATCCCATTTGTCAATTTTGGCTTTTGTTGCCATTGCTATTGGTGTTTCAGACATGAAGTCCTTGCCATGCCTATGACCGGAATGGTATTGCCTAGGTTTTCTTCTAGGGTTTTTATGGTTTTAGGTGTAACATTTAAGTCTTTAATCCATCTTGAATTAATTTTTGTATAAGGTGTAAGGAAGGGATCCAGTTTCAGCTTTCTACATATGGCTAGCCAGTTTTCCCAGCACCATTTATTAAATAGGGAATCCTTTACCCATTGCTTGTTTTTGTCAGGTTTGTCAAAGATCATATGGTTCTAGATATGCGGCATTATTTCTGAGAGCTCTGTTCTGTTCCATTGATCTATATCTCTGTTTTGGTACCAGTACCATGCTGCTTTGGTTACTGTAGCCTTGTAGTATAGTTTGAAGTCAGGTAGCATGATGCCTCCAGCTTTGTTCTTTTGGCTTAAGATTGGCTTGGTGATGCGGGCTCTTTTTTGGTTCCATATGAACTTTAAAGTAGTTTTTTCCAATTCTGTGAAGAAAGTCATTGGTAGCTTGATGGGGATGGCATTGAATCTATAAATTACCTTGGGCAGTATGGCCATTTTCACGATATTGATTCTTCCTACCCATGAGCATGGAATGTTCTTCCATTTGTTTGTGTCCTCTTTTATTTCATTGAGCAGTGGTTTGTAGTTCTCCTTGAAGAGGTCCTTCTCATCCCTTGTAAGCTGGATTCCTAGGTATTTTATTCTCTTTGAAGCAATTGTGAATGAGAGTTCACTCATGATTTGGCTCTCTGTTTGTCTGTTATTGGTGTATAAGAATGCTTGTGATTTTTGTACATTGATTTTGTATCCTGAGACTTTGCTGAAGTTGCTTATCAGCTTAAGGAGATTTTGGGCTGAGACAATGGGGTTTTCTAGATATACAATCATATCATCTGCAAACAGGGACAATTTGACTTCCTCTTTTCCTAATTGAATACCCTTTATTTCCTTCTCCTGCCTAATTGCCCTGTCCAGAACTTCCAACACTATGTTGAATAGGAGTGGTGACAGAGGGCATCCCTGTCTTGTGCCAGTTTTCAAAGGGAATGCTTCCAGTTTTTGCCCATTCAGTGTGATATTGGCTGTGGGTTTGTCATAGATAGCTCTTATTATTTTGAGATACTTGTCATCAATACCTAATTTATTGAGAGTTTTTAGCATGAAGGATTGTTGAATTTAATCAAAGACCTTTTCTGCATCTGTTGAGATAATCATGTGGTTTTTGTCTTTGGTTCTGTTTATATGCTGGATTACATTTATTGATTTGTGTATGTTGAACCAGCCTTGTATCCCAGGGATGAAGCCCACTTGATCATGGCTCAAAATAAAGGGATGGAGGAAGATCTACCAAGCAAATGGAAAACAAAAAAAGGTAGGGCTTGCAATCCTAGTCTCTAATAAAACAGACTTTAAACCAACAAAGATCAAAGGAGACAAAGAAGGCCATTACATAATGGTAAAGGGATCAATTCAACAAGAAGAGCTAACTATCCTAAGTATATATGCACCCAATACAGGAGCACCCAGATTCATAGAGCAAGTCCTCAGAGACCTACTAAGAGACTTAGACTCCCACACAATAATAATGGGAGACTTTAACACACCACTGTCAACATTAGACAGATCAACGAGACAGAAAGTTAACAAGGATACCCAGGAACTGAACTCAGCTCTGCACCAAGTGGACCTAATAGACATCTACAGAACTCTCCACCCCAAATCAACAGAATATACATTCTTTTCAGCACCACACCACACCTATTCCAAAATTGACCACATAGTTGGAAGCAAAGCACTCCTCAGCAAATGTAAAAGAACAGAAATTATAACAAACTGTCTCTCAGACCACAGTGCAATCAAACTAGAACTCAGGATTAAGAAATTCACTCAAGACCACTCAACTACATGGAAACTGAACAACCTGCTCCTGAATGACTACTGGGTACATAACGAAATGAAGGCAGAAATAAAGATGTTCTTTGAAACCAACGAGAACAAAGACACAACATACCAGAATCTCTGGGACACATTCAAAGCAGTGTGTAGAGGGAAATTTATAGCACTAAATGCCCACAAGAGAAAGCAGGAAAGATCCAAAATTGACACCCTAAAATCACAATTAAAAGAACTAGAAAAGCAAGAGCAAACACATTCAAAAGCTAGCAGAAGGCAAGAAATAACTAAAATCAGAGCAGAACTGAAGGAAATAGAGACACAAAAAAACCCTTCAAAAAATCAATGAATCCAGGAGCTGGTTTTTTGAAAAGATCAACAAAATTGATAGACTGCTAGCAAGACTAATAAAGAAGAAATGAGAGAAGAATGAAATAGATACAATAAAAAATGATAAAAGGGATATCACCACCGATCCCACAGAAATACAAAATACCATCAGAGAATACTACAAACACCTCTACGCAAATAAACTAGAAAATCTAGAAGAAATGGATAAATTCCTCGACACATACACCCTCCCAAGACTAAACTGGGAAGAAGTTGAATCTCTGAATAGACCAATAACACGCTCTGAAATTGTGGCAATAATCAATAGCTTACCAACCAAAAAAAGTCCAGGACCAGATGGATTCACAGCCGAATTCTACCAGAGGTACAAGGAGGAGCTGGTACCATTCCTTCTGAAACTATTCCAATCAATAGAAAAAGAGAGAATCCTCCCTAACTCATTTTATGAGGCCAGCATCATCCTGATACCAAAGCCTGGCAGAGACACAACCAAAAAAGAGAATTTTAGACCAATATCCTTGATGAACATCGATGCAAAAATCCTCAATAAAATACTGGCAAACCGAATCCAGCAGCACGTCAAAAAGCTTATCTGCTAAGAGGAAATTTTATAGCACTAAGTGCGTATATCAAAAAGTCTGAAAGATCACAAATTGACAACCTACTGTCAAACTTCAAGGAACTAGAGAAGTAAGAACGCACTAAACCCAAATCTAGCAGAAGGAAAGAAATAAGAAATATCAGAGCAGAATTAAATGAAATTGAAACAAAAAAATACAAAAGATCAATGAAACAAAAGACTGGTTCTTTGAAAAGACAAAAAAGATTGATAAACCATTAGCCAGATTAACCAAGGAAACAAGAGAGAATATACAAATAAACTCAATTATAGATGAAACTAGAGACTTTACAACCAACACCACAGAAATACAAAAGATCATTTGAGACTCCTAGTTTGAAACACAAACCAGAAGACCTAGAGGAAATAGATAAATTCCTAGAAACATACAACTCTCCTAGATTAAATCAGGAAGAAATAGAAACCCTGAACAGACCAACAAAAAGCAGCAACACTGAATCAGTAATAAAAATAAATAAATAAATTGTCAACAACAACAAAAAAAATCCCAGGATCAGATGGATTCACAGCTGAACTCTGTCAGACATGGAAAGAAGAATTGATGTCAATCCTAATGAAATTATTCCAACAGATTAAGAAAGAGGGACTCTATAAATCATTCTATGAAGCCAGTACCATCTTGATACCAAAACCAGGAAATGATGTAACATAAAAATAAAACTACAGCCCAATATCCCTGATGAACATAGATGCAAAAATTCCCAGCAAAATACTAGCTAATCGAATCCAACAGTATATCAGAAAGATAATATATCATGATGAAGTGGGTTTTATTCCAGGGGTGCAGGAATGGCTTGACATATGCAAGTGAATTAATGTGATACATCACATAAACAGAATTAACAACAAAAACCATATGATCATCTTAATGGTTGCGAAAAAGCATGTGATAATATCCAGCATCTCCTTATGATAAAAACTCTCAACAAACTAGACATAGAAGGGGTTTACTTCAAATTAATAAAAGCCATATATGACAAATGCACAGCCAACATCATACAGAATGGGGAAAAGTTGAAAGCATTTCCCAAGAGAATTGGAACAAGACAAGGATGCCCACTTTCATCATTTCTGTTTAACATAGTACTTGAAGTCCTAGCTAGAGCAATCAGGCAAGAGAAAGAAAAAAAAAAGGCATTCATATTAGAAAAGTGGAAGTTGAACTGTTTGTTGATGATATGATCATATGCCTAGAAAACCCTCAAGATTCATCCAAAAGACTCCTAGATTTGATCAATAATTCAGTAAATACTCAAGTTTCAAATTCAATGTACACAAATCAGTAGCATTGCTATACACCAATGACCAAGTTGAGAATCAAATCAAGAATTCAATCCCTATTACAACAGCTGTGAAAAATAAAATAAAATAAAATAAAATAAAATACCTAGAAATATATATAACCAAGGAGGTGAAAGTCCTTTACAAGAGCTATAAATCACTGCTGAAAGAAATCACAGATGACACAAACAGAAAAACATCCCATACTAATGGCTTGGAGGAACCAATGCTGTAAAAATGATCATACTGCCCAAAGCAATCTATAGATTCAATACAATTTCCATTAAAAGACCAAAATTATTTTTCACAGAATTAGAAAAAAATCTAAAATTCATATGGAACCAAACAAGAGCCTGAATAGCCAAAGCAATCCTAAACAGAATGAACAAATCTGGAGGCATCACATTACAAGACTTCAAGTTATACTACAAGGCCATTGTTATCTAAACAGCATGGTACTGGTATAAAAGTAGGTGCAAAGAGCAATGGAACAGAATAGCGAACCCAGAAATAAAGCCAAATACATAAATACTTACAACTAACTGATATTTGACAAAGGATACAAAAACATACAGTGGAGAAAGGACATCCTATTTAATAAATGGTGCTGGAAAAACTCACTAGCCACATGCAGAAGCATGAAACTGGATCCCTGTCTCTCATCCTATACAAAAATCAACTCAAGATGGATGAAAGACTTTAAGACCTAAAACTATAAAAATTCTAGAAGATAACCTTGAAAATAACTTTTCTGGACATTGGCCTAGGCAAAGAATTTGTGACTAAAACTCAAAAAACAAATGCAACAAAAACAAAAATAAATAAATGGAAACTGATTAAAATTAAAAGCTTCTTTAGTACAAAAGAAATAATCATCAGAGTAAACAGATAACCCACAGAATGGGAGAAAATATTTACAAATTATGCATCTGACAAAGGATGACTATCCAGAATCTACAAGAAACACAAAGAAATCAGCCAGAAAATAATAATCCCATCAAAATGTGGGCAAATGACATAAAGAGACATTATTCAAAAGAAGATATACAAATGTCGCCAAATATATGATAGAAATGCTCAACATCACTAATCATTCGGGAAATGCAAATTAAAACCACAATGAGACATCACCCTACTCTTGCAAGGATGGCTTATTATTAAAAAGTCAAAAAACAATTGATGTTGGCATGGATATTATGAAAGAGGAATGCTTTTACACTACTGGTGGTAATGTAAATTAGTACAACCTTCATGGAAAACAGTATGAATATTCCTTAAAGAACTAAAAGTAGATCTACCATTCAATCCAGCCATCTCACTACTGGGTCTTTATTCAAAGGAAAAGAAGTCGTTATACAAAAAAGATACTTGCACATGCATGTTTATTGCAGCCTAATTCACAGTTGCAAAGATGTGATGAACCCAAGTGCCCACTGACCAATAAGTGAATAAAGAAAATGTAGTACATTTATACCGTGGAATACTACTCAACCATAAAAAGTAATAAAATAATGTCTTTTGCATCAACTTGGACAGAGCTGGATGCCATTATTCTAAGTGAAGTAACTTAGGAATGGAAAACCAAGTACAATGTTCTCATTTATTTACAAATGTTCTCATTTATAAGTGGGAGCTACATTATGAATATGCAAAGGCATACAGAATGATAAAATGGACTTTGGAGATTGATATGGTTTGGATCTGTGTCCCCACCCAAATCTCATGTCAAATTGTAATCCCAGTGTTGGAGGTGGGGCCTGATGAGAGGTGATTGGATCATGGAGGCAGAGTTCTCATGAATGGTTTAGCACCATCTCCTCAGTGCTGTTCTCATGATAGTGAATGAGTTATCACAAGATCTGGTTGTTTTAAAAGTTTGTAGTTCTTCCCCTGTCTCTTTTCCTTTTGCCCAGCCATGTGAAGACACCTGCTCCTGCTTTGCCTTATGCCATGAGTAAATTCTTCCTAAGGCCTCCCTGGAAGCAGATGCCGCCATGCTTCCTCTACAGCCTACAGATCTCTGAGCCAATTAAACCTTTTTTTTTTTTAATAAATTACCCAGTCTCAGGTATGTCTTTATAACAGTTTTAGAATGGACTAATATAAAGTCTCAAAAGGGGAAGGATAGGAGACAGATGTGGGATTAAAACTACATATTAGGCACAATGTACGCTACTCAGGTGACAGACGCAATAACATCTCAGAATTCACCACTATATAATTCATCCATGTAACCAAAAGCTACTTGTACCCCGAAAGCTATCATTTTTTTTATTAAAAAAAGAAACTCTTTGCCAAAGGACACGATTCAGAAAGTGAAGATGAATTTATAGAGTAGAAGAAGATATTTGAAATGCAGAACAAAAATTGTCAAGTGGCCGGTACTGGAAGGCATAAAGACTGACCAAAAGTAAGAAATCAGGCAACCTAATTAAAAAAAAAATATGAGAGACTTCAGCAGTCACGTCACAAAAGAGAATATACATAAAGGCCAATAAAATACATGAAATGATACTCAATTTCATTTCTAGCCAGTGATGGACAAAGTAAAGCTGCAATGAGATATCACTGGTAGACATCCACTCCACCAGAATGTCCAACATTAACATGATTGATAAGGGAATGGTTTTGCAATGGTGTGGAAGGAGAGAAACTATCCCCCTGCTAGTGGGGCTATAATTTGGTACTATATTAGAAAACCATTTGACAGTATCTAATATGTTAAACAGATATATTTTCCATGACTCAACAAATCCACAGGCATACATCCAACAGAACTCAAGGCCAGTATGCGCCAAGAAATATATTCGAGAATGTTCATGACAGCCCAAATGTCTGTTAACAGTAATATGTATAAATAGCATGTAATATTTTCATTCAGTGCATGCAAATAAAATACACAATGACAACAAGAAACTTCACAGGTTTTTGAAGCCAGTCACTTGTGTTGTACAATTCAATTTCTATAAAGTCCCACAAGTGGGAAAAACTGAAATACATTGCTTATGGATTCATGTTTTGGTGGTAAAATTATACTTAAAAGCAAGGAAATGTTACCATAATATTTATACTAAGGGTAAAGTTTTAGCGAGATTGGAAGGGATTGCAATTATGTAGGGGAATACTGAGACCTTTTTCTGGCTGGCTGTGCTTTCATTTGACCTAGGTAAAGATTACACCAGTGTTCCACTTATAATGATTAATGATGTCACCCATTTATATTTAACTGACTTTTCAGCATGCCAGTTATATGTCACAATTTAAAAAGTTTAAAATATAAGAACAAAACATAAATATTCCACAGGGCACCCAAGGTAAAGGATTACTCTTGCATTGTGAATTTTCTAGGACATTAGGTTTGCTGGCATTTGTGTCTCTCATAACAATCATGCTATTCCTCTCCTGTTACGTGGCGGTCTCTGTTTTTTATTTGTTTTTATGTTTGGTGGGTGGATTTGGGAGGGTCATTGATCTAGTTCCATGATTGAGCACTTATTGCTAAATCAACTTAAGGAAATACCCTTAGTTAGAATCTGAACTAATCCATCAGGACTAAGCCATTCTACCCACAGAATTGCTATGACTAAAAATCTAAATCAGGAGTTGGAATCTGATCCAATTAAACCTAACCATGAAGTGAAATTTGTTGAGTCTTTTGAGAAATAGCACTTTTTAATCATTTGGAAGAATTACCTACAGTCATGAATTAGAAGCTTGGAACTGCTAGAACACATTTTCCCAACACGTGTGAGGATCTAGCCTTAAGAAAGAGAGAGAGAGATAGAAAAAAAAAAAAATCCCTTTCAATTGGAGAGACAAAGAAACTGGGTATTTGCCAAGCTACAGCTGTGAAATCAAAGTAAACTCAACACTTGCCCTGCCTATGGACTTCACAGTTTTGTGAATAATTACATTAATTTTATATCTTTTAAACCTGTTTACATTGTTGCATTTACTTAAAATACTTGTAACATTAAAAAGCCCTAATTAGCAAATGGGATCCACAAAATGGCATATAATTAAGATACTGTCATCTAATGTAATTGAAAGAATAAACAGAAGGTTGTTTTGAATTAAATATGTATCTGTGGCAAAGAACACTGCTCTGATATTTAAAGCTATTTTAGACCCACCTGTGAAAAGAGTTGGAACAGAGTATGAAATGTGACCTAGGGTAAGAGCATATCTCTCTTGGCTTTAGTTTTTTCATCTAGGAAATGAGGTTAAGATTAGAAAGCTGCCTCTTAGGTTTTCAAATGGCGGCATTATGGTTCAGCAGTTAAGAGCATGAACAAAGAAGATGAATAAAGTTGAATTTTAGGCTGGGCACGGTGGCTCACGCCTGTAATCCCAGCACTTTGGGAGGCTGAGGTGGGTGGATCACCCGAGGTCAGGAGTCCGAGAGCAGCCTGGCTAATACGGTGAAACCCCATCTCTACTAAAAATACAAAAATGAGCCGGGCATTGTGACGGGCGTCTGTAGTCCCAGCTACTCAGGAAGCTGAGGCAGAGAATCACTTGAACCCGGGAGTCAGAGGTTGCCGTGAGCCGGGGTCACCGCATTGTCCACACTGTACAGCTCCATCTGTACAATGTGGACAATGTCAATATTCTAGATCATGGGGTTTTAATGAAAATTAAAGGAGATATTTTATACAAAGCATTTTGTAAACTATTGAGTGTTTACTATATTCAAGAAAAAATCACTGTTTTTCACAGCAATACTGCCTCAGGTACAGAACTAGAGATTTTGGCTTATGTATATTTCAAAGTCCTTTCCACCTCAGATTTTGTAGTCATCAATTTATGAAATCAATCATTTGAAAAGACAAGGGAATTCAAGGAAAATCTCGGTACTCTATATTAATATGTCAAATAGATACATTTGTATCTATGAAGACAGTAAATTAAGAAATTCTCCTGTTGTCCACATTCTCATTAGATTGGATGATATAAAATCGCCATCTCTATTGTTTAAACGTGGACAAATAGATTCCTGGCCTAAGCATTTAGGTATGGAAAGGGGGTTGCTAACTTAAGGCTGACTGAGAAGAGATCACTGGGAGCAGACCATGCTGTAGTTAAGCTTGTCATTCTACAAACTGGGTTGGTGAAACCAAAACACTGCTACCTCAAGCCCTCATCCAAGGTTCCCTCAGTGCAATGAAC
Organism: Homo sapiens; assembly: GCF_000001405.40. NCBI lineage: Eukaryota > Metazoa > Chordata > Mammalia > Primates > Hominidae > Homo > Homo sapiens. Next base: position 54,240,512 of record NC_000007.14, read on the forward strand.
TATGCTATGAATTCACGACAATAAAAAATCCATTGTAACACCATGTTTTTAATTATACAATAATAGGAGCCATTTTCCTGTAAAATATTTTTGTGAGGGAGGATTCCTTATTAACATAAAGCTTTTATTTAAGTATAATAAAGAAATATGATGAGAAGAATATTCTCCTGAACTACTGAATAAGTTAAATTTTTTCCTAATATGCTTAATAATTTTGTACTGAATCTGATTTATCTATCTACTTGCCCTGGGCTATTTTATTCAATTCCCTGGTTTTCAGATTATCAGTTAAAATATAAATTTAATGAAGTGATGATAGGTTTTGACTTCTATAACGTGTGCCCTAAATTTAATCTGGTTAACAAAACATGGACTTAGCTCAAGAGGGCATATGTTATTCTAAATAATTATAGCTTTAAGAAGGCTGAACATAAATCTCCCAAATCCCAATATAACATGACATTTGGGTAACAGCAGTCCATGAAATTTGTTTCAATGCTCATGCATTCCCCTGTGTTATTTGCTACTACCTTTAGTTTTGCTTTGATCTAAAAATTGTAGAAAAACAAAAGCTAAAAATAAATATAGTCATAAAAAAATTTAAACACTGGTCACTGAAAAATAAATATAGCCCCTATGATTCCTTTTAAAAGTATGACTATTATAGGATAAAAATCTATCCTCAAAATGTATCTTAATCCTAAATCTACTCATATTTATATAAAAGGAAGATGATATTTTATGTATTTCATCATCCTTATAATACAATTATTTTATGTTTAAATCAACGTTTGATTAGCTATAAAATACTGAAGAGTAAATGAAAGCTTAAATTCCAGGGAAAATGTTTAAAGGAATGAATGGAGTTTTAACTTTTCAACCAATTAATCTAGAGTCACTTATACACAGAAGGGAAAAGAAAAAAATATTTGGCGAATTTAAGATACAGAACACAGAAAATTTAATGATCCATGGTTCAAAAGATGGCATCATTTCTCTGTAGGAAAAGAATGGTCTCTTGGGAAACAGAACAGGCAGGCCTCACTGGGTGTTTCTCAAAGCACTCTATTCATTTAAGAAGTCTTAGTTGAATATTATCCATTGACTAGAGTGAATTTTTCTGTTTCCATCTGCGGTTCATACAATCTCAGAAAAAATAATGCATTTCAGAAGGAGCTGAGAAAGTAACTTCTAAATTCCTCCCCACATTCAAGATTACTACTGGGTTATCAGTCTGAATTGATTCTTAAAAATTCATTGATAGATTTAATATAAAATGAGTTCCAAGTGAAAGTTATAGAGGCATGAAGCCACATAGGTAAACACAGCACTGTATTTTCTAGGATTTTACCTGAAATCCTGTGACAAATAAGGCAATGGAGTGAGTTCTACATGTTTAAAGACTATTAATATCCTGTAATATAAATTGTTTTTCAATGTGCATTTTCATCATCTTTTCTATGCAGAAGTTTGTATGTGGTTGTTATGGTTTGGCTCTGTGTCCCCACCCAAAACTCATGTTGTGGTTCCCATAATTCCCACATATTGTGAAGGAACCTGGTGAGAGATGATTGAATCATGGAGGCAGGTCTTTCTCATGCTATTCTTGTGATAGTGAATGGGTCTCTCGAGTTCTGATGGTTTTAAAAATGGGAGTTTCCCTGCATGAGCTCTCTCTTTGCCTGCCGCCATCCGCATAAGATGTAACTTACTCCTCCTTGCCTTCTGCCATGATTTTGATTCCTCCCCAGCCACGTGGTGGAACTGTGAGTCCAATTAAACCTCTTTCTTTTGTAAATTGCCCAGTCTTTATCAGCAGCATGTCTTTATCAGCAGCATGAAAACAGACTAATACAGGGCTTATGTGTGGTTTTCTGAAATTTTTAATGCAGTCAAATCTTGTCATTATTTCTTTTTTGATTTCCGCCTCTGCGATCATGCTTAGAAAGTCATCCACAAACACATTGCCTCCTAGTACCTTACTTTGTATGAACTATCTTACTCTCCTGGATTTATTTTGAATGATGGTATGAGACAAATACCTAATTGTGTTTTTTAAAAAATCATTAGTCCATTGTACATAATTGCTTATTGAATTATTTCTCAACTGATTTTCTATAATAAATTTTTGTCAGAGACTCAATCCATTCATTGATGACATGTTTATTTTCAGTGCTATAGTTATCAGGCACTGTGCTAAGTTCAGGGAACACAATGGTAAGCAAACAGACTTATGTCCCCTCATAAACTTCATCACATCAAGAAGGAAGATATGTTAGCCCAGATTCACATATGCGGAATATTGAAGAAGAGCTTTTTAAATGAACCTGACCTAAATAGAAAGTCAAGAAAGTCTTCGAAGAAATGACGTTTAGGTGCAATCTAGGTGATGACTAGGAATTAAACAAAGAGGAATATTGCTGGTGAAACATTCCAACCACAGTGAATCACTACAGAAATGCCCTGCGTTTGGCGGGAAATAACCTGATGAAGCTTGGGAAAGAAAACAGGTGAGGCCAGCATGAGACGGGGAGGGGCAGGGAGGTGGGGGGTTAAGCCTGGAGAACTGGATCATGACCACTTCTTGGTCCTGTAATCAACTGGAATCCACTGAGAAGTATTAAAGAAGAGTTAAATGATCAGCAATTTGTGGAGGAAAGGTGTTTCTAGAAGGACCATGAAGGGCAGACGAAGAGGTGAGGGGTGAGCATGAAGGGGTGAGCAGTGGCTATGGGAAAGCTAGAAATGTAAATGTGTAAAGGATGATGACATTGAAATAAATACTGGTAGATGTATTAAAGAGTTATTTAAAATATAAAGCATGATGATAGATAGGATATAGGAGGTAATGGAGGTAATGGAGAGTAAGGTGTGCAGGTATAAGCACTAGGTTTGAGATTTATATCCATCAATAATAATGATGTCATTCATGAGGAAATATGCTGTAGGAAGGTGGAGGATCCAGACTATGAATCCAGACTTAGTGTACTGATTTTTATGAGAGTTTGAGTCACCTAAAACAAGGTTTGGCAAGATTCGTAAAGGCCAGGTAGTAAATATTTGGGGCTGTGCATGCCACGAATGGTCACTATTGCATATTTTTTCTATTTATTTATTTACTTATTTATTATGCATATGGAAACTCTTTACAACATAAAAATTATTCTTAGCTACTGGGAAGTAGAAGAACAGGGGCAGGATTTGGACTGTGTCCTAAGAAGTCAGTAAGAGTGTCAGGAGTGAGGAGAAGGACTTCTGAGCCAGAAACATGAATGTTTAGGTTCAGGTATCATCAGTGCTTAGCGAGTAAGTGAGGCTGTGGATATAGATGAATTGGCCTAGGTAGACAAAGAATGAAAAGAGAAGAGAGACAGTGACTGAGCCTTGAGAAACTCTAATACATAATGGTCTACTAGAGGAAGAGAAGCCTAAAAATAGTACTAAAAGAGCTAGAAGAGAAGGGGTATAAACACAGTAGGAATATGGTATCACGGAAATTAAGGGAAGTTCATGGAGATCATTTTTCAGATGTGAAAAACTCTAAGAACTTAGATGCTGATGAATGATTCAATTGAAAAATAAGTTTACTAGATACTAGAGAGAGAATTGGTCATTGACAATGAATGGTTTCTCATAAAGCAGAAGAGAGCCTAATTGGACTTTATTTGGAGGTGATGTACCTCTCCTGTTATAGAACAGCCACGAAGAGAAGTGTGCAGATGCAGGTGCATTTGGAGATGCAGCAGCAGACAGTCTCCATCTGCAGGCTCAGACTCTCCCCATGAATCAGAAGAATAGGCTGTGGTCCCTCCATGAGCATGAGGGGGTCCTGTAAGGGGTGGGTGTAGTAGGTGTGAAGAGAGGAGAGAGGCAGAGAAAACTAGTAGGCTTGCTGAGTAGTGTTGAGAGCCTATGTGAGGTTGATTATCATAAATTTTTGGAAGTATTTGTCTCTATTTTTATATGATTTTCTAGGACAGTGTTTCATGCTTTGATATTGTCCAAATATCAAGTAAAAAGCAACTAGGAAAGTAACAGATGCATTTATCTTTTGACCCAGCATGCTCCCAAATAAAAACTGGCAAAATGTAAAATGACATGAGTCAAGCTATTAGTTTGGCATTCTTTTTAATGTGAGAATACTGAAACAGTACAAATATCTGCCATTTGACACAGGTGGAATAAATTTTAATATACTCATACAATAGAAAGGTATACAGGTTATTAAAATGGAATTAGGGAGAGCTCTATAATGTATTTTAAAAATAAAACATGCAAACCAACACCTATGGAGAGAGGCAAACCAATGCCTTTGGAGAGACACACAACCTTGCTGGATGGTTTCACATTGACTCCTGACAAAATCCTCCAATGGGTCTTCACTGCCTCCTGGGAATCCTACTGCATTATCCAAATCAATTTGCCCTCTTAGAGTTTGAAACTATTTCATGTTTTCTCCATACTCTCAGAACTCCAAAACTCCACCCCCATATTCCAACTGATGATTTTGCCTTTTATTTCACTCAGATTTAAAAATTCTGAAGAAAGCATCTTTATAGTCCTACCACCAAATGTAACATAACTAATACTCTATTAAAAAGGAAAAGTCTCTGAGCACCCATCTGAGGACAGTTTCCTGACACTGAGCTAGGTCACATCTTTTAAGCTACTCAATGATTTTCTCCCTTGGAATTTCCCCCTCCCTACGCATTCTCTTGAATAATTTATTCACTTGGAGAATATTTGTAAAACATTTACTGTAAGCCAGGAAATGTTCTAAAGTAATTTACAATTATTAACTCAGGTTGATAATCAGATTTTTCTGCCTACTGCATTCTTACTATTGAAAACATGGTACATCTTCAAGAAGCATTCACAAGCAAACATTCTGCTTCAGCAATGGGAGATTCTTCTGTTCAGCTCCACAGAAATGTCTTTGAAAAGAAAGTATATCACCTTTTCTGCCCCTATTTTTTCTCTTGAACCCACACCAATCAGGATTTCATTCTTACCACTCAAACAAACACCTCTTATCAGAATCACTAATGATCACTACATTGTCAGCTTCAGTGATCAAATCAGCTTTCATCCGGCTGGATCTAAGAGAGGCAGCATTTGACACAGCTAACCCCTCTTCCTTTCAAACTCCTGTCCTCACCTGACATTCAGAAATCACTCTCCTTTGATTTGCCTCTTATTTCACCTGGCTTCCTTTTGTCAGATCTCTCTCATTTTCCCTCCCTTTCAACTAGTGGTCTTAATCTTGGCTGCAAATTATAATCACCTGGGGAATCAAAAAAATAATTCTCAATGCCCAGGCCATACCCAAGACCCATCCTTGAGAAGGAGACCAAAGCATCCATAGTTTTACAAACTCCCCCAGATGATTCCAATGTGCAGCTGAAGTTAGGAATCACTGTTAGGCAAAGGAATTGATGTCCGAGAGCCATCAGAAGTGGTATCCACTGGCCACAGCCTCTCTGATCTCATCTCCTGTCCTTCTTCCCACTGGCTACTCCTCTTTAGCCACTGGGCTTCAAGCCATGCCTCAGACACAGCAAGCATCATCTCACCCCAGGGTTCTTGCATTTACCATAGACTCTGTCAGCAAGACCCTCACTTCCTCAGGACCTCTACTCAAGTGTCACTTTAGCAGAGGACTTCTGACCATTCTGTACAAAGCAGCCCTCTCCTCACCTGCTGCCCCCAGGGGTCTCCCCACCCCTGGGGCTGACTTCATTTTATCAATAGCCTTTTCTTCACTTGAAGCATTATGTAATATATGCTTCTTGAGGGTCTCCCTCACTGTGTTGTAAATTCTTAGGGGAAAATACTTTGTTTTGCTCACTGTTTAATCCTTAATCAACAGTTGAATCCACCAGAGTGGAGTAGACACTCTAGAAAGTTTATATAATAAACAGCTGCCTTTCTTTCTTTACCTAAATTTACTTTATCTTCTGTTTATATTATCATAAGCTCCATGTAAACTTCTAACATTTTTCTCTCACCTTGTTTAATATCACAGAATTATTTTTTTTTCAATACATTCCTGCTCTCTTTCCACGAATTTTCTTTCTTAAAAACCCTGTTATTTTGTTTTCCATTATTAGTCTTTACACTTACTGCTTACTGCTATGAACTAACACTGATTTTAAGAAGCATCTGGTAAAAAAATATACTTCTATACCTACTTCTTCACCAATATCAATCATCAGAATTTTTGCTTTAATTATGCATGAGTAATTTCATATTATGAATAATTGTAATGAGTATATTCTGTTGTGTAAATTATTTAATTCCTCAATATTTTTCTAATAGGTTCAACCCAAAGAAGCTGAATTTAAGATATATAATTATGCCAATAATTTTCATTGCACAATCAAGTAGTGGGATTGTAGCCATCATTTTAAAAGATAACCCTACATCTTTTAGATGTTCATAGTTTGAGGTGAATTTTCCAGCCATCAGGGTAATTAATTAATTTTTATTTTTACTAAATGCACTCATTTGTTCTGTTATATTCAGTTATCATTCTTTCTTGTTTTTTGCATGAATGTATGAGTCTTTTTTCTGTAAGCCTATGTGAATAGTAAATCTCAGTCTCTGCTCCCTTACGCTGGCCACTGCAGGGTAAGCCATTACGACTTGTGTTCTTTCTGATCTTGGGGGATTTTCCTTTCATCATGTGTGTGTCTAGAGAGTGGGAAACAGAGAGAAAAAGAGCTAGAGATAGAGGATTTATATATATGCATATATATACACATACACACATATATAGTTATATATGTTATATACTACATATACTGTATATAAACATATATAGTTATATACATGTATATGTAGATGTTATATGTAATTATGTACATATATGTATAAATGTTATATAATAGTTACTCATAAGTATATACGTATGTATATGTATATACATATATACATATGTAGATGTATATGTATGTATATAACTATGTATGTATATAACTATATGTAACATGTTACATAGATGTGTATGTAACTAATATATGCATGTATATAACATATACATATGTATATAACAATTTATAACATATATGTAAACAACTATATATAACATATACATAGATGTATATAATTGTATACATACACATGTATAGTTATGTATGTATATAACTATATATATAGCTCTCTCTCTCTATATATATATATATACACATTTTAATATATATTTCCTTATAGCCTAAGCCAACATTTGGTAATGACTTGAATATTTAAATTGTGGGCTAAAACAAATAAGCAAGATATATCCACACAAATGAAAATTACTCAGCAATTTAAATAATGAGGTAAGTCTATATTTTGTTAAGACGATGTGTCCACAACATGTATTTACATTAAAACAGCAGTATACAAAATGACTTGGGTAATATAATCCCATTTTAAAGGATCTCATGTTTATGAACATCTCATAGCAAATAATATGAAACCTACACATTATTATGTCAATATGTTTTTAGGGAGCTTGTTAAGTAATATTGCTTACTTCTAACTAGGTTCTTGTAATCCTTGCATTATTTTCCAATAAACATGAATTATTTTTCAAATTAGAGGTGAAAAAAAGCATTTTGTTAAAATAGGATGAAATGGATATTTAAATTATTTATGTACAAGTAAAATTCTAAGTCAGTTTCTGAGCAAAGTACATGTAGTATCCAATGATTCAAAATATGTTTTCTTTAAGTGTAAAACACAAATCCCAAACTGTAGTTGGCCTCACAGTTAACCTCAAAAATCCCCAAAGAATTTTTTTTTCCAAATAAAAGGTAGAAAAAGTTTCTTTGTACTGTGTAATTTTCTGGAGGTTGTAGCAAAGCATTATGACAAAAAGGAAGAGGTTTATCTATTGAAAGCAAGGAAACAAATTGGTCATTGCTGGTACATGATATGATTGCAAAACCAAATAAAACATAGAACGGAAAGTAATACAACAGGTAAGAATCCGTAAAGGTACTTAATTGTAGGACAAATATGCAAAAGTCAACCATTTCTTTATGTTTATAAAGTTTATAAAATTCATCTCTAGTTTCTTCTAAATTGTTAAGCTGAAATACAATATTTTCCCTAACTGGTTAACCAATTTTCTTAGTAAAATCATTATAAAAGTCCACATTTTCCCACTAAATAATATTCAGCTATCAAATGTAAGAAAATGTCTTTAGAATAATAAATTTGCTATGGAGTGGCTTCTGCAAGTACCAGTTGCATCAAGAATGGTGTGGCCAGCACTTCATCATTGCAGGGAGGTTGACGGATACCGGCTTACTCCCAATTACTGTCTTCAAGTTCAGACACTCAATTTACATGGAACCACTACTTAAGTGCAAAGGCCAATGTGCAAGCAAACCCACATGAAATCACACTGTTTATATTAGAAATTGTAAGTAGCATCTAAAAATTACATTATCCAGTTTAAATGTTTAAGAATATACCATCAACAAATATTTTTAAAAAGAAATTAATAAGTAAATGATGTGTATTGAGCCATTCTTGCATTGCTATAAAGAAATGCCTGGGACTGGGTAATTTATAAAGAAAACAGGTTTAATTGGCTCACAGTTCTGCAGGCTCTACAGGAAGCATAACACTGGCACTGTTTCTGGGCAACCTTCAGGAAGCTTACAATCATGGCGGAAGGTGAAGCAGGAGCAGGCACGCTACACGGCAAAAGCAGGAGCAAGAGAACGAGGCGGGGAGGTGCTACATACTTTTAAAGGACCAGATCTCATGAGAACTCATTCACTATGGCAAGGACAGCGCCAAGAGAAATGGTGCTAAACCATTCATGAGAAATCTGCCCCCATGATGCAATCACCTTCCACCAGGCCCCAACTCCAACGCTGAGGATTACAATTCAGCATAAGATTTGGGCATGAATACACATCCAAACTATAGCATGATTCATATAGCTTGAAATAAAATGAAGAAAGTAAGAAGGGATGCAATGTTGTGTATCGTAACCTGTTTTATATAAACATATATTCTAACTGGCATATATTAAAACAAGACGCAGAAGAAAGAAACATTATGGTTCAAGAAATCATGACAAAGAAAAATTGTTCAGAGTATTCTGTGAGTTTTATATTATTGTTTCCCCCTTCCAGAATGTCATAAAAAATCTTTATTATTACTATCCCAAATGAAGCTATATGCAATGCTGTCCAAAGTCATCAAGGCTGAATAATGCTGAGGTGTCTAACGAATACTATAAGTGTTTTAAATAGGTCAATTTAACTTGTCCAATGACACGAGAGTGCTATTTTCCACCAAAGACCTTGTAATTAAGTTAAGGGCTGTGTTTCAGTTCATTATCACAATATGCATCACAAAACTACAATGAGCTAAAGCAGACCCATCACCATGTGTTGCTGTGGCTAATGAGACTTCTTCTTGTTTGAAATTTATCTGCTTTATATTCATTTAAATAGTCAGACAGCACGGTTGGAAATATGTTGCTTGGTTTCTGCTGCTGTATGTTTTCAGCAAATCTCTGGAATAATGTAAATATGTAATGGACAGCCCAATACAATTGTTGGTAATTCTAAGGGTCAGGAATCCACATAATGATCTTCTCGTAATAAAAAGATAAAAATCATGCCAGCAAGATTTCTCATCTGTGACTCTAGAAACCGATATCTGGCAATGTTTCTAAAACATCACAAAGTTTGTTATGATCTACTTTGAAATAAATGTGGGTACAGTGAAATGCTGTATGGATTTCAGATAAAATATGGGCTTTTGCAGTGAGCTTTTGTTCCAGTTTAATTCTGAAGAAAAATTTTCTTGTGAGTTTTAGTTCACATGTTCCTAATTTTATATTAAAAATGTGAACAAATATAAAGAAATTAATCTTTAATAATTATGCTGTATTTCAATCTATGGGCAAAGTTGTATATAAATTTGTTCATATTGTACAGAAAAAAATTCTAGTCTGTTTTTCAAAACTAACCTTTTAACACGTGTATTAGTACAACATTAAACATAATTTTAATACATATTTGTCAGGAATAACATTTTTATTTATGAAAGTTAGAAAGTACTTAAAAGTAGACAGAACCCAATTAATGCTACTTAAACATATCCCCAAATAAAATTGTCTTGTACATTTCACAGCCATTTTTCTCTGTATAATACGTAACTGAATGTGACTATTGCGCAAAAATGTGTGCATACACTTTACAATAAAGATGTACTATGAGAAAGTTGAAACCTCTCTTCCAAAGGCTGTTTTATAGCAGTGCATCATAACCTATTAACTGATTCCAAATGTGAGACCTATAGGAAGCTTTGGATTGTTACACATAAAAATGCCAAGTCATTTTCTTAAGATAAATTCATAGTAATGGAAAAAGGAAAAATATAAAATAAAAATCATTAGTTCCTAAGGAAAAAAAAGCTATTATTATGATGTTATAAATGTTTCTAGTAATCCCAATTATTCAATTGCCTGGACATAGCAAGATTTACTAAGCTTCTAGTAGCTACAAGAGTACATTAAAACAAATTCCTAGAAGCAGCTTATAATGTTAATTTTGTTCACAGTGTCACATAACTCGTGGAAAATTGGCCAATATTCAAGGCCATTAGCAATGTCTGAGAATCCATTGTCCTTTCTCTGTCAATGCTGATTCTGTCCTTTTTCAGGTGTATTTGCTAATTTGATTTAGTTATACCTCAACAGCATTTCACTGCTGCTTTAAGTTGCTTTCTTCAATTACTAAGGCATTTGAATATTTATTTTTATATGGGGGGGTTATATTCTCTAAATGAGTCCTAAGAACATTTCCATTAAGCATGCCATTCTTGTTAAATGTGCTGTATCTGGTACAAGTTGTCACCTAACTTTATATTGTGCTAATGGTGATTTTCTCCCTCCTAGATATGGTTTCACTTTTGATATTCTTAGAAAAGCCTTCTTGCTTTAAGATAATAAAAGTATCAGAATTTCACTTTGCTGTTTATGATTTCTTATTATTTCCTTTTAATTCATTTTCTATATTTGAAAGGTGAAGTTATTTAATTATTTTTGCTTCTCCGTTTTCAAGCAAGCTTTTAAAATAGGACTGCTGTTTGAATATTGAATACACTGTTTTGAGTTTCTCCCTGATCATAAACACCTTCTTCATGATATAAAAAGAAATCACATATATTTTGATCAATTTTATGTATTTAAGGGTACTTAAAGTACCCTTAACATGTGTAACATAACAAAATACTCACTGTGTTCTTTAGCTCACTGGCAGTGTGATGAAAACAAGTAAATGGATACATAAACAGAGTTGGCACCTTGACTTACCTTGTGAATGACGCTCTATCTGCACAGATCTCAGGAGCCATTATGATTAACTGACAATGAAAAGGTAATTTCTAACTGATTTGCCCAGGGTGGGAGCTAGAAGGTTGATTTTATTAATCAAAGAGGCATATTTTATCCAATATTTGTCTGTACTTACAGAAATGTGTAGAGTTCTTTCACTTCCAATTTTACAAAAACAAGTAGAGATGGAACACCTATTCTGCAATGAAAATTACAGACAATTGGTGATAAAGACTCGTACAATGGACTGTGAAGCATTTAAGGTCTATTCAAGTATGTGTCTTCTGTTCCTTCTCATTAAAGAACTAATGATATTTCTTCATCACAGTGGCTAGAATTTTACTGATCCTGAATTTCTTTCCTTTTAGCTTCTCACAATGAAACTCAGATATAAATTTCTTATTTTAGGATCTTGATTTTCAATGTCAGACAATTCTTAGTTTATTTCATGGTGAGGCAAATGTTTCGGTAATTATGCACCACTCTGTCTTCAAGACTGGAGTGCAAGGGACTGCCTTTGCTTGGCAACTGGTTTTTTTTTTTTTCTGTAGAAACAGCAGTTCACAGTATGGCAATGTGTGGGGCGGGTGGAGGGCTAGTCCTCTTTTATAGGATTAGTCACTCCTGTCTGTGGTCTCAGGAATCTAGGTTCCTGGTGGCTTCGCATCGGCAGGCTTGGTATACATATGGCATCAGGAAATCTACTAGGCAACAACTTCCCTAACATTTTATATGACAACACTAGCTTTTTTTTTCTCACAAACATACCAGTTTTACTATTTAAATCTGAGTAGTTGGCTTATAGAAGTATAGCTCTGCCAGAACCCAGCACTGCCCTAAACCATCTTGAATGAACGATGAATCCTCGGGGGTCAGGGCTGGTCCATGTTCTCTGACAGTTCACATTATTAAAGAAAATGTTTTGTGTTCATTTCTGTCAAATTAAAATACTTCCTAATATGTCAAGCAATTGCTTGTTTCGGGTATCTGTCAGATTTGCCATTGCTGCTAGATTAAGGTCAAAGTTGACAACTGAGCAAACATTGATAACATTTCCCAATAAGCAAGGGGATGATCCTGACAGCCTATTTTAGGTTGGAATCTTATTTCTTACCTTATTCAACTTCAGCCACTTAAATATTGTACAAAGTGGGAACACAGCTGCTAAATGTATAAAAAGGCAAGTTTGATATTTAACAAAGATTAGGTTATTTAAAAACATTCTATCTACCATGATTATAGTCCGGAGAACCGTTACAAATTCAAGCCAAGTGTCTACAAATATTTAATCCACGTGCATCTAGCAGAGAAGAAGCGGTTTCCAAAGTATGTTTGTTATAAGCACACATCTGTTGGTTACACATGACTAGTTTATCCTATCTTGGGTCTGATTATGTAAAAATATTTGCACCATCTGTTATTATCCTAGAATGTTAGTATGGGCAAGTTCATTAAAATTTTAAGATACTGTCCTCGCCTTACAAAAATAAAATAATTTTGTAGAATTAAGGGCAATGCTATCTTAAAAAATAATTGCATGTACTTTGTAATGAAGATAACATTTGTGGATTACTCACTGAAGCTCACATTCAGAGTTATTCAGAGGAGACTTGTTCAAAGTCACCTCTAAGATGCTACAATTGATTTTCATGCAAATGCCATGTTATAAGATTTAATAGCAAAAGGGAAATGTTTCACAAATTAAAGGGAGAAATTCATTTCCAAGTAGTTCAACACATTTGTTGATTAAATTACTTTCAATAGGGTGACTCTATTTTCAAGGTCAAAGAATTTGTAGCAGAGTAAAAAGAGACTCTTCCTCAAAAATGATAACTATTAAATGTGTGCATTTATTACTAGGAAATCTCTAAAGCACTTGAGGCCACCAAATAATTTATTTTTATTTTCATCATATGATATTGTCAAGACACAATTATAACAAATTTAGTTAAATGACCTAGGTGGCTTTGATTTTTTATTCATTAATCAGGTAGCATCTCATCTAAAAATAGAGAGGTGCTATAGTGGGCATGACAGACAGGTGGCTTTCATAAGGTAGCTTGAGCAAGAACCAGGAAACAGCACAAAACAAAAAGTGGATTACTATCAGATCACTTCAGGACATTTTCTTTGTAAGAGCTAAAGCAGAGGGGATTCCTTATCATGCCTGTTTAAAAGTGGCCTGTTTGGGGATTTGACTACCGTCTCTCTTGATTTCTCAGAAGGTCAAATAAACAACTTGGTTTTGCTTTGGTGATGTGGGTCTTTAGCATTAGTGACTCCATTTTGGTTTGGCACATTGGGGCCTAGTGCAGGAGCTCAGTCCAAATTAACAGCCTTCTGTATTTTCTATTTAACAATCTCATTTATACTCTTAAGCACATTTCTAAAGATAGCCTTAGAAAGACCTGTTAGTTTTCTTAACTTTATTTTTAAGAAATAAAGATACTTAATCTGAAACTCTACTTCTATATTGGTTGGATATATTTGTTGTTTTTGTACCTGAAATAAAATGTGTACATTCAACTCTAAATGCAATCACAGTTTGGGTCTATAAAGTTGCTCATGCATAATAGTTTCTCTTCTAAAACGTCCTGAAGGCTGCCGAGTTCCAATGACCCATGTAGATAGCAGTTTCCACATTGAATTCTTTCTCTTTGTGCAAATACCAGGAGAATCTCTGGATTACAAAGGACTGGGTAAGCAGAGCTTCATCAAAAGGAATATTCTACTTGGCAGTACATATGTGAAGTAACTCTAGTCAGAGCAGAGAGAGTTCAATTTTTTTGTATTCTTAAAAACAGCAACAAAATGTTATTTTTTTCTTTTTCACCTTTTGATATCTTCCCAAATTGTATGGAGATTCAGAAGACTAATGCGATTGGATGATTTTCTACCACTTGGTACATCAGTTGTGGTAATTAGTGTGCAATAATATCTTTAGAATTAATGAATGGGCACTTGCATACTGTTTTTTTTTTAATTTAAAATTACTTTAAAAGTTCAGTTTCTTCAGTTTTATCCTACATTCTAAACATTTGAGAGGAAAAGTTACCGATAATTTTGCATTATTATATCATCTCAAATATTAAAACTATTTACAAACATTCATAGATCATAACACCTCGAACTATTTAGGCAGAGAAAAACTCTTAATTTGATAGAGAAATTATTTATTGCTTTAAAAATTGATTGAAAATAATTTGATGTTAATAACACAATTTCTGTATTATAATGGTAACCATTATAATGAAAGAAATCATTTTCTTTTTCAAAATTAATGATGTTCAGAATGTCACTGTATGTACGTACTACTCAGTAACATATAGGAGACTGTAAGAAAACAAAGTTTCTTTTGAACTACTTTTGCTGATTTCTTGCACTTTTTTAATTTAGATGAAATTCACATAGCATACAGTTAACCATCATAAAGTGTACAATTCAGTGGCAGTCACTGCATTCAAAATGCTGTGCAGCCTCCACCTCTCTCTAATGTCAAATATTTTCATCACTCACGAGTTCATCCCATACACATTTCTGCCTCACCCTATCTCCTGGCAACTTCTAACATGCTGCCTCATTTCTAAAGGGTTTGCCCATCCTGGATATTTATATTCATGTAAAAGGAATCATTCACTATCTGACCTTTTGTGTCTGGCTTATTTTACTTAGCATATGCTTTTGAGGTTCATCCAAATTGTAGCATGTGTCAGTACTCCATTATTTTTGAAAGATGAAAATATTCCATTGTATTTATATACCATGATATGTCTATCCACTCATCTGTTGACGGACCTCTGGGACAGGCACCTTTTGGCTGTTATAAATAATGCTGCTATAAAATTTGTGTATAACTTTCATACAGATGTGAGTTTTCCTCTTTCTCAAGTATATGCCTAGGAGTGGAATAGCTGAGTCGTACAGCAGTTCTATGTTTAACTTTTTGAGGAATTGCCCAAATCTCTTTCATAATGGCTATTTCATTTTACATTCTCAACAGCAGTATGTGAGAGTTCCTGTTTCTCCATGTCCTCCCAAACACTTATCATTTTACCTTATTTTGATTTTAACACACTCTACTAGGTATGGAGTGGTATCTCATTGTGGTTTTGACTTGCTTTTCCTTCATCAACAATGATGTCGAACATGGCCTTTTGTTTTGTTTTGTTTTGTTTTTGGTTTTGGTTTTTTGGTTTTTTTTTCTTTTACCCGGGGTCTCACTCTGTCACCCAGGCTAGCTCACTGCAACCTCCGCCTCACAGGCTCAAGTGATTCTCCCATGTCACCTTCCCAAGTAGCTGGAACCACAGGCATGCACCACCATGCCTGGCTAACTGAACATCTTTTCATATGCT
Organism: Homo sapiens; assembly: GCF_000001405.40. Lineage (NCBI taxonomy): Eukaryota > Metazoa > Chordata > Mammalia > Primates > Hominidae > Homo > Homo sapiens. Next base: position 54,256,214 of record NC_000007.14, read on the forward strand.
TTCTGGCCATTTGGATATTTTCTTTAGACAGTTGTCTATTCAAGTCATTTGTTCATATTTTATAAGTTGGATTGCTTGTCTTTTTGCTACTGAAAGAGTTCTTTGTATATTCTGGATACTAAACCCATATAAGGTACACGATTTACAAGTATTTTTCCTCCCTGTCTGTAGGTTGTCTTTTCACTTTCCTGATAATGTCCTTTGATGCTCGACAGCTTTTAATTTTTATGAAGTGCAATCATCTATCATGTTTTCTTTTATTGTTCATGACTTGGGGTCAAATTTTGGAATCTATTGCTAAGTAGAGACCATATAGATTTACCCCTGTGTTCTCTTCTAAAGGTTTTACAGTGTTAGTTTTTATATTTATGTTGTTGATCCATTTTGAAATAATTTTTGTAGATGAAGCGAGGTTAGTGGTTCACTTTCATTATTTTACATTCTTTACCTCATTGTATAGTCTTTGCACTCTGTTGGCCATAGACTTTTAGATTTATTTTTTGACTCAATTCTTTCTCACTAGTCTGTATGTCTATTCAGTACCACTTGATATTGATTATTGTAGTTTTGTAGTACCATTTAAAGTCAGAAAATGTGAGTCCTGCAACTTTATTTATCTTTTTCAGTATTGTTTTTGCTATTTGAGACCCCTTGTAATTCTACAAGGGTAGACTAAATGAACCACTTATTATTACAAAAGGGAAAAGTGGCAGGCATTACCTGGCCTTCAAACTGAGCATGTGAGGACAGGCTGCATGTTGCTTCTTATCATCATTTGATGATGATATCTTCAAATTTTGAATTTGATTTTTTTTGTTATTTTGGCTATAGTATATTTAATATTGATTTTGTCTTATCCAGATTTGAGCACACATTCTTAGTTATCTGCTTCTTTTTGTTTTCAAAGTATGTTCTCTTGATTATAGCATTTTTGCTAAGGGGGTATTTATTATAATTATTTTTAAAGCTTAAAAACTCCAAAGTAAAAATTAGGCTAAACCTATATCTGTTGAAGAATAGGTGCTATGACCATATCTTAGCCAGAAGTTAGCACTTCCCTGGCTAATTCTGAATGCCACAGCAAATGTATAGGAATACCACTTACCTGAGCCTTGCCATGAGCCCCTTGATTGTAGAGGAATTCCTTCCCCCAAGCACATGCACTGCTGGAACTGTGGGACAGCAAAGAGCAGAAGTAAACTGAAAATATCCTTTACGTATTCAGATCTCCTTAGCTTGCATTCACACTAGTCAAGACCATCTATATTTCAAATATGGGATGAAGACAAATGACTCTATGTAAAGGTCAGATAAAAGTAATTAAAAAGTCATATATAAATAAAGAGATTGCAGTTATGGAGAGCTGTATTACTTTAAGAAATCAGACTAGGTTCTTCTTTTATAACAATTTCTTCAGCAAAATAAGAAATTTTTAGAAATTTTGCCATAATGGAGAACAGCTGACTACTATAAAAAAGGAAACAGTCTAAGAACAGAAAAATTACACAATGGCTTTATATAAAACTATGTTGGACCAATGGACATTAAGCTGGATGCTAAGAAACAGATCAGAGAAAAAATTTTAAAAGTTAAATATGTTAGAATAAAAAGTATAATAAATTAATGAGAGCATAGTTAAAACAAGAACATCTATTCTGCATAAACTAGAAATGTAAATTAAAAGAAGAATAAAACTAGTAACAACTTTACGGAGCAGGAGGAAACAGTAAATTTACAGTTTGAAAGAGATGAGCAATCAATATTAAGTATACTAACATGAACACACAACTTGGTGAAAATTTGCAATTTCAAGAATAAAATGAAAATTTTTTAAAGCATATAATCAGAAAACATGGTGTCTTATTTTTTTCACCATCATGTTGCCAGAACAACACAGCATCAAACAATAGTTGGCGCCTAATAAATATTTTGAATATTTCTTAATTGAATGAATGAATGAATGAATGAATGAAGTTAAAGTCAGAAGGACATCACGCCTAACACAAATCACACTGAGATCCAAATACAGAGATACGTGAATTCTTGTGGCCCTATAATTATATAGCCAGGTAGATATTACTTGAGGGGAAAACGTGTCCAAAATCAAAGATATAAACTCAGGACAACTAGCTAATGAATCTTCCTGAGAAAAAAAGTCCCTCAGAAAAGCTTCCTGAAAAAATAAGTTACAAAAAGAGACACAACACCATATGAGGAGAAAACCAAGGTGAAGAGTAACGAGTGACAAAGTAATAAAGCTTTAGAGTGAAAGATGTTACAATTAAACAACCTAAGACTTGAATCAAGCATTTTAGTTGAAGGAAAATGGTTGTATAATGGAACCCTGTTACAAAAGACAAAAAATAACATTTGGGAATGTGTCTTATTTTGTTTGCTATTTTCCATATTAATATTAATACTAAAATAAACAGCGTTGTAAAAATAGTGGTAAGTAGTAAACGTCGGTCTGAGCGTTTGACCCCATTAGTGCCTCTCTTGTCTTCTTTCATTTGGAACAGTTTCCTTGTCTTTCCCTGTCTTTAATAACTGGAGCATCTTTGAAGAACACAGTCTGGTTCCCATGTATAATGTGCCTCAATTCAGGTGTAGCTGGTGTTTTATGCTGAGAAATTAAGTAATTTAGTTGAAAAAAAATGGTTGTGTAATAGAACCCTGTTATAAAGCACAAAAAAATAATAAATAACTGGAAACACTTTTTCCATATTAATATTAATACTAAAGTTTTAATGCAGGTTTGCATTTCCGATAGGAATACCACAGGCATTCCTATCGGAGATGCATTCTGCTCAGCACGTCTTATCCAGACGCACCTTTCTCCTCCTGGTTAAGGTAGTGTCAGTCAGATTTCCTCACTGTAAAGTTATTAATAAGTATGTCATAATTAATCAGTATTAATTATCTGTGAGTCAGTACTTTGAAGCTATGTCAACATCGTGTTCCTCATCCAACATTCACCCAGGTGCTGCGTGAAGGTCAAGAGACTTGGGAAGCAGATTCTGAGATGGGGACATGCACATACCAAGATGTAGGAGGAGGACGGGCAGAGGGAGAGGTTGAGCCGTGAGGCGTCCCCAAAGGGAGCCTCAGCCTGTCCCGCGGAGGTCGCAGCCTGGATGCTTGCCTCCTTCCAGTTGTCCTGAATGGGGTGAAGGGGCCAGGCCTTTCTCCAGCCCCCACTGACCTGTCACTGGAGGTGGGCTGCCTCTGGAGAGAGGGCGTCACCTTGGCCGTGGTGGTTCTTTTCACTGTAGAATAATCCTCCAAAAAGGAAATCCCCAAGTTCATAGCTGTCAACACCCCCAGTGCCTAGACCCAAGAAATCTGGGTCCTGGAGGGGAGGTAAAATCTGGATGGCACACCCCAGAGCTATTACAGAGGGTAGAATATGCCTGAAAGCCAGAAAGATATGCACAAGGGAAGGGGCCACCACAGTGGCACTGCACGCAGAGAGCACTGTGGACACAGATGCATCAGAGACAAGTCCTATTTGTCAATGTCAGCCCAGTCTCAGTTCTGGACTTCTCTTCATGGTAACTTACCACAAAAGCAAAACTTCGCTTTAAACACTTGCTAACAAAGTGCTGACCCCTGAATTTGTTATGTTTGTTGTGAACTAATTTATCTGTGGTAAGGGGGCAAGATGAGGATAGAAAAATCACAAATGAGAATATTTTGTAATACTCAGAGGAACACACAGGAAGAAAAACTGGTGCTCAGGGGGTCTAATAATTGCAATTTCCTTGCTAATTGCCTTCAGGGGTAAAAATGTCATCTTCATGCATAATAAATTTTTAAAAATCAATATTTAAGACCTCATCAGAAAGATGTATCACTGAGTAACATGAATATCTCTGCTGACTCTGGGGCAATTTGTTGCTATTTGGGGGCCTTTGACTGTAAAATGCTGAGATAAATAAGTGCTTATGAAGTCTGCAAATTCCAATCAGAAAATTAGGCAGAGTTAACATGACATCTTTTTAAAAAGTCTTGTTATGGTTTCTGTACAGGAATATTTGGTCATCTGTGTTTAAATTAAATGGGGCTCTAGTGTTTAAGCCTTTGATCGTCCCGTTTCATATTACATTTTGGAGAGGATAATATATTTTAATATGTCCACAGAATCAAAATGAACTACAGGTTGAATATGTTTATGAGCATTGACCAGTGCCTAATTCAATAGTTCTCAAAGTTTATGCTTTTCTGAGTCCTTTGAATTGTTAGATTGTATCTATTATTATTTTACTGTACCAGAAGTGAAAATAAACACATTTTCTAAATATTTATTTATAAATTACTGAAAATTAATTATCATTACATGTTACCATAAAAAGCATATTTTAAAAAATAAGCATACTTTCTAAAAAAAAAAGTATATATAACTTCTGCACTGAGAAGAAAATTCAGCCTCATGCAGGCATAGAGACAAATTTTCAATTAAGCCATTTCTTTTAAAATAATTGTACATTTACATGCAGATGCTAGAAGTAATATAGAGAGACCCCGTATACCCTTTACCCAGTTCCCCCCAATGGTAACATCTTGCAAAACCATAGCACAATATCACAGCCAAGACATTGACAATGAGGTCAAGATGCAGAATATTTCACAACAACAAATATTCTCCCTTTCTATAAAATGCCATTTTAAGAATATTATGTAAGTGGACTGTAACATTTTGGGATCAGCTATTTTCACTTGACATAGTTTTCTGGAGACTCATCAGGTTGTGTATGAACTAATGGTTTGTCCCTTTTTATTGCTGACTATTAGTCAGTGTTATGGGTGTACCACAGTGTGCTTTGAAGAACATCTGGACTGCTTCCAGAGTTTTGCTATGATGAATAAAACTGCTAAAAACATTAGTGTACAGGCTTTCTGTGAACTGGTGAGTCATATGATAATCACATATGAAAATCACAGTTTTTAGAAACTGCCAAATTTTTTTCCAGAGTGGCTGTTTTATTTTCCATTTCCAACAGCAATTTATGAGTAATATAGTTGTATTAGTCCGTTCTCACAGTGCTATACAGAATTACCTGAGACTGGGTAATTCATGAAGGAAACAGGTTTAATTGACTCACAGTTCCACAGGAAGCATGGCTGGGAGGCCTCAGGAAACACAGTCATGGTGGAAGGCAAAGGAGAAGCAAACATGTCTTACCATGGCAAAGCAGGAGAGAGAGAGAAATGAGGGCGAAGTGCCACACACTTTTAAACCCTCAGATCTCGTGAGAACTCACTCACTATCACAAGAACAGCAAGGGGGAAATCCATCCCCATGATCCATCCACCTCCCACCTGGCCCCTCCTCCAATTCAACATGAGATTTGAGCAGGAACACAAATCCAAGCAATATCACTAGTTTTCCTTCATCTCCATCACCATTTGCTGTAGTCACAGTTTTTATTTTAACCAGGCTAAAAGTTATGTAACAATATCTCATTGTGGTTTTAACTAGCATTTTTCTAATGGCTAATAATATTCGACATCATTTCATGTGCTTATTTGTCATCTCTATATTCTTATCACTGAAATACTTGTTCATGTATTTTGCCCATCTTCTAATTGGATTGTTTTATTGTTTACTGTTGAGTTTAGATAATTTATTTTATATATTCTAGATACTAGTTCTCTGTTGGACATGTGATCCACAAATATTTCTCTGTCTGTAGCTTGTCCTTTCATCTTTAAATATGATCTTTTACACAGTAAAACTTTTTAATTTTAATGAAATTCTATTTATTAGTTTTTCTTTTATGGATCATGTTTTTGGTGTTAAATCTAAGAATTCTATGCCAAGTAGTAGATCCTGAAGGCTTTCTCTCATGATTTTTCCCCTAAATGTTTTATAGTTTTACATTTTACACTTAAGTCTGTGATTCATTTTGAGTTAATCTTTGTATAATAGTTTTGTAAAGTATTAATTTTTATATAATTTCTGATGTGACCTAGGTGGAGCTGCCGCTAATTCTTCATTTATTCCTTTATTTGCCTCTGGATGTACAATTACCCCAGCTCCATTTATTGAAAAAGCTAAGGTGCTTCCTTTGAATTGCTTTTGAATTTTTGCCAAACTTGGTTTGGGTATGTTTGCTTGGGCCTACTTCTGGATTCTCTATTCTGTTCCCTTGATCTGTGTATGTCTCCTTCCACAAATACACACAGTCTTTATTACTGTATATTTTCACATTGGGTAGACTGATTCCTCCCACTTTATTTTACTTTTTTATTTTTTTAGCTACCCTAATACCTTTTTCAAAATTGTTTTAGTTATCCTAGTTTCTTTGCTTCTTCATATATATTTCATAATAACTTGTTTTATAAAAAATATTTCTGGTATTTGGACAGGAACTGTGTTAAATCGGTATATCTTTTTTTAACGAGTTGACATCTTTACTATGCTAAATCTTCCATTACATAATCATGGAATAGTCCACATTTATTTAAATCTTGAATTTCTTTTATCAGTGTTTTATAGTTTTCAGCATATAATTTGTGTATAAGTATTGTTGGATTTGCACCTTGTATTAGGCTGTTGCAAAACTGCATTATTATAAACAAAGACCAGAGACTGGGTAATTTATAATAAAAGAGGTTTAATGGCTCACAGTTCTGCAGGCTGTACAAGAAGCATAACAGCATCAGCTTCTGGGGAGGTCTCAGGAAGCTCACAATCATGGCAGAAGGTGAACCAGGAACAGGCATGTTACATGGCCAAAACAGGAGCAAAAGACAGAAAGTACACATGGGTGTGGTTAATGCCATATACTTGAAAACAACCAGATTTTGTGTGAACAGAGTGAGAACTCACTTCTCACTAAGTGGAAAGCCCAAGCCACTCATGAGGGATCCACCCGCGTCATCCAAAACCTCCCAACAGGCCCACTTCCAACACTGAGGATTACATTTCAACATGAGATTTGGACAGGGACAAATAGCCAAACTCTATCACACCTATTTCATGTTTTAAACTGTGTTGAATGATATTATTATAATTTCAAGGTCCACATGTTCACAGCTGCTGTATAGAAACGTTGTTGAACTTGGATTTTGTGGCTTTGCTGAACTCAATAGTTCTAGGATTTATTGTACAGATTCCTTGGTATTTTCTCTGTAGATGACCACGTCATCTGTAGAGACAGTTTCTTTCTGTTGAATCTGTGTGACTTTTTTCTTGACCTACTGCCTGGGTTAGAACTCTAGTCTTGACTCTCGCCATGAGGTCTCCCTTGGCACCACCCAGCAGGAGGCTGAAAGGTACCTTATTGCAGCCTCTTTAGGGTGGGGGACTATTCTCCCCACTCAGCCTTTGTGGCTCAGGTAGGAGGTAGGAGTGGAGCCACTGTGTGTTCTGTGATGTTTGGCTGGAGTAGCCATTATCATCTAAAAGCACTCTGTCTTGCTAGGCTGCTCCTTTCTTCATCCACTGGCTAAAGACAACCAGCTTTGTTGAGGGGTTGGGGGTTTTCTCTCTGTGCCAGTTATCAGCTTGTTCAGCACAGAGGCAACAAGAAAATCCAGAGAACACAGGCTCATGTCATTCCATGTGTCCTGAGGTCCCTAGCCAGTCTCAGCCTTTCAGAATCTTCTACAGGTCTCTGTGGATTGGTATGTCATGGCTTGTTTTATATATGTATACCCCAGGGCTTCTGTGGGAACACAGTGGGAAGGAATAACAAAACGTGTGTCTACTTCATCTTCCAGGAGGGGAGGTCTCAGAGTTGAGGATATTTTGAAGATATTATCAGATATTTATTTCCTCATTCCTTGTTTTCAAAAAATGAGACCAAGTAAAATACTCATTTAGCAAATAATGTGGTGAGATCATTTTGTGCAAGTGAGAATTGATGAATGTTCTTTATCATCCATACCTATTATATTCTGAGAACAAATCATTTCAGAAAGTGTTTATTTAAAGATTAAAAATCGGCCAGGCGCGGTGGCTCACGCCTGTAATCCCAGCACCTTGGGAGGCCAAGGAGGGCGGATCATGAGGTTAGGAGATCGAGACCATCCTGACTAACATGGTGAAACCCCCTCTCTAATAAAAATACAAAAAATTAGCCGTGCATGGTGGCGGGCGCCTGTAGTCCCAGCTACTCGGGAGGCTGAGGCAGGAGAATGGCGTGAATCCAGAAGGCAGAGCTTGCAGTGAGCGGAGATCGCGCCACTGCACTCCAGCCTGGGCAACAGAGCGTGGCGCCGTCTCAAACAAAACAAAACAAAACAACGACAACAACAAAAAAAGATTAAAAATCCATGAAATGTGTTTTTTACGTAAATATTATTCTTTCTAATATTACATAAGAAAATGTTTGATAATTTGAATTTATAAAATTTATAGGTAAAAGGCAGTTGGATTTAAAAGCATATAATAATCAAAACGGAATTTGGTCACTTTAGGGTTTGTGTAAATCAGGAATAGGCTTCTGGGTTAATCTTTCAGTCAACATAACAACATATATCTTGATTCTTATTCAGTGTTGCCATTGAATCCTTACAATATAAACCTGATGTTATCAGGGAACTATATTACCTTTTTTAAAAAATCATTGTAGCTAATGTTATAATTTTTCAACACAGATACTTATCTTTTAATGAAATTATGATTTGAGTAAGTGCAAAAAGATAAGGAAATGTCTCTTAATACAAAATGGCATGTTAATGTCAGTGAATAAACATCAATACTTAACCAAGTTCTCTAAAGCATTAATATAAACAGAGATGCAGTAGCTTATATGTGATTGCAATTTGAATTAATTTTGACATGTATCCTTCTAATAGCACTTTAAGTTTTATTTTTGAAGTGACTAAATAAGTATATTAGAACCGTTTCCCGAATCTTTGAATTCTGTGCCTTCTTTTTCACTTCTTATCTACATTAGAAAAGGAAAAGCCAATTTCCTTCCAGGATTTTCTCCTTGCTCAAGTTTACCCAAGAGAGAAGAGGAATGATATAATGATCAATAGACACTGCTGTTCCTATACTGTAATTATAAAAGTCTCTGATATTTATGTTCACATAAAGAGGGCAACCTTTGAAATGTGCCCTGAGGAAACATTAAAAATAGAAAGGGTATGGGACAGGACAAGAGAGCTGCAGAGAAAAAGAGAAAGGGAAAGAGAAACCAGCAGGGGAAAGACAAGAGCAGGAGAGGGGAAGAGGCAGGAAGAGGTGTTCGCAATCACAAGCCTGGGAATCGAACCAGGAACCCAGTCCCTGGAAGCTGAGGGTTAAGAAGGAAAAGGGGAAGAGAGATTAGTGTAGAGGATGAAAAGATAAGAATGACAAGGACCACCAACACCGAATCCTTCTTTATACCCTACAATAACAGGCATGCAGCAAAATTTTCTCTTTAGGGTGTGTTTCTTCCTGGAATCACATCCTGGGGTGTGTCTGCCAAAGTTACAGTTCTTGTTATTTCCCAGAAAAAGAACTGGTATTTCAAATCCAAGACCTCCTGGTAGGGCATTGCTAAGGGGATTGGTGTTTCTGGCTGGGCTTTTCCTGATCTGACCCCCAATCTTCCCATGTCCCCACATCATGCAGTGAGAGAGGGCTTCTCAACCCAAGGGGCCATGTCAAGAGAACCTAGCTGGTTCACCAACCTGGTCACAAAAACATTACACCTTCATTTTCACTAACTTGACTTTATGGGGTAACATCACTAAAGACTGATTCAGGAGCCTGAACTTCCCCAAAAGAGGCCCCCAGTCCATCCTTGTTGACCCCAGACCCCAACTCCATGTCAGTGAAGACCCTATTGGTACTGGGCCTCCACCACCCCCACACAGCAGTCTCAAGGAGCACACAACCACAACTGCTATGGAAAATGAGGATAAGAAGTCAGGATTTTCCAGAGTTGGGGAGGATCTTTTTTTCCTAACTGCAATACAGACAAGATTTTAAAAACCAAAATAATAACCAGTGGCCTATATTTCTCATACTCTGAAATATAATAGCAACATTGTGGGAATAAAGCAGGAAAACATAGGACTATGTCATGTATTTTATCACAGCTTGGAAACCTCAGTTCTAAGCCACTCAAAGAACAGGCAGCCACCTGAAAATTTAGGAGTACTGCCTCTCTCGCATCTTGCTGGAAATGTCCTGTCCAGGCCACAGGACACCAGAAAGAAAGAGATTAGTGGTTATTTAGTCCACCCCGAGATATATAGTCTAGAAGACTGGGAGGAGTGCATACACATTATATGTAGATTTTCATGCACTGAATTTTGTTGAAAAATTAGAGAATCCCTCATAGTTTGAGTATATTAGCTTTATTTCTTATTGATGAAACAGGTAGTGAACAAGGGAAGATTTTATCGTAAGGTTGGGCAGAGCTGTATTCTACACCTGAGATGAAAGTGGAACTGTCCAGGCTTGATGGCTCACGCCTCTAATCCCAGAACTTTGGGAGGCCAAGGCGGGTGGATCACTTGAGGTCAGGAGTTCGAGAACAGGCTGGCCAAAATGATGAAACCCCATATCTACTAAAAATACAAAAATTAGCCAGGTGTGGTGGTGCACACCCTTAATCCCAGCTACTCGGGAGGCTGAAGCCCAAGAATAGCTTGAACCTGGGTGATGGAGGTTGCAATGAACTGAGATCACACCACTGCACTCCAGCCTGGGCAAAAGAGCAAGATTCAGTTTAAAAAAAAAAAAGTGGGACTAATTTGTTATAGGCTGAAATAATGGGACAGAGAGCAGATGTCTTCAAATGTGCAGTCCCGGTTCTCTTTGTGTTCTGTGGAGAGATGTGCTTGGCCACAGCCCGTCAGGACTCACTATGGATTTGTACCTCGTCAGAGGGACACTTCGCCCCTGTGCCTTCTCTTTTGGAGGGGCACACCGGATAGTCACCTGCAGAGATACACTAGTCATTCCAGGGTCAGATGCAAAGCTGTATGACTTTAGGTGTCCTCTAGTAGCACAGGAAGTTATAGGAACAGGGTCTGTCTCATCAAGCTCATTTCTATGCAACCCCAGATGAGTCTTTTGATGTAATTGACCAAATACCACTTTTTACCATCAATCCATATCGTTGTCAAACATGATTCTACTGGAGCCACAAATTTGTTGACCTCTCTTTATCTAAAGTAAAGGAGGGAGGGCTAGTTGCCTCAACCCACCTTTGTTTTCTGCATAAACCAAGTGGGCTCTAACTGAATTTGTGTCCTAATGCAAACAGCACTTTTCCAGTTGTTGAGCAGGCTAGACCTAGGCCAGCTTCTGCCTGAGCAATGGTGAAAAGATAGGTTCCACCCAGAGGGGAGGAAGCTCCAGATGATGGGTGGAGGTGGGGCCAAGGTAAGTTCAGCCCTGCTGGGAAGCCACATCACCTCCTTTCCCTTGCCCTCAGGATCCTATGGTCCATGCAGAGAAATCTGAGCCCCAGGTACCCACATCAATCTCCACAGTAACCTAGGTCAGTGCTCTATCATTTAGGGTCACAATAGTAGCAGAGGGTAGAGTACTGACTGAAGCATTCATTTTCACCCTATCTAAAAGGCACTTCACAACTTTGAAGGCCAGGATTCTGCTAATGGAACAGGATTTTCCACCATGGAAACGTCCCAAGAATTCATGCAAATACAAGGCAACTGAACTTTGAGGGACACAATCAGCTATGCCACAGGAGATTACGTTCTCCCATCTCACCCTTGGAACCAAGGGCACGAGAGTTCTGTCAGGTCAGAGAGTGGGCTGGACCCCAGAACTGAAATCAAGGAGGACAGAATCTCAAGGAATGGAGAGTAGTCTGACCTGATGGCTTCCTTTCATGCATTTTATGGCTTAGCAGGAATGCATACATTTTAAGAGAATGGGGAAGATGCCTGCTTGCCTGCTACAAGAAAAGAAGTACTGGCTAATCTCTAGATGAGACTCATCATTCTTTTGCTGATCCTCTTTTGCCCATCCTTACATCTCTCTTGATTCTGTCTTTTCACCCACCTCTGAGGAACTTGACCTAGTGAGCATGGCTAGTGATTCATTCTTGTAACAAGCCAGGCTGACGGAGCTCGAGGCACTACTAGACAGTGTACTGCCATATCCCCAGGCTCTGCTAAGCCTGCTTTCCCATCTGGGCTTTCTGTGTTTATTCCATTTCTTTCCTTCTGAGCAAATCCTCCATTTAAGAAGCAGAGGTGCACTCTTAAATCTGAGAATTTGAACAGGCTCTTCTCTTGTCTTGCTTTACCTCCTCCTTTTTTCCCTGTCCCATTTTTCCAGATGCTTGGAATGTTTAGACTTCCACACTCACACACAAAGCTGCCTCTTTGCAATCTCACTATAATTGCCTTACTGGAGCAGCTATGCCTGCCCCGTCATTATTTCCAGTTAGATTATTCATTTTTAGTAGGCTGCCCTTTATTAACTCTGCACTAACCACCACTGACTGTCTACACTCTTTCCTAGGAGAAATTTTATAAACAAACAACTCAAGCCTTGATGTGACAGCACAGGACTGTGAGGGAGGCCAGTGCCCTCTCCAGATCTCCCCAAAGCCCAGATGGTATCAAAAAAGGCTGCTGCTTCAACCCCTTCCTTGCCTGGCATCCTAGAGGTTGGGAGTCTTTTGTGCCTTCTTCCTTTTTCTTAGTAGGAAAGTCAAAAAAGGGGGTTTCCAAAACATGAGAAGGAATTAACAGATAAGAACAGGAAGGCAATTCTGTGTCCCCCTTCTCAGTAAATATACTGCTTTGGGATTTCTAAGGTCTATTCCCTCAGGGTTATAAGGGCTCCACAGAGAGACCTTGGAGCCAGATTGTCACCAATGACCCATCCATTCTCAGATTTAGTGACCTCTAATATGTCCCAGGGGTGCTGTCCCCCACTCCTGTGATAACCCATTCCTCAGGACTGTGTTATCCACCCTACACGTCTCATGGCTCTCTCCAGCAGCTGGCTCAGGAAAACTCTCATGGCATCATTTGGTGCTGCCTAGACTCCTGATTCTAAGGTGAGAGGAGGCAGGAATCTTTGTCATGCCAGCTGCTTGTGAAGAGGTGAGTATGGTCTAGGGCGAAGTAGAGAAGTCTTGGTGCTGTGCTACAGCAGATAAACCAGGACGACATGGGATAAGCCTGGGAGTGACTATCATGGATGAAATAAGCATGTGAGTCTCCAGTGCTGAGCACTTTGGGCCCAGCACCACCTGTTTAAGAGGCCTCCTTCAGCTGGTCTCCCTCACAAGCAGAGCCTTGACACAGGCGTTCAGATCCATCCAATAGCTTACTTGGGAGGCATGGTAGATTGCCAGCCACATGGCCACCAACAATTCTTTGAATCCCTGTGCAGACACGCCACTCTTATCACCAAAAGATGGAGCCTGTTTCAGCTCTCTTTGAATCTGGGCTGGCTCTGTGACCTGTTTTGACCAATAACAAATGGCAGAGGTGGTGTTCTAAAAGTTTCTGGCCCAAGCTTTAAGAGCAGGTCCAGAAGGATTTCTCACAGCATTTTTTTAAAACATTTTGGGTTTTTTTTTTTGTTTGGTTGGTTGACATATAAAAATTGCATATATTTGTCATGTACAACATAATGTTTTTAAATATGTATACATTAAAGCAATATAATTAACATATACATTACCTCACATAGTTATCATTTTTTTCTGGTGAGAACACTTAAAATCTACTCTCAGCATTTTTCGAAAATAAAATGTTAGTAACTACAGTCACCATGATGTATAATGGATCTTTTGAAAGTATTTCTCCTGTCTAAATGAAATTGTGTATCCTTTGGTGAACCCTCCCCAACCTCCCGTCACACCCCTGCTAACCATCCTTCTCCTCTCCACATATATACGAGTTTAAACTTTGTAAGATTTCACATGTAAGTGAGACTATATGTGAATTACAGTATTTGTCTTTCTGTGCCTGGCTTAATTCACTGAACATAATGGCCTGCAGTTTCATCCATGTTGTTTCAAACGACAGAATTTCTTTCTTCTTTGTACTCTTGGGTCACTTACCTTCTCTTTGCATCCATTTGGACTCAAGCTGACAGGTAAAGAAGCTTGGGTTAGACCACAGTATGCTAAGAGATCTCAAGGAAAAGGCCCGGCCATTCCAGCTACCCAGTATTCCAGCCCTAGCTGAGCACTCCGATGGAGACAGTTTGAGCACTCCGATGGAGACAGTTGTGTGATTGAGCCTAGTTGACACCACATGTCCAGAAACACTGCCCAGCAGAGCCCAGCAAACCCACAGATATGAGAAATTGCTTAAGGCCATTAAGTATTGGGGTCATGTGTTGCATAGTAAGAGTTAACTGATCTAGGAGGTGATATAAGGAAGCAGTAGTTGGGGGACTGGGGGTGGGAAAGTAGAACTGGGGAGGGAAAGAGGCCAGTGAAGTGGGCATTGGTGAGCACTTTCCTTTCCTGCTGTGTGTAACTGAAGCTTGGTCTTCTGGAGAACTCTGGCAGACAGAGTTGAACATGCCTCAGTATTATCTAACTGGGAAATAGTAAGTGAAGTAATTCTTCTACCAACTGCCATTGGTCATTGGGTGGGGATGCGACCTGGGAGATTACCTCTCTAGGATGTTGGCTTGCCTCAGAAAGAAAAAAGTACTCATGGTCATAGGTGGCATAGTACGACTGGCATGAACAGGAACCGCAACTGCTAAGGAGATGTGGGTGGGAAGCATCAACTGCTTATCCCTGTAGATTTTAGGAATATTGTCCCATGGAAATATGTGAAGAAGGGTTGCTCTCATCTCAGCTTGTTCATGGCTAAAGAAGTTAGAAATTGTCTTGAGACCATCTTGCTTGCTCCACCAGGGACTCTGCTCCAGGAACACAAAGTTGGGCTGAGAATGATACAGTCCCATGAGAACTGAGAGATTTTGATGTGAAAGCAGGACTTTTTCTGCATCTAGATGGGCAGTGAGCAGCACCAAAGAATTCCTCACAGTATTTCTTTGTGTCTCTGGGCCACTTAGTTCTTATATCCACAGATGGCTGAAAACTGAAATTTAATAGCACAATACCATGAGAAGCACAGGAGAAACCAAACCCTGCCCAGGAGAATCAGAGATGTGTACTCAGCTGAAGGAGATATCCCAGATAACCATACAGGAAAGCAGCTACTCAGTGGCATAAGGAGGATGAAGAGGTCTGTCAGAAACAAGTTGGGTATTGTACTGCAAGACAACAAACCGAAGTGCAAGCCGGAAAGAAACATGAGGAGCTGAATTAAGGAGAAATCGTAGTAAACTAAAAACATAATTTTAGAAAGTCAAATCCAAATTAGAAGTAGCTTACAGCATAGAGTATCTCTAATCAGCCTTGTGACAGAAGACATGTGAATCAAGGTTCACAATGATAATAATTTTTTTAATGCAAAGATGATAAAGGCAATAGAAAATATGAAATCTATGCAGTAGTAGCACTTCACAAAAAAGAAACATGAATAAATCAATTAGAAACAATAGTTAAATTTAAAACATTTTTATGTCTGAAACAGATAGGTCTGAATCTGTAGATTAAAAGGGCTCCCATGTGCCGTGCATCTGCTTGCTCCCTGCCTGACGAGCTGCCCCGCCCCAACTTCTTGTCAGGTTAGATGCACAGAAGCTGAATTTCTGAGAAAATGTGGAGAACAAGGAGCTAAAGTGTGGCGGGGTGGGGTGAATGCCTTCAAAAAGGCAGTAGACATGAAGTCCTTGCCCATGCCTATGTCCTGAATGGTATTGCCTAGGTTTTCTTCTAGGGTTTTTATGGTTTTAGGTCTAACACTTAAGTCTTTAATCCATCTTGAATTAATTTTTGTATAAGGTGTAAGGAAGGGATCCAGTTTCAGCTTTCTACATATGGCTAGCCAGTTTTCCAAGCACCATTTATCAAATAGGGAATCATTTCCCCATTGCTTGTTTTTCTCAGGTTTGTCAAAGATCAGATGGTTGTAGATATGTGGCATTATTTCTGAGAGCTCTGTTCTGTTCCATTGGTCTATATCTCTGTTTTGGTACCAGTACCATGCTGTTTTGGTTACTGTAGCCTTGTAGTATAGTTTGAAGTCAGGTAGCATGATGCCTCCAGCTTTGTTCTTTTGGCTTAGGATTGACGTGGCAATGTGGGCTCTTTTTTGGTTCCATATGAACTTTAAAGTAGTTTTTTCCAATTCTCTGAAGAAAGTCATTGGTAGCTTGATGGGGATGGCATTGAATCTATAAATTACCTTGGGCAGTATGGCCATTTTCACGATATTAATTCTTCCTACCCATGAGCATGGAATGTTCTTCCATTTGTTTGTATCCTCTTTTATTTCATTGAGCAGTGGTTGGTAGTTCTCCTTGAAGATGTCCTTCACATCCCTTGTAAGTTGGATTCCTACGTATTTTATTCTCTTTGAAGCAATTGTGAATGGGAGTTCACTCATGATTTGGGACTGTAAACTAGTTCAACCATTGTGCAAGTCAGTGTGGTGATTCCTCAGGGATCTAGAACTAGAAATACCATTTGACCCAGCAATCCCATTACTGGCTATATACTCGAAGGATTATAAATCATGCTGCTATAAAGACACATGCACATGTATGTTCATTGCGGCACTATTCACAATAGCAAAGACTTGGAACCAAGTCAAATGTCCAACAATGATAGACTGGATTAAGAAAATGTGGCACATATACACCATGGAATGCTATGCAGCCATAAAAATTAATGAGTTCATGTCCTTTGTAGGGACGTGGATGAAGCTAGAAACCATCACTCTCAGCAAACTATCGCAAGGACAAAAAACCAAACACCGCATGTTCTCACTCATTGGTGGGAATTGAACCGTGAGAACACATGGACCCAGGAAGGGGAACATCACACACTGGGGCTTGTTGTGGGGTGGGGGGAGGGGGGAGGGATAGCATTTGGAGATATACCTAATGTTAAATGACGAGTTACTGGGTTCAGCACGCCAACATGGCACATGTATACGTATGTAACTAACCCGCAGGTTGCGCACATGTACCCTAAAATTTAAAGTATAATTTAAAAAAAATACAAAAAAAAGAAAAAAGGCAGTAGAGAGGAGTGGTTGAAAACACAGGCTGTGGCTTCCAGGGTTTGAACTAAAGTTCCTCCAGTTATTATGTGTGAAGGCCGTGGGCAGGTTCCTTTTCTTCTTTGTCCCTCTGTTTCCTCCTTTGTACTTAATATGATGTCAATCTTCTTAAATGCACTAAGACTTTACTTGTGACCTGACATGATCTATCCTAGAGAATGTTCCATGTGCACTTCAGAAGCATGTGTATGTTGTTGCTATTGGATAGAAAGTTCTACATATGTCTGTTACGTCCATTGATCTAAAGTGTTCAAGTCCAGCGTTTCTCTATTGATATTCTACCTATATGATCGGTCCACTACTGAAAAAGGGATATTGCACTACTATTATTGTATTGCAGTTTACCACCCTCTTCAGATCTTTTAATATTTTCTTTATATATTTAGGTACTTAGATATTGGGTGCATATATATAATAGCAATTCCTTTAAGGCAGACCTAATGATAATGAACTCCCTTAGCTTTTATTTGTCTGGGAAAGTTTTTATTTCTCTTTCATTTCAAAAAGACAGCTTTGCTGGATAAAATATTACTGGTTGGCAGGTTTTGTTCCTTCACCACACCACATTAAATATATGATCCCACTCTCTCCTGCCCTGCAGGATTTCCATTGAGAAATCTGCAGATAGTCATATTGGGACCCTCTTTTTATGTTGTGTATTATCTTTTACTGCTTTCAGAATTTTTTCTTTGTCTTTGATAGTTTATTATATGTCTTGATAACCTTCTCTTTGCATCGAATTTGATTGGAAACCTCTGTGCTTTCTCCAGATTAGAAAAGTTGTGAGCCATTGTTTCTTTAAATATGTTTTCTGGCCCATTTTCTCTTTCTTCTGCTTCTTAAAGATCCATTATGGGTTAGTTAGGTCTCTTGATGGTTTCCCATTATTCTCATAGCCTTTTTCATTCTTTTTTCTTTTTGCTCCTCTGCCAGAATAATTTTACATGTACTAATTTTTTCTTCAGCTTCATCAAGGCTACTGTTGAAGCTTTCTATTATTACATTTCTCAGTTCAGTCATTGTATTCTTCATCTTTAGGATTTCTATTTATTGTTTCTATTTTTTGTCAAACTCATTTTATAAATGCATTGTTTTCCAAATTTTATTTAATTTATTAACCCATACTTTCTTGTAGTTCACTGAACTTATTTATAAGTATTATTCAAATTATGTTTCTGTTGTTTCATAGATCTCCCTTTCTTTAGAGTTCATTCTTGGATCTTTGTTAGTTTCTCTTAGAGGTGTCATGATTTTCTGAGTCTTTGTAATGCCTGTGTTGTTGCTTTGACATCTACACATTTGAGGAGGCTCCTTTTGCAGCTTTTACAAGTGTTCTTTGGCAGGGATAGTCCTTCACTATTTAGTCTAGCCTATGATTCTGGATAAGCCAGCTGGTAGGCCCTGGGCAGGAAGAGGTTGCTTTTAGTTTCTGTAGATGCCTGGACTGCTGTCTTTGC
The DNA here is from genome assembly GCF_000001405.40 of Homo sapiens. Lineage (NCBI taxonomy): Eukaryota > Metazoa > Chordata > Mammalia > Primates > Hominidae > Homo > Homo sapiens. The sequence goes on from NC_000007.14 coordinate 54,274,765, forward strand.
TTTGGGTTTGGGTGGGAGACATGGCTGAGATCTGCTATTCAGCAAAACTACTGGCTGAGCTCTGCAATCAGGCTGAGTTGCTGGATGGGCCCTACAATCACCTCTGATTAAGCTGGCCATAGGGTGTATTCCCTGGCCAGGTGGCACTATTCTTTGGGTTCAGCAGCTGGACAGGATTGCAAGAGGGGCCCTGAGGTTAGGTGGAGTTGCTGATCAGAATGGATGGGACCAGTTTCTATGCACATTAGAAATGCATGTTTGAGTTTTGCCTCTCTGTCTGGGCTGGACCATGGAGTGGGCTTTGAGGCTTATCTGAGGGTTGTTTAAACTTCCAGGTGTGGCAGATCTAGCTCCTAATCTTTGCCAAAAATTGCTGCACTGGCCATCTCCCTCCCTGGCTAGGGCCCCAGGACAGGGTCAGAGCTGATCCTGGAGACTAGCTATCTAAGATTTTAAGCCACGTAGTACATCCCTCTACTTCTGAGAGTGACCAGCTCAGCTTTGCACGTGGGCCATGCTGTTAGCTGGTACCTCTGATCAGGAATCACTGCTGCCAACTACAAAGACTTACCACCAAGATCTTCATAGTGGTTGTTGCTGCAGGCTCTACCTTCTCAGTTTGTTTCTACTCGACCCCAGGTGGCCTATCTGTGCCGTTCCTCACTGTGTTTCTCTTCAGATGAGACTCAAGTGGGCTTCCTGGGAAGCATCTCAGAATGATAGAGTCTGGATTTCCACTTCCAGTTCTCTTTTTCCTCCATAGTAATCATGATCCTAGGAAATTCTCTCTGTGGTGCTGTGCCTTCTTGGGGGAGAGAGAGGTATAATGGGATGAAAGTGGGATTATTTCTCTTACCCTTTCCATGCATTTTTTTATATATATACAACTCTGTTGACCATGGAGGTGACTCAGGCTTATTCCCAATTTCACCAAGATGTTCTTATCTGTATGTCATTGCTAGTTGAAATTTATGCAATGAGTAGCAAAGCTTTCTCTTTTACCGTTTTGCTGATATCCTGGTTCCTAATTTGCAATGGTGATATACTGCTATGCACCTTATTGAATTCTATGTATTAATACTTGTAAAAATAATTATAACACTGCTGGTGCATAGTAAGCAGTAAATAAATGTTAGCTCTTATGATTTTGGGGGCACTGATATTCTGTTTCAGATGGAAAAACATATAGTTATTAGTCTACTAATTTTAGTATTCTGTTACCATCAGTGTTAAAATTAGTAAATATTACAGATGGGCTCTGGCCTAAAATATTCTCTATACATTTTGGTACTATTTTGGAGACTACCTTTACAGTAATGATAATGATTATTATATTTTCATGAATATTCTAATGGAACATTTGGAAAGAGTAAATTAAAAATATATTGTCTGATACTATATTCTGTTAATCCAAACCTTCCAAGTCAAGTTTTCAGCAAAACCATTAAGTAGAAAATACATGTCTTTATAATGTTCTTATACTACTCCCTCCTTTAAATATTTTTCCCAAAACATCATTTGGATAAATAATCTTCTCTTAACAATAAAGAACCTCTTGTTCTGCCATGTAACAGTTAATCAGTTAAGCCAAGTCCTTTCCACATAATTTCCAGGTGAGAAAGTCGCCCATATATATTAAGGAATGGCACCAAGAAAATAAACATTTCTAGCCTGGAATATCTAGGATAGGACACAGGTAAATGAACACTCATAGGTTAATAACCTTATCACTCAGTATAGCCGAAAGCACATCTCAATCTCAAATCTCTCCCTTTGGTATGTTTCAGGACCAAATGTCTTTTCATGAACATATTAGGTTCTGTTTATATTTTTATCACAGCTCACTTATTACAATCTGTTTGCCAGCACTTTTATCAATGTCTTAGTTAACATAAACCTTTATTATTACTCATAAAATTACCAAGACTAAATATGTATTTAGCTATCTTACTGTGGCTATGAATTTTACAAGGTGACTATCTGTTGCATAAAATAATATTTATCTTACTATGCTCTAAATTTACTACCCTCTTAATTTCCTTCGGTGTCTCCATGAGAAACTTTATACCCAGGCATTTGGAAAGCTACACTCATTTATCCTGTTGCTCATAACTCATTTAAAAACCATAACATTTATGCTCTCACCAATTGCTGAGAGCTGCCCTAGACCTTAGCAGGTTTAAATGCCAAATTTTAAAACCACAATTAAAATATTTCATCAATTCATGAGGCTTATCTCGTTCTTCTTCATAAGTGCTTGCAATATCGTGGATCTTTTTTGTCATATTCTGCACATTTTGTTTAAGCATACTAACACATGAGATTATTCCAATAATTGTTCATTTAGGTGTTAAATTATGCTTAAAATAACCAAAGTAAACATATTTATACTGAATTTTGAACAATTGTCTCTGTACAACTTATATAAGATTTCCTCAACTTGTCTTCATTACAAAAAAATCTTAATGGAAAATCCTAGTTATATCCTAATATATGAACTATAGCTATTTCTTGGTGGTATTTTTTTCTCAATGATTTCTACATTTTTATCTGTCTTCTTTCATCATTCCTTTAATTTTTACTGTGAATTTAAAATATTTATAAAAGAATAATACAATTGTGAATAATAAAAATGAATTTTGTGAAAATTATCAATTTGTGGAAATTGATATTCATTTGTATTTCTTTATCTGAAGATACTGTTCATGCTTATGTCCTTATTTTTTCTTTGTTTTTAGCAGCTTTTTTGAGATATAATTTCATGTATCATACTATTCATCCATTTAAAGTGTACAATTCAATAGATTTTAGTGTATCCACAGAGTTACACAATCATCATCATAATCAATTTGAGAATACATGTATCACTCTAAAAAGAAACCTCATACCCAGGACTAATTACTCCCATTTTCCGGCCAACTCCTAGAGTGAGAGAAGGAGATGGACAATGGAAGCAGAGGTTGGAGTGATGCAAGGAAAAAACCATGAGGCAAGGCATATAGGCAGCCCATAACCATTGAAAGAAGCCAGGAAACAAATTATCCTACAGCGTCTCCAGGAAGGCTGACAGCCCTGATGCCACTGTGATTTTAGCCCGGTGAAATTCATGCCATACTTCTGACTACAGAACTAAAAGATGATAAATTTAAGTTATTTTTAAGCCATCAAACTTGTAATAATTTGTTATAGCAATAGTAGGAAACTAATAGACTAGGGTACAGAGAAAAATGACTTTTGTACACTGATGGTGCAGCCTGCTGAACTCATATTTAAAAATTTTTTTAGCAAATTTCTTAACACTTTCTTTGGATACGATCATGACTTCTGCAAATAGAGATAATTTTACCTCCTTGTTTTTAATCTGAATGTCTCTTACTTCTTCTTGATAAATTGTCCTGTCTGGAATCCCCTATTCAATTTTGAATCAAGTGGTAGGAATGGACATCCTTGTGTTTCTGCTCTGAGGGGATGAACATTCAGTCTTTCAACATTAAGCCTGGTGTTAGCCGTGGGTGTTTTTTCTTTATAATAGTGAAAGAATTCCCTTTATTTGTAGTTTGTTGAGTATTTTTATCATGACCTTGGATTTTGTCAAATGCTTTTTCTGTGTCTACTCAGATAATCACGTGGTTTTTCCCTCCTATGTCTTATGGATACCTACAATTTTAAAAATCATATATAGTGTGTGAATCCTGAAAATTTGAGACAGGTCTCAGTTAATTTAGAAAGTTTATTTTGCCATTGTTGAGGACGCATTCCCATGACACAGCCTCAGAAAGTCCTGACACGTGCTCAAGGTAGTTGTGCACAGCTTAGTTTTATACATTTTAGGGAGACATGAGATATCAATCAATATATGTAAGAAGTACATTGGTTGGGTCAGGAAAGGCTTGACAACTTGAAGCAAAGGCAGGAAGACTGGAAGCCGGGAGGGAGCTTCCAGGTCACAGATAGGTGAGACACAAACAGTTGCATTCTTTTGAGTTTCTTATTAGCCTTTCCAAAGGAGGCAATCAGATATGCATCTACCTCAGTGAACAGAGGGGTGACTTTGAATAGAATGGGAGGCAGGTTTGCCCTGAGCAGTTCCCAGCTTAAAGGGGCCCAAGATATTTTCCTTTCACAAGTAGGATACACAAACAAGAAAATGACTTTCATGAAGCAAGAAGTTTAGTTTACTCAGAGTTCCCTAGAAGCAGGATGGATGGCCAGCCATGCAGGACACACGGGGAAGCAGTGGGGTCTGTAGGAAGACAGAGGGATGGAGGAGAAAAGTGGGTGGGAACTTTTGTTCTGGTTCCCACAAAAATCAGGCAAGGAAGGTTAAGCAGACTTGGAATTGGATGGTTTGAATCATTTTACCAGCCTCTGAGGCTTAGGAACTGTCTTAGTAATCTAGTTGTTGGACACCTGCCCCTGGGGAATAGTGATAGACCAAGAGAAAAGGTGGGTGGATGTGTGGGGGCTGGGTGGGTTTTTTCCACAGAAAATGTGTTCTTGGAGGTGGGTGGTTTGCTATCTCTAGGGAGTGGCTAGCCCTGGAAGGACCAGTTCCTCCAGTGTCTATAAGGCCCACATGTGAAAGCATCAAAAAGAAGAAACAAACAAACAGAAAAGTAAAAAGACACATTTAATATACCCTACATTCTGTTAATATAGTATACTACATTAGTTGACTTTTGGATATTAAACCAATTTTGCATTCCTAGGATAAATCCCACTCCATTATGTTATATAATAATTTTTATATGTTGCTGGAATTTATTTGCTAGTAGTAGTCTATTGAATATTTTTGCGTCTGTATTAATAAAAGATATTGGGGTGTAGCTTTGTTTCTTATTTTTATTTCATTTTCCTTTTTTTCCTTTGTGATGCCTTTGGTTTTGTTATTGGGGTAATGAGGACTTCATAGAATGAGTTGGGAAGTGTACAGTATTATTCTTTTTTTTTTTTTTGAAAAGATTGTTAAGGACTGGTTTTCTTTAAATGCATGGTAGAGTTCACTCATGAAGCTCTCTGAGTCAGCTTTTTTTTTAAGTGAAGTTTTTAAGTTACCAGGCAATCTCCTCCTCTATCTCTCGATTGGCTTCCTCATGTCTAAAGCATTGAGAGTCAGTCCCACTTTACCTATGTCTCAGGACAGTTGTAAAGACTAAATAAGAAGTTATACATACTGCCTTGTGAACTAGGGGAGTCTTTCCAACATTAGGTATCAAGACAGCCAAGTAAAAAGGGGTCCCTGGAGAATCTCCAACCCGCCAGCATACCGGGATGACGAGGTGGAGCCTCAGAAAGTTCATGCTGTTTGCAGCGGGGAAGAGTGTGGTCTCTCCTGTTCCTGTGTGGGAACCTAGGATTCAATCTGTTAGGCAGGACTCTCTCTCGCTTTGCTAAGAGTCCCTGTTTCCTTTTTTTTTCCTTTTCACCCAATAAACCCTGCCCTATTCACCCTACGGTGTGTCCAGGTGCCTAAATTATCCTGGTTGTGTGGCAAGGACCTGTTTTTTTCTACAACGGCATCACTATGTAGAGCAGATGAATAAAAAGGAAAAATAGATTTTTAGTAAAGACAAAGTCAATCACACAGCATGACGAACATGCAGCTGTGAAAGATTATATTAGAAGAAGAAGACACCAAATGTTTTCTCTAGATTAAATATGGATTGCATTTTTAAACACCTTAAGCACCATTTAATCCTCCATATTTTAAATAAACCGTTTAATTTTTAAAATAATTGTTCTTTGAAGAGAACACAAAAGATACAAAAAATTTACATAAGGAAATAGAAAGCATTTATAACTAATACTGATTTAGCATACTGAAGCTGCCCACAATTTATATGCATTTTTTTCACACGCACATACTATTTAGCTTTTTTTCTGACTTTTTAAACGTCTGTCTACACATCGTCAAGATCCTAAGCAAACGGCTAATTTTTGTATTTTCAATACCAGTGCTCTCTCATTTTAGTTCAAATCTCAGACACCTTTTTTTTGACCTTAGCCCACCGTTTCTTGTTCCAGCCTCTGTTCTCCTTAGGGCTCCTGGTTACCTGGTTACTGATTAATGGAAAAATATATTCCTATAAGCACCTGCTTCAGCACTTGTGTTGTTAAAAAGGAATACCTGAGGCTGGGTCATTTATAAAGAAAACACATGTATTCGGCTCACGGTTTGGCAGGCTGTACTGCATGGCGCCAGCATCTGCTTCAGATGAGGCACTCAGGCTGCTTCCAGGCACCACGGAAGGTGAAGGGGAACGCACATGTGTAGAAATCACATGGTGAGAGAGGAAGCAAGAGAGAGAGTGAAGATGCCAGGCCCTTTTTAACAACCAGCTCTCCAAGTAACTCTCTCAGGAAGAAATAGAGTAAGAGCTCAGTCACCACTGCAGGGACAGCACCAATCCATTTATGAGAGACCCACCGCCATGAGCCAAACACCTCACACTAGGCCCCACCTTCAACACTGGGGATCACATTTCAACATGAGATTTAGAGGGTAAAATCTAAACTGTACCAGAACCCAATTCCTGCCTGCTGCCTGGACTCACTGTTGATGCGGATAGGAGACTACAGTTAGTGGGAAAATGCTTCATGAAGACACACACACACAAATACAACCTCGTTCTTCCATGAAGGGCAGCATCATGGGTCTCTAACCTGATCCTCCTTCCTTCCCACGTTACCCCAAACCCTCCAGCACTCAGCTCCCCCATTAAGATTAACAACAATGTCTCTGCTGCTGACTCACTTTCTATGGAACCAGGCTGTTCCTGATTTAGCTGTTCACTCCAGAGGCTCATGTGGTCTAAAATATTCGGGGAGCTCCAGGAGCCCCTGCTATGGGTCCCAGAATGGAAGGGGCAGGCTTATTTTCCTCTACCTGTCCTGTGCTCTGTCCCTGAGCATGAGTTCCTCATAGATGTGGGACGCTGAACCATGATGGGTAACACTGGACTCAGGACTGTGGGCATCCCAAATGCAGAGAAGCTGTGGCTGCCTGGTTTTATGAATCTTTAAGTTGGAGTGCTGGAAACAGGGAGGCCTAAATCCCACCTATGTACAGGACTAGACCCTCAGCAGCTAATTGTGTGTTTGCTTCCTCCTTCGCTGTCCCTTCTTTTGGTGGAAATCCTTTCCAAAATCTAGAAATAAGTGCACTGGTAACCTCTGGTAACCTTTACCTTCTTTGTTGTGACTCTCAGCTTTTTTTTCCTATCCCTTCCCAAGTAGTAGCACTTTTCTTTGAGATGGGGTCCCAGTCTCTTGCCCAGGCTGCAAAGCAAGTGACGCAATCATAGCTCACTGCAGCCTGGACCTCACAGGCTCAAGCGACCCTCCCACCTAAACCTCTGGAGTAGCGAAGACTACAGATGCTGCATTTTGTTGTTGTTGTAGAGATGAGGGGTAGGGGGGCTCACTACATTGCCCAGGCTGATCTGGAACTCCTGGCATCAAACAGTCCTCTTGTCTCAGCCTCCCAAAGCACTGGGATTACATGTGCTTGCCACCACGCCCAGCCCAGGTGGAAGAATATTTTGAGAATCCACTGCTGTCTGGATCTATTTTATCCTGGAAGTTTAAATCACGTTTTTTGTATGTGGGGAGAAAATATTCATTTGGCTGGATGAGATGAACTGTGGCACCAAATTTTTAATATGGTGTGATTTTTAATAGTAAAATGGCAAAATGAATGACTTCCTATAATTACTTTTACTATGTCACAAATAATTTGGCACAATGGCAAAAAGAGCAATTCAGAATGATTCCCAGAAAATTGACTAATACAATACTATTGCATTTTAATAAAAATAATTATCTGCTTTAAATACTTACTGATTTATTTTAAATGTAAATCCATACAACATAATAATGCATTCTTATCCTTGCTGTTAATTCATCAAATACTATGCATTCAGGTATTATGCTTCAAGTTCATATCAAGATCTTAAGCATTCATTATCAAGTCAAAATAAACATGAATTGGTACCAGAAAAAACTTCCACTGGCTTTCATAAAAGTTGCTTTAAAATTTAGCACTCAGAGGATAATCAAAAGAACTAGTGCTCTATATTTAGAAACCAATTCCCTATTTGAAATATGGACAGATAAAATGACTTCAAGGAAATGTTTGTAATTATTGTACGAACATGCTTCAATATTCAGCATGTTAAGGGAATGCAACAAAATCTAAAGCAATAGAATTTCAAAATCAAAGTTACTATTCCACCATTATTAGTATTCTAATGGTCCCTTGCCAACAACATACCAGGAAATTTTTAAAAGCTTCGCACACAGAAACAAGAAATGAATGCTTTTTATCATTACTAAATGAGAAAGCCACAGAAAAGGGTTTAAATATCCAAGGTAAAATATATAACAATCCCGACTTCCAAAATAACTCTATTACAAGCATTTATAAAAACAAGTATATTTGGTATTTTTAGAAGGAATAAAAAAGTTCATACTATCTTTGGAATTTGAACATAAAATACAGCTTTTATAGTCATATAACAACTTTTTGTTCTGAGATTTTTTTTTTGACTGAGTTTTGCTTTTGTTGCCCAGGCTGGAGTGCAATGGCACAATCTTGCCTCACCACAACCTCCACCTCCTGGGTTCAAGTGATTCTCCTGCCTCAACCTCCCAAGTAGCTGGGATTACAGGCATGTGCCACCATGCCCGGCTCATTTTTGTATTTTTGGTAGAGACGGGGTTTCTCCATGTTGGTCAGGCTGGTCTCAAACTCCCGATCTTAGGTGATCTGCCCACCTCAGCCTTGCAAAGTGCTGGGATTACAGGCATGAACCACCGTGCCCAGCCTGTCCTGAGATTTTTTTAAACTTCTAAATTCTTCAGTATTTATTACGGTGAATTTTAGTGTGGCTAATATTTTTTGTTTATTATGATTGGTTATTTTAATATTAAAATACTATTATAATAAATAAAATAGGTTATTTTAATGTTAAACTATTTAAAAATTTATATCTTATATTACTTATTTTACAAGTATTGTAACTACCTAGACGTGACTATATTGAGCAGTTCAGAAACATTTTCAAATACATAGACATTTATGGTTAAAAAGTTAAATGTATTTCTTTCTATTAAATTGTGCTACAGCAACACAGAATGAAGTGGAAAGTAAAATAGATCCTCTTGCTATCAATATAGTCTATCATTGGGTCCAGTATTAAATTTTTGCTGTGGCAATGTGAACTATTTTGTTCATGTATGTCATCTACTTTATTTTTCATTAGGATTTCCCTCATTCTCACTATCTGCGCCTTCCTTTGTTGTGTGTTGTGGGTAAGCTGAAGAGAAATCAAGTGATGTCATATCAAAGCAGAGGACTGCCAAAATGGTATTAATTCTTAATAAAATAATGAAATTTTTTAATTTCAATGATTTTAAAGAAGACATGGGGCATGTTCTCCTATATCCTATGTCACTTTCAAATTTAATCAGTCAGAAACATTTAACCATAGCTTCCAGTGTCTTAACTACTTCTTCATTCTCAAATACTGAATCCTAGATTTTGCCCCTTGTACCTGAGACAGTCTAGCTAGCTTGTAGCTGACTTCCTGCCAAGTTTCTTCCACATTCATAGCATATGTGTTAATTCTTCCTAGTGTGTTTTCTTAATTTTGCCGTTCCTTGATGAGTAATTTATAGTGACTTCCTCTCCCACATAGTTTTTTATTAATAAGAATGAACAACAAATTTATTAGGTCTGAGATCCAAATTCAGGTGTCTATAACCCTCAGAGTAAAATATTTCTCTATTCTGAGCAATGTGTTTAAAAAATATATTAAATTATTGTGGAACGTACATATTAAATTATCTTTATTTCAGTGTTACTTGAATATACACAACATAAACTGCAAATTTCTCAGGCTTTGGATTTCTGTGAAAATATAGAGTTAAAGCAATTTAGTAAATTAATGCAAACAAAATTAAAATCATATTAAATCAATAAAATGAAGATGCTTAAAACCACTGCTAGTGGTGGTGATATCAGCAAGATGACAGAATAGGAGCATTTTGCTGTTATCTCTGCACAGAAGCATCAATTTTGACAGCCACTGGCAGATGAGAGTCCCTATGTGAAAGTCCAGGAGTCAAATCCGGAAAATTCAACACACTATGGAGCAAAAAGTCTGAGAACAGATGGATTAAAGAGGATACTTTATTCCTGTCACCCCTCCCACAGGCGGCACAGCTCGGTGTCAACGAACACTCTTGACACACGATTTCCTTCACAGGATAAAGTGTGAGCACAGGATAAAGCTGAGTGAGCACTCAGCTTTCCCAGCTATGCGAGATGCTGCCCGAAAAACCCACTTTTTCTCACCCCACCCAGAATGCTGAGGTAATCAGCATGGTTGGGAAGGGCTGGGAGCAGAGAACAGAGAAGACATAGCAACAGAGGCTCAGAACTCAACCAAAGCTGGATCCTACTAACCACTTAGTGTACTACATCAGTTAAGTCCACACATGAGCCACTTCAAAAAAACTTACCTTGGACCTGCCAAGGCCTCACAGGCATACCCAATGCATCACACACCTCACTCCCTGTCACCCCATGACTGGCTCCCCACACAGTGCAGCAGAGAGCAATTGTGAGTCTCTACATATAGCTCCCGAGCATGCTTAGACAGTGGGCTTAACATTGTGAGATGCGAAGGAGGACACAAAGTTATGTATTGCAAGGCACCACTCCAGGGAAAAACAGACAGAAAACATCAAGCAACTACCCTGGCTTTGCAGGATTGAGAGAAGGCATATAATCATAAAAATTATTTTTCAAAAGGGATCAAAAAGTATGGAGAAGATAATCCATAGAAAAGGTCAGAAAGAGCCTAAGAATCTCTAGCCAGGCTGAGATATGAAGGTGTCTCTGTCCTGAAGCCAGTCAGTAAAGAGGAGAGAAGATTACTTGTTCTTCAAATGCAAGGACAGCAAGGCAAGACTGAAAGGAATACAAAAAAATCAAGGAACCATGACACCACCAAAGGAGCACAAATTTCTAATAACCAAACACAAAAATTTGAGACCTATAAATTGCCTTACACAGAATTCAAAACAATTTTAAAGAAGTTCAATGAGTTACGAAAGAATACAGATAAACAACTCAACAAAAAGCAGAAAAATAGTATATGAACAAACAGGATATTCAACAAAGAGATAGAAAGTATAAAAAGAATCAAACAGAAACTCTGGAGCTGAAGAATACATTGAAAGAAATAAAATATGCAATTGAGAGTTTCAACAGCAGACTGGATAGAGCAGAAGAGAGAATGTATACATTCAAAGACAGGTCACATGAAATAATCCAGAGGACAAAAAAAATAAAAGAAGTAGAATTTGGGAAGCCTATGGAATACATGGAACCCTATGAATAAAATTATCCAGTCAATGTAGAAAAAGATAAAAGAATGACAAGGATGAAAATAAAAGCCTATGGAATTTATTAGATTATTGAGAGACCTGATATATGAATTATGGAAGTCCCAGGAGTAAAAGAGAGAAGACTCAAATAAATAAACTCAGAAAAAAAAGAAAAACATTGCAACTAATAGCACAGAAATCACAAATATAAGGGACTATTATGAACAATTATAACCCAATAATTGGATAACCTAGAATAAATGGATAAATTATTAGAAATATGCAAACTACCAACAGTGAATCATGAAGAAAAAAGTCCAAAGAGGGCAATAATAAATATAGAGATTGAATCAGTAATCAAAAACCCACAACAAAGAAAAACTCAGGACCTGACTGCTTTACTGGTGAGTTCTACTAAACATTTAAATAATTAAAAGCAGTCCTCAACTCTTCTGAAATGTTGTCAAGGAGTAAACACATCCAAACTCCTTTTACAAGGCCAATATTACCTAGACATCAAAACCAGACAAAGTGGCCAGGTGTGGGGTGGCTCACGTCTGTAATCCCAGCACTTTGAGAGGACAAGACAGGTGAATCACTTGAGGTCAGGTGTTCAAGACCAGCCTGGCCAACATGGCAAAACCCCGTCTCTACTAAAAATACAATAAGTTAGCACCTGCCTGTAATTCCAGCTATTCAGGAAGCTGAGGCAGGAGAATCGCTTGAACCTGGGAGGCAGAGGTTGCAGTGAGTGGAGATCACACCACTGCACTCCAGCCTGGGAACATGGATGCATAAATTCTCAACAAAATACTGCTAAGCCAAATTCAAAGCTACATTAAAGGGATCGTACATTATGATAAGTAAAAAGTGATTTACCCCTGGGATGCAGGGATGGTTTGATCTGTGCAAATTAATAAATGTAATACACTACCTTAATATAATGAAGGATTATGTCATATGATCATCTTAATAGATGCATAAAAAGCATCTGATAAAACTCATCATCCTTTCATTATACAAACTCTCAACAAATTAGATATACATGGAAATGTACTACAAAATAATAAAGAACATATATGACTATAGCTAGCAACATACTCAGTGAAGAAAAACTAAATTTTTTTCTCTAAAATTATCAACAAGACAAGGTGTCCACTCTCATTACCTCTACTCAGTAAAATACTAGAAATCATAGCCAAAGCAATTAGGCAAAAAGGGAGAAAAAAAGAAATAAAAGACAACCGCATTGGAAGTCAATAAGTAAAATATTCTGTGTTTGCAGACGGCATTAACTTATGTACAGAAAGCACTAAAAACTCCACCAAAAACTGTTAGATCCACAAATTTAGTAAAGTTAATTTGGTAATTTAGTTGATTTAGCAAAATCAACATACATAAACTAGTTGTGTTTCTATACATGTACAAAGAACTATCTGAAAAATAAGGTAAGAAAACAAACTCACAACATAAAAAATTATAAAATGCTTAGAAATTTAACCAAGATGGTAAAAATCTGTCCACTGAAAACTTTACAATATAGATTACAAGACTGAAGAAGACACAAATAAATAGAAAGATACCTCATGCTCATAGATTGGAAGAATACATATTGGCAAAATATCCATAGTACCTAAAGTGATCTACATATTCAATGCAATTCCTATCAAAATTCCAGTGACATTTTTCACAGAAATAGAAAAAAATTAAAATTTGAATGGAACCCCAAAGACCCTGAATAGCTAAAACAATCTTGAGCAACAACCAAGCTATAGTCGTCACATTTCCTGATTTCAAATTATATTACAAAACTATAGTAATTAAAACAGTATGGTACTGGCATGAAAACAGACCAATGAAACAGAATAGAAAGCCCAGAAATAAACCCACTCATGTATGGTCAATGACTCTTTGAAAAGTTTCCAAGAATATATACAATGTGGAACAGCTAGTCCCTTCAATATATGGGGTTGGGAAAACAGGATATTCACGTGCAAAAGAATAAAATTGGACCCTTGTCTTAAACCACACACAAACATAAACTCAAAGTGGGTTAAAGACATAAAGGTAAGACCTGAAACTGTGAAACTCCTAGAAGAAAACAATATAGAAAAACTTCTTGATATTAGTCTCAAAAAATGTCTTTTGGATATGACATCAAAACAAAGTCAACAGAAGCAAAAATGAACAAGTGGGACTACATCAAACTAAAATGTTTTTGTATGTCAAACGAAACATACAATAAAATGAAAAGGCAACCTATGAAAAGGGAGAAAACATTTTCAAACCATGTATCCAATAAGGTGTTAATATGAAAATATAATAAAGAACTCATACAACTTAATAGAAAAAGAGACAAATAATTGATTAAAAATAAGCAAAGGTCCTAAATAGGTATTTCTTAGAAGAAGACAAACAAATGGCCAAGGGATAATTAAAGCCAAAATGAAATATCACCTCACCTGTTAGAATCACTAAACTAAAGCTAACTGATCTTCATCAAGGTCATTAAGAATATACATTGGGGAAAAAACTCTCTTCCATTAATGCTTCTGAGAAAACTTGATAGCCATGTGCAGAAGAATGAAACTGGACCCCTATCTCTCACCATATACAAAATCAACTCAAGATGATGTAAAGACTTAGACATAAGTCTAAAACTATAAAACTACTAGAAGAAAACATAGTGGAAATTCTTCAGGGTATTAGTCTAAGCAAGGATTTTACTGGTAAGACCTTTCAGGGTATTAGTCTAGGCAAGGATTTTATTGCTAAGAACTCAAAAGCACAGGCAACAACAACAACAAAATAGACAAATGAGACTAAACTAAAAATACTTTGCACAGCTAAAGACACAACAGATTAAAGAGACAATGTTTTGAATGGGAGAAAACATTTGCAAACTACTCACTTGACAGGAAACTGACATCCAGAATATAAAAATAACTCAACAGCAAAAAATAAAAATAAATTTAAAAAAGTCAAAGGACATATATAGACATTTCTCAAAAGAAGACATACAAATGGCCAACAGATATGTGAGAAAACACTAAATATCACTAATCGTTAGAATGACTACTTTCAAAGAGAAAAAACATAACAAGTTTTGGCAAGGATGAGGAGAAAAGAAAACTCTGGGAATTTAAATTAGTACAGTCACTATCAAAAACAGTATGGAGATATCTCAAAAAATTAAAACTAGAACTTCTATAGGATCCAGCAATCCCACTGCTGGGTATTTATCCAAACAAAGAGGGATTAATATATCAAAGAGATACATGCACTTCCTTGTTTATTACAGCACTAGTCACAATATAAAAAATATGGAATCAATCTAAGTGTCTATCAATGCACGAATGGATAAAGAAAATATGACGTATATATAACCTGATGAAATACCATTTGGCCATAATAAAAAAGAATGAAATTTTGTCATTTGCAGCAACATGGATGAAACTAGAGATTATTGTGTTAAGTGAAATAAGCCAGACACAGACAAACAAATATCCCATGTTCTCATTCATATGTGGGAAATAAAAAAACGATCCCTTGGAGGTGGAGAGTAGAATGATAGATACCAGAGGCTGGGAGAGGTGTATGGTTTTGAAGGGAGGGGTGATGAAGAGCAGTTGGTTTATGGGTACAAACATAGTTGGATAAAACGAATAAGTTTTAATGTTTGATAGCAGAGTAGGGTAACTGTAGTTAGCAACGATGCATTTTTCTAAATAGCTAGAAGAGGGGTCTTGAAATGTTCCCAACACATAGAAATGATAAATAATCAGGTGATTGATGCCCTAAATACCCTGACTTTATCATTGCACATTCGATGCATGTAACAAAATTTCACATGTACCCCATAGATACATACAAATGTAATGTATCAAAAATAAAAATATTTTTATGAAAGACAACAACTGTTAACAAGGATATGAAGAAGAACTCTTAAATGCTGTTGACAGGAATGTAAATGTGTAAAGCCATTATGGAAACAATAAGAAGGCTACACAAAAAATTAAAAACAGGATCACCGCATAATCTGGTAACCCCAGTTTGGATATTTATCCAAAGGAAGTAAATTCATTATCTTAAAGAGATACCTGAACTTCCATGTTCATTGTGGTATTTTTCATAATAGCCAAGATATGGCAACAACTTAAATATCCACTGATGAATGGTTAAAGAAAATATGACATAAGAAGAAAATTCTGCCATTGTATCAATATGGATGAACCCAGAGAACATTATGGTAAGTGAAATAAGTTAGTCACAGAAAGACAAATACTGTATAATCACACAAGAGGTTTAACATTCTCTTGTTAAAAGTATTACATTGCTTCTAAAATTTGGCTATTAAAAATTGTTAAATAGCATTGTTTGTGCTTTTTTGTGTAGTTATATTTCTAGGTATCAAACTAGAAATTATATTGCAGAGAAAAATAATTTATTACTTCTAAATTGCTCTTGAGAGAGGTTGTATGAGTTTAATCTCTCGTAAATCAAAACTTAATATGATCAAAGTTTAAAGTGTCTTGTTTTTATCAATGAAAACTATTATTTCTTTGTTGTTCTAATTTTTATCCTACTTTCTAATGAGGTTGAGATTTATATAAATTGATCATTTATGTTTATTATTATTTTTAATTTTTTGTAGCTCCATTGTTAATTATTTATATTAATGTATAGAAAGTATTTATATAATTTAAATACTGAAGAATACAATGAATGAAACAAAAAATGCAATTTACATAGCACATAGATATAGAATCTTGGGGGTAGGAACAGTCTTTCTCAAATAGCAAAAATGCCATAATGAAAATGAATTATTATTATTAACTTACCTAAATTAAACAACAAATTTATGGAACAAGGACTTCACAAAATTCAAAACAAATGAAATATTTTGAGAATACATTTGTGTGTATGTATATACATATGTACTCAAAATATACAATGTATGCTAAATACTAATTTTTGGCTATTAAATTTTGCTATATTTGTACTATGGAATACTTTTTCACAGTTGACAATAGATAGCTAGATCCATATAAAGTTCCTTGGATAGCTTCCCAAGATATATTATAAAAAATATGTATATGTTACAACATATAATATATCCTTTAAAAAGACACCTAAACACAGTAACATATATTTATATCAGTACACATACGCATAGATATGTGTCTAAATGTATCACATGAAACTAACATATATGATCAGCTCCAGAAAATAAATATGGAACTGGAATTAGATTGGAAGCCAACAGAGAGAATTAATCATCCTCTGTAACGGATTTTGTGCTTATTTGCTTGTGTCTCTTCATATGTTAATTATGTAATTAAAAAGTCATTTAAAAATAAAATTTTGTACTCAGGAAGCTGAGGCAGGAGAATGGCGTGAACCCGGAAGGAGGAGCTTGCAGTGAGCCGAGATCACGCCACTGCACTCCAGCCTGGGTGACAGAGTGAGACTCCGTCTCAAAAAAAAATAAAATTATATTATGAATTTAACTTTATGCACCTTATTTGGATGTTGAACCAAATTTATTTACTTATTTATAAATATTATAGAGGTGAGAACTCTCTGTGTTTTCCAAACTGGTCTCAAACTCCTGGGCTCAAGTGATCCTCCCGCCTCAGCCTCCCAAAATGTTGGGATTACAGATGCGGGCCACCACACCTGGTCTGAAACCAAATTTCTCTTTGACTGTTTTATTTTTATTATTTTTGCAAAATTAAATGTAAAATCCTTGGCTTTGGGCTGTAAAATATAGGCAATACATAGCTATGTTGCTAATAACATACACTCTTCGTTAGTACAATGACTATGTTCTTGATAAGCATGGAGTGAGCTAATAAGGGAGACGGAAGGAAATGAGGATAGGTGATAACACTATGCTGTCAGGGAAATCAGTCTTTCACTGCCCCAGCTGCTGACCTCAGCTGTGTTCCACTGACCTCTGTTAACAACATTTCTTTATTCTTTTTTAGTTTTTTGAATTGATACTTTGTAATTGTACACATTTATGTGGTACAATTTGATGTTTTGATACATGCATTCATTGTATAACATTTTTCTCTAGTCTGCAGGAAGGGTTTGGAATTTCTTCCAGTCTGTGTGATGAGCCACTGAAAACTCTATTCTCTGTGAGATGTACTGAGACTGATGCTTTGTCAGCATTCGGTGATGGTCATGAAGCCTTTGTGCTGAAACTTGGCTAAGGAGCCCCCTGGAGTCTTCTCACAGATCCTTGTCAGTGCTTCAGCTGTCTCAAACACAAGCCGCTTAGTTGTGCTGCTTTACATTACAAAAGCAACTTGTAAACAGGTTGAAGGTAAAAGCATGTTTTCCACATTTTTTAAGATTTTTTAAGATTTTCAAAAACAATTTGTTCAAAAGCAGATTTTGTATCAATATGTTTATATTTCTTAAGAACTACTTGCTTATAATTTGGCAAAGTGGGGAGAAAACACCATCAAATAATTCCACTTGGAGGGAGGAGGTATCCTTTAAACATTCTCACACAAGGCACACAAACCGCATAGCTGACCCGGGTGCTTCCCTTTCCCCGGAGGAGCGCAGCTTTAATTTTCTCTCACGTTCTAATCTTTCTGCCTATGTTGCTGCTGACCAAATTCAACTGGAAGCAAGAAGGGAGAACACAGCATACAGAAGTCAGCCTCCCAGGGCTGGGCTTGGGGTAAAGGATAGAGACTGGAGCAAAATGAACAAAATGAGAATACCCAGTGCGTATCCTCAGCTGGATTCACATTTTAAGGTCAGATTGCCAATGACGAAGGAAAAACCAAATTCTGCCAAAATATTTTAAGATTTTTACTCTGAGCCAATATGAGTGACTGTGGCTCAGGTAACACAGTCTCAAGAGGTCCTAAGAAAGAGCACCCAAGTGGTGGGGTTACAGTTTAGTTTTATACATTTCAGGGAGATGGGATTTGCAGGCAAAATCATAAATCAATATATGGAAGGTATACATTGGTTCAACTTGAAAAGGTGGGACATCTTGAAGTGGGAATTTACAAGTCATAGGTGGGTTTTAGAATTCTTATTTGGCAATTGGTTGAAAGAGTTCAGCTTTGTCTAAAGACTTGGTACCATTCCTTCTGAAACTATTCCAAGCAATAGAAAAAGAGGGAATCCACCCTAACGCATTTTATGAGGCCAGCATCATCCTGATACCAAAGTCTGGCAGAGACACAACCAAAAAAGAGAATTTTAGACCAATATCCTTGATGAACATCAACACAAAAATCCTCAATAAAATACTGGCAAACCGAATCCAGCAGCACATCAAACAGCTTATCCACCATGATCAAGTGGGCTTCATCCCTGGGATGCAAGGCTGGTTCAACATACACAAATCAATAAATGTAATCCAGCATATAAACAGAACCAAAGACAAAAAACACGTGATTATCTCAACAGATAAAGAAAAGGCCTTCAACAAAATTCAACAACCCTTCATGCTAAAAACTCTCAATAAATTAGGTATTGATGGGTCATATCTCAAAATAATAAGAGCTATCTATGACAAACCCACAGCCAATATCATACTGAATGGGCAAAAACTGGAAGCATTCCCTTTGAAAACGGGCACAAGACAGGGATGCCCCCTCTCACCACTCCTATTCAACATAGTGTTGGAAGTTCTGGCCAGGGCAATCAGGCAGGAGAAGGAAATAAAGGGTATTCAATTAGGAAAAGAGGAAGTCAAATCGTCCCTGTTTGCAGATGACATGATTGTGTATCTAGAAAACCCCATCATCTCAGCCCAAAATCTCCTCAAGCTGATAGGCAACTTCAGCAAAGTCTCAGGATACAAAATCAATGCACAAAAATCACAAGCATTCTTATACACCAATAACAGACAAACAGAGAGCCAAATCATGAGTGAACCCCCATTCACAGCTGCTTCAAAGAGAATGTAATACCTGGGAATCCAACTTACAAGGGATGTGAAGGACCTCTTCAAGGAGAGCTACAAACCACTGCTCAATGAAATAAAAGAGGACACAAACAAATGGAAGAACATTCCATGCTCATGGGTAGGAAGAATCAATATCGTGAAAATGGCCATACTGCCCAAGGTAATTTATAGATTCAATGCCATCCCCATCAAGCTACCAATGACTTTCTTCACAGAATTGGAAAAAACTACTTTAAAGTTCATATGGATCCAAAAAAGAGCCCGCATCACCAAGTCAATCCTAAGCCAAAAGAACAATGCTGGAGGCATCACGCTACCTGACTTCAAACTACACTACAAGGCTACAGTAACCAAAACAGCATGGTACTGGTACCAAAACAGAGATATAGATCAATGGAACAGAACAGAGCCCTCAGAAATTATGCCGCATGTCTACAACTATCTGATCTTTGACAAACCTGAGAAAAACAAGCAATGGGGAAAGGATTCCCTATTTAATAAATGGTGCTGGGAAAACTGGCTAGCCATATGTAGAAAGCTGAAACTGGATCCCTTCCTTACACCTTATACAAAAATTAATTCAAGATGGATTAAAGACTTAAATGTTACACTTAAAACCGTAAAAACCCTAGAAGAAAACCTAGGCAATACCATTCAGGACATAGGCATGGGCAAGGACTTCATGTCTAAAACACCAAAAGCAATGGCAACAAAAGCCAAAATTGACAAATGGGATCTAATTAAACTAAAGAGCTTCTGCACAGCAAAAGAAACTACCATCAGAGTGAACAGGCAACCTACAGAATGGGAGAAAATTTTTGCAACCTACTCATCTGACAAAGGGCTAATATCCAGAATCTACAATGAACTCAAACAAATTTACAAGAAAAAAAAAAAAACCCATCAAAAAGTGGGCAAAAGATATGAACAGACACTTCTCAAAAGAAGACATTTATGCAGCCAAAAAACACATGAAAAAATGCTCATCATCACTGGCCATCAGAGAAATGCAAATCAAAACCACAATGAGATACCATCTCACACCAGTTAGAATGGCAATCATTAAAAAGTCAGGAAACAACAGGTGCTGGAGAGGATGTGGAGAAATAGGAACACTTTTACACTGTTGGTGGGACTGTAAACTAGTTTAACCATTGTAGAAGTCAGTGTGACGATTCCTCAGGGATCTAGAACTAGAAATACCATTTGACCCAGCCATCCCATTACTGGGTATATACCCAAATGATTATAAATCATGCTTCTATAAAGACACATGCACATGTATGTGTATTGCGGCACTATTCACAATAGCAAAGACTTGGAACCAACCTAAATGTCCAACAACAATAGACTGGATTAAGAAAATGTGGCACATATACACCATGGAATACTATGCAGCCATAAAAAAGGATAAGTTCATGTCCTTTGTAGGGAGATGGATGAAACTGGAAACCATTATTCTCAGCCAACTATCGCAAGGACAAAAAACCAAACACCGCATGTTCTCACTCATAGGCGGGAATTGAACAATAAGAACACATGGACACAGGAAGGGGATATATCACACACCGGGGACTGTTGTGGGTTGGGGGGAGGGGGGTGGGATAGCATTAGGAGATATACCTAATGCTAAATGACTAGTTAATAGGTGCAGCACACCAACTTTGCACATGTATACATATGTAACAGGTCTGCACGTTGTGCACATGTACCCTAAAACTTAAAGTATAATTAAAAAAAAAAAACAAACTTGGGCTCAGTAGAAAGGAATGCGTAAGCTGAGTAAAGGGAGTCTGCTATCTGTCATGTGCTGCCATAGCAGAGTCAGGTTGAAAAGTCGTCCACAATATTCCAAGTCAAAAAAAACAAACAAACAAACAACAATAACAACAAAAACCTGCTTAATGAGATTTTATGGTATGTAAGACGTGACTCCCCAGGTCCCTTAGAAAGGAATTTGAGCGAGAAAAAATGATCAGAGTTCAGTCCTCACCAAATTGCACTTTACTAGAATAGTTTATTCAGAATTCAAGTGTATGGAAGGACTAACCTCAAGCCACTCTTGCCAGAATTTAATATTGCACTTATAAAGCTCTTCATTTATGGTGTCTGCTAACACATCCATCTATCAGCAATGGCACAGGAGGTTCAGGCAGCTCCTGTCACTTATCCACATGAGTGCAACTTCGAGGTGTGGGGGGTCACTGATCCTGCCTCACAGAGCATTCCCACTGCATGTGGAAACTGCACTCTGCCTAGTCTGTCTGTGACCCAGGAGGCTTCTGTCTTCTCTCAGCATTTCTGCAATTTAGCCTATTTCCAAAGCACTTGTCAGAGCTCTCTTATAAATGGAATTCTGCTTATGAATGTTTCCTAGTTCCAGAGTAAAAGGAGTTTACTGATTCTTGTGATCTTTGTTGCATGTGATTAGTTTGAGAGAACGAAAAGAAGCAGAATTAGTATTTTACTCTATTATTATCTGGGCAATCTACTATATTTTTATATAGCCATAACCTAGGTTTTATTTACGTGAAAAAATTGAAGGAAAAAAGTAGTTTGTTATGAATTGTAATCATTTGGATAAAAAAATTATAATTGAGATCCCAGATTTGTTTTAAGATGTACATATCCTATATGTTATGCAAATAAAATAAGTGTTCCAATATAACTGTATATGCTAATAGACATACTATGTATACTGTCTGACAATTACGGAACAAAAAGCCAATAATTATCTACAATATAGAAATATACTTAATTCTGAATTTCTGAAGTCTTTTATTATTTACAACTCAGACTTACATCTTAATTTCTGAATTTTTAGGCAAATTATTGAAAGCATTATACATAATTAGACACTTAATTTTACTACCTTCCTCTATAAAAGTCAGATTCATTCTTTGACTAAGAACACCAAGCTTTATTCACTATACCAATAATAATAAAATGAAGGTATTGCACATCATAAGGTCTTACCTCTTTTTACCTCTTAATGAGTATTTGTGCACCTTAGTGATGACTAGCATTGCTCTGAATCAAGAACTGTATATTCACAGACATTCCAAGTTTGCCTCTTAACAGAAAATTTTAATTAATACAATCCAAAAACAATTTTTGCTTCTAAATATAAAATAATTGAATATTATAATACAAATTTTAGAATCAGACTATTATTTTAGAACACTCCATGTAATGGATCATCTACATACTTTAGAAAGTACAATTTCCAAGTGCAATATGCTCTTTGATGTGAAGGTGAATAATCAGGCTTCTCCGGTGGGTGGTCAGGACACATCACCTTCCACCTGGACTCGAGATTTCCAGCATTAACTCTGACTGGAAAACTTGGGCTGTGTCATGAAATAACCACAGTTGTCAGTGTCTGGATAACTTGAATTTAAGGTTGATCCAGGCCTTGAGGCAAGGTATCCAAGATTTCCTGAGTAGGGTTTTACTCTCAAGCAAAGCCCTTTCATACCATAGAAAACTATGGACCCTGAATTTATCCATGATCCCAATGCTGTCTTACCCAGGAATGTCATGTTATTTTGAAGCCAGAGAAAATGTCCAGAATCATTTTGCTGCACGATTTTGCTACTCTTACTCCCTAAGTAAGGTTAGATGGAATTACAGATCCTATATCTTATTTAAATTTCTGTGATTCTTTTCTTGTTTATTTTGTATTCTCCTTTATTTTTTTCTCTCTCTCTTTTCTTTAAACTTTAGGCTTGTTGACAGTATGTGGTGTCACTGACCTCTGCTTTAAAATGAAGAGAAAAAATCACAGAAATGGGAGTTTTCTTGATGATTTCTTGCTTTCGACATTAAAAACACATGCAAGCTTGAATACAAAAGAGCTAATTTAGTTAATCCAATTAACTTCATAATGCAAGTGCAACATATCATTAATGCTATTTCCTCCCATTTGTTTAATGGATTATCTAATTGGTTTAATATAAAAGAGTAGAACAAAATTAGAGTCAGATGTTAAGGGATTTTATTGAGAAAGTGTGGGATAGAAAAGAAATAACCCAGAATTCTGTAATGATAAAGCTAAGAGGTGAAATAAGTCTGATATTTCATAGATTTTTAACTAGATTTAATTCTAACAGAACTGAGTGGTGTCATTTACAGAAATTGCATGCAAGGCTGGTTCTGATGTGCCAGGTGCTCCTTACACATAGGTTCACAGGGCCTTAAGCCCATCTTTCCTTGAATCTCAGGATTTAAGCAAATTTAGCTCCAAGTTATGGGGCTAGACATTGCAGCAAATTGACTGTCTTTGCTCCATTTCTCTTGCTCTTTTGATCTACCATTAAATTAATGCTGAATTTTGAAAACTAGGCTCTTGGGAATGCTTCTCCCCCCGCACACCAGGGTAATTGAGACATTTCTGCACTCTCTCTCTCACTTTCTATTTCTCTCCTTTTCCTCTTTATTTTGTTCATTTTGGAAATGAAAATACATACGTATGCAGTTTAAGTTTTCAGAGTACAAAATATTTTAAGTCAAAATTAAAAAACATATTTCTATATTCTGACAAAACACAGAAAACTTCTCCCAAAATTTTGGAGCTAAACTATAATGGTTCATTTTGGGTTTTTTTGGTATTTTTTGTTGGTTTGTTTAATTTTATGGGAAAAAATAATACAGGTGATTTATTTTCTGGGCCATTACATCCCGAATATGTCCTTTTGCCTATAGCCATTTTTGCTATATATAAAGAAATATCTGAGGCTGAGTAATTTACTTTTAAAAAAAGATTGAATTGGTTCACTGTTCTGCAGGCTGTATAGGAAGTATGGTGCCAGCATCTGCTTCTGGTGAGGACTTCAGAGAACTCACAATCATCGTGGAAGGTGAAGGGGGAGCAGGCATGTCACATGGAGAGTGAGTGGTGAGGGGGTAGTCCTAGGCTTTTGAACAACCAGATCTCACGTAAACTGAGTGAGAATTCACGTATCACCAAGGATATGGCACTAAACCATTCATGGGAGATCCGTCCCTGTGATGCAATCACCCCCCCTTAGCAGGCCCCACCTGCAACAATGGGATCACATTTCAACATGAGATTTGGAGGGGACACATATCCAAACCGTATCACCTTCTCACACTAGTCTTTCTATGGTTTAAATATAATCATTGCATGTAGTGTGTGTCTCTTTTAAAAAAAACTATTCAATCAGAAATTATTTGCCTTTAAACAAAGTAATTATGTACTTCTTAATTCTGCTCTTAGTTTGTCTTACATATATTTTACACTTTTACTTTTCCCATCTCTCAGCTTTTGCTAGACTACAACTAATCTTTGCCTGCTCTGGATGTTATTTTTTTCTCCTAATGGATACCCTCCATGTTTTACAAATTGTTACCGGTCTTTATTTTTCTAACAATCTCGAAAATTAGTCCAGGCAAGCAAGAATAGAAGAATGTAGAATTATTGCCTTCCCTTATTTCATGTGAGTTTTTTTTTTAATCTTCTGAAATTTGAGTTCCAGATTATTACTTGTGTTTATGTCAGCAATTTGTGCATCATGCCTCTTTAACTTTATAAATATGCTTGACAAATGCATTAAGCATCACACTTATATGATCAAAAGTATGTTTCTTATACTTAAAAAAAAAATCAACTGATATGTTAGCTAACGTATACTGCAACTTGTGGTTCAGATTAAACTTAGATGACCTCTCCCAGGTGTGGTAGAAGGATGGTGCGGGGGTGTTAAAGGCAGTGGTAGTGCCTCACAGCTGCCCTGCAACTTTTGGATCAAAACTCTACTTTAGTTGATTGCCAGATTCGTCCAATGTAGGATTCATCTGGTCAGTCTGGGTGCAGCGCAGTTCTGTATCATGTCAAACATCAATCCCTCAGAATCTCCCACATGAGGAATTGTATCTGAGCATACTTTGCTAATTGTTTGGGTTGGTAATCAGCTTAAAGTAGCCACAAAATACAGCTCTTCTAACATTCACATCTACTCACCTTCTCCCCCTTGCCCTCCTTGCATAATCTCTGCTTGGTCCAGGCTTCATTTACCTAAGTGTCTTATAAATGCACTTCCTAAGTAATTTATAACGAGTCTTATCCTACAGGAGAAGAAACACACAAGCGGACCCTTAAAAGTTTTTATGTTCCCCTTCTCTTTCCAGTCTAGTATGTACGAGAAAAAATTGTAGGATGTGTGTCATAACTCATCAACACAACCCTCTACTGCTATACGTAAGAGGTAAGTATGATCAGTGTGTATTTCTTTCTCATTATTAAAATTGTACCTCATGACTTTCCTATTTTATTATTTTTAAAATTTTTCATTATTACATTATTTACATTATTACTAAACTGAGAAATCTATTTCTGATTCCAAAATTTGTGCATTGTGGTGTTCCTATTGAGTCACAATATGACTTAAACTTATACCTTAATGGAAGTTTGGCTGGGAATGTAGAATAATAAATTAAAATTATATATTTTTTCTATGAGTTCTATATAATGTTTTCATTGCCTTATTGCATTTATCCTGTGCCAAGCTAGTTACTGTTTTTTTGCAAGTGCTTGTTTATTTTCTTTCCTCTCTGAAAGTTTATAGGAGGTTCTCTTGGTTTTCCTTATCCTATCAAGTGAGAATTTCCTCAATATTCAATTAACATATTCCATCTGAGTACTGCATCTATTCTTAGTTCAGTGAAGTTTTCTTCCCTGGCTTCTTTGATAGCATCCTTTTCTTTTGTCTTCTTTATATTTTCTCATATGTTCTTACAATATAGAGTACTGTTCTATATCTTGCATGTATCCTATATTTCCCTTCAAATTTTGTCTCCTAATTTTGAACTCTTTCTGTTATTTTAAGGTATGGTAGAATGGCCATGTTTGATATTCTTTATATCTAATTCAATTTTCAGAAATATAATTTTTATTATGTTTTTGAATTTGTGTTCCTAATATTTAAGATGTTTTTCCCTCTCAGTTTCTTTTTAACAGTGTATTATTGCTTTTAAGTATAATGTCCTCTCAAATTTTTTTCTGAAAATACTATCTAGAAGATAACATGAGGCAACCTACTGCCCTTGGGTATTGTGCTGACATTTTGGTTACAATAATGAAGGTACAATTCATGAAAAACAAATTTGGCTGGAATTAAAATTAAAAACTTTTTCTTGAAGGATGAGAAAAAACATACAAAAGATCAATGAATCTAGTAGTTTGTTCTTTGAAGGAATAATAAGATTAATAGCCCATTAGTTATAATAACAAAGAAAAAAGAGAAGATCCAAATAAACACTATCAGAAATGACAAAGGAGACATTACCACTGACCCCACAGAGACACAAAATATCCCTCAGAAGCACCTATTCACACATACTAGAAAACGTAGGAGAAATGGATAAATTCCTGGAAACATACAACCTCCCAAGATTTAACCAGGAAGAAACTGAATTCCTGAATAAACAGTAATGAGCTCTGAAATTGAATCAGTAATAAAAAGCCTACCAACCAAAAAAAGGCCAGGGCCAAATGGATTCACAGCTGAAGTCTACCAGATGTATAAAGCAGAGCTGTTTCCATTCCTACTGAAACTATTTCAAAAACTTGATGAGAAGGAACTCCTCTCTAACTCATTCTATGAGGCCAGCATCATCCCAATACCAAAACCTGGAAGACACACAACAAGAAAATAAAACTTCAGGCCAATATCCCTGATGAACATAGAAGCAAAAACCCTCAACAAAATACTGTCAAACTGAATCCAACAGCACATCAAAAAGCTAATCTAATGCAATCAAGTAGGCTTTATGCCTGGAATGAAGGTTGGTTCAACACATGTAAAACATGTTTTTCCCTCTCAGTTTCTTTTTAACAGTGTATTATTGCTTTTAAGTATAATGTCCTCTCAAAAATTTTACAAGTGATTCATCACATAAACAGAACTAAAAACAAAACCATATGATTGTCTCAACAGATGCAGAAAAGGCCTTCAATAAAATTCAGCATGCTTCATGTTAAAAGCCCTCAACAAACCGGGCATTAAAGGAACATACCTCAAAATAATAAGATCCATCTATGACAAACCCACAGCCAACCTTATATGGAATAAGCAAAAGTTTGAAGCATTTGCCTTGAGAATAAGACAAGGATGCCCCTGATCACCACTCATATTCAACATAGTACTAGAAATCCTAGCCAGAGCAGACAGGCAAGAGAAAGAAATAAAAGGCATCCAAACAAGAAGAGATGAAGTTAAACTATTTATGTTTGGAGAAAAGATGATTTTATACCTAGAAAACTGCATACTCTGCCTAAAAGCTCCTAGATCTGAATAACTTCAGCAAAATTTCAGGATATAAAATCAGTACACAAAAATCAGTAACATTTCTATAGAACAACATCCAAGCTGAAAGCCAAATCAAGGACACAATGCCATTCACAATAGCTACAAAAATAATAAAATACCTAGGAATACAGCTGACCAGGGAGGTGAGAGATCTCTACAACAATAATTTCAAAACACTGCTGAAAGAAATTAGACATGATACAAACAAATGAAAAAACATTCCATGCTCAATGATAGAATCAATATTGATAAATGACCATACTGCCCAAAGCACTTCACAGATTCAATGCTATTCCTATCAAACAACAAATGACATTTCTCCACAGAATTAGAAAAAAAAAACTATTTTAAAATTCATAGCAAACATAAAAAGAGCCCAAATACCCAATCCTGAGCAAAAAAAAAAAAAAAAAAAAAAAAGCTGGATACATCACATCACTCAGCTTCAAATTATACTGTTAATACAAGGCTGCAGTGACCACAACAGCATAGTATTAGTATAAAAACAGACACATAGACCAATAGAACACAATAGAGAGCCCAAAAGTAAAGCCACATATTTACAACTATCTGATATTTGAAAAAGTCAGTACAAAGAAGCAATAGAGAAAAAAACTCCCTATTCAATAAATAGTGCTGGTATAACTGGATAGCCATATGCAGAAGATTGCAACTGGGCATCTTCCTTATATCACCTACAAAAATAAATTCAAGATGAATTAAAGGCTTAAATTTAAAACCTAAAACTATTAGGTTGGTGCAAAAGTAATTGCTGGGCCGGGCCTGGTGGTTCACGCTTGTAATCCCAGCACTTTGGGAGTCTGAGACGGGTGGATCACAACGTCAGGAGTTCAAGACCAGCCTGGCCAAGATGGTGAAATCCCCCCTCTCTACTAAAACTACAAAAATTAGCCACGTGCAGTGGCAGGTGCCTGTAATCCCAGCTACTGAGGAGGCTGAGGCAGGAGAATCACTTGAACCTGGGCGGCAGAGGCTGCAGTGAGCCAAGATCATGCCACTGCACTCCAGCCTGGTCGACAGAGTGAAATGGCAAAACAGCAGTTATTTTTGCACCAACCTAATACAGAAACACAAGAAGATAACCTAGAAAATACCATTCTGGAAACAGGAACAGGCAAAGATGCCAATAGCAATTGCAAGAAAAATAAAAATTGACAAATGGGATCTTATAAAACTAAAGAGCTTCTGCACAGCAAAAGAAACCATCAACAGAGTAAACAGCCTACAGAATGAGAGAATTGGCAGTTTCTTACAAAAATTACATACTCTTACTATACAACCCAGCAATCATGCTCCTTGGCACTTACCAAAATTAGCTGAAATTTATGTCCATGCAAAAACCTGCATATGAATGTTTATAGCAGCTTTATTCATATGTACCAAGATACCCTTCAGTAGGTGAATGGATAAAGTGTGGTACATCCAGACAATGGAATATTATTCAATGCTAAGGAGATACGAGCTATGAAGTCATGAAAACACATGGAGGAAACTTAAATACGTATTGTTAAGTGAAAGAAGCAAATCTGAAAAGGCTACTACTGTATAATTTCAATTATATGCAACTGTGGAAGAGGCAAAACTATGGCGATATTACAAGGATCAATGGTGTCAGGTGCTGGGTGGGGGATGTGTAGGTGAAACACGGAGAATTTATAGAGGAATGAAACTATTCTGTATGATACAATGGTGGATACATGTCATTATACATTTGTCCAGACCTCTAGAATATATATTACCAAGAGTGAACCCTAAAGTATGGTACATAGCTTAGGCAATTATGGTGTGTCAATGTAGGCTCATCAATTCTGACAAATGCAGCACTCTGGTGGGGGATGTTGATAATGGCATAGGCTATGCATAGAGAAGTTAGAGGGATATGGGAAACCTCTGTACTTCTGCTCAATTTTGTTGTGAACCTAAAACTGAGCTAAAAAACTTATATAAGAAATAATATTAATAATTTTATAATAAATAAGTCATGAAAAGACATGGATGAATCTTAAATGCATATTGCTTAGTGAAACAGCCAGTCTGAAAAGGCTACACACTGTGTGATTACAACTCTATGACATTCTGGAAAACACAAAATTACAGAGACAGTAAATAGATCAGTTGTTTCAAGGGATTTGGGAGGGTGAAGTTAAGTATGTGAAGGACAGGAGATTCTTTGAGATTGTAAAACTATTCTATATGATATAATGATGAGTATAATACATTAAGTATGTGTCAAAATCCATAAATATTTTTTGTTTGTTTTCTTCACTATCATTTATTTTTATTTATTTATATTTAAATATAGATATATTTAAATATTTTGTTTGTATTATTTCATTTTTCATTGTATAAACACATAACATGAACTCTACACACTTAACAAATTTTTAAGTACACAATATAATATTGTTGAATCTAGGCCCAGTGTCATACAGTTCTCTAGAACTTATTCATCTTCATACCCATCGAACATTAACTCCCCATTTCACCTCTTACCTGTTCCTGGCTACTACCATCCTACTCTGTTTCTATGAGTCTGACTATTTAAGATACCTCATACAAGTTAAATCATGCAGTATTTGTCCTTCTGTAACTAGTTTATTTCACTTGGAATGATGTCTTCCAGGTTCATCCATGGCATTGCATATGGCAGAATTTCTTTCTCTTTTTTTTTTTTTTTTTTTTTTTTTTTTTTTTTTTTGAGACGGAGTCTCGCTCTGTCGCCCAGGCTGGAGTGCAGTGGCGCGATGTCGGCTTACTGCAAGCTCCGCCTCCCGGGTTTACGCCATTCTCCTGCCTCAGCCTCATGAGTAGCTGGGACTACAGGCGCACACCACCGCACCCGGCTAATTTTTTGTATTTTTAGTAGAGACGGGGTTTCACCGTGTTAGCCTGGATGGTCTCGATCTCCTGACCTCGTGATCTCCCTGCCTTGGCCTCCCAAAGTGCTGGGATTACAGGCTCTTACTCTTTTTA
The DNA here is from genome assembly GCF_000001405.40 of Homo sapiens. Taxonomy (NCBI): domain Eukaryota; kingdom Metazoa; phylum Chordata; class Mammalia; order Primates; family Hominidae; genus Homo; species Homo sapiens. The sequence continues at coordinate 54,305,428 of NC_000007.14, forward strand.
AGACTGAATATTATTCCATTGTATCTGGGTATGACATTTTTTTCTCCATTCATACATCAGGGAACATTTATGTTGTTGCCATATCTCGACTATTGTGAATAATTTTGCAGTGAACATGGGAGTGCAGATATCTTTCCAAGATATATGTTTGTTTACATCTTTTCAGATATGTATACACACATACATTTCTTTATTCTGTCAGTTGACAGGGCCTGGAAACAATACCCTGGAGACAGTCTAGTGCCTTGATCTTGGTTTCTAACATATTTCTCCAATAAAAAATATCAGGAATCCTTGGAGAAATGGCTGATTCTAGTACTGTGGTAGGAAATCCACAAGATGAATCTGGATTACCTTGTTGTGCCAGAAAGTAAAATAGTGCTAACAAACAAACAGAAAAGACACACAAAGATACAAGCATATCAAAGGAACTCAGAAGCAAACTGAAGAGCTCCAAGGGGCCAAATTTGAAACAATTGGAGCAAGAAAACGAAGTAGTATTTGAAGTATAACGTTAAATATAAAATAAGTATCCATATGTCAATATAGATATAAATAAATGGTTGAATAAATAAAAACAAACAAAATGGAGAAAGGAGAAATCTTTCTTTTTTATTATACTTTAAGTTTAGGGTGCATGTGCACAAGGTGCAGGTTTCTTACATATATATACATGTGCCATGTTGCTGTGCTGCACCCATTAACTCATCATTTAACATTAGGTATATCTCCAAATGCTATCCCTCCCCCCTCCCCCCACCCCACAACAGTCCCTGGTGTGTGATGTTCCCCTTCCTGTGTCCATGTGTTCTCATTGTTCAATTCCCATCTATGAGTGAGAACATGTGGTGTTTGGTTTTTTGTCCTTGCGATAGTTGGCTGAGAATGATGGTTTCCAGCTTCATCCATGTCCCTACAAAGGACATGAACTCATCCTTTTTTATGGCTGCACAGTATTCCATGGTGTATATGTGCCACATTTTCTTAATCCAGTCTATCGTTGTTGGACATTTGAGTTGGTTCCAAGTCTTTGCTATTGTGAATAGTGCCGCAATAAACATACGTGTGCATGTGTCTTTCTAGCAGCATGATTTATAATCCTTTGGGTATATACCCAGTAATGGGATGGCTGGGTCAAATGGTATTTCTAGTTCTAGATCCCTGAGGAATTGCCACACTGACTTCCACAATGGTTGAACTAGTTTACAGTCCCACCAACAGTGTAAAAGTGTTCCTATTTCTCCACATCCTCTCCAGCTCCTGTTGTTTCCTGCCTTTTTAATGATCACCATTCTACTGGTGTGAGATGGTATCTCATTGTGGTTTTGATTTGCATTTTTCTGATGGCCAGTGATGATGATCATTTTTTCATGTGCCTTTTGGCTGCATAAATGTCTTCTTTTGAGAAGTGTCTGTTCATATCCTTCGCCCACTTTTTGATAGGGTTGTTTGTTTTTTTCTTGTAAATTTGTTTGAGTTCATTGTAGATTCTGGATATTACCCTTTGTAAGATGAGTAGATTGCAAAAATTTTCTCCCATTCTGTAGATTGCCTGTTCACTCTGATGGTAGTTTCTTTTGCTGTGCAGAAGCTCTTTAGTTTAATTAGATCCCAATTGTCAATTTTGGCTTTTGTTGCCATTGCTTTTGGTGTTTTAGACATGAAGTCCTTGCCCATGCCTATGTCTTGAATGGTATTGCCTAGGTTTTCTTCTAGGGTTTTTATGGTTTTAGGTGTAACATTTAAGTCTTTAATCCATCTTGAATTAATTTTTGTATAAGGTGTAAGGAAGGGATCCAGTTTCAGCTTTCTACATATGGCTAGCCAGTTTTCCCAGCACCATTTATTAAATAGGGAATCCTTTCCCCATTGCTTGTTTTTCTCAGGTTTGTCAAAGATCAGATAGTTGTAGATATGTGGTATTATTTCTGAGGGCTCTGCTCTGTTCCATTGATCTATATCTCTGTTTTGGTACCAGTACCATGCTGTTTTGCTTACTGTACCCTTGTAGTATAGTTTGAAGTCAGGTAGCGTGATGCCTCCAGCTTTGTTCTTTTGGCTTAGGATTGACTTGGTGATGCGGGCTCTTTTCTGGATCCATATGAAGTTTAAAGTAGTTTTTTCGAATTCTGTGAAGAAAGTCATTGGTAGCCTGATGGGGATGGCATTGAATCTATAAATTACCTTGGGCAGTATGGCCATTTTCACGATATTGATTCTTCCTACCCATGAGCATGGAATGTTCTTCCATTTGTTTGTGTCCACTTTTATTTCATTGAGCAGTGGTTTGTAGTTCTCCTTGAAGAGGTCCTTCACACCCCTTGTAAGTTGGATTCGTAGGTATTTTATTTGCTTTGAAGCAATTGTGAATGGGAGTTCACTCATGATTTGGCTCTCTGTTTGTCTGTTATTGGTGTATAAGAATGCTTGTGAGTTTTGCACATTGATTTTGTATCCTGAGACTTTGCTGAAGTTGCCTATCAGCTTGAGGAGATTTTGGGCTGAGACGATGGGGTTTTCTAGGTATACAATCATGTCATCTGCACACAGGGACAATTTGACTTCCTCTTTTCCTAATTGAATACCCTTATTTCCTTCTCCTGCCTGATTGCCCTGGCCAGAACTTCTAACACTATGTTGAATAGCAGTGGTGAGAGAGGGCATCCCTGTCTTGTGCCAGTTTTCAAAGGCAATGCTTCCAGTTTTTGCCCATTCAGTATGATATTGGCTGTGGGTTTGTTATAAATAGCTCTTATTATGTTGAGATACGTCCCATCAATACCTAATTTATTGAGAGTTTTTAGCATGAACTGTTGTTGAATTTTGTTGAAGGCCTTTTCTTTATCTATTGAGATAATCATGTGGTTTTTGTCGTTGGTTCTGTTTATATGCTGGATTACATTTATTGATTTCTATATGTTCAGCCAGGCTTGCATCCCAGGGATGAAGCCCACTTGATCATGGTGGATAAGCTTTTTGATGTGTTGCTGGTTTCGGTTTGCCGGTATTTTATTGAGGATCTTTGCGTCAATGTTCATCAGAGATATTTTTCTAGAATTCTCTTTTTTTGTTGTGTCTCTGCCAGGCTTTGGTATCAGGATGATGCTGGCCTCACAAAATGAGTGAGGGAGGATTCCCTCTTTTTCTATTGATTGGAATAGTTTCAGAAGGAATGGTACCAGCTCCTCCTTGTACCTCTGGTAGAATTCGGCCGTGAATCCATCTGGTCCTGGACTTTTTTTGGTTGGTAAGCTATTGATTATTGCCACAATTTCAGAGCGTGTTATTGGTCTATTCAGAGATTCAACTTCTTCCTAGTTTAGTCTTGGGAGGGTGTATGTGTCGAGGAATTTATCCATTTCTTCTAGATTTTCTAGTTTATTTGCGTAGAGGTGTTTGTAGTATTCTCTGATGGTATTTTGTATTTCTGTGGGATCGGTGGTGATATCCCTTTTATCATTTTTTATTGTATCTATTTCATTCTTCTCTCATTTCTTCTTTATTAGTCTTGCTAGCAGTCTATCAATTTTGTTGATCTTTTCAAAAAACCAGCTCCTGGATTCATTGATTTTTTGAAGGGTTTTTTTGTGTCTCTATTTCCTTCAGTTCTGCTCTGATTTTAGTTATTTCTTGCCTTCTGCTAGCTTTTGAATGTGTTTCCTCTTGCTTTTCTAGTTCTTTTAATTGTGATTTTAGGGTGTCAATTTTGGATCTTTCCTGCTTTCTCTTGTGGGCATTTAGTGCTATAAATTTCCCTCTACACACTGCTTTGAATGTGTCCCAGAGATTCTGGTATGTTGTGTCTTTGTTCTCGTTGGTTTCAAAGAACATCTTTATTTCTGCCTTCATTTCGTTATGTACCCAGTAGTCATTCAGGAGCAGGTTGTTCAGTTTCCATGTAGTTGAGTGGTCTTGAGTGAATTTCTTAATCCTGAGTTCTAGTTTGATTGCACTGTGGTCTGAGAGACAGTTTGTTATAATTTCTGTTCTTTTACATTTGCTGAGGAGTGCTTTGCTTCCAACTATGTGGTCAATTTTGGAATAGGTGTGGTGTGGTGCTGAAAAGAATGTATATTCTGTTGATTTGGGGTGGAGAGTTCTGTAGATGTCTATTAGGTCCGCTTGGTGCAGAGCTGAGTTCAGTTCCTGGGTATCCTTGTTAACTTTCTGTCTCGTTGATCTGACTAATGTTGACAGTGGTGTGTTAAAGTCTCCCATTATTATTGTGTGGGAGTCTAAGTCTCTTAGTAGGTCTCTGAGGACTTGCTCTATGAATCTGGGTGCTCCTGTATTGGGTGCATATATACTTAGGATAGTTAGCTCTTCTTGTTGAATTGATCCCTTTACCATTATGTAATGGCCTTCTTTGTCTCCTTTGATCTTTGTTGGTTTAAAGTCTGTTTTATTAGAGACTAGGATTGCAAGCCCTACCTTTTTTTGTTTTCCATTTGCTTGGTAGATCTTCCTCCATCCCTTTATTTTGAGCCATGATCAAGTGGGCTTCATCCCTGGGATGCAAGGCTGGTTCAACATACACAAATCAATAAATGTAATCCAGCATATAAACAGAACCAAAGACAAAAACCACATGATTATCTCAACAGATGCAGAAAAGGCCTTTGATTAAATTCAACAATCCTTCATGCTAAAAACTCTCAATAAATTAGGTATTGATGACAAGTATCTCAAAATAATAAGAGCTATCTATGACAAACCCACAGCCAATATCACACTGAATGGGCAAAAACTGGAAGCATTCCCTTTGAAAACTGGCACAAGACAGGGATGCCCTCTCTCACCACTCCTATTCAACATAGTGTTTGAAGTTCTGGCCAGGGCAATTAGGCAGGAGAAGGAAATAAAGGGTATTCAATTAGGAAAAGAGGAAGTCAAATTGTCCCTGTTTGCAGATGATATGATTGTATATCTAGAAAACCCCATCATCTCAGCCCAAAATCTCCTTAAGCTGATAAGCAACTTCAGCAAAGTCTCAGGATACAAAATCAATGTACAAAAATCACAAGCATTCTTATACACCAATAACAGACAAACAGAGAGCCAAATCATGAGTGAACTCTCATTCACAATTGCTTCAAAGAGAATAAAATACCTAGGAATCCAGCTTACAAGGGATGTGAAGGACCTCTTCAAGGAGAACTACAAACCACTGCTCAATGAAATAAAAGAGGATAAAAACAAATGGAAGAACATTCCATGCTCATGGGTAGGAAGAATCAATATTGTGAAAATGGCCATACTGCCCAAGGTAATTTATAGATTCAATGCCATCCCCATCAAGCTACCAATGACTTTCTTCACAGAATTGGAAAAAACTACTTTAAAGTTCATATGGAACCAAAAAAGAGCCCGCATCACCAAGTCAATCTTAAGCCAAAAGAACAAAGCTGGAGGCATCATGCTACCTGACTTCAAACTATACTACAAGGCTACAGTAACCAAAGCAGCATGGTACTGGTACCAAAACAGAGATATAGATCAATGGAACAGAACAGAGCTCTCAGAAATAATGCCGCATATCTAGAACCATATGATCTTTGACAAACCTGAGAAAAACAAGCAATGGGGAAAGGATTCCCTATTTAATAAATGGTGCTGGGAAAACTGGCTAGCCATATGTAGAAAGCTGAAACTGGATCCCTTCCTTACACCTTATACAAAAATTAATTCAAGATGGATTAAAGACTTAAATGTTACACCTAAAACCATAAAAACCCTAGAAGAAAACCTAGGCAATACCATTCCGGTCATAGGCATGGCAAGGACTTCATGTCTGAAACACCAAAAGCAATGGCAACAAAAGCCAAAATTGACAAATGGGATCTGATTAAACTCAAGAGCTTCTGCACAGCAAAAGAAATTACCATCAGAGTGAACAGGCAACATATAGAATGGGAGAAAATTTTTGCAATCTACTCATCTGACAAAGGGCTAATATCCAGAATCTACAATGAACTCAAACAAATTTACAAGAAAAAAAAAAAACAACCCCATCAAAAAGTGGGTGAAAGATATGAACAGATACTTCTCAAAAGAAGACATTTATGCAGCCAAAAGACACATGAAAAAATGCTCATCATCACTGGCCATCAGAAAAATGCAAATCAAAACCACAATGAGATACCATCTCACACCAGTTAGAATGGCAATCATTAAAAAGGCAGGAAACAACAGGTGCTGGAGAGGATGTGGAGAAATAGGAACACTTTTACACTGTTGGTGGGACTGTAAACTAGTTCAACCATTGTGGAAGTCAGTGTGGCAATTCCTCAGGGATCTAGAACTAGAAATACCATTTGACCCAGCCATCCCATTACTGGGTATATCCCCAAAGGGTTATAAATCATGCTGGTATAAAGACATATGCACACGTATGTTTATTGCAGCAGTATTCACAATAGCAAAGACTTGGAACCTACCCAAATGTCCAACAATGATAGACTGGATCAAGAAAATGTGACACATATACACCATGGAATACTATGCAGCCATAAAAAATGATGAGTTCATGTCCTTTGTAGGGAGATGGATGAAACTGGAAACCATCATTCTCAGCAAACTATTGCAAGGCCAAAAAACCAAACCCCGCATGTTCTCAATCATAGGTGGGAATTGAACAATGAGAACACATGGACACAGGAAGGGGAACATCACACACCAGGGACTGTTGTGGAGTTGGGGGAGGAGGGAGGGATAGCATTAGGAGATATACCTAATGCTAAATGACGAGTTAATGGGTGCAGCACACCAACATGGCACATGTATACATATGTAACAAACCTGCACATTGTGCACATGTACCCTAAAACTTAAAGTATAATAAAAAAAATTTCATCTTTTTTTATAATAAAAAAAATTTCCTGCTTTTGCTGTATACCAGAGGTTTTGATTACTTGTGTCACTATTATCATTCATTTCAAATAACTTTTGAATTTCCACCTTGATTTCATCATGAAACCAAAAATCATCAAGGAGAAGTTTGTTTAATTTTCCTGTATATGTATAGTTTTGAGGGTTCCTTTTGGGGTTGATTTCTAGTTTTATTCCACTCTTGTGTGAGAAGACACTTGATATGAGTTTAATTTTTAAAAGTTTATTGAGATTTGTTTTGTGACCTATCATATAGTCTGTCTTGGAGAATGTTCTACGTTCTGATGAGAAGAATGTATATTCTGCAGTTCTTGGGTAGAATGTTCTGTAAATATCTATTAGGTCCATTTGTTCTGGAATGTAGTTGAAGCCCATTATTTCTTTGCTAACTTTCTGTCTTGATGGTCTGTCTAGTGCTATTTAAGATTGTGATATCTTCTTGTTGGACTGATCCTTTTATCATTATATAATGACTTTCTTTGTCTTTTTTTACTGTTGTTGTTTTAAAGTTTGTTTTATCTGATAAAAGAATAGCTACTCCTGCTCACTTTTGGTCTCCATTTGTGAGCAGGAGTAGCTATTTTCCTGCTTTTTCCACCCTTTTACCTTGAGTTTATAGGAATTCTTACATGTTAGTTGAATCTCTTGAAGACGGCAGATATTTGGTTTGTGATTCTTTATCCATTCTGTCAGTCTACACATTTTAAGTGGAGCATTTAGGTCATTTATATTTAACATTAATATTGACATGTGAGATATTGTTCCATTTATCATGTTAAATTTTGTCTAGATGCTTTGTTTTTTTATCATGTCTTTTTTTATAGGCATTGTGAGTTTAATGCTTTCAAGAGATTCCATTTTTGTGTATATCAAGCTTTTGTTTCAAGATTTAGAACTCCTCTTATCATTCCTTGTAGGAATGACCTGGTAATAAATTTCCTCAGCATTTCTTTGTCTGAAAATGACTTTATATCTCCTTTGTTTATGAAAGTTGGTTTGGCTGGCTACAAAATTCCTGGCTGACAGTTATTCTGTTTAGGGAGGCTAACAATAGGACTCCTATCCCTTCTGGCTTGTAAGGTTTCTGCTGAGAAGTCTGCTGTTAGTCTCTGATATGTTTTACTTTATAGGTTACCTGATGATTTTGTCTCACGGCTTTTAGACTTATTTCCTTCATGTTGACTTTTTATAGCCTGTTGACTATGTCTTGGTGATCATCTTTTTCTAATGAGTCTCACAGGAGTTCTTTGAGCTTCTTATATTTGAATATCTAAATCTCTAGCAAGATCAGGGAAGTTTTCCTCAATTATTCACTCAAATAAGTTTTCCAAACTTTTTGCTTTTTCTTCTCCCTCAGTAACACCAATTAATTTTAGGTTTAACCATTTTACATAATCTCACATTTGTTGGAAACTTTGCTCCTTTCTTTTGATTCTTTTAATTTTTGTCTGATTGGGTCAATTCAAAAGTCTTTTCTTCTAGCTCAGAAATTCTTTCTTCTACTTGTTTTAGTTTATTGTTGAAACTTTCCACTGCATTTTGTAATTTCCTATGTCTTTCATTTCTGGAATTTCTGATTGGTTTTGCTTTAAGATATCTATCTCTTTTGCAAATTTTTCATTCATATCTTGAATTTTTTTTTTAAAAAGCAGGTTTTCACTTTCTTTTGTTATCCCCTTGAGTAGCTTAACAATCAACCTTAAAAATTCTTTATCTGGTATTTCAAATATTTCATTTTGGTTTGTATTTATTGCTGCAGGGCTGGTGTAATCTTTTGGGGTTGTTATAGAACCCTTTCTTGTCATATTACTAAAATTATTTTTTCTGATTTCTTCTTACATGTGTAGACTATTTCTTCTAATTAGTCTGGATGTATTTTGTATTTAATTGCGGGTTTTAAAAATTTTCTTGTCCCCACCCCCAAGAATGTGACTTTCATATTTATAGTTTATTGTAGCCTAATTTGGCTCTTGGTTCCTTCAGGGGTGAAGACTCTATATAAGTTCCTTGGTTATAGAGAGTTTTCGTATGATGGATGATGATTGTAGTAACAATGTGCTCAGTGTATGAACAAGTTCACTGTTTTCTATAGGGTTGCAATGGCAGAAATCTCTTGAAGCTTAACTCATTCCCCTATTTTGTGTACTTATTAATTTATTTATTTGTTCCCCAGTATTTTATTTACTGGGTTGACTATTTCAGGCCAATAAGGGGTATGTCCATGGGTAAAAACTGGCTATGGCTAAAGTAGATGGGTAAATGCAATACCCAATGGTGGGCAGAGGTCCCAGCCTTGACAGAGGTGGCTAGGGAAGCTCTCAGCAAAATGCACTGAGGTCTTTTAAGAGGGAAGGACTGGATCTACCTCAGCTTCCCTACCAGGGCAGCAGAAAAGCTATCCATCACCTAGACACACTCTTCACCTAGTGTTCCAGCTATTCAGATTAGACAGTCACATATTTTTATCTGCAGGAATGTTGATGTTCCAAGTAGAGAGGAATTGTGACTCTACCTCTCATGCAAAGCAACCTGCATTTGGAGGTTGCTCCTTCTGTGGGGATGATGTCACCCTGAAGTGTTCCAGAAAGGCTGTCTCTAAGTGCACCCATGCTGAGCTCTTGGAAAAAACCACAGCTGTGTCCACAGTGGTGGATAAGGGAGAAAAAAGTTTCCTTCTCCAAGACCCTTCACAAGCACCAGGACTGCCTGAGTGTTGGGGTAGAGCTCCTGGGCTGCAGACATTCCCCACTGAGCCTGGCACTGCAACTATGCCTCTCCTGAAAGAAACTTCCCACCAGGAGAAAGATCTGGGACTCAAGTCCTGCTGTTTGGATTATTTTGTCCCAGGCATGTTCCCTTGATGTGGTACCCTCCCCATTCCTCTAGGAGTGGGAATCCCTGAGAGCCCTACTACTGTGAATGCCATTGCTCCCCTGAGTCTAGCTACCCAGTGAAGTTGCCATACTCCAGGCTAGTCCTGGGGAATGTCTACAAGGGATGTGGTGATGTACATGTCCTTAATATCCCCCAGCAACTGGTACCAGCACCAGCCCTAATGGTGGTGGCAGGGGAGTGACAGAGACTGTGAGACTCCTTGGTTATAGGTAGCCTTAGTGTGCTGGCTTTCTCAGTTGTGCGTTGTAGTGGTGATGAACTGGTCATGTGGACAGACTCAGGACCTCCTGGTTGGCCAGGGTGATGCAGGCAATGGCGATAGCAGAAGTTGCACATGAGTTTTCTTCTTTCTGGGAACAGTGTTATTCTACTTGAAGATGCTATAATGGACTACACAGTCCATTTGGTTGGCTGGTTGGCCTCCAGCCAGGAGGTGGTACTTACAAAAGAACACAAGCTACAATGATAGTTATGGGATTTCTGGTTGCCTTATGTTACCCTGGGGAGGTACTCTGGTTTCTCAGGTGATGAGCAGGGCTATAAAGCTCCCGAAAGATTCTATCCTTTGTGTTAAGCTACCATGGTGGTTAGAGGGGCAAAGCCAGATGGGGGCTGGGTCAGGCAGGTTTGTACCCTGGCTCTCTGCCTGTGGGGCAATCAGCAACTCCTATGGGAGTTACAAGGCAGTTATCTGACCACTGTCGTAATGTTTTATAGAGGAACATAGCTGCTTCTGCTGAACAGAAGAGTTCATGCAGGCAGTTTGTAGTAGCAGGTGGCAGTAAGCCTCACCCAGCTCCCAGATACTTGACAAGGCAGGTCTCACACCAGTAGTTTTCCACCTGCAGCAGAAAGCTAAGTTGCAGGCTGTCTACACTCATAATTCACAACTGCCCAGGCCATAAACTTTCTTCACAGAGATAGCAACCACAGGTTTCAGGCCATGCCCCTCCCAATCCACCCACACAGCTAGGACACCCAGCTCCTGGCTGCAGCATACTTCCCTCCCACTCATTCCTTGGTTCTGGCCAAGGGAGTGCTCTCCATTCAAGGCTATACTGTGGAATTCAGCTGGGGACTTTTTTCAACCTGTGATTGCTGTCTGAGTTAGTTGGGAGACATTTATGAGGTTCCTGTGAGGCATAATAAGGAATGGCTTCTCTTGGTCTATGTTGGACACTGGAAATGCATGTGAGGCTCTTCCTGCTGCCACTTCCACTTTTAGATTCCTCACCACTCTCTAAATCAGTTCTAGTGCTGGGTAGGGCTTTCCCCCATGGCCTGGTTTTCCAGGTTCTCCTTTGAGGGTGTATATCCTGGAGGCAGTCTCTCCCTCTCTCAAACTCTGGGACTTACAGTTTTTCTCCCGGCTCAAGATATAGGCGAAGCCTGCAACTTCTTTCAAAGTGTCTCTGGATTTCAGTTTTCCTGTTATGTTCCTGCATTGCTTCTTGGAACAAAAGTTCACAGTTAAATATCTAAAACCTACTTTTTCTTCCCAAGTGGGAGAGGCCTGCTGACGCTCCCTCTAATCCAACATCTTGGACTGGCAAAGAGTTAAGGCCTTAATGACGTAGGTAAATGTAACAATCTTTTAATTTGTGTTTATTTCTTGTTAAGTTCTTTCAAAATATTTACCTACTGATTGATCAAAAACTATTCTACATTACTTGTTAAGCTTTATTATTTTTTCTTTACTATATTGCTATAACCAATGTGGAATTGCTATTTGTGTATGGTGTGTGATAAAGAGCATTTTATAATCATCTATATATATAGATATCCAACATGACAGCATCATTTAATGAAAAATGTCCTTTTTTTACTGCTCTGCAGTGACTTTTTTTACACAAATCTATATTTATGCATAATGTAAATTTTCTTTTTTTTTTATTATACTTTAAGTTTTAGGGTACATGTGCACAATGTGCAGGTTAGTTACGTATGTATACATGTGCCATGTTGGTGTGCTGAACTCATTAACTTGTCATTTAATATTAGGTATATCTCCCAATGCTATCCCTCCCCTCTCCCCCGACCCCAGAACAGGCCCCAGTGTGTGATGTTCCCTTTCCTGGGTCCATGTGTTCTCATTGTTCAGTTCCCACCTATGAGTGAGAACATGCAGCATTTGGTTTTTTGTCCTTGCGATAGTTTGCTGAGAATGATGGTTTCTTCCAGCTTCATCCATGTCCCTACAAAGGACATGAACTCATCATTTTTTATGGCTGCATAGTATTCCATGCTGTATATGTGTCACATTTTCTTAATCCAGTCTATCATTGTTGGACTTTTGGGTTGGTTCCAAGTCTTTGTTATTGTGAATAGTGCTGCAATAAACATACATGTGCATGTGTCTTTATAGCAGCATGATTTATAATCCTTTGGGGATATACCCAGTAATGGGATGGCTGGGTCAAATGGTATTTCCAGTTCTAGATCCCTGAGGAATCACCACACTGACTTCCACAATGGTTGAACTAGTTTACAGTCCCACCAACAGTGTAAAAGTGTTCCTATTTCTCCACATCCTCTCCAGCACCTGTTGTTTCCTGCCTTTTTAATGATCGCCATTCTAACTGGTGTGAGATGGTATCTCATTGTGGTTTTGATTTGCATTTCTCTGATGGCCAGTGATGATGAGCATTTTTTCATGTGTCTTTTGGCTGCATAGATGTCTTCTATTGAGAAGTGTCTGTTCATATCCTTTGCCCACTTTTTGATGGGGTTTGTTTGTTTTTTTCTTGTAAATTTGTTTGAGTTCATTGTAGATTCTGGATATTAGCCCTTTGTCAGATGAGTAGATTGCAAAAATTTTCTCCCATTCTATATGTTGCCTGTTCACTCTGATGGTAATTTCTTTTGCTGTGCAGAAGCTCTTGGGTTTAATTAGATCCCATTTGTCAATTTTGGCTTTTGTTGCCATTGCTTTTGGTGTTTTAGACATGAAGTCCTTGCCCATGCCTATGTCCTGAATGGTATTGCCTAGGTTTTCTTCTAGGGTTTTTATGGTTTTAGGTGTAAGTCTTTAATCCATCTTGAATTAATTTTTGTATAAGGTGTAAGGAAGGGATCCAGTTTCAGCTTTCTACATATGGCTAGCCAGTTTTCCCAGCACCATTTGTTAAATAGGGAATCCTTTCCCCATTTCTCGTTTTTGTCAGGTTTGTCAAAGATCATATGGTTGTAGATATGCGGCATTATTTCTGAGGGCTCTGTTCTGTTCCATTGATCTATATCTCTGTTTTGATACCAGTATCATACTGTTTTGGATTCTGTAGCCTTGTAGTATAGATTGAAGTCAGGTAGCATGATGCCTCCAGCTTTGTTCTTTTGGCTTAAGATTGACTTGGCTGTTGCGGAAAGTCAGGGACCCCAAACGGAGGGACCGGCTGAAGCCATGACAGAAGCATGTGGATTGTGAAGATTGTATGGACATTTATTAGTTCCCCAAATTAATACTTTTGTAATTTCTTATGCCTGTCTTTAATGCAATCTCTAAACAGAAATTGTAAAGATTTCATGGACAATTATCACTTCCCCAATCAATATGCTTGTGATTTCCTATGCCTGTCTTTACTTTAATCTCTTAATCCTGTCAGCCGATAAGGATGTATATCATCTCAGGACCCTGTAATAATTGGGTTAACTACACAAATTGTACAGCATGTGTGTTTGAGCAATATGAAATGTGGGCACCCTGAAAAAAGAACAGGATAACAGCAATTGTTCAGGGAATAAGAGAGAGAACCTTAAACTCTGACCGCCAGTGAGCCGGGCAGAACAGAGCCATATTTCTCTTCTTTGAAAAGCAAAAGGGAGAAATATCGCTGAATTCTTTTTCTCAGCATGGGATATCCCCGAGAAAGAGAATGCGCACCTAGGGGTAGGTCTCTGAACTGGTCTCTTATGGTCGAGTTTGCAGAGGTGAAATAAACTCCAGTCTCCCATAGTGCTCCTAGGCTTATTAGGAAGAGGAAATTCCCGCCTAATGAATTTTGGTCAGACCAGTTGATCTCAAAACCCTGTCTCCTGATAAGATGTTATCAATGACAATGGTGCCCAAAACTTCATTAGCAATTTTAATTACGCCTCCATCCTGTGGTCCTGTGATCTCCCCCTGCCTCCACTTGCCTTGTTAGATTCTATTACCCTGTTAAGTACTTGATATCTGTCACCCACACCTATTCGTATACTCCCTCCCCTTTTGAAACTGCCTAATAAAAACTTGCTGGTTTTTGTGGCTTGTGGGGCATCACGGATCCTACCAACGTGTGATGTATCCCCCGGACGCCCAGCTTTAACATTTCTCTCTTTTGTACTCTGTCCTTTTATTTCTCAAGCCAGCCGACGCTTAGGAAAATAGAAAATAACCTACGTGATTATCAGGGCAGGTCCCCTGATACTTGGCAATGCAGGCTCTTTTTTGGTTCCATATGAACTTTAAAGTAGTTTTTTCCAATTCTGTGAAGAAAGTCGTTGGTAGCTTGATGGGGATGGCATTGAATCTATAAATTACCTTGCGCAGTATGGCCATTTTCATGATATTGATTCTTCCTACCCATGAGCATGGAATGTTCTTCCATTTGTTTGTATCCTCTTTTATTTCATTGAGCAGTGGTTTGTAGTTCTCCTTGAAGAGGTCCTTCACGTCCCTTGTAAGTTGGATTCCTAGGTATTTTATTCTCTTTGAAGCAGTTGTGAATGGGGGTTCACTCATGATTTGACTCTCTGTTTGTCTGTTATTGGTGTATAAGAATGCTTGTGATTTCTGCACATTGATTTTGTATCCTGAGACTTTGCTGAAGTTACCTATCAGCTTAAGGGGATTTGGGGCTGAGACGATGGGGTTTTCTAGATATACAATCATGTTATCTGCACACAGGGACAATTTGACTTCCTCTTTTCCTAATTGAATACCCTTTATTTCCTTCTCCTGCGTGATTTCCCTGGCAAGAACTTCCAACACTTTGTTGAATAGGAGTGGTGAGAGAGGGCAACCCTGTCTTGTGCCAGTTTTCAAAGGGAATGCTTCCATTTTTGCCCATTCAGTATGATATTGGCTGTGGGTTTGTCATAGATAGCTCCTATTTTGTTGAGATACGTCCCATCAATACCGAATTTATCAAGAGTTTTTAGCATGAAGGTTGTTGAATTTTGTGAAAGGCTTTTTCTGCATCTATTGAGATAATCATTTGGTTTTTGTTGTAGGCTCTGTTTATATGCTGGATTACATTTATTGATTTGCATATGTTGAACAAGCCTTGCATCCCAGGGATGAAGCCCACTTGATCATGGTGGATAAGCATTTCGATGTGCTGCTGGATTCAGTTTGCCAGTATTTTATTGAGGATTTTTGTATCGATTTTCCTCACGGATATTCGTCTAAAATCCTCTTTTTTTGTTGGGTCTCTGCCAGTCTGTTGTGTCAAGATGATGCTGGCCTCATAAGATGAGTTAGGGAGGATTCCCTCTTTTTCTATTGATTGAAATAGTTTCAGAAGGAATGGTACCAGCTCCTCCTTGTACCTCTGGTAGAATTCGGCTGTGAATCCATCTGGTCCTGGACTTTTTTTTGGTTGGCAGGCTACTAATTATTGCCTCAATTTCGGAGCCTGTTATTGTTCTTTTCAGAGATTCAACTTCTTCCTGGTTTAGTCTTGGGAGGGTGTATGTGTCAAGGAATTTATCCATTTCTTCTAGATTTTCTAGTTTATTTGTGTAGAGGTGTTTATAGTATTCTCTGATGGTAGTTTGTATTTCTGTGGGATCAGTGGTGATATCCCCTTTATCATTTTTTAGTACGTCTATTTGATTCTTCCCTCTTTTCTTCTTTATTAGTCTTGCTAGTGGTCTATCAATTTTGTTGATCTTTTCAAAAAACCAGCTCCTGGATTCATTGATTTTTTGAGGGTTTTTTTTGTGTCTCTATTTCCTTCAGTTCTGCTCTGATCTTAGTTATTTCTTGCCTTCTGCTAGCTTTTGAATGTGTTTGCTCTTGCTTCTCTAGTTCTTTTAACTGTGATGTTAGGGTGTCAATTTTAGATCTTTCCTGCTTTCTCTTGTGAGCATTTAGTGCTGTAAATTTCCCTCTACACACTGCTTTGAATGTGTCCCAGAGATTCTGGTATGTTGTCTGTGTTCTCGGTAATTTCAAGGAACATCTTTATTTCTGCCTTCATTTCGTTATGTACCCAGTAGTCATTCAGGAGCAGGTTGTTCAGTTTCCATGTAGTTGAGTGGTTTTGAGTGAATTTCTTAATCCTGAGTTCTAGTCTGATTGCACTGTGGTCTGAGAGACAGTTTGTTATAATTTCTGTTCTTTTAATTTGCTGAGGAGTGCTTTACTTCCAACTATGTGGTCAGTTTTGGAATAGGTGTGGTGTGGTGCTGAAAAAAATGTATATTCTGTTGATTTGGGTTGGAGAGCTCTGTAGATGTCTATTAGGTCCACTTGGTGCAGAGCTGAGTTCAATTCCTGGATATCCTTGTTAACTTTCTGTCTCATTGATCTGTCTAATGTTGACAGTGGTGTGTTAAATTCTCCCATTATTATTGTGTGGGAGTCTAAGTCTCTTTCTAGGTCTCTAAGGACTTGCTTTATGAATCTGGGTGGTCCTGTATTGGGTGCATATACATTTAGGATAGTTGGCTCTTCTTGTTGAATTGATCCCTTTACCATTATGTAATGGCCTTCTTTGTCTCTTTTGATCTTTGTTGGTTTAAAATCTGTTTTATCAGAGACTAGGATTGCAAGCCCTGCCTTTTTTTGTTTTCCATTTGCTTGGCAGATCTTCCTCCATCCCTTTATTTTGAGCTTATGTGTGTCTCTGCCCATGAGATGGGTTTCCTGAATGCAGCACATTGATGGGTCTTGACTCTTTATCCAATTTGCCAGTCTGTGTCTTTTAACTGGAGCATTTAGCCCATTTACGTTTAAGGTTAATGTTGTTTTGTGTGAATTTGATCCTGTCATTATGATCTTAGCTGGTTATTTTGCCCATTAATTGATGCAGTTTCTTCCTAGCCTCGATGGTCTTTACAATTTGGCATGTTTTTGCAGTGGCTGGTACCGGTTTTTCCTTTCTATGTTTAGTGCTTCCTTCAGGAGCTCTTTTAGGGCAGGTCTGATGGTGACAAAATCTCTCAGCATTTGCTTGTCTGTAATGGATTTTATTTCTCCTTCACTTATGAAGCTTAGTTTGGCTGGATATGAAATTCTTGGTTGAAAATTCTTTTCTTTAAGAATGTTGAATACTGGCCCCCACTCTCTTCTGGCTTGTAGAGTTTCTGCCTAGAGATCAGCTGTTAGTCTGATGGGCTTCCCTTTGCGGGTAACCCGGCCTTTCTCTCTGGCTACCCTTAACATTTTTTCCTTCATTTCAACTTTGGTGAACCTGACAACTATGTGTCTGGGAGTTGCTCTTCTCAAGGAGCATCTTTGTGGCATTCTCTGTATTTCCTGAATTTGAATGTTGGCCTGCCTTGCTAGATTGGGGAAGTTCTCCTGGATAATATCCTGCAGAGTGTTTTCCAACTTGGTTCCATTCTCCCCATCACTTTCAGGTACACCAATCAGGCATAGATTTGGTCTTTTCACACAGTCCCATATTTCTTGGAGGCTTTGTTCGTTTCTTTCTATTCTTTTTTCTCTAAACTTCTCTTCTCACTTCATTTCATTCATTTCATCTTCCATCACTGATACCCTTTCTTCCAGTTGATCAAATCGGCTACTGAGTCTTGTGCATTCATCACGTAGTTCTTGCGCCATGGTTTTCAACTCTATCAGGTCCTTTAAGGACTTCTCTGCATTGGTTATTCTAGTTAGCCATTCATCTAATCTTTTTTCAAGGTTTTCAACTTCTTTGCCATGGGTTTGAACTTCCTCCTTTAGCTTGGAGTAGTTTGATCATCTGAAGCCCTCTTCTCTCAATTCGTCAAAGTCATTCCCTGTCCAGCTTTGTGCATTCCTTTGGAGGAGGAGAGGCTCTCTGATTTTTAGAATTTTCAGTTTTTCTGCTCATTTTTTCCCCATCTTTGTGGTTACATCTACCTTTGGTCTTTGATAATGGTGGCATACAGATGGGGTTTTGGTGTGTATGTCCTTTCCGTTTGTTAGTTTTCCTTCTAACAGTCAGGACCCTCAGCTGCAGGTCTGTTGGAGTTTGCTAGAGGTCCACTCCAGACCCTGTTTGCCTTGGTATCAGCAGCAGAGGCTGCGGAACAGCAGATATTGGTGAACAGCAAATGTTGCTGCCTGATCGTTCCTCTCGAAGTTTTGTCTCAGAGGAGTACCCGGCCATGTGAGGTGTCAGTCTGCCCCTACTGGGGAGTGCCTCCCAGTTAGGCTACTCGGGGGTCAGGGACCCACTTGAGGAGGCAGTCTTTCTGTTCTCAGATCTCCAGCTGTGTGCTGGGAGAACCACTATTCTCTTCAAAGCTGTCAGACAGGGACATTTAAGTCTGCAGAGGTTTCTGCTGCCTTTTGTTTGGCTATGCCCTGTCCCCAGAGGTGGAGTCTACAGAGGCAGGCAGGCCTCCTTGAGCTGCGGTGGGCTTCACCCAGATCGAGCTTCCTGGCCGCTTTCTTTACCTACTCAAGCCTCGGCAACAGCAGGCGCCCCTCCCCTAGCCTCGCTGCCACCTTGCAGTTTGAAATCAGACTGCTGTGCTAGCAATGAGCGAGGCTCCGTGGGTGTATGACCCTCTGAGCCATGTGCAGGATATAATCTCCTGGTGTGCCGTTTGCTAAGACCGTCAGAAAAGCGCAATATTAGGGTGGGAGTGATCCAATTTTCCAGGTGCCATCTGTCACCCCTTTCCTTGGCTAGGAAAGGGAATTCCCTGACCCCTTGCACTTCCCGGGTGAGGTGATGCCTCGCCCTGCTTTGGTTCAGGCCCGGTGCACTGCACCCACTGTCCTGCACCCACTGTCTGACAATCCCCAGTGAGATGCACCAAGTACCTCAGTTGGAAATGCAGAAATCATTCATCTTCTGCATTGCTCATGCTGGGAGCTGTAGACTGGAGCTGCTCCTATTCGACCATCTTGGCTCCACCCCCTGGAGAAATCTTCTATGCAGAAAAATTCCAAATGCATACTCCCTCTTCTTAAGTGTGGGCTGACCATGGTGACTTCTTTCAAAGAGTACGATATAGAAAATTAATTGTTTTTAAAATGTTACTATGCAGAGAAGAGAACTGACAAGAACTGCTTCAAGCTAGGTGATAAAGTTTAGCACCAGCAATCATGAATCATATTGATAAGAGGTATTCTTGATACAATGTGATGAAGATGACATTTTTTTCTCTGTTCTTCCTCCAATAAACACATTAGCCCAGTGTAATCATGAGAAAAACATCAGACAAATTTCACTGTAGGGACATTCTACAAAATACCTGACCATTACTCCTCAAAACTGTCAAAGTAATCAAATACAAGAAAAGTCTGAGAAATTGTCATAGTCAAGAGAAGCTTAATGACACATGATGACTAAATGTTATGTGGCATCCTAGGTGGGACCCTATAACAGAAAAAGGACATTGTGAAAAAGGCTGAGGAAATCTGAATAAAGTAAGGAATTTTAATTAAAATTAAATAGCAGTCCATTAGTTGTGACAAATGTATCATCCTTATATAAGATGTTACTACTGGGGGAAGTTGGTATAGGGTATATGGAAACTCTCTCTACTATCTTTACAATAATTTTGCAAATCAAACCTTTTTTAAAAAAATTAATAAAAAACAAAAAACAGAGTAACTGGGAGAGTGAGCAATAGGACATACTATTAATGTTGAGTCGTCAAGAAGGTCCTTGACAATAGGGTGGCGTTTGAACAAAGTGCTTAGAGGAACCAATGGATGGTTATTAGTGAACAAGCACACAAAATCTGAGTTACATTTTCAGGAGGACACTCACACAGCTGATGGGAGGAGGTGGCAGAAGGGGTAGGACCACAGGGTTTACAGCAGGGCACCCAGTGAGGAGGTTACTTGGATAATCCAAACAAGAGATAGCATCAGCCTGCACCAAGGTAGTGACTTTAGTGGTAAGAAGAAATTCTCAGATTTTTAGTGTATTTGAAGGTAAAACCAACAGGCTTTGCTTATGTTTTGGATATAGAATGTGAGGGAAAAGAGTCAAGGATGACTCAATAGATAATTGAGCCAAACAATTGGTGAATGGGTGTTTTCTGGCCTGAGATGAGGAGCATGCCCAGAGAAGCTCTTTGGAATGGAGATTATTAGAATATAAAAGGAAGGCTGATTTGCACCAGAAGTTGAGGAGCCTTTCTGATCATGAACATAAGGAACGAACCCATAAAGTAAAATATTGATATCTTTGACTAGTTAAATTAAAAATTAATATTGGACCCCCCCATTGAAAGGTAAACAAATTGTAAAACATTTGCAACACTTTGATAGAAGCAAAATCTTGCATTCCCCCCATAATCCATGTTTTTTTTTTCTTTTTCTTTTATACACCTTTGTTTTCTTAGGATTGCACTGTTTCACCCAGTGCTGACAAATGAGATTTTGTACAGAGGCTTGAGACCACAGGCTCTCCTAATTTGTAGCTGCTTGTGAGAGAATCTCAGAACAGACAGGACAGAAAAAAGAGTTGTTGATTCTGCTGGTTGAAATAGGATTTTAAATAATGAAAGCACACTGAAAGAAAAAATTTAATAGAATTTAAAAAATGAAGCATTACATATATAAGACTATTCTTTTTCAGCATGTAATAATCATAAAATACTTATCCTTGAATCGTTAATCTTTAAGGGAATTTTCCCCTTAATCATGATGAGTAATATTCAAATTTATAAATTTGTGTATATATTAGAAGATATATAGATGACAGTTTTTCTTCTCTAATTAAGAGAATCTTATCTTTTCTTCTCCTCCATTATGACAAGAAAAGAAATAAATTGATGCTGCCTTGTTTTAAAATAATAGGTATGCATGATGATTGTCACATCATCTGTGTCGCATAAGGAATTAATAGCTTCAGACACATCGTTCTACTTTAGAACATTCTATTTATAAGGAATAACATGAAGGGATTTTTAAGATTACTGGCTTTTATTGACCTTTGATTCCATAGAGAGTAATCCAAATAACATTTCTATACATATGGAATCTATGATATGGGAGTAATATGTAGACAGGCTAATTAAACTCTTCTGCTCCGATAAAATATTCCTGATACTCTGGTATCATCCCCTTCTCTCTATAATTTGTTTCTAAATTACCTAATAATCTTTTGAATGAAGGCTGGCTACAATGTTAAAAGTTAGAACTGCTTGCAAAGTATATATGTAAATGACAGAGAAAGCCCAGGATGGGTGAGTTTGAGAATTGTATACAACTGCTGTTTTGTTCTTGAGCTCTTTTCCTATTCTACAATACTTTTTAAACACCAACATTGTAAGAGAGAAGATTGAGGTCAGTAGAGCATGAGGAAAAACAAAAGACCACCTAGTTCTCTGGTTGCTATACTTCTAGGACACCTCTATTTTGGCAAAAAGCTCTGTGCACTCGAGCTGTCTAATTCACAAGCTCTATATTGGAATCTGCAGCCAAAGCCCAGCTGTGTTTTAAAAAAAGGATCATGTTCTTGTCTTTGTCTTGTGTACATGCATTTTCTTTCTGAGAACAAGGATGATGAAATTCATGTCCTCTTGAGTTGTAAAATGCTTTTTTTACATCACTCTTTTCTTTTATGTTAAAAAAAGCCCTATGCATAAATTTACTCTGTGATTCCATTGAAAATACAGTGTATAATCTCTGACTCACCGTCACCCACTATTTAAGAGAAGCTCAGCTGAAACATGCTTTTCGAAGACAAGGTTTTGAAAGAAAGTTCAACCCATCTGCACTTGCACTATATCCTAAAATTTGCTTTTTTACATACCTGTCTTTAGAGACCAAAAGCAATATGGGCAATTTGAGAAAACTACATAGACCTTCTGCAAAATTAATTTTATGGAATTACATTTTAACTTGTTTCCAGCACTCCATATTCGTGATTTTTAAAAGAAACCACCCAATAAAAACTGCTTGTATCAATAATAAATATGTATAATCATTTTTAGCTTCTTTAGAAAGATTGCCTTCTAAGAATTCCTATTGAATTTCTGTCTCTGGCATCACAAATGATATTGTCATAAAGTTGCCCTGTGCCATTTGTTGCTTGCTAGCAAGTTTAGAACCAAATTAATGTCCATTTGGTTAACGGGCTCATTAGGCCTAATTTCTAAATTGACTGTGCCTTTTCACTTTTAATATACAGTAGAGGTCATTTTTGGTGTTCAGTAGAGGTTGATGAAATGACCAATTTCTTGATGAAATTGTATGCTATTATGTGTAGGTGTGCACATGTGTGAGACAACATGTTAATATGTATAAAAATTCTTAAAAATGTTCATGCATTTTGATTCAATAATTTAATATCTCAAGACACAGCCTAAGTGTATAATTGAATATGCACAGGATAATTTATGAACCATGATTAATTTCATATTATTGAAAGTTGTTAAAACTGTAAAATAGCATCACAATCCAGTAAGAGGAGAACTCTTAGTTAAATTCTGTGCAAAACTAGCTCTTGTGATATATATAAACACAGGGGAAAGTTCTCATGCTATGTTGTTGTATGAATAAAGCTGAATATAGACATGAAATTACAATGTACTGTGAGAGCCATGTGTATTTTAAAGGAAGAAAAACTGAAAAGCTCTAAACAAAATGTTTTCAGAGGTTCTCTGAGTGAAGGGATTTTGGATAAAAATGTTGGCTTATTATATTTTCTTTATTTTCTAACCTTTCCAAAATAAATGTGTGTTATATTTTATAAACAGAAATAAGAGTATATTTAAATGATAATTTTGCAGGGACAAAGAAAAAGAAAGAAAGAGAACAAAAGAATAAAACAAGTATTTGGCAGTTATCTCATGTATTGAATGATTACATTGCTACACAACAGTCATAAATTATTTATGAATTTTTAGTATATTTTACAAATTTCCCACTTGCTAAAACATTTTCTGGGAGCTGCACATAGATTCAAAATATAAAATCAATCATAATTAGGAAAATAACCAAGAAGAAAAGACATAGGATTGAAACATTACCATTTGGACAACTGACCAGGCAGGGCAAATAAAGCTAAAATATTATGTTTTTGAATTGGAGATTAACAGTTGACTTCAATGATATCAGTGTAAGAATAAGAATCGCTTAACTCTGTCTCACTCAACTTCGGAAAGTCAACAAATCTGCACATAAAGTGATTTGTCTAGAGGTTATGGTGGAAGGCAGTGTCCACCAGCCCAGCCTTTACCCTACTACGTGCTCTTCTTGGCCATAGCCACTTCCAGGTTCCAGGAGTCATGCACTCCAGTCTGCAAAACCTGTTCTCAGCATACAGGATGCTACACAAAAGGATATGTGACAGCCAAGCAACAGAATACACCACATCCTATACTTTAGCCTTAGTGGCAAAAAGCAACCACAAATGTACAAACAAAAGCTTATACCTTTCTTGTTAAAACAATGAAGTGCATATCCACTCATGCAAATTCATAACAGTTTTTACACTAATGCCTTTTCTTTTATATCTATTTTCATGTGTTTCATAAATAAATAAGCAAAGATGAAAATAGAATAAATATATAAAGCTTCTTTAGAAGTATATAGTACTTTTAAAAAGTATTTTACAAGGAAGATTTGGAGAATTCACTTTATCATCGATAAACTCACAAAAAATACAGGAAAGAAGAAAGATAACCAAGGTAAAACAAAAATTATCTTGTTTTTTATTTTTATTTTAAAACCCATACATTTTGCTGTTTTCCATTTGTAAACAAATGTTTATTATACACATGGTCAAATTACTGTATTACACGTCTCTAAACAAAGAGTTATAAATATAATCATAGGTCAATATACAAATTATTTAGACATAAAATTTGCTTTAGTATAACTAGAAACCATATTTATTTATTTATTTTGTGCAAGGCAAAGTACAAATAATTAAAATGAGAGCTCTATTACAAGATTGAATGGCAGTTAGAACTCACTTATAATAAATGCAATCTAAAATACTCTTGAGTCACTGACACTTAATATTCCACATAATGCTAAACATTTCAACTGAGGGGTTACTTAAGTTCAACAGTGTAGGAAATACACCCCAAATTAAAAATCACTTCAAGTGTATTTCTGTGTGATGATAACATGCCCAGCTCTGTCATGGGTGTCTGATTAGGTGTCAGTAATATGCTCTCCTGAAAATCGGGGACATCAGTCTGCTATTCTCCAAACCCCGCCTGTCAGTGTTCTTCTGGATTATTAAAATTATTGCTCAGTGAAAAGAACAGATTCTACATGTTCTGTTTTTTAACCACAGATTCCTCTAAAATGAGTACACATGTTTTAGATGGCCTTATAATTTTACATACAACAGAAACTTAGGGAAATGCTCACAAGGCATGACTCTTATAGTACCTGTCTAAAGGTTCCTGAGGGATGGCAGGATCGATTGTCTGAGACAGCAGAGAGGCAGAAGAAATATTGGATGGCACTTAACTCTTTCACATATAACTGGTCTATATAGTTGACATTTAATTTAATTCAGGGGTTCAGAAGAAACACAGGAAAAATTTCAATGAAATGACACATCTACACATTCATAATAAATTAATTTGAGTAAAAAAACAGACAAAAAACCTGTTTCTCCCTCTACATTCTTACACAGTCAATCACACTCAATGCAACACTTTACCTCTGGTTACCAAAATGTATGTGAGAGTTTCTGCCACCAGCACAGGCAATGCTTCTGTGAACACCAGCGCGGTGTCCTGTGATTCAGTTCAATTCTGACTCTATCTACCTGGAGGAAGCTCCAGACCCCACAAGTGAGGGCTCAGCCCCAGAAGGTTGCCCCCACTTCAGGTGACAGTCCCAAGCTTGTGACTGACCAGCTATAAACCTGGGTTCCTGGGACCCTTCCTTGGGTTCCAATAATTTGCTAGAGCAACTCAGAGAACTCAGCTAAACACTTACTTACATTTTCCCATTTATCATAAAGGACATTGCAAAGGATTCGGGTGCCAGACAGACAGAGGAGATGCACAGGGCAAGAAATGTAGGGAGAAGCAGAGCTTCCATGCCGTCTTTTGGATTGGAGCCAACCCCAGACATCTCTATGTGTTCAGCAATCTGGAAGCTTTCTGAACTCAGCCTTTTGGGTTTTTATGGAGGCTTCATTATGCAGTCATAGTTGATTAAATCATTGTCCATTGATGATCAACTCAACCTTCAGTTCCTCTCCCCTTCCTAGAGGTTAGAAGGTGGGGCTGAAAGTTCCAACCCCTTCATTACACAGGTGGTTTGTTCCCCGGGAAACCAGCCCTCACTCTAAGGGTATCCAGGAGCCCACTGAGAGCCACCCCGTTAGAACAAAAGATGCTTTTGTCACTCAGGACATTACAAAGGAGCTCTGTGTCAGAAGCTAGGATTAAAGAACAAATACAGAACAAATTATTCCTCCAGCACCCCTACTGCAAGGATTTTAAGAACTCTATCTCAGGATAAAGACCTGAGGGTAAGGACCACCATATATATTTCTTATTACAGATACCAAGAAAATAACACATTAATGGTAAATTAATATTCAAAAATTATATAAAAATAGCAAAGAACTCTCACTTTAAATATATTAAAGTTAGAAAGGTAGAAATATTAAATACTCATATGAAATCTTTAGCCTGAAGCAAAATCTTTTTAAGGTATTTTATACGTAAAAAATACTTTTATTTTATATGTATTTACATATATTTTATATGTATATATTTATATTTATATGTTTGTATGTATGTTGTTTATGTATCTATATTTACATTCATATTTATGTTTGTTATATATTACATATCTATGTTACATGTTAAATTTAAATTACTTTATTCTGTCATTATGCATATATACACACATATTCAAATTCAGAAATACACATGCAGATATCTACCTACAAGATTTAAACATCATTTTCTAATTGAAGTTTTACAAGCAGTAGAGTTTAGTAATTGTAAATAAATAAAAAGAATTTTCTTCTACTAAAGGTCATCATTTCCATATAGAAAGGATCAAAATCCTCATTTTTTTCTAAATACAGCTAAGAACAAAATATTGTTTAATAGCTAAGCATTTTGCAAGTTTGATGTTAAGCCGACTTAGAAGTTACATTAGTACATCAGCTAAGGCTGTAATGAGCTGACTGTGCCTGTCTCCTTTGACTGATGGTAGCCATTTGAACCAACAAACAAACAAAGCCTCAAGGCAGCTGTTGAAGTAGACACAGTAACCCACTACATTATTTTAAGATAAAACCATAGTAAATGTTTCAGACCATAGATTGTTCACATAAGATTTCTCTTCTTTTGTTTTAACCAGAAGAAAATGACATACTTCAAACCATTATGTTAAGAACATAGTTTTCACTAAGTCTTGATTTTATTTTGAACCAGTTAGCAAGCTGGAAAGCAGGAAACAGAGCTAAGTGCTGATCACTGAAAAGTTAATATATGTGAAAATGAATAAATTCTGAAACTAATATTTTAATTGTTAATACAAATAGTTTGTGATTTTATAAGCATATTATGTTGAAATACAAAACAAATTGTTCATTCAGAATCTGCATCACATTGTCAATAGTTGGCTTGTAATGCCAAAAGTGCACTATATTTTTCTTAGTAACTTGACATAAGATTCTATTCCAGGAAACTCTGAGATTCTGCCATTTTAATTACAGGTGCAAGAGCAAATGCTCATTCTCTTGTCCCACCTTAACCTACCTTGAAGCACACATATAAAACCAAATGATTACTTGGGACATTTCAAACTAAACTGCTTTCACTTCAGGCTCTCTCTCAGGAATACCTCATTTACTACTCCATATCTCTAAAATCATTTTAGAAATTGTCTTCGGGGCAATAAGAATAAAAAAGGAATGAAGGCCCATAAGCTGCAGATATTTAACACATAAATATGCTATTTATAAGCAACAAATTTTTGCACTCCAGAATTTTTAAGGTATGTAATGGCTTATGAGGAGAGATGCGCATTTAAGCTAAAGGACCCAAATGCTTTGAGGGACATAATACTCCAGAATGTTCTGCTTCAGAGAACACTGCTTCTAAAAATCACTTTCAGGGAAAGGGCCTATTTTGGCTCACTGTTAAATGATTGCATTTCCATCCAGCTCATTCATTTGACATCCACTGGAATTCTCTGTAGAGTCAGAGATTGAAGCAAGCTTCAGTTAATATCTCAGAAGACACATAAGATGTGGATGTCAATTGGGCCCATTCAAATCTACAAATATGACCAGGAATATTTGGAAATTGTGTATCACACCAAGAAAGATAATAGCTTTCTGAAAGCAAATAGTTTAAATGCTTAGAGTACAACGTGGAGGAAATAAAGGAAGTATTTATCTGTGAGAGAGGACACAGTTAATCCACTTAATTTGAATTTGAATTAAAACGACTCAGCAAAGGTATTCCAAATTGTTCAGCCAATTGTATAAGCAAAACATTTTTTATTTGTCTTTACTTTTGAATAAATTAAAAATGCTTTGAATTTCAGAACATGAATGACTAGGGAGCCATCGTAATAATATCGTAATGACATATGGAATAACTGTCTAAATTGCTTCCTTCAAATGTCCTCTAGCTTTTATTACTTTTTAATTATTAAATATATCAAAATTACAAAATATTTTATCTAGTATATTTTAAGCTTAAAGAATGATGCTAAAACCAATGTATCCATCTAAAGAAATGATGTCACCAGTTCTTTTAAAACCTGCCCTGCGCACCTTACATCACACCACCTCCCCACCCCCACCCTGGGGCAAATAGCTGCTGGCCTAGGTTCCTCTGAAATACTCCCTTGAATTTCTTTAAAGGTTTTACCACCTATGACTGATTCTCTAAACAATATGTTGTTCAGATTTGCCTGGTTTGACCTTACAATAAAGCAGTCATTTTGTGTGTTTTGTTTTCAAGTCAGGATCTTGCTCTGTCACCCAGG
This sequence comes from Homo sapiens, assembly GCF_000001405.40. Taxonomy (NCBI): domain Eukaryota; kingdom Metazoa; phylum Chordata; class Mammalia; order Primates; family Hominidae; genus Homo; species Homo sapiens. Next base: position 54,333,305 of record NC_000007.14, read on the forward strand.
CCAGGCTGGAGTGCAGTGGCACAATCAGGACTCCCTGCAGCCTTGACCTCCTGGGCTCAAACAGTCTTCCCCAATTCAGCCTCCTGAATAGCTAGGACTACAGATGTGTGCCCCCATGCCCGGCTAATTTTTTGTATTTTTTTTTGCAAAGAAGGGATCTTGCTATGTGGCTCATGAGGGTCTTGAACTTCTGGGCTCAAGCAGTCTGTCTGCCTCAGCCTCCCAAAGTGCTGGGACTACCATGCCCAGCCCTTCTGTGACTTTCTTTTTCTGTTCCCCAACATTAGATTTCTGAGTTTGTCCTGGCTGATGTCTAGCTTTGATTCACCATTTTCCCCTCTGGATATATTATGTCAACAAGCCAAAATTTATTCATCGGTTGTTAGACATTTGAACTGTTTCCCCTCGAGGCCATGGCAACCAGTGTTGCCACAAATATTCTTTTATATTTCTACTGGGACACAGACATAATAAATGCCTCACACTAAGTACCTAAGGGTGGCATCTTTTATATTCATAAAATTGCTGAGTATTTTTGTTTCTATTCTCTGGAAGAATTTACATAAAATCCTAAGTATTTGTGTGTTGGATGTTTGGTTAAAAAAATCACCTATAAAACCATCTGGGCAAGATATTTGTTTTGGGAAGAATTTTAACTTTGTTTTCTATTTTGATAATTGTGCTGTTTGAGTCTAAAGTTGAGGTTCTTGCAAAGCGGACTCAGTTACATTCCCTGTGGATATGAGGTTTCTGGCCCCTGCTTCTAATGTCCAGCACAGCTGAATTGGGGCAAACAACAACAGTTGCAGTGTTGAGGCCCATTTCCTAGCTCATATGTGGAGGATGCATTTCTCATTTGATGTCTCTCCCTTCTCTGGGGCCCCTGGTTGTCATCACTACTGGATAACAAACCTCTTTTCCAGAACCCACATAGAGGCATGCTACCTCAGCATGGGATTGTGAACAGCCACAGCAATGGCTTGATTTAGCAGGTATTATTGATTTCCCATCTAACTGTTTCAGATATTCTCACATTTTAATAAAGGGTAATTTTTTGTCATATAGCTTTTTCTAAAAATTTCAATTTAATTTTTTCTGCAGTAATGAGTTATTCACAATTTGACATAATTGTTCCTCATTTAGTGATTTGCTATGTAGTTATTTCTAAAGGCTAACAGAGCCAATGAGCCATTGTTAGAGAAATCTGTAGCTTTTAAATGAGATTTTAAAAACATCAGTTGTTGATTCTTTTTCCTCATATTTCCTTTTTTTCTGTTTTCCACCTTCTGTTCTGAATACTGAATATGTTTGCTAAGTTAATCATCACCGCATTCTTTGGAGATAGGAACTAATACTACCTTACACAGATATTAAGACTAAGACTCAGAATAGTCAAGGAATTTTTCAAACTCACCTCACTAGTAAGTGGAAGGGTCAGAATTTAATTCTGTGGGCAGAGGTTGTGCACAGGACTTTCCTCTGAGGCAACTGTAAGGATATTCTATTTTTGGTGTATCTGTGGGTTTCTCTTTATGGTTGAGCTTCATAGAAGGTTTTTGAGTGATCAGTTATAGATTATGTAGTAAGATTCCTTAATATGATTTTTAAATGAACAAAGGTTTTGACTAAAAATGAAAAGGCAGACTAGGAATAGAGCACAGCAGAATGTCTAGCAATATAATAAACAGCATCTGAGACAATTACTGAATTGGAAGTTAGAGTTGAAGAAATTATGTAGAAGGCAACCCAAATATAAGGAAATAAACATAAAAGACAGGTGGGAAGGTATAGGAGAGAAAATGAAAAGGTCAAACATACTACTGATCCGAGTTTTAGGAGGAGAGAAAAAAGATAGGGGTGGAGTGGGAGCATACTCTAAGAGGTAACACGTGAGAATTGTTTAGAATTAATGAGCAAAATGAATCTTTAAATTCAGGAAAGCTAACAAACATCACACTAGGTACATGAAAGAACAGAATAAAACAAGCGAAGCAAAGAAAATCATTTAAAACAGCCAAGAAAACAGAGATTTCCCGTAAAAGAATGGTGATTAGACCAACAATGAGCTTCCCAATATACTAACGGAAGCCAGAGACAGCAAGATAGTATTTTCTGAATTCCTGGAGCACATGGCTGCCAGCTGAGAGCTACTCAATGAGATATCCTAGGGATGTTTTGCACAAGTTCATCAGGGGGCATGTACCAGGGTATTTATTGCAGCATGGACTTAAGCAAAATACTGTATCATTTAAAAATGCATTGAAGGTATGTGGGAACTGCTACATATGAAGATAAAGGTAAATGGTTAAATTTGGAAGATGACAAATAGGAAAATTCAAAGACATTGCCAGGGATTCAAGAAATTTAGAACAGTTGGTTCCTTGACAGAAAATGAGGCCATGTCACCAATAGAAGAAGATGAGAAAGAACCTTGAAATAGAGTTTTAAAGGACAAATTTTCAAAGAAAGAAAAGATGATTTCAGAGATTATCTAGAAAGAAAATTTTACTTAGAACCTATGCTACTGAAATTACAACCAAACTGAAAGTTCCAGTTATTTTGTTAGAGAACGAAGTATTCTTTACCATTACTTTGTGATAAGGCCTGAGCATGCTCTAGAGTCTTCAAATTTGATCTTTGTCACCTGATTCTTTTATGCCAGTGTGATAGTCAAACTAATATGGCTAGAAATTTATAAGCCAAGAAATAACAATTCTGTTTTTATGTCAGGTACATGTGTGTGTATATCTATTCACTTTTTTCCATACCACTTCTAAGTACCTAGAGCAAATAGCCACTACCTTTCACTGAAACTACACAGTAGCTTCTTAATTGTTCTTATAGTTTCAATCTTGCTTTGTGACAATTAATCAATCCTCCACATAGCAAACATAATTATCTTATAATATAACTAAGATCATGTCATACCCCAGGTTAGCACATCTCATAAAATCCAACACACCAGCATCCCATCACCTAAAAGTCCTTGCGGGAACTGAATCGACCTCCTTCTCTAGCTTGCCCTGGTCTCCTTTTCTCTATCTCACAGCTTCTTTCTATTTCAGTGTCTCTCATGAGGCAAAATGCATGGTACTTGACACATTCTCTTACTTCTGCTCACAACACTCTTCATAGCTCTCCATCTGGTTAACTGATGCATCCTTCCAGTCTCATCCTAAATACCCTTCCCTGGAGAGGCCCTACCTAGCCACCCAATTTAAATTACTTCTCACTGTTTAACTCTCTTATAACACCTTGCACATTTTCTTGTGTTAAAGGAATATTATAATGTAGAGACATTCTATTTTACATGTTTTATATGTGTATTAGAGTATTATATTCCTAATTCCTCCCTCCCATGCCATGTGTCATTACCCTCATTCATTTCACTTACACATAAGCTATAATCATAGAATATATCAGTTATTATTATTTTGAACAAACTGTTGTCTCTTAGCTCAATTGAGAATAGGAAATAGAAGATTTTATTTTATCTTCCCTTATTTCTTCCCTAAATCTTTCCTTTCTTTATGTAGCTCCATGTTTCTGATCTGTATAATTTTTTTTCTCTCTAAAGAACTTTTTTAAAAAGCATTTTTTGCAAGGCAGGTCTACTGACAATACATTCCCTCAGTTTTTGGTTGTCTGAGAAAGTTTTTATTTCTCTTTCACTTTTGAAGGGTAATTTTGCGTGGTACAGAATTACAGGCTGGTGGTTTTTCCTCAATACTTTGAATTTTTCACTCTGTTCTGTGCTTGCTTGCCTGGTTTCTGAGACGTCAGATGTAATTCTTATAATTACTGCTCTATAAATAAGATGTTTTTCCCTCTGGCTTCAGTCAATATGTTTTCTTTATTTTGGATTTTCTGCAGTTTGAATATTATATGCCTGAATATAAGTGTAGGGCTTTTTCCTTCTCTCTTCTTGTGCTTTTTTTTTCTTTTTGGCACTTATCCTACTTGGTATTCTCTCCACTTCCTGAAATTGTGGTTGGGTCTCATATTAATTGGTGAAGTTCTTAGTCATTATTATTTCAAATATTTCTTCTGTTCCTTTTTCTCTTTCTTTTTCTTCTTGCATTCCCTGTGTTTGTATGTTACACCTTTTGTAATTGTCTCAAATCCTTTAATATTCTATTTTATTTTTTTCAGTCTTTTTTTTTTGCTTTGCTTTTCAATTTTGGAAGTATTTATTGACATATCTTCAAATATGAAAATCCTTTCCTCAGCCATGTCCAGCCCATTAAAAGCATTTAAAATTTTTCTGTGACAGTGTTTTTGATTCTAGAATTTATTTAATTCTGCCTTAGAATGTCCAGCTGTCTGCTTACGTTGCCCATCTGTTCTTGGGTGTTGCCTACTTTTTCCAACAAAGCCTTTAACATTATTCTTTCATATTCCTAATCTTATAATTCCCACATCCCTGCCATATCTGAATCTGGTTCTGATGCTTGTTCTGTCTTTTCAAGCTGTATGTTTTGCTTTTTAGTATGCCTTGTAATTTTTTGTTGAAAGTATAACGTGAAGTACCTGGTACTGTTTCCTACAGAGATTTCTGTTTTGCTATGCTGTGATTCTCATTACCTGTTTGTCTGTTTCTCCACTTTTAGGCATAGTGGTTTGTCCTGAGACCTCACTTTTCTGTGGGTCTAAGAAGGCTGTTGATTTTCAGTTCATTCAGCTTTTCACTTGTTGTTAGGATGGAGTAACAGCTTCCCAGTTTATTCCCAGCCAGGCCAAAGGCCAGAATCAAATTTCCTTTTAAGTACACAGTTTATAAACAGTTATTTTTGTGACTTTGTTTCCGTTCTTTTTAGCTTTCTAGGAGAGACATTTAAAAAATAATCACCCTTACACTTAGCAACTTATGTGTAGTACTACTCTCAGTCTCAAGTACATAGTAGAAAATCTGTCAATATTTCAGATTTAAGGAAAAAGAAATTAAGTCCTAGATCTATTTAGTCACTGCAGCAGATACGTGTGACTACTTTTGTGAGCATCATTCTGCTTAAACATTCTCTATTGAGTTACAGCTTTTAAAAACTCCTAACTACTAGTTAAAACTAAGAAACTTTTATTTGTGCTTAGATGTGCTTTGATCTCCGGTGGGTGTTCACATGAATAACAGTGCTTTTTGAAATTCATATGCCAAACTACTCTCTCTTAGATAGTGTTTACTTGTAAGAACACCAGGCAATATGTTGTAATCATTGCCTTAAGGTTTATGGTGGGTTTGACTTCTATAAACACTAATGAGAATCACTTGGCTGCTTCTATGCATAAAGTACTAGAATCCGGTCCCTAGGTTATGTTGCTTTTGCATTTGTATGGCTAATGCGTGTCATTAAACCATAATGGTAAACATAACTACTTGGAAATCATGTTTCACCTTTTTCTCCTGTGGATCCCAAATCAAATTGCAAACAATTAATTATGGTTACAACACCACTGCAGAGTAATTTTCAGTAGGAATATATTAAGAGGGGCTACACCGTTTCTGACGTTTCAACTGATAAGAAGTGACAACTCTTAGAAAGGCAGTCCTTACAAATCCACAATATATAAGGGTAGGAAAAGTAAATACCATCTTCAATATAATTAGACAAAGAAATTGGCAGATATATTTAACTCTTAAAAGTTCTGCCAGGACCCTACGCTTAAAAATTGCGGGGTAATTTAAAGTATTCCAATCAAGTTTGGATTCCATTTTTGTGGCTGATCTTCAGCAAGTACATTTTTCCTAAATAAAGAAATAATATTTGTAGAACTTTAAAATATCATCTCATCTTTCCTGGCTTTCATGTGCTCCGTGATAACTTGATTAGCCCAAGGAAGACGAAGAGATATCTGAATGGCCTGGACATGGCATGTAAAAATGACTCAGCCAACAGCTGGAAAGAAGCTGCTGGCCTTCAGGTCAGTATTTACTGGGGTGTGGTGAATTAAAACCAGATGTGCAAGCATGGACAGCTGCAGCGGAAATGCTTCTCAGTGCTATTTGCCAGCCGTGTTCCACAAAGTGGAGATAAAAGTGGTGGCAGTCAGGCAAGATCACTGTTCTCATGATCCTTACCTTCTAATGGAGAGAGACAGCATATTTGGCCAGTGAGCACTGCTCCAACTCCTTGGACTGAAGGCCACTTTATACTCTTAAAAATTGAGATCTCATCAAAACTTTTGTTTACGTGAGTTATATCCACTGATATTTACTGTAGTCAGAATTAACACTGTGGCATTTTAAGATTTTATTTACTTATTTCTACATAACAGGAAAGTCATTACATATTAACATGAAAATATTTTTATGAAAAAATAACTCCATTTAAAAAAATTAAAACAATGAAAAGAGTGTCATTGTTTTACATTTTTGCAAATCTTTGTAATATCTACTTTCATTGAAGATGGCTGGATTCTCATATCTGTGTTGGCGTTAAATATTGTTACATGTTGTTTTCGATGAAGCATATAAAGAAAGTCTACCTTGGAAAAGGTAGGCATATTTTAATAGCCTTTCAGTTATTCTTTGATATTACACTGAAGGGAGGCAGCTTCATAAAGATGAATTGCAATGTGGGATGTGAAGTCATATCAGTGAACTTTCCAGACTCCGTTATATACAAATCCTTTCATCTTGCACTTTGAATGGATCTTTTACCCATTCATGATTCTGTAAAATCATGTATTAGTCATTTGAAAAATAATGAATCACAGGTTTATGAAGATCTTCCAAATATTGACACATTTGATTACACTATATATAATCGCATTTGTTAGTATCATCTCAAATATCATCAAAAAGACTTTAAATCTTGGGAAGCTGTCAATGGTAGCAGATACAAAGCTTTAATTTTATTATTGGCAACAAAATACCATCAGTTTTATGATAGGCTCACTTTATTCATTTTCAAGAAAATAAAGAATCTTCAGTCATTTATTCAAGCAAAGATAATTTTTTATGAAAAAGTCTCTAGTCCAGCTCACAACTTAATTTCGCAAGCACTTTTCCTCAAGAATTCCATCATACTCTGGTATGCTGTGGAAGTACTTAACATAGACTTCCTATTTCATAACACAAGATATTAATAATACAGGTACTAATAGCTCAAAATACAGTGAAATTAACTTTTTGTGCTTCATCAAAAGATATTCTTGTTTTTTTTTTTTTTTTGAGACAGAGTCTTGCTCTGTCATCCAGGCTGGAGTGCAGTGGTACAATCTCGTCTCACCGCAATGTCCACTTCCCAGGTTCACGCGATTCTCCTGCCTCAGCCTCCCGAGTAGCTGGGATTACAGGTGTGTGCCACCATGCCCGGCTAATTTTTGTATTTTTAGTAGAGACAAGGTTTTGCCATGTTGGCCAGGCTGGTCTTGAACTCCTGACCTCAGGTGATCCACCCGTCTCGGCCTCCCAAAGTGCTGGGATTACAGGCGTGAGCCACCGCTCACAGCCAACAGACATTCTTAAGTAAAACTGGTTTTATGCATTTATTTGTTTGTTTTCCTGCAAGTATCGCCAATGAAGAGTTCAATGACCTGCTAGTACACCTTGCTGCCGCTGCACCAACGTGCACTGAGCCATCGCAGACTGTGATGGCTTAGTATAATTAAAAATTGTTTTCAATTTTTGTAAACCTGTCAAAAGTGTTGTGAATACATGGGATACACTTTGAGAACCACTGGAGTAAACAAATAAATTATCAAAATAATCACAAATATGATAAGGGCTGCAATTATAATAAAATATGATGGGGGATGATTGATCACTGGAATATAACTTACTAAGGAGTTCTTTCTTCACTTCCCAATCAAAGCTAGTAATATGTTGGCTAAGTAACCTGGATGACTATTACTTGTCTTGATTAGGCTTGATTAGAACTCTCCACAATTCAAATTATTTATCAGAATAGTGACTGATAATTTAGTTTTGTGCGTAAAAAAATTATAAGCTCCATGAATGCATATTTTGTTCTGTTAAACTTTTATTCTTAATAAATTATTCTGGATCTGACTTAAGTTATATATGTGTGCATGTGTGCATGCATGTGTGTGTATGTGTGTGTTTGTGTAGAATGAATAAATTATTGAGACCAGAGAGGACATAAATTTGAGAGACAGAATTGGGCATGATGAGTTCTGTTTCTCCATTATGAACATGAAAGGGGTCTAGGCTGTCTACTTGGCAGATGGCTAATGCAAGGTGGAATACGTGGGGCTGGCCCTTAGCAGGGAATCTGGGCTGGAGATAAAGATGTGGACACTCTCAGCTTATAGCTGCCAGTTAAGACTAATCTCACACAAGACTTGCTAATAGTCCGTAAAGGGAAAATGGCCAGGGATAAAATCCTGAGGCACACTGACATTTGGAGAGTAAGTGAGAAACCTAGAGAAAAAATTGAGAAGTGCTCCCCTACACACCTGCCCTAACGCAAAACTGTCACTTTTCCTACACTAATTATTATTTTGTGTATTTATCTAACTCTTCGAAGAACGGATTTTAATCCATTTTATTTTACAGGTTTAACAGATTTTAATATGAGTTTATTTTAATCATCTTTGTATCCCTAGCAACTAGCACAAAATACTCATCAACTTCGATCCATTTTTTGAGTTACTATTTCAATAAATGTAAGTTTATCATTTAAATTTTGGGAGTGTTTTTCACTCAGATTTTCTTTCATTCCTGTTAGGAAACAACCAAGATAAGATTGCTGTTGTAATAGGATTATCTCCAATCATCAGATTGATTAAATGTTCTCTAACCTGTAACTTGCAGTGTTTCTTGAAAAACATCCTTTCTTAGTCCTTGATTTTTGAAAAAAAAAAAATGGCTTTTAGTCAGTGAGCATTAGGAGTTGAAGAAAATGAGTTCATCTTTGGCTGAGAAGTCAATAGGATTCTGCTGCTTACTTTTTTTTTTAATGCCTCTAAAGCTTTCATTCTCAAAATGCATGGGAATAAGCCATTTAGAAAGTGCATCAGTAACAAAATCTTATAGGGCTGTGTATACACATACTTGGTAAAATCTACCTATGATTTTTGAAAATATTTATTAAATTCCAAAACTCAATTCTCTAAAGGTATAAGGCCAATATTAATAATTTTCATTTGATACCAAGAAACACCTTATATCAAACTTGATAAAGGAGTTACTCTCTGAACTAGGAAAATCAAATCTAATTTTCAGTGACCTAAAATTAAGAAAAAAATAGATCACCATTAGCACTAAGTTTGTGTAAAATACAAAATGTCAAATGTATGAATCAGCCTGATATAATTAAGACCTCTGCTCCATGGAACTATTAAAGTAGAAATACACAAACATAAGTCAACAAGCAAATTGTACATTGTAAACTATCATACCCATGTAAACTATACACACCCATGCATACACACACATTCATAAACAATGTTCCAGAGAAAAACACATGCTTCAATAAACAGCAAATCATAAAATTTAGTTTGCTTTTTCAGTAGCAAATGAAAATATATAGAACTTCAGGAAATGAGAAAGTTGGAGGATTCTTGAAGAGGCCTTGAGTTGTCTTTTAGGGATGAATCATCTCCCCAAATTCGTGAACACAGAAATACCCCATGGATTTTTACTCATAGTCTGCTGGCCACACAAGGGAAGAGGAGATATGAGATTGTAGGATAGTAGCAGGTACAAAACTGGTACAGGTTGAATAGCCCAAATCCAAAAAACCCAAGTCTGAAATGTTACAAAAGTCTAAACTTTTTGACTACTGACAAGACGATCTCAAAAAAAATACTCACTGGAACAATTCAGATTTTGGATTTTTGGATTCAGAATACCCAACCAGGAAGTATAATGCAAACATTCCAAAATAAAAAAAAAAATCCAAAATTCAAAATACTTCTGGTGTTAAGCATTGGATAAGAAACAGTCATCCTTTCCTTTACATTTAATAATGGAAAATAAAATGTTTCCTCTAAATTGCCTAGTATTGTTGTACATTATTTTAAATCTGCCATTCCACTGTGGCCTAACGTCCTCAAGCCAAGGTTGATAAAAATGCTAAATATTAACTTAAATTACAAAATACATTACAGATAGAGTCAATGTCCACATCATGTCTCTGTAGAAGCGAGCTGTTAACAGGCACTGGTGGGATGCCTTGCCCTTAAGAGGCTACAGTCTGATGTGAGTTGCTTTATTCTCATCCCGCAAACATCCAGTCCTCTCCAGACACTTGTACTCAGGAATGTGTCTAGGTTTAGCGGGTCCGCCGAAGCTTACACAATTTAAAGAAAACAGCTTCAAACTGGTCAACAAAATTATAACACATCTTAAAACATGTCGCCTTTTGAAACCTAGCATCTGGCTGCGTGCATTTCCAGCTTTGTGACTCCTCCGCTCCACATCCGTCCAGCCCCAGCCCTGGAGGACACACCCTTACTGCCACGCCATCTTTGTTTCCTGACCTGGTGACACCAGCTTACCCTCTCTTAGTCATCTGGTCTCCTCTTCAACTTTGCCTCAAACTTACACAGACAATTCTGGACTTCCAGATATTTGGATTTTAGAGTTTTGCACATTAGAACCCACAGATGCCACCAGCGTACCTTCTGTCTTCTGTTGTTGATTTCACACGACTTCCTGGAGACCTGATGGCCAGACTCGCCTCTGATGGAAAGCAACTGACCTCAATTGACTGAGCAGGAATGCCTGCAACTGGCAGGATAGAACATGTGGCCCAACGCTGAGCACATCTTCCGCATATGTCCTCTGCATGTGGCTTGTGAATAATGCTGTTTGGGATCTGATCTATTTACTGGTTGTTCCACATGAGTATATGCAGTTTTCCTTCTCTGAACCTGATGTCATTACTTCACTGTCATAGCTTTACCTGGCTGGCTGCCTCCTGTCACACTAGCCCATGCACTGGTCACAGAAATACATTTGGGCTAGAAAAAAACCAAGACCTTGAGTAAGCAATTGCTCCAATGGCTAAATCTTGGGCAAGGCTTTCTCCTGGGACTTATTGCTGGAAAATTACACCAGACCTTCTCTACTTAGGTTTGAAAATATTCTTTTGATTTTCATTTTTACCACTATTTAATAAAAATTCTGCCCCAAACCAAAGCAACTCAGTTTTAACAATCTGTTAGTACTGAAAACTCGTATACTTTTAAAATGTCCGAAGGTACCTCTTTTATGAGTCAGGCAATATCAAAAAGTGTATGTCTCAATATAATCAAATATGTTCTTTAAAGAATTTTAGAAAAGTTAGTGGAACAAACAAACAAATGCTGTTTTCAATAACATTGTAATGGAAGTTGAACGTTTTTATAGTTTCTTTTTTTCTAATAGTGATTCCATCAATAGCATCCATGTATATCATCTAACTTAATCTTCACCTCAACTCTGGGACTCAGTGAAGGATGATACAACCTCCAATAACATCATTCTCTTGATATTTCGAGAATAATATTTTGCAGGTATTATCTGTGCAGTTCAACAGCTTTAGCAAAAGATTTACCTCTTTCAGCAGAGCAGAAATTTAGCCTGACAAAAGTGGGGAGGTAGAGAATTAGTGTGAAAAAAGTTTCCCCTTTCCTTTCTCAATTTAAAGGAAGGGTCACAGAATATGGGTCTGAATGAGAGTCACATAGTTTTGAATTTCATTTGGAGCCCCAAACACCACAAGCTGTATACCCTTCAATCAAAAAGAAAATTATAACTCTGAGCTGCATTTCTATCAGAGAAAAGCAAATGTTGTGATTTTTGCACTGAAATCAAATTTAGCTGGAATGATTCAATAAAATGATGGTATCATTATAAATGTTGCACTCTTTCTTAAAGTTTGATTAGTCTAGACACCTGAGTTGAAAAATGACTGTTGCCTGATACTTCAAAGCACACTTGACAACTTTGATTAAATATTTATGTTAAATGTAGATGACTTAAAATGAAATGTGTTCCAATCAAGACACTAGCAAGCAGAACATATGTAACTTGTCAGCGTTAGAGCTCTGGTTTCGGGCAGTTTGATTTGAGGTTCAGCCAACTCCAGAGGTACAGTCAACTCCAGAGGTGCAGCTCTCCAACTTCCACTACTTAAATGGGGGTCACAGCAGGTCTGCGTTTCACGTGGCAGTATCCAAGCAACTCAATATCCAGTAATTCCCTGGAATTGTTGAAAAGAATAAAAAGTAAGCAAGGAGCAGCTTGTTGTATTCTCTCTTTCCTCCTTGTATTACAACCATAAACCCCCATATATGCTCTCTCGTAAACAAGATTTTAGAGCACCGTCGAGGGCAACTCTCTTAATCTTTTAAAATGTTTTTAAAACGTTTGTAATTCCAGTTCTTATTCCTAATTACTTGAGAATTTATATGTGTCTGTTCAATTCAAAACAACCCTATTGCATTTTCTTTTGAAGTAAGCTATCCATAACATATTTGCATTTATGTTCTGAGAGAAATAATTAATATCACCTTAATTGCTGAAGTCAGGAAATTGGAAGCCATGTTTAGCTTCCCTTTGTCATTCCTCCCACACTCTAGCTGGTGGGAAGCATCATCAAGCCTATCTGACATGCTTTGTATCTGTCATCCTCCGGACCAGCCCTGAACCAGACTGGCTCTCCATGGCCTTGCATCAGCCTAGACTGTGGTGCCAATTCTAACTCATGCCTTAGCTTGTGTGCATCTCTACACCACCACAATCTAGCCACACATTCCAGAAAGATCTTAAGTAAATCAAATCTGACATTTTGGTTGCTTTGAATCTACATTCATTAATTCTAAAGGCATTGCTTACATTTTATCATTCTTTTTTTGCTTTTTATCTTTGTATCATATTTTACAGAGATAAGTATGCAATTTTTGTTTTGATTACACTTACTGAAAAAATACATGCTTACTTCACAGAAAATCCAATGACAATTATTTTTAAAAGTGAAAACTGGGCTGGGCACAGTGGCTCATGCCTGTAATACCAGCACTTTGGGAGGCCAAGGCGGGTGAATCACTTGAGGTTAAGAGTTCGAGACCAGCGTGGCCAACATGGTGAAACCCGGTCACTACCAAAAATACAAAAAATTAGCTGGGTGTGGTGGCGGGCACCTGTAATCCTAGCTACTCAGGAGGCTGAGGCAGGAGAATCACTTGAACCCGGGAGGCAGAGGTTGCAGTGAGCCAAGGTTTTGCCATTGCACTCCAGCCTGGGTGACAAGAGCAAAAGTCTGTCTCAAAAAAAAAATTAAATTAAATAAGTAAATAAATAAATACAATATTTTTTAAAGTGAAAACTGAATGACCTCTACCTTGTACTCACTCAAGATTAATCAGTGTTAACAGAGTATTATCTATCTCCCAGGGATTAAAATTTATTCAATGGCTTCCCATTGCTGACAGCATAAATCATACCCTCGGAATTCGTTTTTGGACCTTCCCTCTCTTTTTCCTTGCAAAGTGGAGCACAGACTGGAATGGGAGGAAAATGCACAATGTGTTTGAACTTTTGCCTCTGTTTACTGCACCCATTTATTTCTCAAACTTGAGATTAAACAACACTTCCTCTAGCAAAGTTTTCCTATTGGCTTCTCTTAGGGCTTTTTGTTTAAAAGAAAAGCAGATACTCAAGCCATCACTAGTTGGGCACTAGCAGTTACTTTCAGGATATACAGGTTATTTGAAAATAAAGCTTCAATTATGATAGATTTCATGGAAGCTGCAATTAGCATTGAGACAGCATCATCATCCTTTTTCCTGGTGTCTCCATTTTTATCTTATGTCATCTCTGATGCTCTCTGAAGCCACGCCCTTTTCAGTAGTTGAAAACCTTTTATTTGCTGCTTTCTCATAATGCCAATTGGTACGTAAATTTGATTGTCTTGGCCCTGGCTTAAAGCTACACATGCTTCTGCCTTTTGCCTTCCTGGTTGCTTACCAGCTTTTGTATTTCCCAACTGAAAATTACTGCAAAAAATACTTTGGGTACAATATATACTTTTTTCCTTTTAGGTCACAAGATGTACATTGCTGGCCTCAGCTGGATTTTCCCAGGGTCAGGTGCCCATTCCTACCTAATCAAAGGTAAGGATGAAGTTGGCCTTCTGTGTGAGCCGGTGGGGGAGGGGATGAGATGGTTAACTTCATGTGTCAACTCATCCAGGTTATGGGGTCAAGTTCTTTGGTCAAACACTAATCCAAATGCTGCTCTGAAGGCATTTTATAAATGTTACAATCAATTGACTTTAAGTAAAATAAAAATCATCCTTGATAATGCAGATGAGCTTCATTCAATCAGTCAAAGACCTTAAGAGCAAAAACTGGGGTTTTCAGAGAAGAAGGATTTCTGCCTCCAGACCTTACCACAGAAATCCTGCTGAGTTCCCAGATGCCAGACTACCTTACAGATGTGGGACTTGCCAGTCCCACAACCGCATAAGCCAATCTGATCCTGAAAATATCTACCTATCTATCTATCTATCTACCTATCTATCTATCTGTGTCTATTTTTCTATCTGTCCATTTCTATCTGTCTCTGTCTATCTCTATCTATCTGTCTATCTGTGTCTATTTGTCTATCTGTCCATCTATCTCTCTATCTCTATCTGTCTCTGTGTCTATTTGTCTATCTATATCTGTCTCTCTATCTCTATCTGTGTCTGTCTATCTATATCTATCTATCTATCTATCTCTATCTGTCTGTGTATCTGTCTGTGTCTCATTGTCTGTCTATCTATCTATTTCTATCTCTGTCTGTGGTCAATCTGTGTCCAGTTGTCTATCTATCTGTCTATCTATCTATCTATCTGTGTCTATTTTTCTATCTGTCCATCTCTATCTATCTCTATCTGTCTGTGTCTATTTGTCTATCTGTCCATCTATCTCTCTATTTCTATCTATCTATCTATCTATCTATCTCTGTGTCTATTTGTCTACCTATCTATATCTATCTGTCTATCTCTATCTCTATCTGTGTCTATCTATATCTATCTATCTCTGTCTGTCTATCTATCTGTGTCTCATTTTCTGTCTATCTATCTATCTATCATCTATCTATCTATCTATCTATCTATCTATCTATCTATCTATCTATCTCTATCTCTGTCTGTGGTCAATCTATCTGTGTCCAGTTGTCTATCTATCTATCTATCTATCTGCCTATCTATCTATCTATCTATCTGTCTGTCTATCTGTGAAGATCACATCTATCCTACTGCTGCTGTTTCTCTGGAGACCTTTGACTGATATGTAATTTCTATTTCAAGGGCTATAGTGGGTTGGCACCATAGAGCATTTCTTTGACAGTGTTCTGTTGTGTTAACAAGGTAATGTAAACTGCCATTACAAAATAACCCAAAAGGTCAGCTCCAACAATGGAGATGGATGCCTTGCACACATAGGGCCACTGCATGTGTTCCTGGTGAGGAGTTGGCTTCCACGCACTGTGAGGTGCTCAGGCCTCTCCCATCACGGGGCTTTGCCTTCTCCTAAAGCCTTGGTATCCTTCCATCCAGCTGTCGGATGAGGAAAGAGGGTGGATGGGCACCTCTTCCATTAGGCTCCCTGGCGCAGAAGTGATACACTTCAATTCTCTTCATGTTCCATTGATGTAACAGGTCATGAGTCCTCACACGTTTTCAAGAGTTTGGAAAATGATCTCCCTTGCCAGACTGCCAATCTTCAAAGGGAGTTCTATATGTGGAAGAAAAAGAAAAAATTTATGTGCATTTACCCTGTTTAATACACTCATCATATATAGTATTTTTGCAACAGCAAAAATAACACTCTTAATTTAGTATGTAATTATATATGTCATATACTTAATATACAAAATATTTTCCTTGCTAACCTATACGATTTCAAATGCCTGGAACAATAGATAATTCATGTGATTACTTGAGAGTATGTAAATTTTAATATGTTAACATATACTGGCAAAGTTCTAAAAGTTGCGATTTTATGGGAGGCCAAATTATGTACATATTAGTTTGTCTGAAGACTTGAGCCAAAAGGAAACTAATACACTTCTGAGCTACAATATGGACATAATGTCATGAAGCAGGAACATTATGCTCCATTTCAGGACACTTCTGCTGACCTGCACCTAGAATACCCTGTTCTGTGCTGATGACTCAGATGTAAGAATGATGAAGTGCATCGGCTGGCATGCAGAGAACAATAAGAAAAAGAACTGAGTTGTGGGAAGACATGAGGAAAGGACATGAGGCTCTTAATAACAGCTGCCAAGTACTGCAGTCGGGAATCTGGAGCAAAGTGATTCAATTCTGACCACTGCCTGTGAGTAAATGGGATTTTATTTTTCAATACTTTTGTTTAATAGTACCTCCTTCATTACATGTGAACAGCACTCCAGGACAGTAAATCATGAAATGGGAATAAAGCCTGTAATTTTAATTAACATATTTTAAAATGTTTCTAATTTGTATGCATTTGATCAAATTTTCATTTGCATTGAGCTATTTTTTTTCTTTCTCATGTAATGTTTGACATTACCATTTCTTTCTTTAATGAAATACTAATATTTAATAAAATATATTACATCCTTAATATGACTTGTCAGGAATTTTTCTTCCTCAAACATTTGTGTGATGAAAACGAAACCTCGCTGCACATGGAATCTCAGCTGACAAGTAAAAAGAAGCATTTTTGTATTAGCGATATCTTGTTCCCTCTTGCAACGTTTCCTTCCTCTCACCTCCATGTGACCAAAATAAATGATCAGAGTGGTTCATCCTCACTACTGTCTCCCTTGCAGTGCAGCCTCTGTAACCATGCTCTGGGCAAGCAGGTACTCATCTGGGGACAGGCTCCAGTAATGGAGCATGCAATGCAAAAACTGGCATTAAAACTACATCGGGCATGGTGGCTCACACCTGTAATCCCAGCACTTTAGGAGGCAGAGGGGTGGGCCACCTGAGGTCAGGAGTTTGAGACCAGCCTGACCAACATGGTGAAATCCCATCTCTACTAAAAATACAAAATTAGCAGGGTGTGGTGGCAGGCACCTGTAATCCCAGCTACTTGGGAGGCTAAGGCAGGATAATCATTTGAATCTGGGAAGCGGAGGTTGCAGTGAGCCGAGATCACACCACTGGACTCCAGCCTGGACAACAAGAGCAAAACTCTATCTGAAAAGAAAAAAAAACAAAAACAAAAACAAACAAAAACTACATCACCTGCAGAGATGCTTTCTAAATATTCTTTTTTTTTTGTTTTGGTCAGATATAAAACACATGTATCTGCTCATTTCATTGCAAATAGAGGTTCTAACTGGTCTTGACTCTGTGCTCAATGCCCACAAAGCCATTCTGCACTCTTCTGTGCACAGGCATCAACTCCTCATTCAGTCAGCCAGCCAGGCATGTGAACAGATAGCTCACCAAACAACGTGCAACACAGTGTCCCCACCAGGAGATCTCTATGAGCAAGGATCATGTTGAATTTTTTTAGTATTCCTTGCACTTTGTGGGCACTCAATTAATGCCTTTTTGCCATAAGTGGTAGTTAATAAATGCACCTAAAATTTCAGTATAAAAAAACTACTATTCTTAGGCTTTTAGTGATGAGCTTCCTCAACAAACCTTCCCTCCCATCAGTGAGTGCTTCCCTTCGATCTGCACCTCCCAGTGTCTTGAAAGGAAAAAGAGACTGACTAATGCCCCCATCCAAAAGTCTCTCCTCATTTCATCTCACTTAACATTTCTGCAGAGTTTGCCAAATGCAGCTATTCCTTTTCCTAAAGCAGGATGCGGGAGGGGACGTAAATAGAGATTAGAAAGAAGAAAAATATTCTTACCATGTTGGGGGGCTGGATTTATGTGAAATCCAAAGTGAATCAGTCATTACAGGGCTTGGCACATAGTAATTTTTCCAAAAATGTTACCACTAGTAGTATTTTGTGATCATTAAAGATGCCAGAAACATGTATGCCTCCTTGCTTTTAGCCATGTGGTTATTAGCGCTTGAGATGTACTTTTGCTTACATTTAACGTGTCAAAAATATGCTTCTCTTTAAAGGAACAATCAAAATGTCACTTCCTTTGATTACTTCCTTCATCCCCTTTATGGGGAAAATTATTGGTTTCTTCCTTAACTCTGTTGTTTCCAATGGAAATGATAATGCTAAACCTTCAGCCATGAGAAGTGAGGTATAAAGTCATGGTGATTTACAACATCTGTCTTCTCTCCTACATTAACTGCAGGAGGGAGTAAGTCTAGCAGGGAGGCAGGCTTGGTCTCCCAGTTGCTGAAACACAAAATATTGAGGTAAGATTACAGTTTTTATTTTTAAAAAGTCAGAATTTTGCTTTGTTTTTACATTACGTGATGCTGTATGTTCAACGCATAAGTAAGAAAAATACAAAATTTTAATTTTCAATTTTTAATGTCTTTAGATTAATTTTTAATCTCATTGCAATTGTATGTATATGCATATGTATATGTATTAGGTATGTACATATGAAATACATGTTATACATTTGTATTTATTATGCATATGTAATTTATATATACATATACTATATATGAGATATATATACATTCGTGTACTATATATTGTACATATCTTTTATGTGTATATTATATGTATATGCTCATGCATATTTGTATGTGCACCAACAGCATATTCTCTACATTTCTGCATGAGCTTTTAAAACCAATTACTATGGGCCGGGCGCGGTGGCTCATGCCTGTAATCCCAGCACTTTGGGAGGCTGAGGTGGACAGATCAAGAGGTCAGGAGATCGAGACCATCCTGGCCAACTTGGTGAAACCCCATCTCTACTAAAAATACAAAAATTAGCTGGGAGTGGCTGCAGGCACCTGTAATCCCAGCTACTCAGGAGGCTGAGGCAGGAGAAACTCGTTTTCCACATGGATGTTGTGCAAGTCTCCTTCTGGTTTTTAGTGGCTGGGTTGGTGGTGGGCACACTGGGTGGGGAGGACGACAGGCAGGTCTACCAACCACCTAGGGATACTCATCTCCCCGTGGAAGTCAGTGTATTTGCCAATTAATCTTCTACTTATCCATTGATACATCTTTGTTGAGTCCTGTTCTTGATGCTAAAACATTAGCAGTGAATAAGACAAAAAAATCTCTTCTTTCAGAGAATTTATTTGAGAATTACATACAGTGAGTACTGTGAATAAAAGTAAATACAAACAAGCAAAATAATTTTAAATAGAAGCAAAGGCCATGAAGGAAATGGTTTCAGGGGCCATTATCACACCGTGGTGATAAGGTGAGAAATAAAATGTATTGAGAAAGTGTTTTAAATAACATATTTTTAAATAATTTTTTCAAGGCTAATTCTACCTGCTAGGTTACAGCTTATGGTGAAAATTGGATGCAGATAGCAGAAGAGAACTCAAAGAATATCACCAATACAGAAAGCCAATAGTGTTTACCCTTCTGGGCTGTTGTCAGGATGTCTGGTTAAGTGAAGCTTGTGTCCTCTGGACTGTGGACCACGGAAGACAGGAAGACCTGTGAGTTGCAAATAAAATCCTTGTCCCCCACCCATTGAATGGGCTCCCTCTTGACCAAAGGGATCCCATAGAAACCTTAAAATGAGTTCCCAGCCATGATGGGAAGGGAGGTTGGATACAGCTCATTATAACACCCCCTTATGGAGTTTAGACAAAACTGCCCAGAATTAATGTTAAAATAGATATTATAAGACCAATTGAATGGATTTCATGTGACAATAAGATACCAGATTATAACCAAGATGTAAGGTGATGCCAGACCAGGGTAAGTCCTGCCTGCAGGCCATCAGTCTGGCTAAACAAGGCATTTTGACCCAGCATCTTGTGGCTGACTCTGACTTAAGATCCTAATCTTAGATATTCCTTTCTGCTGACAGCAAGTTTTAGAGAGAGTCTTACTCCTTTAACCAGCTGAAAATTAAAGAATTTTTGAATCCAATTATAACCTGTAAGCTTCCACTTTAAGGTATCCTACCTTTTTAGGCCGAGCCAATGTATACATTCTACATACTGACTTACGTCACTCCTGCTTCCCTGAAATGTATAAAACCAAACTGTAATCTGACCACCATATTTTAAATAGTGTATTTAAAAGAGGTTTAAAATAAACTTTTCTAAAATATTTTAGAGTATAGCTTTTCTGTTAACAGATCTCACCAAGGAGGAAAACTAAGGAGGTAAACATTGTGATGATGATGCAATTCGCTCAGGTTCCTACAGACAGCTCTGTGTATGTTAAAGCTGACAGAATTCTATCAGCCCCACCATGGCTTAGTGCAGGCAATAAGCATTTCATTTTGAATTTAAACTTGTACTTAGAAAAATATATGTATTCGGTTGACCATATGAAGTTTCCATTACTGTAGGTCAAAATCAGTCCAATACTGGTCACTGCATGTGACTCAGCCTCATGTGTTTGCATTTAAATGGCTCCACTGCCTGCTCAGAATGGTATCCCCTAGCAAAGGCCAAGTCCTTTGGCTTCATAAGTAAGCTCCATATTTCCTAGTTACTTCCTCTTTTTAAAGATATCGCTAAATAGGGCTGGAAGAATGCAAAATTTAGAGCTGGAGACGGAAACATAGTTTAAATTGCCTTTCTTTGGAAAGAAGAAAATCTGCATGGAGTTGGCGAGGGAAGAATAGGAAATGAAAGAGATGGGTCTAGAAGGCTTTGACGGCTTTTCCCTGAATCCAGAGGGAGAAAGGTGACAGAACTGGCGGCTAAGAAGCTGAAAGGAGCAACTATGGAGAAGAAAGACTCCTAAATGAGATGTGAGAGGAGAGGCGCTGTGGTAGTTGTGAGGTTAACCCCCGTCCTTCCACCCTTCGAGATCTGTACTCAGTTCTGCATGATCAGGGATGCTCTTGTGCAGGCTGAGCCTGGTTAGGAGAAACGGAAAGAGAAGGTGGCATGGCCATGTGAGAAACACACATAGAAAGAGGGATTCACTTGCATGGACAGAGTATCTGTCTCTTCCTGCCCCTACCAATGAAATATGGGAGCGATAGTTTTGAGAGTGCCTAATTATTTGCCACCTGGGACATTCGCATATCAGAGTCAGTACAGTTTTAAGGAAAAAGATTCAAGCCCCTTTACTTAACATTTTAAACCAGATGTCTAAACATGCATTAATTAATAAAAAGGAGAATTGACTAGGCTTGTTTTTCATATATCTAGAAAAATAGATGATTAACATTTTGGAATGAACTAGGATTTTATTCGAGTAATTACTTATTCACAATGCATTATACATCCTGGAAGTAATAGCTCCATAAAAGCCGTTCATTTCCGCTTTTTCCCTAGCCGTGTGACTGGCTGGCTGGTGTTTCCGGTGGGCGTGGGTGTGTCTGGATGCTCATATGTAGAGAGGGCTGCTCATAACTCGGGAGACGCCTCAGCTCCCTCCTCCTTCTTCCCTCTTACTTTCCCTTTCCCTTTCCCTGTGTTTCTCTCCTCCCTCTTTTACACTTAAAACAGCCACTACTATTCTTCTAACTTCTTGTACAAAGTATCCATGAGCATTTGTACCTCTGTGTTTTATTTATTTGTTGCCGGTTCAGAGGAAATGAGAGAACTTTGTTGATGTTCGTGTCTCTGTTTTATCTTCATTTAATCATATTAACCAGTGAAGAGTGTTTAGTTTATTTTTTTCAGGGCCATTTGATTATGAAAAAAAGTAATGACATGATTTCACCTATTCTGTATTCAGGGCCACATTTACTTCCCCACTTGCATTGCTATTTTTGAAAAAAGATTGGTAATTTTAAATTATTCCTTGTATTGGAGAAATATCAACAATATATAATTTTTTATTCGGCAAACAGCATTTAAGTTTTTATCTAACCGAGAATGTAAGAGATGATTACAAAAATCTTAGTAACTGAAAAGGGATGTGTTATTATATCAGTGATCCTAGGAAGAATATTGTGTTTTCAATGGCTATGGTGCCTTACTGCATGTAAAATGTTATTACACTTTATTAAAAGTTACAAAGGGTGTGTTCAGTTGAAAGCACTATCAACTATCCTTTGACAAATCTGGTGGATCATACCAGTATTTTGCAGTGTGTCATGTTTGACACAAGGGGCCAAACAGAAGTTAAAATATAAAGATATGTTAATCTCTATTAGTGTAAAGGAGGTGCAAAATAAAATAGTTTGCTGAATAAGTTAGCCTAAATGAAGTAGTCTGAAAGCAATCCAATAACCCTGGAATTTATATGTTCCCGATTTATTAAGTAGTTCACAAGGTCTGATATTTAAGAAAATTTAATATAATTATTAGCATTCTGAGATATCTGCATTTGAGTTATTATAACTCAAATGTATTTAGAGTTGTAATCAAATAATTAAAATATGACTGCATAAGTGGGGACTATTTCAGGACTTAAGATACTGGTTTGAAAATGTACATATGTGAATACCATAGTCTCTAAAATATAAGACATTGAACTACTAAACCATTCATTCATACATACACACATTAATTCAGTGGAGTGTGTCTAGGTACTAAAGAAGCTGTGGTGAGCAAACTGTACATTCTCTGCCTTCATAAGGCTCACAGATTTATTATGGAGACAGTAATTTAATAGTGCTATAAATAGTAATGCTACAAAAGAGAAGTATATGGTGCTGCAAGAACACATAGTGGAACCTCCTACTCATGACATGCAGCCTACCAGACACCTCCAGCTTAGCTCAAAGAAGGAAACCTTTAAGTTCCATATTTCATATACCCATTACAGTATTCAGTCACTCAAACCTCAGTGTTGAGACAACATTGTAACAACCCACAACCCATCAGAGGCAATGGGAGGATAGTCAGAAGAATCAGAACAAGTCTTCAGCCTTTACTGGCAACTGGGAGGAATTATAACTGGAATTTCCAGCCACAGTTTTGCCATGATCTTGTAGGCGCCTGGGAATCTTATGAGATGCAGCATTTGTCCACTAATAGTGAGAAAGTTTTCAGATGGGTCTTAAATATGACCTAGATCTAAATATATATCACCCCAAATGCCAGAAGAATACACAAATTTGAAGAATCTCAGCTGAGACTGTAAGCCTCCGTGATCTTTGTAAATGGAAGTAACAAAAATGGTTTAAGACAAAAGAAGATGCTTGATATCCCTGGAAGGTAGACACATGGACCATGGTGAAGACTACCTCCTTGACAAAGAGGAGGGAAGAAGACTGATGGCTGCAGTAACCAGAGGAAGCTGCTGGACCAGTATTCCTGAGTTGCACACAGGAAAATGCCCTGAAATTCCACTCTAGCACTTTTGTTATCAAGCTTCCCCAACAGAAAGCACTGTTCTGGGAGAACATACCGCAACCATTTTTCTTTATAGAGGACATCTGCCAAAGGTTGACCTTGTCAGCGGCTACATTTTGAAAAATAATTAAGATGGAGAAAGCTTCCTCCACTTATATAGAGATAGCAAGTAAAAAATTCTTGCTAAAATTATAAATTGCTGATCTCTTCTCCTACCAAGTTAGGCCATTAGTGTATTTACCACAGCTTTATGTATTTTCCCCCCATTTATCAGATTGTGTGTGTGCAGTGTGTGTGTTCGGGGGGATCTGTCAGCATACCTTGTCAGTCGAGAAGTTTTACTGTCAACTCAGACAAGTTTCAAACATTGTACAGATTCACAGAGAAGCAAATTGGTTTTCTGGCCCCAGAAGACTCCCTGGGTTGTATTATATGAGTATAGGGAAGGCAAGCTCAGGTTGATCGATTAGTGGGAGATTGCAGGGGCACTTCTGTAGTGCAGACTAAAACAGGAACCTTCCTAGAATGGCAGGGAGCTTGTGAATCAAGTCTTCCTGGATTAAAAGTCATCGCAGACTATAAATTCCCAGGACCAATTCAAATATGTGAATATCATATAATTCATTAGAAATGACTACTGGATCATTTGGTTTTATGGGTTCCATGTTAGTTAGGAAGATACAATTTAAGAGGAAGATGAAAGTATATATACAATGTCTTCATTTATTAATAAAATAAAATTCACAAAAAGTTACAATATTTTATGTTATATATTAGTCATTGAGTACCCAATAAAAGAAAATTTTCAAAAAAAAATAACTTTTTACAAGTAGAAACAGACTTTATTTGGAAACATGAAATACATACATTTTGTCTCTTACCTGGAAGCATTATCAATATTTAAAGATAGCATTTAAAAATGTTGTGTATGGTACCCACTTTCTCAAAGTAAATGTGTTTGCAAGAAATACACTATTTATTAGACAGGCTCTAAAGAGTAAAAATCAAACAAGTAAACAAATAACACAATTATGTTGAAAAACAAAGGGTATCCAGTAAAAGAGAATAACTAGGTATTGTATTCAGTCTTATTCAGATTAGTGAATAGATAGTTTTGTTTTCAATTATTCAATGATATAATAAAATAATAATTTTAACTTTAATCATGTGTGTTTTACATGCCATTTTAAACAATATGAACATTGACAGAGTTAATATAGAAATTTGTCTCAAGCTATGCTGACTGGAGATGGAGTAATATGGAGAACAAGTTCATTTATTATACTCAAGAGATTAAATTCTTCAAGTCCTAAACCTACTGCAAAAAGCCCTTATGTTTTATTCCTGGTTATAGTTCAAATCAATTGAACTAGTGGATAAATAATTAATGCTTCTTGTAAATAATTCAAGGGATTTATTTGGCTAGTATCACATTTCTTCTATGTGAGTGATTCTCTATGTTGTTGGTTATATGACCAAATTCTAACATCTCGAAAGAACAAAACACTTCTAGAGATGTACCTATTAAAAATAATTCAAGTTATTCTGTCAAATATGTATAAACTTGTATATTTTTCTTCATTAAAGCATTTATTAAGTTAATACCTCTACATATATAAACGAAGTTTTAAAGACAAATATCTGTCTATAGGAATATACTTGTAATTGATTTACTTCAAAGAAAATAAAAAATAATTCTGTGCAAATTTGTTATACCTATACTTTTATTTAATTTGTGACCAAAAAAAAATCCAACTTCATTGATCCCCTAAAAATCACCTCTTTTTTATGTTTTTATCATGTGAACATTTGATAAAGAAAATATTACTTGACCACAAAACAGATATACACTTGGACTTAAGAAGGGGAGAATGGAAACAATTGCAATCCAGGGAAAATAAATTGTATAAACAACAACATAGGAGAACATACAGGTGGATACATTCAGGAGCTGCTGCATAATAACTGTCATGGAGTCTTGGGCTGCCAGTTGATTCCAAAGCCTGTGGAAGGAATGGCCCAGCTTGATCTCCTCGTAGGAGGGCCTGAGTGCTGTCTGCTCACTGGAAAGCATCCAGAGGAGAAGCATTCCTAGGACCCATCAGTCACAAATAAGCTCTGCCTCAGAAACCTGCAGGAGGTGGATTCCATGAAAGAGACTGACATTAGCTAAAGGAGGTCAGAAGGACCCTAGTTGAGATAAGTGGCTTCAAGTATCTCAGGCCTAGTGTAGGGATCTGATTTCAAAAAGAAATAGATAGAGTATATATTATACAGGCTTTTCCAGGGTAAGTACAATTCCTTCTCCCAGTATTGCAACTGTAGTGACAAAGAAATACATGATTCTTAGTCTCAGTTTTGGTTTATTTTTATTTTTATTTATTTATTTATTTTTGAGACAGGGTCTTTTTCTGCCACCATGCAGTGGTGCCCTAATGCCTCACTGCAGCCTCGACCTCCCAGCTCAAGTGGTCCTCCCACCTCAGCCTCTCGAGTAGCTGGGACCAGAGGTGTGCACCACCACACCTGGCTAACTTTTGTATTTTTTGTTGAGTTGGGGATTTTCCATGTTGCCCAGGAAGGTCTCAAACTCCTGGGCTCAAGCGATCCGCCCACCTCAGCCTCCAAAGTGCTGGGACTACAAGTGTGAGTCACTGCACCTGGCCCTAGTCTGAAAACTAGGGTGTAGACAACCAACTGTGTCTTTCATGTCAATAAAGTTGTTCATTAGTTGAACAGCTAACAACCAACAACACAATTGGTTGTCTACACAGTAGCCATCTCCTCCCATCTTCAACAACTGGACTCTTGTTTTCTTCATCTTCCTCTGAGTACTCATGTCCTTTGTGGAAAGCTGGAATCCTCCCAGAGCCAGAAGCTGCGTACTCATTAGCCTCGGCCAATTCTGAATGTCTCCTTCCTCAGTCTAGGTGTGTGGTCTGTGTGAAACACACTCTGCCTAATAGATACTAAGGAAAGTTTGCTGGAAGGCTCAGAGATGGTTTATCTCATTTGTGGTAATAGGAATAAGATGGGTTTTCTCTATTCTGCCCCTTTGGTAGGTGACCATTAGAAGGGAAACAACCATCCCTGGACTATTAAGGGAACACCTAGAGAATTGCAGGAAAAGTAAACAGTCATTGCCCTCTTATTTTCATACTTCTTTTCTGTGATGCAATCAAGTCTTCATTTTTGATGCCGTTTTTAATAAGCCATCTGTAGTTTATAGACGAGGCATTCTCAGATGCATATTAGGAGGTCAGATGCAAGTTGGAAAGACATTAAAGGCAGGTTGAGACAAGATTATCAAGGAGGCAGAAGTCTGATCCTTTTGTAGTTTATAAGCGTGATGATTGGGTTTTCATGCTCATGTGTGAGAAGTGCCTTCCTCAAACCTTGTTATGCTGTTGGTGCATTACTCATGTGATGAGAAAAAAAAAAAAGGAGGCAGAAGTCAGACCAAGGGGTATAGGCTTTCCTTGATCAACAGTGGGGAGTCACTGATGGGGTTTGAGAAGGGGAGCGACATGATCAGCACTGCACTTCAAAGCATTATTTTAAAAGTTGAGCGTGGGAAGGATTTAAGACAAGGCTCAGAACATTTTGCCACTTGGAATGCATTGTTGAATATTCATACAAAACTAGTTTATGGCTCAGCATAAACAATTTTTAAACACAAAGTAAAATACAGTATGTGTTGCCATGGTAGTGACAGAGCCTAGGAAGATAATGACAAGCAGAAAAAAAACGGTGCCATTGTAATTTAAATCACTATAAAGCTTTCTAGAATTTAAGTGTGTTTTCAGTCAGAGTATTTTGAATACACAGGGAAAAGATTATGGTTATTTTATCGTTCTTGCTGAGAAAGGAAAGAACAAAAGAGGGGTGTTTCCTTTTTGCACATGAGACCTATAAAGCTAAACAAAATCAAGTTCATGCAATCAAAAAGCTGACTAGGGTTTGAAAGACTGAATGAGTCAATTAACAGTGAAGCTCCAGTGCAGAGCACAGACTGGTGAGGTACCATTGTTAGCATTGGCTGCAGTCCCCTCATGATGATAAGAACGGCTAACAGGCATTGTCTCTGATTACATGCTAAGCTCTGCACTGACACACAGGCACGAGTCCTCTCTGTATCCTTCACCATCAATCACATGTGCTAATGGTGATGAAGTGTGATGTGGGTAAAGAAGACATTGCTGAATTCAGAGATATGATAAACACAAGTAAATAAAAAGTAAAGCCATAGAAGACATAAATGGTTAATGCCAGAATTTCCAAAAGTATGAATTAATAAAGGGTATGAAAAGATGATGGATATATAGATATTAATATAAAGGAGGTAAGTTTTTCAGAGCTTAAAATTGAAAGCAGTGTTAAGCAATTATTTAAGGGGGAAATTACTGTATGTAAGAGGGAGAGAGAGGTTATACAAGCAAAAAAAAAATTCCTCAAATAAACTGAGTGCACATAACAAATGTTATATTAAGTCAATGCAAGTGAGATTTGAAAGTAGATAGAGAAGAACAAACACACCAAAAAAAAAAAATCAAACTTCTTCGAATGTATAATTGAAGACAGTAACCTCCCAAAACTATTATGGCAAGAAGCCTCACCTCTCTTAGACTCACCCACTACTATTTCTTGTATGGATGGCAGTGTGGGTGCACTTTGCATATCTCCATTTATGAAACAGGAATAAGTGAACTAAAGGCATTAAAACTTGGGAAGGAAACTCCATCAGGGATGAGGACTCTTCTGACTATAGTCAGCCTATTTCTGTAAACCTGAAAGACTGTTCTAGGGCAGGGGTTCTTTAGGCTCCGCCCCCAGAGGTTCTGATCAGTAGGTCTGAGGCAGGGCCTAAGAATTTTCATTTCAACAAGTTTCCAGGTGATGTTGCTGCTGCTTCTGCACACTGAAAACCATTGCACAGTATTAGAGGACTCCAAAGTTCCCTGTGTCACCCTCCAAATAACCAGTGGCTGTTCAAACTCCCTATGGCTTTCACAGTCAAGCTTCTCAAAAGGGCTAATAACAGAACATCCAGTTCCTTACTCCCATTCCCTCCTTGGGCCACTTGAATTTGGTTTAAACTTTGCACTTGCATCAGAAGCTCTAGTCAGAGCTACCAAGCTCTCCAACATCTAGTTAACCTCTTGATCTCAAGGTGCCTTGCTGACCACTCGACTTTCTGGCTCTCAGTGAGGCATACTCTTCTTGTTTCGTTTCCTGATGCCAGTGCACTGCTTTTCAGTCTCTTTTGTTGACCCCGATCTTCACTGGTTACCATGTTGTAGCTATATTTACTTATAAAAGTTTCAAAGAGATCATAGGAATGTCGTGTTTAAATCTTTAAATGGCTTCTCCCTTCACTTAGGATCTTTTCACTGTACTGCATTCACAGGACCCCTACAGTTAACCACCAATCATTCTTCAGATCAGTCTCCCTGTGGAAAGCAATCCTTGCTCCTTCTAAGAGCACCTTGAGCTTTGCGTTGGCTTGCTAGGGGTGCCATACAAAAGTGCTACAGATGGGTTACTCAAATACAGAAAGTACCCCATCTCTAGAGGCTGGAAGTCCAAGATCAAAGATGTCAGCAGGTTTGATTTCTCCCAAGGCTTCTTTCCTTGGCTTCCAAATAGCCTTTTCTCTGTATGTGAGCATACCTGGTGTCTCTCAGGATGTCCATATGAACTCTTTTTATGAAGACATCAATCAGATTGGATTAAGGCCCCTCCAAATAGCACCATTTTAATTTTACCTCTTTAAAGACCCAGTCTCCAAATACAGTCACATTCTGAGGTGTTAGAGGTTAAATTAAGCCTTCAACACATGAATTTTGGGGGAACAGAATACAGTCCATAACACACTTCTGCATTGCAGCTTTTATCAGATAGAATTATAATTAAGTTATTGCTGAACTTCCGTGCACTCCCCGCTGAGGTGCTCAACACTGAGTCTGCAGCATCTGCCATGTGTCTGCCCCATGGAAGGTCAAGGTTCACTTGTTTCCTATTGAACGAAAGAATCATGGTCAGAAAAAACCAAGGATACAATGAACTTGGAACCAGTTTTCCCACCACTTGCCTGGACATTCCCAAATACAGACTCACCAAACAAAATGCCTGTGATTCACATGGCTTAGCAGTAACCTCGCCTCTCCCCAGAAACTGGGTGGTCAGAGGCAAAGGGCAATGCCCTACCCCTTCAGGGGACAGATGTAATTCCAAGGCAGAAAAGTCGAGCAATTCAAGGGAAAGTGTTCAGAATATAAAAATCCACTTGCTGGGCTACGTGAATTTGATGACCAAACACCATTCTCTCCCCAGTTCACCTTCTCCAGCAGCTAAATACAAAGAATGCAAATAATCAATATCCAGTCTCCTAGTCCAGGTTCTCATTATTGGATCTAATAATGCCAAAGCAAACACGGGTACAAGGAAAATCTATTCTTTCTGTGCTGTTGCATCCTTTCTTCTGCCCTTGGTCAGGCTGAACAAGACATAGTTCCTTATGTGTAGGCTGTTGTCCGACACCAGATGGTTAGACGTTATGTAGCAATCATATAAAATTAATTTAACTTTTTACTTTATGGTTAAACACAATTACTGTTCTTTGGAAAAAAAGAAACTTTACACAAATACACATAAAGTAAAAAAGCTGTCATTCAGAAAGTTGTCCCTGTCATCATATTTCCCATGTGTGTCTAATTTTATATGCATATATTAAAATATGCATGCATAGTTTATGCAAACATACACATTAAATGAAAAGGCAAGTACTCTAGTCAGTGATTTTTCAGGTGCTTTATCTTTATAGTGATCTTTCTGATTGTGAAAAATGCTTTAGATCTTTTAGGTTTCACCATTAGATCTATCTCTTGTGTCCATGTAGAACTGGTTTTGGTACATTCTGTAATGTAAAGAATATAATTATTCTTTGTTTTTTGTCTTTTTAAAATTACAAAAACTCTTCCTTTAAACATTTAAAATAAAACATTGCTTATTTAAAAACATCAAGAGATTCGATGAACTTTTGAGTAAAATGAGATGATGATCCACTGTTTCTTCTTTCCTCATACCCTCAACCCACCCCTCAGAGGTCATTACGGGTTACATTTTTCATGTAGATTTACAGACATTCTTCTTTTATACCTCATTAGTAGGCTAGTGTCATAGTCCCATTCAGGCTGCTATATAACAAAGTGCCTTAGATTGAGTAACTTATAAACAATGGAATTTATTGCCCACAGTTCTGGAGGTTGGAAAGTCTAAGATCATGGCCCAGCAGATTTGTGTCAAGTGAGGGCTCTCTGCTTCAGGTATGGTCCCTGCTAGCTGTGCCTTCACGTGGTGGAAGGAGCCCTTGGGCCTCATTTATAAGGGCACTAGTCCTACTGTTGAGGACAGTGTCCTTATGATCTACTCATCTCCCAAAGGCCCCACCTCGTTATATTGTTGCATTAAGAATTAGGTTTCAGCATTTAAATTTTAGGTGGACACAAATCAGATCATAGCAGCTAGTTACATCTCCTCTTTTTTAATCAAATTTCAGCAATAAGTAATGCTGTAACTTGCTTTTTCATACTT
The DNA here is from genome assembly GCF_000001405.40 of Homo sapiens. Lineage (NCBI taxonomy): Eukaryota > Metazoa > Chordata > Mammalia > Primates > Hominidae > Homo > Homo sapiens. The sequence continues at coordinate 54,364,160 of NC_000007.14, forward strand.
AACACTTGCTTGGTCATTTCATGTGTCCAATGTAATTTATTTCATTTTTCTTTAAAGTTACATAATATTCTAACATCATAGTGAATTTAACTGTGCAGCCATAGATTGGTATTAAATTTGTTTCTAGTTTTTTTTTTTAGTATTATAAATAATATTGCAACAAATATTTCTGTGCATGCTTCATTTTACACAGAAGCAATGATGTATGCTGGACTAAATTCTAAGATTTAAATTATCAATTAAATTTTGAAAAAGACTTCCAAACTGGCTCCAAAAAATTTGTATCAACCTGCATTCCCACCAATAGTGTATGAGAGTAATCTTTTTTCCTACCTCATCTCAATTTAGCATATTTAAAGTTTTCTTTATTTTTTCAGAACTAATGAACAAAATAGTATCAATTGCATACTTTCCAATGTACCAATATTTTCTTCTTAGTTTTTTGAATTCTTTGTTTTGTATTTGTATTACATATTCTTATTTCACCTTCTTTATATTAGGTTTTCAGCTTTAAATTATTTTTCAACTTATTTGAAGTTTTTATATTCATTTGTTCACGTTTTGTTGAAAGTTGAAATCTTTTTCCTGCTTTATTGATGGCAAATACTTTCACCTGTATGTCGTTGCCTATTTACCTTTGTTTAAAATTGTTTTCACTTTTTATGTAGTTCAGCTTTTTAACTTTGTTCTTTGCTTAAGAAAGTCCCACTGTAAGATATACATACATCCCTACATACTTTTGTCTAATAGTTTAAAACTTGTAATTTAAGTTTAGACTTTTTATCAAGTTGGACGTGGCTCTCTTTGCCATGTACGAGTCCAGATGGACCTGCTGTCAGGGAGAGGTCACGCCTGCTCACCCAAGGCCTCTCCTCCCTTCATGAATCCACTCTAGTCAGGTTTACTAGCAGCTTCTCCAAGGATCTCAACATTGCCAAATCCTATGGTTGCGTTTTAATTCCCCTCACATTCTGCTTGATAGGTGTGTTTGATATTGGCATCATTCCTTTTTCCTGGAACACTTTCTTCACTTAGTGTCTGCAGCAGCACTCTCTCCATTCTGGCCACTGTTCTTAATCTCCTTGGCTAGTCATTGGCCCAACCTCTAAACATTCACACGCACAGGGCTCAGTCCTGGATCTTTTCTCTGTGTCTGCATGCTCTTCCTATGTGAGTTCATCCAGCAAAATGTCTGGGTCTTGGCATATCCAAAAACATATTTATTTTGCCTTCACATTTGTATCATAGTTTCACCTACATAAATGCATTTTCCTCAAGCCAGTCCAAAGCATAGACCTTGGAATCAGGCTTTCTGAACTTGAATCCCTTTCCACCACTTACCAGCTATGTGTCTGTGGGCAAGTTATTTAACATCTTTGTATCTAAACTTCCTTCCCTGAAAAAAAAAAGAGGCTAACAACTCATTGAGTTGTTAAGAAAATTCAGAGAAACATGTACAAAGAAGTTAGAAAAAAGACTGGGCTAAATATGTTAGCTATCACTATTATTTGAAGACATTATGCTTTAAAATAGCTGGTTCTATTCTGTGCATTGCTACTTTTTAAGTAACCTTTCCAAGATTTTCTACTTGGAAAGATTTCAGCATTCTTTCTTGAAACATAGACATTTCACTAGGATGGCTCCAAGTGTGAATATTTTTTCTCCCAAAACATTTCACCTGGGCATTTGATAAGCCTTTGGATCTAAAAGCCTGTCTTTCCTTGGTTCTTGAAATGTTTTAACAATCAATTCTTTGAATTTTGTTTGTTCTCTACCCCTATGGTTCTTCCTACAGAACTCCTATTATGTAGATATTGAAGCTTCTCGATAGATGTTCCATGCCACTTATCTCACTTTTCTCATGAAGTTTCCTCTCTTTTTCCTTTTACACTGTTTTTGAATACCTTTCAGCTTAATCATCCAGATCACCAACATGTAAGTACTGCCTTTGAATTATATTCTTTTGGAAATTTTACTTACGATTTCTTAAATAATTTAGGTTGCTTTTTGCATATTACTCTGCTCATTCATTATACAGAAAAACATTCATATTTTCATTAAAGCCTCTGCTTTTCTGTTGTCAAAAATGTACCCGATAATTAAGGAGATGACTTGATTAAGACTACTATAATAGAGAAAAGGTTCATTAATAAGGAATCTCTCAGAATAAAAGAAAGAAGATCTAGGATTTTGTGGAGACAGATAAATGAGTGAGTCTTGAGAAATGATGAAGGCAGGGCTTATGTCAAAATATAGAGTGGTCTTTTTAGGTTAGCCATCTCTCAGAACACAAGAGGGTGGGAAAATTTCTTAACTTTTGCTGCTGCTTTCCAGGAGCAAAGAACTTAGATAACATTGAACACTCTCAACCACACTCATTTTGGTTTTTTGTTTATTTCATCTGATAGTTGAGTTTGGTAGCTTCCTTTCACACAAGTGAGTTACCATACATTTATGATAATTCTTTCATCTATGTCCACTGTGTGCACGTGTGTAAAATGAGAAAATGCTTATAACATCATACCTTTCAGCTATTTTCATCAGTCACACAAATCATCATAGATGCTGCCACACTTTCCAACACAAATAATATGTCTGGCCAGCATTGATATTTTCATCAGTGTCTTCATTTCTTAACTTTGTCACAGTTTCTCTTGCTGAGCCCATTCCAGTGTTTCTGTGACAGGTTCCAGTGTTGAAAGCACTGCCAAGCTAGCAGCTCAGTGGATCATAGAAATTATGAGATCCTTCTCTTCCTGTTCCTTTTAATTTGAGTGGTCGTATGTTGTTAGTGAAGTGGAATAGAAATAGAAATTTCCAGATGTCTTTTTAAAAATGCATTAAAACACCATACACAGGACCCCATTAGTACTGTTCATCAAGCAGGTTGAAGGAGCTCAATTGCATAAATAATAGTCTTAAACTGGTTTCCAGCTTATTTTAGTATTCAAATAACGACACTCAAAGATTTCAGGGAGTCATCCTGTCTAATTGCCTCCACCCTATCTAGTATCTGAAGGATAGAGACTGTAGACTTCTATTAATCTCACAGCAGTTCTAAAGGTTGGACTTGTTTAAAACCATGATGACCAGGAGCACATTATAGGTTTATATTTACAGGTGGGCATCCCAATAATTAGTTTCTTGGAAGTGAGTTAGGGAAATTACACTGCTTCTAACAGATGAAGAGTCCACCTGGGAGCCTCCAGGATCAGAATACCCATATTGATTTTTTTTTGGTTGTGGCAATTTAATACTGCTGTTAAAAACAACTTTCAAACCCAGATGAAATGCACAGAGAAAAACTTGTCTGAGGGCATTGGAGAGATATTGAACCTGCCAGCACCTAAAAGTACAAAATTCCAGAACACGGACCTTCCAGAGAGGTAAGCCAGCATTCCTTCAGGGCATTTGCCAATTCCAGGCCCAGTTAAAAAAAACTGAGATCGAAAAATAAGGACAAGAACCAGAGAAACCTGAAAAATGGTTACAGTGTTGCAGAGCTAGAGGGAGGGGTTAGGAAAAAACATTGGAGAAGGCAGGATTCTAGAAAGAAAGAGGAAGGTCAGAGAACTCAACACTTCACCCACTCCACAATCTCATTCTCATGTCTGAAGCTGCTTGTTACAGAAGACCAAGAAGTTAAAGAAACAACCTGACATTCTTGAGAACTAAGGAAAATAGGATTAGCATAATTCAGGATCACCTGAGGGAGATAAACTCCAGAAATGGGAGAAAATTAGAGAGTGATAGAGTGCTATAAAACCTTGCATTAACTCAGGCTTGAATTGGATTAGGGTAGTTAACTCCATTGTATCTGTAGAAAGAAAACACTTTATAAATCTCTACAATTTTTCTAATATAATGCACAGCATTTAGAATACAAATCACTCCAATAAATAGGATCAAAGGATCAAAAAAGAAGTATAAAAAACAATTTCAGAGAAACAATTTCAGAAGTGGTCTAGTTTGTTATTGGAGTTTTGAACAAAGATTTTTTAAAAGATATGTATAATACATTCAGAAAATAGAAGAAAAGATTTTTAATTTCTTTAAAAATATACAGCTAACAATCTAATGGAGGAGTAATGTTGCACAAAATATCTCCTGATGAATCTAATAGAAGAAAAGAAAAATGAAAAAAAGACAAATGGTTCAAATATAAAATAAATATAAGCTGATAAAAAGACAAATATATCAGTAATTATATTAAATGAAATGCCCTAAATAGTTTAATTAGAAGACTAATAATGTCATGCTAGATTATTTTCATAACAATGCACTGCTTCCAAGAAACATACTTTATAAGATTAAAAATTATAAAAGTTTAAGTAAAGATTATAAAATTTAAGTAAGTTTCAAGTAAAGACAAAACTATACCATGCAAGAACTAACCAAAAGAAAGCACACGATGCTTTGCTACTGCTAGTAAATAGATATTTTAATGATGAGTCCATGCACAAGGGAGATATTATAATTCTAAACTGATATTAACCCAAAAAGCATATATGCCTTAATATACACACACACAGAGAGAGAGAGAGAAGAGAGAGAGAGAGAAAGACAGAGAGAAAGAGAGAGAGAGAGAATATGTAAAACTAGTAGAATGCAGCTAAACATTTGTTTAGGAAAAGTTTATTTTTAAATACAATATGAGAAATTAAAGAAAGTTAGAAATCAATTATCAAACTCTGTATCTCAAAAACTTAGAAAACAGCAGTAAATTCAATCCAAAGAAAATACAAGGAAGGAAATTATGTGTAAGTTTTTTGTTTTAAAAAAAGAAAACACATAATATAAAAAAATCCAGAAAACCAAACCTGGTTTTTTCATAAGACTAATAAAATGTATAGGCTTATATAACAAAACTGAATTATTTAAAAGCATAAATTATCAACAGCAAGAGTAAAAAACAAAACATCATTAGAGATCCATTGACATTATACAATTAATAAGAGACTATTATGAACATTATTAGAGCAAACACAATTTACAAAACCTGAAATTGGAAGGAATGAAAATATAAATAGGCATCTTTATTTTAAAGTAATTAAATTTGTAATTAAAGACCTATTCATCTCATGAAGAAATATATAGGCCCAGATGACCTCATTGGTCCATTCTTTCAAGCATTAAAATTTCAAAAAAATACACAAACTTTTATGACAATGAAAATGAGGGCAGTTCAGCATTCTGTGAGGTTGGAACAAACTTGACACAAGAGATTATCAAGGACATAACAGAAAAATTATAGATCAATTTTTGTTATGAACACAGAAGCAAAAATATATGTATATAACATTGGAAATCAAATTTAGCAATATAAATATAAGATAATACATCATGACCAAGTTGAGTTTATTCCAGGAATACAAGGTCAGCCAATAGTTGGAATTCAGTTTATTTCCACATGAAAAGTAAATTTTTTTAAAAAAAAGAAAAAATACACAATTATTTCAATATATGTAGTAATATTTTTAACATCCATTTATCACTAAAACAAAAACTCTTTGCAAACTGGAACTAAAAGTTGTCCCTTAGTTTGATAAAAATATTTTTAAAATGTCTGCACAAATATACTGAATGGTGAAATAGTGAAAGCTTCCCCCTGGAATTAGGAACAATTTAAGGAGGCTCACTATGACTGCTTCTATTCTATTATGCAGGAAATTGTAGCCAATGCAATAAGACAAAGAAATAGCAGATGTTGCTTACAAAGAAGGAATTAAGTTATCACTATTTGCAGAGATTATGACAGTACATATACAAAATTCAAAAGACACTGAAAATAGGCAATTAAAATTAAATGTAACTAGGTGGCTGGACACAAGATCAACACACAAAAATTAATCAATAAATCAATGTATTTATATATACATTAGTGACAAACATAAGGAAAAGTTTTCTTCTAGATATCAATTTTAGTAATAGGAAAACACCAGAAATATCTAATGCAAATTTATCTTTAAGTATAAGACTATTACTTTAAAATTACAAGACAGTATTAAAAGAAACTTAAAAAAAAAAACTAAGTAAATGAAAGGATATACCAAATTCATGTTTGAAAGGCGGGTGGCAAGAGTGGCCTGGGCTGGGATGCACCAAGAATATTGTAAACATATGCTTTGCCCCAACTTATCTATTAATTCAACTTAATTTTAATTACAATCCCAGCAGGTAGTTTTTGTTGAAGTTGGCAAGCAGATTCTTAAACTTATATGAAAAAAAAAAAAAAGAGCCAAGACCACCTAAGACCAATGTGTGGAAGAATAAAAGTGGATATTTTCTAATGCCATATACTGAAACATCCTAAGGTAACTAGAGTTGACAAATCCATACTAAATTATACATTGTACTATTGGTGCATTTATAAACAAAAAGACCAATGAAACAGAACAAGGACCCCAAGAACAGAACTTGTATATACATGGTCACTAGATTTATAGCAAAGTGACCCTTCAGTGTAATGGGAAATGACTTTTTAAAAAATGTAACTAGGTGTACTAGATATTAATAGGAAAGAAACGAATCTTGATCCTTCATATCACATGCATAATAAAAACAACAAAGAAAATTTAGGTCTTCAGGTGAAAGATTTAAAAATATAAAGTTTTACAAGGAACAAAGATAATATTTTCATATCATTAGAGTAGGCATATATTTTTCAAACAATGCACAAAAAGCACTTAACAGAGATGAAAATCTTGACAAATTATATTAGACTAAATTTAAGAGCACTCGTTTATCAAAAAAGCACCATTAAGAGAGCAAATCAGAGTGGGCAAGATCTTTGTAATACACATATCTAACCAAGGACTCATATCCATAATATGCACAAAATATCTACAAAAGAGTAAGAAAAGCAAATCTAGTAGAAAAGTGGCAAAAGATTTGAACAGATTTTCACAAAAATGGATATCCATATGAATAATAAACCTAAAAAAAGGTTCAACTTCATTAGTAGTCATTAATAGCCACTAGACAACCATTAGAATGGTTAAAATGAAAAATGCAGATAATACCAAGTGCTGACAAGGATGTGCAGTGACTAGCATGCTTGTGCGCTCCTTGTAGGAGTGTGTATTGATGCAACCTCTTTGAACAGCAATTTGGTCACAGCCTCTACACCAAGCATGTGCAAATCCTGTTATCCAGTGGTTTCTCTTCTAGCTGTGTTCTCAACAAAATGCAGGTAGCAGTTATTTAAAAGGCCTGCACAAGAATGTTCATAGTGACACCATTTATAAAAGACCGAAATTTGAAATATCCTAAATGTTCAATGGCAATGGGATGAATAAAAGGGGATTGGAATATTCATTCAATAGAATTCTATAACAGAAATACTATAATAGACCATCTATGTCCTGTAGGCCAAATCTGGCCCACAGCTTATTTTGGTATGGGCCCCAAGCTAAGAATGTTTTTTTAACATTTTTAAAGATTTGTTTAAAAAATACATCTTAATAAGACATTCGACAGAGACTGCACATGGCCTAAAGAGTCTAAAATATTTGCCACCTGACACTTTACAGAGTTTTGTCAACCCCTACACAACACTGACATTGAATGAAATATTGCTGTATACTCTAATCTAAATGAATCTCACTGACTTCATATTGAGGAAAGAAACTAATGACAAAGGTACATACTATATTATATACTCCATTTATATGTGTTTCAAAAGCAGGAGAGACTAATCTAGGAGAGCAGATGGTTGTAACAAAGGCTAGCTGTGTGGATAAATCCTGGCTGGGAGGAGGTGCAATGTGGCCTCTGAAGTGAAATGCCCTGATTTTCCATCTGAAGATGGTTACATGGGTGTGTTTCCTACGTGGGAATTCAATGAGATCCACAATTGGTTTGTGGACTTTTTGGAGGCCGTTTTAATTAAATCAAAATTTAAAGTAGCCTCCTAGACAAATAATGGAGCCTCAATGTCAGAATGTGGGAAATTCAGGGAGCTGCCCACAGTTACCCCCGTCACCTGCCTAGCACCCCCTCCTCCAAGTGCTGCCTTCTGAATGTCAGGTTTTTCTGCAGAAGCACACTTTCTTGGAAACCCATCTTCCCGAAGATCTATTTTTGTCTACATAGGATTGCAGGTTCTTTGGTTCCTTTAGGCTTCACGATTAATTTTGTTGCATTTGATTTACACTTTTCAAAAATTCTTCTTTGTTATAGTTTTCCATCGGCTCTCATATGTACTTTACAACTTTTATATTTTTCTCTTCTTAGTCTTTATTTTGATAAAACGATTTTCAATCTTTTGTCATCAAGTAAAAGATCTGATATCATTTGAAATACAGTTATATTTAAAATATATATATCTTGTGGTAAGTAGTACTTTATGCTTCACGATTGTTTTATATATATCATGACTCAGAATTCAAATAGAAGAGTAAATATTTAAGGATTGCCAAAGCAGTTTTGAAAAAAGCAAACTGAAGTATGTGTGAATGCTGAGAAATAAGGCTCAGACTAGCATAAAGCAAAACATGTTAAAAAGTTATTGTAATAAAAACAGTATGTCTGTGGTACAAGTACAGGCAAGTAGAAGAATCAAACAGAGTAAGAGTTCTGGATGAATTAAAGGCAAGAGGTGGGAGGACGATTATTAATGTGTTAAGAAAATTGGCTCATCCATTTGAAAAGGGAAGTTTTCCTTAAATATAATTCCAAAAGCCAAAGTGTTAAATTTTTTAAAAAAAACAAAGTAAATAAACTTAGTAACACAAAAATACACCATCTATAAAGTAAAATCCACCAAATAGACTGGAGGCTGAGCACAAAGGCTCATCCTGTAATCCCAGCACTTTGGGAAGCCAAAGCGGGTGGATCACTCGAGGTCAGGAGTTCGAGATCAGCCAGGCCAACATGGTGAAACCTCATCTCTACTAAAAAAAAATATAAAAATTAGCCAGGCATGGTGGTGCATGCCTGCAATCCCAGCTACTTGGGAGGCTGAGGCAGGCAAATCACTTTAACCCAGGAGGCGGAGGTTGCAGTGAGCTGAGATCGCACCACTGCACTCCAGCATGGGTGACAGAGCAAGACTCTATCTCAAAAAAAAAAAAAGACAAATAGACTGGAAAGAAACTCACAACATAAATACACATATATATGCATATACATATAAATCAGAAAAGACGTGCTAAGAATATACAAAGAGATGTCAAAAAATCAAATAAGATCCCACATTTCTCTCCTCATGTGCTGCAGTCTAAACTCCATGGGATACATAAGTCCCTATCTTTGGCCCTTTCTTCCCTCTCTCCCATTCCTAAAACTCTTCCAGTGTTCCCTGTGTAATACAGTTTGCACAGTCCCCCATATCATCATCCTGTTTTCTCAATGTTGCGTTCACCCTCTTGATCTAATAGAATCTTATCCCTTCCCTGCTTTACCTTTCAAACATTGGCTGTCTGTTTTTGTTTTCTTTTCTATGACCTTCATGTTGCTAAACCTGTAGGTAAAATAAGTGCCTTTCTTGATTTTTTTTCCTTTCATTACAGACTGCTTTTCCTTTGTGCTCCAAAAACAAGACATAACAAACCAAATCAAAACAAAACACAGTTTTGGATATAATGTTATCAGATTAAATCACCTCTACCTCTTCACTGTGGCTTTTCCCTGCTGGTTCCAACGGCATCCCATTCATTTCCCTGGATCACTAGGCCTATTTAACTCTTCGTGATTTCAATATTCAATGCTCAGGACTCAGTTCCTTGTCCTTCTCTCCTCCAGTGAGTTTTCTCCCTTTGCTGCCTCAGCCATCCCCCCATGATCTTACCCTAGCTCTTTCCATCACTGTAACCCTCCTTAGCTTTAATTTAATGCATCCCACTATGCACCCCACCTCCTATTTTTAAAATATTTCTTCCAGTACCTTGAACTCAACAATCTTTCAACCTCATGGGAACTTTTATTCTACTGATTCTACCAACATTTTTGTCAGGCAATTACTCCTTAATGGTCTCACTCCACTTTCTACCCAATTTAAATTCTATAGTAGGGGTCCCTGACCCTGGGGCTGCTGACTGGGACTGGTCTGTGGCCTGTTAGTAACTGGGCCACACAGCAGGAGGTGAGCAGCTGCCGGAGAGCACTACTGACTGAGCTCCACCTCCTGTCAGATCAGTGGGGCATTAGATTCTCACAGGAGCATGATCCCTATTGTGAATTGCACAGGCCAGGGATCTAGGTTGCATGCTCCTGATGAGAATTTAATGCCTGGTGATCCAAGGTGGAACAGTTTCATCTTGAAACCATCCCTGACCCCTGGTTCATGCAAAAATTATCTTCCACGGAACTGGTCCGTGGTGCCAAAGACGTTGGGAATCGCTGTTCTATAGGCAATTGTTAAAATCACTCTTTTTCATAATCGCTTGACAAAACTACAACCCTGGCTCACTCTGTTTCTGGGACCACCCCTCACTTGAGCCTGTGTGCTGAATGAGGCTGGAGGAGAGACAACCAAAACTAAGCAGATGTGCACTAGCTCATGACCGTCAACCTCAATTTTCATACATCTTCTATCTATGCCTTCTCTCTGTCTTATACATCTATTTTACACTTTCTCCTCTCCCCTGAAATTTTCAACAGCTTCATCCCCCTTCTCACTCTAATGTTTCCTGTTGAGAAAATTTAAGGAATCTTAAAAGAATTTCCACAAGCCTCATTTTCACATCTACGGCCTACAGGTACCTCCACCTACATACGCTGCCCTTTTGCCTGTTACTGCAGAACCACCCACGTTTCTGTCTAAAGCTAATCCCTCCCAGTGGCCATGAGGTCTCCTCTTCATCAGTAAAAAAATCTTTATCGAATCATTCTGTCAGTACACACATATGTTTTTATGTCTCCTTTTAAAAAAATAAAATAAAATAAAAATTAAAAACACTTCTCTTAATTTCCAAACCAGTTTTTCTCTCTTATCCTCTTAAACACACTCTGATATGTCCTTTAACTCGTCACTCCACCAAAACTTCTTTTGTATAGTTTATAAATGACTTCTATGTTGCTAAATCTACTGTCAATTCAAAGACATCATTGAAGTTGATCTATCAACAGCATTCTACACAATTTATTTCTTCCTCCTCCTTAATACATTTTCTTCACTTGTCCTCCAAGATCCCACACTTGCCCAGTTTTTCCTACCGCCCAGGTTCTTCTGCTATTCACTTTCTTCCACAGCCCCTTCCTCTTCACCCTGAACTCTTCATGTTGCCCCACCCCAGACTCGGTCTTTGTTCTTCACTTACCAGTCTACACACACATCCTTGGCAGTCTCTTCAACCCTCAGAACTTTATACAGTTTCTCTGTGCCAAATTCCTATCTACAGTCCTGCTCCTGCACTCCCTCCCAAATTCCGGATATATTTAACATGTACTCGACTTATTTGCAGGTTTTATAGACATTCCAAACCAAATATTTCTGTTACAAAATTATAACTGCTATGAAAAAAAAAGGATTAGAGTCAGGAGGACCTGGAGTGAGATGTGGGGTGCTGGTGGAGATGTGTTACTGTGTTGATTAGGGGTATGGCAGTTAACACTCACGAGCCAGTGATGGATTCTTCAAGCAGATTCTGTTCTATTCACCAAAAATACAGCGGTAGAAAGAAGAGGCAAAAACTCTCACCTTCTCAGAATTTACATTCTAGGCCAAAATTTATTTTCAAGTTATATAAAGAATTACTTACAAAATTGATAATAAAATATAAATTGCAGGCAAGAAATAATGGATAATTAAGTATGCTTATTAAATTAAAGATAAATGAGGGTTTTTTTGGGTGGTTTTTTTTGAGACTGAGTTTGCTTTGTTACCCAGGCTGGAGTGCAGTGGCGTGATCTCCGCTCTCTGCCACTTCTGCCTCCCAGGTTCAAGCGATTCTTGTGCCTCAGCCTCCTGAATAGCTGGGATTGCAGGTGTGCACCACTATGCTTGGCTAATGTTTGTATTTTTAGTAGAGACAGGGTTTCACCATGTTGGCCAGGTTGGTCTCAAACTCCTGACCTCAAGTGATCCGCCTGCCTTGGCCTCCCAAAGTGCTGGGATTACAGGCGTGAGCCACTGCACCCAGCCATAAATGAGTTTTTGAAGATACTATTTTAAGAAAAAAAAAAAAAAAGGACTTTTCAGCAGACTTCTGCAGAGTTTATATTTGTTGCATTAAGAAAGATTGGTGCAATTTGATGCTATCTTAGAGAACTCAACCCCTAAATCTGTAGTATTAATATTAGGAATAAATATGTTTGTGGAAAATGAGCACTTGTTGCTGAAATATTCCTGCTGGTAGGAGCAGAGGCAAAGCCAGACAGGAGCTCCAAGCCCTGGGCACAGGGTAGGGTGCCTGCCACATGCTCTGGGTCTGTGTGGTCCACCTTGACCTGAGCAAGTGACTGTAGTAGACCCTGGGCAAGTCCAAACCACCATGGTCCAAAAGGAGGCACAGCCAACCGATATCCATACAATAGGAGGACACTGAGAACCCGAAGGGGTCCTGCCAAGAATCCAAGAGCTCCTGGAGATGGGGAGGGGATGGAGACCAGGGATTGTTCTTATTACAGCCTGTGTACTGTGACAAAGAGAAAAACTCCAGAGCAGAGCTACTGAGAGTTTAACCATATAAGCCCTTGTCTGTGGGTTAGAAAATACTGGCATGAACTAGCTCTCCCTCTATGGTCACACCAAATACAGCTGTAAATATCTTCTTATCTATCTCACTATATCATTACAAGAAGAAAACTCCAATATAGTGTTTACCTCTGAATGATGGGTTATTGGGGATTATTTTTATTTTCTTATTTAATGGCTTCTGAATATATCAAATTTCCTATTGCAGGTAAATAGTAGTATGTACTCTATTATAATCACAGAAATAAATTTTATTTTTAAATAGCAATAATGCCCTCTTAATTTTTTCCCTAGAATCAAAATCAAGTTCATCAACATTTTTCCCAAAATCAATCTTTAAAAAAAATTCCCATATGAATGAATACCTATATCTTCACATTTTATCTATGATAATTAGTAATTAATTACAGATCATACTCAAATTTATTGTAGAGAGAGGTAATTGAAAAATATAAGTAAATATCATTAAAAAAGATTTTTTTAATATTTTAAAAAACATCTTTTTTAGTTTTCTTATCTGTCTTCATTCTAGTTATAGTCCATTTATGACCTTTTTTATTTTAAGCTTACTCTACAGGGAAGGGAGCAAAATACAAGTTGAATATCATGCTTTCTATTTTTGTAGGACATTATCAATTCATACTCAGATTAAAACTAAAAGGAGATTTTTATTCCCTTTAATTTATTTTCTCAAGCCTTAATTTATCCTGAGGCTTGATTTTCCTGATACTATTATTATAGGTCAGCCCCATTCTTTTGAAAATAGATAAGGATGACTGTACTATTCCACAGAGTTAAAATTACATTATATACTTATTTTGTTTCAAAATTTTAACAAGAAGACTAAATCAAGTGTTTATGAGTAGTCTATAATTACACCCAGATACCAATTGTTTGTCCAGCAGTTAAATGCACTTCTAATTAGATATGGAGAAAACTGAAAATACACACCAATCTTTTTTGCATTTACTGAAATTTTCTTCTTTTTATTCAGAACACATCGTTGTTCTGCAAATGAGCATCCATCTGTTATGGTGGGAAGAAAATGTAATCCTTTGCTCTTTAGTTCCTATGTTCCCATTAGGCCATACAAGGTAAGGAAATGAGTTCTAGGCTATACTTTTGATTTATTGCAGAACTGAACACACTTACATAGAGAAAAGTGCTATTTTAATTTTACACCAATAAACACACATACATATGTCTAACCTTTAGATGTAGTCATAAAAATGACTGAGGACTCTGGAAATAGAGTGAAAACATATAAAAGTTTCACTTTTAATACTGTTGCTCAGAGCTGTATTGTGCAAAATTAAAGAAAAATTTCTAATATTTTTTAAACTTCACATTCTTAAATTTAGCCTTCCAAAAGTATTTACATATTATATTGTATTATGTTTTCTCCATTACTGTACATTCATACTTATCACATTGGAACAATATGAATATGTTCAAAAGATTTTAAGAGCAATTTTAGGATCACAGAAAAAATAAAAAGAAGGTAGGGATACACGCCAGATATTTCCTATGTCCACTCCTGCCTAGCCTTTCTCAATGTTAGTATCCCTCACTGGAGTGGAACACTTGTTATAATTGATTCACCTGTATTCACACATCATTATCACCCAGAGCCATACTTTACACTGGGGTTCCTTCTTGGTGTTGCGCATTCTGTGAGTTTCAAAAAATGTATAACGACATTTATCCATCACTATGGTATCATACAGAGTGATTATGTATCATACAGGGTGTTTTCACTGTCCTAAACATCCTCTGTGTTGAGCCAATGCATTCCCCTACTGCCCCTCTACCTCTGGAAATCACTGATGTTTTACTGCTTCCATAGTTTTGTTTTTTCCGCTCTGTCATGTAGGTAAAATCATACAGCATATGATAATAAGTAGCCTACTCAGATTGGCTTCTTAGTAATACACATTTAAGTTTCCTCCGTGTCTTTTCATGGTTTAATAGCTTATTGCTTTTTAGCACTGAATAACATTCCATTGTCTGGATGTACCACTGTTTATGTCCTCTTTCACCTTCTTAAAGACATCTTCATTACTCTCAAGTTTTGGTAATTATGAGTAGAGCTGCTATAAGCATACATATGTAGGTTTTGCATGGACTCCTTTCAGTAAATATCAAGGAGTGTAATTGTTAGATTAGATAGTAAGAGTATGTTTTGTTTCATAAGAAACTGCCAAAATGTTTTCTAGCGTGGCTATAACACTTTGCATTCCCACCAGCAATAAATGAGAATTCTTGTTCCACATCGTCCTCAGTGTTCTGAATATCAGCCATTCCCACAGGTGTGTAGTGGGATCTCACTGTGGCTTTCATTTGCATTTACCTTATGACACATCAATTTCAGTATCTTTTCATACATTTATTTTCCATCTGCATATCTTCTTTAACGAGGTGTCTGTTCCATTCTTTGGCTCATCTTTTGTGTTTTTTTTTATTGTTGAGTTATAATAATTCATTGTATATTTTTGATAACAGTCCTTTATCAGATATATTACTTGCAAATACTTTCTTCCAGTTTGTGGCTTGTCTTCTCATTCTCCTGAGAGTATCATTGAAAGAGTAGAAGTTTCTAACTTTAATGCAGTTCATATCATCAATCATTTCTTAAATGGATTGTGCCTCTGGTGTCATAACTAAAAAGTCATCACCAAACCCATGATCATCTAGATTTTCTTCATGTTATTCTATGTGAATTTTATAGTTTTGCATTTTATATTGAGATATGTTGCCTATTTTGAGTTAATTTTTGTGAAAGGTGTAAAGTGTGTCTAGATTCATATTATTGCAAATGGATATCTAGTTGTCTCATCACCATTTGTCGAAAAGACTACCTTTTCTCCATTATAATGTCTTTGCCCCCTTGTTAAAAATTAGTTGACTGTATTTATGTGAGTCTATTTCTGGGTTCTCTATTTTCTTCTATTGATCTATTTGTCTATTATTTCATCAATATTATGCTGTCTTGATTCCTATAAACTTATAGTGAGTTTTGAAATCAGGTAGTGTCAATTCTGAAACTGTTTTTCTCATTCAATATTGTGTTGGCTTTTCTGGGTCTTTTGCCTCTCCATATAAACTTTAGAATAGTTTGGGTCAATATCCACAAAACATTTTGCTGAGATTTTGATTGGGATTGCATTGCATCTGTAGACCAAGTTGGGAAGAACTGACATCTTGTTAATATTGAGTTTTCCTATCCATGGATATAGCATATCTCTCCATTTATTTAGTTCTTCTTCAATTTCTTTCATAGGTTTTGTAGTTTTCTTTATATAGACCTTGTAAATATTTTGTTAGAATTATACCTAAGTATTTCATTATTTTTGTTTTGCTGGTAGAAATGATACTATGTTTTTAATTTCAAATTTTACTGTTCATTGCTAGTATATAGGAAAGCAGCTTGCATCTGTATATTAACCTTGTATCCTATAACAGTGAAATAGTGGTATATTAGTTTCAGCAGTTTTTTTGTTGATTTGTTTTTGTGTTCTACATAGCTGATTATCATCTGCATTTAATCCAGTTAGTAGCTCTACAGTGTTGCATGAATGCCTCCAACTTATTTTGTAGTCAAATCTTTGATATCATTGCTAAGATTCCAAATCAGATGAAACATATTTTCTCATAAATGCTTCTCTTCAGAAAATTCTTTTTCTTAGAATCACAATGTTTTTAAAAAATACATTATCACATTATGTTTCTCTGATATTCATCAGTTATTTCAACTGAGATGCATTTTGAAGACTATTAATAGTTTCCTTATTACCATCTCTCTCTAAATTTCCAAGATCTGCCTAGGTGTGTATTTCTTTATATATACAATGTACCCATTGGTAAAGTTTTTTTTTAATTTTGAAATCTTAACTTATTCTTTGACTTTGTGCTGTTTTCTTCTCTTACGTACTAATATGATTTGGCTGTGTCCCCACCCAAATCTCATCTTGAATTGCAGTTTCCATAATTCCCACGTGTCATGGGAGGGACACATTGAGAGGTAATTGAGTAATAGGGGCAGTTTCCCGCCTACTATGCCTGAGATACTGAGTAAATTCTCACAAGATCTAATGCTTTTATAAGGGACTTCCTCCTTCACTCAGCTGTCATTCTTCTCTCTCCTGCTGCTTTGTGAACAAGTATATGTTTGCTTCCCCTTCTGCCATGATTGTAATTTTCCTGAGGCCTCCCATTCCTGTGGAACTGTAAGTCAATTAAACCTCTTTCCTTTATAAATTACCCAGTTTCATGTATGTCCTTATAGCAGCATGAGAACAGACTAATCCATGTACTGATTATTCACCCCCTAATGTTAGCCCTGTAATACCTATCACAGCTATTGCGAAGCTCTTGCTTATTTTTGCAATGACTCCTTTCTGTTTGCTCATGACTCTTTTTTTGTTCTTAACATATAAGTTTTCCAGTTGAATCTCTTCTGGACTTGTTTTTCAGTGTATTCAGTGTGTATCTAAATGCCTTCATTGCACTTATTTTTTGGAGGTAATATTTTCTAATCTCAGTTTGTTCTCTCTACATTAATGAAAAGTCTACTTGTATATGATATTTGGGGAATGTTCTACACATTAAAAACACTACTTATTTGCATCAAAGTCTCAAAAACAATCAATAGAAAATGATTTTTGGAATAGTATATGTTAAACCGATGTATATGTTATCTGTCATTTCTGCTCATTAACTTGTAAAATTATCACTCTGGCTTCTGTGAGGAGAATGGACTGAAGGGGGCAGAACCGGAGGTGGGAGGCAACTGAGCCAGTTGTCAAAATTAATAAAGTGGGGAAGGATGCTGATCTAGGCTGTAGAGGTGGGAGTAGCAACAGAAATGACATCATTTTAAAAATGTAAATAAAACTGGTAAGACTTAGTGGTGGATTAAACTATGACTGGAAAAAGGAAAGCAACATGAAGAATGACTCTGTGTGTGTGTTTGAATTTTAACACTGGGTTGAGAAAGTTGCCTTTCCCTAAAATGTAGAAGTAAAAGGGGAGCAGGTAAGCAAAAGATCAGGAGATTAATTCTGAACACCTTACATGTGAGGCACAGGTTGCACAACCAAGAGGAAATGTCAAATTGGGAGTGAGAAGGAGCATTCAAGGTTTCCAGAGAAATTCAGGCTGGAGTTATAAATTGGGAAGTTATTGGTGTATAAATGATAGAAATAATGAATGCCATTGCTAATATCTGCTGAGTATCAAGGCACTGTGCTAAGTCCTTTACATGTATTATCTCAATTAATACTCAAAATACCTTTTAACCTAAAGGTTAATATCAAATCCATTTTACAGATGATGAATCTGAGACACAAAGATTTTACAGCACCTAAGTAACTGTCAGGATTCAACTCTGACTCTGACTAAAGGCTCTGCAGGCAAAACCACTGCATTTCACTTATAGTACAGCAGGAGAGGGAATAAAATAGGGCACAAGACTTAATGCTAAGCAACTTGGCCTTTAGAAGACGAGCGAATAAAAATAATAAGTAAAGGCAGCTAGGAATTCCTGACCAGAAGAGTAGTTATGTAAACTAAGAAAAAGAAACTTCAAGAAGGAAGTGATGTTTACCTGTTTCTATGGGTGTTAAGCTGTGTGGTAAGATGAGAACTGAAAGTGTCCATGAACCTGGTAATAAAAGGTCCACAATGCTCTCAGCCAGGGTAGTCTTGATGGGCATAGAAAACCAGATTGAAATGGGTGAGAGGCAAGACGGCAGAGTGTGGTCACTCACTGGACATGTCCTGTGCTTCAAACACATAGATATGACAGATTAAGTTTAAAATAATAAAATAAAATAATAATAATAAAACTAAAAAAGGATAACAGAAACAAGAATAGAATAGAAATGCAAACATCAGGGCTAAGATTCTGAGCATAATGTGTCCCGGTCCCAGGAAACTAAAGCTATCACTTGGGATGAAGAAGAGGACTAGCTTCGAGACTTGTAACTAGGGGCTAGGGTTTGCCATTCTACTATCTAACTGGCTGATCTCAAAAAGAGAAGAAAATAATCCCATGTCCATTTCAGACAAAGAGCTAAAAGGCTTTAGAAAGCAAGCCCAGGGAAAAGGGTAGCTTTTTCACTAGGAATTCAAGGAAGCCACAGATAGCTCTATAATTGTCTCTGCACAGGGTAAAGCACTTAATTTGCCTTGTGAACACACAGTTAGACTGAGACTTGGTACACCATATGGAAGTAGCTGTGAAAACATTAGCTAAGAAGAGATTCACATGGATGGAAATGAACAAAAAGAGATAGAAGAGTTCACTGAGAATACAATTGATATTAAAAAGATGGAAATATGTGAAAGAGCAATTAAGAGACATGGAAGAGAACCAGCAGTCCCCAATATACCTCTCAGAGCAGTTCTAAAAATAGAAGAGTGAGAGAATGAAGAGAAAGGTGGAGAGGCAATATTTGAAGAAACAAAAAATCAGAACTTTAGTGAAAATGGTCATGAGGCTATAAATTAAAAAATATACTAGCAGCACTGAACACGAAACTACATAAGGAGGCAGTTGTAAAAAATTACCACAAATAATTGACAACCTTCACAGATATGTCAATTAGAATTATAGCACAATTCACACTAGCAATAATAAAGCCAAAAGATGAGTTAGTAAATATATACAGAACACTGAACAAAAACAACTATTACCTAAATTTTAAAATCTGTCGTACCAGCATAAAAGAGTAAGGAAAAATAAACAGATTTTTCAGCACAGAGAGACAAATATAATTTAACACAATAGAAATCTTTATTGAGAGAACAAGTAAGGAAAATGCTTCAACAAGTAATAAACTATACCCAGAAGAAGAAAAACTATGGGACTCAAAAAAAATTGTTTTTAAATGTCAGTAAATTTAATTATTGAGTATAATTCTAATATCTTTTTAAAATGTAAAGGTAAACTTTAAAATGAGGATGGACATGCTTAGAGGGAATTTAAATATTCTAGAGAATAGAAAAGGATGCTTTGAAAAAGTCTCATCTTTGCTAAAAACGTTGTAAGTATAGTTAAGTATGCATGTTTGAAAATGTTTAAAAATATTAAAAGAACAAACATAAAAAATTTAGCTTTAAAGTGAACAGAATTAACAGAAAAGAAAACAACTCAATGAACTGAAAAAAGGCATAAATATTTTAAAAAACAAAAGAAAGTAATGAAAAATAATGGTAGACATAAAACAATGCAAGATGGTAAAACATATATATTTTTAAAAAACATAACAAATAAAAATGTATTACCTTCACTCTGGCCTAAAGCTAGTTGTCTTCCACAGCCTTTTACTTCTTCCTGAGTTTTCACCATCCATTTAAAAGCATGCAGCTAAGTATAGCCATGTAACCAGGCCCTGGCCAATGGTATACAAACATAAATGCTGTTTGTTCCTCCAGGGTCTTTTTAAAACCCATGTCCTGGAGGATTCAATCCTGTCTGCTGGCTGGAAATGGTAATGACTGGAGCAATCTATGAAGCTATGTGCTGAGGGTAGAACAGCCATGATATTACTGAATCCCTGGGTGACCTTGTGGAGTGAAGCCTACCTGGCCCTAGAATGTTACATGAAAGAAGTAATCTTCTATCTTGTATAATCTAGTGAACTTTGATTCTCTTTGTTATAGCATATTAGCTTTTACCCTACCAAATTTACTTACACATTAAAAGTAAGAGGTAGAGATATTGATTGGGTTAAAAATCAAGTCATAAACTGTTTATAAAAACATCATACAATAATGCCACACAGAAACATTGAAAATAAGTGGATGAAAATTTGCATTCGAATACAAAACAAAAATAAAGATAGTGTGTCAATATTAATATCAGACAAAATTTAAGTCAGAAATCTTACTGGATAAGCCATTTGAAATTTTGAAAAAGCAATCTGGTGAAAATATATAAAATAATGAATTTGTGTGTACCCAGTAACCAACTGAAACTACAGTAAAAACTAAACTAGATATTATAAAATACCTGGATTTAAGCTGGATATTATAAAATATCTACTTTCATCAGAAGCTACAAAATTAAGCTCACAAATATAAATAAGGGTACAAAAATATGAAAGCTAAAATCAACAAGCATGATCTGATAAATATATAGAGACCTCATGAGCTATTAGGTACATATATATGCATTTCAAGTATTTGTAAAACAATAAAGTATGCCCAACAAAATTTCAAAGATCCAAAATCATGTTGATCATATTATTTAATTATAAAGTGGTAGGAACAAAGAGGACAATTAACAACTCTAATTTTTCAATTTAATAAACATTAACAAGCGTGTAATGTGATAATTTAACAAATGGTACAATAGAATGAGAGAAAAATCTGAATAATTATAGCTAAAATAATAACACAAAAATATTGTTTTAGAAGATAAGCAAATAATAAAATATGTTACAAAATTTAAAATATTAATCTCTGAGGTAACTAAAATAAAAAAAGAGATAACAGGCATACATATTAAAAATGGGAATACAATGCCACTACATACAATATAGTAAAATAGCAGTAAAATGAAAATATTCTAGGTATAACATAAATTCCAAATAAATAACTTGAGGACTTTTTGTATTGCAAGACATGCCTAAAAGAAAACAATGAACAGGAATAATCTTTGTATTTATATATATTAGACAAAAGGGAATGCTACATAAAATGGAAAATGAAAACATCTCATATATTGTTGACAAACAGAAATGAGTCCAGCCAGTTTGAGGGCAATTTGACAATCTTAAATATTAATGTCCTTTGAATTAAGTCCAGTTTTTTATTACCAGTTGACTCATTATTTTAAACATAACAAAGCTCAAATGTCCTGAATGAGTGTTCCTGTTATTCTACATCCTTGTCAGCATTTGGTATTGTCAGTGTTTTGGATGGGGGCCATTCTGATAGGTGTGTAGTGGGATCCCACTGTTGTTTTAATTTGAATTTCTCTGATGACATATGAATTTGAGCATCTCTTCATATGCTCATTTGCCATCTTGATATCTTCTATGATGAGGTGTTTGTTCGAGTATTTTGCCCATTTTTTAAAGCTATGTTGTTTATTTTCTTATTGTTGAGGTTTAAGAGTTCTTTGTACATTTTGGATAACAGCCCTTTACTAGAGCTGCCTTTCGAAAATATTTTTTCCCAGTCTGTTCCATGTCTTTTCATTCTCTTGACACTATCTCTCATAGAGCAGAAGCTGTTAATTTTAATAAAATCCAGCTTATCAATTATTACTTTCATGGATTTTGACTCTGGTGTTGTATCTAAAAAGTTATCCTATGAAACCTAAGGTCATCTAGATTTTCTCCTGTGTTATTTTCTAGGTGTTTTATAGTTTTCTGTTTTACTTTTAGGTTTATCATTTATTTCCAGATAATTTGGGGGGAGAAGGTATAAGGTCTGTGTCTAGATTCTTTTGAGTTTTTTCTCTTTTTTTTTTTTTTTTGAGCATGAACATCTAGTTGTTCCTGCATCTTTTCTTCTTCTTTTTTTTTTTTTTTTGAGATGGAGTCTCATTCTGTTGCCCAAGCTGAAGTGCAATGGCATGATCTTGGCTCACTGCAACCTCTACCACCCAGGTTCAAGCAATTCTCCTGCCTCAGCCTCCAGAGTATCTGGGATTACAGGCACACGCCATCACATCTGACTAATTCTTGTATTTTTAGTAGAGATGGGGTTTCACCATGTTGGTCAGGCTGGTCTCGAACTCCTGACCTCAAGTGATCCACCTGCCTCGGCCTCCCAAAGTATTGGGATTACTGGCGTGATCCACTGTGCCTGGCTGGCATCATTTGTTGAAAAGACTGTTCTTTTTTCTATTATATTGTCTTTGCTCCTTTGTCAAAGATCAGTTTGCCAAGTTTCTTTAAAATGATGTGCTAAACATTAATAAAGTTTCAACATAAATAAAGAGCACATACAGTTGATGGCAAAGAACAAACAAGAAGTATAATATAATACAGTAATCACCTAGCAAACAAGAAGCTGAGCGCACATGTTCTAGAATGTTAGAAGTAGGGCAGATGGAACATCCTTTGAAAAATAGGTTCAAGGCTTATAATGTTGGTAAAGTGATGGATGTGTAAAATAGGACTTGCTCTTCAATTCCCAACTACAGTCTGTGAGACTTACCTAATGCTAAATTGAAGTTTTAATGACTAGACATTGATTGTATTCTTTATACCTCTTTCTGTAATCTTGTCCTGAAAAGGCACTAGTGAGAATAACATGTAATTTCAATGTAGTTGAAAGTCTCAGTTAGAGTGTTGATCTGTGAAAAGATGTAAGGGACAGTCCTACATAAATCACCTATTCTAGTGAAGCATATACTTACTATCGAATCATTGTCTAGGTTCAAATATTCAGATGTTAGTTTTCTATTCCTGCTACTTAACTGATTTTTCTTCAGTATTTAACAGCAGGGTAAGACACTGATTCGTACTTTCCACAACTTAGTTAATATGACTAAAAGAAGCAGGGAGAAACAGGGTTCCCTGTAAGAAGTAATCAAAAAATAAGCATATGATGTCACGTAAAAGAACGTAACTATGTCAAATGAGTGTCATACTCTTCCCAGACCAAACTGAGGTTGGGCTGCTATTTCTCGTGGCCCAATAATGAGATGCAGATGAACCGGGGAGAAAAAGAGTTTTTATTTCTGCAACTGGTTACAGGGAGAAGGCCTGGAAATTATCACCAGACTAACTCAAAATTACAAAGTTTTCCAGAACTTATATACCTTCTAAGCTATATGTCTATGTGTAAGTGTGCATTCTCTAAAGACATAGGTAGTTAACTTCTTTTAATCTCTAACTAAGGTCTGAGTCCTGAAGAGCTTCCTCTGGAACCTCAGTAAACTTACTTAATCTAAATGTGTTAGGTCCTGGGGAGATCACCCTTATCTTGTCTCCTACTAAATCATGAAGGTCTGGGGAGTTCCTTCAGACTCCCAATACGCTTGTTTGTGGAGTCCTGGGGAGTTTCTTCAGACCCACAATAAAACTTATTTAATCCTAAATGGGTTTTGTTAAGAATTCCTTTGTTATTTTGTCATGATTTAAGGCCCAGGAAAGGCCTAGGCAAAACTCTTGGTTGGCTTTTGTTACAGCCCAGCCTTTGCATAAGGGCACGGGTTTTTAATATTTAACTTAACCATTCAGTCAGTACTGAAACAGTTGTTATGGAGGCCTGCATTAGTGAGACCTGGCCTGCCACAATCCCCACTGTCAATTTGTGCATGATTTCTTTCAGGTTTGTATATTTATTTGTCATGAGAATTGTAGGGAGATGGGGCATCATAATCTTTCTGGCTACTTCCTGCTGAGAGTGGGGGTCATTGTTATGAGGTACCACACACATCGCTGGAGTGGGAGAGGTTGATTTGTTCCCAGTAGCACTCTCTGTTTTGGGGACTTAGAGGCAGCACCTGCTGAAACATAATAGTATGCAACAGCAACACATATAAATAGGATGCTGCTGTTTTCTTCTGAAGTTTAAGCTGTCTAGTCTTCAGTTCACAGGGATTTAAGAAAGCACAGCTTAGGTTTCAGTAATTTCAAATTAGGATAAATGTGGAAAAAGGAAAAGAAAAAGAAATGAAAACATTATTTTGGAGATTTGTAGCCAGAAAAATTAGAATTTAACCCAAACTGTAGAAAATAATAAAAGTTGAAAAACATCAGGCAAGACTAGAATTTAACAATAGGTGTACTATAGTTTTTGAAACATAATTTTCCCCTTTCCAGTTTCCCATTTTTATTAAAAGACAAATCATGGTAGGACTAGCTTGCTTTATTATACTTGGCTTCATTATTTGTATATAGTGCAGCAAGAATAATTATTTTTCACATAGGCCTTTTAAATTCACTTTGATGGAGCTTTGTTCCATGGAAGGAATCTAAGATAAGATCTTTTTAATGCTGAGCCCAGTCATGGATTTGTACCATCAAATACCTATGAGTTGGGTGGATTCCTCTCTTCTTGAGGTTCCAAGATAACTTGGGGTTTCTGGCTTGTCAGAAAGTGACATTCTTTAATTATCACAGATCAGAAACCCTGTACAGGGACTGTGTACACAAAATACAAGGCCAGTTTTCCAAGGACTTTCTTGGCTTCATAAGTCTAGTTTGATTCTTTAAAGGAGGGCATACCATTCCCATCAAAGCCTTGGCAAAATAACCAGTTTTTTCAATTGTGTCCTCTTTCAAAAGAAAACAGATCCTTATTGCACTTATGCAAATAACCATATTGCCATAAATTAAGAATACTCACAAATAACTTCCAAATTCTAGAGAAAATAGTTAGAGAGAAATAAATATGCTTCAAATTTTGTTCATAGGCATATACTTGTCAAAAGCGGTTAATAGCTCAAAAGAAAAGTCTTTGACTCTGAAAAGCAAAACAAAGGATGAGCAACATTTAAGCAAAATATCAAAATGATCACTTCAGTCTCCTATTAGTTCAGTTCATGCATTTAATTCCTGTCCTGCTTGATATTAATGAACATTTTAGCTCTTCAAGAGTCCTGAATATTTTTCCCCTATTCTGATGTCACAATCTCCAAAATTATCAGAAATCTGCATTCAAGTGCACCTGTGAGAGCTTTATAGCTGATTATAAAGCCACCTTCTAAAGAGGACCAAAACAAGACAACTGTTTATGAATGACAAAAAGTTTTAGGGTAGCCATCTTTAAAGACACAATTGACAAGAATATCTGTTACCTCTGTGGCACACAATAATTTAACATAACAATTATAATTATTACTGGTAACATACACTAAGATACATCAGAATTATAGGCGTTTCACATGATTTGGGGACACATATCAGTAACATATTACACTAATACAGCCCAAAGAAAGCCAAACACGATTTCATATTTGACAATGCTTCCTGTAAAATTTTTATACCAAGTAACCCAAATTTCACCTTCACATTAGTGTACTATTAATGTTAAACCCAATTCTTAATAAAACCTTACAGACCTATTTACCCAATTTTAATGTTTGACCATAAGTAAGATTTTCATAGACCTTTTATAACCCTTTACAATTTTTTTAAAGAGGATGTTAGTGCTCTAAGAGAAATCTGGTGTATTTTTATTTTAATGCTCAATTTACAGGAAAAAAAAATGGATGATAACCCTTTAACTTTAGCCAATATGTTTACACACAGAACTTCCTTTACAATCAACCTTCCACAACTTGCTTAAACTTCAGCTTTATTTTATCCAACTTAAAATAAACCTTTAAACTTCAGGCAAAAAATCCACATTCTCATACTTCATTATAATCTTTTTACCAAAAGTATATTTTACTTTCTTTACACACCTTGCATGTAGACTGTTTCTTCAATAGCTCTTTTTTTTTTTTTTTTTTTTTTTTTTTGAAACAGAGTTTCATTCTGTCGCCCAGACTGGAGTGTGATGATGCTATCTCAGGTTCAGGTCACTGCAACCTCAGCCTCTTGGGTTCAAGTTATGCTCCTACCTCAGCCTCCCGAGTAGTTCGGACTACAGGCACCCACCACCACGCCTGGCTAAATTTTTTTTGTATTTTTAGTAGAGACGGGGCTTCACCATGTTGGTCAGGCTGGTCTCGAACTCCAGACCTCAGGTCATCAGCCCACCTCAGCCTCTCAAAGTGCTGGGATTACAGGCCGCACCCAGCCCAGTAGTTCTTAAATACATGTTACACTGTTAACTCTTAACAACCTTTACTTTTGGTGAAAACCTTGTTAAGTTTGGCGCTTTCATTATGTACTAGATGTGGGGCCTAGGACCTTGACAGAAGTGCAGATAAGGTCTGACTTATTCTAGTGTTTAACTCCATGTGTTCCAGGTCTTACCTAGCTGTAAAGCAGGCAAGTTGTACAGCTAAGAGTCATAGTGGTATTTTATAAAGCATTTAGGAGGTCTAATTACCTTTAAATTGTGCAATATTTCTTGCATAAATCCCCTTTCATAAATTCTTTCATGACTGCACAGACAAGCTATGACATGCCTTGACTTTCTGACTTCTGACAACATGCCTCTTTTTAAACAACCAGTTATTTTACTTTAGGACAAGAAATTACCATACAAGATCCTTTCTTATATAAAATCTCTTTTCTTTAATACCTTTTTGCATAGCTAGGGGCATGGTTAATTTCATATGTCCCCAGGACTTATCTAGAATTTAACACTCCAAAATAAATTGGACAATTTTTAAGTCAAAGAAGCAGTTTATGACCTAAAGCATTAGCAAACCTAATATTTGACCTGCATAATTTAGACTAAATGTTTACATTTTTTGAAGATATTTTTATTTTACCAATAATCTTTGAAACTCTCTTTATTTTTATAACTTTCTTTTACATTGTTTTATATATAGCCTTTAAATAAGTTTTGAATTAGACAAAAGTTAGTTCCCTTTCAAAAGGACACAGTTTTTAGAAAGACTGTTTTCCTAAAATATATTTTATTGGAAAATACCCAAATAATGAAATGTCAGTTGTTTAATTTAATATAGCTTTAAATTCTAAATTATGACAAATTTATGAGTGTCCCATTACATTTATCTAATTATATATTTTAATCATTTACCTAGATTATTTATGAAAACCATGACAGTCATCATTTAAAGTTATGAAACCACCATTGTAATATTAAAACTGAGACGGTGAAAATGATCCCACCTAAATGACTCCATCTTATTTCTAACCTCCAAGCTGTTCTTGTTCATTAACTTAGTTTATAGTTTAGCTGTGAAACAAAAATGATAACAATCTTTTCCCAGAAAAACTTTCTTTATGTCTTTGGACGAGACTTCCTAAGGCCACAAGATTAGAAGTTAGGGTATTTTACTAAATAATTTAAGAAGTAGTTATCTTCATTAAACCAATATTAATATTTTATTTATTAAAAATTATACAAGCAAAGATCATTCTGTTTTGGGCTGAGTTATAGTTATAGTGCCAAATTTTGACACCTTATAGTATTTGGCAGGGATAAGTATGCAATTGCCTGATCAATAAATGCAAACAAAAATGTATACTGGTAATTTTAAGATATGTCTAATATTACTTTACCAATGATTTTAAAGCTAGCTTATTTATTAAAGATTTTACTTAAGTCACATAAAGTTGAAAAGGATTTGACTAGTTTTTCTTTTTCTGTTAAAGTATTTAAGCACTTTTATTTTTCTTTGAGCCAATTAATTAGAACTCTTTCATATATTTTCCGTAGTAAAACATGGTCTACACAAGACATAAATACATAGACGTATTAGGCATGCCAATAGAAGTACATTTTACAGATTCATAAGACTTCCTTTTTCCTATCTTAGACTTGCAAACTCTTGATAACCTGGTTTATTACTCTGGAATTTGTCAACTAAATAGCCCTAAATCTGCATATTAAAAGAAACAACTCTTAGGGGAAAAATCAAATGGCAAGATTTACATCTCAAGGTACACAGAGAAAATGTCTGGGTGGTGCTAGAGGGAGATTAAAGATGGATGCCAAATCAAACATAAAATTATAGAAATTTATCATAGGACTGTGTAAGGAGCCTAACTTTATTTTGATATTGACTACCTACCCTTTAACTGGATCTTTAAGCACTGGGCAAAGCCCACACTGAATCCTGGGTTTTCAAAAAGGGAGAATTATTATGAGGCTGGACCATGTGATACTTTTACAGTACACTTAAAAAAATTTTTTTTTCCAAACAAAGACATTTCTAAGTGTCCAAATTACACTTTTTCTTAGAAACCCCAGAGGAGCTTCTGTTGTAATAGCTATTAATGAAGAAAACAGAATTCAGTGAACTAAGAAGAAAAAAAACTTTTGCTCAAAAAAGACAAGGTGCTAGGAGAGAAATAAACAAAACAAAAACAAAAGCGTGAAGGCTTTTTAAATACAAACATGCACACATAAATACACACATCTTGGATGTTAGCTTTTAATGAAGCTGACTTTTAATCACTGATCCACTAAAAAAAATATTTTTCCTTCCCAGAGACCTCTCAACAAGGATTAACCCAATATCTCCCATTTTCAAGTTTACATGGTATCAAAAGGAATAAGACAGATACATAAACAAATGGAGACAAATTTTGGACAACACAATGGGGAGTGCACTCAGGCAACTCAAAACCAACTCAAAATCTGATTTCAACCAAAATGCAAAGCAGGTGGTATTGCTTCCCTTGGTGGTACTGGACAAATGGCTTAGCCTAGACAGGAAAACAATAGGCTCCCTACATATGCTCGATTACCTCATCCTTTGACCAAATCTGCTCCTGATCTCTGTTCTTTCCCAGTAGTGAAAGGGACGTGCAATTTTGTGCACAGAACACCCCTTGGGAGAGTCCCTGGGGAAAATCTCACTGGCAGCTGCTGGGATCCTCCTGAAGACTATCTCATTACAAGCCACTGGCCACTGAACACAGCACTGTCCCAGTCTCTTCTGGCTGCCATGCCAAATTTTGTTCCCAGACCAAACTGAGGGTTGGGCTGCTATTTCTTGTGGCCCAATAACGAGATGCAGATGAACTGGGGAGGAAGAGAGTTTTTATTTCTGCAACCGGTTACACAGAGAAGGCCTGGAAATTATCGCCAGACCAACTCAAAATTACAAAATTTTCCAGAGCTTACATACCTTCTAAGCTATACGTCTACATGTAAGTGTGCATTCATCTAGAGACATAAGTTATTAACTTCTTTTAATCAATAACTAAGGTCTTCAAATCTGAGTCCTAAAGAACTTCTGCTGGAGCCTCAGTAAATTTACTTAATCTAAATAGGTACCGGTGCTGGGGTGATCACCCTTATCTTGTCTCCTGCTAAAACACAAAGGTTTGGGGAGTTCCTTCAGACTCCCAATAAACTTGTTTGTGGAGGCCTGGGGAGTTTCTTCAGACCCACAATAAAACTTGTTTAATCCTAAACGGGTCCTGTAAAGAATTCCTTCATTATTTTGTCATGCTTTACGCCCCAGAAAAGGCCTAGGCAAAACTCTTGGTTGGCTTTTGTTACAGCCCAGCCTTTGTATAGGGGCACTGGCTTTTAATGTTTAACTTAACCACTCAGTCAGCACTGAAACAATTGTTATGGAGGCCTGCATTAGTGAGATCTGGCCTGCCACAATACCCCACCAAAAGTGACTTCAAAAATTACTACTGAAATAAAGACAAAAAGAACTGAAAGAGATCCTAAACGGCATTCAATAATATTGTTGCTAGTGGTAACGTTTCATTTGACATTTTGAAACCAGTAAATGTATATTGTGGAAATAAAGTAAATAAGAAATGTTTTCATGTCATTAGGAACAAGTTCAAAATACTGATACAAATTCAAAATTTATTTCTTTCCAAAATCATACAATTATCCAGCTCTATTTTCCCAAAAGGTTGAGAAGCAAAGACAACCCAGTAGCAATAAATATCCCTAATACTCTAAGAGTGATCTTCAAATATGCAATTCCACTAAAACACAACTTCAGGAAAATGTGTGATTCTAAGAATGAGCAAGAAATGAACAAGAAGACCATGAGAAAGTAATAAGATGGTCGAATGCAGTCATGCAAAAAGACACAGCAGAATCCCATTTTCTGATCCAACATTAAAAAAAGCTTGGAAGTCATCACCCTCATCCTCTCAGCAAGGAAAAAGCTGAACAAACTGAAAATCAACACCTTTCTTTAGATACAGCAAAGAATTAAAGTCACAGGGCAAACCACTGACCTGAAAACTGGAGAGACAAGCAGAGACTGAGAATCACAGCTTATGAAGAACGGAAGTTCAGAGGCAAAAGCCCACTACTATGGCTGCAGTGTTGAAAAGACATAAATTATTATTAAAAAATTACTGATGGCTCAACGTGGACAACTCTGACAGTTAAAAACCCTGGTGGGGATGAGTTTCAGGGGGCCTCAAATTTTTGAGAGATTTACCTCCGGCAGCCCTACCAGGTTTTGTAAAAAAACTACAGAAAAATCCCCTGTGATTTCATCTGGAGGGCAAAAAAGTCGCCATTTAAAAATAAGCCTGAGCTCTCAGTTCTGTCAACAAAGTACTGCCCTCCAAAGAAACTAATTTACCAGCGCCTAACTGATCCAGGGAAATGGAAATATTCAAATTAAACCACCTCTATTCCTTGATGTGCGTGAAGAAAAATACCTGACATCAGGCACCAGGATTTATTGTCTCACCTAGAGACAGTAAAACCAGAGAAGCACTTGTAAAAGTCATAGCCCGGGGCACAAGCTCACTGAGAGACTGAAACCTATCATTTTAATTGCATGTGAATGCATGCAAACATGTACATACTCATATTTGGCAATAAAGTTGTTCTACTGTTATCAGTTATATCAAGACACTTCATTGTAAAAATGATTCTTATTATTATTATAATATTAAGAACATATAATATTAAGATATAATATATAAAATGAAGACTAATATAATATTATAATGATATAATATAATATATAATGTGTAATATATAATATTCGAATATTATATATAGTATTTAATATTATATGTAGTATTTTATTATATATTTTATTAAATTATTATATATTTTATTAAAATATATATTTTAATATTATTGATTTTATTAAAATATATATTTTAATATTATTGATTTTATTAAAATATTATATATATAACATTTTAATGTTATATATTTTATTATATATTATATATTTTAATACATATATTTTATTATATATTATATATATTTTAATATATATATTTTATTACATATTATATATATTTCATTATATATTATATATATTTTAATATATATTTTTATTATATATAATATATATTTTAATATTATATATATTTTATTATATATTATATACAATATTTTAATATTATATATTTTATTATATAATATATAATATTTTAATATTATATACATTTTATTATATATTATATATAATATTTTATATTTTATTATATATTGTATATAATATTTTAATATTATATATAATATTTTATATTTTATTATATATTATATATAATATTTTAATATATATATTTTATTATATATTATATATAATATTTTTATATATATTTTATTATATATTATATATAATATTTTAATATATATATTTTATTATATATTATATATAATATTTTATATTTTATTATATATTATATATAATATTTTAATATTATATATATTTTATTATATATTATATATTATATATAATATTAAATGTATATAATATTTTAATATTTTATATATAATATTACATATAAAATATTTTAACATTATATATAAAATATTTTAACATTATATATAATAAATATTTTAATATTTTATAATATTATAATATTATATAATATTTTATTTTTTATATATAATATTTTAATATTATATATTTTATTATATATTATATATAATATTATATAACATTAAATGTATATAATATTTTAATATTTTATATAATATTATCTATAATATTTTAATAGTTCATATATAATATTGTATACGTAATATTTGAATATTATATATAATATTTTAATATTATATATAATATTTGAATATTATATATAATATTTGAATATTATATTCATCATCATTATATATTATATATAATATTTTAATATTATATATAATATTTTAATATTATATATAATATTTTAATATTATATATAATATTTTAATATTATATATAATATATAATGATGACGATAATCATTATAATTATAATATATAATGATGACGTTAATCATTATAATTATAATTATAATGATGATCATCATTATAATTATAATATATAATGATGATCATCATTATAATATATAATGATGACGATAATCATAATTATAATATATAATGATGACGATAATCATAATTATAATATATAATGACGATAATCATTATAATTATAATATATAATGACGATAATCATTATAATTATAATATATAATGACGACGATAATCATAATTATAATGATGACGATAATCATTATAATTATAATAATAATGATGACGATAATCATTATAATTATAATAATAATGATGATGATAATCATTATAATTATAATATATGATTATGATAATCATTATAATTATAATATATAATGATTAAATCATTATAATTATAATATATAATGATGATGATAATCATTATAATTATAATATATAATGATTATGATAATCATTATAATTATATAATGATTATGATAATCATTATAATTATAATATATAATGATTATGATAATCATTATAATTATAATATATAATGATTATGATAATCATTATAATTATAATATATAATGATTATGATAATCATTATAATTATAATTATAATGATTATGATATTATATTTTATTTCTGCATTATATAAAATATATATTACATACTATATAATATATGATATATTAGAATATATAAAATATTGTATATAAGAATATTAAATCTTATATATAAAATATTGTATATAATATATAATAAGATATATATTATATATAAGATATATATGTTATATATAAATATAAATATACGTATAATATATAAATATAATACAATATAAATATAATGTATATTTATATATAATTATTTATTTATAATATAAATTTATTATAATATAATGTAAAATATATACAATTAAGACTAATATAATTATGTATTATAATAATATATTATATATAATTATATATTATATTATATATTATATTATATAATAATTATAATATTTTATATATAATTATATATTATATTATATAATATATAATAATATTGTTATAATATTAAATATTTCTACATCTTCAGTGACATGGCAGTTAAAGGTAGTGCCACGAGGTTAGGTTTTAGAGTAGGAAAAGTCTGCATTTCAGGCCTGGCTATGTGTTGAAATATTGGTTAAATATTTAATAGCATAGCATGTTTAGAAGTCAGTTTTCTTATTTCTAATGAGGATTCAATGCTGTCTTAATAGTTTTTTTTATTATTAGATTCCTCTGGCTGCTGTAAAAAATTGCCATAAACTTAGTGACTTAAAGCAACACAAATATACTATATTACAGTTCTGAAGGTCACGAGTCTGAAATGAGTTTCAGTCAGCTAAAATCCAAGGTATCAGCAGAGCTGCCTTCTTTCTGGAGGCTCCAGGGAGAACACATTCCCTACCTTTCTAGTTCTAAAGGCTGCCTGCATCCCTCAGCCCACATCCCTTGGCTCTTGGCTCCTTCCTCCATCTCAACATAAGCAATGGCTTGGCCAAGACTTTCTTGAGCTGAATCACTCTGACAGCCACTCTCCTGCCTCCCTCTTTCACTCTCACTCTTGCGATTACATTGAGACCACCCGAATAATCCAGCACAATCTCCCTATTGCAAGATCTTTAACTTAAAAATATCTGCAAATTCCCTTGTGCCATGTCATCTAACATACTCAAACATTTCAGGAATTAGGATTTGGATGTTTCTCTGGCTCATCATTCTGCCTACTGCAGTATTATGGAACAGCTTTTAAGAGAACATATGCACAAAATGTTTTAAATAGGCCAGTCATGATGACTCGTGCCTTAATCCCAGCACTTTAGAGGCCAAGGCAGGAGGATCGCTTGAGTCTAGGAGTTTGAGAACAGCCTGGGCAACATGGCAAGACCGTGTCTCTACAAAAATTAGCCAGGTGTGGTGACACATGCCTCTAGTCCCAGCTACTTGGGAGGCTGAGGTGGGAGGATTATGTGAGCCCAGGATTTTGATGCTGCAGTGAGCCATGATCACAACATTGCACTCCAGCTTGGGTGATAGAATAAGATCCTATCTCAAAAAAAAAAAAAGTTTAAAAATAATGCTATGTTAAAATGATTCCATTCCTCTTTCACACACTCTCTGTCTCCTCTCTCTCTCTCTCTCTCTCTCTCTCTCTCTCTCTCTCTCTCTCTCTCTCTCTCTCTCTCTCCCTCCCTCCCTCCTTTCTCTTCCTATTATGGCATTAGGTATTTTTAAATAGGTTTTTTGAAACTTTGGTCTGATTTTTATTTGTGGCACTTTTCTTTTCTCTCATTACTTTCTACCCTCTATCTTTCAACATTTATTTTATCATCCCTGAGACTTACGAAAAGTAATCCTGTTTGACAGTTTCTGCTTGCTATTCCCTTGTGATTGAACTATTTATATCTCCTTGCTATATTCACACATTATTCGCCTGCTCTCTATTCAGGCTTTTCTCTGTCACCTTTTTCGCCCGCTCTCTATTCAGGCTTTTCTCTGTCACCTTTTACGATGCATCATTTATGAACCATTTTCTTGAATGTTTTGACTATTATGTTACTTCTAGATGAGGAGTTTTTCTCTTGAGATACTAAATACACTGACAGTTCATGCTTGTGCAAAGCTCAGGATACCTTCTGGTTGCTCTGTTTTAGCACAATTCTGTTTAAAGGGAAATGTTTTATGGTAGGTTTGCATATTCTAAAGTTTCCTCGCATGTTTGAAGAACTGTTAATGGAGAAAGAATTTCATCAACCTTATATTTGAGTAGCACAGCAAAGTAGAACTTTATCAAATATCTAGTGAGCAAGATCAATGCAGACATCTAATATAAATAACACAGTACACAAAATGACATTAATGTTAAATTGAATTTTAGAAGTGCATGCAAAATGCAGTAAAATAAAGTGTAAATGGGAAATTGCTTAAGGTGTTTGGTCAATGTAGAATGCAAGAGTGGGTTGTTTGAAATAAGAAACAAGTGTTTTTGAAGCAAGAATGTCCTGATGAATATAATTTATCATTCCATTTACTACATAATATACTTTGAAACAATTTAATATTGCTTTCAAGAATGAAAATGGAGAGGGTCCTGTGCACCTTATTGGTGGTGTCCCCTCTTATTAATTGTTAACTGTTAGTAGCTACGATTTGGGTATGCTGGAACTAAATATATTCTAGAGCTATGCACTACTCACTAAAAATGTTTAAAATTATCAGTGATGTAATACTGTGTTGCAAAGTAAACAAAATCTGTATCCAAACAGTGCCAATAATTTATAATAAAACAAAAAATCCAACAATTATTCCAAATGTGGTTGAATTTGCATTTTAAAATATCCAGTTAATATACTGTTTTTTCTATGTTTATCTCAATATTTATCATTGTATAAGCACATTTTCCAGAAAATTGCTTTTGTCACTCTGCAATTGTCATTTAATGCCTAGACAATATTCCACCTGGATAAAATACTATACTAACTTATGATGATGCATTTTTTTTCTCGGTAAAGACAGAGATCATTCATTCTGCATAACAGTGGAGATATATTGCTAGTCAAAATTATATTTATGCTTTGTATAACATTATAAATAAATAAAATTATAATAAAAATTATCTTGTTTGACAGGAACACATGACAAGAACCCAACAACATCCCCGTCATTCATGTGTGAGACCGTGATTTAAATTGCTATGCCATGGACCAAAAATGGTTGTGTAGTGTGTTAAAGTTCGGGTATTATACATGAAATTTGATTCTCCTTGATTGACATTCATTTCACTTGGACCAAGTGAAGCTAGCCAAGACTAGGCCATCCAAAATATATTTACATTAGCAATTGATGGCTCTAATATCTATGCCACTGTGAAATATAAAGAAATAGAAATTTCAAATATAAGTCTTGACTTAGGTTAACAAAACCTATTAAACTTTAGGTCATACAGTTTATCAAATTATGAGACAATAACAACTTATGAGGTGCTGAGGTCTGATAGGAGAAGTTAGAAAATATGGAGAAAATCAGGGTACATTGAAGTCAGAAGAAAGGAGGCACAAAATGAACTGACTTCCTTACCTGGGGTGAAGCTTTTAGACAGAATGGATACACAAGAACACCAGGATGTTATTTTGCTTGATTTCTCGACCAGATAGGAGACATCTGGTAAGGGTTTTGGCAATATGAGGAGAAATTAAAGGAGAAAATGTCAACCATGCCCCATCTCTGAACATAGATTATGTGGTAGTGATCTCAACCCCATCTCGGTTCAACGCTGTAACACTTCTAAATAGGTGGTAGGCTGTGGCTCTACAGAGAGAGATGATGGGGCTGGTGGCCACAAGACAAAGAAATCAAGTAGCAAATGTACAAAAAATGGCTCTTAATGAAATGCAATAAAAAATTACCTTGACCTTGAAGAGACAAGGGCTTGGGCTGACAAACTTCATTTTTTTATTT
This sequence comes from Homo sapiens, assembly GCF_000001405.40. Classification (NCBI taxonomy): domain Eukaryota; kingdom Metazoa; phylum Chordata; class Mammalia; order Primates; family Hominidae; genus Homo; species Homo sapiens. Next base: position 54,401,018 of record NC_000007.14, read on the forward strand.
TTTATTTTTTTAGACGGAGTCTGACTCACTCTGTGCCCAGGCTAGAATGCAGTGGCGCGATCTCGGCTCACTGCAACTTCTGCCATCCCGGGTTCAAGCGATTCTCCTGCCACAACCTCCAGAGTAGCTGGGATTACAGGCTCCTGCCACCACATCTGGCTAATTTTTGTATTTTTAGTGGAGATGGGGTTTCACCATGTTGGCCAGGCTGGTCTCAAAATCCTGACCTCAAGTTATCCATCCACTTTGGCCTCCCAAAGTGCTGGGATTATAGGTGTGAGCTCTGCGCCTGGCCCAACCTTTCTAATAAATCTTTTTGTGAGCCTGGTCATGGCATAATACAGGTTTTTTGTTATCTAGAGTCATGACTGCACTATTGGCTAGAATGATCTGGAAAATTATCTACTGCAATTGCAAAGGTAGTAAGAACCTATTCAACATACACTATGTCTTTTGCATTGTTCAAAGACTTCATATACTTTGTCTAATTTAACACAACAATCAAGCCAGAAGAATACTCTTTTTAAATATAAAGATGAGAAAACTGAGAAGTGGAGAGGTCAACCCTCTAACCAGGCTCACTGTTTGATTGCTAAGCAGGTGTATAAACCAGATGTCTGGTTTTATCACATTTCTATTGAACATACAGATTTTTAAAAGTATTTAGATTAAATTGAGAACAAATATACAGCAACACTTCTTCAAAAGTCCTCTAGCCTTTGAGAATAGATATAACTGATAAATAAATATGTAATAATTATTAGTTTCAATATAAACCATATGAAAGTAAGAGACATTTACATCTGTAATCAACATCAATGTTTTCTGTAGCTTGTATGAATTGAAAAGGATATAATGTGTTCAGTCTGTTTTGTCTGACCATTTTCAAGTCTTGATGAAGACAGATAGTGAATTATTTGAATTGCTAATTACCACATACAATGTAACATAACACTTTAGAATGTTGAGAATTCATGTTGAGAATTATTACAGTAGTTTCTTCTTTTAATTTAATACTTACTGAAAAATGTAAAATTTGACTATTAAGCCACTTCATGTTTTATGTAAGAATTTCTTTCTTCTAAAAATTTAGTTAATTTAATTGAATTAATTTAATTAAAGCAACAGTCTGAAGACATCCAAATAAATGTATTGACTTAAAAAGAGCTTTAAAAATTAAGGAACTATTGATATAAAGTTGATTTATTGGTTAATTTCTAGAAATTAAATATTGAAGTTAATGAACTATAAAGCAGTATTAGAGTTCTCTTGGTCATCACAAATAAATTTTTCTGGTATCTATTAAAGATTAGGAAGAAAATTATTATACAACTCTTTCTAATCCTTTTTAATAAACCAAGTATTGGTTTTTTTTTCTAATGCACTTAATTTGTATGTTTAAGAAAACTACTTATATAGATGCTGAAGTGCATTGAAAAAATCAATACACTACTAAGGTTGGTATTTTTTTTAGCATTTTCTTTAGTTGATTATTTATAATGTGCCAGAAGCACCAATGGAATTCTTAACTTTTTGTCAGGTCTCTATTTTCTCCAGTTATCTACGTTTCAATTACAGCTAATTTTTATCCAAATTAAATAATACTTCTGGAAATTTTATAATAAGAAATTTCATAAAATGATTCTAAACCAAATTGTGGAATTCAGGGAGTTTATTCTGGTCAGTCTAGAATGGAGTAGGGCTTGCGAAAAAATAACTCCATTTAATGTGTATTTATATTTAAATCTACAAGCATAACATCCCACATGCTATGATCATATAAAAGTAAGAGACATTTATATTAAACTAAAATTTTATTTTAATATTATATTTTGTAACATTTTAATATTCAGTTGTGTTATATTTTGTCAAATTTAAAAATCTATGTTAAAGAATTCAAATACAGTACTTAATAGTTTTATAACTAATAGTAAAATGCAAAAACAAGAAAGAAACCAGTTTTTATATTTGAACAAATACAAATACATACAATTCCAATATTTAAACTAAGAGATATATCATTAAAATAATAGCAGAAATATAGAAGTAGATATAACAGTCCATCAAATTGCACAGCTCCTAAAAGTGATATTATTCTTATATTTTTTATAGTTATAAGGACAAATTTACAGTCAAAAAATTATGTGAAAAAAATAAAATTGAAATTCTTAAATCAATCAGTTCAATAAAATGCTAAATAAAATAATATTTTGAGCAATATAAATATCCCTAATCATCAATTGTATTTTTTTTCCTTAAACTTTTAAGTTCAGGGGTACATGTGCAAGATGTGATTTGTTATATAGGTAAACATGTGCCATGGTGGTTTGCTGCACAGATCATGCCATCACCTAAGTATTAAGCTCAGAATTCATTAGCTATTCTTCCTGATGCTCTCTCTTCCCCCACCCCTAAAAGGCTCCAGTGTTTCCCGCCATATGTCCATGTGTTCTCATCACGCAGCTCATACTTACAACATGCAGCATTTGGTTTTCTCTTTCTGCATTAGTTTGCTGAGAAGAACGGCTTCCAACTCCATCCATGTCTCTGCAAAGAACATGATCTTGTTCTTTTCTATGGCTGCATAGTGTTCCATGGTGTATAAGTACCACATTTTCTTTATACAGTCTGTCATTAATGGGCGTTTAGGTTGATTCTATGTCTTTGCTATTGTGAATAGTGCTGCAAAGAACATACACATGATGTATCTTTATAATAAAATGATTTCTCTTTCTTTGGATATATACCCAGTAATGGGATTGCTGGGTCAAATGGTATTTCTGCCTCTAGGCCTTTGAGGAATCATCACACTGTCTTCCAGAATGTTTGAACTAATTTACACTCCCAACAGTGTGAAAGAGTTCCTTTTTCTCCACAACGTCATCAGCATCTGTTTTTTTTTTTTGACTTTTTAATAATTGGCATTCTGACTGATGTAAGATGGTATATCATTGTGGTTGTGATTTACATTTTTCTAATGATCAGTAATGTTGAGCATTTTTTCATGTTTGTTGGCTGCATAAATGTCTTCTGAGAAGTAGTCTGTTCATGTCCTTTGCCCACTGTTTAATAGGGTTAAGTTAATTTGTTTAATTTGTTTAAGTTCTATGTAGACTGGATATTAGACCTTTGTCAGATGGATAGATTGCAAAAATTTTTATCTCATTCTGTAGTTTGTCAATTAACTCTGATGATAATTTCTTTTGCCGGGAAGTTCTTTAGTTTAATTAGATCCCATTTGTCAATATTTGCTTTTGTTACAATTGCTTTTGACGTTTTCATCATGAAATCTTTGCCCATGCCTGTGTCCTGAATGGTATTGCCAAGATTTTCTCCTAGGGTTTTTAGAGTTTGGGGTTTTACATTTAAGTCTTTAATCCATCTTGAGTTAATTTTTGTATATTGTGTAAGGAAGAGGTCCAATTTCCATTTTCTACATATGGCTAGCCAGTACTCCCGGCACCATTTACTAAATAGGGAGTCCTTTCTCCATTGCTTGTTTTTGTCAAGTTCACTGAAGATCAAATGGTTGTAAGTGTGTGGTCTTATTTCTGAATTCTCTATTCTGTTCCATTGGTCTAGATGTCTGTTGTTGTACCAGTACCATGCTGTTTTGTTTACTGTAGCCTCACAGTACAGATTGAAGCCAGGTAGTGTGATGCTTCCAGCTTTGTTCTTTTTGTTTAGAATTGCCTTGGCTATTTGGGCTCTTTTTTGGTTCCAGGTGAATTTTTAAATAGTTTTTCTAATTCTGTGAAGAATTTAAACGGTGGTTTAATAGGAATAGCATTGAATTTATAAATTACTTTGGGCAGTATGACCATTTTCATGATATTGATTCTTCCTATCCATGAACATGGAATGTTTTTCCATTTCTTTGTGTCATCTCTGATTTCTTTGAGCAGTGGCTTATAATTCTCTTTGAAGAGGTTCTTCACTTCCCTCATTAGCTGTATTCCTAGGTATTTTATTTCTTTTGTAGCAATTGTTAATAAGAGTTCATTCATAGTTTGGCTCTCTGCTTGCCCATTGTTGGTGCATAGAAATGCTAGGGACTTTTGCACATTAATTTCATATCCTGAGATTTTGCTAAAGTTGCTTATCAGCTTAAGAAGCTTTTGTGCTGAAATGATTGAGTTTTCTAGAATAAAATCATGTCATGTGCAAACAGTGACAATTTGACTTTCTCTCCTCCTGTTTGAATACCTTTTATTTCTTTCTCTTGCCTGATTGCTCTGGCCAGAACTTGCAATACTAAGGTGAATAGGAGTGGTGAGAGAGGGCAGCCTTGTCTTGGGCTGCTTTTCAAGGGGAATGCTTCTAGCTTTTGCCCACTCAGTATGATATTGGCTGTGGGTTTATCATATATGGCTCTTAATATTTTGAGGTATGTTCCTTCAGCACCTAGCTTATTGAAAGTTTTTAACGTAAAGGGATTTTAAATTTTATTGAAGGCCTTTTCTGCACCTGTTAAGATAATCATGTGGTTTTTGTCTTTAGTTCTGTTTATGTGATGAATCACATTTATTGATTTGTGTATGCTGAACCAAGAAGCTTGCATCCCAGGGGTGAAGCCAACTTGATCATGGTGGATAAGCTTTTTGATGTGCTGCTAGACTCAGTTTGTCAGTATCTTATTGAGGATTTTTGCATCAGTGTTCATCAAGGACAATAGACTAAAATTTTCTTTTATTGTATCTCTGCTAGGTTTTGGTATCAGGATGATGCTGCCCTCATAGAATCACTTAGGGAGGAGTCCCTCCTTTTCAATTTTTTGGAATAGTTTCAGTAGAAATGGTACCAGCCCTTCTTAGTACCTCTAATAGAATTCATCTATGAATCTATCTAGTCCTGGGCTTTTTTTGGTTGGTAGGCTATTTATTACTGCCTTAATTTCAGAACTCATTATTGGTGTATTCAGGGATTCAATTTCTTCCTGGTTCAGTCTTGGAAGGGTGTATGTGTCCAGAAATATAACCATTTCTTCTAGATTTTCTAGTTTATGTACATAGAGGTGTTTATGGTATTCTCTGATGGTTGTTTGTATTACTGTGGGGTCAGTGATAACATCCCCTTTATCATTTCTGATTGTATTTATTTTATTCTTCTGTCTTTTCTTCTTTATTAGTCTAGCTAGCAGTCTATTTTATTAACTTTTTCAAAAGACTAGCTTCTCAATTTGTTGGTTTTTTTGAAGTATTTTTTATGTCTCTATCTCCTTCATTTCAGCTCTGATCTTGGTTATTTCTTGTCTTCTGCTAGATTGGGGGTTTGTTTGCTCTTAGTTATCTAGTTCTTTTAGTTGAGACGTTAGGTCATTAACTTGAGATTTTTCTAGTGTTTTGATGTGGGCATTCAGTGTTATAACTTTCCCTCTTAACACTGCTTTAGCTGCATCTCAGAGATTCTAGTACGTTGTCTCTTTGTTCTCATTAGTTTCAAATAAGTTCTTGATTTCTGCCTTAATTTCATGATTTACCCAAGAGTCATTCAGGAGCAAGTTGTTCAATTTCCATGTAGCTGTGTGGTTTGAGTGAATTTCTTAGTCTTGATTTCTAATTTGATTGCACTCTGGTCTGGGAGACTGTTTATGATTATTTTAGTTCTTTTGCATTTACCGAGGAGTGTTTTACTTCTGATTATGTGATCAATTTTAGAGTAAGTGCCATGTGGTGATGAGAAGAATATATATCCTATTGAATTTGTGTGGAGAGTCCTGTAGATATCTATCAGGTCCACTTGATTCAGAGCTGAGTTCAGGTCCTGTATATCTTTGTTAATTTTCTGTCTTAATAATTTGTCTAATACTGTCAGTGGGGTGTTAAAGCCTCCCACTATTATTATGTGGGAGTCTAAGTCTCTTTGTAGGTCTCTAAGAACTTGCTTTATGAATCTGGGTGCTCCTGTATTGGGTGCATACATATTTAAGATAGTTAGCTCTTCTTATTAAATTGAACCCTTTACCATTATGTAATGCCCTTCTTTGTCTTTTTTGATCATTGTTAGGTTAAAGTCTGTTGTGTCAGAAACTAGGATTGCAAGCCTTGCTTTGTTGTGTTTTCCATTTGCTTGGTAAATTTCCCTCCAACCCTTTATTTCGAGCCTATATGTGTCTTTGCATGTGAGATGGGCCTTTTGAAGACAGCATACCTATGGATTTTGGCTCTTTATCCAGTTTGCCATTCCATGCCTTTTAATTGGGGCATTTAGCTCACTTAAATTTAAGGTTAGTATTGTTATGTATGAATTTGATCCTGCAATCATGATGCTAACTGGTTATTTTGCAGACTTGTTTATGTGGTTGTTTCATAGTGTTACTTGTCTGTGTATTTTGGTGTGTTTTTGTAGTGGCTGGTAATGTTTTTTCCCTTTCCATATTTAGTGCTTCCTTCAGGAGCTCTTGCAAGGCAGGCCTGTTGGTAATGAATTCTCTAAGCATTTACTTGTCTGAAAAGGATCTTATTTCTCCTTCACTTATGAAGCTTAGTTTGGCCAGATATGAAATTCTGGGTGGGAAATTCTTTTCTTTAAGAATGTTGAATATTGGCCCTCAATTTCTTCTGGGTTGTAGGGTTTCCACTGAGAGGTCTGCTGTTAGTCTGATGGGTTTCTCTTTGTAGGTGACCAGGTCTTTCTTTCTGGCTGACTTTAACATCTTTTTTTTTCATTTCAACCTTGAAGAATCTGATAATTATATACCTTGTGGTTGATTTTCTTCTGGAGTATTTTATTGGGGTTCTCTGCATTTCATGAATTTGAATGTTGGCTCATCTTCCTAAGTTGGGAGAGTTCTCCTGGATGATATCCTGGAGTATATTTCCCAACTTGGTTCTGTTCTCCCAATCTCTTTCAGATACCCCAATCAGTGATAGGTTTGGTCTCTTTACATAATCCCATATTTCTCAGAGGTTTTGTTCAATCCATTTCATTTTTTCTTTATTCTTGTTTGCTTGTCTTATTTCAGAAAGAGAGTCTTCACACTTGGAGATTCTTTCCTCCGCTTGGTCTACTCTTCTACTGATACTTGTGATTGCACTGTGAGGTCCTCATATTGCATTTTTCAGCTCCATCAGGTCAATTATGTCCCTCTCTATACTAGCTATTCTGCCTATCAGCTCCTGTATTGTTTTATCTTGATTCTTAGCTTCTTTGCATCAGGTTACAACATGCTCCTCTAGCTCAGCAAAGTTCATTACTACCTACCTTCTGAAGCTTATGTCTATCAGTTCAGCCATCTCAGCCTTAGCCTAGTTCTGTGCTTTTGGAGGAGAAGAGGCACACTGGCTTTTTGAGTTTTCAGTGTTTTTGTATCAATTTTTTCTAAACTTTGTGGGCTTATCTACCAGCAACTGTATTTGTAATTTCTCATTATTAACTCCTATAACAGAATCGATATAGAAATGGAAGAGGTAAAGATTGAAAATACACTACTGGCTTAACCCAATGTACTCTCATCTGTTTGCAAAAATTAAGTGGGTAGCTATAATTACGGGGTGAAAAGATGTTTTGGTTATACAGATAAAAGAGAAAGTTATTCGTATTAATACTCAGCCCTGGTTCATGCTCTTGTCCTTGTGACATCTGTGTTCTGTAAGGAAAAAGACCACCCTGTGGCCAAAAGGAAGAATATGACATCTTTTTACAATATCCTTGAAAACTTCCAGTCTATTCTTAAGGGACAATGTGTTTGAAGAGTTTCAGATTGGTAATGAGGAAACACAGATGATAGTGATTATGATAATGATCATAATAACATTCCATAAACTTATCTATCTTGTAAAGTAGAGAATATTTAACAACTTTAAAGTATTCATACTAGTGTATGATTGCAAGACTGGTACGTCTCCATTTAACCCATGAATCACAGATAGACTCAATAAGGTTAAATAACGTATCTAAAGATGCAATATCAGGAGGTGTCAAGACCTGGTAACATTCAATCATCATATGCCAATCTCAAGATAAATTTCATTATCTCATAGTTGACTTTAGTACTAATTCTTCATTTACCACTAAGGAGTGTTCTGATCAACAGTTGGCCAGCAAGCTTGTGGAAGCCATGGGCATTGGAACATATAGTACATATATTTAACTTGATAATAAATTACCAAACTATTTTCCATGGTGTGTGTACCATTTTGTTTTCCTACAATCACTGAACAAAAATATTTTCAATTGCTCAGTATAGTCACTAATGCTTGGTATTGTTATTGCTTTTTACAACTGTAACCATTTTAGTAGGTTTATAGTGGTATCTCATTGAGGTTTAATTTACATTTCCCCGATGAATAATAATGTTGGATATCTTTTAATATGCCAAATTTTCATTTGTATATTTTGGGGGGAAGTGTTTGTTTAGATCTTCTGCCATTTTCAAAATTGCTCAATTTACCTATTGTTTATCTATTTACCTATTGTTGAGTGTCAGAAGTTCTTTATATATTCTGGACACAATTATTTGAGGTCAGTAATTTGATTTGCAAACTTTTCTGTCAATCTGAATCTTGTCTTTTTAAGTTCTTAACAAGGTTTTCAGCACAGAACATTTTTTAAAGTTTTCATAAAGGCCAATTTTACATTTTTTCCTTCATGGGTTGTTACTTTAGTATAGTATCTAAAAACTCTTTGTAAGATTGATACCAGAAACATTGTGAAATAGGACTTTCCAGGGCTTGTCCCGCTACAGAAATGTCAATTTGAATAACTGTACATGCACAGAAATAGCTTCATAAGAGCTAAGAAATCCAGGTAAGAGATTACAGCACCTAGGTATAGCACAGAAAAGACACATTGAAGAGGGCAGTGCAAATAGAGATAATATCCATGTGGTCAAAAGCAAGTAAAGTGAGAACCCAGCTTTGCTGTAGATGCAAGCCCCAGTAACATCTGACCCCAGATCAAACACCAACGCTCCAGGTTCCAGAATGGCCTCCACAGCCTCAGGTTCTAGACATGCCTGGGGCTCGAAACAGGCCCCTGTGCTAGGTTAGTACTCCACAGATCTAGCCTCCAGGCTTGCCACAGCACCAGGCTCATTGCCGCAGCCCCAGGATCCAGGTCTGCACCACCACACAGTGAGCCACAGTTTGCAGGACAGCATCCACAGACTCAGCCTCCAGGCCCACCCCAGACCCAGGTCAGCACCCATAGACCAGGCTGCCTTTTGTGGTCCCAGACACCAAGCAGGCATCTGCTGCTCCATCCTCCAGGAAAGCCAGGGTCCAGGCCCACTCCAGCAGACCCAGGGTTCAATGCCAACTCAGTAGACCATGGTACTGGACCAGCCTCCAAGGATGCAGGCTTCAAGATTACTCCTATGGATACAGGCTCCAGGCATGTTCCCATTACCGAAGAACCAGGTCAATCTCTACAGACCCAGCCTCCAGGTCAACCCCAGCATGGTCAGACTATTCCTGACCAAGGCCCCAGATCTCAGACTATTCCTCAGGGGACTGTCTTAGGCCAACACCTAAAGACCAAACATTCAAGTCAATTCTGCAAACCCAAGCTGCAGGCCAACCTTGTGGCCCCAGATGCCAGCACCATGGACTCTAAATTCTGCCTGGCCCCTCTGGAACCAGGAACCAGAGTAACCCCTCTGGACCCAGCCTGGCCTAGGCACTAAACCAGGCTACACAAAGTTTTCCAGAAACAAGTCAGCTGACACAGCTCACCAGATTACCTGCCCGTAATCTCTGGATAAACTAACTGGTAGAGGGCTTTCACTGCAGAAGCTAGTCTGTAAAAACTGAAATAGATGTCTCCTTCAAATGCATAGACACCAATACATAGTCATAAGTTACACAAATAGTTGGGAAACATGACACCACTAACAGGGAGCACCAGTAACAGACCATAAAGAAATGGAAGCACCAGTGACAGATCCTAAAGAAATGAAAGTCTATGAATTGCCTAAAAAGAATTTTAAAAGCTTATTTTAAAGAATCTCAGTGAGTTATAACAAAACAGAGATAGACAATAAAAGATATCATAAAAACAATATACAAACAAAATTAGAAGTTCAACCAAGAGATGTAAATCATAAAAAGAACCAAACCAAAATTCTGGAGCTAAAAACCACAATGACTGATCTAAAAAGTTCCATGGAGAACTTTGATAGCAGACTTAATCAAACAGAAGAAAAAAATCAGTGGGCTCAAACAAAGGTCATTTGAGATTACCCAGTCAGAGGAACATAAAGAAAAAATAATGAAAACAGGTAAAGAAAGGGTACAAGACTTATGTATGGGACACCATCAAGGGGGCAAACATATGCATTACAGGAGTCCTGGTGGAACTAAAAAAGAGAAAAGGGAAGAAAGTTTATTTAAAGAAATAATGACAAAAAACTTCCCAAATCTGGAGAGGGAAATGAACATCAAAATCCATAAAGTTCAAAGAATCCCAAATAAAGATAAAGACATGGATGTCCAATCTTTTGACTTCCCTGGGCCACATTGGAAGAAGAATTGTCTTGAGCCATACATAAAATGCACTAACACTAACAATAGCTGATGAGCTAAAAAAAAAAAAAATCACAAAAAAGCTCATAATGTTTATAAAAAGCTTACAAATTTGTATTGGACCACATTCAAAGCCATCCCGGGTCATATGTAATTCAAGGGCCATGGGTTAGACAATCTTGGTTAAAGAGATCTGAGACATTTTATAATCAAATTCTTAAGTCAAAGACAAAGAGAGAATTTTGAAACTTATAAGAGAAAAGAAACTAATTAATTCAAGCAAACCTTTATAAGGCTATCAACAGATTTATCAGCAGAAATGTATAGGCCAGGAGACAACAGAAAGTGGAATGACATACTCAAAGTGCTAAAAGAACAAAAAGCAAACTTACCAAACAACAATACTACAGTCAGCAAAGATGTTCTTCACAAATGGAGAAATAAGGACTTACCCAGACAAAACTGTGGGAGTTCATCACCAGTGAACCTGCCTAATGAGAAAAGGTAAAGAGAGTATAGGAATGTGAAAAGCTTAATGTAAAGGTAAGAATGTAGTCAAATTTAGAATTCTCTAATACTGTAATGGTGTTTCATAAATCACTTGTAACTCTAGAATGATAATTGAAAGACAAAAGTATTAAAAATGAATATAGCTATAATAATTTGTTAATGGATACACAATATATAAAGAGTGTAAATTATGAAACTGATACCATAATATGTTGGGAAGAAAAGTCGATGTTTAGCGTTTTCATTGTGATGAAGTTAAGTTGTTATCAGATTCAAATAAACTCATAACTATAAGATGCTTTATGTAAGCCTGATGATAATCACAAAAACATCCCAAAACCTATAGTAGATATACAAAAATAACTAGCACTACAAAAAAAATCAAATCATAAAGGGAAAAAGCAAATGAGAAAGAAAGGAACAAAGGAACTATAAAATAGTAAGAAAACTATTAAAATGGCAGTAGTAAGTCCTTAAATAATAAAGTAATCATTTGAAATAATTATTTTAAATGTAAATGAATTAAATTATTCAATCAAAAGACATAGATAACTGAATGAATAAAAACACAAGATCCAACTATATGCTGCCTACATAATAGTCACTTAGCTTTAAGGACACATATAGGCTGAAACTGAAGTGATGGGAAAAATATGCAAATGAAAGGAAAATGATGGCAGGTGTAGCTATACTTAAATATTTTCTATTGTTTTACTAATCCCTATTTTATTCATTTTGGCTCCAATCTTTATCAGTTCCTTCCTTTTTCTGACTTAGTTTCTACTTCCTTGAGGTGTACAGTTAGATTGTTTATTTGAGATTTTTCTTTTTTTCTTAATGTAGGCATTTATGGTTATAAGTCAAAGCTGTAAAAAGAGACAAAGAAAATTATTATACAATAATAAAGTGATCAATTCATCAAGTGTATATAGCAATTGTAAATATATATGCACCCAACATCAGAGTGCCTAAATATATAAAGTTCATATTAACAGAACTGAAGGGAGAAATAGCAATGCAATAACACTAGGGAAATACAATGCCCTACTTTCAACAACAAATAAATTATTCAGATAGATAGTCAATAAGGAAACTTTGAATTTGAACTACACTTTACACCAAGTAAGTCTAATAGACATATACAGAACATTCTACCCAGAAACAGAAGAATACACATTCTTTTCAACTCACATTGAACATTCTCCAGGATAGAATATACATTAGGCCACAAAGCAAATCTTAGAAATTTAAGAAGATTTAAATAATATCGAGTATCTTTTCTGACCACAATAGTATTAAATTAGAACTTAATGACAACAGAAAAACTGAAAAATGCACAAATAGGTGGAAATAAAACAGACACCTGAAAAACAAATGACTGAAAGAAGAAATCAAAAGGAAAATCAATCAAAAATATCTTCACACAAATGAATATGTAGATACAACATACCAAAGATTATGAAATATAGCAAAGCAGTTCTAAAAGGTAAATATAAAGCAATACACACCTACATTAAGAAGAAAAAAAGATCTCAAAGAAACAACTAAACTTTACACTTCAAGAAAACAGAAATGAAGAACAGCCTAAGCCCAAAATCAGAAAAAGAAAAAAAAATAAAGATTAGAGCAGAAATAAATAAAAGAGAAACTAGTAAAATAATAGAAAAGACCAATTAAACTAAGAGGTGTTTCTTTGAAAAGATAAATAAAATAGACAAATCTTTAGCTAGACTTACAAAAAAAAAATCCCAGAGAAGATCCAAATAAGTAAAATGAAAGAGGAGACATTACAACTGATATCACAGAAGGACAGAGGATTATAAGAAACTATTATGAACAATTATACACCCAAAAATTTGATAACCTAGAAGAAATGGATAAATTCATAGATGCATACAACTCACAAAAACTAAATTCTGAAGAAAGAGAGAATGTGAACAGATCGATAATAAGTAGGGACATTGAATCAGTAATCAATAATCTCCCAACAAAGAAAAGCTCAGGACATGATGGCCTACTGGTGAATCCTACCAAACACTTGAATAAATGCCAATTCTTCTCAAACTCTTCCAAAATATTGAAGACAAAGGAACACTTCCAAACTCATTTTACATGACCATAATTACCCCAATACCAAAGCCAGACAAGGATACTACAAGAAAAGAAAATTTCAGGCCAATATCCCAGATAAAGATACATGCAAGAATTCTCAACAAAATACTAGCAAACTGAATTCAACAGTGCAGTAAAGGATCATACACGATGTTTCTATCTGGGATGCAAGAATGATTCAACATACACAAATCAATAAATGTGGTACATCATATTAACAAAATAAAGGATAAAGATCCTATTACCATCTCAATAGATTCAGAAAAGCCATCACAAAATTCAAGTATCTTCTATGGTAAAAACTCCCAACAAATTAAGTATATAAGGTATTTACCTCATTGTAACAGAGGCCATATGTGACAAACCCAGAACTAGTATACTCAATGGTGGGAAGCTGAAAGTTTTTTCTGTAAATCTGGAGCAAGACAGCTGGGCGCAGTGGCTCACGCCTGTAATCCCAGAACTTTGGGAGGCTGAGGAGGGCGGATCACAAGGTCAGGAGATCGAGACCACCTTGGTTAACACGGTGAAACCCTGTCTCTACTACAAATACAAAAAATTAGCCAGGCGCGGTGGCATGCACCTGTAGTCCCAGCTACTTGGGAGGCTGAGGCTGGAGAATGACTTGAACCTGGGAGGCGGAGGTTGCAGTGAGCTGAGATTGTGCCACTGCACTCCAGCCTGGGTGACAGAGCAGGACTTTGTCTCAAAAAATATATATATATATATCTGGAGCAAGGCAAAGATGCTCACTCCTGCCACTTCTATTCAATACAGTACTAGAAATCCGAGCAAGAGCATTTAGGCAAGAAAAAGAAATAAAAGGCATACAAAATAGAAAAGAAGAAGTGAACTGTTTTTGTTTGCAAATGACATAATTTTACAGATATACAAAACCTTAGAATTCCACTAAAAAACTGTTAGAAGTAACAAATGATTTCAGTGAAGTTGCAAGGTACAAAATCTATATATAAAAACCAGTAGCATTTTTATATACTAACAAAAAAAACTATTATATAAAAAAGCCAACAAATCAATCACATTTATAATAGCAACAAAAGGAATAAAATATTTAGGAATAAATTTAACTCAGGAGGTGAAAAGTCTGTATACTAAACATTATAGAATATTGATGAAAGAAATTGAAGAAGACACAAATAGAAAGATATTCTGTGCTCATTAATTGGAAAAATTAATATTATTGAAATGTTCATATTACCCAAGGCAATCCACAGATTCAGTAGAATTCCTATAACATTTCCAATATTTTTCACTGACATAGAAAAAATCCTAAAATTTATATAGAACCATAAAAGACCCTGAATAGCTAAAGCAATCTTGAGCAAAAAGAACAAAGCTGGAGGCACTGCTTTACCTGATTTCAAGATCTACTACAAAGCTATAGTAATCAAAACAGCATGGTACTTGTATAAAAACAGTCATATAGACCAATGGAACAGAATAGGTAGCCAATAAATAAATCCACACATTTACAGTCAATTGATTTGCAGCAAAGACACCAAGAACATACAATGGGTAAAGGACAGCCTTTTCAATAAGTCGTTCTGGGAAAACTGGATATTCACACACAGAGCAATGAAATTAGACCTTGTCTCACACGATATACAAAAATAAACTCAAAATGGATTAAAGACATATGTAAGACCTGAAACTGTAAAACTACTAGAAGAAAACAGAGAGAAAGCTCTATGACATTGGTCTGGGCAATTTTTTTTGATATGACCCCAAAAGCACAGGAAACAAAAGCAAAAATAAAGAAGTGGTATGACATCAAACTAACAAGCTTCTGCTACACAGCAAAGGAAACAATCAACAGAGTGTAGAGACAACCTAAATAATGAGACAGAATATTTGCAAATCATGTGACTGATGAGGGGTTTATATCCAAAATACATAAGAAACTCAAACAACTTTATAGCATGAAAACAAATAACCCAATTAAAAATGTGCAAAGTACCTGAATAGACATTTCTACAAAGAAGGCATACAAATGGCCACCAAGTATACAGAAAAATGCTCAACATTACTAATTAGCAGAAAAATGGAAATCAGAACCACAATGAGATATCACCTCCCACCTGCTAGAATGGCTGTTATCAAAAATTTTAAAAATAAAAAAACAAGTATTGGTGAGGATGTGGAAAACAAACACTTGTACATGGTTAGTGGAAACGTAAGCTAGTTGAGTCATTATGGAAAACAGCACGGAGATTCTGCAAAAAATTAAAAATAGAATTACTATAAGATCCAGCAATTTGGTTTCTGGGTATATATCCAGAGGAAATGAAATCGATGTGTCATTAATGTATCCTATTCCCATGTCTACTGCAGCATTCTTTACAATAGCCAAGAGATGGAATCAACCTAAGTGTCCATGGACAGATAATGTTATGTACATACACTATTATATATACATAATACCATATATATTATTATATACAGACTATTAGACTATTTTATACATATATAGTCTAGTCTATATAATAGTCATAGACTATTAAATATAATATATTTATATATATATATATATATATATACAGGAAAATTATTTAGTCTTTAAAAAGCAGGATATCCTATTATTTGAGCAACAGGGATAAAGCTGGAGTACTTTATGTTAAGTGAAATAAGCCAGGCACAGAAAGACAAATACTCAAATGTGGAATCTAAAAAAGCAGAACTCATGGAAGCAGAGAGTAGAATGGTGGTTGCCAGGGACTGAGACTGGTGGGAAAAATAGGGTGATATTAGTCAAAGGGTACAAAAGTGTAGTTAAGCAGGATGAATACGTTCTGGAGAGCTACTGCATACCATGATGACTATAGTTAACAATACAGTATTGTATACTCGAAATTTGCTGAAAGTAGATTTTTAAATGTTCTCACTACACGAAAAAGGGTAACTATGTCAGGTAATGAATATGTTAATTAGCTTAATTGTACTCATTTCACAATGTATATGCATCTCAAACATCACTTCAACATATAAAGTTTTATTTGTAAAACCTCAATAAAGCTGAAAAAAAAGAGAAACACTTCTTTCTCTAAAAGGTACAGATAAAATATAAACACCTTTTATCCAACTAAAACTGCTAAAAACACTATGATTAGTCTTAATACTTTTTTCCTATATTAAGATTTTCTTTGTGGACAATTCTATTATTTTATAAATACCTTATTTTTTCCTTTACTATTCTTAATTTGCTTAGATTTTATTTTTACTTGTCTTTTGCATTTGCTAGAAACTTCAATGATCCATGTATTTTTATATAGTCAATTGATTACATATTGGACATGAAATCAGTAAGATTTTTAAATCCTTAATAATGGCTTAAAAGGAATCCCAGAGGACCCTGCAGGCCTCAAACCTCAACTCTGTTTGACAGTGAGGTTCATTTTTGAACCTCACTGTTCACTTGTTTTGCTTCCCTCATTCATATAAGTAAATATATCTGAGATACATTATTTTTGTTACCTAATCAGATCAGCTAATGATTTTAGTTGATCTTGGTTTTCATGTGATGAAAAATAACTGCAAACATACTATTTTGTATGGTCTACCTGATCATTTTGGCCTTTGTTGTTGTTTTTAGCATTAGGTGTAATGTTATAGACACCATCACCCAATTCATACTGATTTCCACACTCATTTAGATTAACAGGAGCATGGTGAGTTCTCTATATGAAGCATAGAATAAATTCTAGAATACTAAATAGAAGAGCCATTCTCTTACATGTGAATGGCATAATGAACTATGCTAATAATGTTCAGCAGCACAGAGGACCCACTGGATCTACACTAAGGTACAGAAAAAAAAAACGGGTTTCAGAGTTGACTCACCAAATTGATGTTAATGTGACTGAAAATTCCTTCTCTTAGAATAGCAAATACCCCTTATAAAATCTTATTTACACCTAACTCACTTGCCAACATGGTTTATCTCTAAATTGCATAAATAGCATTCTTCCTTTTCAAATTATCTCAAATACTTTACTAATAGACTCTAAATTAATAAGGATTTGCTGTATTTCAGCTACTCCATAATCAAATAGGCAATTTTTTGTCAGCTTAGAATGAAAGCCTTTTAGTTGTTTAAAAAAACTAAAAATAACAAAAATTAATAAAATGTAAACTATGTTAGGGCATCACTTTCCTGATTTTTTATGCACTATGATAGAAATATAAAATATAAACACAAAATACCTTCTTTGTTATACATAGAAATTTTCTATTTTATGTTGCTTCTCAGCAGGAAAACATTTTCAAATGAATGTGCAAAATAATGAGATAAAGGAATGCTTAAAAACATTTTCTTAAATTTAGCCTTTAAGAAACATATATACATGTTTCTTAAACATATACATATATAGAGAACATATGTATATGTTCTCTATATATATAAGTGTTAATCATATAAAGTGGTATGGAGTAGTGGTGATGTAAGATCATACAGAACAGCAACAACAAAAGTCTTGGGGGTGAACTTTCAAGCATGTTTTTAATAAATTATATAATTTCAGTTTTAAATATGTGTATATATAATTTTAAAAATAGATGTTACTAAGCATCATCTTACATGAAAATAACTACTCTCAGGCATGTGTTTTGCCCCTCCATGTTCTTCTTTTCTGATTATGAAAGTGAGTTTCTGATGAGCTGATTTCAGGGGATTTAGCTGGGTTTACAGCAGCAAGTGGAAGGAATTTCAAGCATTGCCTTCTAACACGTAGATACACGGGGCATGTGGGTGGCACATTCACAACTGGATCCGGACGGAACAGTCTCCAGACTATTCCAACCAGATCAGAAGTTTTACCTTGGGGTCCATGAATAGGCTTTGTCTTCGGAATACCTGAAACTGTGCTCATCTTTTGGTTCTCTCTCTCTCTCTCTCTCTCTCTCTCTCTCTCTCTCTTTCTCCCTCTCTCTCTCTTTCCTTTTTAAGGAAGACAACTCAGATGTTTCTATCAGAGTCTCAGTGGCGTCTAAGACCTGAGGAAGTGAAAGCACTCCTTAGCTAGAGAAAGACAAAAACACACCTCTGAGTAACTCCGCCTGGTGTATTTGACACGGTCTCCTTTTCTTAGGACCTGTGAGAAGGTACAGACGTTTATTCAAACAGAAAAGGAAAGCATCTCTGCACATTCCCGCAAACCCTACGCCATCTTTTAAAATGTTAAAATTCAAGAGTTTGGAGTGTTTTTCACAGCGGGAGGGGAATCCTAGGAATTGCTTAATAAAAAAACCTAGGCAGCCCCGGAGTCAAAGCCGGTTCCCGGCCTGATCCCGTCCCGCAACAGCCTGCCTCCTCTTTCCTTTCAACATGACAGATGCCGCTGTGTCCTTCGCCAAGGACTTCCTGGCAGGTGGAGTGGCCGAAGCCATCTCCAAGACAGCGGTAGCGCCCATCGAGCAGGTCAAGCTGCTGCTGCAGGTGCAGCATGCCAGCAAGCAGATCACCTCAGCTAAGCAATACAAGGGCATTATAGACTGCGTGGTCGTATTCCCAAGAAGCAGGGAGTCCTGTCCTGGCGCGGTAACCTGGCCAATGCCATCAGATACTTCCCCACCCAGGCTTTTAACTTCGCCTTCAAAGATAAATACAAGCAGATCTTCCTGGGTGGTGTGGACAAAAGACTCAGTTTGGGCGCTACTTTGCAGGGAATCTGGCATCAGGAGGTGCCGCTGGGGCCACATACTTGTGTTTTGTGTACCCTCTTGATTTTGCCCGTACCTGTCTAGCAGCTAATGTGGGTAAAGCTGAAGCTGAAAGGGAATTCCGAGGCCTCTGTGACTGCCTGGTTAAGATCTACAAATCTGATGGGATTAAGGGCCTGTACCAAGGCTTTAACGTGTCTATGCAGGGTATTATCCGAGCTGCCTACTTCGGTATCTATGACACCGCAAAGGGAATGCTTCCGGATCCCAAGGACACTCACATCGTCATCAGCTGGATGACCACACAGACTGTCACTGCCTTTTCTGGGTTGACTTCCTATTCATTTGACATCGTTCGCCTCTCGTGATGATTCAGTCAGGGCGCAAAGTAACTGACATCATGTACACAGGCACACTTGACTGCTGGAGGAAGATTGCTGGTGATGAAGGAGGCAAAGCTTTTTTCAAGGGTTCATGGTCCAGTGTTCTCAGAGGCATGGGTGGTGCTTTTGTGCTTGTCTTGTTTGATGAAATCAAGAAGTACAGGTAAGTTATTTCCTGGGTGTTTTTCCCCCTGTGAACAGGCATGTTGTATTATATAACATATCTTGAGCATTCTTGACAGACTCCTGGCTGTCAATTCATGAATGGCAACTGTTTGTTGGTAGAAAATGGGAAACAATAATATTCATCTGACCAGTTTTCTCTTAAAGCCATTTTCATGATGATGACGATGATGGGACTCAATTATATTTCTTATTTCAGCCACTACTGATAAACAACAAATTTGGAGAAATAAAAATATCTAAATACAAAAATTTTTAAAAACCTATGGCTTTTTATTTACTAACAAATTTAACCATGGTTATGATGTGCACCCTTCATTACACAAACGTCCATAATGAAAATTCCCTATGTATGTAAAGTTATGCATATTTAAAAGACTAAATAGAATATATATAGATTTTTTTGAGACAGAGTCTCACTTTGTTGCCCAGGCTGGAGTGCAGTGGCACAATCTCTGCTCACCACAACCTGCGCCTCCCAGGTTCAAAGGATTCTCCTGCCTCAGCCTCTGGAGTAGCTGGGACTACAGGCACGCACTACCATGCCCGGCTAATTAGAATATTTTAACAATAATCACATTTTAACTTTCTGATTATTTTTGCATTGAAGATAACAGCTAAAACTTTGTCCAATGTAAAATGGAGAGAGATCTGTTGTCAGTTATAAGTGGCACAAGGGTTTGAACAACCTTTCCCAAAAGAACAACTGAGAAAGCTGAAGAAAGTATTTTAAGTATGTATATTAAGGCAACGTAAAGTCAAAGAGATGGTGAAGAATTATATATTTGAGACTCCCAGGAAAAAGAAAATTCAGAGATCTGAACCCTGTTTTTTACGTATTTCCTGGCAGAATCTGCTCATTTAGGGGAGGCTCAGAGAGACTGAGAAAGTGAAAAATGTGTTCTAATGACTCACGCTGCTAAGAAGAAAAACAATCCAGACTTGGAGCCCATTAAGAAGGGAGAACGGGTTGAAATTTTGAAGAGTGGCACCATAGGGAAGCAGTTTTCAAAGTGTGATCCAGGTAACCTAGATAATTTTTCCTCACCTAAGTTCTAGAACGAAGCACAGAGGAACAAAATGGTGAAAAACAAAAGATCTAACATACATAAATTGGAGTCTTGAAGGTTGTGTAGAAAAAACAACCTGTTTACCACACTCAGCACTTCACTCCAATGTCAAATGTGTAAAACCTCATGTGTGCGGTATGCGGGTCTGTGTGTGATATGAGTGTGTGTTTCCCACACCGACTAATTCTCCAATTCTCCAAACACCAACTGGGTATCTTAAATTCAGTTATGATACTAACTACCTGAAGTTAATGCAGACCCCATAGGTAAAGAGATCAGTCCCACAAAACTGTCCCCCACTTCAGACACTCAACACAAGTAGTGGGTCCTTATGTTACCCAGATTTCTGTCCAACTTGGCTACAAGTCAGGGGTTCCCATGAACCCCTCCTTAACTTCAATATTTTGCTAGAATGGCTCACAGAGCAATGAGTTCATAAGATCAGAGATTCTCCCTTCTACCAGAAGGGGCTGTCCCCTGACTTACCTTGTATGGGAGATCAGAAGACGCCTTGCAGAGAGGGGCGGTGGTTTGATCCACTTGGGGATCTTCTGGGTGTCTGGACCAAGCTGGGGGCCACCATTATTCGTGGGCCATCTTGTCTCTCTGGCAGAGGAATTGAATAAATCTATCACTCAAGGTTTCCTTTTCCACCCCAAATCCACTGCTGGTTCGTTTCCCAAGGACTCCTGAGTACTACAAACCCATTAAAACACTGCGGCTTTACTGGTCTGTGGCTATAGAAACTACCCAGTCACCTAAGGACTATTTATTGAGTACCACAAATTACTGATTTCAGCACCAGGGAGCAAAAAGACAAATATCCCTGTCCTGTGGCACTTACATTCTAATGGGCTAGACAGAGAAACAACAATATGCATTAAAGTAATTCATTCACGCAATGCTATAAAGAGATTAGATGTGTGGGGAAATTTTAGAGGGATGTAGTGAACCAGTGGGAGGAAAAGTGGAAATGTAAATTATTTAAATGGAGTTGCCAGGACAGAACTTCTCCAGAAGATGATTAGAACCATTTGACTTTTCAGAGCCCTGAAAGTCAAAAGTACGCTACCTGACCTCCAGAGGTTCTGGGAGGATAACAAGGGGTAAGGCACTTCCAACTCCTCTGACAACTTGAAATCCCCAATTTGTGTAACCTCTTGTCTCAGGTTGTTTTCTGTGTACATTAGTGCCAGGTAAATAAAACATTTTCATGGTTTCTGTTCTTACAGTGTCCTTTGAAACAGTCTAAAGTGAAATCAATTCCCTAGAAATATTTTATTCTAGTCAAACCAACCAGCCCCTTTATTTCCTATCTTTTGACAACTTTTAGTTGCCGTTTGTAAGAGGTTTGTGCAAACTGCAATTACATCCAGCACATAATACTAGAAGCCCATTGGTACCCCATGGATTGAGAAGGCTTCACAAAATAATGTTTCTGGATATGGAAATAAATTTTGTTGAATGGAAAATCACTTATCAGAAAATCTAAAGCACATTTTCCCCCATCAGCCAAATTGTTCCAAAACTTTACAAAAAACAAAATGGTATCAGCTTTTAGTAACTCTAATACATTCCTTTATTGCAGACAGCTTTCTGAATCACGTTAAAACCACAGGATTGGAGTTGCCACAGGTTGCATTTTATCAGCACAAACGAGGGTGTTATTTTTTTCTTTTGCCATACAAATTAGAGCGATTATTTCAATTCAAGCTGTGATAGTTCTGGGGAGAATGATTGCACATATATTATCCAAAAAAGAAAAAAAACAAAAAAGAAAAGCTCACAGTAGGAATCTGCAATGCAGTGTTTAGTTTTGTTTGTGTTTGTTTTTTTTTAAACCCAGCTACTTAGCAGTAATTTATTGGCCTATTACTTCCACACTTTTCTGAATTCAGAAAGTCTATACTTGTCATGTTTACAACTAAACATACTCATAATCCTTTCTCTGCAATGAAACTTTGAGAAAGCCATAAACCAAAGTAAACATCAATTAAAAGATGCTGACTGTAAATTTAGAGGACATTCAATAAAATATTCTCAAAAACTCTCTTCTCTAAAGTTTCATAGAGTCCAATATACAGGTAATAAACCCTTCAACTAGTGCTAATGCATGTTACAGAGCTTCTTGCTCTGTGCTGAGGGGTATTCAAAAGAAATGGACACAGAACTACCTGTAAAAATGCTTTTCCTCACCAAACTCCCTCTAATAGTTTTCAACACAAAATCAGATTAGCGAGAAGTTCAGGAAGACCTGCAGCCTACACTGAAATATCCGAGTGTAGGACAGAATTCATAGAATGAATTTCCTCCTCACTTTTTTATGTATAAATGACTTTTCTTATAAACCTCAAAAATTAGACACTTTTGCTTGAAATTTTGAAATCTATTTTATTCTTCATATTAATTAAATAAAAAATTTCAAATTAAATTGGAAATAAAATTTATACCCATTAGAAGGTCATTTATACTTTCTTCTGATCCCATCACAAAATTTAGGCACCAGCAGATGGAGGAATTAGTGAAAAGCCAGGGAAGTTAGAGGCCTGGGTCTGTGCCACCGGGCAGCCCCAAGGACAGGAAGTCAGCTCCTCTCCTGCTGGTGTTAAGAGGGATGAGTGGAGAGCAGAAGACTGGAGCGATGACAGTTAACATAGACAGTGCTGGAAGGTAATCCTTGATTCTTTACAAAACAGCTTTTTGGGGGGCACTGCTGGAGGTTCACTTAAGAAGAAGTAGACTCCCATGTCTAGGGAGGAAAAAAAAAGAAAAATATGTTTGATTACTAGTGAAATTAATAGAATTTGTACATAAATGTCATTTAGAAATCACTGACTTATGCAGTTTATCCATTTCTTTTTTGATATGTGTGGTTAATACCAGTTGGAACCAAATGCTTGTATTAGGTTGGTGCAAAGAGCACTATTACTTTTGCACCAACCTAGTAACTTATGTGGTTAGAGGATCAATATTAATGGTGACCAACAGTGATTAGAAAGAGAATATACTACTGGTCAACACCTCTTAAAATAACTTCTATTGGAATTAATGAGAATTTTATGAATGAATTCCCCAACTGTGGTTCTGTTAAATTCCAGAATTATTTTTCTAGGGACTTGTGGTTTTCACTTGCAGTTTTTAAAACCACACTGCATCCCAGCAATACTTGATCATACTGCCAATGTGAAAGAATTCCTTGAAACTGCTAGAAATATAAATCAAGTTTAGGCATTAAAACAGTCTCAAATATATGAGATACTGTCATATTTGAGAAGAATTTGGGAGGAATAAAGGCTAGATATTTTACTTCTCCCTCTTCCATTTCAGTTTGCCAACTTCGATTTGGGTATATCAATGCATTTGCAGAAAAAATAGACTGAATCTTAAGAACAAAGCACTAAGTATTAGTGGCATTCTCAAGGAGAAAAAAGGTAAAAACTATTAAAGATATACCTTATTGAGATCCTTTATATGATAAACTAAACTTAGCTGTCTTTAAAAATATAATGTATTTGAATTCAGACCTTTCTATTTGAGTATGAAAACATATCTCAACTCATTGGAAAAGTAGCAAACATATACATTATTCCACCTAAGGTATAACTACTTGAAGGTGCCCTTCAATCGGATGCCATAAATTATCTTGAGTATGAAGGAAATTGCAATATGAATAAACATAAATCATTAAAAATACAATCAGTCTTTTCAAGCTATGTATGAAATTGAACGAGATAAACTATAGGGCCATATTTCAATATTGAAAGGAAACTCAGAATAATTTTTGCTGGATGGAGAATAGTGACATGCTATTATGATAAAAATTTACCCCAAACTGCCATTAATGTCTAATATAGAGAAAAGATAGCAATTAGTATTATTAGATTGAATAAGAGAAATAAAAATGGCTGAGTGTGTGGTAGAGAAAGGGTAGATTAAGTAAAAGGGAGCATATTTTAATTATAGGACAAATTAAGCAATGAAACAGTTGACAAGGAAAATTTACGTTCATCACTGTCAAAGTTGGCTTCAGATCTAGTAAGAAATTCTTTTAGAAAGTGTTTATAAAGGACATTGTTTACAAATTTGCCAAGTTCATGTAAAAGATAACCTTTAAGAATTCCTTGTAGTACAAAAAAAGATATCATAATCTAGTTAAATATGACTTGATATTAAAATTAACTAATCTCAAAGTTTTTTCAACTTAGTTCCAAATGTTTAACATAGCTCTAGAAAGCAAGAGTTTAAAGAGGAAAAAATAGGCTGTTTGAAGTAATACTTTTTGCATAGGAAAAACATGGTACACATGTAAGGTATTATAATAGGAAACAGAGAAGTCCATAACCTAGAGCCAATTATGGAATGACACAATTGCCTACACAAGGGGAAATGATAGATGTGTTCTTTCCAATCCATGACTGAAATACAGGATTTTTCATATGTAGAATATATGCAGGAATATATATGTATATGTGGATAAAGATATATTTATTAATTATGTAAATATAGAGAAGAAAATAATTACTCCTAGAGAAAAGAATGACTTGAAAGTATTTTAAATCCATATAAGCTGGGTCATTCCCTCCCTGTGAATCTTTCAAAGACATTTTTGCCTCTACTTCAATTTTCTTCTGTCATTTCAATTTATAATTATAAAAAGAGAACATTGCTTAGTGGTTAGCATAATGGGATATCATGATGAAATCCTTAACAGAGGAATCTGAGACCTTGAGATGAAAAGAAATGTAAAGTACTATCTTTTAGTAATAAATGTCATAACTTAGATTGTGCCCACAGCAACTTAAAGTTTCAGTGACAGGGGACACAAGAAAAGAGCATATCATCTGCATTTTTTGTAATGCTTCCAGATGCCAGGTCCTCTGCTAATTGCTGCAAATAAAAGGCAAAGACAGATACTGTGCCTGTCTTTAACAAATGGAGGAGGCAAGTAGTGAAACCAAATTATTGGTAAATAACAACCAGGATCAGTGCCTCAGAGGAAAGATATGGAGAGCAGAGAGAGAATGTAACAGAGGGCCTAATGTCCTCTGAATAATAATGGAATGGAAGGCTTTCCTCAGGAGACTGCTGAAGTATTAAAGGTAAACCAGAAGGGTTAGGGCAGAAGATATTCTAGGCACAAGAAACTGCATAAGCAAAGGCCCTGAGTGGAGAGCGATCTTAACATATTGAAGGAAAAGAAAGAGAGGCCCTGCGGTTGGGGCACAAAAACCACAGAGAAAGTGGAGCCAGATGAGGTTGCAGAGCTAAGCAGAACTTCAATCATGTGAGTTTTAAGGCTCATTGCATTAAAAGTAATGGCAAAAACCACAATTAGTTTGCACCAAACTAATAAGACAAATCCAGGCTCAATTTAATAACAAGTTGAAATTCAATGGTGTTTTAATCTGAGAGATGAAATATAGTAACAGGAATATTTACCCATATTTCTGGTATTCAAACTAATTGTATGATAAGCATATAGATCCTGGGCCATGTTCACTGGAATCAGGGCCCAAGTTAGTGAAGAAGAATGTGGAAAACACGACCTATTAATTGCTAGGGATAAGGGTTTGCAAAGAGTAGGCTGGATTGGAAGGACATTGATCAAGGAGAAAGTGTGGACTGAGCTGTGCATGGCTGTTAGCCTGGTAGGAAACCAGGGCACAAATTGTAGGGGGGGGACGGGTGTATAGAAAGGCAAAACACTGCTACACACACTTGGATATTTTCTTTTCCTTCCGGAAAGAATTAGTTGGAAGTGTGTTTCCTTTTGTTAATATTCTAGTATTATTTGCAAGATACCAGATGACTGCATTTGGTTCCTATTGCTGGTGTAACAAATTGCTGCACCCTTAGTGGCTTAACACAACAAAAATTTGTCTTACAGTTCTTGGAGATAAAAAGTCTGAAATGGTTCCACTGGGCTAAAATTGAGGGAGGCTTCAGGAGAAAATAGTTATATTTGCCTTTTTCAGCTTCCAGGGGCTACCCACATTCCTTGGCTCCCAGCTCCGTTCTCTCATCACTTTGACCTCTGCTTCTATTGTCACATCTCCTTCTGTGCCTCCTGCCTCTTTCTTTTACTTACAAAGACCTTTGTGAGGACACTGGGCCCAGGATAATTTTCTCATTTCAGGATCCTTAATCACGTCTACAAAATCATCTGTGTCATATAAAGTAACATAGTCACAGGTTCTGGGGATTGGCTAGTGGACATCTCTGGGGGACCATTACTCTGCCTGCCACAATGACATAGCCAAATTTCTGGGAATAATGGAAAAAAATTGTTCTAGTCATTCAAACCTCCCTTCTCAGAAGTAGTTGATATGAAAACTACCTTCAGCAATAGTAGAAATCAGGAATATATATTATTTATACTTTAAATAGAATAAAAAGGAAGTGATTGAAGAAGAATGCAAAAGACTAACTAGATTTTATCTTGTAGACAATGTATAGGTTTCTTTCAAAGGCTCAGTAGAGGAGATCTAGGCAGGACACCCTCCATAGAGTCTGAATTAGAGGGTCAGAGTTGGCAAGAAAATGTTGAAAGGGTTGCACCTTGAGAAAGGAAGGTGCTAGTCCACATGAAATCCCACTCACTGCTGGCGGTCAGTGGGTAGCCGCATGTGCTAGGCTGCATAAAGGAACAGTCACACCAAATTGAGTGCGTCTCTCTAATTGCCAATCAACCCACTGCATGTAAATTCTTTTTCTGCCATTCATATATTTATTGATCTACCCATCCAACAAATATTTCATGAGTACCACCACACTTACCACAGATTCCCTGGATATGGCAGTGAATAAAACAAGGTTTCTCCTCTCATAAAACTTATGTTCTAGATGGGAGAGAAAGACATTAGAAAACAAATAATTTGTAAGATGGTATTAGGTAGCACTAGGCTCTAAAAGGGAAAGTATTGCTGAATAAGGTAGTAGGAGGAAGAAAAGAAAAAGAAATAAGAGACATCTGAGCAGGGACGTGTGAGCA
This sequence comes from Homo sapiens, assembly GCF_000001405.40. Classification (NCBI taxonomy): domain Eukaryota; kingdom Metazoa; phylum Chordata; class Mammalia; order Primates; family Hominidae; genus Homo; species Homo sapiens. The sequence continues at coordinate 54,428,406 of NC_000007.14, forward strand.
GAAACCTAAAAGAGAGAAAGAGAGTTATCTAAATGGATTTTGCAGGGACATGAGGAGAGGAGAACAAGAATCAAAAGCATCTCCTTGGCATTCTCAGCGGACACTGAGGAGGCAGTATATCTGGGGAAGAGAATGCAAGGGGACAGTTGGAAGATAATGAGGTTAGGAAGGTGTCCTAGGGTGTGATCATGTAGGTCAAGCTTCTGGATTTTATTGTAAGGCTATTGGAACAGGGGAATGAGGAGATTTAATTTGCATCCTAAAAGGTAAGCAGCAGTTTACCAGCTACCAGGGAGGCAGGAGAGCAAGAAAAAATAATAAAGTTAGTACTTCATTGTTACAGGGAGTAAGTAGGGCAGCTTTACTTCAAACTCCACTTGAAGACTGTAGTATTGAAGAGGAAAGAAAAAAAGTTGCCTTTGTCTATTTGTGCTGCCATAACAAAATGCAACAGACTGGTAATTTTATAAACAATAATAATTTATTCCTCATGATTCTAAAGCATGGGAAGCCCAGGATCAAGGCACTGACCAGACTGGTGTCTGATGAGGGCAGCTCTCTGCTTCCAAAGTGGTGCCTTGTAGCTACATGTTCCAGAGAGGAGGAACATGGCAGAAGGGATAGAAGAGCAAGAGAGCACTCTCTTCAATCTTCAGCCCTTTCATAAGGGTGCTGCTCCCACTCAGGAGAATGGAGCCCTTATAACTTTTCACCTCCTGAAGGCCACACATCTTAATACTGTTGCACTGGGGACACCATCTTTCAAACCATAGCAGAAGTGATTGTGTGCTGCTGGAGAGGAGGTGGCATTCCTCTTTAATTCTGTCCATTATTTGGAAACCTCTGTCATCAACATTCAGCTTCACTGAACAGGCTGAAAGGCATGAATGACCACACAAGCAGACAGTTGGACTTCTCCCTGGTGATGATTCACTATGGGGCATAGAGTCTCTTCCCTGAGAGAAAGAGTAAAGCCAAAATGGAAGCAGTGGAGGCCAGGCCAAGAAAGAAGGCTAGATAAAGAAAGCTAGTCAACAGCTAAGCAACCACAGGAAACAGAATAAAAAAAAGTGTCCAGGACCAAGAATCCATTACTGGAGGAAGTACTGATCTATGAACTGCCTCAATTCTTTGGGGCACTAGAATTAACAGAAAAAAAATCCTGGTAATAGAAACTTACCCTAATCAACAATCATCCTGAAAACAAACAAACAAAAAAGATTTTGGCCGTATTCAGATGTACAGTAGTGGTACCCAGGTATGATCTACCTATATTTCTGTGGAGTAACTTTACAATCAGAGGTAATATCTCTTATTTTTCCATAGATGACATATATTTTTAAAAGCACTAATGCCTATTATTTCATTTGCATCACAAAAGAAGAGCAAAAGTAACACTTAAGAGTTGTATTTGAAATGAAGATGTACTTAAGACAGTGCCTTTGTGGTACTTCCTAGCCCTTTGAGAAAATGTGGACAGCTTTGCGGTATCTTTCCAGAAAACATGTACAGAAAAGTTCAACTTGCATTTCAAATAAAAGACTATTTACCCCCATATATAGACATTTACCACTGTAGTATTTTATTATATAAGGCTATAACCCTTTATTTGAAAAGATTATGACAACACTAAACATCAAACCTTACTGAATATTGCCACAGCTCTAAAAATGGTTTAAAATTTTATAAACTAAATAGGAAAGAATAAAACAGTGTCAACAATAACAACTCCAAAATGTAAGGCCTGCAAAGGAGAGCAGTTGATGAAGAAACTAGAAATTCAGAAACTATAAACCAGAAAGTACAAAAGCTTTTTAAAAATATTTATCATGACTTTTTAACTCCTTTTTAAAAATGTGTTCTAAGAATATAACACAATATTAATGATCATGATAACATGGAAGTATCATTTGAGTTTATTTTGATTTAGATTTCTCATTTGAGTTCTGTTTCCTTTTTAATACATAATAGGTATTTGATACATAAAAGTTTGAACAATACATAAGAATTTCTGTTTAGGATGTAAAAAGATGGAAGAAGGATCACTCCACCTGTACAACAAAGAATATGTCTGAAAATCTACAAATCAACTTTCATTGAATATATCCAAGAACTGAGATCATAAGGTGATCTGGTTTAAGCATGGTTCGCTTTTCCTTACCAAAAGTCACTTTGAAATTTGACCCCAGTTTAGTGATATTGAAAGATGAAGCCTAATGGAAGGCATTTAAACCATGGGGCAGATTCTTCCTGATTGGCTTGGTGCTATTCTCATGGTAGTGAGTTCTCTGCCTGGTGAGACTTAGTTTCCACAAGAGTGGATTGTTCTAAATGCAGGATTTTGTCGCTTTCTGTGTGTTTTGATTCAAAATGAAATGATCAATGAAATTAAATCTCTAGCCATATTGACTAAGAAATGAAATTAAATCTCTAGCCATATTGACTAAGAAAAAAGAAAGAAGAGGTAGATTGCAAATGTAAGGAATGAAAAAAGGGACATCACTATAGACCCTATAGATGTTATAGAAATAATAAGGACATATTTTAAGCAACAATTCAACAAATTATATTCAATGAACAAATTTCATGATGACACAAACTCCCAAACTCATTCAATAAATTATGTATATATAAGACATAAATATGTAAATCCTATATATAATTTTATTTTTACTTATATAAAAATATACTTCATATTTAATTTTATTTTTATTTTATTTGATATATAAAATTTTATTTTTGTTCTAATTGATATATAAAAACTATATTTGTGGTACAAATACTCCAAGAAAGAAAACACAAAGCCCAGATGGTTTCACTGAAAAATTCTACCAAATGTGTAAAGAAGAAATAATGCCAATTTTACATAAGCTCTCCTCAAATTTAAAAGAAGAAGGAAAATGCCCCAATTTGTTTTATGAGGTTAATATCACCTTGCTATCAAACTCAGACATATATTAAAAGAAAGGTACAGATCAATTTTCCTCATGAAAATAAATGCCAAAATCACAATAAAATGTTAGGTAATTGAATCCAACAACATATAAAAATATAAATCAATAGTGTTTATTCCAGGAATGCAAGTATGGTTGAACATTCAAAAATCAACTAAATTAATATATCAAATTAACTAACTAAATAAGAAAACTACATGATGATCTCAATAGATGCAGAAAGAGCCTTAGGAAAAGATCAATATCCATTTATCATGGAAAACTTTAGACAAACTAGGAATAAAAGACCATCCTCATCTGAAAATGGGTATATATAAAAAGAAACGTACATCTAGCACCATACTTAATAATGAAAGAGCAAATGTTTTATTCCTACAATCAGGAATTAAGCAAGGCTATCTGCCTTTATAACACCATTCAACAGAGTACTAAAATTTCTAGACAATATAATAAGACAAAACATTAAAATAAAATATATACAAGCTAAAATAAAATAAAATTTTCTTTTCCAAGAAATTCTGTTTACATAGAAAATTGTAAAGCATCTACAGGAAAGATTCTAGAACCAATATGTGAGTTTAGCAGGTCACAGAATACAAGTCAATACAGAAAAATGAATTGTACTTCTACCTTCCGCCAGTGAATAATTAGAAGTTGAAATTTTAAAAACGTACCATTCACAATAGGATGAAATACATGAAATAATTGGATATTAATATCATAAAGTATGTGTAGGGTCTGTACACTGAAATGTAGAAAATCCTGATGAAAGAAATCAAAGACAAAACAGAGATATACCATATCCATGGCCTGGAAAAGTCACTGTTGCTAAGATGTCAGTTCACTTGCAACTCTCCACACACTCAACACAACTTTAACAAAAAATCCAGCAGCATTTTTTAGAAAAACCAAAGATTTAATTTTAAAATTATAGGAAAATAAAAAGGCACATCTATAAGTAAATAAATAAATAAGAACAAATTTGAAGGATTCACACTACCTGATTTCTAGACCTATTATAAAATTTCAGTAGTCAAGTAATACAGTAAGAGACTATTAATAATCATGCAGATAAAGGAAACAGAAAAGAAAGGCCAGAAATATACCCACCTATTTACAGTCAATTGATTTTTCAGTAAAAATGCCAAGGCAATTCAATAAAGAAAGAAAATTTTTTTTCAACAAAAGGGCTGGGACAATTGTATACTCATATGCAAAGACAAACAAACAAAAAACACAACATCAATTTCTAACTCATATCCTATACAACAATCAACTCAAAATACATCATAAACTAAATGTAAAATGTAAAATTCTAAGACTTCTAAATGAAAACATGAGTGAAAATATTTGTTATCTTGAGTTAGGCAAAGATTTTTAAGATACAACACCAAAAGCAGAATCCATAAAAGAAAAAAAGTGATAAATTAGACATCATCAAACTGAACATTTCTTCTTGGGAGGACAGTGTTAAGAGACTGAAAAGACAGAAAAGCCATAGACGGGGAAAACAAGTTTGCAAATTATATATCTGATAAAGGACTTGTAACCATTCGACATATAAAGATCCTCAAAACTCAGAAATAAGAAAGCAATGCTTTTTAAACAATGGTCCAAATATCTGAAAATTCAAATAGATTTATGAATACCTAATAAGCATATAAAATGTGTTCAATATTATTAGTCATTGGGGAAAAGCAAATAACTATAATGTGATATTACTCTGCATTAATGTACTGGCTACAATTGTAAACAATTCAAAATGCTGACAGGGATGCTGAGTAACTGGACTATCACACATTGTTTTTGGCAACGCAAGATAGTACAGATACTTTGTAAAATAGTTTGGCAATACAATACAAAATTGAACATATACTTAATATAGTGACCACTCTGAGGTGTTTATCCAGGTGAAATAAAAGGTTTTGTTCACACACACCAAAAAAACCTGTACATAAACTGTTACAGTGGTTTTATTCATGAATTGGAAGCAACTCCTATAGTCCTCAACTGCAGAATAAATGAACAAACCGAAGTGCATATATACAATGAATACAATTGAGCAGTAATGAAAAATGAACCACCAATCCACACCACAACATGGATAAATCCCAAATGGATTATGCTGGGTAAAAGGAGCTAGACTCAAAAGGTTCCATGCTATATCATTTCATTTGTATGTCATTCTTTCAGAAGCAAAATATCAGGGCAAAAAGTAGATTCATGGATGCAGGCCTGGGAGCAGGCTGGGGGTTGACTACAACAGAGTTTATAGGGAGATGGAGCTGTTCTAAATCTTAATGGTTGTGGTGTTCTATGACTGCATATGTTTGCCAAACTCTCAGAACTTTACACACACACACACACACACACACACACACACACACGTCAATTTTACTCTATGTAACTATGCCCTAATTTAACAAATGAGAAAAATTAAATATTAAAAACAACCAAGTCGATTATTTTAATAATATAAATCAGAGATGTGAACCAAAAAATGCATGTGGAAGAGACTTAAAACTATTTATTTTCAATATTATTTAGTAATAATTAAATATTCATCAGCCTGAGAATGTCGAAAGTTGAAACACACACAAAAAAACTTTTTTATAAAAGGAAATTATAACAATTATCCAAAAAATTTAGTTTATTGAGAAAAGTTCACACAGACACACACACACACACCCCCAATGGTATATCAAGATACTTGAATATTTCATACTGTTTCTGTAATATCTTTGTACGTTGATTCTTGAGGTTTTATAACAACTTCATCCAAACATGTTTTTATCTTATCCCTGCACAGATACATAGAAGTTTCTAGTGAAGAAAGCTTAAAATGCTTTGCAAGCTAACTTCTAGGACCATCTGTTGTGTCATTAAGAGACTGGCTAGGTCATAAGATGTTTTGAAAAACAAAACAAATGCACTATACTGCAGCAAGTGTGGACTGCAATTTTTCCTGAGGCATCTTTACTGAGTAGGTCCCACTCTGAACAAAGGGATACGTCTCAGTTTGTTCTACTGCAACTAATATGTAACAAGCAGCAATTTATTTCTTGTTTGACTTTAAAAAAAATCAAACCTGATACAGTGGGTTTAAAGGCAGTTGAAACAGAGTACATCTGGCACATAATAGGGTGGGGGCTGTTAGAGACCTCAATTCCATGACCATCTATACCACGCATCAACCACAAGATCACAAATAAGAGTCTTAAATTTTTAGCTTCTGTTTTCTGATTTAAGAAATGGAGATTGGAAGAAGAAATTCTCATTTCTTCATTCATTTGACAGTTATATTTTGCATATCTACTGTGCATGCACTGAGCTACGAACATCAGCATGGGCATTTTCTGAGGCTTTCCATGGCTGTACAGAAGACACATTCGTCCAATAATACTACTCATAAGCAGATAAATGCTTGAAACAAGCTCAAAATATTCTGAGAGTCATAGAAAAGAGGAACTGGGCCTAGACTGGGATTGAGGCTATGGAATAAGGGGCCGGAAAGCTTTCTCTGAAGACATGATATGTAAGTTGAGATCACGCACACACACACAAAAAAAATAGGAAAGCTTGTTACCGGACAATAGGTGAGTATTGTATAAAATTGCTTATTTTGTGCTACAAGAAGAGTAAACGGTCTCCAGCACTAATGAAATGTCTGAATTTCTGATAGGCATCAAGTAAGACTAGAACTTTCTCCAGGAGCATCTGCAGCTCCTTTTAAAACTGTTGGATGCAGACAGAACACTAGGCTGTAAGTAACAACTGCAGGCTCACACTGGAAAAAACATCTTTTCCTGAATATTGAGTCTTACTGCTTGCCCAGATCTCTCCTTTTTCAAGTCATGCAAAGCTTTTAGTAAAGGAAATTTCTCAACACCTAACTGGCTACAATCAATGTGTTCCACATAACTCTCCACTGTGAGGACTATAAAAATAGAATCTGAAATTTAGGCCTGGGACTCTGGGGAACAGAAACACAGATAAGTGAGAGAAAGTGTTTCCCTTTGAATTCTGATACCTGACATTTGGACCTGAAAAGTCAGTGCAAATGACAGAAAAGTAAAGCAATGTAAGAAATGAGAGCCGCACAGGAAAATGATGTCATTAAGATTTTTTCTACTTGTTTCCTTTCTTTTTAAACATTGACCTTGTGGTTATAAGAAGATCTGGGAGCTTTTGAATACAATTTTCTACAGGTAAAGCTCATCTGTAGACCTGTTTATCACTGAGACTGCTTTGAACAAGCCAGGACTGAAAGAATCATCTCTTCTTTTTACCTGACAAATCTGTGCACTCTGAGGGCGGCTTTCATGGAATTAGGGCAAGAGGACAAGACATGAAGCCAACGCTTAGCAGTTCGGGGTATTTGTTTCCTTTCCCCATAGTTTCCCTCAAAATTAGTAAGAGGGCCAGCTAATGCTTTCTATCACCTTCTAAGTAACCTTCACCCTTAGGTGGATTTCATCTTTACAGGAAGGAGAAATTTGCCTCCTGGTAACTTAGATCTACCTAAAAAAAAAAAAATATAGAGATTTAGAAGGGAAAGAGGTCTTTCAGGGATTCTAGTTCACACTACACTTTTTAAGAATAAAATAATGGAACCCCACATAGATTGCACGACTTTCTCAAGACATTACTTTTGTTGCTATGGACTAAAAAATGTAATTTATGCCAGAGTGGGGATGTTGTGTGAATGATCTGTAACACGATTCTGTGGCTGTCTGCCACTATTTTAAATGATCATCTGTCAAGGAACCCAGACCACATTAATCAAGTCTTCACAAGATATTCTTCCAAGTATGTTTAGTTCTTTCCATGCCCTGGCCCCAGTTTCTCTAAACACTCATAGGTGCGTTGTTCTATCTTATTGAAGATGCCAGAGTAGATTGTATTTCCCCGCGATGTCTTCCTCAGTCCTCATATCCACGTTGTTCCTCAATGTGACTTGCCACATTTCCAAGCAGAGTGGATCTATATTTGCCTCCATCAAATGTTGTCAGGCTTTTGATGGCTTCAATATAGATTTGATGCTGTGTGACTTCCAAGATTAGGCCTTAAAAAACAACGCAGTCTCACCAAAGAAGTTATTAAAATGACAATTAAGCATATGAAAAGACACTTCCATCACATTTCATCAGGGAAACTGAAACAACGAGACACCAAACACAACTCATCTATTAGAATGGTAAAAATCCAAAATGCTGGCAGCACTGAACGCTAGAATGGTGAGCAACAGGAACTATCATTCATTGCTGGTGGGAATGCAAAGCAGTGCAGCCACTTTGGATGACAATTTGTCAGTTTCTTACAAAACTAAGCATACTTCCTCCCATATGATCCAACATTTGAAAGTGCATGGACACACAAAACCTGCACATGGATGTTTATAGCAGCTTTACTCATAATTGTCATAATATAGAAGCAACCACGGTGTCTTCCAACAGGTGAATGGATAAACTGTGGTACATCCAGATAATGGAACATTCATTAGTACTAAAAAGAAGTGAGCTATCAAGCCATGAAAAGACATGGAGCAATCTTAAGTGGATATTGCTGAGTTAAAGAAGCCCATCTGTGGCAATGTAAGACATCACCGATAACAAATATGCCACTCTGGTGGGAATGTTGATGGAGAGGCAGAGATTTACGGAAACTCTTCACACTTCCTACTCAATTTTGCCGTGAACCTAAAACTGCTCTGAAAATTACATTTATGTTATTTTTTAAAAAATAATGCATCTCCCACCTGGGTGCCCACCACTGTTTTTGGAGAGCTGAGCCACATGTAAGAAACATATATTGTGAGGAAGTCTGGGCAATATGGAGAGGCTACATGCAGTGCTCCCATCCTTACCCACAGGTCAGCCTCAGCCAAGGAGCCAGTGGACAATAGGCATCCACTGCCAGACTTGCAGGTGAGGACACCCCAGTCAGTCCAGCCTCAGCTGTTAGTCACTGAGAATTCCCACCAAGGCACCAGAAATCACCAAGCAGAGACAAGACGTCCTTCCTGTGCCCTGCTTGAATTTCTGACACACAGTCTGGGAACACAATAAAATCATTTTTGGATGCCCCTTATCTTTGGGTGCTTTGTTTTTGCATCATTGGGAATTGGTCTACTTACTGAGGGGCTAACCTGGGAGAGGCAGTGCTCCGGAGAGGCTGTTTCAGATCCTAGTTTGTGGATGAGGCTTTCTGAGTCCAGCCGTCCATGAGGCACCATATGAGCTCAGGACACCAGTGAAGGCCTGTCTAGGCTTTGAGCAGCGATTTTCAACTTGTGAGGTCATAAGACACTCAAGAGAATGGTATCACTGAGTATTTTATTCTGAGATTGAGCTTCTTTCCAATAAAATGGAGACTGTCTGTGAAGACAAAGGGATAGAAGTGACTTTGTAGAAGTCAACTTGTATGAGCAGAAACAAATTAACCCTCCCACCTCAATCAACTGAACAGACATAATGGAAGAAGCAACAGCTCTCCGACATTGGACACCAGGTAGTGCAGGACAGTAATCCCTAAAGAGGAGAAATAAAACAGTGAGTCCTATAATTGCCCTGCCTCATTGCCCAGAGAGAGCTTAGATAATAACTGCAGGAGGGGCAACCGAGGCAGGGCCCTGCATTTATCTTAGTTGAGGAGATAGACTTGGAAATCCACAGAGGCCAAGACAGGTAAACAGCAAGGAGCAGTTATGCAGAGAGAGATACCCAGAGACCTGCCCTTGGCCTTCAGCTGAGTATCATCAGTGCACGTGTGTAAAGAAAGAGCCCAAGGCTGGGAAAGAAATCGCTAGAAAGGAGCAGAGAGAGAAATTCCTTCAGCTCACTCAGAAACAAGAATACTTTATGTTCCCATTAGGAAAAGCAGACACAAGACACTGGAGGGAGCACCCAGTCTTGCTAAGCATGGGAAACACCAGCTCTAAATTAAATCCACTCTTGTCCCACCATGTTGTTAAGCTCATTCTCAAAAGATCAAACTATTTCCAAGTCACTTGACTGCATCTCAGAGCTAAACTCAGAATATTTACAGGAATAAAAAAATATCCTGTACCAACAAGGTAAAAATACAATGTCTAGAATCCAACTGAAACAACCAGACACAGAAAGAAGAATAAAAATATGACCCATATGGAGGAGAAATCCCAATACATCGAAACAGACCTAGACATGACACAGATAACAGAATTAGTAGACAGACAGTTATTATAAGTATAATCCAAATATTCAGGAAGGTGGAGAAATACCTGGGCATTTGTCAACCAGACCTTTGGAAGGTATTTTTTAAAGTCTCAAAGTGAACTTCTAGAGATGAAAAATATGTTTGAGATGAAAAATGTACTAGATAGGATACTAGATAGGATTAACTGCAGATTGGACACTCCACAAAAAATGATTAATCAACTTGAAGACATAGCAATAGAAGCTATCCCAAATGAAATGTACAGAGAAAAAAAAACTGAAAAAAAAAAAAAGAAACAGAGAAGCCAGAAAATTGTAAAAAACAAACTGAAAATGCTGGAACAGGTAAAAAGTGAGGAAGATATTGAAAACTAATAAACAACTAGAGCCCAGTAAGATGCAATATGTCATTGGTTAACACAGGACAAATTGCTCTGGTGGTGACTACACACCATGGCTCCAGTATTATCTAAATGTAACACATTTCTGTTGACCAGAAATAAGCAAGGTCTTAAAACAGTTGCCCCTGGCTAAGCCAAAATGGTAGGCACGAAAGATGAACTTCAGGGAGATCACTGAATGTAAGTGGAGTAGTCACTATTTAAGATCATCAATGGCCACTTTGTGATTTCTATGTATTATTTATTTTATTATACATTTAACCGTATTTTTACACAATAGATAAAATGTTTATTTGCAAAGACAGCAAGTGATTTTTTAAACTTTTTATTTTGAAATAATCATAGATTCACAAGAAGTTACACAGATGTTACAGAGCGATCCTGTGTACTCTTCACCCCATTTGCCTGATGGTTACATCTAACATAACTATAGTACAATATCACAGTCAGCACATTGACACTGGCATTGCGTGTGTGCAGTTCCATGTCATGTAACCCCTTGTGTAGATTAGTGAAAGCCCCACCTCAGGAGACAGAGCTGGTCCACACTTGCAAAGATGTCCCTCATGTCACCCCTTAATCATCACAACTCTCATACCTCCGCCCCATCCCTAACTTATGGCAACTACTAATCTGTTTGCATATCCATAATTATGCCATTTAAAGAATGCTGTAGAAGTGCTGTAGAATGTGGATTCTGTGGAATCCACAGAATGTGACTTTCAGAAATGGGCTTTTAACACTTAGCATGATGCTCTGGAGATTCACCCAAGTCGTGTATGTCAGTAGTCCGTTCCTTTTTATTCCTAAATAGCATTCCATCGTGTCAATGTATCACAGTTTATTTAACCATTCACCTACTGTAGGACATCTACAGTGTCCAGCTTTTGGCTATTACAAATGATGCTGCTATAAACAGTCATATACAGTTTTTGGCTAAGCCTAAGTCTTCATTTCTCTGGGATAAATGCCCAGGAGTGCAATAGCTGAAATTGCTGAACAATTTCGAGAGTGGCTGTACCATTTTACATTTTGACCAGCAACAAATAAGAGACCCCATTTTTCACATCCTTACCGGGATTTGGCACTATTGCCATATTTTATTTTGGCTGTTCTGATAGCTGTGTAGGTACATCTCATCACAGGCTTACCCTGAACTTCTATGATGACTATTGATGTCAAACGTCTTCTCATGTGCTTATTTGCCATTCATTTATCATCTCTGTGAAATAACTCAACATTTCTTTTACCCATTTTCTAACTAGATGTTTTTACTGTTAAGTGTTGAGATTTCCTTATACATTTTAGATATGAGTTATTTGTAAGATTTATGATTGATGCATATTTTTCCCAGCCTATGGCTTGTCTTTATAGCCTCTTTACAAAGTCTTTCACAGAGAAAAATTCTTAGTTTTGATGAAGCCCAATTTATTGACTTTTCTTTTTATAAATTGTGCTTTTGGTGTCATATCTAAGAACTGTTCATGAAGCACTGAAGAAAGTCCCAGAAATTTTTCTCCTATGTCTTCTTCTAAAAGTTTTAGAGTTTTAGGTTTTACATTTAACTGTGTGATTCACTTCGAGTTAATTTTTGTATAAAGTGTCAGCTTTAGTTCAAGTTTCCCTGTTTTACCTACAGATATCCAAGTGTTCCTACACCATTTATTAGGAAGAATATTCTTTGCACATTAAATTGTTTGTGCACATTTATCAAAAATAACTTGGCTGCACTATTGTGGGTCTATTTTGGGTTTCTCTATTCTGTTCCATTGATCTGCCTATTCCTCTGCCAATACCACAGTATTAATCACAAGTTACATAATAAATTTTGAAATCAAGTAATCTCTCACACTTTATTCTTTTTCAAAATTGTTTTAGCTATTCAAGTACATTTGTCTCTTCATAACAATTTTAGAATAATCTTATTTCAAAAAAAAGACTTTTGCTGATAATTTGATAGATATTGCATTAACGTTGTATATCAATTTGTGAAGAATTAACATCTTTACTCTGTTGTATCTCCAATCCATAAACATAGTATGTTTAGATACATTTATTTAGACTTGTGATTCATTTCTGCAGCCTTTGGTAATTTTCTGAATCCAAGTCCAGCATGTGTTTTATTAGATATACACCTAAATGTTTCATTTTTTGAGTGATTATAATTAGATTGTGTCTTTGATTTTGGTTTCTATGTGTTCATTGCTAGCATACAGAAATATAATAGTTTTTTTTAGCTTTTTTCTTGTATTCTATGATCTCACTAAACATATTATTTAGTCCTAGAAGGTATTTTTTTGGTTTTGGTTTTGATAGATACTTTGGCATTTTTACATAAACAATGAGTTCATCAGCATATATGGAGAGTTTTATTTCATTCTTTTCAATCTATTTGCTTTTATTTCCTTTTGTTGCCTTATTACATTGACTAGCATTTCTAGGACTACATTGAAGAAAGGTGATGAGCATGGACATCCCCCACTTGTTCTCAAATTTAAGGGGAAAACATTTGGTAGGGCACGGTAGCTCACGCCTGTAATCCCAACACTTTGGGAGGCCAAGGCAGTCAGATTGCCTGAGGTCAGGAGTTTCGAGACCAGTCTGGCCAACATGGTGAAACCCCATCTCTACTAAAATTACAAAAAAAAAGAAAAAATTAGCCGGGCATGGTGGCGCGTGCCTGTAATCCCAGCTACTCGGGAGGCTGAGTCAGGGGATTTGCTTGAACCAAGGAGGTGGAGGTTGCAGTTAGCCAAGATCACAACACTTCACTCCATCTAGCCTGGATGACACAGCGAGACTCCATCTCAAAAAAAAAAAAAAAAAAAAAGGAAAGCATTTCAGCCTTTCACTATTAAGTGTGATTCTAACTGTAGGGATTTTGAAGATGCTATTTTTCAAATTAAGGAAGTTTCCCTTAGTTCTAATTTTCTGTGAGTTTTTATCATGAGTTGTTGTTCCATTGTATCAAAGGCTTTTCCAGCATCAATTCATTTGAACATGTGATTTTTCTTCTTTAGCCTGTAAATAGAGTGCATTACAATGACTGGTTTTTTGACTATTGAACCAGCCATATTCCATTCATCATAGTAGATAATTCTTTGTATGTATTGCTGAATTCTACTTGCTAATATTTTTCTTCCATACTTTTTATTTTACAAATAAGAGTTTTTGCATTCATATTCATGAGGAATACTGGTCTGTACTTTTCTTCTTTTGTACTGACTTTTCCTGGTTTTGGTATCAGTAAATACTGTATATGACCTGACTTTGGGCATGTTCTCTCCTCTTTTATTTTAGGGAAAACATTGCATAAAATTAATGTTGTTAATTTATCTTTAAATACTTGGTTGAATTCTCCAGGAAAACCACGTGGACTGGAGAGTTTTGGAGGGATCTTTTAAATTGCAAATTTAACTTCCTTAGTAGACATAAGGCAAGTCTATCATCTACTTCATAATGGACAAATTATGATAGTTTTTTGAGGAAATACTCCATTCCAAGTGTTCCTATTTATGTGTGTAGAATTGTTCCTAGTAAATGCTTATTATCCCCTTTTGATTTCTGCAATGTCTGTAGGGATATTTCTGTTTTATTGGTAATTTGTTTCTTCACTCTTTTCTTGATAGCCTTGTAAAAGGTTTGCAGATTTTATTGACTTTTTCAAAAGCCAGCTCTTTGATTCTTGGGTTTTCTGTTAGTTTTGTCATCAATTGTATTAATTCCTGCTTCTATCTTTATAATTTCCCTCCTGCTGCTTGCAATAGGTTTCCTTTGCTCTTTTTTACTTTTCATATCTTGATGTGGGAGCTTAGCTTATTGATTTGAGATGTTTTCTATTTTCTGACGTAAGAGTTTACTTTTATAAGCTTTCCTCTCAACTATATCACCTGCATCCCATAAGTTCTGATATGTTGTATTTTCATCTTCATTCAATTCAATATATATATTTTTTAATTTCTCTTAAGACTTCCTCTGTAGCTCATGGATTACTTGGTAGTGTGTTGTTTAGCTTCTAAGTGTTTGGATATTTTCCTGTTATTTTTCTGTTTTTTATTTCTAGTTTGATTTCATTGTGGTCAGAGAACAAAGTCTGTATAGTTTCAAATATTTTAAATTTGTTTAGAGGTTTTTCCCCCCATGATTCGGGATATGGTCTATTTTGGTACACAGCCCACGGGTACCTGAAAAGAATATGTATTCTACTGTTCTTGGGTAGATTGTTCTGTAAATAATGATTAAAATCTGTTGGCTAAAGATGTTTGAGTCCTTTATGTAATTTTTATAAAATTACTTTGGAAAATAATGAACTAAAAACTAAAGAAATTAATTGTAATAAATCAGAGAGACAAAAATGCATAAACTTAAAACATAAAATGTTCCTATGCCAAAAGAAAAATACTATGCTGAGCAAAGGATAGAGAGAAACATATCATAGAGAAACAAATACAACGACCAACAAACATTAAAAAATTTTAAGCCACACTGGTAGTTAAAAATGGAGATCCCCTCCCCCTCCCCCTCCCCCTCCCCCTCCCCCTCCCTCTTTCTACGGTCTCCCTCTCTTGCTGAGCCTGGACTGTACTGCCATGATCTCGGCTTGCTGCAACCTCCCTGCCTCGGGCTCCCATGATTCTCCTGCTTCGACCTGCCAAGTGCCTGGGATTCCAGGCACACGCCGCCACGCCTGACTGGTTTTTGTATTTTTGGTGGAGACGGGGTTTTGCCGTGTTGCCCGGGCTGGTCTCCAGCTCCTGGCCTCGGGTGGTCTGCCTGCCTCGACCTCCCGAGGTACTGGGATTGCAGACGGAGTCTCGTTCACTTAATGCTCAGTGTTGCCCAGGCTGGAGTGCAGTGGCGTGATCTCGGCTGGCTACAACCTCCACCTCCCAGCCGCCTGCCTTGGCCTCCCAAAGTGCTAAGATTACAGCCTCTGCCCGCCCGCCACCCCGTCTAGGAAGTGAGCAGCGTCTCTGCCTGGCCACCCATCGTCTGGGATGTGAGGAGCCCCTCTGCCCAGCCGCCCCATCTGGGAAGTGAGGAGTGCCTCTGCCCAGCCACCACCCCATCTAGGAAGTGAGGAGCATCTCTGCCTGGCTGCCCATCGTCTGGGTTGTGAGGAGCGCCTCTGCCCAGCCGCCCCGTCTGGGAGGAAGTGAGGAGCACCTCCGCCCGGCTGCCCCGAATGGGAAGTGAGGAGCGCCTCTGCCTGGCCGCCCCATCTGGGAAGTGAGGAGCGCCTCTGCCCGGTCTCCCCCCCATCTAGGAAGTAAGGAGTGTCTCTGCCCGACCGCCCACTGTCTGGGATGTGAGGAGCACCTCTGCCCGGCCGCCCCATCTGGGAAGTGAGGAGCGCCTCTGCCCAGCTGCCCCGTCTGGGATGTGAGGAGCGCCTCTGCCCGGCGGCCCATCGTCTGGGAAGTGGGGAGCGCCTCTGCCCGGCCACCCTGTCTGGGAAGTGAGGAGTGCCTGTGCCTGGCCGCCCCATCTGGGTAGTGAGGAGTGTCTCTGCCTGTCCGCCCATCGTCTGGGAGGTGAGGAGCGCCTCTTCCCAGCCGCCCATCATCTGGGATGTGAGGAGCGCCTCTGCCCAGCCACCCTGTCTGGGAAGTGAGGAGCACCTCTGCATGGCCGCCCCATCTGGGAGGTGTACCCAACAGCTCCGAAGAGACAGCGACCATGGAGAACGGGCCATGATGACGATGGTGGTTTTGTCAAAAAGAAAAGGGGGAAATGTGGGGAAAAGAAAAAGAGATCAGATTGTTACTGTGTCTGTGTAGAAAGAAGCAGACATGGGAGACTCCGTTTTGTTCTGTACTAAGAAAAATTCTTCTGCCTTGGGATGCTGTTAATCTATAACCTTACCCCCAACCCTGTGCTCTCTGAAACATGTGCTGTGTCAACTCAGGGTTAAATGGATTAGGGCGGTGCAAGATGTGCTTTGTTAAACAGATGCTTGAAGGCAGCATGCTCATTAAGAGTCATCACCACTCCCTAATCTCAAGTACCCAGGAACACAAACACTGCAGAAGGCCGTAGGGACCTCTGCCTAGGAAAACCAGAGACTTTTGTTCAAGTGTTTATCTGCTGACCTTCTCTCCACTATTATCCTATGACCCTGCCACATCCCCCTCTCTGAGAAACACCCAAGAATGATCAATAAATACAAAAAAAAAAATGAAGATTAAAATGAAGAAATACCTTTTTTGACTCTTTAATGTAGTGAAGGTAAAAAGGCAATATTAATTCCAGTGATGATTTGTTGAAACTAAACTATTCTTACTGGAGTGAAAATATAAGTGGTGAAAAACTTTTAGTGGTAAATTTGGCCTTTTGTTTATAATTTTTATATGAAAAATTTCTTCAAGAATGTGTTTACTATCTTTCTTTGTTGGATGAGAAAGGAAAAAATAATGAAGTTTATTTATGAACTAAAATGTTATTAAAAAAATACCCGTACACAAAAATATAATATTCACAGTATTAGTTATATTGTTCTTACTAAATAATATAAAACAGTTAAGGCAATAGTAATGAGATACCAGTCCGAGGAGTAATATTTCAAAGAATATTAAAATTCTGGTATAACAAATTTTAGAAGATGGATTGGTGAGGAGCAGACAATGGTCAGAACAAGAACAGGGAATACAGTAAGAGGAGTGAATCCAGGTCAAACCATGTGCTGGACATGGCTCCCTTCCTGCTTCTGCATAGTACACTGATCTTTCTGACCTACAGCTCCCTACTTTGAGCAGGCATCTGTGTAGGGAGCACTGTCACCATCAAGTTACTGTCCAGGAAGAGTCACTAGCATTCTTTCAGTCATCAGTCACATTCATTTAGAGGCCTAAACCAAGAGTGAAAGAATGAGGATTCAAAATATTTTATGCTATATTTTCCCACTGAATCCCATTTCAAGATTGAAAGAGTAGATATTTCATTTGATTGACTTATGAGAATTAATCACTAAACTGTTCTACTCAAGTTTTTGGTGATTGTTTTGTGTTTGTGTTTGGTCTTTAGAAAGAATGATATTTTTATTTTAGCATTACCTTCATGCCAATTAATTTATGTACATTCTTATTATTCCTTTCTTTCATAAGCTTCTCCTATTTGGTTTGACAAGCTTAAATATCATTTGACTCTTACCTCTAACCTACTTAGTAAGCATTTTCTATTTTCCCATTTCCCTATATTTTTAGCTTCCATTTTAAGTTGGCTATTAATACATTATAGATCATATTACTAGTATATATTATTGTTTCAGCCCATTTCCACTGTAAGTTAGTCTTAGATTTACAGAGAAATACATTCTATTTTCCCTGCTGTTCTTTGTTACCCAAGTTTCTTCAGCAGTCTCTTGTTTGCATAAAGCTTGTTTTCTGGTATAATCCTCAGGAAGTGTTTCTGAATACAAGATTCCCAGAGCTCTTGCATGTTTAAATTGTTTTTCTACTGCTTTGAATCTCAAAGAAGTTTGACTGGATATAGAATTCTTTACTTGCATCTTTCTTCCTTGAGCTTCTTGATGGTGGTATTCCACAGTTGTTTAATGAAACAGCTGGTATCATACTGATTTTCTTTCCCTTCTCAGTAATGTGCCTTCTTGCCTGGAGGCCCTTGAGGTATTTTTCCCTTTACATTTATGTCTACTAACTTTGCTTGGGTAGTTTTTAGAACTGACAATTTTGAATCTATTTCCTCAAGTATATAGTGGATTCTTCTCATATGTAGTTAAGTCTCTTATTTAACAGATATTGTTCTTCAGTTACAGTTTTAAATATTAGTTCTCTCATTGTTTTGTTTTCTCTTCACTGATTCTAAGCATGTATTTTAGCTATCTTCCCCCATATTCTATGTCTGTCACAAAATTTATATCAGAGGTTGTGTACTTCCTTTTACTGTATTTTTATTTTCTTAATAATTTACATTCTTATTGTTCATCCCCCTTTGGTACTTTTCATAATATCTACTCTACTTTGGGGTCTTTGCAGTTGAGTTATTCTTTCTGAGATACTTTTGCCTGTTTTGTTTTTTGATTTATAGTAAGAATTTTGTTGACTCACTTTTCACTCTCTTCTAGTTGTTCATTTCCATGCTGAGTTTTGACATTTTAGATACATGATATGCTTTTTTACGTGAAACTGCTTTATTTAATTAAATTTGATTCAATTTTATATCCTGTGTTACAACTTTTCTCTATCTGATGGTTCTCTTTTTAAAATCATTTTGGTTGTTGCACTTTGTTTGACTTTGTAGGGATGTTCATGATGATCTTTTCATGATTTCTAAGTAAGATGCTCCTGAACTAGCAAAAGCAAGCCATGCTGGGGTGGGGGTGGGGGTGGGGGTTTCGTGGCTTCCTTGGTTTCTTAGTTCAACAGTGCTCTCTCCTGCTGCTGCAGTACGTACACTTGCTTTAATTAAAGGACCCTGATTTGCTGTTATTAACTTGGTCAGCTTTATTCTGATTCTTTGAAACTAACTTTATTTAGTAAGGCCTGCTTTCCTCCTTCACTTTATGACCAAGTCTCCAAAGGCGTCTTGTCCTGTCTCCAAGGCACCTCTCTCTTCCTGAGCACTGCACCTTCTCAATGCTGCCGCCCTGCACAGGTGCACTTCCAAGTCATGCCTTTCCATTCCCTGGGGGCCGGTGCTCTGGGCCACCAAGTCTCACACAGATCAGATTTCCAATGTTTCTCCTTCAGGAAGAGGCTCTTTCCCACTGTAGATAGACTCTGAGTGTTACTGTCTATGTTCATCATCATTAGGATCCCACCACGGCTTCCTCCCTCTACTTCTGATTTTCAGGTCTGGTATAGGCTAAGATGTTTACTTCCACATTTTTAGGTAAATGAAGTTTGTCTTATTCTCTGCCTCCAAGTTCTACTCCAGCATGCGTTTTGGATAATTCTATGCATCCTCTGTGCTGGTCTCTATGACTTCTTCCAGGACTTACTGAGAGAGTCTCCCTTTACTTCACAAAATCTGGTAGTTTACCTCTCTCAGGCTTAATTTCTCCATGTAGCCTAAAATTAATCTGAAAACCTCTAATCTAGTAATTTCATTTCTATGAAGTGAAACTAAAGAAAACTTGGAATCTAAATAAAAATGTGTGTACAATGAGACTAAAATATTAATTATCATATTAAATTTGAAATTAAACTGTCCAAATAAAAATAACTTGTTACAGTCATAATCTAGAATATATTTTGCCCTTACAAATCATGTTTGTGATAAATAATGATTAATGTGGGAAAAAGTTCTTGGTAACTGGAAAATTAAGACATGAACTCTTATATCCAATATGACATCACTTTGAGTATTTAGACATGTATACCCATAGATAAAGGGCAAGAGGGAAATATTGACTGCACAGACACTTAATGGAATGGGGTATGATTATGCTTATTTATAGGTTTCTATAAATTTACAAATTCCCTCAAATTCCTTCAATGAACATACCTTTTTATATGCTTCTTTTTGCAATTATATATAAAAAATGTATGGAATTTTTTTAAAGTTTTAAAAATTCAGAAAAGCAACAATAACAAAAATGAGAACACTAACAACCAAATTTTCTTGTATACCAAAAATAATGCATTAGAATGCAACAAAGGAACAAATCTCATAATCTCATTCATAGCAGCAAGTAAAAAGCTTTTAACAAATCAAGCAATAAAGCTAACTGTGCTCATCTATTATCAAAAATTATAAAACTTTCCTGTGAAACATAAAGGAATGCATACATTTTGAATAACTCAATTTATTGGCTGCTTTCATACCTAAAGTTTTGAAATTATAAACATTCAATTTTCCAATATTAATTAATACATTATGCCATGAACTCACATTTATGTGTGTTTATATCTATAAAGCTTCTTGGGAGCAAGCCCCCCCCAAAATCTGGCCATAAACTGGCCCCAAGACTGGCCATAAACAAAATCTCTGCAGCACTGTAACATATTTATAATGGCCCTAACACCCAAGCTGGAAGGTTGTAGGTTTACGGGAATGACGGCAAGGAACACCTGGCCTGCCCAGGGCAGAAAACCACTTAAAGGCATTCTTAGGCCACAAACAATAACATGAGCGATCTATGTCTTAAGGACATGTTCCTGCTGCAGTTAACTAGCCCAACCTATTCCTTTAATTTGGCCCATCCCTTCATTTCCCATAAGGGATACTTTTAGTTAATTTAATATCTATAGAAACAATGCTAATGACTGGTTTATTGTTAATAAATATGTGGGTAAATCTCTGTTCAAGGGTCTCAGCTCTGGAGGCTGTGAAACCCCTGATTTCCCACTTCACACCTCTATATTTCTGTGTGTGTGTCTTTAATTCCTCTAGCGCTGCTGGGTTAGGGTCTCCCCAGTTGAGCTGGTCTCGGCAAGTGGCGTCCATTTCATTCGTGGGGGCTGAAATCCAGGTCAAAGTGTCACCAGAGTGATGGTTGGAATGGAAAACTAGCTGGAGGACACCCAAGTACTCTTAAAGCAATCCCCATGGTGAGTAAGAAGGGGAGCTCGGAAGCATCAGGGTAACAATGGGACAAGTGTGGGATCTGGTTCATTCTGCCTTGGAACTTTTTCACACTGATGACAAGGAAGAACAAGAGTATAGCAAAGTAATAGAAGAGGTTACATAGCATGTTTCTTTGCCAGCTCAAGCTAAAGCAGCAAAGGAAGGAGAGGTTCATTCCTACCCTTCTGCACCCCCTCCTTATTATTTTGAAGAAAATGATCTCCTAGATCTTTCTTTTCCAGAGGACACTGGGCGAAAAGTAATTGCCCCAGTGACTGTTTGAGCAGCACCTCGAGCAATGGTTCTTAGTTCTATTCAGGCAGGAATTCAGCAAGCTAGATGAGATGGTGATTTAGAGGCTTGGCAGTTCCCTGTTAGAATACACCCCCCAGATCAACAGGGAAATATTACAGCTACATTTGAGCCTTTTCCTTTTAAATTACTCAAATAATTTAAACAAGCTATTCATACTAAAAAAGAATGTACAAAAAATCAGTGAGTCAGGCTGCCAGATAGAGGAAAAAAGAAAATTGCTGAGCCTGAAATATGTCCAAAATGTAAAAAAGGAAAATATTAGGCTAATCAGTGTCACTCTAAGTTTGATAAAGATGGGAACCAGATTTTGGAAAATGCCATGAGGGGCCCGTCCTGGGCCCCATTCTAAACTGGGGCATTTCCAGCTCAGGCCATTCCCTCACCCCTGTACAATGTCTGTCCCCTGCCACAACTGGTAGTGCCACAGTAGATTTATGCTACACAAAAGCTGTGAGCCTTCTGCCTGGGGAACCCTCACAAAAGGTCCCAGAAGGAGTCTGTGGACCCTTGCCAGCAGGGACTATAGGATTACTTTTAGGAAGGTCTAGTTTAAGTCTAAAAGGGGTGCAAATACATACAGGAGTCATTGATTCAGATTACAATGGGGAAATTCAAATTGTTATATCTACTTCTGTTCCCTGGAAAGCAGAGCCAGGAGAGCACATAGCACAGCTCCTGATTGTGCCATATGTGGGAATGGGAAAAAATGAAATTAAACAAACAGGAGGATTTGGAAGCATAAATAAATAAGGCAAAGCAGATTACTGGGTAAATCAAATTACTGATAAACATCCTACCTATGAAATAACTATTCAAGGAAAGAAATTTAAAGGATTGGTGGATACAGGAGTGGACATTTCAATCATTTCTCTACAGCACTGGCTGTCTACGTGGCCAATTCAACCCACTCAATTTAACATAGTTGGAGTTGGTAAAGTTGCTGAAGTATATCAAAGTAGTTATATTTTGCATTATGAAAGGCCTGATGGACAACCTGGGACTATTCAACCGATTATAACTTCTGTAACTATACATTTATGGGGAAGAGATTTATTATAACAATGGAGAGCACAAGTTCTAATTCCAGAACAATTATATAGCCCTCAATGTCAACATACAATGCATGAAATGGGGTATGTCCCTGGTATGGGACTAGAAAAAAATTTGCAAGGTTTGAAAGAACCACTTCAAGTGGAAAAACAAAGTTCCCACCAAAGATTAGGAAATAATTTTTGAGGGTGGCCATTGTTAAGCCTCCAGAACCTATACCTTTAAAATGGTTAACAGATAAGCCAATTTGGATAAAACAAAGGCCACTAAGTAAAGAAAAACTGGAAGCTTTAGAGAAATTAGTTGCAGAACAATTAGAAAATGGGCACATAGCTCCAACATTTTCTCCTTGAAATTCTCCAGTTTTTGTAATTAAGAAAAAATCAGGTAAATGGAGAATGTTAACTGACTTAAGAGCCATCAATTCAGTTATACAACCTATGGGAGCATTACAGCCAGGATTGCCTTCTCCTGCTATGATTCCAAAAAGTTGGCCTTTAATAGCCATGGATTTGAAGGACTGTTTCCTTACTATCCCCTTGGCTGAGCAAGACTGTGAATGGTTTGCATTTACTATTCCTGCAGTAAACAACCTGCAGCCTGCTAAGCGTTATCATTGGAAAGTGTTGCCACAGGGCATGTCAAACAGCCCAACAATTTGCCAGACGTATGTGGGGCAAGCAATTGAACGTACTCATAAAAAAATTTCACAGTGTTACATTATTCACCATATGGATGATATACTTTGTGCTGCCCCCACTTGAGAAATATTACTCCAATGTTATGATCACTTGCAAAATTCGATTTCTCATGCTGGTTTAATTATAGCTCCTGACAAAATTCAGACTACTACTCCTTACTCCCACTTGGGGACCTTAGTAAATGACACTACCATTGTGCCACAGAAAGTAACCGTACGTAGGGATCAACTAAAAACATTAAATGACTTTCGAAAATTACTAGGGGTTATTAATTGGATACGACCTGCTCTAGGCATTCCTACCTATGCCATGAGTAATCTGTTTTCTATCCTTAGAGGAAATCCTAGTCTCACTAGCCCTCGGCAATTAAAAAAGGAGGCGGAGGCAGAGTTACAACTGATTGAGAAGCAAGTCCATAAAGCTCAGATAAATAGAATAGATCCAGAGAAGACTCTAGATTTGCTAATTTTTTCAACTCAGCATTCACCTTCTGGTGTTATTGTCCAAGAACAGGACTTAGTAGAGTGGCTTTTTCTTCCACATACTAATTCATGGACTCTAACTCCTTATTTAGATCAAATCGCTACTCTGATAGGGATTGGAAGAACTTGGATGGTTAAATTACATGGATATGATCCTGGAAAAATTATTGTCCCTCTCATGAAGGCATAAATACAGCAAGCTTTTATAAATAGTCTTACTTGGCAAACCCATTTAGCTGACTCTGGGGGTATTCTCAATAATCATTTTCCTAAAACAAAGCTGTTTCAGTTTTTGAAATTAACTAATTGGATTCTCCGTAAAATAACTAAATTTAAACCAATTGAAGGTGCTGAGAATGTTTTTACAGATGGGTCTAGTAATGGTAAAGCTTCTTATTCTGGCTCAAAATTAAAGTTTTCCAGACATCCTGTACCTCAGCTCAAAAAGTGGAGCTTATAGCGGTAATTGAGGTATTGACTGCCTTTGATATGCCTATTAATGTGATTTCTGATTCTTCATATGTTGTTCAGTCCACACAGTTAATTGAAAATGCTCAGTTACAATTTAATACAGATGAACAACTGATGACTTTATTTACCCAATTGCAAACAACAGTTAGAAGTAGAATGCACCCTTTTTACGTGACTCACATTAGAGCTCATACACTCTTCCAGGACCTTTGACTGAAGGAAATCAAATGGCTGATCACCCAGTTGCTACTGCAATATCTAATGGTAGACACTTTCACAATTTAACCCATGTTAATGCCTCTGGTCTCAAATGCAGATACGGCATTACCTGGAAAGAAGCTAAAGCTATTATCCAGTGATGCCCAACTTGCCAAGTGGTACGTTCCTCATCTTTTACAGAAGGAGTTAATCCTCGAAGACTAGAACCTAACTCTGGCAAATGGAGGTCACACATGTTCCCTCATTTGGGAGACTAGCTTATGTACATGTAGTGTGGACACCTTTTCTCACTTTGGGCTACATGCCAAACAGGAGAGTCTTCTGCCTGTGTTAAACATCATCTTTTACAGTGCTTTGCGGTGATGGGCATTCCAGCTTCTATTAAAACAGATAATGCCCCAGGCTGTACTAGCCAAGCTCTAGCTACATTTTTCTCTATGTGGAATATTAAACACATTACTGGTATCCCATACAATTCTCAAGGACAAACCATAGTAGAAAGAATGAATCTCTCCCTAAAACAGCAGTTGCAAAAGCAGAAAGGGGGAGACAGAGAATATGGAACACCACAGATACAACTGAACCTAATATTATTAACTTTAAATTTTTTGAGGCTGCCCAGAGGCCAGATGTTATCAGCAGCTGAACAGCATTGACAGAAACCAGCTGCAAAGACAGAAACAGAACAACAGATTTGGTGAAGAGATCCAATAACAAAAAGTTGGGAAATAGGTAAAATAATAACTTGGGGTAGAGGTTATGCTTGTATTTCTCCAGGCCAAAATCAACAGCCGATTTGGATACCATCAAGACACCTGAAACCTTATCATGAGCCAGATGCCAAAGAAGAGACTCTGAGAGGACCCCGAGGACCCCTCAATAACAGCCATGTCAAGACTGACGCTGAGGAGAACCCCAACTGTCATGAGCAACACCCGTTTAACACAGCCACCCACCTGGGGACAAATCAAGAAGCTGTCAAAGATGGTGGAAGAAAACCTGAGGAAAGTGGGACAGCCAGTCACAGTGAATAATTTAAGGATAGCTATGATAGCAGTTATCACCACTGCCATGAGTATTCCTTCAATAAGGGCTGACATAGAGAACAATTATACTTATTAGGTATATTTATCAATCTTGGCTGGCAATAATGCCTGGATGCAATCACTTTATGACACAGTTACACATGCTTTCTGATCTCAGTATTTACCATAATAAATCTGCTCTTATAATTGAGGCATACCACCCTCAAAAACCTATTTGTAAACAGTTAGAAAAAATGAACGTACTTGTTTAGGAAGATTGCACTGCAGAACAGGCAGAGGTGCTGCACAACAATTCCTATGGAATCATTATTAATTGGTCCCCTAAGGGGATGTTTAGCTTGAATTGCACCCCTCAGTCTGCATGCCACGGCCACACTATGTTCAGATGATCTGAACAAAACGGTCAGATGGTAGAAATGATAAGAAGTACAGCAAAAGTTCCTATTATCTGGAACCATGGTGTTACAGTGGCACCTCAGCCTCAAATGATATGGCCTGCTCTAGGAGCTAAACATAGGGATTTGTGGAAACTATTAAATGCTCTTAATAAGATCAAAATTTGGGAAAGAATAAAAAAGCATCTAGAAGGACACTCTATAAACTTGTTTTTGGATATAGCAAAATTAAAAGAACAAATATTTAAAGCATCCCAGGCACACCTGACCTTAATGCCAGGAACTGGAGTGCTTAAAGGAGCTGCAGACAGATTAGCAGCTAGTAACCCATTAAAATGGATAAAAACACTTGGAAGCTCTGTGATTTCAATGATGACTGTGCTTTTAATCTATGTTGTTTGTCTTTTTATAGTCTGCAGATGCGGATTCTGACTCCTGCGAGAAGTAGCTCACCATGACAAAGCTGCCCTTGCTTTTATCTCTTTGCAAATCAAAGAAGGGAGACGTGTTGGAAGCAAGCCCCCCTAAAATCTGGCCATAAACTGGCCCCCAAACTGGCCATAAACAAAATCTCTGCAGCACTGTAACATATTCATAATGGCCCTAACGCCCAAGCTGGAAGGTCGTGGGTTTATGGGAATGAGGGCAAGGAACACCTGTCCCACTCAGGGTGGAAAACCGCTTAAAGGCATTCTTAAGCCACAAACAATAGCATAAGCGATCTGTCTTAAGGGCGTGTTCCTGCTGCAGTTAACTCACACAACCTAGTCCTTTAATTCAGCCCATCCCTTCATTTCCCATAAGGGATACTTTTAGTTAATTTAATATCTATATGAACAATGCTAATGACTGGTTTGCTGTTAATAAATATGTGGGCAAATCTCTGTTCACGGGTCTCAGCTCTGGAGGCTGTGAGACCCCTGATTTCCCACTTCACACCTCTATATTTCTGTGTGTGTGTCTTTAATTCCTCTAGTGCCACTGAGTTAGGGTCTCCCCAACCGAGCTGGTCTCAGCAAAGCTAAAGTCACAAATGGAAGATTCTGTAAGAGAGTAAAGCTCAGAAAAATAAGAACACAGGGAGGAAACAGCCCTTTCTCATAACTGCACTTATTCTATAGCTTCAATAATTAAAAGTGCTGTTGACATAAATGAACATGGATGGAAATAAAGGAAAATGAGAGAAAAAAGAATAAATATAAAATTTTCATCATTATAAGGATAGTATTCCAAATCAGTGGGGGAAGTGTGTTGTGTAGTGTAAATAATTTGGAAGCAAATGGATATTTATTCAGAAAAGTAAAACTAAAGGTAGGTTACAGGTTCCTAGTTTTGTTTGTTTGTTTGTTTCTTTCTTTCTTTTGAGATGGAGTCTCACTCTGTCACCCAGGCTGGAGTGCAGTGGCATGATCTCAGCTCACTGCAACCTTCACCTCCCAGGTTCAAGTGATTCTTCTGACTCAGCCTCCCAAGTAGCTGGGACTACAGGCATGTGCCACCCTGCTCGGCTAACTTTTGTATTTTTAGTAGAGATGGGTTTCACAATATTGGCCAGGCTGGTTTCGAACTCCTGGCCTCATGATCCGTCCACCTCAGCCTCCCAAAGTGCTGAGATTACAGGCGTGAGCCACCACACCTGGCCCAGGCTTCTGGTTTTTAAGTAGTGGAGGAAAGATAGTGTTTCTCACTTCTTTTCTTACAAATTTCAACTTGGAAAAAAAAAAAGAAGAGAATGAGAAACAGAAATCCAAGCTGTATGTTCAATGACACAAACTGTGTCTTCAGTTATCCCATTTTGCAAAATAGAAGAATGTGCTGCCAGGTGCAGTGAAGATCAGGCTTGAGTGTGGGAAGATCCTGAGGGTGAAGGCTCTAATGCATCTCAGACATGAGAATGGAGATGAGACATCAGGTGTCAGTGGGGGTGTCACCTGGGAGCCCCATGCCTCTTGGTAGTATTACAGTGATGAAGAGAATGTCACTGCAGATGGCATTAGGCTGACTTCTAATCTGCACTAAGCCACCAGTCTATACTGATGAGGCTGCTGGGCCTCCAAACTTGTGACCTCTGCCAGCTGCCCCAACATGAGAATGAAGAGGAGGGAAGGAAGCCTCTCTCCAAGGAAGATGAGAGCACCAAGAAGTGTTCTGGGAGAAACATTTGGAGGGAGTGTGAAAAGGAGAATGTGGGAAGAAAAAAGGCTACATCTCTAAAGCTAAAAGAAAATATTTTAAAATAAATGCTATAAACACATACTGTATATACAGTTAAGACATTTTATCCTAAATTTGATAATATTAAATTCTACACTCCAATTTGGAAATTAAAACAGAATTTAAGTGATATGATTTGGCTCTGTGTCCCCACCCAAATCTCACCTTGAATCATAATAATCCCATGTCAAGGGTGGGACCAGGTGGAAATAATTGAATGACGGGGGTGGTTTCCCTCATATTGTTCTCATGACAGTGAGTCACTTATCATAAGATCTGATAGTTTTATAAGGGGAGTCCCCCCTTTGCTTGACTCTCATTCTCTCTTCTGCCACCCTGTAAAGAGGTGTCTTCTGCCATGATTATAAGTTTCCTGAGGCTTCCCCAGCCATGCAGTACTTTAAGACAATTAAAACTATTTTTTAATAAATTACCCAGTCTTGAGAATTTCTTCATAGCAGCATGAGAACAGACTAATACAGTAAATTGGTACCAGTAGAGTGGGGTGCTGCTATAACAATACCTGAAAATGTGGAAGTGACTTTGGAACTGGGTAATAGGCAGAGGTTGGAAGAGTTTGGAGGGCTCAGAAGAAGATAGTGCCGAGACCAGCTCGGGTGGGGAGACCCTAACCCAGCAGCACTAGAGGAATTAAA
This sequence comes from Homo sapiens, assembly GCF_000001405.40. Classification (NCBI taxonomy): domain Eukaryota; kingdom Metazoa; phylum Chordata; class Mammalia; order Primates; family Hominidae; genus Homo; species Homo sapiens. Next base: position 54,457,033 of record NC_000007.14, read on the forward strand.
GACACACACACAGAAATATAGAGGTGTGAAGTGGGAAATCAGGGGTCTCACAGCCTTCAGAGCTTAGAGCCTCAAACAGAGATTTACCCATGTATTTATTAACAGTAAACCAGTCATTAGCATTGTTTCTATAGATATTAAATTAACTAAAAGTATCTCTTATGGGAAACAAAGGGATGGGCTGAATTAAAGGACTAGGTTGGGCTAGTTAACTGCAGCAGGAGCATGTTCTTAAGGCACAGATCACTCATGCTATTGTTTGTGTCTTAAGAATGCCTTTAAGCGTTTCTCCCCCCTGGGCAGGCCAGGTATTCCTTGCCCTCATTCCCATAAGCCCACAACCTTCCAGCTTGGGCTTTAGGGCCATTATGAATATGTTACAGTGCTGCAGAGATTTTGTTTATGGCCAGTTTGGGGGCCAGTTTATAGCCAGATTCTGGGGTGCCTGCTCCCACCATAGGAGGATGTGAGAAACTTTGGAACTTTCATAGAGACTTGTTGAATGGCTTTGACCAAAATGCTCGTAGCGATATGGACAATGAAGTCCAGGCTGAGGTAGTCTCAAATGGAGATAAGGAACTTGTTGGGAACTGGAATAAAGGTGATCCTTGTTATGTTTTAGCAAAGAGGCTGGCAACATTTTTCCCATGCCCTAGAGATCTGTGGAACTTTGAACTTGAGAGAGATAATTTAGGGTATCTGATGGAAGAAATTTCTAAGTGGCAAAGCATTCAAGAGGAAGGAGAGCATAAAAGTTTGGACAATTTGCAGTCTGATGATGCAATAGAAAATAAAAACACATTTTCTGAGGAGAAATTCAAGTTGGTTGCTAACTAACGAGAAGCCAAATGTTAATCACCAGGACAATGGAGAAAATGTCACCAGGGCATGTCTGAGACCTTCACAGCAGCCCCTCCCATCACAGGCCCAGAGGCCTAGTGGGGAACAAAAAATTCGTGGGCCAGACCCAGAGCCTCCCTGTTCTGTGAAGCCTTGGGACTTGGTGCCCTGCATCCCAGCTACATCAGCTCCAGCCATGGCTAAAAGGAGCCAAGGTACACCTCGGGTCATTGCTTTACAGGGTGTAAGCTCCAAGCCTTGGCAGCTTACACATAGTGTTGGGCTTGCCGGTGCACAGAAGTGAGGAATTGAGGTTGGGGATCCTCTGCCTAGATTTCAGAGGATGTAGAGAAACACCTGGGTGTCCAGGCAGAAGTCTGCTGCAAGAGTGGAGCCCTCATGGAGAACCTCTGCTAGGGCAGTGCAGAAGGGAAATCTGGGGTTGGAGTCCCCCACACAGAGTCCCCACTGGGACACTGCCTAGTGGAGCTGTGAGAAGAGGGCAACCATCCTTCAGAACCCAGAATGTTAGATCCACCAACAGCTTGCACCATGCTCCTGGAAAAGCCACAGACAATTAACACCAGCCCATGAAAGCAGCCAGGAGGGGAACTGTTCCCTGCAAAGTCACAGGGGAGAAGCTGTCCAAAACCATGGGAACCCACATCTTGCATCAGCATGACCTGGATGTGAGACATGGAGTGAAAGGAAATAATTAGTAACGTTTAAAATTTAATGATTGCCCTATTGGATTTTGGACTTGAATGGGGCCTGTAGCCCCTTCGTTTTGACCAATTTCTCCCATTTAGAGTGGGTGTATTTTTTCAATGCCTGTACCCCAATTGTATCTAGGAAGTCACTAACTTGCTTTTGATTTTACAGGCTCATAGGCAGAAGGGACTAGCCTTGTCTTAGATAAGACTTTGGACCTGGACTTTTGGATTAGTGCTGGAATGAGTTAAGACTTTGGGGGACTGTTGGAAGGGCATAATTATGTTTTGAAATGTGAGGACATGAGATTTGGGAAGAGCCACGAGTGGAATAATATGATTTGGCTCTGTGTCCCTACCCAAATCTGGGATTTGAATTGTAAGAACCCCCACATGTCAAGGGCAGACCTAGGTAGAGATAATTGAATCATAGGAGTGGTTTCCCCCAAACTGTTCTTGTGATAGTGAGTTCTCACAAGATCTGATGGTTTTATAAGGGGTTTCCCCCCTTCACACAGCTCTTATTCTCTCTCTTGCCAACCTGTGGGGTGGTGCCTTTTGTCATGATTGTAAGTTTCCTGAGGCCTCCCCAGCCATGTAGAACTGTGAGTCAATTAAACCTCCTTTCTTTATAAATTACACAATCTCAGGTATTTATTTATGGCAGCATGAGAACAAACAATACAATAACACAGATCACTGAAGCTTAAAACTTATTAAAACATGTCCTTATAAATGTTTTATTTCTGAAACAGGGTTAACCAGACTTCCTTCTTGTGCTAGCTAACCAACTATTGGACTCTACTGCCAGGACTGATGTCTGAGCACTAACCCAACTGTGGGACTTGACCCCCCAGAGCCGACTTCCATGCACTAACCCAGCTGTAGGACTCACCTTCCAGAGCTGACTTCTATGCACTAACAAAGCTGTGGGATTCACCCCCTAGAGCTGACTTGCATGCACTAACCCAACTGTGGGGCTCACTCCCCGGAGCTGACTTTCAGGCACTAACCCAGCTGTGAGACTCACACCCTAGAGCTAACTTCTATGCACTAACCCAACTGTGGGACTAGCTCACCAGCACTACCTTCTGTGCACTAACCCTCCTAGATGTAAATCAAAGCATTGGGGTCCACATCCCTAGCACAGGCATCCCTGAGTGTGATTCAGATGAGTGTGAGGTGCTGCTTTCTGAATCATTTGGTACTTTAGTAGGGAAAAGAGGGAAAGTTTTCTTTGGGTACATCTTCCCAGTAAGTAACATCTCCTCTTCCACTGGGAAAATTTTCAAGATATCAGGCAACATTAATCTCACATATTTAGTATTTGCCCAGATCTGACTAGGCAGGCATGGAGTAAATGCCCTAAAACAGGTGTAATCTGATTTCCCCAATGTACTTTTAGAAAGGCTAAAGATTTTATGAGCAATTTGGACTACCAAGGTGTAGCTTCTTAAAATATTCAGAAAACCAAAATAAACAAGGGAGTCAAATCTTCCAGATGAGGAATATGGTAATAGCTATGTGAATACAGATAGATTTTCTTTAAAGGTCTTAGTACTCAAGGTGTGGCCCATGGGTCAGCAACATCGCCACAGACTGGGAGCTAGTTAGAAATGCAGGATCCAAGAAGTGGTAAATGGTGCAAAATTCATGAGTATCATTGGTAGAAAGAAAATTTCTTCAAAAGTAATGGACAAATCTCTTAAGGTTAATTGGTTTCCAAAATTGGAATTCAAGATATGTGAGTTCAGTGCTCTTTCTATTTTACCAAGCTATTTTTGCAAATAATGTCAACCAATTACTAAAAAAGGAAGTCTTAAATATTTATACCTTAAAGTAGAATTGATTTTTGAAAATACCAATGGTTCCAAACTAATTTTTAATAATCTGTTTTCAAGCTCTCCTTTACTTTTAAATACTAAGATCTCTACTAATGAAAATAAGCACTTATTTGAAGTTTAAAAATTTCCTTAGTTTCACTTTTGTTTCTTTTTAAAATTAAATGTTATTAAAATTCAATGTATATTCTCATTTAAAAAATAGAATGCAACATTAATTTATGTATGACTAAAAAGGGAAAACTGTTATTCAAATAACAGTTTCATTATAACTCAGGATTTTTATTTTACACTTACAGAAAGACCTCTTTTAGATAAGTTTTTATCATAAATCATTTTTGTATGTACATAAGAAGGAAAATAATATGAGCAAAATGAATGATTGATGTATTTCCAAATTTCTTTATCTTTAAATGTAAATTCTTCTGTAATATTTCAGATAATAGTGTTGATATCCTCATATTTCCCCACCACACAGTATGGTCCTTTGTGCCTTCAAGAGCATTGATCATGCAGCATCTCATAAAAGTGTTTCACTATCCTCTCTGGGAGCTTTTTTCAAATCACTAATATCTTTCTGCAAGTTTTGATGTTCTCACCTTCTTGATCCTAACAAACAACAACTGGGACTCATATTCCTTCCTCAAAAGTTTCTTAAAAGTTTTGGTGATGGACACACTGCTCCTGATTTAGGTCATCAGGAAAAAGAATAAGCTCTGCACACCAATCAGAGCTTATTGGCTCTGGCATCATAGACCCGTCAAATGCAAGGTATGTCCTGACTTCAAAGATGGAAAAGTATGAAAAACTATACTTATACCACTTCTTTCTCCCTTCTTTTCTCGTCTTTTCCCTTTTTCCTTCCTTTTTTCCTTTTTATAAAAACCATTCTTTCATTCTAACTTCTTTGCCCCCTCACCTTAACTCTGCACAAAAAAACAGCTCAATGAGAATAACAAAGAAGTAATTTAAACAGGTAATAAGCATTGACTTTTAAAATTTGCTTCACATTTTGATAAAATAGTAGCTTGAAGAATTCAATAATAAAGAAAGTGCAGCAAGCCTCTCATTCCAGAATAGAGCTGCACTTGGAAGTCTTTAAAAACATGTGTAAGTTATATTATTTAGAATCCGTAGGAACTTATGAACTCATAAAAGTAGATAAAAGTGGTATTCAAATAACCATGCCTCCATATAGGAGGTACCTGGTTTTTATTTCTTCATGTTTTCAATTGCAGGAATTAACACATAGTGGGATATATCATTTATATATATGCAGTTTGACATAATGAGAGACTAGAAGATGATAACATTTTAGCAATACAAGAAAATAGAAAACACTTTTTTATTTTCTTGTTGCATAACCCTCAGCTCCATTTTCTTTTGACATAAAGTTCCTTTCCTGGTAAATTTTCTGCATATTCAAACAATATCACAATACAAATAAATACAAGAAAAGTAGCTTAATGTTTGACTTAATATGCAATTTGGTTTGTTTGTGTTAAAAAGAAAGATATATTGGTATCTCAGTAATTATAAAATCTTAGTAACTATTAGTTGGATGATCACTAAGATAAGCTTTCTAATTTTACTTCTTAAAAATTTAACACAAAAATTAAAATTGAATTTTAGAAAATTAAAGTTCTTTACAATTGATACCATGCTTGTTTTTTCACATATTGGATAAAAGCACATAAATTACAAAGTAAATTTCAGTTGTTTCTATTTATATGGGTATGTTTGTATGTGCCCATTTCAATGGCTGAATACTTATTAGCTTACATGGTCATGAAAGATGGCAGTGGCTTCCATATTCTGTCCTGTGATGTGAAGGGTATCTTTACATTTTTGGTGAATCTAGACTTTGGTAGTCATGTTTACTTAAATGAAGAAATTATCTGCGTACGAATAATAAAAATTATTTAATTCTTATATATACAAAGTGTTCTCAGTTTTAAGAAAAAAAGATGATCATTTGGAAATAAAGTAATATCTAATCACTAAGTCCACAAAGAATGCATCTGAAAATCCAATAAAATAGTAAATATGTTGCTAACATCCATCAACACAGAAGATGTGTGCCTAACAAACTAGGTTGTTTTTTTCAGTGACACAGATGTGAACTCAAGGGGAAAAAAAAAGAAATTAGAAACAAAAATTGGAGAATGGAATAATGGTAGATAACAAATTACAACTTTTTCTAGAATTATTATGTAGCCTTATACATGTCTCATAGCATATATTTGAAGTAAGTTTATGTCAGGGCATGAGATGACTAGGTAGTTTCAGAGCCTGGTTACTGTGCTAACATGGCAGTTCCTTAGTCTCACTCAACTCTAGTTTCTTTGTCTATAAAACAGAAATATTAGTGCCTATTCTTAAAATATTTGTGAGGTTTGTGTGAATCACAACTGCAGTAAATCAACTTACCGTAGATTTATTGTGTAAGTCAGTCTACAGTACCTGGTATGTTCAAAAGTAGCAGCACTTACGAGTAGTAGTAGTAAAACTAATACTACCATTGAAATGATACTTTCACTTCAGGAAATGTATAAGGGATGACTGTTATGAGTTGTTGGGGCTCAAAACATGATACCCCAAAATACAGCACTTTGACATGCTTAACTAAAAGAAGCAGCCTCCAAGTCTCTCTGACCTTCCTCTTCCCCCCTCCTGTCTCTCCATCCTCTGTCTCCCACAAAGCAAAGGATAAGGCTATTCTCCGAAGTTCCCTTATCTATCTGGAAGCCAGATCCCCAAGGAGGCACACAATTGCCTTTGATCCTTCCCATGAAATTTTATTAACCAGAGAAGATAAAACTCATAACATAGAGGAGGAGATTGAAAATTAAACACCATACCTGGAGTCCGGACAAGCTTTGTCCCAAATCATTGCTGGTTCTCAGTCCCATCGAGCTTACAAAGATATCATTTACAAGCTATTTTGTCTCCATGTTCATTCAATTCCCCTAAAAATCATTTACTATCCCTGAAAATACATTTCTCCCATCTCCTCTTCCCTTTGAAGAAGGGCATATAAGCATCTGAACCTCACTAGATTATTGAGTAATCATCCTCCTGCACTTCCCCCTTGCTTATGTACCTTAGATAAATGTGTTTGTCTTTTTCTCCTATTAATCCACGTATTGTCAGTTTATTTTCAAGGAATCCACAGAGGGCAGAAGGGAAGCTTTCCCTTGGCCACTACAGTGTCAAACATATTCTTGTTCATGCCAGAATTCCTTCTTTTGGGGTTCAAGTTAAACCTCAGGGATCTACTACATTATAGTCTAATTCAAGACATCAAAGAATTTTTTGAAAAAGATTCTTTACATTTAAAATGTTAAATTATGATCTTCAATACTTTCTAAATTTGACCTCAGACCACCACTAAAGCCCATATTTCATAATAGAAGGAGAAAAGAAAGGTTGCCTTCTTTTTCTAATGTGAGTGGTCTACAACATTGACAACTTATCAATATTGATAACTATCATTGTTTCAGACTACTCACAACTTCAATGTTTTATTCCCAAAACTACTCTATCCAAATTGCAGGTAGTGGACCAGGAATGTATAGGTCCTAAAGAAAAGGACCATAATGACGCAAAATGTAAGGAAGATGTTCTAAAGTAATTAGCTAGAAATACAAAGGGAACACAAGAAAAGCCATTATGCAAATAGACAGTCATTCAAAAACTAGTCTTCTGGAAAAAGTATAAGATCCATGGTGTGGATTTCAAAGAGGGCGCTTCTTTTTAAAATCCTCTACCCTTCAAGCTAAGTCTTCAATTTATTATAATTCATTTCTGAAATCTCTGTTTAAGATGCATTTTAAGAAGGGGGGTCTAGGTACAGAAATATAAGTATTCTGCTACAAAGAAGCATATAGTCCCTGAATTAGCTTCTGCTACAGTAAAAAACAAACTCAGAATCTCAGTCCCTTGCCCACACATTAATTTCTTGTTCATGTTATCTAAACATGGTGTGTTGGTCTGAACAGTTGATCACATTTCTTCTTACGCCAGAACCCAGGCTGAATGAACTGCCCTGCCTGGGGTATGTTGCTTTGCCAGCAGTCAGCAAAGGCACAAAAATTCTCAGCTGATTCCCACATGGCATCCAAAGCTTCAAGGCAGAGGTGGCAGAGGTCACATCCATTCTCATTTTACTTTCTGAAGTGTATCACATGGCCAAGCCCAATGCGGGTGAGTTAGGAAGTTACACTTCCTCCTGTGGGAGGTGAGAATAAGTATGTGTTTAAACAAAACAAAACAAAACAAAACAAAACAAAACACATTTACCCAAAAATCGTGGGGAAAAAATGAAGATGCCACTAAAAGGCCAAAGTAAGAAACTAACAATGTAGACTGTACTTAATTATCTAGGAAGATTTCACAAAAAGAGAACTTAACACGTTGAAAACTAATGAATCATCTTCTTAGCCTCCAGCTCTATCAATCCATAAATAATGCCAATTCATACAAAATCTTGTATATCTACCACTTCTCCTTGATTCCTACAGCCACACTCCTGGTCTAGGCTCACAGTACCTCTTGCCTGGTCCTCTAGAATAGTCTTAATGCTTCTACTTGGCCTCCCTCCAGGTGATCATCCTATTGTTGCCCTAGTAATTTCTCCATTAAGAACTCTGAAAATGTCTTTCACTGACTCAAAATTCTTCAGAATCCCCCCATTGCTTACTGTTTAAGATCAAAAATCCTTGGCATTAAAGTGCTTCATGCCTTGGCTCCTGCCACCCAGTCCAGCCTCACTGTTTTCACTTGCTTCCACTCACATTTCCTGTTCCAGGGGCCTGAACCATACCTCATGTTCCCACCTCCTTATCCCTGCTCCTGATTACCCATGCTCCTTGATTAGAATGACCTGCCTTCTTTTTGTTTGTATGAACTCTTGTTCACCTTCCATGTTTCAACTCAAATAACACCTGCTCTCTGAGGTTGTCCTTATTCTCTGAGACAAAACAGGTGCTTGTTTATCTATATTCCTACTGAATTCCATATATATCATTTTAATATATTATTTTATCATCAGCCCAAGTTTATTTGGATTTACTCTTTACTGCCCATTGGATTCCTTTACTGTTCCTTTATTGTTTTATTATATAGTCATAAATGTTATCATTACATTCTCCTCATGTCTTCCTCTGAGAACTCCCATCCGAATTTACCTTTGAAAGAAAAAATTAGTCTCATTTGTTCTTGATCAATATCTTTGTTTGTGATGTAATTGACAGCCATCTTTAAGAAAGAAATTAGCCTTTCTAATCAAATTCTCAAGCAATTTTTTTTTTTGAGATGGAGTCTTATTTTATTTTATTTTTTTGAGACAGAGTCTTGCCCTGTCACCCAGGCTGGAGTGCAGTAGTGCGATCTCGCTCACTGCAACCTCCGCCACCTGGGTTCAAGTGATTCTCCTGCCCTAGCCTCCCAAGTAGCTGGGATTACAGGTGCGAGCCTCCACGCCCAGGTAATTTTTGCATTTTTAGTAGAGACGGGGTTTCACCATGTTGGTCAGGCTGGTCTCAAACTTCTGACCTCGTGATCCACCCGCCTCGGCCTCCGAAAGTGCTGGGATTACAGGATGAGCCACCGCGCTCGGCCTCAAGCAATTTTTAACATAGCTATATGTGGTTTAATTGCTTGGCATTATAGTACCAGCAGTAGGGAGAGGCATCATGAAATAGAAATTATATCTGGGAGTGAGGTGAGCTTGAAGTATGCAGGAAGAAGTTATTTCTGGTGGCTGACAGGTAATCAAGAGTTTACATGTATTTACATAATGCAGGTATTTACATATTGCAGGTCAGAGATATCATTATAGCTTCATAAAGCAAATGAAATTTATATGTATATTGAAAGAGTGAGTTTATTCCAAAGAACACCCTTTTGGAATTTTCCTTAAATTTCTGAATAAACACTTTAAAATTAAAATAAAATGTGTCCTGTGTTTTTTGTTTTCTGTAAAAATGGTAATATTTAAAATAGCAATTCTGTAAAATTCTATAAAAATAGTAATATTTTTACAGAAAATATTACTACACATTTTGGAAAGAAGTTCAACTATCTGCTAACTAATGTACTACGGTTGAAAAAGACTGTTGTCTTGGTCTGTTTTGTGGGGCTGTCACGAAATATCTGAGACTAGGTAAATTATAATGAGCAGAAATACATTTTTTCACAGTTCTGGAGGTTGGAAGCCAAATATCAAGGCGCAGGAGGTTCCATGTCTGGTAGAGACCCATTTGTCACTGATGATACCACCCAGTTTTTCTCACGTGATGGAGGGAGCAGAAAGGGCAGAAAGGACAAAAGGGAAAGAACTCTGTGTCTTCATATGGAAAAGGTGGAAGGGGATGAACCCAGTCTCTGGGGCCCATGGATGGAGGGTCCAGATCCATCCATGAGGGCTAGAGCCTTACAAGTTAATCCTCACTTAAAGGCCCCATATCTACACACTATCGTATTGGCAATTAAGTGTCAACATATGAATTTTGGGGACACATTTGGACCATAGCAAGTATTCCTGTATTTTTCTGTCCTTCGCTGATGTGATAACCAAAGTGTCTGAGGACTGAGATGCCTTCTATCTCCCCAGTGGCCATCTCCATTCCTGAGTTGGATGGGAATCCTGCAAAAGGCGTCTATTGTGGATGGGGCATAGGTGAGACAGCTCTTGGGATGGCACCATTGGCATTTCTCATGTCCCTCCCAGTTTCTCTCTCCTTGGTGAAACAGACATGCATGTCTCTCCACTAAAAGTCTAAAGAAAGACAAAAGGGTGCCATCTGGAGCTGTCTGGCTATCCTTGGTCACGTGGCATCAATGATTTTATTAATCTTCCACTCTTTATGATTTCCCTCTTTTCATTTCCTACCCATAAAATTAATTTCATCAGTGTCTCAGAGCTGATAAGATTCCCTGACACTTGCTCATGCTAAACAAAGTCATATGAGACCGATTGACAGAACCAACTTGTAATTTAAATTTCAAATTGTAATTATTAGGCAGACTAAACATTTGTGTCATTTCAACCAGTGCATACTTTCCCAAAGGGAAGTAAATTTTCACGAGGTTGTACCATAAACATAACTTTGATGGAGGACTTAAATTATATTAATAAAATTTAATATCATTAGTCTCCAATAGCTTTGTGCATCTCTTTAAAATATAAACCTTCCTTAAACGCAGACTGAATACTTTAAGTAACCTGGCAGGGCACTTTTTCTCCAATAAAGGGTCTGGAGAGCCATGATTAACTTTTGCCACTATAATTCTCCATTTGTCAGTCTTCTATTACTTAATGACTTCCATTTCTATTGACACGGCCTTTCTTTAGATAAGTCATTAATGACTTGAGCTGAAAAACATGTTCTACTGACATTACATATGTAATATGCATAAATTTTTAAATTCCCTTTTCAGTGGCCAATACTATTTCTAAGTACAGTCCATGCAGGAGAGAGTGAAGAACTTATCTCTTTCTATAGCTCTAGCCCATTGGTTTTCTCATCCCTGAGGCTACACACAACAAAGTTTCTTCTCAATTGACACCATTGCAGGTGTGCAAGGATGGCTCTGCTGATTCTCCTGAGCCAGTCTGAACACCTCTCAGCATCATATGCTCCTCTCTAGCTGCAAGGCTGCAATCCCCATACCATCCTTTGTATGTTCTCCAGTTTATCTATATCCTGCTTAAAGAATAATATTCAGAATGAGCAATATAAGCCAAGTGCGAAAAAAGAGCAGGAGTGCGTGTCTGTACTCCCTTCTCTCTTCTTCACTCAGTCATTCATTCATTCAGCCAACTCAGATTGGTGCCATGCTGTTCACTGACAACAGAAAGATAAATGACAAAGGTGGAGATTTAGACATGTACATATGTTGCAACAGTAGCATTCAGTTTCTTATCTCTTCCCCGGGAATGAGCTCATTCTAGGAGAGCGAGAGTCTCATTCCAGGGGAGGCAATAAGAAAACCCTCTCAAAGGAGGTGATGGTTGAGTTGTTTATTGAAAGATGACAATGGATTTTCAAATTAGAGAAAGACTTGAGAAACGGGAAAGGCATCCAGGTATGATTGGGAAATACACAGACTCCAAAAGACAGGAAGGGGATATGGATCCACAGAGCCACAGGACGTCAGAACAGACTAACCAGAAAGCAGGAGCTTAGAACAAGGAACTCTGCAGGTCTTGCTCCCTGGTTCCCTATCATTGAAAGCACCAGAGAGGCCTCACTGGAATCTAAACAAAGGAGTAGCGTTTCCTGATGGTAGATAAACTATCAGGTAAGTAAGTCCAATGAGTGTCTGCAGAGAAGAAAATGAAAAACCCCTAAGGGCAGGGGTGGAGACGCATTAGAAGCTTGGAGAGTAGCATCAGTGAGCCACGATGAGGCGTGAATTCAGGCAGGGCTTGCAGTAAGTTGGTGGTACAATGTACTGAACTTAGAGCCTGAGTTATTGTGGATGCTGAGAGGAAGCGTTCCACGATAATTCCATGTTTCTGCCTTGAGTAATTAAAAGACTGGAGTTGCTCTGTAGGGAGGCAGAAAGCTCAGCAGGTAGCACGGGTTGGAAGAAGAGAAGCAGCTGAGTTTTAGGCAAAAAGAGAAATTATTCGAAAAAAAATCAAGTATATTTTAGAAGATAATGTTAAAAGCAGTGTCAATAATTTCTTATATAAAACATATTTATAGAAGTAAGATGTGGGAAGCACCTAGTGAATAAAATCAGATAACTTATGAAAACTCAGAAACCATTGTGTAGACTTTATATACAGCATATAAGTCTGAAGGACTTTCCATGTAAAAATTGAATTTCCATTCTTAGAAGTTAAGAGCTTTCTTATAAAGGTTTAAGTATGAATATTTTTATGTAGATTTTGCTTTAGGTAGGTTTCTTCTTGATCAGACTAATTTGGGAAAAATAATATTTGAACATATTAATAATTGAGAGCGCTTTAGGGTTTTTTCATGAGAAGGAACTGAATTACCGAGGTTTTAACATATTTGATAAGCATCCTCAAGTGTCCTGGTTTCAGCTACCTCTCCCTTCAGAAGTGTTGCTTCATGTAGACACTTGTTTTCTATCGTTTCTATAGATACGGAAGACTCAGTTTTCAGTATCTATAGTCTTCAGATACTGAAAACTCAGTTTTCTATCATTTCAATTACAAAACTCTTTGAAAAAATAAAATTTCATCTCGTCATTTCAAACTCAGGCTTATACATGGAGATTGTTAACAAGGCTTCTTCAGTAAAATGATCCTTCCATCTTTTGTTCTCAAATGCTAATGTAAACAAAACAGTTGATTATTTTATATCCATTACAATCTTGACATTCATGGAAGGGAAGACTGCCTCTAGGGATGAAAGAAGAGCAAAATAAGAAATATCACAGATGGGTCAGGGGGAGCGCTGCTGTTGTTGTTGGAGAAGCAGCCAGAGCCAGGCCCTGTGGCGGGTGTCTCGGGGGTGGCCCTCCTGGAGTGGAAGGCCATGCAGCACCCCGGACTTCCCAACTGCACCAGCCGCGGTGTTCCAGAGCCTGGGCAGGAGCACCACGCGAACTGAGAGGCCGCTCCCTGGGGAAGGCCAGCAGGTGTGGTATTTTCATGAGGAACTGTGGAACACAGCGGCCAATAGATCCTCTGTTATATATTTAATTTTTCAATCATGATTGGCACTTGTGGAAGCACTCTAAGAAGTAAGTGAGTAGGAGACAAACACATGGCCTAAGAAGCTTCTGAATAGTGTCTTCAATGGAGTTCCTGATATCATGGCTTCCACAGGCCCAACAGGACAAAAACTGTTTGAGGCATGCTTCCTCGGTGCAGTGAATATTCCATGGCCACCTGAGCAGACTTCTAGACTTCCCCAGCCTGGAATCACTCCTTCAGTGCAGATGCTTGTCCACCAAGAAAGCTCATTCATTTTCCTTGATAGGTGTTCTCTGGTTCTTCGAGCACCTCACAGGGTCTTGCTCCTCATGCAGGAGAGCTGGCGTCCCATCTTCCTCCTCTGAGTTGCTGCCCATCCCTCTTCCTTGACCTGCAGAGCTGTCTGTGAGCACATCTCTTTTTTTCTCCTGTCAAATTCCTTTCTAGCTATGTTCCATCAGCTAAGTACAGGGCGTCTCCACACCGCTTCCAGGCCATGGTTCACACACAGGCCTGCCTGGCCTCTGGGTACAGCGGTGTCAGGCAGAGGTACTTTCCGTCACCAGAAGTCCGTGCCTGTCGGGGCAATGGGTAATCATTCTTGGAGAAAGGTGGGTTGAATGTGCAGCTTGTGCATCCCTACCTGTCAGGATCCAAGTCCATGAACGTGAACTATGCCGAAAGAGCAACCAACAGGCAGCCGCCCTGCACCTCCACACCCTCCCTCTAGGCAACAGTATAATCAGAATCTTAGCACGAGAGTATTCGTCAAGAAGGGTTCTTCCCTCATCCAAAATAACAGAGTGGGTACTTCTGCTGTCCTGAGTCCAGGACACACCTGAGAAGCATTGCCCTTTGGAGCTGGACACTGTTCCCTCCCACAGCCAGGAAGACGGTTGGCTGTCCGTGCATCGGTCGTGCCCTCAGTCAGTGGCTCTCATAGGACAGTCTTCTATCAGCAGTGGCAACACCACCCGGGCACTGGGCAAATTCTCAGACCCTACTGCAGACCAACCAAATCAGAAACTCTGTGGGTGGAGCCCAACAACCTGGATTTAACGAGCCCTGCAGGTGATCCTGATGCCGCGGTTCTCAAAATCCTGGGAGTTTGTTAGAAATGCCGCCTGTAATCTCAACACTTTGGGAGGCCGAGGTGGGCGGATCACTTGAGCTCGGGAGTTTGAGACCAGCCTGGTCAATATGGTAAAACCCCGTCTCTATTAAAAAATACAAAAAAGAAAAAATTAGCTGGGCGTGGTGGCTCACACCTGTAAACCCAGCTACTTGGGAGGCTGGGGCAGGAGAATCACTTGAACCCAGGAGGCGGACGTTGCAGTGAGCGGAGATGGCGCCATGACGCTCCAGCCTGGACCTCACAGCGAGACTCCATACCCCCACTCTACAAAAAAAAAGGCACATTTATGGGCTCCCACCTTCACCTACTAAATCAAAATGTCTAGGGACAAAGTCTAGAAAAGTGAGTCATAACAAGCCCTCCGGGTACTCCTCATGCCCATCTGAGTGAGAGAACCACCACTCTGTGCCACTGGGCCACGGGTGGCAATGGTCTCTGCAGTCGTATGTCTTGCCCCTAGTCTACCTCATGCAGATAAATGCAAAGGTAATATTTCAACTGAAGACTGTCATTCTGTTTGTGGCCGCCTGCCTTCAAATAGAAAAAATGAGTAGGTGTATTATCTTGTCTGGGACCTGAAACTATCTGGAAGGCCTGATGGACAAAACTTGAACAATTTTGAATCCCAACTGACTCCATAGTAAGTGCTGCCACATTTGGTACTGGTGCAGAAACTCTATTAGCTCAGAGAAAAGTAACCTACTGAAAACTTTCAGAGGTTTTCAGATCATCCATGCAGAGTATTTTCACTTGTGTTTTGAATTGGTTTCTTTGCCAGCACAATTTCAGTGCAAATAGCTCGGCAACGCCTCATTGTTGCAATTGAACTGGATCCCATTTTTCCCTTTGATAACACCTTGCTGAGTTTCCCTCTGAAAAAGCCCCTCTGACAGCACATTTTCAGAATCCTGTTGTCTTTTCTATTATTGCTTAGCCAAAACTTTGGCACATGAATTTTAGCTGTTCTCCATAGTATCAACTGGGCTTAGGCTATTGATCAGAGAGCAATCTGGCCATTTGCAGGGAGCACTGGCCATTTGCAGGCCCTGGATACCTTTGATTCCCTGCTGGGTCTCTGGCCTACAACTCTGAACATTTCAGCAAAGTCTTCCCGCATCTAAACACTCTTCTTCTGAGACCATCTCTGGGTTCCACTTGTGAGTGCATGGGAAAGAGCTCAGTGCCCTCATGCCCAGCAGAAAAGGGACTTTGTCCAATCTAGAATTATGTCTCTTGACTCTCATTTCTCCTTGCAGAAAATATTTATTTTCTTTTTTTTTTTCTTTTTCATTTGAGATGGAATTTTGCTCTTGTTGTCCAGGCTGGAGTGCAATGGCGTGATCTCGGCTCACCGCACGCAACCTCTGCCTCCTGGGTTCAAGTGATTCTCCTGCCTCAGCCTCCTGAGCAGCTGGGATTACAGGCATGTGCCACCACTCCTGGCTAATTTTGTAATTTTAGTAGAGACAGGGTTTCTCCATGTTGGTCAGTCTGGTCTCGAACTCCCGACCTCAGGTGATCAGCCTGCCTCGGCCTCCCAAAGTGCTGGAATTACAGGTGTGAGCCACCGCACCTGGCCATATTTCATTATTTTTAAGATATCCATTCAGGCTACAGGATACACCAATATCCAGCTTCTGTCTTTCTCTATAGCATTTCAATATTCATTGCCTGATTTAAAAAAAAGACGTTAGAGGCAATAAAATCCAACTCACTAAGCACTAAACATGTTTGAATTTTTTTTTTATATACCAAAGAATACCTTCCCAGCAGCCGTCATTTTCCTTGCAATGAATCTCATCCAGCTTTTGGACAATCCTTGTCATAAAAACAAGTTCTGTCTAAAATCTTCCTGCATTTCAGTACTTCAGGAGATGTACTGAGAATTATGCCTTTGGTTGACATGTCTAGAAGCTGAAAGAAAAGTAGGCTACTTCTTCCTTGAAAATCAGGTTTAAACATTTTCAATCAATAAGATATGTGATTTTGCCAATCTGTCACTCACTCTCCCTCTGGAAATTAGCCAGTCATTATCACCCATATTTTCAAGTTTAGAAGTTTTAATTGGACTACACAATAAGGGAGCAATTTAAAAATGACCAAGGAGAAATATGGATATTTAATGAAATATAGATTTTGGAAATATGTGCTTCCTAATGCCCTTTTATGACCAATGATATTTACCCTTTTGAGGAAATATCAAATAGAGAAGTGTGATTTATTTCTCAATATGCACAGTTCTAAGTATTTTTATTATTCTAACTATACTCTGATCATTTACTGTTTCTTGAAAAATGCTAATTTCCCTTTTTGCAGAATAATTCCATGTTCCTTAGTAGAGCATTGTAAGCGACACATTTTGTTTGGGTAAATAAATGTTTATGTCAGAATTCTTCCTGAATATCAGAGAAGTAAAAATATACATTTTTTATTTACTCTATAACACAATAATCCTAAAACAGTTTGAAAGTGAAATACATGATGAAATAAATTTGCCTCACATGTTGTAAATATTCAATGAAAGCTTGAGCGAATAAATGAATGAATCAATTAAAATGTTTAATTAACAATTCCCCTTTTGAACTTAATATGGGAGATGCCTCAGAAAAAATATGATACAAATTTAATTTGACTTTTTCCCACTCTTGTTTGAGACTTGCTTTCTGATTCACTGGTTGTTAAGCTTATTATCAGTCCTGGTAAATCAGGTCTAAGTGCCAATCAAAACACAGCCTTTTGTAAAGAAGATTGAAACTGTGTAAAAGTGTCATAAAATGTGGGCCTCGGGCCACGACTCTACTCAAGTTCTGAGGGACAGTTACTAAATTCTCAGTGACCTGGAAATCAAAGAAGGCAAGTCATGAACAAAATGTGTTTTTGAGTAAAATAAGGTGCCAGCAAAGTCAAGCATTTTAACTTTTCCATTATCCTTTTATTTTTTAATATGGAAAGAAATTATTGATTCATTATAAACACCAACTTTTTTACTTGCATAAAATATTACTTTTTTGTATAATTAGTATCATGCCAAAATTGAATAAATTTGGGGAGAAATTAAAAGGATTACCTCTAAAGAATATACTGAAGAGAATAACAATAGGCCTAAGCAGAAATGAGAGATAAATCACTTCTGTCACTTAGATACCCTATGTCCAGGAATATATTAAGAAAAAAAAAAACACCTCCATTAGAAGAATTATTTGGCCTTGGGTAGAAAACCTAATTAAGAATTTATTTACTTTATGTCAATTACATAATTTAAAAATATTTTAAATAGTCATAAATAATTAACATACAAATAACAAACGTATTAAAATACATACATTCATGTGTCTTACCACACATACATGTCTATAGTGGCAAAATACTGAATTAAAGTGATTATTCAGATGATTAACAATGAAATCTACTTCATATCCTTTACTCAACACTATTAAACGAGTTTCTATCACCTGTGGAATAAAGTTCAAATCCTTCTAGGCTACACCTACTAAGCTGCAATGCTTTTACCAGTTGGAACAAGTATTTATTGAGGGTAGATCAATGAAATATCACTCTCTGATTCCTTTGTCTTTCATAGTCCTCCAAATGGTATTGGAATGCCTTTATTTGAAAAATTAAGTGGTAGAGTTTTACAGTATTTTCTTATACCAATATTTTATAGAAATAGGAAAATTACAATTCTAAAAACTTTTATCCAACTTTCTTCAGCCATGATCACACAATTGATTATAATTAGGCCTCCGTTTTGTGCACCTCTGCAGTGATTCACTTACAGCTTGATTGGGCTGCATCTCCATCTAGTAACCATGATTAGGTCAAATATCCTTGATTGGATCTTTCTTTTGTAACAGTAAGCCTCGCTCTCATTGATGGACTCATGCCCCTCCCTAGACGCCCTCAACCATCAGATGAGTAATTTTCCTATAAATAACTCACCTACTGCTTTATTTATTGTATATGCTTATTGTAGAAAAAGTTTAAATGTAGAAATACATGGAGAAGAAAATGAAAATCTAAATACATCCGTACCAAGGAACAATTATTCTAAACATGTTGCTGCAGTACATTCTCCTGCTCATATTGAATTGAGGTATCAGGGCGTTCGGTCCACTGCATGTGTTTATATATCAGAAGCATTTCCGGTGTCACTGCAATCTCCCCATACTCTATGACATGCACCACACAAAATGGAAAAAATATTAATTTATTTTGTAATTCAACCCTCAGATTAATTAATATTTATTGATTCCCTACCACTATTTTAGGCTCTGGGCTCATACCTGGGAACAAAAAAACTATACTTACTTGTCATATTATATATTTAAGTGCATACTAAATATATATAATATATATACTTAAATGTATAATATAATATAAAATATATAATAAATATATAATATGACAAATAGGCTGATAAATGCTACAGAGAGAATACAGCCCATTAAGGTAATGTAAGCAATGTTAAATCTGTGCAATAAAATTATACATAATTATATCTTTAACTTTTTGCATAAGAAAAAGTTAGACACGTGTGTTTAATAAATAAGCTTTCAGCCCAACTTTTATGATATATATGCATGTATAGAAACACACACGTATAAACACTTATATTCTCTAGTTTTCATCAGTAAAATTTTGTTTATATGTTGTGCTCTTCTCCCCAAAGAGATGATAAGTTTGAGATCCACCACGAAATAATTCTTCCCAAGATTGAAACCACATTCTAGAATACTCACACAGTATCAAGCCCTCATTGCAGTAATTTATCCATTTCCTGTCTGTAATCAATTTATAAGCATGCTTTTTTCCTATAAAATAGGGATTTTTATAGTACTATTTTTCTTAGAAACATTTTGCTTTAGTAACTGGCAACGTTCAGTTTCTTCACCTGAGTGGTGGTTGCATATTTTTGTTCCCTTTGGTAAGTCACCAAGGCTTATATCTGTATACAGATGCCTCTTGAACATTGGGTTTCAAGAGACAAATTTGTTGTGTACTTTAACACAGTTAATGTTCCAGCCATAGTATGGGCTCTGGACGGAAGCCAAACACACCCACAGTCCAGGTGCCTTAGAGTCTATTTTCTCCCTTTCTCTTAGGGAAAATGAATCAAGCACTGATAATATCCAGGTTATTCAAATAATTATGATGTAATTATTATTACACATTATTATATATTATACCTATTATTATACATTATACATTAATAGTAATACATTATACATATTATGATGTAATAGCTGCAGACTTAAGAGAAGAGGGATTTTCCTGAACCACATCCTACCCTGCCCCCATGTCAGGGCTCCTCCTGGATGCAGCAGCAGGGACTAAATTGGCCACGCTCCCCTGGGCAGTCCCCGTGAACTGGTCATTTTTTCCCTGGAATTGTGCTACGCCTGCACTACCATAATTCCTACTTATCCTAGGAAAGGACAACAAGACAAATTCCAAAGTGGGTATTTTTTAAAATTTCAATTCTATATTTTATTCAATATACCCAAAATTATTTTATTTTAACATTTAACAGTTTATTTTTATAATTTATTTAATAAATTATTTTTCTTTTAATTTATTTATAATTATAATTATTATTTAACATTTAATCAATATAAAAATATTAATGAGATATTTTTATGTTTTTAATTTTAACTTCTATTTAGATTCAGGGGTACATGTGCAGGTTTGCTACATGGGCACATTGTGTGACACTGAGGTTTGGGGCACAAATAATTCCATCACTCAAGTAGTAAGCATAGTACCCAATAGGTAGTTTTCTAATCCTTCCTTCCTTTCTTCTTCTCACCTCTTGTAGTTCCCAGTGCCTATTATTCCCATCTTTATGTCCATGAGTACCCAATACTTAGCTCCCACTTATAAGTGAAAACATACAATATTTGGTTTTCTATTCCTGAATTAATTTGCTTAGGGTAGTGGCCTCCAGCTACATCCATGTTGCTGCAAAGGACATGATTTCATTCTTTTTTATGGCTGCATAGTATTCCGTGCCAACACCAGGTGTTTTGTGAATTAGAAGCAGTTAAGTTTCAGTTTCATACCTAAGAGTGACCACTAGGGTGCATGAGATTAATGTCTTCTTAGCTTATGTTCTGCATTCACTTTCTGCTTATGGTGGCTACTTTCTCAAAAGCAATTTCTCTTTTCTTTTTTCTCCAAATCATGGAAAAGCAGAAGACTACACTGAGAAAGCTCTATGAAGTCAGGCACCTTTGATTCTCAGATGTATCCCAAATGCCTAGAATGGTGGCTGTTTTGTAGCAGATGCTTACTGAATATTTATAGATTTACTGGCTCGGTGGAGCTTACCATGCTCAGCATAGAGAAGTCCATTATGCTAGTGGAATTGCAAGAGCAGTTAAGGCTGTGAATTCTGACTGGGAGTCACTTTCACCTTGTCCTATAAATACTCACCTATCGTTGTTGCCAATACTGTCTTATTATTTCCATTTTCAGTTATTTCAGTGAAATATTAATCGTAGAAAAACTGTGGAGGGAGAATACATTGATATATTGCGGTTATATTAATCAGTGTGATCCCTTTCCTCTGCCCACGTCTTCATTATACCTGCTACCCTGAGCTCCTGGGGGTCTGAGTGCTGATAAGGGCAGCCAGACCACTGGGCTCAACTATGCTACTGGGGAAGATTTTTAATAGTGTAAAGTGTGAGCAATTCAAATTCTTGGCTCTTGCATTTTAAATTCTGAGGTGCTGCCGTAGATTTAAAAAAAAATTGAATGATATGTGGCGTATAACAGAATAAGAAAAATTCCTCCAGCTGACAAAAAGAAAAAAGCCCAAGAAGAAGTTATAATGAGGTACTGGAAGATTTTCCTGAGGAGAGAGTGTCTTCCAGTCCATCAGGTGCTAGTTCATCAACTAGCAATGGGAGAAATCCCAGAGAGGATTCTGGAATATGTAACTGTGGCTAATAATTAGTATTTATCTTTTCACACTTCATTTTCTATGTGCATGAATGCAAGTATTGTTTGTTTAGCCAACAAGTGCTTCCAACACACCTATTTTATAACTTAATTTTTAAGATATAAAAAAGTCGCATTTTTCAGTTAATAAACATGTTAATTTTCATGAAATCTTAACTTTATTCATTAATATAAATAAACAGAATTGGAAGAGATAGGCTACAGAGTGTGAATGTCACCAAATCCTCTTTATGGAACTATTAATAATTTAAACTCACCAGAAAGAAGCATCCTCTTCACTCCCAATTATCCCATTAATCCTAGAAGCTGCTTATTTTAATCAACATCTATTTGAAACAAATGGTATCTGATTGGATTTCCAATTACATTTCTGAGATCATATGTGTGGTTGTGTATTTTTGTATATACTAATTAAGTATTCCTATTTCATATTTTGAAAGTTGATTGCCATTGGCCTTTTAGTCTATGTTGCATTGGTCTTCTGAGCAAGTTGGATGAAATCTTAACTAGTAGGGATATTACTCTAGTGGTTAATCTAAACATAATCTACCATTTGCATTGATATAACTTCTAAAGACTATGGATAGATAGTCTTTGAGCTTTATTTATGGTATTTTTAATGTACATATTTTAAAGTGTAGGTATTCACATCAATCTTTAAAATATATGTGTGTGTACATATATGGTTTTTGCCTTTGGTGCTTTGCTTTGAAAAACTTTGGCTAGCCAATGATGATGCAGAAAATCAGTTATAAATGCTTCCATTTTTATAATAATAGTGTTACATTTTATGTACAAAATTTTAGAATCTAATTTTATTCTTTTACAGTTGGTAATTTCATTATCACAACCCTCAGTTGGGCTGCCATTCTATTTTCCCCCAATTGTATTTGTGTCTGGAATTGTTTGCAAAAGTTCTGTTCTGTTAAATTAATCTCACTGCTTATTCCTGTTCGCAGTATTTTAATTATTTTAGTTTTAGTACACATTGTAATATCTGGTTAGACTATAACTCCCTCATATTACTTTATAAATGTCCCTTCCTGTCTTTTGTATTTATTTCTCTAGATAAACTTTAGAATACTGTTTTTGAATTCCAATTTTTTTCTATAATTTTTGCCACAGTATTAATTATACAAGCTTATTTGAACAAAAGTGATTTTTTCTCCATATAGAGAATGTGTTATTCCATTTATTCACATTTTCTATTATATCTATTAACAAAATCCTGTCTTTTTTTATTTTCCTTATTTCCTTGTTACTAGTTTTTCAACAAACATTATGCACCTAATGTGTTCTAGGCCC
Organism: Homo sapiens; assembly: GCF_000001405.40. Taxonomy (NCBI): domain Eukaryota; kingdom Metazoa; phylum Chordata; class Mammalia; order Primates; family Hominidae; genus Homo; species Homo sapiens. The sequence continues at coordinate 54,479,506 of NC_000007.14, forward strand.
TGGACTAGCCACTGGCAGACAGCTAGAGTCTTTACACAAGAGCAGCTTGGCTTTTCTGTTTCAAGTATAGAGATTGCTGGTCAATAAGGATACTAAGTGATTTATTACAATACAGCAGAAGAAATTATTAGAGAGTCCATGAAAAAATGCTATGAGAACAAACAATGGGAGAACCTAAGCTAATGGGTTGGAGGGCCAGAAGAGACACATTAGAGCTGGAGCCTGGAGGATTAGCAGGAGTTGAGCATACCAGGAGAAATAGGAACCAAGGAGAAGAGGGGAGGGGCTCTGGAGAGAGGGAGCGTCATGAAGGCCAGGTGCCTGTGAGACCATAGAGCGCAGAAGAGCATCAGCTGGAACAGAGGCAAGGGGAAGGTGAAAGATGAAGCTGGAGATGGGGGTGGAGCCAGAGGTTCAACAACTGTCTGTATTGTGCCATCACAGGAGGTCAGAGTGGATTTCATGGCATGATCATATTTGCATTTTTGAAAATGTTCTCTAATTAAGGTGCTGACAATTAATTGGAATGGATCAGGCATACAAAGACCCTTTAAGAAATTATTGTAAAGATTCAGGCAAGACAATGATGAACTGGAGTAGAGTAGGGTCAGTAGGGATGAGAAAGAGGCAGTGTTAGCTAAAACTTTATTCCTAGTCACAGAGGCAGAGTCTAGGACACATCAGTGAAAAATTGTATCTATTCCCACAAGGTAATAAAATAGATAACAATGTAACTGCACCAAAGCTGCCGGTTCCCCTGCATCTTATGAGCTTGGTAAGCCCCAGCTAATGGATCTTTTTAATTGTGCGGACAAGAAAATGGGATAAGAGGTACTCTTCCAGGGGACTTCATGAGACCATAGCCACTGATCTAAGACAAATCAGTACTAATTTTAGCACATCATTTGGAATAATTTCTTAATAGCCTTGAGTCAAAAATTATAAGTGGCTACTTTATTTAGACTAAGTATTCTACTTGTCTCCATTTTCATGTAAATGCAAAAAATAAAAAAGTTGGCCAAGTTAGAAATAAAAATCTTGAAATCAATAAAAATCTTTAATTAATCAAGTTCAAAATAATCTTGATACATATTTCTTGAATAATGAGCAAATACATTTATTAACAAACCTTAGAATAAAAATCTTGAATAGTTATTAAATACATATATTAAGGTTCGTAATGTTTCATTGGCTTTGTTATTACATTTTTTATTTTGGAAATAATCAGCACACATAAAATCCAATAGAAATAGCTCACAAAAAGAAACACATCACTTATAAATGTATAAACCCTGAGTAAAACAATAAGAAAATGCCTACGTATTAAGATTTTAAAAATTAGAAATGGATTAAAATTAGGAAACCTGTTATAATTTATATGACCAACTAAGAAGACACAGATAAGTTATGCAATAAAGTTCAAACATCACAGGGAGAAAGGTGATACCAGACAGTAATGTGATACCAGACAGTAATGCAAGATTTAAGGGTACAACAGAGATAGCAGAGTAGGGTGACAATAGGTAAAAACAATGCATTGTATTTTTCAAAATACCTAGAAGAAAGGACTTGAAATGTACCCAACACATAGAAATGATAAATACTTGGGTGACAGGGGCTCTAAATACCCTGACTTGATCATTACACATTCTATGCATCCAACAAAACTCCACATACACCAAGTATAATGTGTCAAAACTACATTTTACAAAGTTAAATGAACAGAGTAGGAAACATAGTTGTTTATGGGGTTTGTGCTTTACCCCAAGTAAAATGCATCATAAAAAACCTATAATGATGATAAAAATTTATTGATAAAATGTTTGTCTTTGTTTAAAGAAAGGTATAATGTAGCACAATGAAGCCTAAAAATCAGCATTAACAGCAGACTTTTCTCAAAAGATTTTCACCAACTTCATGCTCACATCTTCCCTGTCAGCCTGATGCTGCCCAGCCAGCCCGGTGTAATCAAGTGTCCCGTTTGTGATTTATGACCAGTTTTTAACACTGTCACTCTCCCTTAGCAAGACCACTTTTCTGGACAGGTGAGTTAGTGGGGAATGGGACACTCGGAAACTGCCTGCTCAGCACCTGGGTTTGCAGCTGTGCTCAATCACTGCTGTCTCTCCAAAGCCGCTCCAAGGCCCTGGCTAAAGAGGCGCTGGCACTGGCAGTGACAAATGAGGGGTTCTTGGCAATTGCCCATTAGGTAGTGAAAGGCAAGAGGAGTCAGAACTTTGACACATGGAACTGGTGCTTATAGTATCACCTTCATATGAGCCCTATCTGTTTCATGGTTGCAAGAGGAGTGGCATTTCTAAGAGCAGACAGGATCCCTCTACATAGCATTTACTGCAGAGGCTTTGCATCGAGTCCACCAATGACAAGTTGCCTTCCACTAGCTGGACAGCACCCTCATTGTGGCATTGTGTGGTGGCCTTTCAAAAGACATTTAGCATCTCCCTTCAGCTTACTTTTGCATTAAAATTAGACACTACTTTGAAATATGAAATAGCTGAAGTAACTAATTTGCAATGCTTCAGTGAGAAGTTTGCCAACCCTAATTAACTGCTCTAGTCTCCCACAATTTTTTTCATTTGGCCCAGAAATATGTCTATAAGAATTGTGAAGAGAAATTTAGCCTTATTAGTGTCACAGTTGGTAACAAAGAGGCAAGTAGAAAAATCAAACCTTACTCAGAGTGGATGTTTCAACCAAAGCTGAAACAAAGGATGTGCACCCAGAATATCACTGCCATTTGCCATTTATTAGCTGATGATACAGATACATGTTTTTCTTCTTGTATATCACATTCTACTTTCTGAGTTTTCCAAAATGCTTGAAACCAAAGGTAAATTTATTCCCAAAAAAAAAAAAACAGAGGGCTTTTAAAATGTTTTCCCAAATATTTGTGACTCGGCATAGGAATTTGTTGTGTTTTCCTCCCAAGGGGTACTATGAAAATCAAAAAGAGAAACAAGGAAAAGCACTTAAGTAAAAAAAAAAAAACATCCTTCTTTCTGTCTCAAATTATTTAATACCTTTCCCTACTGTTCAATTACACGTGCACCTCAAAGTCAGTAAATGATTCATATTTGTTTTCTCTACCAATTAACTAAAGTTAATCCTATTTGACTTAACTTCCCTGAGAGATGCAGAAATGTATTATTCTATAGCAATGACTATTTCATCCTGTGTTCTTAGTCACTCAGATTTTACTACAAATTTCTTGTTTTCTTATAGCATTTCATAGTATGTGAAATTTCCATTCCTAGTAGCAAATGATAATGCTATTTGCAATGCTCTTTTAATGAATTTGTCTTTACAGACCAATTGAAATGAGAGAAAAAAGCCTTAGCAATATTCGTACTGTCAGTGTTTGTTCTGGAAGAGAAAGAAATTGCCTTTCATCTAAGACAGAACAAGGGTCCATAACATGGGTGGGTGCCCCCAGCACTCATGGTTGGGCACCCTTTGCAGGCTCAGTCCTGCTGGGATGCTCTGTTGTCCTAACAGAGGAGTCCCGGTTTGTACAGGAATTTGATACTCTTATCCAAGGTGTGCAAAAACTATCTTCTGTTTAAAGGTTGCCATACTATCTTACACATTCTGTGTTTAGGTTTGTCCTACTTCACATTTTGCTACAGTATCAGGCTTTGTTTATTTTTGAGTCTGAAATGAGCAGAAAGACACAAATCTCACTTTAGATTGTACAGGTTGTTCCTAAGTATATTTTACATGCATTTAATATCAAAGTTAAAAAGTAGCACTTCTTGGCTCCCTTTTATAAAATATGAGCACTTTAGTATGTTTGCTCCCACACACATGCACTTCACCATTGTTTTGGCCCACAACAACGTAATACTCCTCACATGCCTACTATTTAAAACTGTCTTTCAGAGAAGAACTATATTGCTTGGAAGCCCAAATCTTTGCTTCCATGTTTATGCCATGCATTCTCCCCACTCGTTCTATGATGAATTATTCAAAATAAGAACAGTACATCATGTGGCAGCTCTTACCCTTTCAAAAATTCCACCAAAATGCTATAATGTGCAAAATTAGTGGAAACTGTATTATCCCTGGACACTAAGTGCTTACTGTTGTCTTGTAGCATTTTGTTTGCACTGTTGGTGTAAGTGGGCAGATGTAGGGCCTCCCTCCTCACTTGCAGGAAAGAGTAATGAGGTGTTCTCACGGGAAGGAGAGCCCACACACAGCAGACAGCATTAGTCATCCATGGGAGGATAACAGGGTTCTGTCAGTGTTTGTTTGACAACACCCAACCCCAGGAACTGTGACCCCAGTCTCATCGCAGAGAACCTGACTGGACTGTGAGTGCAATGTAACATCTACAAGCCTAATTAATTACAGTGAATTGTGTTGGTGTGCAAACACTGTTGGCATAGACGAGGTAGTCATACTGGAACAAGGCGCACAGCCAGAAGCACCCACGTCCTCAGGAGCCTCTGCGGGCTCCGAGGGGTGGGACAATGTCCTCTCAAAGACCTGAGCCACAGGTCCCAGTATCAGGCACAATTCCTCTGTAAATCATCAATAGGCAGCCCTTCTCTGCATTCCATGTTCACAGCAAATGTCCTGCCACAACTCTGCTTCTGTTTAGTTGACTCACTTAACAAATGCCCTTCCCTGTCCACTCAGACACTCTGTTCTCCCGGACAGATGCACTTCTCATCAGGGATTCACAAGGTGCCATTTTGCATCTCACACCCTATGGGGCAGCTTCATGGGAGCCTGGCAGGGAGAAATGAGCCTTCCCTTGGCTAATTGACAAAACCAGAATTCTGAGAGTAGGAGGCAAGGACCAGACCTTGGGAGTGGCAACCTCCTCACCCTCAATGTCTAAGACCTCTGGAATCTTCTGGGTAGCCAGCATCTTTGCTTTTCATCCCTTAACTTTTGCCTCTGTGCCACCAAATAATGCCATTTGGACTGCAGTGCCATCAGACACCTGAAGGAATGTTTGCCATAAATAGTGCCAATAGGACAGGATTAGGAAAATGTTTATGATACCAAGTAAATTCTGAGCCAGGTCTTGTGCAAGAACATCTTTACCAAGCTGTGGTAACTAAACTGGGCTACCTTACTTTGGTGAGCAACTTTTTTGAGAAACGTTTTTTGGCTTCCTTCTTGTCTGATCTTTTTCCCATGGCTACTCTTGGCCACCCCCGCAAGTGTATCTAAGTTCAGATCATGGGCCACGGTCTCAGTCATTTCCCTCAGGGGCTTGGGATGCAACTATTTATTCTTTTAATAAATTAATAATGATTCTTCATGACATGCAAAATAAATTGTTTTTATTTAGGATCCTTGACCCATTCTTTGATAATTTTAACCCTGAGGACTTTTCCAGAATCATCTCTTTCATTACATAGGGCATTTCATTATTTAACAGAACTGAACTACAAAAATTCCCTGAGCATAGCAAGACGTTTTACAGTACTTTTTCCTGCATACTCTCCTTCTGCACAAATATCACCCCCTTTCTCCTTGTTCTCTCCTAGGCGAACACTGTAGACCCCAAATACAAAGCTCAAGGGGTTAGTTCTTGTTCTGCTTCCTGCTTAATCCACTTTCTTTGCACTTATGCAACCAGGAGCATTTGCTTGCATATCTGTACTGCACTCAGACTGTGAAACTCTTGGACAAAAATCCCAGATCTTATTCCTTCTTGTTTACTTAGCTTTTGCTACTGGACCTGTGTGAGAGAAAGCATCAGTAAATATTTGTGGGGTTGAATAGGAAAACTGAAGTCTGGTCTTTATTATGCTCCCACCCCCACCTCCTCCCAAGGGTGACTCCAAGAGCCCTCACTATTTTTCCTGAGCAAACAATAAATGGAAGACCTATTGTGATCATTGGCAAGGCAAATAAATGCTGACTTTTCGGTTTGAGGTGCTAAGGGTTTCAATTGGTGAGACATTTGTATACATTGTAAATGGAGCATGAGGAGGCACAATTACCGGCATTACTTCTCCCTTTACTTCAGAGAGCCCTGGGCTATGCTGTTTCAGAAAAGGTATTGTTGGGTGGAAAGAATGTGGACCAGCAGATGTGAAGAGTGGGATCCAGTCCTCTATCTCCCAGGGTCCAGTTTTATGATCTAAACACTTGTTAACCTCTTGGGCTTTTAAAAATTCATAAAATATATAGGAAATTCCTGTTATTCATGTTTTATATTCCCTTCCAGCTAGACAACTGTCTGCCTCAATAATATTTAATGAAATAATACCACGTAATGGGTTATTTTGTGTTCAAATCCACGTTTCTCTTTCTTCGCCTACTGAAAGTGTCAAAATAAAATTAATGGCCTGACCTGCAAACTCTCATCATAGCTTTCTTTGGTAAAATGTAGATCATCTTCCAATAATGTTGAACAGAATTGAAAGCAAAGTCTACTTAAATCATTTATAGACAACTTTCTTTCCTGCAAATTTCTTTAAAGTTGTTCAAACTTTAAATAGAAAACAGGAGACAGAAACTTCTAGGTTGCTTTATCTCCTTAGCTACTGCAAGTATTATGGCAAACAGGACAGATGCCTCCCTGTTAAATTTGTGTCTTGGTGAAATATATGTGATCATCAAATATAAATAATTTTCCACAGAAAAGGGAGCCTTAACAAGGTGGAGATTTTAGCTTTAATTAATCAAATTAGAACACTGTTAACACAGAATGCAGTTTCACAAATCTTAACAAAATGGGACTAGTTGGAGAAAAAGTACATGGTTTCTCTTCTCAGGGAAGTTAAGTATAAGCAAATATAAAGAAAAAAAGCATTCCTCTTTCTTCTGAAGTAATAATATAGATTACAAAATAATACCAAAAACAAAAAACAAAACAGGCAGAAAGCCCATAACTCTGGTCCCTAGGGAGAGATTGACTGAGATAAGTACCAAGGTAATTCAAGCCAAGCCTACTTTTGCACAGGTTTATAAGAGGAAAGGAAAAAAATCTAAGAAGTAATGTCTAAAGAAAGTAGACAAAAAAACAGTAACTTACCTAGTATCGAGGTATTTCAAAATATAAGTGGACATGAATCTAAAAAACTCTTTTGTCACAGAACCATAAAACTTGCAGAAGACAAGAGGCATGGGAGAAAATCTACATGACAACAGGCATGGCTAGGAGCTTTCCAGAGTCAACACCAAAGGCACTGTATTAGTCTGTTTTCATGCTGCTGATCAAGACATACCTGATACTGGGTAATTAAAGAAAAAGAGGCTTAATGAACTCACAGTTCCACATGGCTGGGGAGGCCTCACAATTATGATGGAAGGCAAAAGGCACATCTTACATGGTGGCAGACAAGATAGAATGAGAACCAGGTAAAAGGGGTTTTCCCCTATAAAACCATCAGATCTCATAAGACTTATTCATACCAAGAGAACAGTATGGGAGAAACCAACCCCATGATTCAATTACCTCCCACAGGGTCTCTCCCACAACACGTGGGAGAATTACAGGAGCTACAATTCAAGATGAGATTTGGGTGGGGACATAGCCAAACCATGTCAGGCTGTACCCACAAGGGAAGGAATGGACACACTGAACTTCAGGAAAGCTAAAAATTCTGCTGTTTGAAAAACACTGTCAAGAGAATGAAAAGACAAGCCATAAGACTATGAGAAAATATTTGCAAAAGGCATATAAAATAAAGGACGGTTATCCAAAATATACAAAGAATACTTAAAACTCAATAATGAGAAAATAACTCAGTAAAACAGACCAAAGACCCTAAAAGATACCTCACCAAAGACAATCCACGAAAAGCAAATGAGCACAGGAAAAGTTCCACACCAAGTGCATGTCCTCAAGGAAATGCAGATTAAACCACATGAGATACCACTGTAGACCCTACACACCCACATGGACGTGGATCTTCATTTTGTGAAGGTGTAATAAGCATAGATTCTCCATTTCGTCGTGTCAGTTTTGGCAAGCCCTGTTTTTCTAAGAATTTGTTCATCTAAATTTTAAATTTACTAGCATGAGGTTATTTGTTGTTGTTTGTAATATTTTCGGATCGCTCTTTAATGTCTATATCTTTTCATTTAAATTGTTTTCTATATCTTTATGACTTTCCACTTCCATCTGCAGATATCTGCAACTTGATTTTCAGCTCCCTAAGTTTTTCTTAATGAAGGACATTCTGTTACTTTTCCCATCAAGCACGCTCTTTTTCTTAGTTATTAATTTTTTTTTTTTTTTTTTTGAGATGGAGTCTGGCTCTGTCACCCAGGCTGGAGTGCAGTGGCATGATCTTGGCTTATTGCAAACTCCGCCTCCCAGGTTCAAGCAATTCTCCTGCCTCAGCCTCCCGAGTAGCTGGGATTACAGGTGCTCATCACCACGCCCAGCTATTTTTTGTATGTTCAGCAGAGATGGGGTTTCGCCATGTTGGCCAGGCTGGTCTCAAACTCCTGACCTCAGGTGATCCACCTGCCTCAGCCTCCCAAAGTGCTGGGGTTACAGGCGTGAGCCACTGCGCCTGACCTAGTTATTAAATTTTTATAGTTGATATTTCCGCTTGGCTCTTGTTCATGTCTCTAGTTCTGAATTTAAAACACAAAAATCTTCCTTTGTCTTGCATGAAATGGATATTTTACTTATTTAAATTCCTAATCCTTTTTTGTTCATTTATACTTCCTCATGTGGCATTGCTATCTAATATACTTTCTTTGCTGTTATGGTGGTCACACTCCTCGGGTGTGAACACTCTTCCCTGATTTAGTGAATGCATGTTTCAAGAAGGGGTAAGGGTTGTGCCCAGGCCTAAAGCCAAAGGTACAACTGTGCTGTGATTGTGACTGCCTCCTCAGCCCACAAACCAGCCTTCTACCATTTTGCTTTACACTCTGAAGAAATAAGCCCTGGAAAGTGATAATTTCCTTCTCTTGTAGTCTACCAGTCCTGGAGGTGTGAAGCAGGTGAGGAAATGTGAGAGCAGGGGATGCTTGGAGCTGGTGGTTGTGCTTAAACCATCTGTCTGTTCCTTACTCCAGCTGGTTATTAACACTGCCACAAACTTCACCCTAGTTAACTTGCCTGACATGTCTAAGGGACAAAAAATGAGCCCCTTAGGACACGTGGGGCAGCAAGAGTAACAGAAAACTTTTTCTGGCCTAATTCCTGAACTTAGAGACCTGCCCACACCCCCAGGTATCTGCCCCAGCCCCACCCAGAGACCTGAACCTAACTGCCTCTTGGAGTGCTGGCAGGCCTCACAATCCCTAATTTAGGTCTTCATATTCATAAGTCTCATTTGTCCAGAGCTTCTCAGGAGTGTGTTTTTTGGGGGAAAAGCCAAGAGTCTACACTAGCTCCATGATCTTTCTCACTCTCTCTCTCTCTGCTGCTTCCTTCCTTCCTTCCTTTCTTCCTTCCTTCCTGCCTTCCTGCCTTCCTGCCTTCCTGTCTTCCTGCCTTCCTTTCTTCCTTCTTTCCTTCCTTTCTCTTTGTTTAAAATAAGTAAAAACTTAAGAAACATTCAGAAAGAAAAAAGTTAAATACTAAAGAAATAAGACTTCCCTCTGCAAAACAATAGAGAAATTTGGCTACATTGTTGGAGTGAGAAAAGTAATTGCAATGTAAAATCTCTACTCATAGCTAAGATACTCTTCATAAGTAAATGCCACAGAAGACATTCTTACAATGCAAGAAGTCCTAGCACTCATGCGCTTTTAAGAATGTCAGAAATTACTAGAAAAAATATTAAACAAAATAATATTTACTTAATACAGTTAAGAAGTTTTAAATATGATTTATGGAACATTTCACCTTAGAGCTTGTCAGTCTTACCAATTTAGCCATTCTAATAGTTATAATGTAGTATCTCATTGTGGATTTAATTTGCATTTTCCTAATATCTGTTATAATATATACCACTTAACATGCATATTGGGTGTTTTTCTTTTTTCTGAGTTTTTTTTTCAAGTAATGTGCCTACATATTTTTAATTGGGTTATTTTTCCCCAGGACTCACTTCTAAAAACTTCCACTAAGTACCTACAGTTATAAGCTTATTCTTTAATGCAAATTAGCATGAATTCTAATAAATCATTTATCATAAAGATTAATAAGATCCACATCATTATTTAATAGATGTCATAAACATATTTCAATAGAACAATAACCACTGGGAAAAAAGGAATAAAAGATAAAACTATTAGCCTCAATAAACAAGCAGTACCATACTTCACTGTCAAACTCTAGAAAACACACTTTCAAATTCCGCTACATTGTGCTGCTGATGACAGTGTGGACTGACAAACTTTTAGAAACAATTTGGCCCTTTTTCACCCAAGAGCCTTTAAAACAATCATACAATTTGATCCTGAAATTTTACTTACAGAAGTTTATTCCCCCAAAAGATATAAATATTCATTTAGAACACTATAACAGAACTCCATTATGGTATTATTTTCTTAGTTCATTTGGGCTGCAATAACAAAATACCATAAACCAGGTGGCTTATAAACAAGAGAAATGTGTTGTCCTCAGTTCTGGAGGCTGGAAGTCCAAGATCACGATACCAGTAGATTTCACGTTTAATGGAGGCCCACTTTCTGGTTTATAGGCAGCACCTTCTCACTATGCCCTCACACGGTGGAAGGGGCAACAGTCTCCCTCAGGCCTCGTTTATTTTTTATCTTGATTTGTATTATTTGTATGTGTTTATTTTTGTTGTTTTTGTATGTGTACATATTCATGGGGTGGAAGTGCAATTTTGCTACATTGATACATGGTGGTGAAGTCGGGGCCTTCCCCCACTGTACCCATCACCAACCTCACATAGCCCACTCCCCTCCCATTCTCCCATCCCTCCAGGTCTCCATTTTCCATCACCCTACACTCGACTTTATTATTAGCTCCCACTTTAAGTGTGAACATGCAGTATTTGTCTTTCTATTTCTGAGTCATTTTGCCTCAGATAATGGCCCCTAGTTCCATCCATGTTGCTGCAAGACACATGATCTCATTCTGTTTTATGGCTAAATAGTATTCCATTGTGTATGTATAACAGGCCTTTTTTATAAGGGTGCTCATCCCATTTATGAAGATTCTGTCTCATGACCTAATCATCTCCCAAGGTCCCCACCTCCTAATACTATCACTGTAGGGGTTAGGATTTCAGCACATTAATTTAGGGGGGGCACAAATATTTGGGTCAGAGCAAGTATCATTTATAATAGCAAATAAACTAAAATAACCCAAATGTCCCATATAGGAAAGATATTAAATGAACCATGCTACCTTCAAAGCAAAGTGACATTAATTAAGCTTTAAAAATGACATTTTAATGACATGGTAGAATGTATACAGGCTATGTATAATGAAAAAGATCATTCTAGAAAGGTGGGAAATAAAAACTTTCCAAAGCTAAAGAAGGAAATTATACCTCATAGTTTTAAAACCAAAGATGAAGACTGCTAACAAATAATAATTTCAACCACACAGAAAGAGGTTTATTATATATATGGGAGATATAGATATTATGTTTATTATATATTAATGTTTAATGCACACATCTGTGATGTATAACATATGTACAATATTGAAATGTGTCAGATATGAAGTGCAAGTATTTTAGATTCAGACACCTGAGTCAGGGTGTTTGCCTGATACCTTGAGAACTTCTTTGTCTGTTTGACTCTCATTTAAGAATGGCAAGTTACCTAACAGTTTTGTTGTGAGGTTTGAAGAACATGATGACTGAAAAGCAAAATGTCTGGCAAAAAGTGAATGGTAACTGAATAAGTATCAGTAAAAAGTATTAGCTTTCATCATTATAACTTATTGTTACTATTATTTAGTTACTATTTTACATTATTATTATAGCTACTTTATTACCGTATTTCGCATTGCAATGTAAGAGCACATTCATCATAATTTTTCTGCAGAAAATGCAATTAAGGATCATGCTTTATATGGTGTCCTTATTTAATACCTATTCTATTGGAAATTATTTGTAAATATGATATATAATGGTTGTGCAATGCTTTGACAATGATTGTCGAGACTGTTAATTTCACTGTCTCAGTATAACAGGGATGGTTCCATTGAATCAATATCCTAGTGGTGGAATTAGCATGGTCACCAGTTTGTCTCTCAGCTTCACACCCACTCTAGTCCACTGTGCTTTGCACGCCTGGGGCAGGACACTGCAACCACATTTCTGTTTTGTTTGTGGCTCTGGCTAGACTCTGCCAAGAGGTATTAGAGGGATCCTGGAAGAAGAGAGAGCACGGACTTCCTCTGTTCTGCTTGCTTTCTGTTCCTGCTTGTTTTCCTGGGCGCATTTCCCCAGTGAGGCTCCTTCCCCCAGGGCAGTGGCTGTTCTGTCAGAAGCAGTTTGCTGTGTTTCCAGCACTTCAGAACAAGCAGCATTGAGGGCCCCCTATATCAGCTCCGGAGAGTGCTAGATCCCAGCTCCACCAGACCATCCTTGGGGCTTCTGAGGCATCAGCACCAGTCAAGGAGGGCCCCTCCTCAGATACTCTAATTCCAGGCTGGCTGGGCCAGTCTTTCAATCTTCTTAATTTTAATTATCTCCACCTCTTCCCTCTGTTCTGGGGATAAAGGTGTTCTCGCAGGTGTGCCTTCCTGACACCTTAACCTCCTATTTTTTAGTCTCTAAAACCCAGTTAAAATTATCTATATTAAATTTTGTATGTTAGAATAACTGGCGCGGTTTCTTTACCATGACTAGTTCTACCCAATAAAGTGGGTAAATATGTGTGAATTCTGTGAGTCCCTTCATAAATGCAATGTTTCGGAGTTGCCCTGCAGCCATTTCTGTTGCTGCCACAGTGAGTTCCCCTTGTCTCTCCTCTACACCAACTGGACATTCTTAAAACTGTGACCAAGATGATGTGGCTCACAAGTAAAGTCACCTTTCCTTGACTTCTAAGTTGAAGAGTGCTTCCTAAAGTTATTGGTCATTCGTTTTTTTACTAAGTAAATGTCTTTTAATTCTTTTTTGTTCATATTTTCTTCATTTTTCTTTTGGATCTCTTCTAGTTCTTAAGTTGAAACTTTGTCATTTAAGGTAGTTTTTAATACTCTGATTTCTGGATCAGGTGTTGTGGCTCACACCTATTATCCCAGCACTTTGGGAGGCCGAGGCAGGAAAATCACTTGAGGCCAGGAATTCAGAGACCAACCTGGGCAACATAGTGACACCCCATCTTTACAAAAAAATAAAATTTAAAAGTCACCTGGGAGAGTTTGAGACTGCAGTGAACTATAATCATGTCATTGCCATTGCACTCCAGCCTGGGCGATGGAGTGAGACCTTGTCTCTCTAAAAAACAAAACAAAACACCAAGTCTGATTTCACTTTGTTTTCTGAAAGGAGATTTTATTTTATTTTATTTTTTACTTTTTTGTAAAACAACCTGGCCACTTTCTGGTAAACTCCTAATTTTTTTAAAATAGGTGCCTTCTTTGGTTTTCTGTTAATGCTAACTTTATTTCTCAATGCAGATCCTGAACTGTGTTTCTGTCCCTCTTTTAGCCCCATTTTTTTTGCCTTAATTCTCGTGCGAGGTTAATTCTGCCCCACATAGCTCACTCACCCACCCCTTTCAGATTAAGCAACAGAGCCCTGACTCATGGCCCCCAACTCCTGGGAGGCCAGCCTGAATCCACGGCCCTGCTCCCAAGGAGGAGGGAGGACTCTGCTCTGATGTCTTCATGCTGACCACAGCCTTGCATTATATTTGAATTCAAAAAATATTTATTAAGTACCTACTGTATGTCATATATGGTTCTTAGCACTAGAGACAGCAGTAAACAAAGAGATAATAAGCAAAGACACACAAATAAATAACACAGAATGTTATTTATTGGGTAGTTGTAAGAGCTATGATGAAGTAAGCAAATGTATTTGATTAGAGGGTAATACAGACTGATTTGCGGCGGGCTTATCAAAGGAGGCCTATGTGTTGTGGTGACTGAGCAGAGATCTAAAGGACATGAGAGCATGAGCCACATGGATTCATGGGGAACTAGCACACAAAGCAGAGGAAATACTAAGTTATAAGAAGGTAGCAGAGGAAACTGTGTGGTGGGGTTGAGAAGCAGCAAGGTGACTAGTGTGGTTTGAGATTGAGAAAGGGGCAATATACTGAAAGACTAAGTTAGCAGAGCAAGTCTCACATTTTTGTCCCAGAACTTATTTAAACTCTTAAAATAATTGAGGACTGCGGCTGGGGGTGGTGGCTCACACCTGTAATCCCAGCACTTTGGGAGGCCGAGACGGACAGATCACAAGGTCAGGAGATCGAGACTATCCTGGCTAGCATGGTGAAACCCCGTCCCTACTAAAAATACAAAAAATTAGCCAGGCATGGTGGCGGGCACCTGTAGTCCCAGCTACTCAGGAGGCTGAGGCAGGAGAATGGCATGAACCCGGGAAGCGGAGCTTGCAGTGAGCCAAGATTGCTCCACTGCACTCTAGTCTGGGTGACAGAGCAAGACTCCATCTCAAAAAAATAAAAATAAAAATAAAAATAAAATAAATAAATAAATAAATAATTGAAGACTGCAAAAAGCTTTTATTTGTATGAGTTATAACTGCTGATGTAGTGTACTAGAAATTAAAAGTGAAAAAATATTAATAGATTAAATTTTTAAAAATATTAATATATTACACATGAACATAAATATGAAAAATAGCCATATTCTCCAAAATAAAAAATAATTTCTGAGAAGGGTATTACCATGGTTTAAACGTGTCCCCTCCAAAACCCAGATGTTGCCCATGTGATGGTATAAAGAGGCAGGGCCTTTAAGAGGTGATTAGTCTGTGAGGGTCCTCCCCATGGCTCACTGTGGCCTCAAACTCCAGAGTTCAAGTGATCTTACTGCCTCCGCCTCCCAAGTAGCTGGTACTGCAGGTGCATGCCACCACCCTAAGCTCATTTTAAAATTTTCTGTAGAGATAGGATCTCTGTATGTTGCCTAGATTTGTCTCGAACTCCTGGCCTCCAGCAATCTTCCCACCTCGTCCTCCCAAAGTTCTGAGATTACAGGCCACCATGCCCAGATGAAAGGAGTATTTTAATAAATTTTTCAGATAATCGTGGACATTTTTCTTTGTTGCTCTGCCAGAATTTTCAAGTGGTGTAGTATCTTAAAGGTTAGCTGCTATGTGGAATCTGAATCATATCAATGAGCTTTTAATGCTCACTTATATTAAAATCCATTGGTTTATATTTCACTCTGAATGGATAGTTACCCACATATGATATGTAATAGTGTGTATTGGTAATTGGGAAATTATTGACTCATTGAGTTATTCAGATCTTCCAAATGTTGACACATTTATTAGTAACACCACCAATCTCATCAGAAGTGTCTTTTAATGGGAAACTGTCATGCGCACCATACAAGTTTTTCAAAATTTTAATTTTCACTAGTGCTAGTTGTTTTTCTCAGTGACATGCTTCTTTCAATTTTTTTAAAATGAAAAATTTAAATGTCTGCCAAATACTAAGAATGATGTGACTGACATTTTGAAAGAATCACACTGGCTGTTTTGTGGAGAATATACAGATGGGGGTGGACTACCAAGTGGAAATAGGGAGCTTTTTGTTGAGTGTGAAAAGAAGCCAGCAGTCAAGGATGATGTCAAGGCTTTCAGACTTTAAGAATGAATGACTATAGTTTATATACCCGTTGCTACGTCAAGTTAAAAAAAAGTTTCTATGAAAAGTAGCTGGTTTAGCTCACAGCTTGAACAATTGCACAGATGCTTTTTCTTGAGAAAACGGTGGTTTTCTGTTATGCAACAGAATTGTATAGTTTCCATTTTGTCAAACAGAACTTAAAAAGGCTTGTACTCAAAGATTGATAATTAATAGAACTAATAATATTAACTGCTTTATCCAGCATAGTCTTAAGTAAAACTCTTTTTAGAAAACAGAGTGTGTGGAGGAATAGAGTGCCATGACCACTACTGCAATGCGTGTGATTGCCTGACATGTGCTGAGGTCTGGTGGATTTACCCACCATTGCTTTTCACCATCATTTCAGATGTCACCACAGTAAAAAGGCAAATACTGTCTTGGTGTTGCTATGGAAATAGTTTTGACCTCACTTGACCCCCAGAGGTATTGGGATCTCTCATGTGTTCATGAACTGCATTTTACGGGCTACTGAGTCAGAGACATGCTCTGGTCTGGTTTATGGAGTGGGCCTTGACAGCCAGGTAAAAGTTAGTAACCGCCTGATGTGACTGACATTTTGAAAGAATCACACTGGCTGTTTTGTGGAGAATATACAGATGGGGGTGGACTACCAAGTGGAAATAGGGAGCTTTTATAACAAAAAGATGATTGTAATTTAAACTAGGAGGATAGTAAAGGAGAAAGTAAGAAGTCAGATGTGGATATGTTTGGTCAGATGTGGATATGTTTGAAGCAGTGCCTACATGTTTTTTTCATGGATTGAATATTGAGTATGAAAAGAAGAGAGCAGTCAAGGATGATGTCAAGGCTTTTAGACTAAAAAACTGTGAATACCAGTGGCATTTGCTGAGATAAGGAAGGCTAAAAGGGGACCATATTTGAAGAAAGAAAGCAAGAATCCGCTCTAAGTGTCATTGGGTTTGAGATACTAGTTACACATTTACATGGAGATAAATTATATTGTCTAAAGTTCAGGGGAGAGATTGGCAACAGAGTTGCAGATTTTGGAGTTAACACCATATAGATGGTACTTCAAACTGTGAGACTGGATAAAATCACTTAATGAGTTAATGTATATGAGAAAAGAAGGAAAAAGAAGAAGAGAAGACTTCTAAGAACTAAGTCATGAGAAATGTATCATATACTGCTTTGTTCTAACTGGGACAGTTTTGAAAGTTGAAGAAGGCACTAAAAACAATTCAAAATATATATTTTTAGTCTATCGGTTTCTTGACTGAATTAAATGGATTTAATTTGTAGTCATACAAAAATAGTTGTATTTATAATTATTTTCGAAATAAAATTATTTCAAAAAAATAAAAAATAACATATTTGTGGGCATTAAAACAAAATTTTACAAATTTTCTATATATTGTTCATCTGCAAAATCAAAGTAACACAAACAGTATACTTGTTCTTTGTAATTTTCATGTATTTGAATAAACTTCTTAACTTTCTTCTGTAATATGATGGCAAGAACATTTTTTTCTGAAAAACCTTCTGCATCTTCTACAACTGCATGGTTCAGTCATCACTTTTGGCCATAATCTTTCTAAAGTGACTTTAATAAAAGAACTTTAAAGGATTTGGATCTTCTAATTGCTACGTAACCAATGCTACCATAGCTCCTATGATTAGTAAATATCAGCATGCATTTTATGCAAGTTACATGCTCATCATCAAGTTTCCTGAGGCATGTAAATTCAGTGACAGGTAACATGTATTTTTTAAAGCCTTTTGCTGCTACAAAGGATTACTGCAAGGGATCAAAAAGTCCTAAGACAATAGAATTAATAATTGCAGATTTACACCATGCAACAAATGACAAATGACTAAAGCAAGTGTATTCATCTTGCCCCCATAACTCTACAGAAGACTGCCTACCTTCTGTGTCCCCTTCACACATTTTAAAACCCATTAGTCTTCAGAGGAATCCTGACTCGTTGTGGCCTGGCAGCTTTATGCAACCCTTCAGCTGAGGCATGGGTCCTGGACGATTCATTGAGTGGCCAGCAAAAGCACAACATGCAGTGGCTGTCACACCACTGCGTCCAGAGGTGATAGCTTTCTCTAGCCATGTGTGTCAGATGCACTTGACTTTATCAGGGAGCATCTACCATGCTGTTCTCAAAAAGGAGGTATTAGCTATATTGTACCTGTAAAGGGTCAGGAGAAGAGAGATGGGTTATCATGGATCCTATTTTAGCTTTAATTGCACGATAAAAGGAGGAATTCATTCACTGTACATGCATCTTACACACAGCTGGACAAGACCATGGAACGTGGAAGAGTGAATGAAAATCCCCATTGCTCTGCATCATAGCCAGCACTTGGTTTTTCCCCTGTTTACTCATACTGGTGAATGAAAAGCAACATTTAATGGTGGTTTTAATTTGTGTTTCCCTGATGCCAGGGCCAGGAGTAAGGTGACACAATGGAATACCATCTCAGGCACAAAATTTAGGAGAAAGAACACCAATAAACTGAGTAATCAAGATAAATAATACTGGTAATGTAATAATTGAAAAAATAAATTAATGCAAGAAATCTATGTGGAATAAAATATCAAAATTTTAACTAAATATGTGCTATGCTGGCAAGGATGGGGAAAAACATTTAATATAATGTTAGTGTAGGTCTTTGGTAGAAAGCCTTACAGGATCAGATCGGATCACTTTCTATCTATTCTTAGACTCCACATCTATCTACTGAGATGACCATATGGTTTGTCTCCTTTATTAAAAATTAATATTCAATTTTTAAACCAAACATTCTCCATTAATAAGCCCAACTTTACTGTAAGATACTGATCTCTTCACATATCACTGGATTCATTTTGCTAAGATTTGAGTAGAATTCTTGTCCCTATGTATCTGAGAGGATGGCCTATGACTTTTCTTTCCTTGTCAGCCTTTGGTATCAAGATTACGTTAGCCTCATAAAATGAGAGAGAAATTTTCCCACTTAAATTATTTGGAAGATTGTGTAAAATTGGTATTATTTCTCCCTTAAATGTTAAAGAAAATTCAACAGTGAAGACATTTGGGTAGAAAAGTGTCTTCCGAATCAACTTGTTTGTAGATACAGTACTATGCAAACTTTCTGTTTCTTGTGGTGGCTTCGTGAAATGTGTTTTCAAGGAATGTGTTTTCCATTTTATCTATGGTGTGTAATTGGCAAAAAGGTGTTATAATATCCTCTTCGAGTCAGGTTAATACCTGTAGGTTCTATAGTGATAAACTTGTTTCATTTCTGATATTGATAATTTGCTTTTTTTTCTGTTTTTTTCTGCACCAGTCTTGCTAGGAGTTTATTGATTTTACTAAACTTTAAAAACACAAGTTTTAGCTTCTTGGTTGAGTTTCTGTATTGTATATTTCTTTTCTATTTCATTTTTTAAATTTTATTCTTACATTTTATTCCATGTTGATGACTTAATCTGCTGTCTCTTACTAACTTCTTAAGATGAAAATAGATTGTTGATTTTCAACATTTTTTCTTTTCTTTTTTTTATTTTATTATTATTATACTTTAAGTTTTAGGGTACATGTGCACAATGTGCAGGTTTCTTACATATGTATACATGTGCCATGTTGGTGTACTGCACCCACTAACTGGGCATTTAGCATTAGGTATATCTCCTAATGCTATCCTTCTCCCCTCCCCCCACCCCACAACAGTCCCCGGAGTGTGATGTTCCCCTTCCTGTGTCCACGTGTTCTCATTGTTCAATTCCCATGTATGAGAGAGAACATGCAGTGTTTGGTTTTTTGTCCTTGCGATAGTTTGCTGAGAATGATGATCTCCAGTTTCATCCATGTCCCTACAAAGGACATGAACTCATCATTTTTTATGGCTGCATAGTATTCCATGGTGTATATGTGACACATTTTCTTAATCCAGTCTATCATTGTTGGACATTTGGGTTGGTTCCAAGTCTTTGCTATTGTGAATAGGGCTGCAATAAACATACGTGTGCAGGTGTCTTTATAGCAGCATGATTTATAACCCTTTGGGGATATACCCAGTAATGGGATGGCTGGGTCAAATGGTATTTCTAGTTCTAGATACTTGAGGAATCGCCACACTGACTTCCACAATGGTTGAACTAGTTTACAGTCCCACCAACAGTGTAAAAGTGTTCCTATTTCTCCACATCCTCTCCAGCACCTGTTGTTTCCTGACTTTTTAATGATCGCCATTCTAACTGGTGTGAGATGGTATCCCATTGTGGTTTTGATTTGCATTTCTCTGATGGCCAGTGATGATGAGCATTTTTTCACGTGTCTTTTGGCTGCATAAATGTCTTCTGTTAAGAAGTGTCTGTTCACATCCTTTGCCCACTTTTTGATGGGGTTGTTTGTTTTTTTCTTGTAAATTTGTTTGTGTTCATTGTAGATTCTGGGTATTAGCCCTTTGTCAGATGAGTAGATTGCAAAAATTTTCTCCCATTTTATAAGTTGCCTATTCAGTCTGATGGTAGTTTCTTTTGCTGTGCAGAAGCTCTTAAGTTTAATTAGATCCCATTTGTCAATTTTGGCTTTTGTTGCCATTGCTTTTGGTGTTTTAGACATGAAGTCCTTGCCATGCCTATGTCCTGAATGGTATTGCCTAGGTCTTCTTCTAGGGTTTTTATGGTTTCAGGTCTAACATGTAAGTCTTTAATCCATCTTGAATTAATTTTTGTATAAGGTGTAAGGAAGGGATCCAGTTTCAGCTTTCTACATATGGCTAGCCAGTTTTCCAAAGCACCATTTATTAAATAGGGAATCCTTTCCCCATTGCTTGTTTTTCTCAGGTTCGTCAAAGATCAGATAGTTGTAGATATGCAGCATTATTTCTGAGGGCTCTGTTCTGTTCCATTGATCTATATCTCTGTTTTGGTACCAATACCATGCTGTTTTGGTTACTGTAGCCTTGTAGTATAGTTTGAGGTCAGGTAGCGTGATGCCTCCAGCTTTGTTCTTTTGGCTTAGGATTGACGTGGCGATGAGGGCTCTTTTTTGTTTCCATATGAATTTTAAAGTAGTTTTTTCCAATTCTGTGAAGAAAGTCATTGGTAGCTTGATAGGGATGGCATTGAATCTGTAAATTACCTTGGGCAGTATGGCCATTTTCACAATATTGATTCTTCCTACCCATGAGCATGGAATGTTCTTCCATTTGTTTGTATCCTCTTTTATTTCATTGAGCAGTGGTTTGTAGTTCTCCTTGAAGAAGTCCTTCACATCCCTTGTAAGTTGGATTCCTAGGTGTTTTATTCTCTTTGAAGCAATTGTGAATGGGATTTCACTCATGATTTGGCTCTCTGTTTGTCTGTTATTGATGTATAAGAATGCTTGTGCTTTTTGTACATTGATTTTGTATTCTGAGACTTTGCTGAAGTTGCTTATCAGCTTAAGGAGATTTTGGACTGAGACAATGGGGTTTTCTAGATATACAATCATGTCATCTGCAAACAGGGACAATTTGACTTCCTCTTTTCCTAATTGAATACCCTTTATTTCCTTCTTCTGCCTAATTGCCCTGGCCGGAACTTCCAACACTGTGTTGGATAGGAGTGGTGAGAGAGGGCATCCCTGTCTTGTGCCAGTTTTCAAAGGGAATGCTTCCAGTTTTGGCCCATTCAGTATGATATTGGCTGTGGGTTTGTCATAGATAGCTCTTATTATTTTGAGATACGTCCTATCAATACCTAATTTATTGAGAGTTTTTAGCATGAAGCATTGTTGAATTTTGTCAAAGGACTTCTCTGCATCTATTGAGATAATCATGTGGTTTTTGTCTTTGGTTCTGTTTATATGCTGGATTACATTTATTGATTTGCATATGTTGAACCAGCCTTGCATCCCAGGGATGAAGCCCACTTGATCATCGTGGATAAGCTTTTTGATGTGCTGCTGGATTCGGTTTGCCAGTATTTTATTGAGGATTTTTGCATCAATGTTCATCATGGATATTGGTCTAAAATTCTCTTTTTTGGTTGTGTCTCTGCCAGGCTTTGGTATCAGGATGATGCTGGCCTCATAAAATGAGTTAGGGAGGATTCCCTCTTTTTCTATTGATTGGAATAGTTTCAGAAGGAATGGTACCAGCTCCTCCTTGTACCTCTGGTAGAATTCGGCTGTGAATCCATCTGGTCCTGGACTCTTTTTGTTGGTAACCTATTGATTATTGCCACAATTTCAGAGCCTGTTATTTGTCTATTCAGAGATTCAACTTCTTCCTGGTTTAGTCTTGGGAAAGTGTTTGTGTCGAGGAATTTATCCATTTATTCTAGATTTTCTAGTTTATTTGTGTAGAGGTGTTTGTAGTATTCTCTGATGCTAGTTTGTATTTCTGTGGGATCAGTGGTGATATTCCCTTTATCATTTTTTATTGCATCTATTTCATTCTTCTCTCTTTTCCTCTTTATTAGTCTTGCTAGCGGTCTATCAATTGTGTTGATCTTTTCAAAAAACCAGCTCCTGGATTCATTAATTTTTTGAAGGGTTTTTTTGTGTCTCTATTTCCTTCAGTTCTGCTCTGATTTTAGTTATTTCTTGCCTTCTGCTAGCTTTTGAATGTGTTTCCTCTTGCTTTTCTAGTTCTTTTAATTGTGATTTTAGGGTGTCAATTTTGGATCTTTTCTGCTTTCTCTTGTGGGCATTTAGTGCTATAAATTTCCCTCTACACACTGCTTTGAATGTGTCCCAGAGATTCTGGTATGCTGTGTCTTTGTTCTCGTTGGTTTCAAAGAACATCTTTATTTCTGCCTTCATTTTGTTATGTACCCAGTAGTCATTCAGGAGCAGGTTGTTCAGTTTCCATGTAGTTGAGTGGTTTTGAGTGAGTTTCTTAATCCTGAGTTCTAGTTTGATTGCACTGTGGTCTGAGAGACGGTTTGTTATAATTTCTGTTCTTTTCCATTTGCTGAGGAGTGCTTTATTTCCAACTATGTGGTCAATTTTGGAATAGGTGTGGTGTGGTGCTGAAAAAAATGTATATTCTGTTGATTTGGGGTGGAGAGTTCTGTAGATGTCTATTAGGTCCACTTGGTGCAGAGCTGAGTTCAATTCCTGGGTATCCTTGTTAACCTTCTGTCTCATCGATCTGTCTAATGTTGACAGTGGGGTATTAAGGTCTCCCATTATTATTGTGTGGGAGTCTAAGTCTCTTTGTAGGTCACTCAGGACTTGCTTTATGAATCTGGGTGCTCCTGTATTGGGTGCATATATATTTAGGATAGTTAGCTCTTCTTGTTGAATTGATCCCTTTACCATTATGTAATGGCCTTCTTTGTCTCTTTTGATCTTTGTTGGTTTAAAGTCTGTTTTATCAGAGACTAGGATTGCAAGCCCTACCTTTTTTTGTTTTCCATTTGCTTGGTAGATCTTCCTCCATCCCTTTATTTTGAGCCTATGTGTGTCTCTGCACGTGAGATGGGTTTCCTGAATACAACACACTGATGGGTCTTGACTCTTTATCCAATTTGCCAGTCTGTGTCTTTTAACTGGAACATTTAGCCCATTTACGTTTAAAGTTAATATTGTTATGTGTGAATTTGATCCTGTCATTATGATGTTAGCTGGTTATTTTGCTCGTTAGTTGATGCAGTTTCTTCCTAGCCTTGATGGTCTTTACAATTTGGCATGTTTTTGCAGTGGCTGGTACCGGTTGTTCCTTTCCATGTTTAGTGCTTCCTTCAGGAGCTCTTTTAGGGCAGGCCTGGTGGTGACAAAATCTCTCAGCGTTTGCTTGTCTGTAAAGGATTTTATTTCTCCTTCACTTATGAAGCTTAGTTTCTCTGGATATGAAATTCTGGGTTGAAAATTCTTTTCTTTAAGAATGTTGAATATTGGCCCCCACTCTCTTCTGGCTTGTAGAGTTTCTGCTGAGAGATCAGCTGTTAGTCTGATGGGCTTCCCTTTGTGGGTAACCCGACCTTTCTCTCTGGCTGCTCTTAACATTTTTTCCTTCATTTCAACTTTGGTGAATCTGACAATTATGTGTCTTGCAGTTGCTCTTCTCCAGGCGTTCTCTGTATTTCCTGAAGCTGAATGTTGGCCTGCCTTGCTGGATTGGGGAAGTTCTCCTGGATAATATCCTGCAGAGTGTTTTCCAACTTTGTTCCATTCTCCCCGTCACTTTCAGGTACACCAATCAGACGTAGATTTGGTCTTTTCACATAGTCCCATATTTCTTGGAGACTTTGTCGTTTCTTTTTATTCTTTTTTCTCTAAACTTCCCTTCTTGCTTCATTTCATTCATTTCATCTTCCATGACTGATACCCTTTCTTCCATTTGATCGCATCAACTCCTGAGGCTTCTGCATTCTTCACGTAGTTCTCAAGCCTTGGCTTTCAGCTCCATCAGTTCCTTTAAGCACTTCTCTGCATTGGTTACTCTAGTTATACATTCATCTCATTTTTTTTCAAAGTTTTTAACTTCTTTGCCATTAGTTTGAATTTCCTCCTGTAGCTCAGAGTAGTTTGATCGTCTGAAGCCTTCTTCTCTCAACTCGTCAAAGTCATTCTCCGTCCAGCTTTGTTCCATTGCTGGTGAGGAACTGCATTCCTTTGGAGGAGGGGAGGTGCTCTGCTTTTTAGAGTTTCCAGTTTTTCTGCTCTGTTTTTTCCCCATCTTTGTGGTTTTATCTACTTTTGGTGTTTGATGATGGTGACATACAGATGGGTTTTTGGTGTGGATGTCCTTTCTGTTTGTTAGTTTTCCTTCTAACAGACAGGACCCTCAGCTGCAGGTCTGTTGGAGTTTGCTAGAGGTCCACTCCAGACCCTGTTTTCCTGGGTACCAGCAGCGGTGGCTGCAGAACAGCCGTGGCTGTAGAACAGCAGATTTTCGTGAACTGCAAATGCTGCTGCCTGATCGTTCCTCTGGAAGTTTTGTCTCAGAGGAGTACCCCACCGTGTGAGGTGTCAGTCTGCCCCTACTAGGGGGTGCCTCCCAGTTAGGCTGCTCAGGGGTCAGGGACCCACTTGAGGAGGCAGTCTGCCCATTCTCAGATCTCCAGCTGCATGCTGGGAGAACCACTACTCTCTTCAAAGCTGTCAGACAGGCACGTTTAAGTCTGCAGAGGTTACTGCTGTCTTTTTGTTTGTCTGTGCCCTGCCCCCAGAGGTGGAGCCTACAGAGGCAGGCAGGCCTCCTTGAGCTGTGGTGGGCTCCACCCAGTTCAAGCTTCCCCACTGCTTTGTTTACCTAAGCAAGCCTGGGCAATGGTGGGCACCCCTCCCCCAGCCTCACTGCCGCCTTGCAGTTTGATCTCAGACTGCTGTGCTAGCAATCAGTGAGACTCCGTGGACATAGGACCCTCTGAGCCAGGTGCAGGATATAATCTCCTGGTGTGCCATTTTTTAAGCCCATTGGAAAAGCGCAGTATTGGGGTGGGAGTGACCCAATTTTCCAGGTGCCGTCTGTCACCCCTTTCTTTGACTAGGAAAGGGAACTCCCTGACCCCTTGCACTTCCCGAGTGAGGCAATGCCTCGCCCTGCTTCGGCTCGCGCACGGTGCGCTGCATGCACTGTCCTGCACCCACTTTCTGGCACTCCCTAGTGACATGAACCCAGTACCTCAGATGGAAATGCAGAAATCACCTGTCTTCTGCGTCACTCACGCTGGGAGCTGTAGACTGGAGCTGTTCCTCTTAGGCCATCTTGGCTCCACCGAGTCTGAACATTTCTAAGAGCCATTTTTTTCTTCTCTTATATGTGCATTTAAAATAAGCCATAAATTTCCTCTCAAACATTGTTTCAACTCTCTCTCACGTGAAATTTATATGCTTTGCTTTTCTATAACTCATATAAAAAGATTTCAAATTTTTATTGCGATCACTTTTGTGACCTATAGATTTTTAAAAGTTTGTTGCTTAATTTCCAACCATCTAAGGATTTTCTAGTTATCTTTCTGTTATTGGTTTCTGGTTTAATTCCACTATAATCAGAGATTATAACTTGCATTATTATATTTCATTCCTTTGAAATTTACTAAAACCTGCTTTGTGGCCCTGCATAATATAGTTTATTTTGATAAATGACACATGTGCCCATGTGTACTAGAAAGAAATGTGAATGCTACAGTTGTGGGAAGTGGTGTTCTCCATGTGTCAATTAGGTCAAATTATTTAATCCTGTTGTCCAAATCTTCTGTTTTACTGATATTGAGATTGTTCACTCTGCTACTTGTGGTGTGTTGAAATCTCTACTGATGAAAAGATTTCTATTTCTCCTTGTTTCTCTACAATTTTTGTTTAGTATATTTTGATGTTATTAAATACATACAAATTTATTGTTTGATTTCTTCTTGTTAAATTGGCATTTTCATCATTATAAAATCCCCCTCTTTATGTCTAGGAATAATTTAAAGTCTGATTTTTCTGGTAGTACTATAATCACACCATGATTTTACTGGTTACTGCTTTCTTCATACAGTCGATTCTCATTATCCATGTAATTATGCTCTATAAAGTTGCATGAATTAGTGTTAGTTGTGAGCACTGAATTAACAAATATTAAACCATTGTCCCCAGGGGAATTACTGGGTTAGGTTTCTGTGAGCCTCTGATCACAAACATTTCATGAACTGAGCAATACATAACCTTGTTTTATGTGTGTTTCTATATAATGACACCTTACCTAATATGCATTGTTAATTCATTAGCATTAAACGCACAGCCAACTGCACTATCACTCACACTGGCAGGAAGCTTCTCCAACACAGGTATTTTCTGCATAAGGCACATCACAGCCTTCTTGTTCTTGTGAACACCAGAACCTCAGCACTAACCTTGGGAGCAATTTTAAACAGAAAAGTCACCAACACAAAGCACAGAAATGCAAAAAAAATATGGCACTAAGTAGATCATAAAAAGGATACTTCTGAACAATGGAAGAGCTAAAACAAGAAGGCAGAATGGGACCTCATTTGACTTCGTCTGGGAATGTGCCCTTAAGAGACTCAAAATGTTCACCACTCTGCACAGGTTTGAGCACGACTGTGAAAACACAGAATACTGATTTAGGAGTTACAAATACATTTTGACTAGTAGGCAAACTTGGAATCAGTGAATAACGAGGACCACCTTTATATCTTCTTTCCAATCTTTCAATTTAAATCCTTCTGTGGCCTTATATCTAAAGTGTGTCTCTTTTTTATAGAAATGGTTGGATCATGCTCATTTTTTAATAACTATTATGACAATATCTGTTTTCAAACTGGAATGTTAGTACATTCAAAATTTATGTCATTTTTAATATAGTGCATTTTGAGCCTATCATCTTTCTATTCCCTTTGTAATTGTTTTACTTATTCTGTGCCCCCTTACTCCATCTTTTTTTGGGGGGGTTAATTATTATTTATTTTGCCTACATTTTATATTATGAAAATGTTATCTTAGTAGTACTCTATATAATTACAGTATTAGTAGTTTTTTTTTCTTATTATAATCTACCTTAAATTGGTGCATTACAAACTTTCCAAGGAGTGCAAGAGTCTTGAAACATTGCTTGCAGGGGAAGAGGCTCCTGTAATATTCCAATAGCACAAACCCCTTTCAACACTGAAAAGTCATTTACATTCCCTTCCCAATTCATCATCATGTCAAACAACACTTGGCTGTTTACAGAGAGACTGCATTTTACAGAGATCAGCTGAGTGTTTCATTATATTTTTATTATATTGCATTATGCAGATTCTACTATAAGGGAGACTGCTCAGACATGTTCTTCTGGTTACCCAACATCAATACATCAAAGATGAGGTAAATATTAGTAAATATTAATATTACATAGAACCTACAAAACAAACTTGTATAAAGTTTTAAAAACTCCCTTAAACTATATATTAATTGCAAAATAAATTATGAAATGCTTGTATAACACTGAGCAATTTCTATAATTAAATTGTAGTAATTTGTAATATAATTATACTCTAAGATTGGAGTGCTAAAAGATTTAGTTTAGCTCTGAAGAAATGATTTGGATGCTTCTGTGGTTTTGTTGGTTGGTTGTCTCTCCAAACCTCACAGAGGAATTTGATCCCTAATGTTAGAGTTCAGGCCTAGCAGGAGGTGTTTGGGTCATAGGGTGAACCCCTCATGAATGGCTTGGTGCCATCATGGTGGTAATGAATGAGTATCACTCTGTAAGCTCCTGGGAGAGCTGGTTGTTAACAAGAGCCCGGCACCTCCCGCCATGTTGCTTCCTCTCTCACCATGTGATCTCTGCACACACTGGCTCCCCTTGGCCTTCAGTTATGAGTGGAAACAGCCCAAGGACCTCACCAGAAGCCAAGCGGATGCCAGAGTCACACTTCCTGTACAGCCTGCAGAACCATGAGCCAAATAAACCTCTTTTCTTTATAAATTACCCAGCCTCAAGTATTCCTTCACAGCAACCCCAAATGGGCTAAGACAGATGCCTTTTCAGCTTTTTTTTTCTCTGTGATAGAAAATTTCTGACTCCAGATATTTAAATAAAAGACCTAAAACTGCCATAGCAGGAGGTCTACAAAAAGTAGAATGAGAGAGAAGCAGCAGGAAGGTATTCATTACTGATGATCATTACTGATATCCAAGCATTTGTTTATGGTGACTTGTCTTTTCTTCTTTACTTGACTCTATTTGTAGTCCATATTTTGTAAACCATTATCTGTATCATTCACATTTTCTAATGTTTTGCATAGGTTTGTACATTTTATTTTCAAACATACATGCATATGCATTTTATTGTGAAACAAAAAATTTACTATAGAAAATTAGAAAATACATTAGCAAAATTAAAAATAAGTCGCCATTAAGTATCCAAGAGAATCACAGTTAAACTTTAGAAGATACATTTTATCAGTCAAGTTATGTCTGTTCAATCTAATTATTTCAAAAGAGGTAATATTCATTTTGATTCAGCTTTATATTTTTATACTGTAATATGTTTGGCTGATAAATCAAATTATAAAAAGATAAATTCAATATAAAATTATTTAAGATTTTTAAAATAACAATAAAATGTATATTGTGGGTACATACATATTTAGGAAATATATTAAAAATAAATAAAAATTATAGTCCTTGAATAGCAATGAATAAAAAGTACCAATAGAAAGGAGTGAAGGTATAGAGGTTTTTAATTCTATCTGTAAGATTTCTTAAACAAAAAGAGGGAGAGATTTGAAGCAAGTATGACAAAATGTGTCATGTCTAGCTAATGAGTATGTTGTTGCTTTTATTATTTTCTGGGTATTTCTATGTTCTTAAAATAATTTCTTATTGAAAATATTAAATTAAGCAAATAAAAAGAACCAGGACTAGAATATACTTATCAATTCTACTTTTTCTACTTTATAATTTAACAATTATTTCTTTAAAATTCCATCCCTCCACTCACTTTTAAGAAGTTTCATATATGATCATTTTTAAATTTAAATGTAGAATTAATTCATTTTTTTCAATTTCTTGATTAGTAAGACAAGTTTTTGTTGTTGTTGTTGTTGTTGTTGTTGTTTGTACTCATCCATGTTTCTGTTTATATATACTATAACAAATTCAGGAACAATGGGAAAGTAATATATGAAACCTTAATAAGAAATACAATAGAGATTACAAAACACCACCATTTGATTTTTTATGCAAATACTTCAATATTCCAAGTAAGACAAGTTTTTAAATTCAGAAAATTTTCCTCTCGGTACACCTTTAGAAAATTTCATGTGTTTTGGCATGTAGCATTCTTACAGTCTGTTTTATACTTAAGATATTTTACATCACAACCATTTGCTTTTGGATCATCCAGTAAGCATTGATTTTTGCCTTACCTCATTCAATTTGTCAGATTCTCTATTAAATATTTACATAATTCATCTCACTTAATTCTCTCCAAAATCCTCAAAATTATTTCTTAAATAACAGAATCCAAAATCTCTTTCCAATAATGTGACAAATTAATGGAGAATTCTAATATAAATGTTCAAGTTGCAAGATTTTTATAACCACTAGCACTGTTTACAATTTGCCTATATTAAAAAGGACATCAAATAAGTCAGTGAAAGCCCACACTAAAAATTCACTTATTCAAAAAACAGTAAAATACAAGTAGGATTTCTTTGCCTTTTTAATTTTTTTCCCAATTGCATTATCATATTTTCATGGCACACAATTTTTAACACAATTAAAGTATTTCCAGAACACCAATGGTAAAATCACAGAAATTTTCACACAAGAAACAAAGGTGGAACACACAGAAAATTATGTATTGCCTCTCATTTTGTTGTTGATTCTTTGTGAAAACAATTGAAATACTTCTTTTGAAGTATCTAAATTATTTACAAGTTTAAATTACCCTACAACTTTTAATGTAGCTCCAATACTGAATTTTTCAGTGCTATACATCCCTACCAAGAAAAACAATGGAGAAAACCTCACCAACATTACTTCTCACAAAAATAACCAAATTTTTTTCCATAAGTTTTTGGGGTACAGGTGGTATTTGGTTACATGAGTAAGTTCTTTAGTGATGATTTGTGAGATTTTGGTGCACTTATCACCTGAGCAGTACACACTGCACCATATTCGTAGGTTTTTATCCATCGCCGCCCCCACTCTTCCCACACCACAAATCCCCAAAGTCCGTTGTATCATTTTTATGCCTTGCATCCTCATAGCTTAGATCTGACATATCAGAGAGAACACACAATTTTTGGTTTTCCATTACAGAGTTACTTCACTTAGAATAATACTTTCCAGTCTCATCCAGGTCACAGCAAATGCTGTTAATTCATTCCTTTTATGGCTGCGTAGTATGCCATCATACATATATACCACAGTTTCTTTATCCACTCGTTGATTGATGGACATTTGGCTTGGTTCCCGATTTTGCAATTGTGAATTGTGGTGCTATAAACATGCATGTGCAAGTATCTTTTTCAAATAATGACTTCTTTTCCGCTGTGTAGATACCCAGTAATGGGATTGCTGGATCGAATAGTTGATCTACTTTTAGTTCTTTAAGGAATCTTCTCACGGTTTTCCATAGAGGTCGTACTAGTTTGCATTCCCACTAGCAGTGTAGAAGTGTTCCCTGTTCACTGCATCCATGCCAACATCTGGTTTTGATTTGCATTTCCATGATCATTAGTAATGTTGAGTATTTTTTCATGTTTGTTGGCCATTAGTATATTTTCTTTTGAGAATTATCTATTCATGTCCTTAGCCCACTTTGCGATGGGATTGTTTGTTTTTTTCTTACTGATTTGTTTGAGTTTGTTGTAGATTCTGGATATTAGTTCTTTGTCAGATATATAGATTGTGAAGATTTTTTCCCACTCTATGGGTTGTCTGTTTACTCCTCTGACTATTCCTTTTGCCGTGCAAAAGCTGTTTAGTTTAATTAGGTCCCAGCTATTTATCTTTGTTTTTATTGCATTTGCTTTTGGGTTCTTTGTCATGAAATCCTTGCCTACGCCAATGTCTAGTAGGGTTTTTCCAATGTTATTTTCTAGAATTTTTAGTTTCAGGTCTTAGGTTTAGGTCCTTAATCCATTTGGAGTTGATTTTTGTATAAGGTGAGAGATGAGGATCCAGTGTCATTCTCCTACATGTGGTTAGCCAATTACCCCAGCAGCAATTGTTGAAAAGGGTGTACTTTCCCCACTTTATGTTTTTGTTTGCTTTGTTAAAGATCAGTTGGCTGTAAGTATTTAGGTTTATTTCTGGGTTCTTTGTCCTGTTCCATTGGTCTATGTGTCTATTTTTATACTAGTGCCACAATGTTTTGGTGACTATGGCCTTATAGTATAATTTGAAATCAGGTAGTATGATGTCTCCAATTTTGTTCTTTTTGCTTAGACTTGCTTTGGCTATGTGGGCTCTTTTTTGGTTCCATATGAATTTCAGAATTTTCTTTTCTAATTATGTGAAGAATGATGGTGGCATTTTGATGGGAATTGCATTAAATTTGAAGATTGCGTTTGGCAGTATGGTCATCTTCACAATATTGATTCTACCCATCCATGAGCATGGGATGTGTTTCCATTTGTTTCTATCATCTATGATTTCTTTCAGCATTGTTTTGTAGTTTTCTTTGTAGAGGTCTTTCAACTCCTTGACTCATTGGTTAGGTATATTCTGAAGTTTTTTTCTTTTTTTTGCAGCTATTATAAAAGGAGTTGGGTTCTTCATTTGATTTTCCACTTGCTCATTGTTGATGTAGAGAAGAGGTACTGATTTGTGTACATTAATCTTGTATCCAGAAACTTTGCTGAATTCTTTCATCAGTTCTAGGAGCTTTCTAGAGGAGTCCTTAGGGTTTTCAAGGTAAACTCTACCAATGTGGACGCCCTTTATTTATTTCTCTTGTCTGCTCTGGCTAGAACTTACAGTACTATCTTGAAGAGGAGAGATGAGATTTGGCAACCTTGTCTTGTTCTAGTTCTCAGAGGGAATGCTTTCAACTTTTTCTTATTCAGTTTTATGTTGACTGTGGGTTTCTCATAGATGGCTTTTATTACATTAAGGTATGTCCCTTGTATGCCAATTTTGCTGAGAGTTTTAATCATAAAGGGATGCTGGATTTTGTCTAATTCTTTTTCTGCATCTATTGACATGACCATGAGATTTTTGTTATTAATTCTGTTTATGTGGTATATCACATTTATTGACTTTCATATGTTAAACCATCCCTACATCCCTGGTATGAAACCCATTTGATCATGGTGGATTATCTTTTTGATATGTTGTTGGATTAGTTTAGCTAGTATTTTGTTAAGGATTTTAGCATTTATGTTCATCAAGGATATCAGTCTGTAGTTTTCTTCTTTGGTTATGTCCTTTTCTGGTTTTGGGATTAGGATAATGCTGGCTTCGTAGAATGAATGGGGGAGGGTTCCTTCTTTCTCTATCTTGTGGAATACCGTCAAAGGGATCAGTACCAATTCTTCTTTGAATGTCTGGTATAATTCAGCTATGAATCCATCTGGTCCTGGAATGTGCTGGCAATTTTTTAATTACCATTTCAATCTCGCTGCTTGTTATTGGTCAGTTTGGGGTATCTAATTCTTCTTGATTTAAGCTAGTAAGGTTGTATTTTTTCCAGGAATTTATCTTTCTCTTCTAGGTTTCCTAGATATGTGCATAAAGGTGTAAATAGTAGCCTTGAATTATCTTTTGTATTTCAGTGGTGTCAGTTGTAATATCTCCTCTTTCTTAGTAAGATTATTTGGATTTTCTCTCGTCTTTTATTTGTTAATCTTGCTAATGGTCTATTAATTTTATTTATCTTTTCAAAGAACAAACTTTTTGTCTTATTTATCTTTTGTATTTTGTTTGTTTTAATTACATTTAATTCTGCTCTGATCTTGGTTATTTCCTTTCTTCTGCTGTGTTTGAGTTTGATTTTTTTCTTGTTTCTCTAGTTCCTTGAGATGTGACCTTACAGTGTCACTGTGTGCTCTTTCAGTCTTTTCAATGTAGGTATTTAGGGCTATGAACTTTCCTCTTAGCACCGCCTTTGCTGTATCCCACAGGTTTCGATAGGTTGTGTCATTATTGTCCTAAAGTTCAAAGAATTTTTTGATTTCCATCTTGATTTCATTTTTGACCCAGTGCTCATTCAGGAGCACGTTATTTAATTTCCATGTATTTGCATGGTTTTGAAGGTTCCTTTTGGAGTTATTTCCAGTTTTATCCCACTGTGGTCTGAGAGAGTGCTTGATATAACTTCAATTTTCTTAAATTTATTAAGGCTTGTTTTATGGCCTACTATATGGTCTATCTTGGAGGAAGTTCCATATGCTGTTGAATAGAATGTGTATTCTGTGGTTGTTGTATGAAACTCTTTGTATATATCTGTTAAGTCAATTTATTCCAGGGTGTAGTTTAAATCCATTGTTTCTTTGTTGACTTTCTGACTTGATGATCTATCTAGTGCTGTCAGTGGAGTACTGAAGTCCCCCACTATCATTGTGTTGCTGTCTATCTCATTTCTGAGGTCTATTAGTAATTGTTTTATAAATTTGGGAGCTCCAATGTTAGGTGCATATATGTTTAGGATTGTGTTATTTTCCTGTTGGACAAGACTTTTTACCATTATATAATGTCCCTCTTGTCTCTTTTAACTGCTGTTGCTTTAAAGTTTTTGTTTTCTGATGTAAGAATAGCTACCCCTGCTCACTTTTGGTGTCCATTTGCATGAAATGCCTTTTTCACTTCTTTACCTTAAGTTTATGTGTGTCCTTATGTGTTAGGTGGGTCTCCTGAAGGCAGCAGATGGTTGGTTGGTGAGTTCTTACCCATTCTGTGGTTCTGTAACTTTCAAGTGGACCATTTAAGCCATTTATCTTCAATGTTAGTATTAAAATGTGAGGTGCCATTGCATTCATCGTGCTCTTTGTTGCCTGTGTACTTTGATTTTTTTGTTTTTTGTTTTTGCTTTTTAACTTGTATTTTTGTTTTATAAGTCCTGTGTGATTTATGCTTTAAAGAGGTTCTGTTTTGTTATGTTCCCAGGATTTGTGTCAAGATTTAGAGCTTTTTTAGTGGTTCTTGTAGTGGTGGCTTGGTAATGGCAAATTCTCTCAGCATTTGTTTGTCTGGAAAAGACTGTATCTTTCCTTCATATATGATGCTTAGTTTCACTGGATACAAAATTCTTGACTGACAATTGTTTCGCTTGAGGAGGGTGAAGATAGGGCCTCTATCCCTTCTAGCTTGTAGGGTTCCTGCTGATAAATCTGCTGTTAACCTGATAGGTTTTCCTTTAGAGGTTACCTGGTGCTTCTGTCTCACAGCTGATAAGCTTCTTTCCTTCATTTTAACTTTGGATAACATGATAACAACGTGCCTAGGCAAAGATCTTTTTGCGATGAATTTCCCAGGTGTTCTTTGTGCTTCTTGTTTTGAATGCCTAGGTCTCTAGCAAGGCATGGGAAGTTTTCCTTGATTATTCCCCAAAATATGTTTTCCAAGCTTTTAGAATTCTCTTCTTCTTCAGGAACACCGATTATTCTCAGATTTGGTCATTTAACATAATCCCAGATTTCTTGGATGCTTTGTTCATGTTTTCTTATTCTTTTTTCTCTGTCTTTGTTGGATTCAGTTAATTCAAAGACCTGGTCTTTCATCTCTGAATTTCTTTCTTCTACTTGTTCAATTCTATTGCTGAGACTTTCTAGAGCATTTTGCATTTCTAAAGGTGTGCCCAAAGTTTCCTAAATTTTTTATTGTTTTTTCTTTAAGCTGTCTATGTCCTTGAATATTTCTCCCTTCACTTCCTGTATCATTTTTTGGATTTCCTTGCATTGGGCTTCGTCTTTCTGGTACCTCTCTGATTAGCTTAATAACCTCCTGAATTCTTTTTCAGGTAAATCAGGGGTTTCTTCTTGGTTTGGATCCATTGCTGGTGAACTAGTGTGGCTTTTAGGGGGTGTTAAAGAGCCTTGTTTTGCCATATTATGAGGGTTGGTTTTCTGGTTCCTTCTTATTAGGGTAGGCTCTGTCAGAGGGAAGGTCTAGGGCTGAAGGCTGTTGTTCAGATTCTTTTGTCCCATGGGGTGTTCCCTTGATGTAGTACTCTCCCCCTTTTCCTATGGATGTGGCTTCCTGTGAGCCAAACTGCAGTGATTGTTTTCTCTCTTCTGGATCTAGCCATCCAGCAAGTCTACCCAGCTCCAAGGTGGTACTAGAGGTTGTCTGCGCAGAGTCCTGTGATGTGAACCATCTATGGGTCTCAGCCATGGATACCAGCACCTGTTCCAGTGGAGGTGGCAGGGGGGTAAAATGGGCTTTGTGAGCATTCTTAGCTTTGGTGGTCTAATGCACTATTTTTGTGCTGGTCGGCCTTCTGCTAGGAGGTAGCACTTTCCAGAAAGCATCACCTGTGGTAGTATGGAGAGGAACCAGTGGTGGGTGGGGTCCTAGAACTCCCAAGACTATATGTCCTTTGTTTTCAGTGACCAGGGTGGATAGGGAAGCACCATCAGGTGGGGGCGGGGCTTGGCGTGTCTGAGCTCAGACTCTCTTTGGGCAGGTCTTGATGCAGCTGCTGTCAGGGGTGGGGGTGAGGTTCCCAGATCAATGGAGTTGTGTACCTAGTCATGCAGGTTGTCACGGAAGTGGGAGAAGGCTGGCAGTCACAGGCCTCACCCACCTCCCACGCAAACCGAAGGGCTGGTCTCGCTCCCTCCATGCCCCCACAATAGCCCTAAATCCATTTCCAGGCAGAGAGCAAGGTGGGCTTGAAAACTTGCTCCAGGCCACCTGCCTCCCAGCTATGAAAGAAAAGCACTTGGTTCCCTTCCCCTGCCTGTGGAGTCTGAACACCAGATTTGAGCCTTCCCCCAAGTTCTGGCCAGGAGGATTCTCATCCCGTTCAAATTGTTTCAATATTCTAATAGAAACATCCTTTTCCCTGTGGAGTTTTACCCCCTGCTCCTCTGGCCATCCTCTGGATAGATCCCTGTGGTGCCAGTAGGAATGGCCTGCTAGTGGGCTAAGCGAGCTCCCAGGACCTTTCTGTTGCTTCCTCTACCCCTGCATTTCACTTGGCTCTCCAAATTGACTCTGCTCCAGGTAAAGTCAGAAATTTCTCCCGCAAACAGACCTACAGCTTCTCTACTGTGGGTGTGCATATAGGAGAGGAGGTTCTCCCTTTCCCACTTCTGCAGTTGGGGTACTCACAGCATTTGGGGTGCCTCCTGGGTCCTGCAGGAACAGTCTGCTTCCTTCAGAGGGTCTGTGGGTCCTCTCAGGATTTCTGGTTTCTTCTTGCAGTCAGTCTGGAGCTAAAATTCACAATGCGAGCCTCCGCAAGCTGCTCTGTATGGATCTGCAATCTAGTCCTGCCTCCCATCTGCCATGCTGATCAATTTTATCAAAAATAACCAAATTGTATGTGACTTACTTAAAACCAAGTGAAAGGAAAATAAAGTCAAATGTTTACAAGTCAAAGTGAATTATATTAATACCAAATTATTATATAGATTTATCAATGAAATTATATTATAGTACTATAAGGTCTAATTTTTTTCTGCGTGTGGATATTCAGTTTTTGCAGCATTATTTGTTGAAGAGACTATCCTTTACCTATTGGGTGTTCTTTGCACCTCTGTTGAAGATGAATTGAGAGTAAATGCACAGATTTGTTTCTGGACTCTCTATTCTGTTACTGGTCTATATGTCTGCTTTAATTATGATAGTTTTGTAGTATTTTGAAATCAGACAGTGTGATACCTCTAGCCTTGATCTGGCTTAAGATTGCTTTGGCTAGCATGGGCATTTTCTGCTTCTATATAAATTTTAGGATTTTTTTTCTATTTATTTCTGTGCAAAATGCCTCTGCAATTTTGATAGGGATTCTATTGAATCTGTGGATTGCCTTCAATAGTATGGAAATTTTAACAATATCAGTTCTTCTAATTCATAAATATAAGTCTTTACATTTGTTTGTGTCTTTAATTTTTTTCACAAATGTCTTATAGTTTTCAGTGTGCATAACTTTTACTTCCATTTATTCTTAAATGATTTACTCTTCTTGATGCTATTATAAATGAAATTATTTTCTTGATTTCTTTTTCAGATAATTTGTTATTAACATAGAGAAATGCAACCGATTTCTGTATATTGATTTTGTATCTTGCAACACTATTGAATTGATTTATTAGTCCTAACAGTTTTTTTGTAGAGTCTTTATGGTTTTCTATATACAAGATTATATTATCTGCAAACACAGACAATGTTACTTTTTCTGTCTCAAGTGCCTTTATTTCTTTTTCTTGTGTAAGTGCCCTATTTAAATATTTAAAGATGAATTAATGCCAATCCTCCTCAAACTCATTCAAAAAATTAGAGACCTCTTTAAACTTATTTTACAAGGCTAGAATTATCCTCATACCAAAGCCAGGCAATATCACTCCAAGAAAAGATAATTACAAGTCAATATTCCTGATGAACACAGGTGCAAAAATCTTTGAAAAATACTAGCAAACTGAATTAAACAACACATTAAAATGATCATACACCATAATCTAGCAGGATTTTTTTGGCATGCAAGGATGATTTAACATGAGCAAATCAGTAAGTGTGATACACTATAGAAATGTATAGAAACACTACACTTCCAGTGGGCAACCTTGTTTTTTCCTGATTTTAGAGGAGAAGTTTCAACTTTGGACCCTTGAATATGATGTTAGTGGTGGACTTACCATATGTATATGGCCTTAACTATATTATGTTTCTTCTACACCTAATTTGTTGAGAGTTTTTATCATAAAAGAATGCCAAGCCAGGCACAGTGGGTCACACCTGTGATCTCAGTGCTTTAGGAAGCCACGGCAGGAGAATCATTTGAGTCCAGAAGTTCGAGATGAGCCTGAGCAACGTATTGAGACACTGTCTCTACCAAAAATACAAAAAAATAGCCAGGCGTGGTGGCACATGCCTGGAGACCCAGCTACTTGGAAGGCTAAGAAAGGAAGATCACTTGAGCCCAGGAAATTCAGGCAGCAGTGACCTATAATTGTTCCACTGTACTCCATCCTGGGTGGCAGAGTGGGACCCTATCCCAAAAAATATATATATAATAATAATAATAAGTGATGTAGAATTTTGTCAAATAAATTTTCTATGTCTATTGAAATGATCATATAATCATTATCCTTCATTTTGTGAATATGGTGTATCACACTTACTGATTTGCTTATGTTAAATCATCCTTGTATTCCAAAAAAATCCTGCTAGATTATGGATTATGGTGTATGATCATTTTAATGTGCTGTTTAATTCAGTTTGCTAGTATTTTTGAAGATTTTTGCATCTGTGTTCATCAGGAATATTGTCCTGTAATTCTCTTTTCTTGGAGTGCTGTTGTCTGGCTTTGGTATGAGGATAATGCTAGCCTTGTAAAATAAGTTTGAAGGGGTCCCTGTTTAGTTTTTTGAAAGAGTTTGAGGAGAATTGGAATTAATTCATCTTTACATATTTGGTAAAATCCACCAGCGAAGCCTTCAGGTTTTTGGATTTTCTTTTATAGAATGTCTTTAATTACTGATTCAATATCTTTACTTGTTATTGGACTGCTTAGATTTTCTAATTTTCATGATTTGATCTTGGTAGGTTGTATGTTTCTTGGAATTTGTTCATTTCTTTTAGGTTAACCAATTTATTGACATATAATTGTTCATAGCAGTTTTCTTGTTCAAGAAATCCTTTATATTTCTGTGGTATTAGTTGTAATGTCTCCTCTTTTATTTATAATTTTATTTATTTGAGTCTTTCCTTTTTGCCTTAGTTATTCTAGCTAAAGGTTTGTCAATTTTGTCTATCTTTCAGAAAATTAACACTCAGTTTTATTTATCTTTTCTATTTTTTCTGTTGTCTGTATTATTTATTTCTTCTCTGTTATTTTCTTATTTCTGCCAACTCTGGGCTTAGTTTTCCTTTTTCTATTTCCTTGAGGTGTAATGTTAGATTGTATATTTTAGATCTTTTACTTACGTTAATATAGGCATTTACTACTATAAATTTTCCTCTTAGAACTGCTTTTTCTGCATTCCATAAGTTTTTGTTGTTATCTCACATGTCATTTGTCTCACAATATTCTGTTAATTTACTTTTTGATTTTTTTACCATTAGTTCTTTAGAAGTATGTTGCATAAATTTCCACATAATTATGAATTTTCTAATTTTCTCCTATTATTTATTTCTATATGGATATCACTGTGGTCAGAAAAGATACTTGATATGATTTCAATCTTCTTAAATTTATTAAGAACTGTTTGTGACATAATGTATAATCTGTCACGAAGAAGTTCTGTATGCACTTGAAAAGAATGTTTCTACTGCTATTACAGAAAATGTTCTGTATGTATCACTTAGGTCCATTTAGTCTATATGGATGATCAAGTTCACTATTTTCTTATTTTTTTTAATCTGGATGATCCATCTTTTGTTAGAAATGAGGTATTGAAGTCCCCTACTATTACTGTATTGCTGTATTTTTAAAAATTTCTGTTATAATTTGCTTTATATATTTAGGTGCTCCCATATTGGGCACATATATATTTACAAATGCTATATCCTCTTGATGAATTGACTCTTTTATCATTACATAATCACCTTTTTTATCTCTTGTGAGCATTTTTGGATTAAAGTCTATTTTGTCAATATAAGTAAAGCCATCCTTCCTCTCTTGTAGATACCATTTTGCATTGAATTTTTCTATCTCTTCACTTTCAGTGTGTGTATGTTCTTAAAACTAATGTGAGTATCTTGTAGAAAGTATAGGTTTTTTTAAAAAAAATCCATTCAGCCACTCTATGTGTTTGGATGGGAAATTTTAATCCATTTTTTCTTAAGGTAATTAATGATAAGTAAGGACTTACTATCAAAATTTGGTTATTTATTTTATGATTATGTTGTAGTTCCTTTGTTCTATTCTTTCTCTCTTGGTGTCTCCTTTGTGAATAGATGATTTTTTATGTTGGTATGCTTTGACTCCTTTTCCTGGTATGCTTTGACTCCTTTGCCTATTGACTACAAGTTTTTTTCTTTGTGGTTACCATGAGGCTTACATAAAATATCTTATGGTTTTAACAGATTATTTTAAGCTAGTGACAACTTAACTTTGCATACAAAACTCTGTACTTTAACTTCTCCCTCCGCATTTCATGTTATTGATGTCACAGTTTACATCATTTATATAGGATATCCATTTACAAATTATTGTAGCTATAGTTATTTTAACATTTTTGTTTCTTTAGCTTTTATGCTAGAGTTAAAAGTGATTTGCAAACCTCCATTATAATAGTAGGGTAGTCTGAATTTGGTTATATATTTATCTTTTAGTTAATTTTATGTTGTGCATATGTCTTTATGTTTTAAGTAACTTTTTTTTTTCAACTTAAAGCACTATCTTCAGCATTTCTATTAAGGAAGGTCTAGTGGTGACAAACTCTTCAGCTTTTGTTTATCTGGGAAACTATGTCATTCATTCATAAAGGATGGCTTTGCTAGGTATAATATTCTTAGTTGGAAGGTTTTGTTTGTTTGTTTGTTTGTTTGTTTGTTTGTTCCAGAACTTTGAATGTATCATTCTACTGACCTGCAAAGTGTCTGCTGAGAAATATGCTAATAGTCTTATGGCAGGGAGAGAAAGGGGTTTTTTCTTGGATGTGATGACTCGTTTTCTCTTGCTGCTTTCAAAATTTTCTCATTGTCTTTGACTTTTGAAAATTTTATTATAGTGTATCTCAGTGAAAATCTCTTTAAAAAATAAGACATTTGGGCTTCATGGGCCTGAATGTGCGTTTGCCTTTCCATATTTGAGAAGTTTTCTGTCATTATTTTAAAATAAGTTTTGTAACTCTTTACTTTCTTTACTACTTCCAAAATATTCATTATTTGTATATTGGTTTACTACACAGAGTTTTACAAGAGTCATAGGTTTTCTTATTTTTTTTTATTCTTCTGAATGGGTAATTTCAAATGACTTTTCTTTGAGGTCACTGATTCTTCATTTTTATTGAGTCTGATACTGAAGTTTTCTTGTTAAATTTTTAAGTTAAGTCATTGTATTCTTCAGCTCTTGGATTTTTTTATGTCTGTCTCTTTGTTTAAATTATAATTTTGCTTATGTATTCTTTTCTTGATATTGTTTTGTTGAATGTGTGTGTTCTATTATACCTTGCTGAGTTCTTTAAGAATATTGTTTTGAATTATGTGTCAGACAACTAATAGATCTCCATTTCTTTAGGTCAATAACAGGTGTTTTACTTTGATCCTTTTTGTTTCTTTTTCCAATTTTTTTTTTATTTTTATTGGTCATGGGGGAAAAGG
This sequence comes from Homo sapiens, assembly GCF_000001405.40. Classification (NCBI taxonomy): domain Eukaryota; kingdom Metazoa; phylum Chordata; class Mammalia; order Primates; family Hominidae; genus Homo; species Homo sapiens. Next base: position 54,521,034 of record NC_000007.14, read on the forward strand.
TCATGTTTCATTACATAAGTTCTTTAGTGATGATTTATAAGATTTTGGTGCAACCATCAGCTGAACACTATATACTGCACCTTATTTGTAGTCTTATCCCAAAGTCCATCGTGTCTTTCTTATGCCTTTGCATCCTCATAGCTTAACTCCCACTTATGAGTGAGAACAAACAGTGTTTGGTTTTCCATTGCTGAGTTACTTCACTTAGAATAATAATCTCCCATCCAGATCACTGCAAATGCCATTAATTCATTCCTTTTTATGGCTGAGTAGTATTTTATTTTATAAATATATATATATTTATTTTATTTATTTATTTATTTTATTATATATTTATTTTATTTTATTTTATTTATTTATTTTATATATATATCAGTTTCTTTATCCATTCGTTGATTGTTGGGCATTTGGGTTGATTCCACAATTTGCATTTGTAAATTGTGCTACTATAAACATGTGTGTACAAGTATCTTTTTCAAATAATGACTTGTTTTCCTCTGGGTAGATTCCCAGTAGTGGGATTGCTGGATCAAATGGTAGTTCTACTTTAAGTTCTTCTAAGAAATCTCCACACTATTGTCCATAGTAATTGTACTAGTTTATATTCCCACCAGCAGTGCAGGAGTGTTTCCTGTTCACCACATCCACATCAATATCTACTATTTTTTGATTTTTTTTATTATGGCCATTCTTGCAGGAGTAAGGTGGTATCACATTGTGGTTTTGATTTGCATTTCCCTGATCACTAGTGATGCTGAGCATTTTTTCATATGTTGGTTAGCCATTTGTATATTTTCTTCTGAGAATTATCTAGTCATGTCCTTAGCCCACTTTTTGATGGCATTGTTACATTTTTTCTTGTTGATTTGTTTGAGTTCATTGTAGATTCTGGATATTAGTCCATTGTCAGATGTCTAGATTGTGAAAATTTTTCCCATTCTGTGGGTTGTCCGTTTGCTCTGTTGACTGTTTCTTTTGCTGTGCAAAGGTCTTTAGTTTAATTAAGTCCCAGCTATTTATGTTTCTTTTTATTGCATTTGCTTTGGGGTTCTTCGTCATGAAGTCCTTGCTTAAGTCAATGTCTAGAAGAGTTTTTCCAATGTTATCTTCTAGAATGTTTAGTTTCAGGTCTCAGATTTAAGTTCTTAATCCATCTTGAGTTGATGTTTTATAAGATGAGAGATGAGGATCCAATTTCATGTGGCTCATCAATTTTCCCAGCACCATTTGTTGCAAAGAGTGTCTTTTCCCCACTTTATGTTTTTGTTTGCTCTGTTGGAGATCAGTTAGCTGTAAGTATTTGGGTTTGTTTCTGGGCTTTCTATTCTGTTCCATTGGTTTATGTGCCTATTTTTATACCTTGCTGTTTTTGTGACTATGGCCTTATAGTATAGTTTGAAATCAGGTAATTTGATGCCTCCAGATTTGTTGTTTTTGCTTAGTCTTGCTTTGGGCTCTTCTTTGGTTCCATATGAATTTTAGAATTTTATTTTCTAATTCTGTGAAGAATAATGGTGGTATTTTGATGGGAATTGCATTGAATTTGTAGATTGCTTTTGGCAGTATGAGCATTTTCACAATATTGAATCTACCCATCCATGAGCATGGGATGTGTTTCCATGTGTCATCTATGATTCTTTCAGCAGTGTTTTGTAGTTTTCCTTGTAGAGGAAACTAGAAACTAAAAATTTACCTCCTTGGTGTGGTATATTCCTATTTTATTTTTTTTTTTGCAGCTATTGTAACAGGGATTGAGTTCTTGATTTGATTCTCAGCTTGGTCGTTGTTGGCATATAGAAGAGCTACTGATTTGTGTATATTAATTTTGTATCTGGAAACTGCTGAATTTTTTTATCAGTTCTAGGAGCTTTCTGGAGGAGTTTGTAGGGTTTCTAGGTAAACAATCACACCATCAGCAAACAGTGACAGTTTGACTTTCTCTTTACCAATTTGGATGCCTTTTATTTCTTTCTCTTGACTGATTGCTCTGGCTAGGAATTCCAGCACTATATTAAAGAAGAGTGGTGAGAGTGGGCATCCTTGTCTTGTTCCAGTTCTCAGAGGGAACGCTTTCAACTTTTTCTTATTCAGTTTTATGTTGGCTGTGGGTTTGTCATAGATGGCTTTTATCATTATTGAAGTATGTCCCTTGTAGGCCAATTTGGCTGAGAATTTTAAGCATAAAGGGATGCTGGACTTTGTCAAATGCTTTTTCCACATCTATTGAGATGATCATGTGATTTTTGTTTTTAATTCTGTTTATGTGGTGTATCACTTTTATTGACTTGGATATGTTAAACCATCCCTGCATCCCTGGTATAAAACCCATTTGATTATGGTGAATTATCTTTTTGATCCGTTGTTGGATTCAGTTACTTAGTATTTTGTTAAGGGTTTCAGCGTCTGTGTTTATCTGGGATATGGTTTTCTAGTTTATGTGTGTAAAGTTGTTCACAGTACCCTTGAATGATCTTTTGTATTTCTGTGATGTCAGCTGTAATATCTCCCGTTTCATTTCTTATTGAGCTTATTTGGATTTTCTTTCTTCTTTTCTTGGTTAATCTTGCTAATGGTCTATCAGTTGTACTTTTTCAAAGAATCAGCTTTTTATTTCATTTATCTTTTGTATTTTCTTCTTTCAATTTCACTTAGTTCTGCTCTGATCTTGGTTATTTCCTTTCTTCTGCTGGTTTGGGTTTGATTTTTTCTTGTTTCTCTAGTTTCTTGAGGTGTGACCTTAGATTGTCTGTTTGTGCTCTTTCAGATTTTTTGATGTAGGCATTTAGGGCTATTAACTTGCCTCTTAGCACTGCCTTTGCTGTGTCCCAGAAGTTTCGATAGGTTGTGTCACTGTTGTTGTTCAGTTTGAAGAATTTTCTTATTTCCATCTTGATTTCATTTTTGACCCAATGCTCATTCAGGAACAGGTTATTTAATTTCCATGTATTTGCATGGATTTGAAGGCTCCTTTTGGAGTTGATTTCCAGTTTTATTCCACTATGGTCTGAGAGAGTGCTTGATATAATTTCAATTGTCTTAAATTTATGAGACTCATTTTGTGGCCTATCATATGGTCTATCTTGGAGAAAGTTCCATGCACTGTTGAATAGAATGTATACTCTGCAGTTCTGGGTGGAATGTTGTATATATATCTGTTAAGTCCATTTGTTCCAGGGTATAGTTTAAATCCATTTTTTTGTTGTTGTTGTTGACTTTCTGTCTTGATGACCTGTCTAGTGCTGTCAGTGAAGTATTGAAGTCCCCCACTGTTATTGTGTTGCTGTCTATCTCATTTCTTAGGTCTAGTAGTAATTGTTTTATAAATTTGGGACCTCTATTATTAGGTGCATATATGTTTAGGATTGTGATATTTTCCTGTTGGACAAGGCCTATCATTATATGATGTCTCTCTTTTTTTTTTTTTTAACTGCTATTGCTTTAAAGTTTGTTTTGTCTGATATAAGAATAGTTACTCCCAAGATTATATGCCCTTTGTCTTCAGTTACCAGGGTGGGTGGGAAGGACCATCAGGCGGGGGCAGGGTTAGGCATGTCTGAGCTCTAACTCTCCTTGGGTGGGGCTTGCTACAGCTGCTGTCCAGGATGGGGGTGAGGGTCTCCGGTCACTGGAGTTATGCTCCTTGGAGGATTATGGCTGCCTCTACAGTGTCATGCAGGTTATTTAGGGAAGTGGGGGAAAGCTGGCAGTCACAGGCCTCACCTAGCTTTCACACAATCCAAAGGGTCAGTCTCACTCCCACCGTGCTCCCCACAATAGCACCAACTCTGTTTCCAGGCAATGGGCTAGCAGGACTGAGAACTTGCCAAGGCCACCCACCTCCCAGCTGTGGCTTTCCTTCTTCCCCCACCTGTGGAGTCTGCACACTGGATTCACACCCTCACCCAAGTTCTGGCCAGTTCAAATTGTTACAATCAGTTCAAATTGTTACAAAGTTCAGCTGGAAATTCTCTTCTCCCTATGGTCTTTTCCCAGTGTCTCTGGCTGTCCTCACAAAGGACTCCTGTGAGGCCAGGCAAAAATGGCTGGCTAGGGAGCCCAGCGAGCTCCCAGGGCTTTTCCTGCTGCTTCCTCTACCCCTATATTTCACTCAGCTCTCTAAATTGACTCAGCTTCAGGTAAGGTCAGAATCTTCTCCCATAATCTAGGCAGTCAGTTTCCCCAGTGGGGTTGTATGTTCCAGGGCGGACGATCTCCCCTTCCCCCTTCCACAGTTTGGGCACTCACAGTATTTGGAGTGTCTCCCAGGTCCTGCAGAAGCAATCCGCTTCCTTCAGGGGATCTGTGGTTCTTCTCAGGTTTCCTCATGTATTCCTGCAGTTGTTCTGGAGCAAAAGTTCATGATGGGAGCCTCCACACAGTGCTCTGTCCGTCCAAGTCGGAGCTGCAATCTAGTCCTCCCTCCTGTATGCCATGATCTGCCAAAAGCCCTGCTTTGATCCTTTAGTGGTGTCATGTTTCCCTGTTTATTTATGATCCCTCATGTCTTTGTGCTAGTTCCTGTATTTACAACTCTATTTTCAACTGTATTTACACCTCTTCCAGTATTCACAACTGAATTTGGCAGAGAAAACCCTCTAGTAGTCAGCCAATCCAGAGATTCCTGGCAGGCTGATTAGTGAGGCCTATGGTTGAGCTTGCTGCAGAAGATAGCCCTTGAATAAGTTTTCCTGACTCCTGGGTCGAGGGAAAGGAGGGCTTGGCCTGAGGGCAGACCTCGATCCTGAGTCTGTGGGTGCAGGCCTAGGTCCTGAATCCATGAGGAAGTATCTGGTGCCAGAGTTCTCTGTGGTGGGCCTGGTACCTGGATCTGCAAGGGAAGTTCTGAACCCTAAGTCTGTGGGAGAGGAGTAGGGCCTGGGTCTGTGGAACCAACCAGCCTGAAGCCTGGGTCTATGAGAACTGACCTGGAGCTGGGGTAGTCCTTGAGTCTAGATTGGGGGCCAGCACGGTACAGGGTGTGCCTAAAGAATGGTTCCTTAGGGGCTAGCCTGATGCCAGGGCAAGCCTAGAGCCTTGGTCTACAGGCACAGGCCTGGAACTTGGATCCACAGAGGCTGGCCTGGTGCCAGGGCCTACAGTGAAGCTGGGGGCTCACTTCACTATCCTTCTCAATCATGGAGGGATCTCTGCTGTGGCCTTGTGGTCTTAGGGGAGAGGTGACATGAATAATGTGAAACTGTGTTTCCTACCCTCTTCAGTGTGTCTCTTCTCATTTCTGTGCTCCACCCAGGTGCTGTAGTCACTTCTTTTGCTCTTATGAAGATATTTTTATGCATGGACGGCTTTTCAAAATGATGTTACTTTGAGGGGACAAGTGCAAGAAACTCCTGTTTCACCATCTTGCTTACATCACTCTTTGTGTATTTTTAAGTAAACATTTTTAATTTTGAAACAGATTTAGATTTACAGAAAAAATGCATTTAGTGCAGAGAAGTCATATATATACCCCACACCTAGTTATCTTACTATTAACATCTTACATTAGTATAATTATTTCATTATACTTCATAAACAAATGTTGATAAATTATCTTTTGGTAGAGTTTATATTTTATTTGGATTTCCTTGGTTTTTACCTAATTTTATTTTTCTTTCAGGATCCAATTCAGTATACCACAATGCATTTATTCATCATATTTTCTTAGGTTGTAATTTTTCAGACTTTCCTTATTTGTTATGACCTTCACAGTTTTGAATACTAATGTCAGGCAATTGTAGAATATCTCTCAGTAGACATTAATATGATAATTTTCTCATAATTAGACTTAGGTTATGGACTTAGCGGAAGAAGACCACAGAAGTATGAAAACACTCTCATCACACCATATCAAGGATCTATGCATGTATGAAATCAAATACATTTATTTTATGCCTAGGGTTATAACACAATACTGCTTTGCTTAATTTTTGTTAAATTTTTTCAAATTTGACAATTGAGAATTATTTCAGTTGGCGCCTGTGTCTCTTTGATATGTTTTCATCATTCTTTCTGTCTTAAGCACTTCTTCACTCTCTTCTGGTACTACAAGATGCTCCAGGCTTAACTTGTGTATTTTTTGCTCCAGTCCTAGAATTTCTCCAAGAGGCCCTTATTAATTTTATTGAAGAATGGTATTAGAAACTAACTTCTGAGAGGTAAGAAGTTACCTCTCATTGCTACAGTGCACATTGCTACAGTGTTACTTTTGCATCTAGGATTTCTCAACTGCAAAGACATATAAGTGTATACTAACAATTTCTACACACATATATACTTATTTCTATGTGTAACCAACTGTTTTTATAGCAAATTCATTGGATCCCTCCAACTGTAATCCATTATCACATGGATCATTCTAGCTTTCTCTCTTGCTTATTTGTAATCTTCCACTCTAATAGCGAGAAATCTAGCTTCCAACCATCTTCTATCCATTTATGTGTTTAATTCCAGTATCTATGCAGTGGTTTCAGAATTATTAACTCCCATGGAAACAACTTTTTCAAGTCTTTAGTTGAAAATAGTCCTCATGCATATTTCCTTTCCTTTTAATCGTACACACTACTTATTTCTAAATTAACTTAGTTCAGCACCTATTCCTCACCCCATTCAGTGAAGTTGTGTCCAACATTTGCAGTAGAGTTAGAATCTTTCTTCATATTCTGCATTCCATCCTGGGATCACTAAACTCATAACTAAATTTTTAAAATTTGCATAACTAAAGTTCATTCTTTATGCTGTAAAGTTGGTTTTCAAAGGTACATTATTTTTTGTATCCACCATTACAGTGTAATACAGAATAGTTTCACCACCCTAAATAATTTTTTTTTTTTTTTGAGCTAGAGTCTTGCTCCGTTGCCCAGGCTGGAGTGTAGTGGTGCAATCTCATGTCATTGCAACCTTTGTCTTCTGGTTTGGTTGATTCTCCTGCCTCAGCCTCCCGAGTAGCTAGGATTACAGGTGTGTGCCACCAGGCCCAGCTAATTTTTTTGTATTTTTAGTAGAGATAGGGTTTCACCATGTTGGCCGGGCTGGTCTTGAACTCATGACCTCAGGTGATTCGCCCACCTTGGCTTCCCAAAGTGCTAGGACTACACGTGTGAGCCACCATGCCTGGCCCCTAAAACAATTCTCATATTCAATTATTCCACCTTCCCACCTGCTTTGAACAACAGCAACCACTGTTATGTTTACAAAAAGTCATATAACTGAAATCATACAGTATGTACCCATATCAGTCTGACTTTTTTATTTAATAATAGGCATTTAATATTCCTCCATGTTGTTGTATGAATTAATAAGTCATCCTTTTTTTCCACTGAGGAATATGCCATTGTCTGGCTGCTGCAGTTTGTTTATCCATTCAGCTCTTAAAGGATATTTTAGTTGCTTCCAGCTACTATGAATAAAGTTTCTAATAGCACTTTTGTATACTGGTTTTGTGTGGGCATGCATTTTCAAATAAATTGGGTAAATACCTAAGAACACAGTTACTGGATCATAAGAAAGACAATATTTTAGCTCTAATATGCACTGTCAAACTGTCTTCCAATGGGCCTGTACCATATTGCAGTTCCAGAAGCAATGGATGAGGTTTTCTGTTTCCCTGCATCCGCACTGGCAATTGGTATTGTCAGGTTTTTGGATTTTAGCCATTCTAATAAGTTTAGCAGTATCTCATTATTGTTTTAGTTTGCATTTCCCAAATGGCAAATGTTTAGTATCTTTTCACATGCTTATTTGCAATATGTATATCCTCTTTAGTGTGAGTTATCTGTTCAGATAAGAGTTTTCTGTATCTTGTGGATACAAGCTCTTTATTAAATATGTGTTTCTCAAATAGTGTCTCTCAGTCTGAAGCTTGCCTATCTATTCTCTTAACAATGTCTTTTACAGGAAAAATTTTTTTTTATTTTAATAAAGTGTAACAACTTGTTTTCTTTTATGAATTGTGCTTTTGGTATTGTATCTGAAAATTAATTCTAAAACCCAAGATCTCATTAATTTTCTTATGTTTTCTTCTAGAAGTTTTATAGTTTTGAATTTTACATTTATGTCTATTACTCTTTTGAGATAATTTTTGTGAATAGTGTAATGCATATGTCTAGGTACATTATTGATCATATGGAGTTCTATGTTGATCATATGGAGTTGAGAAAGAAACATTTGTTGAAAATACTATCCATTCTCAATTAGGTTGTGTTTGTGCCTTTGTCTCTCATGTATTTTTAATCACAGATGTGAAAAATATTCTAAGGCTGTTTGATGTAAGAATAATAGATTTAGACCAGGTTTATTATTAAATAAGCAATTATTCTTCTCACCAATGGTCTTGGCATTGAACAAAAGTACACACAGTTTCTAGGTATTCATTTTTTGTTGTGTTGTATTCATTACTCCTTCTCAGGGACAGTTTTTTTTTCTGACAGACACTAAACTAAAGAAAAAATATTGAGCAAAGTAACTCAAATTATGAAAAAACAGAGCTAATAGTCTATAATGAAAAATAGAATATTAATATGCAATTACCACAGAGTATGACAAGTTTTATAAAGAAATGCAGGTGATTGGAAGCACAGAATAGGTGTACTATAGCATAGAGTGATCAGAAAGAGTTTTTTGAAGTGATATTCAAGTGTTATCTTTATGTTGATTCAGAGTGATCCAGGTGAAAACTAGAAATGGGAGAGGTGGAGGTAGAAACGTTGTTCTGGGAGAGAAACATCTTTTTTGCTGACAAAGCATAGATTCTTTTTTACCAGATTAAAAAAAAAAGATAAAATTAAATGTGTCAATGGCAAGAGGTAAAGCTAAAGAGCTAGGCAGGAATGGCACCCCAAAATGTTACAGCAATTATTCCAGTGATGATGTTGAAAGAGAGACAATATTTGATTTGCAGTTTTGGAAGCTCCTTATTACTGCAGGGTGGAAAAGATATGGACTAAAGCAACAGTAAAGATAGAAAATCACATTCAAAGGTTGTGTGGTAATCTAGGTAGCCTGGTGATGATGTTAAGAGTTGAAATTCAAATAGTAATAACAGGATAAATCAACAGGACTTGTTGATTCATTGGAAATTGGGGAAAAAAAAGAAAACAGCAAGATGACTTGAAGCTCTCTTAATTGCAGAATGATTGCAATATAGTGCCATTGCTGTGTTAGTAAACAGTAAAATAAGTACAGATTTGGGAAGATCACAAGATAAGTCCTGGCCATGTTGAATTTGATGTGCCTGGGAAATATTAAAGTGAATATTTTCAATAGTCAGATGGTCCTAGATCTCAGAAGAGAAGTTTTGAATTAAAGATACAGGCCTGGAAATTCTCAATGATGTAACTGAAATTGAAATAGCTGAGATTGTTAAGTCTTGCGTAAAGAATGAAAAGAATATGGTATAGGACATTGTTCTTAGAAGTACTAGCATAGAATGAAGGGTTGAAACAGAGGGCCTTGGAAAAAGGTACTGGGACGGCCAAGGAAATAGGAAGAGAAATAGAAGACTGTGATGTTTAAAAATCAAGAGAAAATAAAGTTTTAGATGCATGAGTTGGCCATCAGAGTTAAATTATGTTGAGAGGTCCAATTAGATAAGATATGAAAAATGTCCACTGATTTATTTTGCAAGAACGTTTTTAGTCACCTTGGTGAAATAAGTTTCAGTGCATTTCTGTTGGCTCAATCCAGATTACACTGGATTAAGTCATGAATGGAAAATGGATATCTTATAAAAGAGAAAGCCATCTGAGAACCAGCCTAAATTCGGCCCATAAGGACCATCTGGGGAATAAGGCGACACCAACAGAGTCTGTGTGGAATGAGCCACAGAGCAACGGAACAGCTGGAAACCACCCCTGGGGAAACTGCATCAGCTGCCTGGAGTCTTGTGACCATCGTCACGTTGGTCCTTTGCCCTCTCCCATCTCCGGGCCTGCTGTCTGGAATGTAGATGTGGCCACATTGAACCACAAAGATGAGGACCACATTCAGCCTCTCTCAGACTTCAAAGAGCAGAATGTCAGAAAAGCCTTGAATCTCTGACCTCCAGACATTGTTTGTGCAACAGGTAGATAAAGTTCAATCTCGCTTAAGGTGTTATTTGGGGGGTTTCGTCACTCTGAACATAATTTAATTCTTTCTAAAAAGCCTGCTGCCTTAACGATGCTAGCTTCACTCCCGCAGGTAAGTTTGTGTGTTTGGTGACAGAAAGCTGAAGGAGCTTTCCTCCCATAGCCTCTATTGAATATTTAGAGCAGCAATAGTGGCTTTTTATCACAAAAGGAGAGCTCTTGAGGCTGTAGGAAGGGGTAGCTGGCAAGAGTGAAATAGTAACTGTGGAGAGTGTGGAGTGAACCAAGCAAGGGATTAATAGATTGATAATTATTACTTTGAAAATAATAGAGTTAATAGATTTATAATTATTGCTATGAAAATAATAGAGTTACAAGCAACACCAAGGGCCCATTTGAGACTACTAAGAATGAATGTTTCATGATATCAGTTTAATGGTAATGGTTTTGAATTTCTTTTTTTTTTTTCATTAAAGAAAACTGCAGAAAACATAAATGTCCAGATCAACAAATCAACACAGAGAACACCCATAGAACCAGTTCCCAGGTCAAGAAATAGAATATGATGAGACCCGCTGGGCCTCTGCCCACATGACACCCCTTTCACTTTTCCAATATTTATTTCTATTACCATAGTATAGCTCTACCTGGTTTTAAGACTTTATTGAATGGTACCATAGAGTATGTGCTCTTCTGCGTCTAACCTCCTGTGTTCAATACATTTATGAGATTTATCAATTTTGTTGTCTATAGCTATACTTGTTGATTTTCTTTGATGTCTGATATTTAATTATATGAATATGCCACAACTTATTAAGCTGTAGATAGACATTAGGGGTATTTACAGTTTTGACCTCTTAAAGGTAACTATGATGGATTATGCCAGGTAATTATTGTGATATTATTGCATAAGTTTCTTAGTGTAGAGATACACAAATTCCTATTGCATATATACCTAGGAATGGAATTAGAGTTCATAGTGTGAATACATCTTACACTTAGCAGACGTGTTAAAATGTGTTCCACAGTGCTAGTACTAATTTGGTGGTTTCCCACCACATTGCATGAGCCTTCCTATATTGCTTCACATATTCCTTCACAGATCAATACTTGAAATAATACTTGAAAATAACAATCTTCTAAATTTGGAGATTCTAATGGGAGCATACTATCTCACTGTGCTTTCATTTACATTTGAGTTGCTGCTAAAGAGATGAAATGTCTTCATGTATTTATTCAGTTTTTAGATATTCTTTTTTGTGAAGTGAGTGTAAAGTGTTTTGCTGATTTTAAAAAATAGTATGTCTTTTCTTATTGATCTGTGGAAATTTTTAATATATTCTGAATATGAGCTTTCCCATTCTACTCTACATCTGTCATTCTTAATTAATAGTATCTTTTGGTGAACAGAACTTAATTTTAATGGAGTTCAATTTGTCCATTTTTTCCTTTATGGGTGGTATTTTTAACCCCATTTAAGCAATACTTCCCTATACCAAAATCAAGAGTATTTACCTCTATATTATTGTCTAGGAACTTTAACGTTTTGGTGTTCTAACTTCGACCATATTAAACCTAGATTTTTTCTCAACAGAGTTTGAAGTTAGGAATCATATTTTCCTTTGTTTCCATGCAGCCATCCAAAAGACCGACCATCATTTATAGAAAATATCTTCCTTTGATTATTTACCTCAAATCTCACCTTTATCGTATATAAAAGTCCATATATACACATTCAGATGCCTAAATTCTCTCCTTTAATATCGTTTGTTCATTTCTCTAACCTCATGCTAATATGACAATGTCCTAACAATTCTTTATATTATCTTGATATCTAGTAGATCAAGCCTTCATAGCTGCTATAGTCTGAATATTTGTGTCCTCCACAAAATTCATATGTTACAGTCTAATCCCCAATGCAATGGCATTTGGAGGTGGGGCTTTTAGAAGATGATTGGGTTACGAAAGTGGACACCTCATGAATGGAATTGGTGTCCTTATAAAAGAAACCCCAGAGAGCTCTTTCACCATGGATATTCAGGTAAAGACACAGTGAGAAGACAATAATCTATAAACCAGGAAGTGCACCCTCACCATCTGCCAGTGCCTTCATCTTGGATTTCCCAGCCTCCAGAATTATGGGGAATAAATTTCTGTTATTTATAAGCCACCCAGCCTTATGGTATTCTGTTGTAGCAGCCCAGATTGACTACGGCAATTTCTCTTCTTTAAAAAAAAAAAATCTTTGCTATTCTTTATTCTCAAAAATTTCCAGAAGAAATGTAAAATTCCTTGTCAATCACCACAAATGACCTTTTGACATTTTTATTAGATTGCATAAATACATAAAGTCATGTGTCTTCCAGTCAATGAAGATGAAAATACCCTCATTTTATTTAGATATTCTTACATTTCTCTCAACACATTAATAGTTTTCTATACAGAAATCCTGCACTTTTTCATTAGATTTATTCACAGGTGTTTGATAATTTTATTCTCTTGTAAATTTTATCTTTTTAAACTATTTTAATAGTCAATCTTTGTTGCTAGGATATGGAAATACAATTGATATGATACATTGACCTTACATGCAAAAATTTTTTCTAAATTTACATATAAATTCTGACAATTTATCTTTAGATTTTGAATTTTCTACATATATAGTCATATCAACTGCAAATATTGTCAGTTTTATTTCAACTTTTTTGATTCTTACATATTTTATTCATTATTCTTGATTTAATGTGCTGTTAGCTAGTACCTCCAATACAATGTTGAATGGTTCTGAAGGTTGTGGGCATTTTTTCTAAGTCCGAAACTCAGAGGCACACATCAACATTTTGCTGTTAAATATGATATTTGATTTTGATATGTAATAGATGTCCTTCTTAATATTAAAACAGTTCTCATATTTTTGTGTTAAGAAATTTTTTAAATAATAATCACAAATTGATATTTAATTTTATTACATTTTCGTTAATTTCTTAAAGTGGTTCACTAAATGAGATCCAAGATTTACCATGCTAGCATTAGAAGTTGAAAGTGGTTCTAAGAGTTTGCTTGGCTCGGTAACTGAAACGTGGATTTAAAGATGGCTTACATTCAAGGAAGTTAAAATTATAAACTTCCATAGTATAATATGGAAAAAGATACCAAAGATTCAGGAAGATAGGAATGCTGTATGTATTTATTATGTGAAACACATTTACCTTCCCACTATTCCCTGGGAGGGCTCAGAAGACACCCTGTTCTCTAAGACATTACCAATTATCAGTGAAGCATCACTAGCTTCCATAAAGCCAGCTCTGTGGGGTCAGCCTTCTGTAGTGCAACATTGTAATGGGCTCCTTTTTTGATGGGGATGACTTCTTCATGGCAGCACTTAAACATTTAATTAAGCACAAAAGTGCAGTAATAAGCCAAATAATGCCATGGCCATCCAGGGATTTTAATCTGGTATGGATCTCTGCTTGTGGCCCATTAATCATGATGGACCTAGAAACTAAATATGTAACTACTGATACATAGTATTACCCAATATATACAACTGGGAAAAAACATAAAAGACTTTAGATCTGGTCAATAGAAACATGACTAGGCATGTGGTATCATCCAGAGAGTAGATTTCTATTAAGAACTGAGTGTGTGTTTGTGTATGTGTGAGAGAGAGAGGAGAGAGAGAGAGAGAGAGAGAGAATATTTACTGAAGAGGGAGAAGACATAGAGAAGTTTCTCTATGTCTCTAATCTTAGAAGAGAGAACTCTAGACTGAGCATGGTAGCTCAGGCCTGTAATCCCAGCACTTTGGGAGGCCAAGGCAGGTGGATCACCTGAGGTCGGGAGTTTGAGACCAACCTGGCCAGCATGGCGAAACCCCATCTCTACTAAAAGAAAAAAAAAATTAGTTGGTCACGGTGGCACATGCCTGTAGTCCCAGCTACTTGGGAGGCTGAGGCAGGAGAATCTCTTGAACCCAGGAGGCAGAGGTTGCGTTGAGCCAAAATCATGCCACTGCACTCCAGCCTGGACCACAGAGTGAGACATCTCAAAAAAAAATAAAAGAAGAAGAAGAGAGAACTCTAGGATGCAATGGAGAGAACTGGAGAAGGTCTGGACCAGTATGGAAAAGAGAGGGTCCCATAGAGTACAGAAGGCTGGTACATCTTGCTTGGAGAATGAGGGTATCTAGCACATGTGGTCCAGTCATGTTGTCTGGCTAAAAGACTGCAACGAAAAGAGTGCCAGCTACAGTTTTTCCTTTACTCTTACATTTACTCCCTTCTCTCCAGTTCTATCACACCCCTGAAATTCATTGTCACAGCACACCATTCCTGTGCATGTGCATGCATGCACACAACACACATATCCACCCCTCTCAGTATGGAGCAGCAAACACAATATTCACAATTAGTAACCAAGCCCTCTGAATATAACACAAATCCCAGGAAATTTTGAAGACTTGCTCTATCTTTTTATTTTCTCCTTCTTAAATTGCAGTGCAGTTTCCAAAGTATAGTTTCCTGTACCCATGTTTCCTTAAATCTAAAGTGTCTTTGCCCAATCTTAGCAATTACCAAGACTAATTGATGATTCAGCCCGGCCATTGGGGTTACTCCCACAGGACCTATAGGTCTCTCCAAAGAGAATGTAAGCCGACTCCTACTCCTGAATTTAGAACGCTCTGACGGGATAAAAAATTACTTTTATCCACCTCAAATAACCCCCAACTAAATTCTGACTGTTTATAAGACTCTTTTTTTTTTTTTTTTTTTTTTTTGAGACAGAGTATCGCTCTGTCACCCAGGCTGAAATGCAATGGCGCGATCTCGGCTCACTGCAGTCTCTGCCTCCTGGGTTCAAGAAATTCTCCTGCCTCAGCCTCCTGAGTAGCTGGGATTACAGGCACATGCCACCACGCCCAGCTAATTTTTGTACTTTTAGTAAAGACAGGGTTTCACCATGTTGGTCAGGCTGGTCTTGAACTCTTGACCTCATGATCTGCCCACCTCGGCGTCCCAAAGTGTTGGGATTACAGGTGCAAGCTACCACGCCCAGCCTAAAAGACTCTTAAATGATCTTTCATCTTGTACCTTGCCAGTTACCCAGTCATGATGCTTAACTTGATATCGGATCTAAGGTCTTCATATTACTCTTTAGCTAGGGTAGTCATATCATTTACCATCCAAAGGGCACAGCTTTTGACAGTATAATAAAAGTGTGTGCCAGTAATAATTACAATGGGACAACTGACATAAATCAGTACCATTCTAGTGGTGTCACATTTTTAACCAACCTAGGATTTCCATGATGGTCCCCTAATTCTCAGGATTCTAAGAGTCCAGGGACTACACAGAGCTCTGTGATGACTAGGATCCCTTTCCTAAGTCACTGAGCCCTTCCTACTGTGACCCGAATAACTCCAATCAAGTTTATTATCATAAAGAATCACTCCATCGCCATTTAATAACATACCTGGCTCAGTTTACTTTAGGATGGGTGGAAGCTCCATACATACTGGAGTCATACCAAAACGATTTTCCGAAAATAACTCTGCTAGAACACTGCTAAATCAAATATAGAACTCCAGACTCTTGCCCTGCCCCTCTTCTCACACATATCTCATAAATATAGTCTCAAGGCCCTAGTGTATTTTTTATGTAGTCTTGTTTTGAACTAATTTCAGTTTTTCTTTCAAATATTAGTTCTTAATTCCTCAATATCCACAGAGTATACTTACCACAGTTTGCCTCAGGAGAAGCTCAGAATATTCCCATGCATTCTCCTAAAAATACCTCTATAAGATTTAATGAGACTTCCCTTTTCATTCCATCTGAATTTTACAAAGCCTCAGGTTCATGCGTCAAAGATAGGGATAAATGACAATAAAAATCAGTTAGCTTTTATTGAACACTACTGTATACCTGACACTGTGATTAAGCATTTGCATGCATTATCTCAATGGATCTGCACAAAATATGAAAAAGGAACTATTATTTACAGGGAAAGTGGGTGAGGTCTAGGAAGGGTAAGCCACTTGCTTAAGAACATATAGACAATAAATACTGAGAGGAAATTTGACCCCAGGTTGGTAGAACTCAGAAACCACTTTTTTTTTAGAGATGGAGTCTCACTCTGTCACTGGGCTGGAGTGCAATGGCATGCTCTCAGCTCACTGCAACCTCAGCCTCCCGAATTCAAGCGATTCTCCTGCCTCAGCCTCCTGAGTAGCTGGGATTACAAGCATGTGCCACAACACCTGGCTAATTTTTGTATTTTTAGTAAAGACGGGGTTTCTGCATGTTGGAAGACTGGTCTTGAACTCCTGACCTCGTGATCTGCCTGCCTTGGCCTCCCAAAGTGCTGAGATTACAGGCGTGAGCCACCGCACCTGACCCAGAAACCACTTTTAACTGAGAATGTGTATACTTAAAAAATGTAAGGCTAGCTAAATGTTTATAACTTGTTTTGTTTCTTGAAAGATTTTCAAAAGCATTGTTTTAAGTCATTATTTACATTCATTCAAACTGTAAATAGAGGTATAGAACCATAGACAAACTTAGAAATTTTAGACTTTATCAAAAATTGCTGCTTTTCTCATAGTTTTGTTTTCTTTCTCTAAATAATTATCTGCCGCACAAAAATAGATACGGAAGGTGGTTACTTGGTTATTCACGCTAAAAATCCATAACAGAATTTTTAATGAGAAACACATATATTGAAATTATTAAATATCACAAATCCTGAGCTTTAACCGCAGCATAATTCTGAAGAAGGAAGGAACATTCCTGAGACAGTAGATTCAGCCACAACATCCTCAGCTTTTCTTACCTGGTGGCCTCTAGTTGAAGATTTTTTTCACAAAGGGATGGACACATAATATTGATGCTAACTGTGTTGCTAATGAAGAAATTGAGAGGCACAGCTTAGTTTTGATCATGAGCCCATTTTAATTTCTCATAAGAGAAAAAAATGAATGTAAGTAGCCATGAGTTTTGTAGAGGGCATCTAAGCTGATTGTGATATTGAGGCTTCCCTTTGCCTTTCCTGGATGTTGCCTCTAGGCCAGATATTACGATTTAAAATGACATAACATGACCTCATGAAAAATTTGAGGTCTAACTTCGTGAACTCCAATTACAAAGTTACATAGATTTCCACAGAATGAAAGCCAGATGTAAGTAATTTACATTTTAGTCATGTAAAAAAGGAAGAGATAAAAGGAGAAATGCCATCTGGAAGATTAAAATCAACAGTAGCCATGTAATGGGCAGTTAGTGTCCACATAGGTCACCTGCCTCTTTAAAATGTTTGACACTTCCAGTGGCCAGCAGTTATTCTCTCTCTACCAATTGTTTACTTTATAAAACACAAGCTCTGAGAAAACAACAAGTCGTGTTGAGATGTGGGGACTATCTAGGATTCTGGAATCTTAAAAGACTTGTTTATCAGTGTCTAGAAAAGAGTTTGGGTGCAATTGATTTTGTTTTATGTGGTATTTTTCTTAGTAAAAAACAACTTTTATTGGCTTACCTCAAGACACTTAATGTTTTACCCTACCTTTAAAGCAATTTAGATCTTAGGATGCTGAAGAAATAAAGTATTGATTTGCTTCTGTGACACAAGTGACTAGTCATGGCAGGTTCCTTATATGTAGAATGAGTGGTTTGTATTAATTGCTTATTAAACTCTATTCCAATTCTGAAATTCACACATGCTATGAAGACATTGTACACATATGGAAAGAGGTATTATTCATGTTGCTTCTTCCATCATTATCACATGACAGACTCGCCTGTGTCTTTGAAATTGCAACAGGGAGAGACTGGTACATTCAGCAGGCCAAAGCATTGACTGGTATAATTAAGTGGAAAGCAAATGTGAAAAGCTCATCTTTGGTTAGTATGAGTTAGCAGCTTTCTCCTGCACTCTTATTTTCTTCAAATGAAATAGAATTTCTTTGTGGATATTTTTTATATTGCTTCAACATTTAAAGACTCTGTACTATTTCCTTTTATTTCCTGAAGTGAGAAAAGAATTTAATCCAGGAATGAGATTGTGAGTGAAAATGTTTCTCAGTACCCTGATATATTCTCTCTTATGCAGTTTTGATCATCTCCAAAGAAAGTGTTCAAGAACACAGTAGGATGCACATCGAAGGGCATGGACAGGAACAGCTCATCTAACCCAGTGAGGACTGTCTTCCAATTCTTTAGATGGCTATTTTAAAAGTTATTTCTAAAGGAAATATCTAATTTTGTATCTTCCAGTTACTTATGAAAAACTTTTAAAGTTTACATTGGCTCTTAAGCCTCAACTTATGACAAATTTTGAAAGTGTGATATGGAAAGCCATTCTATCATGAGCCTATGGGAGTGAAATACAGTGATCTCCCTCAACTTCAAGATGGAAAAATGTCTCCAAATCCTTAGGAGAAAAGGACAGAGCCACAAAATATAAAGACCCTCCCCCTTGCCAGTTCAGCTCTTAGGTGGATCAATTGCTCTCAAAGTTTATGTAGAAGCCTACAGACATCACAAAGAAACAGTGTTTGAAAGAGTAAGTTAAATAAGTTTGAATATGTAAAAAAATGAACAAATATAATCTAAATAAGATGCCAAAGGAACACAATGGAATGATCTCCAACAGATTTTATTACGCCCGAGGAAAGAGCATGTTCAGATAAACATTCCTATTTTAGGTTTTGGGGGAAATGTCTGAATTTTTAAGAAGCAAAATAATGACCAAAAGCTCATTAAGAGGGCAACAAAGCAATCAAAAAGTGAGATGGTAGAATTTGATTTTTGGAGCACTATCAATAGGTATTTTTTAAGAAGAGATTTGCAGTTATTTTTATAGGATAAGGCATCAGCAATCATTTTGGCAAAGGAGAAATGGGCAGGAAATATTTCTCTTATATCTGGATGCAGACAAATTGTCTTTCTTGATAATTTACTTCCAATCTTGTAGGAGAGTACAGTGCTTTACAAGAACTTGTATAAAGAATTGGACCTAGTCTCAGAACTGTGATCATGTGATATACTGAATATATTTACTTCTTAATTAAATTTTCTCATTTCAAACTGTTAACACAGAGACAGTTTGTCATTAACAAGGCAAATGACCTATAGAAGATAATGCATACATGTTTATTAGCACTATTTACAGTCCTTGAGATGATATAACACATATTTAAGAAAAAACTTTGGTCTACATTGGTAAAACTAAAATACCCATCAGGCACTTTTCATAAGGAGAACAAAAGACTTTTCCAATTTCATCTTTCTCCTTTTTTTTTTCCTTCCCTCCTTTCTTCTTTGTTTCCTTCATAGCTTAAACGCTTATAACTTTATTTTAAAGTAATTCAATGGCTTATTTGTACTATAAAAGCTTTCTCACACTTTATTTTTCACACTCTTAAGCTTATTTTTATTGTACTTTTATTGTTACAGTGATCAAGTACTTCTTTTAAATAGTTGAAATGCTTTGCTAAATTAATTTAGAACTCCTCTTACTTAAAATAAATGCCCTTTATATTGAGAACTGTTTTAACAGCAGATAACCTTGAAGTCAGGTCATTTCCATGACATATTATACCCATGTTTATGCTAAAGGTTGAAATAAAGCCAAAATCATGTTAGCACATTGAAAACATCCTGTTAGGCTTAACATTTAAAGCATATGCAAGGTTTTGTTGTTTACTTTCCACGTAATGCTTAGTATGGTTCAGGTGTATTAACTTGGATTATGTTTCTATGTTCTGAACTCATTGTCCATGAATGTTTGAACATAAAGTGATTTCCTTTCTTAGAACGATAAACTTCAAAATCCTTTGCTAAATACAAGGAGGATACAGAGTCTGGTTGGCCTAAACATGAACAGATATAAAATATCTCCCATGATTGTCTCCAAATCCCATATTCTGCCCCTACTCACAGTAAAAAATAAATATACTTTCAGAAAATAAATAATATTGTGATGACGTTATTGTGTCTTTAGTTTTCTGAGCTTTAAGTTATTGCTGCATTCAGCAATAGAAGATAAGTGATTTAAAATGCAACCGCTATGTTAAGGTTAATTTTTTTTCTGGCTAGTAAAGGCATTAGCCAACTACAAATTCTTTATCTGTAAAATGAAAATACATACCCTACATTGGCTTCCTGATAGCATTATTAAGACTAATTCATATTTCAAACTAATACTGAAAATTTGTGGCATAGTTGCATAGAAATAATAATGGGAATAAAAAATGTGTGCTCTTCTTAGATGGCAAATGCTATTAATTTTGTTAAAAAAAATTTAAATCCACTAATAGTTGGATTGCATAAGGTCAGATAGAGTCTTTAACATAATATACATTGTTGTTTCAGTTCTTAATTAAAAATAGAATGTACATCTCAAATCTTCACCAAGGCAGATAAGTAGATTTGTTCCACATTCTGAAACTTATTGTGATTTTTTGTGTCTAAAATAAGATTCCTTATTCACTTAGTCCCAGGGAACATTACATAAGTATTGTGCTATGCAAAAGAAAAGCAAATAAACAAAACAAAATCACGTAATGAAGACCTTAACGGTATTTAAAACCCCTCCCCCCTCCAAAATACATGGAAGATGAAGGAAAAGAAGGCAGGAGGTATGTAATTTTTTAAAAAGTAAACATAGTATGGTGGGCTTTTCTTTCCAGAAAATTCCCTCAATGCGTGACTTTTTGTACTTTTTCTCTTCTCCGTCTGCCAGCTGGAGCGATATGGCTCCTGCATGAGCTGCTTGTACTGAAAGCTGTTCAGCAAGAAATTCGTGTGAAATCGTAGCATGTGATGCTCCTGGTTGGAGCAGTTAATAACTGGGTAAGCGGCATTTCCCTAAATGGCTGTTTTCCTCGGCCCACCCGTCTCTCCCCCATCCCATTGCTCCCCGGTCCTCAGCAATGCCCCAACTCCCTCCCGGAACCTTTTGCTCCGAGCCCCCCGCCAGCGCCGCAATCCCGTCACTGTATTGTCCTCCTCGGCACCGAGCGATCTGATCCGCCGAGCCAGAAAGACACCCGATGGGGGAGAGAAGCAAAGTGGAAAAAAACCGACGTCCCTGCTCTCCAGAAGGGAGACCCCAGCGGCGCCGACGAGCCCTGCGCCCTCCGCGGCCGCCCGGCGCGAGCTCCCGGGCGGGGCGCTGTCCAGCGCGCACAGAGTTAAAGGCATCATCGCAGCCATTAGAGGGAAAAGTTGCGGCGCCGCGAGCCCGGCGAAGTCCTCAGCCCGCCCCGCTTGCCCACTCCCCACTTCCCGAGCCGGCTCCGTGTTTAGGGAGGGCAGTGATCACGCAAGCCGGAGCGGCGGGCTGACGTTGGACGAGCTGCCAGGTAGCTGAAAGCAGGCAGCCAGGCAGCCGAGACACTTCCCAGCGATTCCAGCCTGGGCTCCGCAGGAAGCCTCGCTGAATCCCAGCCAGCTGGTTCTAACCTTCCAGAATCGCAATCCCTTCTCCCCACAGCCAGCCCTCGCCAAGCAAGCAGCAGGATGTTTGCAGTGTCGCGCCCAGGGCTCTGAGACTGAGCCTGCCATCCACTCGCACGCCTTTCTTTCAGGGCTTTTCGGCTGTTGGCTACACTGATGTGACCCCCCTCCCTTTTTGGAATGATGGGGATCTTTTTGGTGTATGTTGGATTTGTTTTCTTTTCCGTTTTATATGTACAACAAGGGCTTTCTTCTCAAGGTAAGTCTTGCTCAATGGCAAATATACATTTGCTTGCGTGTGTGTGTGTTTCCTACACTCAAAAAGAATGGACAGGCAGATAGAATAAGCTTCCTAGCAAGTAACAGTGGGCTTAGGCTGTATAAATAGTGTTCTGTTTGACGATTTTTTTTAAAGTTTATTAAACTGTAGACTAGCTAGGCTGGAGAGAAAATCTAGCTGGTGCCTGACAATGAGGTGGGCTCCTCGGTGAGCACAAACACAGGGTCGTGTGGTGTGTGTGTGTGGGTGTGTGTGTGCTTTCTATCTGTGTGCATGCACAGGGTAGCCACTCATGCATACATAATCATCGCAAACAAACACAGGGCTGGATACTGGGACTCTCCATTGCCAGTCCCTCTTCCTTGTGTAGTCAGACTGGGCTTAGAGTTTCCCTTTTGTAGGTCCGTGTGACTCCTTTTGTATGTGTGTTTATCAAAGGACAGACTCCTCTGAGGACCCATAAAAAGCCACAACTTGCATGACAAGCAGCAGCAGCCTGCTGAACCCGATTGTTCAGGACTTCGTAGGCTGCAGTGGTCGTTTCAGCACCATGAACAGATCACATCTCTGGTGCCAAAAGACTGCATCACTTCTGCAAGCAGAAATGCCATACTCCTTCTGCCAGCTAGAATAGAAAAGCCCTTTTCCGATCAGAATGTCTCCTTAATAGCTTCCCTGTTTTAGGTACAAATATAGTTTCATTTCACTAGAGATCATTTTTGGGATTTCATAAAATGTTGAAAAGAGACAGTGTCTCTCTTTAAACCGGGGGTGAGGTGAGGGGTGGGGGGAGGAGTGCATCCACCCCAAATCATTTCTGCATTCCCCATGGCCCTCTTCTCCATAAGTGTGCATTGTGGTTGTGCATTTCCACTGGCCATACAAATCTTCCCAGGACTGCTTTTAGGGAACCATCAGCTCTTTGCAAAGTGCCCCTTAGATAAGATAAGAACAACCACGTTGGTAACAAGATAAGAGCATTGCATGTTCAAGAAATGCCTTTAGGAGGAAGGAAACATTATATTTTTGTGAGTTTCACCAGGGTTGCATGAATCTTGCAAACTAGCAGTGTCAAGGTTGGTAATGAAAAGGCTGAGAAACATCTCCATAGTGACTTCTAAATAATATTTAATCTGAACTAAGCCTGGATGTGTGATCATTACATCTTAAGATGTATGGCAATTCAAAATACAGTGACTTGATGGGAACAAATAAAGGTTAATTTGGAGAGAAGGAAACATATACAGTTTATAAAGTGTGCAACTTGTTTCACTGCTGCAGGCGTGTTTCACTGGTGTTGCTAATAACCGTTTTGATGTATCAGGAATGTGCATTTTGACAGATAATCATGATCTACTCTGTTACATGAAACATCCAGTTAGTGGTAGATTGTTTAGAAACTTAGAGGCAAGAGACTCTCCTCATTTATCAACTTGACAGATTGCCTAAATTGTATCTCACTGACTCTCTCAGTAAATGTTGTGGAATACTGCAATCTGACAAAAGGTATTTGGATCTACCTGCGGGGATCTTGGCTAAGAGTTATTGGCAAGCTTGTTAACCTTTCCATTATCTGGATTTGATCAACAACATAGTGATTTAGGTATGATACCAAAAGTTAGACAGGAAAGAGGCAAAGGAAGGGGGCTGGGGGAACCAGACGAAGCCGAGGATGTAAGAGAGGGGTTTTGTTGCTATTTAAGTCCAGGAAAAATGTAGCGAGCTCTCAAGGAAAGAGACTCAGGCAAGAGGGGTGTGGATATTCCAACAGGATGCCTTTCTGTTTTGCAGCAAAATTTACCGAGTTTCCGCGGAACGTGACGGCGACCGAGGGGCAGAATGTGGAGATGTCCTGCGCCTTCCAGAGCGGCTCCGCCTCGGTGTATCTGGAGATCCAATGGTGGTTCCTGCGGGGGCCGGAGGACCTGGATCCCGGGGCCGAGGGGGCCGGCGCGCAGGTAGCGGAGCCCGCCGACCCCGCGTCTCCCCTTCGCTCGCCCGGTCCTCAGGGTGTCCGGCCCGGGGCTGGGGGCCGAGGTGCTGCCTGGACACCCCTGGGGACCTGCCCGGTTCTGTGGAAGCGAGTGACCCCCAGGGCTTCTAGGGAGGGAAAGGGAATTTGTCCTGGGGACGCGAAGTTAAAACCCAGAAGGAAGTCCTGCTGCCCAGTTTCTTCCTGTTAAACCGGGAAGCGCCTCCTCCTGTAAGTTCTGGTACTTAGGCAGATGCCCGCCTTGCCCCTACCACGCTGCCACATCCCGGGACATCCGGGAGCCCCTTTCCAGGACGAAAGGAGGGGGAGGGGAATCGGTGGGCGGCCTCCACCCCCCACCCCACCCCCTCTCCCTTCTCGGGGCACCAGGCACCATCTGGGACCGCAGCCCCCAGGCTGAACAACCAGAGAACCAGGGCGGCCAGCTCCTCTCACCTCCACTTCTAACAGATATGTGGGGTGTCGGGGAGAGAGGGAGAGAGAAGGAAAGGGGGGAAATGGAGGAGGGAGAGAAGGAGAGAAGAAAGGGGGAGACCGGGAGAGGCACAGAGAAGGAGAAAGAGACGGAGAGAGGGAAGGGGGAAAAAGGGGAGAGACGGAAGGGAAAGAGAAGGGAGGGAGAAAGAAGGTAGAAGAGAAGGAGAGAGGGAAGGGGAAAAGAGGGAGAGAGGGAGTGAGGAGAGGGACAGAGAGAAGGGAAGGAGGGAAGGGAGAATTGGAGTGGGGAGGGGAGAAGAAGAGGGGGAGAGGGAGAAAGAAGGGGGAGAGAGGGAGAGAGGGACGGGGAGGGGGAAGGGGCTGGGAAAGAGGGAAGGGGGAGACGGGAAGAGACAGTGAAGGGGAAAGAGAGAGGGAAGGGGGAAAAAGGGAGAGAGGGAAGGGAAAGAGAGAGAGGGAAGGGGAAAAAGGGAGAGAGGGAAGGGAAAGAGAGGGCAGGGAGAGAGAAAGGAGAAGAGAAGGAGAGAGGGTAGGGGAAAAGGAGGGAGGGGGCGAGAGGGACAGAGAGAAGGGGAGGGGGAAGGAAGAGAGGGAGAATTGGAGTGGGAAGCAGAGAAGGAGAAGGGTAGAGGGAGAAAGAATGGGGAGAGAGGGAGAGAGGTAAGAGGGGGGAAGGGGGTGGGAGAGCAGAGAGAATGAGGGGGAAGGGGTGGGAGAGGAGAGAGAATGAGGGGGGAAGGGGGGAGGAAGAGAAGGAGCAGGAGAGACATGGGGGAGAGAGGGCACAGAAGGGAGAGAGGGAAGGAGAGGAAAAGGAGAGACGGAGGGAGAGGGAAGGGAGAGGGAGGGAAAGGAAGAGAGGGAGAGAGGAGTAGAGAAGAGGCAGGGAGAGGAGAGAAGGAGAGTGGAGAAGGGAAGGAAAAGGAGAGAAGAGAGGAAGCGAGGAGAGAAGGAAGTAGGGGAATGGGGAGTGTGGAGGGGACGGAGGGTGACTTGGGAAGAGACAGGAGAGAGGGTGGTGAGGTGGGGAAGGAGAGGGAGAAAGGAGGAGATGAGGAAAAGGAAAATAGCGGGAGGAGGGGAGAGGGGAAGGGGGTCCGGGCGAGGGAGACCTAGTTGAGCGAGAGGCGGCGCCCCTGCGAGCCAGCAAGAGAATCTGGGGCCAGGAGCGCGGGGCGGGACGGCAGGCGGGATGGTGGCCGGAACAAAGGCGCGAAAATTCGTCCCGGAGCACTTCACCTTCACTCACGCCGGCCGCCCCACCCCTGGCGCCCGCCCGCCTCACCCCTGGCGCCCCCCCGCCTGCCCGCCCGCCCACCCACCTCCGGGCGCGCGTCCGCACGGGTCAACCCGCGAAAAAGACCCGGCGGCTCCCGGCCCCGCCTCCAGAGCGCAGCATCCGCGCGGCAGGGACAGCGCCGGGACAGCGCCGGGACAGCCCCGGGACAGCCCCGGGGAAAGCGCGGGGACGGCGTGGGGTATGCCAGGGACAGCGTGGGGTATGCCAGGGACAGCGTGGGGGCGGTGCGGTCTGGGCCTGGACAGGGGTGGCCACGCCCCTGGTCGCTCCCCTGTCCCCAGGTCACCCTGACGGCCCTGCCCGGAGCCGCGAAGGCTATGCTCGCGTGGGAGCGGGTGGTCGGGCGGGCCTGGCGCGGGACTGAGCGTTCGCTCCTTGCCCGCAGGTGGAGCTCTTGCCCGACAGAGACCCGGACAGCGACGGGACCAAGATCAGCGTGAGTGCGGGGCGCGCCAAGGGCCGCGGGCCCAGGCTCGGGACGCACAGCCCTTCCCTGTCCCCGAGAAGGCGGCTTGCCAGCGCTGCAGGACAGCCGGACAGCCGGGTGCCCCTTGCTTGCCTCATTAGATACATACAAATGGAAGCACATTTAGAGTCCCTAAATAAAATTACATATTTTAGTCACGTAAATGTCTAAACATTCTAGAGAATCGTTTGCTATCCAGAGAGGTTGTGTGACACTTTCTTTCCTTGCTTTTTGTAACTTACCTAACAGTAAGAGTAAATACATTGCTAATATCTATTCAAAATTATGGAAACAATTATATTTTAGTAGAAAGTAAAACAGTAACATAGGAAAATATTTTTAGGGAGAAAAATATAAAGCATCCAACAGGATACTGAAATTGTGATGAAATTAAGCAACTAAATTTTGAATGTCACTTTAATGCATGGAATGTATTTCCAGTGCTGTTATTAAGAATATATAAATATAATGCCAAAAGCCAATATAAATGTAAAACCATTATTATAGGAGCTTGACCTATTGAAAATGTAAACTTATAGTTCCACTCTCTTGCTTATTACTTTTAATAAGTGTGTGTAAAATTTAAAAAGTGAAAGTCTTATTTTTTTACTATACCTCAAATGAGCCGCATAGCATCAGTTAATATTAATAATACTGCTTCATTTTTTAAATAGAAACGAAATAGGTATGTAATACAAAAGGAGGAAATCTGTTAAGCATAAACATATTGTTATTATTTGTTTTTAGAAATCTAAAATCCCAATGACCTACATTTTAAAAGAAAATGTATTTTAAGGCTCTTACAATAGCGTAAAGTGGTAGAAGATTGGAGTTACATCATAACTAAAAATGTACAAATATATTGTACACAGAATCTAGTTCTGTGATCTAAATGTGTAATCTCAACATGGAAGAAAAAATGACAAAGATGAAATATCAACCATAAACTCTGATTTAAAACTCATAAAATTACTGACTTTTTAGAATACTTCAATTATTCTTATATCACAGAAACTGTTGTTTTCCTACAATATTAGAAAAGCTTTATTGGTAAAATCTAGTTTTTTCTTAATTATTTTATTTTTCACATACATATATAACTAGATAGATTGCTTGGTGACTATTCTTCCTTCACCCTTCACCCGTCCCCCTATCATCTAAAGGCCAGTAACAAAAATAGTCTTCATACATCCTGACCCCTGATGCATACATTGAGAAACATGATTACACACACAACTGTTGATAGTATTACCTATGCCAATAATGCATAAAAGTTAATGAGTAGAAGAGAGTTTTAGACACAAACTGAGGCAGAAAGTAGTTTGTTCCCTGTTTACCCACTGTGTGACCTTGAACATATTTTCTCAACCACTAGTTATTAACTTTGAATTCCCAGGAGAGTTGTTATAAAATACTGATGATATAAGCTCCACCTTCCAGAGATGCAGACTTAATATTTCTGCATTACTCCACATGCCAGTATTTTTAATAGCACCCCAGGTGATTCTAATGTACACTCAGTGTTGAAAATCACTGACCCAAACACCCCAAGCCTCAGTTTACTCAACTATAAAATGGGATAATAATATAAATACTCTAGCTACCTCAAACTTTGTTAGGAGATTTAACCCAGAATAAATGTGGAAGTATTCACTTCATTTTTATAGTATTAGTATATTTATATGTAATTTTATATACACATAAACCCATAGGGTTCAAATGTTGGAAATTATTTGTATATATACCTCTATATGTAAAAGCAGATGAGTGCTTCTCAGGTTTTCCTAGTAATTTATGGCCGTTTGAAAGTGTAGTGGCCATTAGCAGAAAAAATAACTTTCGGCCTCCTTCATTTCTTTTCTGTATCTTTCAAAATGAACCAAATTCTTGAATCCCAAATGTCTTATGAACCCTATCATTGTCTCAGTTATGAAGAACATATGATTATGTATTAAACCTAACTGTTCTGATAAAGATGCTTATATATATAATATAGGATATATAATATAAAATCATATATCTAATATATATATCAGATATATGATCTTGCTATTAATCTGGAATAAAACTTATTAGAAGAAATAAATAAGCCAATTTCAATTTTGAAAATCAAGCCAGTGTTTTATCGATGGCATCCCAAGTCCCTGTAGTATAAAGTCCCTATAATGGCATGGGATACATACTTTGAGCAACAAGACTTCAGGTGATATGAAGCTGTACCCCAAGCCATGCCACCCTATGACTAGAGGCAAGACTGCATCTAAAATTTAAGAAGAAAAATATTAATATCCAAGTTCATTAATAGCACCTTTAGTAGTCATCCCAGTGTGGGGATACAAGTGCATTCTCACTCAAACTCATGACCAACAAAATATTTTTGTGATGTCTCAGAGTTGAGGGGCTTAGTTTATAGCCCACAGGGAAGAAAAGAGGTTGTTTCACCTATAGAGTTGGCCTTATTGGTTTGTGCTTCATTGAACTGAGTTAAGCAGGCAGAGGCCAATCCCATGATGGAAAAATGACGGAGCTGCTACTGGCATGTAGACAATGGGGGGCACGTGGCTGACAGAATCTGGCACTGGCTGCATTGAACTAATTATCTCCTGAGTCTGCAAGTGCAGTGGTTGGTGGAATAGGATAGCCAAGGCCTTCAGATGTGACGTTAAGGAAATAAAAAGCTCCTTCACTATGGCTATGGGGCCATTAAGACCCTTTAACTTTCCAATATTAGCAAGCTCAGGGTAAAAAATGGAACAAAATCATTTGATGTAGCACTTTATTGTTTTTTTTACCTGCAATTTTTCAGACAGTGAAAGTCCAAGGCAATGACATCTCCCACAAGCTTCAGATTTCCAAAGTGAGGAAAAAGGATGAAGGCTTATATGAGTGCAGGGTGACTGATGCCAACTACGGGGAGCTTCAGGAACACAAGGCCCAGGCCTATCTGAAAGTCAATGCCAACAGCCATGCCCGCAGAATGCAGGCCTTCGAAGCCTCGCCCATGTGGCTGCAGGATATGAAGCCCCGCAAGAACGTCTCCGCAGCCATCCCCAGCAGCATCCATGGCTCTGCCAACCAACGAACGCACTCCACCTCCAGCCCTCAAGTGGTAGCCAAAATCCCCAAACAAAGTCCACAATCAGGTATGGAAACCCATTTCGAGCCTTTTATTTTACCACTCACAAACGCTCCACAGAAAGGTCAGTCGTATAGAGTAGACAGATTTATGAATGGTGATTTTTAAAATCGGAGACCTAGTTCAGTGCAAGTGATTATGAGAGGTGAGCACCGAGCCTGCACCAATTCACTCAGAGCTCAAAGCATGTGGGTGCACCCCGTCAGTCCCCTAGTGGTGCTTCATTTCCAGGGCATCTGAGAGCTGGACTCTGGTTTTTATCCTTTCTGTATTTACACATTATAAGAACAATAAATCATGTAATGTTGGTTACATTACAAATGCATGTTCATTTTCTCTACAGATTTATGTATCGATAATGACCCAAATTAAGAGGCTTTCACTTAATCAAAATGTAAATGAGAGAGACATGCCATATCATGCATTTTCAGCGACCCATAGCTCTAAGCAGGACTATTCTCCAAGGGCTTTTGATTTTGAAGGAGAAACCTCAGCTGCCTGTGATGATGATAATGGAAGGATGGAGGGGGGATTGAAGACTGTAAGTGGTGCAGAGATAAGGCAACTCCTCTGTGAATTTGCCTTCCAGGCCAATTTAGAAGCTTAGTCACAGGATTCTGAAGGCAGCTGTGCAAGTTAAAGCTGTTCTGAATGGCATTAATGTATGCAGTCATTCAGCCAATGGAAATGCGTGGAAGTTTTAACCTTGATGTGGGATAAAGGCTTCGTGGAATGAGCAGTACCCTGCACAACCCCGCGGCCGTCCCGATTTCCTCAAACACGTGACATGGGATGAAGGGAGCACAAACATACTGACTTTATCCTTCTTTAGGTTTTTCCCTAAAGAAGTATTGATGCTACCATCAGTAATGGAAAATTACATTGCTAATATTTAAGGTCTCTTCAGCCATTAAATTAAAAAGTCTGATTACTTCACCAGGATGATTTCTGAGATCTCATCTCATATCGTCCTGAATACACACACACACACACACACACGCACACACACACACATCTCAGAAATCATCCTAATCAAATATAGACTTTATATATATCAAATATATATATACATGTAGAAATACATATAGGTATGTATCTTTAAGTCCTTGCTTGTGAACAATGCTTTTAAATGTTTTTAAAATACTGTATGCCAAAATAGGTTTTCTCTTAATGCTTTACTTCCTAATGGATGTGATTTGCAGATTTGTAGGGCACTTGGATTAGGGTTCTCTGAGTTTGCCCTGCCTTATAATGTAGATGAGCAACTCTCCTGGCATGCCTTGGTCATTGCAATTTATGTCAGTCTGATGAACAGATGGCTTAGCCTCTCTGAAGCCCAATGTGTGTGGATTTGTCTAATTTTTTTCTTTATAATCTTTTCTGCTTACCAAATTAAAGGACAAACTAGTATAGCTGGAACATATATGTGTGTATCCATACACACTAAACACACAGGTATATGCTAAATTGTAATGGTAACCAAATGATGGTTACAACTTTGTGACTATTATTTGAGGAAGATTTAATGTCTTTGGAGTGATTTTCCCCTCTTTCTTCACATTATCATAAAAGAAGTTAGACACTACAGGCAAGATTACAGAGTAGCCTAAGCAGACAATTTACAACCTAATTAGCAAGAACTCCAAATCATGGAAGTGAAATTATTATTATCCTACATAGACTGTTCCAAGTTAGATGTCATCAATCTGTTCGGCAGAATAAAATCAAACAGATTACCTATTCCAAGTGAAGAATTCCAAGGGTAGAATGAAATGCTTTATCTATTTCTAGAATGTTTTCTTAGCTTTTGGGGTTTAATAATGCAATCTCAAAATATCTATTTATTTTATTTTAATATCTCTTAGCGCTGTGATTAGTGCTAAATGATAAACTCTAGATCTCTTCTAACAATTATCAAATAAAAATTACTGCTCTTTTTGCATCCCATTGCCAGCCTTGCTGTCAGATTCAAAATTGCTTTTTCTAGAGTTAAAGGTAGAAGGAGAGAAAAAAGTGACTCATGAAGTCTATATTCATTAAAAGTCCTGTTCACTAAACATATCTGCTTATATCAAAGAGTAACTTGAAATATCTGAAAATATTTAATTTCAATATTTCCAACCAGTGAATACTGGATAATATTTTTATATACTTCTATCAACATTTTCTAATTTCGATTTCAGAAGCTGGGGCAGTCCAGTCACTCACTTTACTTATGTGTAAGTTCCTATACTTGCACAATTATTATATATGATTCAGTATCTGGGGTGGATATTTATATATTATATTCACTGTAATACCCACATCCTGATTTATGATTTTTGCCTCACGATTTTCAGATTATATTCAAATAAAGCTTATTTCAATACCCATGCTTCATTTATTCATTCATTTATTCACCTTCCATCCCTCCTAGGAACTCACATACCAGGCACAGGGACACAAACATGGAAGACACACTTCTTCTCCTCAAGGAGTTTGTATTTTAGTTTGCAAGAAAACAAAATATTTGTACATTCCATTTATCATCCATCTTTATTTCATTATTCTATGAAAGGCAAGATGTGGTGAAAGCACAAAAATCAAAATCTTGCTCTTGGAAGCCAATAGCTATATTGTACTAGCCTTTTATCTTTTATTGTTTGATACAAAGAGGCATCCTTCATCTATGGTATATGGGACACTGTCATCTCTGTCACAAAAGCTGGCCCGTTTGGCCCTTTATTTTCATCATAATCTTTGACTTAGTTGACTAAATTATTTAAACTGAAACACTCACCTCTTAATTGATACTATTTTTCTTTCAAAGAATTTCTGTTTTTAAATGAAGGAAAACATATTAGCTGAAAATAATTTTATATAAAATCTTCAAATTTTCATACAATTAATTTAACCAGTTTTTCTAGAGCAGAGATTTACATGAATAGAAGAAGATGGAAAAGATAGTCTATGACCATCTGCCTATCACAAGATAAAGCTAACTGTTATTTAATACGGCTAGTCCCATACCTTTTCCAGATATTTTCCAAAAGTTTTTGAGCATGTGACTTTCCCCTCCCACTTAAAATTCTTTTTTATCTTTGTGAATCCTTCACTTGTAAAATTATTTGAATTCTACCTCCATTTAGTAATCAGCAATTAAAACAAAATAATGAAGCAAAACGGTTAGGCAAACAGATAAACAAAACTTGGCTTTTGCAATCCCTTTGAAGTTTGCCGTCTTCAATTGTTCTGAACACTCTCCAGTTTTGTGTACCATGACCACCTTAGATCATATCAAACCCACTCTCCTCTGCCCACTTTTTTTGGCTCTATTTGCAAGAAGCTTATCAAGAGAAGATGCCAATAAATATGATGTTATCAGGAAAGCAATACATAGAGTTAGAAGCAGAAGAAATGTTCTATAGATGTTCTGAGAAGGTGAATTCCTGCTTCTTGCTGGAGGAGTCAGGGAGGGCAACCTGGAAGAAGGGACTTGGAGGATAGGGAGAGTTCATACAAGCAAATATGGAGAAGAAAGACCTTTCAGAGAGGAGGGTGGCACCAAGCACAACTGACTGTGGAAGTCCCAGGATCTTGACCAGGATGGAGTGGTTTAGGTCCCTCTTCGCAGAGAACACAGGACTCAACGCCCCTCCACCATGCCCCCAAATACCCCAATATACTAAGTCATTCTCTACTTGTTTCTTCCTGTCTCATCCAGTGTCTCCAATCCTTCCAGAAGTCAAACATCTCCACAGACCACCTCTACTAGTCCTTCCTTTCTTCTCTCTGTCTTCACTTTTTTCTACTGACCCCCTTCCCACCTTCCCAACGTCACACAGAACTGTGAAGCGGCTTCCTGCTCCTCTTCCCCAACCTGGCCATGGATCAACCCCTGGTGTGCAGAGCTGCGTGCTGGCTCCTCCAGGTAAATTGCCCAGGTCGCTCGCACTCCCAAAGCTGTCATGCAAGTCACTGGTGTCTCCTGCTTCCAATTCCCCACCCTCTCACATCTCGTCCTTCCCAGTCTCTAGGCAGCCTTTCTCCCTCGATCACTCCTTCCTGACACTCTTACCTCTCTTCTCTTTGCAGGCTGGTCACCTATTTACTGGCTCCTAGCATTCTCCTCTCTCCTTTATTGGCCTCCTCCCCAACTAAATTCCTCTCTTAAATATAGTTCTTTTCCCATTGTCAACTGCCTGATCTTCTCATCCACTTCCATGGTTTTGACTGCTAAATTTTCTTAGGAAATTGTTCGAGTCACCTTTGTACTTCTGACTCATTTCTGTAGATCCAGACTCATGTTCACTCTTGTCCCCAAAGTATCTACATATATATCCTGCAAAAACTGTGGCAGAGTAAGGATGTCTGCACACTTGTCTCCATCCCATGCATTGAAGCCTATTTTCCTTCCCCTGAGCATAGGCTGGCCTGTGACCACTCTGCCCAATAAAGTATGAAGAAGTGAGCTGTGCCAATTCTAGACCTATCCTTTACAGGGGCTGGCAGCACCTGCTGAGCCCTCCTGGAAGCCAGCCACTGTGGAAGCAGTGCAGCCACCTTACTGAGTGAAGCCCAGCCAAGGACCTTGGTGTGCGAGCCTGGAAGCAGCCTTGGGCAGCCAGTCACCCCAGCCTTCCTCCAGCCACAGCTCCAGTGGCTGTCTCATTGCAGCATGAGGGAGCCCAAGCAAACACTGCCCAGCTAAGTACAGACAACACGCAGAACAGAGACAGATGATGATCTCCTGTCATTTTAAGGCACTAGGTTGTAGTGAGGTTTGTTTCATGATAGATACCCAGATCAGACATCTAAAACTCAAATATTCAAGACTGAATTTATCTTAGCTTTCTCACCAAAAAGAAATGTTCTTCCTCCTATGATCCCAAACTCTTTTAATAGCATTTATCACAGTCATTGGTCTTGAGGAAGCCTTGAAAATGTTCTCATCTCTTCTGTCAGCTGCCACACTGAATTGTCCTAGTAATTGTCTCCCTAAAACATCCTTGAGAAGCTGCGTCTTTTCTGTTCTAACCAATACTGGTTTCATTGTCAACACAGGCCCTCTTCACTTTCCTCATCTAATCCAATCTATTCCAAAAAGAATTTCTTGTTTTAACTCTAATACAAGGGACGTATCACAACAGAGCATGTGTGAAATGATTATTTTTTTCAAAGTGCCAACATTAGTTTTTGTAGTCTAACTCCAGCCTTGTTTCTTCTGAGTTCCTAATCTCATTCAGTCTTTCCATTTGGTATTGCCTGAATGTTTTCAGATATTTTGTTACCTCTATGGCTTTGCAAATGCTGTTTCCTTTGTATGAGTCTTTTCCTATTTGCTGAGTTCCTACAAAAATGCAAACTCCTTTGTTAAAGCTTTCTCCTTTTCTCTTAGTCAGAATTGGTTACTCATCAAGTTCTCAGCAATTTGTTTATACTTACTTTGAAGCCCTAACTGTGCCTTGTATTGTTGAACCTTTAGTGCTCAAAGTCACACATTCTGGAAAACCTCTTAGTTTTAAGCAAACTAGGACAGTTTATCACCCTAACTATAACTTCTTGGCTACAAATACTATAGCTTGTTTCTGCAATTCCTCTATGTGCCCTGAACAAGTGGGGCTCATGTTATTATTATTTTGTATAATTATGTTTTCATAATTAGATAATTTTACCACTACTCTAGAACTGATCAAGACTCCCAAACAGTGTTTCTCAAAGTGAGTTGTGCAGCCTACCTATGCCAGACTCATCAGGGAGCTTATTAAAAATTCATATTCCAGAACTCCACCCAGTGCCTACTGAATCAGCATCTCTGAGTGTAGAACCAGAAATAAGTATTCTATGTTCCAAAAGTTAAAAGAATCATTGGCTTTTTGAAGTTTTTCAGGGTAAAAAAATTTTCTTCTTATCATTTACTATGAGATATATATCTGTATGTGTATCTGTGTCATGCTACAAAATACTTTTTTTAGAGGCTCTGTTCTGTTGCTCTTATTGTTTCCAATGTTGGGATGGACTTTTGTGAAGCTGTTCACTGCTGTGATCAACAGCTGGTATTTGTAAGGAAACTGGCTGCAGTGAAGGTGGTACTTGTGTCTCCGTGTGTGGAGTCTGTAGTAGCTCAGCAGGAATGCTGATTCTCTGAACTATGAAATACAATTATTGTGTGTTCACCATGATGTGAACCTGACTGTTAAGAGGCAGCTGCTGCAACAGCTGCCAGGAGCCAAGAGTGGCCACTTTCAGCAGGATTGATCTTAACACAGGATGTCAAAGTCATTGGGAGGAGGGAGATGAGGGACTGAGGGTCTTTGCAGGGAGAGTGCTTGTCTCATTTAATATGTGAGTAAATGGTGCACTGCTTTGAGGTAGAGTCAGTCATATAATTCAGCCCTTACCGCTGATTTTTGTTTAAATGATCCAACTTGGCTGCTTACACAGGTTAAATTAATTTAATCATTGTAATTCTATCATATAAATGGCAACTATGTAAATCAAGTGTCTATGAATAAGACAAAAATAGATATAAGGGAATGATTTGGATAATACAGGCCAAGGAATCTGCTAGGGCTATATTTGAACCAGAATTATGTAGATTAAGAGTCTATACTGGTTAAATTCTCCTGCAAACCATATTTAATTTTACTCATTGAAGTTCAGAACTATTTGGGCCTATGATATCAAGGTTGGATGGGTTTTTCCATTCATAACTGGCCACATGAAGGCTTGCTTGTGACTACTAGTTCCTCTGTAATTAAGAAGACATGAAACGGAATTTGCCAGTGTTCTAAGTTCTTGTCTCAAGTGATTCCATGATGTCTGCCACTTCAGGAAGCCACCAGAGGAGCAGCTTCCTGGCTAGATGGCCAAAGTGTTGAAAACTTGCTAGAAAGGCTTCACTCTGTTGGTCACAATAACACACACCCTAAAAGAGCAAGAAAGGTCAAGAGCTCCTTCTTCCAAGGACCACTTCTGCCACTGATAGGCTGAACCAGTGCCTTCATCTGAGCAGCGAAGGGGCGTAAATGAGCAGGGACACACTCCTCAGACCTTCTGCCTCTGGCTCTGCCTACTCATTTGTAGAGGCACTAGTGCACAGCGGTTAAAGAGGAAGGCTGCTTCACATCTCAGCTCCATCACTCACAGCACAGTATGTCTGTTCCCTCATTTCTTTCTTTTTTTTTTTTTTTTGTTGTTGTTTTGAGATGGAGTTTTGCTCTGTCTGTCACCCAGGCTAGAGTGCAGTGGTGTGATCCCGGCTCACTACAGCCTCCACCTCCCGGGTTCAAGCAATTCTCCTGCCTCAGCCTCCTGAGTAGCTTGGATTACAGGTGCGCACCACCACGCCCGGCTAATTTTTGTATTTCCAGTAGAGACAGGGTTTCACCATGTTGGCCAGGCTGGTCTCAAACTCCTGACCTCAAGTGATCCCCTCTCTTTGGCCTCCCAAAGTGCTGAGATTGCAGGCATGAGCCACTGTCCCCGGCCTGTTTCCTCATTCCTTAAATGAGAACTATACTATAATCCTCACAGGGTTTTGACAATTGAAGGAAATGATGTACATATGAAGATTGACACTTAATAATCCCTGAATGAATGGTGACTAGTTGCTGTAATAATATGACTATTATTGCATATGCTTATATACAATTATCAGCAATGAAATGATTAGAGTTAATGGTCTTTACCACCTGGTTCTTCTAGGCAAATATCTTCCTTGCTGGTTGTGTGGAAGTGATGGGTTGAGGAAGGAAGACTAGATCTCCATTTCTGGCTTATGTTTTATGATTTATAATTTCAGAGCTTGCTTTTTTTTCTTCTGTCACAATGCCATTAATTGATGATAAATTTTCCTCTAAATAAGCACAACATATTAGCCACCAGCTGTCTTGCCCAAGGTTGTAACTAGATCTGTATTATAAAACATGATAAAATTCCAAAGGATTTTTAAGAATTTAAACTGCAACCTGAATAAATAACAGGTATTCTAAAGCCATAATTATACAAATTGGTGTTCATCTTAATTAAATTCAAGCTTTCAAAAAAGATTTTCTGAGTTTTTAAAATCACAAAGTAATTAGCAATACATCTGAAAACATAAACAAGTTAGAATATTATATAAAGCCTTAAAAAGAGACAAAAATAAAATAGGAATATAAATTAATAATGAAAATTTCATAGTTTATGGTACCAGGTAGATACAGATTTGATTCTTAGATTTGCTATCTACCAGCTTGTTACTTTGGGTGAGCTGCTCACAAAATCTCTCTGAAGCTTAAAGTCTTATGTATAAAACTGATATGGTAATACTTATCTGCCAAGGGTCATTTTTAGCATTAAATGAGATAATGGATTTTAAAAATCTAGGAGAGTAAACCTAGCATGTGAGTGAGCTCAGCAATGCCTAGTTCTCTACCTCTTTACCTACCAGATAGGAAAATATGCTACAAAATAACTATTATTTAAGAGGACAATAAAGAAACAGAAATATGAATAGATATTAAAGAAAATAAAAACAAGCCTGGAAAGCTCGAAAATTATACAAAATAATATCTAATGAATTTAAAAATGTAACAGTTAAAGAAGGACCTATTTAATTAATAATGCCAAAAGGAGACATATGATCACAGTTTACAATATATATCCAAATGAAGGCCAGTTAAAGAACTAAGCAGGAAAGAAAAATCAAATATAGGAAGATTAGCATAAAATAAGATACTTGTGGCTTTGAAGGTTAAAAGTTACAAAATAATTTGCAAGTGAAAATATTTTGCTATAACTTTAAAATTTTATTTAAGTAAATAATATGTAACTAAAAAGTAAAGCATCAAACAAGGAAATATTTGTGTCTAATACTTAGGAAAATAATAAATGTCAATATTTACAGATGCTGTGATTATGTAACCCACTCCTAATCACTCCTAATCAGTCGTAATAGAGATATTAAAAGTGATCATATAATATGAATAAAATTAAGATAAAAGTATAAACTTAGGTCAACCTTCTACATAACTCCAATACCAAAATAGAAAATATTTTAGGAATAATATTGAATCCTCAATAGTAGCAACAAGTAAAAGATATAAAATATATAATCTTTTTTTTACAAAGTATGGTTGCAAATAAGTAGTATGAATATGAAGACCACTAAAACACTTCATTGAGAGAGTTTAGGTTTGAATAAATGAGTTACAATGCTATGTTTTTGGATGGCCCATCTCAG
This sequence comes from Homo sapiens, assembly GCF_000001405.40. Taxonomy (NCBI): domain Eukaryota; kingdom Metazoa; phylum Chordata; class Mammalia; order Primates; family Hominidae; genus Homo; species Homo sapiens. The sequence goes on from NC_000007.14 coordinate 54,559,369, forward strand.
AATTGCAAATCTGTCAGGTTTTTCAGAAGTATTTATAGATTTGATGCAGTCCCAGTCAAAACACCTTCTCATTAAAAAAAAATTGATAGGTATAATCTTGGCAAAAGTTTTCTAAATCAACAAGCATCATAAAGGTTACAGTGAATCAGACATTCTGCTACATTGCCACTGGCATGGTGAATCAGTACTTCCCTTGTGAAGGAAAATTTGTCAGGGAAGAGTACTCACAAGCCTTTAGATTGTGCAGCCCATATGTCCCTGAAATCATACTTCTGAGAAGAAATTCCAAGGATATCATAGCGAGTCATGAATTGCAATACTTACCATGGAGTTTTTCATACACCTGGAAATACACAGATGACCAAAAGGAAAGTTACCTAGTGAATGTGTTAAAGCATACAGTGAACATCAAGCAGCTTCTAGAATCATCTTCTCAAAGAATGTTTGGAGACATTAGAAAGGATTCAGTACATGACATCACGTGAAAAAACATAGGATACAAAACTTTAAAGTGAAAAAATATATAGCATACAGAACTTTAAATCAGTCTGAGCCATGTGCATAGAAAAATAAAAGAAAAAAAGAAAATGTACAGCAGTCAATGTAAGTTATGATTTTTAATTTTTTATTGTTTTGCTTGTTTATAACTTTTGTACAATGATAATGTATTACTTTGTTATAAGCAGAAAAAGAAAATTTAAATTTTTTCCAATTAAAAAATGGTAAACAGTTGTCTCATGAGAGAGAAAATAAATTAGCAAACACATAAAATATTTCAACAAATAAAGAGAAGCAAAGTAAAATAATGGTGTATAATTATAGAGTTCAGGACAAAATCTTAAAAATATCTACACATGTACATATATGTACCCAAAGTACTGTTGTGAAAATGGTCGGTACTCAGAAATTGCTAGTAGCATTGAAATTAGGAACTTTGTATTTTATTATATCTTATTTCCTGGAGGCTGGGTGGAGAACATGACCATCAAGTTAGTCTTGTTTTTCTAAGCAAATAGGTGTGATCTTGATGAATTCATATTGATTAAATAAATCAAACACATACAAGCAAATAAAATATCATGCAATCATTTTTCCTGTCAATGAGATGACTCACACAACCCCCAATTCCAAGGGAGATGAAAGTGAGGAGCAATGCATTGTCATTGGGAGTATCAAGGGAAATCGGACACAGGAAGATTTATAAATGAGAATTATGTTTTACTTAATGCAACTGCTTCACAACAGACTCTGAGAGAGCATTTTTGCATGAATTCAGAATCCTATAGGTATAAAACATACCTAATATAGGTGAAACAGTGCTTGAATTAAAGCAAATAGTAAAATCCAGGAGTTGTGATTTCTTATTCCATGAAGCTGACAAATATGAAGCTGTAGAGAAAATTTTAAAGATGAAATTAAGTTAAGCAATTTTATTATCTTCACAGACAAACATTTTAATGAAGTTAAATAATGCAGTGAAATACTTCAAATTTTAAAATGTAAAGGTATCAAGCACTGTGCAGTGAAGGGCTCTGTTATGAGTCAATGTTTTTCTTGCTTCATTTTGATGGCTTCTGTTACAGACACACCCTGAGGAGCCTGTTCGTCAGCCTTGTATATAATCTTTTATCTTTAGTTTTTCTGATTAAACAAATCCATATGCTATGAAGGCAATTTTCTAACTTCTAGCGTTGTAAATAGTTAATTTGAAAAATCCTACATTTAGGGATTAAGCTGTAGAATCACAACCACTAAATAGAAAAAAAAAGTTTAGAATTTAAAACCTCACTCTATTTCAAACTACCTGAAAATATTATAAGGGTTGTGAAGATAGGAATTGTGTCCTGAACTTTGGGTGTCATTGCAGCACCTAGCATTGTGTTTAGCATGTACTTAGAGTTAAATGTTTAGGGATAGAAAGTTACGTTTTGGTTTATGTATAGTGCAAAACACTTCTGAGGATAATACCACTGCTAAGAATATACATGAAGTTTAATGTAATTTGGTGAACGTTTAAGAAAACAACTCCAGACTGCCTATGTAGCAATGGTCAGAAAAGATTAAAAAACAGCCCTTGGACCATCCTTCATTATGTATTTGTGATGATAATATTAATTTATTTAAAATGATATTTAATGACAAATTATGTCTGGGAAGTTTGATGAACAAATTCCAGGCAATGGCTTACTTCTGTCCTTTTATTTGTATATCTTGATAAATGAGATGTGAATTTTAAAAATCTTGCGTCAAATATTTCTAGTTACTTAATGCTGATAGCTAAGAAGATAACTTCTACTAATGAAGATAATTAATAAAGCATTCTAATTAAGAAAACTTGAAATAGCTAAATTAAGGAAAAGGGTAAGGCCACTGGCTCAAACTTGGAAAATATATGGGTAAAATCTTAAGACATTTTCCTTGTATTAAAACAGGTGAGTTTTCTGAAGCCATGTAATTTATGCTTTTGTAGGTCCTATTGACATTAGGTCCTCCAATAATTCCTTCCTCAAAGTCAGACATTAATGAACCATAAAAATTAGTTTTTTAGTTTTTTGTTTGTTTTTTTTTGTTTTTGAGACAGAGTCTCACTCTGTCACCCAGGCTGGAGTGCAGTGGCGTGATCTCGGCTCACTGCAAGCTCCACCTCCCGGGTTCAAACAGTTCTCTGCATCAGCCTCGCAAGTAGCTGGGACTACAGGCATGCACCACCACGCCCAGCTAATTTTTATGTTTTTAGTAGAAACAGGGTTTCACCATGTTGGCCAGGATGATCTTGATCTCTCGACCTCGTGATCTGTCTGCCTCGGCCTCCCAAAGTGCTGGGATTACAGGCGTGAGCCACCGCTCCCAGCCTTTAGTTTTTATATTTATAAATCATGGCTATATCTTTATTTTTCAATTTACATAAGAAGATATGTGGAAAATGAAATCACATATTTGGAGCCATGTTTCTTCCCTTCTTTCTTTTTCTTCTATTTTTTTCACTCTGAGTTCCTCAGTTGCCATTTCTTTAAAATTATGAGTTGTTTTTCCTGCTTTGATGAGAGATTTTTCTCTGACAGTATTGGTGATGGAGGTCTATAGAAACATTCAAAGAGGGCGTGGATAAGGAGAGGTATTCTTTATTTCACCAACTGATGAGCGATTTCTCAGATATTCAGCCAAACTGACCTCTGTTTCCTCAACTCACGAGTTATTCTTTTCTCTGCCCTTTTCAGTTAGTAGTCAATAATACTAGCTGTGATGCACTTCTGTTGGCTTCCTAATTCAGGGCAAGCTGTCCTGACTGAGCCGGGGAAGGGCTCTGGGTGCATGATCGCTGAAAGGACACCAGTGCACATGGATGCCATTTGTCTCCATTGCATTCCCCAACTTCAATACACTTTCTGAAACCCTTAGTCAAATTTAGCACCATTCATGATCAGGGCAACAAAACCACATGTGGAATTCCTAATATGGAATTTGTGATTATTCAAATAAATTTTGGATTAAAACTACCTATGCGTGATTAATAAAGAGAATGCTAACGAATAATGAAAGCAGACAGTCAGGAAGCATTTTTAAACTCTGTGACTAAATAGTTTCAAGCATTTTAGCAACACTTGTCTATATATCAGTAAATGTAGTGCTAATTATAAAGCATTCTTATTTATGCATTAAAGCAGTTATTAAATATATGTGGTATTAGAATTTCGTTCTTGGAAAGGTTTCTGTTTGTTTTTCCACCAATTTATATTGTTCTCCTTTGGATTTTGCCAAAGCCATTCATATCTCTATATATTTTTAATAAGCAGAATTAGGAAAGTATAAAGTTTTCAGATATGAGGAATTGCCAGATGAAATTATGATGCAAATATTTGTACCATCTTAGCTCTAGAGTCAAACAGAAACTGGATTTGAGTCTCACCTGTACTACCTACTAGTTGAATAAACTCCAATAAGTTACATAATCCCCTTCAGCTTCAGTTCCCTATCAGTAAAATGATTATGATTACCTCCTGGGATCACAGCCAGAGGTAAAGAAATCGTAAGTGTTCAAAATTATTAGCAGCTTCTATCATAACCATCATCCCATCTGCACAAAATCAGTTCTTGCTTGAATGGGTGTGCTACCATGAAAATGTGCTGTTTTCAGATGTGCAGTGTCCCCAGCAGGAGGAAGGCAGCATTGTGTGCATGCATCCACTCTTCAGTAGCTGCAGGAGGTAGAAAGGTCTGACAGCTGCAGAGCAGGGTTCTAAGCAACAAGAGAGAACAGTCTCTGGTGAATGGAGTGGCACCCATGCACCCTGTCCTGTAGACCTGCGTTCGTGGGCAACTGTACTCTCCCTCAGCTACGGTAAGAGCCCTCATAACTAGAACAGAGCTGTAAATCTGCTGACTAAAGGAAAGCAAGAAAGGGAATTTAAACAGCTGCTACCAGCATGCCAGGGCACACAAAATAGGCAATTTATGTATTAGGTCAAAGTGAAGCACATTTCTTTTAAAAAACAGATTTCTAGAAGAAATTGGCACCGGACATGTAAGCATTCTAATAAAAAGATATTCTTCTCAAAAAATTATGGGATAAAATCATTCTATTATTTGACCTTTCCCCTTAAACAGTGATTTAGTATGTGCAAACCTGAATAAAAATTGCATTAGAAGCTAGCTCAGTTTTTCTCACACAGCGATTTTCATTTCTGAAGCTGGCATCTGTAATAAAAGAGAAATATGTTGAAGGGCCGCGTCTACTCGAAGAGCTGTAATGGACACTCAGTTCTTCATAAGCTGGCCTTCTTCACAGACAGAGAAGTATTTGACTGTTGCTACTTTTACTATTGGAGGATTTCCATTTTTAGGTTTGTTGTTATGAGCCTCACTAATATTCACTTTTACAAAACAAAGATTCTGGAGTCAGACCATGCAGCCACAGTGGGGTGACGAGTGGGGGTAGAAAATGTTTTCTTTCTTTTTTCTTGCTCCTTTTGATTACATTAGATACCCAGACAAGAAGAGAAAGAAGAGAAAAGCTGATCAGGAATCACGCCTAATGCTGCAGAACGATGCCCTGAAAATGCTGAATGTGCCCCCTATCTAAGCCAACTAAACTTGTATTTACACAGGAAATTAATCCATCAGAAAATATTCAAAGCCAAGAGAAAGTGGATATTTGGAGAACTTATCAAATGTACATGGAATAAGTTGTTTACTTAGTTTTCTCCACTCAGCGCCTTGAATTAAATACCCACATCCTCTTCTGGGATCTTTCCTAGAGCCCAGAGCTCTGGTTCTCATTCTCTCCCTGTCACTAACTAATGATGGCACTTTGACCCATCAATGTAAACTTTCCTGGGCCCAGACTACCAAATTTGAATAAAAAGCTTGGAAAAGAGGTTTTTGAAAAGAAGAAGGAATGCTAAAATAATAGTGGAGCCAGGTATTAAATGAATATTTAAAAGAATTCAGAGGAACCTTTGTAAGCTGTAAAAGTCTATGCTATGAAAAGTTCAAAATATGTTATATCGTAAGAAATTTGGTACATTACAAAGAACAAAGAAGCTTTACATTTTATTAATGCGTTGAAAAACCAAGAGGCTGATAATGTTTTCATATCCAATATCAGTTCAGAGTTGGGGAAAAGTTAAGTTTTATATCAAGTATGAAGTATGTTATATGTGAACTATGGTATATGTGGTACATTTCCTCTGAAAAGATGAGTATACATTCAAATGATAGCTGCACATCTCAATTTAACAAATGTGGGGTATTGCAGAAAGGTTGCTTGCCTCAGGTGGTTTCCGAAAGCGGCAGATTTCTGCTCTGTGCTGATGGACCACATTGCTGTTTCTTCATATCTTTGTCTTTGCATGACTCCCTGCTAGGATGAGTTATTTCACTTTGCTGGGTTACATATTCCTGATCTGCATATTTGCCACACAGGATTGTTGTGAGGATTAACCAATATGATGGAGGCACAGTGCCTACTGCATGTTGCCTGGCACCTAGCAGGTCCCCAATAGGTTCAGCCGTTTTGGAGGGCAAGGTGTGGGCACGCGGAGGGATGCAGCACTGTTCAGCATGCCCACTGTCTCCCAGCCTGATGACTGCAGATGCAGGGAAAAAATGGTAGCACAGACGGAGGTCTAAACTAAAAAGGAAGGTGCTGAAAGGCAACTGAGCACTTCTACCTGGCAGACATATGAGAGGGGCATGAAAGGGCAAGAGGCACGAGAACAGGAGCTGGTGGCACTCAGGCAGTGACGCGGAAGCAGGCCCTGACCTCTCCAGGCAGTGGCCCTGTCTGGCTGGCAACAGGCAGTCCACTGGAGGGAGGGGCAGCCTCACACCATTTCCGCCAGACTGCGAGGCTGCCAAGGTCTCAACTACTATGTTTTGATTGTTTTTAATTTTGCTTTCTTTTTGTAATGAAATATATGGAATTTCTGTTATTCTCTGAAATCATACGATAGTGAAGTTAATATCTGGAAGGGTTTTTCCATATTTCTCCTTGGCTGGGCTTTCATTTGTCAACTCTCTTGAGAAATGCTTGCCTGATGCATCTCTGGGGAGGCAAGGCCCACACCACTCTTGCATGAGGAAGAGAAAAGGATGAGAAATGGAAGCCAAGTTTCTGCCCTGCTTAGACTTCTAAGACTTCTCAGACTCTTCCATTTACAAAATGGAGAAAACACCTCCTCTGCCTTACAAAGACGGGGGAATTACAGTCGCAAGAGCACTATGAAAATCTTCAAGCATAAAAACAAAGCAAATGAAAGGCATCATGATTAAATAGATGTCGAAGGACGTTATGAAATGGCATTCTGTGTCCAAGAGAAACCTCTAGGTCCCATTAGGCCTCTCTTCATCTAGACCTGCTGCCTGTAAATTTTCTTCACATAATTTAGATAATAGCATCTTCCTTTCTTCTTCACAGAGCATTTTATGTTGGGGGTAAAGTTTGAAAACTCTCGAGTCCTTGTACACATTGAAAGTAATTTTTAAACTTGCAAAAAATTTTACTCCTTGCTTTTAATGAGCTAATAGCATAATCAGTGAGGTGAGATACAAATATGATTAATTACACACAATGTAGGCCTGGTAAAGAACCTAGCAAAAGAAAATACTGCTGAAGTTCAGAGGAGAGAGAGATTACAACTAGCTATTAGGAACAGATAAATGGACAGGCAATTATCTGAGGGCAATAGTTGCTTAAATGTGTGACTGTATTAAGGGGAAAACATTATCCTGCTTGGCCTCAGCAGAGAGCAAAAGAAACCAAATAAAACAAAATAGGCAATCCTATCACAATGCAATACCTGGCATACTAATATGACAAGAATAAAACAATTCTACACAGTTATTATGCTCACTTTTGGAAACATGTGGAAATAGTATCTCATTTAATATCTCAAAAGTGAGTGGCAGCAGAGGAAATCAGAACTCAGCGGTCCTGACGGCAATCCTGGCTCTGCGTGTCTCACAAAAGAAAAGCATTTCTGTCTTTAAAATGAGCACAGAGTGGCTGAGGTTTACTTGTATAAAAGTTAATATTTCCATACAATAAACCATAACATGTTTGATAAGAAGTAATGGCATTATGTAATTAGTATAAATCTGAATGAAAATGACTATGATGATTATTTGTTAAAATTACACAGGACAAATTATAGCATTTTAGATCCTCAGATTTCATTTCTAAAAGTCTTTGGGCCTACAAAGATGAAGTACATATCTTTTCATTCAAGACATAAATAAAAAACAGAAAGGAGAGAAACACAATCAGTGATTTGATGACAATACAGATTTGCTTTAGAATTTACTATATAGGAAAAAATCTTTGTAATTTTCCTGGCGAAAATGAATTGTATTTAATTAAAAATATGCTAGTAAATGCATGTACTTAGAGTGGTTGAATGATTACAATCTGAAAACAAAAGTACTATGCTTCAATAGTATATTACATATCTGATGGAAGTTCAAAATGTTAGTAGCCTCAAAATATTCTTTACACTGCATAATTGGGTTTCTTTTTAGTTATAATACTCATGTAAATCATGCTTTAACTTGCACATGCTGGATATAGTATGATAGGAAATGCTGCATCAAAATGAAGCAGCTGTTTCCATAATATCTCAATGGGCTAATGGGGTCAGCCATGTCCTATGAAGGGTTGATTAATTAAGAAAGGGATGACATAAATTATGGTGCAGTTTCAACAAATTCGAGCCAATCTGCAATGCCCATGCTGAAAAGAAAACCAATATTTCACAAAATACATTTTAAATAGTGAATTATTTTACCACGTTGTATTTGCTTTCAGCATTTTAAAACTTGTATTCAATACCAGACATACTTTGTGTGAAATCAAGTACTATTGCCTATTTGGGGAAGCATTTAATAATTTATTTTTCTTTCTTTTTTTTTTCATTAAATGAATCCCTGTCAAAGAGTTTCTCTTCAAAAGATAATGAGAATACGTGTTTAATTTTGGAAAGCTCTGATGTTATTGGTTCTCCATAGATTGTGTACATTTTCCTTGCAAAATCTCTGTACTTAGAACTGCACGTGAACTGAGCTATCACTGTTGCATTTTTTGAAACTTGTCACCCAGCTTGAATAGAGGACCACTCTGCAGAGCCCCATCACTAACCTCTGGGTCTTCTCCAGTCACTAGGTTTCTGTGAGGAGATACTGTATACTGGTAAATATATAGCCCACCTACCAGTAAGGCAAATCAATGACAACACTAAAGTAACCTAGCAGAAATACAGTAATGTGAGTTTACTAAATGGCTACTTTGGAAGCCCCAAATATTTATTCTACATATAGTGACTTTTAGAGAACAAGGGGTTCTACCACAATTTTTATCATTGTCAGTGTGGACCCAAACATGATTTAGATGAAGTATTCAAAAGATTGCATTTCCCCACACTTACCCCCTTCGAACACATTTAATCTTTCTCCAGTTAAAAATGAAAGAAGGTAATGCTTTGATCCTCATCACATTTTTGTTCTTTACTAATAAAGTTATTCAATATGTCATTTGTAGCTAGAAGCTTATTGAATAAAATATATGAAGAAAAGAATGCAACACTACAATTTCTTCCCTGAGATAGTCTTAGAGCTCTTTCAGGAGTTTCCAATTCTTGATAGCACTAACTTTCTCCAAGATTTCGAGGATTAAAAAAAAAAAACACTATAAAAGTAAATGCCCAAATGCACCCACCCTAGAACAAGTTTGCCCCTCGTTGAGGAGCCTGCTGTTCTTAGGTTGTGTCATATCCCCTGTGGATTTATGCTCATGCAGTAGGAAAAAAAAAAAGATGTGTTTTTAGGTACCAGTATAGGAAGAACCAGATGACTTCAGGGAATGATCCTCAAGGAATTACTTGAGGGAAAAGTATCTGGATTTGCCCCTCTCAGTGTTCCCAGCCGTGGGGTGGCATTGTTTGAAAACAGACAAAACAAACAACACCAACTTCCTGGGACTGAAATCCTTTGTATGTGTTGTTGTTTGCAGTGCATGCCAAGACATTCATGAGCACCAGAGCCAAGCTGGCGAGCTAATTAAATATATATATGTATGTGTTTAAAACAACCTAATAAGGAGCGTTGGAAATCTTCAAGATGAGCGAATATCTTATAACTTCTTCCGCAGGTGCGAGGATAGCTACAAGCCATGGACTTTCTGTCCTGCTTCTTGTTTGTGGCTTTGTGAAGGGTGCTTTGCTTTAATCTAAAGTGCTGACTTTTTTCCAATATCACTTTCTCTTCTTAAAGCAAAGAGCAAATCGCCTGTAAAATCTACGGAGCGGACAGCAAAGTTGACCCTAAACTCCAAGCACCACCCTGCACCCACTGTACTCTAATTCACTACACAAGGAGCGCCTGCTTCCGGAAGCATAAATGAAGAGGCTATCACATGCTTTGTTGATCATATTTTCTTTGGCAAAACACTGATCTTTTATTTTAAGAGAATTAACGTGAAGTGATAGAACGTTTTCTAATAGCAAGATCTATTTTTTCCCTTTTCTTTCGGCGACTAAAATCATCTCACTGACTGCTCAAGGGTTGGCCTGAATGTCATCAGGATAGGGAATATTTACTATGGATACCACTAATTTCCTACTAAAGGACCCAGCATCTTCAGGAAGCAAACAGAGATCAAAAGGCTACAGAACAGAAGCTATCATCAGACAAAACCCCCTTTTTAGGGGAAGAACAAAACTATCAACACTGCAAGTCAACAAGGAGGACATTACTTTAAGGAATAACATGAGAAAGAAATTTTTTTATTTTCCCCTTTTTTTCTTGGATTTTTCTTCTTTTTCTTGATTACAGTTCTTGTTCAATGGTGGCAAGTGCTGGTTATGGCCAATCTCCGTCAATCCTAGGAGGTTTATAGAACTACATTTTGAGTGTTCTATATTTCAGTGTATTTTAATTCATTTTGCAATTCCTGTGTATGCAAACCTGATAAATTCTGTAAATTGCTTATAGTATGTGTGCTATAACTTCAAAGTAGATGTACTGCGACCCTCATGCAAGCTGATTTTTATCATTATATATATAAATATATACTTAAGAATATCTGTGTGTTGGGCCAATGACCAACTTTTTTTGACGAAGCATTTGTTTTTCGTTGATAATTCATACACTGCGTGAATTTTGTAATTCATTGTTTCACTTCCACAGGTTTGACAGCTGCAGATGGTCTCTATTGTCCTCTGCTTCATTCTGGAAAGTGCATATTCAAAATTGTATCAGTCTCTGATCGATGAATTAATTTTGTTATGTCTGTGCTAAGTTGGAATTTACTATGTTCCTTTATACATGGTGTTTATTGAGGTTTGAGAGTCTCTTGACTGTGAAGAATGTACACTGTCTGGTTTTGACAGCTATTTCTGTATTATTATCATTATAATCTTGTCAAATAGAAATGTTGCTTCTAGAAAATTTGCCTAGGAGGCGAATGTGGGGAAGGTGAAGCACTCACCATAATTCCCTAAATTCATGTTAGAACATTTCTTGCTATGGTTAAAAATGCTGCTTCCTTTGACCTTTATGAATTTCTGTACCTTTGTCATTCTGTTACCTTTGTCATTCTGTTATTTGCGCTAATTATATTTTAATGTCTCCTAATTAAAAATTAAAATTTGGTTGTTGGCTAAATACAATATGCAAAAGATGATGGCAGGTCCCCGACTAAAGAAGATTAATGTGTTCAGTTTTCACTGGTTAAGTGAATTATAATTTTAAATATTCCATTCTTATTTATGTCTTTATGATAATTCAGACTATTTTATTTTGAACCTGTTTTCTACTCTGGCAAAGAAAGATAGGCAGAACTATTAGTGTTCCATATACATTATGGAATAGATAAAGCTTGAGAGATAAATGACCTAAGTTTTCCTTCCAGAGAGACTCTTCCATTTTCTCTCATTACAAAACCAGAAGATCAGCTATGTGGGGCCATCAGCTCCCAGCCTAAGGTCCTATAACCCGAAGCTTGAAGGCAATCAGTACCTCTGCTTTTCAAAGGTAAATGCATTCATTTTCTTTGATTCAGTTATAAGCAAGTATATATTTTCATAATATTCTTGACATTACCTGAGAAATAATACTTCATGCTAAATCTTTTACTGCCACTTTTCTCATTCATTTGGTTTATCATTTCAGTTTAATGAGAAAAATTAATAAAGGTTTTGATTGCACTATTTTATTAACCTAGAAATGTATTTTCTTTCAAAGTTTAATACTTAAAAATGCATAAAATAATGGTAAGATAAACACCATCTATTAAATTTATCTGGGCCTTAAAGATTGCATACATTAAAGCATAAGTAAGTATACTGTTTCAAATTCAGTCAAGTTGGGAAAAATCTACATGTAATGTACTTTTACTCAAAATTTAGGTCATGAGATTGGTCATTTCTGAAGCAACACAGACTTGTACCTGTATCAGCAATGTTTACCATGCTCATAATCAAAGACGTATGCTAGTTTGGAATGAGCTACTAGGCTCATTGTATCAGTGTCCAAAATAATGAAGATTTATCTGTCACTGTGCCACCAAGAGTCCAACTCACTGGCTACTTTGAGAAAGAACATGGTGCACTATTTGCTTCACACTCAAGAAGTTAATATGGAACCTTAAAAATTGGAACGGAAACTAAAACAAATTAAGGAGATCTTTCAGAGATTTTAACCTTATATTTTGTCTCTGCGACTATAACTTTGTAAATAACCATAACTATGAATAGGAATAAAGATTTAAAAATAAGTTATCAGACATTCTCAACCTTGTTTCCAAGGTTATGTAATGTTTATCATAAGAGAAAATCCTAAAATATTAAAATTGCTTACTTGAATTTAAGTTGAATGCTTTTGTTCTTTCTTAAAGACTTATAAATTGCTTGCAATAAAATAATGCAAATGAAAACACATGAGGGTAAAATAATAAAATAAGATAAAAATTATTTAAAGCAGAAGCCGCTAGTCAGGGTTAGTAAATAAGCTTAGTGGAGTTCATGAACCCACTGGAATTCCATGTATATTTTTGCATATCTGTTTTATGGAGGTGGTCCTTCATACGGCCAATCAATTCATTGATTCTGAGTGATTTGATTATGATTTGCTTGCCTAAAAGAATAATGTTTAGATGATTTTGAGCATCTAAGAAAACCTGATAGTTATAATTTTGAACTGGTTTGCCTTAAAGTTCTTGAATATAATTTAGGAAGGTATGTTAAGACACACATATGTGTGGGTGTGTACAGGGGGAGTACAAAAAAAACCACATTTTTAAGTTCAGAAAAAAAATCATTGCAATTTGTTGTAAACAGCATGGACTAATGATACAGGATGATGTTGGTTGAATTTTCAGGACTAGCAATGTAACTTTGCAATGGATACGTAGATGCCATTCAAATAAGTGATTCTGTTATTTATCCTGTTTTTTTAAAGTAAAAATATTAAACATAACTTAGTTTGTATAAGAAAAAATAATTGCAGGAGGTAAATGTAACCTGTCTGAGATAACACACAAAACTCTGATGATTGTATTTTGGAGTTAAGACTATGAAGCTAAAAAATGTGTGTGCACATAATTTCAAATATTAGGCCCAAGTAATTTTATTTTCGGAACTGCTCATTAATTATGGGAGCACTCAGTGTTTCAGGAAGTGTTAAGACTTCAGGGTTTCAGCAATGAAATTGATAAGGCTCTTCCCTAGATCTAAGAAGAGACAGACAATAAACATTCAAAAGCAAGAACATAAGATACTGATAAATTCTAAGAAGAAAACCCAGTAGGATGATATACAGGGGTGTGACTAGGAGGTCAGAGGAGGTTGCTCTGAGGAGGTGATGTTTATGCAAATCTGAATGATAGGAAGCCCAGCAAGAGATCTGGGAGCAGAGCCTTCCAGGGAAAGGGAAGGACCTGTGCAAAACCCCAGAGGCGAAGTCCATCTAGGCTTGCTCAAAGACAAGAAAGAGGACAAGAACATTAAGTGTGGGGAGAGTGGCAAGAGGCAAGATCATCAGGCAAGGGCGCCTCAGACAAGACCACGCCAAGGGGAGAGCACAGGGCAGAGCAGGACTGTGTGGAAATTCCAACGTGAATGACTTCCAAAATCAGGACACAGGCTCTCTCCCCAGCCTGACCTCTTCTGGTGCTTAACTAACTTGTTAGCAAAACTCCTTGGGGCACAGCACTGAGTCCTCCAGCCAGGCTGCCCCTTTGTATTGACATGGCAGGGATACAGGAGGCACGAGAGACTGTAACTTTCTAGAGTTAGAATGTCTCTAGTAACTCTAGAGACATTTTAGTGCTAACTTACAATTGATCTGGCAAAGAAAGATAGGCAGAACTATTAAAGTGTTCAATTTCCTTCCAGAGAGATTCTTCCATTTTCTCTCATTACAAAACCAGAAGATCAGCTGTGTGGGGCCATCAGCTCCCAGCCTAAGGTCCTATAACCTGAAGCTTGAAGGCAATCAGTACCTCTGCTTTATAATTGATCACTTTGAGGAGCCAAAGGAAAGAGTGAAAGATTGGGACTGCTTTGAGTGGAGATGGCACTGAACTCGTTGTAATAACTACAAATGCAATTTAAAGTAAAAGCATGAGTATATAAATTGAAAGGGCAGGTGGACAGAAAGAAGAGACTGACTCCTAGACAGGTGCTGAGAAAGCAGTGTAATTAAAAAGATAAGGAAGGGAAAGGAGCTACAACATATACCACACACACACACACACACACACACACACACACACGTTATCAGACATTCAAAAAATTAGATCTTAGACTCCACAATACAAATCCCAGAGGACAATGGATTACAGTGTTGACAGGGGAGAAATATTGTCATAAAATCATTGCATACTTAGTTATGTTTTCATTGTTAAAGAAATAAACAGACCATTTTGAGGTAGTTAAACCTCAGAGAAGAATAGCATGTATTTACTCTTCTTGAAATCTATGTTGGCTTTATGCCCCAGCTGAGATAGGAATCAAAGGTGAGGTTGAAAATAAATAGGGATAATATAAACCGTCCACCAGATTGTGTTAAATCTAAAGAATCGTTCAGTATTTTATTGTATCTCACTGTATGTGAAAAGAAACAAGTTTCACCAAACAATACTTAGCCTTATTTTGTATATGCAGTGCATTATAATATTTTCTATTTTGTTCTGTCTCTTTTTTTGTTCATGCTTGACACAAAACATTAAATTGGTTTTGCAACCTACAATTTGAAATAAAAATCACAGATGTATTTATTCCAAAATAGAATACCAATAGCAAGCATAATTAAATGAGAATATATCATAGAAAATGATAACTCGAGTTTTACACTCTTATTATGTTATTAAAAGCCAGGAAGTCAGAAATGATTCAAAGAAAAAAAAATGCATTATTTGTCCCCTGCTAAAAGTGATTGTGACTCTTGTTGGCATTGGGAGGCAGTGGGGCTGCTTTTCATGTCTGTGGTCTTTGCGTGTTGTTTTGGGTTTCTGTCCTTCTTTTCTAGCTTATGATCCTCTGAACCCCTTCCTATTTTGAGTTATCCTCAACCCCTAGTGACAAGTCATGGGCTCTTCCAGAAGACATTTCCTTCTTCAAAGCTAGAGGAATGCACTGGAGAGTAGCATGTCAGCCTGTGAGTCCACCTGTGCTATCCCGAGTACCCAGGGAGTGAGCAGAAGACTTTGAAGAAGTTCTGGGTAATCACTAGTCTGACCAACCTTGAATGGTACATGGCCCATGGGGCTACTAGGGAGGAAAGAGAAGGACAACCTTCTTGAAGACACACTTGGCTTGTATAACCTCATAAGAATGGTTCTTCAGTTATTGAAAGCAGAGTTTTGGGCCACCACAATAAAGTCACACCCCCTGATCCAAACCCACCAGCAGAGTTTACAAGCCTAGAGCACCAACACTGAAGAGCCCAATGGCCCCAGCGATAATATTTCCTGTGTGTACTGGGAGTATTACTCTCAGCCTCCCATGGAGAGAGGCCTTTGGAGAATATTAGAGAAAAAGAAATACTCACACCTCGCTGTGTGATCAGACAATGGCTCAGAACTAATACTATATCTTGAGGTCACTAGAGTGCCTTAGTCAAAGATTTAGGGGGCAAGTGATTAATAGAATACTTAGACCCCCTTAAGCCCTAGGAGAACACTATACCCATGTGTAATATTTCTGCAGCTTCTAAAAATACTGTTGAAAGGTATACCTTAAAGACGGAAGAAAGTCTGCATTGGTTCTCTGTCCTGTAAAGGCTGTAATTTTATGAAGGGGCTGGGAATTTCTCCTCTTTACCAAAATAGTCAGTAAAAAGCAATGTCTTGTCCCTGGAGGAAATGTGGATCTCCCTCTTTCTTTGGCAGTACCCGGGGCAGCGGAGTCCTCACTCTGGGCCATCACAGGCTTGCTTCCGTGCTGAGCACAGTGGTTGCTGCTGGTCCTCATGTGGGCTCCTTACTGGAGCAAATTAGCAGAGTTCCTGGCTCCTGTCCTGTAGTCTACAATTTGGTGATTTTCTACCTTACTGCAGTTAGAATTTTAAAAAGAGGTGTCTGGCTTGTTTTTTTGTTGTTTTCTATTTGCTTTTTTACCTGGAAGGGATGGAAGTACCTTTACATTATAATCTTGCCTCCAAGTTGCATTGATTTTCCAGATCTAAGCCATAATTTAGTCAGCCTGACCGTCCCCTAGGATGTCCTATTGATGAGATCTGGAGATCAGGAAGAAGCAGCACCTTAGAGGCCTTTATGTATTTATATACACACTCTACAGGATGGAAAAACTATATAAAATATGTGAAGCCATGGATGGCTCCAAACATATCTTTAAACATTCAAGGAAGTAATAATTCCAGTCTTTCACCAACTATTGCAGTCAATAGAAAGACAAGGAATGCTCTCCAATACATTTTATAAGGCAAGCATTATCTTGCTAGAGGGTCTGACCATGACAGTGTGAGAGAAAAGACCATTACAGGTTAATCTAACTCGTGGA
The DNA here is from genome assembly GCF_000001405.40 of Homo sapiens. Lineage (NCBI taxonomy): Eukaryota > Metazoa > Chordata > Mammalia > Primates > Hominidae > Homo > Homo sapiens. The sequence continues at coordinate 54,575,880 of NC_000007.14, forward strand.
TGTAGGTGCAAAAATCATCCACAGAATAATGGCAGAACAAACCCAGCAATATATAATATATCACTTGAAATAAACATAGTTTATTCCGGGAATGCAAAGTTGGAAAAACCCACAATAAAATGCTCAACAGTCTTAGACTGGATTTCCCCCAGAAGCAGACACAAGACAAGAATTTGAGTCTAATCAATTTATTTAAGAGTTTCAGGAACCACCAGTAGAGGAGGAGGAAATAAGATTAAAAAAATGTAGGCAGAATGTGTTATCAAACTCGTTACCACTACATGCAACAGGAGTTTAATCCCACGGGGGTTTCAGATAGCATGAAACACACACCTCAGGGTTGTCTCCAGCCAAAGAAGAATCTGGAATATATAAATACCAGCTCCTGTCAGTCACTGTTCGAGGGTGCTGGCCCTGGGAGGGAAAAAAGAAAGTTAGAGGTTAATACCCAGGCACTTCAAGTCCGCCTTATGAGGAGAGAGAACAGTTTTCTGCAGCTTCCAGGACAGTCTTCAGGAGGAGAACTGCAGATTGTGGCAGCTGGAGACTTGCTTACATGTTGACGTGCTCAATTCACAGAATAAAAGAAAAAAGCATACATAGATCTCATTAGATGAGGGAAAGGCATTTGATGAAATTCAATATCCATTCATGATTAGAAAACTATAGGAACAGAAAAACATCCATCTTTACCCTGGTAAAGGGTATTTTTTAAAAATGTTAGCAAACATTGTTCTTAATTATGACACATGGAATATTTTTCCTTTTATAATCAGAAATGAGGAACAAAACAATGATGCCCATTACCCCACATCTATCTCCCATGCAAAACTGTTCTTAGAAACATTTTACTAATCCACAATTAGGAAGAACATAAATGACAATCATTAGCAGTAGAATATATAAGCAAGTCGTATATTCACCAAAAGGAAGACTGGGCAGTAAAGAAAATGAATAAATTATGGCTATTTACAGCATTATGAATGAATAATTCATGGACTCTTTGAAAAAAATCTAGCAAAGTAAAATCTAAATGAGAAAAGAGTAAATGACAGTACAGCACCTAAATTTTAAGTAGGTAAAGATTCAACATCAAAAGATGTAAAACTAAGGGAGAAAAACCAACATACATAATTGTCAAAAATCAGTATCCTCACATACTAGTTTTAAAAATCTTATTTCAATAAACAAAAATACCTCAGTAATTTAAAATTTGGGCAAATCATAATTTTTCTAGAAAAAAATAGCCAGTACATGAAAATTTTCAGCCTCACTGAAAATAAAGCAATTACACCATGACTATGATGGACTAAATATTTGTGAACCATCAATTCATAAATTGAAATTCTAACTCTAAAGTGAGGGTATTTAGAGCTGAGGCCTTTGAGAAATAATTAGGTCATGAGAGTGAAGTCTATGAAATGGGATTATTACTCTTATAAAAGAGAACCAGAGACCTGCCTCTTCCTTTTTCACCATGTGAGGACACAGTGAGAAGACAGCTGACTATGAACCTATGAGCTGGAAGCAAACCCTCAGCAAATCTGCAAACCTCCCAGCCTGCAGAACCATAGGAAGTCAGTGTTTGATTAAGTCATCCAACCTATGGTATTCTTATTTTCACAGCCTGAACAAACTAAAACAGAGAAATTAATGCTTTGTATATATAATTATGAATTTTAGAAAAATGTATGTTCTTAAATATTTTATTTCCAAACAAGAAAGAAATTGTATAAATTATATTCTCAACCTGAGAAGGTAACAATTACTATTCAAATGAACCACAGGATAAAAAGACATAATAAAGATAAAAATAATAAACTATATAATGGAAAAACTTTAAAGAACAGATAGGAGAAAGTTGTTGGACAAATAATAGCAAAATAAGTAAAACTCTGGGTAATAAAGTCAAGAAAAAAGTGAAAGAAATAAATTTTTAAGACTTATAAGAAGAGATGAGCCAGGCGTGGTGGCTCATCCTGGTAATCCATGCACTTTGGGAGGCCGAGGGGGGTGGATCACGAGGTCAGGAGATGGAGACCATCCTGGCCAGCATAGTGAAACCCTGTCTCTACTAAAAAGACAGAAATTAGCTGGATGTGGTGGTGTGTGCCTGTAATTCCAGCTACTTGGGAGGCTGAAGCTGGAGAATCACTTGAACCCAGAGGTGGAGGTTGCAGTGAGCCGAGATCGCGCCACTTCACTCCAGCCTGGTGACAGAGCAAGACTCTATCTCAAACAAAAAAAAAAAAAAAAAAAGAAGAGAGATGAAACATGAAAAAACTACAGAAGAATATAAGTTACATGTCATGATACTCTACAGCATATTCAGTGGCATATAAAGCTTAAAATGGCAGGGAGTAATCTCCACTTTCAGTTAAATGAAACTAGTGTTTTCACCTGGTACAGGCATGTTTCCGTTGGAACCAAAGGTAGTAGAGCTTGATAGAGGAAGAATATAAAAATTCTGTAAGTGAGAAATCTTGTGTAATAGTGGAGAAAACACTCCCACTTGGTCCTTGATTCCTGGACCCATATATTCAAGCTTTGGAAAAATCAGCACCCCATATCACACGCTGATTCAAATCATCTACTATCTTTAGGACAGTGCTTCTTTTTTTCTGGGTGTTGGCTCCAATTAGGATATAGCTAAGTCTTCCCAAGGCCAGGGCATTTGTTTCATCAGGTTAGCTGCTTCTGGGTGAGAGGGAAGCTAGGTGTAGTATGGTGAGTCCTCTGGGCCTGAGTCCTTCAACGCATGTCCTCTGTGCAATAAGCACATTAATCAGAGGCAATGTTGGGATAATAGTGCCGGCAAAAGCACGATCATAGAGAGGAAAACCCACATGCAGAAAGCCTGTGTTTTCCCAAGCAAAGGCCCACCCCCTCCATGATGGAGAGAATCCAGTGTCACCAACTGAATACCAGAGCATCCTGGGAATGTGGGGGTCTCAGCGCCAGTTTCTACTATCAGCAAGTTGGTCACTCAACAGTTGTAGCAACCAAAACAGCCCCTGTGTGGCGGAGCCCCAGGCATTGAGCCCAAGCAAGCATACGTATACACTTAAGATAAGATGAAGTTAGGCAAGATAGTACAAGACTGCAATACACTAGAAAAATAGTAATCACCTCCATAGACAATAAATAGTATTCGATAACATTTAAAATATTTTTAAAATAACCTTATAAACTTGAATTTGAAAGATACTTTCTCAATAAAAGAAATTAAATCTATTTAAAACTAACAACAGACCACCTTTTTAACTTTTAAACACTACAAACACTTCTATTAAGCTTAGAAACAACCAGAATCTCTGCTATTAATGTTTAATATTTAATATTGATCTAATAATCTAGTGAGCACAAAAGAGAAATAAGAAACAAAAACTGGAAAGAGTATAATCATTACAATTGGAATGTAATATAATTATCTGCTAAAAAGCACAACAGAATAAACTGACTTTTTTGGAGCTAGTAATTGACTCTAGTATGATAAAAGATAAAATATTAATATACAAAACAGCATTTTCCTCTATGTTAGTTAGAAAAAACATAATGGAAATGGAAATGCATTCGCAATGAGAACACACACACATAAATTTAGCAAGAATAACAATGTCAAGAAATATGCCATACCTAAATGAAGAAAACAAAACAAAGCAAAATACTGAGGGCGCAAAGGAAGATTAATTACTGGAAAATTATACACTGTTTCAGAATGAGTCTCTATAAAGATAACAATCCTTCCTAAAGTCATGCATCTCCAAATATATCCTAGATAGTTTTGGTGGATTTTTTCTTTTTTGGAATTTTGCCAAATTACTTTAAACTTGATCTTAGAGAAGAAATGAAGGAAAATAGCCAAAGAAGATTTTTAAAGATAAATGAATGGAGAGTTAACCACCAAGATAATGAAAGTACAATAATTAAAAGATTGTGGTGCAGGTCCAAAAATTGACAGGAAGATGAATGAAACACAACAAATGGTCCAGAAAGTGCTTGATTGTATTTAAATAATAATACATGATAAAGATGAGATGGACAGGAACTGGGAAGGTGGGGTATTCAATCAGTAATTATGATTTGATTAAAAAGGCAGTTGAATAGTCCCTATTCACCACAAACCCATGAACATTCTAGAGGATTAGACAATTACATGGAAAAATCAAGACATTCGAAACTGGTGGCAAAAAAACTTCTAAGCATGAAGCACTGGAAATAAGCAATTACAAGGGAAAGTAATAAACTGTGTTGAAACACAAAATTTCTGTAAGTAAACAAAAAATTGAAAGACAACAACTTGAAAAAAGGAAAAAAAAAAACACAGATAAGTGAATTATACCCTTAATATTAAGGAGATTATAAATAAGAAAAGAACTGACTAATTGGAAAATGGGCTGAAGACACATACAGCTACCAAACAAAAGAAAAAAAATATATTTAAAATAGGAAGAAAGGGACACAGAAGTGATATAGAGGAAATTAAAATTATAAGAATATTTTATATAAACCTATGCGAATATATTTGAAAATATAAATGTAGTGAGGATATAGGCATTAAATGCTTTTTCATCTACTCAGTACTCTGCAGACATTCATTGCCTAGGTGATCTCTGTTATTTGTCATTATAAAGAAAATGCCTGAAGACAGTCTGAATTTTATCTTAGGGTTGATCCAATTTTTTTTCTAAAAGCTTTTAGGGTTTTTAATTTTATTCCTTAATGTTAAAAATTGTTGTGAAAATATTTTGTCTCTCACTCAAATTATCTATTTAACCTTTATCTAAATATTAGCACTCTCTGCCATTTTTGTTGCTGTAAGATGTGATGGTAGTTTTTTGGCAGCAAAAACTGCCTCCAGGAGCCTATATACACATACGGCAGAACTATCAAGGACCTGCCTGAGAATGAACTGTTTAGACATTTGCTTTAATCTGTTTTTGCTCAAGTTTCCCAAAGTAATTTGCTCAGCATCCAGCACAAAGCAGATGAAAATAAATATTTCCTTCTGTAGTTTCTCTTGATGACAAGATCACTTCATGGAATAGTCCAGACTTCCATTTAGGTTTAATCAGTATGCAGTTTCTCTTCTGATATGGTGGGCAAATCCACAATGGGAAAATATAATGCAAATTATGAAAGAATGACTCAAGTTAATGCAGCACTGAAGCAGGGCACGGGTGAAGGACTGACACTTCCTAACTCCAAGACTCACTATAAAGCTATTAACAAAATAGACAAATCGATCAATGGAGTGAAAAAGAGAACTCAGAAATAGAGCCACACATTCATAGCCAATTGACCTCTGACAAAAGAGCAAAGGCAATGCTTTGGAGCAACTATAGTTTTTTACCCATGGTGCTGGAATAACCAGACACTCAAATGTCAAAAAAAAAAAAAAAAAAAAGAACCTAGACCTTACACCTTTCACAAAAATTAACTCAAAATGGATCGCAATGTAAGACTTGTAAAACTATAACTATAAAACTCTTAGAAGAAAACTTAGGGAAAATTGCCCTAGATTTGGCAATTTGTTTTTAGATACAATACCAAAAGCATACTCCTTGAAAGAAAAAAAATTGATAAGTTGAACTTCATTAAAATTAAAAACTTCTGTTCTGTGAAAAAACAGAAAAAAAAAGGTAAAAACAAGCCACATACTAAGAGAAAATATTTTCAAAACGCATATCTGATAAAAGAGTTGCATCCCAAATATACAAAAAACAATTAAAAATGACTCATTTTAAAAATGGTTAAAGCATCTGAACAGTCATCTTACCAAAGAAAATATGGCATCTTTCCAAAAGAAAGTATGATGCCAATGGCAACAAAACCTATGAAAACATGCTCAGCACATATACCACTGGGGAATTCCAAATTAAAACAATGGGATCCACTACATAACTGTGAGAATATCTAAACCCAAAACACTGACACCACCAAATGCTAGTGAAGATGTGGAGCAACAGGAATTTTCATTCAATGCCAGTAGGAATGCAACACGGTACAACCTCTTGGGAAGACAATTTGGCAGTTTCTTACAAAACTAACATACTTGTCCCATATGATCCAATAATTATTCTCCTTAGTATTTACCCAAAAGAGTTGAAAACTTCATCTACACAAAACTCTGCACAAAGATGTTGATAGCAGCTTTATTAATAATTACCCAAATTAGAAACAACCGACATGTCCTTCAGTAGGTGAATAGATAAATAAACTGTGGTTTTCCAGCAATCAAATATTGTTCAGCACTGAAAAGAAGTGAGCTATCATGTCATGAAAAGACATGGAAGAAACTTAAATGCATATTACTAAGTGAAAGACACCAATCTGAAAAGGCCACATACTGTATGATTCCAAATATATGATATGCTGGCAAAACCAAAACTATGGAGACAAAAAGATCAGTTGTTGCCAAGTGTTGGGGGGAGGGTGGGGTAAGTAAGTGAAACACTGGGGATTTTAGCACAGTAAAACTATTCTGTAGGACACTATAATGGTGGACAGATAGCATTCTGGCTTTGTCAATACCCACAGAATGGACAACACCAAGTGTGAACCCTAATGTAAAGCATGGCCTTTAGTTGATAATGGTGTGTCAATGTTGGTTCATCAACTTGGTAGGGGATGTTAATAGTGTGGGAGGCTATGCATGCATGGGGCAGGTGGCATATGGAAACTCTCTGTACTTTCTGCTCAGTTTTATGGTGAACCTAGAAATCAGTATATAAAAGGGATATTTGCACTCACATGCTTATTGCGGAACTATTCAAAATTGCAGAGATAAGGAATCTTAAGTGTCCATCGACAGAAAAGTGGACAAAGAAAGTGTGGTCTGTATACACAAGAGAATAGTATTCTGCCATAAAAAAAGAAGGAAATCATGTCATTTGCAGCAACATAGATGGAATTGGAGGTCGTTGTTAAATGAAATAAGCTAGAAAGGTATGTTCTCAGATGTGGGCACTAAAAAAGATGATCTCATGCAGATGCAGAGAATGATGGATACCAGAGTTTGAGAAGGGTGTGTGGGTTGGGGGAATGAAGAGACGTTGATCAGTGGGTACAAACATATAATTAGATAGGCGATATGAGTTCTAAGGTTCCATAGGATAACTATAGTTAGCAGGAATGTATTGCATATTTCAAAGTAGCTAGAAGAGAGGACTTGAAATATTTCCAATGCGTAGAAATGACAACTACTCAAGGTGCTGGACACCTCAAATATCCTGACTTGATCATTACACATTATATGCATGTAACAAATACTCACGTGTACCCCATATATATGGAAAATATTATGTATGAATTTTTAAAAGCCTATTAGCAAAAAGAAATGTGTTATCAAGTCACAAAAAAGACATGGGGGGAACCTTAAATGCATATTACTTAGTGAAATAAGTCAATCTGAAAAGGGTGCATACTGTATTATTCCAAGTATATGACATTCTGGAAAAGCAAAACTATAGGGACTTAAAAGGATTAATACTTGCCAGGAATTCATGGGTACAGGGGAAATATGAAGAGATGAAGCACAGGGGTTTTGGTACAGTGGAACTATTCTGTATGATACTATAATAGTGAGTACATGAAGTACATTTTTAGAACTACACAAGACAAAGTGTGAACGTTAATGTAAACTACAGACTTTAGTTAATAATTACATATCAATATTAGTTCATCAGTATTTACAAATGTACAGCAGTACATGATGGTAGTAATAGGAGAAAACAGTAGAGGAGAGAGAGGGTATATTAGAGCTCTCTGTACTATCTGCTCAATTTTCTGTAAACCTAAAACTGCTCTAAAAAACAAAAGCTATTAATCTTTTTTTAAAAGGTGACTCTGATGCTGTAAAATGTGTCAACACACTTTACTGTGTTTCAAAAAAAATTTGAGACACTCTAACCACTCAGCATGATTGAGGTCAAGGATTTGGACAGGGTTGCAACAATCACTTTGCTATTACTCTTATGTCTTTAATGTCAAATGCCAATGTCACTAAGTAATTATGAAGTCAATATCTTCAACTAAAAATCAAGACAAACAATAATTATATCTTCACACACCGAGATGCAAAATACACACTAAACTTTATGCTACTAAAAATGTTATGATTATGTTGATTATGCAAAGAAAACTATAATGGAAGCAATGAGCCCTTAAAGTACATCATACACATTTTCTACATGATGCCAAGTTAGGAATTTTTGCTACAAGATTTCATTCTGCCTGCATGTCAAATTCAAAGGTTTGAAAATGTGAATCACAGACCTATGGGTGGATGCCAGTGGTCCATTTCATAAGTTTCTCTAAAATATATCTATCTCTAGCAGTAATGTAGGCTCTTGGAGTTGAAATGGAGTAGAAATACAATGCATGCATATAAAGAAAGAAAGGAAACAAGGGAGGAGAGAAGCAAAAGAAAATAAATATAAAGGAAAGAATGAAGATTCCTTGATTGAGCTGTGTGTGAAAATGCCTAAATTCATTGTTTAAGCCTGAGAGAGTTCTGAGTATTCTCCATCCTACAGAATTTTAGGAATCAGAAAGATAGTCAAACTCTTTTGTATCTGACTTATATTTCAAATTTCTGAGAATATCAGAAAGTGTTAGATACAGCACTGGTTGCCTTGAAACTAAGCTCATTTTCCTCCGAACCTCTTGCAGATTTTTCTTAAATAATCTGTTTTGTATGTATTTGCTTCAATGACAGTTATGGATAAGGCTGACGTGCCTAAAATATTTTAATGTTCCAAGACAGGAATGCATCAAATGTTTAATAAGAGCCTCACTTCATTTTTAAATTGGCAGCAACAGCACACATTCTCATATTCCCCAGCATTAACACATACCTGTTCCCTTTATTATAGCAACAGCATGGTTGGAATGAACAGCACTGTCACATCATTTTAGATGTTTATTGTGGTGCAGCGTTGCATTTTATTATCCACAGTTTCAGGCAGTGAATGAAAATGATTTATACAAGCTTCTTAAATTATACCTATCTGTAGAAACATGACTAGGCTTTTAGATGACAATGATGCTTCTTTTTGTTACATATTAATTTGATTGCCTTCCTCCTTTCTCTTTTACCTTCCTTTTATGCTCTTTCAGGGAGTGAGAGGGTAGAAAGGAGAAACTCATAAATTTGAGAAGAGTGGGTATGGGCATTGGGAAAGAACAGATAAAATTGCAAAAATAAGGGATCCTCGTGGTACCAGACAACAATAAAGATGGCCCCAGGAGACCAATCTTAAAGCATGTTAGGGAAGAATTCCATCGAAAATCTCTAAAATCAAAATACTAATTATATTGACAGGAAAACTAGAAGAGGTGAAGTTACTGATGTCACCATTAAACTCAGCAAAATTAGAATCCTAAATGAATGCTGATGTACTCTAATTCATCTTAGGTCCTGTATTGTTTTCCCACAATATACAGGAGAGAATGTACATATTGAATGGTTTCATGAACTATTGCCACAAGGCATTAACCTATATATTCTTTATAATATCTATCATATTTATTATAAATGTCTAACAAAGTAAGAAATATGTACACAATTATAATAATATGCAAACCATATAATATAAATAGTTTCCTTAGCTTGTTAAATCCAGTTGGTAACCAATGAACCCATCCAATGAATGCATAGTATAATTTTGCTCAACACTTTTCAATATCTCCCATGTGTCCATAAAACATAAATTATGTTAAGTCGGCAATTAGAAGTCTTCAAGGCCTGGGCTCACCCTATGGTCTTGGCCCCATCCCATACTGATTCTTCCCAGATACTCTCTGGTTCAACAAAAACCCTATTTACCACACCCCAATGCACTGCAAGTTGTCATTAGTGACACAACCCAAGCCTCAGGATGATACATCTCAGACTATTTTTTAAATGTCTCTTCACACGCACAAAAAAAAAACCACCTGTTCATCCAATTATTTTCAAGAAGTAGCAGATACTATGGGAAAAGTTTATAATGTCCAAAACAGTAAGGTCCACGTATTCTTCAGCACAAAAAACGTCATAGGTCTTCATCAATTATATATACAGATAAGTGTTTCAACAGAGGAAATAATCACAAATACAGTCATGCGTCACTTAAATGGGGATATATTCTGAGAAATACATCCTCAGGTGATTTCATCGTTGTATGAACATCATAGAGTGTACTTAACACAAACATAGCTGGTAGAGCCCACTACACACCCAGGCTATATGGTAAGGCCTATTGATCCTAGGCTGCAAACCTGCACAGCACACTACTGTCCCGAATACTGTAGGCAGTTGTAACATAATAGGCATTTTTGTATATAAACATATCTAAACATAGAAAAGGTACATAAAAATATAGTATAAAAGACAAAACATGGTACACCAGCATAGGGCACTTACCACTTGAAGGACTGGAAGTTGCTCTGGGCAAGTCAATGAGTGAGTGATGAGTGAATGGAAAGGCCTTGGACATTACTGTGCACTGCTGTAGACTTTATGAACACTGTATAATTAGGCTACATTCAATTTATAAAGAAATATTTTTTTAATAATAAACTTTAGTTTACTTTTTCTTTACAAACTTAAATTTTTTAACCCTTTTGTAATAACACATTGCTTAAAATACACATTATGTAGGTTTTATATGTACATATACGTATATATATATATAAAAGATTTTCTTTATATCCTTATTCTATAAACTTTTTCTATTTAAATTTTTTTTTAATTTTTACTTCTTAAATTTTTTTTAATGTCTTACAAACACACACATTAGCCAAGGCCTACACTGGGTCAGGATGATCAATATCACTGTCTTTCACTTCCACATCTTGTCCCACTGGAGAGTCTTCAGGGCCAATAACACGCAGGGGGCTGTCACCTCCTATGATAACAATGCTTTCTTCTAGATACCTCCTGGAGGACCTGCCGGAGGCTGCTTTACAGCTAACTTTTTTTAATAAGTAGAAGTATACTCTACTCTAAAGTAACAGTAGCCGAGTGCAGTGGCCCACGCCTGTAATCCCAGCACTTTGGGAGGCAGAGGGGGGTGGATCACCTGACGTCAGGAGTTCGAGACCAGCCTGGCCAACATGATGAAAACCCGTCTCTACTAAAAATACAAAAATTAGCCAGGCGTGGTGGTGGGCGCCTGTTATCCCAGCTGCTTGGGAGGCTGAGGTGGGAGAATTGCTTGAACTTGGGAGGTGGAGGTTGCAATGAGCGGAGATCACACCACTGCACTCCAGCCGGAGTGACAGAGCCAGACTGTCTCAAAAAAAAAAAAACAATAAAAGTATAGTATATAAATATATAAACCAGTAACATAGTCATTTATTATGATCAAGTATTAGGTACTGTACATCATTGTATTGCTAGACTTTCCTACGACCGGCAGCACAGCGATTCATTTACACCAGTGTCACCACAAATGCCTGAGGAAAGTGTGTGCTGCAACACTGGGAAGGCTAAGCCACTAGGAGATAGGGATTTTTTCAGCTCCACTACAATCTTCAGGGACCACCATCATATTTGCAGGCCATCATTGACCAAAACTTGTGTGGGACATGGCTGGAATAGTCACAAAAGCTACCTTTCCATGTCATTGCCAGCATTTCACCCCTCCCTGCCTTGTCACCTGACCTCTTTGTTGGCCTGGTCCACCCTGCCTGACTTACCCACTCTAGGCTCATCACATTCATTATCTGAAGCTTCCAATTCACCTTAGGGGTTTGCAGTTAAGGTGTTTCTGTAATTTGGTGTGTTTCATTTTAGGTGTCTCATTTAAAAACACAGATTTCAGGGAATTTAAATGACATGGCTAAGCCAGTTACAGAAGACAGGAAAAGACAGGATTCACAGATACTGTTTTCTAAGCCAGTGTCTTCCTCCTCCTCCACGCTCCTTTCCATAAAAATGATGCCTTTCACCAGAGAAGTGTCGTGGCCGTGATGAGCCACTTAACCTCCCTGAGCCCCAATTTCCTCATCTGTCAGAGGGAATTATGAGTTCTGTCCTGCCTATCTTGTATGGCAGCTGCAAGAAGCAAATAAGATAATGTATGTGAAGAAGTTTCTGAAGTGCTAATAAAAAATTAAAAGTGTCATTTTATTATCTGCACATGAAAGACAACTCATGAGCACTGGGATTAAAAATACCAGATTTAACCTCTTACTGTGTTGCCATGGCAAATAATGAAAGCTGTTTGGGCTTAATGTTTTTCCAAACTATGAAATAACAATGTTAAACAAAATGTTCGCACAGTCCCTACTAGGGATGGAACCAAGGTTTGTGGGAAACTGATGGTGACTAATGCCTTCCCACCTACCAATTAAAATAGCCTTCAAGACATCAGAAGAAGTAGCAAACTTGCAAAAGATTAAGAGTGCTTAAGAATTCTTAGAAACGTTCTTCTTTAAAGTACAATGCCTTTGGGTTTTCAGTAAGATTACTGATTGTGCTTCGATTAAACTAAAGTCTCATTAGAAAGTTCCAAAATAAGGCCTAGGAAGACTAATGAAAATTCATTCCATTTTTAAAAGCTAAGATTGACAGTAAGTGTATTGCCAGAATTTGCAAGGGTTTTATATTAATTACAACATCAAGGAAGCTGGATTTAGAATTGTCCCTGGGAGTCTACCACATTCAAAATCCATCACACAGGGCTGCTGCTCACAGATTACAATTGTTCTTCCCCGGGAGGAAGGAGCGGCCATCCTCGGCTGAGCTGTAGCTGCTGTGAGACAGCAGAGAAATGTATGCTCCCAATCAGAGGATGAGGTCAGGGAAGACAGGAAGAGGTCCGATGTCCAAGCAATCTGGGAATTGGGGTTTTTCATCGATGCCACCATCTCTTCAACATCAGTAAACAAGCAGAACCACGTGAAGTGAATCGCTGGACATTTACTCCCAGGCTTTCCTTGTTCAGCAGTTACAGATTGGAGATGGGAACTCACAAAGGACAAGGGTGGATGTTAGAAATGCTGAGACCAATACTCCTACCCTGAAAGCAGACAATAGGTCTTGATATAGCCCTCTCTTTTAGTTCTTATTTTGCAAAAAGAGAAAATTCATGCATAAATACATTGAAAAATAAATGAACCCAAAACAGTGGGATTTAATGAAAAGGGTACATGTTGATCACAAAACCAATCAGATACAAGTGTTACTACTATGTTTTAAATAAATGTAATAATATATAAAGCCTTAAATTATTTGTAACCACTTTTCACAGTCTATTCCAAGACAAATGGATCCAAACATGGAAAAAATAATCAATATATCAATTCAAAGGTTTTGTAATCAAAGCATTATGGGGGTGGGTAAAAGGATATGTTTACAACATTATAAAAATGTTTTTGAAAAATATCAAAACATGAAATTTTACACAAAATATGGTAATAACTAATATTACCAAGTACTCACAATGTGCCAACCACATTTCTGATATTTACACATACTAACTTATTTCATTCTCATAAACATGTGAAGTAGACACTGCAGTTTTCTCTTTTGAAGGAAGAAACTTGATTCAAAGAGGTTGAGTAATGTGAATCTGTGACATAATGTCACCAAGACAGTATGGTAGAATCTCAATGACTCAATGTCACCAAGATGGTATGGTAGAATCTCAGTGACTCAATGTCACCAAGATGGTATGGTAGAATCAGAATTTAAAATACTCTCTGGTTTCAGATTCCTCACTTATAATGACAGTGCTACATTAACAACAGCAACAACACATATGTACAGTATACACACATACAGTATACACATACACACACAACATATACAACATATACATATAGTGTACACACATACAGTATACACACACATATGGTATACACATATACAACATATGCATACAGTATACACACAGTATACACACATATAGTATACACGTATACACACAGTATACACACACAGTATACACACAGTATACACATACACAGTATACACATATACACACATACAGTATATAACATATACACACAGTATACACACATACAGTATACACATATACACACATACAATATACAACATATGCATGCAGTATACACACAGTATACACACACATACAGTATACACATGGGCAGTATACACACATGCACACACATGCAGTATACAACATGCATACAGTATACACACAGTATACACACATATACAGTATACACTTATACACAGTGTACAACATATACATACAGTATACACACATACATAGAGTATACACATGCATACATACTATACACATATACACACACAGAATAAACATACATAGAGTATACACATGCAGTATACACATACATACACACATACATTATACAACATATATATACAGTATGCACACAGTATACACACACATATAATTAATGCTAGAAGGCTATACACAGGAACACTATTGATTGTTGTATTAAGCTATAGGACTCAAGGATATTTACAGTCTTGTACAACTTAATAATTTTTATTATGAAAGCCCCTCTATTAATACTTCTAAAATGTTAAAGTACTTTATCTAAAAAAATAATTTTACCATCCATCGACTCAGACATGAGCAACAGGATAAACATAAACAGTACGAAAGACACCATCTGTACAATTGTGTAGACAAATCCAAGTGTATTTTATTCTTGTTAAAGTAAGCATGTTGATTCAGTGATGTATTGTTTCCAAGTTGACTTAATTTAGGTGGCCTATTCCATTCTTTCTATTTAGGGCTTCTTTATTTCTTTAGTTGTATTTATACATTGTTTAAAACAATGCTTTTAAATCAGATAGTATAAAAAGGTAAAATCATTAATAATATTCAAATAAGTGGACCAGACCGTAGAACCTGAAAGGAAGTAAACTGTGCACAACACATTCAAGATGATGCAGTGAGTGTGAGTTTAAACTACCTGTTGCTCAGGCCATGTTGAACAGGAACTAGTGCAAGGAGCACAGGCTCAGGCAGCCACATTTTGGGATCATTTCAGATCTTAAACCCTGTGCATCAATTTCTCCTTCCATAAACTAGGGATAATAATAGAACCTGTATCATAAGGTTGTTGGGAAAATTAAATAAAATGTTGTCATAAAATGTAATGTTGGTGTGAGGTTCTTTTGTTTGTTTGCTTTTTTTGATACGGGGTCTCACTGTGCTGCCCAGGCTGGAGTACAGTGTTGTGATCCTGGCTCACTGCAGCCTCAACCTCCTGGGCCCAAGCCATCCTCCCACGTCAGCCTCTGGAGTAGCTGGGACTACAAGAACACAGATTCATGCCCGGCTAATTTTTTTCAGTTTTTGTGTAGTGACAGAGTCTCACTAGGTTGCCTAGACTGATTTTTAATTAGAACAGTGCTTGCTATATAGTAAGTGTTCAAAAGATGTTAACTACTATTCTGATTTAGGAAATAAGGTAACGGGCAATGGAAATAAGCAGCACCATGGCTTCCTATGTTCCCTTACAGAAAGGTAATTCCTGTGGGTAGTGGGTGGATAAGGCTGCCTTGGATGAAAATGAATAGACTAGAGCCTTTCTACCCCGTGTGTTTCTGAGATTAGCAGCACCTTCATCACCAGCAAGTTTGTTAGAAATGAAGAATCTCAGCGCCCTCCCACATGCCTGAATCAAAATCTGCATTTCAGCAAGACCTCCCGGGAGATGCTGTTCAGGAAGCCCTGATCCAGAGCACAGATGCACAGACGCGGCTTGTTATTGTGTGGCTGTCCTCACACCTGAGGTCAGAGGCTTGGCTGCATGCTACCCCTCCAGCCTCCTTCCTGAGGTCTCTGGGTTCGGGAGTCCCATCTTCATTTGGTGAAGCACTCCTTCAGCCAAACTCGGCCCGGCCAAGACAATCACCTGTCACTAATTTTCCTGCCATTCGGTTTAAAGCCTATGATAAAGAAAATATCTAAAAAGAAATTGCTATCTGAAATTTTGATTCTATTTTATTTCTATTGCAAATTGCTTCTAGCAGAACCTGACAAAAATAACCCCTGCTCTTTCTGAAAATGATCACGAGTCACCATAAGGGCACAGTATGCCTTACTAAATTACACTGTCAACTGGAAATTAGCAATTGACCTGCGCATCCCTTTTTAATAAGAACATCCCTGCTGGTATTGATTTATAGGGAGCATTATTTCCTATTGCAGTATGAGTAGTAATAATTTTTCCTTGGAGGCACCTTAAGTTTTTAAGAGTTCCTGTAACAAAGGAGATTTTAACAAGGCAGGAGTAATTTTATGTGATTGTAGGCTGTTTGTTATGCACTGGTGATTTATTTAATTGAACATGATAGAGAAGACTCCAGTATTACAAATACACATCACCAACAACCGCTTTACACGCATCTGAAAATAGAAAGGGAACACGAGATGATGAAAGCATCGAGGCATTTTTAAACTCATGAAGAGAAAAGGCACTCAGGAAAAGTGGACATCTAGAATGTCCACTTGTCTAGTTGGTATTTAATTTGTCTACACACTGAGCATTCTATATTGACATTAGTAGGTGTTAACTCCTGGGCTCATACCCTGTGTCCTAACATGACTGTAATTATCTGCTCTTATTCAATGAACCAGATTTTTGGTGTCACTCTGGTTTTCTTGACTGCTTTGCCCACCAGTAAGAGAGAGTGTCATTGAAATGGAGGAAGGTGATTACCATTTGGGCAGATGCCTTGGTAATCTCAAACTTTCAAAAGAGAATATCAACACTACCTCAAGTGATTATTTGTTAAGTCAAGTGGCTTGTTCCCCATTAGGAAGCAGATTCAGTGCACTCAAGCTACTCATCTGGGGCACACAGCCTTGAGCTCATTGCTACTCAGAATTTATTAAAATTCTATTGAGCTAATCCACACTTCAGGGGAAAGACTGCTATCTTTCCCTGCCTGAAGATACTTCCTCATCTCTAAGTCAAAAGAAATCAGACATCTAGGTAGCTAGGCCTTGTCACACTGGCCATGAGAATACTTACTCTCATTCTAGTTCACTTTAGTGTGATAGCACATACATCTAATGAGTATCATATGAAAAATAAAAAAGCTGTGAACACATTAACGGAGCTTATGTAAATGATGCTGTCAAGGATAATTTTATGTACCGCATGCAGTGATTATCTCTGAGAGGAAGTCCTCTTCGGTGCTCATAAGAAATTAGTTGTATGTCTTCTGAAAATTTAGTTTATTTTCATCTTGTGGACAATGATTTATGTAACGAAAAGGCTTTCCTTTCTGCTTTCTCTGCTGGAAAGCTTCTGGCTGACCCAGTTTTTTCAACTTTGTCTGATTTCTGGCACCATTTTTTGTCTCCATCTTTAGTCTATTTTCTGATGCGTCCACTTTTAACATTTATTATCTGCTTGGATTTTAATTTTCTTTGTAAACTACCATAAATCTTTAATAAGAAGTAGGTAAGTTAACAGCAGAGACAGGTGACTGCCATCAGGAGACCATGTGCCCACCCAAAGCCATGCACACATGAAGGACACATCCTTCTGAACAATGCATCTAGAAACCACCATGGGCATCCTATTGTGCACTTTAATTTCTTATTAAACAAAATAACAAAACGAAATTGCATTGATAAAACAAGGCAAAACTTTACTGACCACGAGATTCTTATTCCTGAGATAAACAGGCAAATGGGAGAAAAGGAGTTTTAAATGAAAAATAACTGATGCTTACTCACCTCCTCCATTTACATGAATAAAGATAATTTCTATTTATGAAAACGGTCCCTCTTTAATAACTCTCTAGAGGTTCTTGACTTCTGAAGAATTTTCCTCTGAGAGATTTTACATTATCAGGAATACCTTGAGATGGAGGATTAATTTAAACTATTCCCTGAAGCCAAGTGAAGAAACTTTTTAAAGCAAGAACAGAAGAGCAAGTTGTTTAACTGCTGCTGTCACATGGAAAAAAATGAGGACCGAGAAATAGTAGTCACTGGAATTGAAAACATAAATATCACAAATGACCTTGAGTGAGGTTTCTGTAGAATGGTAGGAGTGGAGGCTTGTTGCACGGGTTCAAGAAGGAATGAGAGAATGTAAAATGAAGGAAAGAAGTGTAGAAAATGTTTTCAAGAAATTTTTCTAAAAAATGAGCAGATAGGGAGGGCATTGCTGGAGGGGAACACAGAGTCAAGGGAGGACTTTTTTAGTTTTTTTTTTTTAAGCTTACATGTATGATGATGAAAATGGTCCAACAGAGAAAAAAAAAAAACCTAATAATATAAAACACAGATGATTCAAGCACGTGCCTGAGTCAGAAATAGGGAATAAATGTGAGTACAGGAATAGAGGAATCAGCTTTAGAGGCAGAAAGATGTAAATTTAATGGAAGACAAAGGAGGGAAAAAAGCATACACATAACACACACAGAAAGAGTGAGTGTGTGAGAGAGATGCAGGTATATTGGTGCGGGAGCTATGAACGTTTTCACATTTACATTTTCTCAGAGAAATAGGGAGGGACTAAAGGAGACCTCTGGAAAAGTGGAAATTAAAAAGACTAGGGAAATATGGAATTACTGTCACCAAAAACTCTCTCAAGTACACTGATTGTGAATTTAATGTGAGACCCACCAGTATCATTGCATGTTTTCCGCTAGTCTCATTTAAAGTGCATGGGGAATTGGAATTAACTGCATGGAACATTTTGCCAGGAATAAAAGGAAAGTATGTGAAAGTGACAACAGCAAATGACAAGGGGGCTTCTTCGGCTAGGAACGAAAGGAAGTGCGGCATGTGTGGGGTCTGAGGGACAGTGGCAAAGCTGTGGAGCAACTGATTGGAGGATTCCGTGAATGAATGAAGTTGGAGTGTAGAGAAAGGAAGCAGAAGTGATTCAAAGTGGTGGTTAGAGAGTGTAATACTTAAAATTGAGGTTGTGGAGGGGTTGTCATTATTGGTAATAACAATATTAAAGGTAAAAATAAATGACTGACCCTTGATTGTGGGCAAGATTACTAGAAGTGGAAAACTCAAGGAAATGAGAAGTGCCAGGGTATTAAAAACATTTTCCATGAAAATACTGGCATAACCAAGAGAGTATGAATCATGAGTTGTTAGAATAAAAAGAACACCTAGGAATACAAGTGAAAGCCATTCAAAAGAAAATTATAACACATGATTACAAAACAAAAGAGCTGAAAAAGTGAGAGATTTACAATGTGTTCGTAGATAGAAAGGCTAAATATCATAAAGATGACAATGCTTCCCAAATTAATCTATAAATTCAGAGTAACTGTCATAAAAATCTCGAGTTATTCACAGAACTTGACCAGATTGAAAAGTAAACAAAAACAGAGCTACATAAAAAATCATAATTGTGAAATTTTGAACATCAAGGATAAAGAACAAATCTTAAAGCCTCCAAGAAAGAAAACCAGCTCAAGAAAGCCTTTCAAAGGCCTAGAGATCAGTAGGGCATTTGACTTTTCAGAGCATTTCTGACACCGAAAAACAATGCGGCAATGAATTCAAAGTTGAATATTTCAAAAAAAAATTTTAAAGGAAGAAGACAAAGATCTCCTAACTACTCATTCTCAGGAAGTTAATGGAGACTATACTTCATTGGAGAAAAGTAGAATACAGGCCAAGAAATTAGAAGCCATGAGATCTGCGGTGAGAGAGGAGAAGGAACGTCTCAGGAAGGCAGTTATGAAATGCGTCATAAGTTTTGCTGCCCAGAAAGAGCCTCTTAACAATTTTCCCTAAATCAATGATTCTCAAATAGTAGCTCTCAATTCACCTGGAAACTTGTGAAAAATGTAAATTCTCAGGGCTCTTCCCAGATCTACAGGATCAAAATCCCTGTGGCTGGGGACACAGCAATCCAAATCCACACTGCATTTAGCCCTCTCAAGGCTTCTGCTGCAACACAGGTGTGAGAGCCTCTGGCTGGGTGCCCCAATTCTCAGATGTCTTTCTTGTCACACCTATTTCCCTAAGGCCTGTTCTAGGTTTCTAACATGGGTTTATTTTTTAATGAGTTTTAGTCTTATTTTGAAAATAATACATGATCTCAACTGATATTTTGGAAAATATAGAAAAACATAAATGAAAAAGAAAAATCCTCTACAATTTCATAATCCAGAAAATAATATAGTAAACATGTATATATATATATTTGAATTATGTGGCATATACATTTTTAATATTTTTATTCAAATTTATATAATATTTTCTATATTATTCAAATATCTTCTAAAACCCTATTGTACTGCCTGCATGTTTCATAATATAGTAGTAGTATGATTTATAAAAATGCTCTTTTGATATAGGACTTAAGAAGAAATTACTTAGGCAGATAGTGAGGGTATGGGAGTCCTCAGTAAGGTTTTTGTTTTAATGAAAAGCAGCCCCAAAACCAATTTCTTTTTCAACAAAGAGCAGCCTGTAATATCAAGCTGCAGACATAGACAAGCAAGCTGGAAGCTTGCACAGAGGAATGTTGGCAGTTGTGCCAATAGGAAAAAGCTACCTGGGACTAGGCATGTTCAAAATGGCGGTTCTATCTTCCCTTCTCTTTGCCAAACCACAGGTACAGTAAGAAGAAAATATGGCACCAGCCAGGCAAAGACTCCATTTGCATAATAATATTAGGGTGGGGCAACCAGCCTTCTCCGTGTGCTATGTAAACGTCACACCTGATCAAACCAATCTGTGGGCCCTAATTAAATCAGACACTGCCACCTCAAGCCTGTCTATAAAATCTAGTGCAGTCTGCCATGGGCGGGATTCTCCTTTCAGAAGCCCCTCTCTCTCATAAGGGAGAAAGCTGTTCTCCTTTCTCTTTCTTTTGCTTATTAAACCTCCGCTCCTAAACTTGTCATGTGTGTCTGTGTCCTAAATCTTCTTGGCAAGAGACAGTGAACCCCAGGTATTTACCCCAATGATACCACTTCACTTTTATCGATGGTTCTTAGAATTGTTTGAAAGAATATGTAAGCTGAAATGAATTTCATGATGCTTCTTTGTGGTTCTGTGTCATGGTTACAGGCACAGACTTTGCAGGCAGAGACCTGAGTGTTACTCCAAGATGTGCCATTCACTAGTTGAATAGGTTTTTGCATGTAATTCACCTCTCAGAGTTTCAGTTCCTCATCTGTAAAATGAGGATGTTAGAATTCTTCATCTAGAATCATAATGAGGCTTGAACAGTGTAATAGAAAAGTGGTTAGTCCAGTGCCTATCTGTAACAACTGCTAACAAGCGTGAGGCTGCAGTAGAAATAATATTGATATCAGGAGTAATAGTCACATGTCTCATTATTGGGTCTTATAAATTGTTAATACATTATTGGGTTTTAAAGCCAAATTTATTGTGGTCACAACTTGGATTGGTAAGTCTTTTGTTTTCCCTTCCAGATAATGTTTTATTGCTTTAACATCTAACTGATAATTTGTGAGAGTGGTCATCCTATCAAATCCCTACCAGCATGGGACATCTGCCATGACCGTTTAATAGGCAAAAGACAACACATTGTTGTAATTTGTTGTTGTTTATGTTAACAGTGTTGATCAATAGTAAACAACAATGTATTATTCATTTAAGCATTTATTAAGAGGGTGGATGTTACATTAAGTGTTTTTACCACAATAAAAATTTTTTAAGTGTTAAATATTCTTTATGCACATAAAAATTATATTTCCTAGCACTAAATCTGCCCAAATGCTTTGGTTAAGCTTTCATGGAATATTGATAGTGGAGGTGACTTCTGAAAGTAGGCTACTAATGTTTCCCTGAGAAGCATGGCGGGTGGTGTGGAGGGCTTCATTCTCAGTAGAGTAAGGAGCACACAGGAGGAGGTGTGGAATGAGGAGGACTTGAGAGGCCGTGATCTGTTTAATGTACCCCGGAAATATGTGGGTAGAATTTCAGAAAACAAGGATGGACAAATAGAGTGCAGGTTCTTTTTAAGCTATGGTAAGTTTTGTAAACTTTGTTTACAAAACAAAAATTATTTAATCAATTAATTTGCATTATCAGATTTTGTTTTAGAATCATAATTGAAGGCAGTGAAGAGGACAAGTTGGAAAAAAGAAAGCTGAAACACAAAATGTCAGGCCTTTGGAATCATCTAGAACAAGGTTGTCCAAGGCAGAGAATACAGCTATGCGTTCTTAGTTTCTGTTTCTGGTTGGGCCAGTAAACCCCTTCCTCATCCATTTTTTCCGCTTATCACTGGAGACAGAAACTAAAAACCATGGCTTCAGGCTGCTAACAGCCTAAAACAAAACAAAACAGAACAACACCACCAACAAAATAAGGGGAAGATAGGTTGGACAAGCTTGGTCTAGAAGAAAGAACAAAGCCAGTGGCTGAGGAGATGTGAAAAGAATGGAAGCAAGGACTGTTTCCGAGGTAGAATCTCTAAGTTTGTGAGCAATTGGATTTTAGTGCTAAGAGAAAATTTAGCACTGTAATTTTTACCTTGACCAAACAAAATGGGAATTTTCACCCTAACGACTTGGAGAATATGAGGAAAAGAGGAGGAATACATGCACACACATGCATACACACATACCCTTTATTTTGGGGATTTTTTTTCTCCCATTTTTCAAACTGTCTCCCTTCTCATTTTAACAATCTCTCTTGCTGCTGACAATCTTTTCAA
This sequence comes from Homo sapiens, assembly GCF_000001405.40. NCBI lineage: Eukaryota > Metazoa > Chordata > Mammalia > Primates > Hominidae > Homo > Homo sapiens. The sequence continues at coordinate 54,598,497 of NC_000007.14, forward strand.
GCAGTGCTCTGTGTCTGAATTTTTTTTCTTCTCCCCAATGTGTTCCTCCCTTCCAGTACTGGAAACATAGCTTCTGGGCTGAATGTCTTACTTTTGCTCCTCTAAATCTGGTCTTCACCTTTCGTCATCCTGTTGTGTGTCCCTGAAGGCTGATCAATCACACCTTGGTAAAGGGGGGTTCCTTGCCCCATCTTGCAGTTAGGCTGCCGATAAGGACCACCAGCAGAAGGGAGAAGGAGCAGAAAGGAAGAGGGGTTGGTTTTCCAGGCTCCAGCCCTCTCTGCAGGAGAGTTGCTGGCAAGGGCCCCAACCACCACACAAAGCTCTCTCTCCATCTCTCCAAATTGGTTCTGAGGATTTCGGGACGCTTCCCTTCCCTTCTCTTCTGGCTTATTCAGTCCTAGAGTTGGGAATGGAGCCTTCCCCCACTACTAAATCAGGGGTGCTGTACACTTCTTTTTGGTTTCCCTACATTCTGCCCACATCTATGTAAATAGTGCCTTGATTAAACTGTTGTCAAATTGCTCAAATTGAGTGTAACATCTGTTTCCTGCTGGGATGTTAACTGATACAGAAATTGGTACTAGAAATAGCTCCAGGAAACAGCCCCTCAACATGGGATTCTAGGATTGAGTTACTCTCTTTGCCATAGGGAAGGGGGACATGAGTAACCAACTGCATGTGGGAGATCATGATTATTCAAATTAAAGTGGAAGAGAATAAAGGGCAAGTAGAGGGCAAGTTGTTAGAAAATCGAGTTGCTGTAGCAATTAGTCCCTATAGTGAGAATATGGATTGCAAGATCATGGCATTATGTGGATTTCTGATAGCTTTAGAGCAGTGGTTCTCAACTGGTGGCAATTTGGCCCTCCAGGAGACTTTTGGCAATGTCTGAAGACGTTTTTGATGGTCATAACTTGGGGATGGAAGGTTACTATTGGCATCTAGTGGATAGATACCAGGGATACAGTTAAACACCCTACAATGTACAACCACTGCAGTTATCCAACCCAAAATGTCAACAGTGATGAAGTTGAGAAACTGTGCCCTAAGGTGGACTGGAAAGCAGTGAATATCAAATTAAGAACATGTGTAGAAATCAAGAGTCTCTGCAACAAATTTGAAAGATCTCCTTATCTCCTGGAGTCAGGGGGCAGGTGGGATGAAAGACCAAGCCAGGCATCTGATCACAGAACTGCAGAGGAATACTTAGCCCTCACAGGCCTCGCACACCAATATCAGTGTCCTGCTACAGAGGCATGGGCCCATAGACAATAGACCCAGAAGACAGGCTCAGGATGTAGAACTCCCACATCTTTCTGAGAGCCCCTTAACTTCCCCATGAGAAGGAGCCAGTCTTCCTTTGCATAAAACCTTAGAAATGTCTTTACCTAAACCATTACGCCACAAGCTGATGCCAGTTTTCCTCAGAACACACCCTCTCCTCCATGCCTACAGGCCCATAGTTAAAGTTAGATTCCAGTACAGCCAGGACAAAGAAGTACCAGGGCTTCTCTGGAAAAGGATATCTATCAGAAAATGTCTACTATCACGCCAAACTCTATCGGCAGGGCCTGGGGAGAATGTGAGAGAGTAGATTGCAGGGTGCATCAGACCAAGGAGACTTAGGCATGAAGTCTGAGCAGGTCATTGTCAATAAAATCTCTGCACTCACTTCAGGCTTTGTATTTAATGTGCTGCATCCAGCTCTTGGGCTAATGTAGATCATCCGCTAGGTTGGCTAACTGAAGCTGAAACTCAACAGTGGTTTACAGTCTGTGAAGTGCAAATCCTGCAACTACCCTGGCATGTTCTGGCAGAGATTCTCTGGTCCTATCAAGGTCATCTGGGGAACTTGCTAAAAATACAAAAAGCTACTCTGCTACTAGTCTTCTCTACTATTCTAGAGCAGTGGCTTTCAAACTCCAGTCACATCAGAGGCACTTGGGGGAGCCTTCAGAATTCACAAAGCTTAGGTCACCTTCCAGACCAATGAAATCAGAATCTCTGGGGGTGGCACCAAGCACCAGTGCTTTTTGAAGCTTCCCAGATGATTCTACTTGGCACACAAGATTGACAATCACCAGAGGAAGGAGTCCAAAGGTCCAGAGGAAGTGTTGGGTTCTTTGGAAGCGGCCCCTGCAATGTGAATTTAGGAGTCTATCACGAATCCCCCCATGATGTCACAAAGGAGTCTATCGACATTAATCAGTATACTGATGCAGTGAGAACAAGGACATTCCAGGGTGCTTCAGAGCACTGTGACCCCCTGTGCTCTGCCCACACATTTGTAAAGAGTCTCTTTATTAAACTGTCCTCAAATTAGACTAGCTCTGATCTGACTCTGACTCTAGCTCCCCATCTATGCCCCTGGAGACATAGATAGTTGCTGTGTCCCCTGGCCAAAGTGGCACATGAAGTTGAGGTGATAGATGGAGCCATGAACTGTGTCCTTCCCACAATGGAGCTAGAAGGACTGGGGGTTCAACCTGCGGTGCTGCGCCAGTCCCTGAAAACACGGTAAAGATGATAGACTCTTTAATAGACTCAACTGCTGAGAGAATTTCCTTGTTTCTTTTCTGGTCAATAAATTAGACACCAATCCAGTAGAAAAGGCTAGATGGAAGCCCCTGGAAATGCTTCCCTTCCCACTGGCCTCACCAAGACCGTCAACCATAATAAAATACCATTTCTGTAGAGAATTTAAAAGCTAAATGTTCCCACTGAATGTTTAAAAACTGCTTGAGTAACCTATCACATCCTTGTTCACCTCGCCTGCTTGCCTAGTACAAAAGGGACATGGGTCCTGGACTCCCTCACCAGCAGTCATGTGGCTGACCCCTACTGTGGTGTGTGCAATTGACCAACCACAGAGTGTGACTTCCCACATGAGGGCGACCAGCCTGCTACCTGATGGCAAGTTGTTATCTTGGACTCCTTTCCTCGGAGAGAGATTACTGACTTCTCTTCACAGGGACAGACACACCGTTGGTAGAAATTGGGTCTCCATTGCCTCTGCTTCTGCCAATGCCACATTCACAGTCCTGTGGAATGTCTCATCCATCTTTGTGTGGTCCTGCCCGTACTACATCTGTTCCAGAAGCTCGTTTTCTGGTGAAGGATGTGTGGCAATGCAATTCAGTGTTCTCAGCACCTGCTCTTTATCCCAGATGCTGAAAGTTCAGTTATTATAGCAGCTGGGAGACAGCATTCTGCCAAGCTGGGTACCATCTTACAGGACACAGTGGATCCCTTAACTAGGGGCTAATGAGTGGTGCTGTATCACCTATGGTCAGACTCAAGAATCAGGGCATGGAGGTAGAAGTGTTCCTGGTTACTAATAGAAGTCTGGACAAATGTTTGATTTGAGTCCCTAGAATCTCAGCCGCATTAGATTCAGAGGTTTTATGCCCAAGCAAACTATGTTTCACCAAGAAACATAGTCATGATTCGACAATTTAGAAGCAGAGACTTTTTCTGGGCCATTTTGGACCCTTCATATCACCAAACCAGCAAACAGAGAAAGGGCTACTCTCTCTTATCAGATATGAGAGCAAGGAGGACCAATGACACCAGAACCAGGAGATTCCTTGTCACTAGAGAACTACGGCCATTGGTGAAGATAGAACACTCTTGACCTCATGGCACAGCTACGTGAAGATGTGGGTCGTCTCTCCAGGCAAAGGACCTGCTAGATGCAGACTAGCAGAGCATAACGAGAATACAGAAAGGCTGGAGTAAGACGACAGTGATGAGTGCAGCAGAGGCCATGTGGCGAGCCAGCTCTGACGCACAGTACTCTCCCTTGCTTTCATTCTCTGCTGCCTTACCACAGGCCCCTGGTTGCAGCTAATATTTCAGGCTTCAGGCAGGAGTATGTCATATCAACATCTCCCCATGATGATATGCTAGCTGCGGGGATTTTCTGGGTTCCCTATGTTGAGGACATGGGCTTCTTACCTGGATGAAGGACAGCAGTGAAGGCTGAGGAACCAGTGGTACAGACTGATGAGTACTGTACACTGGCCCCTTAGATCCACAGATGCTGTGTGCCCTGGGAGCGCCATCAATGAGAACAGAGCCCGTGGGCTCTGGCTTCCGGTTTAGTGTAGACCATAGGAAGCCCTAATAAGAAATGGAAGGATGGTGAGGGGTGGAGAGTGAGGTCAGGGTCCTATGGACTAGCAACTGGCTTCCACAGAGGTGATGGGTGCCCAACACACAGCTTGCATCTTCTCTAGATCCTGGTTCGCTGCTTCGGCCCTTTGCCCATCAGGCCCGGGGTGCTCCAGAGCACGGTGCTTCCTCACCCCCCTCCCCACACACGCCTCCCTGTGCTCTGCCCACACATTTGTAATAAGTCTCTTTATTAAACTCTCCTCAAATTACCCAATTTAAGTGTGCCATCTGTTTTTGCCAGGACCCTGACTGATACAGTTTCTCTTTTAATGAGTTTTTTTGCTATGTTTTTTTTTCTTTCTATGCTATATCTAAAAGGATTTAGGAATTTCTAATTAAAAGGAAAGTTTGTAAAAAGAAAATCAAAATGCATCTTTCTTTTCTTTTAACATTTTGGGATGATGAAATTCTAAAGAGCCATGATTTTGGATTGCAGTCTGCCAAATTACACTGTAAATAGCTTTGATTTGGAATTGTGTGCCCTAGAATCAAGGTTATTTGCAAATTTATTTTGCCAAAATCAGAAACCAGGTTTGAGAGACCCAATCCTCTTATTTATGGGAAATATTTTAACAAACTGAGCATAATTGTAGAAGGAAAGTATAGAAACATTTTTCTTGCCTGTGTATATCTAATTTGCCAACCACAAACAATATTTAAGCCATTCATTTGAGCTCATTTGCTCAGTTATTGTGGTTCCTTCAATCAGAACTATAGTTCTCTCAGCATGCTCCTGCCCAGCTGAGGATGTGAATTCAGCACAGTACTCTTAGTACACTGAGTCAGAATTTCCAAAGAATCTTCAACAAGCTAGCCAAAGAAATTAACACATTTTATTCCTCTTCAAACACATTTAAAATCCAAACACAGGCAAAAATAAAGACATCTCAGGATGGAAGTTATAAAATAAGTGTTCAGAATAACATGATATTTAGTAATAACTGGACTAAAATTATTTCTTCTTTTTTCAGGTAGCAATATACTTCAATAGCTTGTTCTTGTCACTATACATACATAAAAACTATGTTGAATCACTGACTATATTCTTCTATGCTCAATTTCAGGGCTGTTTTTCAATTATCTCAATGTTCAAACGTGACTCATTTAGACTCAGTCATTATTAAAGCCCCAACATTCAAGACGACAATAGGCGCTGAGCACTTCCACTGCCCAAAGTGAGCTAGACCCTAGGTCAACTCAGAAGTATTGGAGAAAGTCATCAGTATTGTGGCAAAAGTTATCTAAGTATGTAGCAAGATGACCTTGAAGTTCTGATGAAGGTGTGGTTCATCATAGAGAAGCCACATGTGAGTATCAGTGCTTTCTTCTGACAATAAATTTGAACATTTTATTCAAATTGGTCAAACTTGTGAAAAGTTAAAAATTACCAAAAAATTACTTTGGAAATACTAGAAAAACTGAATGATCCTATGTTATGAGATTTTATATATAATTGCATAGTATATTTTTATATATTCATGGTATTGTGAAATATGTATTTGGTCTTTGTCCCTGTTTCCTGGAATACAAATCTTAAAATCCTTGAAATCTTCAAAGTGCTATCTTTTCTATGCTAATGTTGACTGATAGTTTCAGCGTGGGGCTGGTCATCAGAAAAAGGTATGAATAAAGAGTTGGGACTTTCAGCCCCACCCTTAACCTCCAGGGAGAAGAGAGGAGATGAAGGTCAAATTGATCACCAAAGGCCAATGGTTTAATCAATCACACCTATATAATGAAGCTTTCATAAAACCCCAAGAGAACAGGGTTTAAAGAGCTTCCTGATAGCTGAGCACATGGAGACTGACAGGAAGGTGAACAAGAACTCATCCATGAGCCAGGAAGGTGGCCCTCCGGGACTCCACCTGGACAGAACAGAAACGTCTGCACTCGGGCCCCATCCAGACCTCACTCTGTGTATCCCTTAATCAGCCTGTTTATTCGTATCCTTTAAAATATCCTTTGTAATAAACTGATAAACATAATAAGCATTTCTTCAAGTTCTGTGAGCCACTCTAGCAAAGTAATCCAACCAAAGAGGAGGTTATGGGAATCCCAAGTTGAAGCCAGTCGGTCATAAATTCCAGAGGTCTGGACTTGGAACTGGTAGGAAAGAGGTCTTGTGGAATTAAGCCTTCGCCATGTGGGATCTGAGGCTATGTCCAGGTAGACAGTAATGGAACTGAACTGGAGGACACCCAGTTTATGTCTGCTACAGAACTGATTGCTCCCTTGCTAGTGGTGAGAAACTCCCACACATTTTGTGGTCACAGAAGTCTTCTGTGTTGATCGCTGTGCTGTAAGAGCAGAGGAAAAACACGGATTGAAGGATTTTTCAAAACAATTTTAAATATATTATTAAATAATCTAATTACATGCTTAATAATCTCCTTTATGAAGAAACCACAAGGCCCAGATCTGTTTCTGTGCAAGTTCTAAGAATTCAGTAAAAGAAAATTTCCAGGCCAGGTGCGGTGGTTCATGCCTGTAATCCCAGCACTTTGGGAGGCCGAGGCAGGCAGATCACCTGAGGTTGGGAGTTCCAGACCAGCCTGACCAACATGGAGAAACCCCCCCGTCTCTACTAAAAATACAAAATTAGCTGGGCGATGGTGCATGCCTGTAATTCCATCTACTCGGGAGCCTGAGGCAGGAGAATTGCTTGAACCTGGGAGGCAGAGGTTGCAGTGAGCCAAGATTGTGCCATTGCACTCCAGCCTGGGCAACAAGAGTGAAACTCCATCTCAAAAAAAAAAAAATTTCCATATTATAGAAACTCTTTTACACTATATTCTTCAACCTAATTTTTGAGGAGAGTTTATTTTAATACCAAAACCAGAAAAGAATAGTATGAGAAATAAAAATTACAAGTTAAACTCACTTACAAATGTGAACAGATAAACTCTGTTCTCTTGCAAACTAATTGCAGCAATGAATGAGAAAAACAAATAAATTTATCCCAGGAATTCAAGACTGGTTTCCTGGTTTATCCAATAACATGCACGAATCTCAAAAGCATTAGGTTGAATTTTTTTAAAAAAGATATAAAAGGCTACATATTTTATTATCCTGTTTATATGCCATTTGGGGCAGAAATAAGGGTAGAGTTTGTCTGGAGATGCGGGAGAAGCTTGGGTAATTTTATGGGGTAATAGAAATAGTCTATATATTGATATGTAGTGGTGGGGGTTGCACAGCTGTATATGTTTGTCAAAATTCATTGAACCGTATACTTAAAAAGAATAAATTTTAAGTTTTACTGCATGTATCATATACCCCAATAAACCTGACTTTTAAATTTCACAAATATATATATTGAGGAGTATGTTTATATCTCAAATCCATCTTCCCAATCCTATTTTAGAATATTTTAGAAATTCTAGAGCATAGAGAAAAGGGAAATAATACATATAAGACTTGGAAAAAATAAAGACAATTTCTATTATTCACACATGATATTATTATCTATATTAAAAACAGAAGAAAGAGATAAGGAAAGCTAAAACTTTTCTGAATAGCAAAAATATGTGAGGGCCTTTGTCTCAGTATTTTTCAAGCCCTATTATAAAAAAAATTTTTATTAAGATAATGTGGAGTTGTTACAGGGATAGGTAAATTTTAACAGGAACAGAATAGAGATCTTAGAAACAGCCCCATGCAGATACGCAAATTTTAAAAATATCACAGATGTAACGTAAGTTATCAGCGTGGAAAGGATGCACTTATTTAGGATGATACAAAAGGTTTAGAAGAAAAGAAAACTAGGATCTCAAATTCCACCATACACTTTAAAACAATTCCTGGTGAATAAAAGGTTCACATTTCAAAGTGAAACTTTAAAATTTTTATAAGGAAATATAGCAGGATAACTTTAAGACATCAAAATAAAGTATTTCTTAAATAAAGCATTAAAAGGGCAATTCAAAAGTAGATTGATAAATTTGACTACATTAAAATTAAGAACTTTTGTTCATAAAAAAAAACACCACAGAGTAAAAAAACAAATCAGAAACTGGAATGTATTTACAACAAAAATAACTTTCAAAAAGTGAATAGCTAGGATATACTATAATTTATTTTAGTCCTATATTGAACAGTTAGGTTATTTTTCTTTGTGTTTTTTTCTTCAACAAATTGATGATATGCTAAACATCTTCGTATGCATCTCCTTTTGCTGAGTGTAATTGCTATGTCAAAAATGCCATGATTTTAGTTTACATAGATATGGCCCTACAGAGATGTTTTTTCAGTTAACACTGTAGCAGGCTGATCATAGCTCTGAGAGATACGTCCTCACACTAATTCCCAGAACCCAAGAATGTTGCCTTATTTGGAAAAAGGGTCTTTTCAGATGTGATTAAATTAAGGATTTTGAAAGTAAGAAATTGTCTTAGGCTATCCAAGAGTCTCTAAATGCCATCACAATTGCCCCTGACCAAGGGAGATCAGACACACACAGGAGAGGAAGATGGGAATGTGAACATGGAGGCAGAAATTGAAGTGATGCAGCCACAAGTCCAGGAATGTCAGCAGTTAGGAGAAGAGAATACATTTCGGTTATTTTAAGCCACCAAACGTTTGGCAATTTGTTAGAGCAGCCACCAAGTAATGCTCACTGTCACGAAAATAAGTGCATGAGAATGCTATTTTTCCCATCCCCTGCCAACATACAGATTCTCATAGAGGAAAAATAGTATATTATATATTTAGTTCATATATTTCTTCTTACAAAAAATATTTGAGCATCATGCTTAAGACTAATTTATATTTCCTTTCTCTGAACTGTTTGTTCATGTCTTCATCCAGATTTGTATTGGACTATAATTTTCCTAGAAGTTCTGTAGACCCTTTTTTTTCTTTTCTTTTCTTTTTTTTTTTTTTTTTTTTGAGATGGAGTCTCGCTCTGTCGCCAGGCTGGAGTGCAGTGTGGCGTGATTTCAGCTCACTGCAATATCCACCTTCCGAGTTCAAGCGATTCTCCTGCCTCAGCCTCCCGAGTAGCTGGGACTACAGGCGCCTGCCACCACGCTCAGCTAATTTTTTTTTTTTTTTTTTTTTTTTTTTTTTAGTAGAGACGGGGTTTCACCATGTTGGCCAGGATGGTCTCACTCTCCTGACCTTGTGATCTGCCCGCTTTGGCCTCCCTAAGTGATTATAGGCGTAAGCCACCACACCCAGCCTGTAGACCCTTTTTATAGATTATGGAAAATAATCATTTTACTGATATGTTCCACAAATATATATATCCATTATTTATATTGGTATTATGATTTTTTTTCTATCCAGAAACATTGGATTTTTTTATAAAGTTAAATTTATTTTTTTTTCATTACAGCTTTACCAAGTGAAGATTACTATTAATATGATGCAATTACATTATGTTGTGGTAGTTCGGGGGTTCAGGGGGTTCATTTTGTGATTTAAATTATTTTACCTACCTTCAATTTATTTTAATATGAGTCAGTAGAAATAGAAATTAATATTTTTAATAGAAATTAATACCAACCATTTCCCAGTCAATCCATCTTTTTCTCATTGATGTGCCAACCTGCCTTTAAGATATATTAGCAACTTTAAATATATTTAGGACTATTTCTAGATTCTCTAGTTTGTGCTAGTGGTATTTTTACTTACTCATACACTAATAGAAATTGCTTAACCACTGTTGTTTCCATTTTTAATCGGTTTTAGTATATTGTATTCCTAGTCCCACCTGTTAAACTTATCCTGTTACATTTCAATTGCATGTGTATTGAACACATTAACTTTTTTTTTTTTTTTTTGAGACAGGGTCTTGCTCTTGCCCAGGCTGGAGTGCAGTGACACAATCACTGCTCACTGTAGCCTTGGCCTCCTGGGCTCAAGCAATCCTTCCACCTCAGCCTCCTGAGTAGCTGGGACCACAGACACCCACCACTACACTTGACTAATTGTTTTTATTTTTGTAGATACACAATCTCCCTATGTTGCCCAGGCTGCTCTCAAACTCCTGGGTTCAAGTGAGCCTCCTGCCTCCCAAAGTGCTGAGATTATAGGCATCAGCCACTGTGACCAGTTGGAAACATTAACTTTTGAATGAACTTGTGTTTTCACCACTTATTCCTTAAAAAAAAAAAAATTCTGTGGTCACATGACTTTAAAATGCATTGAAGTTGACATCTTTGCAATATAAAGATTTATGTATAGCCTTAAATGGCATCAGAAAGTTTTTCTCACACAAATCTTGCTCATTTCTTATAAATTTGTTTCTAGACACATATTTTTGTAGCTCTTGTAAATGTGATTTTTCTTAAACTTTTGATTTGACGGCCTTAATTTTGAACCCAGAAATCTTACAAAATTTTGTTATTGCTTATACTATTTTTTCAACTGATTCCTAGGTTTCCTATACTGTATGTTACTGATGATAATTCTGTACCTTCTTTCCATTTTATTCATTTATTTATTTCTCTTATTTGTTTATATTATTGCCTATTAACTTCGGAGTAATTTTAATTCATAGTGATGTGAGTAAATATCATTAGCTTATTATTAAATTTAACAAGAATGCATTTAAATTTTTAAATAAACATTAGAATCTATTCAAGTTCTATATCTATTCTGATTTTAATTACACTTAATTTTTACCACAAATCACTATTAAATTATATTCCAATGTATTTTTATCATTAGTGATAATTATATGAATTTTCTTTTGCTATATTAAAATACCTATTATGTTAATATATCTCCAAATATTGACTACTTATTGCATTATTTTTGTAAACTTCACTTAGTTATGGTGTACAACTCTTGTTTTGCTGCTAATTCTGATTGTTAATATTTTATTTGAAAAATTTGCATCAATATCAGCTTGTAAATTTAGGAGCTACATCAAATTTTGTTATAATTATTTTGATGAATTTATAAATGTAGCTTGGAAGCTTGTTTCACACACACACACACACACACTCATACACACACACACACCCCTCCACATGTATACTCTGGATCAGTTTATGTAGCATTGACATTTTCAATTCTTTAATTGTTTGGTCAGTTTCCCCAATAAGTATATCTCAGGCTATATAAGTGAACATTCATGGATGTAGGGATAGCATACAGGTCTTTGACAACTATATTTCTTCTATAATAATTTATCTGTTTGAATTTTTTCCCCTGTGGTCAGTTTTGATCATTTATATTTTTAATTTATATTGTATAAATATATAGTTATAATTTACAGTTTTCTCACTTCTTGTGTTTCCTTATATTTTCTCCTGTTTCTCCTGTTAATGTGACAAATTGCATGAATTATTAGATTTTCTCATATAATCAGCATGCATCTATGAGGTAAGCCCCAATCTTGGTCATGATGCATGACATTTATTATGTATTGCTACATTCAGTTGGCTAACATTTGTTTTAAAATTTTGAATCTATGTTCATAGATGAGATTGCTTTGTTTTTTTGTGTGATTGTTAATATGTTTTTGTATTGAGTTCATTCTCATCTCATAAAATGGGTGACAAAATGATCTCTCTTAATCTGTTCTGTGGAGTTTGTAAAAGTTTGGAATGTTCTAGTACTTGATTATTTGGTAGACTCTCCCTGAAAAATCCACTACTGATTGAATTTATTTAATGATTATATGACATTATCTATCATTTATTCCTGAATTAAAATATGTCCAGATTCCAATTCTTCTCTTCTTGCTCCAGTGCCACCATCCCATTTGCAGACAACATCCTCTCTCATCTGGTTTCCTGCTATAATCTCTCTCCTCATGGACCCATTTCTATCCCTGTTTTCCTAGAGCAGCACTTTTCAAAATCATTCTCTGCAGTGACAGAAATGTCCTATATCTGTGTTGTCCAATGTGGTAGCCACTTGCCACTTGCTGTCCAGCACTTGAACTCTGATTAGTGTGATTGATAAGCTGGTTAATTAAATTTATATTTAAATGAATACATTAGGTGACTACAAAAACGACCATCTTATTACTTGCTTTGTATTTGTCCCACTTTCCCTACTTCCCTTCTCTTTTTCCTTCTTTTCACTTGATTGAGAATTTTTGCAATACTGTTGATTTCATCTTCTCATTATAGGTTTTCCTCTAAACGATATAGTTTATTATTCTATTTTGAATATTTTAGTGATTATGTCAAAGTTAGCCACCATGGTACTTTAATATTCCTCTTTAAAATGGAAGTATATAAGAAAGCTTTTTTATTATTATTATACTTTAAGTTTTAGGGTACATGTGCACAACGTGCAGGTTTGTTACATATGTATACATGTGCCATGTTGGTGTGCTGCACCCATTAACTCGTCATTTAGCATTAGGTATATCTCCTAATGCTATCCCTCCCCCCTTCCCCCACCCCACAACAGTCTCCGGTGTGTGATGTTCCCCTTCCTGTGTCCATGTGTTCTCATTATTCAATTCCCACCTATGAGTGAGAACATGTGGTGTTTGGTTTTTTGTCCTTGCGATAGTTTGCTGAGAATGATAGTTTCCAGCTTCATCTATGTCCCTAAAAACGACATGAACTCATCATTATTTATGGCTGCATAGTATTCCATGGTGTATATGTGCCACATTTTCTTAATCCAGTCTATCATTGTTGGACATTTGAGTTGGTTCCAAGTCTTTGCTATTGTGAATAGTGCAGCAATAAACATATGTGTGCATGTGTCTTTATAGCAGCATGATTTATAATCCTTTGCGTATATACGCAGTAATGGGATGGCTGGGTCAAATGGTATTTCTAGTTCTAGATCCCTGAGGAATCACCACACGAACTTCTACAATGATTGAACTAGTTTACATAGAAAGCTTTAATTACAGTCATCTCCTTTCAACTTATATGCTATTGCTATCCAGTATGTTAGTTTATCTTTATTCCTTCACCCTATAAATTAGTTATTTTATTTTTATTGTTTTATATAGTCAATGTTTGCCTAATTTTACCAATACTTTTACCAATGTATTTAGTATTGCTTATTATTCTGCTTTGCATTTAGACTTTCAAGCACACTTTCTTTCTGAAGTACATTCTTTAGAATTTCCTTTAATGGTGTTCTGTTAGTGGACTCACACTATTTTTTTTTTCTGAAAATGTCTTTACTTTACTCCAGTTCTTAAAAAATATTTTCACTCAGTGTAGAAATCTTGCAGTTATTTTCTTTTAATATATTAAAGCTACTATTCCACTCCCTTCTAATTTTGAGCTGTTTGTTGAAAGTGGGTCATTCTTTGGTAGATCATATCCATTGCCTTCCCAGCTGCTTTTAAGGTTTTTTTGTTTGTTTGTTTTTGTTTTTGTTTTTGAGATGGAGTTTCGTTCTTGTTGCCCAGGCTGGAGTACAATGGCCCGGTTTCAGCTCACTGCAACCTCTGCCTCCCGGGTTCAAGTAACTACCTGTCTCAGCCTCCCAAGTAGCTGGGATTACAGGTGCCCACCACCACGCCGAGCTAACTTTTGTGGTTTTAGTATAGACGGGGTTTCACCATGTTAGTTAGGCTGGTCTTGAACTCCTGACCTCAGGCAATCCACCCACCTCGGCCTTCCAAAGTACTGAGATTACAGGCATAAGCCACCACGCCTGGCCTGCTTTTAAGTTCTTTTTTTCCTTTGATATTCTGTAGTTTTGATGACAGGACAGTGATGAGAAGAATTTTCAATGTAAACCCTTTTTTGAAAAGATATGAATTCTTTACTTGTACCATTGTTTTAATTTTAGAAAACCAAAAGGAATGGCATATACATTTTATAAATATCTATTCAGCATCAATGATGAGGATTGTCTTTTTTTCTCTTGTAATTTAGTGATGCAGTGGATTATTTGATACATGTTTTCATTTTTAGCTATTCTTTTATTTCTGTATTAAAACCTAGTTGGTCATAGTGTATTACTCTTTTGATGTATTTCTGGGTTCTTTTGCTAACATTTTCTTGTAAATAATCTGGTTTCTACTTGTCACTTTTTTCTATGATTTTACTTAAATGCTATCATTATTAAGTTTTATTATTAACATTTACTGACTTTGTAAATGAAACAGGAAGATTTATATCTTTTTTAGAGCCTAGAATAGTTTCAGTAACATTGTCAGATATTTAAAGATAATTTAAAATTCAGCTGTGAAGAAACCTGGTCTGGTGCCTTCTTCAATGTGATATATTCTATCACCTCCTGAATTTCTTCCATTATAATTGGTCCATTAAAAGTTTTCACTTCCTTGGGTAATTTTTGTAGTTTATATTTTACCGGGAAATCATGCTAGTTATTTATCTTGATTTTCAAAGTTGCTGCCTTTCCCTTTATGTGGAAGCGTTTCCAGATTTTAAAAATTCTTTCTTTATGTGACATTCTCTTTCTCATCCCTCATCAATTCTGTATGTCTATTTTTTCTCCTTTTTCTTTCTTCAGTAACACTTGCAAGTTGTTTATCTATATTATCAGTAAAGAAAAGTTCTGTGATGATTCATCCTTCTTATTTTTGTTGTTTGCTATTTCATCAGATTGTTTTCTATAATAATTCCCACTTTCTGATTTCTTTTGATAAATTATGCTGTTCTTTCAAAAATTTCTTTTCATTACTTACCAGTTTTATTTTTCTTTCTTCTTTAATCATAAAGGCAGTTAGCAACACAAACTTTTCTTTAACTACAGCTTTTACTGTGTTACATATGGTTTTGTATAAAATATTCTTTTTATCTGATTCTGAGTAGTAATGTCCTTTAAGTAATCAGCATGGTTATCAACCTACCAACCACAGCTCTAACTATTAAGAGGTCATGGCTTAGAATGATTTAGCATTTAAAAACCTGAGGTAAAGCAAGAAAAATAAAAAGTTAATTTTGTAGTATTTTAAGTTAAAAACATATGTGCTTTAAAAATCCTACAATGATTTGGTTGGAAAAGATACAATATGGAAAATAATGTAGGTCAAAATAACTGCTGTGGTAACTTCAGACAAATCTGAATTCTCAAGGGTAAATATTAAACTGTTTTTAATTGATAAATGTTCACCTGTATTTTAAAAATAATCATCTTTCCATGTTGAAAACATTTCAATAACCATATTTTGATCAAGGTTTACTAAACTAATATTATTAATGTAAAATTTCGAGACATAGACAAAAATGCTAGAGGACTGTGGCACTAAAACAGACCTCTCACTCTTTTCAACGAATTAAGGAAGATAAAATGAAGGTCTGAAAAATAGATACATAGATACAGCCTTGAAAATTGCAGAGTTTGGATTTTCCATCAGCCCCTGTGTGTGGGAACTCACAAAAAGTTTTACTTAGAAAAAGAGAAAGAATTGGACATGTTTGTATCGCTAGTATAGTGGATCAAATTCATTCCTTCACCATTTCATAATGTTATATTCTACACAGGAAAAAGGTGACAATTGTGTTTGCTGTTCAACAATATCGAATAGTAATAAATTGCCAAACCACTCCTCGAATTAGAAAGTGCAACTTCAAGAAAGGTAGGACATAAAAAAAAAAATATATATATATACACATTTAAAAAATAAAGTGGGCAGGTTAGTAAAAAAAAAATCAGTTGGAAAAGCTTATATGACAAAGATCTAAATCCATGGAAATCATTCAATATTAGCACAATTAATATAATATCAATACTAATGCCCACGGAGGCCACATGTGATTGTCCTCAGAAGTGGAATGTGTGGAGGTGAGGAATCTAAAAATCAAATCATCATCTCCCCTACTACAAAGCCAGCTGATAGAACTATAAACCAAATAATCATGCAGGAGTGGCAGAAGCATACCTTGCAGGAATGCAGTTAAAAAACAGAATAAACAGCTGCAAGTGTTGAATGCAGTTGCCACATAAGAGCAGGAATCAAGGGTGGGGAGACATAAATCAAGAAACACCTCTATTCTCTTACAAGCCTGGCAATTCAATTTAACTTTTTCAAAATATGTAAAAGTACTGCAGTGACAAAAAGTAAATGGAAAGTTCCAAAAGACATATGAAGCACAACCCCAATTAGGTACTTGTGTGTGGACATACAGGCAAATGTATAGACACACACACACACGCACACACACATACATCAAAGTGTTCTCAGATAAATGATAAAATGCTATAACAGTTCTATCACAGAGTAGTGGGATTATGGGCAAATATATTTTATTTCTTAATTTCTTTGTATTTTCGAAAATGCTCTATGCTGCTGAAGACATATTTGCATATTTTTTTATTTAAAAATTACATATTGCAAATACACGCAAGCACTGTATTAAATGCCGAGGCTGTTAAGATGAATAGGGCGCACACAACCAGCACCCTCAATGTGATCCAGAGTGAGCCGCAGATACCCGAGAGGCAGCCCAGTGGCACACCGCCTTAGCCAGAGTCTTTCACTCCATTTCCTGGTTTGTCTTTTCTTTGTCCTTTGTTACTCTGGGGTTGTGGTGAAGGAGATAACAAACTCTCTTGTCACTAGTGGAATCTGGGAGCAAAGGCAAAATGCTCTTGATCATTGTTGTGCATTATGAACTATTAGAGGTTCATATTTCTGTCTGACATCTATAAACCTCTGCTGACTGCCCATACAGTGTAATGAAAGAAAACCACATTATTTATTTGGGAAGCTATTTTTGTACTTTTCTGTGTGCATTATTTTTATTTTATATGAACTTTCTGTCCTTGAATCATTATATCCTTAAGTATATGTGTAGTAAAATAATTGATTTAATAGATGCTGTTTGTATTTGCTGTTATTTCTTAATAGCTATAAAATATTTTTAGGTAAATGTCATGAAAATTAAATTATCACATTATAAAAGACAGGTATGTAATAGAGAAACAAATGGCTAATGAGCTGTGACTTGTCACAAATGGGTTATAAGTTTTATAACAAGAATCTATCAGCAGATAGGAAATGTATCTGGACAAAGACCAATTGCCTGGAGTTAGTACACAGTCTAATTTTAGACCATTTCACTTTTCTTCCCTGAATGACATGAACAATATGATTGAGTCACTTTTGCTGAAAACAATTGAACAAGACTGACAAATGCATAATGCTTCAGACCATGAAATTCCAATTGGTCCAATCATAGATGAATTTATCATGCCTGCAGCGATGTTATTGTAGCTACAAGTCATGTTCTCTTCCGCTGTGGTAACTACTGAATAGAAGTGGGCCAGGTTTGCAGAGTAAGTTACTCAAGCATATGTCTTCAGATAATTTTTTTAATCAGAAGATTCTTCTGTAATTTAATATCTTTTCCTCTCAATACTCTTGACAAATGCCATTACAAAGTCTCTTGACAAGAGATTTTATGCAATATTTGAAGGCGTTTCTGCTGTGATTGTGAAGAGTTGTATAGCAATAAGAAACAAAAGTTGTCGCCAGGCACGGTGGCTCACACCTGTAATCCCAGCACTTTCGGAGGCTGAGGTGGGCGGATCATGAGGTCAGGAGTTTGAGACCAGCCTGGCCAACATGGAGAAACCCCATCTCTGCTAAAAATACAAAAATTAGCCAGGGTGATGGCACACACATGTAATCTCAGCTACTCTGGAAGCTGAGGCAGGAGAATCGCTTGAACCCGGGAGGCAGAGGTTGCAGTGAGCTGAGATTGCCCATTGCACTCCAGCCTGGGCAACAGAGCAAGACTCCATCTTAAAAACAAAACAAAACAAAAAACACAAGTTGTCCACCCTGGTGGGGCAGGATAGAATGAGCTACAGTCTCAGCTAGTGACTTATCAATGATAAGCTAAACGCTTGAAGAACATGCTTTGAAAAATGGAAGGTCAGATAGAGAAATTGCATAAAGAAGCTAAGAACAATTTCAAGGCAGAGTCAGACATCTGATGTCCAAATTGAGAAACTGAGTCAAGAAACAGACTGCTGTTGGAAATCACAGAAGTGGTCATAGAGCCTACCAAAAAAATGAATGAGTGCAGGTGGAAATCAGTAACTCTCACTCCCTCTGCAGATGGTTTGTCTCCAGTTGAATGTCTAGGTCTCATAGCTTCCTCCTCCCCCTTACAAAGCCCAGTTGTTACAGAAAATGGAACCAGGCCTCAAAGCTGGGTCATTTCTTCAATCCTCCATCTTTCTCAAAGCAACCTGTGCTTGGCAGATGGCAAATGGATTGGAAGCCCTGTTGGACTTGCTGTTATTGACTCTGAGTGTGCAATGGTGATCAAGCTAGCAGGAGTGTGGACTGAGCTTCTTCCAGGACAAGCACATGGGGACAATAAGCTTCTCAAGATGACCTTTCAGGAGCCAAGGAGCTTCCAGGCTTCCATGGTACCAGTGGGGTGAGGTGGCAGGGATGGGAGAGGGACTTGTGGAGGGTCTCCTGATGCCACAGGCTGAGTAGCCTTGAAGGACAGCTGAGAGTGGTGGTCTGAGGAAAATCAGACTCAGAGATTTCTCTAGATTTGGAATTGTATTGTATTATTGTTTCTAGTAACAGGTTGAAAATATGGGCCAGGCACAGTGGCTCACACCTATAATTCCAGCACTTTGGGAGGCTAAGGTGTGTGGATAACGAGGTCAAGAGTTTGAGACAAGCCTGACCAACATGGTGAAACCCCACCTCTACTAAGAATACAAAATTTAGCCAGGCGTGGTGGCAGGCACCTGTAATCCCAGGTACTTGGGAGGCTGAGGCAGGAGAATTGCTTGAACCCAGGCGGCAAAGGTTACAGTGAGCCGAAATTGGACCACTGCACTCCAGCCTGGGCGACAGAGCAAGACTCTGTCATGAGAAAAAAAAAAAAGGAAATATTGTAAAAGTATTGAAAAGAGAGTGCTATCCATTCATAAATGGCCAATCTGGACATGATCTCTTCACAGACATCATTGCTCCTGAGAGGGAAGTCGCTCTCATGACACAAAACTCTGGCACCCAGTTTTATAGGCAGAGCCCATGATCACCCCACACGTGGGTGTCCCCAACTTCAGCCCCAGGATCCGGCTATCAGGCACCACTCCTAGTCCTACTACTCCTATTTTGAGAAGAGCCAGAGAGAGAGCTGTGACCCCTATTGAATGGCATTGATAAGCAGTGCATTCTGGGAAGAGTGATCTTTGGCAGGGTTGTACTGGTGTGAACTAGCACTAGAGGAACCAGGAATATAGATAGAACAACATAACCAGGAAAGTTGTTTCCACCTGTTTCGTTCTTCCTCCCTCTAGCTGAGATGGTGCTGTTAAACTCCAGCCAAAATGAGCAAAGGACAGTTCTAAACCATAGGTCTCTGCTTTGACAAATTCTGCACACCTGTCATACCTGTAAGTGGGAATAGTTCATAATAATTAGTAATTAGTTATGGAGTGTTTTGTGTGGGTCAAGCATAGTGGTACATGTGTTTACCCTTTCATCCTCACAATAAGCCTGTGAAATAAGAATTGTAATTATCACATGTGTTAGGCCATTCTTGAGTTGCTAAAAGGAATACCTAAGACTGTGTAATTTATAAAGCAAAGAGATTTAATTGGCTTATGGTTCTGCAGGCTGTAAAGGAAGCATGGCACCAGCACCTGCTTGGCTTCTGGGAAGGCCTCAGGGAGCTTTTACTCAGGGGGAAAGCATAAGAGGAGCAGGCTTGTCACATGGCGAAAACAGGAGCAAGAGAGAGCACAGGAGAGGTGCCACACTTTTAAAAACCAGATCTGTCAAGAACTCACCATCTCAAGGAAAGCACCAAGCCATGAGGGATCCGCTCCCATGACCCAAACACCTCCCACCAGGCTCCACCTTGGGGATTACATTTCAACATGAGATTTAGAGGGGGCAAACTATATCATTCCACCTCTCCTCAAATTTCATGTCTTTTTCACATTGCAAAATACAATCATCCCCTGCCAGTAATCCCCTGAAGTCTTAATTCATTCCAACACTAACTCAAGTTCAAAGTCCTATCTGGAGATGAATTCCTTCTATATATGAGACTATAAAAACAAAACAAGTTATTTATTTCCGAGATATAATGAGGGTACAAGCATCAGGTAAATATTCCAATTCCAACAGGGATAAGTTGGCCAAAAGAAAGGGCCGCAGGGCCCATGGAAGTTCAAAACCCAGCAGAGAAGTCATTAAATCTTAAAGCTCCAAAATAATCTCATTCGATTTCATGTCCCACATTCAGGACACACTGGTGCCAGAGGTGGGCTCCCTTGGGCACCTCTGCCTCTGTGGCTTTTCAGGGTTCAGCCTTTGCAGCTGCTGTCACAGATTGGAATGCAATGCCTGTGGCTTTTCCAGGTACAGAGTGCAAGCTGCTGGTGATACCATTCTGGGGTCTGGAAAACTTTGGCCCCTTCCTCACAGCTCCACTAGGCAGTGTACCATAGGGAATCTGTGCAGGGCCTCCAACCCCACATTTCCCCTCAGCACTTCCCCAGTAGAGGTTCTCCATAAGGGCTCTACTCCTGCAGCAGGCTTCTGCCTGTGTGCCCAGGCTTTCTCATACATACTCTGAAATCTAGCTGGAGGCTGCCAAGCCTCCTTCACTCTTGAACTTTGTGAACCCACGGGCTTAACACCACATGGAAGCCACCAGGGCTTACAGCTCGCAGCCTCTGGAGTGGTAGCCTGAGCTATACCTCAGCTCCTCTGAGCCAGAGCTAGCACCAGAAAGCTGGGATTTTGGGGAGCAGCGTCCTGGAGCTGCACAGGGCATAAGGGCCCTGGGCCAGGCCCACAGAACAATTCAGTCTTCCTGGGTCTCTGGCTCTGGGATGGAAGGAGTTCCCTCAGAGACCTGTGAAATGCCTTCAAGACCTTTTTCCCATTGTCTTGGCTATCAGCTCCTGCCTCCCTTTTATTTATGCTGATTTCTCTACCAACTGGTTGCTCCACAGCCCTCTTAGATTCTTCCCCTGAAAATGGGCTTTCCTTTTCTACCACATAGCTGGGCTGAAAATTTTCCAAATTTTTATACTCTGCTTCCTCTTGAAATATAACTCCCAACTTTAAGTCATTTCTTAACTCCCACATCTGTGTGTAGGTTGTGAACAGCCAGGTAACCTCTGAAAAGCTTTTCTGCTTAGAAATTTCTTCTAGTGGGTACACTAAATTATCACTCTTAAGTTCAAACTTCCACAGATCACTAAGGCATGAACACAATGCAGCCAAGTTCTTTGCTAAGGCATAATATGAGTAATCTTTGCTCCAGTTCCCAATACATTTCTCATTTCTGTCTGAGACCTTGTCAGCCTGAACTTCACTGTCCATTGCACCATCAGATCATCATTTTGGTCACAACCATTTAACCAGTCTTTAAGAAGTTCCAAATTTTCATCTTCCTGTCTTCTTCTGAGCCCTCCAAACTCTTCCAACCTCTGCCTGTTACCCAGTTCCAAAGCTGCTTTCACATTTTCAGGTATTTTTACAGCAAGGCCCCACTCCTCAGCACAAATTTTCTGTGTTAGGCTGTACTTGCATTGCTATAAAGGAATACCTAAGACTGGGTAATTTATAAAGAAAAAAAGTTCAATTGGCTCATGGTTCTACGAGCTATCAGGGAAGAATGATGTTGGTATCTGCTTGGCTTCTGGGGAGGCCTCAGGGAGCTTTTACTCATGGCAGAAGGCAAAGGGGGAGCAGGCACATCACATGGCAAAAGCAAGAGCAAGAGTTATGGAGAAGGTCCCACACACTTGCAAACAACCAGATCTCTCGAGAATTCACTCACTATTGCAAGGACAGCATCAAGCCATGTGGAATCTGCCCCCATGATTCAATCACCTCCCACCATGCCCTACCTCCAACATTAGGGATTATAATTCTGTGTGAGATTTAGAGGGGAAAATATCCAAACTATATCATCACTGTGCTACAGATGGAAAAAGAGGGGCACAGAAGATTGCATTGCTTGAGGTAGTACGTGCTAAAGATGGAACTTTACCCCTGATGGTTCACTTTCAGCGCCCAAGCTCGTTTCTTTTTTTTGAGATGGAGTCTCATCCTGTTGCCCAGGCTGGACTGCAGTGGCACTATCTCAGCTCACTGCAACCTCCACCTCCCAGGTTCACGTGATTCTCCTGCCTCAGCCTCCCGAGTAGCTGGGATTACAGGCACACATCACCACACCCAGCTAATTTTTTGTATTTTTAGTAGAGACGGGGTTTCACTATATTGGCCAGACTGGTCTCGAACTCCTGACCTCATGATCTGCCTGCCTCGGCCTCCCAAAGTGCTGGGATTACAGGCATGAGTCACCGCACCCCGCTTCAACACCCAAGCTCTTAACCCTTATGGTATACAACTCACTTTTAGTCATAGTGTTTTGGGTACCATCATACTTTAGAAATTTACAGTGTTGTGCATATGTTGTTGAATTTTTAGGATTAACAAATAGATGTGTTTGCTTCAGCAACATGTATACTAAAATTGGAATGATATAGAGAAGATAAGCATGGCCCCTGCACAAGGATGACACACAAATTCATGAAGCGTCCCATATTTTATATGCATATGAATTGGAAGTCGTTATATGAGGAAGAGACAGCTCAGAGGTTTATTAAAATAAGCAAAACACAAAGGCAGAAAGTATCTGAGAAAAAGTAGGCATTTGATCATCAATTTATTTCCAAACATTTAGAGAGTAGTTTTATTATTGAAACATAATCAAAGAATATTAAGAAAACACTGAATTGCTTTAATTCTTTTAATGGTTACCTTAGGATTTATAGTGCACATCTCTAATTAATAATGGTCTATATTCAAATAATATGCATCTCACAGGTAATATAAACCAGTAGAACAGTATATTCCACATTTTTCCCTGGTATTTTTGTGATATTGTCATTTTATGTTTTACTTGTATATATGGTATAAATACACAATACATTGCTACTATTTTGCTTTAGATAGTTTTTTTAAATGTAATTTCAATTAAAAATTATACTTTACTTAAAAAAAGTAGGTAAGTTATTGAAAGATTATTTTTCAACACAAGTCTTTGTGTTGAAAATAATTTAGAAATTATTAGAAAAATTTTTAAATAATTTTTCAGCAAAAGTTATATCTTAAGTTTTATTGTAATTTTTATTTTCTTCGCTTTCATGGAAATGACATATTTTCCACTTCTATTATCAATTTCTATCTTATAGTGTGTGCATGCTTCTTTGTTCAATTAACTGTTAGGTTCACTTCTCTTTTTGCATAAACTCTTTATAAATTATTATGTAGTATTTAACTTTTCACAATATTTGAGACCAATATTTTTCCAAATGATTTTCTGCCATCAAAGTTTGAATGATTTTATGTACAGATGATTTTACCATTTTAGTCAAAAAATATTTCCTTTAGTAATTTTTTCTCTATTCTTATGAGTCTCTCTAATTCAGAGGACAGAAAGACAATGATCACTCCAGGCTACTGAAAGTGTGGTTGCTATCAAGTGTCAAACTGAGAACTGAAGGTTGCTGTTGGCAAAAGAAATTGAGAAGAACCATTTAGAAACTTCATTTGCAATATGACAGATAAATTATATGCCTATTAAATCTGATAATTTGAAAATGGGGTTGATAGTTTATGCCTTTTATTGTACTTTCCCAATAATTCCATTTTAGTCTATTTTTAAAAGTGTTACCCATGACATATTTAGAGGAGAGAGAGAATTGTTCCTTCACAACAGAAAGTTTGAGAATTATTGGCCTATTATTTTCTCTCCATTTTTAGCATTTGGAGAAAAAGGCAGAATAAATAAGTTTTGCTTTTGTTTTTATTTTTTTCTGATTTGTTTATGTACACATATAATTTAAATATAAGATAAAGTTATTTTGATATATGTTATGTCTTATGTTTGACTATTATTTATTTTAAAAAATTAGAGCAGCAAGATGGCAGACTTGGAAACTCCAAGCTCTCACTCCCCAACAAAAACATAAAAAAAAAAAAAGCCCAGAAGTTATCTGAACCAACTTTAAAGCATCTCTGGAAAACAGTCACAGGTTTACAGCAAGCCAGCAAATGCCCTATCAAGAAAAAGCTATTGTCACAATAGTAGGAAAGGTGTGTGGCACTTTCACTCTTACTCTCTCCACTCCCCAGTACAGCAGTAATCTGGGTCTTCAGCAGAGGGCAGCTTGGTTCCAGATCCCACCTCCCATTGCATAAGAGGGAACAGAGCAGACTTCACTGCAAATCATTATGTTATGTTTCTAACCTGTCTGGGGACATCTGACAGATTGACACAAGATACTCATCTCTGTTTTGTATAACTCCGAATGCAAGTGATAAAAGTGGTTGACGCTGTTCATAAAAGCTACAAGGTGATGACAAGCTCACAGGTGTCTGGGGCAAGGGATTACAAGTAGAGATATAAAATAGGCCATCAGAGTTCCAGAAGAGATGCTTAATGAGATGCTTTGGGGGAATTTGAACATCAAGTGCAGCCATATATCCAGGAGAATTTAGAAAGCCATGTGAATGCTCAAGAGTGCCACGTGCTCAGAAAAGACCTGAGAAGACCTTCTGCTTTCACTGCTGGCCCAACCCCAAGCTTGAGCAAGCCTAGCCCAGAGATGAAGGGTCCCAGCACAGAGCCAGTCTTCAGAGGCTGCCTTGCAGCTCCTGCCTCTGTTTTGTTTTGTTTTGAGAGTGTGTGTGTGTGTCTTTCATTGGTTTGTTTGCTTCAGCCCCTGATTTTTTAAAAATCTCTGTCTAAACATTAGCTGAACATGAGCTAAAGAAACAGAGACTCCAGTGATCACACATGACAAGAAATAATTTTTGAAAAAACAGTTTGGAAAAGTCTTAAATGGGCTAATACAGCCTTCAACAATAAAAATAAAAGCAAATCCTGAGGAAGAGGGAGAATCTGATTTCCAGAAGTACCACATTAAAACCATCAAATTCCCAATTTCCAACAACAAAAATTACAAGACATACTAAGAAATAGAAGATGGCTCATTCAAAATTTGCAAATAAATTCAAAATAAATTGAAAGAAACCATCTGTAAGAAAGCATGCACATCAGACTTACTAGAAAAACACCTTAGAACAACTGAAAAAGGAAAGGAAGAGAAAATGTTTAAGATTCTAAGTTCAGAAATGAAAATTGAGACATTCTACCAATTTTGCAGAAATAAACAGATTAAAAGAATACTTTGAACAATTATACATCAACAAGTGGGGTAACCTAAATGAAACAGGCCCGCAATCTGCCAAAACCAAATCATAAAGACACAGAATATCTGAATAAACAGATAGCTAGTAAGGAGGGGGCCTCAAAATAAAACACCTTCCTATAAGATAAAAAAGCCCTAGGCCAAACAGCTTCAGTGGTGAATTATACCAAACCTTTAATGAAGAAATAACACTAATTCTTTTCAAACTCTTGCAAAAAAAAAAAAAAAAAATTAAGCAGAAAGAGCCCTTTCAAATTATTCTGTGAGGCCTGCATTACCCTGATACCAAAACCAGAAAAAAATACTATGTGAAAAAGAGACTATACACAAATATTTCTTATGAATATTGATGGAGAAATCTTCAACTAAATACTAGCAAACTGAACTAAACAACAGATTAAAGCAATTATAAACCATGACCATATGGGATTTATTACTGGAATGTAAGAAAAGGTCAACATATGAAAATCAATCACTGTGGTATATGAAATTAATAGAACGGAAAGGGAAAGAAATCACATGATCATCTCAATTGATGTACTAAGAAAGCACTTTACAAATTTCAACAGGTTTTCATTATAAAAAGAATGATTTAAGAATGGGGCCTGGCGTGGTGGCTCACGCCTGTAATCCCAGCACTTTGGGAGGCCGAGGCAGGCGGATCACGAGGTCAGGAGATCGAGACCATCCTGGCTAACACGATGAAACCCCGTCTCTACTAAAAATACGAAAAAATTAGTCAGGCGAGGTGGCAGGCGCCTGCAGTCCCAGCTACTCGAGAGGCTGAGGCAGGGGAATGGTGTGAACCCGGGAGGTGGAGCTTGCAGTGAGCCGAGATCGCGCCACTGCACTCCAGCCTGGGCGACAGAGCGAGACTCCGTCTCAATAATCATCATCATCATCATCATCAAACAATGAAAGGGTCTTGTTCAAAATGATAAGTGCACAAGACAAGGATGCCTGCTTTCACCGCTTCTATTCAAGATCATATTGGAAGTTCTAGCAAAAACAATTAGACAAGAAATGTCATTGAATTTGGAGAGAAGGAAGTAAAATTATCTCTGCAGATGATATAATCTTTTATGTTAAAAAACACTAAAAATTACACACAACACACACACACAAAATTGTTACAACCAATAAAAAAATCCTGCAAAATTGTATGATATAAAATAAACACAAAAAAGTCAGTTACATTTCTATGCACTAGCAATGAAAGATACAGAAAAATTCAAAACATTTACATTTATAAGAACATCATAAAAATATTAAGACATAAATTTAACCTAAGAAGTGAAAGACTTGTACACCAAGAACTACAAAACATTGTTAAAAGAAATGAAAGACATAACAAGTGAGAAGACATCCTGTGTTCATCAACCAAGACTTAATATTGTTAATATGATAATGCTACTCAAGTGATATACAGATTTAATGCAACACCTATTAATATCCCAACAGTATTTTTTGTAGAAATAGGAAAACTCATCCTAAAATCCATATGGACTCTCACAGGTTTTCAAGTAGCCAAAACAATCTTGAAACAGAAAGAAAAGTTGGAGGTCTCACACTTCCTGATATCAAAACATACCAAAGTAATCAAAACAGTGTGGTACTAGCATAAGAAGAGTCATATAGACCAAGGAAATAGACTATCTAGTCTAGAAACAAACCCTTGAATATGTGGTCAATTGATTTCCAACAAAAATGCCAAGACCATTCACTAAGAAAAGAATCTTTTTTTCAACAAATGGCGCTGGTAAAAATGAATATCCACATGCAAAAGAATAAAGTTGGACCCTTATCTTATGCCATATATAACAATTATCTCAAAGTAGATCAAAGATCAAAATGTAAGAGCTTTGCAAACCATATACCTGATAAATATCAATATTCAGAATTTATAAAGAATTCCTACAACTCCACAAGAAAAGAAAAAATAACAACAAATAACCAAATTTAAAATATGCAAAAGACGTGAATGAACATTCCTCCAAAGAATGCATACAAACAGCCGATAAGTACATGAATCCTTTAATGTGCCTATTCATGTTATATGCTTATTAACATCACTAGTCATTAGGGAAATGAAAATAAAAACCACAAAGAGATACCACTTCACAGGCTTTGGAATGGCTATTATTTAAAACAATAAGAAAAATAGCAAGGATTGGTGAGGATATGGAGAAAATGGAACCCCTGCACATTACTGATGGGAATGCAAAATGGTGCAGTTGCTGTGGAAAATAGTTCAGTGATTTCTAAAAATTAAAAATAGAATTATCATATAATTCCACTTCTAGGTATATACTCAAAAGAATTAAAGGCGGAGAAACAAACAGATGCTTGTACACCAGTGGTTAAAGCAGCATGATTAACAACAGCCAAAATGGGAAAACAACTCAACTGTCCAACAGTGGAATGCAGAAACAAAATGTGGTATGTACATGTTAAGACATGTTATTCAGCTTAAAAAGGAATGAAACTATAATACATGCTAAAACATGGGAGAACCTGGAAAAACATCATACTAAGTGAAATAAACCAGATGCAATAGGACAAATATTGTGATTCCATTTATATAAGGTGCCTAGAATATGCAAATTTATAAACACAGAAAACAGAATGGAGGTTACCTGGGGACTCCAGGAGTAGGAGGGAATGAGGAATTATTGTTTAATGGATAAAGTGTTTCTGTTCAGGATGATGAAGTCGTTCTAGAAATGGATAGTGGTTGAGCAACATCATGAATGTACTTAATGCCACTTAATGCACACCAATAAATAATTAAAATGGTAAATTCTATGTAATGTATATTTTTCTACAATAAAAAAGAAATAAAAATTTTTGGCAAAGCTCCATTATGATTTAGTTCATTTTGTCCAAACTAATTTGCAATGACCCTTTTTCATTGTTATTATATTTATGACCTTCTAATGTTAAACTCTTGATCTCTTATTCCAATCATACATTGTGGCACCATTGCTATAATCTTTTAATTTTTGATAACGTTTTTTCTCATGGAGATATTATTCTTTAATAGATATATATCATTCAATTGAACGATGTAGTAAAATGTATTTATTTCCTTAATACACGTTATTTAGGATATATCTAATTTCAACATTATTCATAATGTTGCAGTGAATATCCTTAGTCTAGGATTTTTTCAGCATATCTATTTGCTTAGGATAATTTAAAATAAATTTCATTGTTCAAACAGAAGAAAAGTTATCATCCATCCATCATAAGAAAGAAGCATGAGGGAGAGAAAGACATTTAGGAAAATGTTGCTGAATTATATGCCTAGGAATGGTCCGTGAAAGTACACATTTCTTAGCACTATTTATAACATCAACAATGCCATGTTAACCAAAAATACATCTAACTTGAAAAGCTTGATTTGTTTTCATGCCTCTTATTTCTGGTAAGATAGAAATATTTTCATATTTTTACTGGACTTTGGTATTTTTTAAATTTATTAATTGCCTATCACATGTTTTATCTTCTACTCAAGAGTTGACCTCTTTTAAATCAATTTGTAGGATTATTTTAAAATATAAGTTGAGTATCATGCAAAGAACATGGCAGGCCCGAGACTGCTATTGTTAGAAAGACCTGCTTGCAAGTTGGCCCTTGGCTGGCATCTGGGAACTTGTATTTTGGGAGTGTTCTCACCATTTCCTAATTGATGAGGGTGTCTCACTCTGCTTAAACTGTGTGTACAAGCAATGTGGTTTATGTGAGGCACCTGCTTTTTTTCTGGGAGTCTGGAATTTTGGTACATACTAGGCAGAGAGTGCCTTTATGTCCAGCACACGATAAAAACCATGGATGCTGAGTAGGTTTCTCAGACAAACAACATTTCACATGTGTTGTCATGTTTACATGCTGGTCAAAATCAAGCTTGTCTTGTGTGACTCCACTGGGAAAGAGCCCTTAAAAGCTTGCACGTGGTTTCTTCTGGCCTTCTCCCCCATGCAGCCTCCCCCAATGCAGCCTCCCCTTGGCTGACTCTGTTTGCATTCTTCTCTGTAATAAATCTTGGCCATAGCACAACTGCATGCTGAGTCCCGTGAGTCTTCGTGGAGAGTCCTCAAACAGCGGTGTGGCCCTGGGGAACCCTGGCACATGTATTAACCTTTTAATCTCATACTTCATGTACATAGTTCTCAAGACTTTCCTGTTTCCTTTTTATATTCTTTTGGTTCTTTCTCTCTTTTCTTTCTTTTCTCTTTCTTTCTTTCCATTCTTTCCTCTCTTTCTTTGTCTTGCTCTGTTGCCAGGCTGGCGTGCAACAGCACAATCTCAGCTCACTGCAACCTCCCCCTCCTGGGTTCAAGGGATTCTCCTGCCTCAGCCTCCCGATAGCTGGGACTGTAGGGCCACCATGCCCAGCTAATTTCTGTATTTTTAATAGAGACGGGGTTTCACCATGTTGGCCAGGATGGTCTCGACCTCTTGACCTCATGATCTGCCCCCTCAGCCTCCCAAAGTGCTGGGGCTACAGGCATGAGCCACTGCACCCGCCGGAAAAAACAAAATTCTTTTTTTTTTTTTTTTGAAATGGCATCTCACTGTCGCCCAGGCTGGAGTGCAGTGGTGCCATCTTGGCTCACTGCAAGCTCCACCTCCCGGGTACACGCCATTCTCCTGCCTCAGCCTCCCGAGTAGCTGGGACTGCAGGCGCCCGCCACCTCGGCCCGCTAATTTTTTGTATTTTTCGTAGAGATGGGGTGTCACTGTGTTAGCCAGGATGGTCTCGATCTCCTAACCCTGTGATCCGCCCGCCTCCGCCTCCCAAAGTGCTGGGATTACAGGCGTGAGCCACCGCGCCCAGCCAAAAACAAAATTCAAGATCATTCAAGATCATTCAAGATCAGCAGCCAAGTGTGTCTTCAGACTTGACTCTATATGCTTTGTAAGTAGCGTAAATTCCTCTCAGATCCTTGAAATATTTTGTAACTTTTACTTTCCAATGTTATGAATTGTCATCTTTTTCCAGCTTTTATAGGTAGGTTTTAAAATGAGGAATGGGAAAATAGATGTGTGGGCTGGAGCCGGACAGGAATTTTTAAATGGCAAACATTTTCATATATTTCCTAGCAATTTTTTTTTCTTGCAAAATCTTTAACAGAAATCACAATGTAAGTTCTAAATTACAATAGTGTTAACAGAGGAACATTCATACAGCTTGGAGGAAAAATCAAGTAACAAAAGCTTTAAGAAGATAACGTCCTACTTTTAAAAAGTGACTCGGGTAATTTAATATAAACACTTAAAAGACAGAAAAAAATTATTCAATTTAATTAGAAGTAAAAATGGCTTTTATGTTGTTTTATGTAACTCTGCTTCTGCAGAGTAAAATTTAATATCTTTATAAAATGAAGTTCCTTTGCACAAGCTGCCAACTATGCAAATAATTTTGTCATTTTTAGAACATGCTGAAAAAGAACACCATTTGCTATATTAAATGGACGAGAGAGCTTCAGAACTGACAAATGATGGTTATGATAGGAAAAATAGAATGCCAGGACCTGGGCAAGGAGTAAAATAAAGACAGGAATTAAAACTGTATAAAGAAACACTGAAGAGCCAGGTTGGTCCATAAGCAACAAAAACAACAACAAACCTCTGAAGATAAGACATAATACAATTATAAATGTGAATTTTCAACTCAGGAAAGATCTGCATGTCTATTTTATGACTTTTCTGTTCTTGAGTTCTAACCTTCTATATCTCTTTGATCTCTCTCTTTTGGCTAGATTATTTCCTCAAGTTATAAGTTAAATGATACACAGACAGTATATTTTCTGACTCATTTTCATGGTAAGTCTTGCTGTTCACTTTCAAATGTTTCAAAAATTGTGCCTTGATATAAAATTTTTGCTTCACAGTTCTTACCTCCAGCATGATGGAGTTGAAGTTTCACAAATATTCTTCCCCAAAAAGTTACAATAAAGTAGTACAATTAACTGTCAAAAACATGAATTTCAACACTGGATATTGACTAAAGGCACACAAACTATAAGAAGCGTTTGTTCATGAAAATGACCCACGTTTAGGTGACACTCTAGCATTCAGTCCCAAGTCCCCTCCCTAGACTGGTGGTGAGTTCATCCAGCTCAATGGGGGTGGTAAAAGCCAGCATCTGCCTGGTGGAGGCTCACCTAGGTGCGGAACAGAGCTAGCAGCTCCTCCTAGGATGCAGTTCTCTTTGCAGCAAGCAAAGGCGCAGAAGATTCACTGAGGATTTAACTGTAAGTGTTAGAAGGTATTGCATTTTGAGATAATTAGATTCAAATTCAGTTGTAGAGAGACAATACAAGGAGGAGATCATTGTGGTTTTAATTTGCATTTCCCTAATGGTGTTAAACCTCTTTTGATATGCTTATTTTCCCATCTGTAAGTCTTCATAACATCTTCAGCCAAATGCCTCTTCCAACCTTTTGCCAATTTTTCACTTGAATAATTGCTTGCTTTATTCCTGCTGAGTTGTGAGAGTTCCTTTCTTTTAACTTTTATTTTAGGTTCAGGGGTACATGCGCAGGTTTGTTATATAGGTAAATTGCATGTCATGTAAACAGGAGTTTGGTGTACAGACTGTTTCACCACCCAGGTAATAAACATAGTACCCAATAAGGTAGTTTCTTGATCCTCCTCCTCCTCCCTCTCTCCACTCTCAAGCAGGCCCTGGGGTCTGCTCTTCCCTTCTTTGTGTCCATATGTACTCAATGTTTAGCTCCCACTTATAGGTGAGAACATGCGGTATTTGCTCTTTTGTTCCTGTGTTAGTTCATTTAGGATAAGGGCCACCAGCTCCATCCATGTTCCTGCAAAGGATATGATTTCATTCTTTTTTATAGCAGCATAGTATTCCATGGTGTAGATTTACCACATTTTCTTTATCCAGTCTACCACTGATGTGCATTTAGGTTGACTCCATGTCTTTGCTATTGTGAATAGTGCTGCAATGAACATATGCATGCAATCTTTTTGACTTTTTGCTTAAAATGTTTGCTGATCCTTTGTTTCATTTTTCATAGTCTTAGAACTTTTAATCTATTGACAACTTTTAACAATTTAGTATACTCCTATGAACAAAATTTGGAACATATTTGATGCTCTCTACCTGATTTTTCCAGAATTTGGAAATATTTGTGAGTATTCTTAACTTATGGCAATACAGTTATTTGCGCAAGTGCAATAAGAATCTGCTTTCATTTGTAACAGGACACAACTGGAGAAACTGGTTATTTTACCAAGGATTTGACTGGAATGGTGTGCTTTCCTTTAAGGAATCGAACTTGACTTATGAAGACAATAAAGCCCTTGGGAAAACTGGCCTCATATTTTGTGCACACAGTCCCTGTACAGGGTTTCTAATCTATGATAAGTAAAGAATGTGACTCTCTGACAGGCCCAGAAGCCCCAGGTTTATCTTGGAACCTCAAGAGGAGAGGAAATTCACATAACTCATAGGTATTTGATGGCACAATCTATGGCTGGGCATGGCTTTAAAAAGGTCTTATCTGAGATTCCTTCTATGGAACAAAGTTCCATCAAAGCCAATCTAAAGGCCTAAAAAATAATTACTCTTGCTGCACTGTATATAAATAATTAAGCCAAGTATAATAAAGCAAACCAGTCCTACCATGATTTGTCTTTAGTACAAATGGGAACTGGAGAGGGAGAAAAAAATTATGTTTCAAAACTATAGTAACACTAGTTGTTAGATTCTAATCTTGCCTAATGTTTTTTTTTCAGTTTTTATTATTTTCTACAGTTTGAACCAAATTCTAATTTTTCTTGGCTATAAGTCTTCAAAATAATGTTTTCCATTTTTTTCTTCTTTTTTTTTTCATTTTTCCTAATTTGGAGTCACTGAAAACTAAGCTGTGCTTTCTTAGAACCCTGCAAACTGAAGCCAGACAACTTAAACTTCAGAAGAAAATAACAACAACCTGTTTATATACCTAAGCCACTTTCATACCCATCTACTAATGTATGGACTTCAGAATAATGTGGCCTATATCGATTTTTCCAGGATCGTTCTTCAGTTTGTTGTTTTTTCTCCCTTTCTCTCCCCTATTTTCTCTTCGCAGGACACAACCTGCTAAAAATGAGCTTTCAGGACCTACCCCTCTAGGAATAAACTATCAGAGCCATAAGAGATCAGATGAAACCTGAGATCACACTCATTTTCTTGTAAAATGCTTCCTCCAAAAGAGTTTACGAAGAGGGGGGAAATGTGAAAGGAAATTATATTGGGCCCCCCAAATCACTAAGAAAAACTCAACCTGGAAACTGCTTAGAGCAAATCTGCCTCTCATTCTATTCAAAGTCACCCCTCTGTTCACAGAGATAGATGCATATCTGATCGCCTTCTTTGGAAAGGCTAATCAGAAACTCAAAAGAATGCAACCGTTTGTGTCTCATCTATCTGTGACCTGGAAGCTCCCTCCCCACTTTAGGTCTTCCTGCCCTTGCTTCAAGATGTCCCGCCATTCCAGATCAAACCAATGTACTTCTTACATATATTGATTGATGTCTCATGTCTCCCTAAAATATATAAAGCCAAGCTGTGCCCCGACCACCTTGGGCACATGTTGTCAGGACTTCCTGAGGCTGCGTCATGGGCATGTCCTCAACCTTGGCAAAATAAACCTTCTGAATTAACTGAGACCTGTCTCAGATTCTCTGGGTTCACACTTCTCTCCACCTTTCAAGGTTTTCTCATGTTTGTTTATATAAAATGTCCAGGATTTTTGGTTATACTAAGCAGAAGGAATAGGGAAAAGTATATTTTCCAGAAGAGAAACATAGTTTTGATTTAATATTAATATCATTATTCTTTTATTTAACAGTAATCATTTTGAGGTCCCCTTTCTTCTTAGGGTTCATGATAGTTTCCTGTGTTAATTTATACTATAGCATAACAAATTAACACAAACAAACAGCCTTAAAACCACACATAGGTATTTGCTTCCTAGGTTCCCTGGGGCTTAGATGCATCTTGTGCTCAGAGTTTCACAAAGCTGAAATCCAGGGTCAAAGTCTCCCATGGTGCTGGGAGCTCTGTTCAAGCTCAGTCCGTTCGTTGACAGAAACCAGTTCCTCGAAATTGTAGGACTTCTGCTTTCAGCTCCTAGAGGCAGGGCCGCAGACAGTTCAAACCTTGACTCTTCCCTTTCTTCAAGGTCTCTATGATTCAAAGCTTTCCCTTCAGGAAAGACCTGGCCTTTTTTTCTTTTTGAAGGGCTTACCTGATTAGGTGAAGCCTACCTGGAAAAATCTTGTTTTTGGTTAACTCAGGTAAACCAATTAGGGAATTTACATGAGTCTGCAAAAACCCCTGTCCTGTGCCACGTAAGCAGCCTCCTCATAAGAGCAGAATCCCATGGTATTCACAAAGTCCCACCCACACTCACAGAGGGGATATACAGGCCAAGGTAGAATTCTGCCTGTCACAGTTCTTCTATTTCTTTCTGGAGTTCACACATGAGATTTTAACGAATCAGAGAACGATATTTATATACGATGTGATGCAGGGATCCCACTTCATTTCCCACTATAGGATAAATAATTGTGCAAGCCCCATTTATTGATTAGTTCATTCTTTCCTTAGTGACCTGCTGTGCCACCTTGAGATATGCCAGGTGTAACCATATATGTCTGTTTCTGTTTCTAAGGTGTATTTACTTCATTGGTCAGTTTATCTATGCCTGTTCCAAGGCTGAATTTTAATTTATATATCGGTATAAGCTCTGATAATCTAGAAAAGAAAATTCACTGCCTGTGGCTGTTCTCATGCCTTTTATTTCTCATATTAGCTTTAGTATAAAAGTGACTTGAAAAACTCTTTCAGGGGGCGAGTGTGGTGCCTCACGAGTGTGGTGCCTCACACCTGTAATCCCAGCACTTTGGGAGGCCGAGGCAGGCAGATCACCTGAGGTCAGCAGTTCAAGACCAGCCTAACCAACATAGTGAAACCCCATCTCTACTAAAATTACAAAAATTAGCTGGGCGTGGTGGCAGGCACCTGTAATCCCAGCTACTCGTGAGGCTGAGGTGGGAGAATCGCTTGAACCCGGGAGGCAGAAGTTGCAGTGAGCCAAGATTGTGCCACGCCACTCCAACCTGGGCAACAGAGTGAGACTCCATCTCAAAAAAAAAAAAAGAAAAGAAAAAGAAAAAAGAACCCTTTCAGGATTTGCATTGATGTTGCAGTTTATTTGTAAATAAATTAGAGAAAAATTAAATCTTTATATTTGTGCATCTTGCTATCTATAAATATAGTAAATATCTCCATTTATTTAAATTTTCTTTGTCTTCAATAAATTATTCAATTGGCTCTTTACAAATCTAGAATGTATTTTATTAATTTTCCCCTAGATACCCTTTCTGTTGTTTTGTTGCTGTTACTATAAATGGCAGCTTTAGGGGGAGGAGGGAGGGATAGCATTAGGAGATATACCTAATGCTAAATGACGAGTTAATGGGTGCAGCACACCAGCATGGCACATGTATACATATGTAACTAACCTGCACGTTGTGCACATGTACCCTAAAACTTAAAGTATAATAATAATAAAATAAATAAATAAAATAAATAAATAAATGGCAGCTTTAATAAATTCCTAACTATGTAAATTTCTACATTGCTGACATATATTAATGCTATTGATTTTTTAATACGGATCTTACATCAAACCAAATTATAAAACTTATTAATGTTAATAATTTGTCGGTGTTTTTTATAATAAACCTTCTGTATAATAATAATGAGACTTTAATATCTCCATTTTCCAGGCTTATACCATTGTTTAATCTTATACCTGACCAGACCTTTTAAAAAAATAGTACTGGTGATAGTGAACATTATTTCCTCGTTAAAGGAAATACTTCCAAGTTTTCACAAAATAATGTTTCCTTGAGTTTTTAGAATATTTTTAATTAAGGAAATTTCCTTCCTTTTCTAGACTGCAGAGTTCTTTTTCTCTAATGCACACATTTTGAATTTTACCAAATACTGTGTACATTCATTTATAAAATCAAATTATTTTTCTCCATTAATCTGTTAATGTGATTAATTATTTAATTAATTTTCTGACATTAAATCATTCTTGCATTTCTAGAATGATACACAACTTGGTCATATATTTCGTTCATATATTTTAGATATTTTGTTTCTAATGTTAATATTTTGTTGCATAATTTTGCATTTATGTTTATTAATAAAATTAGTTTCCAATACTCTTTTGTATGACTTTTCTAGTTTTGATATCAAGATTAAGATTGAGTCTTAGAATGAATCCTGATATATTCTCTTTTTCCAATATCTGGAAATTTGTAAGATATCAAAATTATTTGTTCCTGGAAATTTTGGTAGAACTCTCTGATAAACCATCCTGAGCTTTTGAGTTACTCTTCATTTTTAAATAGTGATCCAATATTTTTAATGTTTATTGACCATTCAGATATTATACATTCTTGAGTCAGCTTTTCAAATTATATTTTCTAGGAATTTGTCTACTTCATCTAAAATTTTGTACTCAACTTTTTCAGTGAGATACATAACTCAAAAAAAGGTATACATTATATAGTTATATATTGAGCAGCCTGTCTTGCCTTTCAGTCCTCATTTTTTTCTCCTGCAGCCCCAAAGAATTACTTTTTAAAATTCTTCCAGCATTTCTTTATGCAAACACTACACATGGAAACGTGTATTCTTATTTAATCTCTTTCTAACAATAAATTTTCACAAATTCTGTACCCTGGGTGTGGATGCAAAGAAGAGAGGGACACCTGGAAGGTGTTCAGAATGGAATCAATCCACCCAGGAAATGGGTCACAGGCAGCGTGCCCGTGGCTGTGGCTGTGACTGAGCCTGTGCCTGTGACCGTGGCCAGGGAGCCACTTCAGCAGCAGCAGCCAGCAGCCTCACAGAGTCTAAGAGGGGAGTGGGGCAGGGGTGCTCACAGTCCTCCACGTGCTCTCACACAAGGTGAAGTGGACCAGCTTAGGCCTCTTCCTAATTCTTGTTCGGGGGATTTTGCAGTCCTTGAATTTTCATAAGAAGTGATATAAGGAGATGTTAGAGGAGGAAGTCAACAGGCAGGGTGGAACCCTCCAAGAGCACCTGCTGTACAGCCGAGGGAGCACTGCCCAGCCTCCTGCCTGACACTAACTTTGTCTGCACAATAGTCAGGCATAGACAGTCACGGCAGGATGAAAAAATGAAAAGTGAGAGGTCAAATATAAAAAAAAAACAAAAAGAAAAAAACTGGAAATCTGTGCTAGTCAGAATAATGCCCCTCCTCCCACAAACGTCCACTTCCTAATGGAACTTGTAAATATGCTCATTACATGGCAAAGGGAATTAAGGTTGCAGATGAATTAAGTTTGCTAATCAGCTGACTTTAAAATTGGGAGATTAGGCTGGGTATGGTTCACTACTACGAGAACAGTATGCGGGAAACCACCCCCATGATTCAATTATCTCCCACTGAGTCCCTCCCACAACACATGGGAATTATGGGAGCTACAATTCAAGATGAGATTTGGGTGGGGATATAGCCAAACTATATCAACATCTATACATATTGGGAGATTACCCTGGATCATCTGCGTGAAGCCGCTGTAATCACAGGAGTCCTGAAAAGCAGAAGAGAGAGGCAGAAGAGATTGATTTCGTGAGACATGGACTTTGAAGATCCACAAGCCAAGGAATATAAGCAGCCTCCAGAAAGTGGAAGAGGCAAGGAAATAGATTCCCCCTGGGGCTTCCAGAAAAAAAACACAGGCCTGCCGGCATTGTTATGTTAGTCCAGTGAGACCTGGGTTGGACTTCTACCCTAAAGAACCTTAGCATAATAAATCTGTGTGGTTTTAAGTCACTAAATTTGTGGTAGTTTTTTACAGTAACAATAGGAAATGGATGCAAAACTGATATATTTAATTTTAATTTCTTATCATTACAGTTGTCCCTTGAACAACACAGGTTTGAACGGCACAGGTCCATTTATATTGTGAATTTTTTTTTCAACCAAACGTGGACTGAAAATACAGTATTCATAAGATGCAAGACCCAAATATATAGCGGGCCACCTTTTCATATAGGGGATCTGAGGGGGCACCTGTAGGACTTGAGTAGGTGTGGATTTTGGTGTATGCAGAGATCTTAAAGCCCATCCCAAAGCCTGCTGAGGGACAACAGTGTTTGTTAAACACGATGAGTCATAATTCTGCATCCAGACATTTAGGGGGCTCTGGAGTTCTAACGGCTCTTGTGCATTTTCTCCTTGCACAGATCAGGGATGCAGTAAAACACTTTTTGAAGTTTAATCATAAAAAAAATAACACCCAGCTCAGGTGAACAGTTTTTCACACATGGAATATGTACAGTGGAAAGTAAGAACTCACTCCCACATGAGTCCCCAGCCCTGGTCCCCATTCCCAAAAGCAACCATTCTTGCCATTTTCACATGTATCCCACCATGCATTTTCTGTTCGTAAACAATACATGTGTCTATTACCTTTTTGAGGGGGTGACAAAATATATATGCCTGTTGGAATATATGTATATAAAATATAAATAATTTGCATTTAATTATTTATTTGTAATTAACAAATAATAATTACGTCTATTTACAGGGTACAATGTGATTTTTTGTTCTACGTATACATACATTTTTAAATAAGCTTTTTTACTTGTGTCTGCATTTTTACTTGTATTTCTGATTTATGAAAAATATATCAATCTAAAATGTATCTATGTTAAGTCAATGCATGCGGCATTCAAAGTTGAGTTTTGGTCTAATGCTATGTTAAGGTTATTGGTGTGAATTAAAACTAGGCTCCCACACACTTAATACAAGTGAGGTAGACCTATTCAAAGGCTATTTAAACAAGGAGGCTTCCAGGGCAAAATTACTTCTAGAAAGAGAAGGAGTTGGTCAGAAATGCCTACAAATAAAGGCATAGCAGGTGATGAAGAAAAGCAATTTTAAGTTTGAATAGAATCCCTCACAGTAATTCACCCAACCTGACACATCAGGGACTCCTATCCAACTCCCAGTGAGAAGGGGAGACGTAAATTCAAATGTAAATGGCTATTTTCACTCTATACTATGTAAGGCATCAGGGTTCAAGCCAATAGCTCTTTGCTAACCCTCAAATTAAGCATACCACAAAGGCAAGAGATCTTCCCAGTTCAACACAGAGCACAGCATGGCTTCAAGTACATTGAAAGTTCCAAAAATACAGTGACAATGTTGGCATTTGGGTAAATTTGAACCTACTGAGGCCTTATGCAGAGACAACAGAGGCATCGCACAGCAGCAGCAGAGGTGTGTGATAGTGGAGGCAACCTGGCAATGGTGAGAGGGCATGAGGAACACAGTGATTGGGAAACGGGCAGTGACAAGATGTGGCCTCACAAAGCTCCGTGCACTGCAATACAATGTCCTGGAACAGATCCCTGGATTCTCAGGCCTGTGACTGACACTAGTGAACAACAGGAACGGGAGGGAGGTGACAATCTACCTTTGCATGCTAGAAAAATACCGGATGGCATGTTGATGTTTCTGGGGGACAGGAGCAGGAGAGAAGAAAGCTGAGGGACAACAGAGACTTCCTACAGCATCAGACAGACTAACAGCCAAACAACAGAGTTCAGCCCGATCAAAATCACCCTGTTCGTACTTGCTTAACCCAGCTGGTTGGAGAAACATGGTTTACACATACAATTTCTGGATTTTTTTGTACGGATTTTAGTAATGATATCAGATTGCCCAAAACTGCTGATCTGTGACAAACTGTTAGCTTTAGGGACTTCAGTCTCAATCCACCATCTTCTATTGCCAAAACTATGAAAGAATGAGTTTAAATGTCAAAAGACATTCCTGTTAGCAGAGTAATATTCCCTCTAAAGCAGGGGAGGTGGAAGAGTTGGCCAACGGCATACGAGTGAGGATGCCAATCAATCGTAAAAAAGACGAGTTTCTCTCCTTATGGCTTTACCAATTGCTTTTCACGGACCTTAATGCTTTATATGGTTTATCATTATTAAACTATTTCTTCTATTCTCTGTGGGCAGAAAAAGAAATTGCCAGGTTAAATTGCACCATACAACTTTCACTACATTATTAGTCTGTGAGTATTGTACCCTCTGGCATTCAGAACTTCAAGAACCTTTTATTCTTACATATTAACAATTTTACTGTTGACTTCACACAGAAACGTCACATCAATTTTTCTGGATTAGTAGTGTAGGTTAAAAGAATAAATTCAAAGACAAAGGATCCAGGCATGCATTTGGTCTTTTTCCTCCTTGCCAAATGTTATACTTCTGCAGAAAAACACATGAGGAAAAGGCTTTTAGTCAAATAAAAATTCAAAGATCCAGAAAAACCAGAATATGGAATTAGATTTTGTTTAAAAGTACTATTTCTGTCTTGCCTAATTGTACATAAATTACCCATTTTCTGTTTAATTTTTCTCATTACAAAATAAATGTATTTTTTTCAATTTAAAATCTGAACCATACAAATAAAAATGGTAAGAAAAAAAACACTAAATTGCTATTGCTCAAAATCAATCATTTCCAAGATTTTGAAATATTTCTTTTAAATATTTTTCTACACTGTTAAAATAGCTAAACTCTATGCTTAGAATACATGCAGATATGCAATTGGTTCTGTGATTTTTAGTTAATATATACAAGAATTTCTCCATGTTATTATAAATTCCTTGCAAGCATTTTAAATGCAATACTTTTCTCATCAACTAGAATTTACTTAATTCCCATTTGTTGAACATCTAATGGTGGCCCCCCCATGTATCTCCACTAATAATGCTAAAATAGACATTTTTGTGCATCAAGCTTTTTTCTTGATTTTACTTATTTTCTTAGAATTCTTTCTAGGACATAAAATTATTAATAAAATGTTTGAAATATGTTTAAATATCTTGCCAACTTACTTTCTAGTAAAATTGAAATAAATGGCACTGTTACTGGGCATGCATATAATGGCTTCCTTTCAGTTTAATTATTCCCTACCATGGGTTCAATAATTTAAGGGAAAAAAAATGGCTTGCTAGTTTGATGGATTAAAGACAATTATCATAGTTGTTTCAATAACTTGTATGATAACCTGAATTGTAAGTTGCCAATGAGAACAAACATCTCTATAAAATTATTTGCTAGTTAGCTTGGCCCAAGGCAAAGATGAAGGAAGTAACAATCTATTTGGAAGGTGTCCTCGGGGGTGCGAGTGGGAGCTAGGGAGAGATGCCAGGAGATGATGCACTGGGGATCCGGCTAGAAGGAGCCTCGAAGGGGGGCACAGCAGAACACTAAGCAAATATGATTGTTAGAAACGCAGAAATTCTCCAATGCAGGAAAGAAAGGCACCTTGGAAGAGAGAAAGGACAGCCTGCGGCTCGTCCAGCGGGACTCCGGCAGGTGAGTCCAGCAGGAGGGCGGGCGGAAGGAGGCTGCCTCAACTCTGAAAAGACACACCCAGGTATTAGCTAGATCTCTGTCTCTGCGATTCTGTTTATATTCTTTCCACAATTCCTCTTACTGGAATATTGAGGGGAGAAAACAGATTGATGAAAAACGTGCAAAGCCAGATTACTTAACAGTTCGCTTTCGCAAGTCTGAACACTGAAAGACAGTAGGTAATATTCCTTAGAGTAGAGGAGAAAGTAATGTAAACCTGGAGTTCTTCCCTCACCCAAGATGGTGTTATCAGGTTAAGGTGACAGATAAATATTTTTTGGTATGAATAATCCAAACAATATATCAGGCTTAAGTTCTTCCTGAAAGAAAAATGTTCAATCACTTAAAAGAGAACAGTATAAGGCCGGACGTGGTGGCTGACGCCTGTAATCCCAGCACTTTGGGAGGCCGAGGAGGGCGGATCACGAGGTCAGGAGATCAAGACCATCCTGGCTAACATGGTGAAAACCCGTCTCTACTAAAAATACAAAAAATTAGCCAGGCGTGGTGGCGGGCGCCTGTAGTCCCAGCTACTCGGGAGGCTGAGGCAGGAGAATGACGTGAACCCGGCAGGCGGAGCTTGCAGTGAGCCGAGATCGCGCCACTGCACTACAGCCTGGGCGACAGAGCAAGACTCCATCTCAAAAAAAAAAAAAAAAAAAAAAGAGAGAGAGAGAGAACAGTATACCAACATTAATTACAAGAGAAGTTTGACTATGAGCACTTATTTTTATATCTGTGGACCCCTATAGGCTCTCCTGGTTGGTGTAATTTTTTGGCATAACTTAACTAACAGATTTCGAATACTTCTAGAACTTACCTACCCAGTGCCTCAGTTGTTTTTAAATATTTTTAAACATGAGTTATTAGACATTCTGCCTTCCAGTTTTCCAATTTTTAAACACTTAATTGGGCTTATGCATCACATGTTTTAACTTCATAGATTTTTCTTTCAAACAAAAACATTTTATAATCAGTCCTGTGGCTCCGTTTAGATTAATTGCTTGATGTTTTACATTTTGACTGATTTCAGTGATCTTGGCTCCTCTTTTCTGCTCATAATTTCCCCATTTCTTTATTGTACATTGACTCATTTTTATTGTTCTGGGGAAAATACTCAAGGGCTTGATTAGAAGAGGCAGTTTTGTATTCAGTACTCCTTTAGCATCTGAAAATACTGTCGTGATTTTCTCCACAAACGGAAAGTTCCTGGCTCTTGCTTTGCTCACAGTTTTTCCCTCAGAGATGTGTGGCTGCCCCTCCAATGCCTCCCACTGGTGTTCCTGAGAGCTGTGACACTGTTTTCTGTTCCTTTATGCATAATCTGATGCTTTTTATATTTTTTAGGAGACTTTAAATTTATCTATAATTTTTTCAGTGCACAGTGCTCACTGCTTCCATTGCGACTTTAAATTCAAGAATCATATTCTTAAACTCTGTGACTACAACAATCATACCCATCATTTTTTGAGTGTTCCTGACCAAATCCAGGCACTGGGCTAGGTGGCATTTACCCAGAATCACACAGCCTATCAAGAAATTTGAACCAGGGTTTTGAAACCAATCTACCCACCTCGAAAGCCTATGCTCTGACCACCTCTCTCCATAACATTGAGTACTGGGATCAGTATTAGTTTATCTCAGATTGTCCTATTTTCAGAAAGTCTTTCTCTAGATCAGAGGTTATGATGTTTCATTTTATGTGTCAACTTGACTGAACCATGGGATGTCCATATATTTGGTTAAACTTATTTCTGGGTGTGTCTGTGAAGGTGTTTCTGGATGGGATTAAAATTCAAATTGGTGAACTGAGTAAAGCACCTTGCCCTCCCCAGTATGGATGGGCCTCATCCAATCCCTTGAGGGCCAATAGAACAAAAGGAGTGAGGAAGAATTTGCTTCTCTGCCTGTATTTGAGCTGGGTGGGACACTGGTCTCCTGCTTTTGAACTCAGATTCAACTAAACCACAGTTTTTCTTGGGTATCTAGCTTGCTGCCTGCAGATTGTAAGACTCCTCAGCCTCTGTAATCATATAATAATAAGCCGATTCCTTATAATACATGTATGATAATATCTGTATCATACATAGATACAGATAGAGAGGTGGTATATGTATAACTATAGATACGGATATGGATAGGCTAGAGCTAGAGATATAAATAGTTATAAATACAGATAGATACATCCTATTGGTTCTGCTCCTCTGGATAACCCAGATTAATACAGAGATAACATAGCATCAGTAGATTGGTTTTAGGGAGGCTATAAAACTCCTCAAAATAAAAAACTATTTCTCCATGCAAAAATATGTCTGTGTGTGTATATTGGCATCTGTATTTTTCTGGTTGAACATCCTTAATTTTAGTAAGATTCTCAAAGTGTTCTCTCATTGAATACTAAGAAACAAAGTTAGAGATTCTGTTTTATTTTAAATCTTGTGGAGGATAAGAATTTTGTATTTTCAACATTTTCTCCTTTCCCTTTAGTAATTCAAGGTTATCAAGGACTCTGATTTTTCAAAAAAAAATCTTTCAGAAAAAATATTTTGAATTAGTTACACTTCAAGTCCCCCCTTTCCTTTAATCTGTTGTCAAAAATACAGATTTATACCTGTCCAGTTAGGGCTTACATGTAGTAGAAATATAAACATGTCCTGAGAAGAAAATATGAATAGATCCTGTTCAGATTTTCATAGTGCTCATGTGGTTTCTTCTTGGT
The DNA here is from genome assembly GCF_000001405.40 of Homo sapiens. NCBI lineage: Eukaryota > Metazoa > Chordata > Mammalia > Primates > Hominidae > Homo > Homo sapiens. Next base: position 54,643,025 of record NC_000007.14, read on the forward strand.
CTGAGTGAGAGAACTACAGACAAGTAAATGAAGGCAGGTTAACATTTCTATTCAGATGTCTGAAGGGGCTTTGGGGGCATTTTTCTAGAGATTTTCTCTCCATGGCAGCTTGAGTGTGGTACAGATAAAGATTCCACACTGGTGTGCTTCATGACACTATTTATACTGGAGGTCCTGGAGTCTGAATCCTGCCAGCCACACACAGGAGAGAGCCAGAGAGTCAGCCTCCAACGCCCTCAGTGCCCTGTAAGGGCCTTCCAGGGACTGCCTTAGGCTTATTCTTTTCTCGTAGCAGGGGCTAGCTCCCCAGCTCGCTGACTTCAGTTTGACTCCATTGACGGTAAATGTAGCAGAAATTATTTCACTTTCTTAAATAAGATACCTATTCCTAATTTCCAACATTGATGAAGATTTTCGGCATGTGAAGGAATCTCGCCAGTCATTTGAATGAGTGAGTAGGAGGGGACAGGACCCAGTCACACTTTCCGTCTTGAAACTGGCTTGCCCCTTTGTTATCCCGTCATGGATCCCGTACCATGCAAACTGCATTTATTCACTAAGGATTCCACTAACATGGGAAGAAAAGTATGCATTCCCTGTCACTGTGGAGGACTATTAGACAGTTCTTTTTTTAAGTTCATATTTCTTCAATTGAATTTGACCTCTAAGCAGGAAGACTCTCATAAAACTGGTTTTTCTCACCGCTGCTTGAAGTAGTAGCTGTCTGAGTTAGGATTTGTTCAAGTAATGGAATCTTGACTGTCTTTTATGTTATCTTTAGTACACAGGCTGAAGGCTTTATCTTTATCAGTGTCATGATTCTAACAACAAAATAGCTCTCGCTAACATATAGTGACAGGTAAATCATTTAAAAACAATTGTACAAAAAGTTTCTTCCAGTTGTGATTATCTTTCTTAATAGTAATTCCTAAACCTGTCTATTTTAATGATTCATGAAATCACTCTGTAATACTAATAAACCATGTACCGTCAATACTTTCCAATTTTACAGTGGTTATAAACCTAAAAAAAATGTTCTTTTTCCTCTTCTCACCAGGTGAAGAAATAACAGGTCAGGTTTATGCTATCCATAAAATAAGTAAAAACAGAAAACCTCATACAATTGAAATTGATTATTTTGTTATTTCAACAGTAGCAACAGCGCCTGAATTCAGGTAGAATGTCTTACAATAGAACTATTTGAGAGGGTTCAGTGAGAAAAAGGAAAAAATATGAAACATTTTTCTTATCCACACAATTGTTTTACATAATTTTTATTAATGTATCTTTATTATTGTCTTATGTAATAGATGAACAGAAATGCATGTTGGACCAAGAGATGCAGAGCAAAATTCTGCATCTATTCCTACTTATCATCTAAGATAAGAGAAAAATTAGAGAGGCAGTAATCTAAACATTTATCTAAAGAAGGTCTTCCCATCTTTAAAACCATAGGTCATTGACTTAACTAATCCCTGTTCTGAGTTTGTTGTTTATCAATTGCTTTTTGAGAATCTATAGATTTAAAGACCAATAATTTTCTCACCTTCCATGCAAAGATATTAAAGAAGAGCCCAAGTGACACAGGTGTGGATAAATAATTATAACAGAATACAGTAAATGAAATAATAGAAGTATGCAAATTCTACACAGTACTATGCATAAATGAATAATTAGCTTTCTGCTGGGAAAGTCCCTGTAAGTGATAAGGAGGCTAAGGAGAAGGTGTAGCAGTTGGCATGATTAGTTGACATGATAATGTGCAGATGACTTCAACAACTAGAGGGCTCTTAGCATATATAACTTTGAGGGAAGTGGTCAGGGATGGCAGGCAATATTTAAAGAGAAGTAGTCAAGGCTGTGTCATAAAAGTCACTGCAGAAGGTGGAACTTACATGATGGAAGCCAGCAGTTGGCTTTAAGCAGAGCACTGATTTAGTCATATATGCATTTTATTGTAGTATGTATATTGAATAAAAGGCCACAGAGGTGAAACAAAGGGCACAAGAATCAGGTAGGGCACTGCCATAAGCTAATGAGAAAGATCTTCAAGAAGGTAATAACTATGAGAATTAAAGGACAAAATAGAATTCAGCAATGAAATGGCATTGTAAAGACAGGGTTGATGTGGAATGAGAAGGAGAAGGGCAGAATTTAAGAAGATTCCTAGAAGCCTGGCTTGAGAAATTGCATGAGCAGTCTTGGCATTCACAAACACTGGCAGTATAGAAAGAGATGTTTGTTTATTGAGGGAGACAATAAATTAATTTGGAAATTGCAATAAGCAATCTGTGGCACAGCCAGGTACAGATATGTTTTATTTGTTATTTATAAATCTGAATGAACGTGTTTATTTGCTGAAAACTTACACTTTGAAGAAAATAATAAAGATATATTAAAAGCATCGATTTATGAATCATAACAAGTACTTTTTAATCTTTTCTGTGGAAAGGTATGACAACAGTTCCTACACTATCAAAACACTAATCTAATTTTAACTGCATCAATTTCATTCAACAGACATTTATTATGAACTTCCTACATAATATGGAACATGCTAGGGCAGTAGAGAAGCAGAGATGATTAAGAAATAGTCTTTGCCCCCAAAGCATGTAGTCTTGTGGGGGTGTGGGGATCAAAAAATGACTAAGGATTCAACATATTCAGAGCTGCAAAAAAGGTGCTGAGGAATCACAAAGGGACAGGGCCCAGGGAGGTGGCGGGTGAGCCAGGGCTCCCCTCTGGCCCAGCAGAGATGAGGATGCAATTTTCTGAGCATTCAGGCTTTAAGTGTCAAAATCAGGAAGTAGATAGGGAAGAAATTTGTCAAGCCTACATCCCAAGGTTCTTTCAGGAGGAAACCTGGGCATGCCAAGAGGTGTGAGCTATGAGTGGGTTTGTATAGAAAGCCATCCATCTGGGAGGCTTGTTCTCACAACCTGGCATCAAACTCCCCTTAGCCTGATGCGGTAAAGAGTTTGCATCTGTGTTCTTAGCCTTCACAGGTATTTTAGTGGAAGGTTTGGAAAGGCTGCTTTAAAAATACTATGTTTTACACTGAATACATAACTTTGAATTTTAAGACATTCTGCCCCAGAAACATTTTTCTAAACATAAAAAAGTCAATGCAGAAAACATAAAACATTGATGCATATGACTACATTAGCATTAAACATTTTCGTGCTATTAGTTAAAAAGAAAAGAGTTTGGTCAAGTATTTTTTTAAAAGCATATAAATACCATTGTAAATTATATATTATTTCAAATCAATAAGAAAGAACTAAATATCCTTATGACAAAATGTCCCGAAGGACATGACTCATGCTTATATTTCTTGAATAGGGAACTGGATGAATAACAGGGTCACAAACTGAGATGGAGAATATAGGAGGGTAACAAGGCTTATAGAAGGAAGTGATGAATTCAGCTTTGTTCCAGGTTGAAGGAACAAATGTGAAATTCTTAAGCTATATGTGAATTCTTAACTGGAATCCATGAACTCCCAAAAAGGATGAGAGCTCTGTGAGGATGAGATGAATCAGAGAAATTGCATATACTTGGAACAATAGAACAGAGACGAAATACTAGCATTTAAAGGGCGAGAAAGAATTTGGGGGCCTTTAAAGAAAAAAGAAGCAGAAACCACGGCAATTCAAGGAGAGGCTGAGAGAACAAGGTCATGGAGACAACAGACAGATGCTCGGGGGTAAGGGATGTGCCCTAATTTACAGTGTCAAACTCTCTAAATTATATAAAGAGGTTTATTCTCAGCCAAACATGAGTGACCAAGGCCTGAGGCTTAGTCTCAAGAAGTCCTGAGAACATGTGTCCAAAGTGGTTGGGCTATAGCTTGGTTTTATCAGTTTTACGGAGACATAAGACATCTATCAATACAAGAAGGTATACATTGATTCACTCCAGAAAGGTGGGACAACTTGAAACAGGGGAGCTCCCATGTCATAGGTGCATTCAAAGATTTTCTGATTGGCAATTGGTTGAAAGAGTTAAGTTATTATCCAAAGACCTGGAATCAATATGAAAGTGTGTCTGGATTAAGATAAGGAGTTTTAGAGACCAAGATTCTTATCATGTAGATGAAGCCTTCAGGTAGCAGGCTTCAGAGACAATCATAGTAAATGTCCCTTACCAGACTTAAGAAGGTGCTAGACTCTTAGTCTTTCCTGGATCAGGAAAAGACCCGGAAAGGGAAGAGGCTTCTCTATAGAATGTAGATTTTCCCCACAAGAGACAGCTTTGCAGAACCATTTCAAAATATGCCAAAGAAATCTATTTTGGGGTAAAATACTTTGATTTCTTTCAGGACCTGCTATCTGTCATGTGATGCTATAGTAGAGTCAGGTTGGACTTTGGTATCTCATTGCTACAAAGAGTCTGTTTTGTTAGTCTTAAGATCTCTGTTTTAACGTGAATGCTGGTCAGTTGTGCCTGGATTCCAAAGAAAGGGGAGTGTAATGAGGCCTGTCTCACCTCCCTTTCCATCATGGTCTGCGCTAGTTTTTCAGGGTTACTTTGGGATGCCCTTGGCCTAAGGGAGGAATCCATTCAGTTGGTTAGGGTTGGGTGAGAGGGGGCGTTGAATTTTATTTTTTGTTTACAGATAGAAGAATGGAAGAATTTGTGTAAGGAAGGCCTGACAATGCCTAAGAGACCTGAAGTTTGGAATTTCTCAATTACCCAAACAGGTACAATCCCAGTGAGATAACGTGATCATGATACAATATTAGTTAAAAGAAAAAAACCTGAACACAATGGTGTATGCAAAGTGTGATTTCAAATAGATAAAGGAAAATGGCCTGAAATGATATATCATGAAATGCTAATGATTACTATACCTGAAATTAAGAGAATTTTCTTCTTTTACATTTTCTCTATTTTAATAAATTTCATGAAACACATGAAATATTTTTAAAACTATAAAATATTATACCAAGAGAAGAAAATGAATAGTACCACTCTTATGAACTAGCAATCACCAGTTAGAAAACCTAGCCAACACGAGAAAACAATAAATAGGCAGGAATCAAAAAAATGAAATGTGCATTGCCCACATTAAAACATTAAACATCTTAGTGAAAATAAAAACAGCTTGAATAAGAGAAAATTTAATAAATTACCAAATAACATTGGGTCGAGGAGCCAATAAAAGTAATTATGAAGCTAGAGTATCCTGAAAAGAAAAATAATTGGGATACATGAAAGAAGATTGGCAAAACATTGACAATTGCAACTAGGTGAGGGTGACATAGGGTTTGGATTCATGATTCTCTCCACTTGTATTATGAAATTTCCCTATGTAAAAAGTAAAATTAAAAACAACCTACTAATATGCAAGAAGAAGAAACTAAGACTGATAATCAAACTCTCGGACATTCAAAGTGAATACATAATTTTAAGTAAACATTATTAAAAGTAACAAAATAACCTATTCAACACAAGAATTCACAAAAACAAAAAGTCCTGAGGTGACAGGGAAGAAGTAAATAATAAATGTTAAAGCATAAAAAATGAAAAGACAGCAGACCCAAACACCAAAATAGGTCAATAAGTCCAAGAATTGGCTCTTTACAAAATAGAGACACCTCTGGAAAATGTCTCAAAAAAAAAGAAAACATTTAAAACAATCCAAATTTTTTTTATCTAAGAATATCACGCATTTTCATTTAGTTTCTCTGGATATTAACTGCATAAGGGAAAAAACAATAATCTAATGAAACTGAAGTAATCACTTCCATCAAGCGATTATTATCTCCTTTCCTTTCATCTCTCAATAAACATGCAGAACGTATTAATCAGTCTGCTCATAGATTTCATAAAAAGTGGCTCATTATCTAGATGTTCTATTAATAGTTGCCAGGTTTTTTGCATCAGGAGTTGGTTGCTCAGAATGATTAATATTTACATATGTTGGTTTCTCCCAGTTGAAACCGGGATTGGAATAATAAATTGGGAGAAAATATATGGAAAAGCTCATTAAGATGACCATTTTTGCCAATAGTGTCCAAGGATGTTTCTGGTTTTCATGCAAATAGTGCCATACCAGATCCTTTCAAACATAATATTTCCCATTAAAGCAATCTCCCTTCCCACAAGCCCCTCATGTCTTCCCTTTAAAATTATCAACTTAATTTTTCTCAAGCTTCATTCAATTTTGTAAACTGATGCAACAGATTCTGCAGTTTACATAAGACCTGTTTCTTCTTTCTTTTATATCGTTATTGATCTGTCTCCCTGCATATTGCTGGAAGCATTATGTAATCATTATTAAGAAAATAAAGTCCATAATTTTACAGTTATTAATGCCCCCACCCGCCATCAAGGATCTCCCTAGACTATTAAATATGTCAGCCTCCTGCTTCACACCAAAATAACCATAAATCAAAAAACAAAACAAAACAAAACAAAAAACAACAAGGTAGGGACTGCATTCCTTCTGTGGCTTTATCTCTTTAATTAGCAGATAAAAAGAGGTTACCATTTTAACAGAGATGATTATAATGGTTTTTATCACTTTACAGAAACTCTTTAAATTGCTTTTTAAAACGATATGGCTGACGTGTGATGGCATTAAAGAAATATAATGGGGAGGTGTTGATTTGTTTTCTTTAATTTTGTTTGTGCATGACTTCTCTTCATCTGCTGACATGAAAATAAACACTAAGTACCACAAATTACTAGAGCAGCAGAGCTTGCTGTTCTGAAATAGTCCAACTCTTCTTACGACACCCTTGCTTTCCTCTTCAACTTCTGTGGTACCTGAAACAGATGGAGGAAGAACCTGCAGTCATCCTCAATCCCTAGATTTAAATCCATTAACATCTTTGGGTGTTGCAATTGTGAAGCCATGCATCTGTGGAAAAAAAAGAAAAGAAAGAAACTTCTATCTGAAAAATGTGAGCCCCTTTCCCAGCGAGGTACTGGACTCAAACAGCAGTAGCATTACTCCTCTGGAGCTGAATCATTACCTCTTGAAGCCACATGCTATGTGGGCTCTAGACTAACTGACCAAATAGCCATCAGATGCCACACACTGGACACTATAACACGTACCCTGTAGTTCAAACAACAGAGAGCCAATCACTAATCAATGTCATCTCTGTAAGCCTATGAGAATTCCTGCCAAACAACTCTGTGTCAGCCCACTCCTTGTTCCCATTTGCCTTTAAAAACCTGCTTGCAGCTGAGGCTGACAGAGCTCATGTTCAAGGCATCTTGAGTCTGAGTCTTCCAGGCAGCTGTCCTCACTTTGGCTCAAGTAAACTCTTTGAATTATTTTTTGTGCCTCAGCCTCTTCCTTTTAGGTCAACATATCCATCATGAAATTAAGGGAATTAGAACAATTTCTCATGTCATTGGAACTTGCAGAAGAAGAAATAGATTGAGACTAGGCTTCCATTGCTTCAGATGGCATATGCCCAGGACCAGCTGTGCTTTAGGTATTTTGGAGGCAGGGCTGGAGTGAGAAGATGTGGAAAACATAACATGAAGCCTGGTTTGGTTGCTGTCTGTGATCTATTTCTTTCCTTTCTCCTCTTTCTGCTCCTGGGGACACAAGAGGTTTGATGCCAGAAGCTTTTCTACTGAATTATTTGCCCTTATCTGATCACTAACAGAATTGGGCTTTTCCTTTCTTTAGCAAGGTTTCTCAGCTTCAGCACTATGACCTTTAGGGCCAGATGGCCTTTGTGTAGGGGCCATCCCATGCATTGTAGGATGTTTAGCAGCATGCCTGACCTCCACCCACAAGATGCAAGGAGCACCCCCAACACAGCCATAACAACGAAAAAGCATCTCCAGACATTGCCATTATGCCCTAGGGGGCAAAATTATCCCTGACTGCAAACTGCTGCTCTACATTTCATCTTCTCTACTATGTGAATCATCTCACACTTTTCTCATTTTCACTGTTCTGCAATATGTTTAATCACTTTCAGTACGTAAATGATACCTGCAACTCTAATCATGACTAAGGAAAATCAAAGCGATCTTCTGATGAATGCCTGGACCAAAGAGCAATAGGAACCAGGTATGATCAAAATCCTACAGAAAGCCAAGGAGTATTGGAATAAAAATCTCCAGTTATTGGAGAGTGAGGACTAGACCTTTTGTCAACAAAACCAAAGAGTGTTTATTATCTACTAAGTACAAGGCCAAATACAATTTGGTCATGAACAAGAAAAAAAAAATCTCACAATTTATTTCCTTAAAGATTTATTTTTATAGTTGGTGTGGTTAAGAGTTTTCTAGGAATGATTAAATAAGACCTGATATCATAGCCATTTTGAAGCTGCTTAAAGTTCTCAGGATATAAACCAAGTAGGGAGAGAAATAAGTAATATGATTACACAATTAATACTTATTTCAATTTTTTATTATGTGTGTCTATTTACTGCAAAATAATTACTTTGTACAGTCTTATGCATGTTTCAGATTAACTTTTTTGGTAATGTAATAAATTTTAATGCAAATATACTTTATCTTCACAGTTCATACCCCATGATACAGGTGATAAGGCTTGAAGTGATTAAACAGAAGTAAGAAGTTACCTCTCTCCGTCTGTCTTTAAAGTGCACATGCATTACTTGTGGATCTTGTTCACAATTATAATTCTGGAAGTCTGGGGTGGATTCTGAGATTCTGCATTTCTTTTCTTTTTCTTTTTATTTGTTTATTTTTTTAGAGATGGTGTCTTGCTCTGTCATCCAGGCAAGAGTGCAGTGGCACGATCAAAGCTTACTGTGGCCTCAAACTCCCAGGCTCAAGCGATCATCCTACTTTCAGCCTCCCAAGTAGCTGAGACTACACTAAAGGCATGCATCCCCACACCTGGCTAATTTTTAAAATTATTTTTTGTAGAGATGGGATCTCACTATGTTACCCATACTAATTTCTAACTCTAGGCATCAAGCGATCCTCCTGCCTTGGCCTCCCAAAGTGCCGGGATGACAGGCATGAGCCACTGCACCTGGCCTTAAGATCCTACATTTTAAGAAGCTCCCAGGTAATGCAACAATGTTGGTTTAAGCACAACTCTGTGAGTAGCAAGGTCCTTAGCTCCTTTGACCTAAGCGTCATATTATGCTTTTGTATGAGCTGTGGTGCTGCCCCAGTTTTGAGGAAAGGGAGCATTCATTTTTAGATTCAGATTTCATACATATATATATATTTTTTTCTTTTTTTTGAGATGGAGTTTCACTCTTGTTGCCCAAGCCTGAGTGCAGTGGCGCGATCTCGGCTCACTGCAACCTCGCCTCCAGGGTTCATGCGATTCTCCTGCCTCAGCCTCCCGAGTAGCTGGGATTACAGGCATGCACCACCAAGCCCGCTAATTTTTTTTTTTTTTTTTTGTATTTTTAGTAGAAACGGGTTTCACCATGTTAGCCAGGCTGGTCTTGAGCTCCTGACCTCAGATGATCCACTCGCCTCAGCCTCCCAAAGTGCTAGGAGGATTACAGACGTGAGACACTGCGCCCGGCCTCAGATTTCATATATTAAAACACTCTTTTCAGCAAAAGATGTTGAACATTCTTCCCTCGGGACAGGAAACACAAAGAGAAGGAAGCTTCCAGAGCTGAAGATCCCAACAAAGGAAAGCCAGTCCTGCTGGTAGGGGAGCACCTGAGCGCTGCTGGTCAGAGAAGCCTCCTCAAGGGTAACAAGCAAAGCCTCCACTCTCTGTACTCCAGGTTAGAATAAGGGATATGAGGCCAAAGGCCAACATTCCAGCTGAAGCCAGATGACAGAATACTGAGGGCTTCCCAGGAGACTCAAGCTCCATCAGCAAGCGGGCTCACCACACCTGCTGAGTGCAAAGGCACTGGAGAAAGATAGTAAGAGCTACTATCTGTTTTTCAGATTTTATTGTATCCAGCCAAACATAGTAATGATACAGCTCATATTCCAGGTGGTGCAAATGTTTTCCATAAATACCATTTTCACCAAGTTCCAAGATAAGTAGTTATGATAACTATATAAAACATAAAATAAAATTACATAAGATATCTAATAATGCAATACTAATTATATGTAACATATGCAAAGTATATATGTAATAATAAAATACTATTAAAAATAACTACCTGGATTTTCTAGCTCTGTCCTTATCTGTTAAAAGTCAAGAATTTGCTGTTCAGAGTAGGCAGAGTCTCTTAAAACCATCTCTTAAATAACTTCTGTTTTGGCCAGGTGTGGTGGCTCATCCCTGTAATCCCAGCACTTTGGGAGGCCAAGGCGGGCGGATCATCTGAGGTCGGGAGTTTGACACCAGCCTGACAAACATGGAGAGACCCTGTCTCTACTAAACATACAAAATTAGCCGGGTGTGTTGGTGCATGCCTGTAATCCCAGCTACTCGGGAGGCTGAAGCAGGAGAATCACTTGAACCCGGGAGGAGGAGGTTGCGGTGAGCCAAGATCACGCCATTGCACTCCAGCCTGGGCAACAAGAGTGAAACTGTGCATCAAAAAATAAAATAAAATAAAATAACTTCTGTTTTAATTTGGCTCTTGTTTTACTAAGAATTCTCAGTAGTGCTTTCAAAACATTCTAAAAACACAAAAATTAATCTTATTCCTAGATGTCCATAACTTAGTTTTCCAAATTGTTATTTGTTAATTAGCATGAAGCAAAATAACTATTAACCTAAAAATATGTCTGATTAATTCTGCTGTCACTTCAATATAATTAGACAATTGTGGACACGTTTTCTCCTAGGGTTCTTACCTGCATTTACATTTCTGCAGTTAGGGTGAAGGTGCATGTGTGCTTGTAGGTGGACCATGAATATAGGAAGTAGGGCTGGAAAGAGTGGACAGAGGCATTCAACCGAGTGTCTAGAATGTGGACATGCCAGCAAATAATTCTCCACTCTGATGTGTGCACTTTTCCTGTGATTTCTTCAAAGTGGAAAGCATCTGAGGTTGAATTTCCTACAGAGAGGTAGACTGACGGGGCGAGCCTGGCCCCTGGGCTGCCTGCCAGTTCCCTAAGCTGTGACACCAACCACCTCATGGTGTCCCTCCCCTGGGCCTCCATTCCCTGTTCTGTAGAATAAGGGCATTTGACAAGCTGATTCCTAAAGTGTCTCTCAAATCTATGATTCTACTACTTTAATGCCTTTAATATTGAAGAAAATGTACATGATAATGTGTTCTCTCTGCACGTCAGCTAAAATAGGACATTATTAAATAATAAAATATCCATTTCCAACTGCATGGGTGTAATTTTTTAAAATGCATTTTGAGACAAGAAGATTGTTCTAAGCTTTCACAGATGTTACCATTTTAAAACATTTTCTTTTCTCACATGATGCCAGTAGGAATAATTCATTTCTGGACTTTTTCTGTCAGCATCTATCTCTGGCTTTATTTCAAAATGTCACATTATCAGGACAAGATACAAATATCTTGAACATGAAACCCTAACAATTAAACAGAAAATTGATACTAAAAGAAAATCAAGACAACAAATGTAAAGTTCAAATTTCTGTTACCTTGCTTTTTAAAAAAATGCCTAAATGCATATACAAAAATTGGATTTTTAGAAACATAAACTATCCTTCCATTAATTTATTTTTAAACTTCTTTCATATTGTTATTACTGATAGAGTTGACAATACAATAAAATATTACTAAAATGCTGGGCACGATGGCTCACACCTGTAATCCCAGCACTTTGGGAGGCTGAGACAGGTAGATCACCTGAGGCTGGCAGTTCAAAACCAACCTGACCAACATGGTGAAACCCCATCTCTACTAAAAATACAAAAATTAGCCAGGTGTGGTGGCGGATGCCTGTAATCCCAGCTACTCAGGAGGCTGAGGCAGGAGAATCGCTTGAACCTGGGAGGAGGAGGTTGCAGTGAGCTGAGATGGCACCACTGCACTCCATCCTGGGCGACAGGGTGGGATTCTGTGTCAAAAAAAAAAAAATGCATGAAGTTAGAAGCTGAAACTCCAACAGTGCCTGCTTTAGCACCACACTCCAACTAAACTTCACATGCTGGTGCATTTCCATCTTCCTCTGTACACTGTGTCACGCCATCAACACTCCGCATACCAGGCTATATGCTGTGTTTCATTCACTATCTGCATGATTGAGAACATTGGGTTCCCATCAAGTTGCTATTGCAATAATATCCAACAGATCAGGACACATCCACCGCTTACTTGTCCAGTTTGATCTTTAAGGGAATTGAAAATCCACAAAGGTCTAAACTTGTCAGGTATTTTAGTGGGAAATGGGTAAGTCCCTCTCAAACAGCTGACCTGGAACTCGTACCTGCCACAGAGAGTGAAACCTCTCTGCACTCTTAAATGCTGCATTCATTCATCCCTGGAGAAAAGCCAGTTTCTCATCCACGTTGAACTAATTCTTATGAGGTGACCCTTATTTATAGCCACAGATACAGTGTGACTCCCTATTTTAAATAGACTATTGGGACTTTGTTGTTTTCACCATCTTTGGCTCTAGCCCTTAAGGACTTCATGAAGCTCCTAAGTAATATAGACAGCTAGGTTGATTTTTAGTTGAACTAGCATGCATTTTCAACATTTGGAAGTAAGTATTAGCCGGGTACGGTGGCTCACGCCTGTAATCTCAGCACTTTGGGAGACCAAGGCGGGTGAATCAGCTGAGGTCAGGAGTTCGAGACCAGCCTGGCCAACATGGTGAAACCCCGTCTCTTCTAAAAATACAAAAATTAGCTGAGCATGGTGGCAGGCGCCTGTAATGCCAGCTACTCGGGAGGCTGAGGCAGGAGAATCGCTTGAACCTGGGAGGCAGAGGTTGCAGTGAGCCGAGATCACACCATTGCACCCCAGCCTGGGCAACAGAGCAAGACTCCGTCTCAAAAAAAAAAAAAAAAAAAAAAAAAAGAAGTAAGTATAAGTACTACACAATGAATTATAAGAAGTAAAGGACAATAATGTAGCCTTTGATGCTTACACAAATTTTATTGGAAATAGCTGGCTCCAATGACAATATTTCTGCTATCACCACAAACTCAATTTCTACTTCAACTATATAATTACATCAGGCTTGAGAATAACTAAAAAACAATACTGCTAAATGTTGGCTTTAAATTACCATTTGTCTGCCTAAATCATGATGAATATGGTGATTGGAAATGGCATTATCGATTATTAAATGTCAGAATGAATACACTAATGAAGTTATAGAGACAAATGTCATATAAGACTGATTATTGTGACTAGTTTGGCCAAAGTCCTGAGTCTAAAATTTTTAAAACTCTAAAAATGTAAAAAGAAGTATCACAATCCCTCGCACTCTTCCTTTCCAACTTGGACCAGGCAGAATGGCTCCCGCAAAGAAGGATGGCAAGAAGATAAGGGCCGTTCTGCCATCAACGAGGTGGTGACCCGAGAATACACCATCAACATATACAAGTGCATGCATGGAGTGGGCTTCAAGAAGTGAGGCCCTCGGGCACTCAAAGAGATTCTGAAATTTGCCATGAAGGAGATGGGAGCTCCAGATGTGCACATTGATACCAGGCTCAACAAAGCTGTCTGGGCCAAAAGAATAAAGAATGTCCCATACCGAATCCGTGTGCGGTTGCCCAGAAAACGTAATGCGGGTGAAGATTCACCAAATAAGCTCCATACTTTGGTTACTTATGTACCTTTTACCACTTTCAAAAATCTATAGACAGTCAATGTGGATGAGAACTAATCACTGATCGTCAAATACATCAAATAAAGTTATAAAATTGCAAAAAAAAAAAAAAAAAAAGGAAGTATCCATGACTGTATCCATCATAATAAAAATTTGGCCAGGTGAGGTGGCTCATGCCTGTAATCCCACCACATTGGGGGGCCAAGGCAGGAGGATCACTTGAGGCCAGGAATTCAAGACTAGCCTGGGCAACATAGTGGAACCCTGCCTCTACAAAAAATTTAAAAACATTAGCTGGGTGTGGTGGTGCACATCTGTAGTCCTAGTGCTCAGGAGGCTGAGGCAGGAGGATTACTTTAGACCAAGAACTCAAGGTTACAGTGAGATATGATCACATCTCTGCACTCCAACCTGAGCAGCACAAGGAGACCCTATCACACACACACACACAAAAAAACATAATATTGACTTTGTTCAAAATGTAAGCCTTCATGATAATACTGCAACTTGTCATTCAAAATGCAGTCATTGTGAACCTACCATGTGTCTGCGGTAGTCAGATGCTGAGCATGCTTGAGTGAACAAAAGACAGAAGACTCCTCCCCTTCTGGCTGGGGATTGAGATGAAGAAGTAAATGAGCTAACAAACCATTACAGAAGGTGACAGCTGCTATGACTTAGACAGACTGTGCCGTGATCGAAGACTGGGTGAGAAGAGGGAACCTAGACTAGAGACCATGGATGAGGATTTGGCTCCAGGCAGAGGCTTCCAATGTGCAACCATGCTGAGTCAGAAGACGCAGAGTTGGAGGAGCAGAAATCCGGCACGCTGGGGCCAGTGCTTCGTAGTCCGGAAGATCGACGGTGTGCAGGAGGCTGGAGAACGGTCAGCTGCAGATGGCACAGGGCCTTGTCTGCCGGGCCACAGCATCCCAGCCACTCCTCCCAGTGCTTCCGGGCAAAACTCTAGCAGATGCTTTTTTTCCCCTTTCTTAAACTTATCACATACCTATCAGTACATCCTGTCAACTCTACTTTAAAAGCGCATCCTTGCTGTCATCCCAAGTCTCCCTTATAATGTCCATTGTGCAAGTCCGGAATGATCCTTTAAAAACCTAAATCAAATCACTTCTTTTCTGCTTCCAACTTTTCCATGATCTCTTGTCACACACAGAAAGGAGGCTGAACTCCCCTCCTGGCTCTTTGTGCCCTTTATGATCTGCAATGCACCTCATCTTACCCCTCCACCTCGAGCTCCAGCCTCTATGGAGCTTGCCAAGCTTGATTCTCCTTCAGGGCATTTTCTCTAGATATCTTGTCTTCCTGAACTTCTTTCGCAACTCCTTGCACAGCTGATTCCTTCTTATTTCATTGAAATCTCAACCTGATGTCACCTGCCCAATGACCTTGCATGGCTATCAGACTAAATAGCCAAATAGTACTGTCCTCGTTTCTCCTTGGGGGTTGAATCCTCTGCATAGCACTTGTACTGATATTTTATTAGTACTTGCTGGTTTACTGCCATCTCCACAGCACTCCACCCCCACACCATTCAACCTAGAATGTAGTTCTGTGAAAGAAGGAATAATAAATGTGCTGCTCACTATGTATCCCCACACCTGGGGCTCTGCCGGACACACAGTGGTTCTCAACAATTTTTGCTAAATGAATCAAAGGCTAATAGACCATCATGGATAAACTCATCATGAAATAGAAGTGAGAGAGAAAGGGAAAGAGGGAGGAGTGGTGGTGAGAGTGCACAGGTCGGCAGGGCTAGAAAGACCACCGAACAGTCAAGGAGCTCCTACGTGGCAGCAGCTACCACACCCATTGGGTCAGCTGGCCACACTTCTACACGTGGATTTAGACCCTTTGTTGTCCCCATAGCATAGGCGGCATGAGCCTCATGCTTGCATTGGGTCCCCTTTCTCCTTGAGTCCTGTGGGTATGACGTGGCCCAGGAGAATGCTATGACCACAGGGAATCTGTGTGAAAGCCAAGAACTCCAGGGGCAGGAGATCCTGGTCTTCTGTAGGGGCTGCTAGCAAACTTGGTCCTCTTTCTCTCTAGAAGAGACATTATTTTTATTACACTGGGATTTCTCCAAGAAGAGATGTTTCCAAATCTCTACAGAGGGAGTCGTTGTCTTTCTACTGCCAAGACTATCTGCTATGCAAACATCCTGGATCATCCATTGATGATCTCAATGTCCTTTGTTCAGAAGACATGCAAACCATGTCCAGACATAGAGGACTAGTTCATAACAAAAGGATCCTGTGGCCTGATTTGGAGCAGGGCCCCTAAGGGACAGAAAATTTCAAGACATATTTGGGAGACCTGACAGTGGAAGTTATCTTTACCCAATTTTCCCAGGGAACGGTACTAGGAAGGCATAAAACCTCAGGAAATTTAGAGCTGCACAGTGTGTCAGAAACTATGGAACCGGAGACAGCTTTGCAAGGGTTTTTCCGGAATGGCAACTGACTGAGGTTATAAAATTATTCCCACACACTTATGCTGCAAGGAGTGGAATATCCAGCAAACTGGGAGACACAGGAGGACAAGAACAGATGATGCTTCGGTAATGACTTAAAGGGACCAGTTCCCAAGGGCCATATGGGATGTTCACCCCACAAGACGATTGAAGGAGGGAGAGAGGCATCTCCCCAGTGCCTCACACAGTGAAAGGTCCCTAGGAGATTCTAGAGGGGATGTCTTGTCTTGAATCACTTTCAAGACAAATAAGGAATTGAACCACTTGTTTTTACAAAGTCTGTTACTGGGAGACACCATCTCTGGATCCAGGCCGGGAGGCTGCGGTGAGGAAGCCAGCTCAGGAGGTTGTCAGGGCAGCCACAGTGGAGCCACAGCTCTGGGGCTGCCATCTTGTCCTGTCAGCTTAGCTACCACTGTTCACATCTCTCCCTCAGTAGTTTATGTTTTATTACATATCACAAAATGTCCATATGGAATGTGTTGAAAATAAAGTTGAAAGGACAAAAATAACAGGTTCTTCACCACAGATAGCCGAAGAAGTAGTGGTCTGGAACAGCCCTATCCATCAGAACTTTGACAATGATGGAAACGTTCTGTTCCTGCAGTGACCAATATGGTAGCCACTAGTTGCATGTGGCTACTGAGCACTTGGAGTGAGGCGATTGTAATTTAGAATCCAAACATTTCATTTTATTTAATTTTAATTAAGTTAAAATAGCCATGTGACTAGTGGCTGCAGTACTGGACACAGCAGGTCTAGAATGAAGGCATTAGCCTGAGCCTCTCAAAGCTTTTGTGACCTTATCATAAAATGAGGATAAAAGTAGAATCAATCATGTAGGGGGCTTTCAAGGCTTAATGAACTAATCCATGTTAGAGGCTTAGCACCTCTGGGGCACACAGCTGGCACTCAGTAGGCATTAGAGGAAGATGAAAAAAATAAGTATGACAACACTGGTGGCAATCACAGAGACAGAGCTCCGGGGTTCTGAGGACAGGTTTGGACATGCGTGTGGCCAGCTATTAGGTAAGAAAAAGTATGGTCCATGCAGCGTGGGGCCAGAGCATGGGTGACAATGGGTGAGGAGGCCCTGCATCTGGCTCTATATGGGAGCACAGGCACATGAGGGGTGATGCCCCAAACCCTAACGGCCTTGAAAAGGAGAGTAGATGTTCAGCACTGGGTCAGCAGGGAGGGGGCTGTGCCCAGAGCTTCCCAGGCTGCTGGGGCAACTGCTCCCTTGGGTGGTGCACGGTGCACACGGCAGGGGCAATGCTCTCTGGGGCTGTGTCCAGCTCCTTCACCCAAATTCAAAACATGTGCATTCTGCACACCTCTGTCAAATAGTCTGGATCAAGGCATGTGTTTGCCTAAATCATCTGAAAATTTATATCAAAAATAGTTTCTTGGCATGTATCTATCAGTCTGGGTCCAATCAGGAGATGCAGACCACAACACAATTTAAACAAGGGAGGTTTAATATAAAGAAATATGATGCTATTTCTTAAGAAACAGGACAAGAGAGTAACTATTGAGACAGAAAGAGCTCTACAGGGCACCAGAGCTGTGGGTGAGCACCCAAGGAAGGACACAGCTAGAGGGGGCTTAGACTTCTGAAGAAAGTATGGCTGCACCTACTGGATAGTGGAGAATTTTGCTGGGCTTCCCAGGACACAGCTGGCCCACAGTGGCTGGACAAGTGAAAACATCACTCTGTGGCACCAGCAAACTGAGGCCAACAGGCAGGCAGAGAGAGCAGGGCACACTGCAGGTGTGAGACCAAAAACCTGTCATGTCTATGTCATTGTCCATGTTGAGAGGGCCACAGGAAATACACCTGCAGGACACAGGCAGGGGATGCTGGCAGGTGGTGGACCACCCTCTGCAGGGACCCAGTGCCCCTCTGTGCACAGCTTGGGTCAGAGCAGCTGTGGGCGCTTGCATGGACAAAGGTACAGCCTGCCGAATGGCCAACCTTAAGGAGCTTCAGTGTGCCTGTGGGTGGGGCTAAGGAGAGGGTACAAAGAGCAGGACCTGGGCCGAGGCACAGTCCTGTGCTGTCTGGTGTCCCTGGCTATGCTAGTGCTGTCCAAATCAGGAACTGCAGAAAGCATGGCAGCAACATGCTGGAGAGAGCTTCCTGTAGCCTGCATGCACCTGGCACTGGAGAAACCACACTGCTGAGCAGTAAAGAAAAATGCACGCTCTCCAGGAGCATGGCAAATGCCCTGAGAGCCAGGACAGAAAATCCCTACTATCTGTAATGTCTCTCCAGCACCTTCTAATGACAATCCTTAACATCGGATCAGTGGCAAAGAAAAAATATGAAAGAGGCTCACCTGCATCTTCACAGATCAGGTAATGAAGGATGAATTTGGAGCTGAGAGTCAGGAAACTGAAAAATGGCAACACATAGCCTATGCCCGACACCCACCGGCCCCACTCTTCCATGGCACTCACAAAATATTCCCTGGGGCTTTGACTGTGATCTAGGAAAAAAAAAACACTGTTTGCAAGGAAAGGAAGATTTCTTGGTAAATTATCTTTCTATGGGTAAAAAAATCAGTGCAGTCATCACCTTGTCATTAGTAAGTTCTCAATAGAGCAGACTGAGTCAAAGCTGTGCAGCCAATAAGATGTACTTACAAATGGTTCCCTGCCTGAGAGCTGGGTTCAGAAGTGCAGTAGATCCAACATCTCCCAGTGCCATAATCTACCTTGTAGGACTAAATGTCCTATACCCTAAAGTTTATTATTCTTTATATATGATCTAGAGAGTGGGTACAAGTTTTGGTAGTAGTTTGGAAAATACTACAAAATCTTTGAAATAAAAAAAACTAAGCAGTTTATAAAACACTGCCACTTATACTTAGGTGTATTCTTACATCTTTTCTTTTTTCCTTAAATAACTAAAACAAATATAACATTTTCTGAAAAGTAAAGGGGCCTCAGTAAATAAATACATAGCATTGCTATTATGACATACAATATTTTAGAATAAAAATATAGTATGAATATTCATAGAAGTTGTTATTCTTGGATCTTTAGCAACATTAAATATGTAATATACTTACACCTCCATTTCCTCTTCTAATATTTATCCCTGCTTCATTTCTAAATCATCTTTTCCATATTTTCCTCTTCAGTTTTTTAAGTGGGACGGCAAGCTTGTTTTCAGCTAGTTGTAATTAAAATATTATCTATGAGCACTTTCAAGCCAGATTGTCATCATCAAAGCAAAGGAAAGATGGGGCAATTTTGGAGAAAACTCAGTGACACATCAAATTATTTAGATGGATGTTTTAATTTCACAATTTTTCTTCAACTAACTTTAAAATATGTGGGTGATTATTTTATATAGGGATTCGCATGGTACAAAAATCAGTAGAACTCCAAATAAGGCACTGAGAGGAGACAGAGAGGAGAGCACTGAGGTGGGCTCTTCTGCCCTGAGTGGACCCTGATCTCCACAGAGGCCAGGCAGACAGCATCCTGCCTTCCACCGTCGCGTTCCAGAGAAGACTGTTGATAAACAGCCAGTGCCTAACTTCAGGGAGGGGTTAGTTATGGATGAAATCAAAGGACACCGAGGGAAATGTAAGAGAAGGTGGCTGGAGTAGGCTTGGGAGGCAGGGGGCCCCACCTGGGAGAGCTTGGCGTTCTAGCCTGTGGAGGAGTCCTAGGGGGAGGAGAGAACTGGGGAGGGGTAGAGGGCGCTCAGGAAGGCAGGTCTTGTGTCCTGCGCCAGCCAACTCCAGCTGTGCTCCATGGCTCCGGCAGGGTTGCTCTGAAGGCTATAAAGGAATGTGCCCACCCTGGCATGTGACCATCCTTCTAGAACACGCTTTGGTTCCTCGATTTGGGAAGGTCTGGCTCCAATAGCCCAAGCCTGCCTCCAGATCCTTTAAAGATAGCTTCACTTTTCTGTCCCAAGCACTGAGAGGGAAAAGGGACGGGAAAGAGTGGAAGGAGTGGGCAGCAATGTGTGTAGTTTGGCCCTGCAGCGGAGCCGCCGCCGTCCATAGCCTCCCTGTTCGGAGGCCGCCATCCATAGCCTCCCTGCTTGGAGCCCCTGACCATGGCAGGCCTATCTCAGCGTCTTGCAGGAGCTGGGATGCGCATATCCCTTGGGCAAGGGGAAGCCACGGCTTGATTTCAGCAAGAAGCAATGTGAGTTACCTTGCCCTTAACCTTATGTAAATTCATTCTGCAAATGAAGATCCAGGGCTGAAAGGGCAGCACTGCAGACACCGCAGCGGCCGGAGCCACAGCCCTGAGCTCCCAGGGTTTTCCACCCAGCAGGGAAGACAGACTGGAAAAACGATTACATGAGTGGTGCTGGCTGCAAAGGAGAAGAATGGATCTTTAGTGCGTAGTGAAGCGCAGGGGTCTCACTTGGTTAGGATATGGTTCTGAAATACTTCACTGAGAGGGGCATGGGCGCTGGAGTGGAGACAAGTTGGGACCTGGACTCATTCAGAGTTCATTATGGGGAGGAGAGATTCCAGGACTAGAGAACAGTGTTGGCCTTGAAGCAGAAAAAAACCTGGACCAGAAACTGGAAGAAGAAAGAGAAGGAGAAAGAGAAGGAGAAGGAAGAGAAGGAGAAGGAGAAGGAGAGGAAGAGGAAGAAAGAAGAAGAAGAAAAGGAAGAGGAAGAAAGAAGAAGAAGAAGAAAGAAGAAGAAGAAAAACCAACTTAGGCAGGAGAGTACAGAGGGACATGAAGGAAGCAGGAGCGTGCACACTTGAAAGCGTGTGTTAGCATCAGCAGCCCCCGCCACCCCTGCAGGACATACCAAGATGCCCTTCACTCTGAGGGCAGCGGGAACACACTAAAGGGTTGAACAGGTTGCGTTTCTAAAAGGTCACGGACTACAGTGTGTAAGAGGTTGGAAGGGGATAAAAGCAAACGCAGACGGACGGCTAGAGAGCTACAGACGGGTGACGGGGCGGTGGAAGGAGGGCGGAAAGGGAAGTGACCTCCCAGCGCCGTCCTGGGCTGCAATAATCAATCAATCTGTGCTGCATGCTGGCCCCCACTGGACAGTGGCTAATTGATCCATTCACGAGGGAAGACGCAGATCTGACAGGCCGCGCGCAGTTCCACACAGCCGCGCTGGGCTCCCGTCACCTCCCTCCGGGATGAGTGTGGAAGGCGCTCTGCACCAGGAGCACTCAGCTTTCCCAGGCCGCTGTTGCCGGGCACAGGCTCCGGGCACACGAGGGGGTTCCGTGCAGCCCGCTTTGCAGAGGGAACGGAGGCGCAGAGAGCCTGGCCCGGGCGCGCGGCCGCGAGGGTCGGGAGCAGGGAATCCACCGCTGCAGCTCAGCTCTGGGCAACGCTGCCACCTGCTGTCCCGCGCAGCCGCACAGCGGCCCGGGCGTCCCAGCCTCCGCGAGAAAGACTGTGCCTGACCTGCACGGAGGATGACGCTGACCGGCCGGTGATGAGGAAGCCACCAAGGGAAGCAATTAGACACAGGACGTGCTGGACCTGCAGGCTGCACAGGCCAAGGGAGGGCCCCAGGCGCAGCGGGCGGATCTGCGGGTCCGCGGGCTGCGTCCCTGCCCTGTGGCCGAGACTGTGACAGTCTCCGCAGTTGGCAGCCGAGTGCACTGACACTTAGGCTGAGTCCGCAAACAGAAAAGCACCAAATCTCAGTGGCTCCACGCAACAGGTGTGTTTCTCACTCTCATATCCAGGTTAGGTCACGGGACACGCCAACAAGTGATTTAGGGACCAGGCTCTTTCCCTCTCTGTACCACCTTAAAAATGCAGCCTCCAAGTTCACTGTCTAAAGGAAAAAGTAATGATCAAGGGTGAGAGATTTTGCCGCGGCCTGTGACACAGCTCCACCTAATGTAAAGGTGTTAGAAAGCTCGGTTTTCCCGCGTGGCCAGGAAGAGGAGAAAAAGAAGTGTCGCTGGATCACTAAGACTTGGCCAGACCCTTCTGTGCCTCCTAAACATTCTCCCGTCCATGCAGAGAGCACCCTCACGCCTTCCCCCAGAGGGGCAACCACAGTCCCACCAGTCACTGCCCAATGCAAAGGGCCCCCAGGCAATCTCACTCCATGGCCGGGACTCCTCTTGGGCTGCCACCAATCACCTAGAGGGAGAGTGGTTGCTCTCCTCCACCCAGCAAACAAGCACATTATCTCTGAAACAAACACCACACCACCATTCCAAAACAGAGTGGGAGAAACACCCTATCACAGCCCAACAGGACACCTGACTCCGCTGGCCAGAATTGCTAAATTCCTCTGTCCTGGGCTGGGAAGGCCCCTCATTAGACTCCAGGGCTATCCTCTGGGGAAAACTCCATGCTCTGTTTTTCTTGGAAACCCCTGGATCGTGGGAGTTCTTAATTGCTCACTGGGCTTCAGTTTCTGAATTGGATGCTGGGGAATCTTCCCTCATAGGATCCACATACCCTGGATCTCCCTTGCTGTCTGCTGTAGACTGAACGGTTGCTTCCCCAAAAACCCCCTGTGTTGAAATCCTAATCTCCAATGTGATGGTATTAGGAGGTGGAGACTTTGGTAGGTGATCAGGTCATCAGGGTGGAGCCCTCATGAATGGGATTGGTTCCCTTCTTTCAAAGGCACTTTTGAGGACACAGTGGGAAGAAGCCTATCTGTGAACCAGGAAATGGGCTGTTACCAGACATGGAATATGCTGGCACCTTGATCTTGGACTTCCAGCCTCCAGAATTGTGAACAATAAACTTATGTTGTTTCTAAGACACCCAGTTTATGGCATTCTATTAGAGGAGTCCAAGGTGACTAAGACAATGTGACCCAAAGACTTTGTAGATTAGGTTTATGCTTTCTTTGGCAATATAATTTCTTCAAACTCTTTGAGGGCATTTGATCCATTTGCTTCCAAACAGTTCCGTATGGCTGCAACCACACCCAAAACATTTTCATGGACAACATTTTTAAATCTTCTACTTTTTTTTTTTAACTTTCTCATACCCTTGCCTAGTTCAGCTTAATAATGAGAGGAAAAATCTTAATCTAATCATTGTAATGAGACTGAGTCACAATATGGTTTTCTAGCTGAAAGGTTTTTATTTCAATATATTATTGCCTACTGTTTGTGTTTCAAATGCAGTTGAAATGTCCAGCCCTTCAAGAACCCAAATTTCTGGACTTTGTGCTCTTAAGCTGGTCAGTTTTCTCCTGAGCTCTGTGCTTTCTTTGAATAGCATGCCAACACAACCAATTATAGAAAACACACAATCACAATCACACTTTGATTTTTTTTTCCTACTGCTTTTGCTAGAGTTGCTGAATCATAAGGCTTACAATTTATCCCCAGAGATATTGCAGACAGAAGTTTTACTACATATTTCCACTGTAGTTAGCATGGATCATCATCTTCCTTGCCACCCACCACCTCACTTCAAGTCAATGTCAGCCATCAGATTTTTGTTACTACAGTACTTCCTTTTGAAGTACCAATTTTTGTATTATTCTTGATGGTTTAGTT
This sequence comes from Homo sapiens, assembly GCF_000001405.40. Lineage (NCBI taxonomy): Eukaryota > Metazoa > Chordata > Mammalia > Primates > Hominidae > Homo > Homo sapiens. Next base: position 54,666,671 of record NC_000007.14, read on the forward strand.
GTTGTGTCAATTCTCTAATTTCAGTGGCTTAACAAAATAACTGTTTCTTTCTTCCCCATGTTACAGTCCAATTAGAGTTGGCTGATTCTTCTCCATTCAGTGACTCAGGAACCCAGGCTGCTTCTATCTGAGGCATCCATATTTAACATGCAGCCTCCAAGGTCACCACTGAATGAGGGAACATATCTATGTGCCTGACTTAGACGTACTAACATCATGTCCATCACATTCCACTGGTCAGGACGCAGTCACATGGCCGACCTCACTGCAAGCGTGTGGAAAAGTCATTTATCTGTGTTTTCAGGAAGAAGAAAAAGACAATATTGAAGAGGTCTGGCTGTCCTAGCTACACTGCTTATAATTTTTTTTTTAATTGATTATTCTTGGGTGTTTCTCGCAGAGGGGGATTTGGCAGGGTCATAGGACAATAGTGGAGGGAAGGTCAGCAGATAAACAAGTGAACAAAGGTCTCTGGTTTTCCTAGGTAGAGGACCCTGCGGCCTTCCGCAGTGTTTGTGTCCCTGGGTACTTGAGATTAGGGAGTGGTGATGACTCTTAACGAGCATGCTGCCTTCAAGCATCTGTTTAACAAAGCACATCTTGCACCGCCCTTAATCCATTTAACCCTGAGTGGACACAGCACATGTTTCAGAGAGCACAAGGTTGGGGGTAAGGTCACAGATCAACAGGATAAGAATTTTTCTTAGTACAGAACAAAATGAAAAGTCTCCCATGTCTACCTCTTTCTACACAGACAGGGCAACCATCCGATTTCTCAATCTTTTCCCCACCTTTCCCCCCTTTCTATTCCACAAAACCGCCATTGTCATCATGGCCCGTTCTCAATGAGCTGCTGGGCACACCTCCCAGACGGGGTGGTGGCCGGGCAGAGGGGCTCCTCACTTCCCAGTAGGGGCGGCCGGGCAGAGGGGCTCCTCACTTCCCAGTAGGGGCGGCCGGGCAGAGGCGCCCCTCACCTCCCGGACGGGGCGGCTGGCCGGGCGGGGGGGCTGACCCCCCCGCCTCCCTCCCGGACGGGGCCGCTGGCCGGGCGGGGGGCTGACCCCCCCACCTCCCTCCCAGACGGGGCGGCTGGCCGGGCAGAGGGGCTCCTCACTTCCCAGTAGGGGCGGCCGGGCAGAGGCGCCCCTCACCTCCCGGACGGGGCGGCTGGCCGGGCGGGGGGCTGACCCCCCCACCTCCCTCCCGGACGGGGCGGCTGGCCGGGCGGGGGGCTGACCCTCCCACCTCCCTCCCGGACGGGGCGGCTGGCCTGGCGGGGGCTGACCCCCACCTCCCTCCCAGACGGGGTGGCTGCCCGGCGGAGACGCTCCTCACTTCTCAGACAGGGGCGGCTGCCGGGCAGAGGGGCTCCTCACTTCTCAGACGGGCGGTTGCCAGGCGGAGGGTCTCCTCACTTCTCAGACGGGGCAGCCGGGCAGAGACGCTCCTCACCTCCCAGACGGGGTCGTGGCCAGGTAGAGGCGCTCCTCACATCCCAGACGGGGCGGCGGGGCAGAGGCTCTCCCCACATCTCAGACGATGGGCGGCCGGGCAGAGACGCTCCTCACTTCTTTCCAGACTGGGCAGCCAGGCAGAGGGGCTCCTCACGTCCCAGACGATGGGCGGCCAGGCAGAGACGCTCCTCACTTCCCAGACGGGGTGGCGGCCGGGCAGAGGCTGCAATCTCGGCACTTTGGGAGGCCAAGGCAGGCGGCTGGGAGGTGGAGGTTGCAGCGAGCCGAGATCACGCCACTGCACTCCAGCCTGGGCACCATTGAGCACTGAGTGAACCAGACTCCGTCTGCAATCTCGGCACCCCGGGAGACCGAGGCTGGCGGATCACTCGAGGCTAGGAGCTGGAGACCAGCCCGGCCAACACAGCGAAACCCCGTCTCCACCAAAAAAATACGAAAACCAGTCAGGCGTGGCGTCGCAGGCACTCGGCAGGCTGAGGCAGGAGAATCAGGCAGGGAGGTTGCAGTGAGCCGAGATGGCAGCAGTACAGTCCAGCTTCGGCTAGGCATCAGAGGGAGACCGTGGAAAGAGAGGGAGAGGGAGACCATGGGGAGAGGGAGAGGGAGAAGGAGAGGGAGAGGGAGAGGGAGAGGGTACACTGCTTATAATAATCACACATGAGTTCCTTTAGTCCCTTTCCTCTAGAAGTTTACAAGTAATATACAATAAAGCAAATAAAATTAAGGTAGGAATGAGAATGTCATACTCTCAAGAGGCCATTTAAGATTCTACAAATGTACTTGTCTCGAATCTGGGTATAATACTGATAGTGTATATTTGCATTGAAAGCCAGGTAGGGCTTGTTATATTAAGGAATTTTTCTGATAGTTATACACCAATAGCAATCATAACATGTTTGTCATTCATACAACAACATTTCCTGAGTGCCTACTAAATGCTAGGTACCCAGCTAGTAGCTGAGTGGTTAAAAAAAAATTGTTCCAGTACCTGCTCTTGTGATATTTGCATTCTAATAGGAGAGAAAATAAACAAGTAATCACCCATTTGCATAATAATTGATTTGATAAATGAGATGCACATAAAGTACAGGACAGTGTAAGAAAGCAAAAGACAGACCTAGCTTGGGAGTGGATCCACATTCTAAGCATGAAGCTGGGACTTGAAAGGCTAGGAGTTAGCCAGGTGACAATGGGGAAGAGACGCTGAGGTTTTTTACTTTTACCATTGGGTAGGGGATGGTGCCATGCTGAGATGGGAAACACTGTGTTTTCATAGAGTAGCCCTGGATGGGCAGATCAGAGATTCATTTTAGCATACATTGGCTCCAGGGTAACCATGAAACCTCCAACGGGAAATGTCAAGGAGGCAGCAGCTATTGCACAGAGCTTGTTGAGGGGTCTGGAGTGGCGCTGTAACTGGAAGATGCCTTATTGATGATCTAGTCTGTCTCAAAGGCATTCCTCACCACCCCTTACCCAAATGCATCATTCATGGGGAAAACTCCCAGAATCCAGTCACCTGCCATCATCCGTCCCGGACATCTTAGGGCTCTATACCTCTAAGAAGATTTATTTTATTTTATTTTATTTTATTATTTTATTTTTGAGACAGAGTCTCACCCTGTGGCCCAGGCTGGAGTGCAGTGGCACGATCTCGGCTCACTGCAACCTCCACCTCCCGGGGACAAGCAATTCTCCTGCCTCAGCCTCCCATGTAGCTGGGATTATAGGCACGTGCCACCACATCCGGCTAATTTTTTATATTTTTGGTAGAGACGGGGTTTCATCATGTTGGCCAGGCTGGTCTCGAACTCGACTTCAAGTGATCCGCCCACCTCGGCTTCCCAAAGTGCTGGGTTTACAGGCATGAGCTACCGCGCCTGGCCAGAAGACTAATTATAAATAGGAACATTCTCACTGGCAAACCAAAGACTTTCTTAAATAGTGAGTTATTAACACACAGATAAGAGAGGTTTCCCATTTTTAAATATCACTGTTCAGACCAGGATGGAGGACAGCAGGAGAACTGCAAGAAGCAGCCACAACAAGCAACTGGCCGTCCTAAGGAACCAGGATTCCATAATCACAAGAAACACCCAGTAGAAGAAGTCAAGGCCAAGGGGCCCTTTTTTCTATTTCTCTGTTGCCTATTTTATCCAATGCCTGATCTTACATTCAGCTCTGTATTGTTTTAAACAGGTATCTTTGCTTTTAAAATGAATGTTCATCATCAGTTCTGAATATGAATACATGGTAGGAGTGCATTTATTTTAATTCATTTGATAATGACTTTACTAAAGCTTAAGATTGTGTGTCTCTGAAAACCTCAAAAATTATTTGAAATGACTCTTCAGATGAATGCAGATACATGAAAAGTAAACTGGTTGAAGGTCATCATACGAAGAGCCAGCAGTAGCAGCAACAATTAAGACCAGGCATCTATTTTAATTTTTCAGGTGTGTGTTGATGAGGAGAGTTAGAACTGTTTTAATTGCTAATCTCTCAAAGGAAGGAACACACCACGTTAATTAAATTCACTGATGATAGAAAATGTGGAGGTGGATTAATCACTTCTAGTGGCAGAACAATTTTCTTTAAAAGCTAGTTTTACAAATAAGAACTAGAATTAACCAAAAGAGAACTCAGTTCTTAGAGAATGTGCATGTGCACACACACACACACACACACTCACACAGCCTAACTACCCCCAGTGCATAGATTACAGGATGTGCACTTTGAAAGTTGCTTTAAAAGAGGTGCACTAATCACTGAAGAATGCCGTCTTGAATTCACTCTTTGAACAAAGATGTACAAAGTACCTGCTATATATATAAAGCTGTGGCTTGAATAATAAAAAATACAGAAAGAAAAGCACCTCTTCTCCTATACTTTTGGACCATGGATTTTCCTGTACAGTTTAGTACAGCAAATTCACTTCTCTCTGGCACCTCAATAAGGCAGCATCAAAAAACCATAAGGGGTGGAAATGTGGGTGGGTCATTTGACTAACTGAAAATGCTTTAGTTGCCCAGGCATTTTGTCAGGTATACACCTCCAGAAAGTATCTGAGTTTTGTCATTATAAATAAAGAAAATGGAAAGGTAAGTACAAGTACCGAAGTTTATATAATCAAGCCTCCAAATAGAAATGTGGCTGTGACTAGAGATATTACAATCACCAAAATCTAGAGACAGAGCAGCCAGTTATCAAGCTAGACACAGAAGCAGACCTGTGGCAGAGAGGTGAGAAGAGGCTGAGAGGTGCAATTCTCCTGTGGCTAAGGACTCTCCTAACATGCCTTTGGGAGTATAGTGCTTCTGTAGGTGCTGTGTCCAAAATCATGCCTGTGACACAGGACACAACTGGCCCCAAACAGAGAACCCAAGACCATGAGCAGCAGCTCCCCTTGCTGAAATGAAATGAATTTGGCAGTTGAATTGAGTAGCAAGACCATGAGCAGCAGCTCGCCATTGCTGAAATGAAAACCGGATTTTAGTGAGAGTCTTCCTCCTGGACCCCAGCGTTCCTAAATGGAAGCAGCAAGTATATATTTAAAAAAAAAAAAGCAACATTTTTCCATTTTTTCCCACAAAAACCCTATTTTTCCATTTTCTTCTTGCCATGGTTTTCAGTGTAAGTGGTTGGCTAATGCAGGGACTAATGAAATAAAGAACATAATAGGTTTCTCTGGTTGTTCACCTTTAGCAGAATGTAAATACCTTTTTGCAATTCAAAGTGAGTTCCGGTTCAGACAGAAAGTTTGCCTCTGGGGTGCACCTTACTCATCCTGTCATAGAGGGAGTGCTCTCACTTGGTAACCCAGTCTTGCTGAAGACCCAGCCTGGTAGGTCCACTGAAATGCTATGATCCTGGAGAACGTGATTGTGGGGGAAAGAATGGAATGGCAGACATACAAATTGTGCACCTCTGAATTTCCAGATGGCAATGGCAGAATTTTTTTTTTTTAGTTAAGAGTCTTGCTCTGTTGCCCAGGCTGTAGCGCAGTGGTGCGATCGTGGCTCACTGCAGCCTTGACCTCCCGGGCTCAAGCGATCCTCCTATCTCAGCCTCCAGAGTCGTGGGGACTACAGGTGTACACCACCATGCCTGGCTAATTGTTTTTATAGAAACGAAGTCTTCCTATGTTGCCCAAGTTGATGGCAGAGTATTAAAACCAGCACAGGACACTTCTGAGAGTGGGGACCCTCCCAGGGTGGGGCTCTTGGTAAGTGCAGCAGTCACACCCCCACGAAGCAGTTTTTCGGGGAGGACTGAGAGTGATACATTGAGTAGAGGCAGCAAAACTGCCTCTCCATCTTTTTCGGGGCCAGCTGGGCCTGAGAATCAAATTGACATAAGATAGGCTAACAGATGAAAAGCATAAAATTTATTTTATGTGAGTTTACATGGCACCGGAGCCTTCATACAGAAAAGAAGACCCCAAGAAGCAGTTAGACTCAGTCCCTTATATACTGAATTGGACAAAAAAATAGTTGTGAAATGTGATAAGACCAAGGGGACTGGGCTAGGGTAGGACACAGGGAGAAGGGTGACTAAGAAGATAAGGGCTGGCTTAACAAAGTTTGTTTGTACAGCTTTATTCTGGCCTCAACTGTCCATCTTTGATGATAAGAATGTTATTCTGTAGAGGGCATCTTTCCCACAGGCATTACATCCCTGCTTTAGGAAACGACATGAAGGTTAGCGCGATGTTGTTGCACCTGCTGTTTTTTCAAGTATCTTTACTTAAATAGTCAGTATGCCAGGATGGCATATTTTGAGTGATGTATTCTTAACTCTTTCCTTTGCATCTTGGGAGGTGTGGTCCTTATAAGCCAAATGCCACAGGCAGGTCAGAGGAGAGTGATGCCCTGTAAGAACTTTTATTCTTTTTTTTTTTTTTTAAGATGGAGTCTCGCTGTGTCGCCCAGGGTGGAGTGCAGTGGCGCGATCTCAGCTCACTGCAACCTCTGCCTCCCAGGTTCAAGAGAGTCTCCTGCCTCAGCCTCTGAGTAGCTGGGATTACAGGCATGCGCCACCATGCCTGGCTAATTGTGTGTGTGTGTGTGTGTGTGTGTGTGTGTTTAGTAGAGACATGATTTCACCATGTTGGTCAGGCTGGTCTCGAACTCCTGACCTCATGATCCGCCTGCCTCGGCCTCCCAAAGTGCTGAGATTACAGGCATGAGCCACCATGACCAGACAAGGACTTTTATTCTACCAGGCATCAGAGTCATTTAGAGTTTTCCATCTGCTCAGTATGTGGAGGATCTAGGCTGTAGGTTAGGAGAAGATTGTATCTTCGCAATTACAACAGCTACCCTCTACATAGCTCTTGTTAAGTGTCTGTTCCACACTAAAACTTGTGCCAAAAGAATGTTGTCTATTAACCTATCTTATGTCAATTTGATTCTCAGGCCCAGCTGGGCCCCAAAGAAGATGGAGGGGCAGTTTTGCTGCCCCTACTCAATGTATCACCCTCAGGGCTCCCCCAAGCACTGCTTCCTGGGGGGTGGCCGCTGCAGAGACAGTTGTGGCCCTGTACCCTTGACTTGTGAAGCTAGCTCATTAGCACCAGCATGGGTGCTTCCTCTTAGCAACCCTTCAGACTGGAAAGATCTACTTGTAGAATTACACGGTAAAAAATAAAAAATCAGGATGCAAAACTCTATCTATAGAATGATCCAGTTTCATAAAAGACTGGAATAAAAAAACCCATAAATGTAAAACTGTTATTTTGTTTCATTTCACAATTTTTTTGAAGAGGCACTGAGGTTTCTGACATATGAGCATTGCCTCCTTCCCTTCTGTGTACCCTCATGGGTGTATCGTTCTCACTGTGAATTAGTACAGCAGCGTTCAATAGACTAACGAAATTCAGGCACACTTGAAGGGCACCTTCTCTTTTTTTGGTCCTGGCAAGACAGCTGGCAATGATAAAATATGTTTGAGTGCAGGAAATATTGGAAAACAACTTTTTTTGTAAAGAGAAGCTGGAAAAAATAATAATAATAACATCCCTGGGCCGTGTCCCGCAAGTGTAGGAGGAGCTCCGTACACCTGTGTGAAATTACATCAAGGATTTTTATGTTTTCTCTCTGTCTGCATTTGATGAATTACACAGGTTTTGCTTAACATATTAGAGTTGGACACAAAGAGAAATTCGTTTGCTTGTTTGTTGCTCCAGATTTATGCCTATGAGATTTTGGCTTTGTACATAATTTGGAGGTTTTGAGATCTTTGAATTACATGCATGCACATCTTTAGCAAGCTGCACCAGAGAACTGAAAGCATAAAATCAAATTACATGCAGATTGAAGAAGTAGCAATGATTTCTTTACAAGCAATTGTCAATTTACTGCCCAAGACTGAGGTTCTGGTCTCCCCACTGATCTGGGAACAAAATGAGTAACTAAAACAAACACTAGAACGTTAAAATTCACTCCACCTACTGCAATTGTTAAATCATGGGCTTCTTCTTGATTTTTTTAAAATTAAGGTCGTCTCTCTGCAAAACCATCCAGCTATTCTGACCCAATAGCCTATTGGAGGAGAGAGTTGTGGCTGAGGAGATCCAAAGGCTGATGACATTCATAGACCTTATGATTTATAGGCAAAAACTATCTCAACGGATACAATCAAAAAAAAAAATGCAGCTGTCAGAGAGCATTTTTGGCAAGTGTATCAGGGAGCTAACTCAAAATCTTGAGTTAAAATCAAAACACTTAAGCCAGGTTTGTCTCATCCTGTGCAATAACATTATGGCAGAGACTACTGCAAACTGTCACTTAAACTCTTTTCTTCTACTTCTTGAGAATAGCTAGACTACAGTTCCCAGCCTCCCTTGCAGGTAAAGGGGGCCATGGGGACAAAGAGGAAAGAGTCTCTTCCAGGCTGGCCTGTGAAACATGCTCCATACAACCCTCTATAACCTTTCCCCTCTCTGGAGGTTGGGTGTCCACACCCAGGTGACTTCACTTGCAGGCTTTGAGGATTACCCAGGGCCTGGCTGCTCTGAATGACCATGTGCGCAGAGACCCCTCCTTGGATTGTGAAGGGGTGGGTTGCCCCTCCACACCTGTGGGTGTTTCTCGTTAGGTGGAACGAGAGACTTGGAAAAGAAAGAGACACAGACACAAAGTATATAGAAAGAAAAAAGGGGGCCCAGGGGACCGGCGTTCAGCATACGGAGGATCCCTTTGTATTTATTGGCCTCTGAGTTCCCTTAGTATTTATTGATCATTATTGGGTGTTTCTCGGAGAGGCGGATGTGGCAGGATCATAGGATAATAGTGGAGAGAAGGTCAGCAGGTAAACACGTGAACAAAGGTCTCTGCATCATAAACAAGGTAAAGAATTAAGTGCTGTGCTTTAGATATGTATACACATAAACATCTCAATGCCTTAAAGAGCAGTATTGCTGCCCGAATGTGCCACCTCCAGCCCTAAGGCGGTTTTCCCCTATCTCAGTAGATGGAATATACAATCGGGTTTTACACCGAGACATTCCATTGCCCAGGGACAGGCAGGAGACAGATGCCTTCCTCTTGTCTCAACCGCAAAGAGGCGTTCTTTCCTCTTTTACTAATCCTCCTCAGCACAGACCCTTTATGGGTGTCGGGCTGGGGGACTGTCAGGTCTTTCCCTTCCCAAGAGGCCATATTTCAGACTGTCACATGGGGAGAAACCTTGGACAATACCTGGCTTTCCTAGGCAGAGGTCCCTGCAGCCTTCCGCAGTGTTTGTGTCCCTGGGTACTTGAGATTAGAGAGTGGTGATGACTCTTAATGAGCATGCTGCCTTCAAGCATCTGTTTAACAAAGCACATCTTGCACAGCCCTTAATCCATTTAACCCTGAGTTGACACAGCACATGTCTCAGGGAACACAGGGTTGGGGGTAGGGTTACAGATTAAAATGGAGTCTCTTATGTCTACTTTCTATACAGACACATTAACAATCTGATCTCTCTTTCTTTTCCCCAGAGGATTGTTTTGAAATACAGCACTATTGCCCTTTCGCCACTATACATTTGGGAGAAGACAGGCATATCTCAGAGATGTTGCAAGTTCAGCTCCAGACCACTGTATAAAATGCTTAGCTTTAAAGCTTCAAAGTACAGGCTGCCCCTCTTGTTAAGGGCTAATGTAGTTGGTGACTTAAGTTGAAGCCAATGCTTGTTTACCATTTTGAAAATCCTAGGACCCTTAAGAATTATGTTAAGTCTTCTCTGCCTGTGCTCTAGAAATGGAACAACAAAGAATGATGGCAGTGCATCTCTTTACAGCATGGTTTACTAAATATTTTAAGCCCACTATTGAGATCTACGGCTTAGAAAAAAAAAATCTTTCAAAATATTACTGCTCATTGACAATCCACCTGGTCACCCAAGAGTTCTGATGGAGATGTGCATGGAGACTGATGTTGTTTTCATGCCTGCTAATATAGCATCTACTTTGCAGTCCATGGATCAAGGACTAATTTTTACTTTCAAGTCTTACTTAATAAGTACATTTTGTAAAGGTATAGCTGTCATAGAAGTGATTCCTCTAATGAATCTGGGCAAAGTAAGTTGAAAACATTCTGGAAAGAATTTCTTATTCTACACGCCATTAAAAACATTTTTGATTCAGGGGAGGAAGTCAAAATATCCACATTAACAGGAGTTTGGAAGAAGTTGATTCCAAACCTGATGGATGACTTTGAGGGTTTCAAGGCTTCAGTGGAGGAAGTAACTGCAGAGGTGGAAGGAACAGCAAGAGAACTAGAATCAGGAGTGGAGCCTGAGAATGTGACTGAATTGCTGCAATCTCATGATGAAACTTGAACTGCTTCTTATGGATGAGCAAAGAAAGGGGCTTCTTCCGATGGAAACTATTCCTGGTGAAGATAACCATGAACACTGTTGAAATGACAACAAAGGATTTAGAATATGACATACACTGCATTGATAAAACAGTAGCAGGGTTTGAGAGGATTGACTCCAAATTCAAAAGAAGTTCTACGGTGGATAAAATGCTATCAAACAGCTTCACGTGCTACAGAGAAATTTTTCATGAAAAGAAGAGTCAATCTATACAGCAAACTTTATTGATGTCTTATCTTAAGAAATTGCCACAGCCACCCCAACGTCCAACAACCACCACCCTGCTCAGTCAGCAGCCTTGAACGTAGAGTCAAGACTGTCCACCATCAAAAAGATTATGACTCGCTGAAGGCTCAGGTAATTGTTACCACATTTTAGCAATAAAGTGTTTTTGTTTTTTTTCTTTAAAGAAAATGTCTCATTCTGTCCCCCAAGCTGGAGTGCAATGGTGTAATCTTGGTTCACTGCAACCTCCACATCCAGGGCTCAAACGATCCTCCTGCCTCAGCCTCCCAGGTAGCTGGTACTTACGGGCATGTGCCACCATGCCTGGCTAATTTTTGTACTTTTTGTAGAGATGGGGTCTCACCATGTTGCCCAGGCAGGTCTCAAACTCCTGGACTCAAGGGATTTGCCAACTTTGGCCTCTGAAAGTGCTGGGATTACAGGCATGAGCCACCACATCTGGCCAAAGTTGTTTTTTTGTTTTGTTTTGTTTGTTTTGTTTTGTTTTGTTTTGTTTTGTGACGGAGTCTCACTCTGTCACCCAGGCTGGAGTACAGTGGCACAATCTCAGCTCACTGCAACCTCCACCTCCTGGGTTCAAGCAATTCTCCTGCCTCAGCCTCCCAAGTATCTGGGATGAGAGGCACGCACTACTGCGTCCAGATAATTTTTGCATTTTTTGGAAAGATGGGGTCTCGCCATGTTGGCCAGGCTGGTCTCAAACTCCTGGCCTCAGGTGATCCACCCGCCTTGGCCTCCCAAAGTGCTGGGATTATAGGCATGAGCCACTGTGCCTGGCCCAAAGTATTTTTTAATTAAGGTATATACATTGGTTTTTAGACATAATGCTACCACACACTTAATAGACTACATTATACTGTAAGCATAACTTTTATATGTACTGAGAAACCAAAAAATTTGTGTGACACACCATTGTGTCAGCCGGTACTTTGAAGCTTTAAAGCTAATCATTCACTTCTTCTATGAAAGTCGCATGAGGCATCTTTGTCCAGCATAAGGCTTTTTTACCTATGTGGAAAATCTATTGTTTAGTGTAGCCACCTTCATTAATGATTGTAGCTAGATCTTCTGGAGAACTTGCTGCAGCTTCTCCATCAGCACTTGTTGCTCCACCTTGCACGTTTATGTTTGCCGAGGGCTTCTTTCCTTCAACCTCATGAACCAACCTCTGCTAGATTCAAACTTTTCTTCTTCTGCTTCTTCTGCTTCCTCTCCTTTCTCAGGCTTTGTAGAATTAAAGAGAATTTGGGGCCTTGCTCTGGATTAGGCTCTGGCTTAAAGGGATGTTGTGGCTGGCTTGATCTTCTATCCAGACCACTCAACCTTTCTCCATATCACCAATAAGGCTGTTTTGCCTTCTTATCATTCATGTGTTCACTGGAGTAGCACTTCTAATTTCCTTCAAGTTTTCCTTTGCATTCACAACTTGGCTAACTATTTAGAGCTAGATGTCTAGCTTTTAGCTTATCTTGGTTTTCAACATGCCATCTTTACTAACCTTAATCATTTTTAGCTTTTGATCTAAAATGACAGACGTGCAACTCTTCCTTTTATTTGAACATTTAGAGGCCTTTATAAGGTTATTAATTGACCTAATTTCCATATTGTTGTGTCTCAGGGAATAGGGAGCCCTGAGGAGAGAGACAGAGGCATGAAGCGAGCATATGCTGTTCACACATGGTGCCGATATGTTAGAAGCGTGTGAACCAGAGCAACTCCATCTTGAATAAGAGCTGGATAAAACAAGGCTGACACCTACTGGGCTGCATTCCCAGATGTTTAAAGCATCCTAAGTCACAGAATGAGATAGGAGGTCATCACAAAATACAAGTCATAAAGAACTTGCTGATAAAACAGGTTGCAGTGAAGAAGCCAGCTAAAACCCACCAAAACCAAGATGGCCACAAGAGTGACCTCTGGATGTCCTCAGTACTACACTCTCACCAGTGCCATGACAGTTTACAAAAGCCAAGGCAAAGTCAGGAAGTTACCCTATATGGTCTAAAAAGGGGAGGCATGAATAATCCACCTCTTGTTTAGCATATCATCAAGAAATAAACATAAAAAAGGGCAATCGGCAGTCCTCAGGGAGGCTCTGTCTATGGAGTAGCCATTCTTTTATTCCTTTACTTCCGTAATAAACTTGCTTTCACTTTACTCTATGGATTCACCCTGAATTCTTTCTTGCACTAGATCCAAGAACCATCTCTGGGGATCTGGATCAGGACCCCTTTCCTGTAACAGATAGACTTACTCAACTCAGGGTTGCCACAAACCTCCAATTTGTAAAAAACATAAATCCATGAAATGCAATAAAGCAAAGCACAATAAAACAAGGTGTGCCTGTATTTGGTATAAGGGTTAGCCTTGCTTACTAATTGTGATACTTACCAGAGCAGTTTAGGTTTGTTGCATTATTCAGAATATTTAATAAACCAAGTTTACTTTTGTTTTTTTTTTTCTGAGATGGATTCTCGCTCTGTCACCCAGGCTGGATTGCAGTGGCGCAGTCTCGGCTCACTGCAACCTCCGCCTCCCAGGTTCAAGCGATTCTCCTGCCTCAGCCTCCCAAGTAGCTGAGACTACAGGCGTGTGCCAACACACCCAGCTAATTTTTGTATTTTTAGTAGAGACAGGGTTTCACTATACTGGCCAGGCTTGTCTTGAACTCCTGGCCTCGTGATCCGCCCTCCTCGGCCTCCCAAAGTGCTGGGATTACAGGTGTGAGCCACAGCACCTGGCAAAGTTTACTTTTTATAAAATCACAGAATGGAGGCAGAGTTGGGAAATTTTACAGGGCCAATAAGAAATATAACAATATGCTATTGAAATACTATTAATTTGTGGCAGTATTTCATAAACTCAGTTGTGGACTCAAGTTGAACTTACATACTGAAATTTGCTTAAATACTTTCACCTAAAACAGTTTTTATGCTCTGGCAGTGGTGATTTTACAAGAGGCTAATTCAGCTTGTAATCAATTTCAAATGATGATCCGTTCACCTTAAAATTTATATGTAACAAGTTTACCATATTTCATATTTGTTTTTAATGTTTCCTGCCACTTTGGGGTTTTTTTAAATTATTTTATTTGTGACAGGGACAAGATTTTTAACTTGTGCAAATCCCTACCCACCACCTTCTGTGTCCCCAGAGGAAGCTCCCTCTTTCCTGTGCCTCCGAGCAACATGCACAGCTCAGAGGCAGGGCCTTTGTGATGGGGAATGGGACAAAATGGGAGGAAGCAGCCTGGGAGGCTGGGGAGGGGTCATGTTGATGCATAAATATTTTAATTGCATCATTACTTTGAACCTTTGATACCTCTTTTCTGTGCTTGAATCCAGGCTGTTGAGCGTGGATGGAAAAGCCTATTATCATTCTGATTTGTCTCCTTTGAATTCAGTACCACTAGCCTTAATGGGGAACTTCCTTAAACCACTCACCTAGTTGCCTATTTTTATTTTCTCTCTCCTCCTACCTCCCACACCTTCTTCTTATCCTCCCTCTCAGCTGATCACCTGACTTCTATTCCACCAAGGATGGAGAAGTAATCAGGGGAGGATGCCCATAGCTCCCTTTCTCACACTTATGCACAATCCCTCGCCCTGAATCTGTGTGCGCAGGCACTCTTTCTCCCTATTACTTTCTCCCTATTACTATGGAAGAAGCTTGGAGGCCAGCATCTCAACTTGTTCACTGGATCTCATTCTCTCTCTCTCTCTGTCTCTCTGTATCTCTCTGTCTCTCTGTGTGTGTGTGTGTGTGTGTGTGTGTGTGTGTGTGTGTGTGTGTGTGTGTCTGCTCCTCCACCCCTCCATCAATAAGTTTTCCCTCTCTTCTGGAGAGAAGAAATTTTGTTATTTCTCCCATTGAAAGGAACCTTTCTTTTGGTGTTACTGTGCCCTCCACCTACTGACCTACTGACTGATTTCTCCGCTCCTGTTTATAGCAAACCCACCCTAGAGAGCTGTCTGTAGTATATGCTTGTTGTTTCCAATTTCTCTCCTCCCATTCCCTCCAAAATCCACTCCAATCAGGTTCTGGTCTTCCCTACGACATCAGTGACCTTCATTTGGTTCAATCCAATGGTTATTTCTCAGTCTTAACTGAAATTTTTGGCTTGCCATTTATGTACATAGACAGATCAATTAATCTTTCTTTTTTTGACTTTGACCTCTTCGTTTTTGTTTAAAAAGTCTTTTCTTTCTTCCAGTATCTCTAAATGCTTACTAAAGTTGTCTTCAAGTTCCTTAAGGCTTTTTAAAGTTGCATTTAACTCCTGAATCCATCTGAAATATATTTTAGTATATAGTGTCAAAAATAAATCAAACTAGTTATTTTTCTCCAAATAGTTCATCAATAACCCCAAGTTACATCCCTTCTTTATGTCGTCTTTCTTAATTGAGACAGTGCTGTTTATTGAAGGTGGCATTCTGTTTTAAAGTTCCACCCTGACTAAGCTTCTGTCCGTCAGTTTTACATAAAGCCCATAGAAATCAGCTCAACACGTTTTATGCATTGAGATTCTTCCCAAGATCTGAAAACAAGTTATGTTATCTGTGGCTCTTAATTTTTGTGTGGGGAGTTCATGTACTTTAGTGAGAAACTGCAGAAGTTAATCTCAAGAGCTAGACCTTTGGTACCATTTTAAAACAAATCTCTCAGATTATGATTCTATTTTTATAACTTTTATTTGAGCACTTTATGAATCACTTTATCAAATTATGAACACCACTGCCCATAAAGTTAAGCAATCAAGCAAATTTAAAGATCTGATTTCAAGAATATTTAAAATATTATAAGAATATAAGAATATTTAGGAAAAGCTAAATATGTTCAGAAAAATGGATAATATCTCAATTGCTATGTAGGAAAATAACTATAGCATATCAAAATTTACATCTTTACCACCCTTTGTCTATGGTAAACATTAAGAAGGAACAAAAGTGAATAACTTGACAATGTGAATACCTACACTCACTATTGCTACTATTAATGCTATTCTGGAAGTTAGTTGATGGAAAATGCTCCATCCATGAAAACATAAATGCCATCAAAGAGAGTAATTTTACAATAATTCAGGTGATTCATTCATAAATTTTGTAGATTTTGATAAATAAGCCAGAGACTATGATCATTTATCTCACTACTCCAGAAGGATGGCATGAAAATGTTTGTATCTAATGTGATGATTTACATGGTGGCAAAATATAAAATAAATACACAGGCATCAATTGTATGTCTATTAATTTTCCATCACAATAGACAGTAATAAAACCGAATGGAAAAAGACACTACTCAATACTTCATAGCCCAGAGCAGTGTTTCCCAAGATGTAGACCCCACGCAAGGCTTCCCCACTAGAAATCTCGGAACACAGGCCCAGGAAGCTCCCATTTAACCATTTTAAACCAGCCCCAGATGCTTCTTTTGCTCTCTAAAATTTTAGAGTCCCTGATGTTGTAAGTAAGAGGAGACACTGTGTGAACTTGAGCAAATTATGACACCAATTCAGGCTTCAGTTTCCTTATCTGCAAAAGAAGGAGAATGATCATACGCACATTATAAGGTGCTTCAGAAGAACAAATAAAATAATGTAGGTGAGGGGTTTGTGATCTGCCTAGTGCAGAGCAAGTACTCAATTTTCATTCAATAATATTATTATCAAATATTAAAATAAAGTGATAAAGTATGCAAAAATAAGCTTCGGAAAGAATATTCAGGACTTAAGTGAAGAAAACAAAAATGAAATGAAATACTTTTTAAAAATCACATAAATTGAGAGGCAAACTCTGTTCCTACCAGGAATGGTGGGGAACAAAAGGAGAATGAAACATGTAAAGAAATCACCTTTTCAAAATTGATTTTTAAATTTCAAGTAGCTCTATGCAAAATATCAAAAGGACACTTTTCGTAACACACCGCAATGCTAAGGGTCATCTTGAAGAACATGTAGAAAAAATTATCCACCCTCGGCCCCGACATGCAGAAGGAAGTACCTTGAGAGCCACTTTCATTGTTAGACATCATAATGCATAATCACAATACATTTAACAGCATAGTACTATTATTAAAAGGGCAGGGACGTCAATGAAACCAAGGAGAAAGTACAGAAATCTATCCAAGTTATTCAAGATAACTTAGACTGTGACAGAGTTGCATTTGAGGTCAATGGAAAAAATAGGAATTATTGAATAAATGGTAATTACATTATTAAGTAATTAGAAAAAAATAAGGTTACTCCAAATTTATTTCCAAATGAATTACAGACTAAAATTAAACTATAAAAGAGGAAAACTGAAGGAAAAAATGCAAATTATTTCTTTGGAAGCATCCTGTATATTGTGTTAATAGAAGTAATCTATAAATTTAATAATTTTAGCAAGCCATGTTTGATTAGTAAAATGTAAGAAGAAATAGGCAAAGTAAGTAGAAAGAGGTAGTATACTATTCACAGTTTTTTTTATCATAAGAGGAAGATGAGCCAAGCACATTCCATCAGGTGGAGAAAACATTCTGGCTAAGACAAAACTGCATCAGCACTGCTCATGGTTGCCTGAGTTACTAGATATTCTCATCATGCTAATAATATAGTAACTAGCAAAACTACATTTGAATCATTCAAATGCAGTTCATATTAATCAAGAATGGAATGACAAGTAGAGGTCCAGAGATCTCTGTGGCCCAGGCCATTCTGATATCCACTCTGGCTCCACCATCTAATGGGGGCCATGTCTACTTTCCATGCCTGTCATTGTAGTCTAAGACTTGCCCTCCGTCACCCCAGCATATTCTCATACCTCCTGAAACCATCTACTTAAACCAGACTGCTGTCATCTCACCAGCATCCAGAGCCAACAGAAGATTCCCATGAAAGCACTTTTCTTCCCACAGCAGGTTAGAGATATGCCCTATTTCTAATACTTTGATCACCATATCCACCTTGAAGAAGGTACAGTGTTTTATGGGCTTTTGGTGTGATCAAGGAGTGAGTAGGAAGGATACATGTGATGGAGCTTCTCTTGTATATCAGTCTCCTAAAGGACAAATGGCCTCCCCAGTTAGTATAGAGGTACAACATTTCTAGAGGTCAGTCATACTGGGCATCAACAATTTTGGCAGTATGCATATGTTTTTGAGCCAGAAATTTCAGTTTTAGTATTTTCTATAGAAAATAATTGATGTTTTTAACTCAATAGTAAAATATAATAATAATCCCATTAAAAAGTGGGCAAAGGACATGAATAGACATTTCGCAAAAGAAGACATACAAATGGCCAACAGGTATATGAAAAAAATATTCAACATTACTAATAATCAGAGAAATGCATTCTCACATCAGTCAGAAAGGCTATTATAAAACAACAACAATGACAACAACAAAACATAAAATAACAGAGGCTGGCAAGGTTGCAGAGAAGAGGGGACACATACGCCATTGGTGGGAATATAAGTGAGTTCTGCCACTATGGAAAATAGTATGGAGGTTTCTCAAAAAACCTAAAAATAGAACTACCATATGATCAAGCAATTCCACTATTGGGTATTTATCCAAACGAAAAGACATCAGAATACCAAAGATATACCTGTGCCCACAATTCACAATAGCACTATTCACAATAGCAAACATATGGAATCAACCTAAAATGAGGTATATATACAGCATGGAATACTATTTAGCCATAAAAAATGAACATAGATGGAACTGGAGGTCATTATGTTAAGTGACATAAGTCAGACACAGAAAGACAAATATCACATGTTCTCACTTATATGTGGGAGCAAAAAAGGTTGATCTCATCGAGGGAGAAAGAGTAAAATGATAGATGCTGGAGACTGGGGAGGTTATGTGGGGACTGAAAGGAATAAAGAAAGTTTAGTTAATGACTACAAACTTACAGTTAGGTAGAAGGTATAAGTTTGTGTGTGTGTGTGTGTGTGTGTGTGTGTGTGTGTGTGTGTGACAGAGTCTTATTCTATCGCCCAGGCTGTGGAGTGTAGTGGAATGATTTCAGCTCACTGCAACCTCTGCCTCCCACACTCAAGTGATCCTCCAGCCTCAGTGTCCCAAGTAGCTGGGACTACAGGCAGGCACTGCCACACCCGACTCATTTTTGCATTTTCAGTAGAGACAGGGTTTCGCCATGTTGGCCAGGCTGGTCTCAAACTCCTGACCCCAAGTGATCAGCCCACCTCGGCCTCCCAAAGTGTTGGGATTACAGGTGTGAGCCACCATGGCTGGCCAGAAGCTGTAAGTTCTAATATTCAATAGCAAAATTGAGTGATTATAGTTAGCACCACGCGTTATATATTTCAAAGTAGCCAGAAAAGAACTTGAAATATTACCAATACATAGAAGCAATAAACACACAAGGTGATGGATACCCTAGATGCCCTGGCTCATTATTATACAGTCTATCCATGTAACAAAAAAAAATCACATGTACCTCATACATATGTAAAATATTATGTATCAATTAATTTTTAATATATCTTTTTTTAAAAAGAAAATTATGTTTTTAAAGATGTATAAGACTGGCCATAGCAGATGGGGCACGGTGGCTCACACCTGGAATCCCAGCACTTTGGGAGGCCGAGGCAGGCAAATCATCTGAGGTCAGGAGTTCAAGATAGCCTGACTGACATGGTGAAACCTCATCTCTACTAAAAAGACAAAAAATTAGCCGGGCATGGTGGTGCATGTCTGTAATCCCAGCTACTTGGGAAGCTGAAACAGGAGAATTGCTTGAACCCAGAAGGCAGAGATTGCAGTGAGCCGAGATTGCACCATTACACTCCAGACTGGGCAACAAGAGCAAAACTCCGTCTCAAAAAAAAAAAAAAAAGACTGGCCATAGCAATACTATTTATCATTGCAAAAACAACGCAATAGGTGTTTTGTTTGTTTGTTTGTTTTGAGACAGAGTCTTACTCTGTCACCCAGGCTGGAGTGCAGTGGCACAATCTCAGCTCACTGCAACCTCCACTTCCCAAGTTCAAGTGATTCTCCTGCCTCAGCCTCCGGAGTAGCTGGGACTACAGGCACCCGCCACCGCACCTGGCTAATTTTTTTTTTTTTTAATAGAGACGGGGTTTCACCACGTTGGCCAGGCTGGTCTCGAACTCCTGACCTCAGGTGATCCACCAAGATAGGTTGTATTTCTTTTCTTTTCATTCTTTTTTTTTGTTTTTGAGACGGAGTTTCACTCTTGTTACCTAGGCTGGAGTGCAATGGCGTGATCTCACTGCAACCTCCGCCTCCTGAGTTCAAGCGATTCTCCTGCCTCGGCCTCCCGAGTAGCTGGGATTACAGGCATGCACCACCACTCCCAGCTAATTTTGTATTTCTAGTAGAGACGGGGTTTCTCCATGTTGATCAGGCTGGTCACAAACTCCCGACCTCATGTGATCCACCCACCTCGACCTCCCAAAGTGCTGGGATTACAAGAGTGAGCCACTGCACCCGGCCTGATGGGTTGTATTTCTAATCATAGGAAACAGTCCAAAAATTATGATACAGTGGTAGAATATAATACTATAACATTAAAACCTGTGCTATAGCTCAAGAGTTTGTATATAGGAAAATACATAATATGCATTGCTAATTTTACAAAAATCAGGTTAACTGCTCCAAAAAACATTAAAAATGGAGTGATTGAATTTTTGTAAATAAATGTATGTGTGTATGTGTGTGTGTGTGTGTGTGTGATAGGCCCAGTAAGTTGTAACTTTGGGTGTGAAAAAAGTCAAAATCCACCTGTACTTGTACTTGTTTTGCATGAGACATTAAATTGCATTAAGAAGAGTCCATTGCATTTCCCCTTATTACTTAGTCGTGTGACAGAAAAACAGAATCTCAGGACTCCAAACTCACTGTGACAAAGGGAAAGAAGCTTGGGAACTGTGTAACGCAAAAAACAACAACAACAACAAAAAACAAAAACAAAAAAACAACTGCCTTCTGTCTTGTTCCCAAACAGAAAGCTGCAAGGCTAAAAGGCCACATATCTCCTCAGGTAGCTTCCCTCTCAAATTGCTCACAAGGAAATTCCTTGTGGGCCCCTAAATTATTCAGAATACATACCCCCCTAAAAATTAACCCTAAAAGACGGTTCTGTTGAATCTCACTCTGATATTGTAGATTCACAGCTCACCTTTACAGGAACCACAAAGACAAGACTAGAAATTATCACTGCCCACCCCACCCCAGACAAATGCATATTTGACTGCTTCCTCAACTTTCATTATTTTATGTAAAATGTAGATTCACTGAGCACAGAAGACAAATGCATAACTGACTTTTCCTCTACCCTCCTTTCATGCATGAAGTGTGGATTCAGTAAGCGCCAATCAAAGCCTCGCAAGAATGCAAAAACTCTCCTCATTGGCCTCCCTCTCCCTTTTTTTCTGTCCCTCTTCCCTGCCTGCTGGCTCTTTCCTCTTTAAACACTGAAGTCCTGAAAACTCTCTGGAAAAGGCAGGGATCACACACCCTCTGGTGATTTCTGTTTACTTTTCCAGGGTGTGTCCTCAACCTTGGCCAAATAAACCTCAAAATCAATTGAGACATGCCTGGGAGCAAAAGAGAGAAGTTTTTTGATATTTTCAAAAATATTCCAAGAATTGCAAGTGTACTGAACATGTAAAGTCATTTTACTTGTCATTATTCCCTAAACAATACAACAACTATTTACATAGCATTGACATTGTGTTAGGTATTATAAGGAAGCTAGAGGTGATTTAAAGCATTTGGGAGGATGTGCATAGGTTATATGCAAATAATACACCACTTTATACCGGGGACTTCAGCATCCACGGACTGCGGTGTCTTGGAAAGGTCCTGGGTTTTTTTGGTTTACATTAGCAATTCAGGTTCTTATTTTAGAGGAAGACTGGAACATAAATTTTGTCTGGCTTGGCACAGACTAAGAAATAAATAACTCAAAATTATGTTGGGAAGATGTCAATCATAACAATTCAAAAATTATGAGGGAGGAATGGTGAAATTTGTAAAGAAGCCAAGAGAGAAGAGAAGGAGAAAAATCTCTTTATTCTGTTTTGATGTTCAGCATCATAAAAAAACAAAAAATCTTTGCCCACTTTTTAGTGGGGATTATTTTGTGCTTTTCTTGTAAATTTGTTTAAGTTCCTTGTAGATTCTAGATATTAGACCTTTGTGAGATTGCAAGTATTTTCTCCCTTTCTGTAGGTTGTCTGTTCTCTCTGATGATAGAAGACATTTATGCAGCCAACAAACATATGAAAAAAAGCTCAACATCACTGATTATTAGGGAAATGCAAATCAAAACCACAATGAGACACCACCTCAAGCCAGTAAGAATGGCAATTAAAAAGTCAAGAAATAACAGATGTTGGTGAGGTCGTGGAGAAATAGGAATGCTTTTACACTGTTGGTGGGAATGTAAATCAGTTCAACCTTTGTGGAAGAGAGTGTGGAGGTTCATCAAAGACCTAGAGGCAGAAATACCATTTGACCCAGCAATCCCTTTACTGGGTATATACCCAAAGGAATAGAAATCATTCTATTACAAAGATACATGCACACGTATGTTCATTACAGCACTATTCATAATAGCAGACATGGACTCAACCCACATGCCCATCAATGATAGACTGGATCAAGAAAATGTGGTACATGTACACCATGGTATACTATGCAGCCTTAAAAAGGAACGAGATCATGTCCTTTCCAGGTACATGGATGGAGCTGGAAGCCATTATGCTCAGCAAACTAATGCAGGAACAGAAAACCAAACACCACATGTTCTCATTCATAAGTGGAAGCTGAACAATGAGGATACATCGACACAGGGAGGGGAACATCACACACCAGG
This sequence comes from Homo sapiens, assembly GCF_000001405.40. Lineage (NCBI taxonomy): Eukaryota > Metazoa > Chordata > Mammalia > Primates > Hominidae > Homo > Homo sapiens. Next base: position 54,689,115 of record NC_000007.14, read on the forward strand.
GCCTGTTGGGGTTTGGGGGTAGGGGGAGGGAGAGCATTCAAATAAATAGCTAATGCATGCGGGGCTTAATGCCTAGGTGATGGGTTGATGGGTGCAGCAAACCACCATGGCACATGTTTACCTATGTAACAAACCTGCAGGTCCTGCACGTGTATCCCAGAACTTAAAATTAAGTTAGATTTAAAAACAAACAAACAAATAAAATTTCCGGTGAGCTGAAAGAGCCATGTGAGAAGCCCACCACAGGGCCCTACCAGACATCCCCTGTGAGAGACGTAGGAGAACCAACTCCTATCCTAGTGATGGGTGGTTTCAGCCACAGGACAACTGGTGCTAAATCTCCTGACCCAGCCCTGCTGCAGACACCCTCCTCCTACTCCACAGGTGGCACTGAGAAGGCCTTGGAAGAGGTGCTGGGAGATGGCAAGGCCTTGAGGGGGTGACTGTGTGTGTGCACATGTGTGCACATGTGGGCTTGTGTGTGTGCACGTGTGTGTTTTGTGCATCTGTGTGGGAACATGTTTGTGTATATGCACTGACAGAGCTTTGTGGTGAAGCATTTCACGACAATGCAAGAGCAAAAGAGAGAAACAAAAAACATTAGCAGCCTCTTTCTTGGAATAGTTGAATTAAGGGTGACTTTGCTCGCTTGCTTTTTTAGAACTTATTTTTCTGTGTTTTGGAGAAAAGTTTGGAGTGATGCCAACAACACCAGGAATGACTCTCCCCACTCCTTCTTACAGGCAGCACATGTCAGAGATAAAAATTAGAGCTTTCTTTTCATAATCAGTTCCCAAAATGGTTGAGGCAGCTTTTGGGCAAACAGTTTGTACTGTTTCTTTTTTCTCTCTCTCTTTCTCTCTCTCTCTCTGCATCTTGCGAGTTTCTTTTTTTTTTTTTTTTTTTTTTTTCCTTTCTGCAGAGCCGTTTTGGGGGAACAGTCATCATTTTTGCTGACTGCTTTCTGGAATTGAATCCTTTTGGAGAAATCCCAGAGAGAGATAAGGCTCTAGGTTTTCATTTCAATAAATTACACAGGTTCTGGAAATACAGAGTCGGAACATCCATCCACCCCCTGCTGCCATGAGTGTGGGCGCACAATGCCAGGAGGACATTCCCTGAAGTACTGTTTGTGCCCCTGGCCCTGCCTTCTGCCCTCTTTTTAAGGAATCAGGTCTGAGGAAGACGCGGGGAGGGAGGGAGGTGCTGTTCTGGACACAGCAACGACGGGAGAATTCCCATCCTGACCAGTCGTGCTGACTCGGATTTCGAACATTTCTCCTTGTTTTGTTTTTCACCTTTAATTGAGTATTGGGAAGTTACATGAATGCTCCCAACAGTAAAAAGGTAAAGTCAAAATAAAATTGGATGTGAGAGGCTTTAGTTTCCCTCATATCAGCCCTGGGTCTTTTTTTTTTTTTTTTTTTTTAAGACAGTGTGGCCCATGCTGTAGTTCAATGGTACAACCTCGGCTCACTGCAACCTCCACCTCCCGAGTTCAAGCAATTCTCTTGCCTCAGCCTCCCGAGTTGCTGGGATTATAGGCACCCGCCACCATGCCCGGCTAATTTTTGTATTTTTAGTACAGACCGGGTTTCTCCATGTTGGCCAGGCTGTTCTCGAACTCCTAACCTTAGGTGATCCGCCCTCCTCGGCCTCCCAAAGTGCTGGGATTGCAGGTGTGAGCCACGCGCTGGGCTGCCCTGGGTCTCTATAATAAAAAATAATCAGAACTGTGGTTAAAGTGGCAGAACACAGATTTACAAGTCCTCAACCCACGAGGACAAAAAATGTAAGAAAGGAGAACAGTCGAAAACAGTGTTCAATCTGTACTTTGGAAACTAAACATGGATGGAGCTCTTAGAACCAACAGAGGGGAGCAGGGAGGGGCCCACAGCCAAGTCCTTGCCTAGGGGACGCTGGAGCAGAATTCGGCCAGTCGCCACAGAAACCCGAGTCGCCGCACCTGTGTGCAGCAGGAGCTCAAAGGCGGGGACAGCAAGGGACCTGAGAGAGGGACCACTGTGCACTGAACTTGCGGATCCAGAGTAGCCCCGCTTCGGGGCCTGCCCTTCCCATGCAGTGGGAACAGGTTAGTGGCCTATAACCTGGAAAAACCCGATCCATGAAAATACAAGGAATTAGTGAACGTTCACAAATGGAATTGGAGAAAATTCACCAGCCAGGGGCCTGTCCCTGCTCCTGCACCCCACCTTTACCCCACTCCACTCGAGTCACAGATTGAAGAATAAGATGTTTGTTTGTTTGTTTGTGAGATAGAGTCTCGCTCTGTCGCCCAGGCTGGAGTGCAGTGGTGCGACCTGGGCTCACCGCAACCTCCGCCTCCCAGGTTCAAGTGATTCTTCTGCTTCAGCCTCTCCAGTAGCTGGGATTACAGGCGCGCACCACCATGCCCTGCTAATTTTTGTATTTTTAGTAGAGTCGGGGTTTTACCATGTTGGCCAGGCTGGTCTCAAACTCCTGACCTCAGGTGATCTGCCCAAAGTGCTGAGATTACAGGCATGAGCCACCGGGCCTGGTCAAGAATAAGGTCATTTATTGTTGTATAGGCAATAAGTGTGAATCAAGGATACTTTTAAAAACTCATAGGTGAGCCCGGGCATGGTGGCTGAGATCAGCCTGCACAACCCGTAGTGAGACACCATCTCTACAAATTAAAATTAAAACTTTAGCCACACGTAGTGGCTCATGCCTGTAATTCCAGCACTTAGGGAGGCCAAGGTGGGAGGGTTGCTTGCGGCCAGAAGTTTGAGACCAGCGTGGGTAACCTGTCTCCCCGCAAAATTTAAAAATTGGCCTGGCATGGCCCTAGTCCCAGCTACTTAGGAGTCTGAGGTGGGAGGATCACTTGAGCCTGGGATTTGGTACAATAAGCCGTGATCACAGCACTGCACTCCAGCCTGGGTGACAGTGGGAGACCCAGTCTCAAAAAAAAAAAAAAGAAAAGAAAAAGCCTGATAGATGAGTTAGCAAATGGTTACTTTAAAAAAATAATTAGGAGTGCTATAAAGGAAAATTCTAGAATGATAATACAAGTTTTGCTACCAAATGAAATAATTTTTAAAAAGCAAAGACACCTCAAAGAGACAAATATCGCAGTAAAATGCACACACACACGCACACCCCTAACTGAATTCTGCCAACAATCACATGACCTTGGAAGAGGACCCCAAGCTCAAGAAAGGAACCAGCCCAACCAGTACCCTGTTTGCAGCCAGCCAAGCTATGCCTGTACTCCTGATCCACGGAAACTATGAAGATAAATGTGTGGTGTCTTATGCCACAAAGTTTGTGATGATTTGTTACACAGAAATAGAAAATGAATGCAGTAGTGTGCAGGAAAAAGTAAAATAAAGTAGAGGTGATATTATTCAGTGCACAGAAAATGCTATTAATATTCTTGGAGTAGAGATATTGGATTATGTGGGAGGCAGTTATGCAGAAATAGAGAAATCAATTAATTCATCAATCAACAAATAAGAGGTAAGGGATATTAATACCAAGAATATGTTAAGAATTTTATAAGAAAGAAATATTAAGCACATGGCTCAAAAATACATTTTAACAATATTGCAAATACTGATATTGATTTAACCATACATTGAAATGTAACTAAGTTAGGTGATATTGTTGTCAAAGAGCAACATGGAAACTTAATATACTATGTCTAATATTAATAAATCAGCAAAAAGTAACAGAATAAGGCTTTTTTATAATCATGGAGATATATTGGTGAAATGGGCTAGAGGAGTTGAGGCTGCTTACCTCTTGGGAACAGTTGCGGGTGGTGGAAAGAGATGAAATGAAGAATAGCTGGCCCTCTGTATCCATGGGTTCTACATCTGTGAATTCAACCATTTTCAAAATCTTCAAAAAAAAAGTTTTTTGATATTTTCAAAAATATTCCAAAAATTGCATGTGTACCAAACATGTAAAGTCATTTTTTCTTGTCATTATTTCCTAAACAATACAATATAACAGCTATTTACCTAGCATTGACATTGTGTTAGGTATTATAAGTAATCTAGAGATGATTTAAGGCATTTGGGAGAATGTGCATAGGTTATATGCAAATAATACACCTCTTTACACCAGGGACTTGAGCATCTGTGGACTGTGGTGTCTGGGAAGGTCCTGGAACCAATCCCCCACAGATAATGAGGGAGACTGTACTACTATTTTTTGTGGTAAGACATTTGACACTTTAACTATATGAAGATAAATTCCTCATTACATTTGGGGTCAAGCAGTAGTGGACTGGAGCCACCTCATAATGCTTTATTTTCATGGTTGACATTTTCAGGAATCTTGGTGCCAGTTAATAAAAGGTGTCATTATTAAAATTGAATGACATAACTTTACAATTAAATAAATTGCACTTAAAAGGTAATATATACTCAAAACTCATCATTTTCTAATTATTTTACTTCCTTTTCCTATTTGAGGCTATTTATGTCTACCGCATTTTACGATGGACGTAACGATGTGCTACTGTGCATTTTTTCCCACCTTCTCACTCACTAATGTCATGTTGGTAGACTGCACTGACCACCTCGGAAGTATTCACAGCATGGAAATTAGCAAGTGCTTCAAGTCAAAGCTTGATTTATTGTATTTTATTGTCTAAACATCATAAATTGATGGACACAATGTTAATATTGAAGATTAAACCTAAACTTGTGCCATATTCATAGTGGCTACATTGTGAATAGCACAAACAGTCTTGAAAAATATTCTTCCAGTATTAGAGAACTGTTATCCAATTTAGCAAAGATGTTGCTCCTAGACAAATGTGTGAAGTTCCAACATACGTCTTCACAGTTTCACTTTTGTCTTACTTGTTAACATCAACCACCATTCGTAACAGAACTGTACTAATTTACCAACTGCAACCGTAGGCTGGCTGTGGATACCAGGACTTTGACTAATTATCCGTGAAAGCCTTCTGTGACAATCAATTAACTACTTAGAATTTGCAATAAAGAATGTTGTATAATTTACTATTATTTGTAAATTGAATGCTACACATCATTTATATCAGTAAAATCTAGAATAAAGTTATATATATATACAGACACATATAGATTGTGTATATATAAACACCCAAAGCAGTTGTTAAAATGTACTAGCACGTTGGTGGGTTAAAATATAATTTATTGAGTTCTATTCCAATAATTCTGTGTTCCCTTATTTATTTCTAGAATTACATATATTTTAAAATAAATTTTAAATAAATTGGTACCACCTTTTTCAGAATTAAAAACCACAAGACTCTAGATTAAAAGTGTCCCCCGAACATAACATAACAATGAATGCTGGCGCAAAGACTTCACAGGCAATTTGCCTCATTCTTCAAGAACCTTAGAATACGCAAAATTTTAATCAAAGAACTATGCATTTAAATATATTTCACACGGGAAATTATCACAGAAGTGAGCACTATTTATAAAATAAGATGCTAATATTATTTGCAAAAGCAAAAATTAAAAGAAATTAAATATTTAAATCTAATATTTAAAGTAATTACATTATGTAGTAAAGTACTTTGTAACTAACAGATTCTCAGATCAATTTTATGAAATTATATACATTTATAACATTAACAGTGCATAAAATAATATACAAAAATCTGAAATATGCAAAGAAAAAATTTTTTGAAAAATATCAACATGTTAACTGTTACTATTAGAATGTATGGTTATTTTTATTTTTGCTACGTTTCACGTGTCTGTGATTACTGAATTTCTCCAATAGCACTTTCATAATGAATAAATATAAGGATAACAGAAAAATTATGAAAAGAAATTGAATAGACCTTTATTTGACCTTTGAAGAAAGAGGTACTTGCTGTATTTAGAAACCACGAAATGATTAAATAGATGAGTAGGCAAAGGACATAAGATTTTTACAAAATAATATGATATCATAAACCAATGTATGGCAAAATGTTCAATCATAGTAGCAAAAAAGAAAAACAGTATAAAATTAGTACAGAATAAGATATGTAGGGACAAATTGAAGAAAAATGATAATTTTAAAATGTTTGGCCTTGGATGCAATGGTTCATGCCTGTAATCCCAGCACTTTGGGAGGCTGAGGTGGGAGGATCATTTGAGGCCGGGAGTTCAAGACCAGCCTGGGCAACATAGCAAGACACTATCTCTACAAAAGATTTTAAAATGTTTAAATAAAATTTTTTTTAATTTTTGAATTGGATTATAAACTGGAATGAAGCCTTTGAGAGTATATATAGACTGTATATATATATATATATATATATATATAAAATTATGCATAGTGTTTGTATGTATATATACACATACACTACATGTATACATATGCCTGTTTTCTCATCATTACTATTCACTGAAGAACTTCAATTCTAGATTTCTATACTAAGCAACCAACTCCAAAACAGGTGAAGCTTTTCTCACAATGTAAACTACTAGAGGAAAACAGGAAAACAGTAGGAAAATCATACACCCATACCCACACCCACCCACACACACACACAGGCAGCCACATACTGACATATTATGGAAGTATTATCCACCCAGTTACAATTTTATTTAACATTTTTATTAAAAATGTTTATATCTGGATAGGAAAAAGCATACAGTATCATATGAAGTGAAATGCAAAGTACAAAATTGTACAACTGTGTGAATGAAAATAATTAATATTTATTAAATACTATGTATTAAGCACCATGCTCTGTGCTTTATGCATTTAACTTTGTTTAATCCTTCACAACTCTATGAGTAGGCATGAGTATTACCCCAATTTTATAGATGATGGAACTTCATAAATTAAAAATTCCGTATAAAAATTGAAATGAGATATAACAAAATGTTAACAAAAATTTTAGATTATAGGTGATGTTTTCTATGTTTATTTTTCTGAATTTTTTACATCCCCTAAATGGAGACTACTGTTTATATTATTGGAATACAAAGCAATGCATTTTAATTTTTTTTTTTTTTTAAGACAGAATCTTGCTCTGTCACCCAGGCTGGAGTGCAGTGGTGCGATCTCGGTTCACTGCAACCTCTGCCTTCCAGGTTCAAGCGATTCTCCTGCCTCAGCCTCCAGAGTAGCTGGGATTACAGGCACGTGCCACCACGCCCTGCTAATTTTTGTATTTTTAGTAGAGACAGGGTTTCACCATGTTGGCCAGGCTGGTCTCGAACACCTGACCTCAGGTGATGCACCCACCTCAGCCTCCCAAAGTGCTGGGATTACAGAAGAGAGTCACCATTCCTGGCCTGCATTTCAATTTTTTAAAATGGTCGTTGGCAATAGAAACATAGATCAAAAAACAATGGGAAAATGTTCTGTCTCAGATATTAGCAACAAAAGAAAACAAATGGAGAAGCCATAAAAAGTGTAGCTGCCGATGAAAAAATGTATGATTTGGTAAACAGAATGCCAAGAACAAGTACACAGTGAAATGTCATTTAATAAGATAGCATTCTTAGTGTATAGAAAGTGTGTAAAAATCCTGACCTCAGGTGATCCACCCGCCACAATGAACTCCTGACCAACATGGTGAAACCCTGTCTCTACTAAATACAAAAAATTACCCAGGCATAGTGGCGCATGCACCAAGTGGCACATGCGCTACTTGGGAGGCTGAGGCAGGAGAATCGCTTGAACCCGGGAGGCAGAGGTTGCAGTGAGCCGAGATTGTGTCATTGTACTCCATCCTGGGCAACAAGAGTGAAACTCCATCTCAAAAAAAAAAAAAAATCCTTAAGGTAAATCAAACAAAATAATTTCCAGATCAAGCCAAAAATAAAACTTTAAAACTCTAAAGAAAAATCCACAGTAATATGATAGAAGATTTGTCAGGTCTGTATCATAGAGTGATCTTGGGTTTGAAGCAATAGAAGAAGTCACAAAGGGATAAACAAACAGATTTGAATATAAAATATTTATAAATGGTAGAAGGAAGAAAAAATAAACTAAAAAGCAACAGACTAGAAAAACACTTTAAAAATATTACAACTGGGAAACAGTCATATTTTTAAAGTTTAATTTTGCATTTTAATTGGATATTTACATTAACATCCCATCAGATATTTGGGAAGAGATTAAAATATTTCACACAAAATTGTGTAGAGGTTTGCAAATAATAAATAAAACATTAGAAAACATGACCCTAAATAATAACCAAAATGCAAATTAGAGCAATAGCTGAGTGTCTTCTCCATGTACTTAACTAGCAAAAAATGTAGTATAAAAATGATATAAACACCCAATGGATGTGAATATCTTGAAGCTAGATTATCGTGAAACTACCATGGCTCACTTTAAGTCTTACATTCTTTCAGGAAAAAATTCTGGCACAAAAGAACCTCACATCATTTGACTTCTCACTTCCACATATAGGACTTTGGTTTTATGTATTGATATTAAGCCGTGAATTTCGTATCTCATGCCATTCTCACAGCCATCTGGAAAAATAGGGATTGCAGTCTCCATGTAGCAAGATTGAGCCAAGGCTCAGAGTATCTTTAGTCATCAGAGCTTTATCTCCCTGAGGACACTGTTTCTTCCACCGACATCTGTGGCCGCCAAGCCCTCCAGCAGCCCCTCCGCAGCCGCAGGGGACCCGCACAGCCACGCGCACCCACTGCCTCGCGGGGTCGGCCTGCGCGCTGCCATGGACGCGTCAACCTCCGCGGCCTGGCACTGCTGGGCACTTACGCGGGTCAGGACCCGTGTCCTTAGTCCCACAGAGGGACGGGACGGGCAGCAGGTGCGGTGGGTCGCCTAGCAGCTGAGGAGCTGGCGGTAACCTGCGGCGGTGGTTTACAGCCTGCAGCTGCACCGAAGGAGGCAGAGAGGAAACCAGGGGTGTGGGCGAGAAACAGCCTGGAGGCAGCCTCCTGGGAGATGGGGAGGGAGGCAGCAACGGTGACAGCTCCTCCCAGGCTGCGTGTCCCCTGTGTTCTGGTGAGAGCCAGAGTGTTCTGCAGAGGCTTGGGGTGGACGGTGAATAAGCCTCTCCAGTGACCTGCTGGAGACATCTGTGGGCCGCAGCCACACTAGCCCCCCGGGTTGCGTTCGTCTTTCTTCCTCCTCTGTGCCTGTGGTTTCCGTCCTGATCCGGGTTCTACTCTTGCTGTCCCTTGGATATCTACCTTTCCAGTGTGCCGCCAAAACCAAGGGTGGTTCCAGTACCTATTTAGGAAGACTTCTTGGCAGGCCCACATTGCGACCAGACCTCCCTGAGGTCCCTGTGCAGGATTGGGAGGAGCTGTGGGCGTGTATTAAACAGAATCACAGCACTTGAATGGAAGACTCTCCATTTAGTTACAACTTGCTGTTTTAGTAGAAGATAGAAGATTCCTCCATTACCACCACCGCCATCACCACCTTCTGCAGCGTGCCCCGGGTGGGACCGGCTTTTGCCCAGGTGCTGCTCCAGGTGGATGTTGCCGTCCGTCTGGCTGGATTCCTTCTGCCAGCAGCAACCATGAAAGAGCTGCAAACTTCTTGGGTTGGAAGGTCTCTCCCAGTGGGGGCCTCTCCCATACCTTGTGATATGGGTGTTGAGTTAGGACATTTACTGAGGTGATTTTATGGTCAGGTGTCTGGTAAATAGGAAATTCAAATAGTTTAAGAGGAAAAAAAAAAAGCATTGAACTTCCCATTTATTCCCCTATGGGCTCTGATGACCAAACTCTATCAGCAGAGGCTCTCAGGTCTCACTGAGCAAAGACAGTTTTCTAGGACTGCAGATTTATTCTCTCTCAGTTCTGAAAGTCAGAAGCCTGACCTCCAAGTGCTGGCAGCACTGATCTCCTCTGGAGGCCCTGAGGGAGAATATAGCCCATGCTGTCTCCTGCTTCTGGTGGCTGCTGCCAGTCCTTGGTTTTCCAGGCTCATGGAAGCATCACCCTGATCCACACACATGGCGCGTCAGTCAGGGCCTCCCAGAGAAAGGAGAAAGAGAGGTATTACAAAGAACTAGCTCAGGTGATTATGGAGGCAGGCAAGTCCCAAGATCTGCAGGGTGCACTGGCAAGCTGGAGACCCAGGAGAGCTGGGTTTTGTTCTAGGCTGAATTTGAAGGCCTGGAAATCAGGAGAGCCAATCGCTGTTGTTTTTGTCCAAAGACTGACAAGTTCAAGACCCAAGAAAAGCCAAAGTTTCCGTTCAGATCTGAGGATCCCAGTTAGAAGGCAGTCAGGTGGGAAGACTTCTCTCTTACTCAGTGGATGATCAGCCTTGTTCTGCTCAGGACTTCATCTGGTTGGATGAGGCCCACCCATGTTGGGGAGGGCAAAGTGCTCTACTCAGTTCACCAATTTAAATGTTAATCTCATCCAATAATGTCCTCACAGAAACACCCAGGATAAGTTTTGTCCAAATATCAGTGTACCTCGTGGCCCAGTCAAGTTGACACATAAAATTAACCATCACATGTTCCCTCTATGTGTCTCTGTCCAAAGCTCAGCTTCTTGTAAGGGCACCAGTTATTGGATTAGGGCCTGCCCTACTTTGGTATGACTGCATCTTTCCTTGATTACATCTGCAAAGACCCAGTTTCCAAATAAGGTCACCTATACAAGTACAGGAATTAGAACTTATGCATATTCTTGGGATTGAGGGAACACAATTCAACCCCAAATAGGTATTCATAGTTGAAAGCTGACTTGATTTCTGGCAAATTACATCTTCATGGGGAAAGAGACCTTGACTAGAATCAGTTGAAAATTTTGTCGAGAAATAGGAGACAGAGGTCACCTATGCCTCTTGCCAGGGGTTGACGTCATAGTGAGAGGGTTGTCAATTTTAGAGACGTTAGATGAATTTAGTCTGGATGCGAAATTGTTAGTTCCTAGCACGTTATGAGGATGGCTCCCAGAAAGACATGCAATTTCCCTTTTCTGATAAAGTCAGGGTAGAAAAATGAATGAGAAATAAATTGCAGTAGTGTTTGCTGCTTGGGGTATAAACTGGCACACCACTTTGGAAAACTGTTTGATATTTGCTCCTAAAGTCTTACATATGGCTCCCCCAGGACACCGCAATCCCCTCCTAGATGTACACCCAGGAGAAGTGAGTGCATTTGTCCTCCAAAAGATGTGTGCAAGACTGCTTACAATTGTCAAGAACCCACATTTCTATCAGAAACCAATAAATGTATGGTGGCATATTCATACGGCAGAATAGTCCCCAGCAACAAAAATAAAAGAACAAACCACTGGCTCAACAACAATGTGGGTGGACCTCACAGACATAACATCGAGCAGGAGAGGCCAGACACAAAGGAGTAGGGACTGTGTGACTCCTTCCCCACACACTTCAAGAGTAGGCAGCACTGATCCAAGGTGACAGACCCCAGATCCATCGTTCCCTCCTGGACAGGGACTGTCTGCAAGGGGCAGAGGGAGCCATCTGGTGTGAGGGAGATGCCCTCTGTCTTGCCCTAGGTGTTAGTTATATGCATGCATGCGTATGTAAAAATCCATTACACTGTACACTTAGCACTTGTGCGCTTTGGGGATGTATTTTATACCTCAATTTATTTTATTTTATTTATTAATCTTTTTTGGAGACACAGTCTCACTCTGTCACTTAGGCTGGAGTGCAGTAGCAGGATCTCAGCTCGCTGCAGCCTCTGCCGCCCGAGTTCAAGCCATCTTCCTGACTCAGCCTCCCCATTAGCTAGGATTACAAGTGTGCACCACCATACCTGGCTAATTTCTGTATTTTTAGTAGAGACAGGGTTTCACCATGTTGCCCAGGCTGATCTCAAACTCCTGACCTCAAGTGATCTAGCCGCCTCAGCCTCCCAAAGTGCTGGGATTACAGGCATGAGCCACTGTACCTGGCCTGTACCTCAATTTAGAAAAACTAAAAAATGAATGTGTTGAATTCCTACTACATGACAGGCATTATTCCAGGCACAGCAGTAAAATCAGAGTCCCTGCTCCTGTGGAACTTACAGTCTAGGGAAAGAAGACATTTCCTACACTAATCCACTAGTAAATGGAAATGCCGAGAGTCTGGGAATAACACAAAGACAGAGCCAACGGGATTTGCTGACGGATTTGATAGAAGATTTTCAAAAGAAGAGCAGATTTTTACTTTGGGCCCGATCATCTGAAGTTGTCTTTTACGTATGTGAGCAATACAGGGCTAGATGCAGGCTTGGAAAGGAAACTCAAGAATCTGCAATTCCTGTGAAGACATCTAAGTGCAGGGCCCAGGTAGGGGGCAAGACGTCTGCGTCTCCAGTGCAGGGGGGTGGTCTGTGCTGGAAATTTCCATGTGTAAGTTTATAGCATATATTTGATTTCTTTTGTTCTAATAATGGAACTGGATAAGACTGATGAGAGAGATTGAGGCAAGGGAGGGGTTGGGTTAAAATGAAAAAAAACCCTGAGTATTATTTGACTTCTGAAATTATGTGCCTGCATAAAACAAAAACTAAAAATAAATGTAATCATGAACGAAATTTACTCTCAAGGTTAAATAATTTCTGTACACATTCTATCCATCCTTCCCTCAACTTCATTTTCTTTCCTCTGAAATATGTCTCAATGGGTTTCAACAGTTGTCTACGCATAGTCTTTCTACATCTAAACATGTCTAACTCATCTTGAATGAGAGTTTAGTTAGTATAATGGGCTATTCAGTAGGAAAATTCAAGGCACTCAAGTACAGGTGAGTTGTAAAATGGGCAACCTTATGAGAAGGATGCATTCTCACAGGAAATGGCTCCAGCCGCTGAATGGCCTCTGGTGCCACAGGAGAAACAGCAGAGTTGCTGTGTCTTGTTCTGTCCCCACCCAGGGCGATGGTGGGGTGAAGTGGGGCCAACTCCTCAAATCTGGCTCCAACTGGATGACTTGGAGAGTTGAACATTGAGTCGGGGAGTGCGGGGAATGAAGTGGCCAGCTTCCAAATCCCGCCTATGACATCTGTAGAGGCAGAGACAGGCGGGTGAGCTGCTGATGGAAGAGCTGAGAAGCAGGAACCAGCCAGCAGCCTGGCATTGGTCAGGACAAGGGGAAGCAGGAACTCCAGGGCCTGCACTCTGAGAGCTGACCTGGAGTCCTTTGGGGCCCCCTGATGGGCAGTGGGGTCTCAGCACAGAAGCTGAAGGTGGACCCCTTTATTCGTAGAGGCCAGATGGGTCAAGGCATCTGTGGAAAAGAGAATGTCTGTGAAGGAAGGGGTCTAAATAACACGTCGTGTGGGTCTAAATAACACATCCACTCCACGCAAGTCAGAGTCAACTTCAAACATGGCACAGGCCTGAAACGTGCAGGGCCAGCACTGAACACGACTGGCGGAGTGTTCCTCTCCCCTGCCTTACCTTCCTTCTAGCTGCCTCGGCTGAGGGAGTGAGAGCTGGTGATTTTGAATCAAATTAGGAGCTTTAACCCTGGGATGGGACTGGACAGTCTAGGTTCATGGTTTGAAACTGTGTTTTGTGTCTTTTTTTTTTTTTTTTTTTTTTTTGAGACAGAGTCTCACTCTGTCACCCAGGTTGGAGTGCAGTGGTGCCATCATGCTCACTGCAACCTTGACCTCCTGGGCCAAAGTGATTGCCCACCCTCAGCCTCCAGAGAGTTGGGACCACAGACCCATGCTACCATGCACAGCTAATTTGTTGTTGTTGTTGTTATGGAGTTTCACTCTTGTTGCCCAGGCTGGAGTACAACGGCGCTATCTCGGCTCACTGCAACCTCCACCTGCCCAGTTCAAACGATTCTCCTGCCTCAGCCTACGGAGTAGCTGGGACTGCAAGTGCCTGCCACCACACCTGGCTAATTTTTTGTATTTTTAGTAGAGACAGCGTTTCACCATGTTGGCCAAGCTGGTCTCAAACTCCTGTTATCAGGTTATCCACCCGACTTGGCCTCCCAAAGTGCTGGGATTACAGGCGTGAGCCACTGTGCCTGGCCTGCTAAAGTTTTTTTTAATTTTTTGTAGAGACCAGGTCTCTCTATGTTGCTCAGACTGGTTTGATCGCCTGGGCTCAAGCGTTCCTCTGGCCTCAACCTCCCAAAGTGCTGGGAGTACAAGTGTGAGCCACTGTGCCCAGCCTGTTTTGTATCTTAAAGCTTCCACACAAATTTTAGTTAACTTAAGAGTGCTCAGAAACATCTCCACAAGCCTATTAATTTTGAGAGTGGAAAAGGAGTTCCTTCACAGAAAATATTTCAAAGGGAGACTGGGGAACCCACTAAATTTGCAAGTATTCCATCCTCCCCTGTTGGGTTGTCCAGCATAGAGGGGAAATTAGCTACATCAGCTGTCTGAAGATATTATCCCTACTCACCAGGGCCTGTGGTTCATCCGTGGCGGGTTATTGGTCTTTTCTCTCAAGATGCATGTTAGACTTTCTTTATCTCCTGGATGGTCTGCATTTTGTTACATCTCAAGTGTGGATGTTTTATTTATCTGATTTGGAAAGCTTAGGCCACCCTCTTGATCTGAGGTCTCAAAATCATTCATTTTTTTGTTCATTTCAATACTGAAAGTTCTCTCTTAAAATATGGGCTTTTCATCATTCCTTCTAGTCTCTTCTTCTGGAATCCTCAACAAACATATAAGAGAGATTCTCAATCCATTCTCCACATCTCTGGGTTTTCAGGATTTTAGTTCTGGCTCTTAAAATAGTGCCCTAGAGATAATTTTCCAGTATTAGTTTCTAGTTCACTGTTTTGCTATTCAACTGTGTCTAGTCTAAAATCCCTCCCATTTAGTTTTTTTAAGATTGCCATCGATTCTTCTTTATATCTTCTCTTTCTCATTTTTTTTAGCATATCATTGTTCACATTTCATGAGTGCTATTCCTTTTTAGCATCTTAAATGTAATTATTGCAAATATTTGTTAGTCTACACCAGATAATTTTATCTGCAGTAAATTTAGTATTTCATTTTTTGCTTTTTCCTTGTGTCTTTTTATAAAATTAAATATTTTAATTAGTTTTAAGATGGGTAAGTTCTGGGGATTTTATACATTTTTGCAAGTATGTGTTGTAGGAAAAACTTGTTTTGTTTTGTTTTGATTTGATTTTCTCTTTCTTGTTCTCTCTGTTTCTCTCTTCCTGTGTAGATATTTTGTATTTGCCTCCAGCTGGTCCCTCAGATATAAATGTAGAAACAGATAGTTTTAGGACTTCTAGTCCACATTAATGTTGAAGACAGTGAGATGTGATCACCAAGCCAGTGGGCAGCTTGGCTCACATGTGGACATGAAGCTACGCCTTTGTTAAACTTTCTTCCTAGGCCAAAATCTTTCCATGAATTGGTAAAGTAGACTTCATTTGATTTTATTCTTTTTTCATGAGCAAGACAACTCACTTCTCACCTGCTTCAACCTCAGGTAGACACTCTTCCTTCTCTTTACCCCACAGGTGCCCAGCCCCTGTCCTTGCTGAGCCCAGAGTCCACAGGCCATCACCCTTTGCTATCAACATTGTTCCTGTCTTCTCTTTTTTACATCTTGTCTACACGGTTTAGGGTTAAAGATATGGGAGGGACCAATTCATGAGTTTAATTTGCCACCTTCCTCAGAAGCTGCTTCTCCACCCTAACTCATGGAATTTACTACTTGGTTAACTTAATTCATCCTCACTTTAAAAACAAAATAATTTTCGGCTTCAGAGTTTGATCAAATTCCATAAGTTTTTATATAGCCTTCTCATTAATTTCATTTTCTCAGTAAGCTATAATTATTTTTTTAATTTCCTTATTGGCCTAAGAGCTATTTAGAAATTTTTGTTTCTTTTGCATCAGAAATATGAATCAGTGAATAAACCACCTCGTTTTCTAATTTTAAACCTTTTTTCAGCTGTTCTATATATATGTTTCCCACCACATGAATGATGAAAGAAAAGTCCCAAGTCATCAAAGTCCCTATTTATCTGTCCTCAAGAAGAAACAGAAGAAAGCCTACCTCAGCAAGCCTCATAGCTGTTTCCTGTCTTTCACTGCTGATGAGATGCTGGCTAAAATTCCCCATAGCTGACAATGTGGCCAATAAAATAATATCAGATTTTTTTAGTGACACATGCCTCCATTCTATAATGTTAGCTTTATATTATTTTTACTCTATCTTATATGTACTCTGACATTTCAAATCGAGAGAAGAAATAAAAACACTTCAAGAGACTTATGTGTACCCATTTTATTAAATTTAAACCCACTAAGGCAGTCAAGAGTGTGCCTTGGAGACAGAAGCTACTTGGGGCAGATTTCTATATTTTGTCCTATTTCACATTATTAGATTCAGTAAAAATGCATTGAGAAAACAGGTAGGAACATTCAGTGCATTTAAATCTATTTCCACTTCTGACTTAATCTGATGAATGTGTACCCCTCTTTTGAGAGTGAACTAAAAGTTAAACTTTAAAACAGGCTCCATGACAAAGGGATGTTACAGAAGAGCAACGTCAGCATCAGGGTTGGCTTCATTCCAGCCTTTTCACCAGCAGTCTGATATGAGTCATTGGTGTACTGGCACCTCGGCAACCCAAATGAACCGATGAGAAGAAAAGGAAGTTAGAACTAGGCTTGGCAGGGGTTTGGAAAAAAGCCATGCAGGGATCCTTTCCCCTAGGTGGTGTTTCATTCAGAGCACTGGTTCTCAAATGGTGTCCCTGGAAGCGGAACATTAATTCTACCCATGAGCAGGTTAGAAATGCAAATTCATGGGCCCTCCCATGACCTATTGAGCCAAAATCTCTGGGGAAAGAGCCCTGGAATTTGGGTGGGAAAATGAGGAGATGTTGTCTCCAGGGTACAGACTTCCAGTTATAAGATGGGTAAGTTCTGGCCGGGCCTGTAATCTCAGCACTTTGGGAGGCTGATGTAGGTAGATTACTTGAGGTCAGTAGTTCCAGACCAGCCTGGCCAACATGGTGAAACCCCATCTCTACTAAAAAAAAAAAAAATACAAAAGTTAGCCAGATATAATGGCACATGCCTGTAATCCCAGCTACTTGGGAGGCTGAGGCAGGAGAATCACTTGAACATAGGAGGCGGAGGTTGCAATGAGCCAAGATTGCACCACTGCTTTCCAGACTGGGCGACAGAGTGAGACTCTGACTCAAAAAAAAAAAAATGGTAAGTTCTGGGGATCTAAGGTACAGCATGGTTACTTTAGTTAATAATACTGGATTGCATTCTTGGAACTTGCTAAGACAGTAAATCTCAAGTGTTTTCATCACAAAACAAAGGTAATTATGGGAAGTGATGGCTGTGTTAATTAGCTTGATAGTGGTAGGCACGTCACAATGTATGTATGTATCAAATCCTCACGTTGTATACATTGAATGTTTACAAATTCTATCAATTTTTACCTCAATAAAGCTGGGGAAAAAATCTTAAGCTGCATTCTGCAGGGTTTTTTAAAGTAATAATATCACTATTGTTTTTTTCCAAAACAATGATATAGATAGACATATAGATATTGTGAACCCCAAATATCTGAGACAGGCCTCAGTCAATTAAGGAAGTTAATTTTCCCAAAGTTAAAGATGCGCACCTGTGACACAGCCTCAGAAGGTCCTGATGACATGTGCCCAAGGTGGTCTGAGCACAGCTTGGTTTTATACATTTTAGAGAGACATGAGACGTTAATCAGCGTATATATATAATGAATGTTGGTTCTGTCCAGAAAGGTGGAACAACTTGAAGCAAACGCGGGACAGCTCAAAGCGGGAGTGGGCTTCCAGGTCACAGGTAGGTGAAAGACAAATAGTTGCATTCTTTTGAGTTTCTGATTAGACTTTCCAAAGGAGGCAATCAGATATGCATATACCTCAGTGAGGAGAGGGATGACTTTGAATAGAATGGGAGGCAGGTTTACTCTAATCAGTTCCTAGCTTGACTTTTCCCTTTAGCCTAGTGATTTGGGGGCCCAAAGATTTATTTTCCTTTCACGTTCCCCCTCTTTTCTTTTTAAAATCTTCCATAGAAAGCATTTTAGAAGAAAATGAGTCTCTGGTCTCAGGTTTTGTCTGATCTTTCATGGCTAGGATGGTTTTTTCCCAGATGGGCAGGTCCCATGTTATTAGGAAAGCTCATTTTTAGCAGGTTGTGATGTCTCACTTCTTATTAAGAGAAAATAGGGGGAGGAAGGGAGAAGAACAACAACAAACAAAAGAACAACCCTGGAAAATTGATATAGGCCACACTACTCTGAAGTCCATACATCAGTATGCAGGTATGAAAGTGGCTTATGTATGTAAATAGATTTCCAGTATTTTCTTCGGAAGTTTAAGTTGTCTAGTTTCAGTTCACAGGGCTTTAAGAAAGCACAGCTTAGTTTTCAGAGATTTCAAATCAGGAAAAATGGAGGCGGGAAGGAAAAGAAAGAAGAAAAAAATGGAAAACATTTGTTTTGGAGGCTTGGAGACAGGAAAAATTAGAATTCAGTCCAAACTGTAGAAAATAATAAAAATTGAAAAAACACAGGGCAAGACTAGAATATAACAACAGGTATACTACAGTTTTTGAAACAAATTTTCTCTCTCCAGTTTCCCTTTTCCAGTAAAGATAAATCATGGTAGGACTGATTTGGCCAGATGATTTGTATAAAGAGAAGCAAGAATAATTATATTTTACATAGGCTTTTAAAATTGGCTTTGATGGAACTTTGTTCCATAGAAGGAATCTCAGATAAGACTTTCTTTTTTTTCTGTTTTGTGATGGAGTTTCGCTCTTGTCATCCAGGCTCAAGTGCAGCGGCATGATCTTGGCTCACTGCAACCTCCGCACCCCCAGTTCAAGCGATTCTCCTGCCTCAGCCTCCCAAGTAGCTGGGATTACAGGCACCCACCACCACACCTGGCTAATTTTTGTTTTGTTTTGTTTTGTTATTAGTAGAGACGGGATTTCGCCATGTTGGCCAGGATGGTCTCAAACTCCTGGCCTCAGGTGATCCACTAAAGCCAAGCCCCACCATGGATTTGTACCATCAGATACCTATGAGTTGGGTAAATTCCTCTCCTCTTGAGGTCCCAAGATAACTTGAGACTCCTGGACCTGTCAGAAAGTGACTTTCTTTACTTACCACAGGTCAGGAACCCTGTACAGTGACTCTATAGACAAAGTATGAGGCCAGTTTCCCCAAGGGGCTTTTACTGGCTCTATAAGTCAAGTTTGATTCCTTAAAGGAAAGCACACCATTCCAGTTGAAGCCTTGGTAAAATAACCAATTTCCCTAATGGTGTCCTGTTGCAAAAGAAAATATTCTTATTGCACTTATGCAAAGAACTATATTGCCGTAAGTTAAGAGTACTCACAAGTAGTTTCTAAATCTGGATAAATCAAGTAGACAGAAACAAATATGCTCCAAATTTTGTTCCAGAAATATACTTTACTCAATTGCTACAAGCTGTAAGTAGCTCAAAAGAAAAGTTTTCTTGACTGTGGAAAACAAAACAAAGGATCAGCAATATTTTAAGCAAAAAAGTCAAAAAAAGATTACTTAAATCTTTTATTAGTTCAATCCATGCTGTTAACTCCTGTTCCACATGACATTCATGGACATCCCAGCTCTCCATGCAAGTCCTGAAAGTTTTTCCTCTATTCTAATGTCACAATTTCCAAAGTTATCAGAGCCCTGCATTCAACAACACCTACCAGAGTTTTATAGCTGATTATAAAACCACCTTCTAGAGAGGACCAAAACAAGACAACAATTGTCCATGGATGACAAAAAGTTTTAGGGCAGCCATAGTCAAAGACACAATTGACAAGGAAATTTGTTATCTCTGTGGCACACAATAATTTAACATAATAGTTATAATTATTACTGATAGCATACACTAAGTCAAATCAGAATTATACGAGTTTCCCATAATTTTGAAACACATACCAATAACATATTTATACAAATACAGCCCAAAGAAAGCCAAACATTTCATATTTGACAATGCTTTCTGCATGATTTTTATGCCAAATAAGCCAAGTATGTCATTTTTGGAATTTAGGAAACCTAATATCTTAAAGGATTAATTAGGTCAGAAAAAGACACAATTTATCATTTGATTTTGGAGAGTTTGTAAATATCAAAGGTTTAAAATGCTTGATATCACAAAATAGGATCACAGGTCATTGTAAAATAAGTCATTCATTTAACCAAAGTGATAACTCAAGGATTTAAAAAAAAAAAAAAGGCAAATCCTTTATTCTTTGATAGAGGAGACTTAATTTAATCCTTTAATGACTCACCAGGTAGAGGGTTAGTATGTTGGAGGTAATTACCCTGTAAACACCCACACACCCTTTATCTACCCCTGTTCTAGACCCACTCATTACCTACTTCTGCCCCACACCCACTCATTAGCTACCCCCTCGATATCCCTGCCACTCTCTATCCCACACCACTCACTACCTCCCACACACCTCACACCCACTTGTTCTCACAACTCCACAGCTACTCACTGTCAAACCCCTGCCCCATCACCATTTTCTACTTCCTGCCCCACACCCACTTGTAATTTGTCCTAAGTTCCCTATGGATACTTACTTAAGTATTCAGTAATCCTATCTCTCTCTCCATCTATCCATCTGTCTGTCTATCTACCATCCCCCCATCCATCCAACTATTTTAACAGGGAGTTAGGAAAGGGCAATTCAGCTTTCCTAGCTACTCATGATCTTAAGCTAGAACCTCTACCTTGCACTTACTTATTTGAAACTGCTTGTGAGTGGAGCATGGAGGCTTGGCATCCTGGTGAGTTTAGTGTCTCACACTCAAGAACTGCTCTCTTTCTTTTTTTCTCTTTTGTGGGAGTCTCATGCACACTCACACAGCATGTGGGCAGAGCTGTGTTCTTACAGTTTGCTGGAGAGTCACATGTTGGACTTACTGTGGCCACAGTTTTCAATAGTAAGAAACCTTAGTAATTCCATGTTGAAAATTACTTAGTATTAGAAAACATCTTCTTGTCATGTGATCAGCTATGTTAAAAACAAATAATTTTTAAAAACATTTAAATTATTAGTTATTTATTTGTCCTGTCCTAAGACATACTGTTGAAGTGTATTATTAGGAATTATTCAGGGGCCTGATATCAATTAAGAGGGGCATAGTAGAACCCAGGCAGTCTTTCTTCCTTCCCCCAGGAGTGGAAGTTGTTTTAAAACAAAATTGCTTGACCCAGACATTAAAAAGAGAGCTTCCTGGCCAGGCGCAGTAGTTCACACCTGTAATCTTAGCACTCTGGAAGGCTGTGGCAGGTGGATCACCAGGTCAGGAGTTCAAGACCAGCCTGACCAACATGGTGACACCCCATCTCTGCTAAAAATACAAAAATTAGCTGGGCATGGTTGTGCTTGCCTGTAATCCCAGCTACTCAGGAGGCTGAGGCAGGAGAATCGCTTGAACCCGGGAGGCAGAGGTTGCAGTGAGCTGAGATCACACCATTGCATTCCAGCGTGGGTGACAGAGTGAGACTCTGTTTCAAAAAACAAAAAAACAGATTTTTCTTTTATTTTCATTTTCTGGCTATCTTAGAATAAATTTACAAATATCTCATTTTTTTTTTCCTTGAGGCTCTTGGTCCATATAGTAAATAAAATTTAGACAACTTTTTCCTGAGAAGATCCAAACTATTAGACAACAATTTATCAGACAATTGGGTCCCATAAAAGTACTCTTTATTCATTCCATCTTCCTCACAGATTGTGCAGTGTCAAATTGATGGAAGGAGCTTCTTTTAAACTCATTTATATAAAAACATTTGCTTTTAAAAGGGCCTCAAGGCTCACACCTGTAATCCCAGCATTTTGGGAGGCCAAGACAGGTGGATCACAAGGTCAGGAGTTGGAGACCAGCCTGGCCAACATGGTGAAACCCTGTCTCTACTGAAAATATCCAAATTAGCTGGACATGGTGGTGGGTGCCTGTAATCCCAACTACTCGGGAGGCTGAGTCAGGAGAATCACTTGAACCCAGGAGGCAGAGGTTGCAGTGAGCCAAGATCACGCCATTGCACTCCAGCCTGGGTGACAGGGCAAGACTTTATCTCAAAAAAAAAAAAAAAAAAAAAGGACCTCCTGTCATTGTATTCCTGACTCCCATGCAGCTGTTTCTATGCAAGAGATAATATAATCTTTTTAGTTCAATTAACCTTTGATTTTAGTTATGTAACCTAGGATCTAGTGCTCACAATTATAGAATCATAATGTAGAAAAATGGGTCCTAAGTCCCTAATACATATCAAAAGATTTACAAAATTAGTTTTACTTAAAAGATTTAGTCATTTTCAGAAGAATTTACCAGAGGAAATACTAATATTAGTGATTTATATCAAAGAGGTAAAACAAAAGCTGAAATGTTCTTTTCAAAGTAAGAAGAATTGGTCTTCTTTACAAGTGTTCTAAAAACATGATATAAGCCCTCAATTCGACAAAATAGATCAGAAAGATTCGTTGCTTTCTCCTGTACCTGTTGGAATCTTTTTTATGTGTCCAATAGCTTTGTGATTTAGTGATTCATGCATTTGCTTTGTAATTCATTCACAACACATCTGCTCCAAGGTTTCATCCTGGAGTTTCAATAAGCATTGTCTCTCCAGGTGTCCCATAGCTCCTACTCATCTGCCTAGTATGCATTGATTAAAAGCTAAAAATGTGAACTTTTTTTTTTTGAATAGTGATATTGCAAAAACTATTGCATAGACTTTCATGTTGCTTATAATTATTTTTGGTACACAATTTATAAAGAATACATAGTTATGCCAATTTCTGGAAATACATGCTTCCAGACCACATGAATAGCTTGAATTATTTAAAAGTAATATTTTCAGTTAACAAGGTGCTAAGATAACAAAAAATAAATTAAATGTTATAGCTACCTTAAGGCTGGGCATGGTGGCTCATGCCTGTAATCCCAGCACTTTGGAAGGCCGAGGTGGGTAGGTCATGAGTGGATGTGCAGCGGGTTGTGGATAGTGAGTGCATAGGTGGTGAGTTTGCATGGCAAACAGTGTCATCTCTGAGTGGGTTTGAGGTGGGATGTAGTTAGTGAGTAGGTAGGTAGGGAGTGAATACAAACATTGGACCTAGTCCTGTAATTGGAGTTTTTCAGTTCATTGGACCTGACTGTACATGGGACTTGATCTGGGAACCATACTTGGGATGTGGCTCTTAGACCAGAACTTTCCATGTAGAGTTTGAACTAGTGCCCTAGATTTGGACTTTACTCCTGGGTGGAACTGGCTCTCTTACCTCAGACATGGACTTCAGCCTTGATGTTGGATCTCAGCCTAGACCAACTTTTCTCATAAATGTTGTACTGGAACCTCAGACCTTGACCTTCAAATGTGCTGGACTTAGACCTTGGTACCAGAACCATGGGTGCAAACATCAACCCTGGACCTTTGACATACACCTTGTATTTGGATCTGTATCTTGCATCTGAACCTGGATCTGCAAAGTGGATCAAAACCTGGATCTTGAAGCTGGATCTTGGACCTTGCTCCCATCTGGACATCAAATCTGACCTGAGGCATAGAAATTGGGCCTGGACCTTGACCTTAGAATTTGACTTCGGACCTTGGAGCTGAACTTTGCCCTGGAAATAACATATCAGACCTCTATCATGATCTCCATTTCAGACCCTGGACTTGAACCTGGGCCTGAAATGGAAAGTGGACCTTGAATCTGGATTTGTCCAGAATTTAGGACTTAAAATTAGTCCTAGATCTTGGACCCTGGTGCTGTGCCTTTGACTATAATCAGGGGTTTGCACCCTATCTGTGGTTTTCTTGTATGAGCACAGGATCAACTCCCCACAGAACAGATGTCAACACTGATGATGCAACAGGCTCACCAAAAGCGTACAAAAGTTTCTTATTCACACAGTGAGGCTTTCTGGGAATGCAGGAAAGGCATCACAGATGGTCTCGAAGAAGCTGAGAGAGCAAGGAGGGGCAAGTAGCTTGCGGCTTTATTGTAGTTAGTGGGTGGGGCCAGGGCATGGACCAGGACTTGCATGGTCTGAATTTTCTGCCAATGCCAAGGGAGGAGCCCATGGGATTTCTAATCATCTCTCCAAACTATGAGGCAAGCGGGAAAGAGGGAGGGCTGGGCTTGAAAGTCACTCAGATATTAAAAGTGGCATAAGGCTCTTCATTGTAATTCATACCTGATGAATGACTGATGGCTGAAATATGCCACATTTCACATAATTGAATTTAAACGTGTTTAAGTACGCCATTATGATGTTTTATGATGCCCTTAGTCGGAGTCTGGTAAGGGAGATAAAATTTCCATTGAACGCCATGTTCAAGAGCCCAACATTGTGTATTTTTAAAAGTGAACTGAGGATCTTGGCCATTATCAATAATACCTCAACTGTTGAGGGAAATAGAGAGTACCTGAATTGTAGATTAGTATTTACTGAGACATGCGTGACCTTGGTTTATATTGTTGATAGTTGTGAGACAAGAAGTTCTAAGAGTTGTTTACTCCCAAGGTTGTGTTCTTAGAAAAAAAAATTTTGTTGCCATTGGCTAAACTTGATGGCCAGATCATGGACAATGGCCAAGGATCTATAAGAATGTGCAGGTGGCTGGGCGCGGTGGCTCACGCCTGTAATCCCAGCACTTTGGGAGGCTGAGGTGGACGGATCACCTGAGGTCAGAAGTTCGAGACTAACCTGACCAACATGGAGAAGCCCTATCTCTACTAAAAATACAAAATTAGCTGGGCATGGTGGTACATGCCTGTAATCCCAGCTACTCAGGAGGCTGAGGCAGGAGAATCACTTGAACCCGGGAGGTGGAGGTTGTGGTGAGCCAAGTTCACGCCATTGCACTCCAGCCTAGGCAACAAGAGCAAAACTCTGTCTCAACAACAACAACAACAACAGAATGTGCGGGTAAGGGTGGCTGTTGGACAGAGCATCAGTGCTAAGATGCCAACCTGAAGTTCAGCCAATTGAACTGAACATTCAGTCCCGGACTTTATCCAAGACACTGATTAAGGGATGGCCAGCAGCAACACTCAACAGGCTCTAGCATGTGTCATGTTGATGATGCTGTCCATAAAGTATATTAGCTCCCTTTCTTATTTACTCAGGGGACCCCCAAGTGACCAATGAGTCCAAGAGAGGGATGATTTCCTCCAGGCCTATATGGTAAATGACTGAGGACAAGGCGAAGCTGCTTTCTCCTGCAAAGTTGATATGCCAGATGTCACAGATCTTGCTTTATCCTATAAAATATCACTTTTATTTTAGCAAGGTTTCAGTGGCCATGCCAAGCCTGCAGGGTACTGCCTCCGTGATCCAAGGCATAGTGAGAAGCTCAGGGCCTGTGAGAGCCTTTGCCCAGAAAAACCCAATGTGCAGCCCAATACAGCTAATGGTGTAAAGCACGGGGCTCAGGAAGGCAGAAGCCCAGGAACAACTTAGGGCCATTCTGGCCAGACTCCAGGAGGCAGCAAAGGAGGCTGCACAAGCTCTACAATGAAGGAGTCTCTGGGGTCCACTGATTGGAGTGCCTGTTTTGTTGCCATTTGAACATGTACTAGAGCCTTTTGTTGTAGGAGGTCTCGTTCAAAGTGGGCCAATTAGCCAGTAACAGAATAAATGGTTTTAGGTAAAATGTAAATGAAACCCAAACCCAGAAATTCCTAAAAGATGCCAAACTGTTCTAACATTGTGGGGGCTGACAGTGTCAATTGTTGTTTCTTGACAGTTTCAAGGATGAAGTAGCCCTCAAATGATCAAATAAAGCCCAGACATTTTGCTAAGGCGGAAGGGTCTTGTACCATGTGTGGGACGGTAGTGCATTCTTTTCTGTGAGCTCTTTTATGAATATTTGTATGTCCTGAATAAGTGTGTCAGATGAATCTCTTTGGAGAAGAAAGTCACCAATGCAACATCACACCTATGCTCCTGGAGAAAGGTGGCTATAGCTAAGATCTTTCCTGCAAAGACAGGCTGTATGATGGTTGCGACAAAGACTGCATGATGGTCAGGACAAAGACAGACTGTGTGATGGTTGGGCTGTTGAGGTACCTCATGGGCAGCTGGGTAACGGTGCATTGTGTCCCCTTGAAGTTGAAGGCCACCGAGAGGCTGTTGCAACAGATGCAGAACAGAACATACCAGCCAAAGTTACGATTGTATGCTATTTTCCAGTTGCTCATTGGATGAAGTCAGTAATTTTAGTAACACTGAATATGGGGATTATAATGGGTAGAATCACGGCATTAAAGAATTCACTGTGAGACACCATTCATTTTTTTCAGGTTTAAGAATAGGCTAAATTGAACCAAAATAGGACTTTGATAGTCCTATTTATAGGACTTTGATCCTTGAAGGTCCTGATTTAATTTATTTGGAGCTGTGGTAACAATTATGATAGATGGGAACAAACCCATAGGGTCACATTCTATCATGCCAATTCTAAGTGCCAAAGACTGAATTTAATTCCAGTGTATTACTCATTGGGTCAGAGTGTCAATACCTGCTATGGGATATTTTAAGGCAATTGGCACAATGGTCATGGGGAATTTAGGCAAAGCAATAGTTCTGATTGCTTTAAGGTGTGGCATACCTATGTTTCTTTTATTTTATACTTGCAGTTCCTCTAAGAGTATAGAGGGTATCTTATTTAAACTTACTGAGGTCCTCAGGTATAGGATAACTTATTTAAATTTAGTGGGATACCCAATTATAATAGTAATTTGACATCCAGTATAGATTAAGGCGATGAAGGTTTACCAGTTGCAGCACTTCAGCAGAGATTAATTTGGAACCTATACTGTAGAGGCACAAAATCCATTCAGTACCTCTTTTATCTTTTTATTATATATTCTCAGTAAATTTCAGATCTGCAGTTGGATCAAATTGTGGTACAGAGTCAAAGATTCAGGTCCAAACTCTAGGTCCAGGTCTAGTTCCAGGCTTAATATCCAAGTGCAAGGTATGGACCCAAATTTCAGGTTTTAGGTCATGCCCAAGAAACTTAAAATCCCAGGTCCAAGTTTTACAGCCAACATCCATATCCAAAATTAAATCCAGTTTCAAGTCTAAGGTCCAGATCTGACTGCCTGATCCCAAGGTAAGCAGCAGTTACAAGGTTTACCTCCAAGATCCTAGAAATAGGTCCAAAATCCAGGTATTGGTTCAGTTCCAAAGTACAGGTTGAAACAATTATAAATTTGTGTTTAACATCTAGGGAAAGTTCAGGATTCAGGTCCACAGTATGGATCAAGGATCAAGTTCTAAGTACAAGTTCCAGGTCCAAGGTTATGTCCAGGTCTATGTACAAGATCCAAGAAAATCTTTAGACATCCAGATCCGAGTCCCAAGTCTATAACAATGACCAAATTAAAAGTCAGGCCCAAGGTCCTAGACATATCCAGGCCCAAGGTTGAGGGCCTATGCCCAGGTTCAAAGTCAAAGTCATGGTCCACAGTCCAGATTGAAGTCTGAGCCCCAGATCCTTGTCTAAGGTCCAATTCTAAGTTTCATTGTCCAAGTCTTCATCTATGTATGAGGTCCAGGTTCAGGTCTAAGGAATGATGTTTATGTGCGCATTCCAGTTCTAGCTCTCTGAGGCCTATTTAGAAACATCTCCAGGTATGAGGTCAAGAAATGAGGTCTGAATTTTATTTTCAAATTCTGGGTGCAAAGTCAAAAATCCAGTCCAAGACTTCATACCTAGACTTCAGGTATGAAGCCCAGGTCCAAGATCCTCATCCATAGTCATGTTCAGAGGCAGGTTAGAAGTCCAGATTTGAAGTTTAAATTGAAGTTTAGAAGTCTAGTTCCAATGTCCTCTTCCAATTTCTTGGGCCAGATCCAGATCTAAGGTTCTGATCTAGACCAAAATACAGGTCCAAAATCAATACTGTAGGTCAGATTTAGGTCCAAGTCTAGAACAGAGATCATGATTCGAGTTCAAGATTAAAGGTCTAGGTCCTGGCTTGAGATCAGTTTCAAAGTTCAGGTACGAGGCCGGGCACTGATGTTAAGGGTACAAATCCATTTCCGGGTTAAAGTCCAGATTGAAATCTATGTCTAGTGCAGATAACCCACGGTTGAGATCCAATATCCAGGACCCAGTCTAGGTTTCGGTCCAATATCTAAGTGCAAGGCCTATGTACAGGTCTGAGTTTCAGGAATAATGGCAGGTTAAAGGAACTGGGAAAATCCAGGTCTGAGGTCCGGATTTAAGATTTGCCTGAGTTCCAGGTCTGAGGTCCACATATGAGTTTAGAGATCCAGTTCCAAGGCATAGGTCCAATGTCCAACATCCAAAGTCTGGGTCAAATTTATGTCAGAAGACCAGGTTCAAAATCCAGGACCAGGTCAAGGTTGAGGTCTAAAGTCCTGGTCCAAGTTTGAAGTCCATAATCTTAGTTGAGAATCAAGGTCCAGATCCTAGTACCAGGACCAAGATTATGTTCTAAACTAGATTTGAGGCCTAAGATAAAGGTTAGATGTCAAGGTCCAAGATTCAGGTCCAAAGTCTAGTTCCATGACCAAGGATACTGACTAAAGTCAGTGCCAAGTTCCTCAGCAACCAGGTCCAAGGTTGAAGTGCTATGTTCCAAGGTCCAAATTCCAGGTCCAAGATCCAAAACCATGATCTACATTCAAGGTCTAGGTCAAATCTCAGCTCTATATCCAGTACAAAGGTCAAAAGCCCAGTTCAAAGGTCCAAATCTATGTCAAGGTATAAGGCAAAAGGCCAGGTCCAGTACTTAGGTCCAAGGTCCAGATTCCAAATCCTGGTGTTGGTCTAGTTCCTGGTCCAATGACCAAGACCAAGATCCAGATCTAGAACCAATATCAAGTTCTAAGTCATTTCCATGTCTAGTGTCCAGGCATAATGTCAAGTCCTGGATAACATAAAATCTAGATCCAAATTTCAGACCAAAGTTTCTGTCTGAGTTCAAGCCCCAAATCAAAGATCTAGGCCCAGTACCAAAATTCAAGGTCCAAATAGAAGGTCCAGATAGACATCCAAGTTCCAAGTCTTAGGTCAAGTCCAGGATCCTGAGCAAATGTCTAGGTGCAGGCTCAGATTCTGGTCCACTTCTAAGGAAGGTCATAGAAAATCCATGTCTCCATATCCTACCTTCAGAGTCAATGTCCAGGACCAGGTCAAGATTCAGAATAAAGGTCCAGGTTCAAGATCAAGGCCACAGCCTTGTTTCAGGGTCAAGGTTTGGATTTAAATTCCAGGTCCAAGGCCATGGCCAGGTGCAGATGTGAGGTCTAGGTCTGAGGTCCAGTTCCAGGCTCTAGGTGTGCAGTACAAGTCTGAGCTAAGAGGTCAATATCCAATATCTAGGTCAACGTTCAAGCCCTCTGATTAAGATAAGGTCAAAGTTGAGGTCCAAGGTCCTAGACAAATTCAGGTCCAAGCATAAACCTGAAACATAAACCTGAAAGCATAAACCTGAACAGTTCCAAGATCCAAAACAAGATCCAAATTCCAAGGACAAAGACCAGTTTGTGGTCTGAAATTGGTACAACATCCAGGTTCAAAGCCCGGGTCCAAAGTTCAGGAACAAGGTCCCAGGCCCAAATCCAATATTCACATCCATGTTTAAAGACCATCTCCACATCCATGGTCCAGGACCAATGTATATGTCCAAGGCGAAGTCCAGGTCCACATGAGAGTTCTTTGTGGAAGGTGCAGGTTTGAGTTGAGAGGACCAGGTCCAAAAACCAGGATTTGACAGATCTAAATTCCAGGCTAATGCAGGGCAAAAGTCCAGCTCCAGCTGGGCACGGTGACTCAAGTCCGTAATCCCAGCACTTTGGGAGGCCAAGGCGGGTGGATCACAAGGTCAGGAGATCGAGACCATCCTGGCTAACACGGTGAAACCCCGTCTCTACTAAATATACAAAAAATTAGCCGGGCAAGGTTGTGGGCGCCTGTATTCCCAGCTACTCGGGAGGCTGAGGCAGGAGAATGGTGTGAACCCAGGGCGCAGAGCTTGCAGTGAGCCAAGATCACACCATTGCACTCCAGTCTGGGCAACAGAGCGAGACTCCGTCTCAAAAAAAAAAAAGTTCAGCTCC
Source organism: Homo sapiens (assembly GCF_000001405.40). NCBI lineage: Eukaryota > Metazoa > Chordata > Mammalia > Primates > Hominidae > Homo > Homo sapiens. Next base: position 54,719,173 of record NC_000007.14, read on the forward strand.
AACATGGAGGACTGCTAAGTCCTAGGTCTGAGTCTCAGTCTAAGGACTGAGTCTAGGTTTGTGTCCAAGCTCCATGTCCAGGCCCATGGTTCAATTCCAAACTACTTGTCTGTATCTGAAGCCCCAGTCACCACCTACCCCCACCTCACATCCCATCACTACTGGCAACCTGCCCCGTACTCATTACTACTCTCTACCTTGGACTCACTACCTAATGCATCCTTATACTCAGTCACTATTTACTCCTTTTCCCACACCTGCTTACTACCTACATCCCACCTTACACTCACTCATTACTTATCCTCACCCCATAACCACCAACTGATTTCCTCCTGGCCACAGCAACTCACTATGCCCCAGGCATACTCAATACCTCACTTCCCACCTCCTCATTATGTGCCCCTCACCCCATACCCAGTCATGAACTACCCACTTCCCCCTACCCACTCTGTTGACACTCTGCCTCATACACACTCAACACCTATGCCTCAACCCTCACCCATTCACTACCTATACCCCTACCAACATCCACTCATTCCTTAGCCCCTCCACACTCAGGGTTTACATGCACATGCTCATAGTCACCACCTGATCCCATCCACACTCATTCATCCCCCAACCCCACCTCACACCCATTCACACCTCATCCACCCACAACCAACTAGGACCTAGCCTCTGCTCCATACATGATACAGTTTGGATGGTTTTTCTCCTCCAAATCATGTTGAAATGTGATCCCCAATATTGGAGGTGGGGCCTGGTAAGAGGTGTTTGGATCATGGGGGCAGATCTCTAATGGATAGCTTGGTGCCCACCCCATGGTAATCAGTGAGTTCTCACTCTATTCATTCATGCAAGAGCTGGTTGTTTAAAAGAGGCTGGCACTTCTCTTGCTCCCTCCTTTGCTATGTGACATGCCTGCTCCCCTTCACCTTCCTCTATGACTGAAAGTTTCCTGAGGCCTCACCAGACGCAGAGGCCAGAGTCATGCTTCCCGTATAGCCTACAGAATCATGAGCCACATAAACCTCTTTTCTTTATAAATTACTCAGCCTCAGGTATTTATAGCAATGCAAAATGAACTCATACAACACCACTTACTCCCTACGCCCCCACTGCACAGAAAGTGCAAATAGATTACAAAACACGATCATTATGAGATAAAACAGACTCAGTCTGGCATTGCCTAATTTGCCCATTCATGCATTCACTTACTCATTTCATAAATATTTATTATTTACCTCATGTACTTATTAACTATCAGCTATTGTTTTAGAAATTGAGAGAATAGATAAGAGCTAAGCATAGCTCCAAACCTCCAGGATATTTTAGCCTATATAAGACATGTGTAAGTACGGAAAAGAACTAGGGCTGCCATGAAACACAGGGCACCCAACTGACAGGTGCGGCCGTGGGAAAGTGGGGCAAGTGAACTGAGCCCTGAAACACAAGTCAGCTCTAAGTGAAAAGAGCCGTGTGGGCAGAGCCACAGGGCAAGAGAGAATGTGGTATCATCAGAGAATGGCACATGGGCCATAAATAACAGCAAGGTTACTGATGAATGCTTACTGAGAGCCACCATGCTACCAAGCATGATGCTGAATGCTGTGCGTGAATGACCTCACGTACAATTCGCCCAGCTCCATAAGGCAGGGGCCATTTTATTCATTTTATAGCAAGGAAAAAGTGGTGGAGAGAGATTGGATAAGCAACTTCCCTAAGTCATGTGGCTTCTACGTGGTAGGACCGGAACTGGAATCTGTGGCTACTTGATGTCAGACTGGTTCTATACTGCCTCCTGGCACTACCCAGAAGTAAGGGCTAGATCACGGTGCCCCATGGGGATGTACCAAGAAGCTGAAGCTCTCTTGAAGTCAATGAGAAGCCCTGAAGAATGTACAGAATAGCATTTTTTAGGGGTTTTGTCCCTAACTATAAAAGTAATCTTAAGTCTTGTGATAAAAACAATACACTAAACCCCTCTCAAATTTGGGAAACACAGGAAAGAAAAATCAGAAACATGAAAATCAGTCAATGTGACAACACTGGGAGTTAAGTGCTGATAGCATGGTAGTCATTTCCTTCAGATCTTTTGTATCATTTACCATTTGCTCATTAAAACATAATTCACTGAGGCCGGGCGCAGTGGCTTATGCCTGTAATCCCAGCACTTTGGGAGGCCGAGGCGGGCAGATCACCTGAGATCAGGAGCTCGAGACCAGCCTGGCCAACATGGTGAAACCCCATCTCTACTAAAAAAATACACACACCCACACACACAATAACCAGGCGTGGTGGTGCACACCTGTAATCCCAGCTACTTGGGTGACTGAGGCAGGGGAATTGCTTGAACCCAGGAGCTGGAGGTTTCAGTGAGCGGAGATCGTGCCATTGCACTCCAGCCTGGGCAACAGAGCAAGACTCTGTCTCAAAATAATAATAATAATAATAATAATAATAATAATAATTCAGTGAGCACTGAATTGGTGCTGAGCACATTGCTAAGCACAGGGATACACTAGGGAACAGGACAGAAACGCTCCTCTCCCTGAAGAGTCTGCTGTTTGGTGATAGTGACAATGCTGAGCCAGGAGGGATGGAGGCACCGTGCCCTGTGACAGGCGCTCCACAGGGGCATGACCCAACCTGGCTGCACGTCCAGTGAAAACTTTGAAGGTCAATCTGAGGAAGAGGACCTGGCTGGGTGGAGAGTGAAGAAAGACTGTTCCAAACGAGAAGGACAGGATGTGGTGAAGGTGCTGAAATGGAGAAACATATGACCCTTTTGAAGGGCAGGAAAATATTCAGATACAGCTGGAGCATGTCGAGTAAAAGACAAAGTAGTAGGAGATGCATTTGCAGACCTTCTCAATGACCAGTCAAGGCAAGACTTCAGAAGTCATTTAAGCCCGTTGGACTTTATCCTAAGAGCAATAGGAAGCCGCTACAGTTCCTTCAGCAGCAGAGCCGCATGGAGAGATGGAGTGTTTAACATTCACTCTGGATTGCTGCAGCTGCAGTGGGTGATGTGGAGAGATCTGATGAAAGGTAACTGTTCAGACACATGATGACGGAGACTGCTCCAGAGCGCTGTCCACGGTGTGTGTGTGTGTGTGTGTGTGTGTGTGTGTTCGTGTGTGTGTGTGTGTTCGTGTGTGTGTGTGTGTGTGTGTTCGTTCACAAATTCAGATGCACAGCAAAACACCTCTCTGAAAACTCTTTAAATTTTTCAGTGATGTAGGGATTTCTCATCCTCAGCCTCCACTCTCCTTCTTACCCTGGTATCTACTTTTCTTCTCTTTCCCTCTCTGACTGCCTATCTTCCTCTCCCCAGCTTTCTCTCTGTGTGTCTGTCTCTCTGTCTTTCTGTCTCTCTCTTCTCCCTCTCTCTCCTTCTCTGTCTCTCTCTCCCCCTCCCTCTCACTCTCCCACTCTGTCTCTGTCTCTCTCTCCCTGCCACTCTCCCTCTTTCTCTCTTTCCTTCTCCCTTTCCCCTGTCTCTCCCTCTTTCTCTCTCTCCCTCTGGTTCTCTCTCTCTCACTTTCTCTTCCTTTCTCTCTCTGTCTCTCTCTCCCTCCTCTCCCTCTTTCTCTCTCTCCCACCCTCTTTCTATCTCCTTCTCTCTCTCTCTGTATCTGGGTCTGCCCAACTTTTTCTCCCCTCCCCTTTCTTTCTCTCTTTTTCTCTCTCTCTCTCCTTCTCCCGCTCTGTCTCTACCCTCCCCTTTCTCTCTCTTGACTGTGCACTTTCACTGCCTCTCTTCTTATGTAAGGCATTTGTAAGGCCAGCTGACCTCTCTGGTTTCACACATCACTCTGCCCAGCACTTTGCACATTTACCCACCATCCTTTCTTATTTTGCATCTATTTCATTAGAAGGCAGGAGGTGAATTATAAATAAAATATTTATTTATTACCTTTTATACTTAGCTCACTATTCCATATTAAAATTAATTCATTCTATGATGTGAGTTAAGCATCTATCTTTTTAAACTCCAGATACCTGGCCGCTTTTTCCAAAGCCATGTGCTAGATGGGCTCTGCCCTCCTGTTGTGTTTGAGGCCCAGTACTCAAACACAACAGGGCCCTTTGGGGTCTGCTTCCTTAAAGTATTTTATTTATTGGTTCTGGCACTACCATCTTGCAGTGTTAATTTTTTAACATTGCTTGGCAAGTTTCATCTGTTTATTTTCCAAAGATCTTTAGAATTATTTAATGATAGTTTTATTTTAATGTTATAAAATTAGAAAATCCAAATTGCATTAAAACCAAATCTTTATAATATTTGATATTTTATGCCATAATTTGCTTCCCTCAATTAATTCAAGTATTCTTTTATGTTTTAGTAATAATTTATTTTTTTCATACAGCTCTCCCACATTTCTTAGATCGTATAGGCTTTTGCTGCCAATGTTATTTTTCCAATACAGTTTATATATTGTTATTCCATTCATTAGCCACTTAACAAATATTTATTGGACACACACCAACTGTCAGACACTGTATGTAATAGGTGCCGATGACCAAGACAAATTTAGAATGATTAATATGAGGGAATTCAGATGTGCTTTGGTGTATGCAATGGAAGGACTCAGCCTCTATTTCAGAATGGCATTGCTTAATGAAATGATGCTTAATGACATTTTAAATGAGCCTCCAACTAAATGATCTCAAATTGGACCCCTTAGGTGGCATTTTGGAAATTCATGTGGGCAATTTCAGTTGTCACGGTGAATGTGGGTACTCCCAACATTTTGTGCATGGCAGATATGACTGACATTTTGTATTCAAGGATGCCTCGTCACTACAAAAAGTATGACCAAACCAAGTTGAAGGCAGTGAGAGGACTAGAGATAGAAATTGACAGGGATTTGGGGAATGAGCATAATGAATATCTAATATTAGAACTCAGGAAAAAGCTACAAAACTGTAAGTGTGCATCGCTGGCACAGGAAATGACAGGATGGTGAAATGAGACCCAAATACATAGTTGATTTTTGTAAATTAGAAAGATCTCATTTTTAATCAGTAGAGGAAATATGAATTGGTAACTTGTACTAAGATAATCATCTAATGGTATGGAAAAAATAAAATTTGATTTTTTACCTTGTAACACACATCCAAATGGATCTAGATAAATCAGAAATTCAAATGGAGGAAAGATCACGTAAGGACAAGAATGCAGATACGTGTAACAAAATATTTTTAATTCTTGAGGTAGAGAAGTTTTTAAAGCATATCATCAAAGAAACGAAACTCAAAGGAAAAGATTCGTAGCTTTGATGATTTTAAAACATGAATGTATATATGTCAAAAAATACCATATTTTGACTGGATATAAGGATAACAATGATATGTGTTTATGTAGAAAACTCAATATTCTCACAGACATATAATTTCTGCAAATTATTTTCCTATTTTCCAATGGTTTAAAGAAATATATAGAGAACATACCAAACAAATATGAAAAAATGGTTAACAATTAGTGAAGACAGGTAGAGGACATAGAAGTATTCACTGTATTAGTTAATTACTTCTGGATGTTTGAAAATATTCACAATGAGATTATGGGGAAACTGTTAACAAAATTAAAGGGGAAATGATACACTGAAAAATGATATTTCCAATTTACTGTGCCAGAGAACCTAGAGAAATCTTGCCTGGGCCTGAAAAGACTTTGATCATTTTCCAAATTAAAAACTTTCTTCCTTTATCCAGAAAAAAGCAAATCCTGGAAAAATGACATTGGGGGTTGATTGTGCCACAGGCTTATGTATTAAGTTAAAACAGAAAGAATGAAAGTATGAGATAAAAAATAATTATAGCTTGTTCTATATGATGAAAATGTCTTCATCGCTGGGCGCAGTGGCTCACGCCTGTAATCCCAGCACTTTGGGAGGCCGAGGCGGACGGATCACGAGGTCAGGAGATCGAGACCATCCTGGCTAACACAGTGAAACCTCGTCTCTACTAAAAATACAAAAAATTAGCCGGGCATGGTGGCAGGCGCCTGTAGTCCCAGCTACTCAGGAGGCTGAGGCAGGAGAATGGCGTGAACCTGGGAGGCGGAGCTTGTAGTGAGCCGAGATCACGCCACTGCACTCTAGCCTGGGCAACAGAGCGAAACTCTGTCTCAAAAACAAAAACAAAAAAACAAACAAACAAAAAAAAAGAAAATGCCTTCATCATGCATGTTTTGTTATAATGTTTCCATTAGAGTAGGAAAGAAGTTCAGCTCTCTGTACCCTGTATGAGAAAGAAAATGCCATAATTGGATGCCATTACTGTCAATCATCCTACATATTATAGAGAAAGGCAGGTCACTTCATCTTGGGAAAAAGCAGCGACGGGATTGTGTCCACGAAAGTTTACCATTGACCCACCTCATGTTTGTCCCCACCTCTGAAAAGAGAAGTAGTTTCCAAGTTTGCATGGGTCGGAAATAGACCAAAGAAATACACCTTGCCAACAGAAAGCTATAAAGCCAGTACAGATTGCAGCCAATCGTTAATGCTGTTTATCGAAAAAGTAAAGGACCATTAAAAAAAAAAAAAAAGTCACTCTCCGGAATCCTCTCTGCCTTTTACAGAAAAGCAGTGAATAAATTAAGAGTTCTGCAAGAAGAAGGCTCCTAATCTTTGGTTCATAATCCCTGAAATGAACACAGGACATGGAAACGTTAATTCTATTATGTAAAGAACTCTAACAAACTAAGTAAGAAAAATATTTTTTAAGAATAGCAGCATAGGCAAAAGCCACAATCATGAAATTCACAAAATAAGAAATACTAGTGTAGGTAAACAAATAAAAACAAGTTTAATCCTATTATTAATCAATGAAAAGCAAATTATAGCAACCAAGAAATATTTTTATTTATCAAAAAGCATACATTCTTTAAAGAACCATAATATGCAGCAATAGACATCTATTATATACCACTCATATATGACAGTTATGGACATAAATTTGGAGAAAACCATTTGGAAAAATACATTTAGCAGGCAAAAATCATTGTTTGATGTGTGTATATCTGTGCATTTATGTGAAACAATAGCTAATTAGTGAAATAAATTACAGTGCATTCCTAAGATACAGTCAGTAAAAATGAAGTTGAATTAAAAGTAAACACATGTATACTCTAACCTAATTTTAAAGCAATTAGAAGTTCAGGTGTAGGCAAAGAAAAAATACTGGAAGTATTCACACCAAGCTCAACTGTGTTTACCCTCTGGAGTGGAATCCTGAGAGATTTGTCATCCCTTTTTTGGGGGTGCTTACTTATTTCCTATGAGCATTTGTAATTACTTTTAAAGTGTATTTTTAAAAGAATGTGAAACAGGTGTCCATATCCTAACTTATCAAAACTCAAGCTCTTAATACATGGTAAAATCAAAATTTCAACGTGAATTTTTTTTTTTCTTTTGAGACGGAGTCTCCTTCTGTAGCGCAGGCTGGAGTGCAAGTGGCTCGATCTCAGCTCACTGCAACCTCCACCTCCCGGGTTCAAGCGATTCTCCTGCCTCAGCCTCCTGAGTAAGTGGGACTACCTGCCACCACACCTGGCTAATTTTTGTATTTTCAGTAGAGATGAGGCTTTACCACGTTGGCCAGGTTGGTTTCAAACTCCTGACCTCAAGTAATCCACCCACCTCCCTACATGAACGTTTTTGCGTCTTTTAAAGTTCATGTTTTTATTAGTACACATTATAACTTGCTCGTTGAAAAAATATTAAATTGAAACAGCAGAGCCAGAATATGTAAGACTGGAGAGAACACAGGATGGCCTCTGCGGGTGGATGGATGAGAAGAATATCCCTTCCCTCCTGCCGATGCTGCGCCACACCACAGCCTCACGGCTTGTTCTGTTAGACCGATGCCTCCGCCCGGCTCTCTCCGTGTCCTGCACACAGTACGCCACTACCCGGGGTATGAAATATAATACGTCCAAGGTCACTCAAAGGGCATCATATTTAAGACTTAAAATCTCTTCAAGTTCCCTGCCACCTCTGAAAAGAGTAGCAGATAATGAAATTCAGAACTTCGTTGTCCGAGTGACCCGGCACATGTGAGACTCTCCGGAGTTTTAGGGAGGAAAGCCCTTTATTATATGAAATACTAATTATGCACGGAGAGAGAGACGTCAATCACACTGCATCAACGGGAGAGCAGATACTTACCTGCCAAGGCAAAGAAGATGGAACAGTAGCTAATAAACAATAATAGACTGTTAATAAGACCTAAACATCAATATTTTTTCCCACAACAATGGCAGCGAAATTCAGGTTAAGAGAATAAATATATAAATATCAGCTATGTTTTCTAAAGATGTGTGCAGCTGCATTCAAAGTGAGAAAAATGTAAAAGGGAGATTCTGTGACATACCATATATATGGAGTTTTAATAACGCAATGTTGCCAACAAAATGTGTAAAGGATCCAAGGCATCACAACTCGAATTAGGGATATGCTTGATATTCATTTTAGAAAAATCTTTCCAATATTAGGTTAGTTAATGCAGTATTCTATTTTCAAAATCATGATCTAATCATTTCAATTTTATGTCTCTGTCATTAACCATTCTGCCAGAAGTATACCATGTGGTTTGGCCCTCTATTCAAATACTCATCTTTAATATATTTAAGTGGCTTGGGTTATCATAGAAAAAGGTCAGTCCTCCTTGGGCTCCCAGTCAGAGTTCCACTGATCTTCTCCCGTGGCTTCCTCCGTGAATTTCTCAGCAATGTTGCTCATGGTCTGACATCTGGTTGTGTGTGCCCATGCTCACCCCACCATGCTCTGAGGAGGATAGGAAGCCCCTCTAGGAAGCACCAGACATAGGGGTGACTGTATGGTCACCTCCCAAATGGTATCATTTATTCTCTCTGTGTTCAAGGATGATTACAAAGAAAATACGCACACACATACACACACACACTATCATATGAGGATAATGTACAACACCAAAAAACAGGTACGCTATACTGAGAATTTAGAAGCAACATCATCTCTGAAGAAACAGATAGGATTCTGGGAAAGTTCTGTATCTTGATTTGAGTGGTGTTTACCTGAGCAAATACATATGTAAAAATTAATTGAGCTGTATACTCAAGAAGTGTGCACTTGACTGCATTTAAGTTATATGTCCATTTATAACATGTAAAGGGAGGAGGAACACTAGGGGAAAAGATTCAATAACTGAGATTGACTGGGACACCATCACAAAGAAACCCCTGTATGTGTCAACACTGAGTGTAATGAAGCATGTGTGAATGCCCTCACAACTGCCAACCACAGTTACCACTCAGAAGAATGAAGAAAAGATAAGCGATTCAGAAGGCATATCCCCGAGATCCAAACTGGAAATGCAGGTGAGCATCAGAAGCAATTCTAAACAAAGGAAAAAGGAAAACAGTGTTGACCTTCTAACAATCTTTATCTCCTAAGAACGCTGGCCCTTTGTCATGTAACTTGTGCTGAGTCATGCAACTGTGCTGCATCCTCAAGGAGCATCCTCAAGGAGCCAGCCTGGGCTCATGCAGAAGGTGCAGTGCTCCAAGTATTCCAATGCTGAACTGCACGTTGTATGGTCTCTTCAGGCCAGGCTCAAAAGTGACAAAGCCTCACTTCACCAAATTATCTTGTTCAAAGCAATCAGAGCCAGTTCAAATTCAAATGGAGGGGAAATAGAGTCTATCTTTGGCTGGGACATACAATGAAGTCATGGGGACATGCATATAGGATGAGAGAAATTGTAATGATCATCTTTGCAAATATTTCCCAGGTTTTCATTTGACTTAGAGCATTGTTTATTTGTTGAATTAGTTAATATGCCCAATATATACCACGCTGTATTTGTGGTTTCTTGTTATACTGAGAAACTCTTATTCCAAAGCAAGTAAACCTTCATTCACATTTTCTTTCAATAATTTTAATTGTTTTAGTTCAGGGTTCAGTAAAGTTTTTCTGTAAAGGGCCAGATAGTAATTATTTGAGGCTTTGTGAGCCATAGAGTGTATGTGACAATTCCGTCTAGGAAAGCAGCCATAGACAATACATAAACCAATGTGCATGGGCATTCATATGGTTTGGCTGTGTTCCCACCCAAATCTCTTGAATTGTAATCCCCATAATCCCCACATGTCATAGGAGGGACTCATTGGAGGTAACTGAATGATGGGTGCAGTTTCCCACATGCTGTTCTTGTGATAGTGAGTCAGTTCTCATGAGATCTGATGGTTTTATAAGCATCTGGCATTTCCCCTGCTGGGACTCATTCTTTCTCCTGCTGCTGTGAAGAGGTGCCTTCCACCATGATTTTAAGTTCTTGAGGTCTCCCCAGCCATGTGGAACTCTTAGTCAATTAAATTCTATTTCTTTATAAATTACACAGTCTCGGGTATTTCTTCATAACAGTGTGAGAATGAACTAATACAGCCATGTACCAATAAACTTTATTTACAAAACCAGGTGATGGGCTGGATTTGGACTTCGGGTAGTAGGATGCTGACACTTGCCTTAAGGTATCTGGTCTTGTGTTTGTGTATGTGATGGGAAGAAATACAAACCTTTTCAAACAATTTTTATGGAATAATTATCAGATGAACAGTCGTTTTCTTACTGCTCCCTTATAGCTTATTTATCATCTGGTGAGTAGGGCCAGTTTCCATGCTGTCCATTTGGTTCCATAATCCTTTCATTCATGCACCTTATGTGTTTAATTATGTTTGCCTTTACATTACATGTTTTGTACCAAAGGTCAAATATATTCTCATTGTTCCTGTTTTGCAAAAGTGTCTCAGCTTATCTTTCCAATGCAGTCTTATAGGTGAACTTTAGGATAATATTCAAAGTATCAAAACAAACTTAATTTTTACTGGTATTCTTACGAGAACTACATTAAGTTGTATATTTTAATTATTTTATTTTATACTTTTAGGTAAAAAATACATCTTTACAATATTAGGTCTTTCTACCCAAGATCATGACACTTCTTGTTACTTAACCCTTGGTCTTGTGTAGTCTGCTGGATGGATGCTGAAGATCCTGTGGAAGATCCAAAGCCCTAGAGAGTGGCAAAGCGGCTAGAGGGAAGGAATTTGGACCTCCATAAACCATTATGAGAAAGACTATCCACCCCAAACTCATTTGCATTATGACAGGGAAGATAAACCTTTCTGTTGTTCACCAACTGAGGTTCTATGTTGTTTGTTTTTGTTACAGCAGCTAGTCGTCCCTGATTTATACGGTATCCTATATTCTTGTCCCTATACTCAATGAGTTTTTATTTTGCTTTACATTTCCTAAATGATTACCTTAGAAATCTTAAGAAAACTATTGATTTTGTCATGTACTTTTAGAGATATCTTAATCTTGTACATTACTAATTTAAATGATTTGTGTTGTTTTTCAATTGATTCTCTTGTGATTGTCAGCTGGATGTGAGCCTAACGATGTTACTTGTCTGTTCCCTTTAGATAGTATTACTCTTATTTGTTTCTTAATTTATTAGATTTTAGAAATTCTTCAATAGTTATGAAACAATGGAGAGGATAAAGAGCATTCTTGATTTTATCTCAAATTTATTTAAAATATTATGGTATTTTACCCCATTATGTTCTTTTTAGAGAAATATATATTCTTTACCATCATTTTATGCTAATTTTTTTCAAGAATGGGCATTGAGGCCGGGCGTGGTGGCTCACACCTGTCTGTAATCCCAGCACTTTGGGAAGCCGAGGTGGGCAGATCACCTGAGATCAGGAGTTCGAGACCAGCCTGGCCAACATAGTGAAACCCCATCTCTACTAAAACTACAAAAATTAGCTGGGCATGGGTGGTGGGCACCTGTAATCCCAGCTACTCAGGAGGCTGAGGCAGGAGAATTGCTTGAATCCGGAAGGCAGAGGTTGCAGTTAGCTGAGATCATGCCACTGCATTCCAGCCAGGGTGACAGAGTGAGACTCTGTCTCAAAATAATAATAATAATAATAATAATGGGCATTGACTTTGAGAAAATCATGTACATTGTTTTTCCTTGAACTGTATTTAAATAAACTATTTTCATTGATTTTCCAACATTAAGCCATTCTTCTATTGCCTACTTGGTTATGGTAAGTTCATTCTTAAAATACAATATTGTCTTGAGTTTATTAGTTAAGAAATGTATGCATCCATATTTAAGAAATTTATGCATCTATATTTTAGATAAAATTTGTAGCTTTAGTTTTGGTTTGCATATGTTAAGTTTTACTACATTAGTTTTAGTTTTATTGAATTTTGAAGTTTTCCATCTATAATCTAGTTTGGAGTCAACATTGTTCCCTCCTTTTGGCCCAAAGACAGTGAGTACTTGGACTAGTATCACTGCTAATGTGAGTTGGCATAAATAATGGTTAACAAATTCTTCCCTTTTCTGCATAAGAATTTGACCTTTAGTAAAATGTCTAGATCTGATTATCTGGAGACAAGATAAAGGTATAATGTCAACCAATTCTAAGACAATAGAGCTTATGGTAAAAATTAACTCCTAAACAGTAAAAATGCATCCTGACTAGGAGAATTACAAGTACCCAGAAAAATGATATGATTGGGCTTCCATAAATGTAGTGACTTGAAACTGGGCATCTCCCTTGCGGATACCCTAGAAGCCATGCCAGTGCAAATATTACAAGAAATTTTAGCTCCTGTGCTTCATAAGGCTTTCAAGCCAGGGGTTCACCCAAGTTAATCAATAAGTATCTTAATTCTTTGCACCTAAGATGTTACCAGGGACCAAAAATATTTTCACCAGACAAATTTATGGACTATTGCAAGGAATACCACAGAAGAGAAATACCTGTCACTGCACTGACATCACGCGATGCTTCCTAAGTGATTATGCTGCTGAGAGTGACTTATGGTAATCTATGAGTCTGAACATTTAATTGAGTTTAAAAAGACCCTTTGGTGAACATTGAAGCACTATCATGAGCACAATACTCTTCATCAGGATGTTAACACAGGTCATTATTAGAATCATTGTGGACCCATGGACAATTCTAGTCTTACAAGTATAGCACTTCCACACTCTAGAACGCATTACTTCTTGCTGCTTCCTTCCACAGTGTCAGCATGCAATGAAGGCTGATGTTTGTGTTGGTGGACATTTCAATTTTACTACAACTCATATTTCTACTTCTTTCTCTTACTCCTGCCTGGAGTACTTGTTCTAGCTGTCTTAAGAAATGCCCATCACCCCACACTGATGTCCAAGTTTTCAATTTAAATAACTATGTTTTTGTATTTCTAGAAATTCTATTGGCTATTTTTAAAAACTGCCTTTTTTATGTTGTCTTTTTCTTCCATTATAGTGCCTATTTCTTCTTTCACATTTATAACCACTTGAATAATTAGTATTTCCAAATTAAATAATATTACTTCACTGACATGTTTAGACTCTCTTTTATCTCAGGTCTTCTAAGTACTATACGTGGACATGTTTTATTTGTGAACTCTCACTTAAAATAGATTATTTCCTTATGTAGTTTATTAATTATGATATCTTAAGTTATGCCTTGGAAGCAAATAATCTGAAAGTTTAAATGTTTTTAAAACTCCTATCTATTGGGATATGAGTGTAAATCATTCTATTGGTAATACCCTTCCCATGAGGACTGAGGTGGACATTATTTTTCAATACATGCTTCCGAAATCAGCCACCTTGGCAGAATGAGAATAGCACACAAACTCTTAAGTGCTTCCACCAGAAGTGACACATATCATTTCCAAGCAACTTTATTGGCTAAAGCAAGTCTCATTTCATTCAAGAGGATGAAGGAATGCATTAACACTGAGTGCCTAAAAAGGGGAAAACACAGACATGTTGATGAGTAGCTTAAGGAACTACCACCCATGGTGTCTAATTTTTTATTGTGAGCTCAGCTTAGTCGAGAACTATTTTTATGATGGGCACTGTTTGTGCTCTGTATATTTGAGGTGCCCTCACAGAAAATATTTGTATTAATTTCTGCCTGATGCCCCAAAGATTTTAGGATTTTACAGATATAACCAGTTTTGGTGTTAACTTTTTAGCTTTGGTTCGTCTATCTCATAAATTATTGTCTGTCTGCCCAAGGGTTGCTCAGGTTTATAGTTTTAATATTTCACTGGATTTTTTTTTTACAGAGGTAAGCTTCCTTATTGCTCACTTAGAAATTTTAGACCAATCACACGAAACATGCAGCCATGTCAGTTTCCACCTTCCACCTTGCCTGTCCTGTGTGCATGTTCAAACCCCTGCCTCTAGCATTAAAGTTCATATCTTATCTGATGTCCTTGTAAGCCACCACAGTATCACTGTGCATATTTAACATATTTTATTTTATTTTATTTTTGAGATGGAGTTTCGCTCTTGTTGCCCAGGCTAGAGTGCAATGGCGCCATCTCGGCTCACTGCAACCTCTGCCTCCTGGGTTCAAGAGATTCTCCTGCCTCAGCCTCCTGAGAAGCTGGAATTACGGGCATCCACCACCACACCTGGCTAATTTTTTCTATGTTTAGTAGAGACGGGGTTTCACCATGTTGGCCAGGCTGCTCTCGAATTCCTGATCTCGGGTGATCCACCCGTCCTCGGCCTCCCAGAGTGCAGGAATTACAGGTGTGAGCCACCGCACCCGGCCTACTTAACATACTTTAAATATTCTCTTTATTTATGTTACTTGAAATTTCCTGGCTATCCATTCACAAATTTGGTCAAAATTTATTCTGCGTTTCTGTTATTTTATCTGCTATGTTGCCAGAAATGCAAATACTGTGCACATGTTTAATTATGAATCTTCTCTACAACATTGTTAACTACCACAAAGATAGGAATTACATCAATTTATTAACTCTTATCTCCATCTTGTATCCCAGAGCTTGATAAATGTTTTACAATGAACAAATAAATATTACCACCCTAGGGTACTTGAGTGTTTAATGAAAGCAGACATCAATTCTTTCTCTTCTTGTAAAAGCATGCCTTTCATCTCATCAAGAAATGAAATCTATTTCCCTTCTCCTGAATCTGGGCTGGTTGTGTGACTTGACTTGTCCAATAGAAAACAGTGGAAGTGAGGTTCTGGGACTTCCAAACTTATGTCTTAATATAATTATAACTTCCACTTTTTTGTCCTGGAGCTTGGCCATTTGAATATAAGGAAATCCATACTAGAATACTAAATGAATGAGACCACATGGAGAGAAGTCCTGTAGAATGAGAGGTCACCTTGGATATTCCAGTCCCAGCCAAGCTTTCTGCATAACAGACTTCAAACATGACCATCAGAGAAATCACCCAACTGAGCCCCAGTCAACCAATGAAATTGTAAGAAATAATAAATTCTTAGTGTTGAGGCAACCAAATTTTGGGGTGGTTTGTTACATAATAATAAATAACTGAGACACTTAGCTAATGACCAGTAACTGGCTGTGCCACTGAAAAAGACAATTGGACAATTATCTTAAAATTTACATCATAATTTGTAAGGAAAAAAACCCTAGAAAGTAGAATGACAGTCTTAAGCTGACATGACTAAAATAAAAAATAATTTAAACAATTATGAATGTTTTAAAAATTGATTCTAAAACTCAGATACATTGGCATTTGGAGACTGGTTTACTCTTGGGTTAAAAGGTGTACAGGTAATTGACTTGTTCAGCCAATTTCTGAAAAGATTTACTGAATTTGATGTGAGTTTTCTCACATTTACACCACAACTTGGTTTTATACAGTTAAATTCCTTAAGTAGAAGAAAATAATCTATAGATTTCTGGCTGAGGAAACCCACCAAGCGCTTTCCCACATTCTAATGTATTCAGTTCTTTACCTATGGGTCTTTAAATCTGGCATTTTACAATGATACCACTCTAGTACTGATGCCAAACAAAGGCTTCAGCAATGATCATCAAAGGTTGTAACTTTTCATGCTTTTGACATTTCATAAATTCTGACTGGAGATTGTAGAAAAAAAGTGAAACAAACTCTAACGTGTTAACTGATTTTATTACAAACATAAAACATTTCATATTATAGCACAATAATTTTTGTGTTATGATTGTCCAGATCAAGGCAATATAGCTATTTCCATGCATTTCAACAGAATTGCCCACAAGATGTGTTAGGTTGCATGGAAGAGAATGAGTTGGGAGGATCACACCAAAAATAAAGTACATCGTAGCTTTATTGTTGTTGGCTGCTGTTTCTGCAAAGTTTCTAGAAAATGAAGAACTGTTTATGTGATGGATTATGTTTATTGACTTGGGTATGTCGAACCAGCCTTGCATCCCAGGGATGAAGCTGACTTGATCGTGGTGGATAAGCTTTTTGATGTGCTGCTGGATTCAGTTTGCCAGTATTTTATTAAGGATTTTCACATCGATGTTCATCAGGGATATTGGTCTAGAATTCTCTTTTTTTGCTGTGTCTCTTCCAGGCTTTGGTATCAGGATGAAGCTGGCCTCATAAAATGAGTTAGGGAGGATTCCCTCTTTTTCTATTGATTGGAATAGTTTCAGAAGGAATGGTACCAGCTCCTCTTTGTATCTCTGGTAGAATTCGGCTGTGAATCCATCTGGTCCTGGACTTTTTTTGGTTGGTAGGCTATTAATTACTGCCTCAATTTCAGAGCCTGTTATTGGTCTATTCAGAGATTCAACTCTTCCTGGTTTAGTCTTGGGAGGGTGTATGTGTCCAGGAATTTATCCATTTCTTCTAGATTTTCCAGTTTATTTGTGTGGAGATGTTTATAGTATTCTCTGATGGTAGTTTGTATTTCTATGGGATTGGTGGTGATATCCCCTTTATCATTTTTTATTGCATCTATTTGATTCTTCTCTCTTTTCTTCTTTATTAGTCTTGCTAGTGGTCTATCAAGTTTGTTGATCTTTTCAAAAAACCAGCTCCTGGATTCATTGATTTTTTGAAGGGTTTTTTGTGTCTCTATTTCCTTCCGTTCTGCTCTGATCTTAGTTATTTCTTGCCTTCTGCTAGCTTTTGAATTTGTTTGCTCTTGCTTCTCTAGTTCTTTTAATTGTGATGTTGGGGTGTCGATTTTAGATCTTTCCTCCTTTCTCTTGTGAACATTTAGTGCTATAAATTTCCCTCTACACACTGCTTAATATGTAGAAAGATGAAACTGGATCCCTTCTTTACACCTTATACAAAAATTGATTCAAGATGGATTAAAGACTTAAATGTTACACCTAAAACCATAAAGACCCTAGAAGAAAACCTAGGCAATACCATTCAGGACATAGGCATGGGCAAGGACTTCATGATTAAAACACCAAAAGCAATGGCAACAAAAGCCAAAATTGACAAATGGGATCTAATTAAACTCAAGAGCTTCTGCACAGCAAAAGAAACTACCATCAAAGTGAACAGGCAACCTATAAAATGAGACAAAATTTTTGCAATCTACCCATCTGACAAAGGGCTAATATCCAGAATCTACAAAGAACTTAAACAAACTTACAAGAAAAAAACAAACAACCCCATCAAAAAATAGGCAAAAGATATGAACAGACACTTCTCAAAAGAAGACATTTATGTAGCCAACAAACACATGAAAAAAATGCTTATCATCACTGGTCATCAGAGAAATGCAAATCAAAACCACAATGAGATCCCATCTCACACCAGTTAGAATGGCGATCATTAAAAAGTCAGGAAACAACAGGTGCTGGAGAGGATGTGGAGAAATAGGAACACTTTTACACTGTTGGTAGGACTATAAACTAGTTCAACCATTGTGGAAGACAGTGTGGCAATTCCTCAAGGATCTAGAACTAGAAATGCCATTTGACCCAGTGATCCCATTACTGGGTATATACCCAAAGGATTATAAATTATGCTACTATAAAGACACATGGACACATATGTTTACTGAGGCACTATTCACAATAGCAAAAACTTGGAACTCACACAAATGTCCATCAATGACAGACTGAATTAAGAAAATGTGGCACATAGATACCATGGAATACTATGCAGCCATAAAAAAGGATGGGTTCATGTCCTTTGCAGGGACGTGGATGAAGCTGGAAACCATCATTCTCAGCAAACTATCACAAGGACAGAAAACCAAACACCGCATATTCTCACTCACAGGTGGGAACTGAACAATCAGAACACTTGGACACGGGGTGGGGAACATCACACATGGGGGCCTGATGTGGGGTGGGGGGTAGGGGGAGAGATAGCATTAGGAGAAATACCTAATGTAAATGACAAGTTAATGGGTGCAGCAAACCAACATGGCACATGTATACCTATGTAACAAACCTGCATGTTGTACACATGTACTCTAGAACTTAAAGTGTAATTTTAAAAAAAGAAAATAAAGAAGTGAAGTTTTCTCTCAACTCAACATTCTTTATCTGATTTTGTAGAAATAAAGTATATTTATCATCCATATCATTTATGTTGATGATTGCTTAAGCATGAAATAAGAGAAAAGAGGAGAGCAGAGGGTCACTGCTCATTGCCAAGTACAGGTTAATGAAATCCCTGTCTTCTGTGAGTGCTTTTTGCGTGAAGCTGTCTTTTGGTCTTAAAATAGCTCTTCCAACACAGCTCTTCTGATATTATTCTTCCATTAAATCATCACCAAGGTAATTGTATCCTATTGATGAAAGAATCTATTGATGCTCTATTTCCTTTTTATCAAGTAAAGGTCACATTAAGTGAAAATGTCTATTAAGTAAATAGCAAATAAATTGAATCCTGTAATGAATGTCTCCATCTGTATACACCACAGAGAGGAAAAAATGAAACTGCACATATAGATTTAAAATTAGTTGAAGATAAATGTAAAAATATGGTAGTCTCTTGAGAAAACATTGCATAAATGAAATTCAGACAGCAATGGGTTTTAAAGAGTGGACAATTTTTCATCACTATAGAAAACTTTTACTGTAAGTCCAGTAAAACATTGATACTTTTCTACTGGTTTGAACAGTATATTTACACAACACTAAACAATTTAGAAGAATAATGAAGGATTATACAAATTTTATTTTTTTATCCATACAGTGTCATAATACTTATTAGGAATTTTATCTGGACTTAATTAAACAACATTCTATATACACACATATACACACAGTAAATCTTGAAGCTCAGACTTAATTCATTACACTTTCTACCAAATCATGAAAATATCCCTTTTCATAAAATGAAACTATTCACTAAATAGAAACAACCCTAAATTTTGAATAAGGATAAATTTTGAGTCTTCTAAGCAAGTGTGAACCAAGGAACCAATTATTCCAATTCCTTGTTATAGGCACAGGAACATAAAGACAGTAGTATTCTTCACTAAATATTCACAAGCTTCTCATCATATATGCAAATCTTAGAGCCATCCCATATATTTCACACAACAAAGAGCCATTGGGAGTGCTGTGTGATGGGCCTGAGAGTTGACGCTGCCGTGGGGAAAGGGACTGCATGGACAAAAGGTGTGTTCCTGAGAAACAGATTCGAAGAGGGGCCTGGATTTCTCTCTTGCCAGAATGAAAGCTTTGAGAAACCAAAGATCAGTTGCACACCACAAATTATGTGAGAAGAGGGGTTTCTATATGAAGACAATGTTAAATTTGCAGGGCTAATGGTAGGAAACTGACTCCACAGAACCCTAGAGAGCCTAGGAATGCCTGATGCCCAAACCATTTTTTCCACAAATGACAATGTGGTCTTCATAACTCTGCATTTGACTCAAGAATCAAAACCATCTGGATGTCTGTATATTCTTTTGAAACCACAGACTAATGGTTTCTGACATGCATAGTTATATGTGCCCCAATTATAAAAAGGTGTGTGATACCGTATAACATTAAGATTCTAACATCTACCAAGACCCTTATCTTTCATGGAGGATGTCACCAGTAGTCAAAGACCCTACAGAAACACTCAAGGCCCTTAAGCAGCTGCCCAGAGGCAGGCTCTTCTGCTGGAAGCAGCAGCTTACTTTCAATAACATGTGGTTTTAAAGCAAAGGCCTAGTCTAAGTGGGCTTGCGTAGTGAGGAGGGGGCTCTCCTCAGCAATCTTTAGGCCCTGATTTAAGAATTTTTAACCAATGTAATTAGAAAGTATGTGTAAACTGGGCATTCAGAGTTGTGGGATTAAAATTAGTTCAAAATTCTAAAAATAAAGACACAAAAATCTGTTATCACAGGATGACAAGTGTGGGTAATAGTCTACCATGGAATGAGTAGAAGCTGGGGATTTTAGGGAGAATGGCAAGCCATGGCAATGAGGAACAAGGCAAATACCTGACCCACGTCCAGTCTTCCATGTTCTGGTGGGTTTAGGGTAGGGATGGGAACTAGTGGAGAGGGCAGTGTGCTCACTGTACTCTTCACACTTCTTGTAAAAATGTGTCCAATCATGTACTCTCAAAGAAAATGGGATTTCCCTCTGTTCCTACCAGAATACTGGTGGGATGGACAGAAACTGCCTATCCATAGATAGCATCCATTCCTAAATTCCCTTACTAGGGCTTTATAGTTACAAAGAAGGACAACCCACTCATCCCAGCTCAGGTGAAGGCGTCTATTGTAAGGAAGACTATCAAGCTGCATGGAAACATAGAAAGCAGCAGAAACGGAGGTGGGCTCCACAGGAACTAGGAACTGGGAACTGAAGCCAAACTAGTCTGTCAAAGGCCCTGTTTCCCTGCATCTCCCCACACAAGGCACCGGGACACACTAGGGGAGGAGAAAGGGTGACAAAGGGCCTGCCCTGGGAGCAGAAAACCACACACACATAAACGAACTCATGTTTAGAGAAAGCCGTGTTGTGGGTTATCATGAAAGGAACAGAGTTCTAGAGTAGTACACAGGAAAGGACACAATTTCATCCATCAGTCAGGGAAGTTCTCCCCAGAGACGTGACTTTTCAACTGAGACCAGAAAAATAGCCAAGGGGAAAAAAGCGAGGAGGCATGGGAGACCGTTTTGTACCATAGAGACTGGAGCAGAAGAAAGCCACAGCCTTGCAGCATGCCAGACGCCCCACAACTGAGACTCCCTGACGCGCGTGGACCCTCCGTGCGAAAGCTCCTGGGCTGCGTGCCTAGGGTCCATCTTCTCTGAGAAAACTTAACAAAAATGCCCCCTCCTGAGTTCCTAGTGCCTTTTTGAAACATTAAGAATCACAAAGTACTATTTATGGTCTCCAGTCTTAGGATTGTCTTTTTTTTTTCTAGTTAGTTGTTTTTAATATTTTTACTTATAAAATCTGTAATTCTACCTATTCAAAAATAATAAAATATTCATTTTAAGTAAACAAAGTGCAGCAGTGAACCAAATTCAGCGAGAAGTAGGCAGTGGTTCTTAGCCCTGTCTGCACATTAGAATCACCTGGGGGAGGTTTTTTGGTTTTCTTGTTTTTTTAAATTAGAGATTCTGGGGGTACATGTTGTGAAAGAGGGTACATGTTGTGAAAATAAATCTTGGGGCCCCCAAATCACTATGCTAAAGGGAAAAGTCAAGGTGGAAACTGCTTAGGGCAAATCTGCCTCCCATTCTATTCAAAGTCACCCCTCTGCTCACTGAGATATATGAGTATCTGATTGCCTCCTTTGGAAAGGCTTATCAGAAACTCAAAAGTCTGCAACCATTAGTTCCTCTATCACCCACCTGTGACCTGAAGCCCCCTCCCTGCTTCCAGTCTTCCTGTCTTTGCTTCGAGTTCTCCTGCCTTTCCAGACTGAACCAATGTACTTCTTCCGTATATTGATTGATGGCTCATGTCTCCCTAAAATGTATAAAACTAAGCTGTGCCCCAACCACCTTGGGCACATGTCGTCAGGACCTCCTGAAGCTGTGTCATGGGCACATCCTCAGCCTTGGCAAAATAAACTTTCTAAATTAACTGGGACCTGTCTCAAAAGTTCAGGGTTCACATTTTGGTAACCACGGGGGGATTCTGAGTGGAGATGCCCCTGACCTTTGACAAATCTCACATCGGTGCTTGGTACCAGCATGAGCTAACTTTATGGCTCAAACCAAAAGGACAATCTGCTGAGGTCTGAACGCAACCCCTCCAGAGAATCCCTGATCTCCCAAAATTTGAGATCTAAAGTTTATTTTGCTGTACAACTCCTTTTTTTTTTTTTTTTTTTTTTTTTTTTGGAGTTTTGCTTGTTTCCAACACAAGGAAGACAAGTTTTTCCTGCCTCTGTGATGATGGAAGGCAAGTAACTCCTTTATAGAGTTTGAGCTGTCTTCCAACAGGGAAGATGAGTTATCTGTTTTTTTGTTTTTCTGTTTCTAAGATGGTAGAGAGCAGTCTACAGCCTGAGACCCATCACTAGTAAGAAACTGGTTTGGGATTCTGTCTTGCACATTCCCTTTAAATGACTAAAGGTAGCATTAACACCAGCTGGTGTTAATTTCTGCTTACATTTAAGGGCTCAGAAATCATATAATTTGTGCGATCACAGTTCGTTTAGCAGCATTTTGTCCTAGCTGAAATATAGCAATAAGATTTTTTAAAAAGCTTTTTTTTAAGTGTTCAATGGTTAAGAGTCAGCTCAACTAAAAGGCTAACATCCAAGATGTATGTGTGTGTGTGTGTGCGCGCGCATGTGTGCATGTTTGTATTTGAAAGGCCTTTATGGTTTTGTTTTAAAAGCTAGCTTATTTATTAAAGATTTTACTCTCCTAGGACCTTGTCTTTCTTTTTGAGCAAAAGTTTTTCTCTTTCTTTTCATTTGACTGAATTGTTTTCACCTGATTTTTTTTTTTTTTTTTTGACTAAAATAGTTACTGCAACAGAGGGTACTCTCTTGGTTTTTAAGAAATTTATGTTTAATTTGGCTGAAAGAAAAATAAAAGCGTCTCCCTCTAGCACCACCAGACCTTTTCTCTCTGTACCTTAAGTGAGGTAAAATTTGCTATTTGATTTTCACAAACTGAGTTGTTTAATGTGCAAATTTAGGGCTATTTAGCTGACAACTGCCTAGGGTTGTGAAAGAGGTTATCAAGAATCTGAAAGTCTAAGCTAGAGAAAAAAAAAGGGAGGTGACTTTATAAATCTATAAAATGTACTTCCGTCAGCATGCCTAATACATCTTTATATGTATTTATGTGTTGTATACAAAATATTTCACTACTAAAAATATATAAAAGAGCTCTAACTGGTTTCAAGAAAAATAAAAGCACCTAAATCAGATACTAAAAAAGACTAGTCACATGCTTTTTTCATGTTTATGCAACAAGTAAAATCTTTTTTCTTCTGAGACGGAGTCTCACTTTTGTCTCCCAGGCTGGAGTGCAATGGTGGGATCTCAGCTCACTGCAACCTCCACCTCCCAGGTTCAAGTGATTTTCCTACCTCAGCCTCCCGAGTAGCTGGCATTACAGGCACCCGCCACCACGCCTGGCTAATTTTTTTGTATTTTTAGTAGAGAGTGTTTCACCATGTTGGCCAGGCCGGTCTCGAACTCCTGATCTCAGGTTATCTGCCTGCCTTGGCCCCACAAAGTGTTGGGATTACAGGCATGAGCCACCATTCCTGGCCAACAAGTAAAATCTTTTTTTTTTTTTTTTTTTTGAGACGAAGTCTTACTCTGTTGCCCAAGCTGGAGTGCAGTGGCGTGATCTCGGCTCACTGCAACCTCTGCCTCCTGGGTTCAAGTGATTCTCCTGTCTCAGCCTCCTGAGTAGCTGGGATTTACAGGCACCCACCGCCACATTTTTTTTTTTTTTTTTTTGTATTTTAATAGAGATGGGGTTTCACCGTGTTGCCCAGGCTGGTCTTGAACACCTAAGCTCCGGTAATCCACCCGCCTCAGCCTCCTAAAGTGCTAGGATTAGAGGCGTGAGCCACCACGCCCAGCCAGTAAATTCTTTAATAAATACGCTAGCTTTAAAATGATTGGTAAAGAAATATTAGAGGCTGGACACGGTGGCTCTTGCCTGTAATCCCAGCACTCTGGGAGGCCAAGAGGGGCAGATCACCTGAGTTCAGGAGTTGCAGACCAGCCTGACCAATGTGGTGAAACCCCATCTCTACTAAAAATACAAAAGTTAGCAGGGAATGGTGGCATATGCCTGTAATCCCAGCTACTTGGGAGGCTGAGGCAGGAGAATCGGTTGAACCCAAGAGGCGGAGGTTGCAGTGAGCCAAGATAGTGCCACTGCACTCCAGCCTAGGTGACAAGAGTGAAACTTAGTCCCAAAAAAAAAAAAAAAAAAATTAGAAATGTCTTAAGAATTGCCAACATACATGTTTTGTTTTGCATTTATTAATCAAACAATTTCATACTTATCCCTGACAAATACTGTAAGATGTCGAAATTTGTCATAGCGGTTTCAAAACTATAAACCCAGCCCAAAACAGAATGATGTTTTTGTAATTTTTAATAAATAAGACATTGATAGGGGTTTATTGAAAATAGCTGCATCTTGAATTTAGTAAGATTACCATAACTTCTAAGCCTGTGGTTTTAGGCAGTCTAGTCCATTGGCATAAGGAGGTTTGTTTTGAGAAAGCACTGTTATCTTTGTTTCACAGCTATAAACTAAGTTCCTCCCAAAGTTAGTTCAGCTGATGCTCAGGAATGAACAAGTACACTGTGGAGGCTAAGAGCAAGATGGAGTTAGTTAGGTCAAATCTTGTTTCACTTTCAGTTATAATTTTGCAATAGCAGTTTCATAACTTTAAATTCATGATTATCAGTTTTCATAAATAATCTAGGTAAACAATTAAAATAACTAGGTACATGTAATAGGATAAATACTTACAGACAAACCGGTCATAATTTAGAATATAAAGTTATATTAAATTAAATAATAGATACTTCATTATTTGGGTATTTTCCAATAAATATATATTGTAGGAAAATGTTCTTGCAAAAAAAAAAAGTATGTCCTTTTTTAAAAAAAGATTAAAAATTTGTGTCTAATTCAAAGCTTATTTAAAGATTATATATAAAACAACGTAAAAGGAACCAGGAAATAAACTTTCTAAATTAACTAAGACCTGTCCCAAATTTTCAGGGTTCACAATGTACAGACTTGTTGCATATGCATATATTGTGTAATGGTGAGGTTTGGGCTTCAAGTGGACCCATCACCGAAATTACAAATGTTGTTCTTTTATTACTACCTAAGCTAAACTTCCACTTAGCTCTTAGACCATTAGACTCCTGTGGCTGGCAATGTAACACCACTTACTATGACAACAGGAAGCTTTTGGCTAAAATAATTTTCATTTCATTATAGGGGAACTTTCTCATGTCCTATCTTTGCAGTCACCTATGCTTCTTTGTCTTGCATTATGCCTACCTACATTGAGACCAACGCCAGACATCTCCCCAACATCCACTCTTATGGTGGACCTTTCATTATGATATAAACCGGCTGGAAATTCACTGAAGCATTTTTCAGTACTACCTTTTCTAACATGCAAGGGATTTTAAGAAAATTAATATGGTAACCATTTGTATTTATTCGCCAATAAATATTTGAACCTATATCCTGTGTCAGGCACTATTTTGTTTGTGGAATGCATCCATGAAAACAACAAAGATCTCTGCTTTTGCAGAGTTTACACCCTAAAATTGCCTCTTAAAATGTTAATAGGGATTAACTTTGTAACTACAGTAGTTATAACATACCTGTGTGCCACCCTTTCCACATTTCTACTGCATTCGGGGGTCCAAGGTCGCCATCCTAGGAGAGCTTATGAGTGTTCTGGTTTTTTACGAAAGTGTGAGAGTCATCCTCATAGGGTAGGTCACATGGGGGCCAGGAGAGAGTTGAAGCACAAATAGTCAAATGCCTGCCAGGTAATACCTGGCATTATTCTGACAGCATCCATGGAAGGCCCACACCCCACAGGAGGTGGCAGAGCCACATAGTTTTTCTTCCAGAACAGTTTGTGTTATTCCCTCCAATGAAATGGTCTACAAATATGGGCTAAGTTCTCCCTGGGTGCTTCCCTGGTGTGGCCCAAAAAGTACTGGCCTCTGTCTAAGAGGGAGCCTCATTCCCTCCCTCACTTCCTACCAGGTCAGACCTCCTCCTCTCCTAGCCCACACCCCAACTCCTCTAGGATCCACTGGTTTCTTCACAAACCCAAGAGCAGGTGAGGATGACAGTGGTCTCTTACTTCCTCTACACGCCTACCTCCTTCTAGTTCTATTGTTATGCCATATACTACCCTGTGCCTTCCTATCCTCAAGATTTACCTTTGATTCTCAAAAGTCCTGTCCTATACGTTGAATAAAACTTGAACTTTGACTTTGTACAGCTCCTTTTACTCACTCCACACGAGTCCCTTCTTTGGCAGGCAATGTGTTGCCTCTGACTGACTTGGGAAAAGTAAATTTTCAAGTGATCAGGTATAAAAAGCACAAAGTTGATTGTTTCTTGATACTGTCCTATTGTCACAGCTTCTCTTAAAGCAATGTGCCAACTCTAGGAAACTCTGAGGAACAAAACATGTACCCATCCTTTGAGACAACACCTGTATTACCTCTAGTATCTGCCTTTTGAAATCCAATGTATCCTAAAGTTTCCTCTACAATATATGCTCCTCAGGAAAACCCTTCTCACCCCACCCGATACACACAAGTGGGTATAAGTATTAAGAATACTCTCACGAATGCCTCCAATGCAGGAGCCAATGGGCTCTCCATAAAACTAAATCTTCTGTCTCCTCTACCCTTGTTCCTTAAAGTAGCATCAGCATCGCCTGGGAGTCCATGCAAGTTCTATAGAAATGTGAAATCTCAGCCCCCTCCCACACTTCCCGAACTGGGATCTGCAGCAAGACCTTCAGGTGGTTCATCTGCACACTGCAGTGTGGGAAGCTCTGCTCCTAGCGCCACCAGCACATGAAGAGTGGGCCTCAGAATCACACCCTCCCGTCCTCCAGTCTCACTGCCTTGCCTCAGTGAGTCTCACTACCTTGCCTCACTACTCTCAGGAAAAGAAGGGCAAAAACCATCATGCCCTTAATTCCTACTCCTTTCAGAAGACCAAGACTCCTGACCATCCCTTATAAGCTGCTCTCTTATTTCTCTTTTTCTGATTCCATCTTTCACCCTTCCTTAACTCCCGAAACCCTTCCATGCTGCCCATCAGAATCCACGGTCAGTTATAGAGAATCTCAAACACTTCAACCTCATTTCAGAACATTTCCTTTCCCCTTATGCTGTTCCAGCACTGGATAGCCAGCAGCCCTATCCATGGAGATTTCATTCCCTCTCCCATCCTACTCACAAGGCTGGGGCTGGAGGGCAGGCAGCTTCTCCTTGTTCCTCAAAGCAACTTCGAGATCATCCTCTTCCCACAGCTCCACCCTCCAGTTCTGACACGTGTATCATCAGTCAGCAGCATCCACTATCCCTCCTAACAGTATTCATCTGAAACAGCACTCACCTCCGGTCATTGTGCCCTCACACCATGCCCCAGAAGACTTTGGCTCCAGGCTTGCTGTCCTTCTTTCCAACCCTACTTCTATGGTAATTCACGGTAATTTAATACCCACAAACATAATCCTTCTCAATACACTGGCCTCCCAGCTTCTTGACTTCCTCACCTCCAAGAATCTTGATTTTCAACCTGTATTAGCTACTGAATCCCATGGTCTTTCCAATGTTACAACTGGTCATTACCAATAACTACAGGCCCTCCATAATTCGATTCCAAGCATTGTACTTTGCAACCAGCAATTCTACCTTTCTAGTTAATTCTCCTTAGGACCCCAATTTAAACAAACCTGTACCTCTCTGGTACACACAGTCTATGTTGTCCCTCACGCACATCTTGCCTTCTATTTCTTACCTAGCTTGAATTCCATGGAACTACTCTATCATTCTCTGACATGTGTCCTCAACCTCACTGCCTCCTCCCGTCTTCTCCTCCTTGGAAAGAGTCTGATTCTGTACCCATATTCTCCCTCATCAGCAAGAATGAGCTATTCCCACTACCACTTGAACCAGACTCCCTTTCTTCTCACCCCCTCCTCATCAATTTTCCCCTCAGACCATTCCTATCACCATAAAAACACTGTTAGTTCTCTCATATTAAAAATAAATCCTCTCTCAACCCGAATACCCCTTTAACCTATTGCCCTTTACAAAAATCACAGGAGCAGTTTGTCCATACTCCTCAACTCCCCTCATTGTCTTTTGAACCACCCCAGCCAGGCCCTCCAGATTATAACCAACCTCTACATTGCTAAGCCTGTGTCAAACCTCGATCTTTATCTCACATAACCTACCAGCAGCATTTGGCTCACCTGCTCACTGATTCCTGGAAACCTTTCTTCTGGCTTCATGATTCCCAAATCATTATCTCTAGTTGAAACACCTCCTCGGAACTCCAGACCGGTATATCCAACCGCACATTCAACCTCTACTTCACTAATAGGCATTTCAAACCAGCATTCCCCAAACCAAACTCCTAGCCATTCTCCAACATCTACCCTTCTCATCTTCCCCATTTTAGCAACTGCAGTATCACCAGGCTTTCATTGTTTGTCAGTGATATGCATGTAATTATTCACAAAGGAGAACTATTTTGGTGCCTAGTTGATGTTCAGATGCTTTGAGATTGAATTAAACAAATTACTTTTTTTTTTTTTTCCGAGACAGAGTCTCACTCTGTCACCCAGGCTGGAGTGCAGTGACACAGTCTCGGCTCACTGCAACCTCCGCCTCCCGGGTTCAAGTGATTCTCTTGCCTCAGCCTCCCAAGTAACTGGGACTACAGGCGCACGCCACCGTGCCCGGCTAATTTTTTATATTTTTAGTAGAGACAGGGTTTCACCATATTGGCCAGGCTGGTCTCAAACTCCTGACCTTGTGATCTGCCCGTCTCAGCCTCCCAAAGTGCTAGGATTACAGGCGTGAGCCACTGTGCCCAGCCGCACTTTATTCTTTTACGTTGACAGGAGATGACTTATTGTCAGTTAGAATTAACTCCTCAGAGATAAGAGAGGTCTGAGTAAATAATGCATTGGTAGTTGCCTTAAAAAAGAATCAGAAATACAAAGAGTTTTATTTTACTCACCTCTATCCTGCTCTGCTTGGTTGCCTGAGCTAAGCATTTAATGAACTTAGAATGAGAATTGTGCAGTCGTACTTCAGAAGTATTCTTTTCTGAATGAGGCTGTCCACATTTCTGAGTAGCTACATGCAGCTAGTTACATGGGAGCATTTTCTACTACAAAAGTCATAATACAACAAGCTAGTGACCTCCAGCTGGGCTTTAGCTGAAAAGACGAGCTGTGTGGCTGGGTAACGTTTCTCAATCTCAATTGATGTTAAGAATCACCATCTAAGAGCATTTTTATAAAGCAAAGAATCCAAGGCCCAACATCTAGAGATGCTGATGTGGTAGATCTAAGGTGGGGCAAGTGCCCATGTGAGTCTCATATTTGAGAAAGGTGGAAAGCACTGGTCAGTGAAGATGAGACTGGGTAATCCTATAAGAAGCTGACAATATTAATAATAATACACACAAAAGTTACAAATGTTAGGTGAAAATATTCATACAGTAAAATTACTATCATTGAGAATTCCTTCATCCCAAAATACCATAATGTAAATGAAAACACCTGCCAAAACAAAAGAAGACAGGCACAATGTACTAATAGGAGAATGTAGAGCAGGAGTCTCTTACTGGAGGGGTAGAAATTAGCATGACTTCAGAAAATGATGGGCATTACCAAGGCTGAACATGGACATAATTTGACACTGCAGTTTTACTTAGGTATGAGACCAAATGAAATGCTTGCACAGCTATACCAGAAGACATGTATACCCACATTCTTAGCAAGAAAACTTGGAAGAAAAATTGTTGAAAGCAAAAAACTGAAAACAACCCAAACGTCCATCAATAATAAAACAAATGAAAAAGTTACAGAATAATTTCATAACAGTAAGTTATATACCAGTGCAAATAAATGGACCACAGTTACTGCAGCTATGTTATCTGCATGCATGAACCTCAAAAATACTCTTTTTAGAGAGAAGGCAAGTCACAAACGAATACAAACAGCGTGATTCCAATTACATGATGTTAAAAACAAGTGAACAAAAACGTGTTGTTCACGTACCCATACACGTGGTACACAACCTGAAGAAAAACGAGATGACTTTGCTTGCAAAGAAGAGAAACTGGGGAACTGCCACAGGAAGGGCATTAGTATGTTTTGCTACAGGTACTTAACAAACAGAAAATGTTTAAGAAATTCCTTCAGGTGATTCATGCATGGTGAAGTTTAATACTGTTTCACAGTATATAGCTCTCATATATGCTAGGAGTAGGGTGAATAAGAAAAATATACTTATTCTTTCCTACTTAAGAAATGCAACTGTTGCTTGTGAAGGTTACTCTGCTCTATCACCAGAATTCTTGGTCAGCCCTCATTTCATTTGCATGTATACATACAAAATATGTATGTAATACCTTATCCGCTCATGTGTCAAGAACCAAGTAAGTCATCAAAATAATCAGCCTAAATGTATGCTATAATAGGAATTTACAATTATGTCAAAAAATATTAATGTTCAGAATCATCTTAACCAACAACATAACACACATTTGCCAGCACCAAGTCTACATTTCAGAATTTCTACCGTGTTTAAAATATACACGTATATAGGTGCATGTATGTAAATGTCTATCTATATATACATATATGTAAACATACACAAGTATACACGCACTTGCATATATATGCACATACAATTTTGGCCTTTAAGCAGCTAATAGCTATAAATGTGACTATATGGTCTCCTTAGGCTTAGAGATGACCAAATTTTCACCGTACTTTTTTTTTTTTTGAGATGGAGTCTTGCTCTGTGGTCCGGGCTAGAGTGCAGTGGCACGATCTTGGCTCACTGCAACCTCTGCCTCCCAGGTTCAAGCGATTCGCCTGCCTCAGCCTCCTGACTAGCTGGGATTATAGGCGCCCGCCACTGTATCTGGCTAATTTTTGTATTTTTAGTAGAGATGCGGTTTCACCATCTTGGCCAGGCTGGTCTCGAACTCCTGACGCCATGATCCACCCACCTCTGCCTCCCAAAGGGTGGGGATTAGAGGTGTGAGCCACCGCACCCGGCCTTTCACTGTATTTTTATCTTTGAAGACATCAATTCATTCAAGATTGAAACACTGTCAACATTTCATTAAGTAGGCAAAAAAATTTGTTACTGTTACTACAAAAACAGACCAGAATCTCTGAACCGTGGATTCCAAAACTGAGGAATACTGCCCAGCCACACTAATTAGACACTTCCCTACCCTACTGAGGATGAAAGAACATGTAAACATGTGTTTTGCTAACAAATTTTTTAAAAATATTAGAAGTAGGGAAATAAAGCAATAACTAAACACTGAATGAACAAATTGAAGCAATGCAATTGCTTTTTTAAAAAAGGGGGAATAAACTCAAATTTAAATTACTGCTTGTATTTTATTTTTAGAGACAAGATCTCACTCTGTCACCCAGGCTGAGTGCAGTGGTGCAATCATGGCTCACTGCAGCCTCAAACTCCTGGGCACAAGAGATCCTCCCACCTCAGCCTCCTAAACAGCTGGATCTACAGGTGCATGCCACCACACCAGGCTATTAAAAATTTTTTGTAGCGTTGAGGTCTTGCTATGTTGCCCAAGCTGGCCTTGAACTCCTGGGTCTCAAGCAATTCTCCTGTGTAGGCCTCCCAAAGTGCTACGGTTACAGATGTGAGCCATTGCACCTGGCTTCACTTTTTTTTTAAAGGGGAAAGAGGATAAGTCCCCTTTTCATTTCAGACTCTTATCAGTGAATTCTTAATAAAATTCAGAACTCCAGTGTTCAAGATAGAGTGACTGATTTAGTACATCTATAAGAGGACCTCTCACTTTTAAGTTTTAACCATAACTCTAGGAAACTATTTCAAGTAGCTTCTAAACTATAATAATTTTGACTATTTAAAATTCCTGAGGTCGGGAGTTTGAGACTAGCCTGACAAACATGGAAAAACCCCGTCTCTACTAAAAATACCAAATTAGCAGGACGTGGTGGCACATGCTTGTAATCTCAGCTACTTGGGAGGCTGAGGCAGGAGAATTGCTTGAACCCGGGAGGCAGAGGTTGCAGTGAGCTGAGATCGTGGCATTGCACTCGAGCCTGGGCAACAAGAATGAAACTCCATCTCAAAAGAAAAAAAAAAAAAAATTAAGTGCTTACAGAAAAACTCCTACCCTGCCCTCAAATTCTAATAGGGAATCACCACCTTTTACTTGCTGTTTTGTCTTGGACCATAGATAAACATTTATCTGATAGCAGATGCTATAACTTGAATTTTTATGTCCCTCAAAAATTCATGTTGAAATTCAATCTCCAGACAAGCACAGTGGCTTAGCCGGGTAATCACAGTGCTTTGGGAGCCGAGGTGGGAGGACTGCTTGAGGCCAGGAGTTCAAGACCAGCCTGGGCAACACAGCGATACCCTATCTCTACAAAAAATTAGACAGACATGGTGGCATGTGCCTGTAGTCCCAGCTACTCAGGAGGCTGAAGCAGGAGGATGGCTTGAGCTCAGGAGTTTGAGGTCGCAGTGAGCTATAACCTGGGCGACAGAGCAAGACACACATACATACATATATATAAAGAAATTTAATCTCCAATGTAATAGTATTAAGAGGTAGGGCCTTTAAGAGGTGAGGAGGTCACAAGGGCTCTTCTCTCATGAATGGGATGAAGGCCCTTTGCCTGTCTATCCCTTTTGCCATGTGAGGACACAACATTTAAGCCACCAGCTTGTAAGCAGAGGCCAGGCCCTCACCGGACACCAAACCTGCTGGTACCTTGATCTTGGACTTCCCAGTCTCCAGAACTGTGAGAATAAATTTCTATTATTTATAAATTACCCAGTCTCAGGTATTTTGTAATACTAGCACAAAGGGGCTAAAACAGAAGAGCTCTCAGAAAGTGTAATATTTCACCAAACCCTTTCATTTCTCTTATAAACCAAATTATTCAGAGAAAGAAACTACTATTTTTTATCGTTGAAATGTGATAAGTATCTATGACAGAAAAAAGAGATATTCATTTACTTTGAAATTACTTTAATTTAGAAATAGAAAACATCTTGAAAGGAAAAAAAAAAACCCACAAAACATACAGGCAAATTTGTATTCTGTGAGTTTCTCACACCCTCACACTTGTTCACCAATCTCTAAGATGAAAAACTCTCTTCCAAAATGTATTCAGCCACCACTGTAAAAGAAAGAAAAATTATTACTTCTGAGCATAGATAAGATTTTAATAATTATTATTATTTGAAATGCAATATGCTATAACTTTAACGGCTCAAGACCAATTATGTGAATCCCACCTAACTTCATCTAAAGATGGCATAAAAGAATGGCACAATGAACTTTAAAATCCTGGACCTGAAAAGATGATGTGGCTACTGGAAGAGGTCTATGTGTAAACTCACAATGCTCATTCAGGAAATGCCATTTTGGAATAGTCTAGCATAACGCCTTTCTGAACACAACAAAAAATATCAACTACATGACAGGATGGTTAGTTGAGAAGCTTTTCAAGTTGATAAAGTTGACACACCAGTAGAACACACCAGCAGAAAACAGACTGCAGATGAGCACAAGGTACTCAAGCACTGCATCTTACCATAATCATTCCAAAATCTGGGTTAGTCATGATGAAAACAAAAATCACCTTTTCTACAGAAGAACTTCTGAGTTTTAAAAGCATAAACATTAAAACTGCATAGTCAGATATACATTTTAGTAATGTTAAAGCAAAATAATTCCATTACCAGAAGAAAATTATATAAAATAGGCCAGGCATGGTGGCTCTCACCTGTAATCTCAGCACTCTGGGAGGCTGAGGGAGGCAGATCACCTGAGGTCAGGAGTTCGAGACCACCCTGGCCAACATGGTGAAACCCCGTCTCTACTAAAAATACAAAAAAAATTAGCCAGGCATGGTGGGGTGCAACTGTAGTCCCAGCTACTCAGGAGGCTGAGGCAGGAGAATCACTTGAACCTGGGAGGCGGAGGCTGCAATAAGCTAAGATTGCACCACTGCACTCCAGCCTGGGAAACAGAGCAAGACTCCATCTCAAAAAAAAGAGAAAATTATTATATAAAATACCCCTGAGCATATACTTTAATGTTTAGCATTTTAAATGCTTATGCTATTAAATAGTATTGCTATAACTAAAAGGCCAGCAAGTGCCTATTTTAAATTCTAATACTGTGAATATTAATTTTGATTGCTATACTTAGAAAAAAAAGAAGAAAAAAATCTTAAGAAAAAACTGATAATTCAACCCAATGAGTTATTTCCCTTGCTACCATCTCAAAATGATTTAAACAATGATTATCCTCTTTCAAGCAGGGAAAGCAAGATTCCTTTCAGTTTTACAGCTGTCCTGGCATAACATGAGAAAAGAGTAAGTTTTCTGTAGTGTCTCTCACAAAATGTTTTAATTGGCCTTCATGTTAAGGTAAAAAATATCTAAAGATAGATTTTTTAACTTCTTAAACATTGAAACCATTTTTTTTAACTAGAAGAAAAGTTTTCTAAGTAACTAGCTTCTGAAAGATTTCCCGTGTTGCTCTATCACTAGCCATGCAATCTGAGTAGATTACTTAGCCTCCCCATGCCTGTTTCCTCATGAAGATTAAATGAGTTGACACACAGTCATGGAAAGTTCTCAATGAATGTTAACTATTATTATTGCCACCATCACCATTAAAAAGACAAGAACCTGAAGTTGTTCACTTAATTCAACAAACACTTATTCAGTGCTTTTAACGGATACAAGGGGGCTCTGGACCAGACTCTATAGGAGAGACATACAATATAAATAACAAGGCAGGCCTGCCTCACAACTCATAATCTAATATGAAAAGACGGACCTGAGTATGACCCAAGGCAGACAATGATGTCTGGCAAAAGGGACAAAAATATAGGTTAAGTGAAGGCCGGGGAAAAAATTTGAAAGGTGCTTGTATACCAAAAAATTGGAAAAGGTGGGCTTACGTGTTCTTCTGAAAGGTACAACTAAGAACAATGAAGGGTGATTATCACAGGAAACTAATTTTGTTATCATTTTAAAGAAACACTTCCTATCAATAAATCTGTCTCATGACAGAATGGGAAGCAGAAAGAGCAGAGGCACCGAGTATGAAAAAGAAGGGACTTGACAGAGACTCTGCCACTTCTTTTTACTGATTTCCTCATTCTACTTCAGTATTCTCCCCGTGATTCCACAGTTCTACAGTTGGCATTTCTCACTGGTAAAATACAAGGGATTTCTGAACTGACAAATGAGATATCAGTGACTTGGGCCCATCTAGTTCTAACTATTTATGATCCTGAATATCACTTTGTGGCACTTCTGCCTTAATAACTATGGTAACCTACTTCAGAAATCCCTCTGACAATATACATTGTTACTTGTCATTTAAAAGGCAACCTGTACCAGTACCTGGGATAAAATACCTAGTATTTAGGAGATTTATAGTTTAGAAATTTTTTAAATCATTGCTTCAAACTTCACCACCCCATAAAATCAATTGATATTACTGATTGATTTCAATACCATATGGAAGTTCTCAATGAATGTTAATTATTATTGCCACCATCACCATCAGAAAAGGCAAAGAACCTGAAGTTGTTCACTTAATTCAACTAACACTTATTCAGTGCTTTTAATGGATACAAGCACTGATACACCTGATATTATTATCAGGTAATAATAGATTTTATTACCTCCAAACAGTGGATGAGGCTGAGATTAAATGCATACAAAATCACAAAGTAAGTACTGAAACTCATACTAAGTCCTTACCCTAAACTGAATTACCTAATTGCTCTAATTGCTCAATGCCACAAGGTGTCCCAATGACTTGTAATGAATTTAAAAAGCAAAATTATTTGGAAACAAATAAAGTGATCCCAGTGTTTCTCAGCCTTTTTTGCCTCCTAACATACTTAAAAGTTATGATATTCTCCTATCAGTATCAATGGCTCATTATAGTAACAACTTTCACTTGTATTCTTACCCAAATTGTTTCTGGGGCCTTACATGACTTAAAGTCATAATCCAAGTAAGAACTATTATCCCCACTGAATAAACTGGGCACAGAGAGGTTAGGCAAATTGCCTGAAGCTAGGACAGCTACTGCATAACAAGAAAAAGGTTTTGGATCTAGGCAATCTGGTCCAGAGTTAGAATTCTATCACAGCAGTGATTTTTGGATGGGAAGCATTTGCTCTGCACATTAGAAATTAACAAGGTAACAGCACAAAGAGGACTTAGGTTTCAATGCTGGCTTTGTGACATATGAGTGTCTTTAATACTTTCTTGACTCTGTAAAATTTTATTTATTAAAGAAAATAGTGCCTAGCACACAGAATTTCTGGACAGATCATGTAAGATCTAAAAGCCCTCAATTATCAGGTACTCGTAAATATCAGTAGACTCCAACAGCACTAAAAAGTCAAGAGATGCATCTCTATATTAACGAAATAACAGCCTGTCATCTCAAATGGTTTTGAGTTTCATTCAATCCTAGTCTATTTCATAAAGTTTACTTACACAATGATGTTATTAATAGGAATATGGATCAATTTCACAAAGAAGCCAATGAATCCCATTATAGCAAATCCTATTGCTGTTGCCATGGCAATCTTCTGGAATTCTGCATTTAAAAACAGGAAATTCACATATTTTTTGCACTGTCACTGAAAGTATGGGAAAAAAACTATCAGCAACATAAATGAACTTAACTAGTATACATTTCTCCTGTTAATAGATATATAATTTAAAAATAAAAAGGTGAGACTATTAACAGTAAACAAGTTGTTTGACAGGTTTTAAAATTTCCATGTTTTGTTGATATTTAAGGAAACAAATAATAATGCATATCTGTCCTAGTGAGTTCATCAGCAAGTACTAAAAATATTTTTTCTTCTTAGCAAATGACCAGAAAATACCAAAAACAAAAAAAGGTCATGGATGAAAGAAATATACATTATTTTTCTTAAGTTTTAAAATGTAACATTGTAATTTTTATCATAACATATCAATTATATGGGCAGAAACATACCTTTTTTGGGTACATTATAAACGATGGGTCCGGTGCCTTTGCTATTATGATGAAGCCAAAAATAAGACTTGAAAAATCAAACTGGGCTGGGCCCAGTGGCTTGTGCCTGTAATCTCAGCACTTTGGGAGGCCGAAGTGGGCAGATCACCCGAGGTCAGGAGTTTAAGACCAGCCTGGCCAACATGGTGAAACCCTGGCTCCACTAAAAATACAAAAATTAGCCGGGCGTGGTGGCGCATGCCTGTAATCCCAGCTACTCAGGAGGCTGAGGCAGAATTGCTTGAACCCAGGAGGCGGAGGTTGCAGTGAGCCGAGATCGCGTCACTGCACTTCAGCCTGGGCAACAGAGTGAGACTCTGTCTGAGTTGAGCACAATTTTATAAAACATTACACTGGTAATGTTGTCATTTTATGTTACTTCCTAAGAGAAGCTTTCCCTGATCTCCTGACTTGGTTAGTCCTCCTATTATGTGCTGTCAAACTTCCTTCTAGTTATCTTCCATAATACTTAACACAGCAGTAATTAAAAAATATAACCGCAATAATTTGTTTATGACAGTCTTCCTTGGTAAGAGTCTAAGCTCCATGACAGCAAGGACTATTCTCTTTACTATAATATATACATGTTATATACTATATTATATACTATATACTATACTATATATATACTATATACTATATATACTATATACTATATACTATATTATATACTATATACTATATTATATACATGTTATATTCTCTATTATATTACCAGCTCCTAACTCAATGAATGAATAAAAGTAGACAAATTTAACACATGAATCATGATAAATAACAAAATTAACTTTCTAGTTTGGCAAAAACTATATTGTTGGTTTCATGTTAAGGTTTTGTTCGTTGGGGTGGGAGCTGAGTAGGGAGACTTCAAAGCTTTTCCAAAGAGAAAATATGTAAGATACTAAAAGTCATAAAATGTTACTAACTAAAATGTTACATGGAACATAAGGCTGTAATAAATAATCTTACACCATTTGAAAATACATAAAAATTTAGACGAGTAAAAAATTTAGGAAGAAGTGACAACGTTAAAAAGCTGTCGCGCAGGATCAATCAATAAAAATGTTGATCAAAGTAATGCAAGGGCTATTAATCAAGATGTTAATCAAACAAAAGGCTTAGAAAATGCAAAGATTTAATTTTTTCTCTCATAGTCAAGCAATTACCTTTTCTATCAGGTTTAGTGCATCTTTTAACCAGCCGAATGGAGTCCTTTACAAACTGCCGACTTGGCTCAACAAACTGCATTACCTGATCCATGACTGCCTGTTTAAAACAAAAAAGATACTCACTGGTATTGGTTCTCATACAATAAGCACTTGCTCATTTATATAAAGATGTAAATGAGACCAGCCACTGAATTCACGTCTAACATGGGTCAATTCCACCTCCTAAAATAAAACAAAAAACAAACTCCAAAGCCTAAATTGATATTATTTTTGGAAATTTCAGTTAATTATCAAAGGCAATAAGAAAAGCACAGATCTTACTCATGATATCTTCACTGACAAAGAACAGCACACGCAATATAAAAAGCCTATCTCTATTAAAAGGTTAAAAAAGGTTACGCAATTGGTAACACATCCATTCCTTTTCTCACTCTGCAGTCCCATCCATTTCTCATTCTACAGTCCCCTCACCGCTCCTAAGGAACCATCAGTGTTGAGATCCAACAATTACTTTCCATATTTTATTTTAAACTACGCAGAAGCCAGTGTCTTGTACAGTGAATGCCAACTACGGTGCTGCAAGAGCCTAGAATAGAGGCAAACGTGAATTTCAACCTTGATTTTTCTAAAACGTGCCAATACAACATACTTTTCTAAAGTATAAAGAATGGCTAAAGGAAGACGCAAATTCTGAGAAGCTACTAGCTAAATTTCAAACTTTTCGATTTGAACACATCTTTTAAGGAAACAGGGCTATATATTTTACCATACAGGTTCTTTTGAGGAATCTATTACCCAATAGAAATGTTATCCGATCTTAGCTTTGAGAGCCACTGCTATAGTAAGTAAAGCAGCCAGGGTGTTATTTGTATTTTCCTCCATTTCCAGTACTCAGAACAGTGGCCAGGTGGTAGTTCAAATCACTGGCTATGGAATGTAAACCTCTGTAAGCCCCAGTTGCCTTCCTTAGTGTAGGGTGTGGACAACGAAATGAAATAATGTCAATGAAACACCAGGAATTCTGCAACGTTCTGGGGGCAAAAACACAGTAATGTCTGTTTTCTCAGTATTTCACTCAACTTTGCTCTTGAAATCCAAAGGGCTTAAACTTTTTGTAATCATAGTTGTCACGAAGGAAGCTAAGAATTCTTTATCCAGAAAAACGCACGCTACACACAATACCGCACTCAATGTCAGGGGTAGAGATCCAAAAACCAACTATGATCTCTCGAACTAGACTCTAGACCAATGCTCTCACTTTAAACCACGGAAGCGGCGGCAGGACCAGAGCTGAGTACAGCTCTTCCCAGACAGGACTCCACAACAGCACACAGAGCCAACCCCGAAGGGATCGGGCAGCAGGACATCATCTTTGGCTGCAGCACAGAAGACGCCGGGGCAGGACGCTAAGCCCTGGAGCCCCGCGGGCCGGCCACCCAGCTCGCCGGGAGTCCGCGGCCCTGGGTCTGCCTTCCGCCAGAGGCCGAGTTGGTGGGATGTCGGCGGCCAGACCCCGGCCCTGAGCCAGGGGACCACTTACCGCCCGCCCCGCGACGGCCGCCCGGGGAGACACGCCGGCTCGCCCACGCCCGCTGCCCCCAAGAGTCGCAAAGGTGTGGCCGCCCCGTTCGCCCGTACCGACCGGTGGGAAGAAACTCACCTACCCAACCGACACCTAAAATGCCAGGGACACGTAGCACTGGAGCTTGCTGATGGAGGCCCACCGGAACCGGAATCCGGGTTTCTGCCAACAGCCCGCCCACTCCTCCGTCCTATTGGTTCCTTACGCGAAACCTCAGTGCGCAAGCGCAGCGCGACGTGCGCCCGGCCACGCTTCCTGGAAGAGATGCATTGCGGAGCTCGCTAGTTGGGGCGTTGGCCTTCCTTAGGAGTGTGAGTCTAGCGTTATCCCTTTTTTCCGGCTGGATCCCGGGTTACCCCACCAGCCCGACCTCAACCCACTCACGTCCACAGCACGAGCCCCAGCGGCCTTGCGCGGTGCTTGCTCTCTAGTAGCGGCTGACTAGGTAAATCCTAAGTTGTGGTTTTTTTTCCTGCGGTCCAGCTTGATGTGTGTCCTTACGGTACATACTTTTTGTATGTATATAATGTTGGTCGAAATGAAGCTTATGAGCAATATAATGTTATGGCCTAATTCAAAATAGTATCCCCACCCCAAACTTTGACTTTGGCTGTCATTCACGGTAATGAATGCCGCTGTAATTGAGGCCTTTGTCAAACGCTAGGTTTGGTTACGGGAGTGGTCATAATGTACACACAGCTCCCCACTTACCCACAAGGATGCATTCCAGGAACCCCCCGCCGGATGGCTGAAACCGTCAGTAGAGACGGGGTTTCACCATATTGGCCAGGCTGGTCTTGAACTCCTGACCTCGCGATCCACCCGCCTCGGCCTCCCAAAGTGCTGGGATTACAGACGTGAGCCACCGCGCCCGGCCATGTTTCCTTTTAGCAATGGAGCATAACGGGATCTGAGGAACAATATAACTCAGGAAGAGCTGATGGAACATTAAGACGTGTTACAACTCTCAGTGCTTCTTAAACTTCTTCAGTAACTGAAATCTCCTGTTAAGTTTTTTAGTAAATGAAATTTGTAACCCCAGAACCTCCAGATATTGATTCAGTGGGTCAGGGTTAGAGGTCACACACCTCCGTATATCTGACTGTAGGTGGTCCATACACACTACACATACCTTGCCTTAGCTTTAAGAGTCACTTTTAAATTCTGAACAGACTGAGATGCGTTTGACTAGTTCTTCATCCCTGGGACTTCAGCCCATGTGTCATCTCCTTAGAGGCCTATAGTGACCATCTAAGGCAATCCTGTCTATCTCATGCTCTTTTTTCCTTTTTCACAATACCTTCTTCATTTGCTGCATAGCATTTGTATTAACATTTATTTATTTATTCCTCGGTCTGTCTCCCTACACTGTAAATCCCCTTACTAGACCATAAGCTCCAAGTGGGTATAATATAGCATCTAGTAAAGTGCTAAACACAGTAAATGCTCAATAAATAATTTTCAAAAAAATAATTCATTCCAAAAAAACATAAAATCACATGTTGGCAAGTTCACCCCAACCACCAAATGTCTGAGTTGACAGTATTTTCAGCAAAACACAGAAAATCAAGTAACACATACAGTGGTTCCCCTTATCCAAGAAAATCTGGTTCAAAAAGAGATGTGTACCAGAAGGTAATCTGGGAGAGGCCACATTCAAATAACTTTCATTACAGTGTATTGTTATAATTGTCTACTCACCTGATTTCGGGAGTTTGAGACCAGCCAGACCAACGTGGAGAAACCCCGTCTCCACTAAAAATACAAAAATTAGTCTGGAATGGTGTCGCATGCCTGTAACCCTAGCTACTCAGGAGGCTGAGGCAAGAGAATCCCTTGAACCCGGGAGGTGGAGGTTGCAGTGAGCTGAGGTCACACGACTGCACTCCAGCCTGGGCAACAGAGCAAGACTCCGTCTGTAAAAAAAAAAAAAAAAAAAAACAGGCTGATAACAGCAAATCTGTGCAAAAATACGTAACAATCAGAACTCTAGAACTCTAATTCCTGGTTACTAGGAGTGTAAAATGGCATAACCCTTTTGGGAAAAGTTTAGTAGTTTATCATAATATGAAGCATATATACACCACCTATGGCTCCACAATTCCAATTCCAGGTACTTATTGAAGATATATGAAACTAAATTCACAGAAAGACTTGTACAGGAATGTTCGTAGTAACTTTATTGATAACAGAACTAAAAGCAACAGGGTACCATCAATAGAATGAATAAACATACAGGTATAGTCCCACAACAGAATAGTACTCCATAGCTAAGGAAAGAAAACTCTCTGCCACAACATTGATGAATGACAAACATGGTGAGTGAAACAAGCCTACGCTAAAGAAGGCACAGTGTGCAGTTCCATTTGCAAGAAATTTTAGACAAAGCAAAAATAATGAATGGTGGAAAAAATCAGAACAGTGTTTGCCCGGGGCTACATATTGAGAAGGCGGGTGAGGGAACTGGGGAGTGAATGTAATGCTCTGTAATTTAACAGGTCTTAGGGTTTCACAGGGGTCTTAGTCAACGTGGGCAGCTATAACAGAGTATCATAGAGTGGTGGCTTACACAACAAACATTTATTTCTCACAGTTCTGGAGACTGGAAGTCAGAGATAATGGTCAGGTTCTTGTGAAGGCTTTTACTGGTTTATAGATAGCTACTTTCTCATTGCATTCTCACATTGCGGGAGATGGAGGAAGAGAGAAAGAAAGGACCAGCTCTCCTCCTGGTCGTAAGAACACTAATCCCAACATGGGGCTTCAGCCTCCTGACCTAATTACCTCCCAGAAGCCCCTCATCCAAATGCCATCACATTTGGGCTTCCACATATGAATTTGGAGGCGCACAAACATTCCATCCATAGCAGCAGGTCTGTGCCTTTTTCCTCAAAAAAAAAAAAAAAAAAAAAAAACCTCAACAAGTATTGAGCTCTAGTTAATTATACAATTGTCGATGCATTTAGGAGGGAAATGTACAGGTATCTACAACTTATTTTGATTTTAAAAAGGGCAGGTTCATGGTTAGAGGAATAAACTGGTGATAATGCAAATACAACAAAATGTTAAATGTAGACTTAGTTGTGGTGTAAGATGTTCATTGAATAATTCTTTCAATTTTTCTGTATGTTTAAAAATGTTTATAAGATGGAAAAAAGTCAATATATAGATCACCAAATCAAGTTTTAAAAATTTTGACATAAATTGTACTGAGTGTAAATTGAATGTATATATAGCAGAAATTTTAAATTGCCCCTCAATTTAAAAATACATGAAATATTAATAATATCGTTTGAGATAAGCTGAATTAATATTCCATTTATATTCTTGAATCTCTGCCTGAAGCAAGAAAAAGTTTAAGAAGATCTATGGAGAACCAAGGACTCCATAGCAGCTTTTTGTT
The DNA here is from genome assembly GCF_000001405.40 of Homo sapiens. Taxonomy (NCBI): domain Eukaryota; kingdom Metazoa; phylum Chordata; class Mammalia; order Primates; family Hominidae; genus Homo; species Homo sapiens. Next base: position 54,762,483 of record NC_000007.14, read on the forward strand.
TTGTATTACTTCATTTAGGTATGATGACAAAGTGGAAAGAGCTGTATCTTTTTAAAAATGAAGCTGACACAGTGGTTGAAATTATGAAAGTGTCAACAGTTCCCCAGGAAAAATCAAAGACTGGACCTAGATTCAAACATAAAGAGTCTTTTAGACAGGAATATTTTAAGAGTTAAATGTGATGAGATCAAATAAAGTTTTCTCCCCTCCTCAAACCCTTTTTGAAAAAACAAGGTTTTAAGTACTATAAAAAAAGTTACTCCATCTTATTTAGTTAAAAATGCAGTAACCAGAAGAGGGTGGTGAAGTTGACTCGAAAGATTTAGAGATCACAGAATTAGTTGCCAGTGACTCTATATTATCAATTACAGTAAACAGTTTCAATTGACTACTTCCTCCTGAAACTCACTGTTCCCTTTACTTCATGATCATTTTCTTAAAACAAAAACAAAACCCTTTCTGAATCTGCCTAATGGACTTCTTTTCCTGCATTGGCCTGTATTAGAGAAGTCTAACTGCTCCGACACACATAGCCACCCTCTGGGCTGGCCACGTGCTGATTTCTGCCCAGGCCAGTCTCCGCAGATCTGATGCAGGGCTGTGTTCTTTCCACATAGTAAGTCTCCGCGGATCTGGCACAGGGTCGTGTTCTTTCCACACAGTCGTGCAGGGTTTCAGGCTCTCCAGGGTGCAGTGCTGCTACTGCATGTTAAGGTTCTTAGTATATTTCAGGAGAAAACAACCCAATTAAAAAATAAGCAAAAAGGCCGGGGGCGGTGGCTCACGCCTGTAATCCCAGCACTTTGGGAGGCTGAGGCAGGGCAGATCACAAGGTCAGGAGATGGAGACCATCCTGGCTAACACGGTGAAACCCCGTCTCTACTAAAAATACAAAAAATTAGCCGGGCATGGTGGCAGGTGCCTGTAGTCCCTGCTACTCGGGAGGCTGAGGCAGGAGAATGGTGTGAACCCGGGAGGCGGAGCTTGCAGTGAGCCGAGATCGTTTGCCACTGCACTCCAGCCTGGGCAACAGAGCGAGACTCCGTCTCAAAAAAAAAGAAATAAAAAATAAATAAGCAAAAGATCTGAACAGACATTGCATAAAAGAAGATACACAGATGGCAAATAATCATATGAAAAGGTACTCACCATTACCTGTCACCAGGAGATTGCAAACTAAAACAACAATGAGATACTACTGCAAACCTATTTGAATGTCTAAAGTGCAAAATACTACATCAAGTGCTGGTAAGGATGTGGAGCAACAGGAAGTCTCCGTTGCTGGTAGGAATGCCAGTGGTACAGCCACTGTGGAAGGCACATTGGCAGTTTCTTATAAAGCTAAACGTAGTCCATACTATCCAACAATTGCACTCCTCGGTATTTAAATAACAGGAAGATTTATGCTCGCACAAAAACTTAACACACACGTTTATAGCGGCTTTATTCACAATTGTCAAGACTTGGAGGCAACCAAGATGTCATTCAGCAGATGAATGAATAAACAAACTGTGATAAACCCAAACAATGGAATATGCTAAAAGGAAGTGAGCTCTCAAGCCGTGAAAAGACAAGCAGGAACCTCAGATTCATACTGCTATGTAAAAGAACCAGTTGAAAAAATACACACTGTATGATTCCAACTAGGACATTCTGGAAAAGGCAAAACTATAGAGACAGTAAAAAGATCGGTGACTGCCAGGTCTTGATGGGGCTGAGGGAGGGTGAGAGAGAGGGAAGAATAGGTGGAGTCCACGGAATTTTTGGTGCAGGTGAAACCAGTCTGCGTGATGTTACAGTGGTGGATGCATGCCATTATGCATTTGTCAAAGCCTGAAGAACTATACAGAGTGAACCCTAGTGTAAACCATGGACTGTAGTTAATAATAGTGTATCAATATTGGTTCATCAGTTGTAACAAATGTTCGCTAGTACTATATTAATAATAGGGAAAACTGTGCAGGGAGGATGTGTAAAAGGTTGTGGTACCTCTTTACTTTCTACTCAATGTTTCTGAAAAGCTAAAACTACCCTTAAAATAAAGTCTATTAGTAAAAATTAGAAATAAAATAAAAGATCCTAGGAGAGGGAGAGAAACTAGAGTCATCTCACTGCTTCCTTTATGCTCTGGCTGAAGCACCATCAGGCTCCTGCACTCTTTCCCTCCACTACCAATCTTTTCTTTTTTTTTTTCTTTTTTTTGAGCCTTGTTGCCCAGGCTGGAGTGCAATGGCACAATCTCGGCTCACCGCAACCTCTGCCTCCCGGTTTCAACCGATTCTTCTGCCTCAGCCTCCCAAGTAGCTGGGATTACAGGCATGCGCCACCACGCCCGGCTAATTTTTGTATTTTTAGTAGAGACGGGGTTTCTTCATGTTGGTCAGGCTAGTCTCAAACTCCCGAACTCAGGTGATCCACCCGCCTTGGCCTCCCAAAGTGCCGGGATTACAGGCGTGGGCCACCGCAGCCGCCCCCAGTCAATCCTTTTGTCAAGATGCTGAGAAGCCCAGTGCCTTTCCCAAGACAAAGCCATTGACAGAGTCCAGTTTGACCACAAACCTTGTTATAACACGTTGACTTATTTAAACAAGGTAAGGGGTTCTGGCTTCTTCACTACATCCCCTGGAGCTGTATGATGAATTATGACTTATGACGGCATGAAGTCACTTTTTTACATTATTTGAGATATGGAGGATGTTACGGACTGAACTGTGCCACCCCCAAAATTCACATGTTGATGGCCTAACTCTTAAGACCTCAGAATTTGACTGTATTTGGAGATAAGGTATTTTCTGTTTTTGTTTGTTTGTTTGTTTGTTTTTGAGACAGGGTCTCACCCTGTCACGCACGCTGGAGTGCAGTAGTGCTAACACAGATCACTGCAGCCTCAACCTCCCGGGCTCAAGCGATCCTCCCACCTCAGCATCCCCAGTAGCTGGAACCACATGCATGTGCCACCACGTCCAGCTAATGTTTTTTCTTTTTTTTTTTTTTTTTTGTAGAGACAGGGTTTGGCCACTGGAGATAAGGTCTTTAAAGAGGTTATTAAATTAAAATGAGAGGCTGGGCATGGTGGCTCACACCTGTAATCAGCACTTTGGGAGGCTAAGGCAGTTGGATCACCTGAGGTCAGGAGTTCAAGACCAGCCTGGCCAACATGGGGAAACCACATCTATGCTAAAAATACAAAAGTAAGATGAGCATGGGGTTTCACTGCCTGTAATCCCAGGTACTCGGGAGGCTGAGGCAGGAGAATTGCTTGAACCCAGGAGGTGGAGGTTGCAGTGAGCTGAGATAAGGCCACTGCACTCCAGCCTAGGCAACAGAGAGAGACTCCATCTCAAAAAAAAAAAAAAAAGCTAAACTGAGGCCAGAGGTGTAGGCTATAATCCAATATGACAGGTGTTCTTATGGACACAGATGTACAGAAAGAAGGTGATGTGAAGACACCAGGAGAAGATGCACAAATTAAAAAAAGAGGCTTCAGAAGAAACCAACCTTGCTGGCATCTTGATCTCAGATCTCCCGCCTCCAGAACTGTGAGAGGATAAATCGCTGTTGTTCAGGCTTCCTAGTCTGTGGTATTTTGTTATGGCAGCCCTCACAAACCCACATAGAAGGCACGCTTTCATTGCCTTTTTTCCCCTCCTGTTTCCTAAGAGAGATATTAACAGTTCAAGCGAGTATAATTTTTGGACGCACACAGAGTAATCTCATAGGAATATAAAAATCAGGACGTGTCCTGTCCTATTGCTGCAATGTAGAACTAATCTTTTAGGAAGAGAGCTTTGTGAGTACTCATGTGAGGGAAAGGGATCATAGTTTTGAAACTTCATTTTAATACTTATTGCTTAATCAGTTAAATTTTATTGTCAAGTGGTTTTCTTTAAGGAGCTTAAGGACACGGTTTTTCCTGAGTTTATGCGTACCTGAATATGCCTGTCTGTATACTTTAGTGATGTGGGTGCATATAAATTTGGGCATCACTTTCTTTTCTTTATAATCTAGTTGAAAGATAAATACTCCATTACATGCTAGCACTCAGTGTTTCAGAAGGGAAATCTGATGCTACCTCAGATTGTCCCATCCTTGTCCCCTTGATGTGATTAAAGGATTCTTTCTCTGCAACTGAGATTCAGTGACAAACAGGATCTCAATGAAAAGTGACATTCTATATCATTTTTTCCCAAGACTGCTCGATTCTTACTTCAGGGAAATGTTGTGTTCTTGTAATATGTTTTCTGTTTGATCTGTTGGAGTATCTGTTTAAGGCAACTACCCTTTTGTTAGCTTTTCTTTGTTCTTTTTATATTTTCTTAATTGTCTTACCTTAATTACACCTGTGTACTCACCTTGGTCAGCTCAAGTTTTTTTATTTTTTTTTTTTTTGCACTTTATTAACTCCATTTTTAACTACTGTGTTTCTTGCTATTTTAAATTTATTTTGTGATGTCATTTTGGTTCTCAATTTTTTCTTTAGTGGGACCGTCTTCCATCCTGTTTCATTCTATTTTTAGGTTAGTTCACTGATTGAGAAGCGTTTTGCAGGACTCGTGCCCTGAGACCTTTCTGGTTGCAGAGAGTGGCCATGGAGGCCTCCTGTCTCCGAACTGCCTCCTCACCAGCCTCCTCATCTGGCTTCTGCATGCAACCGCCACCTCTCGATGTATTTATCTTTCAGTGGCATATTTGTATAATTTAAATTTAGTAGATCCTTTAAAAAATGTATGTTATAAAAGTTTAAAACTCAAAACTGAAGAGAATATAATCTTGTCATGGCTTTTCTTGCACATTCAGAGCAAGCGGCTCTGCCTTCCACCTTGCTCTCTGCTGTGTGGCCAGGCTTCTCTCAGTGCCCTTGGTACATTTCCGGAGTCCCCTGTGCCCGGTAGAACTCTCGCCTGTAAGCTGTGCTTTGCTTGTGTTCACTTCAATGTAGACAGATGGCTAGGCCTCGTTCCAGCCGCTCCTTTGCAAAGGATATGGATTCTGTTTTCTCCTCAGAAGTGTGACCCAGGGCCCTATCCAGGGCACAGTGACAGTGGGGACAACCCCGGGTCTCAGGCTCTTCCTCCAGGGCCCCAGCTAGCGTCCCTCTGGCCCGTGCTCTGCATCTTGCTGGAGAGGTCTCTGCTCTTGGATTGTGTTTTGACTTTGCCTGAGCTTCCAGCTCAACCCCCTCAGACAACATTTCTCCAAAGCAGGAACGATTTGTGGAAATTCTCAACATTTTTTTCACTCTGTTTTGGGGGCCTAGGGTCCATGATAGGGAGCTATGCCAAGTCATGGCAGAGTGTTCTTTTTCTGTTTTCTTATTTCATTATGGTAGCATGAAGTTGTACACGTTTCTGTATTGGGTTCTTGCTCTTGCTCTTTTTGCTGCTGTCAATAATTATTGTTGATTACATCAGATGTTGGAGGAGGTGAATTCTGGGTGCCTGTTTTACTTCACAGCCATTGCTGTTTTAATAAGAAGATGGGGCTGGCTAACACGGTGAAACCCCATCTCTACTAAAAAATACAAAAAATTAGCTGGGCATGGTGGCGGGTGCCTGTAGTCCCAGCTACTCAGGAGGCTGAGGCAGGAGAATGGTGTGAACCCGGGAGGCGGAGTTTGCAGTGAGCTGAGATGGCGCCACTGCACTCCAGCCTGGGCTACAGAGCGAGACTCCATCTCAAACAAAAACAAACAAAAAAAATAAAAAGATGGGGAATTAAAATATCATGCCCTGCCATCTTGTGATCCTTTTAACTCAGGAGTCCTTTTTAACTGGAAAACACAGAGATGTCTCTACTATTTCAAGAAGCTATTAGATATGTCCTGTTTTTCTATGCCATTCACTTCCCCTGAATTGCTCTGAGACCTACCCTGTGCTCGTTGGTGCAGTGGGAGTGATCTAACCTTTAAGGGGATAGCTGTTCCAGCCTACCGAGATGACCCCACTAAACACGGGGTAATGCTAGCCGGGAGAGAAACCAAAACAGTAGAAAAATGAAGGAGCCAGCAGGTTTATTGTAAAGAGTTTAATTGCCTACTGTTACAGACAGAAATGGAAGCAAGTGAGGAAAATACATATAGATGCTTTTGAACCAAGTTTCCTAACTCCCAGGACAGACATTTTTTCCCCCATTTTATCTGTATGCTTTTCTGCCATCCCTTACTGGCCCCTGGATGGTTACTTTCTGTTTTTAGAAATGGGAAATTAATACCTAGTCCTCAGGTTAGTTCAGTTCAGTCTAAGAATTGAGTATCAATGAAGGACATAATTTATTCACTGTACAAAAGACCACCCAGCTACAATGCCCAGCTTCATCAGTTATAACTGGGATTAATTAAGTGGATTTTCATATCTCCTCCCTTTTTATTGTTCATAAAGCTTCCCACCTAAGACTGATAGTGCTGTCAACAGCTCTGTTGAGGCCAGGCACAGTGGCTCAGTTATCCCTGTTATCTCAGTGCTGTGGGAGGCCGAGGCAGGAGGATCAATTGAGGCCAGGAGTTTGAGACCAGCCTGGGCAACATAGTGAGACCCTGTCTCTACAAATAAAAATAAAACCTAGCAGGGCATGGTGACATGCTCCTGTGTCCTAGCTACTGAGGAGGTTGAAGTGGGAGGATCTCTCGGGCCCAGGAGTTGAAGGCTATAGTGAACTATGATTCTAGCCTGGGTGACAGAGCAAGGCCCTGTCTCTCTGTTAAAAAACAAAAACAAACAGAAAACAGCTCTGTCCAAGGGGTTGGGAGATCCTCGATGAAGGAAGAGAAGATAATTGGTTGGGTCTGGAGTATACAAGGACTTCAGGTTCTAGCCATGGCGGAGAAACTGGAGCAAGACCTGCACTCCCAATACCAAAAATGAGAAAACTGGACAAAATATGGGAAACAACTCTTTCAGACACTGGGAAACAGGAAATACAAGACTATGATTCATAAGGGGAGGGTAAAAAAATAAAGTGAGTCTACCCCCTCAGAATTCTGCTTGAAAGGCAGTTTTCAAACCAAAGCCACAAGGTAAGGGGAAAAGATTATATGCAGAGAATGGTAATTATTACTGACCAGGAAGATAGAGATGGGTGGAATTTCTAGGGCATACTAGCATAGAGGAGGGTGCTAAATGGAAAAAGAGCTCTAGAAATCTGCAAAGAGCTCCCATTGCATCTATTGAGGAAAACCAATAGTGCCTATGTAAGATGCAACACCATGAGGCTGGGCTAACAATGACCAGGAGCTGTAAGATGAACAATTCGCAGAGGACACAAGGGCTGGGAGACTATGAGTTCTAACCAGCCAGGTGGAGAGTCCTCCTTGACTGTATGGGACATTTAGTGGAAACCTCAGGAGGGTGGCATCTTAGTAACAGGGCTAAATTTGCCATAGTGTAAAGATTTATACAAAAAAAGGAAGGAAAAAATTAAAGCTACACACTTGAAATTAAAAATTATGTTTGACATCCACTGAAAATTACAAAACATGCAAGAAAGCAGAAAAATGTAGACTTGTAACCAGGAGAAAAATCAGTCAACAGAGGCAGATGCAGAGATAGCAGAGAGGAAAGACTTAAGTGAGTGACTTTAAAAATCATTTGTAAAAATAAGCCCAAGGATTTAAAGAAAATTAAACATAATGAAAAAATCAATAGAAAATGTTTTAACAAGAACCAAACAGAACTTCTAGAGCTGAAAAACATATCTAGAATGAAAAATATCCACTATAGGTGTAACATCCAATGAGAACTTCAGAAGAAAAGATCAGTAAATTTGAACACAGCAATAGAAACTATGATAGTAGAAGCACAGAGAGAAAAGGAGATTGAAAATGAGCCCAACATTGGTGAACTGTGGGCAGAAATATATTGGCAAATTTTAACAAATACCTTTATGGAGAAAAAAGCCTCAATCCATAGCATTGGCCAATTTTCATGATGTAAATATTCCCACTCTGGCTGATTTCAAGGTGCCAATGTGACATCAATGAATACAAAATTTTCCAAATTTGACTAATTATAAACTGACGTATCCAATAAGCTCAAAAAACCTAAATAAAAGACATAGTAGAAAAAGATAATCTTAAAAAGCCAAATTTTAAAAAGTACACATATATACAGAGGACTAAAGATAAAACCAAGAGCAGATATATCATAGGAAGCAATTAAGGGCAGAATCACCTCTTTAAACCACTAGTTGGGGTGGGGAGTGAGAGGAGGGAGTATGAACCTCAAATTCCATATCCATTGGGAATGTTCTTCAAAACCAAGGAATTATACTTTCTTCATCAGAAAGCTAGAAAAAATGAGAATATTAACACCAAAGTAAGTAGAAAGAAGCAAAAAGTAAAGATAGACTTTTAATAAAACAAGGGTCAGCAAATCACAACTTTTCAGGCAAAAATATGGCTTCACACTGTTTTTGTGAATATTTGCATTTGAAAATAGTCCCACTCATTCATTTACTTATTGTTGTCTAGTGCTGCCTTACAAATCATATGGCCAGCAAACCTAAAATATGTATTAGTTATTTACAGAAAAATTCGCTACCCCTAGAAACAGACAACAGAGATAAATCAATACAACTAAAAGGATTCTTCAAAAAATCAATCTCGATAAATCTATTGCTAAACTGATCAGAAAAAAAATAGAAATTTCCAATATTAGGGATGAAAGAAAAGACAGTGCTACCAGTCCTACAAACATTAAATGGGTAATAACAGTACAAACAAATTTATGCCATTAAATTTGATAACTTAGAATCAATGAAAAAAGTGTACAACAAAAATTGTTGCTAGAAAATCTGAATAGCTCTATATGTATTAAAGAAATTGAATTCATAATTTCCTTCTTACAGCAAAACTCCCAGGCCCAAATGTCTTCACTGGTGAATTTTATCAAACATTTAAAAAAGCAATAGTAATTGTAATAAAACATAACCTCTCTCAGAATATAAAAAGAACCCTTTCCAACTCAATTTTTGAAGCCAGCATCATGCTGATACCAAAACCAGACAAATACAGAAAACTTTACACCAATATTCTTCATGAATCTAGATGCAAAAATCTTTAACAAGATATTAACAAATAGAATCCATCTATGTATAAAAAGGACAATATATTACAATCAGGTGGAACATTTCTTAGAAGTGCCAGGTTGTCTTAATATTTGAAAAACCAAGGCAACTCCTCACATTAATAGGAGGGGAAAATGTTTTTTTCTCCCTTAGGACTAGAAGAAAAAGTGCACTTGACAAAATTTAGCCACATTTATTACAAAAACTTTCATCAAAGCAGGAATAAAAAGAAACTCTCAAGCTTATAGAGGGCACTTTTAAAAATGTGCAGCTAACATCATACCTAATGGCAAAAGACTGAACTTATTTTCTCTAAGAACAGGAGCTAAGAACAGGAACAGAGCTGATGCTGGTACAATTATATATCTGTATGGAAAAAAAAAAAAACTTTAGTATTTCCAACATATGATACACAAAAGTTAACATGAAAAAGATCATGGATGAAAATGCAAAAAGTAAAACTATAAAACTTCTAGGAAAAATGTAGGAGAAAATTTTTGTGATCTCAATGTAGGCAAACATTTTTGAGGTAATAAATCTATAATTTTTTTTTTTTTTTTTTGAGACGGAGTCTCACTCAGTCACCCAGGCTGAAGTGCAGTGGCGCGATCTCGGCTCACTGCAAGCTCCACCTCTCGGGTTCACCCCATTCTCCTGCCTCAGCCTCCCAGGGAGCTGGGACTACAGGCGCCCGCTACCACGCACGGCTAACTTTTTGTATTTTTTTTAGTAGAGACAGGGTTTCACCGTGCTAGCCAGGATGGTCTCAATCTCCTGACCTCATGATCCGCCCGCTTCAGCCTCCCAAAGTGCTGGGATTATAGGCGTGAGCCACTGCGCCCGGCCCACAAATCTGTAACTTTAAAAAATGATAAATTAGACTATCAAAATTTAAAATGTTTGCTCCCCAAAGGATACTATTAATAATATAAAAAGGCAGGTCACAAACTAGGAAAAAAATAACGATATATATATGTGACAAGATACTTTTATAGAGCATCATATATAAAGAAATCTTATGATTCAATAATTAGAAGATAAATAACCCAATTTTATAAAGTGAGAGAAGCAAATGAATTAAACAGACTTTAACCAAAGAATATATACAAATAGCCAATAGCCACATGCAAAGATGCTCAGCATTATTAGTTAGCAGGAAAATGCAAATTAAACTCATCATGAGTCACCTCCACACACCCATTAGAATCAATGTTCAAAAGGATGATCATACCAGATATTGACAAGGACATGGCTCAGCCAGAGCTCTCACTGATTGCCGTGGGAATAGAAAATGGTGTAACTGGCCAGGCGCGGTGGCTCACACCTGTAATCCCAGCACTTTCGGAGGCCGAGGCAGGTGGATCACTTGAGGTCAGGAGTTCAAGATGAGCCTGGCTAACATGATGAAACCCTGTCTCTACCAAAAATACAAAAATTAGCCAGGTGTGGTGGCAGTCACCTGCAATCCCAGCTACTCGGAAGGCTGAGGCAGGAGAATTGCTTGAACCTGGGAGGTGGAGGTTGCAGTGAGGTGAGATCGTGCCACTGCACTCCAGCCTGGGCAACAGAGCAAGACTCCGTCTCAAAAAAAAAAAAAAGAAAAAAAGAAAAAAGAAAATGGTATAACTATTCTAGGAAATACTTTGGCTGTTTTTTTATAGTTAAATATCTACTTACTCTACCAGTAATTTGCTTCTAGGTATTTACCAAGAGAAATGAGAACATTTGTACACATTTGTTACACACATTTGCTCATAGCAATCTTAATAGTCAAAAACTGGAAGCAAGCCAGGTGCCCATCAACAGGAGACTGGGTCAATAAATTGGGGTATATTCATACAAGAGAATAGTACTGAGAAGGAAAAATGAATAAGATACTGTTAGATTTAACAAAATGAATAGATCTCAAAAGTGTTATGTTAAATGGAAAAAGCAAGTATTTACACAGACACAAAAGAGTACATGCTATATAATTCCTTTTAGATGAAATTCTTAAAAGTCAGAACGGACATAAAGCAGATCAGTGGTTGCCTGGACAAGAGCTGGGGTGAGCTTGCCTGTAAATAGGTACAAGGGTACTTTGGGAGGTGATGGAAATCTACATGTTGTGTTGAGGTTGACTGGGTGTATACATTCGCCAAAACCCCTTGAACTGATATAAAGGTGCAGTTTATTGAATATAAACTACACCTCCATGCAGTTTTTTAAGAAGAGTTTATGTGTATTTTCTCCTGTTTGAGCTTTGAAAGAACATTCCAAAGCTCCTAAATGCTTTGGAATCCCAAAGCTCCAAAAATGTTTTCTATTAGAAAACATTTAGAAGTGCTCAAAGTAGCAAAAGATTTGCCTAGTTTTATCGGAAGTATGGAGAAAAGACACAAGATGGCGGTGTTACTCAGAGAAAGCAAAAGTGTATGGCGTCTTTCTCAATAAAGTCTCATTTCACCTGGCAGTTCTTCACGTCATTGACACGATTGTCCTCAGTACTTTCTTCTCCAGGTGCTTATGGGAGTCTTCTCTAATATACTTAATTACTGTCTACACTCAATAACTACGTCACGGATCCTTTAAACATCTCAAGAGCTTTTGTTTTTCTGTTGTTGTTGCAAATAAAAGTGAAAAATGTAAATAGTTTGCAATCCAGTAATCTATTTCGTTATTAGGGAGACTCATGTCTACTGCGGTTTGTTACTCCATAATGGAAGCCCCTGAGAAGTCGCCTTACCTCTGGGAAGAGCGCTTTGCTTCCCAGAGAATCTGATTCGCATTTCAGGCAGTCAGCCACTGGAGGGCAGTGCAGAAGCGTGAATGCCCTCACCTGCTCGGAGGCGGGAAACCCTGCAGCAACTGCGTCTTCTAAGGGAGCCTAGGACCAGGTTATTAGCAGAGGGGAAAAGAAAATGAATCCATTCTGGAAACCATCCGTTTGATTCAGAATGTTTTGTGTAAGACAGTATTTCTTGGGCCAGGCACAGTGGCTCACGCCTGTAATCCCAGCACTTTGGGAGGCCCAGGCGAGCAGATCACTTGAGGTGAGGAGTTCAAGACCAGCCTTGCCAACGTGGTGAAACCCCTTCTCTACTAAAAATACAAAAATTAGCTGGGTGTGGTGGCATGTGCCTGTAATCCCAGCTACCCAGGAAGCTGAGGTAAGAGAATCGCTGGAACCCGGGAGGTGGAGGCTGCAGTGAGCCGAGATCATGCCACTGCACTCCAGCCTGGGCGACAGAGCAAGACTGTCTTTAAAAAAAAAAAAAAAAAAAAATTATTTCTTGGTAATTACAAAGTTGTGTCCATCAGACGAACTCTAGAACTCTACAGATAACTGTGGACTCTAGCCTCCATGTACAGAGCAGCTAAGTGCAGACTGGAGAGAGGGCAGGCAGGGGCCGGCCGAGGGCGGGGTCCTACAGGAGGAGGAGGTGCCGGTGAACCTCCCATTTCCACGACTTGTACTCTTGGGGCAGCCCCTGGTCTGTGCCACGTGGATGGTGAAAGCTCACATGGAGAACATCCCACTGCCTTGAAGAACCAGAGGACAAAGTTTAGGACAACCGCAGTCACTGGCTGGGGGGCGGTGTGGGGCAGGGATCGGGGACTGACAAACAGAAGAGCCGGGAGACAGGGAACCTCAGACCATGAGTAAAGGCTAACTTCCTAGCTGGGCCATGCATGGACCTGACAAGCTTCCCTCGCTAAGGCCCAACCCTGCAGCCCTGATGGCCCTGCTGCCCCACCCAGGTTCCACGCACTGTGGGGAGATAAGCGGAAGCTGGAAGAGGGAAACCCTGGGCTTACAGCCTGGTTCTGCTCCCAACCACTACTGCTAATGTCTTGAGCTTGTTACCAAAGCTCCCTGAGCTTTAGTTTGTTTTCCAGAGAAAAGATGAAACCAGACCTCTCTCCTAGGGCTGCTTTTGAGGACTACCAGGGATAATGTGTGCAAAGCGCCTGACACAGAGGGCTTCACTCTGTCATTAATTTGCTTCCCACCTCTTGTTTGTGGTTTCCCTGGAATCTTGTGACTAACTCCTGTTGCAGGAAGTCAGGGACCCCAAACGGAGGGACCGGCTGAAGCCATGGCAGAAGAACGTGGATTGTGAAGATTTCATGGACACTTATCACTTCCCCAGTCAATACCCTTGTGCTTGCCTATGCCTGTCTTTACTTTAATCTCTTAATCCTGTCAGCCAAGGAGGATGTATTTCGCTTCAGGACCATGTGATAATTGCGTTAACTGCACAAATTGTACAGCATGTGTGTTTGAGCAATATGAAATCTGAGCACCTTGAAAAAAGAGCAGGATAACAGCAATTGTTCAGGGAATAAGAGAGATAACCTTAAACTCTTGACCGCCGGTGAGCTGGGCAGAACAGAACCATATTTCTCTTCTTCCAAAAGCAAATGGGAGAAATATCTCTGAATTCTTTTTCTCAGCATGGAACGTCCCTGAGAAAGAGAATGTGCGCCTGGAGGTATAGGCTTATAAACAGCCCCCCCGCCAGGTGCACCTGTCTCTTATGGTCGAGGCTGCAGAGATGAAATATACTCCAGTCTCCCATAGTGCTCCCAGGCTTATTAGGAAGAGGAAATTCCCACCTAATAAATTTTGATCAGACCAGTTGATCACAAAACCCTGTCTCCTGATAAGATGTTATCAATGACAATGGTGCCTGAAACTTCATTAGCAATTTTAATTTCGCCTGGGTGCTGTGGTCCTGTGATCTCGCCCTGCCTCCACTTGCCCTGTGATATTCTATTACCCTGTTAAGTCCGTGATGTCTGTCACCCATACCTATTCACACACTCCCTCCCCTTTTGAAAATCCCTAATAAAAACTTGCTGGTTTTTGTGGCTTGTGGGGCATCATGGATCCTACCAACGTGTGATGTCTCCCCAGGACGCCCAGCTTTAAAATTTCTCTCTTTTGTACTCTGTCCCTTTATTTCTCAAGCCGGCCGACGCTTAGGAAAAATAGAAAAGAACCCACGTGATTATCAGGGCAGGTCCCCCGATAAACTCCGTTTCTGAGATCAGTTCTAGTGGCAACCCTCCAAGTCAGCTAGGCCTCAGTTCCTGATCTTACCCGTAAACGCAGTGAGTTTGCTTCTCACAAGCTTTGGTTATCTTGTCTGTCTCCCTTTTTGAAATCCAGGTTTGAAGACTATTCGGCCATGCTTTTGCAGTGAGCACCAGCTTGCTAGAGCCCCTGGGGGGCCGCAGCCAGCAAGCTGGAGAGTTACCAATGTTCCAAGAATGTTTCAGAACCACTTGCTTTGTCAAAGCTTGGCCTTGTGGACTTCCCGTTTTACATGAGATTCTCTAGTCTTTGCCCATCTTCATTTCCTATTGCCTCCTATATATTTTTTTCTTTTTCTTTCTTTCTTTCTTTCTTTTTTTTTTTGTCAGTGGCAACTTTTACATGATTTTCTGTGATCATGCACACAGGGACTAAAAGCACTCACTCTCTCTGCATCTGGGACCCGTCCTCTCCTCTACCTCTCACTGCAGTCAATGGTGTTTGCTCCTCTGCCCTTTGCTCTTGCTGGGCCATGGTGACAGCTTCCTGGCTAGGTTCTCTGCCTTCATTCATGGCCCTGTGTGCCATTTTCCCCGACATCCAAGACTTAAACTTTTAAATATGGTCATCACATCATGTTAACTCTTCACTTTCACTTCTCGCGTAGCTGCTTGCTGTAGCTGGAGTCAAATCTACCCTCCAAAGACCCCCGGCTCCCTCTCTTCCCCTGACTGGCTGTGCTCTGGCTCTTTCCGACCACACGTGTGTCAAGCTCCTACTATCATCCAGGCCTCCCCACGTGCTTGTCCTGTGCTCTAATCGTCTTTCTACACCCAGCTGCTGCCTTTTATCATTCCTGCTTTGGTTCTATCACCGTCTCCTCAAAGAGGTCTTCCCGGCTGTCCCAACTGAAGTAGTCCTCACTTAGCCTCAGCCCCTGTGTAAGCCATGGCAACGTTTCATTTCCTTCATCACACTTAGCACTGTTGAAAATTGTCTTTATTTATTTGTTCCAGCACCACAAAGTTCAGGTGTAAAATAGAGTTTACTGGAGGAAAACAAGCCAAGAAGTAGTGGGTTGCACGGTCTCCTTAAGTCGTGTTACTCCTTAGCTCTTAGACAGGATATACACAGTCTGGTGCATCAGGGCCAAGGCACCAGCAAGGAAGGACAATGTCCCCATGATGCTCTGTATATTTATGGTGTGTATTTAAGAGAAGGGAGCAGGGGATATCTGTGGGACCACACACGTTCTCTAGTTGAGAAAGTGGCCTTGTTGGAAGGGAAGGTCCTCCAGAACCTGGCAACCAGACACTGACCCGTCCTCCTATTAGGCTCGGGTAGAGCGCCTACCAAGTACTCTGCTGAGCTATTATATAAAGGCAGGGAGGAAGTGAGTCCCTGGGGCCATGCTCTTCTGCCTCTCCTGAGTAAAATATAAGCCCCATTAAGAAACAGAGCTTATCTTGTTTACCACTACAATAATACCAGGCACGTAGAAAGGCAATCAAAAAATATTTATTGAGTGAATGGGAGAATAGCAGAATGAGTAATAATAAAATCATGATTCAAAAGTAACTGAAATTCAGAGAGAAAGACCAACTTTACTAGAAATGGTATCTTGGTAGTGACCTGGAGCTGATGGGGAGGGGGTGTCTAATTTACTGCAGCATTGTAACTGCGCATAGAAGGCACAGCAGGAGGGCAGCCACTGATGTGGCTCCAACTCTTAGAGGTTCCTTTCCTGGTTTTAAATACATGCCATGGCTGGGCACGGTGACTCATGCCTGTAATCCCAGCACTTTGGGAAGCCGAGGCAGGTGGATCACGAGGTCAGGAGATCAACACCAGCCCGGCTAACACAATGAAACCCTGTTTCTACTAAAAATACAAAAAAAAAAAAAAAAGCCGGGTGTGCCTGTAGTCCCAGTTGCGTGGGAGGCTGAGGCAGGAGAATGGTGTGAACCCAAGAGGCGGATCTTGCAGTGAGCCGAGACCACACCACTGCACTCCAGCCTGGGCGACAGAGCAAGACTCCATCTCACGAAAAAAAAAAAAAAAAAAAAAAAAAAAGGACACGCATGTTAGTCCTGCACTGCCCACAGCTTCATTTACGGAATTACCACTGTCAAGTTGACATGTGCTGTCTCTTAAATTACTCTTCGGTATGAGAAGCAAAGTTGCATGTTTATTTTTGTCAGAGAAAGAGACTGGGATTCTTTGGAAGACATAGGCCAATTGCCCTTCATACCAAGAAAAATCTTTCTCATTCTGACTGTTTTGTTTGTCTCAAACCAGCATCACAGACTGCCCTGGATGGGTTTTGGCAACAAGAGTGATAATGAAGTCATTTCCATGGTGATAAGGTCAACGTTCTTAATGCTTACTGCATCACAATCAATTTTTGAAATGTTTCTAAATTAGAAAAGTGAAAAAACTTGTTAAATGAAGGAAAAGTGTACGATGAGCTAAATGCTGAGGAGAATGACTAATACTCTGCATGAAATACTCATCAAGCACTTGATCACATGCACCTCTGGAGGGTTTCTTATTAGAAGACACTTCCCTGGAGATGAAGTCATTCTGGTTGCCCCCATTTCACAAATACCAACCTTGGAATAGATATTATTGACTTGTAAAATGGACAAAATTTGTTTTCAAAATGTCAATAAAAACTATTAAGTAAGCAAAACAAATCTTTAGCAGTCTCTATCATGGCCCATTAGTGGAATTACTTTTCTCCACCAATGTAATAATCTGTGTTTCAGGTCTCTTAGGAACTGAAAAAATTACATATAATGGAGAAATTATACCTATTAGGTCACTATGTGTTTCTACAAGTCAAGTAGTCTGTTGCGGTAGCTTTAAAGCAATTTTCTCAAGCTAATGATTAGTTTAGCACGGTCTTATCCTCTCTGACATTTTACACTCCTGACGACTTTTTTCTTAGAATTCTCCTTAGCGCCATGTTTCCCCATTTTGATGCTGCTCTTTTCCTGCTCCCTGTTGGGGCTTTTAAGTGATGTTTCTTTCTTTGATCACCTCCTGAACATCAATGATAGTCCCCATTTAATCCATTCTCCTCTTATACTTGACACTTTTTTTTTAACCTCATCTGATCACATAGATTCAAATTTCACTTAAATATAGGCTTTCAGTCAAACTTCTCAATAACGTTTGTAGCCATATCTAAAACTGGACTCATCTCCACTCAACAGTCCCCCAGGTTCCTCACACTCAACTCACCCACAGCTCCTCCGTCCCCACCACCAACTCCAGGTGCTTCCTTGATGTCCACATTGGGATGGATGTGATTCACTTTCCAATGCTAAGTGTGGGAACCTTTCTGCATCCCACCCTTTCACTCACCACCGTTCTCAGAATCCAGCCATCAACCCAGCAGCCTGCAATTCCTTAGGATCTTTTCTTTTTTCCTTCCTATATATCTTATTCCAACCGGAACCACTGTAAGGCTCATGCCTGGTCTCCCTAAGCTCAGAAGGCACTCAGCTTCCAGCTGGGAGGAGCGGGCCTCAGTCACCAAGTCTCCTCAAGCCTCTTTGACGAGATGAGGTGGGACCTCTTCAATATTAATATGGCTCTACATTCATTATACTTAAATTACAGAGAGTTTATCAGGAAGAAATACAATTTATGCTAGTAAATATTTCTTCTATATAAAAAATGTGAAAGAATTTGGGAATAAAAACCATGGAAGTGAAAGATATGAATCCTGACCTTCAGAAGGAGTGGGAGTGGGTGAGAAACCAAGATTGCAGTGACCTGGGTCTGGATTTTAGCTCCTCCATTTGTTTGACTGGGGCAAGATATTTTAGTTTTGGTTTCTTTGTAAAATGAAGAGGAACACTTCAGTCAAAGGTACGTTTTGACATTTAAATTATATTGCATATGAAGCATACATCCCCAAAACTTGGACATGGTAGATTCTCATCAAATCATAATTATTATAACTTAGAAGCACAAGACTTTCATAATTGAAAAGTAAAATATCAGCAATAGTTTAAAATAACAGTTTAAGTAAACAATAATAGAAACGCCATGAGGAATCCACCCTGTCTGCCAAGGAACAGTGCGGACAGCCATTCCTCAAGGAGCCCAGATTGTCTGGAGCGGAAAGAAATTACAGACAGGAAACCCCTACCTAGACACAGCAGCACCACACACCAAATGTTCTCTGACTCCTCAGCTCCTGAAAAAGAAGATTTTGCTACACAAAGCAAAAAAAAAAAAAAGAGAAAGTTTTATAGATTTTTATGGTCTTTAAATAAGATTAGGGCCAGGCCCGGTGGCTCACGCCTATAATTCCAGCACTTTGGGAGGCTGAGGCAGGCGAATCACAAGGTCAGGAGTTCGAGACCAGCCTGACCAACATGGTGAAACCCCATCTCTACTAAAAATACAAAAAATTAGCTGGGCGTTGTGGTGCATGCCTGTAATCCCAGCTGCTCAGGAAGCTGAGGCAGGAGAATCGCTTGAACCCGGGAGGCCAAAGTTGCAGTGAGCTGAGATTATACCACTGCACTCCAGACTGGGTGACAGAGCGAGACTCCGTCTCAGGGAAAAAAAAAAAAAAATTGAAAAGTTAAAAGATAAGATTACTCTAAGACTCACCTCTCACCTGTACCCAGGGACTTCTAGGTTTGAAAGCATTTCCACCACTACTGATGATCTAAGGGAGACACTGGGGAAAGTATAGCTGCATAATCCTTCCCTGTGGGTGTCACTCCCTAACCTCCAGGCTCTCCTGGGTGTGGACTGGTTGGGGGAGATGATTGGAAACTGCCATTTGTGTCTACTGCGCACAATGATAAGAGATAAACTTGGCTGGGGCTATTAGAGGTCGTTTATTTAGTTCAACATTTCGTATACTAAAGAGGAAACCCAAGTTCAGACCGGCTGAGTTGGAAAAGTCACCTAGCTACTGGAAGCAGAGCCAGGCCTAGATCTCCTAGTCCAAAACTTCTTTTCTCCCACACCACAGCTGCTGCTTTACATTACTGGGGTTTTGGAATTTTACTCATTCAAATGCAAATGTTTTGTGTGCTTCTTTAATGGGACATTTTTTGTCTTACTTTACTAAGTAAAGTACAGAGTGAATGAGAGTGGATTGGAGGTGTTGAAATCGTCAACCTCTTTTAAAGCATCGTTATTTTTCCTTTGTTTCTCTTTATGATGTGAAACACTTACTTCTTTTTCTTCCCAGCTTGAATTGGAGACAGCAGCACAGATAACTTGACTTTCTTGTTCTAGTGGATGATGCAAGTAGTGAGGATGCGATTAACGAAATCAATGGCTCATGGGAAAGCCTTCCCATTTCCAATCTCACCCCTACTTTAGGATATGGTCCAGTGAATCCGTTGCTATGAAACAGTGCTGCAGCTGGGCTCAGTGGGGGTCTGGGTGGTCTCACAAAAGCTAGCAATAGTTGTAACTTGGAGAAATTAGAAGTGTTACGGGCCGTCCAATATCACATCACTGGGATAAGTCATGATCGTGTGACTTCATAAAGTTTGCCATTGACCCATTCATCAATTGGTTATTGAAGTCATACTATATTCCAGGTATTGTATTAGGTTCCAGAGATACACTGTCCTTGCTCCATAGTCCACATGGACAAATCAGCGAGTGATCGTGATGTGATGTGGTGGATGCTGTGATGGAGAAAGACGAAGTGAAAATATTCATGCATCAGAGTGGCATCTAACCCATCTTCCGAGGTCAGGGAAGGCTTTTTGGAAGAGATGATATTTAAGCAGAAACCTGAAGAATAAAATAGATGGCACAGGTGAAAAGGTGGAATAGAGGATGTTCCTAGCAGAAGAAGCTGTATTGTATGTCAAAGGCTCAGAGGCATCAGAGAACCGGCAGAACGCAGGGAAGTACAAGCGCACAGTGTGCCGAGAGCACAGGATACAGGTGCAAGATTGGGAGGAGGAGGTGTCCACAGATGGGGTGGAAGCACTGCACAGCCTCCAAAGCTGTACACAGCCTCTCCTTGTCTGCCACAGGACTTTGCGTGTGACCACTGCACCTCCAGGAAGGCCAGGTGCACATCGCTTCCCATGCGCCCGGCCTCATGGCCTTTGGGGGTTGTCGTGTGGAATGGAGATGACACGAGTGCTGCATGTGAGGTCAGGGAATTGGGTATGCATGTCACCACTCAGAATGGGGCTCCTGGGTGGTGGAGGGAGTGCAGTTTTCTGCAGTATCTTTGAGCAAGGACAAAATGGCAACAGAGGAGTAGCTGCAACTAATAGAAAGATTTCAACTAGCAATAGCTTAAAGAAGGTAGAAGTCTTTTCCTCGCATGGGAAGGCAGCCTGCATACAGGCAGCCTGGGCCTTTTGTGGCAGCCACACAGCGTCCTCTGAAAGGGCAACTCGCCTCCCAGGTTTCTGAAGCCTAGTTCTCCGCATGTGGCTTCTACCCTGGGGCTGTGTAAACGTCAGCATTCTAGCATGGAGCTGGGCTGGACAGGTAGCAGCCCTTTCCCTAAGGCTAATGCATTTCTTGTTTCTCTCCAGGTCAGTCAGGATCTTTGATTTTGGAGCACAAGCCTTCTGCGTGCTACTGACTGGGTCCTGGCCTCCCTCCTTCCATGGCATCGTCGTGAATGGGAATTTCCACCACTGCCTCCATTAGGTAACTATGGTGAGCCTGGCAATCGCTTACTATTATTTCCAGTGCTGCTGTTTTTGTCTTTTTAAAAATTATTCTTTATTTTTAACATTGTATTTTTAAATAATTTTGGGGCTGGGCGCGGTGGCTCACGCCTATAATCCCAGCACTTTGGGAGGCCGAGGCAGGCGGATCACAACGTCAGGAGATTGAGACCATCCTGGCTAACACAGTGAAACCCTGTCTCTACTAAAAATACCAAAAAAATTAGCCAGGCCTGGTGGCGGGCACCTATAGTCCCAGCTACTCAGGAGGCTGAGGCAGGAGAATGGCGTGAACCCGGGAGGCAGAGCTTGCAGTGAGCTGAGATCACACCACTGCACTGCAGCCTGGGCGAAAGAGTGAGACTCCGTCTCATAAATAAATAAATAAATAAATGAATAATTGTGGACACAAAAAGTTACAAAAATACTACAAAAAATTCCCATATACCCTTTTCGTACCTTCCCAAAATGTCACTATCCTAAATAACTGTAGTATAATCATCAAAGCCAGGAACTCAAATTGATAGAATACTAGAAATACATCCATATACCTTATTCAAATTGCAGTGTCCCACTAATGTCCTTTTTCAGGATCCAGACCAGGACCACAAGTGGCATTTAGTTGTCATGTCTCAGTCTCCCGCAACATGACTATTGTGCCTTCTAAATGCATCATATCAGACTGTGTATGATCTTACACTTTGATGCCTTGGTTAAGGTAGTATATGGCAGGTTTCTCCACCATAACATTTACTATTTTTCCTGTTGCAATTATTAAATATCTTGTAGAGAGCTACACTGAAACTAAGCAAATGTCCTGTTTCTCGTTATACGTCTCTCCTGCCCAGCTGGTTTTAACACCTGTTGATGACTTTTGCCTGCAACAGCTGCTCCTGTGGTATTTGTCAAATAGTGATTTTGTTGTGGTCTTTTAAAGTGCCATCATGGGCACACAATCCACAGCTGGGTTTGAGAATGTCCAGGAGTTAACTCTTGTCAGACCACTATCCCCTGTGGTCCCTGGTCCTTCAAGGTCTGCTATGCTGACACGGGCCCTTCAAGGCTTCCCTGCGAAAGCCAGCCCCAGGCAATAGCACTGTTCCAGGCTCCATTTTCTGCTTATTCTCTACCTGCTGCTTCTGCTCTTCTTTCTCTTCTGGATCCAGACTCTGGGGGTTATTCCTGGAATAAATCTAGATCTGAGGTTGGGCTTTGCATGTTTTTGGTGCAACACCCCATCGTCTGTCCTCCTGGGTTTATTAAACCTGAACTCCACCTTCCTCCTCCCCTAACACAGTCCTCTGAAGTTGGAGTCTATCACAGCCTTCATCATGCAGGTCATTTACGGAGGTCCAGCTCTTCAAATCTCTGTGCATTTGTGGAGGTGTTCTCTAACATTTTCTCTTTGGAAGACTAAGAGCCAATATTGGACAAATTATTCATGTACTTGGGAATTTGTAGACATAGTCAAATTGAATAAGTGATTATTTTGTCATTAAAAAGAAACTATGCTCACCCCTGATTATCCACCAAGGAATGATGGGAGTTGAGGAAAGGGGTGGAAGGGCAAGTCCCACAGAGGAGTAGGTCAAAATCTCCTTGGAGAACTAGGCATACTATTTTTATGTTCATCAGAAGTATGCACTGATCAAAAAGGCTGAGAAATTGTCTTCGCACAAAGTAGACTACTTTGAAGATCTAGATGTGAGTATAATTGAGACAGGATTGGGGTGAAGGAGTCAAGCTAGTCTCAGCAATTGCAGCATAAAACAGGAGGAATGCAATAATAACAATGAGATCTTTACTGAGTCCTTACTAACTCATTTAACCTCCACAGCAACCTAGGGCAGTAGGTAAAATTGCTGTTCTCATTTTAGAGCTGTGGGTTCAGAGTGACGAGGTAATCAAAGGGCACTCAGGCAATTACTTGGGGAGCCAATACTGCAGCCCAAAGCATCTGACTCCAGCACTCACATCCTGATCATTGCCGACCATGCCTGGCCAGGTATGAAACAGAATGAGGTTTCGCTGTGATCTGGGGGGACGTGGTTTGTAAGGGTGCCTGCACCCGTGCCTGTCACAGAGCACACTTCCCATTGGGAACATCCCTGTCGACACTGCTGGCCACCATGGCGCCCTCTGGCTTCCTGCCCACAACAGGAACAGACCGTGGCCTCCTTGGTGATGGTGGATCTTACTTTGGCTATTGCATCACTGCTCACTTACCCTCATCTCACCTAACCAGTAAGTCCACATGTGGGATCCCTGTCCCTACCACACACACATCCATTCAGGACAGGAAGTGCATGATGTGACTCACGAGCAGAGGGAAAGGGAATTGCGCTCAGCTGGTAAAGGCAAAGAAAGAACAAATAGAGGCTATAGCCACCAAGAAGAAGAAGAGAAGAGAAAGGACCAAGGCTAATAAGCACTGAGATGGCCTTGCTTCTTGTTAAAATATTGAGATGTTTCCAACTGCTTGGTAAATGGCCACTGCTCCAAGCCCACCCCCTTCCTAGTGCCCTGTCACCCTATCACTGTCTTTCCCCTTTCCAGCAGTTACAGAATTCAGAATGGTTTAATTCAGAATGGTTAGGTCCTAACCACTTGAATATTTTAAGTATTACCCCAGAAGAGAACTAAAACCAAACATTTGGCAAAAGTAGATTTTATCTACCTTTCATTGCCTTACTCCAGAGCGCGATTTCTGTGGCGCACAATTCCTCTCCCTGTCAAAATGCTCTTCCCCTTGGCAGCTTTTATCCTGCAACGCGGTTGCTGAAGATTCTGCTTTCACTCCCCTTCCTTGGGAAAGGCCCAGCAGAGAGGACCTTCCAACCAAACTGCCCTTAGCCATTCAGCATGGCCTTGCTGCCTAGAAGTTCACCCTCTTGGCAACTGTGGCCTACACTGTCCCAGCACGGACCCACGGCAGAAGAGGGCCCTCATGCACTCTGCACCCCTGTCAGACTTCTGTGAAATTAATGGCTCAGATAGCAAAGAAACCCAGTTCAGCCACCAAACTACTTAAAAGGCAGTTACAATCAAGGCATAAGATGTGATAATTTGATACACATATTCATTGTGTAATAATTTTCACATTAACACATCCATGTCCCCCAGTAGTTATCGTGTGTGTGTGTGTGTGTGTGTGTGTGTGGTTAGGACATGGGCAGTCTGTCAGATTCAAAACCAAGAACAACACTTCTCCAGCATTCCTTCCTCCAGTCCCCATTCTCTGCACCCTAGAGCAAACCCGCCTCCTGTGAGTAACACAAATTAACTCTAGTGTTAGTTAGAGAATTCAGTGTTTAGGAAATGGCCTTTGAGCCTCGGACTCAGTCTAGACGTTTTTCAGCCTGTGCCTCATCTGGATACCTTGTCGTCCTGGTTTCAGTGAGACCTGGAGCCGGCTCCGCTTTCTTTCCTGCCCATGCCGTCTGCTTCATGCTCCCATACTTTTCTTATAAAACAATATTTTAAACTCTTAAATAAAATTGTAGGAAAAAAGTCATCCATAAACCTAACTCACAAAGTAATTACCTTACATTTTAGTCTATTATTTTCATGTCTGTAACCATATAAATAATTATAGCCATAGCCTTAAATTTTTCTCTCAAATATTTTATTGTTACATAATATAATTTCATATTTTTAAATTACTATTTTAATAGCTAAATATGCCATTTAGCTACTATGTCCTAATTTCCTTAACCATTTCCTTATTGTTAGATACTTTATTTTTTTTATTATTTTACAGTTACAGATCACGTTACAATCAATACTTCAATGGACTTCACTTTTTTTCCTTTCCACTGTTTTCTTAGAATAAATCCTTAGGAGTTAGAATACTGGTCTGAGTCGTATAAATATTTTTATAGCCTTTTAACTTTCCATGAGGGCTATATTTGTTTATACCACTTGCCTTATTTCATGTCTGCATTCTATTTGTATGTCTTACCCAATCTTCTTCTGTAATTTTTATATTATCCTTTCTTTTACTTAGAAAAATTGTATATTTTTATGTAATTGCATCTGTTATTTTTCTCTTCTATCTTATATTGCCTTAATTCTTAGAATGTTATCAACACTTTAAAGTTCTGCCTTTTTGCTGGCCCATCTATAATTTCCTTAATATCTTGTTCTTTGATATATTTGGGAATTTTGAATATAGTTGTATATTTATTTTTTTCCACAACACTGTATCATTAACCCAATATCATTTATGATGTTTTGCTGTTTTACAAGGTTATAGTAATCCTACACTAATCTAGGTCAATTTCTGGGCTCTCTACGCATTTGCATTCATATGTTTTTATATTTTTCATTCATATTTCTTTGTTTTCAACATGATGCTACAGTATGTTTTGATATCAGGTACAGATACTTATTCCTTGTTATTATTTTTCTAAAAACATTCTTCTGTTATACTCTGACAATCTTCACTTCCATGCTATTTGAGTAGTCTGTGCTCTTGGCCACACCCTAAGCTAAGCCAGCACCGTGATTATCCCACCTCTGAAATAATAAACTTAAATCCCACTAAACCACGTACTCATTCTCTTCACCTTCTCCACTCTTTTATTCCAAGTCACCCTGCACTTTGCACCATTGGGATCTATTACCCCAGCTCCTCACTTCACTCCTTATCACCCCGGCGGAGCAAAATGATCAATTATTTTAGGATAATTCCATCAGCATTTCACGTTTCACAATTTCTTGTCTATCCACCAAAGTTACGTCGCCCATTTCCAACTCTGGAGGCCCCTGTCTGTCCAGGCTCAGTTTCTCCCCTCAGCTGCCCGCTGCAGCCTCACAGAAATCAAGGGCCCCTGTCACATTACAGTAGTTTCTCTGGTTGCGCATGCAGGATTTGCGTCAGGGTGGTAGAAGATTGGAATTGGCAAATCCAAATATGCTGCATTCTCCAATCTACGATGTTGTTATAGTGAGTGTTAAAAATTCTGGAACAGATTTTTTGTTGTTGTTGTTGTTGTTGTTGTTTTCTTTTATTATTATACTTTAAGTTTTAGGGTACATGTGCACATTGTGCAGGTTAGTTACATATGTATACATGTGCCATGCTGGTGCGCTGCACCAACTCGTCATCTAGCATTAGGTATATCTCCCAATGCTATCCCTCCCCCCTCCCCCCACCCCACATCTGGAACATATTTTAAAACGTGTCAGTCACCAACTAGGAGACTAAAGAGTTACCCTAGGAACACTGCATGGCATGTAAGAGCAAATTTCCTTTTTTACCAGTAACATTCATTTAAATAGGAAATAGGAAACTATAGAAGGAAATATGTGTGTGTGTGCGCGCATATGCGTGTGTGTGTGGGTGGGTGGGTGGAAGGGGTAAAACGGAAACACAGGGACAGAGACAGAAACAGTTGAGAATTCCTGCCTCAAAAAACCCGATCTGCTGGAGTTTGTATACATTGTCTTTTCCAAGCTTGAAAAAAGTTCTCCACAGAAGTAATGACCCTGGACTTGCAGAAGAGAGCGCTAAAGCTCAGAAAGTAAAGTCAGCTCTCAAGAAGACTTCGCTAGTAACTAGCGAAGTAGGATCCCACCCAGATCTGCGTTCTCCACCTGCTGTCACATGATGCAGTGAGTCAAACAGTACTGTCACTGCATACCTCATTACGATGCCACGCTGACTGTCTCAGCTCCACGACAGTGGTTATTGGCCATTTTGTTCAATGACACCTAGCAATGCCTGCTTCCTACCAGTTACTTAACAATAGTTGTTGAATAAATTGCTCCGTTCACTTATATTCATGGCATATGGATGAATAAAGAGCATGCTCACCAAATATTTGGCTAGCAAGTACTCATGTATGTACAAAAGAACAGCCATGTGTCGGGCAACAGAATCAGGGTCAGAAACTCTCCTGTCGGGGCAGCGAGCAATGTGGTGGGACAGGGGCTGCCTCAAAGCCTCCTTTTGGGTTCAAAACCCACAGGAAAATGCAGCAGAAGAGTTTAGGAAGAGTACTTTCTATTTTGTTTGGAGGTTGGTTTTTTTGGTTTCTGGCTATTTTTAAAAATTAACACCTTGCATTGGTGTGGTACCTTTGTTACAACCAACAAACCAACGTTAGTACATTACTATTAGCTAACATCTGTAATTTAAATTAGGGTTTACCCTTTTGTTATATAGTTGGATAATTTGTATTGTAGAGTTTAATGAGTTTTCACATATGCCAGTATCACTCATCCATTATCATAGCATCATACAGAATATTTTCACTGACCTAACAATCCCCTGTGCTTAACCTATGTATGCTCCTCCCTGTAGCTCTCAACACCTGGAAACCACTGATCTTTTTACCATTTTTATAGTTTTTTTTTTTTCAGTGTGCTGTACATTAAGAATCATATAGTATGGAGTCTTTTCAGACTGATTTCTTTTACTTAGGCATATGCATTTAAGGTTCCTCCATGTCTTTGTGGTTTGAGAGCTCTTTTTTTTTAAACCAGTGGATAGTATTCTGTTGTCTGGATATACTGCAGTTTGCTTATTCATTCAAGTATTAAATGTTATTTTGGTTGCTCTCAATTTTTAAGTTATGAATTCAGTTTCTAGTTAGCAGAGAACACATGAGCGTCAGTCTCTGGTACTATGCTGTTTCTAGAGCTCTACAGATGTGAGCCTACCACATGCTACAGCAGGAGAGACGTCTGCACATAGTAGGCCTGCTCTTCTCTGCAGTCTTCAGACTGGCTTTCTGATGCTTTTCATGATTATTTATTGAGGAATATAGTGTTAAATTCTAAGCCCAAATATTTTCTGATAGACTGTCACATTCGGGAAAAAAATGCAACAAAGACAGTTGAAGGACTCAAAATCCTCTCCTTTGAGGAAACACGGAAGAAGAGAGAATTCAGAGATGCTGCCAACCATCTGCAGCCACCTTAATGGCAGTCACCGGAAAGAGGGCCAGCCTCGCTCTGCAGGACCATGGGGGATAGAAGTAGGAGCAATGGGTGAAAGGAACCTTGGAGCCGTTCCAGGTTTTGAGAGGACGTTGAGGATTCCCATGCATTTTGTTGCAGACATTTCCCCATCTCAATCATCAAAGAGCAGGGGAGAGTTGCCATCTGACCATCGAGTCTCAAAATATTGCAGCCCTGGTAAGTTCGTACATATATACCCACAGGAACTTGATTCAGAAACGTGTCAATCAAAAACATTTCTGAGACAATCTTGAAATTGAGTCCAGTAACCCACACAGCCCAATTCTGTTATCTCAGATGTCATCAGACGCCCTTGAAGGTGATTGAGGTTGCTTTTGTAAAGTTGGAGTTTAGAACCCTTAAGTGAGCACATCAGCTCTCGCATGGGGTATGGTGGCACCTGGAGAAGGCAGGCATTGCTTTCCTCTGGTGCTCGTGAGTTTTCATATTCAACACATTTTGTCTTCTCTCTACCTGAGTTCAGAATTCTTCCTGCAGTTCTCACCTGAAACCACAGCCATGGGTGGCCCCACAGTGCTTTTCACTGAGTGACATGAGGACCCTGTAGGTCTTCTTCCCTCTGGAGCTGAGGCATCTGGTGTACCCCCTGTTTCAAGCAGTTCTTGCCCCACGGAGGGAGACCCTCTTCTGGGGACTTAGTGCCACACAGACACCCGGCCAGGGCCCAGCGCGTACAGCAGCTCCAGGAAGAATGCTGGCTGTTTTCAGGAACTAAGCTGGTTGGGTCCTTAATTTCATGCCTGAATCTCCTTTCATTTTCTGAGAGCCAAGTTATGTGGTATTTT
The DNA here is from genome assembly GCF_000001405.40 of Homo sapiens. Lineage (NCBI taxonomy): Eukaryota > Metazoa > Chordata > Mammalia > Primates > Hominidae > Homo > Homo sapiens. The sequence goes on from NC_000007.14 coordinate 54,791,018, forward strand.
CCTTGATTGAAATTCTTAAAATCATCTTGGTCCAGTGCCTACCACCCACCCTCTGCCTGTTGTTTCTCAGTATTTCTATAGAAACAGACATCCAGGTGTTAAAATCCTACAGTCCTAGAAATGGCTGTTCTCACCAGAGGACGTCAGAGCCCTGTCCTTTGTTGTCCAATGCCCAGTGCAATCTCCCTGTGGCTCAAGCTGGGCTCTGGACAAGGAGATCGTTTTCCACAGGCAAGAGCAGCACCCCTGGGACACGCCTCACCTTCATGAATTCAGCCTGGGCTCCTCAGGCCAGAGTCCTAAAAGCAGTTTTGACTCAAACCTATATTTCTTTTGGCTTCAAGGAAGAACTATATAAATTTCAGTTTGGCTACGCAGGTCAGGAAAGTAAATGTCATTACAGGCCTTTATTTAAGATCAGATTTTACATTTGACACTTTTTCTGTCAGAGGAAAGTACATGGAAATATCAAGTCATGCTTATAGTGCAATCAGTTTAATTAGTTTGTACACACTAGTAAAATATCAAACATTGGCAGAGTCACATCTTATGACTGTGCCCCTTACCATGAATGCATTACATTGTTGCCATGGAGTTTCATGTTAAAACACTATTTCATCATTTCACACTCCAAAACACTATTTGTTCAGCCAGTTGTGCCAAAACAATTGAGGAAGAGAAAAGCAGGCTGCAAACACAAAGCCAACCCTTTGTGGTGAGGTGGGATCGATGGCCATTTTAATCCTGCACCATTCTGTATTTTCTTAAAATTTTCCTCAGTGACAGATTAAGGGGCCTAAGGAAAAGTTACTGTGCAAAGAACTTGAAGAGACAGAATGAATTCCAGAAATTGTCCTGATCAGAAACTGGTAAGCCCAACAATAGTCAAACTGAGAGCCAAGTCAGGAATGCAATTTCATTCACAATTGCCACAAAAAGAATAAAATACCCAGGAATACAGCTAACTAGGGAGGTGAAAGATCTCTACAATGAAGTTTACAAAACACTGCTCAAAGAAATCAGAGATGACATAAACAAATATAAAAACATTCCATGCTCTTGGATAGGAAGACTCAGTATCATTAAAAGGGCCATACTGCCCAAAGCAATTTACAGATTCAATGCTATTTCTATTAAATTACCAACGACATTCTTCACAGAACTAGCAAAACTTATTTTTAAAATTCGTATGGAACTAAAAAGCCCTAATAGCAAAGGAATTTTTTTTTAATTAAAAAGTAAACTTTAGTGTCAAAAAATGCAAACTTGGGGAGGGCAGAAAGATCACACACAAGGCTGTCACTTCACACTTGGAGGGTTGCTTCCCAGAAGGTGGGCAGCTGGGCAGAGGTGCTCCTCTCTTCCCAGTCAATTGGGCAGCAGGGCAGAGGTGCTCCTCACTTCCCAGAAGGTGGGCAGCCAGGCAGAGGCACTCCTCTCTTCCCAGACAGGGTGGCGGCCAGACAGAGGCACTCCTGTCTTTCCAGTCAGTTGGGCGGCAGGGCAGAGGGGCTCCTCACTTCCCAGACGAGGGGGGCGGCCGGGCATATGCGCTCCTCACTTCCCAGACAGGGCCTCGGCAGGGCAGAGGAACTCCTCACTTCCCAGACAGTGTGGAGGCCAGGCAGAGGAACTCCTCACTTCCCAGACAGTGCGGCGCTGGGCAGAGGCGCTCCTCACTTCCCAGACAGTGCAGTGGCCAGGCAGAGGTGCTCCAACTTCCCAGATGTTGGCCACCGGGCAGAGGTGCTTCTCACTTCCTAGATGATGCCGGGGGTGGGCAGAGGCGCTCCTCACTTCCTAGATGGAGCAGCAGCTGGGCAGAGGCCCTCCTGTCTTCCCAGACGGGCAGCAGCTGGGCAAAGGGGCTCCTCACTTCCCAGTAGCCAAGGAAATCTTAAGCAAAATAAAAGCAGAGCTGGAGGCATCATGCTACCTGACTTCAAACTACACTATAGGGCTACAGTAACCAAAACAGCATGGTACTAGTACAAAAACAGACACATAGACCAATGGAAAAGAATAGAGAACCCAGAAATAAGGCTGCACACCTACAACCATTTGATCTTCAACAAACCTGACAAAAGCCACGGAGAAAGGATTCTGTATTCAATAAATGGTGCTGGGATAACTGGCTAGCCATATGCCTAAGATTGAAACTAGACCCCTTTCTTATACCATGTACAAAAATCAATTTAGGATGGATTAAAGACTTAAAGTATAAAAGTATAAAAACTCTGAAAGATAACCTAGGCAATACTATCCTGGACATAGGAACAGACAAATATTTCATGATGATGCCACAAGCAATTGAAACAAAATCAAAAGTTGGCAAATGGGACCTCTTTCATAGTTAAACTAAAGAGCTTTTGCACTGCAAAGGAAACTATCAACAAAGTAAACAGACAACCTACAGAATGGAAGAAAATTTTTGCAAACTATGCATCCAACAAAGGTCTAATATCCAGCATCATCTATAGGGAACTTAAAAAAATGTACAAGAAAAAAACAAACACCCCCATCAAAAAGCAGGCAAAGGACATGAACAGACACTTTTCAAAAGAAGACATACATGCTGTCAATAAGCATATGAAAAAAGCTCAACATCACTGATCATTTGAGAAATGCAAATCAAAACCACAATGAGATACCATCTAACACCAGTAAGAATGCCTATTACTAAAAAGTCAAAAAATAATGGAAGCTGGCAAGGTTGTGGAGAAAAAGGAATGCTTATACACATTGGTGAGAGTGTAAGTTAGTTCAACCATTGTGGAAGACGGTGTGGCAATTCCTCAAAGACCAAAAAACAGAACTACCATTCAACTCAGTAATACCATTACTGGGTATATACTCAAAGGAATATAAATCATTTTATCATAAAGACACATACATGTGTATGTTCAATGCAGCACTATTCACAATAGCAAGACATGGAATCAACCTAAATGCCCATCAATGGTAGACTGGATAAAGAAAATGTGGTACATATATACCATGGAATACTATGCAGCTATATTCTTTGCAGGAAGAAAGATGGAGCTGGAGGCCATTATCCCTAACAAATTAATACAGGAACAGAAAACCAAATGCCAAATGTTCTCACTTGTAAGTGGGACCTAAATAATGAGAACTCATGGGCACATAGAGGTGAACAGCACACACTGGGGCCTATCTATTGGAGGATGGAGAATGAGGGGAGGGAGAGGATCAGGAGAAACAACTAATGGGTACTAGGCTTAATATGCAGGTGATGAAATAATCTGTACAACAAATCCCCGTGACACAAGTTTACCTATATAACAAACCTACACATGGACCCCTGAATTTAAACGTTAAACAAAAAATAAGATAAAAAATAAGCACATGCAAAAAACAAACAGAAAAAGAAACTGGTCAGCTTTATGTGTGGAAGAAATGGGGGGATAGGAGAGTCATCAAATCCACTCAATTTGATGCATATTATTTGGCCTTAGTTCCAGAAACCATGCAAGAGGCTGGGCCCAGAGGTGAGCAGGAGCCCAGCACACACGCATCCTCCCCAGTGTGGGTAAGCACCACCGCAGTAGCCGAGTGGGCAGAGGAGAGAGCTTTCCATTTGTGTGGAGGGGTTGGGGTAGATGCCATGGGAAGCCACTCAGAGGGACTCTTGGATTTAATGAGTCCCAGAAGTAAGAAGAGGAGGTCCTCTCAACGTAATGAAAGATACAGAGGTTGGCTGGGCGTGGTGGCTCATGCCTGTAATCCCAGCACTTTGGGAGGCCAAGGAGGGCGGATCACCTGAGTTCGGGAGTTCGAGACCAGCCTGACCAACATGATGAAACCCCGTCTCTACTAAAAATACAAAATTAGCTGGGTGTGGTGGCACATGCCTGTAATCCCAGCTGCTTGGGAGGCCGAGGCAGGAGAATCGCTTGAACCTAGGAGGCAGAGGTTGCAGTGAGCTGAGATCGCGCTCCAGCCTGGGCAACAAGAGCGAAAATCCATCTCAAAAAAAAAAAAAAAAGAAAGAAACAGAGATTTAAGAGGTTACGTTGTTTGGGGGCCATCGAATAGAGCACAGTGCTGGTCACAGAATTCCCAAGGGCAGCAGATTTAGCGTCAGGGGCCTCTTTGAAACTGATCCTCTCTCCAGCAAATGTGCATACACGAAGACAATACACGCTGTAAACGATTTCTGGGTTTCGCGGATGTTGAAGAGATCCTGTTGGCAGCCTCTAAGTTTGTTTTTGCAGGCTGCCTGGCTTCCCAAGAACCAGGGTTGGTGCTTTGCAAATTAAGATGTTTATGATGTGAGTGCTTGGTCACAACTTTGGAACCATGTGATAGCTACTTTCATAAAAATCCAATTAAAAATGGATTAAGATCACTTTAATACTAGAGGAACCTTAAGAGATTGATGAGCTTGGCCTCTTTTCCTCCTCAGCAGATATGTTTTGTCAAGCCATCACAGACGGATGTGCATTTTCTTCCCGAGAACACTTGAAGCCAGGAAGGCCATGCTGCAATATTTTCCTCCAAATGCTTTTATTGAATGAAATATTTTCTGTTGTATTTGAAGCCACTTGTTCTTCCTCGATTCTTTGTAAACACTGAGAAATACTGATTAGGATTTCCAGAAAAAATAATTATTTTCCACTTACCAATTGACTCTGGTGTGTATTTTGTGGATAAAAACTAGAGTAACAACAATAATAGGAATTTTGTCAATATGGGTAAATCATGTGCCCCAACAGCAGTGCCCCCAGCTGGTAAGTGGGTGGGCGACCCTGGCCTGCGTTTCTTTCCTCTTTTGCAATGTTTGTCATGCTGTCTCCACCTTGCATTGATATTTTTAATATTTTGACTGTAGAGTGTATTTCCTTATGCATGCCCTTTAAAAATGATGCAGGATAATTTCTAGAACTTTAAATTTTTCACAGTCAGAAAAACATTGATGTATATCTTTTAAAGCAGTGGTAAGCCTAATTCTTGATGTTTCTTTTAAAAATGTAAATAGCTTAATTCTGTAATCAATGAGTCCACAAATGTTTGCAGACATTCTGCTATACACAAGGCAGCATGTTCTTGAAATAACAAAATATTAAATGCGCCATAAAAATTCTCTCTCTAGATTATTGTTTGAGCAATCTGGATATTACATGATTAAACAGTAATTTCCTGAGCACTTCTGCGTGGTTCTTTAATAAAGAAGAGGGGTTATTTACTGGTGTAACCTGAGACTCACCAGGGCATAGAGAAAGCAGAGGGTCTGTTTTCAGCCTCGTCTCTGAGCAGAACATCATTTTCTCATCAGTATTGGATTAAGCAATTTGTGGTCCCATCCCCTGGGCCTCTAAACCATTTTGTGGGCAATAGTCCATAATCACGGAAAGCTGGCAAGATGTTTGTGTAGCGCAATCATCACAAGTCTTTCAGGACGTTCTGATGTCGTTGAAAAAAATACTTTGCTAAACCATCAGTGTGAACATGCTTGAGTGACACCTGGTCACTATTCTGTCTGTAGGGAGGCAGGGCTGATTCCCAGAGTCTCCTGTCTTAGAGAAAGATAAGAACCGCTGACAGGGACCACCTTTCTCCCTTCTCTCTCAGGCAGCACCCAGCCTTCTCCTCTAGAAAAGCACTGGACCAAGACAAAAGAATCCCTGTTTCAAGGGATGCCAAATGACCACTCTGCCCTGTGTTAGACCTGGGTGAGCACTGATTTTAAGGTTTTTTCATTGGTAATGATATCCGGTTGAGGTGACCCCATTGTCTAGGGAAGGCAGGGCCAAGGACACATGTCCCTGATGAGGTCTGTCTCAAAAAGGACGTCTTGGGCCAGAGGATATTGTCTTACACACATGCATCAAGAAAGGGGCTGTATTTGAATCGATAGAAGTAGAATTACATTTTCTCGTAGAAGCAGTGTTGTGATACTAGGATATAGACTTGGCCAGTGGTATCACATAAAATAGCTCCAGGAGACATTTATTTACTCTTTCATTTACTCCAGGTGCTGGGCTATATCTCAGGTACTTTTCATAAACAAGGTTATTAAGGACACATGCCAAAACACTGTTCTGGAAACGTTTTGTTTTGTTTATTCCAGAATTATGCAAGGCAGAGTGGCATTTCAAAAGCTCTATTTTTCCCAGTTTTTCACAGCTGATTATTTTTTTAAAAGCTGCAGTTCTACCTCCATCTTCAACAGAGGCAGATGCCCAAGTCTTGCCATTGCTACGTGGTGTCCTGACCGCCAAGGAGGTAGAGCTCACAATCACATAGGAACATGTATTTCCAATTTTCTTTGTGCTAACTTCCTTGCCTCCATCAGTGCACTGGGTTTTGTGGATGTTGAAGAGATCCTGTTGGCAGTTTGTATTTGCAGGATGCCTAAAATCATAAGATATTATGTGCTGGGACATCAAAAAATATATCAGCTGCTAGCTCCAGAATAATGAGACTACTCTCACAAGTGCAAATATGGGTCATTGTCACTGCAATCTGGGTACCTCAAAGGCCTTCTAAGACAGAGACCATTGTCTATGTATCTTGCTATCCCCAGGCCTAACGCAGAGCTTGGCATCAAGCTGGTATCCCACCAATTAATGTCTATGAAATGAATGCATGAGCTATTAGCCCAGAGAAGATCTGGATAGTTTGCCTCATCAAGGCCTGTAAGTCTTGACCAAGGCTGGCCAGGGCAGCACAGGCTTCAGGGGAGAGCCAATCAAAAGGAGGCATGGCCAGCTCTGGGCAGGCATCGTGTACCAATGTGGGGACTAACCACTGAAATGCCAGTCAAGACACAAGAAGGGACCTAGGCCAAAACCTGCCCAAGGTTAGCAGAGCGGCAAGGGAAGGAAGTATCAGGAGGATCGAAGTATTGTGGGCACAAAAAGGCAAAGTGCTAGTATTGCTAATTTTGACCCAGTGCCCGTGGGCCACCAATAGGACAAAGGCGGCTCTGTGGTGTTCCCTGTCCCAGGCATACTGAAGGTGGGATAGAGTGTGAGAACACCACACAACCCAGGCTGCACCAGGGCGCCGGACACCAACAGAGCTCACGGATATTTTAGCTTCTGATAATTCAGCTTTCTTCTCTCACAGGTGCAAACTCACTTTTAGAAAAACAGTGAACCATGGGACTGTACTAACAGAAGAACAACAAACGCCCACCACAAGCCCCGCCTGTCTGTGACGTGGTGGCCAATGCAGTTAGGAAGAGAGAGCTCTTAACTCAGACTCGTTCACATCGAGCTGGTCATGACTGGAAAGTTTACATGTATTGGCAAATATGCATGTTTTAAACTATGGTGAAACCCCGTCTCTACTGAAAATATAAAAAATTAGCCGGGCATGGTGGTGGGCGCCTTCAGTGAGTTTCTGAATTAGTGTGGGGCATTGAGGAAATATTTCAGGGACAGAACTTCACCCCAGCCCAGGCCTTTTCTCACATGCAAAGGCAGAGGCAAGGGCAGAAGTCGTCGTCTTGGGATGAAGGTCTGCAAAGTCATTCATTTATGCCCAGGAATTGGAAATCTCAAGACTCTAGGCTGTTTCCCTAGTTAGCCTTTGCACTCTGAACTTGGCTTACTCCCCTCCCTAGTGACCACTCTTCTGAACTTCACTCACATTTCTGTCTAAGAACTAAGACGCAAGAGGAGGTCCCAACCTCAAAGAAACTTGTTTCAAGTTTCTTTCAGAGGAGGAGTTAAGCCAATTAGATGGTTACGTGTTGTGTAACCGAGCTCATAAAACATGAAATGGCTTGAACTAAGGTAACATGGGATAAGTGGCTAGAAGACTTTTTAACATTCTTAATTTGGCTGTAGGGTGGAACACATGAACGACTTCAGAAACATTTTTGGTGAGCAAGATAGAATGGAATTGTTGTTCATGTATCAGGCAACTTAGTGTTTGGGAGATAACCCCAGATAAAAGGAAAATTATCATGGGATGAAATTAATGAAATAAGTATTAAAAAGTTCTTAGCCATGAAACAGCTAAGGACAATTTACAGAAGTCGGAGAGGCGAAAGTGAGATGAGGAGGAAGGAGGGAAATGCCTCTGACAAATACAGCCAATTAAAAAGTACCGTGATTCTAAGCCACAGCACGCTCTGTCTGGTCTGGCCTCGCCTGGAGTTCTTCTGCACCCACACCGAACCCAGCTGCTCCCCTCACTCCCCACCATCCTGCGTCTCCTCACACAGCCCAGTGGAATCCAGCGGTGTGCATGCTCAGGTCAGCCTTCTCTCTTCCAACCCTGGTAGCTCATGACCAGCTCGTGAAAAAGATCACTACACAGCGTGGCAGAATTGCGCCACTGAAAATGCACGTTCTCAGCGTTCAGCTGGCCTCATGATTTCACTTCAGTCTCCTAATTGTCTTTGGTGAGAATTTTCTCTTTTTTTCCTTTTTTTCTTTTTTTTTTTTCAGATGGAGTCTCGCTCTGTCGCCCAGGCTGGAGTGCAGTGGCCCGATCTCAGCTCACTGCAACCTCCGCCTCCCAGGTTCATGCCATTCTCCTGCCTCATCCTCCCGAGTAGCTGGCACTACAGGCGCCCACCACCATGCCTGGCTAATTTTTTGTATTTTCAGTAGAGACGGGGTTTCACCATGTTAGCCAGGATGGTCTCGATCTCCTGACCTCGTGATCCGCCCGTCTTGGCCTCCCAAAGTGCTGGGATTACAGGCATGAGCCACCACGCCTGGCCTTTTTTTTTTCCTTTTTAAATTTGTTTTTAAATTAAGAATTGTATCTATTTAAGACTTTTCTGTATCTCCTTAAGCCACCCCTCATCTGTGCTAGCAGGCTGCTCTGCATCCTACTTCGAGGAAGTTGAGGACAGCAGCCCTCCCTGATCACCCCCAAATGCCTGACCCTGAACTTTAGAGGTATCTCTAGCTTTTCCATAGCTTCCTTTCTTTTTCTTGGCTCAGACCTTAAATTCTTGGCTCCCTGCTTATCTCCTCCACACACTCCCCTTAATTAACGTCATGAGCACTTTTTGGATTCTCTGCCTATTTCCTCTGACTCTCCAATCCTGCTCTCCATTTCTGCCCTTCCCCAGGCTGCAGAGACAAGGACCTAATTGCCTCGGGGGCATCATCACTATTCTTCTGGTGTCTCCAATGACATCATCACCTACCTCTTTAGCTAGCCCTTGCCTTTTCTGTACTCTGCTGTGGCTGGTGGGGACTGTCACCAGTTATCAAAACCTAGAAGTTCTGTCTTTTCCATCACCTTCTCTACCCCTGGAGGTCTTTCCAATTTCCCTTCATTATTATTTCTCCAGCCTGCTCTGCTTTTCCTCGTCTACTCCTACTGCTTCAGTCCAAACCCTCACTCGCACCTAGACAACTCAGAAGCCTCCAAAATCATCTCTAGTCTCAAGTCTTGTCCCTTTTAAATCTGTCTCCCACACTGTGGTTTGGGCACTCACCTTTAAATGGAAATTTGTCTGGCTTAGCCCCTTTTAGTGCCTTGCCATTGCCCACATAAGAAATCCAAGGCCAGGCGCAGTGGCTCACGCCTGTAATCCCAGCACTTTGGGAGGCTGAGGAGAATCATTTGAGGTGAGGAGTTCAAGAACAGCCTGGCCAACATGGAGAAACCCCGTCTCTACTAAAAATACAAAATTAGCTGGGCGTGGTGGCATGTACCTGTAATCCCAGCTACTCGGGAGACTGAGTCAGGAGAATCACTTGAACCTTGGAGGCAGAGGTTGCAGTGAGCCAAGATCGCACACCATCGCACTCCAGCCTGGGCAACAAGAGTGAAACTCCATCTCAAAAAAAAAAAAAAAAATCCAAGTATGCTACCAGCACACACAGGGTCCTCCCTCTCCAGTCTGCCATTGCCAGCTGTGCCTTGCACGTCATGATCCAGCAACACCGAACTGCCCATAGTCCCCACACTCACTGTGCCATTTCTGAACACCTTACAATTTTTTATCCTCCCTCTCTGGCCAAATCCTATTTTGACAACAAAAATATCATTTTCCTCAGGACACCCTTCCGAATTCTATAGACCACATGAGGTTCCCCTCTGCATTTCCATGATGCTTTTTGTTAATGAACTTTTAAGAGTTCCTTTTGCTGGGTGCAGTGTCTCACGCCTGTAATCCCAGCACTTTGGGAGGCTGAGGTAGGCGGATCATAAGGTCAGCAGATCAAGACCAGCCTGACCAACATGGTGAAAGCCCGTCTCTACTAAAAATACAAAAATTAGCCAGGTGTGGTGGTGCGTGCCTGTAATCCCAGCTACTCAGGAGGCTGAGACAGGAGAATCGCTTGAATCCAGGAGGCGGAGGTTGTAGTGGGCCGAGATCGCGCCACTGCACTCCAGCCTGGGCGACAGAGCGAGACTCTGTCTCAAAAAACAAAAACAAACAAAAAAAGAGTTCCTATTATGTTTCATCTGAATGAATTAGACTTAGTACACAGTTGATTTTCTCCACATCTGATGACTAGCTGACACTGAACATCAGTAAGCTAGCCTTCCGACATGAGAACTTCATGTGCATTCGGTAACTCCGCATTTCATGTGATCATTACCTGCATTACTCACATGAAATCTCACTGACCTGGATTGTAACAACCTTTCCACATGTCTTCCTCAGCAGTCCCTCAGTCCCTCGAGAGTGGTAAATATGTCTAATTGATTTACATATTCTAATATCTGACAGTGTGACTGTTTCAAAACAGTTGCTCCATAATTGTTGAATTAATGAAATACTAACTCTCCTCCATTTCAGCGTAGTATCCTTCTGTCTTTATGACAAGGATTGCTAATTTCAAGCTTTTAGCCCAGTTGTTTGGTAGTCAAGGAATATATAAAACTGTTTCCTCATGGAACAAAAATAGTAATATCCACAAAACCCCATTTTTCCATCCACCTCCTGTATATAAATAAACCTAAGATCATTAAAAGGGATGTCATGACTTGAGAGGTCTCCACCTGAAACTGGGACTTGACTTTGGTTTTATTGGCTCTGCTAGGCTGTGGGCTGAATATAAAACCATGCCTAGTCCTTTGAATACACTTATTATTTCTTTACAAATGCAATTTGTAGTGGACTTCCTGAAAATGTTTCAGAACAGGATATAGCATCTTATTTTTTTTAACTTTTTCTTTAAAATATTCAAGGAAATCTAAAAAGCAGAGAGAGAAAACTCAGCGCAGCTCTGGCAGCAAAGATCAGAACCATCAGAGGCCAGCGTTAGGGAAGGTTATGGTAAGAGGCAGCACTTGCAGTCAAAGTCAGATTCTTCATCAGACGCAGTGCAACGCCGACCCAAGCAGCTCCTGGCTGGCACGGGGCCATGCTCCAGGCTGGGTCTTCTCCAGTCCTTTCGTTCACACCTGCACTTGTACGTTTTGCTTCAGTTTATTACTCTGTCTTTCCTTTGCACCTAAACAAAACAACTACTTTCCCCACCCGCCCCCGCCCCCCTCAACCCCGAGTAAGTTTGGACCATTCTCTCAGACATTTCTTGGTATGTAGAAATTTCTGCCTGGAATAAAGTTACTTGAATGACGACGTTAACCCTTCTTGGATTTGCCCTTGGATCGTAATTCAAGGACCCTGTGCCCCTCACTAAGTCTCAGATGCATCTCTCTTGTTTAGATAATTATTGTACATCTTCTTCTGGGTCTTCAGGCCTGGCATTCTTCTTGACATTCTGACGTCTGCAAATCTATCTCATTCACTCCCTTATGTTATCGACTGCAACTTTCTTCAGAGCACTGGCTTTTTGATGCCCGAGTCAATTAGATCAGGATAATTTGTGAGATAAATGGAAAATTCCTACACGTGCTCTTGTGTCAATATTTTCTCTCCATGAAAAATCACACTTTGCTCCTTAGCCGCTTGGGTTGTTACCTTAGCACAGTATGACTGAGTCAGGAGAGCATATTTCTGTTTTTCACTGATTCAAATCTAAGCTGAGGAGCTACCCGCTAGGCTGGCACCTTCCCTCACTACCTACCTGGGCCTTCCCCTGCATTTGGTGGGTGCACTCCTGAGCGGCTTGCTGAGTCAGAACTAGTTGGAAGATGACTAGGACTTCCAACAAGGTTGCTGACAAGTTTCTCTTCTAATACATGTGAGCAATTTCCTGGCCTGCTTTTTTTTGCTGCCTCTCCACTAGATGTTCTTTGAAAGCATGGTAACCAGTCATGGAAAGGTTTTCTGACATACAGGAGACCAAACGTTGGCTAGCTAATTCTTAGGCTGAAATTATTACTGTAATTTGAAATAATAATTATAAAAACATGCAGGATGTGAATCTTTAATAATCCAACCAAATTCAGAGACCGAAACATGTTACCAGGCAGCTTGTAAAAATGTTCCTGGTACAGTATGCTGTTGCATTCTGGATAGCGTCTCTTACCCCTCTGAGCAGTGCAATCACCCTGTAATAATTCTCCACCTTTTACACTCTTCTGCCTGGAAGGTGGCATAGTGGTGTAAATAAGCTTTCTGAATTTAAACAACAACAACCCTGATTTGCGGCATTTGCTGACTTTTGTTGTGTAAAGATTCCTGCCATAGCTGATTTCAAGCTATAAACAGTTTAGCAGCTTCCTCATAGAATTGCTGTGCATTTAACAATTGGTGCTCTGAGCCCCCAGGAGCTGCCTCCAGGATAACCCTGGGTGTGGAGCCCAACCTGAGACACCCATCGCCTCTCTTACGCCCAACTGAGGGTTTGCCAAGGTCCATGTGAGAGGTGAGGCCAGCTGGACTTCCTGGGTCCAGTGGGGACTTGGGGAACTTTCCTGTCTTACAAGAGGATTGTAAAACGCACCAATCAGCACTCTGTAAAACACTAATCAGTGCTCTGTAAAACACACCAATTGGCGCTCTGTCAAATGCACGAATCAGCAGGATTCTAAACGTAGCCAATTGTGGGGAGGATTGAAAAAAGGGCACTCTGATAGGACAGAAACGGGACATGGGTGGGCATAATAAAGGAATAAAAGCTGGCCATCCCAGCCAGCAGCAGCAACCTGCTCAGGTACGCTTCCACGTTGCAGAAGCTTTGTCCTTTCGTTCTTCACAGTAAACCTTGCTACCCCTCAGTTCTTGGGTCTGTGCCATCTTTAAGAGCTGTAACACTCACCATGAAGGTCTGCGGCTTCATTCTTTGAAGTCAGTGAGACCATGAACCCACCAGCAGGAACCAGCTCCGGACACACATGGTCTCTTCAGAAACAAAGTGGTCTCAGCAATGAACGTTTCCAGCGAACTCCCTATATAATTTGAATGTAACAATATATCACAACATAAACAGGCTTTCCAATTTATGCAATAGGCTTTACGTTTTCTGTATTTTTGTCTGCATGTATAGAATTGACAAAGCCTATATTTTCCACATAGGAAAATATACAACGAAGAGTTATTTTGTTTTTGTATCAGTGTTGCGTGGAATATTCCACTTCAGTTAAAACAGCTGTTGTTTGGGCAGAGTATCAACGTGTGGCACACACAAGCTAAACAACCCAGTAGAGACTGCATTCTTCAAGAGGAGCTGCTTACCTGGCAATGCCCGCTGGGAGCTTCCCTAACTGGAGGTCCCCTCGCTGGGAGCATCCTGCCAGTGCAGACAGACGTATAACCTGGGATGTCTGTTTTTTCTTTTTTCTCTTGACCTAGTCAGAAGATTGAACATGTTGTAACTGTAGAAAGCCCGTCATCCTTGTGTATGCACTTGCTGAAAGATCCACTGAAGAGCAACCTTCATGAACATTACCAGGGGACTTGTGCTCCTATAAAACGCACTGTTTTCCTCACTGCGAGGTGGGTCTCTCACCGCGATGGACTATCTGTGATCACAGAGCACTTCTTCCCTGGGCCTTCCCTGTCACACTGATGGTGTGAGTATGTAGGGCAGGGGTGGGAGTGAACATGTTAATCTCTTTTGAATAAACTGATTTTGAAGTAGATGTCTCAAAAAAAAGTTTGTCGCAATACTTTCTGGGTAGTGACATTAATTCTCCCCACCAAGAGTAGTAGTTTGGAGTTATTACTTATAAGCAGTGTGGCTTATTTAATAGTTTTATTCCCAATGCATTTCAGGCCACACATCTTCAACGTATAAAGTGTTTGTGTAGGGGAGAATTAAAGTAAAACAGAGAGCCACTTCTTCCTCCCAACCTGTCTCCAGTGATTCCAGAGAGAATGCGGCAGGTCATAAGTACAGAACAATGCTTTGCACCTGAAATAAACCAATAAAGTAAGGCGGACACAGGAGATGACTCAATCCCAATTTAGGTTTTGGGGACAGAAGGGCTGACCGTCCCGGGGATGTGGCCTTGAGTGTTCTCTGTACCCCGTGCAATTTTCCACAGGAGCCTTGGCAGAGAGCTGCTGTCAGAGTCTGGGGCTTGGTCCATCCAGAGCTGGGCAGCATCACCTCCCATGCCCTGCCCAGTGCTGCCTGGGCTTAGAAGCTGGCATGGGCTCTTGGTGCAGGCATGCACACACACACCAGCAATGAGGTCCACACATCAGTCGCCCCAAACTCAAACCCCTGGACTCTCGCACGCCAGATGAGAGCATGCTACGGTTCTTCAGTTATGTTGAGAAAAGACGTAAATAGCAATAATCTTGAAACAATGTTAGGGAAATAAAAGCACAAGTGTAAGCCAGAAAAGAAGTCAGCTGTCAATATAACAACAAATATAAGAACAAAATCAGAAGCCCGGGTGTGGTGGCTCATGCCTGTAATCCCAGCACTTTGCGGGGCTGAGGCAGGCGGATCACGAGGTCAGGAGTTCGAGACCAGCCTGAACAACATGGTGAAACCCTGTCTCTGCTAAAAATACAAAAATTAGCTGGGCATGGTGGCATGCGCCTGTAACCCCAGCTACTCAGGAGGCTGAGGCAGGAGAATCACTTGAACGTAGGAGGCAGAGGTTGCAGTGAGCCGAAATCGGGCCACTGCACTCCAGCCTAGGCGACAGAGTGAGACTCCGTTTAAAAAAAAAAAAAAAAAAAAGAACAAAATCAGAATGTGTAACTTTCAGGGGTAGCAGAGAAATTTTGAACTATTCAGAGGAAGTTTAAAAAAAGGAAGAAAAAAGAAACAAATAAAATATAGAGAATTGAAAATGTAAAATAAGATGAGAGAAACAAATCTGCTATATGAACAACTATAATTTGGGGAAGATTGAAGTGAGTGTGCATATCCCTGAGACTGGTGAGGAACGTGTGCGTGGACATGAACATGTGGATGGGATGCCCAGGGGTGCATACAGAGCTGGGAGGGGGAGCCAGGGCGTGGGCCATGGGCAGGCTGCCCCCCCGCAGCCTTCCCTCCCATATACCTCCTATCGGGGAAATTCAGGAATCCCAAGCTCTGTAGAACTTGGCCTTCTACATCATTAGGCAGTCATCTCTACCAAGGAAGGAGGAGAGAACTTTTTAAATGTACTTTTAAAATTGTTTATTTAAACATTTTTTACTTATCAAATTAAAGTTTGTGGGTTTGATGTATAACTTTTAAATATTTGGACATGTGTGAGAGTGTCTTTGAGCATCATGTGTGGGCCAGGCAGTGAGGGCCCTGAGACGTGGGCAGATCCTGGCAATCCAAAGAGCAGATCCAGCTGGTCTTGCTAGGGGACTGGAGCTGGGGAGTCAAAGAAAGGGGGGCCCATGGACCCACAGTGGACTCAGTTGCCACCACAAGGGATAGGGAAGGCCGTGTGTGGAGTGGATTTGGGGAAGAGCATTCAGGATTTCACTGTTGGGAATGCTGATCACGAAACATCCACGGGAGCTGCCAAGTAGGCATTTGGATGTGTGGGTCTCCAGGTCAGGAGAGGGTCCCAGGTAGACTTCCATTCATGGACAGCAGCAGGCAAATGGAATTTACAGCCATCATAGATGGGGACAGCAGCAAGCATGTGACTGTAGACAGAGAAGAAGAGGAGTGAGGACTGAGCCCTGGAATCTTCCGATGTTAGCCAGTAACTCACTTTACTCAATGCATCACACATTCAGGTATTTGAAGTATATTTTTAAGGGTCTTGTAAGAGGTTGGAGAAAATCTAACGCTATTCAAAGCTAACTGGAGTCTATTGAAATTCTCTGAAAAGTTTTAAAGTAAAACTGTTTCTTCTATCAATCTCCTTGATTTCAACAAGGTTTTCTTAACTTTTTAAAGCAAATTCCAGAATGTTTTGCACAAAATTAAAATTAAAGGGTGTTGCCTGTGGGCACCTTAAAGAGTCTCTTTGATAAGTCTGCATATTGGCTTATTGCTCAAGAGAGATAAGTTGGGCTCCCCAATTTTTATAACATACTGTCAACTCTGTAGTCACACTGTCTATTTCATGTCGTTGCTTGTTAGAAACAGACTATCCGCACTGAGCAGAAAGTACCAGTAACTATTCTCTGCTGCAGCAGCTGCCCATGATGCATTGCGTGGTGAGCCCTCGCCCTCAGTTTTCTGCCAGGTATCTCTCTGCCCTGCTTCCTCTGGGCTCTCCCTGAAGTTGGGGGACACTCAATCATCACAAACCTTGAGATGGAGGAGGGTAAAATGCCCAGGAAAATCATCAACCAATGGAAAAGAAAATGCAGTGAATTAATTCCCTGGGCTGGTTGCTCCTGCCTTAGCCTCCCAAAGTGCCAGAGGAACACTTGAGGCCAAACGTTCGAGACCAGCCTGGCCAACATGGTGAGACCGCCCCCCTGCCGTCTCTGCAAAAAATGATACTAAAAATTAAGTGCCAGCCACCTTTGTCTAGCGAGACATGTTCTGTGTGAATGGGGTCCCGGTGAACAGAGACCTAGTTGTGCACCCAGGAACGAGCTCATGAACATACCCTATTCTGACTTTCCTCCCTTCTGTCTTACTTTTCTAGCCACTTCCTTTGGTACCAGTCCCAAATAAAGTATCTGCTCAGGTATCTAAGGAAAGATACTCCTATTAAATAGCACAGGCTCAACTTTATTTTGAACTCTCTAGAAGGATATTACCATATAGGTAGTGTGGAAGATTATCAAATGAAAAGATCTTGTATTACTGTACTAGCTTCAGGCCTTTGCAGTGGCTATTTGCTCCACCCTAAATGTTCTTTCTCGAGATGGTTCACTCCCTCACATCCCTCGCAATGGAAATTCAAATGTCACCCTCCTATGTGGCCTGGCCAGGCCATCTTGGAGACCAGCACACCTCACCCTATGTCACTTCTCTTGTAATTTTTCTTCATAGCATCATCTGACATCATATATGTTTTATTAGTTGTTTGCCTACAAAAGCAAAAAGGACAGGGGTTTTACCTATTTTTTACACCAATATATCCAGCTTTGCCCACAATAGACTTGGTACAAATAGGCACTCAAATTTTTGTCAAAGCAAAATTTATAGGGCAATATTTGTCTAAAGGATATGGCCAGAAACATGCTTTTTTCCTTCAAGATATTTTTTAAAATCTTCCAGTAAGCATTATACATTTATTGTGGCATCTTTTCATGTTGCGGGAAGACAGGAATCCCGAACAGAGGGACTGGCTGAAGCCATGGCAGGAGAACATAAATTGTGAAGATTTCATGGGCATTTGTTAGGTCTCCAAATTAATACTTTTATAATTTCTTACGCCTGTCTTTACTGCAGTCTCTGAACATAAACTGTGAAGATTTCATGGACATTGATCACTTCCCCAATCAATATTCTTATAATTTCCTATGCCTGTCTTTACTTTAATCTCTTAATCCTGTCATCTTCGTAAGCTGAGGATGTATGTCGCCTCAGGACCCTGTGATGATTGCGTTAACTGCACAAGTTGTTCGTAAAGCATTTTTGTTTGAACAATATGAAATCTGGCCACCTTAAGAACAGGATAACAGCAATTTTCAGGGAACAAGGGAGATAACCTTAAAGTCTGGCTGCCTGTGGGCCAGGCAGGACAGCCATATTTCTCTTATTACCAAAAACGGGTAAGAGAAATATCACTGACTTTTTTCCCTGGTAAGGAATATTAATAATTAACAGCCCTGGGAAAAGAATGCATTCCCCGGCAGAGGGGGGCCTCTAAAATAGCCACTCTGGGGGGTGTCTGCCTTGTGCAGTTGCAGATAAGGGATGAAACATGCCCTGGCCTCCTGCAGCACCCCCAGGCTTGCTAGGATTAGGAAATTCCAGGCTGGCAAATTCTAGTCGGACCGGTTCTCTGCTCTTGAACCCTGTTAAGATGTTTATGACAATGCGTGCACAGTGGGACGTGGAACTTCATTAGTAATTCTAGTTTTGCCCTGACCTTGTGATCTCGTCCTGACCTTCTGCCTTGTGATCTTTTGTTGCCCTTGAACCATGTGATCTCTGTGACCCACACCCTATTTGTACACTCCCTCCCCTTTGAAAATTGCTAATAAAAACTTGCTGGTTTTACAGCTCAGGGGGCATCACGGAACCTGCCGACATGTGATGTCTCCCCCGGACACCCAGCTTTAAAATTTCTCTCTTTTGTACTCTTTCCCTTTATTTCTCAGACCGGCCAACATGTAGGGAAAATAGAAAAGAACCTATGTTGAATTATCGGGGGCTAGTTCCCCCGATATTTTTGTGTTGGCTAAATTTAATACTCAGTTATAGCAATTTTTTTGAGACAGGGTCTCACTACGTTGCCCAGGCTGGCACAGTGGTACAATCTCGGCTCACCACAACTTCTGCCTCCTGGGCTCAAGCTATCCTTCCACATCAGCCTACTGAGTACTTGGGACTACAGGCATGACCCCACACCTGGCTAATTTTTTGTTTGTTTTTTGTAGAGACAATGTCACTATGTTGCCTAGGCTGGTCTCAAACTCCTGGGCTCAAGCGATCCACTTGCCTTGGCCTTCCAAAATGCTGGGATTACAGGCATGAGCCATCATGCCCAGCCAGTTATAGCAATTTTCTTATCATTTGGTTTAGCATTCAATAAATGCTAGTTAATATTTCTGTTGACAAATATTTTCAGAGTTAGCAGATAACTAGACAGAGGAAATCAGCCTAAGTGAAACAAATGACAATTTGACCACTAATACATTTAAATTTGCTAAAGTCAAATACATTTCAGTGTATTAAAATAGATTTTCATCTCGGTTTTAAAGGTCTCTGGTGAAAGACCCCAGATAGATGTGGAAATGTTTTGAAGTAAAGTCAGTGCTGGACATAAGTTCTCAGATCTGATGGGTGAACTCACTTAGATCGAAGCAACGTGGGATCAAAGCCACTTACAAAATTGCAGTACACTCTGAATTTTAGAATAAAGACATTCTTAGGGACACATAAATAAAATCACACTGTTCTCTGAAGTTAGACTGTCATGTAGATGGTTGGTGCCAATTAACGTTATTACTGGTAAATGTTCTACTGAGGAGGACAGATTAAACCATCTGTTTAGACTGTGAGATATTCCTTCAGCAGTGAGGTAGGAATCCTTCCTGCCACCTTTTAACAAAGGACAATATCATTCTGTGTCTTACTGGTATACACGTTATGAAAGATTATTTCACTTCCTTACACATGCTCAATGGGGTTTCCAAGTTTCCAGAAATGTTTTCTTCTTCCTAAGAAAATTAGTTCTTATCCATCTTAAATATTTTCTTACCAATTCATTGAGGTTCTCAAAACAATGAAATGAATCATTGAAGAAATGCTCCTACACAGACAGAAAAACACCTATAATTCTTGCTGATCAGAGTTCTTTACAGAGGAAATTCCAGAATACATGTTAGTCTGCAGAGTACTCCTAAGATCTTCTAAAGGGCTATTAATTTAAAAATACATAAACAAAATAATGTCAATACAATTTTCCTCAGCCCCTCCTAGAGGCCCCTGGCTCATTTGTTTGTAAACACCTTTTCCCTGCTGTTCTCATGTTAGCATATCTTCGCATCGTTACTATAGTTGGTATCATTTTGTTTATGATTTTTTTTATTTTTACACACACAAAAATATTTTGCTATATCACTAATTTTTTGTGTTGGCCAAAGCATTTCACGGAGAAGAACACACACACATGCACACACACACACACAGAAATGTCGCCTTTTATCATAAACATGGTAGTTGAAGAATGATCAGAAATCACCTTTCTGTTCTCAGGGATTTATAGAAACATAATGAAAACCCAAAACAGGAAGCATTGCTTTTTCTGCAAAGAGGAGATTCCCATCGTATGAGGTCTTGACACAGTTATTCTATTTTCTTTGAAGTAAATGTGAGTTTGTGTGTTTAATTCCACTCTGGGGCTTTCCTGTTTCTTTTTATAGAGTGTCTCTACTTCCATCAAATATGGCTTTTCACATGTTTTTTACTTTAACTGTGGCTTTATGGGAATAAGATTCTTAACCAAGTATATACAGACAATTTCCTGTAAAGTTTCCTGACTTTATGCAGGTCTCCATTATGAACACTGATTGATAAAAATCTACTAAGAGAAATTGTAGTGCCTGTCATCCCCGCTTCACCCTAAACTCATTTCCTGCCAGGCCAAACTCTTGAAATAGTTCAAGCACAGTAATCCTAAGAATACAACAAATTACGTGCTGATCTCATTGGAGAGCATTAAGTTTGTGGTTTGCCAGGAGTTCATTTCTAAGTAATGCTAAGATAGATCACTTGCCAAAAAAAATAAAAAATAAAAAAAGCTATTTAATGTTTCAGTTGAGCAGTGATTTATTTTCAAAAATATTTCCAGATGTTCCAATTCACCTACACTTTATAAGGCCACATTTCTAAAAGCAAGTGGCATTGACTTCCAGCTACTCCATCAAGTTATCCACTTTTGTTTAATTCGTTGAAAGAAAGATGCCTATTTATCTCACCTCAGGGTCTTCTTGGTGCGGGAAGTCCCCAGGGTAGATGTCCTGAGAGTCAACAGTGAAGCCGCATGGGGAGACTTGTGCCACATCTGCTTCCAGTCAGTCCCTCTGCTGAGGGCCACAGGGCCGCTGCTGCTCGTGAGAATTCCGGCTCTCATGGCCTCCCACTGCCAAAGAGAAGAAAGGGCCAAACTGCCAAGTGACCTTCATCATACCACATGCTTCTCAGTGTAAACACGTTCCTGGGGACGTATACTAAAGTCAGAATGGTATACCTTTCCTTCATTCCACTGTCAGAGAGTATGTATGCATTCCTCAGACTGGGGTTTTAAACCTTGGCTCTCGCTCAAATGTGAAGTAATCAGAAGTGATATGTTGATAAATTGTCTACTTGTTTGATGTAAGCAGGGAAAAGCCATTTTCCATGTAGAG
Organism: Homo sapiens; assembly: GCF_000001405.40. Classification (NCBI taxonomy): domain Eukaryota; kingdom Metazoa; phylum Chordata; class Mammalia; order Primates; family Hominidae; genus Homo; species Homo sapiens. Next base: position 54,812,262 of record NC_000007.14, read on the forward strand.
TTTGAAAATCATACTTAGTTTACTTACACTAAGTACAAAGAAAGTTCCACCCTCCTACTGAATAGGAGACTTATTGAACCTGCTGCTTGACAGTTGCTTAAAAATATTTTAATATTAGCTGTAGGCTCCTAGAAACAAAAAGTGTATTTATAAAAAAATTACATTTTAGGCCAGGCACGGTGGCTCACACCTGTAATCCCAGCACTTTGGGAGGCTGAGGCGGGTGGATCACGAGGTCAGGAGAACAAGATCATCCTGGCTAACATGGTGAAACCCCGTCTCTACTAAAAATACAAAAATTAGCTGGACGTGGTGGTGGGTGCCTGTAGTCCCAGCTACTAGGGAGGCTGAGGCAGGAGAATCGCTTGAACCCAGGAGGTGGAGGTTGCAGTGAGCTGCGATCACGCCACTGCACTCCAGCCTGGTGACAGAGCTAGACTCTGTCTCCAAAAAAAAAAAAAAAAAAGACATTTTATAAAATGATCTTTCTCTGCAGAAAGCTGGCTAGTAATGGATATTCAGTGGGTTAATTATACTTACTGTAAATGGGATTCTAATTTACTGACATTAAGTGCACATTGCTTTTGGAGTAATATCCAATTAATACATTACCCATTAAGAGTCCTCTTCACAGGGCCTGTAATGCCTACTGCACAGTTCACTGACTTAAGTGTACAGTGTGCACACATGGGGCTCTGAGAAGCTTCTGCTTAGATCCCTGTCTGAGCTAAGACTCTGTGGTAGTGTGGAATGATGATCAACACTCCTTTGGACTGGCCAGATGCGAATTCAAACCAGCTCTACCTATCGTTCACTGGCTATGCGAACTTAATGTCTCCTCACTTGTAAAATGCAGATATTACATCTTCTCACCACTGTGAGCAATAAGGCACTAAACTAGCATGCTTAATACGGTCTCTGGAACATCATAAGTGCTCAATATAGAATCCTATTTTTATTACAATTATCATTTTTCCATTTGTTTTCATCAACTACAGACCATCTTAATTATCTATTGTGGAATTCTACTGCATGTCTCCTTGAACAAGAATTAATTATTTACAAAAAAAAAAAAAGAAAGAGAAGCCAGTATTCTTTTCTCAAGCTATATCATGTATTCAGTCTTTTTGAAATGTCATCTTTTCCTTGATTACCTCAAGAACATTATTTTCTGGGTTGGTTGTGGATCTTTTTCATCAGAGACCTTCCACTATAGGAGATGTTCTCTCCTGTGTTACCAGAAGTCACAAGTTAGAAAGCCTGGGCACACTGCCCTGCTGGGCGCCTTCGGGAGACAGCTGCACAGGACAGCTCTGAACTGGATGGGACTTCCTTAGAGCATTGCTGTGGTTTTTGTCTCTGTTTTACACCCCACCCTGAATTCTAGCTAGCTCATGTGCATGTGCAAACCGCAGAATATTGGATGTAAAATTGGAAAGCTCACACCGTGAAACTTGCCAGGAAGAGTGTCGCTGTGTTTACAGAAAGTAAAATGGTGTTGAACAGTGTTGAACAACGATTTTGAACAATGGAGCAGCCATTTTCAGCTCTGGTGCAGTGCAGAAAGCAACTCTTCCTGCCAGACAGACTTAAAACCTCCAGCTTCCTTTTCTGATTTGCCTTCAGCTAGGCCTGTGTGCTTCTGCTTTTTATTCATTTCATGGGAGTTACGCTTTCCTGCATCTTTCTGCAGACTCCTTCACATAGAAATTTTCCTAGACAAGGTCATCATTTGTAAGCCCTCCTTTGTCTTTGGTTTGCAGCTACCTGTTGAAAATAGGTCCACATTGGTTTATTTCTACCACAGATTTTGGATTGAGGAAGATGCATCAGGTGCAGTCTGGGAAGAGTGACCATTTGTCCTCGTATGTCAGACTGCAGCTCCTATTCCAACATAATTAATAGTGCACTTTTACTTGCTAAGTGATCTAGTTTAGAAAATACACTATATGATCACCCTGAATCTCAGCCCCCAGAAAGGGTGAACATAAAGTCATCAATTTTATTACTGCTCATGGCACTGCCCCTCTCCGTAGTGAGGAGACTTGCAGGAATAGGTTGATTTGCATCTTCCTGGATTTGTTTATGTTTATCCTTTTGTTTGTTTCTCCAGTTGGAGTATGTTGCAATGAACCGCTCACGGAATGGAATCACGGAAGAACTTATTGGAAGGGGAACCAAGGCAGCTCCAAGGTTTTCCACTCAGGGGCTCGTGGCTGTCCCCATAGAGTGCTTCTACTGATACACTGAGGGGCCCATAATTTCCACTTTGTAGGTTCATACGTTTCTAGATTCTCAGCTCCAAATTACACAATCCTGGCACAAAATTCGACTGGCTGAGTTTGAGTTAAATATTTACTGACTCTAGCAGGAGGCAGGGCTCCTTACCACAGACAGGGTGGTTGGCAGCAACCACTGTGTATTGGGAGAGTTTTCAGAGAAAAGTGAATTGGAGTCAGGCAGCCATCCTAAGTGGTGTCTACTCCATTTATTTTTTCTTTTTCAAATTTATTTAATTTTATTTTTTTTTATTTCAATAGGTTTTTGGGGAGCAGGTGGTGTTTGATTACATGAATAAGTTCTTTAGTGGTAATTTCTGAGATTTTGGTGCACCCATCACCTAAGCAGTGTACACTGTACCCATTGTGTAGTCTTTTATCCCTCACCACCCCCACCCTTTCCCCCATGTCCTCAAAGTCCAGTGTATCATTTTTATGCCTTTGCATCCTCATAGCTTAGTTCCCATACATGAGTGAGAACATACAATGTTTGGTTTTCCATTCCTGAGTTGCTTCACTTAGAGTAATAGTCTCCAATTCCATCCAGGTTGCTGCAAATGCCGTCATTTTGTTCCTTTTTATGGCTGAGTAGTAGTACATGGTATATATATGCCACATTTTCTTTATCCACTTATTGACTGATGGGCATTTGGGCTAGTTCCGTAATTTTGCAATTGCAAATTGTGCTGCTATAAACGTGTGTGCAAGTATCTTTTTCATATAATGACTTCTTTTCTTTTGGGTAGATACCCAATAGTGGGATTGCTGGATCAAATGGTTGATTTACTTTTAGTTCTTTAAGGAATCTTCACACTGTTTTCCACAGTGGTTGTACTAGTTTACATTCCCACCAACAGTGTAAAAGTGTTCCCTTTTCACCACATCCACACCAACATCTATTAAAGATTTGTTATTTTCGCTTAGTCTTGCTTTAACTATGTGGGCTCTTTTTTGGTTCCATATGAATTTTAGGATTTTTTTTTTCCTAATTCTGCGAAGAATGATGGTGGCATTTTGATGGGAATTGCATTGAATTTGTAGATTGCTTTTGGCAGTATGGTCATTTTCACAATATTGATTCTACACATTCATGAGCATGGGCTGTGTTTCCATTTGTGTTGTCTATGATTTCTGTCAGCAGTGTTTTGTAGTTTTCCTAGTAGAGGTATTTCACCTCCTTGGTTAGGTATATTCCTAAGTATTTTAATTTTTTTTGCAGCTATTGTGAAAGGTGTTGAGTTCTTGATTTGATTTTCAGCTTGGTCACTGTTGGTATGTAACAGAGCTACTGATACGTGTACATTAATTTTATATCCTGAAATTTTGCTGAATTCATTTACCAGTTCTAGGAGCTTTTTGAATGAGTCCCTAGGGTTTCTAAGTATATGATCATATCATCAGCAAACAACGATGGTTTGACTTTCTCTTTACCAATTTAGATGCCCTTTCTTTCTTTCTCTTCTCTGATTGCTCTGGCTAGAACTTCTAGTACTCTGTTGAATAGAAATGGTGAAAGTGGGCATCCTTGTCTTGTTCCAGTTCTCAGGGGGAATGCTGTCCACTTTTCCCTGTTTAGTATAATGTAGGCTGAGGGTTTGTCATAGATGGCTTTTATTACCTTAAGGTATGTCCCTTCTATCCCAATTTTGCTGAGATCTTTAATCATAAAGTATTGCTGGATTTTCTCAAATGTTTTTTCTTCATCTATTGAGATGATCATGTGATTTTTGTCTTTAATTCTGTTTATGTGGTGTATCACATTTATTGACTTATGTATGTTAAACCATCCGTGCATCCCTGGTATAAAACCCAATTGATCATGGTGGGTTATCTTTTTGATATGCTGTTGGATTTGGTTAGCTAGTATTTTGTTGAGTATTTTTCCATCTATGTTCCTCAGGGATATTGGTTTGTAGTTTTCTTTTTTTGTTATGTCCTTTGCTGGTTTTGGTATTAGGGTGATACTGGCTTCATAGAATGACTTAGGGAGGACTCCCTCTTTCTCTATCTTTTAGAACAGTGTTAATAGGACTGGTACCAATTCTTCTTTGAATATCTGATAGAATTCAGCTGTGAATCCGTCTGGTCCTGGACCTTTTTAAATTGGCATTTTAAAAATTACCATTTCAAGCTCACTGCTTGTTACTGGTCTGTTCAGACATTCTATATTTTCCTGGTTTAATCTAGGAGGATTTTATATTTCCAGGAACTTATCCATCTCCTCTAGGTTTTCTAGTTTATGTGTATAAAGCTGTTCATAGTAGCCTTGAATAATCTTTTGTACTTCTGTGGTGTCAGTTGTAATATCTCCTGTTCCATTTCTAATTGAGTGTATTTGGATCTTCTCTCTTCTTTTCTAATGGGCTATCAATTTTATTTATCTTTTCAAAGAACCAGCTTTTTGTTTCATTTATCTTTTGTTTTTTTTGTTGTTGTTGTTGTTGTTGTTTCAATTTCATTTAGTTCTGCTCTGATCTTGGTTATTTATTTTCTTCTGCTGGGTTTGGGTTTGGATTTTCTTGTTTCTTCTCTAGTTCTGAGAGACGTGACCTTAGACTGTCAGCTTTTGCTCTTTCAGACTTTTTGAGGTAGGCATTTAACGCTATGAACTGAAAGGAAAATATCTCGGACCCCCAAAATCACTAAGGAAAACTCAACTAAGGAAACTGCTTAGGGCAAACCTGCCTCCCATTCTATCCAAAGTCACTCCTCTGCTTACTGAGCTAGATGCATATCTGATTTGCCTCCTCCGGAAAGGCTAATCAGAAACTTGAAAGAATGTAATCCTGTATGACCTATCTGTGACCTGGAAGCTCCCTCCCTGCTTCTCGTCTTCCTGCCTTTGCTTCAAGTTGTCTCACCTTCCAGACCAAACGAATGTACTTCCTACATGTATTGATTGATGTCTCATATCTCCCTAAATGTATAAAACCAAGCTGTGCCCTTACCACCATGGGCACATGTCATCAGGACTTCCTGAGGCTGTGTCACGGGAGTGTACTCAACCTTGGCAAAATAAACTTTCTAAATTAACTGAGACCTGTCTCAAATTTTGAGGTTCACAGAACTTTCCTCTTAGCACTGTTTTTGCTGTATCCCAGAGGTTTTGATAGGTTGTGTCATTACTATCATTCATTTCAAAGAATGTTTTAATTTTCATCTTTATTTCATTGTTGACCCAATGATCATTCAGGAGCAGGTTATTTAATTTCCATGTATTTGCATGGTTTTGAGGGTTCCTTTTGGAGTTGATTTCGAATTTTATTCCACTGTGGTCTGAGAAATTACTTGATATGATTTTGATTTTCTTAAATTTGCCAAGATTTGTTTTGTGCCTATCATATGGTCTATCTTGGAGAATATTCCATGTACTGATGAATAGAATGTGTATTCTGCAGTTGTTGGGTAGTATGTTCTGTAAATATCTGTTAAGTCCATTTGTTCTAGGGTGTAGTTTAAGTCTATTGTTTCTTTGTTGGCTTCCTATCTTGATGACCTGTGCAGTGCTGTCAGAGGAGTATTGAAGTCCCCCACTGTTACTGTGCTGCCGTCTATCTCATTTCTTAGGTCTAGTAGTAATTGTTTTATAAATTTGAGAGCTCCCATGTTAGGTGCATATATATTTAGAATTGTGGTATTTTCCTGTTGAACTAATCCTTTTATCATTATATAATGTCCCTCTTTGTCTTTTTTAATTGCCATTGCTTTAAAGTTTGTTTTGTCTGATATAAGAATAGCTACTTCTGCTCACTTTTGGAGTCCATTGACATGGAATATCTTTTTCTACCTCTTTACCTTAAGTTTATGTGAGTTCTTAGGTGTCAGATGAGTCTCCTGAAGACAGCAGAAACGTGGTTGGTGGATTCTTATCCATTCTGCAATTCTGTATCTTTTAAGTGGAGCATTCAGGCCATTTACATTCAATGTTAGTATTGAAATGTGAGGTACTGTTCTATTCATTGTGCTATTTGTTGTCTGAATACCTTTTTTTATCATGTTATTGTTATATAGGTGAGATTTATGCTTTAAGGAGGTTCTATTTTGGTGTATTTTGAGGATTTGTTTCAAGATTTAGAGCTCCTTTTAGCAGTTCTTGTAGTCCTGGCTTGGTAGTGGGGAATTCTCTCAGCATTTGTTTGTCTGGAAAAGATTGCATCTTTCCTTCATTTATGAAGCTTAGTTTCACTGGATACAAATTCTTGACTGATAATTGTTTTGTTTAAGGAGGCCAAAAGTAAGACCCCAATCCCTTCTAACTTGTAGGGTTTCTGCTGAGAAAGCTACTGTTAATCTGATAGGTTTTCCTTTATAGGTTACCTGATGCTTTTGCCTCACAGCTCTTAAGATTCTTCCCTTTGTCTTGACTTTACGTAACCTGATGACTATGTGCCTAGGCAATTATCTTTTTGTGATGAATTTCCCAGGTGTTCTTTGAGCTTCTTGTATTTGAATATCTAGATTTCTAGCAAGGCCAGGCAACTTTTCCTCACTTATTCCCTCAAATATGTTTTCCAAACTTTTAGATTTCTCTTTTTCTTCAGGAACACCAATTATTCTTAGGTTTGGATGTTTAACATAGTCCCAAACTTTTTGGAGGCTTTGTTCATTTTCTTAAATTCCTTTTTCTTTGTCTTTGATGGGTTAGGTTAATTTGAAAGCCTTGTCTTTGAGCACTGAAGTTCTTTCTTCTGCTTGTTCAACTCCATTTATTTTTTCAAGTTGAGGTCTCACTCCGTCACCCAGGCTGGAGTCCAATGGTACAATCACAGCTCATTGCAGCCTTGAACTCCTGGGCTCAAGCAGTCCTTCCACCTCAGCCTCCTGAGTAGTCTACTCCATTTTTATCTGTGCTATCTCAGTTACTTTTTTTTTGTTTTTTTGAGATGGAGTTTCACTCTTGTTGCCCAGGCTGGAGAGCAATGGCATGATCTCAGCTCACTGCAACCTCCACCTTCCAGGTTCAAGCAATTCTCCTGCCCCAGCCTCCCAAGTAGCTGGGATTACAGGCACCTGCCACCACGCCCAGCTAATTTTTGTATTTTTTAGTAGAGACGGGTTTTCACCATGTTGGCCAGGCTAGTCTCGAACTCCTGACCTCAGGCTATCCGCCTGTCTCGGCCTCCTAAAGTGCGGGGATTACAGGAGTGAGACACCATGCCCGGCCAGTTACATTTTTATAATTGGAACTATTTTTGCAATATGAAGAGTTTATTGTCTCAATATTTCCCTTGACCCTCTCCCACAGTCATGCCCTGGCCACCTGTGCTCATTACCTTAAGAACAGGCATGAGGTATCAAAAATGAGAGAAAAAAATGGACCCTTAAGGAGAGGAAAGTTCTTATGGGATGGTAAGAAAAGTATTAACAGCAAGGATTCTCGACCAAGATTATTGTTCCTTAAATTAGGGAGATATATAGAGTTGAAAGGAAACTTTGAGATGAAAATATCAGTAGGACCAAGAAAGAGTGACCTCGCACACTCCTTCCCAGACCATGCCCCAGGGGGAAGACAGAAACTCCAGGCTGATTTGTGGATCTGAGACATTCAGTGTTTTCTGGAGAGACAGCAAGATCCAGGAAGAGCAGAATAATCCCCAAGCACACTGGAGCAGTATGGGAGTGGCAGAGAGAACCACTAAACCCCAAAAGACCATGCAGGTGGGGAAGAGGGAAGGCCCCATACACAACTAACTGCCTAGGCAATGGACATGCCACCAGCTGCCTAGAACACAGCAGATAATGAATCAATCAATCAATACCTCCATTAATAAGTGTCATTGAGGGCTAAATCAAATAGTCACCTGTGACACTGTGGTACCTAGTAAACTCCATAGAATTTAAGCAGAATCCTGAGGAAACCAGGATTAAAATGCTGCCATCCTGAATTGAAAAAGAAAAACAAAAATTTTCATTTCTCGCATGGTCAAAGCTGTGAACTGAGATTTACACTTGCAATGCTTATGTGTGAAAACTGAATTACACACAGTAACTTTTACTGCTCTGTGAGACTGTTTATATGGAATGGGATTTATTCATTTCTTGACAGTTTGAGCACCTTCACCATCAATACTAACTATACATACATACAAATGTAGCTTTTGAGGAAATGGATAGAATTTTGAAAACATTGACATTGGTGTTTTGGGAAGTTTTTGCTATTTTTACTTTCTTTCAGTATTTTTTTCTTCTAACTTTTATTTTAGGTTCAGAGTTACGAGTGCAGGTTTGTTACATGAGTAAATTGCATGTCACTGGGGTTTGGTGTATGAATTATTTCATCATCCAGGTAGTGAGCATAGTACCCCATAGGTAGTTTTTCAGTTCTCCCCATCCTCTCACCCTCCACCCTTAAGCAGGCCGCAGTGTCTACTGTTCCCTTCTTTGTGTCTATGTGTACTCAATGTTTAGATCCTACTTACAAGTAAGAATATACAATGTGTTTTTTAAAAGGAATCACATTATTTACTTTTCCTTCTTGTTTGGAGTAATAAATACTATTTTCCTTTATTAAAAAGTGATATGTGTCATGGCTGGGCACAGTGGCTCACAACTACAATTCCAGCACTTTGGAGGCTGAAGTGGGAGGATCACTTGAGGAGTTTGAGACCAGCCTGGGCAACATAGCAACACTCTGTCTCTATAAAAACTAAAAAAATTTAAGTGGTGGTATGCGTCTGTAGTTCCAGCTACTTGGGAGGCTGAGGTAGGAGGATCACTTGAGCCCAAGAGGTTTAGGCCACAGTGAACCATGATCTGTCTACCACACTCCAGCCTAGGCAATAGAGTGAAACTCAGTTAAAAAAAAAAAAAGTGGTATGAGTCTCTTGTAGAAAATTCAGATGAAGCAAAGACATTTTAAATTATCTAATTTTATGATTCAGAAATACTGTTGTTAAGAAATTGGTATCTTTATCTGTAATTATTAAATATATCATGCTTAATATTTGATCATCTATATTTTCTGTATTTTCCATTTCTTTTAGACATTTTAATCAATTATTTATAATTATATGGAGTATTTACTTATAATTTGTATTTTCAAGTATCTTATAATGTTATTTTTTTAACCCCTCAACTAGTTTTATTACCAAAATAAAAACTGTAGCAGCTACACACATTTTCTTCCTTTCTTATTGTACATAACACTGAGTGTTGGTGGTTAATTTTACAACCTAGCCTTTAGATTATAGAATGTCCAAGATACAATGGTGACTAAAAGAGACGAGGACTTAACATCACCCTGGGATGAATGCAGTGGCTGCAGCCGCCTCCTCGCAGGGGTCCACTCTGTGCTCCCTGCTTTGGGGAAAGAGTGAACTTGTATTCATCTGTATGAGAAATATAGTTGCATTCTGTTAGGAAGAAGTGTTTATAATGTTATTTTAAAATATAATTTAAATATTTGTCATGGTAAAATTTGGGAAATAAACACAAATATAAACATACAACAAATAACTTGTAATACCATCACAGAGAGAGAACAATTGTTAACATTTTAGTGTTTTCATTTCAGGTCTTTGTGTTTACACATACATCACACATGTACAAATTGAGATTATATGATATATTATATTATAATTTGTAAACTTAAAAATTCTCTTTACATATATGCGCTTTCATTTTTTTCTTTACTAGATTTGTTACAAAACTTTCAGTCATCATATAAAATAAATTTTTATTAATTATTACATATATTGTGTTTATTTGAATTATTTCTAGTTTAGGTTTATTATGTTCTTGTTCCTGTTCTCTTAAAAATGTCTTTGTTGACACTTGTTTCTTGGTTGGGCAGTTTATTTATTTTCCTCCTTTTATTCAGAATAATAAAGACATCTATGACTGTGGCAAAGTGAAAGCTAAAGAGTATGTTATTTTCTCATTATTTTTATTTTTCCTCCTTAATTCAATAGTTATTTGAGATATTGGATTTTAAAATAGATACACAAGTTAATATTTTTAAAGTGGCATTTTTTATGATTCTAACACTTTGGAGAGAAATATGAAAGCACAATAAAAGTAAAAATTAACTGTATTCCATAATACAGCAATAACTGTTATCAATATTTAGTCACATATACTTTTCATTGTTACCAGCATATGTAAAATACATTGAAATGAGATAATATTGTATATATTGCTTTGTGAAATGCCTTTTTCTGCTTCATAACACGGCATGAATATTTCACCACAGTATAATTTTATAATGTTCCTGTAGAATCTTACCATATTGAATGCTTGGAACATTTATTCCCTTTTTTCCTATAGCAGACACTCTTGTACATAAAATCATTATAGATAGATCTGATTAGTTCTCCAGGAAAACTCCTGAAATTGAATTATTGGGTCAACTTTTAAGGGCATTTTAAGGCTTTTGATTTATAGTAGTAATTAGTTCTACAGAAAAGTCACCCAAACTTACACTTCCATCAGTAGTAAATAAAAGGTCCTTTTCATACTATTTCTATTTCTTTTTTATGAGTAACTTCACGTTTCTATTCATTAAACAATCATTGATTCCATTTTTTTCTTATTTACTTGTTACAGCTTTTACAAGTTTATTATCCCTTTGTGGACCATGTTGTTTCTTTTTTTCTTTTTTTTTTTTGTCATTTACCTTTTAAATTTGCCTTCGCTTGCTTTTTCTATTTAAACGTTTATTTCTTTCCAATTTTGTTGCATTTTGGTTATTTATAAATATTATACAAGTGATCATTGCTAAAGTATACATGAGTGTAGCTGTCTCTTGTGTTTATTCTATCTGATTTTTTCATGGTTATCTCCCTGTTGCCTTGAGAAAGACAGTTGTCACTTAGTTCTCTGGCAGTGTTCTTTCCTGTTCTTTGTTAATTCCATAAGAGCCCTTGCATCAATTCATTTTCCAACTCTCCCTCTTACTTGTTCCAGCAAGTAAAATCAAATTGGTGTTTATACAATGAATAAACCAAAGGTAACTGAGATCAAAGTTTTCTGGAAGATGATTGATAAGGGGACTTTGGTGTAATACTTGTATTAAAAAGTAAATATTTAATTGGAAAGCAATACATTAAAAGGACACTATGTATTTTTAATTAACTTCATTCTGTTGCAATTCCATTCTATTTCCCTCTGCAATTATACTTTCTTCTGAGTCATCTACTTCTCTTTCTCTCTCTTTGTCAGATCATTCCCATATACAACCATGGGCTGGTGTCTCCAATTCTAAAATGAACAAACAAGCAAAACACAAGCTAATAATACATAAATTAACCTCCCTTTGTTCCGCATGAGCTTGTGCCTATTTCTACGCAGTCCTTCAATTCAAAACGGCTGGCTAGTGTTGTCAGGAGCTGCCATTTCCACTTCCTCTCATCACATTTCCTCTGCTAACATTTCTAGTCACACTGTTTCCCCATTTCTTCACTGAGGCAGCTCTTGTGGAGGTCACCAATGTGCCCCGTTTTGTTATATCCAGTGGTCACTTCCCTGTTCTGATTTCACTTGCTCTTTCAGCAGCAGCAGACAAGGACGGCCACCACTTCCTTCTGCTCTTGATTTCAGTGGTGCCACTCCCTCCTGATTTCCTCCTATCCCTTGGGCTGTATCTCCATAGCCTCCTTTTTTGGATCATCTTTTTCTGCTTGGCCTGGAAATACTGGGAAACTCTAAAATTAATACTGGACTCATTTTCTTCCCTATCTACATAATCTCCCTATAAGACTTTATCCTGTCCTGTGGATTAAAATTCTATGTAAGGGCTTTTCAATGTCTGTTTTCTTTCACTCAGCAAAATGTTTTTGAAAGTCATCCTTGGAATTGCATGCCGTACTAGTTTGCTTGTTTCATGTTTATTGCTGTGTAGTATTACATTATGTGACTATACCACAAATGGTATATTTATTCACCTCTTGGTGGACATTAGGGTCATGCTTGGTTTTGGCTACTATAAGTAAAGCTACAATGCACATTCAAGTTATATGCATCTCTATATGGAAATAGTTTTCATTTTGGGGGCAGTGAGGGAATGCTTTGGTGAGGAATTGCTGCATCCTTTGACAAGTGTATGTTTAACTTTAGGAGAAACAGCCAAAATATTTTCCAAAGCAGTTGTACCATTTCACATTCCCACCTGCCATGTATGAAGTTCCACTTGCTCTACATGCTTGCTATTATCTGTTATTGCTTGATTTTTTTAAAAAGAGCCTTTCTAATGGATCAGTCATGATTTTAATTTGTGTTTTCTGATGAGTAATGTTCTTAAACACCTTTTTGTGTACTTACTGGGGAAATGGCCAAATTTGTTAGGTTATTTTTCTATTATTGAGTTGCAAGACTGGTTTGTATAGTCTGTATATATATCCTTTATCAGATATATGTGCTGGGAATAATTTTTTCCAGTTTATACCAGGCTCTATCCCTCTATCTAAGGATGCAACTTCTCTACAAATAGCCGACTGTACAGGATTCAGCTTCTTTCTGGATTCAAGTAGCCACACTCTCATCCTCCCTTCAGGTCTACACATGATACAAGCCAGGCTGCCTCTCACTAGGGAACACTGCACCAATATATACCATTCTCCTACACACACGTTTGTGTGCAGGAGATATTTCTTTTGAAAGTAAACACTCCTTTAGCCATATTTCTCCTTATGGTCCCTTTTCCTCTATTCTTTTCCCTTTTCCTCTGTTCTTTTCTCTTTTTTTCTTTCTTCTTCCTTCTTCTTTCCTTCCTTTCTTCTTTTCTTCCTTCCTTCCTTTCATTCTTTCTGATTGAAAGAATCTTCCCCCACTGGAATATAAACATTATGAAAGAACTGACCCATGAGTCTTAAAAGTGATCGCTGTATCTTTTTAAAAAGGCTTGCTAAATAAATATTTGTTGAATGAATAAACGTGTGAATAAAGAGCAAATTTTTTTCCAGGAAAAAAGCCTAGTTTGATTCCAGGTTGATAGAAAGTTTTAATAAACCTAAAGAAAAATATAAAAGGAGACTTTCTCCTTCTACAAACCAGGCCTTTAGGACAGCTTCATCAGCAGGGGGAGTGAGCAAGAGACTGGGCAGCACCACAGAAAGCTTCTGCAAAGCTTCTCTAAACACCAATGCCCAGGGTTCACACCAGGCACACTGAGGCAGGACCCCTGCAAGTAGGTTCTAGGAATCTCTGCTTTTCAAAAACTCTCCAGGTAATTCTAGCACAGTGAGTTGCTCCTCCACGCAGCCTCCGCTGCTGCTTCCTCTGGCTTCACATCACACCACCATAAGCCACATTTCTCTGCAGGTCAAAGATGAAGGTCAGTATGGCATGGTAAGGCCACACTGAATGTTTATAAAAAATATCTACTACTATTTGTATAATGTTTCTTTCAGTCTTGGTCCTTGGAAAACAAGTATCAGTCTGTCATTGTATTCAAAGGCAGAATTCAGTCTTAAATTTTGGCAAGAAGTTCAAAACTTGATAATACTCAGTTATAATCTAAACAATTAATTCACAGTGATCCTCAAGCAAAATGAATTGTTGTTACCTCATCCTGGTTAAGAAACATTATAAGGGATTCTATTATGATGCAAATTACTCCTTTAAAGTCTGTTTCCTTACAGAAATAAGCCTGTTTTGCCACTCCTATTCAACATAGTACTGGAAGTCCTGGCCAGAGCAATCAGGCAAGAGAACGAAATAAAAGGCATTCAAATAGGAAGCGAGGAAGTCAAATTATCTCTGTTCACAGATGGCATGATTCCATATCTAGAAAACCCCATAGTCCAGGCCCAAAAGCTTCTTAAGGCTGATAAACAACTTCAGCAAAGTTTCAGAATATAAAATTAATGTACAAAAATAAGTAGTATTCCTGTCCAGCAACAACATCCAACATGAAAGCCAAGTTAAGAACACAAGTCCAGTCATAGTTGCCACAAAAACAATAAAATACCTAAGAATACAGCTAACCGGGGAGGTGAAAGATCTCTACAATGAGAACTACAAAATACTGCTCAAAGAAATCAGAGGTGACACAAACAAATGGAAAACATTCCCTGCTCACAGACAGAAAGAGTCAATATTGTTAAAATGGCCATACTACTCAAAGTAGTTTACAGATTCAATGCTACTCCTATCAAACTCCAATTACCTTCTTCACAGAATTAGAAAAACTATTTTAAAATTCATATTAAACCAAAAAAGAGCTCAAATAGCCAAGGCAATCATAAGCAAAGAGAACAAAACTAGAGGCATCATGTTACCTGACTTCCAGCTATACTACAGGGCTACAGTAACCAAAACAGCATGGTACTGGTATAAAAACAGACACATAGACCAATGGAAAAGAACAGAGAACCCAGAAATAATGCCATGAATGTACAGCCATCTGATCTTCAATAAAGTTGACAAAAACAAGCAGTGAAGAAAGGACTCCTTGTTCAATGTTGGGATAACTGGCTAGACATATGCAGAAAATTGAAACTGGACCCCTTCCTTATACTGTATTCAAAAATCAACTCAAGATGGAGTAAAGACTTAAATGTAAAACCTAAAACTATAAAAACACTGGAAGATAACCTAGAAAATACCATTCTGGATAAGGGATTTTATCACAAAGATGCCAAAAGCAACTGCAACAAAAACAAAAATTGGCAAATGGGACCCAGTTCATCAAAAGAGCTTTTCTGTATAGCAAAGGAAACTATCAACAGAGTGAACAGACAACCTACAGAATGGGAGAAAATATTTTCAAACTATGCATCTGACAAAAGTCTAATATCAAGAATCTATAAGGAGCTTAAACAAATCAACAAGCAAAAAACAACCCCATGAAAAACTGGGCAAAGGACATGAACAGACACTTTTCAAAAGAAGACATACAAGTGGTCAAGAAACATGAAAAAAATGCTCAACATCACTAATTATTAGAGAAATGCAAGTCAAAACTACAATGAAATACCATCTCACACCAGTCAGAATGGCTATTAAAACATTAAAAAAATAACAGATGCAGGTGAGCTTGTGAAGAAAAGGGAATGCTTACAAACAGCTGGTGGGAACATAAACTAGTTCAGCCATTGTGGAAAGCAGTTTGGTGATTTCTCAAAGAACTCAAAGCAGAATTACCATTCAACCCAGTAATCCCATTATTGGGTATATATCCAAAAAATATAAATCATTCCATTATAAAGATAGATGCATGCATTTGTTCATCACAACACTATTTACAATAGCAAAGACATGGAATAAACCTACATGCTCATCCGTGGTAGACTAGATAAATAAAATGTGATACATATACACCATGGAATACTATGCAGCTATAAAAAGGAATGAGATCATGTTCTTTGTTGGAACATGGATGGAGCTGGAGGCCATAATTCTAAACAAACTAAAACAGGAAGTGAAAACCAAATACCATATGTTCTCGCTTATAAGTGGGAGCTAAACGCTGACTACACATGGACACAAAAAAGGGAACAACAGACCCAGGAGCCTACTTGAGAGTGGAGGGGCAGAGGAGGGTGAGGATTAAAAAATTACCTATCGGGTACTATGCTTATTACCTGGATGGTCAAATAATCTGTACATCAAACCCCCATGACACAAGTTTTCCTTTGTAACATGAACCTAAAATAAAAGTAAAATAAAACTAACTCATATAAACAAGTTTAAAAAAATGAGCCTGTTTTGAAGGAACTAGTTCCAAGTTCTTTACACACTGCTGCCATCATAAAGCATGAGAGAACGTAGCCTTCTTATTGAAGGAAAACTGAATGCCGAGTGTTGCTCCATTAATCGACAGGCCTTCCCAATTCAATTCTACATGACCACAAACATGATTCTCCAATTTGTCCTTTTTCTTCACATCTTCGCTTGCATTCTAACTACCTAGATTATTCAAAGAAACCTCTTATCCCTTTAAATGATTTCAGTTTCTATGACATTCTGAATTCTCCCTGCTGTGAATTAAAACTTGCCGAAGCAGAGCTCCATGCATGTTCCTCTCACACTTCAACACTCTCGACCTGTTTTACAATGTCATCTACCTTCCCATCCTCCAAATGCATTTTACAAATTTCAACCTCAGTGCTTTTGTTTTCAAATATTCCTGGCTTGTTCATTAGTAGTTCCAAAATTTCTATAAAGGAGAGACTCTGGGACAGTTCTGTGACTGGAAAGACTGAGGGTTGCTAGCTGGGGACTTTTGTGAAGATGGCATGTTGGTTTTATTTATACCGCAGTTCAGTTTTTTGGAGGGGGAAGTTGTGGGTATTATGATTATGTAGTGTAGGGATGGGGATGTTAAATTCTTGGCTACCAATTTTTTAAATCTCCCAAAATGCACTTCTTCATCCCATGACCTGTCCAATGTGTACTCATTTTATAGAATGGGCCTCATGTCTGAACTCCTTAAAAATTACTCTTGACAATCTCTGGTAACTTTCTTAATGCTTTTTGTTTTAGTCCCACATTAATTATACATGAAAATATGTCTGGGCTCTCCAACTACAGTCCAACTGGACTGAGCACAAGAAATACATCTGAACTGAAGTATCTATTTAGCATTTAACATGGTTCTGTTAAAGTAGCAGGCAGCTAACTGACATTTTTTGTCCATTCACTTAGATAACTAAAATTGTAATGGAAATAAATAAGTATGTGAAAGAAAGTAGTGATTGTCCAAAAGTGTCTTGAAGACATTTTGAGTCAGAAGACATGGGTGCAATTCTACCACTGTGACCTTTGCAGAGTGCTATAGTTTAGATGTTTTGTCTCTCCCAATCTCATGTTGAAATGTGATCTCCAATGTTGGAGGTGGGACCTGGCGGGAGGTGTTTTGATCATGGGGGTAAATCCCTCATGAATGGCTTGGTGCCATCTTTGAGTTCTCACACTATGAGTTCACAAAAGATCTGATTGTTCAAAAGAGCCTGGAACTACCTCCTCTCTCTTTTGTTTCTTCTCTTGCAATGTGACACACTGGTTCCCCTTTGCCTTCTGCCATGATTGGAAGCTTCCTGAGATCTCAGCAAAAGCAGATGCTAGTGCCATGCTTCCTGTACAGCCTGCAGAACCGTGAGCCAAATAAACCTCTTTTCTCTATAAATTACTCAGCCTCAGATATTTCTTTATAGTAACACAAAAATGGACTCATACACTGAGTTAGCCACATTTATTCCCAGTTTTCCAATGTTTGTGAGCCATACGTGTGATAAGGAGTTAATTTCCAAAATACTTAAGAAACATATTTGCTACAATATTTGCTAAAACTCAATAGCAAAAAAAAAAAAAAAAAAAAAAAAAAACAACCTGGTAGCACAATTTTTAAATGAGCTAAAGACCTGAATAGACATTTCTTCAAGAAAACATACAAATGGCCAACTTGTATATGAAAAGTTGCTCAGTGTCACTAATCACGAAGAAATTGCAAATCAAAACCACAATGTGAGATATCACCCTACTCCTGTTAAGATGTCTATTATCAAAAAAACAAAGACAACAAATGTCGGTGAGGATACAGAGAAATTGAATCCCTTGTACATAGTTGGTGGGCATGTAAAATTGTGCAGCCATAATGAAAAACAGTATTGAAGTGCCTCAAAAAATTAAAAATAGAGCTAACATATGATCCAACAGTTCAACTTCTGGGTATTTATTCAAAAGGATTGAAATAAGGATCTTGAAGAGAAATTAATACTCCCACGTTCATTGCAGCATTATTAACAATAGTCAAGATGTAGAAACAACCTAAATATTCATTGGAAGGTAAACGAATCAAGAAAGTTTGGTGTATACATTCAGTGGAATACTATTCAGCCTTAGAAAAGAAGGACATTCCGCAACATGTGAAAACATGGATGAACTTTGAGGACATTATGCTAAGTCAGTCACAGAAAGGTAAATACTGCATGATTTCACTTACATAAGGAATCTAAAACTGTCAATTTCATAAAAGCAGAGAGTAGAATGGTGTTTGCTAGGGGCTGGAGGGAGAGGAGAAGGGGAAGTTACAGTCCAATGGATATAAAATTGCAGTTTTGTGAAATCAATAAGTTATAGAGATCTGATGTACAGCGTCATGCCTACAGTTAACAATACTGTATTGTACACTTGAAATCTGTTAAGAAGGTAAATCTCATGTTAAGTGTTCTTATCACAAATGAAAAATAAAGGGGAATGAGGAAGACCTTTTCAAAAGTCTGGAATGAGGATAAAATGAGACTATGAATGGGAAAATACTGTGTAAACTGTAAAACTTTACACAAATGTTAATTCATAAAGCAGCCAGGACCATCTTTTTAAATCTAATAATCAGGTTGTCTCATTCGTAAGCTTAAAACTCTTCAAACATAATATTTTGCAATAATAAAAGGCTCTCTCTAGCCTCATCTGTCTTTCATCACCACACACACACATGCATGCACACACATGCATGCACACACACACGTACACATACATGCACACGGGTATTTCAGCAGTTTAGCCTCCCTTCCATTCTTGTAATATTTCAAGTCCCTTCTATCCCCGAGTCTTTCTTATCCTTCAGCTCTTAGATCAAACACAACCTCTACAGAGACCTTTCCAGACCATCCTATCTGAATAACCTTCTCCCACCCCTTGCCTACTCATTCATCATCTTGTTTATTACTACCTAATGCCACACTTTGAAATCATCTTGCTCAATTTTTTTTGTTTGTTTTCTTATTCATCATCGCTCCTGGCTCCGTGGGTTCAGGGTGTGGCCTGTCTCTCTTCTGTCCCCAGTATCAGAGCAGAATCTGGTACATGGTAGACACTCAGTACCTGCGTGTAAAAATTGAATGAGGATGTTAAGTGTTCCCACCACAAAAATGACAACTATGTGAGATAATGCAAGCTAGATTTAGCCATTCCACAATGTATATATACAGTAGTCCCTACTTATCCATTCCAAGAGGATACATTCCAAGACCCTCAGTAAATGCCTGAAACCATGCATAGTACCAAACCCTACATATACTTGCGAAAGGAAAACCAAAACTTAGGAACCTAATTTCACTCTGCTAAAAGAAAATATTAAGCTGAAAGCTGAGTCATGCAAGAAGCTGCTTTTCCTTTTATTCCCAAGCAGAGTAGTACAGATAAAAGGTTAAACATCTCCACAGGTAGCTACTGTACCCTCACCTTATCTTAAGTGAAGCGCCGATTTACTGAGAGCTAGAAGAACACATAATAGGCTATTCCCCTACCTGCTCCTTTTCTCTTGCAACACATGGATTCAGTCATGTAACCACAACTTCCCTCTTTCCCCTTTAAATACCAAAGCCCTCAGAATCGTCTTTGGAGCAAGGCACAGACCTCCCTTGCGGGCATTTCCTTAACCTTGGCAAAATTAACTTCTGAATTGATGGAGACCTTTCTCAGATACTTTTTGGTTTACACACTATACTTGGCAGTCAGTCTGATCACCAAGACAGCTAAGTGACTAATGGGCAGGTAGTGTATAACAGCCCAGGTACGCCGGACAAAGGGATGATTCACATCCTGGGTGTGATGGACGGGACAGTATGATATTTCATCACACTACTGAGAATGGCACACAATTTAAAACTGATTCTTAATTTCTGGAATTTTCCATCTAACACTTTTGGACCATGGTTGACCACAAGTAACTGAGACCGCAGAAAGGAAACTGCAGATAAGGGAAGACTACTGTACTTCAGAACATCATGTTGTTCATAATAAATACAAACAATTTTTCTGTCAACTAAAAAATAAATAAAAATAAAATGTTTACTACCATAAAAAGAAAATGTGATATACACATATAATGGAATATTATTCAGCCTTTACACGGAAGGAAATTCTAACACATTTCTGCAACATGGGTAAACCTTGAAGACATTAGGCTGAATTAAGTGCACCATTTGATTCAATACATATTCTTTTAAAAAATCTATTCCACGTCCTCTAAAATATACCATACAACTTTCAAACACTGAAAAAATACACAAAAAATATAAAGTAGAAAAGGTGTTAGGAGTTATCTTAGTGAGTATTTTTACAAAACAGTAGTTAAAAGATTATAGCAGATGGAAATAAAGTAAACAAAATAGCATTAAAGCATTTAAACATCATTAAAAAGATTAAATCATTGTTGGTTTTAAAATACACCTATCCTCTTTCTCTTTTCATAATATGTACCTCAAAAATACAATAAAATACTAGTAGAAATTATCTCTAGAAGTTGATATCACAGAAATTATTTTTGCCTTGAGTTTTTTGCGATGATAATGTATTACTCTTAAAATCAGAGAAGCTGTAATGCCATTTCAAACAAAGTAGAAAAGCCTCCCCATTCCCTGCCCCACCACTTCCCTCTTGCAATGCGGTTTTTCAATAGAAGCGCAGAGTAGAGGAAGGTGATCCTAAGGATTCTCCTCCTAAGAGGGCCAGGACTGCACCTCGCTGGCCTGGGGTTCACACAGGACTGGTCCTGGAGCCCTGCCTGCTCCATCTGGGGGAGGAAGCCCAGGACTGGGCTGCAGGTTTGTGAATAGGGGCACCGAGGCGTGCAGCGACGCTGAGTGACTCTTCCATAATGCAGGGCTGAGTGGGCAGCAGGCCAGACGTGGGTCAGGGAGCGTTCATCCCGAACCGTGTCCAGCCCTGGCCTCGCCGGCCCAAGTCGCCCGCCCTGTGCAGCCAGGGGACGGCGACGAGGCTGAAGTGCCGCTTGTTTCCGAGCCTGGATGAGTAATGACGCGTTTCTTTTCCAGAAGCAACGTAAATCTGGCTTGAGGCTGGCACAACACAGCAGGAGCAGTGCAGGCTGGTGGCCAGGCGCCCGGCCCTGCGGCTGCCGAATCTTCGCGAAGCCTGCATCCGAGGCGCGCACTGGTTCCAGGCCCTGCGGCCATGCGAGGGAAGCCGCAGCGGTGGCCGCAGCGGTGGCGGCTCCTAGAGCGGTGCGGGCTGGTGCTGGCGGCAGGTGGGATGGAGGGGGGTGGGCTCTTCATGTCTCTCAACCCCTGATTAGAATCCGTGTCGATTTCTGGACACGCGGGCCGAGAGGAGCTGAGATCCGGCCGGCATTTCTCAGCCATGAGTTCTTTTTTGTTTGTTTGTCTTTGTTTGTGTTTGTTTTGAGACGGAGTCTTGCTCTGTCCCCAGGCTGGAGTGCAATGGCGCGATCTCGGCTCAGTGCAACCTTCGCCTCCCGGGTTCAAGCGATTCTCCTGCCTCAGCCTCCTGAGTAGCTGGGATTACAGGCGCCTGCCACCACGCCCAGCTAATTTTTGTATTTTTAGTTGAGATGGGGTTTCGCTATGTTGGCCAGGCTGGTCTCGAACTCCTGACCTCGTGATCCGCCTGCCTCGGCCTCCCAAAGTGCTGGGACTACAGGCATGAGTAACCGCGCTTGGCAACCATGGGTTCAAAGCAGGCGCAGGGAAGCTTCCGGAGGGTGCCTGGACGGCAGCTAAATGGTTGGGGCCTGGCTCCTGGCTGACCCTGTCTCATCCCGGGTGGCCGGCTCCCACCCGTTTCTACAGGGCCGGCCTCCTGCCCTAGGATTCTGACTCTGCAGGCTTCCTAGCCCAGGATTCCTTTTTTTTTTTTTTTTTTTTTTTGAGACAGAGTCTCACTCTGTCGCCCAGGCTGGAGCGCAGTGGTGCGATCTCGGCTCACCGGTTTCACCGTGTTAACCAGGATGGTCTTGGTCTCCCGACCTCGTGATCCGCCCACCTCGGCCTCCCAAAGTGCTGGGATTACAGGCTTGAACCGCCGCGCCCGGCCCCGAGCCCACGATTCTAACACGCAGTGGAGGCTGAGAGCCTTGGCTGGGGCGCCCTAGCGTCAAGCTCACCATGTGGCCTTTGCGGCACGTCTGCTTCTCTCTGCCTGGACCGCTCGGGTTTGAAGGCCCAGGGCGGGCCCCAGACGTCTCAGGGGCCATAGAGGCGCTGCTTCCGGAACTGCTGGAAGAGGATGACCAACTGCTGCTGCCAGGTCGAAGCGTCCTTGCGGAGGGACCCTACCAGGAAGGACAGGGAGCCACAGCCCTAGTCCCCTCGGCTCTCCTCCCGCCTCCCAGTGCCTGGTCCAGTGTCCCAGTGGCGGAAGCGAACAGGGACCAATCCGCAAAGGAGAAATTGAGTTGGCAGTGACATTGCCGGAAAATCACTACTGCGGAGTGCGGAGAGGTGGTTTGGGGCTGATAGGCAATGGTTTAATTGCAGGCAGAGTCTTGCGCCTGATTTGCCTATCATAATGTCCTTGGTGGAAGTTATGGACTTCCACCCACCCTGCTCCCACCCTCAGTGTGTGCATTAAATTCAGAACTCTCACCAGGCCCTATGTTTGCTGTGTCCCCTGCCTCACTTCATGCCCTGTACAGTGACCTTCCGTCCT
This sequence comes from Homo sapiens, assembly GCF_000001405.40. NCBI lineage: Eukaryota > Metazoa > Chordata > Mammalia > Primates > Hominidae > Homo > Homo sapiens. The sequence continues at coordinate 54,834,890 of NC_000007.14, forward strand.
GTCCTCATGCTCACCGCACAGTCTTTGACCAGAGTTTTTGCATCCCCATCTCTGCAACTTCCCTCAAATCTGCTGCAAGGCAACACATCCTCTGCCTCCTTTAAATCCCGATTCAATCCTCACTGCCCCGACCTAAGTCAGTTCCGTCCATCATAAAGTCCCTTGACGCCATGCAGCAATTCAGCAATTCAGCATCATATTTATCAAGGAAGCTTGCTTGCATTTGTGAGATCCCTTTGGCACCTCCCTCTGCTAGAGGATAAATGCCAAGGTCGTGAACTGCCTCTCTCTCTCTTTTTTTTTTTCTGAGACGAAGTCTTGCTCTGTCACCTAAGCTGGAGTGCAGTGGCACGATCTCGGCTCACTGCACCCTCTGCCTCCCAGGTTCAAGCAATTCCCCTACCTCAGCCTCGGCAGTAGCTGGGATTACAGGCGCACACCCAGCTAATTTTTGTATTTTTAGTAGAGACGGGGGGTTTTACCATGTTGGCCAGGCTGGTCTTGACCTCAGGTGGTACACCCGCCTCAGCCTCCCAAAGTGTTGGAATTACAGGCGTGAGCCACCACACCTAGCCGAACTGCCTCTCTCTTTGCTGGCCTCTTAACACCTTGCCTGGCACAAAGGAGGTCCTCAAAAATGTGTGTTGAATAAAACTTGCACAATTCACTAAGCAAGACTCCTGCACTAAAGATACCTATTTTAAAACTTACAGAGTTTCTAGTTAGCTAGAACATAGTATCCAAGAGGCTGAGAATCTTTGCCTAACCATTTTAGGACCCTTTTACTCCGTGAAGCCAGTGCCCATCACAATGGCTTTCACAGAGTAAAAGGGTCCTAAAGTGGTTTTCCTGGGCATGGTGGCTCATACCTGTAACTCCTGAATTTTGAGAGGCCAAAGTGGGAAGATTGCTTGAGGCCAGGAGCTCGAGACCAGCCTGAGCTACATATTGAGACCTCATCTCTACAAAAAAGTTTTAAAAATTAGCCAGATGTGGTGATACACACCTGTAGTCCTAGCTACTCAGGAGGCTGAGGTGGAAGGATCTTCTGGGCCCAGGAGTTCAAGGTTTCAGTGAGCTATGATGGTGCCACTGCATTCCAGCCTGAGCGACAGAGTGACATGCTGTCTCTAAGAAAAAAAAAAGGGTTTTCACTCCTATCTCTAATAACTCCTCTTCTAAGAAAATATTACAAGAATGTAATCAGAAAGGCAGACAAAGATTAAATACAAATTTAATTATTATTTGCACAGAAACAGCTGGAAACAAGCTAAATATCCTATGTTAGAGAATAATTGAATAAACTATCAAGTACTTCTTGATGGAATATTATGATGCCATGAAAATAGTACCTGAGAATTTCTTTTTTTTTTTTTTACTTTGGAAACATTTTATGGGATGAGGATAAGAAGAAAATTTAATATGCTACATGTTAAATTATTTCAACTGTGCAAAAAATATACAGAAAGCAATTGGGAAAAGTAGCCAAATAAAGAATGATGCTAGGTAGTTGATTGTTTTATTTTCTTTTATTTTTACCCTTTTTGTATTATTCAAATTTTCCACAGTGTCACAATGAATAAATCAAAAGCTATGTAAAAATTAAAGAATTTGCCGCAAGTCCTGGGTTCATAACTGTGACTGATAGACAGCAAAAGGGTAAGCAGCCAACATAGCCAATGAGGACCGCATGCTAATTAGGTTCCTGGCACAATTTCGGAATATAAGAAGGGCAGACAGATTATCCTGGGGTCCTCTTGTTCAGGCTGGGGTGTGAACAAGTGAGGGTGAGCATTCTTCCAGAGACCCTGCGAACAACTCAGTGGGGTCACGCAGTGCAGCTGTGCTTAGTGGAGGGTAGGCAGTCAGGACAAAGTGAATCCTCGGGTTGTGACCCAGCACGTGATGTTAGCAATGTGGTGCCTTGGTGCAGACTGAGTAATCTCTCCCATTTCTCCTCCTCCTGAGAAATTCACGAGGCAGAGAGTGGTGGACCGACAGGAATAGCTGCCAACCCTGAGGCAGAGATGGACGTCTAGGGATCTCTGGTGGGAAACATGCCTGATCACAGATAAGACTCCTCAAGCGGCAAAAACACCCTGGCCTAAGAAATGGATAGGAACGTAGTTTGAAACCTTGCACTCGATCACCCTGTTCCCAGTGGAAATAGATGCCTGCGCTATAGTAAGTGTAAACTTTCTCTCGCTGTCTTTCTTACACGCACACACACAAATACACACATTCTCTTTCATGTTGACCTGAGGAAAGTGACCCAGTGGCCTGACCCAGAACCTGATTCCTTGCACACATCTTGGCGCAGCCATTGAGGTGCCCAGCACCCAGACACACAGCATTTAACTGGGGCAGCTGGCTTCTCAGACCTGCCTGGGAACGCTAACTGGGCATTGGATACGGTGCGAGAGAGAGCTCAGAATGCGTTTATGGTGTCCAGCAGATGACCATCCCAGTGTGGGACTTTACAGTAGTAATGAGCAATGGAAATTTTGAAAATATTTCTCAGAAAACAACCGCTGGCCAGAGAGCCCTAATTTAGGAATCTTGCACAACTTTTCCATCACGTGATGAATTTTGAGTTTCTAGTGTCACATGTGCCAGAGTTTTCAGAGTCCTGAGGCCTGTTTTGCTTTGTTTTCTTTGCCTTTTTATAATACTAAAGATTAAAGCTAGTCAGATATTTTGGGATATTTCAGTTAAACAAATCTCTGTATTTCAAAGCAAAAACGATAGATAATACTGTTTTTGCTGGTGGAAAATAAGCTAATCGTCCTTGTTGCCTGAAGACTGCTTTTCAGCAGAACGGCCAGGCCCTGCCTTCACATAGAGATGTTACAGGCTCTGAGTGAATGGAATAGGTGTCCAGGCCAGGTAGGACTTAAAGTTTCTAACAACAAATTAAATGGTTGTTGTCGAGCAGAGTGAGTAGAGTTTCATGAGTTACATGAAGGATTGTAGGTGTGGGTGCCCCTGAGCCTCCTCACACTTCAGTGTATTTGCGATGTTGCATTGATGCTGTTCCTGAGCTAGGGATTCAGAATTAAGCTGACGGAGCCCACGCCACGTGAACTCCAATTCCCACTGCAGTGTCCTTGATCCACACTGACATTCCAGAGCACCCCCGTTCCGCTCTGCAGCAAAAGTTAAGACACCAGAAGCCTTTGTAAATGATCCCTGAACATTCAAGCATGTTCCTCCAGTCAAAAACCAATACAATGCCAAGGATTTACAGGAATTGTTTTGGAAAATTATATACATTGAATTAGCCCACTCTTGTTCAAAATCATTGCACATCCACTCTTGGATAGAACAGTATAATGCATGTAAAGCACTTGTCAATCCAGACAGCTATATAAATCTTAGTTATTTTTATAGTATAATTGACAGAGCTCTCATCTTGAGTCATCTAGCAAATAATTTATAAGTGCCTACTACATGCCAAGCAACATTCTGGGCCCTGGGGATAAAGGAAGGAAAACAGATAAAAATTCCCCAACCTAATGGAACTTGTAGTAAGGGAGGAGAAAATAAACAAGACCAATAAGTAAAATAACTTGTGCATTAGATAAAAAGATATGCAAGAGAAAAACAGAACAAAAAGGAGGGGTATATATACTGGGGAGGGTGAGAACTTTAGGTAAAGTAGCAAGGAAGGCCTCCCCCAAGGGTGATAGCTGGGTAAAGTTGAGGCCAGTGCAGCTGCAGTGCCTTGAGGGGTTTGGGAGGTGGGCGGTGGAGGGAGTAGGAGATGGGGCCAGGGATAGCAGAGCCCAAACTGTCTAAGGGAATAGCCTTAAGGGACATTTTAATGATGTTGGCTCTTACTCTGGGTGAGATGGGACGTCACTGTAGGACTCCGAACAGGGAAACGGCACAAATTTTAACTTCATCACTGGCTTCTTCTTTGAGCTCTTTCTTGACCTCGGTTGTCTTGTCATTGAAAAAAAAGGCAGCAAGTGTGGTTGTGTGCCAGGCCTATCCTCCCACTTAATCCCGCTGTTAGATTTTATGATCTCTGCTTTATTTTAGAGGCTAACGAGGGTAAGTATCTGCCTAGAGTCATGGAGCTAGTAACTGACGAAGCTAAGGTGGAATTGAGTCTGTTATTTTCTGTTCTAATAACCGCATCACCTTTCACAAAATAAATGCATCTATCAGAAGAATTGGTGGACCAATCTTGGGGACATGGGGAGGCAAAGTTGAGTCACAGAGAGCCCTGGTTGAAATATAGGTTCCATTTGGACAAAGTTCAGTTTACAAGGGACTTTCACATCCATGCCTCATTTGATAAGCATGATGGTACTAAAGCACCATTGCCCGGATTGCAGAGGAGGCACTTGGTAAGGTGTAGAAAGCAGAATTTCAGATGATAGTCCAACACTGTATTCTTCGCAACCTTCTCACTGCTGGACACCCAAGGACTCAGTAAGAGGGAACAGGAGAAAGAACATGACTTCAAAACCTAGCTCAGATGTTACCTGTCAAGTTAAGAATTAGAAACACAAGTCCTGCAACTGGGCTTATGAACACAGTTGATCCCTGGGAGGTGGGGTGATCCCCAGGAGAAAACAGGCAAATCTGACTCGGGTCCCACACACTGCAGTCATTATTTTACTGTGTCTTATAGGCTGTGCTTTGCTTTACGGGCTTAGATCTACATCTAATTTGGTTCCCCTTCAATATTTCAATCTTCATTCAGGGCTCTGCTTCCCTGGGTCCACCCACGCCCTGTGTCCCCAGCTTGACCCGACAGCTTCCATGAGTAATCGGGTCTCCACCCTGGGGATACCCTCCCATCTGCAGGCTGCATCTGCACTTGGCTTGGGACAGCCTTGGCCAGGGCTGCAGGGTGTTCCCTCGTGGCCGCCTGCCTCTGCTCCCTGCCCTTTGCCTCCCTCTGGTGGGCACAGTGGCCATCCTGGCAGCAGGGCTTGGTCAGGGCCTTTGAAGTGACCTGCTGTGTCAGACTCTTTGGGGCTTAATGTGGGTCAAACTCATCTGCAGAGCTTGTTTTGAACACACATTGCCAGGCCCCAGCCCCAGAGTGTTTGATTCAGTCAGCCTGGGGTGCATCCTGATAATGTGCATTTTTAAACAGGTTCCCAGGTGATGCTGATGCTGCAGCACACTGAGGAAGCCACTGCTGCAGTCCCACCAGTTCACGGAAAGTGGCTGCAGTGTGCAAATGTTTCAGAACTGCTGGGGCAGAGACCAAGGCCCTTGTTCCCTGAAACATTGATTAAGACGCCTAGGCTTCTCTGATGCCTGGGTCCATGTATTTAACAAACGTTTATTGCATACACAATGCGAGGTGCAACACAGTAGGCACAGCAGTCATGACACACCCCCAGCACCTCACAGTCAGAGGAAAAACAAGGACAAAAGAGCCACATTTAAGCAGAATTAGATTCCAAGCTGCAGTACAACATTTTTGAGGAACTACCCCCCTCCAGGATTAAAGTGTTTACTTTGGGAAAGTCCTTCTAATAATGGTATACTTCCAAATTCATCAATAAAAGACTTCAGCAGTTAAAAAATAATTATCATCAAGGATAACATTTTCAGACTACTGACTTTGCTCCAGGTCCTTTCAAAGTGTTGATTCATTTATTCCACACAACAGCCTATGGAAGTAGATTCTGTTATTTCCCCCCATGTTACAGATGTGAAAACTGAGATACAGAGGGTTAAGTGACCTGCCCAGGACCACACAGAGAGGAAGAGGAGAAGTTAAGATTCACACCCTACCGATCTGGACGTTATAGTCCATTCATAAAATGATTGTGATACATTTGAAAGCTAAAAATGTTTTTTTTTCTGTTGAAAAAGTAACAAACACATGTATAAAATCTGAAATTTAAAAGGAGTTACAATATTTTCAAAATTCCGCCATGTCCCCACCACCCAGAGAGCTGCTGTTTACCTTCTGGTCTGCCAACTTCTTTAGGAACAAGAGAACTGCAAATATATGGTACCCAATTGAGATACAGAAAATTGTTGTAATCTACATTTTATATAATGGTGCTTAGAAATACAATCTACACATAATTATACAAAATGCATGTCTATTGAAAAAAACTGAATAACAGTAGAAAGAACAAAATAAGAATCATTCAATACTTCAGGATTACAAATTCATACTCCAAGAGCTTACGAGAATTAAATGGAAATTAAAGAACATCTGTATAGATGCAAGATAACGAGATGAGGAACATGTCTCTACATAAATATTCACTGAATTCCTGATTTTCATTTTTACACTGACATTTTTACTTTGTGCCTTTATGTTATCATTGAAGATGTCCCTTCAGATACTTCAGATATTTTACTTTACATTTTAATGGTTTTAGTGTGGTGGAGACACCCTGAGAAGCTACTCAATCTTTCTCATTCAGTAATTTTCTATTTTTCATCTTAACTCAGGACAAAAAGACACAAACAGTTTATGATGTTAGAGAAAGAGTTGAAAGTAAAATTGGTAGACATATGGATTGTTAATTTCTCTAGAGGATCCCAAGGGAAATAGAAATATTTTAACTGAGTGTTTTACATTGTTAACTCAATGCTTTGTCATATGTTTTGCTTTGACCAATGCACTTGAAAATTTTCTCTAACTTGCTGAAAGGGTAATGTAGACAAACATCTTTGCATTGCTATTTATTTGCGTTTAAGTGCATGCATTCTGGTAATAGTGTTTCCCAAAGAATAGTTTGTGGACATTAGTCTCATAATGTTCCACAGAAGAAGGGCTCTGTGGTCTAACACGTTTCAGGAAACATTAATACCACAAATCCTCCTCTGGGTATGTGTAATATCTGAGAACTTCTAAAGAGGAAAAAATAAAGCCACTAGTATCATTAGTATCATACGTTTTGATGACTCTGAATGTCAGTTTTCACACTAGGTCACTTTTGTATAACTGTCAGAGAGACATGCTATAAATTTTGGGGATTTTACAGTACAATATTGCACATCATTCACACTGAAGTGCATATGTCACGCCCCCTGGAGGACACAGAGCCAAGGCCAGCAGGTCAGTGGCCTTGGTTTGCAGCAGTGTTGGCAGAAGCACTTTATTCTCTTTCCTCCATTTCCTATGTGTACTGGAGACGCAAAGTAAACCAGGTTGTCTGCCAAACTTGAAGGAAGCCAGAGAGTCCAGAAAACTGTAGGCTTTCCTGCACCCAGAGGGAGATATTACTCTTGGAAATAAGACTTTTTCAAACGATAACCTTCTAGGTGAAAGAAAGTACTATTTGAGCTTCTCTTCTCCAAACTGTTGGTCTTTCACAATGAAAAGAGTTTGGCCTCAACAAGTGAACAAGGACCAAGGGTAACTAAACAGCTCAGGCAGACACAAAAGCCTGGTTGTTGCAACCGAATTGACTTAGCATTTACTGCGTTTTAAAACTCAAATCCATTTGGTAAGGGGGCCTAATCATCTAAGAAAAACAGTCATGTGAAGAAACAGGATGCTGCATCTGATTGATTTATAAAAGCATCAGGTTACTGAAGTTTTAGCCAGCTCATAGGAAAAATACTTTCCCATTTACTCCCCATTTCCTTCACGTCAGGATAAACTCATTCCCACACTACAAAATATGCCTTCAAAATCCCATACCCTGCATGAGACCAAATTCTTTGGCTTTTGGAGGGCTTTCTCCACAGCCTGAAATTGATTCCTGACAGCAGTTCCTTTGTGGCTTTGCTCAAACAAACTCGGAATCTTTTGGCTCATGGCACCAGCAGTAATTGAAAGAAGATACCACCACTGTTTTGTACATTCATGGAGCTGCTCAGGAGAAATGTGCTTTCTTTCCTGATCAAGGCTTTACTGCACTGCAATTGTCTTTGGTCCCATGTAAGCATGTTTATCGTTCCTAACATCCCTTTTGCTGTTGTTGTTTAGTTGTTTTACTTTTTTATTTTTCAAGGATAATTTCAATAATATTGCCATGTACACAATGGCATGTTACATATAAATATGTCAACATAATGTCTATAACTTATTATATCTGGGTATTTATAGCAGAAACATAGACAGTCATAAATACATACTCAGGAAATTCCGGGCTATTTCTGATTTTCAAACACATGTAATATGTGGTCTCATTGAGAGTTTTCTCTGTTGTTTCTGGAGAACATTATTTACACAGCCAGAAAACAAAAACTTTTTTAAAAGTACAACTAATTTTAATATGAAGAGGAATCTGCTTTTGCTTTGTAAAGGTGTATTTTCTGTAGAAATATTGAACTGACAAGGGTGTGAAGGAAAAGTATTTTCCAAGAGAAGGCAAATGTGGAACTAGATAGAAAAGAATGAATTAGAAAATTATGTAGATTTTGGAAGATGTTCCTCTATTTTTTTCTATTATCTAAGTTTCATAGATATTTTTTTCCTATGGAAGGAATATCTGTCTTGATATTTACTGTAGTTATGATTGGAATGGTGCTATTTCTCCAATATATGAATGGAATACTCTTAGTGATAGGGAAATTTTTCAGATATCAATAAATGAATTGTAAGTATCACGGTGTTGCTTTTCTTGCTTTACACAAAATACTGCTGGGTTTCTTAGCTATAAACCATAAATCCTTTGCCTTATGGCCCTCATAGTGATTGAGATTAGAAGTAATTGATCCATTACTGAACTAGTGTTATACTAGGCATCAATGAAGATGTTTTCTTTGACATTTTCTGTGTAGCCTTCTAATAACAATAGCATTTATCGTGCACTTACATTGTGCATTGTTTGTTTGGTACAAGCATAAGCTCGCTTAACTTCAAAACCTGTAAGGCATAGTTATTATTATGATTATTTCTGCGCTCAGAAGAAGAAACCAAAACAAAGGTTAAATAATGTGTTGAAGGTAAAGAATGGTGTAAGAATTAAACCCTGGTGGTTTAACTTCCTGGGATTTTAATCATTTCTTTTAACACTATTAGTTCTCTCTTAAAATGAACATGCTCATTAAATTAATTCAAATCAATATTAGGCTGCCCTTTTAAAAAACTCAGAGCAAACAAGAACAATTAAATTATGTATTTACTTGCCTTTGACCTTGAGCAATTGACCTTTCTCTAGACAGGGCTAACAATTTTACTTGGATTTGAGTAGCTGCAAAAATTGCTGAGAAGTCAATTTAAAGTCTTAGGAAAACGTTTTATCAGACTGAAGTCTCCTAAATCATTTGTCAATCACTTGTTGGTAGTCATTTAAGTCGAGCTCAATCGCCCTAAGCCACATATTCATTTTAATCCATGAATAATGTAGTAATGACTCATTGACAGCTATTAACCAGCTCCTAGAGTTTTCATACCTGCAACTTTTAAGGGATTCTAAGCAAAGCATTCTAGAAATAAAACAATATAAATAGAAAGTAGTCATTTCACTTTCATTTTAGGGTAGATGACATGATACAAGGATGACTTTAGTAATAATCAATTGCTCTATGATACCTAGAGTTGTCCCTTGGTGAAACTTGGTTTCACAGCTTCTACCTCTCAAATGTATCCAGAATCCAACCACTTCTCACTACTTTCCTTCTCACCACTTGTGAAATAAAACCCCTGGCCCTGAATTTAAATCCTGCTCCAAGCCAAATCATCATGCCTCCCCTGGATTTTGGCATTAACTCCCTAAACTGTCTCCTAAATTGCCACCTTTGTCCACAGTATTCTCAACAGGGAAGCCAGGTGATCCTTACAAAATGTAAGTGATACCATGTCATCTGCCATCTACAAATCCTATTCCTTTCGCTCAAGGCCTTTCTTCCTATGGGTGTGAGGCAGCAGGTTCACTGCTTCCCTGTGATTCTGACTTCGTCTCCTCCTGTTCTCCTCCTCACTCATGCCACTCAACCCGCAGGCTCCCTGTTGTTGACCCCGCCATGCCCTGCCTGCACACGAAAATAGTTCTCTTTAGCCTGCTCTGTGAATTCCTCAGAATTTATAACTTCCAGCACCCCATATGATTTGTATATTTATTATCTTTTGTGTAGTATTTATTATTTATCTTACCTGATGAGAATGTAAGCTCTCTAAGCAAGTGGAGCTTATTGTCCGCTCTGTTTGAACAAAACAGATCAGCATCTGGTAGGTTGTAGCACTCAATACATATTTATGGAATGAACAAATGAATGAATGAATGATTAAATGCCATTAGCTGGACCCATGCTTCCATGGTCAAACATGATGCTAGGACATTCAGTTCAGTCAGCGTTTGTATACGGTATTGGTCTAAAGGCAAATGATGACCATACATAAGAAATTAAAATACATCATAATGAATGGCATTAAAAGTCAATAATACTAGCTTGAAAGACAATAAGATAAGATGGTGGAAATAGACCCTGGTACTGAAATTGACTAAACTTTAGTTAAAAGAAATCCCTGTTCCACCATTTATCAGCAAGATGACCTTTGGCAAGTCACTTTAGCATACTAATCCTTAGCTCTCTCCCATATACAATAGGGAAATCTGTGCTGCCTACTTAATCTGGTTGTTATGAAGAGTAAATGAGTTTACATATTTAAGATGCTTAATATAATTTCTTGATATGTAATAACTATTGGGGGAAGTAATAACATAGTAATTTAAAAAATGTAGAGAGAGCCTCAGAACAATCTGAAAAACACATCCCTCTTAGTTATTATAAACAATTAGTTTTGAATCAATAATGCCTGATGAATAATAGTTTTTTTAAAATGGGCAAGAATTGACCATTGATCTTTTAGAATTTCAGAGTTGGAAGTTGCATAACTATCTAATATTTGGTTAATTCTAAACCTTTTAGCCTTGGTCAGCAGTCCTCAAAACTTTTGGTCTCAGGACTCCTTCATACTCCTAAAAATAACTGGAGACCCCAAAGAGTGTTTCCTTATGTGGGTTGTAGGTATTGATATTTTCTATATTCAAAATTAAAACTGATAACTTAAAACAATTATTTATTAATTCATTTAAATAATATCAATAATACACCCATTAGATAGTAAAATAAATTTTCTTTACAAAACTACATTTTTTAAACAAAAAATTTAGTGAGAAGGGTAGCATTGTTTCACAGTTTTGCAAATCTCTTTTTTTTTGAGATGGAGCCTTGCTCTGTCCCCAGGCTGGAGTGCAGTGGCACGATCTTGGCTCACTGCCACCTTCGTCTCCCAGGTTCAAGCGATTCTCCTGCCACAGCCTCCTGAGTAGCTGGGATTACAGGCACGCACCACCATGCCTGGCTAATTTTTGTATTTTTAGTGGAGATGGGGTTTCACCATGTTGGTCAGGCTGGTCTCGAACTCCTGACCTCGTGATCCACCTGCCTCGGCCTCCCAAAGTGCTGGGATTACAGGTGTGATCCACTGCGCCTGGCCTTTGCAAATCTCTTTAATGTCTAGGTTAATAGAATAAAACTGGATTCTTCTATCTGCTTTTGCATTCAATCTGTTGTGATGTCATACATAATGCAGGCTTTGCAAACCCCCCTCAATCACTCATGACAAAATGAGAGTGGAAAAGACAAATAACATATTAGTAATACAGTCATGTGTTGCTTAACCAAAGGAATATGTTCTGAGAAATTCATTGTTTGGTGATTTTGTCATTGTGTGAACATCATAGGCTGCACTTACACAAGATGATACAGCCTTCTACACACCATGGTGGTATAGCCTGTTGCTCCTAGACCACAAACCTATGCAGCATGTTACTGAACTGAATACTGTAGTCAATTGTAACACAATGCCAAGGATTTGTGCATCCAAACATTAAAAAGTACAGTAAAAATAAGATATAAAGGATTCAAAAATGGTACACTTACAGGGCGCTTCCCATAAATGCAGCTTGCAGCGGGGGAAGTTGCTCTGGGTGTCAGTGGATGAGTAGTGAGTGAATGTGAAGGTCTGGGCCATGATAGACTTTATAAATAGTAAACTTAGACTATGCTAGATTTATAACAAATGTTTTTCTTTCTTCAATAATAAATTAACCTTAGCTTACTGTAACTTTTTAACTTTATACATTTTTATTATTTTTAACTTATTGGCTCTTTTGTAATAACACTTAGCTTAAAACATATGGTACAGCTATATAAAAATATTTTCTTTCTTTATATTCTTTATAAGCTTTTTTCTATTTAAAGTTTTTTGGGGTTTTTTTTTTGTTACTTTAAAAAATTTTGTTATAAACTAAGACACAAACACACGCATTTGCCTAGGCCTACACAGGGTCAAGATCGTCAATATCGCTGTCTTTCTCCTCCATATCTTGTCCCACTGGAAGGCCTTCAGGGACAATAACAGGCATGGAACTACCATCTCCTATGACAGCAATGCCTTCTCGCAGATACCTCCTGAGGGATCAGCCTGAGGCTTTTTGTATAAGTACAGTCTGAAATAATGATAAAATTGTAGTATAGTAAATACATAAACTCCTCCCATCCCTGATTTTCTTAAAACAAACTTTGAAAACCACTAGGCTAGGTTATGGTCTTTTTCTTCTTTTCCTTTTTGTAAATTGTAAATTGACAGTTTATAATTGCTCAGTCTGCCCTCAGTATCTGTGTGTTCTTCACCCAAGATTCAACCAATCACAGGTCAAAAAATTTGGAAGAAAATTAAAAATAGCAATACAATGTTCTACACCCAAGATTCAACCAATCACAGGTCAAAAAAATTTGGAAAAAAATTAAAAATAGCAATACAACAATAAAAACAATACAAATAAAAATGCACCATTACAACTATTTGCATAGCATTCACATTGTATTAAGTATTACAAGTAGTCTAGAGATGACTTAAAGTATACAAGAGGATGTGTGTAGGTTATATGCTACTACTTATGCCATTTCATATAAAGAACTTGAGCATCCATGGGATTGGGGATCTATGGAGGGTCCTGGAAACAATTCCCCATGGATACCAAGGGAAGACTATGTAAATGTAAGGGATATAGAATGTTATGATTTTGAATAAAATGTGGAATAATTAAATCAAGCTATTTAACATATACAGCACCTCAAATACTTAACAGTTTTTATGGTAAGAACATTTGAAATTTGCTCTTTTAGCAATTTGAAATGTACAGTACTCTATTATTAACTATATTCATCACATTGTGCAATAGAACTTAAAAAATCACATTCTTCCTGTCTAACAGATTTAGTACCCTCGGACCATCATCTCCACATTCTTCCCACCCTGCAGTTTCTGTAACCACTAATATACTCTCTGCTTCTATGAGTTGTTTTAGATTCCACATATAAGTGAGAACATGCAGTATTTGTCCTTCTGTGCCTGGCTTATTTCACTTGGTGTAGTGTTCTCCAGTTCCATCCATGTTGTTACAGATGACACAATTTTCTTCTCTTTTAAGGTTGTCTAGTATTCTGCTGTGTATACAGACCAGCTATTCACTTGTTGATGATGGACTCATAGGCTCATTCCATAACTTGGCTATCATGAATAGCGCTGCGATAAACATGGCTGTGCAGACAGATATCTCTTAAACAAACTGATTTCAAACCTTTTGGGTAAATACTCAGAAGTGGAAATGTGGATCGTATACTAGTTCTATTTTTAGTTTTTTGGGGAACCTTCATATAGTTTTCCCTAATGGCTGTACTAATTTATATTCCCACCAATGGTGAACAAGGATTCCCTTTTCTCCACATTCTTGCTGACACTTAGGTTTTTTTTTGTCTTTTTATAAAAGTAATTCTGACAGGTGTGAGATGGTATTTCATGGTTGTTTTAATTTGCTTTTTTTCTTCCTAATGATTAGTGATTTTGAGCACTTTTTGTATACCTGTTTTCTGTTGCTATTCCTTCTTTTGAAATGCGTATTCCGTCTCCTTGCCCATTTTTAAAATTGGGTTTCTTGTTTTCATGCTATTGAGTTGTTTGAGCTCCTTATATATTTTCGATATTAACCCCTTATCAGATGTATGACTTTTCTCTCAATCCATAGGTTATCTCTGTATAATGCTAATTGTTTCCTTTGCTGTGCAGAAGTGTTTTGGTTTGATATTATCCCATTTGTCTATTTTTGCTTTTGTCGCTGGCATTTGTTGGGGTCAAATCCAAAAAACTTGTTGCCCAGCCTAATGTGGTATAGTTTTTCCCCTATGTTTTCTACCAGTAGTTTTATAGTTTCTGGTCTTATGTTTAAGTCTTTAATCCATTTTGAATTAATTTGTATATATGGTGTGAGATATGGGTCCAATTTTATTGTTCTGCATGAAAAAAATCTAGTTTTCCCAACAGCATTTATTGAAGACACTATCCTTTCCCCATTGTACATCCTTGATACCTCTGTAAGAAATCAAGTGATTGTACATGTGTGGGTTCTCTACTCTGCTCCATTGACCAGTGTGTTTTTTGTTTTGTTTTGTTTGTTTGTTTTGCTGGTACCATGCTCTTTTAATTACTATAGCTTTGTAGTATAGTTTGAAATGTGGTAGTGTGATACCTCCAGCTTTGGTTCTTTTTGCTGATGATTGACTTGGCTATTTGGAGTTTTTCTGGTTTTATATGAATTTTAGAATATTTTTAAGATATTGCCATTGGAATTTTGATAGAGATTACATTGAATATGTAGATAGATCCCTTTGGATCGTATGAACATCTAAACAATATTAATCCTTCCAATTCATGAACACAGGCCATTTTCCCATTTATTTGTGTCTTTTTCAATTTCTTTTATCAACATTTTTTAGTTTTCAGCATATGGGTTTTTCACTTCTTGGTTAAGTTTATTCCTAAGTGTATTTTTTGTAGCTATTGTTAGTGGGATTGTTGTCTTAATTTTTTTTTATTGTACTTTAAGTTCTGGGATACATATGCAGAATGTGCAGCTTTGTTACATAGGTATACACGTGCCATGGTGGTTTGCTGCACCCATCAACCCAACATCTACATTAGGTATTTCTCCTAATACTGTCCCTCCCCTAGCTCCCCACCCCCTGACAGGCCCTAGTGTGTGATGTTCCCCTCCCTGTGTTCATGTGTTCCCATTGTGCAACTCCCACTTATGAGTGAGAACATGCAGTGTTTGGTTTTCTGTTCCTGTGTGAGTTTGCTGAGAATGATGGTTTCCAGCTTCATCCATGTCCCTGCAAAGGACATGAACTCATCCTTTTTTATGGCTGCATAGTACTCCATGGTGTGTATGTGCCACATTTTCTTTATCCAGTCTATCATCAATGGGCATTTGGGTTAGTTCCAAGTCTTTGCTATTGTGAACAGTGCTGCAATAAACATATGTGTGCATGTGTCTTCAGAGTAGAATGATTTATAATCCTTTGGGTATATACCCAGTATGGGATTGCTGGGTCAAATGGTATTTCTGGTTCTAGATCCTTGAGGAATCACCACACTGTCTTCCACAATGGTTGAACTAATTGACACTCCCACCAACAGTGTAAAAGCATTCCTATTTCTCCACATCTTCTCCAGCATCTGTAGTTTCCTGATTTTTTAATGATCGCCATTCTAACTGGCGTAAGATGATATCTCATTGTGATTTTGATTTGCATTTCTCTAATGACCAGTGATGAATGAGCTTTTTTTCAAGTGTTTGTTGTCCGAATAAATGTCTTCTTTTGAGAAGTGTCTGTTCATATCCTTTGCCCATTTTTTGATTGGTGCTATTTGTTTTTTTCTTGTAAATTTGTTTAAGTTCCTTGTAGATTCTGGATATTAGGCCTTTGTCAGATGGATAGATTGCAAAAATTTTCTCCCATTCCATAGGTTGCCTGTTCACTCTGATGACAGTTTCTTTTGCTGTGCAGAAGCTCTTTAGTTTAATTAGATCACATTTGTCAATTTTGGATTTTGTTGCCATTGTTTTTGGTGTTTTAGTCATGCAGTCTTTGCCCATGCCTATGTCCTGAATGGTATTGCCTAGGTTTTCTTCTGGGGTTTTTATGGTTTTAGTCTTTAATCCATCTTGAGTTAATTTTTGTATAAAGTGTAAGGAAGGGGTCCAGTTTCAGCTTTCTGCATATGGCTAGCCAGTTTCCGCAACAGCATTTATTAAATAGGGAATCTTTCCCCATTTCTTGTTTTTGTCAGGTTTGTCAAAGATCAGATGGTTGTATATGTGTGACGTTATTCCTGCGGCCTCTGTTCTGTTCCATTGTTCTATATATCTGTTTTGGTACCAATACCATGCTGCTTTGGTTACTGTAGTCTTGTAGTGTAGTTTGAAGTCAGATAGCATGATGCCTCCAGCTTTGTTCTTTTTGCTTAGGATTGTCTTGGATATACAGGCTCTTTTTTGGTTCCATATGAAATTTAAAGTAATTTTTCCTAATTCTGTAAAGACAGTCAATGGTAGCTTGATGGGAATAGCATGAATTTATAAATTACTCAGGCAGTATGGCCTTTTCCATGATAATGATTCTTCCTATCCATGAGTGTGGAATGTTTTTCCATTTGTTTGTTCTCTTATTTTCTTGAACAGTGGTTTGTAGTTCTCCCTGAAGAGGTGCTTCACATCCATTGTGAGTTGTATTCCCAGGTATTTTATTCTCTTTGTAGCAATTGTGAATGGGAGTTCACTCATGATTTGGTTCTGTCTTTGTCTATTATTGGTGTATAGGAATGCTTGTGATTTTTTCACATTGATTTTGTATCCTGAGACTTTGCTGAAGTTGCTAATAAGCTTAAGGGAATTTTGGGCTGAGATGATGGGGTTTTCTAAATATAAAATTATGTCATCTGCAAACAGAGACAGTTTGACTTTCTCTCTTCCTATTTGAATAAACTTTATTTCTTTCTCTTGCCTCATTGCCCTGGCCAGAACTTCCAATACTGTGTTGAATAGGAGTGGTGAGAGAGGGCATCCTTCTCTCGTGCCAGTTTTCAAAGGGAATGCTTCCAGCTTTTGCCCATTCAGTACAATATTGGCTGTGGGTTTGTCATAAATAACTCTTATTGTTTTGAGATATGTTGCATCAACACCTAGTTTATTGAGAGTTTTTAGCATGAAGGGCTGTTGAATTTTATTGAATGCCTTTTCTGCATCCATTGGGATTGCCATGTGGTTTTTGTCATTGGTTCTTTTTATATGATAGATTATGGTTATTGATTTGCATATGTTGAACCACCCTTGCATCCCAGGGACGAAGCTCACTCGTTTGTGGTGGGTAAGCTTTTTGATGTGCTGCTGGATTTGGTTTGCCAGTATTTTATTGAAGATTTTCACACTGGTGTTCATCAGGGATAGTGGCCTGAAATTTTCTTTTTTGGTTGTGTCTCTGCCAGTTTTTGGTAACAGAATGATGCTGGCCTCATGAGCTAGGGAGGAGTCCCTCTTTTTCTATTGTTTGGAATACTTTCAGAAGGAATGGTACCAGCTCCTCTTTGTACCTCTGGTAGAATTCAGCTGTGAATCCATCTGGTACTGGGATTTTTTTGATTGGTAGGCTATTAATTACTGCCTCAATTTCAGAACTTGTTCTTGGTCTATTCAGGGATTCCACTTCTTCCTGGTTTAGTCTTGGGAGGGGGTATGTGTCCAGGAATTTATCAATTTCTTCTAGATTTTCTAGTTTATTTGTGTAGAGGTGTTTATAGTATTCTCTGTTGGTAGTCTGTATTCTTGTGGGATCAGTGGTGATATCCCCTTTATCATTTTTTATTGTGTCTGTTTGATTCTTCTTTCTTTTTTCCTTTCTTATTCTGGCTAGTGGTCTATCTATTGTGTCCATCTTTTCAAAAAACCAGCTCCTGGATTCACTTATTTTTTGAAGGGTTTTTTGTGTCTCTATCTCCTTCAGTTCTGCTCTGATCTTAGTTATTTCTTGTTTTCTGCTAGCTTTTGAATGTGTTTGCTCTTGCTCCTCTAGTTCTTTTAATTGTGATGTAAAGGTGTCGATTTTAGATCTTTTCCGCTTTCTCCTGTGGGGATCTAGTGCTATAAATTTCCCTCTAAACGCTGCTTTAGCTGTGTCCTAGAGATTCTGGTACATTGTGTCTTTGTTCTCATTGGTTTCAAAGAACTTACTTATTTCTGCCTTAATTTTGTTATTTACCCAGTAGTCATTCAGGGGCAGGTTGTTCAGTTTCTATGTAGTTGTGTGGTTTTCAGTGAGTTTCTTTTCTTTTTTTTTTTTTTTTTTTTGAGATGGAGTCTAGCTTTGTCACCCAGGCTGGAGTGCAGTGGCATAAGGCGTGATCTTGGCTCACTGCAAGTTATACCTCCTGGGTTCACACCATTCTCCTGCCTCAGCCTCCTGAGTAGCTGGGACTACAGGCACCTGCCACTACGCTGGGCTAATTTTTTGTATTTTTAGTAGAGATGGGGTTTCACCGTGTTAGCCAGGATG
Organism: Homo sapiens; assembly: GCF_000001405.40. Taxonomy (NCBI): domain Eukaryota; kingdom Metazoa; phylum Chordata; class Mammalia; order Primates; family Hominidae; genus Homo; species Homo sapiens. Next base: position 54,853,229 of record NC_000007.14, read on the forward strand.
GTCTCGATCTCCTGATCTCATGATCCGCCCGCCTCGGCCTCCCAAAGTGCTGGGATTATAGGCATGAGCCACTGTGCCTGGCATTGAGTGAGTTTCTTAATCCTGAGTTCTAATTTGATTGCACTGTGGTCTGAGAGACTCTTTGTTATGATTTCTGTTCTTTTGCATTTGCTGAGGAGTGCTTTACTTCCAGTTATGTGGTCAATTTTAGAATAAGTGTGATGTGATGCTGAGAATAATTTATATTCTGTTGATTTGGGGTGGAGCATTCTGAGATGTCTATTAGGTCCACTTGGTCCAGAGCTGAGTTCAAGTCCTGAATATCCTTGTTAATTTTCTGTGTCATTGATCTGTCTAATATCGACAGTGGGGTGTTAAAGTCTCCCACTATTACTGTGTGGGAGTCTCGGTCTCTTCGTAAGTCTCTAAGGATTTGCTTTATGAATCTGGGTGCTCCTGTGTTGGGTGCATAGATATTTAGGATAGTTAGCTCTTCTTGTTGCATTGATCTTTTTCCCATTATGTAATGCCCTTCTTTGTCTTTTTTCATCTTTGTTGGTTTAAAGTCTATTTTATCAGAGACTAGGATTGCAACCCCTGCTTTTTTTTTTTTTTTTTGCTTTCCATTTGCTTGGTAAATATTCCTCCATCCCTTTATTTTGAGCCTATGTGTGTCTGTGTCTTTGCACGTGAGATGGGTCTCCTGAATACAGCACACTGATGGGTCTTGACTCTTTATCCAATTTGCCAGTCTGTGTCTTTTAATTGGGGCATTTAGCCCATTTACATTTAAGGTTATTATTGTTATGTGTGAATTTGATCCTGTCATTATGATGTTAGCTGGTTATTTTACCAGTTAGTTGATGCAGTTTCTTCATAGTGTCAATGGTCTTTACAATTTGGTATATTTTTGCAGTGGCTGGTACCAATTTTTCCTTTCCATATTTAGTGCTTCCTTCAGGAACTCTTGTAAGGCAGGCTTGGTGGTGACAGAATCTCTCAGCATTTGCTTGTCTGTAAAAGATTTTATTTCTCCTTCACTTATGAAGCTTAGTTTGTCTGGATATGAAATTCTGGGTTGAAAATTCTTTTATTTAAAAATGTTGAATATTGGCTCCCACTCTCTTGTGGCTTGTAGGGTTTCTGCAGAGAGATCTGCTGTGAGTCTGATGGGCTTCCCTTTATGGGTAACCCAGCCTTTCTCTCTGGTTGCCCTTAACATTTTTTCCCTCATTTCAACCTTGGTGAATCTGACAATTATGGTTTTGGGGTTTCTCTTCTCAAGGGGTATCTTTTTGGTGTTCTCTGTATTTCCTTAATTTGAATGTTGTCCTGTCTTGCTAGGTTGGGGAAGTTCTCCTGGATAATATCCTGAATAGTGTTTTCCCACTTGGTTCCATTCTCCCTGTCACTTTCAGGTACACCAATCAAATGTAGGTTTGGTCTTTTCACATAGTCCCACATTTCTTGGAGGCTTTGTTTGTTCATTTTCATTCTTTTTTCTCTAATCTTGTCTTCACACTTTATTTCATGAAGTTGATCTTCAGTCTCTGATATCCTTTCTTCTACTTGATCAATTTGACTATTGATACTTGCATATGCTTCACGAAGTTCTTGTGCTGTGTTATTCAGCTCCATCAGGTCATTTACGTTCTTCTCTAAACTGGTTATTCTAGTTAGCAATTCGTCTAACCCTTTTTCAAGGTTCTTAGCTTCCTTGCCTTGGGTTAGAACATGCTCCTTTAGCTTGGAGGAGTTTGTTGTTACCCACCTTCTGAAGCCTACTTCTGTCAATTCATCAAACTCATTCTCTTATTATTCTCATTATTCCCTTGCTGGTGAGGAGTTGTGATCCTTTGGAGGAGAAGAGGCGTTCTGGTTTTTGGAATTTTCAGCCTTTTAGTGATGGTTTTTCCTCATCTTCATGGATGTATCTGACTTTGGTCTTTGATGTTGGTCACCTTCAGATGGGGTTTGTGTGTGGACATTCTTTTTGTTGATATTGTTGCTATTCCTTTTTGTTTGTTAGTTTTCCTTCTAACAGTCAGGCCCCTCTGCTGCAGGTCTGCTGGAGTTTGCTGGAGGTCCACTCCAGACCCTGTTTGCTGGGGTATCACCAGTGGAGGCTGCAAAACAGCAAAGAATGCTGCCTGTTCCTTTCTCTGTAAGCCTCATCCCAGTGGGGCACCCGCTAGATGCCAGCCGGAGCTCTCCTGTTTGAGGTGTTTGTTGACCCCTGTTTGGAAGTGTCTCCCATCCAGGAGTTACATGGGTCAGGGACCCACTTGAGAAAGCAGTCTGTCCCTTAGCAGAGCTCAAGTGCTGTGCTGGGAGATCCACTACTCTCTTCAGAGCCGGCAGGCAGGAAAGTTTAAGTCTGCTGAAGCTATGCCCACAGCCACTGCTTCCCCCAGATGCTCTGTCCCAGGGAGTTGGGAGTTTTATCTATTAACCCCTGACTGGGGCTGCTGCCTTTCTTTCAGAGATGCCTTGCACAGAAAGTAGGAATCTAGAGAGGCAGTGGGGCTACAGCGACTTTGTGGCACTGCAGTGGGCTCCCACTCAGTTTGAACTTCCCTGTGGCTTTGTTTACACTATGAGGGGAAAACCACCTACTCATGCCTCAGTAATGGCAGACGCCTCTCCCCACACCAAGCTCGAGCATACCAGGTCGATTTCAGACTGCTGTGCTGGCAGCGAGAATTTCAAGCCAGTAGATCTTAGCTTGCTGGGCGCTGTGGGGTTGGGATCCACTGAGCTAGACCACTTGGCTCCCTGGCTTCAGCTCACTTTCCAGGGGAATGAATGGTTCTGTCTCACTGGTGTTCCAGGTGCCACTGGGATATGAAAAAAACTCCTGCAGCTAGCTCAGTTTCAGCCCAAAAGGCCACCCAGTTTTGTGCTTGAAACCCAGGATCCTGGTTGTATAGGCACCCGAGGGAATCTCCTGGTCTGCGGATTGTGAAGACCATGGAAAAAGCATAGCATCTGGGCCAGAGTGCACCATCCCTCATGGCGCAGTCTCTCATGGCTTCCCTTGGCTAGGGGAGGGAGTTCCCTGACCCCTTGCACTTCCCAGATGAGGCGATGCCCCACACTGCTTCTGTTCACCCTCTGTGGGCTGCACCCACTGTCTAACCAGTCCCAATGAGATGAGCCAGGTATCTCATTTGGAAATGCAGAAATCACCCACCTTCTCCATTGTTCTCACTGGGACCTGCAGACTGGAGCTGTTCCTATTCAGGCATCTTGCCCATCTTAAGTTTTTTGATTGCCCATTGTTAGTGTCCTGATATTTGTGTGTTGATTATGTATCCTGTAATTTGACTGCATTCATTTATTAGTTCTAACGGTGTTTTTGGGTGGACTCTAGAATTTTCTATATATGAGATCATGTCATCAGCAAACAATGACAATTTCACCTCTTTCTTTACAGTTTGGATGCCTTCTATTTTTCTCTCTTGCTTAATTGCTCTGGCTAGGACTTCCAATACTATGTTAAACAGAAGTGATGAGAGTGGGCATCTTTGCTTGTTTCACATCTCAGAAGAAAAGCTTTCAATTATTCATCGAGTAGGATGTTAGCTGTGGGCTTCTCATATATGGCCTTTACTGTGTTGAGGCAACTTCTATATTTATTTTGGTGAGAATTTTTATCATGAAAGAATGTTGAATTTTGTCCAATGGTTATTCTTTCTTCTTGAGGCTTAATAAAAATAAAACAGTTTATAACTTTCACTTATCTTTTCCAACTTTTTGTTGTTTTGACAGCCAGTCTGATAGAAAAACTTAGAAGATAAAATTTCAGCTCTTTATACCATTCCTTTTACTATTTAACTCAGGAGATTAAGAGCCTTTGAACAGAGATTAGAATCGGTGTTCCTAATTTAATGAGCAGAAGTCTTTCCATTACATGTCAGTTGTCCAAGATTCAACCCTTGCCTTCAAATGGTTTGTAATATAGTAATATGAAGCACTGAGAGTTCTGTGAAAAACAGACATTTTTTAAAAATTCAAAGCAGATTTTTCTTTGTTTTCATTAAAATAAAATTTTTAATAAAAATATTTTCAAATTCTAGGAAATAAAAGAAAAAGGTGTCATCCAGTTTTCATTAAAACACTCATGAAATCAAATAGGGAAAAGCCTGCATCAGTATTGGAAACTAAAGATAATAGTCAACATATACCAAAAATTGGAGGATATTTCACTAAATAAATCACCAGTTGGACCAGATTTTAAAAACGCCATTAATGGACAACATGTGTTTTGCTCCCTGAGCCAAAGTGGTGAAGTCAGAAAGTCGGAGGAGCCTTGACTGACCCCACAGCTCCTGACCTCAGCCCCTACTAGGGAGGCAGTCACCATGGACTTGCAAAGGGGTCTATCCCTCAGCACTTTGGGCTGTTTTTTGGCCTGCAAACCAGTGTCATAAAAACTGTGCCATTAATATAAAGTTAGCAAATGTTCTTAAAATTTTGGAATTCCTTAAAAGGGAAAGAACCGAAGTGATCTGAATACTAGGCAGTGGGTATAAAGACAGACCCATGTTTTGATTATTGGAGCTGAACGAACACAGGAGGTGGAAGGCAGAAATGAGAGGCAAATGGGGGAAAGAACCTAGGGAATCCCATCAGGATCAAGCACACCTTTGCCCTTTCACATCTTGGGAATAAGAGGTGGGGTGGGAGTGGTTGGTGGTTGGGCTCTACTGAATGAGCTCTTCGACCTGGTTTTGCTGGATGACATGTTCTTCTGCCTTCCTGTCCCGCTGAACTGCAGTACTGCTGTAGTGAGTTATCCCCTTCCTGGCTTAAATCTGAGTGGGCCTGTCTGCAGGGCTTGAAAGTTCCTTTGACATTTGGTCACTACTTGCCAGGGCCTCAGCCACACCTGCTGGTCTGTGAGGGAGCTAAGGAGACTCAATATATGATGACTGTTAAAAAAAAAAAAAAAGTGGCCTGAAAGAATTTCTCTTCATGGCAGAATAAATAAGCCTAATGATCTACATGCATGTCTAGACCGGACTGGTATTCCTAATCACTTCCTTCCTGTTCATGCCAAGCCTGCCGGCCCTCTGTGAAAAGTCACTATTGACAGACTCTTTGGCTGAGGAGAGCTCTCCAGGCCCTGCCTCCACCTCTGATGCTTTTTCATCTGGTTTCTGTCCCATGGGCTCCTAATCACACACTCCTCTCACAGGTCTCCCATTTCATTGTTTGACTTCTCACACAGGCTTATTCCACAGGAACAAAGGCTTCCCCTTCCTTTGTCTTCATGCACTGAGGGCTGTGAATAAGCGGGGCTTCCTCCTGTCTGCATCTCAGCCCAGGTCCAGAGCAATAGACCTCAATCACTGGTAGGGCAGGGTCAAGTTACCACAGAGCAGACCAACAGCAAAAGATCCACCACCCAAGAGAAGTGGAATGATACTTAAGGACTTAAAAGAAAAACTTTCTCTGAAATAAATTTGCTGCAGGAAACAGAAGAAAAATTTAACATATATTTGTTTTATTGCTTACAAAAAAACAACTTTGAGCTGAGACAAGAAGAGATTCCATGAAAACCAAAATCATAAGACCCAAATTAAAGTGTTTGTTGGAAAGAGAGAATAGTTATTGACACTGCAGATTGTCACATTGTTGATGTAAGGAAGAAACTGGGAAGTAATCTCAGAACATGGAGCGAATGAATGAAAATGATGACAGAGAAAGATATTAGAGGGGGAGTAAAGTTTGCACAACCTGAATGTTGAGTAGCTAGTCTTCCCAAAGGAGAAAGCTAAACAAAATGAATAGAATCAATAATTCAAGGGAAAAATAAAGAAAATAAATTAATATATAAAAGAAAATTCTCTTCCCAATGTTAAAAACAAATCTGAGTCTGGAGATTTAAAAAATATAATGTCTATTATGTGTAAATGAAAGAAGGCTTAAGTCTGGAATGATTCCCCTTCCCATTTCTTGCTAGTTTCTCCTCCTCTTTCCAATATAGATCCTGCCAACACCAGTGTCACATCCATGTTGCAAAGCCTGACTCAAATCCACTTCTAGCATGAAGCAATTTCCTGATTTCCTTAACCAATTGTTCTAGCTCTCACTTTTAAACCCCCACTTAAGTTTTATCATATTCTACCAGTAGCAATTATAATAATGAAATCTTATGTTAGGCTGGGTCATCTGAGAAGCAGATGCCAAGTGGAGATTAAATGTGCAAGAACTTCATTAGGAGGAAACATCAGGGAAAGAAATTGGGGACGGGGGCCAGAGAGGCTCGGAGTATGGGCAGACCATGATCCAAGACTTACCCTGGGTGAAAGAGAGATTGGGAGCCTCCTCATATGCTGTGCCATTCTTGGAAGTTTTTGTGAGGCTACTGGGGAGTCTCGAGGCAGAGTTCATTAGAGAAGTCCTGCATCTCCCAGCAATGGGCCTGCCTTAGCATCCTTGCTGCACTGAGCTGTTGGCTGGGAGCCGTCCATAAGAGGTTTGCCTCTGTGTACTGCAGCCGTGAATTTCAGAGCACATCAGATAAAGTCCTTGGGTCAGTTACACCATCTGTATTTGGAAGTCTGTCAGACACATTCTCATGGCTACTACAGTGTTCGATAAATATTAATACAACAATCAACTATTGAGCAACTAGGCACCAAGTGCCATGCTCTGCCCACATGAAAGGACACATGCTCACAACACAAAAATGATAAAGACTGCATGCTTACATTTGCAGAGCGCAAAATCAGAATGGGGAGACAAACATGAGAAATATGCAATTACCCCAGAACACATGTTAGTGTAAAAGCACATCCCACATGCTACAGGAACACAGAGGAATAAAAGAGTTCACTTTACCTGGCAAAGCTGGACATACAGCAGCAGAGGAAGGAAAGGTTAAAATATGCAGCCTAGGTGTTTACAGGCAGAGGTAAGTGTGGAAGAGTACTGCAGTCAGAAGGAAATCACCTTTGTGCAATAGGCGTCCATTCATCTCCAGTATTTGCTTTCCCCTCCTGGAGTGGGGCAGGGTTGGGACTTTCTTCCTATCTCATGAATGCTAGACTGGACGTGTGGGGTGCAAGCAGAGATGGCATGCAGCATTTCTGAAGAAAGTGCTAGTAGCCACCTTGTAGCTTGCCACGCTCTCTATTTTCTCTAACTAAAAAGGGTCAGAGAGGTGGCTCCATCAGCCATTGTTCTAGAGTGAAAGTGACAGGAATCAGAGTGGCAGCTGACCCATGAAGGACATGAGACATGAGTGGGAAAGAAACCATTTGTTTTTATAACCCTTGGAGATTTGTTGCCTCGGCAGAGCCTGGCTCCCCAGTCTACCCTGACTCATCCTCTCTGCAGACAGAGGGCACAAAGATGTGAGAGTGTGGTGTTTTCAGGGAGCTCCCCTTCCCTTCACCCTGGGGCTGTATGATGGGCAATGAGGGAGCAAGTTTATGGAGGGGAGTAGGATCATATCACAGAGTCTTTTCTGATATGCTGAAGAGCCCACAGGCAATGGAGCTCATTTTTAAGTAGGGGTGTGACAAGAGTGAATGTGGTTTCTAAAGTGATTGGGAAGCCTGTATGGGTGCTCTTGTAGCTATCCAGAGAAGAGTCTTCAGGGAGGGCCAGAGAGAACAGAGGAAGGGAGGGTTCAGTGACCTCCAGCAGACAGATTGCATGTGGGAAAAGAAGAGGGGAGCTCAGTGAGTGAGGCACACCAAAGCAGGAGGAAAAGCACTTTGAAGGGGAGCTGATGTGTTCAATTTTTGGAGCATTGAATTTGAGGTTCCTTCAGGACATCCATGTGACAACATCCAGTAGGTTTTTGGAAACATGTGTTTGGAATTGAGACAGCACTGAATTGAATTACTTTAACAGCTGAATTTTAGAAACCTTTAATCTTTTTCTTTTCAAGTATGGCCACTAGGAGTGATTTTGGCCCATTTAATAAAAAATGAGGACAAGGATGTGAATTGATACACACAGTTGAGCCCAGTTTCTGTTCTAGATTGTAAGTCCCTAGTAACTTTCAGGGGCCTTCCCTGTATTCACTGGCCTTGGTTGTGAACTTTTTGTTAACTATTTTCTCTTTAACACAGATGCAAATGGACGAGTTAATCTTAGTCCACATTATCATTATTGATGCTTGAAGGTCCTCTTCTGTTGTGTTTTTGTAAAATGTTCTTTTACCTCCATTCCCCACTGCCAACTCCCACTTTTCTCAGGATCAGCCACTCTCATTTGGTAAATGTGTACATTTTTATCTGTATGTGTCTTGAAGAATGTGCATGGGGGGGTCATGGCTTTTCATTTAGGTAGGCAATGTTGTGTTCTGTTTCAGTGTGATTCACGCTGGCTTTCCATGACATGTAGACAGAGGTTTTCCCGTCCCCTCTTCCATGATGTCACTCAGGTTGTGCTTCCTTCTTGCCATCACACTGATGCTGAAATGAATATCTATACGCATTTACCTCATGTCCTTTCGCGTCCTTTGGTATGTATAAGTAAAAGTACAGTATGCATGATACATACATTCTTCATCTGACTTAGCACCACCAGCTCACTCCTGGAATGGCTGCGCCGGTCCACTTTCCTCCATTCCTGCATGAATGTTTCTACATCCCCACATCCCTGCCTACACTTGGCATTATGCAGCTTTCTAGTCTTGGCCAATCCAGTAAATACTGTGATATTTCATCTAAAAATATTTCAATTTTAGTGACGACTAATGGATTTGGGCCTCTCTTCATGTTCTTGTTTGTGTCATCTTCCCTTTCTGTATTTCTAGTTCTTATAATTTGCCAGTTTCTTAAAAATAGAGATTGATACTTTATTATTTTTATTGTTTTATTGATTTGCAGAATTTTCTTTTATGTTCTAGATAGCAACTTAGTATCAGTTTTACACCTGTTGTTATTGTCCCACAGTTCTTGGATATTCCGTTTCTCTCTCTCTTTTTTCTTTTTATTGTCTTTGCTTTTCACTCTGAGAAGTTTCTACTGATGTATCTTCAAACTTACTGGTTCTTTCTTCACCTGTGTCTGGTCTACCGATGAGCCTATCAAAGGCATTCTTCATTCCTGTCATCATGTGTTTAATTTCTAGTATTTCCTTTTTATTCTTTCTTAGCATTTTCATCTCTATGCTTACCTTACGCATTTGTTCTAGCAGGTTGTCTACTTTTTCCATTTGCTCTTAGCATATTAATCATAGTTATTTTTATTCCTGGTCTGACAATTCCCAAATGTCTGTCATGTTTGAGTCTGGTTCTGATGCTTGCTTTGTTTCTTCAGACTGAGTTTTTTGCCTTTTAGCACGCTGTGTAATTTTTAGTTGAGAGCTAGAAATGATGTATTAGGTAAAAGGAACTGAGGTACATAGGTTTTTAGTGTCTTCATGGCTAGGAGTTAGGCTGTGTTTACTCTTTAAGTAGCTATAGATGTCAGAGGCCAAAATTTCCTCTAGCATCCATGTCTTTGTCTCCCCTGTTGTCTTGGGTTTCTCTAAAGACTTCTTAAGTAGAGTCTAGCCTTGCAGCTCCTCCATTGTCATCCCTGCTGTTATGCAGGAACCCATTGCTGTGGTAGGAGAGTGTGCAGTGGAAGAGAATAATTCCACATACCTGTCATCAAGTCTCAGTTTCTCAATGAGCCTGTGTCCCTGGACTGCGATCTTCACAAGTGCTTCTCAACTTTTTCTCTTCCTGAAGGCAGACAGAAGGGCTAGAGGGATATGGTGTTTAGCATTTTCCTCTTCTCAGTTTGAAGGCTAGACAAGGCTGGAATTGTTTGTGGTTTTATTTTCCCACCCCACATTAGTTAGGTACTGGCAAAACCCAGGTGGTTTGGGCTTTGTCAAGATGGTTTTTCTTGCAGGAGGTCTTTGTGAAGGAGCACAGAATGCTCTGGGTGGGTTTCAACTCAGTTCGTTTTCCCTCCTCTGCCAGAGCATGAGGGGACATTTTTCTACCTTCACCCTGATAACCTGGTGGGGCTTCTAGGGGCAAAAGCAAGCCTAGGTCCCCAGGAGATCCTGTCACTCAAGCTAGTCCACACTCAAGCTCCATATGCTAGCTGTAGGCTGCAGTGACAGCTTCTGCTCCCAGGAAGCTGTGATTCTCTGTATCTGCCTGGTTGTCTCTTCAATTTTCAATGTGGCAATTTGTCCTGTTACCTCAATTCTCTTATGGAGCTAAGAAAAGTTGTTGATTTTCCATTTGTTTAGCTTTTTTCTCATTCTGAAGACAGAAGGGATGATGTTCAACATCTTTATATGTTGGACCAGACACTGGAAATTGCATATCACTTTTAGAGATCATAGATATCTTTTTTCATCCTGTCATGTTTCAGTTACCCACAATTGTGCTTTATTGAACAGAAACCTTTAACTTGGATGCCATAATATTATCTGTTGTTTTGCCTTTGTGTTTGTTCTTTCAAATATTTTTCAAGAAGACTTTCCCTGTCCCTAGGTAAAAAGATGCTCTCCTATTTTTTTTCTATTACTTTGTAATTTTACCTTTCACAACTGGAGCTGTAATACATCTGGAATCCACCTTTTCATCTGGTATTCAATTTTGATTTGCCCCCCATAGCGAGCCAGTTTTCCCAATGGAATCTATGAAACAGTCCTTTCTTGCCCATTTGATTTATGGTATATTAAGTTCCCACTTACACCTCCTCCTCTCTTCTGGGTCTATTCAGTTCCATTGGCCTACTTGTCTGTTCTCTTGCCAATGCTGCAGTGTTTTGATACTATGTCAATAGCTGGTAGGAAATATTCCTCCTCTTTTTTTCTTTATTTTGACTGTGTTATTCAGAAATGTACTTTTGAAGTAAATTACGTCTGGGTTTATCTCTGTGCCTTGTTTCTCCTATCTTAAATAAAAAAGGAGCACTGAGATTCGTTTAAGACAATCTTTCCAACAAGCACATGCTTTCCTTTGTGTATAAAGACCCAGCTGTTACTGCAGCATGGGTAGGACCTGCAGTTCAGGCTGTTTTTGCGGCAGCCCCATGGTGAGCCCGTCACTCCTGAGCCAGGGCTGTGCACTCGGGACAGAGATGGCTGAGGTGACTGATAGCAAGGAGAGGGATCTTCTGTTGAGGATGACTTCTTGGATTCTTTGGCATCATTCTTTGCAAATAAGCTAGGCAGCCTAAAAAGCCTCTACTTTTGGAGGCCATCTAATGTAACTAGTGTATCTTTTAGGTAAAAACACTGAGGTCCTGCAATGCATGGTTATTCCCCAAGATCTCACAGCTTCCTTATGACAGACCAAGAATCAGACCTTCTCATTGATTCTTAGTTTATTGCTTCAACCACCCACTGTACCATATGGCGTCCTTCAGTGAACAGGGAAGGTGGAAGTTCAAGTGCTAAATTCTGAGAAATGTCTACAGATAAGTGTGCTGTTCATTTTGTTTCCAGTGGATGAACGGGAGTGTGATGCATGCTTCAAGTGAACCGTCAAACATGAAATCAAGACCTGACTTCCAGTCACAAGTTGGAATTTCTTTTCTTGTTTACTGACAACTTTAGGCATCTTGGGTTTCAGTATTTCAGTAAAATAAGGTAGATTTCAAGGCCTACTGCAAATATTTTGAGGACAGCAAAACTGTGACAGCAGGAAAAGGACCAAATTAGAAGCTGCAGTGACCTCGCTGCCCTACTATTGACAAATGACTAATTGATTCTGTACACACAGCTGCTAGAACCAAAGCGTGGACACAAGGCTAGCCGCATTGTTAACATAAACCGTGTATCATTAAGAGTTAATATGTGGTTTCCTTTAAACAAAGAGGCTACTCCAGATGACAGAGATATTCATCAAATGGTAGCCGTAATGGAAAAGACAGGATATCATGTTGCTTTCTATTAAGGAAAATAATTACCTAGAAATAACAGCACATCAAGACAATATATATTTTATTTACTATAAATAATATCATTAGACTATTTTTTAATGTCTTATGGTCCATCTACCCTAAGAAAATTGCCATTTATGCTTTTCAGTTTCTCTTTGTTTACATGAATACATATTTTACACAGTTGTAATCTTAGTTTACATACTACTTTAAATTCTTCTTTCCAAGCTCAGACGATATTATTAGCAACTATATTGCTTGGTGATTTATTTTATTTATTTATTTATTTATTTTGAGACAGAGTCTTGCTCTGTTGCCCAGGCTGGAGTGCAATGGTGTGATCTCGGCTCACTGCAACCTCCACCTCCTGAGTTCAAGTAATTCTCCTGCCTAAGCCTCCTGAGTAGCTGGCACTACAGGCGTGTACCACCTTGCCTGGCTAATTTTTGTATTTTTAGTAAAGGCAAGGTTTCATCATGTTGGCCAAGCTGGTCTCAAACTCCTGACCTCAGGTGATCCACCCACCTTGGCCTCCCAGCATGCTGGGATTACAGGTGTGAGCCACTGCGCCCTGCTGCTTGGTGATTTAATTTAGAATTATTGTGTGTGTTTGAATGTTACTTGCAGTGTGGCAAGAAAATTCTTTTGTAACTTTACTAGAACTGACCAGTACCACAGACTGGACCACACAGCTGATTTTAGCCTGGGCAAAGAGGTCTTGGTCTTAATCCAACATGGACAGACTCAGGAAGTCACTCTCCCCGGCTCTGTTCAAGTGGCACAGAGGGGCCCAGGGCTCTGCCCGACGATGTACAGAAAAAGTCTTGGTCTTGAGGAATCTTCCCTTTATAGGCAGACAGCATTTCAAGTAATCTGTGTGAAATCAGTGCATTTCTCTTTCTTCATTCGGATGAAGTGACACTAAGCAGGAAAGTCTTTCAGGTTTGTGCAATCTGTAGAGAGCAGGCTGGTGATTCTTACCCGGTCTCAAGCTATTTGATGAGAAGGGTCTTCAAATTTGATCCTAATATTAAGGATGTGGTAGAAACTCTGTATCAAAATCTTTATTACAGCATTATTTATAATAATGAAGAATTAGAAATAAATATCCAACCATACAGAACATATTGTTTATTAAAATGATGATATTTTAAGAAGCTATATAAAAGGTTGTTTTTAAATGCAAATAATGACATAAAGAAATATTTATGTTGAACAAGAAAAGATATTGGAATGCAAAATCCCATCTAAACAATGATCCTAGATACATTACAAATTTTTATCAGGGAATAAGTGGTTGATGTGTTTGTGCTATGTATATCTATGTGTATATGCACATAAAAATAATTCCCAGAAAATATCTGAATTTTCACATCTGTATTGCAAATTTATGGGCTATTTAAATACATTTTTCTATATAAGCTTATAAAATTCAAGATTGACTATAGTTGGTATGTATTACTTTTAGAACTAGGATTTTTTAAAAAGGTATTTAAAAATACCTAAATCATTTTTTGCTGCTAAAGGTGAATAGAGTAAGTGCAAGACACTGCTAATATCAGCAGGATCCAGCTTCTCTCAATAGCCCCACGGTAGAGGCAAGTTCCATCAAACCAGCCACTGCACAAAGCAGTTATGACTACCGACCAACTAAGGGACTAGCGTGTTTAACGTACCTTATGTAGGAACTTACTTATGTAGGATTGTAGAATCACATCACCAGGCCTAGGCATGAGTATGAACGGAGGCTCACATAATATACATTTAAATGTTTTATAGTTTTAAACCAAACTAACTCTTAAATAAGGTGTGTTTCATTCTCCTGTCTTGACAAGTGTACCTCCTTAATTATCTGAAAGCTGAGTACAATTTAGAGTTTGAGAATTCCTCAGAAGCCTAAGACTGCATGGGAATTGGCAGCACAGCAGAACTGGGCTGTGGCCTCCCTCCTCTTGTCCCAGCCCGTGCCCTCATAGTCAGGCCTGGTGTGCACCTATGAGGTCAACATGGCCTTCAGTTCCAAACTCTGTTCTCACCTCCGTGAGTGACCACCCCTTGGTGATCCCTACCCCTAAGGTGTCACACTGTTGCGGAAAAGCCTGTGATAGACCCCTCCAGGCCCCTGGAAGTGGGTTCCTGGGTACCCAGGCCCTGGATTCCTAGAGCATGCTCCAGAGAGAAGGCAGGTACCTCTTCCCAATGTGGAGAAATGCTAGTAGGAGGCCAGAGCCAAGTGTGGCTCAGTATATCAGCCATCTTGGTAAATGTTTCATATGTGCTTAATAAGAATGCCTAATCTGTTGTTGATGGAGTATTCACTTATATCGATTAGGTCAAGTTGGTTGATCATATTGTTCAGGTCTTTTCTGCCCTTATTCATTTTCTATCTACTTGCTGTAACAATTGCTGAAAGAAGAGTCACCAGGCATAATTATGATTTTGTTATTTGTCCTTTCAGTTCTATCTGGTTTTGCTTTACATATTTTGAAGATCTGTTGTTCAGTGCATACATAGTTAGGTTTGTTATATCTTCTTTGTAAATTAAACTTTTTGCCGTTATGTAATATCCCTCTTTATCCCTGATAAAGGTTCTTGCTCTGAAGTATTAAACATAGTTGGGGCTCATTTTTTAAGTCAAATCTGACAACCTAATTTTAATTAGCATGTTTAGACTATTTTAATTTAATGTAATTATTGATGTGTTTGAAAGTATACTTTATTATTTCTCTTCCATTTTTTATTTTTTCACTCCTTTTCCCAATTACTTTTTTTTTTTTTTGCTTTTATTTTTAATTTACACTTTGGATTTGGGTCTGTACATCATTTTATTTTAGTTGTTCTAGGGATTGCATTATAAACAGCTAACATTTCACAGTCTAATCAGTTCTGGAGATGGTGTTCTTTGACTTTATCCTACTAGGGATTAGCTGGGCTTCTCGAGCCTATAAATTTATGTAATTCATTAACTTTCAGAAGTTTTAAACATATTTCTTTAAATAGTTTTTTGCACCAATCTCTTTCTCCTCTCATCTGGGACTCCAAAGACATAAATGTTAGTTCTTCTGATATGATACCATAGGTGTCTGGAGCACAACCCAAGGCTGCTGGCTTGGATTTTTAAAAATCCTTTTTAAAAGGGATTTTAAAAATTCCTTTCTCTCTGCATTCTTCAGATTGGTAATTTCTACAATATGCTGTCAAGTTCACCAATTATTTTCCTTTTTAAAATTCCATTCTGCTAATAAAATAGTTCTTTAATTTCAGATATTATATTTTTTAGTTGTAAAATTTTTACTTTGTTCCTTTTCATAATTTTTTTTCTGGTCAAGTAATATTACTTTGTATTCTAAACATTTTCAAAATTATAGTGTCTAGACCGAATCCTGTTAATATCCTCTGGAGAATGTTAATTATTTGTTTTCACAGACAATTCACCTAGTTGTATTTAGACTGAAAGTTCTTTCTCACCTTCTTTGATATTGGTTTAGTTTTCAATGTTGCTGCTATACTCCTTGGCTCTGTCTTGCACAGGTACAGTTCAGGAATGAGTCTGGGCTCTGCCCCACCTAGTACACAGAATTAGATGACTCCCTTCTCCAGCTCTCTCCTATCTGAGATTTGCTCACAGGAACCCCTTTCCCGGTCCTCTCAACAGAAAGCTCTGGTTTCCCTCAGAACTTTAGCTGCTAAATACATTAAAGAAGTCAGTGTGAAAGCAGAATTATAAATCTCAGGTAGGAAGTCCCCAGTAAGTAGGTTGCTGTGGTTTGAATGTGTCCCCCAAAAAGCATGTGTTGGAAAATTAATCCCTAATGCAACAGTGTGGGGAGGTGGGGCCTGATGAGAGGTGATTAGGCCATGAGGGTTCCACTTCATGAGTGGATTAATGCTCTCATTGCAGGAGCTGGTTCATTATAAAGGGGCAAGTTCAGCGCCTTCACTCTCATGCGTGCATAGGCTCTTGCCTTTCCACTGTGGGATGACACAGCAAGAAGGCCCTCACAAGATGCTAGCCCCTTGATCTTGGACTTCTTAGCTTCTAGAACCATAAGACATAAATTCATGTTTATTATTAATTGGTTACTCTCAGATATTTTGTTACAGTATCACAAAATGGACTAAGACATAGATCTTTTACTAAGTACTTTCTTCTCCAATTCATTGCACAGATCTCTTCTTTCCTGACAAGGCTCACTCTCCAGGTATTAAAATTTATTTTTTTCTCCCTCTGTAACCTAAATACTATCTCCTGCTTCTCTTTTAAGACCAGTCAAGCATCATCTCTTGTAGAGTAACTCTCTCAGGAAGTATTCTCCAGAGCCTTGTCTCCAGCTCCCTAAGCATGATGCCTCAGTACCCTCGACTTCTACACATATCCATTTGTTTTGTCTAAATTGCAACCTGGTGCAGTTTAGATATGCTCCATTTGATGGATTTGTGGATTTTAAAATCTGCTTTTAACTCTATTAACTGTCACAAATGGATAAGTGACTTATAGACACTCCTGAAAAGAAAATTAATATTGAGGAGAATACTAATAAAGAACACAAACAGTTACAAAATGACAAGACTGCTCTTGCCAGGACAAATTTTCATCAAGCGCATTAACAATGAAATACACCCTGAATAGTTTTCCCCTAAGTGATGTCAAGGCATTATTCATCACATTTTATAAGACACTTTAAAACTAGGCATCCAGAATGAAGATAAATCTTTTCTATTTGTTTTTCAACAAAGTTTAATTCAAAGGTAATTCAATCCAGTAGTTTGAAAAATTTCACTTAGCTATGATAATGATTTAGAAGTCTCATTTTAAGTTTTTTATTTAATAATAAAAGACAAAATGACACATATTCAGGTTTAATGTTTATTCTTACCACTGCAGTGAAAAAGATAGTTAAAATGATAAATGATGATTATAATACAATAAGCCAAAAGCTTATCTTTGTCAACAAATATATGTAGAAAACAGAAAATATTGCTGAAAATATGAAGTAATAAGTATTAGAACAAACAAATTCTAGGAATTTTATTGTGCAGTAGTGCTGATGTTTTGACATATATCAGGTTTATGATATTTACTGGATTCTTTTCAAAAATACAGTAAATTAAGAACTTCTTGTGAGTCATAAAGATGACTGAAAAAAGACATATTCTCAATATTATTTTTGAAGATGAAAGCAATATTTCATTAAAAACTGTGTGGAGATGAGCCAATATTAGTGGTCGATTTTACTAGATATAAATAAGGATCATAGAATAAGGTTATAGAAATAATATCACTCATGAATTCATTCATTTTGTGGCCTGAAAGCAAAGTGTTGCAGCGAAGAAACTGAATCCAGAAGTACACAAAGTATAATATGATGTAAACAAGGTAGTTCCTATTACAAAAATGACCTTTAATATATAGGAGAATCTTCACAATGATTTATAATGGCATGGAGAGAGACAATGAAAATGTTTATGCAACATACATATGAGCTGTGCCACAGACATGCCAAAGTATTTTCAAAAACTTCTACATTTCAATACTAGTTGTGCATTTGCTGATATTTTAAAATAAGTAGCTGTGAGTAGCATGTTGTCAAGCAGATAATTTTTTTAAATGAATATACAAAATCAGCTCATTCCAGGTGAAGTCATATTTTTAAGTTGTTATGATGCCATGATTTTAAAACATCATGTTTTAATTACATCTATTGTTACAATTTTCTGAAAGCTCATGCTATCTATTAAAACAAGTCATTTTCAAAAAGTTTTAAAACTTAAAAATGAAATTTCAACTTGTTTGGAAAGAATCAAGGCCAAGAGAAGCCTAAGAAGATGTGACAAATAAATGTAATGTGATACCCTATATGGAATTCTAGAACAGAAAAAAAAGACATTACATGAAAACTAACTAAGTGTGAAAGAAGTATAGATCTTATCAGTTCATTAATTGTAACACATGAAATGACTAATGTAGGATGTTAACAGGAAAAATTGGATGCAGGGTATGTGGGAAGTCTCTGTATTATCTTTACGATTTTGCTGTAAATTTAAAATTGCTCTAAAAATAAAATGTATTTTAAATATCTTCTAAATGAAGTTTTCATCATGTAACCACCCTCATAATCAATATACAGAATACTTTTATCATACCTAAAAACTTCCCATGCCCTTTTTGCCATGAGTCCGCTTCTCCTATCCCAGCTCCTGGAAACCACTGACTTGATATTTGTCCCTATAATTGTGCCTTTTCCAGAATGTCATGTAGATATGATAATACAGTATGAATCATAGAATACGTAGCATTTCATGTTTTCCATTAGCATGATGGTTTTTAAATGTATTCTTGTTGATGCATGTATCAGTAGTTCCTTTATTTTTATTACTGAGCACATTGCTGGTTGTAACTCAAATTGTTTATACATTCACCACTTGATAATTGTTTGGGTTGTTTCCAGTTTGGGGCTATTATGAATAAAGCTAAAATAACCTTTCATATACAGGGTTTTGTGTAGACATGTGTTTTCATTTCTAGAGTGTGTTTTCAAATACCTAGAATAAAGATTGGTGGGTCACATGTTAACTGAATGTGTAACTTTATAAGAAACTGCCAAATTGTTTTCCAAAATGTCTGTCCTAGTTTGACTTCTGACAAACAAAATATGAGTTCCTTCTCTTGGTGTGGTTTTTTGGTTGTTGTTAATTTTTAATTTTTGTATGTACATAGCGGGTGTATATATATATTTATGGGCAATGTGAGATATTTTGATACAGGCATGCACTGCATAATAATCACATTGGGTAAATGGCATATCCATCACTTCAAGCATTTATCCTTTGTGTTACAAAAAATCCAGTTAAGTTCTTTTAGTTATTTTTAAATGTACAATTAAATTATTTTTTAATATAGTCACCCTATTGTGCTAGCAAATACTATGTCTTATTCTTGCCAGCAATCAATATTGAAAATAGTTTTCATTTTAGCCAAACCAGTAGATTGTTGTGTTTTAATGTGTATTTCCCAAATGAATCTAATGTAAGAATATATATGAATGGCAAGTAAGCTCATGGAAAGATTCTCAACATCTAATGATCCAGATCTTCACAAAGTATAATATATCAACAAGGTAATTCCTATTACAAAAATGACCATTAAGATATAGAAGAATCTTTCCACTAATTTATTATGGCATGGAGAGAGACAATGAAAATATTTATGTAACACACACATGAGCTCTGCCACAGATATCTCATGACGAAGTATTTTCAAAAACTTCTAAAATTCGATATAGTGAACAATCTAATGATGTGGAGAATCTTTCCATGGGCTTACTTGCCGTTCATATACATTCTTTCGTGAAGTGTCCAAGTCTTTTGCCCAGTTTTAAATAGGATTGTCTCTTATTATTAGATTTTGAATGTTCTTTATGTGTTATGAATACAATTTTTTACCATATATATGGGTTTTTAAAAAAAGCATTTTCTTCCAATCTGTGGCTTGTCTTTAATCTGTGGCTTGTCTTTTTATTTTATTAACAATGTCTTTTAAAAAGCATAACTTAAATTTTTGTTAATGTCTGATTTATTAGTATTTTTCTTTTTATGGTTTGTGCTTATGCTCTAAAATATTTGCCCAGCTTAAGTTCCAAAGATTTTTCTCATATACTTAATTCTTAAAGTTTTAAAATTTTTATCTCATACATTTAGGTTTATGATCCATTATGCATTAATTTTTTTGTATGTAGGACAAGATAAGAATTCAGTTCTACTTTTTTTCTTTTCTTTCATGTTTCCTTTTCTTTCTTCCTTCTTTTTATATAAAAAAATTGATGTCCAATTACTCCAGTACCATTTTTGATGCTATTTTCCCTCATTGAGTTACTTTGAAACATTTGTTGAAAGTAAAATAAGCATGGATGTATGGATCTAGTGACTTGAAGCATAGGTAAGCCCACTGCAGGGTGAATACTATTTATTTTTGTTTTTTTCTCTTCTACTCACAATGTTATAAAATCACTCAAGTATTATGAGACACAACAAATGCAAACAAAGACAACTCATTGTTAAGAGAAAAGGGAATGGACAAAGTTAGAACCACAAAACTATCACATGGAACTTTCTATTTACTATGAATTATGTGCTGAAGGATCTAGCAAAAACAAACAAACAAAACAACAAAAAAAACCCAAACAACACAGAGAAGGGATGGGCATTTTCAGAAGATAAATAGAAACTATAAAAGTTTTGAGTACAAACAGTAGAAATAAAAAAAAAAGGGCTCATACAATATAAAACATAAAGAAATCCTTTAATGGGTTAGCAGACTGGCCAAAGTTGAGGAACGAATCATTGAGCAAACTAGGTCAATAGAAATTATTCAAACTAAAATACAAAATGAAAAGTGAATGAAAAACAGAACAAAGTATCTAACATTCGTGTGACAATATCAAGTTGCCTAACATACATGTATGTAATTGGCATCCCCAAAGGAGAAGAAAGAAAACATGGCAGAATACTTCAGAAAACAATGGCCAATAATTTTCCAAATGAATAAAATCCATAAATTTAATAGACTCAGAGAACAACAATTAGCATTCAGATACACACAAACACACATACATATAAACAAATACATACATACATACCCAAATACATCATAGTCAAATTGCTGAAAACCAAAGATACAGTAAATACCAAAGGCACCCAGAGAAAAGACTACATGAAGAACAAAGATAAGGATGATGACAAATTTCTTAAAAATATGTAATCCAGAAAACAATGGATTGACACCTTTAAAATAATGAAGTTAAAAAAAATCCATCAGGCCAGGCTCAGTGGCTCATGCCTGTAATCCCAGCACTTTGGGAGGCTGAGGTGGGCAGATCACCTGAGGTCAAGAGTTCAAGACCAGCCTGCCAACATGGTGAAACCCCATCTCTACTAAAAATACAAAAATTAGCTGGGCATGGTGGCAGTCACCTGTAATCCCAGCTACTCAGGAGGCTGAGGCAGGAGAATTGCTTGAACCTGGGAGGCAGAGGTTGCAGTGAGCCAAGATCATGCATTCCAGCCTGGGCCACAAGACTGAGACTCTGTCTCAAAAAAAAAAAAAAAAAAAAAAAAGAAAAGAAAAGAAAAGAAATCCATTAATCTAGAATTCTAAATGCAGTGAAAATAAATATATTTCAGTAAGGAAGATCAAATAAAAAATGTTCAGGAAAACAACATGCAGCGATGAAATGTTAAAAGAAGCTCTTAAGACCAAGTAAATAATAATGCAAATCAAAATGTGAAACTAGACAAATTAATAAAAAGTGCTGTAAATGGCAAAACAAAGGTAAATACAAATAAAGTACATTTTTCTTAAGTCATTTTAAAAGATGATTACTTAAAACAAAAATAATAATAAAACATACGGTTTTATTACACATGTAGAATTTAAAAGTTTGACAAACATAGCATAATGAATGGAAGAGAGGAAATGGAAGATTTGTAAGGTTTTTACATTATATCTGAAGTTGTTTAATGTAATTTAAAAGCCGACTATGGTAAGTTAAGAATATACATTCAAACTTTAAAGCAATCACTAAAAAATTTTAGTAGATGTGGAAATAATAAGCCAATAGTAGAGATGAAAAAGGAATATAAAAATAGCCAATTAAACCTGGAAAAGCATAAATATTTCTTTATAAGGTTTTATAGGAATATGTGTTTTCATTTGTCTTAGGTATATACCTAAAAGTGGAATTGCTGGGTCATATACTATATGTTTAGACTTTTGAGAAACTGCTAGACTGTTTTCCCAAGGAACTGCACCATTTAACACTCCCATCAGCAATCTATGAGGGTTTCTATTTCTCCACATCTTCACCAACAAATATTACCTCTTTTAAATCATAGCCATCCCAGTGAACGTGAAGTGGTAGCTCACTGTGGTTTTTGTTTGCATTTCCCTTATGACTAACTATATGCAGAATCTTTTCATGTGCTTAGTGAACATTTGTATGTCTTCTTTAAAGAAATATCTATTTAAACTCTGTCCATTTTTAATTGGATTGTCTTTTATTGTTGAATTTAATAGTTCTTTATATATTACAAATATAGGTCTGTTATTCAATACATGGTTTGCAAATATTTTATCTCATTCTTTGGATTATGTTTCCACTTTCTTGTTAACATCTTTTGAAGAGCAAAAGTTTTCAATTGCATTATGGTAAAGTTCAATTTATCTATTTTTTCTTGTTACTTGTATTTTCCTTGTCATATTTAAGAAGGCTTTGCCTAAGCCAAGACTATAAAGATTTACCTCTATATATTCTTCTAAGAGTTTTATACTTTTGTTTTTTACATTTTTGAATCTATGATCCATTCTGAGTTAATATTTTTATATGGTGTGAGGAAGAGGGAAAACTTTATTCTTTTACATGTAGATATCTGGTTGTTAAAAAAGATTTGTTAAAAAGATTATTCTTTCCCCCACTTAATTGTCTTGGCATCCTTGTTGAAAATTAATTGACCATAAATGTAAGAGTTTACTTCTGAACTATAAACTCTATTCCACTGATATTTATTTTTATCCTTATGCTAATACCATACTGTACTCATTACTATAGCTTTCTATTGAATGTTAAAATTGAGAAGTTCGAGTTCTCCAACCCCCATCTTTTTTATGATAATTTTAGATATTGTGAGCCCATCAAATTTCCATATGAATTTCAGGATCAGCTTATCAATGTATGCAAAAAATGTAGCTGTGATTTTCATAGGGATTGTGGTGAATCTGTAGATCAATTTGGAGAACATTGGGGAATATTGCCATTTTAACCATATTAAGTCTTCCAATCTGTAAGTATGACATGGATTACCATTTATTTAGATCGACTTTGATTTCTTTCAGTTATGTTTTGTATTATTGAATGTAGAAGTCTTTTACTTTTTTGTTAAATTTATTCCTAAGTATTTGATTATTTGATGCTATTGTATTAATAAATGAAATTGTTATTAATTAAACCTAATTGCATCTTTGAATCTGAAGTGCATTTCCTGTAGTGAACATAAAGGTGGATTTTGCTATAATCTGAATGTTTTTGTCCCCCCACGAATTCTTATGTTGAAATCCTAACTCCCAAGGTGGTAGTATTAGTAATTGGGGTCTTTTGGAGGTGATTATGTTACATGGGTAAAGCCATCATAAATGGGATTAGTACTCTTTTATAAAGAGGCTGAAGAAAGACTCCTTCTCCCTTCCATCACATGAGGTTATGATGAGAAGACAGCTGTCTATAAAGAAGCAAGCCATCACCAGACACTCTATCTCCTGGCAGCTTCATCCTGGACTATCAAGCCTCCAAAATTGTGAGAAATTTCTGTTGTTTATAAGCCACCCAGTCTATGGTATTTTGTAATAGTATCCCATATGAACTAAGACAGATCTTTCTATATCTGGACTGTCAATCTATGCTTTTGATCAGCATAATTAATCCTTTCACATTTATTTTTATTATTGATAAAACTGTATTTATATCTTACATTTTATCTTTCTTTTTTCTATATTTCTCGTGTCATTTTTATTCTACTTTTTCTCATTTATCGCTTTTTTGCATTAAGTAAATATTTTTCTAGTGTGACTTTTATTTCCTTTAATGAACTTATGCAACTTTTAGTTCCTTTTTATTATATATTTAATTATTTTATGTATGCTGGGCTTACCACATACATCTTAACTTGTCAGAATATCCTTGGGATTTATACTAACTTTATTCTTGTGAGATACAGAAATGATATTTTCTATTTCACAGTGATAAGACATTGTCATTATGCCCTCTACCTTTTCATTTTTATTTTACCTTTTCCTTTCCCTTTACCCCTTTGCCTTTTTTACCTTAGTTCTTTTAGCACATTTTTGTTGTTGTTGTTGTTGTTGTTGAGATGGAGTCTTGCTCTGTTGCCCAGGCTGGAGTGAAGTGGCATGATCTCGGCTCACTGCAACCTCTGCCTCCTGGGTTCAAGCAATTCTCCTGCCTCAGCCTCCCAAGTAGCTGGGATTACAGGTATGTGCCACCACGCCTGGCTAATATTTTTGTATTTTTAGTAGAGATGGGGTTTCACCATTTTGGCCAGACTGATCTCAAACTCCTGACCTTATGATCCGCCTGCCTTGGCCTCCCAAAGTACTGGGATTACAGGCACGAGCCACCATGCCCAGCCCCTTTGAGCACATTTATAATAGCTTCTTTGAGGTCTTTGTCTGCTAAATTTTAAAACAGAACTCTCTCAAAGGCAGTTGGTGTTGCCTGCTTTTTTTCTTGTATATAGATTGATTTCCTTTTTTGCTTTTGCAAATCTTGTGATTTTTTGTTAAAAATATCATTTTAGATACACTATTGTAGCAACAGTGAATAGTCACACACACACACACACACACACACACACACACGCCCCAGTAGAGTTGTTGTTTTTTTTTTTATGTGTTTAGTGACCTTGTTGAACTATTTAAGAAAGTCTATATTTTTGTACTGTGCAATTTCTCAGTCACTCTTCAGAGGATGTGGCCTTGGCCATGTGCATAGTCACCAGGGATAATGGTGAATTTAGCAGGGCTGTTTTTGACTTTCTCCTTCCCAGTCATTCTGTTAAGCTGTCTGCTTGTCTCAGTATTATATCTAGCTATTATTATAGCTTCCATCAATTGCTAGCTGATTATTCCATTGTTTTTGATGATGCCCTTGGGCCTAAATTGCTTCCTATCTTTGAGGCCACTGTTGAGGTTTGTTCCAACCACAGGAGGGCTCTTTTTAGCTGTCTGTTTCCTGGTTTTCTCTGCCAAAGTTCCACCTTGTTTGTAGTGCAGCTTGCTCCTGTCATGGAACTACCAGCCCTCTCTTAATTACTTACAATCACTGCTTACCTCCACTGTTTCCCAGAAAGCCCTTAGGCTCGAATTTCCCTTACTTTCTGTTCCAAATAAAGTCAGTTCCTTAAGTGGAGCTTTCGAGCTTTCTCCTCTTAGGACCAACGTATCTAGTTGGGCAAAACCGTTGTGTCGCTGCTCTGGAGGTAGGGACCAGGATAGTGGCTTACTTCTCTGAGTGGCACCCCTGCTTCGCAAGCAGGGCACTGGATTGAGGCAGCAGCCTCTGGTCTTCTCAACTTGCCTCCTTTTGTGAGGAACCTTTGGCTTTCTAAGCTACAGGTGAGGGCAGTTAGGGCCCCAGTATTCTTGGCCTGCCATACCTGGGGTATGAGTGGGAGCTGGGTGGAGAAAGGAAGCCCCAGACCTCTCATTGTTCTTGCCTCAAACAGAGTCTCTGTAGCACTGAGCTGGTAGCTTGCCCTTCTCATAGAGATACTTCTCATGGAGATACTTAAGGGACTGACTTTATTTGGAACAGTCATACAAGGCCTATGTTCTTGGCCGATGGGAAAGAGCTTTGATCTTGCCTGCATCTATGCAGAGTAGAGCTGTCATTTTGCTGAGCTGGATGGGGAAAGAAAGAACAGGAAGTAGCTCAAATTTCACTGTTCTTAGCAAAATTTGGTAGATTTTCTTAAATAAATGTTTCTTTTTATGCTGTATGCCCATAGAACAAGTTCCAAAGATTTAAAATGTTTGGGTTTCTTTTCTCAGTTTCACCAATTAGGTTGTTTCACTAGGGAGAGGGTACATGTAGGTTATTATGCCAAAATTCTGGAAATTGTCTACCAGTATCATATAATTTTAAACTAAGAATTTCAAAATTAAAGAAGCATATTAATTGCTCTCAATTATAAAACACATATGCAATAATAATTTTGGAGGATTGTATTAAAAATCACAACACTTAGTGCTCTATGACAATGTTCATTCTGCTCATGAATCTGCAATTTGGCAGAACTTCTGCCAAAGAGACTGTTCACTCTTGCTTTATTCCATGTCGACTAGGGTTACTCAAAAGTTAGAACTGAAATAACTTAAGGGCTCACTCATTCATATTTTTGGTGGGTTATACTTGGAAAATTCAAACCGCTGCAGGTTATAGTAGCTAGGGCTTCTTGGATATCGCTATCTTTATGTGGCCTCCCCATGTGGTCTCTCTAGCATGCTTCAGGGTAGCTGATCTTTTATATGTCACCTAAGGGCTTCCAAGGCATGTGTCCTCAGAGACAGGAAAAAGAGGAAACTCTGACTTTTTATGACCTAGCCTTGGAAGTCATAAAGTGTCATTTCTGCTCAAGTCCCAGGCCCACTAGATTCACCCATTTGCCCATTTATCTTGGCATTTCTATTTATAGAGATGAGTAAGCATGATACTCAGAAAAATAAAGAAATTTACCCAAATTATAGACCTAATAAATGAGAGAACAATGATTGAATAACTCTGTCTGGTAATATTCAATAAATGCTATTAAGATACTTGGTCACAACTTTTATATAAAAACAAATTTACACCCTGCGAGCGAGAAACAAAAATTCCTTCTAGGAGATACCAGGAGATAGACAAATCATAGTACGGACAACTCACACATTTCAACAATGTTATGTGATGTGTACACCCCGCTAGTAGAAATGCAATGTTTCAAGGGAGGCTAAGAGATGGAGCAATTTACTCTTCCTTGGGGGTGAGAGGGACTGCCCGGCTGAGAGGTAACATTTGAGCAGAACCTTAGAGGATCTTCAGCGATAGATAGTCTGTAGTTGAGGAAGAGAGGTCAGAGCCCAGGCCCAGAGAGCACAGGGCCACGGAACTGACATGGGGGGTGTGGAGATTCAGGGAAGGCTGGGCACTAAAGCATAACTGTGGGATATGGTGAAGCCCAGGTGTTGGGGGAGGTGGGGTCAGGAGATGAGGCTGGAAATAGGTTAGGCCTTGCTTGTGAATGACTTTGAATGACATACTTAGAAGTTGCTCTTTAACTTATGACTAATCAAGAGCCACAGCAGTTTATAAGTAGAGAAGTGATACAGTAAATTCCACATTTAGAAAGACCACTTCAGTGATTACATAGAGAAAAATGAAGGGATTTAATACTGGGGAATAAGACACAAGACAGGAGAGCAATGTAATAGACGGTGCTCTGGTGTTGAGAATGACATCAGAGGCATATCTTTTGTGTTTTTATTCCAATACTGTTGTAAACTTCTGAAGCTTGAAGGTCTGTGCAGCAAAAAAATCTCAGTGTAGGTAGAGGTGTAGCAGGACAAGCAGCAGACAAAACCCCTCAGACACCGAGTTAAAGAAGGAAGGGCTTTATTCGGCCAGGAGCTTCGGCAAGACTCACGTCTCCAAAAACCGAGCTCCCCAAGTGAGCAATTCCTGTCTCCTTTAAGGGCTTATAACTCTAAGGGGGTCTGTGTGAGACGGTCGTGATCAACTGAGCAAGCAGGGGGTATGTGACTGGGGGCTGCATGCACCGGCAATCACAACGGAACAGAACAGGACAGGGATTTTCACAGTGCTTTTCCATAAAATGTCTGGAATCTATAGATAACATAACCAGTTAGGTCAGGGGTCAATCTTTAACCAGGCCCAGGGCACGGCGCCAGGCTGTCTGCCTGTGGATTTCATTTCTGCCTTTTAGTTTTTACTTCTTCTTTCTTTGGAGGCAGAAATTGGGCATAAGCCAATATGAGGGGTGGTCTCCTCCCTTAGAGGTATCAACTGTTATTTAATTACATTTTAGCAAAATTTTAAGGGTGGTTTTTCTAGCAGTAGGAAAGAGGAAAAACACCAAAATTTGACTAAGTTATTTGGCTTTTATTCAATTCGTTTTGCTCTTTTTTTTCCTGTGACATGAGTTTGTTCCTGAAGGGCAAGGTCAAAGGAGTTTCTGACTAATGTATCCCTAAACTTCGTGCTGTTTTATTACTCTTCCATTGAGGCCAGCACACCTTAATATGACATTTTAAAATTCACAACGTTTTGTTAGCAAAATAGTTACTTTTTTTGCACTTTTATTTTTTAAAACAATTTTTTATTAAAACAATTATCTTATCAGAACCAATGACGATACCCATCAGCCAGTGTTAGTAATGCCAAACAGGCCTCTCAGCTTGCACTATGTTAATTATATTCAAAATAAGAATCCACAGAAAGAACTCAAATAAGTACAAATATTTCTTAATATATTTTTGGGATGGAATTCCTAATAGAGTCTATTCCTTGCCTGAAACCTGCAAATATACATTACTTTTAATGTTGTTAAGTATGAGTCACAAGTAGAGGTAAGAGGCAGTGAACACAATGTTTCTTACTGCAAATCTTTTTTTCCCCTCTAAAAATTGGAGTTGTCTTATACTATAGTCACTGAGGAGAGTTACAATAAGAACCATCAAAATTGTTAGTTGCAACTTGAGATAAATAAAATACACATAAATCCTCCCAAGTGGAAAAATATTCACTGTGTGTGTCTTTCATTTTCATTCATTAAGACAAAGTTCTGAAAGCCAAGTACTACATTTGTTGTTTAGTTCCCTTTTGCACTCAGAAGATTCAAAGGGAACTTGACATTAGCATTTCTAATCACCCTCTTTCAGTGAGAGCTGACACACAATCTATTTTGAATAGGCCTGAATGTCAATCACTGGTTTAGAGTCCACAAAGTGGGGAGGAGTGTGTTGAGTGTGAACACAGGGAGCTGCATCTCCTGCATTTGAGCTTTAGATTCCTGAGGGCACCCAAGTGAAGATGTCCATCATACAGCTGAATAGATGGTTCCAAATGTCGGAAGAAGACGCTGGATTGGAAATACAAATATGACTGGAAAATAAGTTGAAAAAACTTTCTTTAAATCTTTTCAAATGTACCCCAGTGTATCCAGACTCTGCTACTCCAGGCCACATGGCCAAGAAGTGAGTCTGTTGTATGAGAGCCAAAACGAAGGGTGGTGAGTTGGATGCATGGTTGGACAGTAACACTTCTTCTCAGTATAAGAGACTAGATGAAAGCCTAAGGAGAAAGATTGTTTAAAAAACAGGGCCAGAGACTATGAGGATTATAGGGAAGAGGAAATGGAGACACCTCATTCTTCAATGTTGGAAGCTGATCAAGAACATTTCTTGAAGTGCATGGAAGAGAACTCCGTGCTGAGTTATTATTCTACCCATTTTGGGAGCACCATCAACACAAATCACTTATCAGCCATTGAGTATTTCATTTTGAGTTACACTGGTCAGTGTTTGGGAACTGGCACAACCTCCTCTCCAGGGACTATTCTGCTGCAGAAAAACACAGGCCAAGACTCTTTGCCCCAAATCGAAGCTGAGGCTCCTGGACTACTTGGGAGGTAATAGTGTGAAGCCCACACCCTAGGCAGAGGGGGAATGAAGAGAGCTGTTTGGTCATTGTCCAACTTATGCAATTTAGGCCTATTATATCTTGGTACTTGTCTAGGATACTGTTAAACTCAGAATCTAGGTTTGGGATTGTATTGCAAACATAGTAGCAACACTAGATGAAGCCAAGTATATCTCTTTCAAGAATGACAAAAGGTCTGAAATTTTACTCTCCTTGCAGACAAACAGGTTAGCCTGCCACATTTTCACGGATGCTGGCAGGAGATACAAGACTCCCAGGTCATAGACAACTTTTTTTGCTCACAGCACAGCAGGCAGCATGAGCTCTGTGTTTGTTTCAATCCCCTCACCCCGCAATTTCCATAGGGGAATGAAGAGGCAAGCAAGTGATGTTGTGCATACATCACAGCCAAAGAACCCCAAGCTCAGGAAACCCCCATCTTTTATAAGGGACCTGTAAGTAAACCTACTTGCCTTTTCCCCAAAGGAGACATCATCTTTATCACACTGCACAGAAAACAAGCCTGCCCCTTGCTCCAGAGAGATACTATTTCCACACAGCCTGGCTGTTTGCTAGACAAACATCCTTGGAAAGATGGTTTGGGCATTAGTTGGCTTAGAAGAATGATTCTTAAGGGATGGCAGGAATAGCTATAATCCATGCTGGGAGAAGGTGGTATATTTCATTGATCAGTAATCATTAGTTAATAGCTAACTAATTGTAACCAAATTACAATCCATGAGACCACGCATCAACCAAACAATATCTGTTATGCAATTCTATGTGAAATACAACAAATTATTTCCCATAGAAACAAAAACATCACCCTTGACTAGACAGGACTGAGGGAATTATTATAATTGTTCAATTTATACTTGGTGTACAGGCTTAAACACAGAGGCAGTAGTTAACACCACAGGCTAGGATGAGTTGGGATTACCCACGGAATATAATAAGTAAAGATGTGATGAAGGACGGCCAAGATGGGAAACCAACTGAATAAACTTAAGGCACTTGGCCAAACCCTGGGTCAGCGTCTTAACATTGCTGCCAGCATTACACTTGCACATTTAATGAAGATTTCTTAGTAACAAGATCTGACTGAGCTTGAAGCTGCTTCTAACCTTGAATGTTTAATTTCATAAACCTGTAAATGACTTGTTTTCCGTCCTAGGAATACCTTGAATGAAAAATAGTACACACTGAGAAAGTATATTATGTTAGTGCACAGCAGGAAGGATTATCACAAAGGCACTTATCGTGAAATTAGAACCCAGACCAAGAGTTAGAACAATCCCAAACCCCATATGCTCCTCTTAATCTCCTTACTATTGGTACCCTGTGTTCATTTCCAAAGGCAACCACTGTCCTCACTTCCAACATCATAGATTATGTTTATCTTCATTTGAACTTTGTTACACAATGGCATCATGTGGTATGCATTTCTTGTGTCTGGCTTCTTTCTCTCAGTATCATGTTTGCAAGATTTATGGTGTTGTATTGTGTGCAGCCATAATTAGTTCATCCTAATTACTGAATAGTATTCCATTGTATGAATATATCACAGCTTATTCATTCATTATAATCTTGATGGAATTTTGATTTGTTTTTAGTATTTGTCTATTAAAGATAACGTTCCTATAAAACATTCTTGTACACATCTTTTGACAACTGTATACATTTCTGTTGGGTTTAAACTTAGAAGTAGAATTATAGGGATTTAGGGCATGCATAAATTCAGCTTTAATATACAATAGAAAACAGTATTCCAAATGACTCT
Source organism: Homo sapiens (assembly GCF_000001405.40). Taxonomy (NCBI): domain Eukaryota; kingdom Metazoa; phylum Chordata; class Mammalia; order Primates; family Hominidae; genus Homo; species Homo sapiens. The sequence continues at coordinate 54,884,131 of NC_000007.14, forward strand.
ACCAGTCGACACTATCACCAGCAGCATATGAGAGCTCTGCATTTTCATAGGTGCTTGCTACTGTCATCCTATTTAATTTTAGCCATTCTATTTGGTGTATAACAGAATTTCATTGTGGTTTTAATTTTCATTTCCCTAATGACTAATGAGCATGATTACTTTTTCATACGTGTATTGATCATTTGTATATCCTCTCTGTGAATTTCCTGTTAGAATATCTTGCCCACTTTTTCTGTTGGGTTGTTTGTCATTTTAAAAATAGATTTTAGGCATTTAAAAATTTTTAGGCCAGGTGCAGTGGCTCACACCTATAATCCCAGTGTGCTGAGAAGCCGAGGTGGGAGAGTCAATTCAGCCTAGGAGTTCAAGACCAGCTGAGGCAACGCAGCAAGATCCCATCTCTACAAACCATTTAAAAAATTAACCAGGCATGGTGGTGCACACCTGTAGTCTTAACTGCAGGAGGCTGATGTGGGAGGATCACTTGAGCCCAAGAGTTGGAGGTTGCAGTGGGCTATGATTGCCCCACTGCACTCCAGCCGGGGCAAGTCCCTTGTCGGTTATATGCACAACAAATATCTTCTGTGACTCAGTGGCTTGCATTTGGCTCATATTAAGTGTCTTAGTTTTAATATAGTCTTCCTATAATTACTTTTTTTTGGTTAATGGTTAACACTTTTGGCATTTAGGAAAATGTTCCCTACTCTTAAAAATATATTCTCCTGTTTTGTCCTTAGATATTTTATTGATTTATTTATCCCATTTAGATCTATCACCCACCTGGGTTTTGGTTTTGTGGAGAGTGTGAATTGAGGATAAGATTAAACTTTTTCTTATGGATATGCAGCTAATCTAGCATCATTTATTTATTGTCCTTTTGCCACTACTCTCCACTCAAGTGACTGTATACATGTGGGCTTATTTCTCTATTCTCTGTTCTGTTCATTTGGTGTGTTTTTCTATCCTTGCACCAATGACACAGTCTTTTAGTTACTCCAGTTTAATAATAAATCTTTATATCCAGAGTGTAAATCCTTCAAATTTTTAATTCTTCTTCCTGTGTATCTTGAGACTAAATGTATTAACTTTAGAATTATCCTATCGGTTTACACATATGCATACACACAACTGCTGCCATTTCTAAGTAGGGATTGTATCAATTTAATCATTTCACAGGAAACTGGCATCTTAATAATATACAGTCTTCTGATTCAAGGACAAGGTATGTAGCATTGCTTATTTGTCTTCTTTAACTTATCTCAATGCTGTTTTCAAGTTTCCAGTGTAGAAGCCTTATGTATTGTTAGATTTATCCCTAGATATTTAATGTTTTATGATGTCATTGTAATACTATTCAGTATACTTTTAATTTCATTATCTAATCCTTGATGACATATAAACCTAAAATTGTGTGTTACATGTTCAATTCTATCCAGCAATCTTGCTAAATTCACTCATTAATTCTAATAGGTCATCTACATTTTCTACACACATAATCATGTTGTCTGCAAATAACGGCAATTTTATTTCTCTTGCCATCTTCATATATTTTATTTCTTTATCTTTCTTTATTTTACTGGCAAGGGACCTCTGGTAGTAGGCATCCAATTTAAAAGGAAAAACTTTCAATATATCACGAATGAATATGTTCACTGCTTTAGGTTTGCTAAGGAACATTGAATTTTATCATATGATTTATCTGCATTTATTGAAATGGCCATTATTTTTCTCCTTTACTTTGTTAGAGTTTATGGTTGCTTGTTTTTGAAGTTTATATACATAGAATGATTTAATATGTATCCTTCATGTCCAACTTCTTTTGTTCAATATTAAGATTGTAAGATTTATTTATTTATTTATTGAGACAAGGTCTTGCTGTGTCACCCAAGCTGGAGTGCAGTGGTGCGATCTTGGCTTACTGCAGCCTTGACCTCCTGGGCTCAAGCCATCCTCCCACCTCAGCCTCCCGAGTAACTGGTCCTACAGGCACACATCACCATGCCTAGCTAACTTTGTATTTTTGGCAGAGATGAGGTTTCATCATGTTGCCCAGGCTGATCTCAAATTCATGGGCAGAAGTGATCCACTGGACTCAGGATCCCAAAGTGCTGGGATTATAGACATGAGCAACTGCACCCAGCCATTCACGTTTTTGCATGTACCTAGGGCTGTTTATTTTCGTTGCTGAAGAAAATTCCATTGTATGATTATACCACAAATTATTTAACAAATATCAAATGGAGCCTTTTCTACAGCAGCATGTACTACATGCTAACAGTGGCTAAATTAAGAGTGAGGACTGGGAAGATTTGAAGAGACATAAAAGAAGTGTCAGATACAGACATTGTGTTTGGAAAATTGCCTGTAGAAGTAAGGTCAGATCTACTATGACATTATCTTTCCCCAGAGAGGATTTAATTTGTTTTTGCAAGAGGCCTGGAGACACTGGCACCTGAAGATGACCCTAATCCAGTGTGAATAACCGAGGTGATTCCCAGCTGAGCTACAGTATCTGGTAAGGCCCACTGACTTATAGTTCACTATCTGGGAGCAGCTCTTCAGGGTACCAATCAAAAGTGAGGCCCAGATTTGCCAGTCATCTTTCCTCTTGGTGAGTCTTGGATCCTCTGTCCCCTTGAGGCTGCCCAAATTGCAGCTCAGCCTCTCAGCTGTTTCCTCTGACACCAGCAAACAACTCCTGAGATAAAGACTCCTTAATCCACAGCCACCTGCCTGGCTTCACTTCTCCACTCACCCTGGCCCAGTGCTTCACTGAGTTATTGGCTCTTCCATGGTATCTAACAGATATTTTGCCATATTTTCTAGCTGCTTTTAGTGGAAGTGTTTGTCCAAATTACTTACCCATTTATTTCACATAAGCAAGGTCATCTTTTAAACAAAGCCCATGAACCAATAAAACACAACATAAAATGAATTGTAATTGGTTAGTACACATTCGAAAGATACCAGCTTCCTATTAAAAAAAAATCCAATTTCATATGAGATGATTTCAATGTTAAAGTAACGAATATTAAAGAAATGAGGATAATGGATGGAGCTCATTATCTCAGCTACTGCTAGTGAGAGTAAAACAGAAACTTATCTAAAGGGAATTTTGACAATATTAACAAGAATGGTACTATTTTTCATACTTACTGACAGTGCAATTCCACTGCTGGGGTAATTTATTCTAAGGTAATAATCTGAAAGATAGACAAATATTTAAGTCAAGTATATTCAATTTAGGATTACCTTTAATAAGGAAAACATTTAAACTTCCCTATAATATGATAACAGATAATTAAATAACAATATATCAATAATAGAATATTATACAATCTTTAAAATTAAATTTATTAAGCACGTCTCCTATAGTTTTAAATAACACTGTATCCAAAGCAAAATTTTAAAAATATATAATATGAATTCAGTTATTCTAAAAAATACATAAAGAAAACTCTTGAAAAATATTCCAGATGTGTTAGTATTGGTTTCCTGAGTGGATATGTTATAGACATTTTGTCTCTGCATTTTTATAGTTTTAACTGATTCATAAACTTTCTACTGAGTACACAAATCTTTTATAATCAGAAATAACCAGGAAAAAAAGACTTTTATGTTAAAATTAATAATAGTAAATGATTCATTGAGAATAAGATAGAATCCTTGTTAGTTTAATTTTCAGATAATTAAATATTTATGATATGATGCATATTCCAAATAGAGTCCCTGCCAGGAATAACATCATGAAATAATTCAAAACTAGACAAACAGAAATCAGCTTTTCTCTTATAATTCATAAAGCATGTCAACTGTTACACTTTTCAAGGGTCACAGTCATGAACATCGGTTAACACTCTATTAAAATATCTTAATCTCTTTCTTACTGTCTTCTTTTCCTAAGAGAACAAGCCCATTCATGATGTCTCCAGCACTTGATATATGATTTTTCATTAATTTTCCCACACTTCATTTAAGGCAAACTTTTAAAATGTATTTTACAAATGTATAACAGATTCACAAGAAAACGTATGACTGCAAAATTTCATGTCCACACCTTAGAGCTGGGACATAAGCGCAGTGCGCGCTCTGCAGAAATTCTGCCCGCCTCTCCAGGCCCTCCTTCCAGCTCCCGGCAGAGCGGGCTGGAAGTAACGGGGAAGAGCGGTTATTTGTTGGTTTAATATAATTTGTTTAGTCACCCAAGGATGACTAATTTGCATTTTCTCTCTCTTTTTATATTGATCCGTAGCACACTCTGTTTTCCACCTAATGGATATTTGGGCACTAACTTGTTAGTGTCACTTTCCTGTCCTTTCATGCAGGGTTTTCACGCTGTGGGTTCCCTGGCAGCCACCTCCCATCACTATGGTGTCCTCGCTTCAGTTTTGACACGACATCATTAGCAGCTGCAGACAGTCCTTGTTCCGGCTGAATAAGAGAGCACAGACGGACTTGGCACTGGGCGCACACCAGGAGGGTCCGAGGCGGGGCCGCGGGGACCTGCTCTTGGGAGCGCGGACAGAGCCCCACTGTCCCTCTCCCCAGGGCCGTGCTCGTCAAAGACGGACAGGCAGTGGCTACACATGAAGCCACGAATGCCTTGAACTCGGCTCTGGACCTGATTTCTTATTTAACTGAAGGACAAAGAAGAAAAGAACAAAAACACCCATCAGCACGCCGTGGCGTCCCCTCGGACTCGCAATCACTGCAGCGGGATTTCCAAGCTCCCCTTCCCAGGGCACAGGCGGGAGGACCTCCGCGATGGTGGGGGCGGAGGAGGCTCCACCCTGACAGCTTCCTATAACCCCACTGACCCGTGCCACATGGGTCACAGCATTGCAGAATTACAGCTTTGAGAATAATTTAGGAACAGAAAATTTGTGATTATAATATGCTGAGTTTTAAAGCTAAGATATAAAATCATATTCACACTGAATACCACTAACAAAATATTCATATGCAAATCAGGTTAAAATATACGCCAACAGGATTCATAGAAGTTGTATGTTAGGTAGTAGAAAGTGATAGAAAGATTGTTTTGTAGCTATATCACACTTAGGCTGAATGCAATTTAAAAATAGGCATTATTATTACATGTTATCAAATTGCAGTGGGGGCTCTATAACAAAAAGGATCACTTTTTTAAGGAAACATAAAGGAGATGATAAGAAAAAACCCCACCCTATTGTATTATCAATTGTAAAGTCATATTTGCAATGTACCTTTCCTTTTCTTTTAATAAAATAAGCATAAACTGTTTTCTTTAAAGACTATCCTACAAGATGTGAGGCAAGGGAGTGAACGTCCTTGCTAGGCCCGGCTCCTCCTCATTGCCCCTCCTCTGCCTCAGCCCAGGACACAATGTATTATACGTGAACCATCACTGCACATGCTAGATACACAATAAAAGTTAGTGCCATTCTTTCTCCTCTCTTCTTATATGGATCCTTTCCATTCATTTATTGCATCTTATAAAAGTAATACATCTTAATAATAGTAAATTATTTATAGAGAATAAGATAGAACATACCATATACGATTACATAGAAAAGGAAATAACAATACACATTTCCATAGCATTCAACATATACTCAGTATTGTTCAATGCCCTTTGTACACATTATCTCCTTTAATCCTCAAGCGGTCCTATGAAGATGGATTACCCTCATTTTACAGTTAAAGAAACTGAGGACAAATAAGTTAAATAACTTGCCCAATTTAGATTTTCACAAAACTACCTTAAAATTTTGATTTGTCTAAGGCTAATTTTACAAGGTAATTCCAAATTAATTGGCATGTTTAGTATAATAAATCTTTCTTTCCATGAACACTGTTTTCTATTTTTATTTTATTTTGTTAATTTATTTTTGAGACAGTGTCTCACCCTGTCCCCTAGCCTGGAGTGCAGAGGCATGAACATGGCTCATTGCAGCAGTAAGCTCCTGGGCTCAAGCAATGTCCCTACCTCAATCTCCCAACGTGCTGGGATTACAGGTGTAAGCCACCACACCAAGCCGCTATTTATTTATTTTTAATTTTTTCTTTCATAAATTGTGTAGTTTCCACATAGAGGTCTTGTAAAATTTCTACTGTGTTCATTTCTAGAAATGTTATAGTTTGAGTTGTTATTGTAAATTGAATTGTTTTGTATTACATTTTTATAATTGGATATTGTCACTATGCAGGGGAATAATATTTATTTGTTGTTCTTATTTTAATCTCTATTTTGTTGCTATACTCAGAGTTTCTAATATAAACACAGCATCTGCCAAAAATGTTAACTAGTTCCTTTCTTTCTTTTTTAACTTCATATCTAATCCCTAATTGGATAGATTTTTGTTACTATTCTTTGTTAATGTATCTATTTATATTTTTCTTAGTTTAGAAAACATAGTCTCTATTATTTATGTATCTTTAACTATGTGTGGACATTATTTATAGCCTGATAACAGGATGAAAATTATTTTATAATCCATTGGCATTAGAAAAAAATGTGCTCTTTTGTTTCAGAATAAAGTTTGGCATAAAAATCCAAAAAACAAGTTTGTTAATAATGTTGCTCAAATTCTTTGTAAGCTTGTTTTTCTACTTGAACCATCAGTTTCTAAGAGTTTTTCTCTCCACTCTGATTGTGGATCAGTTAATAATTCCTTGAGTAGATAAAAGCATTTATTTTTATAAATACTAATCTTCTCATTTGAGACACAAAGGTTGATTACTATCACCTTCTTGATGAATTGCTTTTTATTAAGGAATACTATCCTACTTTTTCATATTTTATGCTTAGTCTTTCCTACATGTATCTTATTGATATTGGCACTTTTATTTTTGTCAGACTATACTTGGAATACCTTTTGTCCTTTCTAGGTCTATTCTTTTTAAGATACACTTTTTATGACTTTAACTTTCATAATTGTTTCAAGTCCTATCTAAAAGCCCCTGTATTTAAAGTAGGAAATTTAATCCATTCACATATATTGTGTTATTTTGTGTGTTTGAAATAATTTTTGCCAATTTGTATTCTATGATTTCTTTTTCTTCTGCCCTCTCTACTAATTAAAAGCAATAGCTGACCCTAGACCAAATCTTGTCCTGGGCAGAAAAATGCTGTAAAGACATTATTGGGTCAACTGACAAATTGTAATATGTACAGTAGTACAGTAGATTATTAATAATTGTATTGTGGTTGTATATTTTCTATTCCTAGGAAATACACACTGAAGATTTAGGAGTAAAGGTCATGACATACTCTCAAATGTTGGGGGGAAAATTGTGTGTGTGTGTGTGTGTGTGTGTGTGTGTGTGTGTGTAGTATATATATGTTTATATACACATATATACATATATACACAATACATATAAACATGTGTGTATATATGTTTGTATACACATATATAGGAGCATATATATATAGATATATACACACACACACACGCACACACCCAGACACATATATATGAATTTCCTTTATTGTGCATCATCAATAACATTATTGCCAGAATTAATTTCTTCTCCAAATCTGATGGTAGTGAAAATGTATCTTATTTTTGTTTTAATTTTCCTCAATTACTGGTGAAAATAGCACTCCAGCTCTTGTTTATCTTCTCTTGTTTTATAAGCACTATTCTAAACATGTACTTTTTTTCTTTATTTTTTAAGAAAGACACCTATGTGCATGTCTGTATATAGAGGGAGCACATATGCACAAATGATGGAGCTAATGGGGTTAACGATAGGTGAAGCTGGTTGAAGGACATATATAGGTATTTTTATACCAGTCTTTTTCTTGTATCTATTCTATAAGTTTGAAATTATTTCCAAACGAAAGTTTCAGAAAAGCAGATATGTCATTCAGCACAGCAGAACAGCACACCTTCCAATGCTCCTATCTCAGAGAAGCCAGAGCCCCTGCAATGGCCCACGAGGTCTACTCCAGGTCCCCCTACTTCCTCAGAACCTGTCCTCCTCTTTCTCCTAGGAGACTCCCCACCATTTCCACCCAGCTCCCCCTTGGAACACTTTGCTATTCATTGAGAAAGCCCAGGGGGCTCCTGACTTGAGGGTTTCGCACTTACTTTTCCTTTTGCCTGGAACACTATTCCCCCAGATAGCTGCACAGTCAGCTCTCTCACTTCCTTCAAGCTTTGCTCAAGTGTCATTTGTCAGGGATGCCTAGCCCCATCATCCTATTCAAAACTGCAACACTCTCAGCCCTCCATCTCCTCCATCCCAGGTTATTTTTTCTCAATATCACTTACTTGTTCAAATACACTAAATAACATGCTTATATATTTTGATTATTGTCTGGCTTCCCCTGCTAGAATAGACTCTCCATAAAGGAAGATATTTTTGTGTCTTATTCACTGTTATAGCCTCAGAGGCTAGAGTAAGCATCAATTTAATTGCTGAAAAAATAAATTTATTTATCATATCTTTTAAGTGTACAAATCTGCATGCCACTTATTTTTATTCATTGTCTGTGATATTTACATAGAAATATATACTTCCAGGTTTTACTTTTACTGCTCTATATAATTCCATTTTAAGAATATGTCACAATTTATTTACCCCTTTTCCTAATCATGAACAATTAGGTTATTTCTTATCTTTCCCTGTTACAATGCTGTCATTAACATTCATGAACACTCACCCTGATACCCACGAATGTCAATCTTTGTATACCTCAGCAAGAGTTGTTCTAGGCTGTAGAATTGGGAATGGAATTGCTAGATCTTAAGGTCTGTGCATTTTAAACTTGACTAGGTGCTGCCCGCTGATATGATTATACCATTTCCCCCACTCATTAGGAGAATGCTACAAGTTTTCTTTGCCCTTAGCAAGAATACATTAATACTTTCAGATTTTTAATTCTTGTCAAATGTGATTCTGAAGCATATCTCATTTGTGTTTTAATTTGCATTTCACTAATTACTAGCAAGGTTAAGCAGACCAGCTCATTTTTATCTCTTCTCTGCTGTATAAGCTCTACTTTGAAAACATGGGTCTTTTTTTTTTCTTTCTTTAGCTTTAAGAGATTACATAGTAATTTGTTGAGACTCTGGAGAATCTTTTCCTCTTCCACAGGGTAATTTTCATGCAGTGTGCGATCGTTGTGTGTCTGCTGCTCATGTCCCTTGCCTCTTTCCCTCTGCAGTACCTCTGTTCATTTCTTGTTAACTGTGGCATTCCTCTTTGCAGGGGTCAGCGAGTTTTGATAATTAGCTGTGGAGAGGAGCAGGGAAATATAGGGCTGCGGCCATCTAGAGCTTTCGTTCTGGTATTTTTTTCTCAAACTCACTCTTACCAAGTTTGCTACTTTCTGTTCTTTTTGAGTTTGTCTCCTTCAAGTTTAGGAGTTGGCCTGACTGTAGGTAGGCTACAATAGAGCCCTTGATTCTTTTCTCTTCACCCCCTCACCTCTGCACCCTCCGTGGGCCAGGTCACATACAGGTGTAAAGTGTCAGTTTGGGTTTTCCTTCAGCATCAGGCCTCCTGCTGTTTCCACAGGATGGTTCTCCACTCACCGTGGCCTGCTCATGCCCTTAAACCTTTATCTACTCAAAAGATTGCTGGATGGGCCTTCCTAGATGATGCCACCTGTGAAGAAACTTTCCCTGCGTGGAGTCTGAGCCAGCAGGGCTGAACTCTTCAGCTTCCTTGCACTCTCCTGCTCGTGACGCCACATCCTTTGCATGATTCGTGTTTAAGTTTGCACTTTTAGCTACTTCTCTGTTTCATTAAAGATGAGGGTTTTTTTCTTAATTGTGTAATATGGGTATTCTGCAGTTGAAATCCTGATAAGGGATGAGAGAACAGAGCCCATGGTGAAGACACAAGGAGGGAGACGACAGCCGGTGTCCTCTTCTCATTTCCAGGGTGGTCTTTATGAAATTCAGTCTGGCAGATAACCAAGTAGACTCTTAGAAACTGCATCCAGACACAACGATGTGATAAACTAATTGCTACTGAAGAATAGGAAAGCAATAAGAAAATGTCAAGCATTACATAAGGACAAATGAAAATGATAGATTCATGTATTGCTGTTGAAACTAAAAATAGTCTTTTTGTTTTTTGTAACTGAACACTAATCTTCTTTTAAGATCTAAAAACAAGTTCATGTTTTCCTTTGATTTTTTTCTGAATTGATTTTTTTTCTATTTTTTTCTTTTAGTGATTTTTGTAGTCATAAATCCTCTTTCTCTTTTAGTGGTTGACCTCAAACTGTCAGTAAATGTACCTTCTACTCAATGTTGAGAATTAACCAATAGCTGGGCAACCCTCAAAGACCGGGGAGACATTTTTGCAGTTTTCCTCATTAGCTCTTCTCCACACCGACGATAACTTGTTAAAATCATGCAGCATTTTAGTGTCAATATTTTTATACTATATATTTTACATTTGTAACAATCCATTCTCAACTGTTGTATAAAAAGTTTCAGCAAGGCCAGGCACAGTGGCTCATGCCTGTAATCCCAGCACTTTGGGAGGCCAAGGTGGGTGGATCACTTAAGGTCGGGAGTTCGAGACCAGCCTGACCAACATGGTGAAACCGCTACTAAAAATACAAAAATTAACTGGGTGTGGTGGTGCATGGCTGTAATCCCAGCTACTTGGGAGGCTGAGGCAGGAGAATCACTTGAACCCAGGAGGCGGAGGTTGTAGTGAGCTGAGATTGTGCCACTGCACTCCAGCCTGGGCGAAAGAGTGAGACTCCATCTCAAAAAAAAAAAAGAAAGAAAGAAAGAAAAAGAAAAAGAAAAAAGCTTTAGCAAAATCACCAGCAATGACTGGAACTCACTGTGCGTCTCACTGTCACCAGCCTTCCTTGTATTACATATCTACTTCCTGGGTTGGGTTCATTTTTTTTTTATTTTGTTAAAATACAACCCAGGGTAATTCTTTTTTTTTTTTCCCCAGAGAGGGGTAGCCAAGTGTTTACATGTGTGAAAGGATTTGGGTTGCAAGCATGGAATAGTGTGATGGATGAGTACAACTCTCTTCCCATAAGAAGGTTCAAAGCATCACCAGGTTGACATCTCCAGAGATCCCTCATTGCAGTCTTGCTCTAGTTCTTCAGGGGCTTTTCCCCTCGAGAAGTTGTTAGATTTTTTATCATTGGAAATCAGAAATATCATCAAGATTTTCCCAGATAGTACATTATTGTTCCTCAGCATCTCATGGCCACTTCCAACTGAAGATTTACATTGACTTCCAGGAAATGCTTACTTCATTACTTCTTGGATTAGTTCCTTCTCTCCCTTCTCTCTGTTCTATTTCAAACAACTATCAAACAAACACTGAGTCTCCTAAAACTGTCCTGGGCTCCCTCAAAATTTCTGCAATATTTTCATTTTGACTTTTTAATCCATATTTGGGGATATTTCTTCTATTTTATCTTCCAATTTACTAATCTGGCCATCAATTACTGACGCCTACCACTAAATACTTTATTTTGGCAATCTTTTTTTGTTACTAGAAATTTTCTTTGCTCTATTTTCAAAGCAATCTGTTTCATGTTACAAACTTGTTCACTAAATCTGAAAATGTTTCTGCAGATATTATTGAAACTTATTTTTAGGTTCTTGTGCCTTTCTTTGATTATGTTTTCTCGAAACTAATCTTCTCTTCCTCCCTGTCTTGATTCATCCTGTTCCTTTTCTCTATTGCCCATTAATTTTTAACACAATATATATTCACATATTTTAAAGAGTTAAAATAAGACAGCTATACAAGCTTACTAGGAAAAACTATGCTCTCCTATTGATGGATTATTTGGAGTTTTAGTTTTATGTTGCTAAATAACATGCTTATATTTTAGTTTTTCTATTTTTTTCCAATCTTAGGCATTTTTATTGGCATCTCAGTATGGAAGAATAAGATACAGCTCTTATCACACATGCCACCAGTTCACTCATACTTCTTGTATTCTGTTCCACTGATAAGAGTTATGCCATAATTTTTGTTAAGTCAATATTCAGTGTTTATACAGCTAAAACCTTCAATACTGATTTTTTCTTTGGTACTCAATTTTTATTTTCTCTGGAGTAGTGTTTATTTCAGTTTTGCTCAGTTTTCTATATGCTTAATTTATCACCCAAACATAGCCCCTGTGATGTAATGTTCTTTCTACCCTCTATAGATTTGTCATCTATTGATCTATCAAACTATCAATTCCTCTATTTTCAAGGTAACATAAACATGGCACTTCCTGTGTATCAGGCACTATTCCAAGCACTTCCAAATTCACTGAAAGCTTACAACATCAACAGGTAGTTATCTTGTTATCCTCATATTTCATGTGAGACATGAAGAGAACAAATTCACAATTCATACATGAAAGAGCTTATTCCAACCCATGTGATCTGACTCCAGAGTCTGTGGTCTCCCTCCGTCCTCTGCAACCCCTATATACAAGCGACCCCTTGGGAGGGAGTCTAACAATCCCAACATCTTAAAGGAGCCTCTGTTGGAGTTTCCACCCTGTCCTACTTGGCTCTGGTCAGCTCCAGCCTGGTTGCTCAGCATTCCTCCCAGGGCTTCTATCACCATCATGGAGACCTCTTTTGCCTTTCTTTCATGTTGATTTCCCCGATTACTGGGTCCCCTGACTTCATCTTTCTTGGTTATCTTCTTGCTTTAGCAGAGCACATTCTCCCCTCACTTCCTGGGAAAGGATGCCTGGGGCTGAGTTTCAAAGACCCTGCATGCCTGGGGATGTCTTTATATTATGTTCACACTAAATAAGAGTCTGGTTGCACAAAATGCATGTTGAAAACATCACCCTCAGAATATTGATGTTCCATCCAGATGTTATTCCATTACGTTCTGTCTTTCGATGTTGCTGTTAACAAGTTCGATCCCATTCTGTGCTTAATTCTTCATTTAAAACCTACTTCTTCCCTTTCTTAAAAGCAATTGGCATCTTTTACTTTGTTCTTAGCATTTTCAAAATCTGCAATGATGTATGTTTGTGTGAGATTATTTTCACATAGTGCTGGAGAGCAGTGTGCCTTTAACCTGGAAATATGTCCCTGAGCTCTGAGAAAGAGAAAATATAAGATCAGAAATTTGGAAGGAAGAAGAAAACTTCAAAGGCAATAACCACAAATATGTTTTGAGAGATCATAAAAAAGCTACAGAATGCATGAAACATATAACAAGAAATACTGTTTAAAAAAGGAAGAAGGCAGGATATTCAGAGAACAAAAAGAGCTCTGAAAAGTTAAATATGTGATAACATAAATGAAAGCTAGAAAGATTGAAAGATAGAGCAAAGGAAACTTTTCTTGAATCATTGCTTTCATGATTTCTTCTCTTCTGCCTAATGTGGTTCTTCTCTTCTTGGAGCTTCTATTCTTCCGCTGATTGGAAGCCCTGTGGTACGTGTAGACTTATTGGCTCTGGGTTCACTCTCAGTTTTCCTTGCCAAGTCCTTGCCTTAGGATGGAAATTCTTCAACTTTTTGGTGTCAGGATCTCTTTATGGTCATAAAAATTATTGAGGATCCTAAAGAGCTTTTCAGAAGAATAGAAAATGGAGGAGGAAAGACAAATTGTTTCAGCAGAATATGAGACTCAAGAGGAATGCCAGTTTCACATAAAGATCGAAAAGATGAGTGAAGTATGGAACACGAGATTGGGAATGAAAAAAAAACTGGAGAAATTGACCCAGGCCACATTTTTCTAGGTCTTGCAAAACAATTTAAAGAATGAAGAACTCAGGAACGACCATGAAAGGGTTTTGGTCTGGGGACCAGTATAATCAGAAATATTAATAGCTTTCTGGGAGCCCAGTCTGGCTGCAGGCTGGAAAGGAATAGGAAAAATCAGGGCTGGAAGCAGCAAGGTTGGATGAGGGGCTCCTGAAGTAGTGTAGGAAACATATAACATGGCTTGAACAGGGCAGCTGACAAGGAGGTTGGAGAGACGTGCTAGATTTGAGAGATTTAGATGCTAGAGTCATCACAAGGGAATGTGCATCACAAGGGAATTATCACATTCATGATAATCTTGGATGTCATAACTTCTATCTTTTCAATATCAATACACACATTCCCAAACGCTCAGAACAAATGACAGCATTAGGGCACAAAGTTGGAGAAGTAAATAGTTATTTGCTTGTATATAGAAGTATAAAGTATTTTATGTAAGGCAGAACTAAACGTTGGCTTTATTTGTAAAGAGAAAATATGCAGCTTTGGCATGAGGTGGAAAGAACAAATTGTCACTGTTCCGCATTCTTTTCAAATTTTGATTGGTGAGAAATTTACCTACCTTCATACATAAACACAAAAGCCACATGTTTCCAGGTTGGTAGATTAAAGGCGCAGAGGATAATTACATTTTTAAAAGGGCTCTTGTACTATTTTATGTCCTTTGACTATATTATCAGGTGTAATTGCTTGCTTTAAACAATTTAAACTAGTGTTATTTCTCATAATGCTTATTTGGCATGCCCATATTTATATGTTAATCTTAATAATTAGAATCGCACACCCTCAAAATTTCAAAAAATTGGAGTGCAATGCGGAAAAAATTCATCATCTGGAGAAGAATCTTGACCTTAACAGTTTTGTTAAAAACTAATTGGCAAAATTTTATGACCGAGCACGACCTGCTTCTCCAGGGATAAGGCCAGGATAGGAGACAGATCTGATTGCTGAACATCAGGACATAAACGATGTGTCCAGAGAGGAAGAAATGTAAAAGCCTGGGAACGTGTCTCTGAGGAAGTTTCAACATCGTCCCACGTCTGAGGTCATCCTGTCCTTGGATCTCAAGGACATTTTCTTACTGAGCTGGAATCTTGGCTGTGTAAGAAGAGAGTTGATCATAATATCATAAAAATTAAAGATAGTCTCATTCAGATTGTTCATCTTACAGTTGCAAAATTTTAAAAAATGCTCATGAAAGTTGGATAAATAGCCCAATTTAGTTGCAAAGCTAGACTAGAACGCAGGTCTCTCTGAATTAACTCTGCATTTATGAAATTGTCATTTGACAGAATAGACTGAATAAAGCCAAGCCATGAGTCACATGTCCACACAACCAGTTACCCGAGAAAAACAAGGCTCAGCAGAATCAGTCTATCCACAGTTAAATATGGCCCTGGAGAAAAGGGCTCCATGCTCAAATTAGTTTGAGAATTCATTGAATTAACTAGAAGTAAACAGCCATTTTTTGCATGTGATTGATTGGAAAGTTGGATTTTGCTGTGGCATCCTTGGGGCTGTTTTGTCTGCATTGATCTCTAAGAGTCATGTGAAAAACAATATATTCCAGATTTATGTGGCTGCAAAGTATCATTTACATGAAACACCTATTATCATCTTACTTCCATCTTAATTAATTAATTGTTTTTTTTGAGTCAGGGTCTTGCTCTGTCACCCATGTTGCAGTGCAGTGGTGTAATCCTATCTCACTGCAGCCTCAATCTCCTGGGCACAAGTGATCTGCCCATCTCAGCCTCTTGAGAGGCTGGGACTACAAGTGCACACCATCGTACCCAGCTAATTTTTAAATTTTTTTGTAGAGACTGTGTCTCCCTATGTTGCTTAGGGTGGCCTCCCACCTGGGCCTCCCAAAGTGCTGGGATTACAGACATAAACTGCTGTGCCTGGTCCATTTTAATTCTTAATATTAACTTATAGAAGAAAGTTCAAAATATCTCAACATGGCTTTCAAGTTTCTCTACAATACAAATCCAACCTACTTTTTAAATCTCTGTACTTCAGTTAACACGGTCCTCTGTTTTTAGACTTTCCATAAAATTCATGACTTCCATATTTGCTTATCCTATTCTCTCAGACTGAAATCGTCGTTCTTCCATCTCTACCATACAAAGCTTCATAACCAGTGTTCCTTCATGGAACCACCTGTAATCCTTTCTTTTTTTTTTTTTTTTTTTTTGGAATTCATTTCCGTTTCCTCTTTATCATTCAGTAATCCTTCCTTTTATTTAACAGATACTTGCAGAGGGTCTCCTAAGTGCCAGATGTCATTCTAGGTACTGGAAATATAAGTGTAAGCAAAACAAGAAATCACTGCCCCAGGGAGCTTACATTTTATAAGGATGAAGAGGTGGGAAGAGAGAACATTTTTTAAAATTAATTACTTATATACAATATTTTATTTTAGCATGGTGCTTTTCATGATCCCTGAAGGTTGTGTACAGATTTGTCTCTTTTTAAACTTGTTGAAGATACTACCAATTCTCAGTCACTGTTACATCTCTCATAGCTCAGCAGGTGCTTCCCATGTAGTAAGACTTCAATAAATGTACTGAACTTAGTGCCTCAGAAAGAACCATTTTTGAGCATCTAGTGCAGCACTGTGGGCAGGCGAGTGGGGGGCTTCTGGTGGGTTCTATGCAGGAGACCTATTTCAGGGGTGTGGGGATGGCCATCTTTTTTTTTCTTTTCTTTTCTTTTTTTTTTTTTTTTTTTGAGATGGAGTTTTACTCTTGTTGCCCAGGCTGGAATGTAATGGCACGATCTCAGCTCACTGCAACCTCTACCTCCCAGGTTCAAGCGATTCTCCTGCCTCAGCCTCCCAAGTAGCTGGGATTACAGCCATGCATCACTACACCCGGCTAATTTTGTATTTTTAGTAGAGTCGGGGTTTCTCCATGTTGGTCAGGCCGGTCTTGAACTCCCGACCTCAGGTGATCCTCCCGCCTCGGCCTCCCAAAGTGCTGGGATGATAGGTGTGAGCCACGACTGGAGATGGCCATCTTTTGCTAGGCTTGCTGGGCTCCTGTGTCCTCACCCCACATCCTGTAGTGACTTTGGCAGCATGTCCTAACGTCCTGTATGAAGCTTTCTTCAATCAATTACAAATATTCAGCAGTTAGAGCTATTTTTCAAATTTAGCTGGGCATCCTGTCCTTTAATTGGCTAAATATGGCAATTTAACCTTTTGAATATATGAAAAGGACTGAAACTTTCATTACTGGAAAGCTCTTCTAGGTAGAAACAAAAATCCCAATGAAAGTTAACACAATTTTTATCTATTTAGGCACTTTTACACAACTGATGGAAAAAGAAGCTGCCTCTCTCTTTCATGTATGAAAAAATGTGATTCTTTGGCCAGATAGGAAGAAAAAAGAGAACTTTTACTGCATGCCTGTATATGGCACTACTTCAATAGAAGTTTCTTCCACAACCTATAAGAGCAGGAAGGATAGCCTCTAGAAGCCTTGTTTGTAATATATTACGATTCATTTACTGACCCTTGACTCAAACAGCACCCACTGAACTTGAGGCATGCCGGGCTCTACCCCTAGGTGCCAAGAATGTGAAATGATTATGGCATCTGGGAGAATATGGTGCTTATTTATTTTTATACTTGATAATTTATTTATTTACACATACATGATTTTCAGACTTGTCCTAAAATCCATTTAAAGCAGCTACCTGATAAAATATCTTTAAAAATAAGTCAGGGAAATATAGCTTTAAACTAAGCCTAAATGGACTGAGTTTCTAAGAAAAAAAAAACAAGAATAAACATGTTAGGAGAAACTCTAAGGGACTATATATGTATGTGTATATGTGTATATATGAATATATATGCATGTGTGTATAAAATACATATATTTATGTATACACAAAATACATATATTTATGTATACACAAAATACATATATTTATGTATACACACATAGCTATTATAGTCTAATATAATTTAAATCTTATGTATGCTTAAAAATCCCTTTACAAAATCAAAAGGCAAATAAACAGGGGTAAATATATACAATGCACACAAAATACAAGTGGCTGATAATCTTTGTGGTGAAAGGACTCTCCTGACTGGGAAGGGGAAGGTGAACATTCCATTCAAAAGGTGCTGCAGGACAGGAAGAGACGGCTGGGGAA
This sequence comes from Homo sapiens, assembly GCF_000001405.40. NCBI lineage: Eukaryota > Metazoa > Chordata > Mammalia > Primates > Hominidae > Homo > Homo sapiens. Next base: position 54,902,009 of record NC_000007.14, read on the forward strand.
GAGCATGGAAGGAGCCACCCGCATAATCTTTGGTGCAAACTCAAACCCTGGTGGTGACTTTAGCATTACACAACTTTCTTCCCCAATTTCTCTTTGCCTGACAGCCTTGTCTCACACAATCATCTAATATTGATGACTAGTTGGTGATTGTGTTCTGGTGCAACTAATATGGTGAGGAGCCTCCATTCACGTCCACGGCCATCTCTTTCGGACTTAGCTTCAGTTGCTGGTCGGAGCTATCATCACATATTCTCTCTGGGTTGTTTTGAGGCTCACATCTCCACACACGTGAACACACCTTTGCACACACAGGAAGTTTACTAACATAGTGCCCGGCATTCATTCAAAGCTCAACACCAGAATCTTCCCTCTTTCAAGCTTTGTCTTAGACAAGAGTAGTTTGACGGCAAAAGGAGAAACCTACACAAACTAGTCTAAGGATGAATAATCATAAAGAAGTAGGGATATTTAAAAGAATCGAAGAGCAGAAAACACAGCCAGTCTCACAAGCAACTGGACCTGAGAAAAGAACAAGAAAAACTCTGAGGAGCAGCAAATCCACAGGTTTTCTAACAAGGAGCTGTGGAGGCAGGACCACCCAGGAACCTCACTCTGGGATGCAGCCAGTGCCATGGAAAGGCCTGGGTCAGCATGAGGACAGGTACCATGGAAGCTGGAAACTTGATGAAGTCGGCAGAACAAGCTTGGACACTGGAATCAGGCCAACCGGAATGAGACACCATCTCCTCACAAGCGCTACTGTGCTGGCCCCGAAACTCACTTCACCGCTTTGGGTCTCAGCTTCCTCATCTACAAAGTGGGGATAATAGGGCTTTCCCCATAGGATTGTTGCAAGTGCTAGACAAGGGTTCATAAGAGATTCTCAATTAGTTTTTGCCTATCTGCTACATCTACATTGCATATGCAATCATAAATTTTATCAGGTCAAAAGGCAGACTGATCAAAATGGAGTATTCAATGAAACAAGCATAAATGCCATGTTCTAACACAGCTGGTCCCAAAGGACAATTTTATTCCTGCAGGAAGCTTGTTAAGAAGACCTCCGGCCAGTCAGAGAAGTCTAAATCCCCACCCAGAGCTTTGCACGCTCTATATACATATTAATGTATTTCTATGTCTAGTGGTAAAGTAACCTAATTTTGCTTAATGTAGCAACTTTCAATTCTCCAAATTACTTTAATTATTAAACAAGGGAGGAAGGTTGTTTTGCTGATTATTAAAATCCTCCAGAAATAATTTTCTGTAGAACATACTTTCAGAAATGTCACACTCTAATGATTCAAGCTTAGTCCCGAATAGAAAACATAATTTTGGTTTTTTCATTTGTAAGACATATATAATATTGTCATGATGAATTTAGTAAGTCTTATTTAATATTCATTCATATATTCAATTATATTTGGGGAGTTCACTAGTGACTGGAAAGTGGGGATATGAGAGCCATTTTCTGATTTCACAGAAATTATAGACGAGCAGAGAAGGCAGACAATATAAAATGTAAGTATATGCAAAGAAGATGTACAGTATCTCATGAGAGGGTGTTCAAAGTATAGAAGGTAAGTGTCATATCGAGATAACTAAAAAATTATACATATCATTTATTGAAAATAACACATTTTCTATAGAGTTTTAAAAATGCATGTGTTACTTATATAGGAACACAAAAAAAACACTTTATTTCTCTAAAACTGATGTACCAAAGGCCCCACAGTCACACTTTAAAGAAAAAGACCTCTTTGGCTTTGCGAATTTGGGAAATTTTATTTTGCCCTTTTGAAGCTAACAAACTTTCCTCAGACTACTTCTAAATCATCATAACATTTCTCACCATGACAAACAGAGGCATTAGCAAGAAGAGAACAGGAGAGGTTCTGATAAATCTCTTTCAGAGGGATCATTCAAATATTGTTATTTTTCTTGGAATGTTTGAATTTTCATGATCTCTCAGCCCTCCAATTAGGATGGGTCTCCTCAATGTAGAAAGTGATAATAATGAAGAAGTTAGGTAAGGTGTTCTTTTGAATGGGAAGATATGAAAACTGCAAAACATCAAGGGCAAATTCATTCATCAGCCTCCTTAGCAAATCGGTTCATTCCAAAACTTGACTCAGCTGCTTTGTCACTAAACATACCCTCTTGACCTAGCCCTCGAGAGAGTAATTTTCAGTATTAGGGACATACTCCTGAACTTACTTCATTTCTAAAGAACGGAGTATTCTCTTGTTACTCATTGACGTCGAATGAGACACCAGAGCAGAAGCTGCACATCAGCTGTAACTTGGGAAATAAGAGACTCACATGACACAGTCTGCTTCCTACAAAATCCAAATTAATTCCACATGCAAAAAAAGAAGACTAAAATGTCTCTTGAGGATTGAGGTCAGGGAAGACTGTCAGAGAATGATGAGTACACAGAGTATTTCACAACTTTAGTTGATGGCCATTTCATTCTATCTTGTATAAACTGGGACTTCTTAATAATTGATTCAAAATGTAGCATCGTTTTTAGTGTGTTTCTTTGTATAGACATGCCCGTTAATTAGTTCTGATTTTCTATATTCTGTAATAGAAAACCAGTGTTGGTTTTGTCATCTGTATTGTTTTTTTCTTTGAAAATATTTCTCCTTTGCCTCCGTCTACTAGGGAAAAAATGGATTTTGATCAAATCGAAGCAAACCTTTATGTGAAGAAACTGCTACAGTAAGCAAACAGCCATAAAAACAGTAAAGAAAGTGAAAGAAAAAATAAAACAGGTCCCTGGTGGAAAGGGATACCCCTAAGTGTTCTTAGCATGAGACCAATGACCTGATTTATGATGAAACTAAATGCCTCTATCCAAATTCTGACCTGATTTTTTCCTGCTTTATATTAGCATATTTACTGTTTCGTTTTTCACCGTTACTTTTTCATTGACATTGATCTCTTGTTATTAAATATAAAAAGAGTTTATATTTAATAACAAGAGATCAATGTCAATGAAAAAGTACTACAATAATGTTTGGGAAACAGGAACGTAGGTGAGCCTGACTGACGCCATTTTAAAATCAACTCCATCTTAAAACTAGCAAGTCACATTCTTTGCCAGTCACACCCCGTGGTCATAAGATGTTTACAGCTAAGGAAGCAATTTAGTAATGCCCGCAAGGGCGAGCTCCTAGGACAGAAGAATGTTCAGATGTCCCAATATCACATAACAGTATGTGCTTCTAAGATGATCATAGCATGCTTTGATGTACTTTCGCACTCAAATGCCAAGGATAACCTTCTCCATATCAACAAAGTAATCAATTTTTTCATGCTGTTAGCCCGTGGGCACCTTAGCTTTTACATACATAAGACCCCTATACAAGAGGAATTTAAAGCACTGATGGCACATTCTTCAGCTTGTTTTCTGAGGATGCCCTACTCTGTAACCGAGTAGCTTTCCATAAACTCTCTCTTCTCACTGCACTCTGAGACTCACTCACATTTCCTTCCTGTGCAAGATCCATGAACCCTCTCTTGGGATCTGGGACAAGACCCCTTTTTCCAGCAACACTAACAGTTAAACAAAAACAAGCCTTTGGAGATGTCTAGTAGGGTTTCTCAGCTTTTCTGTTTGGTGACTTTTAAGACTTTAATTTTTTTAATTGTGTTTTTAAACATATAACACATATATAAAAGAGTATAGTATATGTGCTTGTATGTATGTGTGTGTGTGTTTGTGCATAAAGAATAGCAATAAAACAAATAATGTGTACACACTGCCCAGCTTAAGAAACAGAACTTGAAAGCGTCTTCCTGATTTTATCCCCCTTACTCTGTCCCTCCAGAGGTAACCACCATGCTGAATGTTTGTCATTAATTCCTCATATAGTTTTATTTTTATTTTCCCCATATGGCTGTGTATAACAAATGTACTATTTAGATATTTTCAAAGTTGATCTCAGGAAAGGGCCATTTTTTAAGTAAAGCTTCCATGGTAAGAGAAGCGGATCTGTGTCTCTCGGGATCACAGTCTGGCCTTAGTTTTCCTGAGAAGTTACAATAGCCCCATTTGAGAAAACAAGTGGTCAAGGACAGAAGTGAAAACCTGTGAAAAAGCTGGAACTTCTAGAAAGGCTGCAGTGTGGTCCAGCAGGAATACAATTGGGGTGTGGTGGGAACAGGGTTTGTCTTCTTCTTCTAAGCTCAACACAGCCAAGTTCTAACCCTTGGGGGTAACTAGTGCACAGCTCTTCGTGGGTGCCATGTGGATGATCTCAGCGGATTCGGGCTGCAGGCACAGAAGACGGAACAGAGGCTCCACCAGCATTGTGCACTGATGAGTCTGGCGGGACACACCGCCATTCCACCTTCACGCAGAAAGGCCATGTGTTGATGGCAAAGACGGCGCAGATGACCGCTTCCTACACACTATCACCTATGAGTGACACTGCTCCGATTGGGATTTTTTTGCTCACTAGCTCTGGTGTCATGCTTTCTCCTTGGGATCTTTCCTCAATATCATCCTGGAACTCCCTTTGCTTCTCTGACGTGTTACATCTTCACTTTCCTATTTCCTATGTCTTCCTTTTCTTTAGTGCTTTCACTTGTCTTGGTGAAACCTGTCTTCCAAAAACTTTTTGAGAAGAGATTACTTGGGAGAAAACGTGCCTGAAAGTATATTTACAGCTGATTTTCATTATTTGCCATAGTTATGTCCTGTAAAGTTGCCACCAACACTGAATTAGCAAATACTGAGCCATTGCTCTCAGAGAAATGACAAGATTAGGTTCCTGCCAGTCTCTGTTCACAACATTTTCATCTACCAATCAATACATTACCCTGTTTGATGTGTGTTTCTGTTTAAAGACACCTTATTTTCTATACAGTTAATTCATTAATATTGCACTCATGGCCGAGATCACTGTAACTCAGGCCTGAATGAAGCTTAGCCACACATATCACACCCCACCTGTGCTAAGGAAAGCTAGCCAACACTTCAGCACTACACCTGGGGGTCATCTTAAGTGGAGAAACCACAAACAAAAAAGCACAAAAATCCAAAGAAAAAATTGCACTAAATAGACCATGAGAAGGATATGTTCCTGTATGAAAGCTGCATTAAACAAACCATGTCATCTTGTTTAACCTCAACTGGGAAAGTGCGTTGGGCAACTCAAATTGTTTACCACATGTCTGCAAATGACTGCAAAAGTGTTGTAATACTGATTTGAGAGTTACGAATAAATTTTAGTAAGAAAATTCACAAACACAGAATCCGCAAATAATGAAGACTTCATTCCGTTCTCAAACTTAATTGGTTGTTTGCCCAGATACAATTGTTCAGGCTGGAAATACCTTTCCTTCAGAATATTAAAGGCATTCTTCCATTTTCTAGTTTCTAGTGTTGAAGACAAAACATTATCAGTTCTTATTCTTTAATTATGATCTTATTTCTTGCTGAAATATAATATTACAGTTTCTTTGGCCCACGTATTCTGAAAATGTCATGAGAATATGCATGGCTTGAATATTTTATTTTATTCTCATGGAAGCAATGGGATTTTTCAGTTTGGCTGCATAAATTAATTCTAGAAAAAATTTGAATTTATTTAATTGGTGAGTCCTCTCCTCTGTTCTTTTTTTTTTTTTTTTGAGACGGAGTCTTGCTCTGTCATCCAGGCTGGAGTGCAGTGGTGTGGTCTCGGCTCACTGCAAGTTCCGCCTCCCGGGTTCATGCCATTCTCCTGCCTCAGCTTCCCGAGTAACTGGGACTACAGGTGCCCACCACCACGCCCAATTAATTTTTTGTATTTTTAGTAGAGACAGGGTTTCACCGTGTCAGCCAGGATGGTCTCGATCTCCTGACCTCTTGTTCTCTCTTTTTGAAAGGCTTACCATTCAGATGTCAAACACTTTGTCCTGGTCCTCTAATAGCCTTATCTTTTATGTCTTATTTTCCAGCTCTTTTTCTTTCTGCTCTACTTTTAAGGTTATTTCTTCAACTTTAAGTTCCAAACTTTCTATTAAGTTTTAGTTTCTGCTATCATGTTTTTAATTTCCCAGAGCTGTTTGTTTCTTGCTTCTCATTCATATCATTGTGTTCTTGTTTCACAGGTACTTCTCTCTCTCCAAAGATATTAGTGACTAAGGATGAGTCTTCAGAAGGTCTTCTTTTCAGGATGGGTATGACAAGCCTGCCTGAGGCAGACAAAACTCCCACTGAGAACTGGAAAAATGCAAAATGAAAAATTTATCTTGAAATGACCAGAGAGCTATCAGAGACATTCAGGAAATGAATAAGAAATAAACTAGAGCAATATCATATTACTTGAAGACAGACTCTGATTATGTATACTGTAAATTCTGTGGCAGCCAATACAAAAATTAAACACATTATAGATTATGAGTCAAAAGGTGAAGATAAAATAAAATCATAAAATATGTCCAATCAACTCAAAAGAAATCAGAAAGATGAAATTTAAAAAAAAACAAAATAGATGGAACAAATAGAGATCTAGCAAGATGGCAGATGTTAATCAAAATGCAACAAATATAATTTTAGCAGCATAAACACACCAATTCAAGGACAGAGATTGACAGAGTGTGTATAAAAGCAAGACAAAACTATAGGCTGTCACAAGACAGCCACCTGCACATACAAGAGTTCAAACAGAAAGAATGAAGAAACAGACACCCTGAAACACAACACACAAGTAACATTATCAGGTATAAAGAGAAACAAATCTTTGTGTGTGTGTGCACCTAACAACTAACAATACATTTTAAAATATATAAATAAATCTGATAGAAATGAAAGGTAAAACAGACAAGTCCACAATTATAGTTTAAGATTTCATCACTCCTTTGTCAATAATTAATAGAACAAGTATTTAGAAAGTCAAGGAGAGTACAGAAAAGCTGAACAACACCGTCAACCAACTCTATCCAATTGACACCTGCCTATGGAAGAGTCCACTCACCCACAGAAGAGTACAGAGACTCTTCCAATGTGCATGGAACAATCACTAACACAGGCCAGACTCTGGGCTAAAAAACAAATCTCAACATGTTTAAATAAATAGAAATATACAGTGTGCTCAGAGATTGTGATCGATAATTATAATGGAATTAAACTGGAAAAAACCTAGCAAAAATATATCTGGAAAATTTCTCCAAATATTTGGAGATAAAATTGTGCATGACTAAATAACCTGTGAGTCAAAGTAGTTTCAGCTAAAAGTAAACATTATTTTAAAGTATAGAGGAAATTAAATGTGACATCAGAACTTGCAGGATCTAACTAAAGTAGTTCTTAGGGGAACATTTTTATTTAAATACCTATATTATAAGAGAAGAATCTCAAATGACTACTCTAAGCTGGTATTATAAGAAATTGGGAAAAGAAGACAAAATGAAGCCCAAAACAAGAAGAAATAATAAAGATGAACAGAACCCCAGATTTAGAAAATATACATTTTTAAAAAATTAATAAACCAAAATCCACTTATTTGAAAAGATCAATACAGTTGATTAGCTTTTAGACAGACTTATCACAGAAAAAAGTCAGAAAGCACAAAGTACCATATCAATAATGAAAGAGAATACATCATTACAGATTGTGTACATATTAATAAACCTATAAGATTAATTTTGAAGCATAGATGACATAGACCAATTTCTTGAAAGATACAAACTACCAAAAGTCAATAAATGAGAAATAGATTAGATGAGTAGTTCTATTATTTATTAAGGAAGTAAAATCTAGAGTTAAAAACCTTCCAACAAGAAAATATCAGTCCCCTAAAACTAAAAAGAAGAAAAGAAAATATCAGGCCCAGGTGGCTTCACATGTAAATCCTAGCAAATTTTTAAGGAAGAAATAATACCAATTAAATATGATATCTTACAGAATGTAGAAGAGGAGGTAACTCTTTTCAACTTTTTTATGACACTAAAATAACCCTAATCTCCAAATCAGAAAAAATCATTATAAGAAAATGACAGAGTTCTCATGAACTTAGACACAAAAATTCTCTATAAAATAATAGAAAATCAAATCCAGCAATATATAAAAAGGACAATACATTTTGACTGTAGAGGGATGAATTGTGTCCTCTAAACAAATACTGAAGGACAGTGTCCTCAGCAAGATGTTGGATAGAAGCTTTCAATCCTCATTCCCCAGCAGAAACGGGGATCTTGACATACCCAAGACAAGAGGACCATTGTTAGAGGCTGGCAGTCTGGCAGAGGGAGCCCAATACCCTACTGGAGGAAAAGGTTCAAGAGTAAACACATTGAGGAAGGTAAGAAGAACAGTTTGATTTTGCCTGCCTTTCCCCTCCTGCAAGGTGGCAGAACAAAGTGCCTAGAGAATGCCCATTGGTCCATGATTTATTTCTCTGACGGGGGAAAGAGAATGTAACAAGGGTTGGGCTTCCCCAGCCATACAGGATGCTGCCCAAAAGATTACTCAAAACACTGAGGGGATCAACACAGCTGAGTCATGGGGGAGGAGGAGCTAGGAGCAGGAAAAAGGGGTAGGGGACCCACAGTAACAAAGGTTGCAGCTTCCACTAACAGCCTCCTGAACTCCACCAGGAGGCCTGCTCAAAAACCTGCTGGGACCCATTACCAGCAGACCCCTCAGCTAGCTGGTGCATGCCGCCAGCACTCCACATGACCTTCCCTATCCTCCTGCCAAAATGGCACAGGCAAGTTTCTGCACACTGTGCATGAACAAATGCAGAGAGCCTACTAGACTCAAAGGGACTGGGGAAAGGTGCTCAACCTTGAATGCTTCAGGGCACTGTCCCAGGGAAAATAAACAGGAGGCTCTTAGGACCCAAGCCACCTTTGCAGGATAGAGAGAGAAGGCATGAAGTCCACTGAAAAGAGAACATGATGGAGTAAAGCAGGTACATCCATGGAAAAATGTCTGAGAGATCTCTACTAGAGTCCCTAGCTTGGCTGGCTAGTGAAGCTGTTTTTCTCCTGAAGTCATCACTATAGACTAGAGGAGTTGATTGCTTCTTCAAATGAGAATATAGCAATGTAAGACTTCAAGGAACATAAAAAAAAATCTCAAGAAAACGTGACACTGTTACAGGAACACAATAATTGTTTACCAGTTGTAAAGACAAACTTCTCTCTTGCAATGAAAATATTCCATTGATAAACCTTATCACAATGCAAGATTGTACCTTCCTTGGTTGAGATCCTGGTTTGAATTTACGAGCCCTGCTTATTGCACTGGTGAAACGTGTTGCTCTAATTGTTGTGTGCTAATGATGAAAGAGCAGAGGTGGACTTAATGCAGGACACTGCCCTTGAGGCAAGTACAGGCCAAATGATATTACAGCACATTGTACTGAGGGACATTTTGAAGTCACTGAAATAGAACAGTGGAGTGGGAGAACCGAGTTAGCGTGCAGGGCAGGCCAGCATCAGCAGGCCACAAGAACTGAGAGCCTGTGTCTTTTCTGTGCCGATGCAGAATTTATCCATTTTTGTGCCAGGTTGGAACATATTTTAGCAGTAGGGATACTAGTGAATAGGCAATGAAGAGTTTTCGTAAACGGGATTTTAAAAAAATTAATAATGCATTTTGAATTGCACTACTGAGTTGATGATTAAATCTAAATAATGTAACAGGGGTTAAAATGATAATGAAGATGCCTTGGATGACGGTCGTGCATGTTCAAATGTAAGAGTTAAGAAAGTAAAATGTAAAATGCAAAATATAATTTCCCAACATTGAATTTCAACAACATTCTAGCTTCAGCAAAGCATTACCAGCCACTATGACACAATGATTTTCTAGACAGTTCTATGGTATTTACTTATTAAAGTGTTTGGTTTTATAGATGTATTATAAATATAAGGAATTCATAAGAAAAATAGTGGAAATAACATAGAATAATTATGATAAAATAATAATAGGTACATTGAGGGTTTTTTTTTTCCATTTAGAGGAGGTTCACATTTACTGTCATGTGAGAAACACATCAGCATCAGTTCTAGAGTTGGTTTAAAATAATGAAGCTTTCAGCTCTGACTGGGCAATCAGGATCTGCTGGGGTGGAAAATTCGGAATAAGTCTTTTAGAGCCTTGTGGGTAAGTTTGTGATCTAGATGTATGATAGACCCCACTCTGGGCCAAAAGTTTATGAATTTTATTTATTTTATTCAATTTTCCTTTCAGATTAATTACTTTCTCTTCTGTAATTTTAATTCTTTTAACCTAATTTCCTTTGGTTGATTTCACTTTTTCTCACTTCTTGAGATGAATATTTAATTAGTTTATATTTATCCCCTTAAAAATACAAAAGATTACTAACTGGGTGTGGTGGCTCACACCCGTAATCCCAGCACTATGGGAGGCTGAGGCGGGTGGATCACTTGAGGTCAGGAGTTGGAGACCAGCCTGGCCAACATGGTGAAACCCCGTCTCTGCTAAAAATACAAAAATTAGTCGGGAGTGGTGGTGAGTGCCTGTAATCTCAGCTACTTGGGAAGCTGAGGCAGGAGAATCACTTGAACCCAGGAGGTGGAGGTTGCAGTGAGCAGAGATTGTGGCATTGCACTACAGCCTCGGCGACAGGGCAAGACTCGGTCTCAAAAATAAATAAATAAAATAAAAAGATTACTAAAACACGCCTCTTACATCTAACTATCTTAGATAGTAAGTATTTTTATAATAGTTATTTTCTAAATAGTCTGGAAGGAAAGTTTTAATTTTGCTTTTTACCTAATATTTACATATGATAGTTATTGTTGTAGATGGTGTTTTTATTTTAAAATTTCTGATTGTTTGGATTTTGTTTTAGGCTAACTTTTGTAATTGATGTATAGATTTTTTGTTATTACATGTAACTAGTAATACTTCAATATTTTAAAATTCATTAAGAATTAAGGTTTGTTTTTATAAATATTTAATATATATTTGCAAGTCTGTAAATATATATTTGCTCATCAGCTGCAAAATTCTAAGCATGCCTACTAAAGCAAGCTTATCAATTATATTTTTCAAATTCTCTCTATCCTAATTTATTATTGCTTATCAATAAAGAAATAAGACGAATGGTGGAGTAGCAAATTGCAATTGAGGTTTTGTCAATTTCGTTATGTTTTCAAGAATTTTATTTTTATTTTGATGCTATATTGTTTCATATAAGAGTTAGTAAATGTCATAATTCAATTATAAATCCACTACCTTTTGTTAATATGAGCTAACCCTCTGTGCTATTTCCATTGAAATCCCTGTGCTCTGTCCACTGAGTTCTATTGTGTCTGCTCCTGAAATTACCTCCACTACCACTGGAACTCCTCTGCTTGCTCTCCTGTGCTTTGCATTTTTTCAGTATATTATTGCATGCTTCTTTTTTTATTAAACTATCATTTTGCTTAGGTGCTTCTCTTATGTGCAGTCAAATTTTGTGTTGTCTTTCAATATGTAGCTTTAATATGAATTTAGCCATTCATAGGTATTAATATGAACATTAATATGTATTTGTATGTATATTGATATGTTTAGTTTTACCTGAGTTAAGTTTATACTTTTTCATGCTTCTTCCTCACCTTGTTTTTCTTTTTCTGTTGCTCTACTGATAATGTGTTCATTACACTTTTGTATTCTTTTTCTTATTTGAAAGTTAAGAATTATTTTCTTTTTTCGACTTGTAATTCACTTTAAATATAAAATAATAAATTTGAGAAATAATGTTAATGTAAAGAATGTAACAGCTAATATCTCCAACTGTGAAAGATGAAAATGTTGGATGCCTTTATACCTTCTATTTTTCAGCACACCTTCCAGTATTTTACAGATTTTGTCTGCAGTTTTATGTACAGTTTTTCTTTTTTATAAAAATCATCTTCACTTTTAACAATTATTTTTAATATATGTGTTGCTTTATAAAAACATTGACAATTTTTTTAGCTATAACAGGTTTAATTGCTTAGTATCATTTCTTTTAAATACCTCATTTCACTTCTTTTAATTAATTGCTGTTAATTTCTCTCTTTGCAAGACAAATTTTTTAAGTATTTTTTTCAAAGACACATGGTTACCATAGATTAAACTGATGCCCCCAAATGATGATATGTTGGAGTCCTAAACCTCAGAACCACAGAATATAACCTTATCTGGAAATAAGCGTTGAAGATATACTAAGTTTTTGCAATTACTTTTTTTTTTTTTTTTTTTTTTTGCGACAGTCTCTGTTGCCCAGGCTGGCATGCAATGGCACAATCTCGGCTCACTGCAACCTCCACCTCTCGGGTTCAAGTGATTCTCCTGCCTCAGCCTCCTGAGTAGTTGGATTACAGGCATGTGCCACCACACCTGGCTAATTTTTGTATTTTCAGTAGAGATGGGGTTTCACCATATTGGCCAGGCTGGTCATGAACCCCTGGCCTCAGATGATTGACCTGCCTTGGCCTCCCAAAGTGCTGGGATTATAGGCATGAGCCACTGTGCCTGGCCTACAATTAGTTTTAATGGCAAAACCTGCAATTGTTTTTAGGCCAACCTAATAGTTAAGGTGAGTTCATATTGGAGTAGGATGGGCCCTAAATCAATATAACTCATGTTCCTGTAGAGGAGGAGAGAGGACAGTCACACAGACATGGAAGGGGAAAAGGCCATGACAGAAGGCGGCAAGAGTGGAAGTGCTTCTGCCGAAAGCCAAGCAACATCAAGTATTGCCGACAAATCACCGGAAGCTGGAGAGGCAAGGGAGGATTCCACTCTAAGTTTCAGAGGAAACATGGTCCTGCCAACGCCTTGATTTTGAACTTATAGCTTCCAGAACAGTAATTCAATACATTTCTGTGGTTTTAAATAACTCCATTTATGTGACTTTGTTATGGCAGCACTTGGACACTAATAGGATGGGGTAATATCACTTATGATTTTTGATGTTCTTGAGCATGTATTGCAGTTAATTTACCCATGAATTTAGTGCATGCCTCAAAATGGAAAGCTTGAGTCTATCCATTTGGGTTGACATTGTTTTTTCTCAACCTTTGAATTATTGCTTCATTTTTTCTTTCCTTCTTTCTTTTTTTTTTTTTTTTGCGGATTCTTCCTTCTAGTTGATCTCCAGCACCTGAAGCCCTTCTCAAAAACGTTGATATAATCAAGATTTGCCCTGCCAAAAATCGATCTATCACTGCCCACGTGCCCTGCATCTGCAGTTCAGTGCTAGAAGTCCTAAGGAGGTTCTCCTGAGGGTATTTTCCACTCACTTACTAAGCAATATTTTAAAAATAATTACGGGTTCCTTGCTCATTTTGCTTAAGCTGTTCTGTATTGAAAGAGTTTCCTTATATTTCCTGAAACGTTTCCAGTGCTGATATGGATTCTTCCGTATTATCATATTCCTAGTTCAGTTTAATAGATCTTTGGTGAAGGTGGGCTTCTATCAGGGATGGTTATGTCAACAAAGGTAGCTTTAGGGAATATGTTTAGAGGGTGTTACAATGGCTACAATGACAGTTAGCCTTTTGTTTTATCCTTTCACCCATTGGAATGCTTTTATGGGTCATTGGCCACTTCAACTGGGCCTGAGTTTACTTCAAAGCAGGGAAGCTTTGGGTTTGTGATGGAGTTGACAATGTTGAAAAAGGGTTTGGTCCACCAGTCGATCACTTCGTACCTTAAAATTACTTCATTCTAGAGGCAAAAGCCCTCATTCTAACTTTCACAAAACACCCTTTCCTCAGGCCAGTTCTACTGAATTCTCCTGACAGAGACCTGAGCAGAGCCTCAGCTGTATGGCAGCACACTTGGGATAACAGGGTGTGGATAACGTGTCTCCATCTGATGCGGGAGAATTGCAGGTCCTCAGCCTGACAGCGTACCTGCTCCACGGCATAAGCTGCATTGAGTGTGGGTCGCCAGCAACATCGGCTTCTCCATCTGGTCTTGGCAGGAGAAGTTCTATAGTAGCTGCAGAAATATTTGGGAGGACCTTCAAATGTGTCTCTATTGTTGGGAAAGTTTCTTTACAATCAGAAAAGTAAAGACAGTTCAGGGTCATTTTCACATGTGTTCACATTAGTGGCCTTCGTAACAGTAAACCCACAAGCCAAAGTCCTAGTCGTGAAGCTGGAGCTCCTTGACCTAATAGTTCCTACACTTCTGCAAACCTTCCAAGGGTATCAGCTGGAAGGGATAGGTCATTGTTGCCAACGGTGGCCAGAAGGTGCAAGAAGCCTTGGTGCAGCAGACTGCCTGACACTCCACATGCCCTTCTGACTCAGTCCCAAACCAGCAAAACTGCTAAACGGAACTCCATGCAGCTATTGGTGCACAATTGGCAAAATAAACTGTGCAATACAGGTGCCAAATCAAAATGTGTATAAAAAATACACTGGATTAATTCTAGGTTAACTCATGTAGAAAGGGTTCAAAGTCTGCAAAGGATGGAGAAACAGGAGTAATTCTCTGTGTTAAAAGACAAATATTTGCATGAATGTTTGATGTAATTTGTGATCATAAGAAAGTGCTTACACCTGACAGATAAAGTTGAAACTGTCCTTCCTGTGTTCATAGTTAATGACATTTTTCTGGTTTTGAAGTGTTAATTTCGATAGTTTTAATGTATCAGAAAATCATCTTTTAATTCAAATTTTCAGATTTATTAGCATGCATTTGCACATAGCATTCCTATAACTATTTCCCACATGATGTAGATTATATTCACTTCCTTATTTGTAATTTTTACAAATTCTTCTTATTCTGTATTTTCTAATGTTCATGTTTTTACTTCTCCATTTATTCTGCAGACAATTTTCCATTACATATATTTTAAAAGTTAACTTTCATAATTACTAAGTCTGTTGTTTTCTTTATCTGTCTATTTCTTATTTACTTATGCATAATAAATCCTCTCTTTTTAAAAACTATTGCTTTTTATACATTATGGCATTTAATGAAATACGTTAGTTTCTTTTTTAAATAAGTTACTTCTGCCTGTAAAGTTATCAAGGCTTTGAACAGATATTTCAAAGAAGATATACAAATGCCAAATAAGGACATGAGAAACTGTTCAAAATCATTAGTAGTCATCAAGAAAATACCAGTGAAAATCACAATCAGATATCGCAACCCACATATTAGGATTGCTAAAATAAAAGGACAGTTACTGGAACTCTTGAGTATTACTGGTGGCAGTAAAAATGGAACAACCATTATGGAAGAAGGCTTGCAGCTTTGTACTAAACTAAACATACATCTACCCTGGGTCCCAACAATTTCACTCCTAGAAAGAAAGACATGTAATCACAAAAGACTTGTACATAAGTGTTCACAGCAACATTAGTTATAATAGGCAAAAACTGGAAGCAAACCAGGTGTCCATCAGCAGGAATGGATAAACAAACTTTGATGTATTCATAGCTTCAACAACCAGTATGTAGCATTGAGAAGGAAATGAAAAGATCTCATGCAGTAACATGTTGCCTTACAAAAAAAAAAAAAAGAGTGTATATTGTATGATTCCATTTACATGAAGTTCTAAACAAGTTAATCTACGGCAAAACACCGAAGTCAGAGCCCTTGGAGTGGTGGAACAGGTGTGGTGGAAAGTGACCGGGATGTGATGTAGCCCCAGTCATCGCTTTTGGCAGAGGGAGGGAGAAAGGGGAAATGAAATAGGTTGGAGCATTCTGTTCTTAACGAGGTCAACCCTCAGGAGGAAGTTTCTTACTAGAGGCCTAACCTGCAGGGGTGTTTTTGTTTGTTTGTTTTTTGAGACAAGGTCTTACTCTGTCATGCAGGCCAGAGTGCAGTGGTGCAATCACAGCTCACTGCAGCCTTGACCTCCTGGGCTCATGCAACCCTCCCACCTCAGCCGCCCAAGTAGCTGGGACTACAGGCAGGTGCCACCATGCTCGGCTTATTTTTGGATTTTTTTGTAGAGATGGCATGTCACCATGTTGCTCAGGCTGGTCCTGAATTCCTGGGCTCAAGTGATCTGCCCCTGTCGGCCTCCCAAAGTACTGGGACTCCAGGTGTGAGCCACCATGCCTGGCCTGCTGGGTTTTTATCAGAGCCTAACCAACCTGGGGAAAGAGAAATACACAACTCCAGCCCATTCTAGCAGTCTCTTTCTCACCTGGAAAAACTGAGAAGCACTTGTAAGTTTAAAGTCCAAGGACACAGGCTTACCAGGGACTGAGTCCTACTCACAGGACTCTAGAATGCTTTTCCTTACCCCACACATTACCACTAAAGGCTAAAGTCCTTTAGCATGACTAAAGGACTATTTGTAGCAATTCCTTTTACCTGGGACATTATGTCCTGCCATCAAGAAAAAGTTACAAGACATACTACAACATAAAAACACAGTTTGAGGAGACAGAGCAAGCATCAGAACCAGAGTCAGATACGGCAGGGATGTTGGAATGATCCAGCCAGGAGTTCAAAACAACTGTGATTAACACGTTAAGGGCCCTAATGGATACAGTACATGGCACGCAAGAACAGATGGGCCTTATAAGAAGGGAGATGAAAATTCTGAGCAAGAACTAAAGAGAAATGCTAAAGGCCAAACTTACTATAAATGAAGAATGCCTTTGCTAGGCTTACTGGTAAACTGAATATGGCTGAGGAAAGAATCTCTGACCTTGAAGATTCTTCAGTAGAAACTGCCAAAACTGAAAAAGCAAAGACGAAAAGACAGAAAAGTGTCAGAACAGAATATCAAAGGCCTGTAGTACAGCTACAAAAGGTATAACATACATGTAAAGGGAGTATCAGAATCAAAAGACAGAGAGAGGAACAGAAACAATAGGGGTTAAGCATTTTCTCAAATTGATGTCAGATACCAAACTATAGATGCAGGAAATTCAGAGAACACCATCAGGAGGAACTCCAAAAATCTACACCAATGCATATTATTTTCAAACTACAGAAAATCAAAGATAAAGAAAAAATTCTGAAAGAACACAGAAGGACAAAAAAGCATTTTACCTATAAAAGGGCAAATGTAAGAATTGGATCCAACTTCTCAGAAACCAAGCCACAAAGAAGATGTAGTCAAATATTTAAAATGTTGAGATAAAAAATTCACAAACCCAGAATTCTATACGTTGTGAGGTTACCCTTCAAAAATGAAGAAAAAATAAATATTTTTTCAGACAAACAAAAAATTGAGGGAATTTGTTGCCAGTAACTCTGTTGTGAGAAATGTTAAAAGAAATTTTTTAGAGAAAAGGAAAATGATAAAGATCAGAAATTCAGAATTACATAAAAAATGGAAGAGTATCAGAGAAGAAATAAGTGAAGGTGAAATAAAACCTTTCATTTTTCTTATTCTTAATTGATCTAACAGCAACAATTATTTGATTATGTATGCTTATATATATATGTGTGTATATATGTATGCTTATGTATACACACATATATATACATCAGTATACATAGCCAAATAATTGTTGGAAGAAATAGGATTATTTTGTTATTATAAGGTATATACACTACCAGTAGAGCAGCGTAGTGTTACTTGAGAGTGTACTGGGATTAGTTGTAAATGTACATTGCAAACTCTAGGGCAACACTAAGAAAAGTAAAACAAGAAGTATAATTCACATGCTAATAAAGAACAGAGAATGAAATCAAACAATAAGCATGGTTTTATTGGTTATTATTTTGCATAATGTAGAAAGGTTCTAAACACTCCTCAAAATAATCCAAAATATTTAAAAGACATGATTTAATAAATCATACATAAACTCTTGTCAATTTTATAAAGATCTATTTAGAAAGATCAAAAAAAATTTTAAGAGTGACTCAACGCATTGTTTTTTTCTTAATTCTAGAAAGGTTTAAAAGTGTGCTAATCAGAAAAAAAAGGCACATCCAAGGATGCGAACATACTTTTAAATGGCTAAACCAAGGTTGTAATGTGACAAGAATTAAAATATGTGTACTAATTTTTAAAATCCAAATCATAAGGGATAATACCCTTAGAAAACTGGCTGAAATATCTTTGAAATGTTCAGAGGTTAGAAAAATATAAATAGTCAAATTTTTAAAAAGTTTAAAAGTGAGCTAAAGCAATTCTGTTGCATATAAAATAAAGATAAGGTATAAATACAGCACGGGGTAAATATAAACTTGAAATAAATGTACCATTAACCCAAAAGCAAATTGCCTTTAAGTGAATGAGTTGTAAGCAAAACAGTTTGCTCCTAGTTTGAACACAATAGGAATTCAGTAAAGATTGCAGAATTCTAGTAAATGGTACAGAATAATTTCAGCTGAATTTTTTTCTGTTATTGTTATTTTGAGAAAATGTAACATAATTCGAATTTCTTTATGTCATAATTTGATAATTGTAATACCTAAAGTTGTGAGATTTCATTCAGCAATGTTCATTAAATAGGATTTTTCTGAAATGCCAATTGAAACAATGATAATTACTATTGCTACATAGTAGAATTCAGCTATTAGCCTAAACAATAGCTTCACAGCAAATAGATTGCTACAGAACTAAGTTCAATATAGGAAAAATATTTCGGCATCTGAATAAGCACTATAGAACATAAAAGTTTTCAGGAAGTGATTTTTAGACTTTGGTAAGACTGTGATTGGGCAGGGAAATGGCATGGAGTGAAGTAGATGGGCAAAGATTTAGGAATGCAACTATAATAAAACTCACCGTGTTATGTTCAATCATATACATAATAAAATAGAGTAGGAGCCCAAGGAAAGGAGAAAAATATTCTGATATTAATTATGGCTAAATAGTTGGAATGCCTTGAATGCCATGCTGAAGAATCTGAACAATTTTATGAAGTAGAAAATTTGAAATATAAAAAGTTATGAGCAAAAAGCATGAGATTTAATTCACATTTTGGTTTCTACATAAAGAAGGGGAGCAGAGAAATTAGACGGTAGTAGATTAAATACTTTGTAAAATAATTTGGGAAAGAGATAATAAAAACTTAAACTTATGGAGGAAGAGAAAGATAATTCTTATTAATGTAAACCAAGTATAATGAAATATGCTTAAAATGTTATCTTAGAGTAACATTTCCTCCCTCAAAAACATGAAGGAGGAAAGACAAATGACAAAATCTGATAGGCTTTCACTATAAAACAATACTGAGTAAAAATATAATAAACAACATCTCAAATGTATTGCCAAGTCTTCGAAAAATGAAAATTCCCAGCATCCAAAAATATCGAAGAGGCTGAAAATATAATGATGAATGGATGCTGATGCTACAGTTGTCTTGGGCCTCTGCTGATCTTGGAACCACCAGGGTTGGCTTAATAGCTGCAGAGATCAGGAAACAAATATTTTAACTATGCAAATGAGGTATGAACCCTGAGAATCTCCTGACAATTTGGACTCTTTCACTCAGTGAAACAGTGAACCTAAAAATATCTTCCCAAGAGGCACACAGATGTTGGGGAAATTTGTCTACTCTGTATAAAAAATAAAAATTCTTCTTCTCTAAAACTTTCTCACTATAGACTTGCTCCACGTGAATTTGAAATCCAGATTATGTTGCTTGTGTGATCTAGGGAAACACACATTACAAAATTAAACTGAAGTGCCAGATTTTAAGTCATAGAGCACTTGGCAAAAACAAAATCAAGTCCTTTTTGCAGTACATGATTTCACCTTGCCAGTACAGGATACCCACATTGCCACAGATAAAATCCTGCACAATATAAATCCATAATCAAGAATTACCAACTGCAGGAGGAAAAAAGCCATGATAATATCTTTAGTGTAAATAAATGACACCCTGGAATTTTATGCAGAGCTGTGTAGTGCGTTAAGAAAGAGGGCAAAGTGGTGCTAAGAAGAATGTATATTCTGTTGATTTGGGGTGGGGAGTTCTATAGATGTCTATTAGGTCCGCTTGGTGCAGAGCTGAGTTGAAGTCCTGGATATCCTTGTTAACCTTCTGTCTAGTTGATCTGTCTAATGTTGACAGTGGGGTGTTAAAGTCTCCCATTATTATTGTGTGGAAGTCTAAGTCTTTTTGTAGGTCTCTAAGGTCTTGCTTTATGAATCTGGGTGCTCCTGTATTGGGTGCATATATATTTAGGATAGTTAGCTCTTCTTGTTGAATTGATCCCTTTACCATTATGTAATGGCCTTCTTTGTCTCTTCTGATCTTTGTTGGTTTAAAGTCTGTTTTATCAGAGACTAGGATTGCAACCCCTGCTTTTCTTTGCTTTCCATTTGCTTGGTAGATCTTCCTCCATCCCTTTATTTTGAGCCTATGTGTGTTGGAAGTAAAGCACTCCTCAGCAAAAAGAACAGAAATCACAACAAACTGTCTCTCAGACCACAGTGCAATCAAATTAAAACTCAGGATTAAGAAACTCAATCAAAACCACACAACTACATGGAAACTGAACAACCTGCTCCTGAATGACTACTGGGTAAATAATGAAATGAAGGCTGAAATAAAGATGTTCTTTGAAACCAATGAGAACAAAGACAAAACACACCAGAATCTCTGGGACACATTTAAAGCAGTGTGCAGAGGGAAATTTATAGCACTAAATGCCCACAAGAGAAAGCAGGAAAGATCTAAAATTGACACCCTAACATCACAATGAAAAGAACTAGAGAAGCAAGAGCAAACACATTCAAAAGCTAGCAGAATACAAGAAATAACTAAGATCAGAGCAGAACTGAAGGACATCAAGACACAAAAAAATTCTTCAAAAAAATCATTGAATCCAGGAGCTGATTTTTTGAAGAGATCAACAAAATTGATAGACTGCTAGCAAGACTAATAAAGAAAAGAGAGAAGAATCAAATAGATGCAATAAAAAATAATAAAGGGGATATCACCACTGATCCCACAGAAATACAAACTACCATCAGAGAATACTATAAACACCTCTATGCAAATAAACTGGAAAATCTAGAAGAAATGGATAAATTCCTGGACACATACACCCTCCCAAGACTAAATCAGGAAGAAGTTGAATATCTGAATAGACCAATAACAGGCTCTGAAATTGAGGCAATAATTAATAGCCTACCAACCAAAAAAAGTCCAGAACCAGACAGATTCACAGCCGAATTCTACCGGAGGTACAAATAGGAGCTGGTACCATTCCTTCTGAAATTATTCCAATCAGTAGAAAAAGAGGGAATCCTCCCTAACTCATTTTATGAAGCCAGCATCATCCTGATACCAAAGCCTGGTATAAAAAAGAGAATTTTAGACCAGTATCTCTGATGAACATCGTTGTGAAAATCTTCAATAAAATACTGGCAAATCGAATCTAGCAGCACATCAAAAAGCTTATCCACCACAATCAAGTGGGCTTCATCCCTGGGATGCAAGGCTGGTTCAACATATGCAAATCAATAAACATAATCCATCACATAAACAGAACCAATGGCAAAAAACACATGATTATCTCAATAGATGCAGAAAAGGCCTTCGACAAAATTCAGCAGCCCTTCATGCTAAAAACTGTCAATAAATTAGGCATTGATGGGACGTATCTAAAAATAATAAGAGCTATTTATGACAAACTCACAGCCAATATCATACTGAACAGGCAAAAACTGGAAGCACTCCCTTTGAAAACTGGCACAAGACAGGGATGCCCTCTCTCACCACTCCTATTCAACATAGTGTTGGAAGTTCTGGCCAGGGCAATCAGGCAAGAGAAAGAAATAAAGGGTATTCAATTAGGAAAAGAGGAAGTCAAATTGTCCCTGTTTGCAGATGACATGATTGTATATTTAGAAAACCCCATCGTCTCAGCCCAAAATCTTCTTAAGCTGATAAGCAACTTCAGCAAAGTATCAGGATACAAAATCAATGTGCAAAAATCACAAGCGTTCCTACACACCAATAATAGACAAACAGAGAACCAAATCATGAGTGAATTCCCATTCACAATTGCTACAAAAGGAATAAGATACCTAGGAATCCAACTTACAAAGATGTGAAGGACCTCTTCAAGGAAAACTACAAACCACTGCTCAATGAAATAAAAGAGAACACAAACAAATGGAAGAACATTCCATGCTCATGGATAGGAAGAATCAATATGGTGAAAATGGCCATACTGCCCAAGGTAATTTATAGATCAATACCATCCCCATCAAGCTACCAATGACTTTCTTCACAGAATTGGAAAAAATTAAACTTCTTATGGAACCAAAAAAGAGCCTGCATTGCCAAGACAATCCTAAGCAAAAAGAACAAAGCTGGAGGCATCATGCTTCCTGACTTCAAACTATACTACAAGGCTGCAGTAATCAAAACAGCATGGTACTGGTACCCAAACAGAGAGACAGACCAATGGAACAGAACAGAGGCCTCAGAAATAACACACATCTACAACCGTCTGATCTTTGACTAACCTGACAAAAATAAGAAATGGGGAAAGGATTCTCTATTTAATAAATGGTGCCGGGAAAACTGGCTAGCCATATGTAGAAAGCTGAAACTGGATCCCTTCCTTACACCTTATACAAAAATTAATTTAAGATGGATTAAAGACTTAAATGTTACACCTAAAACCACAAAAACCCTAGAAGAAAACCTAGGCAATACCATTCAGGACATAGGCATGGGCAAGGACTTCATGACTAAAACACCAGCAGCAATGGAAACAAAAGCCAAAATTGACAAATGGGATCTAACTAAACTACAGAGCTTCTGCATGGCAAAAGAAACTACCCTCAGAGTGAACAGGCAACCCACAGAATGGGAGAAAATTTTTGCAATCTACCCGTCTGACAAAGGGCTAATACCCAGAATCTACAAAGAACTTAAACAAATTTACAAGAAACAAACAAACAACCCCATCAAAAAGTGAGCAAAGGATATGAACAGATACTTCTCAAAAGAAGACATTTATGCGGCCAACAGACACATGAAAAAATGCTCATAATCACTGGTCATCAGAGAAAAGCAAATCAAAACCATAATGAGATACCATCTCACACCAGTTAGAACGGTGTTCATTAAAAAGTCAGGAAAAAACAGATGCTGGAGAGGATGTGGAGAAATAGGAATGCTTTTACACTGTTGGTGGGAGTGTAAGCTAGTTCAACCGTTGTAGAAGACAGTGTGGTAATTCCTCAAGGATCTAGAACTAGAAATACCATTTGACCCAGAGATCCCATTACTGGGTATATACCCAATAAATCATGCTACTATAAAGACACATGCACACGTATGTTTATTGTGGCACTATTCACAATAGCAAAAACTTGGAACCAACCCAAAAGTCCATCAATGATAGACTGGATTAAGAAAATATGGCACATACACACCATGGAATGCTATGCAGCCATAAAAAAGGATGAGTTCATGTCCTTTGTAGGGACATGGATGAAGCTGGAAACCATCATTCTGAGCCAGCTCTCACAAGGACAGAAAACCAAACACCACAGGTTCTCACTCATAGGTGGAAACTGAACAATGAGAACTCTCGGACACAGGGCAGGGAACATCACACGTGGTGGCCTGTCGTGGGTTGCGAGGCAGGGGGAGGGATAGCATTAGGAGAAATACCTAATGTAAATGACGAATTAATGGGTGCAGCAAACCAGCATGGCAT
Source organism: Homo sapiens (assembly GCF_000001405.40). Classification (NCBI taxonomy): domain Eukaryota; kingdom Metazoa; phylum Chordata; class Mammalia; order Primates; family Hominidae; genus Homo; species Homo sapiens. The sequence goes on from NC_000007.14 coordinate 54,925,572, forward strand.
ATGTATACCTATGTAACAAACCTGCACGTTGTGCACATGTACCCTAGAACTTAAAGTATAATTAAAAAAAAAAGAGAAAGAGGGCAAAGTAAATGCATTTTCAAATAAAACCTGAGTTTCCACTAACAGACCTAATTTATTAAAGGAATTTTAAAATATGTAGTTTATTAAGGAAAAGGATATTCTTTAGTGATCTCAATTCTTAGGATGGACTGATATACAAGAGGTAATGGCGTGCAAAGAAATTAGAAAGGGAGGGGCAGAGCAGGATGATGGACTAGAGGCCTTACACCATTTGTTCCTCCACAGTAACACCAAATTTTAACAACTAACTACACACAAAAAGCACTATCACAAGAATGAAAGATCAGGTGAGCAATTTCCATACATGATTTTAACTTCATATCACAGAAAGAGATGTTGAAGAGGGCAGGAAAGACAGCCTCCACACACCGATGCTCTCCCTCCCTCGTTCTCTCCTGCTGGGAAATCTATGCACTTAAGGGAGGGAGAGCACAGTGATTGTGAAGTTTTGCATTGAACTCGCTGCTGCCTTGTCACAGTGGAAAGCAGAACAAGGTTGTACTCAACTGACATCTGCCCATGGAGGGAGCATCTGGACCAGCCCTAGCCAGAGAGGAATCACCCATCCCAGTGATCAGAGCTTGAGTTCCAGCAAGCCTCACCACTGTGGGCTGAGTGCTCTGGGGCCCTGAGTAAACTTGAGGGGCAGTCTAGGCCACAAGGACTGCAATTTCTAGGCAAGTCCTAGTGCTGAGTGGGGCTCAGGGCCAGTGGACTGGAGGGGCATGTGACCTACTGAGACACCAGCCAGGGTGGCTAAGGGAGTGTTGCACAGCATGGAGAAATCTATGTGTTGGGAGAGGGAGAGCACAGTGACTGGAGGACCTTACTTTGAACTCAGTGCTGCCCTGGCACAGCAGAGACCTGGCAGGATTCATCACTTGCTGACTATAGAGCCCCTCCGCCATCAGCCCTGAGTAACTAACAGTGATACCCAGGTAATACACCACAGGCCTAGGGCTCTAAGACTTGCTGGCTTCAGGGGTGACCCAGCACATCCACGGCTGTGGTGACTATGGTGAAAGACTCCTTCTGTTTGAGAAAAGTAGGGGGGAAAACGAAGGGAACTCAGTCTTGCACCTTAAGTACCAGCTCAACCACAATAGGGTAGAGCACCAAGCAGGCTCTTGGGGTCCCTGAGTCCAGGCCAAGGCTGTTGATCAACATTTCTGGACCTGCCTTGGTCCAAACGGGAGCCAGTGGCCCTGAAGGGTGAGTACCGGGTCTGGCAGCATTCACCACAAGCTGACTAAAGCGACCTTGGGCTTTAAGTGAACAATGGTGGTGGCCTGGCAGAACCCCACATGGATCAGTGGTGGTGGTGGCCACAGAAAGGGGCTCCTCTGCCTATGGAAAAGGGAGAGAAGAGTCAGAAAGACTTGGTCTTGTTATTTGGGTGTCAGCTTAGCCACAGTAGAATAGAACACTAGATAAATTTCTAAGGTTTTTGACTTCAATTCCTGACTCCCAGATAGCATCTCCAGACCCACCTAGGGCCTGGGGGAACTTGCTGCTCTGAAGGAGACAAAGTAATGGCCAGCTTTGCCACATGCTGATCATAGATCCCTAGGTCCTTGAGTGAACTAGGTGGTAGCCAGGTAGTGGTTACAGTGGACCTTGGGTGAGACCCAATGCTGGGCTTGGCTGTTCAGGTCTAAAGTAGCACAGTCCTAGTGTTGGTGACCACAGGGTTCTTGTGTCCCCCCACCCCCAGTTCCAGGAGGCTTAGCAAAGAGAGAGAGACTTTGTTTGGGAGAAGGTAAGGGAAAAGAACAAGAGTTTCTGCCTGGTAATCCAGATAATTATTCTAGATCTTGTCCAAGACCACCAAGGTGGTACCTCTCTGAGCCTACAAGAACCACAACGTTATTGGGTTTGGAGCCCATGTCTCTTTGAATACCTGGAAAGCCTTCCCAAGAAGGGTGGGTGTAAACAAACAAGCCTAGACAGTGAAGACTGCAATAAATGCCTAACTCTTAAATGCCCTGGCACCAACTAACATCTACAAGCATCGAGACCATGCAGGAAAAAAAAAAAAATGACCTATGAAATTAACCAAACAAAGCCCCAAGGATTAATCCTGAATAAAGAGAGATATGCAACTTTTCAGACAGAAAATTCAAAATAGCTGTGCTGGGGAAACTCAAAGAAATTCAAAATAACACAGAGGATGAATTCAGAATTCTATCAGATAAATTTAGCAAAGAGATTAAAGTTATTTTTAAAAATTGAGCAGAAATTCTGGAGTTGGAAAATGTAACTGACATACTGAGGAATGCATCAGAGTCCCTTACTAGCAGAATTGATCAAGCAGAAGAAAGAATTAATGAGCTTGAAGACAGGTTATTCGAAAATACACAGAAAAGACAAAAGAAAAAAGAAAATACACATAGAAGACAGAAAAAAAACCAATGAAGCACGCTTACAAGATCTAGAAAATGGCCTCAAAAGGGCAAATCTAAGAATTATTCACCTTAAAGAGAAGATAGAGAGAGAGATAGGGGTAGAAAGTTTATTCAAGGGGATAATGATAGAGAACTTCCCAAACCTAGAGAAATATATCAATATTCAAGTACGAGAAGGTTGTGGAACACCAAGCAGATTTAACCCAAAGAAGACTACTTGAAGACATTTAATAATCAAACTCTTCAAAGATCAAGGATAGAGAATGGATCTTAAAAGTAGCAAGAGAAAAGAAACAAATAATGTACAACTGAGCTTCAACACTTCTGGCAGCAGACTTTTCAGTCGAAATTTTATAGGCCAGGAGAGAATGGCATGACATACTTACATACTTAAAGTGCTGAAGGAAAAACACTTTACCCTAGAATAGTTCCGGCAAAAAAAAAAAAATCCTTCAAACATGAAGGAGAAATAAAGACCTTTCCAGACCAAAAAAAGCTGAGGGATTTTATTAACACCAGACCTGTCCTACAAGAAATGCTAAAGGGATTTCTTCAATCAAAAAATGACATTAATGAGCAATAAGAAATCATCTGGACGTACAAAACTCACTGGTAATAGCACATAAAAACACAGAATATAATAATACTCTGTGTTATGTAAAATACTCTTATCTTAAATAGAAAGACTAAATGATGAACCGATCAAAAATAATAATTACAGCAACTTTTCAAGATGTAGAGAGTACAATAAGACATAAAGAGAAACCATAAAATGTTAAAAAGTGAGTGGATAAAGTTGAAGTGTAGAGTTTTTATTCATTTTATTTTTGCTTGTTTGCTTATTTGTTTGTTTATGCAATTAGTGTTGTCATCAGTTTCAAATAATGGGTTGTAAGATCGTTTTTCAAGCTTCATGGTAACCTCAAATTGAAAAACACACAATGGGCACACAAAAAATAAAAAGCAAGAAATTAAATCATACCACCAACAAAAATCAACTCCACTAAAAGGAAGACAGGAAGGAAGAAAAAAACAAAACAACCACCAAACAACCAGAAAACACATAGCAAAATGGCAAAAGCAAGTCCTTACTTATTAATAATAATATTGAATGTAAATGGACTAAAATTTCCAATCAAAAGACATAGAGTGGTTGAATAAACATAATAGCAAGACCCATGACTGTTGCCTATAAGAAACACACCTCATCTATAAAGACACACATAGACTGAAAATAAAAGGATGAAAAAAGATAGTGCGTGACAATGGAAGCAAAAAAAAAGAAAGGAGTAGCTACACTATGTCAGACAAAATAGGCTTCAAGACAAAAAATGTAATAAGAGACACAGAAGGTTATTATATAATAATAAATGAGTCAATTCAGAAACAGAATATAACAGTTGTAAATATATATGCACCCAACACTGGAGCACCCAGGCATATAAAGCAAATAATATTAGAGCTAAAGAGAGAGATAGACTTCAATACAATAAAAGCTGCAGACTTCAACACCTCACTTTCAGTATTGGACAGATCTTCCAGACAGAAAATCAACAAAGAAACATCAGACTTAATCTCCACTTTAGAACAAATGGACTTAATATATATTTACAGAAGATTTCATCCAATGGCCACAGAATACACATTCTTCTCCTCAACACATGGATCATTCTCGAGAATAGATCATATGTTAGGTTACAAAACAAGTCTTAAAACATTCAGAAAAATTGAAATACTATCAAGCATCTTCTCTGACCACAGTTGAATAAAACTAGGAATCAATAACAACAGGAATTTTGAAAACTATATAAACACAATGGAAATTAAACAATATGGCCCAGAATGATCAGTGAGTCAATGAAGAAATCAGAAGGAAACTGAAAATTTTCTTAAAACAAATGATAAGGAAACAGAACATGCCAAAACCTATGGAATGTAGCAAAAACAGGGAAATTTATAGCTATAAAACCTACATCAAGAAAGAAAGAAAACTTCAAATAAATAAGCCAAGAATGCATCTTTAAAAATTAGAAAGACAAGAGCAAACCAAACCCAAAATTAGTAGTAGAAAAAAACATAAAGATCAGCACAGAAATAAATAAATTTGAAATTAAGAAAACAGTACAAGAGATCAATGAAATGAAAATTTAGTTGTTTGAAACAATAAATAAAATTGACAAATCTTTAGGGAGACTAAGAAAAAAAGACACCGGAGCCAAATAAATAAAATCAGAGTTGAAAAAAATAGAGACATTAGAACTGATACCACAGAAATACAAAGGATCATTAGTAGCTAGTATGAGCAACTGTATGCCAACAAATTGGAAAATCTAGAGGAAATGTGTAAATTCCTAGACATATACAACCTACCAAGGTTAAACCATAAAGGAATCCAAAACCCGAACAGACCATTAACAAGCAATGAGATCAAAGCTGTAATAAAAAGTCTCTCAGTAAAGCAAAGTCTGGGAACCTGATGGCTTCACAACAGAATTCTACCAAACATTTAAAGAACCAATACCAATCCTACTCAAACTATTCTAAAAAGTAGAGGAGGAGGAAATACTTCCAAATTCCTTCTATGAGGCCAAAACCAGACAAAGACACATCAAAAAAGAAAACTACAGGACACTCTCTCTGTTGAATATTGATAGAAAAGGCCTTAGCAAAATACTAGCAAACTGAATTAAACAATACATTAGAAAGAATATTCATCATGACTAAATGGGATTTATCCCAGGGATATAAGACCACTTTAACATATGCAAATAAATCAATGTCGTACATCATATCAATAGAATGAAGGACAAAAACCATGTGATCATTTTAATTGGTGCTGCAATTGACAAAATTCAACACCCTTTCATGATAAAAATCCTTAAAAAACAGGCATAGAAGGAACATACCTTAACATAATGAAAGACATATATGACAGACCCACAGCTAGTATCACACTGAATGAGGAAAAACTGAAAGCCTTTCCTTTAAGATCTGGAACACAACAGCAATGCCACTTTCACCACTGTTATCCAACATAGTACTGGAAGTGCTAGCTAGAGCAATCAGACAAGAGAAGGACATAAAGGGCATCCAAATTGGAAAGGAAGAAGTCAAATTATCCTAGTTTGCAGATGATATGAGCTGATATCATCTGCAAAGACTCCAAAGAAAGTATAGAACTGATAAACAAATTCAGAAAAGTTGCAGAGTTGGAAAAAAAAAAAGACATTAGAACTGATACCACAGAAATTAACATGCAAAAATCAGTAGCATTTCTATATTCCAAAAGTGAACATTCTGGAAAAGAAATCAAAAAAGTAACTCCATTTACAATAACCACAAATAAAATTAAATACCTAGGAATCAAAAAGAAGTGAAAGATTTCTACAATGAAACTATAAAATACTGATGAAAGAAATTGAAGAGGACACAAAAAAGTGTAAAAGTATTTCACGTTCATGGATTGGAAGAATCAACATTGTTAAAATGTCTATACTACTCAAAGCAATCTACAAATTCAATGCCATCCCTATAAAAATACCAGACATTCTTCACAGAAATAGAGCAATCTTAAAATTTACATAGAACCACAAAACATCCAGAATAGCCAAAGCAAAAAGAGGAAAACTGGAGGAATCACATCACCTGACTTCAAATTATACTACAAAGCTACAGTAACCAAAACAGCATGGTACTGGAATAAAAACAGAAGCATGAATCAATGGAACAGAACAGATAACCCAGAAACAAATCCACACATCTCAAGTGAACTCATTTTTGACAACGGTGCCAAGAACATACAATGGGGAAAGGACAGTCTCTTCAATACATGGTGCTGGGAAAACTGGATATCCAAATGCAGAAGAATGAAACTTGACTCATATCTCTAACCATATACAAAAAAATCAAATCAAAATGGATGAAAGACTTCAATCTAAGACCTCAAACTATGAAATTACTTCAAGAAAACATTGAAGAAATTCTCCAGGATATTGGCCTGGGCAAAAATTTCTTGAGTAATATCCTACAAGCACAGACAACTAAAGCGAAAATGAACAGATGGGATCACATCAAGTTTAAAAGCTTCTGCACAGCAAAGGAAATGTCAATAAAGTGAAGAGACAACCCACGGAAGGGGAGGAAATATTTGCAAACTACCCATCTGACAAGGAGTTTATAACCAGAATATATAAGGAGCTCAAACAACCCCATAGGGAAAAAATAATAATCTGATTTAAAAATAGGCAAAAGATCTGAACAGATATTCCTTAAAAGAAGACATGTAAATGGAAGCAGGCACATGAAAAGGAGATGAACATCATTGATCAACAGAGAAATGCAAATCAAAACCACAATGAGATATCATCTCACTCCAGTTAAAATGGCTTTAATCCAAAAGATGGGCAATAACAAATGCTCATGAGGATGTGGAAAAAGGGAATCCTCATACACTGTTGATGAGAATGTAAATTATTACAGTCACTGTGGAGAACAGTTTGGAGGTTCCTCAAAATACTCAAAATAGAGCCACCATATAACCCAGCAATCTCACTGCTTGGTATATACCCAAAAGAAAGGAAATCAGTGTATGGAAGAGATATCTGCACTTCCGTGTTCATTGCAGCACTGTTCACAATAGCTGAGATTTGAAAGCAACCTAAGTGTCCATCAACAGACAAATGGATAAAGAAAATATGGTACATATACGCAATGGGGTACTATGCAGACATAAAAAGAATGAGATCTTGTCATTTACAACGGCATAGGTGGAACTGGAGGTCATTATGTTAGGTGAAATAAGTCAGACTTGGAAAGTCAAATTTCGCATGTTCTCATTTATTTGTGGGTGCTAAATATCAAAGCAATTGAACTCATGCAGATAGAGAGTAGAAGGATGATTACCAGAGGCTAGGAAGGGTAGTGGGGGGGTGAAGGAGGGAAGTGAGGATGGTTAATAGGTACAAAACATACATATACATACATACATACATACATACATACATACATACATACATACATACATATATATATAATTAGAATGAATAAGACAGAATTTGATAGCTCAACAGGGTGACTATAGTCAATAATACTTTAATTGTACATTAAAAATTAACTTAGGTCAGCGCGAGGGAGCCCGGGTGGCCGCCATTACTGAGCCTGGCGCTGCGGCTGGCGCTGGGAGAGCGGGGAGGGACGGGGCCGCAGCTGGTGGCAGAGAGGGAGGGAGGGTGGGTGAGCAGGCTGCGGGGGCCGTGGGGCTCAGGGTTTCCGGGCGTGTGTGTCGGGGAGGGCGGAGGGAGGTGCCTGAAGGGACGCGCCGCTCGGTGAGCGCGCCGGGGGAGAGGCGAGCAGAGAGTGGAGGAGGAGGCGGCGGCGGGAGCGCTACCCAGGAATGTTGCTGCCGCAGCCACAGCCAGGGCCGCTGTGGTTGAGGAGGAGACAGAGGAGACCGACGTTGTTAGGAAAATGATCTCTATGATCTTGAAGATGTTTCTGCACAGAAATGAGGGAAATACAAAGAACCAAATACAGTTCTGAAACTTGGGATCTGTATTTTCAGATGATTTTATTTTCAGAATGAGAAGCATATCTGGTTTCATATCTACATTTATGAATGTAGAGGCATGAGAAGAGAGTTATGATGGCAAAAAACAAAGAGCCTTGTCCCCCATCCTATACTATCAGTGTAGTTGGACTCTCTGGGACTGAAAAAGACAAAGGTAACTGTGGAGTTGGAAAGTCTTGTTTGTGCAATAGATTTGCACGCTCAAAAGCAGATAAATATTATCCAGAGCATACTTCTGTGCTTAGCACCATTGACTTTGGAGGACGAGTCGTAAACAGTGATCACTTTTTGTACTACTGGGGTGACATAACACAAAATGGTGAAGTTGGAGTAGAATGCAAAATTCATGTCATTTAACAGTTCATTGATGACCAGACATTCTTGCCTCATCGGAGTATGAATTTGCAACCATATATAAAACGTGCAGCTGCATCTAGATTGCAGTCAGCAGAAAAACTAATGTACATTTGCACTGATCAACTAGGCTTAGAACAAGACTTTGAACAGAAGCAAATGCCTGAAGGGAAGCTCAATGTAGATGGATTTTTATTATGCATTGATGTAAGTCAGGGATGCAATAGGAAATTTGATGATCAACTTAAATTTGTGAATAACCTTTTTGTCCAGTTATCAAAATCAAAAATACCTGTAATAATAGCGGCAACTAAATGTGATGAATGCGTGGATCATTATCTTAGAGAAGTTCAGGCATTTGCTTCAAACAAAAAGAAGCTTCTTGTAGTGGAAACATCAGCAGGATTTAATGTCAACATTGAAACGTGTTTCACTGCACTGGTACAAATGTTGGATAAAACTCGTAGCAAGCCTAAAATTATTCCCTATTTGGATGCTTATAAAACACAGAGACAACTTGTCACAGCAACAGATAAGTTTGAAAACTTGTGCAGACCGTGAGAGATTATCATGCAACTTGGAAAACTGTTAGTAATAAATTTAAAAAATCATCCTGATTATGAAGAATACATCAACTTAGAGGGAACAAGAAAGGCCAGAAATACATTCTCAAAACATATACAACAACTTAAACAGGAACCTATAAGAAAAAGGAGAGAAGAGTATATAAATACTTTACCAAGAAGAGTTTTTAACACTCTTGCCAAGTCTAGAAGAGATTGAACATTTGAATTGGTCAGAAGCTTTGAAGTTAATGGAAAAGAGAATAGATTTCCAGTTATGTTTTGTGGTGCTAGAAAAAACACCTTGGGATGAAACTGACCATATAGACAAAATTAATGACAGGCAGATTCCATTTGACCTCCTGAGCACTTTAGAAGCTGAAAAAGTCTGTCAGAACCATGTACAACATCCAATATCCGAGAAGAGGAGGGTAGAAATGAAGGAAAAATTCAAAAAGACTTTGGAAAAAATTCAAGTCATTTCACCTGGACAGCCATGGGAGGAAGTTATGTGCTTTGTTATGGAGGATGAAGCCTTCAAGTATATCACTGAGGCTGATAGCAAAGAGGCATATGGTAGGCATCAGTGATAAATAGTTGAAAATCCAAAGAAAAGTTTCAAGAAATGCTTTTTGAGCATTCTGAACTTTTTTATGATTTAGATCTTAATGCAACACCTAGTTCAGATAAAATGAGTGAAATTCATACAGTTCTGAGTGAAGAACCTAGATATAAAGCTTTACAGAAACTTGCACCTGATAGGGACTCTCTTCTACTTAAGCATATAGGATTTGTTTATCATCCCACTAAAGAAACGTGTCTTAGTGACCAAAATTGTACAGACATTAAAGTGGAGCAGTTACTTGCTAGCAGTCTTTTACAGTTGGATCACGGCTGCTTAAGATTATATCACGATAGTACCAATATAGATAAAATTAACCTTTTTATTTTAGGGAAGGTTGGCCTTGCCCAAGAACTAGCAAATGAGATAAGGACACAATCCACTGATGATGAGTATGCCTTAGATGGAAAATTTATGAACTTGATCTTCGGCCAGTTCGCCTTACCTTTTGAGTCAGTTATGGACTGCTGCCTTTAAACCACATCGGTGCTTCTGTGTATTTAATTCCATTAAGTCATTGAGTTTTATTGGGGGAATTTATTGGGAAAATAAGAACTGAAGCTTCTCAGATCAGAAAAGATAAATACTTGGCTAATCTTCCATTTACATTAATTCTGGCTAATCAGAGAGATTCCATTAGTAAGAATCTACCAATTCTCAGGCACCAAGGGCAGACAAGTTACAATGTCCTTTTGTAGATGTACCTGCTGGTACATATCCTCATAATTTTTATGAAACCCAAATAAAGCAAGCTCTAAGAGGAGTACTGGAATCTGTTAAACCCAATTTGGATGTGGTGAGCCCAGTTTCTGCCAAGAAGGACATATCAGAAGCTGACTTGAGAATTGTCATGTGTGCCATGTATGGAGATCCATTTAGTGTGAATCTTATTCCCTCACCCTTCCCTGATTCTCATTCTTGCAGTGCTGCTCAAGCTGGACAGAATAATTCCCTAATGCTTGATAAAATCATTGGTGAAAAAAGGAGGCGAATACAGACCACAATATTATCATACCACTCTTCAATTGGAGTAAGAAAAGATGAACTAGTTCATGGGTATATATTAATTTACTCTGCAAAACAGAAAGCATCAATGGGAATGCTTCGAGCATTTCTATCAGAAGTTCAAAACACATTCCTGTACAGCTGGTGGCAGTTACTGATAGCCAAGCAGATTTTTTTTTTGAAAACGAGGCTATCAAAGAATTAATGACTGAAGAACACATTGCAACTGAGATCACTGCTAAATTTACAGCATTGTATTCTTTATCTCAGTATCATCAGCAAACTGAGATCTTTATTCTGTTTTTTAGTGATGTTCTAGAGAAAAAACATATGATAGAAAATTCTTATTTGTCTGATAATACAAGGGAATCAACCCATCAAAGTGAAGATGTTTTTCTACCATCTCCCAGAGACTTTTTTCCCTATAACAACTACCCTGATTCAGATGATGACACAGAAGCACTACCTCCTTATAGTCCAACTGGGGATGATGTACAGTTGCTTCCAACACCTAGTGACCATTCCAGATACAGATTAGATTTGCAAGGAAATGAATATTCTATTCATAGTACCCCAAACTGTCGTGACCATGAACGCAACCATAAAGTGCCTCCACCTATTAAACCTAAACTAGTTGTACCTAAGACAAATGTGAAAAAAATGGATCCAAACATTTTAAAAACAATTGAAGCTGGTATTGGTAAAAATCCAAGAAAGCGGACTTCCCAGGTGCCTTTGGCACATCCTGAAGATATGAATCCTTCAGATAACTATGCGGAACCCATTGATACAATTTTCAAACAGAAGGGCTATTCTGATGAGATTTATATTGTCCCAGATGATAGTCAAAATCACATTAAAATTCAAAACTCACTTGTAAATAACACCCAAGGAGATGAAGAAAATGGATTTTCTGATAGAACCTCAAAAAAATCACGGGGAATGGAGGCCTTCAAAATACAAATATAAGTCTAAAATCATGTTTAGTAAAGCCAAGTCATACTATAGGAGAACACATTCAGATGCAAGTGATGATGAGGCTTTCACCACTTCTAAAACAAAAAGAAAAGGAAGACATCGTGGAAGTGAAGAAGATCCACTTCTTTCTCCTGTTGAAACTTGGAAAGGTTAGGTATTGGTAATCCTGCAATCACTTCTGACCAGGAGTTAGATGATAAGAAGATGGAGAAGAAAACCCGCAAAGTGAAAGGAGATAAAAAGCAGAAAAAGAAAACTAAGACCTTCAATCCACCAACATGTAGAAATTGGGAAAGTAATTACTTTGGGATGCCCCTCCAGGATCTGGTTACAGCTGAGAAGCCCATACCAGTATTTGTTGAGAAATGTGTGGAATTTATTGAAGATACAGGGTTATGTACTGAAGGACTCTACCGTGTTAGCAGGAACGAAACTGACCAAGACAATATTCAAAAGCAGTTTGATCAAGATCATAATATCAATCTAGTGTCAATGGAAGTAACAGTAAATGCTGTAGCTGGAGCCCTTAAAGCTTTCTTTGCAGATCTGCCAGTTCCTTTAATACCATATTCTCTTCATCCAGAGCTATTGGAAACAGCAAAAATCCCAGATAAAACAGAATGTCTTCATGCCTTGAAAGAAATTGCTAAGAAATTTCATCCTGTAAACTATGATGTATTCAGATACATGATAACACATCTGAACAGGGTTAGTCAGCAAAATAAAATCAACCTAATGACAGCAGACAACTTAATCCATCTGTTTTTGGCCAACCTTGATGAGAGCTGATTTTGAAAATCAAGAGTTTCTGTCTACTACTAAGATTCATCAATCTGTTGTTGAAACATTCATTCAACAGTGTCAGTTTTTCTTTTACAATGGAGAAATTGTAGAAACGACAAACACTGTGGCTCCTCCACCACCTTCAAACCCAGGACAGTTGGTGGAACCAACGGTACTACTTCAGTTGCCGCCACCATTGCAACCTCAGCTGATACAACCACAATTACAAACGGAACCTCTTGGTATTATATGAGTAGGAAGTAATTGCAAACAGGCTGGATTTGGACAAAAAGCAAATCTAGACATGCATGTTTCAGGGTTCAGTAGTATACTTCATATTTCATACAGATAATTCACATTCAAAATGACATTTTCTCTTTGAACTAGATGGTATTCCTTATTCACTTACATTACAAATCTAAGACTATGTGATAGGCATGACTGGAGAGGTTTAATTTTTATAAACAAAAATAGCTATAAAATACAAAGCTGCTGCTGCATGCAACCTTATTGCAATCAGTATATCATTCCTGTGACAATTTCTGTCACATTATGTTGTGAATAAAATTTTTCCATAGAAATTAAATGATTTAAAAACTCACCTATATGAAACATTTAATGCTTTTCAGCCTGCTTTCTGGCGATTTTGTTATTTGATGTGCTAATTTGGGCAACTTAATTTACATTCTGGCAGTCAGTGTAGATAAGTAAAAGCCCAGTTAAGTATTTTATACTTTCAGGCTACTGAGGCCATGCTTGGGATGTTGTTTGAAAGAAAGAAAAAATACACTTGACATATTTCACATTTCTGTACCTTCATCTTTACTTACAAATAAACCTGTGGATGATTTGATGAAGGATAAATGAACCTATTTCTTTTACACACATACCAAGGACATGCTTGTGACTAAAGTGAGTTGATAATATTGTGCAAAGGATAGTTGTCACCAACTCATTTCTTTCTGGTCCATAATGAAATAAACATTTTGTAGACTGTTAATTCTGTAAATAGATGCATGGTCAAAAGATCTATGATGTTCTTATAATCTTAATCTAATATATTTTAGATATTTTAATTTTTTCCCTTTTGGAGAACACATTTAGTATAGTGTAGAAAATACTTCATGACATTTGCATTAAGTTTATATAACTTTTCATACATAAACATGAAATTTGTTGTAGAAAATTCTTTAAACCAAACATTTAAATCTAAGACTTCAATTTAATTTGTTCCTTGTGTCTATTTTTATGTGGCCCTTAAAAACATATCCAAAAAACCAATAAAAATACTTTGGGTACTGACAAACTCTTCGGAGTGTTTATGTTACAAATTTGTATTCATGTTCTTTCCTGTGATGTGTTATCCTAAAACCCAAAATGGCTTTTGCACCATTTTTAAGCCAATTTTTTTCCTTTGATGTTGGCACCAGAATTACTATAAACGACTGCTGCTTTTGGGTGTAAACATTTTGTTAGTGAAGATATAACCAGAACAATAAATTATGGATAAAATTTTCAGAATAGGTGGCACAGGCAAATTTCACTAGGTTATATTTTGTGTAGTAAAGAAAAAAATTCTTTGGTAAATGTTATCTTAATTCAGACTACAATTTTAAGATTGTCTTATATGTATTATAGTAAATAGATGATTTTCAGAAAAAAATAACTCAAAGAGTATAATTGGATTGTTTGCAATTCCAAGAATAAATGCTTGAAGGGATGGATACCCCATTTTCCATGATGTGATTACTGCTTACTACATGCCTGTCAAAGTATCTCAAGTACCCCATAAATATATACACCTACTATGTACCTACAAAAATTTTTTTTTTAATTTTTAAGATCTTAAAAAAGAAAGCAGGCTGGTAAATCTAAACAAGTATTAGTATTATGAAACCTTAGTAATAATTGTTTTCAAGGAAGGTAGAAGTAGATATAAAGTAACTTTAGAGTTTATGCCAAGTATGTATGTTATGTTTAAGAGTAGCTTAACATAACATGTAAGAGTAGCTCCTAACAATAGGGGTAGAATATATAAGCTCCCAACTAGTATGATGAAATGAGTTTAAATCCATTAAGTCAAAGTAAGAAACAAGAAAAGAAAGAAAGAGCAGGGCAATTAGAAACTATAAAATAACATGGCAGAAGAAATGCAAATATACCATTAATCACAATATATGTAAATGAGATAAACACATTAACACAGAGTTTGTAGGATTAGATTTTGATAAAGTCTAACTAAATGATACTTGAAAGAAACACTTGAAATTACTACACAGAAAGGTTGAAAGTAAAAGAATGGAGAAAAGATAAACTCATTAAATACTAATGAAAAGAAATCTGGGTCAGAGGTAAGAATGTCAGATAGATTAAATTTTAGGCAAAAGGATTATAAGATTATGTCATAAAACATTAAATTAACCAATAACACACAACAGTTTCAACCTTGTATAAAACTAATACATAGTCTCAAAAATATAAAGAAAAAATGTACAGAATCAAGAAGGTAGATTGAGAAATCTAACAGCACATGAGAGATTAAAGAGAAAAAAATTTTGAACAAATAGTTACAGGTTGCTTCTTATGTGCCAGGCACTCTTTGAGTTGCAGGGGATGCTACAAAGAGAAAAATGAATTCTCATAAAAATGCTTGCCCTCATGGAGCTTATACTCTAGTAACATGTATATGGTATTCCGTGGGGGTGAGTACTATGGAAAAATAGAAGACAAAGGAGGAACACAGGGAGGGAGTTGGCCTTGCTGAAGAGTGTTTAGGAAAAGCCTCCCTGGAAATGTAGTTTTTGAGCAACATTTAATGGGGGTGAAGAAGCAAGAACAGACATCTGGATTTCTAAGGGAAGAGTATTTCAGAAGAAACAACAACTTCTAAGGCCTTAAACGGGGCATGTCCAAGAAACAGTAAATGGGCCAATATTTTTAGAATGTGTTGATTTAGAGGATGACCTAGTGGCAGGAGAATAAGACCAAAAGGTAAACACTGGAGAGAGAGAAAGTCACGCAGTGCCTGCAGGCTATTGTGTGAACCTGTGAGGAGGAGAGGATGTGGAATGGCAAAGTAAGGAAAGAGTCAAATCTCAACAAGCGTCACACTGGCATATTTTATGAAAAGTGGACTTAAGTTAGAAATCAGTGAAGAATAACTTAAAATTTATACAGTTGGACACTTACAAATGCATTTCTCAGTAACTTGTGGATCAAATATTACATATAACAAATATTTTAAAATACCTAGATGTGAACAAAACATAAATACAGCATATCAAAATGTATGGGCTATAGTCAAAGTATTATGAGGGGAATTTATATTCATAAATGCTTATTTATAAAAGCTCAAAAACCAGCTTAACAAGTTAGAAAATGAGGCCAGGTGTGGTGGCTCATGCCAGTAATCCCAGCACTTTGGGAGGTGGAAGTGGGCGGATCACGAGGTCAGGAGTTCGAGACCAGCCTGACCAACATGGAGAAGCCCCGTTTCTATTAAAAAGACAAAATTAGCCAGACGTGGTGGCAAATGCCTGTAATCCTAGCTACTTGGGAGGCTGAGGCAGGAGAATGGCTTGAACCCGGGAGGTGGAGGTTGCAGTGAGCTGAGATCGCGCCACTGCACTCTAGCCTGGGCAACAAGAGCAAAACTTGGAAAGAAAAAGGAAAGAAAGAAAGAAAGAAAGAAGGAAACGAAAGGAAGGAAGGAAGGAAGGAAGGAAGGAAGGAAGGAAGGAAGGAGGGAGGGAAGGAAGGAAGGGGAAAAGAAAAGAAAAGAAAAGCAGCAGAGTGTTCTTAAAGAAAACTGAGGGAAGAGAATATGTGGAATCTAAATCTAAAAAGGTCAAATACATAGAAGCACAGAGCAGAATGGTTGTTATGAGGGCCTGAAGGGTTGGGAGAAATGAGGAGAAGAAGGTTAAAGGGTACACACTTGCAGAATAAGATCTGAAAACCTAATGTACAGCATGATAACTACACTTCATAATAACATATTATGCACTTGAAATTTGCTAAGAGAGTAGATCTTAGCTATTCTCACCACATAACAACAACATAAGTGGCTAGGTGAGGTGATATGCTAATTACCTTAATTGTGGTTGCCATTTCATAATATATAGGTCTATCAAAACACCACATTGCATACCTTGAATATATGTAATTTTTATTTGTCAATTAGACCATAACATAGTTAAAAAAAAAGAGAGAGAGCATATGGAAAAGTAGGGAGGGAAATGAATACAGCAGAAAAGATTGATTAAACTAAAACTGAGTTCTTGAAAAAGACTAATAAAATTCTTAAACCTATTGCATGATTGACCAAGAACAAAAAGACAAAAAACAAAGAAATAATGATAGCAATAAAATCGGGACATAACTAGGTATCTATACAGAATTACAATGGAAGGAAATACTATAGTCACATTTTACAAAAATGAAAACTTAGGTAAAATTCAGTTTTTCAGAAAAAATATATTTCACAATATAGACTCAAAAAATTAAATAGATTTCTTTTTTTAAATAGATTTCTAGAAATACAAAGTAAAATGCAGGAAGAAGAAGAAGGAAAGAAGGAAGGAAGAAGGGAAGGAAGGAAGGAAGTAATCAAAAACTGGAAGAGAACAAGGATGCTGATTCTTAGTATTACTACTGTGTATTCAGTGCAGTAAGATGGCAAAAAAAATATGAGATACAAATACAGAATAGAAAGATTTGAAGGAAGAAATGATTTAATTTGTTGTTAGATTAATAATATATACTTATTAATTACAAAAAATAGTAAGTAAGCAGTGGAGAAGTCAGACAAAACCTTCCACATGTCATCAAAATAAACATTGCTAAGGGGCAAAAGATTATCACATGTGTCTTTAAGAAACATACATCACTTATGCAACGTTCTAGGAAAAATATCTAAAATCTAAATCTAAATGTAAGAAAAACATCAGACAAACTCGAATTGAGTTATACTCTGTAAAATACCTGTCCTTTATTCTTCAAACATGCCAATGGCATGAACAACAAACAATTGCCATAGAATTGTTTGTTGTTGTTCATGATTTTGAACTGGATTCTATACTGGAAAAATCATTGCTGTAAAGGAAAAATTATTGATGTAAGAGACAAAACTAGAATATAGATTATAGTTTAAATAAAAGTGTATTATAAATATTCAGTTTCCTGCATTTTATAACTGAACTGTAAATGTCTAAAAGTACGTATATCATTTTTCTTAAGAAATACACATTGAGGCCAGGTGTGGTGACTCACGCCTGTAATCCCAGCGCTTTGGGAGGCTGAGACAGAGGGAACACTTGAGCCCTGGAGTTTGAGACTAGCCTGGCCTATATGGCAAAACCCTGTCTCTACAAAAAAACACAAAAATTAGCTGGGCATCATGGTGCGTGCCTGCAGTCTCAGCTCCCAGCTACTTGGGAGGCTGAGATGGGAGGATCACTTGAGCCCAGGATAGGGAGGTTGCAGTGAGCCAAGATTGCCCCACTGCACTCCAGCCTGGGCGACAGACAGAATGAGATTCTGTCTCAAAAAATAAAATATATATATTGAATTTTTATGGCATGAAGGTACATAATGTATACAATTCACTGCCAAATGGTTCCGTGAAATTTTGCCATTGTGTCTATGTATCTAGAAATGGATAAAGATGATAAAATAAACATGATCATGTTTGAAATTGTCAATTCCAGATTGTATGGGAGTTCTTTTTAATATTCTTGCAACTTTTATATAATTTTGAAATTTTCTATAAGTTTGAATTTTTAAAAAACTAAAAAAGATAAAATATACAGTAACTACACAAGGACCAAGGAATAAGTCTAACAAGGGAGATACACAAACTTTTGGGAAGTAAATTATAAACCTTTATTAAAGACGTGAAATAGAATTTAGAAAATGGAGGAATATACCTTGTTTGTGGATAAAAAGTTATCCACAAACTTAACAAAACTTAAATATATACATATATATATACACACATATATATACACATATATATATACACACACACACACACATACACACAGTACTAGGAGAGAATCCAAACAAAGCATGATAGCTTCACTGAGTTGAAGAAACAGTGATTGGAGTTCAGTTAGTCTAAAGTCACTGGAATTGCAAAAAGTATTGGAAAAGAGTGAGCAAGGCAGGGAAAGAGCACCATAGCATTCACTGGAGTCTTCGGCTGAACACCAAGCTATGCATGGTTAGAGTATGGATCCGTGAGACTAGGCACAAAACTATAGGGGAAAGAACATCTACTAGGAAACTAAAACTGAACACTCACTAGAGCTTGCACAGGGCAGAGGAATAATTGGCATCTGACCAGGCAGAATGTAGAAAGCTCGTTAAACACCAAAGGCATTCAAAAGTGCACTCAGAAAGGTCAAGAATTAACAGTAGGGCTGAAGTATCTAGCATAGGGAACTATAAACCTGCCCTGACAGAATGCTTTTTTTTTGTAAAGCATTTAAAAATGCTTTTTTAAAATGCTTTAAAAAAATGCTTTTTTTCAAAAGCATTTAAAGAATCCAGCTGATCCGAAAGAAACTTAACCGCCTGTTAAAACAAAACTCAGTTCTCTTAAAAGAAAAATATCCTGACCTCAGTAATGTGATATTCACATTGCACAGTGTTAAAAAAAAAAAACCCAAATGTGAAGAAACAGGAAACTAGGACTCATAATCAGAAGAAAATCAATGAATAAAAATGGGCCCAGAAATGACAGAGATAATGCAATTGACAGACAAGGACTTGAAAACAACTATTATATAAAGATTTTTAAAGGAAAGCATAAAAATAATAAAAGCAAAGTAGAATAAAAATTAATATCATGGAATTCAAGGAAGTTGATGCATACAAGAATGAAGAGATGAATAAAGATCCTACAGGAAATGTGAACACATTGAGTCAAGGTGGATGGCAACACTGAAAATGAGAAGCATTTTTCTAAACCGGAACAAAATGAGATAGAATGGATGACAATGCCATCTCACACCAGTTAGAATGGCAATCATTAAAAAGTCAGGAAACAACAGATGCTGGAGAGGATGTGGAGAAATAGGAATGCTTTTACACTGTTGGTGAAAGTGTAAATTACTTCAACCATTGTGGAAGACAGTCTTGCAATTCCTCAAGGATCTAGAACCAGAAATACCATTTGACCCAGCAATCCCATTACTGGGTATATACCCAAAGGATTATAAATCATTCTACTATAAAGACACAGGAACACGTATGTTTATTGCGGCAGTATTCACAATAGCAAAGACTTGGAACCAACCCAAATGCCCATCAGTGATTGACTGGATAAAGAAACTGTGGCACATGTACACCACAGAATACTATGCAGCAATAAAAAAGGATGAGTTCATGTTCTTTGCAGTGACGTGGATGAAGCTGGAAACCATCATTCTCAGCAAACTATCACAGGGACAGAAAACCAAACACTGCATGTTCTCACTCATAAACAGGAGTTGAACAATGAGAACACATGGACACAGGGAGGGGAATATCACACATGGGGGCCTGTAGCGGGGTGGGGGGCTAGGGGAGGGATAGCATTAGGAGAAATACCTAATGTAGATGATGGGTTGATGGGTGCAGCAAGCCACCATGGCACGTGTATACCTATGTAACAAACCTGCACGTTCTGCATATGCACCTGAGAACTTAAAGTATATATATATATACACACACACATATATGTATATACATATATGTATATATATATGGATGGTAATGCAAAAAAAAACAGTAATTGCATCTAAGAAATAGCAAAAGCTTTCCTATCAAATGGCCTTGTTGAGTATGAAAGTTTCATGGGAAAATCAGAAAAAGTCAGTAGGAATTAAGAGAAATAAAATGATGCAAGAAAGTGGAAGCAAATTATACGACAAAACTAAAATATATATATATATATATGTATAAGATGATTTTGAAGATCAAAGCTATATTAAATGTATTAATTAGTAGAAAAAGCTAACATATTACATGACTTTTGCCATCATAGTTTTAAGACTAGGAGGCCAATATGATACAAGGTTAGTCAATAACCAAAAAAAAAAGTAGGGTGTTAGTTAAACCAAGCTACATAGAAAGATCTCAAGATAGAAACGACATAATTGAATAATAGAAAGCCATCAACTTTCTAGAGATCATAAAAATGGCAGAGTTGATTCAAGAGAACTTGGGGAATGGCAACTGGAGAGATGACTGTGTCAGAGAGACCACAACCCTTCAGAAGAAGGTGCGAATCAGGGCCTGGTCCTGCATGCAGGTGATTGAATTAGAAATGAAACAAGACTGAATTAAAGTAAGGATATAATGGAGCTGATAAGAGAAAGGTGTGTGTGTGCATGCGTGTACTCTGTGATGGGATAGACACAAGTACAGAAACCTTCAAGGAATTTTGAGGATCTTTCTGTTGATTGGTTGACAAGGAATGTCATACATTCAGTCACATGCTGCTCTTTTGGGAGGATGGCATGTTAGGAGGCCCTTACTGAGGCATGAGATATATAAGCTCTCATATTTGCTTTAAAAAGGTATCTGGGTGTTATGGTAACAGGAAAAACACACTAGCCCAAACCACATTCCTCTAGCCTGCCATACTTGTACACCAACTCTATAAAAGACCTTTAGCTTAACGTTTTGTTTTCTGTTAAAATTTTAAAAATTCTTGAAAGGAGTATTCACCTAAACTGATCCTTCATTTGTTTTGTGGAGCTGATGAATTTATCGAATCTTTTTTTCTGACAGTAATTTGAATAAAAAGAAAGGAGGAAAATACTAGGTCATAGAGAAGTTCCAGTAAGAAGAAAATACTGCATCAAAGAAGAAGCTAGGAATACAGAATTCATTATTTAACTGAGCTCACTTCTGCCTGCCACACCTTGTACATACCTGGGCCGTACAACTCTGAAATGAGGTGTGGCCCAGTGTTCCAGGATGAGTCCAGGCAGAGACTTTTCCTGAACCCCTGTCAAATTTGCTGCTCAAAAAGCTTGAGTTTAAGCCAAATCCAATAAAAGGAAAGATTTCACTCACTATGTGGTAAGCTTGGTTTTCCTGATTTCTCAGCGAGATTGTCTACAGAAGATCTAATGGAAAAAAACGTTGTTATATATAATCTCTGGGTGTGCCTGAGACTGGGGGCAGGGTGGGAAAGTGAAGAAAAAGGGTGCATGCTATTTGATTATCTGTATCCAGGTAGTTAATCCCTTTCTTTGAATAAGTCAAAATGATTTGACAGCCATTATTTAAAAATAGGTTCTGTCTTAGAACTTAAAAACAGATGAAAGTACATTTCCTATTTTCCTGCTTGAATATATAGGTATCTACTGTTTATTCTTTATTTTTTTAATATCTATGTGTGCTTTTTTAAATGTATAACTAAAGCAACAAAATTTTAAGAATCTCTGTTTTGTCATTGTTCACGTAACAGTGAGAGACAGAGACCAAGTGTCAGGAGAATCTTGTCCTTCAGTGGTTACTCAGGATTCTGATGCTCACGCTATGCTTACAGGGGCAGGGTAATAGCCTTTTCACTGCAGTCTAGCCCTAGGCCTTTGAAATGCTACCATCCCAGCGAGATTAAAAAAGGACTGCTTAAAGATGGTTAGATGTTGGGAGTATGTGGTATGTAATTCTACCGTTCATTGATTTTGACAAAGCATTTTAACTACCTACATAAACTGTGTCCAAAATAACCACTTACTGTGTTATTGCAATGTTTGCATTGCCAACTTCATGAACAGAGTTTCTAAAATTATGTGACTTTATATAGATAATAGTCTACTGATGCAGTAATCTATGACATTCAAGATTTGTAATTAATGCCACATATCTACAACTATCTGATCTTTGACAAACCTGACAAAAACAAGAAATGGGGAAAAGATTTCCTGTTTAATAAATGGTGCTGGGAAAACTGGCTAGCCATATGTAGAAAGCTGAAACTGGATCCCTTCCTTACACCTTATACAAAAATTAATTCAAGATGGATTAAAGACTTAAATGTTAGACCGAAAACCATAAAAACCCTAGAAGAAAACCCAGGCAATACCATTCAAAACATAGGCATGGGCAAGGACTTCATGTCTAAAACACCAAAAACAATGGCAACAAAAGCCAAAATTGACAAATGGGATCTAATTAAACTAAAGAGCTTCTGCACAGCAAAAGAAACTATCATCAGAGTGAACAGGCAACCTATAGAATGGGAGAAAATTTTTGCAATCTACCCATCTGACAAACGGCTAATATCCAGAATCTACAATGAACTCAAACAAATTTACAAGAAAAAAACAAACAACCCCATCAACAAGTGGGTGAAGGATATGAACAGACACTTCTCAAAAGAAGACATTTATGCGGCCAAAAGACACATGAAAAAATGCTCATCATCACTGGCCATCAGAGAAATGCAAATCAAAACCACAATGAGATACCATCTCACACCAGTTAGAATGGCGATCATTAAAAAGTCAGGAAACAACAGGTGCTGGAGAGGATGTGGAGAAATAGGAACACTTTTACACTGTTGGTGGGACTGTAAACTAGTTCAACCAAGTCAGTGTGGCGATTCTTCAGGGATCTAGAACTAGAAATACCATTTGACCCAGCCATCCCATTACTGGGTATATACCCAAAGGATTATAAATCACGTTGCTATAAAGACACATGCACATGTATGTTTATTGCAGCACTATTCACAATAGCAAAGACTTGGAACCAACCCAAATGTCCAACAACGATAGACTGGATTAAGAAAATGTGGCACATATACACCATGGAATACTATGCAGCCATAAATAATGATGAGTTCATGTCCTTTGTAGGGACATGATTGAAGCTGGAAATCATCATTCTCAGCAAACTATCGCAAGGACAAAAAACCAAACACCGCATGTTCTCACTCATAGGTGGGAATTGAACAATGAGAACACATGGACACAGGAAGGGGAACATCACACACTGGGGCCTGTTGTGGGACGGGGGGATGGGGGAAGGATAGCATTAGGAGATATACCTAATGTTAAATTACGAGTTAATGGGTGCAGCACACCAACATAGCACATGTATACATATGTAACTAACCTGCACGTTGTGCACATGTACCCTAAAATTTAAAGTATAATAATAAAAAAAAAAAACTGAAAAAAAAAAAAGAAAATGGCAAGGCCTTGCTCCAAAATCCTCAAGGCCTCCGCTAAGACTCACCTATGGGAACCTGCCAAAGGCTCCAAACAGCATCCCTATCTGCCAGTGATACCTCAAACCATTGGATCTCCTGGGTCATATGGCCCAAGTGGCAGAGCAGCTTGCACAGCAGCCTGGACCTGTTGCAGAGCCTTCTCCTGTTCTGGACCCCACTCAAAACTGAGAGCCTTTTGGGTCACCTGATAAATGGGCTACAGTAACACACCCAAATGAGGAATGTGTTGCTTCCAACATCCAAACAGGCCCACTAGGCATTGTTTCTCCTTCTTGGTTGTAGGAGAGGCCAAATGCAACAACTTATCCTTCAGCTTAGAAGGAATATCTCTACATGCCCCACACCACTGGACCCCTAGAAATTTTACTGAGGTAGAAGTTTCCTGAATTTTAGTCAGATTTATTTCCCATCCTCTGGCATGCAAACATCTCACCAAAAAGTCCAGTGTGTTTGCTACTTCTTGCTCACTGGGTCCAATAAGCATAATGTCATCCATGTAATGGACCAGTGTGATATCTTGTGGAAGTGAAAAGTTATCTAGATCTCTCCAAATAAGATTACGTCACAAAGCCAGATAACTGATATACCCCTGAGGTAGGATTGTAAAGGCATATTGCTGTCCTTGCCAGCTGAAGGCAAATTGCTTCTGGTGGGCCTTATAGACAAGAATGGAGAAAAAGGCATTTGCCAAATCAATGGCTGCATACCAGGTACCAAGAGATGTGTTAATTTGCTCAAGCAATGAAACCACATCTGGTACAGCAGCCACAGTTGGAGTCACCACTTGGTGAAGCTTATGATAATCCACTGCCATTCTCCAAGATCCATCTGTCTTCTGCACAGGCCATATGGGAGGGTTGAACAGAGATGTGGTGGGAATCACCACCCCTGCGTCTTTCAAGTCCTTGATGGTGGCACTAATCTCCACAATCCCTCCAGGGATGCAATATTGTTTTTAATTTACTATTTTTCTAGGTAGAGGCAGCTCTAATGGCTTCCATTTGGCCTTTCCCACCATAATAGCCCTCATCCTACAAGTCAGGGAGCCAATGTGGGCGTTCTGCCAGCTGCTAAATATGTCTATGCAAATTATACATTCTGCCACTGGGGAAATGACCACAGTATGATTCCAGAGACTTACTGGACCCACTGTAAGTTGCACCTGAGCTAAAACTCCATTAATTACCTGACCTCCATAAGCCCCTACTTTAACTGGAGGACCACAGTGACGTTTTGGGTCCCCTGGAATCAAAGTCAGCTCAGAGCCAGTGTCCAGTAGTCCCTGAAATGTCTGATCATTTCCTTTTCCCCAGTGCACAGTTACCCTGGTAAAAGGCCAGAGGTCTCCTTGGGGAAGGATGGGAGAAAGATTCACTGCATAAATTGTTGGTAATATAGTGAGGTCCTTCCTCAAGGGGGCCCAGCCTCCCCTTCATTCAAGGGGTTCTGTGTTTGTAAACTGGCTCAAGTCTGGAAATTGGTAGAGGGGCTGTTGCTCTCTGTTTTTGTAATTCAAATTAGTCTTTTCCATTCAACCTGCAAGTTTTCTGTTTGTATAGCTTAAGTAGGAATGCAGTAGGCTTCCTCTCAATTTCACTTCTAGGAACACCATGATTAATTAGCCAGTACCAGAGCTCTACACAAGTCAGACTATTCTGATTGCCGCTTTGCCTCTGCTGTCCATTACAGCAGCTATGCCCACCTTGCCTTTGAAGGTTGAGTGCTGCCATTTGGCCCCTGCCAGCTCAGTTATTCCCATTGTATTTAAATTTTGTAGTTGAGTGACTGAGGTTCTCATCATTAGATCTGACATACAGAGAAGAGCAATTACAGAGCACTTCAAAGATGCAGGTGCTGCCCTCACAAATCTATTTTGCAAGGCACTGGTCAAGGGTATATCTTCTGGCCCCTCCCATCTGGGATGAGTAGGTCTAAAGTGATTAATCCACTCCACCATCCCAATCTCCCTAAGCCTGTGGATCCCTTTCTCTACATTAAACCAAAGGAGATCAGGCATTTCCAGCTGGCTCACAGTGGCCATCTTTTAATCCATATTTCAGCTAACCAAGGAAATAAACTATCAGAACTTTTTTTAACTCCCCAAGCTGCAACATTAAATGCAGAGTTCTTACTTAGTGGGCCCAAATCAATAAATTCAGCCTGATCCAACTCTATGTTCCTTCCACCATTATCCCATCCCCATAATATTCATTTCCCATGCCTGTTCTCCAGATTGCTGTTTATGTAAATTAGAGAACTCAAACAGTTCTTTTCGAGTGTAGGGCACCTCCTCATGGGTCATACTCTTAACCTCACCTCTAGGGGCCTGCTGGGACTTTAGTCTAGTTATAGGTCTATAAGCAAACAGATGTATTGGGGGTGGCTTCTGAGGAGAATCAACATTATCTTGCCTGGCAACTGCCTCAGGGGAGGCCATCACTCTTGCCTCAAGCAGTGCAGGGTTTATCTCCCCAGACAAAGGTGGAAAGGCTCATGGCAGAATGCGTCAGGGAGGGGATGTTGTCACTACTGGGGATGGGGAAGCTGCTCCTTCTGGCAAAAAAGTTCATCAGAGTTTACAAGCTCAGTGTCCCCAGCTTCATCGGGGTCCTCCCACACATCCCCATTCCAAGTTGCAGGATCCCATTCTTTTCCAATCAATGCCCTCACTTTAACAGTAGACACCTGGTGAGGCAGTGCATAAACCTTTCATTGCAGGTCAGCCACTCGCGTGATAACAGCTTATGTCTGTTTTTCCACAATTTCAGTTCTTTCTCTACAGGAGATAAGACTCTCATTCAGGGAAATCTTAGCAGATTTGAGGCTCAGTGTCTGCTTCTGAAGCTGGGAGACAGAATCCCTGAGTTCATCATTTTCTTTCATCGCTGTGTTCACAGGATTTAGGAGCAACCAACCAGCTTCATTATATTCCTTGGTTCTCCACATATGATCAAAGGTATTATGTTTAGAGTCACTAAACTCCTTGCCTCTCATGAGTGGTGAATCAGGAGGTTCAAATGCATTTATTTTGCATAACTCTCTAAACAGTTTACACCAAGGACTATCAGTGTTCTCCATACTATAAGTAGAGTTCTTAGCATTTTGGGGTGTAATCATATTAAACAGCCAACTCCAGAACTCCATCCTTAATATTCTGTTTCTCTAGAACCATTCCTGGTACCAAAATCTGTATTAGTCAGGGTTCTCTTAGAGGGACAGAACTTAAACTAACAGGATACATATATATCCTATTAGATAGGATAGACAGAACTAATAGGAGATATACATATATAATATATGTGTATGGGAGTTTAGTAAGTATTAACTTACATGCTCACAAGGTCCCACAGTAGGTTGTCTGCAGGCTGCAAGCTGAGGGGCAAGGAGAGCCAGTCGGAGTCCCAAAACTGAAGAACTTGGAGTTCAATGTTCGAGGGGAGGAAGCATCCAGCAAGGAGAAAGATGTAAGCTGGGAGGCTAAGCCCGTCTCTCCTTTTCATGCTTTTCTGCCTGCTTTATATTCGCTGGCAGCTGATTAGATTGTGCCCACCAGGTTGAGGCTGGATCTGCCTTCCCCAGACCACTGACTCAAATGTTAATTTCTTTTGGCAACACCCTCCCAGACACAAGTAGGATCAATACTTTGTATCCTTCGATCCAATCAAGTTGACACTCAGTATTAACCATCACAACACCAGAGACAGACAATTAAAAAAGAAAGAAAAAAATGATCAATAAGATTTGAAATGTCACCCTAAATAATAAACAAATAAATACACATAAAAATAAGTATAAATACCATGATTTTATTATTAAATTAGGGAACAGCTCTTTTTTCGGAGATGTAAGTAAATCTTTATTGTGGATATTCAGTGTAGTGTAAAACAGACAAAACTGCAAACTTCCCAAATAGATTAGCAAAATCCAAGATGTGCAAATCCAAGATGACATAATAAGCAGCTGATAAAAATCAGGATTTTTTTTGTAATCTTTGTAGGTATATAGTAGGTGTATATATTTATGGGGCACATGAGATATTTTGATACCGGCACTCAAATGTGTAATAATCACATCATGGAAAATGGGGTATCCATCTTAGGAAATAATTTAAATAATAAGACACTTGGGGAGACAAGATGATCTTTGTACTTTGCAACGTAAAAGAGCATGTTGCAATGCAATATGTGCAGAATATTTCATTTTCATACAAAATAAACATACGTGTATATAATGTTAATTAATCATAGGGTATAACTTTGTATATACAACATGATATACACTATAAGCGAGAAGGTATGTGCACACATACAGAAAAATATTTACATGCAGAAGGAAATACACCAAACTATGGATAATAACTGGTCCTAGGCCATGAATTATGGATTCCTTTTCTTATATCTTTATACTGTCTCTGTTTCTCAGAATGTCAACTGTCAACATGAACATTTCTGGTGATCAGGAAAGCTGCTATCAGATAAAAATGATTGAGAATAAAAATTCCAAAGGAATACACAGCTTACATAAGTACTGATAAAATTTTAGCTGAACATAAAACCAAGCAGCTATAAATGAGGCAACCAAAATTTAAACTTTCTACTCTAGCTACAAATAAAATATCCCACAAAGGTTTGTAAGGATGTATAATTTCTTTGTCTCATTGTGATAATTACAAAACTAAATTTGCCCAGTTCTATAATATTGTAAGGACTAAATGAACAGCATTGTTCTATATAGAAATGCTAAAATCTGAAATAAATGAAATCAATAGTGATCTACCCAATGCGGCTATCCCTAATCCATGTCCTGCATCTCCTATTATTTGGGTCACTTCCTGAGATTACCCAAGGCAAAAGCACATGCCCCTTGGATGAGAAGGAGGGGGCCAGATCTCTCCTTTGCACAGGAATTGAATCAGCCCTTGAGCTTGGCTGACTGGACCTGCAAAAGGGAAACCAGAGTGTGGCCTGAGGTTGAACTTCAACACACACCCTGGTGAGGCACGACAGATAGAAACTCTGTATTTATCTCCAGGACTTCCTGAAATCCCAAGACATTTTTCAAGAAATTTAAAAACTGATGTCTCTATCTGAATCTCTCCAAAAGGAAAATGAAAATGAAAGAGGGAAGATGGTAGGTGAGAGATGGCAGCTGTGTGAAGACGCCTGAGGCATGTGGACAGGCTTAGGAGGAAGAGAACGGAGGTCACCCTGCAGTGGGGCAAGGAGGGGAAGGCAGCAGAAAGAACAAGCTAGTCTAGGCCCATGGAATCTCTAAAGGCACCACAGCTGGCAGCAGAGCTACCTCTAAAGGCTGGGCTTGGAATGTGGCTGAAGGAAGGGGTGGATTAAAGGTCCACATGAAACAGCAAGACCCCAGATGTCCAGTTCCAGCCACAGCACAAGAGGCCATCCCTCCCCAACCTTAGCATGGACCAGCCACCCATGCAGGCTCCTGAAGCAGCTAAGAGCAATTTGAGAAACATTTCTTACTATAGATTCTCTCTTATAAGTGAGAGTGAGTCCAAATGAATAAAGACATACAGTCCTGGGCTTCAAGATACTGAAATCTGTTGAGTATCATGCTGAACTTTGATGGAGCCTCATCCCTTTAGATCTGGGGCCGTAGACGTCAGAAGGTTGTATGAAGGAGGCACCTATATGAGAAGCTTTGTGATCCCTTTTATTTCAAGAAGGCTTCTATTTGGGACGTGGAGCTTACGGTTAATCCACATTTCAGAGGGTATTATTGCAAATTAGTCAACAAATCTCTAGGCTTTTATGACTTCCATGTGTCGAAATGAAGAGCAACCAACCAAATGAAATGACCCATGAATATTTTTTAATAAAATAGGACACAAAATTGACTTAACATGCATTCAAATGCCCTAGAATTTATTTGTTGCACTTTGTAACAGAGGTCAACATGTGCCAAGATTGTTTTCATTTATTTCCTTAATACTAAATCAGCTTTAGCAAAGAGGAATAAAATTCCCAAGTACTTACTATATCCGAGCCAAATTATTCAATCACCTTGGAACTATTGAATCAGTTTAATTTTTTCACTGGTAACTTGTTATTCACAGTTCTAGATGTTTATTCATGTAACTAAACTAAATACATTGAAAACAGCTTCAAATTCTGTGCAAGATTACAAGAGGTTGTGTGCGTGTGTGTGTGTGTGTGTGCAATCTTATACCTATATTATATACATAGATATGACAGAGAAAAAGAGAGATTCCATAAGTACATTTTGGTTTGTGTTTGCTATTTGCTGTGGTCATGTGCAACCACATAGTTGGCACATAATACATGAACTACTTTTATCCGTGCTTTCCAGTCATGACACCAAATTTAGCCCTTTTACAAATAATATTTAGACTATCTGTTGATGTATTTGGTATGGCTAGAAGAAATTTTTTTTTATTTCCCAAGTGCTGAAAGCAGCCACACCAGTCTCACCTCTTAGGAGCTAACTCTGGGGTAACTTTATAAAGTCAATTAAAAGAAAGTTTGAAGGAAGCTGCATTTGCCACAGTGCAGAAAACAAGAAGCAGCAGGGAAATTGCAAATCTTGCCAATTGTGGGTTCTGCCATTCTGGGATGCAGAAATAAAAAAAAATTAAAAGGCCAGTGCTGGCCCCTGGGATTTCTTTTTCTCTGGGTCCAGCACTTTGGACTCCAGTCAACCCCGGCAGCTGGCATCCCAGACCAGTTTTAGTCGGCAGGTTGGAATCCTGGCCATTCCCACTCAGTGCCTTCATCTGTACCCACCACACATAAAGGGCTGTTTGAATGAGACCTTAAGAATCAGAGCTCTGCCTATTCTTCATTTTGGGCAAGATTCATCTTTGTTCCTCAAGAGACAATGGCTGTGCTCCCTTTCCTCTCAGTTGAACTCTTGGCAACCCACAGAGAGTAGGGCATCTGCTTCTGCGTGTTCAGTTCCCACTGCACTCACTGTTCGGATTGCACACACCAACTCTCCAAATGCGTTCGAAATAGATCTGTGGCTCTTGAGTGAGTTCTGTGAGCTTCACAGCTGAGATGTGTGTCCCTCATCACCAAGTGGATGTGGGAACAGTGACGATGACTCAGAGCAGGAATGAAGCCATGTTCCTCCCCCTGCATCCTGGAAGCCATGACATTCGATTATGGAGGAAATATGTGGTGGGTCCTCATGTGTATGAGGTCTACACAAGGTGTTGGTGGTGTAAAGTCAGGTGAAACATGATCCCAGCCCTCAAGGATATTTCAATTCAGAGATGAAGAATCTATCAGAATGCGATGCATGCTAGGTCATTCAACAAATACACATGTGTATCTACTACCTGCTGATCTTATGGGAGGTCATTTCAACCTCGACTCCCAGTTTTCTCTCCCACCCACATCCTACTTGTTGCAAATCCTGCCCCATCTTCTATGTGTATTCAGGATCCAACCCTCCTTCGATTGCCTCCAACCTGCCTGGAGCCATCAGCGCCTCTGCCAACTGGGTGCTCAGTTCTACTCTTTTTTTTTTTTTTTGAGACGGAGTCTCACTCTGTCTCCTGTCTTCCAGGCTGGAGTGCAGTGGCACGATCTCGGCTCACTGCCACCTCCATCTCCTGGGCTCAAGTGATTCTCCTGCCTCAGCCTCCCCAGTAGCTGGGATTACAGGCGCGTGCCACCATGCCTGACTAATTTTTGTATTTTTAGTAGAGATGGGGTTTCGCCATGTTGGCCAGGCTGGTTTCAAAATCCCAACCTCAGGTAATCCACCTGCCTCGGCCTCCCAGTGTTGGGATTATGGGCGTGGGCCACCGCGCCCAGCCCCTGTTCTACTCTTTACCTCTGCTATCTGTTCTCCAGGCAGCAGCCAACAATGGTTCTTATAAAATGTGAGTCAACGATGAGAGGTCCTTGCTCAAAATATTGCAAAGGCTCCCAAACAGATGAGAAATATGACCTGAATCTCCCCCGTGGTCCACAGGCCTCACAGGATCGAGGTCACCGTCAGCCCACAGAGCTCATCTCTGGCTCTAGCTGCACTGGCACCCGGCTGGCCGCCCAGCCTTCCTTGCTCTCCTTTGGACGTCTCCCTCCCCAGCGGGCCCCAAGTTGGGGCCTGCCCTCCCTGGGGACCCTCTGCCTGCAGCTCTCTTCCCTCACAAGTGCACAGGGATCAGCTCACTCAAGTCTGTGTTAGATGTCGCCTTCTCAAGTGGCCTTCTCTGACAGTTGAAAAGTCACGACGCCTCTTCATCCTCCCTCTCCCCTACTCATTTTCTCTCATTTCTCTGAAGTGCTTATGACATTTCAGCATGCTTCACAGTCAGCTCTTGCATGGGGTCAGCATGTGCCTCCATGCAGTAAAATGCAAGCTCCCTAAGGAGCAGTTTTGTTTACTGCTCTATCTCCAATTTCTAAAACAGTTCCTGCAGCAGAGGAGCATGAAAAAAATTGAGCAGGGACTGAGTGTTGGATCCCAAAACACTTTTCAAAATGCTCACCCCCTGGTGTTGATGATTTAAACACTAACTGGTGCTAACAAGCCCATGCCCCTGTGTCGTGTTACAGGGATGGACAACGTGCAGTGGGGCATGGAATGCACTCGCCTAACTCAGCCTGACGGGATGAGGAGAGCTTCTGGAGGAGGTTGCATGCAGGCCAGGTTTTGTGGCAGAAAATGGGGCTCTTCTAGGAGATGGGGTGTGGGGGAAATGCTGACAGGCAGAGGAAGCCCCTTCCTCCCACCTTGTCAGTTCTCCTTTTCTTTCTTGCTATAAAGAATGAGAACATGGCAGGACTGGTGATGCAGCCAGTGAAGCAGACATGCAGGATGCCACACAGGCACAGAGCAAAGCTCCCTTAAAGGTGAGGTCGGCAGAGGTTCCTAGCGGAGATGACCCTGAAAACTAAGTTTTGAAGAATAAGTATGGAATGTTTGGAGGTTCTGCAGGACCTCAAGTGAGAAACAGTGAGTGGCTGAGCTAGTGCAATGACCATGGAGTGAGGAGGACAAGGTTGATAGGAGAGGTATTAAGGGGATGGCATCACTGGGCATGGTGGCTCATGCCTGTAATCCCAGCACTTATGGAGACCGAGGTGGACGGATCACCTGAGGTCAGGGGTTTGAGACCAGCCTGGGCAACATAGACACCCCATCTCTACTAAAAATACAAAAATTAGCCGGGCATGATGGCGGGTGCCTGTAATCCCAGCTACTCATGAGGCTGAGGGAGGAGAACCACTGGAACCTAGGAGACGGAGGTTGCAGTGAGCTGAGATTGCACCACTGCACTCCAGCCCGAGTGACAGAGTAAGACTCAGTCTCAAAAAAAAAAAAAAAGGGTGAGGGGAGGGATGGAATCTGAGGAGGCGGACACTGACGGGATGTGGTGGGGGCTGGAGGAGGGAAGCCACTCAGATGAAGCCCTGGGGTGCTGCCTGGATGGCTGGAGGAATAGCAGTGCCATTAGCAGAGGAAACAGAGGCCAGGCGCTAGGCAGAGGAAAAGGCATCTAGAATCAATGACCTGGAGGTGCCTGTGGGAAATAGAAGTGACGTCTCTGTGACTACCTGGTGTATGGTTAGATGGGTCTGGAGCTCAGATATGGATGATGTTTAGCTTCATTATTTGCTGGTTTATTCTAAAAAATTTAAACATATGCCGAGATTAGGAAAATAAGATAGTGGACCCTATACGTATCCATCACCAAGCTTCCAAGATTGTCATTCCACTGCCAATCTGGTTTTACCTATGCCCTCACCTATGCCCAACCTTAACTATTTTGAAGCAAATAGCAGACATCACATCTTTTCATCCATAAATGTCTCAAGAATGAAGATTTTTTTAAACACACAATACCTCTATCACACCAAAATATTAGCAATAATTTCTTAATATTATCAAATATCCAGTTATGTACAAATTTTTCCCATTGACTAATACGTATTTTTAAAATCTGAATCAGAATTCAAACCAGGATGTCTCTTAAGGTTTTTGCAGACTCTAAAATCTTTCTCTCTCTCTTTCTTTCTCCTGCCATCTTTCTCTCTCTCTCCATTTTTTTACCTCCCTTCTTCCCTTACTCTTTCTCAATTTATTTGTTGAAGAAAGTGAGTAGTTTGTTGGTAGAATTTTATATAGTCTACATTTTGCTGATTGTATCCCAATGATGCCCTGTCTCCTATATTTCCTGTTAACTGGTAATTCAATCTAGATATTTTATCACATCCACGTTCAAATTTTTAGCAATAAAATACAACAAACCCCCCATATCTGTGTGTCCTGCACTCATGGATTCAAGCAACTGCAGATAGAAAATAGTTTTTAGAAAATCGTGTCTGTACTGAACATGTATAGACTTCTTTTTTCTTGTCATTATTTCTTAAACAATAAAATATTGTAACTATTACATAACATTTACATTGTATTAGATATTATAAGTAATATAGAGGTGATTTA
The DNA here is from genome assembly GCF_000001405.40 of Homo sapiens. Classification (NCBI taxonomy): domain Eukaryota; kingdom Metazoa; phylum Chordata; class Mammalia; order Primates; family Hominidae; genus Homo; species Homo sapiens. Next base: position 54,959,614 of record NC_000007.14, read on the forward strand.
AATCATATGGGAGAATGTATGTAGGCTACATACTAATACGAAGCCATTTTTTATCAGGAGCTTGAGCATCTGTAGATTTTGGCACCCACGGGGGCCCTGAAAGCAGTGCCTGCAGATGCTGAGGGATGCCTGCCCTCATGCGATGCCAGCACTTCCAGCACTAGGCACAGAAGCCCGCTAGCCTCACCTTTCTGACATTAGCAGACACTGGTGGTAAGGGCCCAACCTATTATTTCATTAGATGTGAAAAGATGCTAACAGTCAACTCCACCAATCCTTCCTTATTGCTTATCAGCTGGAAGAGATCACCAGAAGTCACGAAACAGCAGTGCCAGGCCGGGATGAGGACATCCAGGAAGAGGGTACAGGGTGAGGCCTGGGGACCCTCAGCACTTCAGGAGAAATGAGAAGGGGGGATGCTGAGAACAGCCTGGAAAGTGAAGGTCCTGCCAGAGGGGAGAATGCCTTCAAAGAAGCCAAGGTGGAGGAGCGTCATAAGCGACAGGGAGGGCCACAGTACCCAGCATCCTGGCATAACAAAGAGATAAAGCAGGAGAATCACATGGAAACGACAGTTCCTTGACCACAATTTCCATCATTGTATTTGAAGGAATGAAAGGCGATTGACCTTGATTTAGCGCCCTATATGACACCTCCAGCCTCCAAAGCTGGCTTCCACGCAGGAGGCATGACTTTCCCCTGCATTCCCATTCCCACTCGCCTTCCTCTGCCTGTGGGAAGCAGTCAGGATAATCTAGGCTGATTTGCTTGAAGAAGCAGATGATACATGATTGGGGGAAAAGCAACAGCCTGTCCTTGTTTTTTTGTTTTTTTTTTAAGTCTAGTCTCTGAGTAAAAGGAAAGTCTCATAAAACATAGTAGCAACCCATTTAGAAGCTGTGATGAGAAATCGCAGTTTCCTCATTGGCCAACCCAGAGAAAGGCTTTCCTCTTCAGGGGGATGGCACAGAGTTGGAAAGGAAATGAAGACAATGCAGGCAGTATCGGTGGACTCCTGAGAAAATGATGACTCAGGCAGTTGGTGGGGAGAAGTGTCACATTGTCTGAGGATGTCCAATTGCAAGGGGGAATTATGCCCCTTAAGTAGGTGGAGCCAAGGGAGGTAGCAAGAACTAGCCCAAAAGTATATATGGATGTGATTAGTCACAATGGCTGTAATAGTCATACAGGGCTCCCTTCCCACCATGGTCCAGGAAGCAACTGACTCCAGGGGCCTGAGAATGGTACTGAAGCAGAACGAAATCCTCCTTGACCCTAACAATACTGAAACAAAGTGTGATTCAGCAGCAAGCCACCCTCAGGAGCCTAGGACCAAGGACTAAATGGATTTTCAGCCATTGTCAGAGTGGATGGGTAAAGTCAAGGACCTGCCTACACAGATGACCCCCACCCACCCAGCATCACGATGACCATGATCTGTGCTGCTTCTATGCAAGCCCCTGACTATCTGCGAAACACCGGGAATTGAAGTGAGACACAAATCCAAATTAGGTTTCTGTCAAATAGCAAGATGGAGTTAAAAAGGAAATTGAGTTAGTGTTTAAAATAGAAAGAGAGAGGACAGAGGGAGGGAGGGAAGGAAGAAAAGAAAACAAGAAAGTTACAATTCTTTATATACAAATTCATGTCTAGATGTTTATGTATTACACACTCTCCTGCCCACACACACCCACCTCTAAAATTTGGAAAACAATAATTTTGAAAGCCCAATATTTGCTAATTCTTAATTTCTTCTACTAGTAGCAACAAGGAGTTAAATTTTCTTTCCTTCTATTCGGAGGCATTTCTGCCCTTAGAGACCAGCCCACATCAGGTAATAACACGGCAGCCTCAAATTGAGACCCTTCATGTTTGTTATGCTCATTTCATAATCATTGTCATCTCTGATGAGTCATTTCACCCTCACCATAAATCATTTATGACACTTGAATATAAATATGAAAATAGAAAGCTTTATTTTAAAAGTGTAAGCAGGCTGGGCATGGTGGCTCATGCCTATAATACCAGCACTTTGGGAGGCCGAGGTGGGTGGATCACCTGAAGTCAGGAATTTGAGACCAGCCTGGTCAATGCAGTGAAACCCCGTCTACTAAAAACACAAAAATTAGCCAGGTGCGGTGGGGGTGCGCCTGTAATCCCAGCTCTCCAGAGGCTGAGGCAGGAGAATTGCTTGAACCTGGGAGGGGAGGTTGCAGTGAACCCAGATCACAACACTGCCCTCCAGCCTGGGTGACAGAGTGAGACTCCTTCTCAAAAAAAAAAAAAAAAAAAAAGTAAGCAACAAACTCCAAGCTATAAAACTTTTGAAAGTTTTGCATCCCTGAGGCCATGTAGCCAGGCAATGCCTGGGTAGTGAGCACTTGGGTTGTTAGCCTGGTGTTGCTCTTTGTCCTGGGCTCAGAGCTGGGGCCGACAACACATACAAACCACCCACATCTTGGCAAATATATGCCGCCATTGTCACGTTTCCACCAGCTCGAAAGTGAGGTTAAAAAAAATAATCCTTACCAGCCTCAAGCTCTAAGAAGGGAAACTCATTGCAAAAGGATCAGAAGGAAAAATAAATAAATAATTTTATTCTCTTCTCTATAGCTTATCCACACCCTAATTAGCAGCAGGATCCTAATCCATATCCTGCTAATACATATCCTATTGGTTCTGTTTCTTTGGAGAACCCCTGACTAATACATCAATACTCTGCAGAGATTTCTTGATTTAAAATAACAATGATATTTTGGGTGAGGAGTAATTAAGTGATTCTAAAGTTTATCTGTAAGCATACATAGAAGAGTTAGAAAAGAGTGTTTGCTATTGTGAATAGTGCCGCAATAAACATACGTGTGCATGTGTCTTTATAGCAGCATGATTTACAATCCTTTGGATATATACCCTGTAACGGGATGGCTGGGTCAAATGGTATTTCTAGTTCTAGATCCTTGAGGAATCACCACACTGTCTTCCACAATGGTTGAACTAGTTTACAATTCCACCAACAGTGTAAAAGTGTTCCTATTTCTCCACATCCTCTCCAGCACCTGTTGTTTCCTGACTTTTTAATGATTGCCATTCTAACTGGTGTGAGATGGTATCTCATTGTGGTTTTGATTTGCATTTCTCTGATGGCCAGTGATGATGAGCATCTTTTCATGTGTCTTTTGGCTGCATAAATGTCTTCTTGTGAGAAGTGTCTGTTCATATCCTTTGCCCACTTTTTGATGGGGTTGTTTGATTTTTTCTTGTAAATTTGTTTAAGTTCTTTGTGGATTCTGGATATTAGCCCTTTGTCAGATGGGTAGATTGTAAAAATTTTCTCCCATTCTGTAGGTTGCTTGTTCACTTTGACGATAGTTTCTTTTGCTGTGCAGAAGCTCTTTAGTTTAATTAGATCCCATTTGTCAATTTTGGCTTCTGTTGTCATTGCTTTTGGTGTTTTAGTCATGTTACTGGGTGCAGCACACCAACATGGCACATGTATACATATGTAACAAACCTGCACATTGTACACATGTACCCTAGAACTTAAAGTATAATAAAAAATTAGATAGGGGGAAAAAAGAGTGGTGACCTATATTAGTTGTCTATTGTTACATAAAAAATTAATCTCAAACTGAAAAGCAACCTTTAAAGGCATTGGGCAGCAGTTTTGGCAGGGTGTTCATATTGTCTTTGGAAGCCATGCGCTAATCTGGAAATCATTCCCATGTATTTATCAGGAAGTAAGTCAAGGGTAAGCATAAAGAGTTTCCAAAGTGTTGGAACCTGGTGTTTCCAAAGAGGCAACACATTTCTGCCAAGGATCATAGACTTTGCCAGAATTCTGAGGACAACAGGGCTCCAGGTGTAACCAGAACACCAATAATTCACATGTCAGGCTGGGAGTTAGAGTCCATCACAATATGAATACAGCTAAAGTTTGTTTTTAATAAAACATTTTCTGTAAGGCAAATTAGGATAACTACTAAGGCCTCACAGCTGATAAATGGCAGAGCAGGAATTTGAATCCTGTTCACTTTGTTTACAAAGCTTGTGCTCTTACCATATGTGATGATTAATTTCATGTATCAACTTGACTGAGCCATGGGGTGCCCAGATATTTGGTGAAACATTATTTTAAATGTGTCCATAAGAGTTTTTCTGGATGAGATTAGCATTTGAATTGGTAGGCTGAATAAAGTACCTTGCCCTGCCCACTGTGGGTGGACCTCATCCAATCTATCAAAGGCCTAAATAGAAGAAAAAGTCTAAGTCTGAGTAAGAGAGAATTTGTGCTCTTGGTCTTCACTTGCCTTCAGACTCGGAATTGGTCTAGAACTTAGGAGATTCGCTCGCCTGGTTCTCAGGGTTTTGGCTTCCTGGGTCTCCACCTTGCCAACTGCGGATCTTGGGACTTCTTGGCCTCCACAATCACATGCCAATTCCTTATAATAAGTAAATAAATACAAATCCTGTTTCTCTGGAGAACCCTGACAAGTACATCAATATGCTACAGAAAATTCTTGACTTAAAGTAACAATGATATTTTGGGTGGGGAACAATTAAATGATACTGAAGTCTGTCTGCAAGCATAAATAGAAGAGCTAGAAAAGAGTGGTGATCTATATTCTGTCTATTGTTGCATAAAAATCACTCCAATATTTAGACACAAAACAACAAACACTCATCATCTCATGATTTCTTTGGTTTGAGGGTTTGGGAGTGGCTTAGCTTAGTGGTTTTGGTTGAAAGTCACTCAGGATATTTGGCAATGATGAACATTTTATTAATGTCCTAAAACTGGGTTGTGAGGTTGGTTAAAATTTACTAAAAGTTATTAAATGGATCTATGGTCTGAGCGTTTGTGTCCCCTTCAAATTCTTATGTTGAAACCTAATCCCCAATGTACTAGTATTAACAGGCAGGGCTTTGGGGGTGATCAGGCCATGACGGTGCAGCATTCATGGATGAGGCTAGTGCCTTTACAGAAGAGCCCAGGGGAGCATGCATGCCCCTCCCACTCTGGAGACTGCAGCAAGAGGTGCCATCTATGGAGGGAAGGGAGAGCCCTCACCAGACACAGAATATGCTGGAGCCTGTATCTGCAACTTCCCAGCCTCTAGAATTTCCCAGCCTCTAGAAGGAATACATTTCTGTTCTTGGTAAGCCAGCCAGTTTATGGAATGTTTGTTATAGCAGCCCAAGATGGTTGAGACAAGTGGTAGACTTATGATGGGTGAGTATATGAATTCTATCTCAGTAAAGCTGTTAAAAAGAAAAAGAAAAACAAAGCTAAAAGTTGTTTCCTTAAAAAAATTAGTGAAATCAGTAAAGTTTAGCAAGACAGATCAAGGAAGAGAAAAGGAGAAAATACAAATTACCAATATTAGGAATGAAAAGAGAAACATAACTGTGTATCCTACAGTTATTAAAAAGGTAACAAGAGTATAATATAAACAACTTTACAACCTAGAATTTGCCAATTTAGATGAAACAGATGAATAAATTCTTTGAAAAAAATTCCAAAAGTAATAGGAAAAGAAATAAAGAATCTTAGGTATTTTATGAGGCCAGAATAACTTAGATACCAAGACTTTACAAGCACCTTACAAAATACATACATGCAAAACTCTTAAATAAAAATTAGCAATCAAATATAACAATATACAAAAAATACATTATTACCAAGTAAATTTATTCTAGGAGGTTAATAGTAGCTTAATACTTGAAAGATATTCATTATAACTCACCACATGTGGTGAAATTCAAATACGACCACAAAGGCTTTAATACTCCCCCTTCAGTACTGTGGTAGAACGTAATTCCCCTGCCCTTGAGTGTGAGCTGGACTTACTGACTCCTTTGTAACTAATAGAATGAAACATAGTGATGATATCTAACTTCAGAGACCAGTTTATAAAGGACACTGTGATTTTCTCATCTCTCCCTTTCTTGGATTATAGTCAACCCTCTATATCTGTGGGTTCCTCATCCATGGATTTCATTGACTCCACATTGAAAATATTCAAAATAAATAAATAACAATGCAACAACAAAAATAATACAAATAAAACATACAGTATAACAACTATTTACATAGTGCTTACATAGTATTTGGTATTATAAATAACCTAGAGATAATTTAAAGTGTATGGAGGAGAAAGGTATATGTGTGTAGGTTATATGCGAATACTATGCCATTTTATATCAGGAACTTGAGCATCTGTGGATTTTGATATCTGCAAAGGATACTGAAACCAATACCCCACAAATACTGAAGGATGACTATACTCACCTTGAAGTAAACAAACAGCTTTACGGTAAAATATATATCACATAAGATTTGCCATTTTAACTATTTTTAAGTGTAAAATTCAGTGGCATTAATTACATCTCCACTGTCTCATTCCAAAATTCTTTCCATACCCCAAGCAGAAACTCTGTACCCATTAATCTGTTACCGATTTTAAACAATAAAAGTTTTCATTTTCTTTCATTATCTCATTGGACATAAGATATAGTCAGCAATAACTTAGTTAAAGCCTTTTCTTATATTTAAATGTAATTATAGGATACTTTTCTTGGGAAGGGAGGAATGACAATTGATTCTAACCACAGTCTAATGACTTTAACTGTTCTGGAGCTAAGTTTACCTGTCTTTAGAAGGTTTGGAACCATGGTATTAACTACATCCTCTATTTCATGAACAGCTTCCTTGGGCACAATAGTTATGTTCTACCCATTGAGATAGATACAAAACAGGGTGAGATGTGTTCAGGAAAATAAGCTTGTTATTAATACTTTTAATATAACAAATACTGTTATGGTCCAGACACCAAACTGAGCAATTTACAACGTTTACCTCATTTAATCCTCATGACACCCCTATGACATGGTTACTATTTCTATGTGCATTATTCAGAATAAGCCTGTGACATCTCAGCAATGTCACTGAGCCACACACTCACCCTCCTTTAGGTAACACCTTCACTACCTAAGGCAGGTGAAAAAGGAATCATAACCATGAGAGCTAGGTCAGGGGACAGAGTGGAATCAAGACACTAGGGTCACCCTTGTGAGAAGAGCATATAAACTATCATGCTAGGATGCTTTGACATCTGACTTGAGTTTTCTTTGTGTTGGGCACGCATCGCATAGTGTGGTGTTAAGTACGTGGGTTGACTCTGAAATAAAGCCATCTGGGTTTACATGAGAGCTATGGAATTTATTAAGTCTTAGAATTTACTAAAGCTTTTACTTACGAAGGCAAGTTAACAAACCTGTGTAAGTCTCTATTCTGAATAATGCACATAGAAATAGTAACCATGTCATAGGGGTGTCATGAGGATTAAATGAGGTAAACCTCGTAAATTGCTCAGCTTGGTGTCTGGACCATAACAGCAGTTGTTATATTAAAAGTATTAAATTAAAATGAAACATCAATAAATGTCAGTAAGTGAAGGTTTATGTGCTGCTTTTGAGATTCATAAACATGGCTGAAAAGAGAAGGGGTTTAATGAACAAGACTGTTCAAAATGTCAAGTTTACAGATTATCAAAACTGTTTCTTTAAATAGTGTTTGGATGTCAAGTTTTGGAATGGAGCAAATTAAATATTCCTTTCACAGTCTTTCTCTTCCAATTCTAAGATGCCAAGTTTCAGACAAGTGCCTGAATTCCAAGTGACATTCCAACATAGCCCTGTTATAAAGTGCCTTTATGCTCATTCTTCTATAACCTTGATTTAGTCCATTTGTTTTTTGGAGGAGGAGGGTTTCACCTTCAATAGCTACGTGCGAAGTCTAGAGACACATTCAAGTTTATGAGAAGTTTGTACTTTGCATTGTTTATGATTATTCTGACTCAAGCTGAATGGCCCATTTCTCTGTATTGCGACAGCCCGGGCAATTGCACACCTGAGCATGTCCTTGGAATGCGTGAGACACAAACATTCCAAACTGTAGGGATGCCAACTATTCCAACTATGTATCCAGAGTTCCCCACACGTATCTTAGCAAACAAGAACAAAACAACTCGATCCCATTGCTTGAACATGTTGGGCCACCTCATGTTCTCAGGCCACCATCCTCCACCTCAGGTCACGTGGTGAACATCCATAAGTAAGGATTATTCAGACTGAAGGCTAACAAGGAAATAAATAAATGACCCAGGATAAGCCATGGTATCTAGTTCAGGGTTTTTTTAGAGACAGTGGATAGAGCAGTCATTGGGTCTACTTATGACCAGGTCAATGATTTCCCGAAGTCTAAATACATCCAACAGATGTGACACAGTAGACTGCCATGGTCTTGGTAGCCAAGGAATTTGCTCCCAAGTGGAAGAGAAGGGAGCAGTGGTGGTTCTTGATATCCTGTGGGCATTCTCAGCCCAGAAAAGGGAGGCTCTTATGAACCTTCTGAGGAATAATACATTCTTTTAAACACAGAAGAATCTAGCAGAAGCTTATACAGGGAGAGGACTGCAAGTGTGAACCAAGACCTAGCACCTGGCAGGCCAGTCAAATAACCTGGCCATACTTGGTGGTGGGGAGAAAGGAAGCCGGCCCAGTGTTCCTACAAGCACTGCCCAGCTCGATTCCCAGGCCTGTGGCAAAGCACCACATGCGGTCTTCATTTCACTCTGGAAGCTGTCAGTACAGCCCAGGTGTTTCTGCTGCAGGCTCGAAAGGGCTGAAACTGCCGGTGGCCATTTGGGGTTGGGGTTGAGAGACAGGGACTGACAATTGCAAAGCCTTGAAATACAACCGCTACTAATCACAAGGAATGAAAGTATTGCCATGTTGACTATGCAACATTTAGTAACAATAGTACATTTTAAAATTAGTGTTTGCTTAATTGTTGCTCAATTACATTGATGCTGCTATCCCCAAATGCCAAACTATTTCCACTTTTCTGTTGCAGAAAAAAGAACATCACCTCTATAGTTATAACCTTGACATAGAAAATAAGTATATATTTTGTTTTTGTATTTATGCTAACTTTGAATATGTTTTATGTTGCATAAACTCCACAGTTATTATTTTAAGTTCTGCATTTTAAAATTTATTTCCATTTTTATCTTATGGTAGAATATTAAGGTTGATGCCAATAATTTGCTATTATATGTAAATACACAATGATCATCTTCTTACTTTTAGATAAAGTCACAGTAGTAGGATCCTGATCAAAGGTATTTTTACTTGTCAGTATGTTTTTCTGTCAGTTTTCACAGGACAGATGCTGCAAACGTGGCTTCAGTAACACTGCATTCATTACGTCAGGTATGTCACAGGGGGACACCTCCTTCACTGCTGACACCTCATTAATCGTAAAAGGTATCTTATCAGTCTTCTAAATATAATTTCATTCACACATCACAATGTTAATCATCATTTGATGTTTGCATATTAAAAATATTTCCTACTATGCAAATTTTCTGTACTTAAACTTGAAGCTCTCATTCAATTCTCATTGGTTTGAATAACAAATACATTTTCCTGTATAAGCCAAAAATATTTTCCAAGTTATTTGTTTTTCCTTTTGATAGGTATTTTTCATATATGTTTAATGATTTGTATAGTCTCATGACTGGGAGTCACTGGGAGATCTTACCTCTTGCAGCACCCACGCTCCCATACTTGACACAGTCCTAAAACTAATGACAGCATCATCTCACTTACACGCGGGATGTAGCAAGGGTGGATTCACGTGCATGGAGAGCAGAACGGAGGTGACCAGAGGCTGCAGGGAGAGGCTGGGGAGGTGTTGGTCAAAAGATACAAATTTCAGTTAGACACGGGGAGTAAGGTCAGGAGATCCATTGTACAACATGATGACTATAGTTCCCAACAATGTATTATATTCCTGAATATTGCTACAAGAGTAAGTTTCAAGCATTTTCACCACAAAACGATACGTTTTTGAGGTAATTCCCATGTTAATTAGTTTGATTTCACCATTCCACAACATACACACATTTCAAAACATGCTGTATGTTATAAATACATACAATTTTTGTCACTTAAAAAATAGTATAAAAGAAGCCACTAAGAGAAAAAAAAACTCATGACAAATGACTAATATGATGAATCATTTGAGGAATATTGGTGAAATAAGATTAAGAGAAGATTACACTGAAGAAGGAAAGACCCACAATCCCTCTAGAGGAAGGACAGTCACCAAGAGGAGCTAGTGGGGTGGCGGCGCTGTCAGGACCGCCAGGGCCACACGTGGAAGGAGGGGACATGAGGGGCTGCTAGAGCTCACCCTTCTCATCCCTGCACTTGTCGCCCAGGAGGATGGGCTCAGGGGCAGGATCCTCCCATCAGCCTGCTGAGGGTGGGGTGTGGAGGTGTGAAACTCAAGTGTGTACAAGAGGTTACATTTGTATAAAAGCTTGTTTCCGTCTTTTTTTCTGATTAGATTTTTTCTTTCTAAACTGAGCTATCATTGACCTGGTTGTGTAAATTCAGTGAATGTCAATTTCCCCTCCAAGCCAATCTCTATCAGGTTTTCGGTCCTTACTCAGTGTGGTGTGGAAAGCAGGCATCATGTGAACCACTTATTGGTAGACGCTAAATGAATCTGGCACACTCTGAAGCATGACATTAGAAGACATACAAATGTCTTCTTGCCTGTAGTAGTGAAGAAGATATTGATGCTGAAGATGCATGTGAAAAGACTGAATAAATTTTTTAACTAAAAATGAAAGCATCAAAGATATCCTGCAATAGAGTCATAGTTCTGAGAAAAATTTAATGTATTCTGTAACTAAAAAACCCTGAAGTGCAAGAGAGGCAAACTATGTTGAAAAGAGTAAATACTTTTTTCCTTAAATAGGCTTACTATAAATTATAGGAAAAAACTTTTAAATATTTTTCTGAGGTTTATTCTGCATATTATTAAAAGACATAGAACATCTACAAAACGTGTAAGCAATATTAACGACGAAGCTACAACATACACAGCTCCACTGGTATGGAGAGCCAGATGCTCCGGTCCACACTCACACTCTGAGCAACGCTGCTCCTCTGGAGACTCCTCAGCAGGAGGGACGGCCGCTGGTGCGCTGGGGAAGGAGCCAGAGGCAGATGAAGGGCAAAGGAGATGGGCGGGACTGCCCTGAGGGTGGGCACCCAGTTTCAGGGCAATCAGGACACTGAGCACAGGGCGACAGAGACAGGGGAGTGGGCTCCGGACAAAGTCAGGCTCTCTAGGTGGGTAGCAGAGTCCCTGAACTAATTTCCTGTTGCTGCTACAACAACTAACTACAAATTTGGGCCTCAAAACAGCACACGTTTATCACCTTACAGTCCCAGAGGTCAGAAATCCAAAACAAGTCTCACTATGCTGAAATCAAGGTGTCACCAGGGCTGCACTCCTTCTGGAGGCTCTGGGCAAGAGTCCTTTGTCTCATCTCTGCCAGCTTCTGGAGGAAAGCCACCGTCACGCCCTGGCTCACGGCCCCTTTTTCCAGTCAGCAGTGTCAGGCTGCATCTTCCTCATGCGGCCATCTCCCATCCTTCTGAATCTCTTGTCCACTTCTACAGATCCCTGTGATTACATGGGACCCACCTAGATTATACAAATATTTTCAGCATCTGTAAGTTAATCATGGGGGCAAAGTCCCTTTTAAAATGTAAAGTTAATGCATTCATAGGTACGGGAGATCAGAGTGTGGAAAATATTTGGAGGGGGTCAGTATTCTGCCTGCCGTAGCCCCTATACCTGTGATACTCCCAGGGCTTGATCAAGGCAGATGCACAACCTCTCTGGACAAACACATCCTCCGTAGAGGCCTGCAGGATTCACACACATGAAGATCAAGCAGCAAGCCCACAACCAACACCAACAAAGCCCGAGGAGGCGAGCCACGAGAGAGGTGCAGTAGCAGGCACAGACGGCAGACTCTCACCCTGCAGGAAGTGGGCATAGATGATCAGGAATGAGCATGAAGATATTAGAAAGATCAAAGACACACACAGAGAGAAAGAGAGAGAGAGTGAGAGACAGACACAGAGAGAGACAGAGAGAAAATGAATGAAGGAGAGGCAATATTTGAAAAGGAAATGGGTGAGAATTTTCAGAAATTATGGAAAAATATACAGATTCATGATGCAAAACATATATTAAACTGAAAAATAAAAGTAAAATGTACAGGACACGTCTTCTACCCTGCCTCACATCTTCTTGGCTACTGTTTACTATAATAATTGCTGCAGCAACCATCTTTCTGCAGGGACAGCTGGCAGCATCATGCCTCAGCTGCAACTCATATACCTTGCTTTTTGTCCGGTACTTCTCTGATGTATATGGGAACCTGATAGGCACCCACACATGCACCAAACCTGAAAATTCAAGGAGGTAAGCATTTAATAGAATAATCCTGACCACTGGGGAACAGAAACTGGTGGATAAATGCTCCCTCCCCTAGTGCATGCCCACACAGCCAATTCTGAAGCACATTCTAAAAAGCACTCAGAACGTCCCAGAGGGCTTGAGCCCCAAGTTTCCACAAAAGTGATTAGATCAATAACGTACCCTTGCATTGGGTCTCCCTACATCCTTATTCTATTTTTCCAATCTCATTTTTCCTCTCCCTGGCCTCTATTTCCCCAAAATAAACTACCTGCCTTCAAGACTGTGTGTCAGTTAGGCTCTGATTTCTGGGGGGAATCAGAACTAATTTTAAAAAGTGAATTTCCATATATGTTGGAGAATAACTGCAAAATACCAAATATAATAGAAAGTCTTAAAACTGTTCAGAGAGAAAGAAAGAAACACCTAAAAAGAAATTATTGTAAGACTGATAGTAGACTTCTCAACAATAAGAGAATAAAAACAATAGAAAAATACTTGAAAAGGCTGAAAGAAAACAACTATTAATCTAGAACTGTGTAACCAGAAAAACCATATTTTAAGAGCCAGAGTAAAATTTAAAAAAATTCTAGATAAATAGAAACTGGAAAGCTTACCATCAATACATCTACATTAAAGAAATTTCTAAAGCATGTTCTTCAGGATGTAGAAAATAAACTTAGAAAGATGTTATCAGATACAAAAGAATGGCAGGAAAAGAAATTGGCAAACATGTATAAATCTAAACAAGCAAAACTTCTAAGATGTAATAAAAATAATGTCTAATTTCAGAGTTAAAAAGTAAAACAAACTTAAATCTTGGGCAACAATAAATGTAAGGAAAAAAGAGTATTCAAAGTTAAAATGTTGCAAGTATCCCACAGCAGTGGGTAGAGACGTTGAGATATTAATTTTAGACTTAGTTCCATATACAACGTAACATTTTAAAATTCAGCCTCCAGAAAAAGAGAAATAGAATTTTAAACTTCCAAACACACTGAAGACCAAACAGAATTAAAATGAGGAAAAAAGAAACAGCAAAGCAGAATAAATGAAGAGCAAAAAACATGAAATGGGAGAAACAAATTCAAATATATCTGTGACCACAATAAATATAAATGATCTAAACTCTCCCACTAAAATATAGAGGATGTCAGGCTGGCTTAAAAATAAGAATAAAATGAGTCTATCTCTATGTGGCTTGCAAAAGGCTTGCCTAAATCATAAGAATGCAGAAGAGTTGAAACTAAAACAATTGAAAATTTTACCAAGCACATACTACCAGAATGTATATTTCTAAATGCTTACAATAAAAAAGAAGTACAAGAAATTTGAAAGCAGAAATCAGCTAAATAGAAAACAAAGATAAAATAGAGAAGATAAGTAGAACAACAAAAAAGCAGGATCTTAGAAAAGACTGTTTAATAAAAGAGGTAAACCTCCATGAGATTGCCAAGAAAACAGACTCTAGTATATGATAGAACTGAACAGGGAGGCATGCCTACATGTAGGAAAGAGATTGAAATAATGAAATTACTAAAAATAACCTTATTCCAATGCATCTGAAAACAAGTAAAATGAACAAACTTCTAGAAAAATATAGCTAAACAAAAACAAGTTCAAGACGAAATTTTAAAAACCTTAATATTCCTATAATTAGAAAGAAATTAAAATAATGTTTCCAAATTTTAGACTCAAACTTTCTTGCAGACAAATTAAACAAACTTTTCAGAAGCAGATTATTTCAAACTTATAAAACTTTTCCCAGAAAATAGAGAAAAAAAGGAAAATATTCCATAACTCTATAATTCATATGAAGCCAATATAACTTTATAATAAAACTAGAGAGAACAGTATAAAAATGAAAAAATCTAAATTAATTTTTCTTTACAAATATACATAAAATAAATCATAACTAAAATTTATAAATAATTAAAATCATAGCTTAATCCAATAATATATAACAAAGATAATATATCATGAGCAAATTGCAAATGCCAGTACTTTCACATTAAAAAAAACTATAAATACCATTCAAGACATTAAATACTTAAACAGCAAATATTTTATGACCACCAATAGATGCAGAACAAATTTTGATAATCCATCTCTATTCATGATTTTTTAAAAAAATTTCTGGCAAACTCAGAATAGAAAGAAACTTTTTTAGCCTGATGAAGAGTTATTTACAAAAAGGTTATACATAAAACGTCAGTCTTGATGGTGATATCTTTGAAATAATATCCTTAAAATCAATAATGTGCCAGGCATGGTGGCTCACACCTGTAATCCCAGCACTTTGGGAGGCTGAGGTGGGTGGATCACTTGAAGTCAGGAGTTTGAGACCAGCCTGGCCAACATGGTGAAACCCTGTCTCTACTAAAAAAATACAAAAAAATTAACCAGGCGTCATGACGCACACCTGTAACCTTAGCTACTCGGGAGGCTGAGGCAGCACAGCCGCTTAAATCCAGGAGACAGAGGTTGCCGTCAGCCAAGATCGCACCATTGCACTCCAGCCTGGGTGAAAAAGTGAGACTCTGGTCTCAAAAAAAAAAAAAAAAAGAAATCAATAACAAGATAGGGTATTCATTATCACAATCTCATTCAACCTTGCACTGTAGATCTTCCCCAGAGCAGTAATGGAAAACATAGAAATAAAGCCATAACAATTATAAAAAACAAAGCTCTCATTATTTGGATATAACTCTCTGCATATGAAATCCAAAAGAATGCATGAAAAAATTATTAGAATAATGAGAGTGTTTACTAAGTAGCTGACCAGTAAATGCATTATATATGTCATCAACAATCAGAAAATGTATGGCTTAAAAAATACCATGCCTATATATGTAACATATATGTTATATATGTTATACACATATGTATGTTATATGTACATATGTACGTTATATGTATATGTTACATATATATGCAGAGCCAGATGCATATACACTTAGCTATATACATACTTATAATAAAAATAATAACAAAATTTTTAAGTCACCTAAGAAAAAGTCTAACATAAATTGTGTTAGATCTCTATGAGAAAATTTACAAAAACTTAATTTAAAACATTAAGAAAGACATAAGTAATTATTGTATTTTGGATTAAAAAACTCAGTATTGTGAACATATTATTTCTCTCAAAATTAAAATATAGAGTGGAAGAAATTCCGATCACAATTCTCTAGAGCTTGTCCTGGAACTTGACTAGCTGCTTTATAGTTTTACATGGGAAAAAAAATGTGAGAATAAACCAATCAACATGCTCCTGAAGGAAGAGGATGAGAAAGAGAAAGGACAGGTGGAAAAGGGGTGACTTGGCCATCAGATTTCAAGATTTTCTATAAGGTTTCTCTGGTAATTAAGACAGTGTGGTACAGGTGCAGGAACAGAAACATGGATCAGCAGAGCAGAATAGAGATCCCTGAAACAGACTAATGAATACACGAAAATATTATATATGATAGAGATGGAAGTATAGGCAATTAAGAAAAAAGGGACTATAGAATTAATGAAGCTGGGAGAAATGGTTGGAAAAAATCAATAAACTTTATCCCTACTTTACACAAAAACAATTTTGATATATTGAGAAACAAAACATGAAAGGCAAAATTTTAAGCTTTAAGATGTATATATCATAAAAAAATGAAAAAAAATGACGGGAAGTTGCTTGGCAGTTACAATGTGCATTGCTCCAGTGATGAATGCCTTATTGAAGGCCCTGACTCCACCACAATGAAATCTATCAGTGTAACAAAATTGCACTTGTACCCGTGGTTACATACACCTTTAAAAAAAAGTTGAAAGAGAAATACATGTTTTACTAGATCTTACAAAAAAAGGAAAAGAAAAGAAAGAAATTCAAGAGACAAGCCACAATCTGGGAGAAGACATTTGTGACAATATCCCACAAATAATTCACAAATTGAATATATGAATAACTTTATAAATCTACAAGAAAAAGACCAAAAAAATAGAAAAATGGGCAAAAGACATGAATAGATGGAAGACTAATGGGAAAAAGGAAACGAAAGGAAGCAAGCAAGGAAGGAAGCAAGGAAGAAAGGAAGGAAGGAAGAAGAAAAGAAACGTTTCTCAACTTCATTAGTAATTAAAGATGTTTTATTTTATTTTCAAAATAAGGACACAATAAGACATTGTTGTCAAAATAAGAAAATAATGATAACATTCTATACCTACTCAAAATTGGTAAAAATTTAAAAGTCCAATATACCATGTGTTAGAAAGAATGTTGATTCAACAAGAATTTATACGTTTCCAATGGGTACGTAAATTGGTACAATCATTTTTTGAGGAATAACTGGTATTAATCAAAAAAGCATGGTACTAGTATGAAATGACACAGAGATCAATGGAACAGAATAGGGAACCCAGAAATAAAACCACATATTTACAGCCAACTGATTCTGACAAAGTTGACAAGAACATACACTGGGGAGACACACCTTTTCAGTAAGTGGTACTAGGGAAATTGGATTGCTTTATGCAAAAGAATGAAGCTGGATCTCTAACTCTCCATATACAAAAACCAAGTCAAGAGTGATTAAAGACTTAAATGTAAGACTGGAATCTAAAAATAGTATTAGAAAACCTAGGGAAAACTCTTCCGGACATGGGCCTAGGTAAAGAATTCATGACAAAAATCTCAAAAGCACAGGCAACAAAAACCAAAAAATACACAAGTAGGACTTAATTGAACTAAAAACTTCTACACAGCAAAAGAAATAACCAACAAAGTGAACAGACAATCTGCAGAATGGGAGAAAATATTTGCAAACTATGCATCCAACAGGGGACTTCCTTGGGAAATTCCAAGGGAATTTCAACTCGACAACAAACAACTCAGCAACAAAAAGTCAATCCCCTTAAAAAGTGGGCAAAGGACATGAATAGACATTTTTCAAAAGAAGATGTACAAATGGACAAAAAGCATATGAAAAACTGCTCAACATCACTAATTCTCACACAGGTACAAATTAAAACCACGATGAGATATAATTTTACACCAGTCAGAATGGCTATTATCAGAAAGACAAAAAATAGCAAATGTTGGCAAAGAATGCAGAGAAAAGGGAGTGCTCATACACTATTGGTGGGAATGTAAATTAATACAATCTACGAAAAACAGTATGAAGATTTCTCAAAAAGCTAAAAATGAAACTACCATTTGACCCAGCAATCCCTCTACTTAGTATCTACTCAAAGAAAAGAAATCATTATATCAAAATGATACCTGCACTCATAGTTTATTGCAGCACTATTCACAATGGCAAAGATATAGAATCAATGTAAGTGTCCATTAACAGGTGATTGGATAAGGAAAATGTGGTACATATATACAATATTATTCAGCCATATTAAGAATATTATTCAGCCATAAAAAGAATGAAATCGTGTCTTTACAGGGATGGAACTGGACCCCATTATCTTAAGTGAAACAACTTAGACACAAAGACAAATACCTCATGTTCTCACTTATAAGTGGGAGCTAAACATGTGTACACATGAACATACAGGGTAGACAGTGGAGACACGGGAGGGTGAGTGTGCAGGAGAAGAGTGGATGATGGGCAATTACTTCATGGGTACAATGTTCATTATTCAGGTGATGGATACAGTAAAAGCCCTGGCTTCACCATTACTCAATCTATCCATGTAACAAAATTACACTTGTACCCCATAAATTTATACAAAAAAAAATTTTTTTAATCCAAACATTCACGTACCCTATAATACAACAATTCAATTCTTAGGGGTATACCTAGAGAAACATTTGGGCATGTTTCTCAGGGGACAGGTACCAGCATGTTTATACAGTACAACACAAATGTCCTTAGACAGAAGAATAGTTAAATAAATATCAGTGTATTTGTATAATTAATATTATGTATCAGTGAAAATGAATAAACTATAGGTACAGGAATTGATATTGATGAGTCTTAAAAATACAAAGTTGAAAAAATCAATTTTCAAAAGATTACATACAGTATGTACTATAACATTTATATAAAGCTCAGTAAACAACTATATATATATAAAATCCCTAATATGTATGTGTATCACTAATATTTATCTCCCTAAAAATATCCCATATGCACATAGGGATATACCAACCTTCCAAATAACACTTCTTAACTTCTTTCATTTTCTCAGTTAGATTCCTTGGTCTGTCATGTCACTGGCACTCCTGTTAGTACCTTAAACGGTCTTTCATTATATTCTACCCACCTGGAAAAATCCCTTTGCTCAGGCAACAAGTATAGAGAAGGTTCAATAAAAATTCAGAGGTTCCTACATAAACTCTGACTGAGCAGTCTTCACAGGCCCTCAGTCGTTCTGGCTCCTCCAATCTCACTCTTACTGCTTCAAATCTGTTTCGCTGTTACCCAGCTAACAACGCCACCCTCATCCTCAGCACTTACAACAAATGCTTACACTTTTTACTTTAAAAATAAAACACACCTTTGTCACCTGGACAAGAAACTGATAAAACTAACCTGTGTAGTCACACTTCCTTCCTATTACAAAAGACACTGCCAATTCTCCAATCTCTTCACCTAGGCTTTGGAGCTTCTCCACCCCACTGATTAGTATAGAAGCTTTTGTTGCGTTTGTGTAGTAAGTTTTTCCCTCTCAGTAATGCAGAACCAGGTGCATAATTTGTGGGTCCCAGTGCAAAATGAAAATGCAGAACAGCTGGCTCAGAAGTGATAAAGAATTTCAAGCTGGCAGCAGCAGAGCCTTAACCCGAGGGCAGGGCCTTGTGAGTCCAGGACCACTGCAAGTCAGCTTTATGGCAGGATCCTTCCCATCAGCTCAGAGAGGATACATTCAAAAACAGCAAATCCACCTCTATCTCTGTTCCTGTCCTGCTATGAAAGAACCTCTCCTCCCCCTTAGAAACGTACCTAGCGTTGTCTCTATTTGTTGTCTCTCACACCTGCCCATACCTCAATGCATTCCAAGCCGCCTTCACCCCAGTGGCTTCATGGAGAGCATTATGTCCCAGGACCGCCAAGGGCTGTGGGGTTGCCAAGTCAAACAGTTGTTTTTCAGTTCTCTCCCCGTTCTGAAAACACTTTTCTTAGCTTCCATGAGCCACACTGTCTTGTTGTTACCTCTGCAAGAGATTCTGTGTCTTCTTTGCAGAATCATCCTCCTCACCTAGACAGTCAGTGAACACTAGAATAACTTAAACAAACCAGCCTTTCCCTCTTGCAAATATACCTTCTTCCCTTGGTGTTCTCATTGGAGTCCACATCTTTAGTTTAACTTCTTTATGGTGTATACGTGATGGTATAGGATTGGCATATTTTTATGTAGCTAAAACTGCCATTTCTCTCCCTTTGTAGTAGATTTATTGACCTATTTAGGAAGGCTTTCTCCCCCAAATCCTAGGAACAACCTATTTATTTCTTACCACTTTTATGTTTTTTAATTTTTTTAAAAAAAATTTTGAATTCTATTCCAGCAGAATTTATTTTATATGTGGCGTCTACATTTTAAACCAATTATTTTAGTTTCCAACATCATCTGCCTAGTAATTTGAAATCTCACTTTATCATTTTTTGGAATAAACAAACATTATTTTTATGATCAGAGAAAGTGACAAGTTTTAAATAAGAAAATAATATTGTATATAATGAAATCTGTTTTTTCTTCACAATTTATCAGAGTAATAAATGATCAAAACTAATTCTTTATCACATTTTCTGATAGTTTTCCAATCATTTCATTTTCTATTCAAATCTTAAATAAATTATAATTTTTAAATTTTTTTTTCTCACTTCAGAATATAAGCTCTGTGACAGCAGGGATTTTGTATCTATTGTTCAATGCCTTATCCCTACCCTACAGCTTAAAACAGACTAGCAGGAAGTGTTTAATACACATTTGTTATTAATAGCTAGATAAGTAATTGAATGAATGATTTGCTAGCCAGTTTCTCTAATCTTGTACCTATTTATTTTTTCAAGGTGTTTTAAATTACCTTGAATAATTTTTTTTTTTTTTTTTTTTTTTTTTAGATAGGATCTCGCCTTGTTGCCCAGACTGGAGTACAGTGGTGCACTGCTACCTCGGCTCACTGCAACCTCTGCCTCCAGAGTTTAAGCGATTCTCCCACTTCAGCCTCCCAAGTAGCTGGGATTACAGGCATGCAACACTACACCCGGCTAATTTTTGTATTTTTTGGTAGACACGAGGTTTCACCATGTTGATGGGGCTGATCTCCAACTCCTGACCTCAGGTGACCCGCCCGCCTTGGCTTCCCAAAGTGCTGGGATTACAGTCATGAGCCACTGCAACCAGCCCGAATAATCAGTTATTATACTCTAATATGTCATTGGTCTATAATTATAATTACAAACCCTATTGGTTCCATTGATTTAATTGTCTAGGGGCATGCCAGTATGACTGCATTCCAATTACTGTGCCGGTATGTTACCTTTGTATATGTTTTGGCTACAATATCTGAACTTCCCAGAATAGTTTCCGACAGTCTTATATTTGAATAAATAGGATAATCATTTAGTTTTGTTAAACAAACATTATTTTGTGACTTCCAGTTGACTCAAACACTATTTACTAATTTACAAAAGCTTGTTTTTTAGCCTATCCATGTACATAGTTTGCATTCGGGGATCCAGGGTGTGTGTCAGGGAGGAAGCAACATAGGCCTATCCCCAGGAGGCCTCTCCCCCCAGGACGCCCTCGGGCGCCGTGGAAGAGAACCGGAGATGCTATGAAGGCAGGGCCACCCCATTGGCCAGGAAGAGAGAGGCAAGCGATATCCACGGGCAGAGGGAGCGCAGACATGGGCGGAAGAGCAGCGGCTTCCAAAGGCTGCAAGCAGGAAGGAACAGGCACCAAAAAGAGGGGCTGAGAAAAGGAGCCCGCAGAGGCGGTGCTGGGACCCCGTGCTTAGACAGGAAGAGAGAGGCATAAGGAGGAAGGACCCAGGAAAAATGGAGGAGTACTTTATTTCCTTGTATTTCCTGATCAGAAATTTGACGTTCAGCGTAAGAAAATTAGAAAGCAAAAATTTATGAAAATGAAAATAACATTCACCCATCATGTGAGAAATGAGGACTAATAACTTTTACTTTTAATGTTTTACTTTGTAGCCAAAAAAGCTAAATATTTTTATAGTTTCACATATATGTTTTCCCCTTCCCCATCCATTTCCTGGACCTAATACTTTCATCTTTTTTTCCCACCTTTTTTGATCATATTTTAAATCTTTCTTTCAAACAGATAATAGCTGGATTTTATTTTTTAGTTGAATCTGGTATGCGGTCATTTCTACGCTCACGGGGAGGACCCACAACCAAGACCCCTCGCCAGGTTGTTTCCAGGCCTTGGGTCCTTGCTGGCTCTCAGTGGTGAGAGACTGAGTACACAAATGGACAATGGCCAGAGCATCTATAAGAGTAGAACTCCCACCCACCCCCTGCAGCAGCCAGCCCAGGAGGCCAAGCCTTCATCTACAGGAACCAGCCAGGGAGGCCAGCCTGCTCCATGCCAGGCTTGTAGGAATTCAGATTGCTGTCTCTAGAAATAACATGGGAAATTAAACATTGCAGTCTGTAATAATCAGACCCAAACAGCCAGGACTTGATTAATAACTCACAGTTTCCTAGATTTCATCCCTGCTTCCAATCTAGGGCCAACCAGAGAAAGCCCAGTATGTCCCCTAGCCAGTCCCATGGGATGCCCACTTCTCACCAGCCGCCCCCGGCTTCCTCAGGCCCACAGCCCCTGCCAGGGCACCCGAAGCCTCCCCTTTTCCACGGTGAAGCTTCCCCACTCCTTGCCTGCCTGAGTCTGTCAGGATGCAACTGATGGCCATGGACCCCCTTGCTATAGCAGCTCTGAATAAACAGCCTTTGCCTGTTCTTATTTGGGTGGTCTTCATTTATTTCCACAGTGGGAGACATCAGTTCCTTGACACGTGACCCTCTCCACAGGGCAGCTCAGGACATGGCAGCCAGCTCCCCTCAGCGCAGAGACAGCAGCCCAAGGCTGAAACTGCAGTGTTCATGTCGCTAACCTCAGCAGTGACAGCCATCACTTCCGCTGTGTCCCATTCTTAGAAACCAGTCATTGGCCCAGCCCACACGAAGGGGAGGGGATTGCACGCATGTGCGCTGGCCAGGAGGTGGGGATGACCTCCACCCACCCCACCTAGCGTAGTGACGAATGCACTTGATGTTATCCAATCATAACATGTATGTTATTTACGGCTTATTTTATACCGTTGTCTCTTCCTTTTGTTTTTGACTTTTTTTGATGTTTGTCATATGATTTTCCACATGATTATTTTGAATGTCCTCTGTATATTTCCGTTTCATTAATTGTAATTTTCCTTTTCTCTGCTCTCAGAGACAGATGCATTTGATGAGACTATTTTTTAAAACAAGGGACCTACTATTTTCCCTCCATGAAATTCGTTGTATCATTACGACGAGACTGTCTGATCATACAATAAGAGGTTGCCTCTAAAACAGATCCACCGCTTAAGTCTTTCATCCCATTGTGATCTTTAAAACTTGTTCACACACCGCTCTCTCTGTGCTGCCCTAGGCAACTCCAATACCTTGCTAATATGTTGGTCATTTGTTAGGATTCCCTTCACATGTGTCTCGGTTTCAAGAGTCCTCATTTCCTACTCCTAAGATGTTTAGTCTTGTCAATTTTCATACACGGACAGACAGAGGTCTGTTTTCCACTGCTATTTCCTCTTCTGTTTCCAAACTCCCATGTTAAAATCTGTCCTCTTGGTTTGTTTTTACATTTTTTTTTTCACTTTTTACTGAACAGCAAAGTGCACACATCAAAAATGAACAACTTGATGATTAAATGTAAACCTACTTACGTAACTTTCACATGCCAGGAACTAAAACACAGCCAGCACCCAGCAGCTCCGTGCCCCCTGCCTCAACCCAAGGTAGCACCATGCCGACTTCTGATGCCAGGGGTCCATTCTGCCTGGCTTCAAACTTTCTGTCAAAAGAATAATGCATCATTCACTAATCTGAGCCTGACCTCTTTCACTGAAAATTACGTTTGTGGATTGATCCATGTAGCTTTAGTTAATTCTTTTTAATTAATAGATAGCTTTTACTCATATGAATTACCATTTACTCATCCATTCTACTCATGGTGGACATTTTGGTTGTTTCTAATTTGCAACAATTACAAACAATGCAGCTATAATCCTTTGTATGTGTCTTTTGGCACATGTGGGCTTGAATTTGTTAATTCTATATCTAGAAGTTAAATTACCGGTTTACAGGAAATAAATTTTTAATTTTAACAAATAGTTTCCATTTCCAATACTTGTACCTCTTTGATTCCCAGCAGCAATGTCTAAAGTTTCCCTGTTCATTTGTTTTTTTTTCTCTTTTAACTCAGCATTTGTTACGTTTAATAAAGACTTACTTGAACATTGACAACTAAAACAAAAGAATTTCAGGATTCTAAACTTTACAATTATTTACCAAGACTTTATCAGCATCTGCAGAAAATTAGAGCCCTGATGTCCTACCCACGTTCTCAGTCCCACGTTGAACACTAAGAACAGGGTCAATCAGAAAACTTACAGAACGAGATGCTATTGTGGCCATAGAATGCTTGCCACCTAGAAAGTCATTTTCTTCTTCTTACCTATAAAATTCCAATAGTAATTGTAACAGCTAAAATCTGGCAGACCCTAGAAACTTAATGAAGATAGCTATATTCTTTATAGCTATATTGTTTATTCATTGCTGCTGTTTTAATTTTATTTTTATTGAGGTAAAATATATATGTAAAATTTACCATCTCTACTATTTTTAAATGTTTTATTTTTAATTTTATGGGTACATAGTAGGTGTATATATTCATGGGGTACATGCGACATTTTGACACAGGCATACAATGTGCAATAATCACATCAAGGTAAATGGGGTATCCATCACCACAAGCATTTCTCATGTCGTTGTGTTACAAACAAGCCAATTATACTCTTTTAGTCATTTAAAAATGTACAATAAATTATTGTTGACTGTAGTCACCCCATTATGGTATCAAATACTAGATCTTATTTAATTCCCTCTAACTACATATTTTTACCCATTAACCATCCCCACTTCTCTAACTTCCCTGCTACCCTTCCTAGCCTCTGGTAACCATCCTTCTATTCTCTATCTCTGTGACGTCAATTGTTTTCATTTTTAGCTCCCACAAATGAGTGTGAACATGTGAAGTTTGTCTTTCTGCACCTGGCTTATTTCATGTAACATAATGACCTCCAGTTCTATCCATGTTGATGCAAATGACAGGATCTCATTCTTTTTTATGGCTGAATAGTACCCCACTGTGTATATGTACCACATTTTCTTTATCCCTACCTCTGTCGACGGACATTTAGGTTGCTTCAAAATCTTGGCCATGGTGAACAGTGCTGCAATAAACATAGTAGTGCAGATATCTTTTTGATGCACTGATTTCCTTTCTATTGGGTATATACCCAGCAGTGGGATTGCTGGGTCATATGGCAGTTCTATTTTTAGTTCTTTGAGGAACCTCCAAACTGTTCCCTGTAGTGGTTGCACTAATTTACATTCCCACCAACAGCACACAAGGGTTCCCTTTTCCCCGCATCCTCACCAGCATTTGTTATTGCCTGTCTTTTGGATAAAAGCCATTTTAACTGGAGTGAGATGATATTTTATTGTAGTTTTGATTTGCATTTCTCTGATCAGTGATGTTGGGCAACTTTTCATATGCCTGTTTGCCATTTGTAGGTGTTCTTTTGAGAAATGTCTATTCAGATCTTTTGCCCATTTTTTCATCTGATTATTAGACTTTTTCCTATAGAGTTGTTGGAACTCCTTATATATTCTGGTTATTAATCCCTTGTCAGATGGGTAGTTTGCAAATATTTTCTCCCATTCTGTGGGTTGTCCCTTCACTTTATTGACTGTCTCCCCTGCTGTGCAGAAGCTTTTTTAACTCAATGGGATCCCCTCTTTACCATTTTCAAGAGTACAGTTGAGTGGTAATAACTATGTTCAGATTCTTTTTTCTCTCTCTCATCTCTCCCTCCCCATGTACCCTTCCCAGACTCTGATAACCACCAATCTACTCTCTATCTTCAGGTGATCCAGTTTTTTATCTGCATATATGAGTAAGAACATGTGATATTTGTTTTTCTGTGCCTGATTTATTTCACTTAACATCCAGTTACCGCAAATGATAGGATCCATATTGCTGCACATGACAGGATTTCATTCGTTTTCATGGCTGAATAATATTCCATTGTGTGTATACCACATTTGTTTTATCCTTTCATCCGTTCATGGACACTTAGATTGATTCCATATTCTTGCTGTTGTGAATAGTGCTGCAACCAAAATTATTGGACCATAATGATCATTTTATTTCAGCAATTTTCACAATGAGAATGGATAACAATGAATCATTTACTGGGTTTGTATGTGGGCAATTCAGGAAATGGTCAAAAATATTAAATGAGTTCTTCATGACTCACTCAGTCACAGTTGTCAGAGCCAGTCTTGGTGATTTCTTTTAGCTGATTGCAGCCACTCTCATCTTCGATGACTCTGCTTGGTGCAGAATATCACTTCTGCATCTGCTCATTTGTCCAAACATTCCATAAGGATTATCCAGCTCTGCGTCAACACTGCCTGGAGCAGGAGGACAGCGAGGTGAAGAGGGCCGAGCTCTCCTATTCAGATGGACCTTGTCATTTTGTTTTATTCCCCCTCCTTGAACCCTTCATAAACAATTCAAAGAAATGTACAAACCCATGTGACAAGCAGTGAAGCTCACCTGGCAGCCACTGCCTGTCTGGGGCCAAGACTCAAGTGTGGCTGAGCAGGACAGAGGGTTCCCAGTCAGGAGATGTCAGCCATAGGTTGAGCTGTAAGATGCCCTGAGGTCTTAGGGACAGTGAGTGTCCCCTGAAGACCACAACAGCACCACGAGATGCTAGGGAGAGCTGTGTCAAATGCTGTTCCTATGGACTCCAAGCCAAGAGGGTCTGCCAGAGGCTAAATGAATTGTTATTTCTTATGAAGAGAACAGGAAAAAGTAAACAGAAAATATTCAAAGCTATGAGAAGGCTTTTCTGGAATAAGGAAATATTTCACAATGCAGATTAACCCACAAGAAACACATTCTGGAGAACACACAACAAGGCACAGCCCGTGAAATTACTGTATCTCAAGGATGAAGAATCATGTAAGTATTCAGGGGGAAAAAAAGCGAGTTACATTTTGGGGAGGAAGTAGGGTTTCCTATAGTAACCAGAAATGCCAGAAGATAAATGAAACTGCCCACCAGAATTGTTACACAGTAAATTTCTCCTTCAGGTAGAAAGGCCACAGAAGTTCTCAAACACGTAAGAATCTAGAGAGATTATTGCATCAATAGTTTTTTTAAATAAGATTTTTAAACACAAAGCGCAACAAAAGTGCTTCATAAGATCCCTACACTAATCCAAACACAGCATTTATGGTACTGAGTATTCAATACATTTAAGTATATAACTATGGAAAGAAATAATTGTGGTGAATAGTGATTATAGAAAAGGATGTAACTGTGATTACCATGAGCACTTAATATAATACCAAACATTTGTAAGGACACAAAGAAATGGGATGGCTCACACATTGCGGGTGGGAATGTAAAATAGTCCACTGATCCTGGAGTGGGGCGGTTTCTAAAGACTAAACCTGCACATATCATACAACCCAGAAACTGTACTCACATGTGTCTATTCGGGGGGGGTCCCTGAAAATCACTCAAAAACCTGCACATGAGTGTACATAGATGCCTACTGGTGATACCTTAAAACTGGAAACAACCTAAATATCCTTCACCAGGTGACTGGTTAAACAAACAGTGACACATTCATGCCACAGAATAGTATTCGGCAATAAAAAGGAATGAAATATTGATACATGCAACAACATGGATGGATCTCGGGGGATTATGTGGAGTGAAAAAAGCCGGTATCAAAAGGTTAGTTACCTAATATGTGAATCCATGTATGTGATATTCTTGAAATGACAGAATTACAGGGATGGAGAACACATTCTTGGTGCCAAGGCTTGAAGAATCCTGGTGATAGAATTATTCTGCGTCTTGGTTTGTGGTGGTCACACAAATCTACACATGTGATAAAATTGCATGGAATTAAACACATACACATATAAGTACATATAAGGCTCATGAAATCTGAATAAGGTCAGTGGATTGCATCAAAGTTGATTTCCTGGTTGTGATTTTGTACTATATAATGTATATATGCAAGATGCTATCTTTGAAGGAAACTGGATGGAGGCTAAACAGAATCTCTGTACTATTTCATATATTTCTTTGTAGATGTGAATCTATAATTATCTCAAAATAAAAATTTTAAAATTAAATAACAATATAAATAAGAAAAATGGGGAGTTATAGGATAATAAATAACTAAAGCCTAATGCTAAAATGCTTAGTTAATCAAAATAATGGTCTTTTAAAGGTTTTTATAACCTTTGCTTAAATTTAAAGAGATAATTTAGAATCAAGATAAAAATAAATTTCAGTTGTTCTAATTTCACTTTAGTTTCTTTTAAGTTCAAGTAAAATTAAATGTAATATAATTTATTTCAAAATAACACATGTAATTTGATTTTATTGTTCTACAATTATTTCTGCCCATTTTTTCTTTCTTGATATCTGCAACTACACACAGACACTAGACTTAGAAAATTTTGCACGTAATGCCAAGAATGATTACTTCTTGTTAATGGGATTTGATCTAAATTTTTAAACTTTCTTTATTATATTTTTAAACATCTGATTTTTATCGTGGATATGTGTTATGTTTAACCCTAAATAAACAACAACCAGGAAACAAACAAACCACCAATAAAAAAGCACCCTCTGACCTTGAGGAGATCATTGTCCAGAATGATGACAAGCATGTAAACAAAGATTTACAAGGCAGGTCAAAGTCTTCACAAACACACAGAGAAGGAAGAAGCTCAAGCTGCCTGGAGTCAGGAGTTAAAGAAGGCTGCCCAGGGCTGATGAAGCATTTACAATACTGTTTTTTAAAACAGTCACTCTTGGTAATTTTACAAGTTCTGGCTGGAAAATCACACCATAGTAAAAATGGTTTCAAGTCAGACTTTCTGCTATGAAATCCATTTTGGCTAGTTTTGATGATTTATTGACACAACTTTATAAAAGGTAAAAACTGTAAGTAGAAAAGCTTGGATTTCAAGGCCAAAAAGTGGGCTTTTGTTTGTAATAAAGAACAGTTTTCATAAGCAGAGCTTTACTTGAATAAGACACTTTTCAAAAATTCATTTCTATTATTTCAACTATCATTTATTTTTATCTTTATAAAGATGCTATTAAGGCCAAACACTGCAGTATGCTAGTAACCTACTGTTTTCACTTATACATACAATAAATGAGCTTACAGATTATTAATTTTCATAATTAGTTGGCAATTTTTCTAATCATTAAATAGCAGGTATTAATTTGTCCCTTTATCTTCTTAATCTCTGAATATACAATTCACATATTTTTCCTCAGGACTTGACACCACACCAAAAGCTCTTGTACTCACAGGGATACATAATCTAAATCTTTCACCAAATCTATGTCTAATATTTGTACAGTTGACTGAGCATGTCCCCATCTATTTACAAGGCCTAATTGTGTAATAAGGTAATTGGCTATCATAAAATCATGGAGGTGGACATTCATCAGTCCAATCTCACCCACAGTCCTAGCTCTCCTGAAACATGGTCCCTCAGCTACCGAGTAAGCAGTAGAGTAGTTTTAGGAAACTAGTTCTTCACAATCTAGACAGAAATATGCCAGTGGAATTGATCTCGTATCTCTATAGACATACCTTGTGTATTTTATACTATCACAATTTGTGTTCAGGAAGGCTCTGTAGATTGCAAATGACAATAACTATCTCAATCATGTGAAAGAAGAATGGGGTGGTGAGAGTTCTTTGCAGAGTTCTTTGCTGAATAAATTATAGAATCTGGGAAATACCACCACCACCACCACCAAACATGAAACAGTCCTTGGTTTTTTTTGTTGTTGTTGTTGCCCCAAGGGCTTCCACATCAGTAATTCATGGACCTTCCCTTTGCAACACAGCCATCAACACCTGACTACACACTTGTCTCTGTGTTTTAGTTCAAATAAAACAGAGAGATTTAAATAATCCACCAGCCTCTAGGGAGCTCGTGCTTGCGCAGTGAATACCCAGGGTGGAGTGTGAGTTCTGCAGGAGGAGAGTGAGAAGAATACATCAATATATTGTGATGCCATTAATGTTGCTAATTCCATTGATTTCCCTTTTTTCACTGAATTGCATATTGGAATGTTGGCTAGGTACAGCCATTGCTTATGAACTGTAGCACTGGCAATGCCAGCTTTAGTTTCACAGTTCTTCTCAAGTGTCTGCAATAACACATCACACATGTGGGTAGTTAGTGCCATTTTTTATAACAATGAAAATATGGTTTGAACCACTTTCACAAGTTAATAATCCACAAGCAACATATAATTGCAAAATTGTCCACATACTACATAAAAGAGATGTCATTTTTGAAAACCAGATGTGATGACATTTGTAGAGTATTTAACTCAGAATACATGTCACATAGCTGAGTAACGTTTATTAAAACCTCATGTTGTATCTCCTGATTGTATATGTAAATGTATTTTTATGGGTTTTGGAACTTATGTGCTTCTGTTTTTTTATGGTTCTGAAAATGAGTAGAACAGGGTGGGGAAGAAAACCGAGACCTGTCTCACCCCGTAGTGACTGGTTGTAAAAGCCACATTTTTGCACAAATATTATGATAGAAAGTTGCCATGTTTGTTCATTAAGGAATAATATTTGAATTTCATCATGACAAGCAACTACTGTCTCTCAGTAGAAATTCAATAACAACTTGCCATTGAGGGGTGGAGAATTGGAAATTAAGCCAAGATGCTGAGGTTCTCTTCTTAGACAAGAAGTAATTGTGCTGTTCTGTGATGTTGAGGAAATTACTCTGTGTCTCTGAGTTTTACTTTCTTTGTCAGTAGGAAATGAAATCGCATATGAGGGGACTAAGACTCTACTGTATGACAAATGATTCACTTACATTATGTCTAAGCCTCAGAACAAAAACACAGCCATCCCCAGATGTTTCACAACTGGCAGATAGAATTTAAAATCAAATTCTAACAGCCTCTTATCTTGCGTGGGCTCTCAGCGTACACACCCCTACTCAGCCCTGCCTAAGAAATTCACAAAGGATCCAGGCCCAATGCACGCTCAAGAACAAGCCTGTGTCACCTGGATGCCCACATCTCTGTGACCTGGCACCTGTGTTGTTACTTCCGGCTATCCCCTCACTCCTCCATCTCCCTGGGTCTCACAGGCTCTGCGAGTCCTCAGTCCCTACTCTTCTGAGAGAATGTGCCCTACCCAAGGCATTTTTCCCAGGACTTCCAAAGCTGCAAAGCCTTTGCAATAACCCCAGGCATTAAATACTCAAGCATCTCCTTCTGCCTGCTACCGTTTGCATTGCCAGCAAAATATCTTTTAGAGTTACTTTTTGGAGTTAGAGTAAATATTTCTATTTCCTTCTTGCAGTGGCAGTACCCAAAGAACATAGAGAAAGCCCTTAGCCAGGGCTATATAATGCCCAACTCAACATGACCCTTGTCTTCCTCTCCAGCCTTATCCCCAGCAAATTCCTTGTTCTTAGAAACTCACATTCTAACAGTAGTGAGCAGCCCGTAGGCCGCTTCATACCTCTTTGCCTTGTGTGATCTTGCTCTCTCTCCAACTCCATTCTAACATGGTTGAAAATGTGCTTCCTCCATTCTGAGAGGATCTGGGCAGCAGAGTTCATCTTTGTGTCCTCTGTACCCTATGGTTTGTCCAAACACATTCTGCTGTTATCGAATCAGGTTCACAGTTTTGCCTTGTTTTGTTTCAATTTGGATCTTCTATACTAGTCTGCTCCTCAGAGGTCCAGTCAATGTTTACATTCCTTTGGGCATCCTTGCCACTTAGCAGAGTGCCTGGCCCATAACTGATGTTCAACGAACAATTGTTAGTGAATGAGTGAGTGAAAAATGAATAAACAAATTACAGTCTTCAAAGGGACATGGTAGCAAGAGATCACCATAGGGACCTTCATGGATTGAGCTGAAGGTTGCCCTTGAGAATCGCATCGAGCTCTCCAAGCATCATTGTATTGGTGTAAAAAGTAACATAAGAGGTAAGAGTGCGTGAAGAAATGCAGAGAGCACGACCAAGTTCCAAATAATGGCAGCTGCTGGCTTTCTCATGAGAGTCTCGGAAAGCTGAGACACATTAGGCAATGGCCGCTGCTAGGAGCCAAGGGAACCACCAATGGCAGACGCACTAGTGATGCTGGTTCGGGAAGGGCTGCAACTCCAAGGGCCGCTGGGTGGAAGGTGATGGCAGGCTTCCTGCCGCCAGCTCACATCAGGACAGCGTCCACCCATCGGGAGGCATCAAACACAGGCCATCCGGGACTTCCGTCTCTGCCAGAAAACCACGACCCTCTCCCTCCCACACGGCATCCTCTCCGCTATCCCAGTGGGCAGGGCAGAGATTGTTTTCAATACATTCTCCTGAAAAGAGAGAGAAAGCCATTTTCCCAACAGAAAGCCAGGGAGCAAGAAGATCTCAGTGAGCCTTTCAGCCAGCGACTGGAAACTTGAACGGACCCAATCTTCACATTTTGATAAAAGGCAAGGGGCAGGGAAGGGGGTTGGAGCTAGAAACAGGATAACAAGAACGGAGGTCATGTGAAATCTAGTGAGAGAAGTGTTCAGTAAAAACCAATACAAACACAAAAAAAAGAGACGAATTTCAAACCAAAATGAGGGTTTAATAATTCTTTTATTGCTGGAAAGAACTGAGTTCTTCCAATTTCTCATCGTGAGAAAGGAACTAATATGTGCCTGATGCTGAAAGTCCAGCAAACCATTTCAATTGCTGAGTTTTCCAGGTAATGGGGTATTTCTTTTGTAAAAGCTAACATTTCCTAAATTTTCGTGTTTTCTTCCTCTGTTGCACCTGTGGCGTATGAAATTCAAACAAGTCACCTAGATTAAAATATTTCTGCGAAGGCTATTAAACAGTGCTGCTTGTGCCTCCGTTTTTTTTTCTTCCTTTCTTTCTTTCTTTTTTTTTTTTTTTTTTTACTGAAAGCAAGTTTTTGGTGTAGAAATTAAATATCTAATGCAAATTTTTAGAAATAGATGTGAAGCTTTTCTTAAAATTCACTAAAATGTCCAGGGTGCTGTAATAATTTTGCTACTATGACTGTTGGACCTAGGAAGAAATTCACCTTGTGCTTAAATACAAAGTATTTCAAAATAAACTAGTGTTTATTGATCGTAAAGCAGTAAATACTCTTTAAACAAAAACATAAAAATGCAGAGAAGTAGAAAAAAGAAAACAATCACTTCTTAGTGCCATTGTACAAATACAACCATGTTTTTAAGAGTACATTTCTTTTCAGCGTTTTCCCTCTCTGTAAAGGGGTCTTGTTTTCAAAGTTGTCATTAACTCCATGTACAATTTATGTGATGACTTTATACAAAATGTCATCTTAATTATAAATGTCACAATAGCAATAACAAGGTTGGGCGTGGTGGCTCATGCCTGTAATCCCAGCACTTTGGGAGGCCGAGGCAGGCAGATCACCTAAGGTCAGGAGTTCGAGACCAGTCTGGCCAATGCGGTGAAATCCTGTTTCTACTAAAAGTATAAAAATTAGCTGGGCATGATGGTGGGCGCCTGTAATCCCAGCTACTTGGGAGGCTGAGGCAGGAGAATTGCTTGAATCCAGGAGGTGAAGGTTGCAGTGAGCTGAGATTGCGCCATTGCACTACAGCCTGGACGACAAGAGCAAAACTCTATCTAAAAAAAAAAATAAAAAAAAAAATAACAATGACTACCATCTGTGGAATATTTTCATGTCATAGCTGCTTTATATGCACCAACTCTAATCCACCCGATCCAATGCAGGAAGTGAAATTCTTTCTCATTGTAGTGACTACAGTAGTCCTATGTGAAATATGTAAGTGTATTTCCAGGGCCTCCACAGGTTCACTTGTAAATTTAGACTAGCCTTAAAAATGCCTTATTTACCCACAAAGACAGCACTTCCAAGCTGAAAGAGCAACAACAGTTGCTGGTGTGCAATCTCATTTTTAAAAAGAGAGAATTAGGGCCAAAATAGATTACGCAATTTGCTCAAAGCCACACAGTGACCCAAGGTCTTGGGGTCAGCCTGCCCTAAGCCTGTTGATTGCTCTCTAGGGCTTTCTACAACTTCCACCACCTTTCAATCAGTGCCACTACAATTAGCTTTCAGTAGGGGAGGCTGCTTGGAGCTTTCTTGCCCCTCATACCTCTTCCCAGTTCTTGCTAGGGAGCTCTCTGGAAAGCTATAACAGAAATATAGTATACATTATGTAAATATTCCTTTTCTGTCTTGAATTCATACATAGTTCCTGCCAGAGAGATGCAAATTTGTCCTAAAACTCTCTTGGGCCCTCTTTGGGGCTGAAGTCTTTGTTTTCTGAAGAGAAAGACATTTTCTGTAATTTTACCACACAATGAGAAGAGCATTTTAATAACAAGAGCAAAATCATCTCAAGCTCGCATTTCTCCCACATTCTTCTGTCTCTCCAGTAGGCCCTGGAGTGGAGTGATCTGAAGCAGGGTGGCATTCTTGGGGTAGAGGATGTAATCTACAATGATAAAAAAGGACTCCTGTGTTAGAGATACTATAACAAAGAGGCAAGAAACACAATCACTCCTTTTTTTTTTTTTTTTTTTTTTGAGATGGAGTCTCGCTCTGTCGCCCAGGCTGGAGTGCAGTGGCGCTATCTCAGCTCCCTGCAAGCTCTGCCTCCCAGGTTCAAGCCATTCTCCTGCCTCAGCCTCCCAAGTAGCTGGGACTACAGGCACCTGCCACCACGCCCAGCTAATTTTTTGTATTTTTAGTAGAGACGGGGTTTCACCGTGTAAGCCAGGATGGTCTCGACCTCCTGACCTCGGAACCACAATCACTCTTGATTCTCTTTAAAGACAAAATCATTTTAGAATTTGCTTCCCTTTTACCCACCATCAAACTCTCTTGTGGGAGGGGAAAGTTAATTTCAGTTGAAACAGTGACATCCCTGGAAGATAAGTTGCTATAAAAACACTCTTCTTCTGTTCCTTCTCCTGTGTGCCCAGTCAAGCTGAAGGTCAAATACATGGAAAAGATCTCCAAGTTTCTAAATCAGTGCTTACCAAGTAGCCATGCACTTGACAGGAGAGATGAGACACTTGCATATTTTTCCACCCCATTTCCTTTTACATCAAACACAATGCTCCTAAGCTGGGGTGTCTGTCCTGGAGAATGCAAAGATAGAGATCCTCATTTGGGTGACGAGGGAGGAACACCTTATCGCATGGGAGAAGGGGCAGTCATCAGTGGAGGGACAGAAAACCACATCAGATAGAGAGCTCGTCAGTCCATTTGCCCAGGGCTCTCCCAGGCCTACAGTGAATCCCGTACACCCTAGGGCCCTACAGATTTTGGCCACCTAATTTACAAAGGTAACCTGTGTCATAATTGCTTAGGATTGCACAGCAACACCTCACTTGCCCAGAGGCCACTTACCTAGAACCTCACTTGTCCAGAACTTAACCAAGATCTCAGGAACAAAACTGGTCTCTGAGAAGTTTAATGAGTGCACTAGTACACAGCTCAGGCTCTGAAGTTTGGTTTACGACACTCACAGGAGAGACCTCATCCAAAGCCAATGTCATCCTTATGTAATTCTAACCAGCACAATTGTTAGATTTCTCAGCCACAAATAGATTAGAAATCTCAAGTGTTTAAAAGGTGATGATTGACTTGCTCACCTGGCAGATGATGAAAAGGAAAGAAAAACATTATAAGTTAGTGAATGCATAGCCACCCAGATGTAGAATCAATGTAGAGGCGAATACACCTGCACCTCCGTAGCTTCTCGGGGGTCTCCACAGATAGCTCCATCTATCAATGAATGCCAAGAAGGACGACTGCCCTTGGTTCCATCATGCCCTTTAGATAGCAGCTTATACATCAAATTTTCAGAAAAACCTTCCTCCATGGCTTCGCTTGAAGCATCCTGAGGCCCTCATTCTGTTTCTCAGCCCCTGCTGTTTCCTTCCCAGTGCCTATCACAGTTCACAGTCATGTTCTTCATGACTCTCCTGTGTTCCACACTTGCCTACCTCCCGTGCATGTGGCACGTGGCCGTGTCCTTCTTGTTCATGGTTGGCTGCCCATCCGAGCTCTGTGCTTGTCACATGGAAGGTGCTTGATAAATAAATGTTGGATGAATAAAGAAATGTCACTGAGAAGCATTTACATTCCTTGATTACAATACATCACTTTAGAAATACTCATTTCAATCTACAAATGCTCCACAGAAAGATAGATACAAGGACATTCATTTATCAGAGGGACAGGAAAGGTGGAAGGAGGTAACCAACATTGATTGAGCAACCATCATGTACCAAGAGCTTTAATTTTCACAATGATATAGTAAAACAGGAGTGATTAGGTCTCACTTCACTGAGGAAGAAACTGAGGTTGAGTAACTTTCCAGTTTTATGCAATTAGTGGTAAGCTGAGCTGAAGCCTGAGCTTCACATGCCATGACTTGGATGGGTAAGCTTCAATTACTCTCACTTAAAGGCTAGCTCATGTGTTGTCAGGGATGCTCAGTGGGCCAGAACCAATAATTGGGTTCCAAAGGGAATAATTAAGATTGGAGCAAAACCTTGTAGATTGGGGCTGAGTCAAGTCTGAACGTCAAAACAGAGAGACCAGGTTCAAAGAGCAGACGTGGAATCATAAAAACATAGAATCAAAAGACAAGAGTCCCATAAAAACAGGATCTGAGTCAGTCTTCAGCCCACTTAAATCTTTCTTCCACCCCCAAACTTTCCCAAAACAGCACTCACTAAGGTCACTAATGACTTCAACATAATCAAATCCAATGGGTAATACTTTATCTTTCTCTTCCGTGGCTTCTCAGCAGCATTGGCATTCTGAGCACTTCCGCCTTTGTGAATCATTGTTTACCTTGGGCTTCCCCGTCTTCCTTACCTATCTGTCTGCTTCATCTCAATCTTACTTGCCACTTCATCCTCCTCCACCTCAGTCATAAATGTGGTTTCCAAGATCAATGTGAGACTTCCTCTTTCTCTTTCTCTCCATCTCTCTCCTCTCCCCCTGCATCCCCCCTCCCCATAAACTCATTCATTCTCCTGACTTTAAATATTATTGACAGATTGATGACTGTTTAAAATTTTATTTTCCATCCTACACCACACCTCTGAGCTTCAGACTTGATTTTCTTACTGCCTACTTGGCATTGCTTCTTGCATATTTCAAGAGAAGCCCAAATGTAAGGATTTCCAATACAAATTCATCATCTTGATCCTCATTTTCTTCAGTAGTCCCAACTTGAGAATGAGCCCATCTACCCACTTGTGCCAGCCAGAAATGCAGTATGCATTCTCATTATCTCCCTCTCCCTCAATCCTCAGATGTAAACCTATCCATTTAAAACTTCTAAGCTTCTCTAGACTTTGCCCATATCTCTTTCTCTCTAGCCACCATCCTGGTTAAATAAACTATCTGTTTTGTTTTTGTTTTTGTTTTTTTTCCAGCAGAACCACCCCTGATTAGCCTCTCCACCTCCACTCTTGCGCCCCCCCAGTTCATTCTCTATGTTGCCAGGAGAGACATCTTTTTAAAATATAAATCTGATTACATGATCCCACTAAATATAGAATAAAACTTCAAGTTTTAACATGGTCTATGTGTCCCTGCATGATCGACTTCTGCCTTGACCCCTGCTCAATCTATGAGACTGGGGAGTGACAGGTGGGTTCCCAGCTCCAGGAGTGGTGAGTGACCCACTCCTGGACCATCAGAGCACTCTGCCATGGAGACAGACACCACATCCAAGCCAGACCAATGGGACTCAATCTCGGTTCTTTGCGCTGAGTGGGAAAGAGAATTTCTCCTTCCCCTTTCCCCTGCTGAGTGGGCCAGAAGCTCATGTGTGATGCTGCCACCCTCTTGCCCACACAGTATGAAAATGGAGCCGACACACAGGAAGTCAGTGGGGGCAAGTAGAAAGATGCCAGTGGATGTAGCTCAGTGCTGGCACCATTGAGCTTCCAGGGCAGGGCCACAGACTTTCTCTCTAAGGGGCCAACTAGTAAATCTTCTAGACCATGTGGGCCATGCGGTCTCTGTTGCGACTCCTCAGCTCTGTTATCCTAGCATGAAAGCAGCACAATGTGTAAACAAAAGAGCAGAGCTATGTCCAATAAAACTTTGTTTATGGACGGTGACATTTGAATTTTCACATGCTCTGAAAAACTGTTCTTCTGTTGATTTTTTTCCCCCAACCATTGAAGAGGTGTAGGAACCATCCTTAGCTGGCTGGCCCTCCATCAGGCAGAGGCCAGATTTGGCTCACAGGCTGTCACAAGCTGCACCTGCCACTCGCTCTAGGCTTTTAGAAATGGAGCCTGTAAATTCTCTCTCTCTCTCTCTTTTTGGCTTAAGCCAATTCTGGATATTTTGTTTTTCTGTCACTTGTAAGTGAAAGAGTCCTGAACTTCTTATTCTTCATGTTTAGTATCTGGGATTTAGTTTCCCTCTTTTCTTTGCTTAAACAGCTAAGAAATCTAAAACAATCAAACAAACAAAAACTAATAGAAATGAATGCTTAAGCAATCTTTTCACATTTGCTAAGATTAAAAAAAAAGTTTGATAATACCTTAGCTGGTAAACTGTGGTGAAGCTGGGACTGAATGCATGTTTCAACACTAATATGAACAATTCATACATAGAAACACCAAAACAGTTACTTATAAATTTACTAACTTAAAAGCCTGAAATGTGATAAAAAGAATTTATTTTAAAATGCTATATTTGTTTGACACTGTCAGGTTGAACACCCATAACTAGAAAATATATTAGACTTTACTAGTAATATTTTTGTCATTGCCTTAGGTGGAATTTATTACCAATGCAGAATACATAGTTAAAAGTGTTTTCAACAATACTTTCATTCATTTACCCCAAATTCAAGTTGTCTGTATCAACTCTCCATTTATCTTTCTTTCTATCCATTACCTCTTTTTTGGTCATTAAGTTGGTTTGCAGTATTTTAAAAACTGATCTTTTAGTTTAAAGTAAGGAAAATGAACAAATAATTCTGATAAATTTATCTCTATGCCAATAATTAACCTAATACAATCTACAATATTGAAACACATGCTTAAAATTACTTTTGATAAAAAAAATTTATTTTCGTTGCCACAGTGCACATCCTGAAGTGGATTCAGATGTGCAAACTCATGATGAAAGGAGATTTAAGTCATGTACTGAAAAGTTAGCAGAGCATTAGCTTTAGTATTTGGACTATTCCTAAATAATAGCTTTAATAGTATACTCAGTGGGCCCAAGGATACATTTTTGTGGATCCTGAAGTTTTTTCCATATTGGTCTCAAAAATTTAGAAAGTTACCAGCAAGGAATATGTCCAGTTTCATCTTGACCTCACCAGCATTATATAAACATATATTATATATATAACATATTTACATATTTATATATATATTACTAAAAAATAATTTAAGTTTCCTCTTCTCTGTTTCCTAAGAAAGAAAAATATTTTTAATCTCTATTTGTTTTACTCCTATTTGAGTTAAACATTCACACTTTTTGTCCATTTTTTATTACGATCATTATTATTTGAGACAGGATCTCACTCTGTCACCCAAGTTGGAGTGCAGTGGTGCAATCTCAGCTCACTGCAGCCTCCACATCCTGAACTCAAACCATCCATCCTCCATGTCAGCGTCTCAAGTATCTGGGACCACAGGCACCCACCACCACGCCCAGCTAATGTTTTTGCATTTTTTGGTTTCACTATGTTACCCAGGCTGGTCTTGAAGTCCTGAGCTCAGGCAATCCATCTGCCTTGGCCTCCCAAAGTGCTGGCATTACAGATGCGAGCCCCCAGCCTCGTGTCCATTTATTTTGAGGCCGTTTGCTTCACTCTTCACTGTCATTTATAATTTGGTTTAGATTATTCTCTTGTCATTCTCTGCTATCTTTTTCCATCATAGCTTTTTAAAATATATGAATTAGGCTCCATTTACTTTTATATTTTTATATTAGATAGGTGTTAAATATCTTTTAAATACCACATTGACTTTAAGCCCTCTCAAATAGATTACTGTAATTTATATACCTAACAAATCAAAAATATTAAGGCTCCTATTGGATTGGTAATTAACATTGTATTATGTGTGCACTTTTTCTAATCTCTATTAGTTTAATTGTAAATTCTGACATCTCTGTGATTTTTATTTCAACTACAGCTAAACATTTAAAGTAATTTAATTAGCTTTTTTATGAGAAATAGGCAGTGCAATTTCATTAGCATTTAGTCTCCCCATGGTTTTCCAAGAAGTCTGAAAAAGTGCCCCCATCCCCACCCAAGAAGAGAAATCGGTATCCAATTTTAATTTACTAATTAATACCATGGTTTCCATCTTAAATAAGGTGTAGGCAAGAGACGTACACTTCTCATAAATTCTAGGTGACTTGTATTCTTCATCAATCAAATATATTTGACTACAAAGTGATAGCCACTAGGAAATAACTTTCTGTTGTTTCATTTCATGCAGGTTTAGGCACGGCAAAGAGATGGCAGGGCACACACCTTCCTGAGGCACACCACGGTTATCCAACCAAACCTACTTCCAGATCTTACCTAAAGGGAAACTAGTCAAGGCCCGAAACACTGAAGAAAAGCATCACTGTGCCAAAGTTTTAGAGTCTGATGAGATAAAACACTATTTAGAGAAATGTGTCACCACCTTCTTTTTTAACTAGTGGTGAATGGATAAACAAAAGGCAGTATAGCCACACAATGGAGTACTATGCAGCAGTAAAAAGAAACAAACTACCAATAAATGCAGAAACATGGAGGGAAATTATTGAGCTGAGTGACAAAAGCCAAACACAAAATGCTTCATACTGAATGATTCTTTTTGAAATCTAGATTCTTTATGAACTTATACAAAATACAAACTATTCTGTAGTGACCTCAGATAGATCACTAGTTGTGGGAGGCCACCGGCAGAGGCAGAGAGTTTTGCAAAGTAGCATGGAAACCTCTCTGGGTGATGGAAACATCCTGTGCCTTGATTGTAGCAGTGCTCATGGTGTCACAGCACAGTGAATGGACACTCTAAATAATGCAGCCTTTTGCTTGTAAACTATACCTTGATTAAGTTGAAGATAAA
The DNA here is from genome assembly GCF_000001405.40 of Homo sapiens. Taxonomy (NCBI): domain Eukaryota; kingdom Metazoa; phylum Chordata; class Mammalia; order Primates; family Hominidae; genus Homo; species Homo sapiens. The sequence continues at coordinate 55,000,440 of NC_000007.14, forward strand.
TGGCTAATTAGTACATGAACAAAGCTTGATGCCATTAGACAATAAAGAAATGCAAAAACAAGATAAAACCATTTCATGCCTGAAGTTTATTGCATAGAAATTTATCTTAATTTTAAAGGTGCAGATCTTTTAAAAAGAATATAAATAAAAAATTTTTAAACTAGAAACAAAGCACTCAAATTCTACTTGCAAATGTGTGAAATTGTATTACAGGTTATTCAGTTAGCATTGTATGGAAATACTTTAAGTGTCCTTCAGTAGGAAGCCAGGTAAATAAATTAGCTTCAACTTAATGGAGGTATAGTTACATACAATAAGCCAGATCTATTTAGAGTGTCCTACATAGACAGATAGATAGATAGATAGATAGATAGATAGATAGATAGATAGATAGATGATGGATAGGTAGAGAGAGAATGTGTGTGTGAGAGAGACAGAGAAAGAGAGAGAAAGAAAAAGAGAAGAAACAAAGAAAGAAAAAGAGAGGAAACAAAGACAGAAAGAAAAATAAAGAAGGAAAGAAAGAAAGAAAGAGAAAAAAAGAAAGAAAGAGAAAGAGAGAGAAAGAAAAAAAATACTGGGCAATAAATAATGAGTAACACTTAAGTATTGATATGGAATGAGCTCCAGGATATACTATTACATATTTTTTTAAGTGCAGAAATAACAGTGTATGTATAGAGACTATCTCTGGAAGGACCCGTCTATGGTTTGAATGTCCTCTCCAAAACTCATGCTGAAACTTAATTTCCAATGTGGCAGTATTAAGAGGTTAATATATTAGATTAATGAATCAATGTGTTATGATGAGAGAGAGGCTTGTGGCTTTATAAGAAGAAGAGGAATCTGAGCTAGCATGTTATGTAGCACGCTCAGCCCCCTTAACATGAGATGCCCTGCACCACCTGGGGACTCTGCAGAGGGCCCCACCAGCAAGAAGGCTCTCAGCAGATGCAGTTCCCCAACCCTGTACCTCCCAGCCTCCATAAATGTAAGAAATAAATTCATTTTCTTTATAAGTTACTCAGTTTCAGGTATGCTGTTATAAGCAACAGAAATCAAACTAAAACCCCCAAGGAGCTGATGAGCGTGATCATCTCTAGTGATGGCTGGAGATGGGATGGGGTTTTTCACTGTACAGTTTTAAAACTAATTTCAAACCAAGTGAATTAAGTATTCAAATTGTAAATGAAATTAAATTAATAAAACATGTGGACATAAACAGAAGCAGGTGACTTTTCTCAAGGGTCCGTCTCATTCACCGTTTCTAAGGCAAGCCTTGGTAGTGATGCCTGCCAACCACCATGTTCCCTTCCTCCTCCTTCCTGGCACTCTCAGACACTCTGCTTTGATGCCCACCCCTTCAGTACCCTCACTCCCCATTGCAGTCGCCTGATCTGCAGAAGCACTATCCTGCCATCCTCCTTCCACAGACACCTTTCAGATCCCTGGCACAGCAAACTTTTCTCTTGATGTCTGCCTAGGAAAGACATGGAAAAAAAAAAGACATCAATGGGAAGGCAATATGAAGATTTAATATTATAAGGAGGTACAGAAAATATATTGTAAAGATATCAACATTCCTAAATATTCCAATAGATTATTAAAATTCCAACTAAAACCCCACTCAAATCAGACTCTTTCCTCATCACTCCCATGAATCTTTTCCTTGATAAGGACACCAAGGATATTCCATTTGCTGGAATCCACTGACTTATCTGCAGCTTTGGATAAGGCTGATTAATGGCGGCTTTTCCCCTTTCTCTAGGACAATCACATCCCTCCCTTTTGGTGCCTCTGCTCCTTCCTCATCTCCTGGGTCTCTTCCCCTCGCAGGGCTCCAGGGCTCAAGACTCGATTCTCTTCTCCATGCCCTTTATATTCTCATCTAATCTCTTTATGATCTGGCTTAATCTCAAGACTTTAAATAGCAACTGTATATTAATGATCCCAATTTTTACCTCTTGCCTGGAGCTCTCTCCTGAAAACCAAGCTCATATATTCAACCACTTGCTCAATACCTCCACTTGAAAGTCTAAAAAGTACCTCAAACACAGGAGACTCTTGGGTTTTCTCCTTCCAAACCTCTCCTCCCTCTCTGTTTTTCATCTCAGTGAAGTCTCATCACCAAGTTGCTGTTCAAAACCTTGGAGTCACCCTTGGCTTGTCTGTCCCTCACGCCCCTGATGTGATCTGTCAAGAATTCATGTCAGCTCTTTCTCCAAAGTACAAGCAGAATCCAATCACACCTCTCTGCCTGCTCCACAGCTGCAAGCCAGTCCTGTGTCTCACCTGAACTATTGCAGCAGCCTCTTACCTGCCTTCCTTTCCTATTGGACACAACTGGAAGAAGGATCCCATTAAGACCAACTTGATGATGCATGACACTTGTCTGTTACAGTCTTCCAATTTTTTCTCATCTATTTTTTATTTGTTTGTTTTTTGAGACAGGGTCTTAGCTCTGTCACCCAGGCTGGAGTGCAGTGGCATGATCATGTCTCACTGCAACCTTGGCCTCTGGGGTTCAAGCAATCCTCCTTCCTCAGCCCCTAGTGTAACTGGGACTTCAGGAATGTGCCATCACACCTGGCTATTTTTTTATTTTTTGTAGAAACAGGGTCTCGCTATGTTACCCAGACAGGTCTCAAATTCCCGGGCTCAAATGATCCTCCAGCCTCAGTTTCCCAAAGTGCTGGGATTACAGGTGTAAACCACCTCCATCTATTTTTTAATAGAAGCTGAAAACATTACAATAGCCTACCAAGGCCCTACAAGACCCCTCCCCTACATCATCCCCTTTCCCCCCCTCCCATTCCCCCCCCCCCCCACTGAGCCACACTGGACTCCCTGCAGTTCTCTAGGTAAACAAGGTAGAGTCCTGCACACCGGGAAGGCAGCTCCTCCCAGACACACGCAGCCTTCTCGTTTAGCCCTTCCCTGAGCATCTTATTTAGGAGGTATCCGTCTCTGTTCCCCTTCCTTCATTTTTCTGCATAGCACCTATCCCATAATATCTATGAATACTGGCTGTTTACTGACAGTTTTTTACCCACTGGAATATGTGCTGGGCACTATTTTAATAATTTGGGGTTTGGACAGCAAGCAATGCCAAAGTCCGTCAACCATGTTCACGAATGCACCTAAGACTGAGGCGTTCATTACACAAACGAAACGGCTTCACCTCGAACTGGAACGAGCTAAAGGCCATCTCCCACTCACTTTTCTCCCTAACCCCAAACAAGACCTAGAAACAAGGCAAATGTCTATTCTGCACAGGTCCACACCCCACATCTCCTGTGAGAGGTGACAGATCAATGAGCATTCGCGGCTTTCTTGAGTGGGACCAGAAGAGAATCCAGGCTACCTCTGGAGATAAAAAGGACTTAGTGGCTTCTGTGAATGAACAGCCTTGAGGACGCAGCCTCCTGAGGTGGCTCTTGGGTCAAGCTAACAGTCTGTTCAAGGCAGAGGTACTACTGCTGTGCCCTGGGTCAGGCAACATGCCAGAACCAGAACCCTGGGCTTGGAGATGATGGGGAAGGCGGTCCCGCAGGGGATTCGGCCTGCTGGAGTTCGCCAGCGAGCAGAGGGTCTGCATCCCCAGAACAGGCTTCCCACTGTTCCACCCCCTGAGCAGCCTTCGGTCCTGTGCAAAATCCAGCACTGACCAGCGCTGGTCCTTGAAACTGTCCCATGACACAGAATTTATCTTCATATTGACCTAGAGCTTGGGGTCTTTAGGTCTCCTAAAGCCAAGTAAAGGCCTTGCCTGAGTGAACACAGCCAGCTGAGCTCCCTGAGGCCCTGCAGTGTGGAGCCGCCAGCGTGCGTGTGGGCAGCTTCCCTTCCCGGCCCTGCAGCTCAGGGGCGAGTGTTTCCTCTGGAAGATGGGAGCTTCTCAGGGAAACTCGAGCCTCCGTGAGGTCGCCCTCGGATCAGACGGGCTGTGGAACTGAGTTTTCGGGCTCCTGTGGGGCACTTCTCTGAGGACCTCTTAGCACTGTGTCAAAGGACCAGGTCTGCCTATTCACACTTCTTGGAGAATGAGTTAAATCTGGTGGCTTGGAGGGACGTTGGTGTGTCCCCTCCTACGAACCCAAGGATGGTATTTCCTGGATGCACTTCTGTGAGCCCCGCGCAGCCAGAGCAGGGGGTCCAGGTTCGCCGCGGCCGCGGGGAGCAGGGCGGGCCTGGTTGAGGCCCGCGCGGAGGCCCCGAGTCCGCAGGAGGGACCACTGTGCCCGGGCAGGCTGGCCAGGCGCCCTCGCTCAGTCCGCGGAAACCCTAGCTCAGAAAGACCCATTAGAGAGAAGGAGAAGGCGATCTCAGGGCTTGGCTGCGGAGTCACCGTGTCAGAACCTGGCCCTGACAGTGGGGCTGGGCGCTGAAGCCGCTCCTGCGTCCCGGCCCCGAGGGCTGAGGCACCTGCCCTTCCCTGCCGCCCACGGTGGGGAGACCCCAGCCAGATTCCAGGGCGACTTGTGCGACCGCTGGCTTCTGTGCCAGGTGCTGGGCAAAGCCACTGCAGACCACCTAATAATTAGAAAAACAAATTCTAGAAACATCCCAAATTCAGAAAAGGAAAGGACGCAAAAGCATCCAATACCCCTGCCCCATCCCGCAGAAATCAACCCACCCTGGCCAGTGAGGCCTCCAAGTCCTCAAATAAGACAGAAAGATTTAAAATAAATAAACAAAAAAGTTCTGGGGCGGGGGGAGGGGGAGAGCCAAACTGGTAAGACAAAGCAGTGAGAAACCGAAGCTTATTAGCAAAGGCCGGGTAAAGAGCCAGGCAGTGAACTCTGGCCACATCGGAACTCACTGCCTCCCCGAGCACGGCCTCGGAGGCTGAGAGGCCTGGGAGGCAGGGCCGCGTCCTGCGGGCTCCACGAGAGCCCTGTGAAATGCCAGTCAGATCCTGGCCCAGTGCCCCAGGTCCTCCCGCAGCCTCGGCAAAGCCCTCCCCCGGCGCTGGAAACCTTCCCCTGCCAGGCGCAGAAGGCCGCGCGCAAGCACGCAGCTCACAGTCACCGCCACCTGCTCTGAAACCCCAGGTTCAGCGCAGGATCAGAGTCCCCCATCCCCACCCCACGCGAAGGGACGCAGGATTGACAGCGACCCTGAAGAAATGCAGTCGAGAGCTATTGTGAAAGGGCGCTGGCCCGGAGGCCCCCCAGCCCGCGCAGGACAGGCCAGTTAATCGCCTTGGTCCCAGGCCCCTATTAGCGTGTCCATCTGCGACAGCAGGACACGCCTTCCCATGCCAGCCGCTTTGGGGCCCGTGCGGCCCTTTTTCCCTCGCAGCTGCTGCAACAAATAGCAGTTCTTTTGAGGGAAGGAACAGTGTGGTCCTCAAAGTTCATAATGAGAAATCTTGGAGAAAAGTCATAGTTGCTAAGCTGCGCCATTGGAGGCTTGAAGGGTTCTTCTTAAAAAAATTAATGACTAATTCTATGTTTTGATTGTTCATATGACGACTAATTAAAGGAGAAATCTAATGGGCTGGACTCCACTTCAGGCTTTTTTTGCTCTATCTGCATATATGGAGCTGCTCACAAAACTTTCAGGGAAAGGAAAGAACAGTAACCCTTTAAGGGTTTTATATAGGCAACCTTTCAGCTGGAAAAAACGCCTGTGCAGAATGGTTCTGGCAAGAATTCACCACGTGCCGGGTGCTGTCCCTGCATTATTTCAAGCCAGAGCAATCCTGTGTACAAACACGTACGCCAGTCCACAGAAGATCACACAAGGCTGTTGCTTGGAGAGACTGAAAAAATATCATGTGCTCAAAGCCACAGTTAATGGCAAATGGCCCTGGCATTTTTGGGTCCCTGTTCATTTGGATACTCCATGTTATCTCGCTCTCCTCTCCACAAATACATAGAATGAGTGTGTGTACAACGAACATATTATAGAAATATATAATGTATGATAATATAATGTATGTTTATATATTAAACAAAGTAATTTAATCTTAAGCATATATAAAATATACCGTTTAAATATTTAACAAGGGGTTGACTACCTTCTTGTATACATTAAGGTGTGCTGTGATATGATGAGTGACAAACAACCTGCACCTCCCGTGAGCCTAATGAGGGGGTGTTTCTCTCTCTACACACCCATCGTTAGAATGCCACCTACGAGTCCGGCCCAAGGGGCTGCTCCCCTCCCTCTGTTCCCAGGCTGAGGAGGAGGTCGCTGGCCAACAAGAGGGAGGAGGAAGTGACCTGGGGAGGCGTGGCCTGGTTCAGGGAGCCTCTGCCCCAGAGTGACAGGAGTCCTACCATCAGCAGGTTATGCAAGCCTATGGCGGACTTCCAAGGACCGCCAAGAACCATCCACCAATGGGGAGAAAAAACAGATGCTTCTGATCACAGAAGCAGTCTACGCTTCTCCTTTAGGCTACAATTAACTGGCCTCGGTGAGATTACTAAGAAGGAAAGGCAGCGCACACCTGCCAAATGATCTTAGCAGGTGACAAAACTAAATGCTACAATGTCAGAACAACTCCCTAATCTCCAGTGACACAGCAATTGCCCTAAATGCAGGCACTGAGGATTCCAATGCTTGTGTCACCACTAACTAGTTGTGTTTGACATTTATTTTAACTGTGGATAGCAAAACATCCTATTTTTTATGGTGTTGAGAAACCAGTGAAATTATTGATTATGGAAGAGTAGAAAGACTTTTCGTCTTACACATACACACACACACACACACACACACACATCCCTGGTTAGCTTAGGTGACCTTTTGTAGATTGACTGTAAGTTCTGCAAAGGCAGGAACTAGTGAGTGACCCCATATATCCTGCCACCTCTGGCTCTTGATAAATGAGTGTTGAGTAAATGCCATTTACTCCAACTCTGAATTTTAATCAAATAGCCAACAACCCTGAAAACTCCTATGTGTTTTATTTTATTAATAAAATATTATTTATTAATCCTTTGTCTCTTTGTGAAACAAGTAATTTGGACAAGGTGCTTACCTTGTCATCTAAAAAATGGCGAAGAACTATCTGTGAGGTCCCTCCCAGGTTTGTTTCAATGACTGAGGCTTTGTAAGCTCAGTCCCTTAAAAGTAACAACTGCAAGAATTTCTGCTGATTTTTTGGAGGGGCCCTAGAAACTCTAATTTTCCATTCAATTGCAGAAATAGAACACCAATTTGCTTTGGATTTCTCTAGCCCTGTCATTTTTAGCCTACATATTTTTGACCTTGCAGACCCTCCAGATTTTCTGCCATCTAAAAATGCCACTTGAAATCTAGCTTCTGGAGACCTCCTCTCAAAAGCGATTTATTTCCTTCTATAGTACATGTGGAAGCTTCATTCCCTCTGTTTATATTCCTTGTGAAAAAAAATAAATAAAGTGACACAATTTTCTCAGTTGGTGACCTGCCTTGAGTTTCTCCTTGGAAGAATATAAGCTTGAGAATAGGTCTTTGCTCCAGGACCTTTATTACATAAGATGAGACATAATTACAATAATTAAAATAATGAAATCAGACATAGCTAAAATGCTTCAAAATGTCTCTTTAGTTGTGTCCTAATAAGCACTCATTCTCACTTATTACAGTTTATAGACAAATTAGCCAGACAAAACTTGCTGCTTTGTAGGATTGGCAGTGAAGTTGACTCCAGCCACCTTCCTAAACCTCCATCTCCTACCCGTGATTACCTGCAAAGCCAACTCATGTTCAACTCATGGAACATGGTCATTCCACATGTACCATAAATTAATGGATAGATCCTTTTTTCTCTGTTCTGCAACAGAACTGAATTTGCTTCCAGAAATGTTTAACTGGTTTTTAGAAAGTCTGCCTATAAGGATAATCATGAGCTGTGATAAACATTTGTGCTTGAATATTACTCCATATTTGAAATAGGCAATTTAAAGAGATGTCTATCATGATATATAATGTATTATGGCATCTGGACAAAAACCTGTTAACAAAAACATATGTACACATATATGAGATGAGAGAGAGAGACGAATGAAGAAAGAAAGATAAGGAGAGGGGAAAAGCAGAGATAGGAAGCATACCTATAAAGTGGCACTATCATGATTTAACCACGGGGGATGAGTTACAAACTCTAATGCCTACAGTGACCTCACAGACCCATGAACAAGAGAATCAGGATGGCAGCTCCAGCGTGAACTGGAGATCAAATGTACCTCCTAAAGAGGACAGTTACCATTTAGCCACCTGCCATCTTCCATGAAAGCAAACACAGTTAGCCAACAATTCCCATTTTCCGAGAGAAACACAAAGTCTACAGTTTAAATGTAAAACCTTCTGATTTTTAAGTGTTGCCATTAATTAAACTAAAAGGAACATTGAATGGACTTCACAAAACTACATCTGTACCCTGAACTTGGTTTTCAGACCACCAGTTACAATCTCCAGGCTAGTGTTTCTAGTAACATCTGTCCCTGAAACAAGCTACAATACCTTGAACAAAATTATTTAAGCTCATTTGTAAAATTGTCACTAGGGGGGAAGCATTGTGAAGGATACAGAAACCTTCTATAAGATCCCTCTGCAAAGTAATTAACAAACATCTCAACGATGCTGAAACTAGCATTCAAACATGCAGTCATGTTTTTTTATTGTTGTTGTTAATTCATAAACTTTATTTTTAGAGCAGTTTTAGGTTCACAAAAAAGTTGTGCTAAAAATATAGAGAGTTTTTGTATACCCCTGTGCACACACATACATAGCATCCCCCCAAAAGTGGTGTCTTTTTACGACTGATTACCAACATTGACACATCATTATCACCCAAAGTCCATAGTTTATGTTAGGGTTCCCTCTTGGTGTTGTACATTCAATGGGTTTTTACAAATGTAAAATGACAGGTATCCACCACTGAAATATGGTATAGAATAGTTTATCAGCCCTAAAAATCCTCTATGTTCTGCCTATTCATCTCTCCTTCCCGCCAACCACTGGCAGCCACTGATCACCTTACCGTCTCCATAGATTTGCCTTTTCCAGAATGTCATATATAGTCATGCATCACTTAACAATGAAAATATGATCTGAGATGTGTGTCATTAGGTGAATTTGTCATTGTATGGTCATAACAGAGTGAACTTACACAAGCCAAAATGATATAGCCTACTATACATCTAAGTTATATGGTATAGTCTATTTTTCCTAGGCTACAGACCTATCTGACATGTTACTGTACTGAATACTGTAGGCAATTATAACATAGTGGTAAATATTTGTGTATTTAAACATAGAAAAAGTACAGTAAAATTATGGTATTATAATCTTATGAAACCACTATTGTATATGGGTGCCATTGTTGACTGAAATGTCATTACGTGGCACATGACTGCAGCAGGAATCATAAAGTATGTAGCCTTTTCAGATTGGCTTCTTTCACTTAGCAACATGCACATAAGTGTCCTCCATGTCAGTTCATGGCTTGATAGCATATTTCTTTTTAGCACAGAATAACAATCCATTGTCCACATGTACCATGGTTTATTTATCCACTCATCCACATGAAGACATCTTAGTTGATTCTAAGTTAGGGAAGTTATGAATAAAGCTGTTATAAATATTCATGAGCAGATTTATGTGGACAACAGTGTTCAACTCATTTGGGTAAGTATCAAGGAGAGAAATCATTGGATCATATGGTAAGAGTATGTACACTTTTATAGGAAACTGCTAAGCTGCATTCCTAAGTGGCTGTACCATTGTGCCTTCCCATCAGCAATGAATGAGACTTCCTATTGTTCCACATCCTCATCAGAATTTGGTGTTGTCACTGATCTGAATTTTTTCCATTGTAACAGATGTGTAGTGGTATCTCACTGTTGTTTTAATTTGCAATTTCCTAATGACATATGATGTTGAACATCTTTTTATATGCTTACTTGCCATCAGTGTATCCTCTGATGAGGTGTTTGTGTAGGGCTTTGGCCCATTTTTAAATCAGGTTATTTATCCTCTTATTATTAACTTTTAAGAGTTTAGTTCTTTGCATATTTTGGATAACAATCCTTTATCACATATTTCTTTTGCAAATTTTTCTCCAGTATATGGCTTGTCTTCTTCTCCTGGCATTGTCCTTCTCAGAGCAGAAGTTTTTAATTTTAATAAACTCCAGCTTATAAATTATTTATTTCATGGATTGTGCCTTTGGTTTTGTACTTAAAAAGTCATTGTCATACCTAAGGTCATCTAGGTTTTCTCCTACGTTATCTCCTAGGTGTTTTATAGTTTTGCATTTTACATTTATATGTATGATCAGTTTTGAGTTAATTTTTATGAAGTGTGTAAGGTTTGTATCTACATTCATTTTTTGCATGTGGATGTCCATTTGTTCCAGCAATATTTGTTGAAAAGACTATACTTGCTCTATTGTATTGTGTTTCTTTTTTGTCAAAGATCAATTGACTAAATTTATGTGCGTCAGTTTCTGATCTCTCTGGTCCATTGATATATTTGTCTATTCTTTCACCAATACCACATAGTCTAGACTACTGTAGTTGTATATGTCTTGAAGTCAGGTAGTGTTGATCCTCCAATTTTGTTCTCCAATATTGAGTTGGCTATTGTGGGTCTTTTGCTTGCCCATAGAATCAATTAGTCAATATTTACAAAATAACTTGCTCGAACTTTGACTGGGATTAATCTATAAATCAAGTTGGGAATAAGTGACATTTTGACATTATGGAGTCTTTCTGACCATGAACACAAACTATTGATCCATTTATTTAGTTATTTGATATCTTTCACCAGAGTTTTTTTGTTTTTTTCTTATAGATCTTATACATATTTTCTTATATTCATACCTCAGTATTCCATTTCAGGGTGTTAATGTAAATGGTAATGTGTTTTTAATTTCAAATTCCCTTAGTTCTTTGCTGGTATATAGGAAAGTGATTGGCTTTTGTATGTTAACGTTGTATCCTGCTCACTTGCTATAACTGCTTATTAGTTCCAGGAGCTTTTTTATTGTTTCTTTTGGATTTTCTAAGAGACAATTACATTATCAGTGAACAAACACGATTTATTTCTTCCCTCCCAATCAGTATTCATTTTATTTATTTATTGTGTGTTATTGCATTAGCTAGGACTTCTAATACAATGTTGAAAAGCATTGGTGAAAGGAAACATCCTTGCTTTGTTCCTGATTTTAGCTATAGGTTTTTGTAGCTGTTCTTTATTAAGTTGAGGATATCCTTCTCTATTCTTAGTTTGCTGAGAATTTTTATCATGAATAGGTGTAGGATTTTGCCTAATGTTTTCTTCTGTATCTATTGATATGATCATGTAATTTTTCTTTATCTATTGATATGATCTGTTGATGTGATGAACTACATTAATTGAGTTTTCAAATGTTGAACCAGTCTTGCATATCTGGAATAAATCGGAGTTGGTCATCATGTATAACTTTGTTACACTTTGTTGCATTTGATTTTGTAATATTTTCTTGAGAATTTTTACATCTATGTTCATAAAAGATATCGGTCTACAGTTTTCTTTCCTTTCTTGTAATATCTCTGTCTGGTTTTGCTATTAAGGTAATTCTGGCTTCACAAAATTAATTATGGAGTCTTCCCTCTACTTCTAGTTTCTGGAAGAGATTGTAGAGAATGGATGTAATTTCTTTCTTAAATGTTTGACGAAAATCAGCACTGATCTCATCTGGGCTTGGTGCTTTCTGTTTTGGAAGGTTATTAATTATTTATTCAATTTCTATAGTGGATATAGGCCTATATTGATTGGCAATTTCTTCTTGTATGACTTTTGGTACATTCTATTTCAAGGAATTGGTTCATTTCATGTAGGTTGTTAAATTCGTGGGTATAGCTGTTCATAATATTCATTTATTATCCTTTCAATGTTCATGAGATCAGTAGTGATGTTCCTTCTTTCATTTCTGATATTCATAATTTGTGTATTCTCTCTTTGTTTCTTAGCCTGGTGAGAGGCTTATAAATTTTATTGATTTTTTGAAGAATCACTTTTTGGTTTTGCTGATTTTCTTGCTGGGATTATAGGCGTGAGCCACCACACTCTTGCTCATTTTTTCTATTTTTGTTTTCCACACTTTTTCTGCCTCTGTGGATTTTACACAGCATTTTGTATAATTCGATTTCCTCTTTTTAGCATAGCAATTATTTTAGTCTTTAACTTTTTAAAATCAGTTGCCCTAGATTTTTTTCTCCCAACATTTTGGGAGGCCAAGGGGAGAGGATCACTTCAAGCCAGGAGTTTGAGACCAGCCTGAGCAACATAGCAAGGCACTATCTATACAAACATAATTTTAAAAAGTCCAGGCATTAGCTAGGACTGTGCCTGTAGTCCCAGCTACTCAGGAGGCTGAGATGAGAAGATCACCGGAGCCTAGAAATTTGAGGCTGCAGTGGGCTGTGATCATGTCACTTCACTCCTGCCTAGAAGACAGTTAGACCCTGCCTCTAAAATAAACAAGCAAATAAATAAAAAGAAAGGAAGAAAAGAAGAGCAAGGGCAGCAAATAGAAAATAGTAATAAATATGGTAGCTATTAATCCAACTATGTCAATAATTACCTTAAATGTTAGTGGTCTAAATATACTGCAATGGACTGAATGTTTATGTCTCCTCAAAATGTATATGATGAAATGTAAGCTCCCAAAATGATGTTATCAGGGGAGAGTGTTTTTGGGAGGGGATTATGTCATGAGGGTGGAGGCCTTACAAATGGGGTTAGTGCTATAAAAGAGACCACAGAGAGCTGCCTTGGTCCTTCTGCCATGTGAGGGCACTGTGAAATTATGGCCATCTATGAAGAAGTGGGCCCTTATTAGACATCAAATCTGCAAATACCTTGATCTTGAATTTCCCAGCCTCCAGAACTATGGGAAATAAATTTCTGTTGTTTACAAGTAAATCATTTTATGTTATTTTGTTACAGAAGCCCAAAAAGATGAAGACATACACCAGATCACTCCATTCTCTTCTTGCTTGCATGGTTTCTGAGGATACGTTGGATGTAATTCTAATATTCTCTATAGGTATTTTCTTTATGGCTCCTCTACAGGTAAGGTGTTTTTTCCCTTTGGCTTCATTTAAGAATTTTTCGTTAACCTTTGATTTTCTGAAGTGTGAATATGTTATGCCTAGGTATCATTTGTTTGTTTGGGTTTTCTTGGCATATATCTTCCTGATGTTCTCTGAACTTCCAGAATCTGTGATTTGTTGTCTGACATTAATTTGGAGGAATTTTTGGTATTATTGCTTTAAATATTGCTTCTGCTCCTTTTTCTCTTTCTTTGACTTACAGTATTCCCATTACATGTAATTATCTCACAGTTCTTGAAAGTTTTGTTTTGTTCTTTTTGTTAGTCGTTTTTCTTTCTGTTTTTCAGTTTTGGCAGTTTCTGTTTACGTATCTTCAATCTCAGAAATTCTTTCCTCAAGCATGTTCAGCCCACTAATGTGTACTTCAAAAGTATTCTACATTTCTTTTACAGTGTTTTTGATCTCTAGAATTTTTAAATTCTTTCTTAAAACTTTCATCTCTCAGGAATTCAAGACTAGCCTGGGCAACATAGTGAAACTCTATCTCTACAAAACATTAGCCAGGTATGGTGATGCATGCCTGTAGTCAGAGCTACTCAGGAGGCTAAGGTGGGAGGATCACCTGAGCCTGGGAAGTTGAGGTTGCAGTGAGCCAAGGTCACGCCACTGCACTCTGGATTGGGCAACAGAGCCAGACCCTGTCTCAAAAAAAAGAAAAATTCCATGGCTCTGCTTACATTATCCATCTGATCTTACATGTTGCCTATTTTTTCCATTAAAACTCCTAGCCTATTAATCATAGTTTTTTTATAATTAATACTCCGATGTGATAATGTCTTAGTCCAATTACTGTGGTTATAACAGAATGCCACAAACTGGGTGATTTATAAACAAAAGAAGCTGATTTAGGCTGATTTAGAGGCTGGGGAGTCCAAGAGCTTGGTGCTAGCATCTGATGAGTGTCTTCTTGCTTCATCATAACATGGGAGAGGGCATCACGTGTGAAGAGAGCTTACTCTTATAACATAGCCACTCCCACAAGAATTAACCCACCGCCATGAGAGCCATGTGAATTCATTCATGAGGACAGCGGGTTAAGTTTCCAATATATGGACTTTTCGGGGACACATTCAAACCACAGCAGTTAGTTGTAACGTTCGTGTCATGTCTCATTCTGGTTCTGATGCTTGTGCAGTCTCTTCAAACTGCGTCTTTGCCTTTTAGTGTGCCTTGCAATGTGGAAATGATATACTGGGTAAGAGGAGCTGTAGTAAAGAGGCTTCTAGTGACGTAGTGACAAGCTGTGGGGAGAGGGAGTGTTGCACAGTCCTGCCGCATGTCACAGTCTTCCAGTGAGCCTGTGTCCCTGGACTGTGAACTTCATGCTTGCTTCTCAGCTTCCCCAGCCCCTTAGATGGTACAGAACTGTTGGAGGGGGGTGGAGTTGTATATTTCCCTTGCTCTGGGTAGGTCACCCTCTGATAAAACACCAGGTTAGGCCTCTGGTGAAATAATTTCTCCTGAGGGCAGACCTTCTATTAATAATAGAATGTTCCAACCTATTTCAAAATGGTTCCTCTTCTCCTTCCACTGCCAGAAGCATAATGAGATTTTCCCCCTAATATTCGTGGTAAGGACCTAGCAGAGCTCCAGGAGGTAACACTCTCAAGTGTCTCATACTACCCTGCACCATGACTGGGCTCTGCTGGAGTTCTTAATTTGCAGAACTGCCCACACTGAGCCTCCCGCAATTTCTCAATTACAGGGCAAACTTTCCCAGCCGGCACTGGGTCCTTGGAGGTTTCTGTCTGCTGGTTTCTTCCTCTGGAGGTTGTGCTTCTGTGTTTGCCTGTCTCTCCAATTTGGGGGGCAGTGGTTTGCCCAATGACCTCAATTCTCTGAAAGAGCTAAGAAGAGGTGTTAATTTTTCGGTTTGCTCAGCTTTCTACTTGTTGCTAGAATGGAGCGCCAATAGTGCCTCCTATAGTGACATGTAACCCTCAACTCTAGAGATGATGAAGCATACTAATGACAAAGGAGAAATGCTTCAGCAGTTTTCTGTCAGCACATTACCCCTTGAAAAAGCTGCTTCTTCCACATTCTGCAAGAGATGGGTCTCAACTCAGAGCTCAAGGCAAATGACTTCCTTCAAGGAGAAGGAATAAACAGTCTCAGAAACCATGAAAGCCTGCCCCCAGGAGTGTCCCTGAACCTCAGCAGGGGCCACACTTACCTTGCAGAAATAGGTGAGGCATGCTCCTGGTACAAAATCCCAATGGTACAGAAGGACAAATTGAAAAACAAGTCTCCCTCTAAACCCCTGACCCCGAGCTACCTAGTTCTCCTCCCTAGAGGCAAAGCTGTTACCAGATTCTTGTATCTCCTTAACATATATCCTTAGAAGAGCTGTCAAGTGAACACATGTTTAAGTGAAAACCTATTTTAGAAGTGCATTTTCTTAAGGAACTTTAGGGTTGGAAGGAACCTGTGTCAGTCCTTAATTCACAACCTCCATTAGTACTTATTGTTCTTGCACAAAAATCTTTCTCAAAAAAGCCCTTTCCACTCTGACATAGCTTATTCTACTTTTACTTAGCTCCAATAACTTATAAAACATATTTTTGAAAGTCTAAAATCTGCCACTATGTTTTTTTTTCCTAATCAATCTTTACTTTGACCTCTAAGCCAGAGAAAACAGGTGGTCAAATGCCTTTTGCCTAAGATGGAACTTAGAATATTTGAAGACCTCAGATCTTCACCCTGCCAAATAACGTGTTTCTCCTCCCCTTTCACAGAGCATTTGGTTTTAGGAAATTCAGAGCCACATTCCTTATAGACAAGACTAAACTCTTATTCAACATACTCAGAAACTTCTTCTAAGAGGATAACCACTCATCAGAGGAAAAAAGTTTCTCATGTACAGCTGGCAAAGGGATGGAACCATCTGTGTTATTAAAATTGACAGACGCTTATGAGATTTATTAAGGGAAATACTAGAGTCTTAGTACATACTTGCTAATATAGCATACATGAAGGCTTTATCTATAATTTTTTTGGCCAAGCAGAAATTTTGGTATTACTCACCCTAACAAATTTCCAAGACATTATGAAATAGAATTTTAGGTCCTGACATCACCATTTGTCTCAGGTTTTGAAGCGTTGCTGGACAAGAGGGGTAAAACACGGCTCTGCCTTGGATTCAAAGTTGGCCTCTCATACTAGCAAGTATACCTTGGTATCCTGGTCACTTCTCCCGGCCACAGCATCACATTGCTATAAAAGGCAGATACAAGTATTAACCAGCTCACAGGTTATCAGATAAGCTTAGTCTGACCAATGCTTAACACAGCAACTGGGCCACTATTGTCATTCCTGTGGTGGTGGCACACACACCCAGCCTCTGTCCGGGCCATGGTCTAGGACCACCCTCCACAGAGGCTGTGAGCTAGAGCCCTAACTGTGCAGGGCCCTAACTATGCCAGGCTACTTATCTCTCTTAAGAGGACTTCATTAGTGCCTGCTCGGCCATACAGTTTTTTACTTACCAAGTAACACAGTTATCAGCACACTCCAGGTACTAGCCAAGGACTACAAAATCAACGTGAATGTCAGCTTTTGTATCAAAAGCTCAAAGGAGAAACTCAAACTTTACATAGATGTCCCATGAAGATGTTCAGCAAACCCATTCTTCTCTGTTCCCTGGAATCCATCCCAGTATTGTGCTATGTGTGTGTCTAGTAATTCTTTACAAAAAGCTCTGTTTCTTGTGATGCTATCAGATCACATTGAAGAATATACAAGCCGTACTATGAAGGCTGTTGTCTCATATAGTCCTAACGTAGTGAGAACTGATGTTCTTACATGCTGTCTTTTTGGGCACTCAAAGAAATTCCTGTACAGTCTTACAAATCAGTTGTAGCTTAAATTGATTTGTGTTGTGACTTGTACACACAGGTCACATTCCCTTGACAGAAAATATAGTTTAAAACCAAATTTGCAGCCCTTGTTAAGTGAATGCACAGGACTTTATTGTATTCAGGTCTTTTATTGTAAGACTCACTCCTGTCTTCATTTTATGTTCCACTGTTGTGCTTCCCATTTGCCTTTCTCTAGTTTTGTTTTCTGTGTTTCTACGGACTGCTCTCAGCCCAGGTGTGCAGGAAGCACACACATGCCTGCAGAGCCTTCATGGCCTCTGCATTCAGGGCATGACTTCAACGCACAGTGGCTGTACTGATTTGTTAAAACAAAGGAACAGATTACTTCTCCTAATTCACAGGGAAGTTCCAGGTTGTGCGGGCAGTGAGCAGACCTGTGTCTGTCTGCGCTTGCCCTGGTGAAAAACCCCACCGTTCAGGCTGCAGGGTGCGAGACCCAGGCACAAACATTTTGCTGGATGAGGAGGAAAGATGTAAGGTTGCTCCCCTTCAGAGACAGCAAAGGGCAGGTCTGTAGCTTCACTTACTTCAGGATTGTGATTTTTGACAGAGCCGAGAGATCAGGGTTGTTGAACCAGGCCTGAAGGTCCTAGTGAATCTCGTGAAGAGAGGAGGGGTCTGGCTGTAACATGGACCTAGAGGACATTTTTACTGCAGGAGAAGGAACAGTGGGGATGGGGTGGACTTGCCAAAGGAATATAGCTCAAGTTCCTGCAGCCCAAAAAAGCTCAGTTTCTTTTGGCCAAAGCTTCCGCGAGTTTCCCTGGCATTTCTCCTGCGGGAGCTACAGGGGCAGTGGGACACTTAGCCTCTCTAAAAGCACCTCCACGGCTGTTTGTGTCAAGCCTTTATTCCAAGAGCTTCACTTTTGCGAAGTAATGTGCTTCACACATTGGCTTCAAAGTACCCATGGCTGGTTGCAATAAACATTAAGGAGGCCTGTCTCTGCACCCGGAGTTGGGTGCCCTCATTTCAGATGATTTCGAGGGTGCTTGACAAGATCTGAAGGACCCTCGGACTTTAGAGCACCACCTCGGACGCCTGGCACCCCTGCCGCGCGGGCACGGCGACCTCCTCAGCTGCCAGGCCAGCCTCTGATCCCCGAGAGGGTCCCGTAGTGCTGCAGGGGAGGTGGGGACCCGAATAAAGGAGCAGTTTCCCCGTCGGTGCCATTATCCGACGCTGGCTCTAAGGCTCGGCCAGTCTGTCTAAAGCTGGTACAAGTTTGCTTTGTAAAACAAAAGAAGGGAAAGGGGGAAGGGGACCCTGGCACAGATTTGGCTCGACCTGGACATAGGCTGGGCCTGCAAGTCCGCGGGGACCGGGTCCAGAGGGGCAGTGCTGGGAACGCCCCTCTCGGAAATTAACTCCTCAGGGCACCCGCTCCCCTCCCATGCGCCGCCCCACTCCCGCCGGAGACTAGGTCCCGCGGGGGCCACCGCTGTCCACCGCCTCCGGCGGCCGCTGGCCTTGGGTCCCCGCTGCTGGTTCTCCTCCCTCCTCCTCGCATTCTCCTCCTCCTCTGCTCCTCCCGATCCCTCCTCCGCCGCCTGGTCCCTCCTCCTCCCGCCCTGCCTCCCCGCGCCTCGGCCCGCGCGAGCTAGACGTCCGGGCAGCCCCCGGCGCAGCGCGGCCGCAGCAGCCTCCGCCCCCCGCACGGTGTGAGCGCCCGACGCGGCCGAGGCGGCCGGAGTCCCGAGCTAGCCCCGGCGGCCGCCGCCGCCCAGACCGGACGACAGGCCACCTCGTCGGCGTCCGCCCGAGTCCCCGCCTCGCCGCCAACGCCACAACCACCGCGCACGGCCCCCTGACTCCGTCCAGTATTGATCGGGAGAGCCGGAGCGAGCTCTTCGGGGAGCAGCGATGCGACCCTCCGGGACGGCCGGGGCAGCGCTCCTGGCGCTGCTGGCTGCGCTCTGCCCGGCGAGTCGGGCTCTGGAGGAAAAGAAAGGTAAGGGCGTGTCTCGCCGGCTCCCGCGCCGCCCCCGGATCGCGCCCCGGACCCCGCAGCCCGCCCAACCGCGCACCGGCGCACCGGCTCGGCGCCCGCGCCCCCGCCCGTCCTTTCCTGTTTCCTTGAGATCAGCTGCGCCGCCGACCGGGACCGCGGGAGGAACGGGACGTTTCGTTCTTCGGCCGGGAGAGTCTGGGGCGGGCGGAGGAGGAGACGCGTGGGACACCGGGCTGCAGGCCAGGCGGGGAACGGCCGCCGGGACCTCCGGCGCCCCGAACCGCTCCCAACTTTCTTCCCTCACTTTCCCCGCCCAGCTGCGCAGGATCGGCGTCAGTGGGCGAAAGCCGGGTGCTGGTGGGCGCCTGGGGCCGGGGTCCCGCACGTGCGCCCCGCGCTGTCTTCCCAGGGCGCGACGGGGTCCTGGCGCGCACCCGAGGGGCGGGCGCTGCCCACCCGCCGAGACTGCACTGTTTAGGGAAGCTGAGGAAGGAACCCAAAAATACAGCCT
Organism: Homo sapiens; assembly: GCF_000001405.40. Classification (NCBI taxonomy): domain Eukaryota; kingdom Metazoa; phylum Chordata; class Mammalia; order Primates; family Hominidae; genus Homo; species Homo sapiens. The sequence goes on from NC_000007.14 coordinate 55,019,877, forward strand.
CCCCTCGGACCCCGCGGGACAGGCGGCTTTCTGAGAGGACCTCCCCGCCTCCGCCCTCCGCGCAGGTCTCAAACTGAAGCCGGCGCCCGCCAGCCTGGCCCCGGCCCCTCTCCAGGTCCCCGCGATCCTCGTTCCCCAGTGTGGAGTCGCAGCCTCGACCTGGGAGCTGGGAGAACTCGTCTACCACCACCTGCGGCTCCCGGGGAGGGGTGGTGCTGGCGGCGGTTAGTTTCCTCGTTGGCAAAAGGCAGGTGGGGTCCGACCCGCCCCTTGGGCGCAGACCCCGGCCGCTCGCCTCGCCCGGTGCGCCCTCGTCTTGCCTATCCAAGAGTGCCCCCCACCTCCCGGGGACCCCAGCTCCCTCCTGGGCGCCCGCGCCGAAAGCCCCAGGCTCTCCTTCGATGGCCGCCTCGCGGAGACGTCCGGGTCTGCTCCACCTGCAGCCCTTCGGTCGCGCCTGGGCTTCGCGGTGGAGCGGGACGCGGCTGTCCGGCCACTGCAGGGGGGGATCGCGGGACTCTTGAGCGGAAGCCCCGGAAGCAGAGCTCATCCTGGCCAACACCATGGTGTTTCAAAATGGGGCTCACAGCAAACTTCTCCTCAAAACCCGGAGACTTTCTTTCTTGGATGTCTCTTTTTGCTGTTTGAAGAATTTGAGCCAACCAAAATATTAAACCTGTCTTACACACACACACACACACACACACACACACACACCGGATTGCTGTCCCTGGTTCAAGTGTGCCAAGTGTGCAGACAGAACATGAGCGAGTCTGGCTTCGTGACTACCGACCATAAACCCACTTGACAGGGGAAACATGCCTTGGAAGGTTTAATTGCACAATTCCAACCTTGAGCTGCGCGGGTTCCAAGAGCCAGGCCCGTACTTGCTGTTGATGTCATTGGCTTGGGGAGTTGGGGTTTGGTGCCCAGCGCGGTCGTTGGGGGAGGGGCAAGGCATAGAACAGTGGTTCCCAGACCTTGCTGCACATTGGAATTACCTGGGATTAAAAAAAAAAAAATCAAAACAAAAACCAGTGTCTGGCTCCCGCCCCCAGACATTCTGATTTAATTGGCATGGGGCAAGACCTGGACTTGGGATTTTTTTTAATGCTCTTCATGTGATCTGTTGGGCAGCCAGATTTGGGGATCACTAGACGGAAGAAGGATTGTTAAAGTCTCCGGAGATGTTACTTGCCAATGCTAAGAGCTCTTTGAGGACATCTGGAATTGTTACAATATTGCCAAATATAGGAAAGAGGGAAAAGGTAGAGTGTGATTCCAATAATAAAGGATTCCGCTTTTCATTGAAGGAACTGGTGGAAAGGTTTCTTCTCTGCTGAGCCTGCAGGCCCGTCCTGCCTGCCTGGGGTGCCCGGGAGACGCGGGCCTGCTCCGGAGACTGCTGACTGCCGGTCCTGTTAGTCAGGTGTCAGCCCTGTCTCTGCCGAAGAGACTCTTCTCTTTATTTTAAATTAAACCCTCAGAGCACCACCAAAGCATCACTTTTCTCCCTCCATTGGTGTTCTCATTCTTTGATGTTACTTGTTTGAACACCACTATTAGTAGTTGGAGATTTGTTCCTGAGAAAAATATAAATACCACTTAATTTGCCTGTTTGTCCCGCATTCACTCAAAACAGAATGCTCCTGAAGACAAGAGAGAGAGTAGGAGAACAGACGCTATTCCATTACAGTAACATAAAAGACTGGATTTTCAGGGGCAAATTATTAAAATAGGAGATGAGCTCTTTTAACAGAAATTTGTTTAAGGCCTGTGTCTATCAAATTCAGTGGATTTTATTCAAGATGCACTTTGTTTAGTGGGAGTTTTGTTTGGTTCTGGGACATGCTAACTTCTAGACTTGCTGCTCTTAGAGGTAATGACTGCCAGACACCATTTCATGAGTCCTAATCCCCACATTAAGCATAAGAGGTGCACACTCTCCTCCTATGGGGGAAACTGAGGTACGAAGAACTAAAGTGACTTTCCCACAGCTGGTGGGAGGCAGACGGGAAATTCACACCAGGGGCTTCCAACTCCAGATCCCTCTCTCAACTTCCAAACTCCACTGCCTTGTCCGAGTTCTGGTTTCAGGAGATCCAAATCAGGTGTGTGCAAATGTCTAATGTCAGAGCTGGCAAGGGGAAAGGGCCCAGGGAGCCGGCTCATGACGATGAGCCTGTCTGAAGCTTCAACGCGGGCTGTCCGGCAGTCTGCATTCCTGCCGAGTTCCTCAGCCCTCTGTTGGGTCACCTTCCATAGAGGCAGCTTAGTCCTCAGTTCAGTGAGCATGGAGTGGAGACTGCTTGAGGGGTGCTGAGCAAAGCCCTGCCTCTTACAGGATGAAGGTGCTCTCCAGAAGGGACACTGGAAAGTATTCCAAGGCGAGTCGAATTCCCAACTGAGGGAGCTTTGTGGAAATAAGCCCGCCCAGCCCCACTTCTGGAGACGTTCCCATTCAGTAGGTCCGAGCTGTCTTAAAGAGAAACCAAAGTGGGGATATTAATGGTATCCAAAGTGAGATCTACCCCACCCTCCCTCCTCAAAGGAGGTCAGATCAAGAAAGCCCAAGCCCGGCCTGGCAATTGGGACCTTTCTTCTCACTCCAGCCCAGGGTGAAGGTGGACAAGTCACTTTGACCCTTCAGGCTTCTGAGCTGTTGTTTCTGAATTCAGTGAATATTTACTGAGTGCATAGAATATGCTAGATATTCTGGGCTAAAGGTTGAAGGGGGGGTGAGTTTTAAGGGTTTCTGCTCTTGCTTCCAGATTGCTTTCAAATCTGGAAAGGACACCAGTGGTTTGTGTGTTAGACCCACACTGCCGTAGCACAGAATACAAGAAACTGGCTGAGAGCTCCAATAGGCTTTTAACAGTAATTTCTGGCTTCACGTATTTAGTTTCATAACTCATGATTTTTCAAAAACTTCTGGTTTGAAGACACCGATTGCCGAAAGTCCATTGTGCTGCATAATTACACTTGGTCCACGTGACAGCACTAACATGTTCTGAAATGTTTTTAGAAGTAGTCTCAGCAAAGATGAAGGATTCCTCCCTGTTTGAAAAGAAAATATTCTTTGTTTTTTCTTTGATCTAAGCTCTAAGACTAGCAGCTAGCATCTGAAACTTTTTTGACGAGAGTGACAAACCAACTCTAATATTAAAGGCAATTGATGATTATGGGCACTGAAGGGAAGGTAACCCCAGGCTGGTGCCCCGGAATAGGGATGGGTCACAATGTTGAGGACATTTCGCCTGTTGCAGAACCCACCTGCAACACAGTGTGGCCCTTGCCATGTGACTTGTGTGTGTGCCTGTGTGTCTGTGTGTGCGTGTTTTAATTTTGACTTCATAAGTACTCTAGTTATGAGCTTATTTAACATTGGGTTTTACTAATAGGGGTATGTGTTGAGAAAATTTCAAAGTTTTAGAATATGGTTCACCCACATGTTGCTTCCCTGTAAATATAATTTTTAAAACCAGATTCTGGGCCGGGCATGGTGGCTCACCTCTATAATCCCAAAACGTTGGGAGGCCGAGGCAGGCGAATCATGAAGCCAGGAGTTTGAGACCAGGCTGACCAACACGGTGAAACCCAGTCTCTACTAAAAATACAAAAAAAATTAGCTGGGCGTGGTGGCAGGTGCCTGTAATCCCAGCTACTCAGGAGGCTGAGGCAGGAGAATTGCTTGAACCCAGGAGGCAGAGGTTGCAGTGAGCCAAGATCGCACCATTGCACTCCAGCCCGCGCGACAGTGTGAGACTCCATCTCAAAAAAAAAAAAAAAAAAACAGATTCTGTTCCTCAGATCCATTCCATTTTTGTTTTCCTTTATCACTTATGGACATTTGAAATTATGGTAATAAACATTGTTAGTCTCAGTTAATTATTACTGGTTTATTCTTGAACCACTAATCCATAGAGAATAGAGTGTAAATCTTAACTTGTTCCTGTAGGCCATCCCCATTAAACATCATAGTGTTTTCTCATTCGTTCTTTTTCGTTTTCCTCCTACAGGAATGAATTTTCTAAGAAAATTCCAGCAGTTGGCTCTTTGGACGACATCTCTAGATTGTCCTCCATTGGGCCCATAGGCACAAGCTGGCCAGTTTGAATTTGGGCAAGAATCCAGGCATTGGAACTTATTCAAATAACTAGTTTGCCTGTAATTTTCACTTTTTCAGAGTCATCTGATAAAGCTTTCTTGCTACACATTTAGATAGATACACTCAATCCAGTTGTCTAGAAAGTTCCCTGAGCCAGCTGGGAGCAGGAGGGGTAGTTGGGGCCAGGAATATTGGGGGTGTGTTTACTGAGCCCCTAGAAAGTAAGTGCTAGATTTGACATTTCAATCCCTGAAGGCCCTGAAGTTCAGTATCAAATGACTGGTCCTGTGGACTGAGCATCTGTGAATTGCATATGCTTAGAGTAAATTTTACTCCTACCAGTTTCAGCAGCTTGCTTTAGCAAGCAGTATGGAAACACTAACATGGGGGAGTAGAATTTCTCTCTCTGATCCAAGTTTTATCTCATTCTGGTGGGTTTTCAAGGAGAGACTCGGAGTCCAAGTGTCCTTTCTGAATATATCTGGAACTTCTCATTAACAAAAGACTCAAGTTATAATTTAGGGGACAAGGCACCCAATGAGAATGCCTTGCAGGCAGCCCTAAGTACACCTGCAATTACACCATTACTAGCGCGGCAGCACACATGGCCCTGACTTAGTTTAAATAATTACGTAAGTCAACCATGATTGTTTGCCCTTTGCATAGAAGGGCAAGTATTGGTACCTGTTACAACTTAGGCTTTTTTTTCTTTATGTTTGAGCCATGATGAGTGATTTACACTGTTGCATCCATATGTTGAGATGTAAGAATAAATTAGACTTGGTAATTGCCCTTAAGTGTCTGGAAGTCAACTGGGGAAAGAGAGCTAGAGATAATAAGTGTGAAACAATGTCACAGAATCAATGACGGAACTCTTCCCAGGACAAAGGATGACTTTTGAGTTCAGTCTTTGCCTTTAATTCTACATGGGGAGGAGAGCACGTTTAGCCACAAATGGAAGGGATTACTCATTTGAGCTATTTGGTTATATGATTATTTCCCCAGAGAATAGGATGTGCAGGGCATTACACAAGCAGTGCCAATAGCAGCAAAGTTCTTGAGAGTGCTAGTAATTCAAATGGCAGGAAGAGAAGGAATAAATGGTAAGGCTACCTACAGTTCACAGAGAGCTCCATCCTCACTGTGGCTTTGGATTTTGTCCTGTGTGAAAGAGAAGTGACTGTGAACTGACATGCTGTGTTTGGTGTTTTAGAAAGATGGCTGCAGCAGCGGTTTGGGGAATGGACTGCAGGAGTGGCATTGGAAACAGGAAGGTTCATGACTATTGCCAGAGACAGAGGATGAAGCAGGAGCAAGGAAGATTCAGGACAGGGGACTCCGGGGCTGATCAGGAGGCAGAACTGGTTGATAAGTATATGTAGCAGCATAAGAAAGAAAGAATCCCAGATTGACACCCAGGCTTCTCACTTGGAAGCCTGGATAGATACTGAATGCAATCACAAAGGCTGGGAAGTCAATGGGACTGCAGGGAAGGGAAGGGAAGGGAGGAGAAGAGGAAGGGCAGGAGGGTCCAATATCAATATTCAGCTTTTAGATGTGTTGAGCTTGAAGTGCTCAGATGGAGAAGTCCAGGAGGCAGTAGAATACGGTGGTCCAGAGCACAGGAGAGCAATGTGGCTTGAGTTGTCATTTGCTCACATATTTCCGTGTCAGTTACTTGTCTTAGATCACAGAACAAGTTCTCCTCTCACAGTTTCCTGGCTCCACCTGTCTCATGCTCACCGTCAGCATCGAAATTGAGCCACACCAGGGGTTCTGGATACCAGCTTCTCTCTAGGTGAGGCTGCTATAGTCAGCAGCTGATTAGTTGCAGTTATCAGCAACTGGTAATATAATATATTGTGCATATAAGTGTACCAGAAGTCATGTTTATATATTGCTGCAAATACTCGGAATGGGGATCTCTTGTTCCCTGCTTAAGACCACATCACATTACTTGGTTTTGTACGCTAGTGGCTGAACCAAAAAAAGTAGGAGATGATTTTTTTTCTTTTTTCTTAAAGCAGTAGCTTTTGAACCTTGACCATGCTTTCTAACCAGCTGAGGGGCTTTTGAAAAAGAGGGTGCCTTACTGTGCCCCAGACCAGGACAATCAGTATTTCTGGGGAATGGAGCCTGGCACACACACATTTCTTAAAGCTCCCTTGGCAATTCTGAGGAGTGGATTACATGTTGTATGTAGCTCGTAACGAAAGAAATCTTGTCTTTGCTCTCAGACCCCCATTTCTTACTCATCTCATGAGCTCCTTCGAGATCCAGAAACAGTTGCATATTTCATTAGTAAATCAGTTCCAGAGTCACATTTTATTTCACAAGTTAGTCCATTAAAAGTTTCCTGCAGTGAGGAAATAGCCAGAAAGAACACTCCACCCCTCCTCCTTTTTATAACTATAGGGTCTGGCTCGACAGAGCAGGAGCATCGCCATCTTGGACAAGCCCCTCATTCTAAAGTTCACCTTAATAAAAAACTGCCTAAATTCAAACTGCATCAGCCTAATGGCTAAGGTCAGCATGACCATAAACCACAAATAACATCTCCAACCGGAAACATTCGAAACTCCTCCTCGACCAGAGACATGCTAGTCCCGAGATAACCCCCCTCCAGCAGGGAAGATGCCAGTCTCGGGATAACCTCTCTCTGGCCGGAAAGATGCCTGCCCCAAGATAAACTTGCCTCCTCCCAGAGATATTCCAACCCTGCCATAAAACTTCTCCCTCAAACAGGAACATTCCAAAATTCTGATAATCTCCCTCACCCTAAAACCAATATATACTCCTAGTCTGTAAGAGAAAGCGCTCTTGACCAAAATTCACCAGGAGTGCCTCCCAGGTTTTAACTAAAGAAAACCTCTCTTTAACTGCCAAAAAAAAAAAGGGAAAAAAAAAAGCTTTCTGCAGTGGCTTTCAGCGGGCCCAGCATGGCAGCAGCACCTGAGAACCTGTTGGAGATGCACACTCTTGGACCCCACCCTGGCCTCTGAGTAAGACACTGGAAGGGCAGGCCCCGGTCTGTGCACACAAGTCCTCAGGGAGATTCTGACTGATGCATGCCAGATTTTGAGAACTGCTGATATACTCCAGGCACATCGCATGCTGGGATCTAGATACACCAAGGGAACAAAATAACTGCACTTGTCCTCTGAGGACCGACTTACCTTTTGGAAGGGCTGAGAAAGAGAGACACATACAAGATCACTCCCTGTAATGCAATGTTTTATAACAGATGTGATTTGGGATTTCAGTGGGAGCCCAAAAGAGGGACTGACTAATTCAGCCTCTGTGACAAGGGGAGTTTCTCAGAAACAGAATGCTTAGCTGGGCCTCCAGGCACAGGGACAGGAATGAGGAAATACTTGTAGGCCCTGTGCTCCTTCAGCAAAACCCTCAGTTTCTTGTTATTTTTATAAATGCAAACATCTTATTAAAGTAGATGCTAAGGCATTAGAATTTCCTGCTTTATTTTTCTAAATGACCATGAGGAAACCTGGAATGTCAAAGATAAAGTGCAACACATTCTGCATTTAAAAATTAAAATGATCCTTTTTAAAAGTAGCAACCAGATGTGAAAAATTGGACTGGAGTCCAGGTTATAGTTGATAGCTTTAACTTTCTCCCCAACAGCAACAGCACAATTTTCCCTAAAATGTGTTATGAATAAGTAAAATGACTACTTCACATCCTTTAACTCTTCCTACAGAAATCTAAGAGAGAAATGAAACAAAAGTTTGCACAGTTCTAGACACGATAAATACATGTGAAATCACACAACTCAGAAAATGTCCCTTAAATTAATTGAGCCATTGGTACTTGTGAATTAGAAGAGACATCTATGTTCTGATCCACTGTTGAAAGCTGTACAATGTTACCTATTTATTTGCAGACATCCTTTGGAAACAAATAGGTAGATTTGCAACAAATAAAGAGTGGAGTACAGCTGCTGACATTACCTTGTATATTCATGCCTTTATGTAAAAAAAAAAAAAAAAATATATATATATATATATATATATATATATATATACACACACACACACATATGGAGGTAAAGACCACTGCTTGCTTTGCAGTTGTTTTAAGAGCATTCATGAAGGATTTTATTTTATAAGCAGAAATGTGATATCTGACGATTTTACCACTACATGCTTGCAGGCCAGTGCACAGCAGATGACGTCATGATTGTTTTAGCAGTCCTATCGTTTTACTTATGATGTCATTACAACCCTTTGCTAAAATTTCTTTCCTTTACTCCAGGTTTTGGATAAAATTGATGCATTGCACATAGTCTCTCTGATAAGACAAACTGGCATTTGTATGTGAAAAACTGTGCATGTTTTAGTGTCTCTGCTGATACTCAAATTATCCATTATTTTAGTGCTGGAATAAAAACAAACCACTTAGTGAATTTGTGCAGGTCCTTAAGGACAGGCAAAGGTGTCCTGAGATTTTCTGATCATTGTATACCAAATTTTAGAAACTTTTTCAAAAACATTTTTTTAATTTCAAAAACCTGGTTTTGTTTATTTACCAGCAATCATTGAATACCTGAAAGCTTTCAGGAGATTTTATTACAATGGTTTCTATTCACTTACAAAATTATCTCCTAGTTCATTCTCATACACTGTAAGCCATTGTAAATGCTTCAAATTGTGCCGAACAAGATAAACTAGACAAACTATTTTAAGTTTGTTCTAGTGCTAACTTGCAAGATCTAATGGCTCCAACTAGATTTTTAAAATAAAGTATATTTTAATATATTATTAGAAAGTTAAGCAATTATCTGTTTATAGGTAACAAAAACCCTGGAACCCCAATGTCAGATGTCATCCACTTTTGATTAAGTCCAAACATATGACAGATAAACAAAAGATGGTTGGCTGGGCTCAGTGGCTCATGCCTGTAATCTCAGCACTTTCAGAGGCCGAGGCGGGCGGATCACAAGGTCAGGAGTTTGAGACTTGCCTGACCAACATGGTGAAACCCGCCTCTACTAAAAATACAAAAAAAACAGCTGGGTGCGGTGGCACGTGCCTGTAGTCCCAGCTACTCAGGAGGCTGAGGCAGGAGAATCACTTAAACCTGGAAGGCAGGGGTTGCAGTGAGCTGAGATCACACCACTACACTCCAGCCTAGGCGACAGAGCAAGACTCAGTCAAAAAACAAAAAAAAAGTGGTCATTGGAGAATTATTGTGTCACCTGTTGTTTTTTAATGTACTAATTTTGAGAGGCTTTTAAATAGAGTGCACTATAGAACTTTTTCTTGGCTTCAATTTGCTACAATGTTAATAGAGAATCAGAAACCTTATCCTTATAGATGTTTCTTGATTTTTTTAATTTCTGGTGACATTTATGAGTGAGAATAGTGTATTGCCCTGTTTTCTTTCTTACTCCCCTTTCTTCTTCCTTCCTTGCTTTCTTTCTTCTTCCCTTCCTTCTTTCTCTTCCTCGCTCCTTCTTTTTTACAAGCTGTTATGAATTAGCCTTCACAGAGAAAGAAAAATTTTTATAAATAACTGGAAATGAAACTTTGCAAAGGACTGCAGATGAAAAACTTTGTCAAATGACTGTAAAAATATACTATATAATTTTCAAAAGTTAGAAAGTACCAAACACACTCAGTATTCATGGTTATACAAGTATGCATACACATGTATTGCTCCCTGAAAAGTGGTGTTGTTAAGGGAGTTTTTCTTAGTACGCGGCTTAACATATTTTTTTCTGTAATTTGTTGTTAGTTATAATGGGGAGAGAAAACAGGTTAGAGTCTCCCCTCTCAGTTTCACCTTCCATAAAACAGCTAAACTAGACGATCGTCAGACTCCTTCCAGCTGAAAACATCTGTAAAATTAAAAACAAATCTAAATGTATGCAAGATATGTATTTAAACATGCTGGTAATAAGTGTGCTGTCCCTATAATTTAGATGCTAAAACATTGATGTCATAATAATAACAACACCTCGCATTTGTACAGCACCTCATAGTTTACACAATGCCTTAACATTCTTCTCTCTCAGCCTCCTACAACCCCACAGGATTGGGATAGCTTTCCAGATTGGGAGGTGAGGGACCCAGGCTCAGAGCGATTCTGCTGTTGTCCGTAATCACCAGGCTGGTGATCAGTGGGCACTGGGTGCTCTCCTGCTACACAGCACTGTCTCTCAACATGCAGGTCAAGGTTACTTATTCCTCCTTCAAGACGTCATTGGGTTTTTTAGCTATGGATGCCCCATCACTTTTAGTTCTATTTGTGAATCAAAGGCTAAATAAAGTATTCCTCAAAATTTGTTATACTTCTGTTACTAATGCTTAATGTCCCTCACAATTTCTGTATATTTCTGTGTATTTCTGCTCTGTTTTGGTTCCTTTCCCAGGTTTCTTTTTTGTTATGAAGTAGTTTTTAGACTCAAGTCTCTTCTGTATGTGTTATAACTGCCCATTCCATAAGATACAGGGCAGTGAATTTGTGAGCCTTGAAAATATTTACTTTAGAAATGAGAAGTATGACTTTTCAACGTTGTGTCATCAACTTCTGTAAATTTTCCAGACCTATAAATACTTGCAGAAAAAAAATGAAAGGAGAAGGCAACTTGATTTAGCAGTTGGGTCAGTTAGCAATGCCTATGGCAAGCTGTAGTAATTCCCTTACATAGATTTGTAAGACTCATTTCTATGATTTAAATGAAGGCATACACTTAACCTCTTTAGGGTGTGAAACAGCTTTTACAAAAAGAGACAAACTTAAGAAACAGTGTGGCCCTCCAAGAGTGTTCATTTTCCATATCATACCATTTGTAATAAGCTATTCTGGCTGGGATTTACTTGCAAGCATTGGCTTTTAAGAAGAGATGGTTTCACACATCAAATTATTCACTTGGAGGCACTTTCTGGGTTGAAGGAATGGAATGGAGAGTGCGGCAGTGAGTAGATCTCTCAGTGACGGTGATGTGCCTCTCCCAGAAGAAATTTCAAAATGCAGTGTTCATTTTCCTCCACAAGAAAGGAAGAAACTGTTTTGTTATTGTTTATTCCTAACATAGTGGAAACTTTTCAGTACTCTGGCAGAAATTTCCCAAAAGCAATTTTCTATTTCATGATTATAAAGTAGCAAAGGAAAAAGTCCTGCACTCCAGCTGAGCAATGGATCTCCAGTTGTTATCTAGGTGCTGCAGGTTTAGAGAGGATTGCCAGGAGAACACATCGATTTTTCAGGCCTGTGATGACGTATCTCTTGTTGAATAAGTAAACCCTTCCAGTAAACAGACAGTTAGTATATTGATTTCAGGGTGGCTTTAGCCACTGAACCTGTAAGTCTTGCAAAGGTTACTTGGGCAAAAGCATCATTATTTTACCTTCAGTCAACAAAAATCTACCTGGCCAAGGCAGAACAGAAAGTTCAGCAATTTGATGAAGTGGGACAACATGAAGAATCAGGTGAGTTGCCTACTTTTTCACTTCACTTTCCACCTTTAGAGATTCTTGTTTAGATGCAGAGTAGTGACGTGCCTGGTGTCAGGGAGAGAGTTGAATGAGAAAAGTCCCAGAAGGGCAGAAGACTTGGGTGATTATCTGAGTCCATCTTTCCTTATCACATGACAGAGTTCTTGAAGTCTTGGCTAGGAATTCTAGGCTTTTAGATTCTTTGGGCAATGGCTACTAAATGTTCATAATGTTGCTCAGTTGCAAAAACAAGACATTCAAACTATAGCCAGGGAGATAAGTAGTCACGAACTCAAGGCCTAAATTCTGCTGATGGAGCCGATGAGAATTGGGTGCTAAGGCAAAGAGAGTTGCCAATATTATATTCTTCGGGGTTTTTTGTTTTTATTCGCATTTTGGAAAAGGAAAATATTAGCATTCCTCTGACTTAATATTGAGAAGACATTGGGCACTCTTTTTCCTCCCACACTTGTCTTCTTTCACTAGGTGACAAGGGAAGAGGTAGCATGAGGTGGTGGTCACAGGTGAGAGGGGCTGTTGTGAGCACAGGCATGTTGACTGCACATTGGTCACCTAGTAGAAGTTTTGCAGGCTTGGTGACTTCTGAACACTGTTTTCAAGGTTGATTTTTAGTTGAGAGAACCTCTAGGTACCACGTAATGTTATTAACAGTAGTACTGATCTCACAATCGCCCTATGTCCCATTCACAAGATGTTCTGCCAAGCCATAAAAGGCCCAGTTAAGTTTAAGAGAAGTCTCAAAAGTAACAGATGATAACTAATTAATACCCAGTGATTTTGAAATGTAGACATCAAACATACCAATTCAGTGGTATCATCCTTAGAGGCAGACAGAGGATGATTAAATCATTCAGCCCATCTCTGTCTGAGGACGCAGCTTAGCACAGCATGGTGGAGGCTAAATGGGCCTTAAGGGAAAAAATGATATCTGAAGATGCAATTTATTTCAAAAAGAGTTTGCTCCCGTGAATTTTCACTCTCTATGTAGAACGGCACCAGCACACACTTTTCCTGAGCCTTTGCATGTGTGGCAGGCAGCGGCCTGGCATCCTGGGGAACTGAATGAGGACGCAGATGACCCGGACGTGTTCACAGTTTGACACATCTGACTCCCAGATCAGGGACAGCTAGCTTTGCTGGCTGGTTAAGTTGATGATTCCATCTTTGCCTGGTTCTCTGACTGTCTCATGCTTTCTGTTATTACTATTTTGCAGCAGATATTTCTGCTCATTTTTCAATCATATATGCATCCTGGATGGCATAGAGTTGATTCTCCTAACAAATCAGTGTCCCTTTGTATTTTTTTCTGGCCATAAGATAGAATATATATGTCATTTATTAAAAATGGAGAAAATGTTCAGGAGTTTCTTGACTCAGAGAGGGAAAAGGGATACTCAGGGCACTTTTTCAGCCAGGAATTTACTACCTTTGCAGGGTAAAGGGGACTCACCACGCTGGAAGTCAAAATAAGCCACCAGTGCCAAGTGTTCAAAGCCCTTAGAATCACAATGCTCTTAAAGCAAAGTCTTCAACAATGCTTGAAAACTTCCACTGGTTCTCAGTATGTCCAAAATTGTCATGTCTATGAATGATTTTCTCAATCTGAAAATTTTTATAGCAGGCTAAAGAATGAGATAGGTCAGTGTGATTCTAGAACTAATCATTAACATTCAATAGATGACTATTTTATTCTAGAAAAAGCAGCAACTTTCTATTTACTCTCTATTTTGAGGGTAAATTCTCTGTAAGTAGAAAAAGCAAAATGTGGACATGGGACTAACATATGAATATACAAAGCAAATGTACCGAAAAAATCTTAAGACCTGCCTTGTGGTGTTTTTTGTTTTGTTTTGTTTTCATTAAAGTGACTTGTTAGCCTCTTGCTCCCTGTGAAGCACAGGGAGGTGACGTGATGTGCACAGGGCAGACTCTGCCATATGCCCTGGCCTTGAACTCAGGGCCCCCTGGGGACTGCAGGGGATGCTGGCCATGCTGAGCAATGCCTGTGGGTGTCAGTTTCCTCATCTGCAGAATGAGGGTAGGCCTGGTGCTTATTTCATAGGGTCGCAGAGGGGATTCAGTGACAGGGTGGTGTAGAGGCTGGAGCGTGCCCCATGTGTGCACGACAGCCTTCCAACTAGGGGAGGCGGGCCTGGGCTCTCACCAGAGAGCCTGTGTTCTCCATGGCTACATGACTTTGCCCCAGACGTCCTTCCCGTGGTCTGGACCCTGGGAAGTCGCCAAGAGCCAGACAGGAGAAAGGCTCCACTTGGCTCTCCTCTTTGGTGACCATCCCTTGCCTCCATGGCGGGACTCTCAGGTGACATCCCACCAACCCTCACTTTGCTTCCCTGGTGGGTCTCACTTTCCCTCAAGAGTGTTGCTTTTTTGTTTCCTGCATAGTCCTGGGCCAGTTTTGATAACCCTCTTCATTTCACTTCAGAAACCCTGATGATTTCTTCCTGTGCTCTTTTTACCTTAGGACTTTTACTATGACGACTGTGACTGGCCCATTTCTTGTTTTTTTTCTCTTGCTCTGCTTTCTCCCCCATCATCACTAAAGCAGACATGGCAATGATGGCCATGCACACTTTCCAAGGGTCCAGCTGTAGATCTTCATGGTTCCCCAGGTGCCTGGACCATCTTGTGAGGAGGGAGGCAAACACACCCTGCCTGGAGCACTTGGCCCTTTCGGCAATGTTTTGGCTTCCTCAAGTGAGAAAAGAATGGATTTGTATTCCCCCTCTGCATTATTGTTTTTGTTTTGTTTGTTTGTTTTGTTTTGTATTGAGACAGAGTCTCACTTTTTTCCCCAGGCTGGAGTGCAGTGGCCCGACCTCGGCTCACTGCAACCTCCACCTTCCGGGTTCAAGTGATTCTCCTGTCTCAGCCCCCTGAGTAGCTGGGACTACAGGTGCCCGCCACCACACCTGACTAATTTTTGTATGTTTTGTAGAGACAGGGTTTCACCATGTTGGCCAGGTGCCCATTATTATTTGATCTGGAATTAACTGAGCTACTGCAGGAATTGCTTGATTCACTGATGACTGGTGTTGAGCCAGTACACACCCACACCCAAGGACTGTGACTGTCTTCTGAGGTCCATCCTCAGAAATTCCTGTCTCTTCACCTAGTGTGTAATAAGGCCTGCGCGTGTTATATGGAACTGTAAAAAATGCGCCAACCATCTGTCCTTCCTCTTTATCTGATTACTTATCATTGTTCTCTAAGTTGCAAGTTAATAGACTGATCATAAATTAATGCATGCTGGAGACTTGCTGTTTCCTACTAGCAGCATATAAAAGTTATTTTTAAAGTTGTTTTAAATCTGTGAGTAAAAATAAATTGCTTTGCTGCAAGAAACACCAAACATGGAAAAGCTAACGGTTCAAAGTTAATAATTTATCTTATGGACATCACTAGTGGCATAGTTGCTTTAAACAGTGAGAGGATTTAATAGATATTTGATTTGCAAGTGGGATGAAGGGTGGTCTAACCTTTGTCCTGTGTTTACCTTCCATGAGATCCTAGAGGTTGTACAGCACAGTAGTGGCATGTGACACACTTGAGAGTGCCTGTTCTGTTTGGAAACCTGGAAACTATGAAGGGAAGTGGCCTTCGAGCTTAACACATAAGACTTGGGAGGCAAAACCTTTTATTCTCTTTAAATATTCACTTTAGGATAAGCATTTTTTTAGGTGTTAGGAACAGGGAAAACTGTGTGGTTAGGAAGGAAGAAAGAAGAAAGTTAACTGTTGTACATTCCCTAGGTAATGTTTTTAAGCATTGTTATTCACTTTCAAAACACATTTTATTTATTTGGACTTAATATTTTGATCTTATTTTTTCAATTTCTTTTAATTTAACAGACAGGATGAGTTTTTTTATAGTTGTATTACTTAGAAATTATACTAAAAATGGCCGAGTGTGGTGGCTCACACCTGTAATCCCAGCACTTTGGGAGGCCAAGGCAGGTGGATCACTTGGATCACTTGAGGTTGGGAGTTCAAGACCAGCCTGGCCAACATAGCAAAACCCCGTCTTCACTAAAAAAAAAAAACAAAAAAAAAACTAGCCACGCATGGTGGCAGGTGTGCCTGTAACCCTATCTACTAGGGAGACTGAGACATAAGAATCACTTGAATCCAGGAAGCAGAGGTTGCAGTGAGCAGAGATTGCACCACTGCACTTCAGCCTGGGTGACAGAGCAAGACTCTGTCTCGGAAAAAAAAAAAAAAAAGGATAAAGAAATCATACTAAAAACAAAACAGAATGCTGACCACCTTATAGAAATAGAAATAGTGGTTTGCTGTGATAGCAAATTTTCTTGTTAACTTTTTATTTTTAAAGAATTGCACATTCACAGGAAGTTGCAAAAAATCTACTGGGAGGTCCTATCCCCCTTCCCCCAACCTCCTCCAGTAGTAACATCTTAGTAGCAAAGTTTTGTATATTTATTTTGATATCATTATCTAAGTTTGACATCATTATCTAATATTAACCTAAGCCAAAAGCCCACTATTTTAATTATCTAGTGATGCAGTGTTATAGAACTCATAGCCTTTCACAGCATTATTTGGAAGTTAATTTTCTTAAGTGAAATGTTTTTGGTCTTTAAGGTTTGGAGGCCATGGAGGCATGAGGAGAAATGGGATGAGGGAGAGAGAGCTAAGATAGATAAAGACAGAGATGGGGAGATCCACTGATTCGTTGAACAAACCAGATACTTCCTTATAGTTTTTGGATTAACTTACATGAGCTAAGTTTATATTCTGTTCAGATCACAAGTGGTCAAGTTTGTGTGTGTGTGGGGGGGGGGGGGTGGGTGTGTGTGTGTACCACTCTACCCATCCTATATTTATTGTCCTGTATTTGGTCTGTTCTGCCTTCTTTATTTTCAGGATAGGTGTCCTAAATGAGGGTCTTTGGAAAGCTGGTGAGGCCATGTTGCCCGTTTCAGGTGTTCCGTGCTCAAATGTATTCATTTCTTGAAAAATTCAGGGAGTGCACACTTTTGTACATTTTCCTATGTGTATATGATACCATTATATAAATCTTAAAAATATATATGGTTCACCTGAATCCCCAGCCATTTGGTAGAGAAGATAGAAAACCTACAGAGGAGGCTAAGATTTTATTAGAAAATTCAGCTTCTCGACGGAGGTATTGGCTTTAAAGTCAAGGCAATGCATCTATTCTTTCTTTTGATATAACTAGCTAAAAGATCTCTTAAATTCAAAGTGGCCCTCATCTTACTGTTACTGCAATTTACTCTTAATTACAAATTATATAAAAATAGGTTTTGAAATACTGTAGCGACAAAGTAACATACCTCTGCTCCATTACACAGATAAAACCTCTAAGGAACACCTCCTCTCTTAACAGGCATTAACCAACTGCAGAAACTGCAGAAGGACAGGGCTATTTGGGAATAACACAGCTCCCTTCCTTGTCTGTTCCCTCCCATTGTCAGGCTTCTGTGGAGCCATATTCAGAGCAACATAGGGAGGGGGAAGAGAAAATCAACCCCTTGGTGAAGGAAAGCTCCCAATTCACAGAGCAAACATGGGTACTCTTGTTTGTGGGAGCTCCCAGGGCCTCCCAGCTCACCGAGCATTCTGAGCCCTGATCCTTACACTAATTGTATTATGCAACCATAAATGATGTCTGCTGTACCAGCGGGGACAGTTTATTTTAATAGATTGGTATAACTTGGCAGAATCTTATCTGCATGTTTCATCTTGGATTTTTAGCTCAATTCAACTCAATAGGCATGTGTCAAATGTCTACTGCAGACTGAGCACTGAAAAGCTGCTGGGTACAGGGTTACATGGATAGAAAACGTAGCCTCTGACCCCTAAGGAGCCTGTAATCCAGATCCCCATTCTTTCCATCCCATTCTCCCAAGCAAGAATTTACCTAATGTGGTTTGCGAGAATTTAAGAGCTGGAAAGGTGGTCACGAGAAGCCGGAATGGGTTCGCTAAAATGTGTCTATATGATTAAGCATAACGTAGCTTTGCAGCACTCTTCACAGCTTCCTCAGAGCCTTCCGCACGCGGTGTCTCATTTGAATACTTGTGTGAGGATAGCCTCATACCCCTCAGTGAGCTCTTCATGGAGTGATGCAGTAGACAGCAAGCCTCACACTTCTATGCTCACGGAAGACCAAATTTGCCTTGAAAAATCTTTATAGTCTCTTCACATTTCTAAGTTGACATCAAAAATCGGTTACCATAAAATCCTAATAGTTGAAGAGATGTAATTTCAATTATTTGGTAAACCTGACCTTCATTGTCAAAGCAATTAGTCAACTCAGATTTACTTTCTCCCAGATAATAGATTCTGACTTCTTTTTTTCTGATTAAAAAACTTAACACCTTCCTCAGGAGATCTATCTCAGTTCTGAATGCTGATTCTAACTAAGAAGGATATTTGGCTACATGCTGGGAAGAGGGGTACTGAGGCACGCCGCGATTCCACTCCAGCATTTCCAGTTAGTCGGGTGCCTCTGCACTCCCGGTGTTCCGGCGCCCAGTTAGTTGTGTACTCTGGGCTGTCCCTATACTGGAGTCCTAAAACACTTACGACTGCAGATAGGGGGAGGTTTTTCAAAACCTTGGTCTGAAAAGCCATAGAAGGGAGATAGGAAAGCGGGGGGGTGGAGCCACAGTACATTCAGGTGGATCCGTTTTTGGAAATAGTACAAACTGGAGGTGAAACCCTGGAAATTGATCTGTCGTTCACATGCTTCATGCCGAGTCCTTGTGGACCCACAGAGACACACTCGCCCCAGTTTGAAGGCTGCTAACTTGATTCTGAGGACACCAGTGAGGTGGTAGTGTGCAAATGATGTGTGAGGAAACTTTGGAGGAGTCTCACCCTGCCTGGAGCACGTGGCCCCTAAAACAGCGCAGCCTCCCAAAGACAGAAGATGTGGACTAGTGAGAAGCCAGGTATGGTGACTGCTGCTGGATGAAGCTTGTCCCACCAGAGGCTCGCTTGTTTCATTGAGCACCTACTGTGTGCTTGTGGGATGCAAACACACGTGTGGTCCCTGCCCTCAGGTTAATAGGCAGGGGTGGAACAGTTATGAAACTGCTCTAAAGTCATTTTCTCAAACTGGGAGTGACAAATGTATCCACTTGGAAAAGATTGAGAATTTTATAAGATTTTTAAATTTTTGTTTATTCACATTGAGGAGAATCTAAATTCTTTTGAACTTATGTATAGATTTCACCATTTTATAGTAATAAATCAGTCCTCCTGTGTGTGTGTGTGTATGTGTGTGTGTGTGTATGTAAACCTCACCTTGCAATATTATTATTTTAAATAGCCACTTGCATCTTAAGGAAATTAAGAGGACAAAAGAAAAGCTGCTGTTTTGTATGTATCCACATATTTACCAGCTGCTTCCCTGCCGGCAGGTGCTCTGGTTCTGCACTGCCTGTTGTCCCTTGCCTGAAAATGGTTGCCTCCAATATTTTGCTCAGTTTTCTGATTGTTTACAGTGGCAGAGGAGGGTAGATCTGGTACCAGTTAGTAATTGCCAGAGGTGGAAGTCTGTGGATGAAATTTGTATAACATGGAACGTTAGTTCCACAGTTAATGCTACTCAATTGGAACCCATGGAAATTATTTTTTGGTGAAAAGGGCCCATGCGTTATGAAATTTGAGATCCATCACTTTAAGTGAATGTAGGCCCTGGATACAGTGGGAGCTCAGAAGAGCAAATCAGTTGGTCACCTTGCTCAACGTATTTTACTAAGGGCATCAGTAAGGCTTTCTATGACCTGCTCCTTCAATGCTTGGTTGACATTTGGGGAGCAAAGATAAACTAAGGATTCTAAGTTCTGTCCTGTGATGCTGTAAGGGGAATCTCAAACCTCTAGGTGGAGGAGTGCAGAGATGACCAGGATGGTGGAAGCCTGCAGGAGAGCTGAACACCTGAAGACACCCAGTGGGAAGACCAGGACCTTTAACGCCCATATCTGCTGCTCAAGACTGGCAGAGAGAAGAGGGTTTGTGATGAGAAAAGGTGGTGAAAGGCACAAGGAGGCACAGAGCATGTCAGGTCCCATATCCCAAAAGGAATGTGCTTGGGTGAGGGAGAGCTCCTCCATGGCTGGAGGCATTCAGAGACCAGGCAGTCGCTTGTGGGTTTGTGATTAGAGTGAGGTTCTTTTATAAAGGGAGTGAGAAGAGAAGGTCTGTGGATACTTGAGTGTATCGGTAATTAAGAAATAAATTGTGTACATCCCATTTCTTTCCACATTTTCCTGGGCTGTCACAGTGGCTGCAAAGAAAGCAGTCCGTGAACTGAACTGTGATCCCAGACAGGCAAGCACACCAGGAATCTCTTCTCAGCTGTTGATAATGAGGGAGCGCTGGGGAGAGAAATGGGGTCCTCTTTGAGTTTCCTCTGTGCCGATACCTTTCTCTTTGTTAAAACAGCTAATTAAACACTGAAGCAGTATAGCTCTCTTACTATACACTGGTAGTCATAGTTCTCTTACTGTTCTCTTCACTGACAGTTCTCTTACTATACACTGATGGTGACGCAGAAATTCAGAATTCCCCGCATGTGTCCCGGTTTGAAAGCCACTGTGCTTTGCTGTGGATTAGGATCAGACAGTTGAGTCTTGTTCCAACAAGGAAAGTTGCTTATTGGAAAGTTTTGCTGCAGGGAGCCTTGAGTTCTGCATCAGGCTTGGAAGTGGGCTCTGTGGAGGTCAGAAGGAGGATCCCCCACCCGCAGCCTCAAGAAAAATATGAAAAGTGGATTATGCCTCTGTAGCTATATTGCCTATAAACTTTCTGCAGAATGACAGTATTCATATCCTACATTTTTTCAAAGCGATATTAATCCTGAGACCTGCAGCTAAAGTCAAGTAGAATTTAGGGATAATTAATAGGAGGAAGGTGGGGTTGGAAGATCTGCATGATTATAGTCCTCTGATATAACTGGAAAATTCTTTCCATTAGCAAGGAGCTTTGGTTAATATAAAATGGACAGATTAAACCTAGGCAATTTATTTTACTCATTGCTGTATTTTTATTTCAGAGCTGGTTGAAAATATTACAAAGTAATATTTTAAAGTGCTTATCTAAACTCTTACTCTGCATTTTATCATTGGGTTATGAAATGACTGGGGAAAGACTTTTCTTGCTTTTATTTCTCAGTGTCTACTTATAAACATGTTTTTTGAACTACTGTTTTTGTGACAACATGCCTTTTTCCCAGAAAATCTCAGGTTAACATTAAATAGGCACTGGATGTTTATCTGATCTTGTTTATAGAAACACAAGAAAATTTTAACCTTGTATATACTTTACTCAATTAACTAGGTAAGAGGTCATTGAAACATTTAGAATTCCACTCTACATTTCAATAATTATCAGGTGAAAGCTACTGCATCTACATCAGAAGATGTTTGTAATTTATTTAAGAATAAAATTAGCTATGCAAGAAATAGTATGTGGAGTCCTATGTGGAAATCACAGAAACCCTGACAACTTGATGATCTTTCCGCAAGCTAAAAATATCACTCTGGATCACAGCAGTAGAGGACTCTGTAAATTTAATCTGTGTGTCTCCTGTAAATAAGTGCATTAGCAGTACACAGGTGGTGTCAGAGTCAGTGATGATGGATAGAAATTCTACATAAAATCCAGGCGCAGTGGCTCATGCCTTTAATCCCAGCACTTTGGGAGTCTGAGGCGGGTGGATCACCTGAGGTCAGGAGTTCGAGACCAGCCTGGCCAACATGGCAAAACCTCGTCTCTACTAAAAATACAAAAATTAGCTGGATGATGGCACATGCCTGTAATCCCAGCTATTCGGGAGGCGGAGGCAGGAGAATCTCTTGAACCTGGGAGGTAGAGGTTGCAGTGAGCCGAGATCACGCCATTGCACTCCAGCCTGGGCAAAAGAGCGACACTCCATCGCAAAAAAAAAAGAAGTAAGAAGTTTTACATAAAAACGTGGAGTGAGCCCAAGGTGCCATTTATCCAGCCCATACACATCGTACCATGTACAGAGTGGACACCAGATAAATACATTGACTGCATGCCACAAACATATATATGTAGGCACCGTTGCATTCAAATACACATCTGCAGCCCTAACACATCTTTATTTGCTAACGAGCATCAATGTATTTAAAAACAAACATGTTTAAACTAGTGAATGATTAGATTATAATGATCTTAATTCATAAGTTTTCTCATTGGCCTTTTGTATACTTCAATTGTAATACCTAGAAAAACAGTTATGTCCAAAGGAGTGAATAGGCCTTATCTGAAACAGGTGAGCGTGACAAGTGTTTTCTTACTTATTTTACTTTTCAGATAATTCATCCTTAAAGTACATTAGTTTAAAAGTACTGTTTAAGGAAACAGTACTTGGATTAAAACTTGAATCATTGTTAAGGAAAACTATACCTTAACTTCATGTAATCACAATTAAACCTCTTCATATAGAAGGATCTAAGAATTTTCTGCAGCATTCACCAGCACCAAAAAGCTCAGAGACATATATTTCTTTCTCTGTATATGTATTTTAAATTCAAGTTAGTATAAATTGACAGGCAGGTCAGAGTAATATATGATCTTCTGAGTCCCCTTAGTAATTAAAAGAAATGATTATTTTTGCATGAAATATGATAAAGTGATTTTAAGTGCCTGATAAAAAGTCTTAACCATGACAACCATTAAAGATTACATCAAAGAAAAATAAGTTTGACTTTCATTTACCTTGGAAACAGCTATTAACTGGTAACCTCAAGAAACACCATGAAGAGTCAGTTTGCTCCACACATGTCTTGTAAAAGTCAAATAACTGGTGGTTATCCAGTAATGACAAGAGGTAGAAGTTACATCCTTGCTGTCTGATTGAACCTTCCCAGAGCTGGCACAAGGCTGGGAAGACCATAGGTGCTAAATGAGGAACTACTTAAAGAAAGAAAATGGAATTTCACGGACAAGAAAATCCATGTCCATTTGGTTCTGTGACCCACATCCTTTGTATCCTATGCTTTTTTACACTTGGTACATGGTTGCAAGATTGCCCCTGTTTTCTACTTATAGTTCCATGCAGCATGGATGTGGGAAAAAGTCTCCTCTGCAAAGGGGGTTAATGCAGGTCACTCTACGTATGTGCACGAGGTCGTTATAAAGCTCGAAAATATGGGCTCACCAACCAGGTGATTTTTTTAATTATCCAACCAGAAGACATAACATATAGGGGAATCAAAAGAAATCTCTGAGTAAAATAATGATAACAGGTCAAACTTTGCGGTCCCACGTGAGGCTGGAGATGCGTATTGTCTTGACTTTGCATCTACAAGTTTAACAAATGATGCTTTCTCAGTTTACCTCTGGAAATGGAAATTAGCATTGCAAATGACTTCATGAGGAGGTAGAAGCTATCTGTGAATTTCCTTTCGCTGTGTTTACGATAGACTCTCACGTCTAGATGTGTCATGTATTATGTTAAATTGGTATGTCTTGAAGTTATAAAGCACAGCCCTCTATAAGTATATATATTCCACCTCTTTCAAATCGGATGGTACCTATCCTTCAAACTGCTATTTAATGACTGTCTGCTATGTTCAAGGCACTGCTCTCAATGTTAATACTTGATGAGATCGGGCGCGTTCAAGGTGGCATGGCCGTAGACTCAATGTTAGTATCTGAAATATGGCCTACGAGCTGAGTTGTGAATCAAGTTAATAGATTTTCGGAATGTTAAGGTCTAAACCAGTAGCTCTTAACTGAGACAATCCTGTCCTCATCTCACCTGGGAGACATCTGGCAATGTTTGGAGAACCTTTTGGTTGTCACACTGGGGCATCTAGTGAGTAGAGGTCAGGGATGGTGGTAAACAAGTTTTTTTGTTTGTTTGTTTTGTTTTTGAGACAGAGTCTCACTTTGTCACCCAGGCTGGAGTGCAGTGGTGTGATCTCAGCTCACTGCAACCTCTGCCTCCTAGGTTCAAGCAATTCTTATGCCTCAGCCTCCCAAGTAGTAGCTGGGATTACAGGTGTGCACCACTACACTCAGCTAATTTTTGCATTTTTAGTAGAGACGGGGTTTTGCCATGTTGGCTAGGTTGGTCTCGAACTCCTGGCCTCAAGAGAACCGCCCCCTTCTTGGCCTCCCAATATGCCGGGATTACAGGTGTGAGCCACCGTGCCCAGGCTAACATTCTTTAATGCATAGGACAGCCCCCACCATACAGAGGAATCCCCAGCCCAGAATGTTAATAGTTCTAAGGTTGAGAAACCCAAGGTTAAGCCAAGTCAACTTATCTATCTTCTTTAAAATTGCATAAGAATGCAGTCCTGTTCTTCATTCCTCTTGCTTTGCAGTTAATGATCCTTTGCCTGGACTTTCTAAGTGCCCAGAAGAGCAACAGCCAGCATGCAGGATGGCATTCCTGACCAGTTGCACTTGGCCTAGCATTCCAACCTCACCTGCCTCAGCTTGTTCAACCTGAAAACCTACCAAGTGAAAGCAAGAGCCACGTGAAGACGCCTTAGTTATATGCACCCACCCAGACACTTGCTCAGAAAGGAATCAGTGGGGCCCTGGCCTTAGAAACTGGCTCCTTCACTGCTGTAGAAACAACATAAATTTAACATAAAACACGTGCTTTTCTTTTTTCTTCTTACTTTTTCCTGTCTTGGCAATGCAAGGATGCCATTAGGTAAAGAAATCCTTCACCACACTAATCCTGCAGAGCCAGAAGAGAAACCAGCTTGTTCTAACCCAGCTTTGTCATGGAGAGAAGGCAGCTGCTCCAGTCTGAACTATTCTTTCTTTTGGTAGCAGCCTGCCCAAGGGTGAAAGTGTGTTTAATAGTTTGAATTACACAAGTGAACAGTAAATGTATGCCTGTTTCTGCTTTATGGGACTTTGAAATAATGTTGTTTGTGCCAAGGTTTTAGATTACTATACCTAACAACCTAGAAAAAGAAATGAAAAGGAAGCCTTCTGCCAGGCAGAGGTCACTACGGGCCTGGAGCTGGGCACCTGACTCAGCAGCTGCCCAGATCCCCAGAGCTGAGAAGTCACCATGCATTTGTGGTGCTTCGAGCGAGTTACCAGAGTCCTGGAACAGAGCAGCACACCTGCGGGGTGTCCCCTTGGCATTTGGGCAGGGCAGGTGACCAAGGGTCTTGTTGGAACTGAAGTCCAGCTTGAAAAGCAAATCTGGTTGTGAGCTAGAGTCCAGTAACACTTGTTTCCCGCCGCCCCCCGCATAACTCGTGTGTCCTAAAATACAATAATTTCTTGAACTTCAGTCACTTATGCCTATAAGCGGGCATACAACAGGGGCACAATAAATGTTTGTTAAGTGAATGAATTCTTTCAGAACTAGATGGGATCTTAGTCCAACTCTCTTATTTAACGAGGTCCACAGAGGTTCTGCGATTGTCTAAGAAAGAAGGCTGTGTTCATGGCCTTTGTTGTTTACGTGGCCCTGTGATTCTCTTGGCTCCGTGAAAGTCCTGATGCAGACATTCCGGCCATCTAGAAAGGCATGCAGACAAGCCATCCAGCTGGCATGATCCTGAGTCCAGCTTTCTTTAAAAGAGCTTCCAAAACTGCTTAAGCTTTGACTGCACAAAACCTGCATCACCTCCAGTTGAGAAACTCAAGAGAATAAGTAAGTTATGGAGTTGGAGACCCCAGCTTAACTACTAGTTTTAAAATAGTGAAATCAACATTTTCAAATCTTTGACTTCACTAAGATTTAATAAAGTTTATTAATCATATATTATGAGTTATTGCTCTCTCTTTATGTCTGTAATGCAGTTGCTCCTCTCTGTATAAATTAATAAGTTTTAGAGATCCAAAATGAGAATTTTAAAATAAATTACGTATATTTTAATCAAGTTTAATTTGACTATATCCAGCTAAACAATTGATTGAACTTCACTTGCTTTTCTATGACAGGTTTTTTGTTCTTAGTAAAAGACCCCAGTTTTCTCACTTGTGAACAGAAGGGGTTAGACTTCATGACAGCTAAGGTTCCTTCCGTCTCTAACAAAAGTGGCCTGAAGAGAGGCTTCTAGACTATACTCACGGTGGGTTCTTGGGACCTCAGAGTCAGCTCCATCACTTAAGTGGCTGTGTGATTGAGTGGAGACACCTCAATCTCTTTGTGCCTCAGTTTCCTCACCTGTCGAGTGTCAACATGATGGCACCTAAAGCTGTTGAGACTTCAGAAAGGTAATGTGTGAAAAGTGAAAAGTGCCTGGCATCCAGGAAGTACTCAATAAATACCAACTATTTTATTGCTGCAGCTGTTCTTATAGATGTGATTTCTAGAACATTGCCTTCTAATAGGGTAGCCATGGGCCACAATTGTTGGCTGTTCGGTGTTTCACATATGGTTAGTCCAAACTAAGATGTGTTGTGAGTCTCAAATACACACTGGATTGTGAAGACTTAGGACAAGGAAAACAATGTTAATAAAATCTCATTGATAACTTTTAAATTAATTACATGTTGAAATGAAAATATTTGGGACATATTGAGTTAAATAAAACAGGAGATTAATTTCTTCTGTTTCTTTCTACTTTTTTTATTAGTGTGGCTACTCAAAAATGTGACATTATGTATGCATCTCGTATTACATTTCTATTGGACAGCAGCGCTCTAGACAGTACTATGGGTAGTATCTGTGGGGAGGTTCTCAGAAACATGTCGCATGCTCTTTTAGAACCTTAAAGTATTCCTAGTCTCCTCTACTTCCAGCCCTTGGCTCTTGGGCCTCAGTCTTTTTACTTTTGCGGCTGTGTTTCTCTGAAGGCTTGGCATTAGTAGATTGAAAAGAATAACCATCTAGGGAAATGTGAATTCAGTTTCTTTCTGACATTCTGCTCTCTACAAGGGGATATTATGTACACATAAACCTACTTCCAAAATAATGAAGTGAGGCCTAATTCCTTACTCTTCAGAGAGCCCACTGTGGAAGTGTCACTGACCTTGTGTATGGGCTGCCCTTCATGGCTCTGGGAGTCATTATAAAGGGCAGCATTTGGCGTGGTGCGTCCTAAGCCAGTGTTTCTCGGCTCTGTTCCTTAGACATGTGTTAGTGTTAATAGATGTTCTTGGAAAAAAAAAAAAAAAACAGCATTCTGAGGTCAAACATGCTCAGAAAGCTTGGAATCTGCACTACGCTTCTCGTACACATTTCATATTAAAGATTTTGGAAAGTCCTGCAATACAGAGCCCTGTCTAATATTGCCACAACCCACAATTGCTCAAATGTAAATAGATTTGAGTTTATTCACATTCAGATCACCTCTTAAGGCCCCACCTCCCAATGCTGTCACAATGGCAATTAGATTTCCACATGAGTTTTGGAAGGGACATTCAGACCACAGCAGGGGAAAGCAGGGTACTTGCTGCTTTGCAAGTGTGTCCACATCTAATTAATAGTACAGTTCTTACTCTTGGTGTGTCCGGTGATATTAAAAATTAATGTGCCTTATTTAGATAAGTAACATAAAAATCACAAAATGTATGCCTTAGATTTATATGTATTTATAACTAGTCTATTTCCTGAAAACAGTTGAGACACCTTGTAAAAGTTACCGGTACGATAGGGCCATTCCAACAAAGCTGTAAAGTGGTGATAACACAGTCATAAAGAAGAGGAGATAGCTCTGGGAGAAAAGGTGGCCCAGAAACCAGCTCTGAGCCTCATGGCTGCAGGCAAGGTCTGCAGGTTCCTGGTCCTGATTGCAGGCCATTTGCTGCCTTGAGTGGTGGTTACACAAGGCCAGCCCTGGGGGTATCACCCAGAACACCTAGTACACGAATTTCAGTTTAGAGGACGAAGCATTACTGGAGTATTGTTATGCAGGAAAACTTTTTCCTAAAAATGCCCTGAAAAGAGAGTAGCCTAATGCATTCAATCAAAATGTTTTTAAGTGGAAAACATATTGTGTGTACTTGATCTGGCCTGCTGCTTTTAAAAGATTAAAACTGGGACTGGGCATGGTGGCTCACACCTGTAATCCCAGCACTTTGGGAGGCAGAGGCAGGTGGATCACCTGAGGTCAAGAGTTGGAGACCAGCCTGACCAAGATGGTGAAACCCCATGCCTACTAAAAATGCAAAAAGTTAGCCAGGCTTGGTGGCGCATGCCGGTAATCCCAGCTAGTTGAGGGGCTGAGGCAGGGGAATCACTTGAACCTGGGAGCCGGAGGTTGCAGTGAGCTGAGATCGCATCATTGTACTCCAGCCTGGGCAACAAGAGTGAAACTCCATCTCGAAAACAAACAAACAAACAAAAAAACACTGGGGCCAAAGAACTCTGTGTGCTGTATCACCTAACCACATTTCATGACACGGCTAGAGAAGAATCATGCAAATAAAAATTTCCAACATGTTCGTAAACTGGGAAAGTATTTCACTGGGGAGTGAGCAGAAAAGTAATACTATAACCTCTATATCTAGACAAATGTGAATTCAGTTTCACATATAAATATATAAGTGAAAAAATATATAAATATAAATAATATGAAATAATGGTTATCTCACCACTTTCTACATCTTTTGTGAATATTTTATAGTGCTCAAATATATTAGTGCACTAGTATATGTACATTACATTAAATAACTAATCATTTATTAGGAGGATGTGCTTGTTTTTTGCTAATAAAGATGATAATAAAAAAATCCTTAGACCCCCCCTCGGTTTGTTTTCAGTTAGGAATTAGGGATATTTATAAGAATATCTTTAAATGACACATGCCTTGCTCTGGGACGAGGCATCTGCATGGGTGACACATATGTGTTGTGTGTACAGGCTCCCAGCATTTCCAGGGCCCTGCTCAGAATGTAGGCCTTACTGATTCTTACAGAGTTACAAGCGCTGGTGAGGTTGGCGAAGTTTAGGTAAACACAGCTGGGAATGCCCCATGGCCTCTGGGTGACTTTGGACATCACTGAACTTTACCCTTAGAGATGCATACCTGCATCTTTTTTACCCTGATAGGGCCTTCCATGATGCTTTCAAAGTGTTTTTGTCTGCTTTTCGGTTAATAGACTTTCACAGTAGCCAATTGAATATATTGGTTAAATGCATCTCTTTATACACAGACTGGATTCAAACTGAGGTTGTGTCTCTCCCTGGCTGTGTGACGTTGGGTATGATCCAAGTGTCAGATTACTCAACTTCAAAATGAGGACAGAGCCTTTCCCTTCTAGGGCTGCCAGGAACATTGAATGAGAGAGTGCTGGCAGCTTAGTACAGGTGTTCATTGCTCTTGTATGGTACTGTCTGTGGCACGGCTAGATAAAATACAGTAGCCACTGATTCAAATTTCAACTGAGGAGTAAAATAAACTGAATAACTTAGAAAAGTTTTCTTCTTTTGAATGACTCTAAGAATTTAAGGAGCATGTGAGTGTTGATGGCTCTAAAAGGGTAACAGAGCCCAACTAGCTCAGTTCTCAGCATGAAAATAGTCATATGGCACAGACTCAGTGGAGTGGGTGCACTTCAATAACTGGAAGCACAGATGCCCTACAGCAGCATCAAAGATGGCACTCTAAACTACTTTCAATCCTTTAAAATAAATGGAAACGCACATTTAGTATGCATATGACAACACGAAGGACTTCGATTTTGCTGATGCAATACAGTTTTACAGGATTTTTTATACTCAAATTAGTAAAATTCTGTATTGCATCCAAATTATAAATTATAATATCATCTAGATTGGACATAGGAATAACGACCACTGGTATCTGCCCAGAAAGCTCTACCGCCTGTTTATAAGCTCCTGCAGGAGACACAAAAAGAAGAGAATTTGAATATAACTTGAAATGACCGTAATCTCCTGCCCCAACTCATTTCATTACCAAACCGCCTCTTTCTTCATTATTTCTCCTGAAGCACAAATCTATAGAGAACTCAGCTGCCAGTCTCTCCCACTGCACTCAGCAGTGAAAGGGTTAGGCCTAGGCTTTTCAAACAGACCAGTGCTTGTATCAGCCCTTAAACATCTCTGGAGAAGGAAATGGGATCCTTCTTTGGTAATTCATTTTTGACAGTTGGGGATTAGGTGTTCTGTATCTGGGGGGCCTTGCTGTCTTCTCTCCTCCTCCTCCCACTGCAGACCCTCTCCTCCCCTCCCCTCTCCAGCTCTCTGATGACTGCTTCATGCTCCTTCCACCTGAGGACTGCCAGCACAGCCTATTGCAGGAACAGCCAATGAGGGGCTGGCTGTGCTCTTTTATTTATAAAATTATAAACTCAAGCAAAATCTAGACTATGTGTCCCCAAGATCAGAGGAGCACAAATCCCTTGCTTACAGATTGCATGGGGGGCACATTCTTTAAAATTGGTCCCTGATCTAGACTCTAGCCTGAGAATCATCTTTAAGTTCAGAATTTCCACTCATGACCTCACATCTGTGGGCTCCCACATTGTCTTCCAAAACACACATGGCATCTGGCATCACCTTCACCCCCACCCTCAGAGCCTCATCTCCCTGCAGGTAGATAGTCAAGGCAACCTCTTCACTCTTCTGCCAAGCCTCCTCTCCTCAGCTCTTCCCTTCCTCTCTCTTTTTGAAAATATTTTTAATTGTGGCAAAATATACACAACATAAAATTTACCATCTTAATCATGTATAAAAGTGGAGTTCAGTGGCATTAAATACATTCACGTTGTTCTATAGCCATAAACACCATTCATCTCCAGAGCTCCTTTCATCTTGCAAAGCTGAAACTCTGTCCCCATTAAGCAATGGCTCTGTTTTCCTCCGTTCCCCCAGCCCCTGGCCACCATCCTCAGTTTTCTGTCTCTGTGAGTTTGATTACTCTAAGCACCTCTTATAAGTGGATCATACAATGTATCTGTCTTTTTGTGACTGGCTTGTTTCACTTTCCATAATGTCTTCAAGGTTCATCCACGTTGCAGCATATGGCAGAACATCTGTCCATTTCCAGGCTGAATGGTACTCTTTTGTACGTGTGGACCACATTTCATTTATCCATTCATCCACGGGAGGGCACTTGGGTTGCTTCTGCTTTTTAGCTATTGTGAATAACGCTGCTATGAACATAGCTGTATGCCTTTGTCTTTTAAAGCCCAAATCTGATCAAGTCACTCCCCAGCTTAAAACCTTCCACTGCTCCCCAGCAGTGGGATAAAGGCCAGTCTCCCCTGTAGGTCTCTCCCGCCAGCCCTGCTCAGTCTTCTTGCTTGTCATCCTTGGCTAGGCCTTGCATTGCCATAGCCCTCTGCCTCTGTTCACGCTCTCTCATCTTGGAGCATGAGCCTTCCATCATCTCTACCAGATGAACTCTCATTTCTTCTTTCAAAAAATAAAAAACCCAAAAAACCCAGAGATCCCAACTGTCCTGGTGTCTGCATAGTCTGCAGCACACGCCCCCTCCATGGCCCTTCCTCCATAAGCAGAATCACTCCTCACTGTTCCTGCAGCACCTCCTGTGTGCCCACACAGCTGTCCTGCGGTGGGCTGTGTGTGTGAGTGTGCCCCCTCTAGGACCTGAGCTCCTTCTGGAGGGTGGGCACAGCATCCATTCATTCTGGGAATCCTGGTCGGCACCATGCTAGAACTTCTGCAAGTGAGTGCCTTTGGTGCTGGCCCATGGGAGAGCTGTTGGTAAGGCATACTTTTGCAGATTCCAGTTGCTGCTGAGGTTGTTGCTCTTTGCACAAGTTTCTTCTAGTCACCAGTGAAGTGACATGTGTGGCAGGCATGGCCCAGGGAGGCTTTTTCATAAAGAAGAGGTTGAATCTTTGGGGCTGTGGTTTGAATATGTCCCTCAAGCTTATGTGTTGGAAACTTAATCCCAAATGCAATAGTGTTAGGAGGTGGGGCCTAATCACAGGTGATTAGGTCATAAGGCTCTGCCCTCATGGATGGCTTAACATGTTTAGTGAGGCAGTGGGTTAGCTATTGTGAGAGTGGGCTTGTTAGAAAATTGAGTGCAGCCCCCTCTTGCTTGCTGGCTACCATGCTCTCTTGCTTTTCTGCCTTCTGCCGTGGGGTGACACAGCAAGAAGACCCTCCCCAGATGCTGGCACCATGCCCTGGGACTTTCCAGCCTTCAGAACCACGAGCCAGACAAATTTCTTTTCTTTATAAATTACCCAGTCTGTGGTATTCTGTTATAGAAACACAAAATGGACTAAGACAATCTTCTTTCATCAAGTTAGGGTACCAACCTTTAAAGACTGCCAGTCCAAGGTTAAAGGAAACTTTTCAAGAGCAGTCCAAACATGATCTGGCCCTCAGCTACTCTCCAGGGTCATGCCACCCTATCACCCACTGGCTCACACAGACGCTGACCACTGCTTAGTTTCTCAAACTGAAGTTTTCCTCCTCAGAGCTTTTGCAAAACCTTTTCTTTGCCTGGAAAACTCCCCCCACAAATCTTTAGTTGTAGGTTCCTTCTCATCTTGCAGAATTATTAGTTTGCTCTTCAAATAGTCTCTCCAGCTAGACTATCAACTCCAGGAGGGCAGAGTTCTTCTTCGCTTCCTTCACCCATGTGCCCACTGAGTCCAGAACTGTATAGCAGTTTGATTGAAAAAATCCACAGGGTGGAGGATGAGAGGACCCTGGATCCCAGCCTCACAGCCTCTTACTTCACCTGTGTGATTTTGGTCAAGTCCTTTATTCTTCCTGGGCTTTAGTTTTCCCTTATCTAAAATATGAGAAAAGTTCCCCTCTCCTGGGTATTCTGGGAGACTCATGTAAAAGGCACTGAGCCAGTGCAGCACATCTATGACCAGGAAGGGTCAGCTTCCTGCCTTGCATGAGACACACATTCCCTTCTTCATGCACAGTTATTCATGAGTTAAATATGTATTGAGAAGTGGGTTCTCAGGAGATGATGCATCCACAGCATTGTTTGTATGCCTCTGTCTTTGATGTCCCTGCCTGAGTCGCCCACTTTAGAGCCCTTCTGTTCTTCAGAAACCAGACTTTTCTTTCAATAGTTTCAGTAATCAATCGATCAATCAATCAACCAATCAACAGTGATAATAATCATGAGTGAGCCCCTGCCCGTGCTGGCTGTGTCCTGCTGAAGGCACACTAAGTGCTGCCCTTCCCAGAAGCCTCAGGAAGCTTGCGAAGCTCAGGTGCATGGATGCCTGGTGGAATGAGGAAGGGATGCAGCCAGGTAGAGAAATGCCCTGCCATCACTTGCATCAGCATCTGTGAAGAGCTGGCCAGGCTTTTGCTCACAGTGGTTGACACAGTCAAGGAGCAAGGGCCCCGTAGGAGAGGGGAGTCAAGGGCTCCGGGTGGGAATGGAGCTGGGGGCTGATGCTGGCTTCTGGAGCACTGTAATGTGACTGAGAAAGGTGAAGGAGCCGTTCTGAAAAAGAAGAAGGCAGGAGCTCGCACAGCTCTTGACTCATCTTGACTTCTTTTTCCTGCTTCATCCAAGCAGGTCGACTCTCTCGTGATCTCAGAGACAGAGTGAAGTCATGAGTGGGAGGGGAGCACAGAAAATAAGACCTTGATTCCCAGCATTGGGAGACTCCCTGCTCCCCTGAGTCTCGGAAAATAGCACCCTTCAAATGTTTTAGGGATCCAGATTTGATGAAGAGATGTTATTTTGGCTTTTAGATTCTTAGGAGAGATTTGTCTTTCTCAGGTCAGGAAGAAAATGCTGCCCGCTGCACATTCTTCGGGACAGACTCTTTTAATTATTACTAGTTTAATGTATGTTTTGCTTAGTTAAGGAAAACCCCTGTGGTTTCTTGACGTGCTTCAGTATTCTAACTCACAGCTGATTCAGTTCAGGGGGCTGGGGAGATGTCCTCGACCTCTGGAAAGGAGGGTGCATCTCTAGAAATAAGGCTAAGTATGCCACTGACACTGTCTGCATAAACGTGTGTGATCTCAGGTCCAAAGGATGGGGCCTGGTCTAAGCCAGGGACGTGGGAAATCATTTTCCTGTGGCAACTTGTGAAGACCATTCTGTGACCTTGGTGTCTCTGGGCCTTCTCTTAGATTTTCTAAGTTGGCTAGTCAGTGGAGCTGCCATCCCTCCTTTGCCCATGTTCTACTCCCAGAGTTCCTCCAAGAAATTGCGGAGCAATGCCTGTTTCATGAGAGCTGAGTTTGCTGTGTCTTCCACTTAGAAACAACACTGTGGACCAGGAGGACACACAGCTCCCAGGGCCATCACCACACAAAGTGAAGGCTGGTGAATCCGAGGCTTCTAGCCCTTGCCGGGCCAGGCCCGCAGCACTCCGCTCCCCAACCCAGCCGCTGCTTTGTCGCAGGAACCTCAGCAGGGCAGGGTGTTTCCTAGGAGGACATCCGATTCCCAGCCATTCCTTTCAGTGAATCACCTGAGCTCACATTCTTTTTTCTTTTATTTTTGAAGCTCTTAGCCAATCTGCTTCGCGATGAACCAGTTTTGCTTGAAGCAGACAAACCCGATTGTCAGGAGACAGTGATGATTTCTTCAGTCTCTGAGGAAGAGTTTTCATTTTCCCCAATTCGCAAAAAAAGTCAGGTCCCTCCCTCCCTCCCTCTCCGTAGAATATTTTCCATGTGTGTTAACAATGGCTGAGCGTGGTAGATGCCAGGAATTTCTGTCAACCCTCAAAGAGGAAAGCCCTGCCTAATGGTCTGCCCGTTCTTGTTCACTCCCTGCCCCAGGCTCCCCACCCGCCTTCTTTCTGGAAGGTATAAAGGCTCCTGCTTATACCTGGCACTGCACGCTTCGCTCCCTCTGATCTCCTGACTGTCATGCCCAGTGTCTCAGCCTATCATTCTACCTCTAACTCGACCTTGAGTGACCTTGAGC
Organism: Homo sapiens; assembly: GCF_000001405.40. Classification (NCBI taxonomy): domain Eukaryota; kingdom Metazoa; phylum Chordata; class Mammalia; order Primates; family Hominidae; genus Homo; species Homo sapiens. The sequence continues at coordinate 55,054,291 of NC_000007.14, forward strand.
AAGTTTCTCAGGATTCCACCTCCAAGTCACTCTCCCTTTGGGATATGCAGCACTAAGTTAAGCTTGCCTGGAAAACATCACTTGAAGCTGGAAAACCACTTTTAACACAGCGGGAAAAGCTATTTGTTCAGACAGGAGTGGGGTGGGTCTGGGCAGAGCACTGCTCTAACTTGGCCATGCCGTGGCAGCAGCTCCTTTAATGCCACTTTTTCCTGGCGCGCCCGCGGGGCCTGGAGCTCAGAAAGAGGGGAACGCTCCCTCGTCTCTCAACAGTTGCTCCAGACAGGTCAGCAAACATGGAATTCAGAATGTTCATTAAACACTGGCTGTGTCTTTTGTGTTCAAAAGCAAGACACTCTCTCTGAACCATGGCCCCACAGAGAGTGCAGAATGTGTGAAACCTGCCGGGAAGGTCTGGACCCCTTGCGGGGCAGTGGGCAGCACCGTGCCTCCGTTCACACCACTCACATGGCTGTGCCTCTGCTTCCTTCTGGCATGGCTGCTTCTTCCTCAGGTCTCAACCATCTCCCTCAGATGCTCTTTCCCATGTTTGTGGCTACAGGTCCCCGTGACCTGCAGAGGCAGAGCACTCACCAGCAGCCCAGCCTCGTTGCGCACCCATGTTTGCATTTGCAGGCCCTAGAACCACTCCAAGCTCCGTGTGGCGAGATGCACCCTCCTGCCCTTCACTGGGGAGCTGCCCTCCTGTTCACAGCGGCACCTGAGTCACACATCTGGAGCCATCCTGGACTGCCTCATTTCCCCGATGGGGGGTTTCCCTGACTTCATCCATCCTGTCTTTTGGGTCCCCATAATAACTGACATGGGTCGGCCCGTACCAGCCCCTGTGAGAAGGGCTTTAACTGCCTTCCCACCCCCTGCTCATCTTAGAGTCTCTCTATAGTGCTGCTGAAAGAATCTCTAAATCAGTGGTTCTCAACCTCAGCCGCACATTGAGAATCACCTGGGACCCTTAAAAAAATCTTAACTCTTGGTCCAAGAATTCTATTACAATCGGTCTGGGATGGGGCCCTACAGGTATTTTTTTAAAGCTCTCCAGTTGGTAATGCATAGCTAGAGTTGAGTATCGCTGTTCTAACGTGCAGATCTGGTCATGTTACCAGCCTTTTAGGTGGTCTTCTTTGGCTTTCTCTATCTAAAGTTCAAAACCGAACATGTGCGCATTCAGTGCACCCATTTTCAACTGTGCATTAACACATTCAGCCCACCAGCAAGATTTATGAACCATTTTCTGCTGTTGTATATAACATATCATATGCATAATGGCATAGGTTATTGTTTTCTTCAAAATATATGAGATGTGAGTCCTTCTACGAACTGACTCACACTGATTGCCCAACTTCCTCTCTCGAGGTCTCATCCTCTTTCCCTGCAGCCGTCTCCCTCTTGCACGCACACACACACACACACACCACACACACACACACACCACACACACCAGGGTCGATGCCATCTACCCTGGACTTCATCTTGAACTCCTTCGAGTGTGAGTCATTACTCCTTTGTGCACCTCTGCTTTCTCTTCTCAAGATGTTCACCTGCTTGAGGTCAGTTCCTTGAGCGTCTTCCACTTGCCATGTTCACCACAGTGCTCAACATGCCTGAATGCATGGATGGCGACTTCTCAGATCCTCAGTCTCCTCATCTGGGTAATAAGGCATTGGGTTGGCGGGTCCATCTGGTTTCTTCCAGCTCTGAGAGTGCATTTGCTCTGTGATTCATTCGTTCCACAACACTTCACCAATTAAAGAGAGGGTACAAAAGGTGAACATCCTTGGCTCCCAGCAGATGCTCCTCAAAACCTGAAAAATCAGATAGGTGAGGGAAGATTGAATGAAAGGCCTCTTATGATTCTGCAGCAATTTTGGTGGTTTAAGAACTCTATGGAAAAATCATCAGTATTTCTGGAATTGAAGTAAAATGGATAGTGAGCCTCTGTGTATGTGAAGGCCCGCATCTGGAACATGAAAGAACCTGTCTGATGTGTTCTAGTCAGGAAAGCAGGTAGCCAATACTATTTATAGAATTTACAGAAACTGAAGATTTTGTTTCTACTGATTTTCAAAATAGTATTATGTCTGATTTTTTTCCTCAGAAATATACTTCCTGCTCTTCTCAACAAACTCATTTGAAAATATGATTAGAACATGATAGAATTTTACTCATTTGCCAACTGCGGTTCCCATTTCACATATTGTTAGAATTCTGCATGGTGGCTTTGCCCTTTAACCACTAACTGATAAATGATGTAGTTAGCTTTTAAATGTGTGGAAAAATATAATTTCAGGTTCAACCATAGGTCAGAAGTACACGTGTTTTGTTAGTCTATTTGTCTCTCAGTCATCTCATGGAAAATTCTCAGCTTTTGGTATGGAAATAATTTTCTTGAAGGCAATATTTGTTGAGTGACTGACGGAATGAAAAACGCCAGTTGCGTAAGTGTGAAAAAGATCTGGGTGTTTTCATTGGATCCAAATTCCACATGAGCCAACAACAGCGTGGTGTGGAGGCTGGAGCACATTAATAAGAACAGTGTCCTAAATTCAGGAGGTAATGCTCTGCCCATGCCCTGTGCAGCTCAGACGGTGTGTGCAGTGCAGTATGTAACCCAGGGCACATTTCAGGGGCCCACAGGGAGCTGCAGCTTGTAAGGTGGAGTGCAGCCAACAGAGCAGAGAGTCAGAATCCCCGCAGAGTGGTTGAAGGCACAAGGATGCGCAGCAAGGAAGACAGACTTATAGGTGGTGCGACTGCCATCCTCTGGTACTGAAGGTGCTATCATGGAGGGAGGGAAGTAGATTGACCCTCCTGGCTCCAGAGTACGGAACTCAGACAAACGGTCAGAAGCTTACAGGGAGGCCAATTTTGGATCAACTTTAAGAAGAATTTTTTAAAAGCTAGAGCAATCCTAAAATGGAATTTGCTCTTTATAAAGTTGCGAATGCCTCACCCTGGAATTGCTTAAGCAAAGTTGGGACGGGCAGTTGTGAGTAATCTCCTTTCCAATCCATACCCGCAATCACCAGAAACGTGGACTTCCCTGACACTGAGCACCTCTTAATTAAGCATCTCATAAGTGAACAAAACCCAGCCCTTCAAAGAAGTCACTTTATTTATGTGTGGGTCTGCAGCTTGGATTTCTTGATAATGTTAAATAAAACTCCATCTACTCTTCCACAAACACTTCAAGAAACCTAAGACTTTTGGCCAGAGTAACACCGAGGTTTGAGAGAAAGGATATGTGTGTGAGAGGTGTGGTTTCATTAGAACATATTATTTGACTTCATGTTGAATCAACACTTTTGTGCAAAATGCAGTTTTACCAGCCTCTTTCCTTGTTTTGGTCACATAATTTAACTTAACATTCTCGGTACTTGATTTTCTAACATAAAATGGGATTGAGAGGGGAATTTTGAAGTTCCCATGGTCTGTCCTCTACATTCTGACAGCTCATTATCTCTGCGGTATTGTTCTCACATTTAAGTGAGGTTAGCGGAGGCAGAGGCCTCTCAGGCCTGAAGATAGCCTCTGTTTTCAGGGAAATACTAGACTGTGAGATCTGTGACACTGAAGCACTAAGTTCATCTCACAAAAGCAACGTGCTCTTTTTAAATGGTTGATCAAAGTTACTTTCAAAAGGAAGTGTTAGTTTTTGTTATTAGCCGAAACAAGAGCTGCTTTAATGTAGTATATTTAAAATCATATCTCAATTAAGATGTTATTCAAATACTATTTGACCCACCAATCTCATTACTGGATATATACCCAAAGGAATAGAAATCATTCTATTATAAAAACACATGGCTGGGCACAGTGGCTCACGCCTGTAATCCCAGCATTTTGGGAGGCCGAGGCGGGTGGATCACGAGGTCAGGAGTTCAAGACCAGCCTGGCCAAGATGGTGAAACCTCATCTCTACTAAAAATACAAAAATTAGCCAGGCGCGGTGGCAGGCACCTGTAATCCCAGCTACTCGGAAGGCTGAGGCAGGAAAATTGCTTGAACGCGGGAGGCGGAGTTTGCAGTGAACAGAGATGAAGCCACTGCACTTTAGCCTAGGTGACAGAGCGAGACTCTGTCTCAAAAAAAAAAAAAGAACCACTTGCATATACACTATTCACAATAGCAAAGACGTGGAATCAACCTAAATGCCCATCGGTGATAGACTGCATAAAGAAAATGTGGTACATATATACCACGAAATACTATGCAGCCATAAAAAAGAACAAGATCATGTCCTTTGCGGGGACATGGATGGAACTGCAGGTCATTATCCTTAGCAAACGAATAAGAAAAGAAAACAAAATACCGCATGTTATCACTTATAAGTGGGAGGTAAATGATGAGAACACAAGGATACACTGGGGCCTACTTGAGGGTAGAGGGTTGAAGGGAGAGAAGCAGAAAAAATAACTATTGGGGTACTAGGCTTAGTACCAGGGTGACAAAATAATCTGTACAACAAACTACTATGACACAAGTTTACCTGTTTAACATACCTGCACATGTACCCCTGAACTTAAAAAAATTTTTAAAAAGATGCTATGCAATAAAATTCTCAATTAAGAATTTAACTTGGTAAATGTTCATTTAATGATCTAAAAATATGTGTCTGGATGGCTCTAGCAAAAAAATAAATAATAAGTTTCTCAGAGATGGTAAGGCTGAAATAAATGGGGAAAAATCTGAATTGTAATCCTTTTTCTGTTGGACCTGGTGTTGGGGTTTCACACTTGTGGGTGAATGTGGGCCTCCTGTGAGCACCAGCACAAAAGACTAAACTGAACAAAAGATTAAATGTCACCTCTAAAATTCTGTGCAACAAGACTTCCAGCCACAGAATGTGCAACTCAGATTTCCAAGTAAAAACACACCAGGAAGCAGATCTTAGATCTCTGTTATCTCCTTGGCACCAGCTGGTATTCATCCTCAATGCTAGCTAGAGTTGAAATAAAGAGTGAAAGAACTTTCTCTTTTATTACTTAATAAACTTCCTTTTTTGAGCTGTTTTAGGCTTACAGAAAAATTGAGTGGCAGTTTCAGGGAGTTCCAGCACGGCCCCTGTTTCTTTCTCATGGTCCCTGCAGGTTTCCCCTATTATTAACGTCTGTCATTAGCATGGCACATTTGTTACAATTAATGAGCCAATATTGATACATTATTCACTAAAGCCCACAGGTTGCGTTAGGGGTCATTCTTGGTGGTGTACGTTCTTCAGGTCTGGACAAATCTATAATGACATGCATTCACCATTACTATATCACGCAGAGTCGTCTCCTGGCCCTACAAGTCCCCTCCTTCCCCACCTGCTCACTCCTCCTTCCCACCCTCCCCAAACTGTGGCAACCATTTAACTTTTGACTGAATGGATTTATTCTTATTCTGCCTTATTGTATGTACACCATATTTTAATAAGATAAAATAATAGTCTATAGTAGACTTCTGTAAATACTCAATGAATAAATACTTGCATGAATGCAGGAAAAATCAATCAGTCTTGCAGGATTTCTTATGCGTTACATCGTCCTTATAAGAAAGCAGTCATTCTCACCGAGATGTGCTGAGCAGATACTGGACATGTTCTGACCCAGATAAGGGCTGGGTGGAAGTAGGGCTGGAGACACAGAGACCCAGTGCCAACTTCCAGGACCTCGGAAGAACTGAAGGCAGAGAGGTCCTCTCAGTGTGGACTGGGCCTCTGCTGGCAGCCACCAGCGGGCACAGAGCTGATGTGTGTTATGCCACGTGGGGAAAACCTACAGACGATTCTGAGAAAGGCTCACAGGGACACCCTCTGCCCCTAAAAGAACAATTTAACTCTAATTTATTTCTGTCACTCTGCATTTTCTGACCTTTCCCAAGTGTACAGTTTTATATGCATTTAACTGCCAAATTGTCATGTGAGATTATATGGTTATATTTCATTAATATATTCTAGTTTGTTCAGCTGTTCTTACTGGGTGAATTTGTGTGGTTTCCTGACATTTTTGTTTTTAGTAGTGCCTCAGTAGTTTTATACATAATTACGTTTCCCTTCTGGATTATTTCCTTAGTATCTAGTTCAAGAAGTGAAATCGCTGGATTCTTGTGGTAAATTTTTGAATTTCACAGTATAATGCTGATTTTCTCAAAGTCTCACATTCTAAGAAAGTATAATGAGGCAAAACAAACAACAAACATCTTAAGTTGATTTTTTCCTAGCATCTTTTCCTTCCATCTTTGCTTGTAGAATCTAGACTATTTCATGAACCCAAGATATAATCAGTATCCTTCTTCAGTATGGCCAAAGTGAGTTTCTCATTATTTTACCTCCCCTTCAGGAAATGACTTTTCATCTTGTGTTTTGGGAGCCATAGATGGTTCTGGGCAGGAAACTGGCTTTGGATAGACCCAGCATGTAGATGGCTATTTGGCCTTGCTCCCAGTATAACGATGCAGTTCCCTGTGAAAGGGTATGAGTAGGTTTTGGGGCTCTGGATACCGTGTGGCCTGAAGAGACAAGGGCTCAATGCCAACTCTGCCTGTTTCCAACTGTGTAACCATGTGAGCGTCAAAAATCATGGACGTGCTCTGGTTAACACTGAGTGGGAGCTCAACAAATTATTATTTTTAATTGTTACTTGGACATGGCCAAGTTGACTACACTTTATGTTCTGCTACCTGCCAGTCTGAAAGTGACGCCACAGAAGGTGAACCGCATGTTGGGAGATGCTCCTCATCTGCTTAAATGAGGTGCAAACACAGCCCATGCGCCTGCTCTTCATGACTGTATCTGTACCAGCAATATTTGTATTGGCAAATCACATGCCCCAGTGGGAACTACTTAAGGGGAATTCAATGGATTTCATTCCTTTTATGTAATTGGCCACTTAGTAATAGACGTGTAGGTCTCTTGTGTGGATAAGGATTCTGCCTTTTATGTAAGATATGTGTTGCAATTCAGCTTTCAGGTCCCAGCCCCGGGAAGGCTCCAGGCCTTCACAAACTGGCCCACCCACGAGAAGGAAAGCAATTGTCCAAATGTGGGTAGCTTTTCTTCCCACTGTTGTCAGCTGCTTCCAATTAGCCCCCATATACATAATCCCAGTTTGTGTCTGTATCAGTACAATTCTCCCATGTCAATGTGAATTTTAAGCCACAGAGGGAAAGGGGACAGAGAATATGCTTTCATTCAGCTCTCCTCGTCTCACACCTCTTGCCCTGCATGCATTTCTTTGCTCTGATTAAACGAGCATTTTATAAGCCACATTTGCTGTGTGAAAGGCAAAGTCTTCCCTCCCACGGATGACGGTCTCCAGGGATGTGTGTGTGTGTGTGTGTGTGTGTGTGTGTGTGTGTGAGAGAGAGAGAGAGAGAGAGAGACTGTAAACATATATCTCTGTGAAACTTCATTTTCCATATGTGAATTTTTGGAACCGAGACAAATGGAACTTAGCTAAAAGATGGGAAAGGTAGACTGACTCTGACTTAATCTACTTAACCTACCAGGCAATTTATAACTTGATGGCCTAATTTTTGCAGCACCCAGAAGCAAGCCTGTTTCAGCACGGCAAAGGCTCAGCTGCTAAGTGGGCAGCATTGTTGGAGGTGAGCAGCTTAGGCTGACTGTTCATCAAAGGACCAAGCGCTTGAGGTTCGCTCATCGCTGGAGGCCAGAGTGGGGAGGGCCATTTAACTGCTCAAGGCCATGGAACTCTACTGTCAGTTTCAGGGAAATTTGGGACCCTGGAGCACAAACCAAAACTCCAATTAACCAGGAGAGGAACTCGATCCCCAGGAGATAAGTGAAGAGTAAGAAGTCTATCTTTAGAAACAAGAGATGTCCAAGGCTAGAAAGATGGGGAAGGAGGGTGGAACTGTTCTGGAAGTGGGTCTCAATCTCAGCACCAGCAGCTCTCAAGACTTTCTAGAGAAGGAAACTTCATTTCTGAATTAAAATTAGTCTTCAATGACATGGCAGGGATTTCGGCACACTCTCTTGCGTCATAGGCCACTGTGTTGGAGGCAGGAGTGTTGGCTTTGGAGGCATAGAGATTAAAATTAGAGTAACACGTGAGCACTGAAAAGGTTAAACAGTAGAGACATGGAGGACTCCCGACCCCCATGTACCCCTTTCTTAACCCTTTAATTAAGATCACAGCCCTAGAAATAGCTTGCAAAATAATTAACTACTGATCATTTATACCTTAGTGCTTCTGTGAGCATGTTTTCTCTTTCATTGCTGCTCATCTGCATGGAAAAATGTGCATGGGTTTCTGAATATAACTCCATGGTGCTTGCTTCCATTATATTTGTGCCATTTGGATCATAACTGATAAGCAACCAAAGAGTCCCATATTACTGCACGTTCCCATCGCTATTTTATGTGAAGGTGGTCCTGGGGGCTGTTCTGAATTCTCAGTTTCCTTTTTTCCCCTCCCCAGTTCTTTGAAAATATCAGAAACGGACTTGTGGCATCTTTGAAAAGCTACTTAAAATGTGCTGCTGTGCTCTGAACTTGAAAATGTGCTTTTAATACAAAGTTTGTGCAGCCCTTGCTGCTCATACGAGATGAATCTTACCATGTGGTGGATGCCCGTCTCATGCCAGGCACTGTGCTCTAAGCCCATTGGTTTATTTCAGTGCTTGAAATTGGCTTTCGAGAGAGGCACCACGGTTCCCTTTTTACAGGAGAGGAAACACCAGAGGATCAGAGATGGAGAGTCTTTCTCCACAAACTCACAGACCCCAAAGGCAAGCTCAGGGTTGTCAGCTTCCAAAGTCTGCCTGCTCCAGGACCTCATGTTGCATCTCCATTCTCTTCACTGAGGGTCAAATGGAAAGAACACATGGGGGTCAAGTTTCAGAAAATAAGAGAAATGAAGAAATATGTGCCCGGAAGCAAGAACGACCGACCTCATTAAACTGGCTCCCTTCACCTCCTCTCACATCTTTTTCTGCCTTTTGGCCAAGTTTTCTCTCCCCCGCATTTCCTCCTTGATCTCGTTTGAATCCTCTTCCCTGGTGAAGTCATTTAGGTTCAGGCTCTTATTTTACTTTGGTCCATAATTTAGATCGAACCACATGTGCTGATGTGATTGAAACGATGTGGAATTCTCTGGACAGAGATAGAATTATGGAGGGGTTAGTGTGTGTGTTTAAGATTAAAAGACCAGGTGTATGGGAGGAAATATAATGAACAAAAAATAGTATTTTAAATGAATACTAAACTTGCACTCATGGAAAAAGTTCTCTTCCCATGAGGTTCTCGCAAAGCATTTTACCATCAGCACACGCAGTTTTTCTCAGTTTTCTGAGATGGGGCCATCTTGAATCCAACAGACAACACACAGCATCAGCCAGACTAACACAAAGGACGTCATGGGCATGGACGTAAATACTGGTGTCAACACTAGGTCTGCACCTCGAGAGGAGTGGAGCAAAAGGATGGAGTGGCAGATGAAGGTATGCTGTTCAGAAAGGAGGCAGAAATGAAAGGAAGACCATCAGTGCGCTCCACAGCTTGAGGACCGTCCTGGAGGGCAAATGCCAGCTGCTCACTTCTGAAAAGAAAAATTCCAGTGAAATGAGTACAGTCATTCTTAGGATTACTCACTTGATACTGTGTATGTCTCTTCTTGGCTTCTCATCTCCACACAAAACCCTCAGGTGGTAAAAATCTAATTAAAAAAATTATATAAAGTCTTGTAGATTTATTAGCCTGAACATAATAGATTTTTTTTAAGCACGTTAAGTCTTCCATGGACTAAAAGAAAACTTGTAAACCTAAGAGAACCTCTATTTTTGATATACAAAATAATACATTTCCTTAAACTATGATCTTGATACTAGAATTTTAATTAAAAAATACCTGCAGTTTATATGCAAAGTTATAGATTAATGCTTAAAAATAGGTTGTATGTAGTATCCACAGGTCATGTTTGACTGTCAAATAGATGTAATTTTAATTCATAATAATTGTGTCGTGTTCTTCCCCACTAGAAGCCAATTATGCAAGCTTCACCATTCACACATGGAAAATAATTTAATGGAGTACTCATTGCAATTTCACTTATCCAGAATTGGCTGTTGTTCTCAGAGCAGCTTGTGTTGCCTTGTTAAGGAGAATATGTTAGTATCCAGACATCCAGAAAGGATCCTTTACTGTTTCAGAGTCCATTTTCCCCACTTTTGAAATACACACACAAACACCCATTCATGCAAACCAAACAGAGATTGTAAAGTGATTCCACTGACATTTATGCACTTCTTTTTTCTCTTTGGTTCTTCAAACTCTCAGTCAGTGCGCATTTACTCTTAATTTAGATACGGTTTAAACCTAATTAGAAACCAGAAGCTCTTGTATTTCCACAAAGGATTATGACAGCCCCAAGAAAAGATAGTGAAACCATTATATAACAAGATAAAGGCTTCTTAACAATACAAGGATGGATTTTCTCATTGATCTTAGCCTTCTGAATTTTAGAAATTGCCATTTCAAAGTCTAAAACAAAGGAAAATCAGGGAATAAAAGAATGGTAAGTAGACACAAACCTACTGGCTCCATCATTTCTGTTTTAGCAAATAACCTGCCACATATACCAATAGCCCAAGAGATGGGCATGTCCCTGCATTTCCTGGTCAAGGTGACAACACTGCGTCCTCCTGGAAGAGGTCTGCCACTCACCATACCACAAACCAAATATAATAAAATCAGAAGGCACACTATAGTGAATTTTTTAGAGGCATGTATTGAAAAGCATCTCAAAAAGCATTCTCGAAGCTTCCAGAAGTCAACTCAAGTTATCTGAAAAGTGACACTTTTGATGATTGCTCGCTTAATACTGGGAGAGCCAGATGAAGATTCCTCCCCACTTCCTCAGATGTGCAACTCTGGAATTTCTTAGTGTTACTGGAGATTCCTGCTGCATTCTGGGCCTTTAATGCATAAACACTGAGATGTTCTAAGGAAATTACTCCCTAGGGAGGAGAGGGGTGGACGAGGAGTAAGCTTTGCTGGTGACTCATGCGCTGTGTGGAAACTCCCTGCACAAGTGAGCTGCGCAGGGTGAGTCTAAAGGGTTAATGCACTTTCAAAAGCCTCTAATTTGTTATTCCAGAAGAGTAATTTACTCACTAGAAGTATCTGGGTGGCTACTAACACATTTGTGTCTTTAAAAAGATCAGTTTTATTTTAAGATTAAAAATATAAAGCAAGAGCTGGAAAGTCACTAAAAACTGACAGCCAGTTTCCCATTTTCAAGAGTATTTATTAAAAGGTTCTGGTTGCAGAAGGAATAAGAAATGGCTTGAGATCATGACACAGTGAATCATGTTGTAAACATGTTAGCTATGGCTGTGAATTCAACCAGCGATGAGTTCAAGCGTCCCCAGAAGGTGTTGGGGGAATTAGGGACATGGCTGTGTTTCCCCAGAGAAAAGTGGCCATTTTACTTTCCCTCTTCACTAACATGCTTTTGACATGCATGGCAGAGCTGAAGGCAAGGGGAAGGGGACAACATAGTAAGTGACTAAGTGGCTTTTTTTTTTTTTTTTTTGCCAAGTGAAGCTGAGTCATATGGCCTCTGTCATTCCAAAACTATTCTCTACGGCTGCATTCCTTTCGCTCTTGCCTTCCTTTAGAACCCTGGAGAAGGCCTCCTGAAGCCTGGCCCTATTATGTATCCTGACAAAGATAAACTTTTCCAAAAAGCTGCATGTTGTTTCTAGCACAGTTTTTCCTCGCAGTGACTACGTGATGAAAGTACCATGCAGAGGAGGTGTCTGACTGAGGCGTTCGTGGTGTGTGACAGAGTCCCCTGCACAGGACAGCCGCACTCCCCTCTTGCGTCCTTTCCTCCCATGTTTGCAAAGCCTCTTTCCCTGTCAGCAGGGGGTGTTCTGGCAGTTGACATTTCTGAAAACTACAGCCTACATTTTTAAAAAATCCAGTAAGTGAAAACTAAAAAATTAATACCGTGGTCATAATAGTGTGGCATTTGATAACTAATGAGGCACTGTCGTGCCAGCTATTATTTTCAGACATTTACAGTCCTTTTTTAAATACAAAGAAATATTTGGTGTGAAATGTTCCCCGGGAGCTGGTGCAAGCAGAGGCGACAGGGCAAGGGAGCTTGGGTTGTAGCCTCGAATTCCTCCGGCCAGGGCTACCGTCAGCCTGCGGCACACAAGTAAATCAAATATAAAACCAAAATTTCTGTAAGCAAATCAGTTTCTAACTCACTGTAACGAATTATCTTTCGCACATCACAGAGGCATCTCTTTTCACTGTCGAGTTTGGTTTGCTTGGTTACAAAAAGGGCAGTTCAAAAGCTTTGGTTGCTATTGTGAAAGTCAGCTGAATTCCTTCCACCGTGCTGGGGTGGGGTGGGGTTCACGCAGGTTCTCTTTTGTCACCAGGGGTGCTGTGGATTCACAAGTAAGCAAGAGGCTCCTCAGGTCAAGCCTCTGGCTGCTCCCTGAGGTCAGCTGCCTAGCTTCTCCTCCTCTGAGATAGACGGGAACAAAGTCTTTGATGTGTGCATTTCTCAAGCTTGACAATGATACAGCTACATAAAAACCCATGATTTCATATAGATATTCCAAAACGTAAAAGTAAACCATGCATCCACAGAGACATGGAATTACAGAACTGGATGCTGAGCTGGTCACTTGGGAGGCAGGCGTCCTTGCCATTGGTTTATGCCTCAGCCCCACCATGCAGTGGCTGGCCAGGTGACCTAGGCCAGTCCTGCATCCTCGGCTCCTCACCTGCCTGGTGGGACAGTGACATCTCTCCTGCAGCACTGCTGTCAGGGTGAGGGAGGTAGGGCGCAGTTTCAGAAAACCATTGGGCTGCACCTGCGTGAGCACAGCTGCAGGAGCAAAAGTCAGAAAGGTCAGCAAAGGATTTCAGGAGCAAAGGTCAGAAGAAACCCTCAAGGTGGTTGTGTCTGCAGGAAAGTGCTGTCGTCTCCTGCAATGCTTTCAAGACTATTCAGAAGCACAGTGTGAAGGGAGAGCCGGAGCCCATGGGGAAATGACTCCAGAGTGTTCCACGTGTTGGAAGGCATCTGTTGGAAAACGGACATTCAAGCAAATAGTTGCCTGCATAGACAACGCAGAATGACTGGGAAAGCCCCAACAAGTTACCTACTGGTAAATGAGGTGAGAAGCTTAAAGTGAGAACCCCATTGCTGCCTCTTTTTCACTTTAAAAACATTTAAGTTTTGAATTATGGTAAAATACACGTAAGATTTACTACTGTAACCATTTTTAAGTGTACGGTTCAGTAGTGTTAAGTATATTCACATTGCTAAGGAACCAATCTGCTACTTTTGTTTATTAATTTTTTCCTGAGGGGAAATATTTTTAAATTTTAAAATATTTAATTGACAAATAAAAATTGTGTATATTCAAGGTGTAGAACATGATTTCATATGCACGTACATTGTATACTCATTACCACAATCAAAGAAATTAACACATCCAACCCACCCATAGTTGCCATTGTGTGTGCGCGGATGTGCGTGTATGTGTGTGTATGTGTGCACGTGTGCGCCTGTGTGTGTCTGTGTGTCTCTGTGTATACGTGTGTGTACATGTGTGTACGTGTGTGTTCCTGTGTATGTGTGTCTGCGCACGTGTGTATGCATGTATATGGGTATGTGTGTACGTGTGTACGTGTGTGTGCATGTGTGTATATGTGTGTCTGTGGGCACAGGTGTGCCTGTGTGTATGTGTATATGTGTATGTGTGTACATGTATGTACGCGTGTGCATACGTGTGTGTGTGTGCACAGGTGTGTATGTGTGTGCCTGTGTGTGTGTGTGCATGTGTGGTGGGGACACTAAAAATCTCTCATCACCTTTTTAGTCAAAAGAACAGTTGTTTTGGTTTGGCTCTTCTGTTTTAAAATATCAGAACAATAATAATTTCCCACAGACAAAATCCTCAATCCTCACCATCCTTCTATTTCCTATATTCATCATAAACTTCATGCTTGATGTTGAAATTGTTTTCTGAAAATAGAGAATACAAAGAGGAGATTTTAAAATGTCAGTGGCAGCCCCACACTCCTTTTTAATCTTATTTCCTGATATCTTGAGTTTACTTGGACGTAGAGTTTTCCTTGACTATGGTTATTTCTGGTAGTAGCAGCTCCAGATTAGGCAATGGTTTTCTTCAGAGATAGCTTAGAGTGAGCCCCAGAACAAGGTCAATGCGAAGATTGCTTGTGTCTGCGTGTCCAGGGCACAGTGATCCTCATCACTAGCCGGGGGGCTCCGTGAGGATCTGCTCCTGGTCGTTTCTGTTCTGTATCTTCTCTGCAGCCCTTACTGAAGCCGTTACCAACTGGCACAATTCAATTCCTACTGTACCCATCATGCACAGATGGCTGAAGTATTGAGAACGCTCCAGTGACCGGGAGGCAATAGTCTGTCCACATCTAAGAACACACTTGGAATAACCTTAGAGAAGAGAGAGAGAGAGAGAATGCATGGTTAGTAGGTTATCAAACTCCTATGACTTTTCACAGGAAAAGCCCTCATCCACACCAACTTTAGGAATGTGTAGAAAGAAGGGTCAGGGACAGGGGTGAGTGGTGGGCAGAGCAGTTGGAGGGCACAGGGAAAAGGCATCTGGTCATGTATTTGGAGTAGGAGGTCTTGCTTTACTATTGAATTGCAGGGACACTTTGGGAACAGTGTTCACTTCTTTTTGCAACCATTTCTTCAGAGAAAAGTCATGATACTCAAGTCTTCTTACAAAGCAGTTTGAGGCTTTGAGTACCAGACTGATTACAGAGATGAGTATGAAGCATTATTGTAGTATTTTTAAGTGAAATTCACTAAATGCAAATAAACCTAGCAAATGCTCTATGGTTAATTTTTTTCTAAAATTCAGATAATTAAGACAATTCATTCTCCTGAAACTGCTGTTCATGTAAAAAGGAATTTTATCGAGGTGGCCCTTGAGTGCCAAACAGCCTGTCCTCAGCTGCAAAATGAGTCGTTGATGATCCTCCAGCAAGGGATACTTTTTAGCTCGTGTGGTGATTGCTGCACACGGGATATGTGCAGCAAGTATCTGCTGAGCTAATAATAAACAGCCTCAGACAGAAAGACAGTGGGCACAAGGTCATGCTTAAAAAGACCCCTTGTTCTACTGCATCCCAGCTCCCCACCATGGGGCCTCACAGGCCCTGGTGACCAAGCACATCAGACCTGGTTCTTGCTCAGTCCTGGGAGCCACAGAACCCAGCACGTACTTTACCCCCAAGACCAGACTCCAGCTTGGCTTTTGTCCTCCTCTCCAGGATTGGTGACCTCCTAGGTCGTGAAGCTGTGATGAGCAAAGACACACTCCTCTCCATTCTCCCAACTTCAGGTCCCTTTGACAGTGTCAGCAGGCATTTAAATAGCAGACCACCCACAGCAGGGCTGGTAGATGCAGTGAACTCAGGAAGATGCCTGCATAGACTCTAGTGTTAAAGACAGAATCCTTACAAGGAACCCCCATAGTTACCTAACTGCTGTCTCCAGTGGTCATAGAAGTGTGATAACCCACTAATCATCATTCTCTGTCTCTCTGTCTTTCTCATACACACTTACACACACATACACACAACCTTGTTGCTTAATTTTCAGAGAGTCTACTTTCAGAAAAGCCTTCAGGAATACATCATGTACAAAACTGAGAAATTACCTGAAGTATCTTTAAATTTAGTAAAAAGTTGCATTGTTTTTTGAACATCACACTTGAAAAGTACATGAATACAAACATACTTAGGAAAAAAAGCTTTAATTAATTTAAAAAGGAGAACAATGCTATATGCTGTATCCCACCTTTCTCTGAATGTTACATTTTCTCCCCTATCCCAGGCTGCATCTAAGAAAACTCAGAGGGAATATGCTATCTATCTTTTCCGAGCAATGAAAGCTCTGGGTTTTTTCCTTGCTTTTCAGGGCACAATACTTCTCTTTCTTCCTGGTTAGACAGGATAAGTTCTGAGTCCCCTGGTATCATCAGCTTACTTCTTCTCTGTTAAATATTCACAAAAAATCACTAACTTTCATGCCTCAGCAAACCTCCACTGCCTAAAATATAGTGAGGTCATTCATCTTCGGACAAATTGCCCCAACTACGGTGGGAAAAGAACCAATGTGTTGGACTATTTATCTAATTTTTGTTTAGTTCGGGGATACAAATAAATGCATAGATACATACAAACATGCGTACATAATAGCAGCAGCAGCCTGTGAAACATTGACAAGACCTGGAGTTGGAAGAGGACTTTGCCATCCTCCAGTCCAACAGTTGCCTGTCACAGATTAGACGACTGGGATGTGCGCAGGCGATTATTTGCAAACGGCCCTGAGTCCCCCAGTTTATGTCTTAATTCGCAGCCAGGGCTGATTGTAGAAGCAAATTTGCAAACATGTGCAAGAAGAAATCACACATCCTAGAGCTTGGATTTCCTCGTTTCTTGCTATTTCTATCCGTAGACAGAACCATTGCTGAGCTGTTAAATTTGTCTCCTTCCCCTATACCAGTCTTGAAAAAGGAAAGGAAGTGGAGCAAAGAAAAAGAAATTAATAAAGCCGGCAGATCCTAGGAGAATCTTATTTAATCCAAGCTTTGTAAAGTTTTGCTTTATTCCATGGCAACATGGGTATACACATCCCACCGGCTGTTTCAGTGGCTCAGAGCAGGTAAGGCCTGTGCCAAACGCCGCTAGCAGGAGGAACAACGTGGAGACAGCCCCAGAGGTGGAACGTTGGCCCTTCTGTGGCTCCGGTGTCTCAGGACCTCCCTAAAGCCCAGCCCTGACACTGAGCAAGTTTCCACCACTGTTAGGAAGAAGTAGAAAGGAATTTGGAGGGTTGGTGTTACTGTTCAAGAGCTGGAAGGCTTCTGCCCCCATTCCCATTCCATTAATTGCGTGAGGTAGAGAACTCATAGAAGATAGGAACACATATGCTGATTTCCAAAATTGCCTTTGTATATTTTCACGTGAAGACTTTAGGGGCAAAAGAAAAGAAGCAAGCATTTTGAATATGTGTTTCAATTTGCCTTCTGTTATATAAAATTGTATTTTGCCTATTCTTTTTTCATTATTCGGAACCTTCAAGAAATAAATTAAGTTCTCTCAAAAATGTGTTTTTTGAAAAGAGGACTAAAACAGATGGCCTGGCTGTGTTAAACACAGGGACCAGACCAGCACCCACCTCTCCACCTGCCCTGCCTTCACTGGCAGAATTGTGATCCATCATGTTCTCTGTTCAATGTCATCATCCCTTTCAGAGCATGGGTCTCTTCCTTTCTAGGCAGTCTTACCAGGATGCATGGGTGTGCCTGCGTAGGCACACGCACAGCTCCCAAGGACTCTAAAAAAAGATATTTTTCTGCTTATATACTAATAATATGTTAGAGATTTATGTTTCAAATTAGTACAGAATCACATGGTTCTCTCCAAATTATATTTGAGAGAGAAAGAATAGAACAAAATTTATTTTACAAAAATACTCAGTACATTTAGGGCATATACAAAGATGTTCCAGAATGTAGCTTATCTCTTTAAAGACAATTAACACAGTTTCTGGGCAAGGCAAGGCAAAATATTCAGTAACTTAGCAACACCAACAGAAGACAGCCAATATTGCAGCACATTTTTCTCTTGGATTGGGTCAGAGAGTACTGCAGAGAAAATGGAGTAGAGAGACCTGAAATACTTTCGCACACACTGTGGTCAGTGCAGCGTCCACTGTGTGCCACAGTAATACTAGAAACTCCCTGGTTAGGCCTTGGAATCCAGCTCTCATTTCGTATGTGACCTGCAGGGAAGTAAGTTAAATGCACACGTTTTATCAAGTTCAAATGCAAACTTAATTTTAAATGTATGCAACATCAGTTTAAGCGTTGTAGCTATTACTAGCAATTGTACCTATTACTAGTCTGTACTCTGCACAACTTTGGAGTATACTGCCTACTCAAGGTGGATTTTAGAGCTCTATTTGTGGCATTATATCACGGACAAAAGCACGTTCATCAGAGTCAGAGGAATGTGGTGCAAATCCCAGCTGTCCCACTTACCAGCTGTGGGACTTGAGTAAGCTCCTGAAGCAGCTGCACCTGCATTTTCTGGTGGGCACCATGGAGCTGTCAGCAGTGCTTTCCTCAGAGGGCTGCGGGCTGGATGAGGTTTGCTGGTGCATGTGAAGTGTCAATCATTGCTCTCATGAGTGGTGATGCTGATGCCGTTCCCTTTTTTAGGGAAGTGATTTTCCCTTACAAAGTTACCAACAGTTTCATGTTGGCCCATTTTTCTATTAATTGTTTCCACTAATAGGACCAACAGTGGTAGTCCCATCATTTTATTACTGCTTGTCGTAGCACAAGCAGTTGCTTCATTGTGTTTAGATAAATATTGACGGCTGCTTTTAACAGTCTGCTGTTTTGTCTCCTTTTGAGGTCCTTAAAGTAATCCTTAAAAAGATAGTGCAGATGGAAAGATGTCTGGAGTCAGTGAACCTGCCTTCTTTCCTGTGTGCTTGTCAGTTTCTAAAATGCCATACACAAAGGACTTTCATGATTTCTTTTTAGGTACATGATTACAGTTCAATTCACTTCACTGTCTGGAAAATTTCCTTATAATCAGGATGAAATTTCTCATGTTAGCCTTTCACATTTCACTACTTTTAGATAAGGAATTCTCAGGCTTTGCTATATCTGACTGCTCTTGGAGGCTGAGCTTTTGGCTAACTACCTGACTACTTTGTCGTTTCTCTTCCCTTGGAATGAAGCAAATATCTAACTTCTCACTCATTGTTTCTGCT
Organism: Homo sapiens; assembly: GCF_000001405.40. Lineage (NCBI taxonomy): Eukaryota > Metazoa > Chordata > Mammalia > Primates > Hominidae > Homo > Homo sapiens. The sequence continues at coordinate 55,073,130 of NC_000007.14, forward strand.
ATTTTACCATTTAGTCATCTGTGATTTTTCTAAATACTGAAAGACTTCCCTCAATTCAAACTATGTGCCGGATCAAGGAAAGGGCAGTTGGATATTGCAGACAGCATAGTGCAATTGTGAAGAGTGTCTGCTTACCAGCCACGCTGCCTTGCACAAGTTATCAAGCCTCTCAACCCACTTCCTCAATCTGTAAAATAGGTATGAGTGTAGGACCTTCCCAGGGGATTTTTTTGTGACTATAGAATGATTCTCAGAAGACTTTCAGGCAGTATGTGGGTGAGGCACATGCTGGAAAGGCTTCTGCAGGTGCAGTGATCAATGCTTTTCTCAGTGTGTACATCCCATAATACAGACACGTTACCAGAAACTCCCTAGCCAGGACTTTGATTGCAGCTCACATTTTGTATATGGCCCATAGGGAAATGAAGTGTGTATTTTTTATAAAGTTCAAGTGTTAACTTAATTTGGAATTTACTATCAAATCTCAGTTGTTATGGGCATTTATAGCTATTAATACTTCGTCCCATGTGTCCCATGAGGAAACCAAGGAACAGAAATTAAAGTTCTTTCTGGAGTCCCCTGAATCTCGTTCCTGTTCTTTTGCACCCTGTTAATTACATAGAGACATTCACAGCTCTTCTGACCTTATCAGCGTTAAGGAAAACAGAAAACCAGCGTGCTATTTGTTCTGTCCCTTAGTCAAGCCTTCTCAACATATATTTTTCTTCCAAGATTTTGCATGTGCACAGGGATGCCTATCCTCTACAAGAAACACATTTTAGGCAAATTATAATTAAAATGCTGTTTACATCTCTTCACCTTTAGAATTTAAAGAATGATCATTTCTTAGATTGCATCTCAGACACACCCTTCCCCTAGTCTGGAGAGGGCGAGGCCCATGGGTACTGCAAACAGCCTGACGTTGTCAGGGGCGGTCTCAACGGCTCATTCACCACATCTGCCTCGCGAAGGCTAAGCCATGTGCTGTTACCCCTGCTGCGCTCTGGCTCATTCTAAGGTACACGCTATTAACCTTGTGAGAAAACAAAGAGGCCAGCCCCACCCTTCCTGCTCACTCTGAGTCACGGTGAAAATGTTTCAGGATCTCGGGTTCGACCATGAGTCCTGTCCAGGTCCAGGAGGAAATTCGGAAGGACCACATGTTCACTCTGAGATCCCACTTTCATTTCCCTCCTGGTTGAGCAGCATTAATACTCTGGCTAGATTTAAATTCTGGCTTTCTCCAGTTAGAACTGAAAGTTATGACAATGTAATCAAAATAGAATGTGGGTTTACAGCTGGCCCCCTGGCCTGGTTTGTGAACATAAAACAGAAACAGAAAGTGTAAGTGGTGACATCATATTCTCTCATTCAATGTGAAAGGCCACCGAAGTCTTTCCAGAATTATTTTTGAGAATAATATGAATTTTTAAAAAATACCTAATTATTTTAAATATCGTCTTGCTTGCTCCCCAAATACCTACTGTTTTCAACTTGGATATACGACATGATTAAAGAATATCTAATATTTGGGAATGCATACTTTAACCTTATAAACTACCACTGTAAATAGACAGACTCATTAAAGTGAAAGGACATTTTAAATCAATTAGTAAGCAAATCAATTAGGTGGCAAAGACAAGATTATTTTTCCTTATGGTAGTTGAAGAATAATGCTTAACCTGTCATTCTAATTACCAAGCACGGTGTTCTCTTTGGAAGATCATTTCAACAAAACATTATTTTCATCCAGAATTTGAACCTTGAGATTGCATGGTATTTTAGAAATCTATTTTAGAAATCTTTGGCAAAGGTTACTATTAAAACAATCACATTCATGGAAAATCAGTATAAGAGCAACTAAAATAACTCACAATACCAGTAAAATCACTTTGTCATCTTCTTAAGACTTTTAAAGAGCATTTGTAAGTAACTGAATAGAAGGCCAAAGGGTGTGTAGGTAGCCCAGACCATCAGTGGGCAGCCAGGGCCAGGGCAGGGGCCACGGTTGCAGCCTGCATTCTTCTAAAGGGCAGAGCAAATTAAAGTTGAAGCAGGAGCTAAAAAAAAAAAAAAAAATGTTTCAAAGAATTCCACCAACCAGAGGATACTACCTAGGACAGTTTGGGCCTAACTTATCTGTGAAGGCCTCCAGCTTCCTCCACACCGGTGGCCACTTTTCATTCACTCTGAACCCTTCTTTGTATGGAGGTCATTTTATTAATTGAGCTGTGACCAACATGACAGAATTTCCTGTTTTAGGGCTTTTATAATATAGATAGTTTATATCTAATTTCAGAATATATTCACTGGGGAATGGACTTAGCAACCACTACCACAACAATGCAACAATGTGTTTTGGAACAAATTTACCAATCTGAATTTCCCCCTAGATTAGGTCACAGGAACATTGCAGCTGATGTACAGCTATGTTCCTCCTGAAACTTGGAGACACATCCTCTTGAGCTGGGTTATAATGGGCCACCCAAAGCTCGAGTTCCTGTAATGGATACACTCAGGCAGCAGAACCTACCACCGTAGTGAGGACAGCACCCAGAGCCCTCAGAGGCCATCACAAGTGCACCACAGCTGCCTTCTCTGGCACGCTCAGAGCTACACAGTGTACTCTGGGATTGGAACTCTTTATTTTTTTTTCAGTTGATTTGTAAATAAGATTGCACAAAAATCCATGCACATCAACTCTCCAAATCAGAATTTGCTGAGCTAAAAAGAGCATTAAATTAGATGGGCTGGCTTTCAAGGGGTGGGGGTGCAATAGTGGAACTCTGCACAACAGTTCTTTACAAAGAGACAAGCAAGCACATCGCGTGGAAATTTCCATTCAACTGGAAATGTCCAAGCCTGTTTACCTCAATTAATTGTCCTTGTTCACTTGTCCAGCCTAGCAATTGTCCATTAGTAATTTGTTATAAATGAGACATTTGGTATTAAAGCATCTCTTTGGGATACTGGTATGGTTTATTATAACATTCTGTTAGTAGTGTTGTACAAGCTTGAGATGTATTAATACGAAATCCAAGCTGCATGAGGGCTTTATTTTTCAAGCCTACACCTTGCTGAAATTCTGAATTAAAATATGATTCTCAGTACAAATGAATAAATCAACAGAAATGGTAACGCATGTCAAATATTCTTAAAACCCAAGAAAGCCTTGTAACTTCCTTCAATCTAATGGGAAATGCAGGCAAATACAAGACTGATGTCCTTGAGTTTTATTATCAAGACTCAAGGGCACCAGTAAAATCTAGTTTCATTGGTTGGAAAAAAAATCCTGATAAGCACTGTTAGGCATATTAACTTTAATGATTACAATTTTTAGGACACTCTGTGGCCTAGACTTAGAAACACAACTAATGTCCAGAAAAAGATTCCTCTTTTTATTCCATCATCTGATAGGCCTATTTTTACACATACACACCAACCAAAAGTAGCCAAGCAAACAAAACAACATACTCACACCCCTTCGCCTATTATCATCTAGGTGATTTTCAATGCTCATTGCAATGAAACCTACTTATTGTGCATGGCACCCACCCCCACTGAGGAATACTGTAGTTTCTTTCCCTTTGAACTTCATTAGTAGAGCACATGGTTCATTCACTCCTGAAGAGTTCTTCGTATGTCAGAATATATATACTACAACATAATTTCCATCAGAGCTCTGACCACCCGCTTATCTATTTTCATAATGCCTGCCACTCCATCATTAGCTGTTGTCATGTAGGCTATCAATAAATATATGACAAATAAAACAGTTAGGGAATGAGGGAAATTGACTAGCAGCCAAAGACCTAAGCCATCCTCTGCTTGGACATTAGAAAACTGAGTTCACTACAGTCATAAGATACACAAAGGCAGAATGTAAGCCATACAAAAATCCATGTCAATCCCAATATGTGAGTACAACTATTGAACACCATGTACTAATGGATGAGTTGGTAAATCATTCAATGTCTTCATGAGGTCAATTACAGATTATTATTTAGACCCCAAAGATTCCAAAGATGGTATTTCGGTCAGATCTTCATCCTTTGTAAGCCTAGCAGAAAATATGGCAGTTTTATTGACTACTATTCTTTGCTGGGTGTGGTATTTTTAAACTGAGACATCAGTGTGCCTAGCACAGGGCCTCAAGCACACAGAAAAATTCCTTGATAATAATTAAATAAAATTTCAGCAAAAAATATCATCTTAAGGCTGTGAAATTATCTTCCTGTGTGGCTAAAATAGTGAATAAAATTCAGCGCAATATAAATCATAGTACAATTTCATCACTAAATTTTCTGATCTTGATCTTGTCATTTTACATTGGAAGTAAAAATGTGTCCTCCTTTTTTTCTCTGACAGTGAAAAGTGTGTGTGTGTTGTGTGCCCTTTTGCACACCCTGCCTCACACTTGCTGGTCTAATTCCTTCCAGCATGATTATGATATAATTAAATGACAGAAATGTTTACTTCCAAGTGGAACTAAGCCAGGGTAACTCAGGGTAGGGCAGCTGCTTGCACCGAAAGACCAAGACTGCTAGAGAACTAGGAAACAGGCGGTGCAAGAACTCCAGGCTCTCATGGAAGAGCGGGAGGCTTCTATGGGGCTGCAGAAACTCTTTGGTGCTTGGGGAAAAAATGGGTTAAATGCTCTTAAAAAAGAAACCTGGGAGAGGTAGTTTCCAGATGCAGGCCCGTCTTTTCTTTTAAACAGAGGCAGCTCCGAAGAGCTGGACATTGAACCCTGAGCAGGAACTGGAGGCCGTCAGCGCAGCTTTGTTTGGCGAGCGGAGCTTTGCAAGGGTGTAATGCTGCACCAGGGAGACGCTATCTGCAGGGACCGGTGACGCCGTGGGTGTGGAGGGGGAGGCAGTGGCTGGCCCTCTTGGGGTAAGGTACGCCCAGGAACAGTTTAGAATAACGTGCGCGAGTCAAAGGGAAGAAGAAGCTCCTGCAGACCTTCTGGGCACTGTGCAGGGTTTGCTCCTGTCCACCGTGCCGTGTTCCTGTCCTGGGGTATTTGGGTGTGTGGCGTGTGGGGAGGGGAGAAGGAGCAAGGCGGCAGGGAGGGGATGAGGACCACCCTGTCCATGGGACAGGCCCTGGGCCCCGCACACACCCCAAGCCCCGCGTCCCGCGTCCTCACTGTCCTGGGACACCCCCCACCCCACCCCACCGCCACAGCCCAGAGCGGTGCCAGGAAGCCGCCTCGACGCAGCCGTATCTTGAGGCTCCAGCCCCATCCCCAGGGTACCACGCCACGTAGAGACACTATTTTTCACTTCGTGTTTGTCACTCCTAAAGCATGTGTGCTAGCTGCACCAACCCTGGGATGCCTCGGTGCATAGGGTTTATGTGCGTCCTCCTCCTTCCCTCTGAGCTGGTCCCCCGTGGGGAACTGCTGCCCAGACTGACCTGCGTCCTTCCGCACGTGCAGGAAAATGTCCACGTGCACTTGTCAGGGTGGGGGCCACACGGGCACCACCACTGATCATCTGTGGGATCGAGTTACTGCCCATGCAGATCCCACGTGCAGGGCCCAGTCGCTTTGGTGAGAGAGTGGACGCTGTGGTGACTCCACGGTCTGTGGCTGTGCTCAGGAGGACAGAGAGGGGACATCCTGAGATGGTTTGGGCAGCCCGCGGATCCTGTGCATGTCCCCAGAGCGTCCACTTTCTCCATGGAGCAGTGGAGTGGCGTTGCTGAGACAGAAAGTTCAGGTTCTCCACTCCCCATGCAGCCCCCACTCCCCTGTCTCCGGCCAGGCACGCGTCTGGGGTGGAGACTCCCGGTGCCCGGGGCCCTCCAGACCTCTTTCCCCACCCCAGGGAGCAGGCGGGTACTTCTATTCCGTTTGGCTTCAGAAGGGAAAAGAGAACGTAAGTTCAGGGAGTTCTCGTCCATTCCTCTCCCGTGGGCCGGGCAGGCAGCAGGGACAGCCTTCAGGAGCCAGGAGGGGCTCGAGCTGCGAGGCCCTGGAATGAGGCAGGCATGGGCTGAGGCTGGAGGGAAAGCCCCGCTAAGGCTGGGCGGGGGCGGGAAAACTTACCACCAGGGGACTCGAGATGGGGAAGGAAAGGTCAGAAGAGGAGAGGCCAGGCACGGGGTGTGGGCGGCCTGCAGAGCTGGAGCAGGTGCTCCGCCCAGAGCCAGGCATGCACACTCAGAGTAGGTGGCCTGTGCAGCGGGGAAGAGGGGCGGGTCGGCGTGCTGCTGAAGATGCAGGAGCTGCGGCCTGCTCTGTGCGTGCTGAAGGTGTGGTGAGAAGCACTTACAAAAAGAAATGGACTGTGTTAGGATTGCACATTTTACTTTGTTTCTCCCAAATACGTGTTCTTTGAATTTTTTTCCTTCCAGGGCCAGGACTGGAGTGATGGTTGAGACAGGCACGCACTGGGTCTTGTCTGCATTTACATTTTGAGATTTTGTTCAGCATGGATTTTATGGCGTTTTTTTGTTTGTTTGTTTGTTCGTTTTCAAAATACTGCACGGTTTATCGTGAAGACAGGGTCCTTTGCTGCCGTCTTAAGTTTTGGGCCCAAGAACGTGCCCCACCCTAGGCCCGGGCCTGCTGGCTTCATAGCTCTCATCATTCCCACGGAACCTTAAGACCTGAGGACAGAAAGGAAGGAAACAAGCCCAGTAGTCCGTGAAAATCCAGGGTCCCGCCACTCCAGGTGTCTGCAGCAGAGCTGAACACACGTAGGCTCTTGCCAGGAGGGGCATTTGTATGTGCTGAGCATTCCTTATATTCTCAATATGACGCCTTTGAAAGATCTGTGGTTTGCAAATATTTACTCTCAGTCCATAACTTATCTTTCCAACCTCTTACCAGGCTCTTTTGCTGAATAAAAGTTTTAAATTTTGAAGTCTAATATATTTTTAATTTTTTTATTTTATGGATCATACTTTTTGTGTCAGGTTTGAGAAGTCTGCACCAAAGTATGTCCTGTGGTTTTCCCTTAGGTCATCTTCAACAAGTTTCATAGTATTTTGTTTAGATGTAAATCTGTGGCCCATTTTGAGTTAGTTTTTGCACAAGAGTTGAGGTCAAGGTTCTTTTTTTGCCTGTGATGTTCAGTGGCTCTGGCACCATTTGTTGAAAACATGATAGCCAATGTCAAGACTTAATAGTTATAATAATCAGGAGCTTTTGTTTCTTTTTGTTTTGTTTTTAGTAACTGCCAGTCACTGCTTGTGGTATACATACACAATGGAATACTATTCAGTCTTAAAAAAAAAAAAAGAAGGAAATCCTGTCATTTGCATACCTGGAGGACATTATGTTAAGTGAAATAAGCCAGGCACCAAAAGAAAAACATTGCATGATCTCACTCCTTCATGGAATCTAAAAAATTGTATTCAGAGAAGCAGAGAGTGGAATGGTGGTTACCAGGGGCTGGGAAGGTGTGAGCTTGGGGAGATTTGGTGAAAGGACATAGAATCTCAGTTAGACAGGAGGAATAAGTTAAAGAGATCTATTGCACATCATGGTAACTGTAGTTAGTGACAATGTATTGTATACATGAAAATTGCTAAGAGAGTAGATTTTAAGTGTTCTCACCACACCAAAAAAAGGTATGTGCAGTAATACAGTCATTAATTAGCTTGATGTAGCCATTCCACAATGGATACATATATCAAAACATCATGTTGTATACCATAAATATATACTGTCTCTTTATGTAAATTTAAAAATAAGATAAAATAAATGTTATTCACTTGTCGTGGATGTGGTGGGGACAGGTGTGGGATAGCCCTCCCTGTACAACTAGGACCCAGGGGTGATCTAGTGACACTAGCCATTTATCAGGACGTATGGGTGCCAGTCAGGATGATAAAGCTTCCTTTTGGCCACTATACTACTTAGAAATGCCCTGCAAAAGGTGCACATCAAAGATTGAAAGCTCAATCCTGGATTTTAAGTGCTTCAAAAGTGCACTTAATTGCCACATTTTTGTCAAACATTTTCCCAGGTAGTATTTTTCCTCATGTAAAACAACAGCAATTTAATTTGAACAGAAAGCATTTTGAAACATACTTTTGGCAGGGTTCCTTGCAGATCAGAATGGAAATGATTAACAGGGCAATTATCAATCATGGACTTTTGGCGGCAGAAGGAACTGTATTGTTTGGTACAGTCTGGGCCAGGGCCACACACCGTAACGGAGATACTCTATTCTGTGGACGGTTGGAGGGGGCTGTGCTGAGCAGGGTAACTGCATCTTTTCCTAGACTGTTCACACTGCTGCCACGAAGGAGTCTTGTTTAGACTGGACCTGGCTTTCTTCTTCGCAATGAGTGTTGCAGACTCCCGACAAAGGCCAGGTGGTAAAGTGTGGTGTCTGTGAGCGAGAGCCTGAGATGCCTGAGCTGACCTGTCCTCAGCCACCTGCCATCGTGCAGAGGTGAGAGCAGCCCCTGAATTCTGCCCCTCGGTCTCTCCATAGCTAAAGCAAAACCATCCTTCCGTGCTCCCAGGACAAGCAGGCTATTACCAAATCACCCACTAACCCTGGGCGAGGAGGGGCCATCACTGCACAATTCATCAGTGTCTGTGACAGGAAGAGATTGTTTTAGACTGGTTTTTTTTTTTTTATTTGCAAGCTTTTTTCTCTCTCCAAAACGTGCTGTCAGTGTGTTCTAATTTACTCTGTAAGGAATTCTGGAGCTAATCATAGGCTCACAAAAAGCAGCACAGGAAAGTTTCCCAGATAACATCTATTTCAGTGGCTTTCAAACATTTTTGACCTTACCAAAGTAAGAAATACATTTTAATATCATGGCACACATACAGCTGTATCTAAACTTTCATAATACTGCCTTTACGATATCACTCTGATATTGTCTATTCTTTTCTGTTTATTTTTCTTTTTGTTCCTTGTTATGCTGGTTGTGACCCACTCCAGTGATTTCACAATGCAGGCTGGGTGGTGTCCCACAGTTTGAAATCCCAATCTAGGGCCTTCCTCTCACTGTACAAAGTAGGTAACTGGGGACATTAGTGGATCAGTGATCAAACCAAAGTTATTTGATCTTACCAAGTGATATCAGGATGAGAAAGCTGTTAGAGTGTCAGATATGTGAAGGAACTTGGGTCATTCCTGATACCTCAAAGAGAAAAAAGGTAGTCCTTGAACACCTCCTACTTGTAAAGGATGCACAATCCTACATGCCCCTCCCTTTCCTTTCCTCCCCTCTGTACCCCACCCCTGCCCACATTTTCTTCATAAGCAGCTTTGGTGTTTTGGCTTGTTTGTTTCCCTTGTCTCCTACCTGTGACTTTATAGCCTTTTGGAGACTCACAGCAATAGTTGTATTTAAACTCAGTGGGTGGCATCCAAGGCTAAAAAGGAGATTGCCTAGACACAAAACCACCCAAGGGAGAAAGCAGGACAGCATCTTACTATGATTGTTTCTTGTTTCTTCCTGTCTCATAAGGATTATTACCCAGGGTTTTCATTTTTTTCATTTCATGGTTCATTTTCGCTCCAGTGTAGACATACAATAGACCACTCGTCCCTGTGGCTCCGGGCAGCAGCCTCATCTGAGACCCTCCTGAGACATCTCGTGCAGGGCAGCCGTAGTGTGTGGCTTCCCCAGGGCTGCTCTAACAGATCACCATCCTTGCCATGGCTTAAGAAGCTGCAGATTTATTTGCTTACAGCTCTGGAAGCCAGAAGTCCAAAATCAAGGTGTCAGTAGAGTCTCTCTCTCTGAAACCTGCTGAGGATGATGCCCCTGGCCTCTCCCCAGCCTCTGGTGTTCCCAGCAGCCCTTGGCATTCCTTGCCTTGTAGATGCAAAACTCCGATCTCCACCTCTATCCTCACAGTGAGTTCTCCTGCATGTCTGTCTCTGTGCCTTCACATTCCTCTCTGTGTGTCTGTGTTTCCATCTCCTTATGAGGACACCCATCACTGAATCAGGGCCCACTCTATACCAGTAAGACCTCATTTCAACTCCATTACATCTTCAAAAACCCCATTCTCAAATAAGGTTACTTCACAAGTGCTGGAGGTTAGGACTTGAACATACCTTATTGAACAATCCAACTGATGACACATAGTAATTTATGCACTCGTTCTTGGAGACGTTGACTTTATTTAGTAGCATTAACCATGGCAATGTCACCAGCATCGCTGACAGCCTGAAGCATATGATCTCCAGAATGTATTTCAATCATCATGTTCACTTCCTTGGTATTCTTTAGACAATAACTCAGCCTTGAACTCCAGTAAAGGGTTTCCCTGGGATTTTCTTCTTGACTCACTCCACTGTGGCCTCCCTCATCCAGGACTGTAACAGACGCCTGACGTCAGTGGTCTAGACCTCTCTGCTGAATGTCATCTTTGGTGAATGTCTTATGAGAAAACACATGGTTGGTCACTCTTAGAAGGGCATGAAAGCCTGTCTGCAGTATAACCAAAACAGGCACATGGCGAGGCACACTGTGCGCATGTGTGTACAATTAATATCATGGTTTTAAATTATTTTCAGGCCAAGGGGAGATCTTTGCTGCATCTACTGAAGAAAGCGAATCTTTTTCTTCCTGAAAAAAAATGGCTACTTATTAGTCGAATTTGTGTTTTAAAAATATGTGAACTAATATAATGCAGACATGCATTAATGTTTAAATATACTGGAAGTTTTTGGTAAAATGAAACCCATTGTCTCTGTTGATTACTTTGATGAGTCAAGAAGTAACATCCTGGGAATGATTGGCCAGTTTAAATGAGTGCCTCAGGTTTTTGGAATACAAGAAATCAAGAGGAAGGGATTAGAACATATAGGTTAGCAAGATTGGGATCCTAAAATACAGACCCAAATGAATGGAACAAAATCAGGGAATTTATTAATAACAGGGTCAAGGCCAAATCAGTAACAAATATCCTGAGTGGAAGAAAGGTGGTTTAACAAATGCCCCTATGAAAGATAGAGATTGGCTTACCATGATGAGATGTAAGCCCAAGTTATGAGGTTGGCACACAAAACCACAAATGTCATAGCTTAAAACAACACACACTTCTTATCTCTGTTTCTGTGGGTCAGGGTCTGGGTTCTCAGGGACTCACAAAGTATGTTTTCATCTGGAGCTCCAGGTCCTCTTCCAGGCTCATAAGGGTTCTTGGCAGAATTCAGTTTCTTGAGGCTGTAGGACTGAGGTCCTGGCTCCTAGAGGCCACCCTCTCCATAAGCAGTTCTTAGCATGGCCGCCTGCTTCTCCAGGCCCAGTGGGAAAGCATGTGCCTCCAGGAGGGCTCAGTCCATTCTTCATGGCTTTTACCTGGTTAAGTCAGGCCCACTCAGGATAACTTCATTTTGTATTAAATCAAAACCAGCTGATTTGGGATGTTAATTACATCTGCACAACTTCAACTTTGCCATATAACCTAACCATGGGACTGATATTTATCATGCATTTGGGTCAAGTTGCATTAAGAGATATAATAAAGCTGGACAAGCTTCTGTTGATTAGAAGAGTTCAGTTACAAGGCTACACTTGGGAGGAATGTTTACAAACTGGAATGGTCAGAGGATGGGGAAGACACTTGAGAAAAGTCAAGTGACGGATGAAGGCAAATGTGGATATTTATCTGGGAGAAAACTAAGAGGAGTTATAATAGCTGTCTTCAAATATTTAAAGGGCTTTTATTAGGAAGAGGAATTTGGCATATTGGATTTTGCCTTCAGAGAAGTGGAGTCCTGAGATGCTCTTAGCCATTCATTCCAGCCTCCAGGGCTCACCTGCTGTCTTCTGTCCAGGTTCTCGGTAGCAGGGCAGTACAGCCCCATCCGTGATCTTCCATAGTCAGGCATATTGTCACACTCAGTGAGCGGAGAGTCAACCGGGAGGAAGGCACAGTTTCTCTGGAATGACCTACGGAATGGTACGCTCAAATGCAAATTCTCCTTCCCTTCCCCAGTCCTTGTCCTTCAGATGGTAATTTAGGAGCTGAAGGTCAGGGCACCAGCAGCCTTTGGAAGCCTACAGGACAACAGTCAGCCTGGCTAGAAAAAAAAACAATGTCACAGGCATGTTGTGTTTAATCACATGAAGGATATTTGCATTGTTTTCCAACTGATGCCAGCAGACACATTGTCAGTGGTATCATGCCTGGGGTATCAGAGTTGACATTGGGTTGCCCCTTCTCTGAGGCATTCATGTAAATCCTTTTAAGTTTATAAAACCTCCATGTGGCTCCTGCATGCTTCATCATTTGCATGTGTCTCTTTTTCCAGGGGAGGCAGCATGGGGAGCAGGATGCTGGTGGGCTCCAGGTGCAGAGAGCAGGGTGGGCGTCAGACCCCAGGTCCACTGTGCACGCCCTCTTGTAGAGCCCGTTCCGTTGTCCATGAGATGAGGAGTGTTCTTATCTCTAAAGTATTATCATGAAAACCTAACAATGTAGAAAGACTAAAGCACATGGGTGGTGCTTCATAAATAGTATTTCTCCCACTTTCTGAAAACTCCTGCTGAAGTAACTGCACAAGAATCCTTGAACATTTAGAATTCTGGTTTTAGCCATACCATAAAGTCAGTAGTGCGTGGTGGAATTCTGCTAACGAAAATTGCGAAGGATCAAGGCAGAGTACAGAGCTGGTGTGTAGCGGGTACCTTCTGTCTGCTGGCACTAGGTATTTTACACATTAAATCAGCTCGTTCTCACATCAGCTCTTTTAAAAATAAGGAAATGAGGAGCCACAGTGGCCCAACTGATGCAGTGGCAGAAGTAGAATTTGAGCTTGTGCAGATGTGCCTCCGTGTTTTGTCTCCTGAGCATGCTGCCCCAAGTTTGACAATACCAAGATTTGTACTGGAACATTCCCTCCCATCCCCACCCCCTAGAAGCCCCTCTTCCTCCCTTAGATTTGACACATAGTTTGAAACCACTATTAACTACCTTATGAGAGCCACTGTTTGTGAAGTGCTGACTATGTGCCAGGTCCCGTGCCGTGCAATTTTTGTGAATTATCTCGTGTCTACAGTGCCTCACAATTTCTCTGCTCAATACCTCCATGTTACTGCCGAGGAAAGGGAAGCTCAGAGAGAGTAAGTAATTTGCTCGAGTTAAAGAGCTGGCCAGGACAGCCAGGGGCTTGCACCCCGGAGCCTTCATCCACTACACTGTCAGCTGGTATCTCAACCAGCCATTACAGGCTGTAAAAAAATTATATAAGATAGTCTATGGTAATGCAGAAAAGTGAGGTTATTTTGCTCCCTTTCCCTTTGAAGAAAAAAGCCCTGGAAAGACATATCACTTGAGTATGGGAAAAAATGAAGCTGTGGCTTTTCTGTGAGTCAATTCTTTCCTGGCAGCTTCTTGGAATAAGACCAAGTATAGCAGCAGAGTTTTCTGTTTTAATTTGAGCTGCAGGGTGACTTTTTTTCTTCTATGCTTTCATCTCTCTGTGGCTTCTTTTGCCTCGTTAATTTCATGCCCTGCCCAGGCGGGCTACTGTGCTGCCCAGTCACCCGGGTCTGGGGCGGCCACCGCTGGCCAGCAGGCAGGCCCTCCAGAGGCAGAGGTGGCCACGCTTAGGTCGCTCCCGCTGTGGAGGCGGCACACTTGGGTGGCAGCACAGCTGTGATGTGGCGGCAGCTGGCAGCCCCATGGGAAAGATGTGTGAAGTGTGGGGTTTGACGACCCATGGGAGAACAGACTTTCTTCCTCTTCTTGTTTTCCCTTCAAAGCCGTGAGTCAACCTCAAATTCTCTGTCTTTTTTCTCCACCCCCTCGTGCCTCTCTCCCTCACGCTCTGCATCTCTCATTGCAAGCTTGCATTTTTTTGCACACAACACTATCTTAATATTTCTCTTTTCTGCAGGCAGGAAATGAGAAGTCATTTTTCAGGGTCATTCAGGAAGTCATCCAGAGTTATAATGGCCCATTATCTACTGGTCAGAGTTTACTTAGGCTTTCACTACTTCCACTGCCCACTTGAAACAGGGAAAAATATTTTCCCCCCGCGCTGTGAGTGTGCTATTTAGAGCTGACCACAAGCGGGGGGAAGAGAGGATGGCTCGGATGCTGCATTTCCACTGAGAACACAAGGCTGGCAAAGCTTGTCTGCTGCCCAGCAAGCACTTCAGGCTCACACCATTTTAGGTTCACTTTAAGTAGTTTCTCAATTGTTAAAAAAAAAACAAAAAAAAAAAAACCTGTACTCTGAGGATATGCTTATAATCCCATAGCTAACCCAGAATTTCTTAGAGAACTGATCAACATCAGCAGTGGCACTTACTGAAAATGCACATTCTCAGGCCCTGCGTAGGGCCTACTGAGTTAGAATATTAGAGAGCAGGTCTCAGAAACATTCTATCCGGCAGTCTTATTCTATGCACCCGAAGGGATAAGAGCCATGCTTTCATGAAACATGGGTTGTGTGTAAAATGTTTAAAAGGTATGGCAAAATGTGTTTGATTGGCACCAAGGATTTCTGGTTCCTCCTAGAATCATTAATCAAACTTTGAAGGAGAAATAAGAGAGTCGGCATTTTCTTGCACATTCTTTGTGATGTTGTGATGAGTTGGAAACTTCCCGATTGGGTTTATTAGAGCATGAACACCCAGGCACCCAGCTTCTAGCCAGCCCTGTCAGGCAGAGTCTCCTCGAAGATGTGGAAAGGACTGACCAACAGCTGAGGCCTACAGGAACCTGAGCAGGCAAGGGGAGAGGCACCCCGGAACCAGGAGCAATGGCCTTCCCACCCTCCCTCGTCCTCTCCTCTTCTCCTTTTGGAGTTGCAGGCCACAGAAAGGAAGTGACATGAGTCACTTTGGGCCTTCTTAATTCCTTCATCAAAGGCAGCACAGGTGTGTATGTGTGTTGGTGGCTAATTGAGGTAGGCCCACAGAGGAGATAACAGATGGACATACTATTTCCTTTCTTCCATTCTGATATAATTCAGGGTATAAACACACACACACACACACACACACATTCTCACTTCTTTGGCATCTACCACACCTGCCCCAGTGCCCATTTCTCTCCCACCTGAATAAAAAGCCCCCACAAAGCCTGAGGTACATGGAAAGGAGCAGTGGTCTGGCTCCCAGGAGTGTGAGAAGCAGCCATGTTTTCAGAGGCTGTATTCCACTTGGACTTGGCCCTACGCTGAAGGTAGGAGCGGATGGGGGAGGCCCCCTTCGCACAAAGAGCCCCATGAAAGAGTGCACAGTCCAGTCTATAAAACAGACGCAGAAAATGTGTGTAGGACTTCTTCCTGAAAAAGAGCGTGGTGCGTCCAGTACCTCCATGTTCATGGAACTTCCCAGTCTGCAGTTTACCCTTTTGTGCAACTCCCTTTTGGTAAAGCCCTGGTCACACTTCTGGTTGTTCAGATTATACAGGGATAATTCCAGAGTGATTTTAAAGTCAACTGCCAGGCATCCGCACTTGCAAATTAGATGCCTGGCACATGCTTGTGTTAAGGTAATAATTCATTACAATACAAATTACAGGGGAGTTCCTCTGGGCATGCGACCTTTCCCGTCATTTGGCTTTCCCTGTGATTATCAGGGGAGCTTCCATCGTGCTGCTAATGGGACCTTAACCATGTGTCAACCCATGGCTGTAATGCTGACACTGTTTTCTTTCTGGAATGAAAGGCCTTCGCAATTGAAACCAAAATGTTATCCAACTCAGTCCTGTCCCTTTGACGATGAAAACATCAAGTTCTGGAGACTGGCCATCCAGCCTCCCTGCCTCATCTCCCACGCCCTCCATCATTTTTTGTCTCTACTTACTTATTTATTTGGCTGTATTTTACGTACATCATGCAAAAATATTCCTCTTTGTAAAAAGTATAATGATTTCAGGAAATTAGAGGGTAAAAAGCAAGAACCATGCTTTCACTCCACTGTCAAGAGTTGTGGAAGAATCCTTCCAGCATTTTTTCTGTGTATTTTACATACATACAAATATATGTACAAATAAAGGTCGATCATTTAGGTTTTGTTTATATTTTTGTATATATGAGCTTATGTCATTCATACATATTGTTTTGCCTCTTGCTTTTTTTTAACTTAATTTTACTTTGCTTGAGAGCTTTTTGAACTGAAGTACGTGTAAGTCAGCCTATGCATGTAATGGCTCCCTCATCTTCTGTGAGGCTGTCACTAAAAAGGGGATTTAGCTTGTTCTGGGCTTTGCAGCCCGTACACTGGGCACTGTTCATACGTACTTCTCTGTGCACGCAAAGGAGGGCTTGCTAGGGAGGCCTGGCAGAGGGTGCCATTCAAATAGGATTTTCAATGGAGGAATTTTTAAATTTTCAGTTATTTGAATAAGTTTTAATATATATCCAGAACCCCAAATCATCAAGTTTGTTTTCTTCCACATCTGTCCTTCCATTTCTGAACTATTTTAAGGCCAGTCATGTCTCATCCAAGAAATCCCATCCTTTCACACAACACTATCTCCGTTTCATGGTTATGAATCTCTAAAAGCATGATTTTTAAAACATAATCACAATGCTGTCATCGAACTTAAAAATTAGCCATAAATCTCTTATGTTACCCAACAACCAGCCTACTGACACATCTCCAGTTGTCTCAAAAATGTGTTTTCCATTGTGGTTTGTCTGAAACATGATCCAAAAGTCAGACCCACCTCTCACCTTTCCCTAACCTGCCGGAGCCCATGTTTCTTTCCAGCCAGGCTTGGAGACCACCACACGGGATTTGCTTCTTGGGGCCTCCCTCTAACCAGCTATGCAGGATGCCCTCTTTCCTGTCAATACAAGCTGCTCAAAGGACTCATTCAGTTCAAATTCACCTATGTGAGCCTAGGTGATGCTACTTATTTATTTATTTATTTATTTATTTATTTATTTATTTATTTATTTTGAGATGGAGTCTCACTCTGTTGCCCAGGCTGGAGTTCAGTGGCATAATCTGGGCTCACTGCAAGCTCTGCCTCCCGGGTTCAAGTGATTCTCCTGCCTCAGCCTCCTCAGTAGCTGAGATTACAGGCACGTGCCACCACGCCCAGCTAATTTTTATAGTTTTAGTAGAGACAGGGTTTCACCATGTTGGTCAGGTTGGTCTCAAACTCCTGACCTCGTGATCCACCCACCTCGGCTTCCCAAAGTGCTTCATGTTTTCAGGAGCTGTACGTGCATTTTTAGTTTTGATGACCAGGTCCTTTTTCTGTTTTTTAAAGAACTTCAAATGATCTCCAGGGTACACAGCGCTTGTGTGCTGATGAAAAAGCTGGCAGTACAAAGGCCACCAGCCAAGGTCACACAGCCAAAAAGCCCCTGACCTCGGGCCCCTTCCCAGACCCTGGGTCTTTTGCTGCCACATGAATCTTCTTCAAGGTCCTATGTGTAGATTTTCTTGACTTGGCCATATTATTTAGGATTCAGATATAATAACAAAATAGATGTTAAAGCATAACATGAAGGCATTTAAAAGGGTAGAAAGCACATGATTTACTAAAACCATAAATCTTATGACCTGAAAGTTTCACCTAATCTCTTAAAAAATACCGTACTAAACCCTGATTGAAAATCAGAGCTCAGACATACAGCCTGAGATGCCAAAAAATGGCCAGGCTTGTCTGTTGAGAAAGCCATATGTAACTAACTGTTTGGAAATTCAAAATATATCTTATCATTTTAAAAACATCTTTCTTCTAAAGACAATCATCTTGGCTTCAGGAATGAGGCTAGTAAAAAGTGAAATACTCCTACTTGTGGAAGAAATCCTCATTTTAACCATGAAGAACTGAAAAATGCATTCTGATGTTGATGGACCCAACCTATATTTGGGTATTTTATGATGTACACAATATACTTTTGTATATGAGATTGTTATTAAATGTGACTTTGCTTTTTCAAGACATACAATGTTCCTCCGGGGGTCAGGCACTGTGTTTAGCACTTTGTCCTGACCTCATCTGACTTCTCAGCTGTCCCTGAGAGGTACCAGTGTGCAAGATCGCTGAGTTGGCAAGTGATAGTGACAATATTTTCACCCCAATTTCTAATTTAAAGACCCCGATTTCTAGTTTTGTTTTGTATTGGATTTGCACAATTTCACGTTCTGAAAGAGGATGCCCTCAACTTTGCAAAATGGGCCTTTTGAATGAAAAGGATCAGTCATGTCAGGAAAAGCGCTACAATGATGAAATATGATAAATAAGTCAGTCTTTCATCTGTAATTATCTACTATGGGGTAAAAAGTGATGAAAACTACCATCTTGAAAGGTTCTGGTGATAGTGGTTCCTAATGCAGTGAAAGATGTGTAAGTCAAAGATTTGTAACCAGCCAGGGAATGAGAGGCGAAGCCATAGCTGGTGGCGGGGGCCACATCTGGGTGTGGGGAGGCCACAGTTGGGTTGGGGGTGGGGCCTGCAGTTATCCACACCCCTCCCACCTCCCTTCGACAGTACAGGCTTCCTGGTTACCTTCCAGAGAGTAAGGCCAGGGAGAGTTGAATAAGTTGAGAAATGTCATGTCGAAGCTATTGGTGGAAAGAGTTCCATTAATTGACAATACAAGTCCCTACTACATTCTAAAATCTGGTCCTGACTAGTGGCAAGCCGGGCCCAGGAGTAGCACTTAAACAATGGCAGGCTTGTGTTGCTGGCAGGATACTTCAGCCTCAGAGGAGCTGTGTGCAGCTGGGGAGACTCACACTCAGAGGATTTCAAAGCAGAGGGCATCTCGTAGAGCAACTTATCCAAACCCTGACCCACTGTAAACACACACACACACACACACACACACACACACACACACACACACCCTGAGAGAGAGAAAGAGAGAGAGATAACTAAAGAGAGAGAACTAAAGTTTGGCAAAATAATACATGCTCTAATGAAGGTTTATTAATGATTAATCTACTCCTAGCATTTCCTAGTCCACTCTATCTCCTTAAAAAAAAATTCTGGTTGCAGCCCACTAACTTGATTGTACAGCTGCTTAATGGATAGCAGGCTGTAATTTTCAGAGAACTGTTTAATGCGGGCTACCTCTGTTCTTCCATGCTGCTTGTGGTTCCTGCTCTGCTCAGGACAGAATGGGGAGGAAAACAGGCTCTGCGGCACAATATTGGCAAGTGAAATTTTGTAAACCGGCCCTCCCTTCCTTTTGCATTTGGTCTGAAAATTCAATTAGATGCTGAGTCCTACAATGTATTTGAGAAGCCCAGGAGTGCCCTAGAGGATGAGACTGGGTGGCTCCCTGTCAGGTTGAACATTTGCCTTAATTACTTTGGCAAGATTTGCATCAGTGGTATTAGTCCCTGCCTCACTTGGAGGCCTGCACTTAAGTGGCCACATTCAGGCTCCAATTTCCTGGTGATTTCATAGTGTAGGGCACTTGCAATCAAAACTAGGCTTAAAGCCCAACCCTCTTACATTTTACCCACCCCCACAAATGCAGCAAATAAAATGACTCTGATTTTCATTCCCTAGACCTCTTTTCTATATTTATTACATTATTGTTAAGACAGTTTTTGAAGAAAGCTGTTTTATTTAACAAAATAGCTTTATGGAATCAACTTCATATATCTTCTCCGCCAGATCAAAACAAGCTCGTAGTATTAGATGTCACCGAGCACCATGACAGGCAGATGAACATCATCCCTGTGCCCGGCTAATGATAGCTCGGCCTGCCCCGGCGTCAGCCGCTCCTGGCAGGGCCAGCGGGCGGTGTGGGACCGGCACCGTATCTCCAGCAATTCGCAGATAACAAATATGGTTCTGATGATGTTACTAAAGATCTGTCCCTTTCAAGATTGGATTAGACATTAGGAATTTGGAGGGCTTTTTATTGCTAGCATTTTTAAGAATAACCAATTAGAGTATTGATTCTAAAGTCTGAAAGCCACATGGACAGAGTTCATGTAATTGGCTACTTTATGTGCCTCTTCCTAGATTGCCCTGCATTTTCAAAACAAGAGCCTTTCTATTTTAATCAAAAGAATCCAGAATGAAATGAGGCTTTGAAAACTCAGCCTATGTTTGTCTTGATTTCCTTAACTGACATCTAGAAGAAAATATGAGCTCAGGGGTCCGCTGGGTTCCTTCCAGCGCCTAAGCCTGTAAGCTCTTCCTGCTGGAACCAAGCTTTAAATGCACTTGTCAGTCATGTCCCATGAGAATAGATACTGCCTTCCATGTTTTTTTGTTCTGATTTCCGTGTTTGAAATGATGAAAATCATTTTTCTGTGCTTTTTAAAAATGGAATTGCTTTTGTGTTGGGAATTGTGCTGTTCATTTTTACTCTACCTCGTTTTGGAATCACTAATGTGGCCAATTTATAGCCAAAAATCAGTATCGTAGAGTGAGCAATGAATGGCATGGTGACTGTGTGAGCGAATTCATGCCCTCCCTCCCCACCGCTCGCCCCGCGTCTCAGTCCTCAGTGATGGTAAACAGAATGAGGACCTTCTCCCGACCGTGATGCGCCTCAGCCCTACTTCCCTTGTCCTTTCCTATCATAAAATCTTCTTTCATAGAAATGGTCATTTCTGTTCATATCTGTGGACTGTAAATAACAAGGAAGTCATTTTTGAGGTGAAA
Source organism: Homo sapiens (assembly GCF_000001405.40). NCBI lineage: Eukaryota > Metazoa > Chordata > Mammalia > Primates > Hominidae > Homo > Homo sapiens. Next base: position 55,093,673 of record NC_000007.14, read on the forward strand.
ACTGCACTTAGACTCATTCCAATTTTGATGGAAACTTTTAGCTGGTGGATGGCATTTTGTTTTGTCTTAGTTTTGCAAGGAGTTATCTTAATTTAGGGAGATGAAACTAGTCTGTGATCCGAGGTCTCACTTCCATACATTTCTCTCGGGCAGTGTGGCTGCCTGAATCATGCCTGGATGCCACAGGTGCTTAGCCAGCTGGTCCTGTCGTAACTGTCACTGGTAGCTCAGGGAGTGCAGAGGTGCCAGCAGACACTATGAAATTGGCCTCGTAAAGCATCAGTTATGTTGTGATGGTGGCAAAGCTGCAGGCGAGATGGGAAGTGCAGCCACTGAGAACTCACAGTAGAGCGTGTGTAACGTAAAAAGATGAAACCCATTGTACACAGCTGTGTACTGCCTCCTTGAAGTCAAATTTCCCCCATTACCAAGGAAAAGTTTTTTCTGAAGGGGGCTGCTTGACAGGATGACATCTGGTGATATCATTTATTCCTTTGGAAATCAATCTGTGGAAGTGAGTTTCCACTGACTGATGAGGAGAAAAATGAATTGGCTTCACCCAGCATCCAGCTTCTTATCCTGGGAGAGATAGCTCTTGGTCTGTCATCCACGCAGCTGCCTGGTGCAAGAGCCAAGTTTGTGCAGCCTGCAGAGCACTCTTCCTGAGCTGTGGGCTGCCAGGTCGGGGGGCAGGGGGGGCCTCACTGTGCAGCCTCCTGCCACCCACTGATCATCTGGGGAGACTGGCCTATCCTGTCAGGAGACGCAGTTGCCCAGACGTTTTCAAGGGCCTAAGATGTAGGCAGTTGATCCACAGATTTTTGGAGAGTCCTTGAGTTGGAGATTACAGGTGACCTCAGAGGAGGGAGTGAGAACATCTGGGTCATGGGTTTCTACTAGGAGTCCACAGTGAAAACAAGAAGAGGAATTTACGACAAGACAGTCCAGCAACTTCCTTTCTAACTTCTCCTTTCACATATGCTGGATACTCCAAGACTTTGCATTTACATGGACATCACAGATCCACTTTGAGAGAAGTAGGGTAAAAAGAAATAAATACATAGTGCTTTAGGTGTATTTCTATACATCTTAATTGATATGGGATTACATTTTCACTTGTGTTTACTGTACAGACTCTAGACAGATCCTGCTCTTTTGCAGGTAAAACAAATATTTCTTAAAACCTAGAAAGACCCAAAACAATTTAACAGAAACATTTTGGACCATTTTGGACCTTGGCAGTTAGGCCCCAGTGCAGCAGCGGCAACCATAAACCTCTCCATAGGTGCTGAACCCAGGTGATCCCTGGCACCGGCAGCCTTATGTCAGGGCTCTCTTATCGCTGGTTTTTATTTCTCCTAATAAAAGTGATTAAAAGATTCATCTTTTAAAGAAAGCAAGGACACAGAGGTGGATTCTCCCTGACGCTAGCACAGCTCATGCCCAAGCCACTCCTGCAGGGCTCTGGTCTAAGTGCAAAAGCTGGAAAAGCTGCAGGTCCCGCAAGACACAGAGCAACCCTGCAAGCCAGGTCACCTTCCCTCTTCTCTGCTGTCCGACTGGCCCTCCACCATGTGACATTCAAAAGCTCAAGTTACTTAACCTCTCAAAACTCAGCATCCTTTTCTGTACAGTGGGGAAGATACTGGACTGTTGTGAGGATTAAGTGAGGAGAGTGGCCCAATGAGGTTGACAGTTATTACTGTCATTGTCATTATTTGCCTTCTCACAGGCAGGCGTGCCACAGTCATTTTACTGAAGCTGCTTCAGTGGGTCCTGAATTAGGCCCTGTCCTTTGGGAGAGACAGTCCTGGTTCAACACACAGCTCCCTGCCCAGGGCAGCTTGGGAGTGTGGGCCAGTTTCGCCTTTAGAACCACAATTCTCTGATATGTGCAATGAGAGAATTAATTATAGACTCAAAGGATTGCATGCAGACACACACAGATACAAACACATACACACAACACACAGAGTTACACACAGACATGCTCACAATACACAGAAATACACACAGACACACGCACACAGCACACAGAGATACACACAGACACACACACACACACACACAGACATACGCACAGATGGGCACACACAGAGACACACTCACAGAGACACACAGATACACACAGGCACACACACAGAGAGACATACACACAGCCCACAGGGATACACACAGACACACAGAGACATACCTACAACACACAGAGATACACACAGTCACACACAGAGAGACATACATACAATACACAGAGATACACACAGAGACACAGATACAGACACAGACAGACATACACACAGACACGGGCACACACAGAGACACACAGACACACACAGGCACACACGTGCAGATAAGGTAATATTAGCTAGTTCAGGAGGAGAAAGAGATAAAGATAAAGTAATATTAGCTAGTTCAGGAGGAGTGAAAGAAGCCTTGTTTTTCTCCACTTTTTATAGAAGAGAAAGTGAAGATTCGATTTGAGGTGAGTTCAGCACAAAAGCGTATCCCAGGCCCTCTGGCTCCAACTGCAGCCCTTTCTACCTCATTCCCAGACCCCACCTAAGCCTTTTCTCTTCAAAATCTTCTCAGGCACACTGATACACATACCTCAGATTTTTAATTCTCCGGTTGTGTTCACCAGGTGCTTGGTCATGATTAAGAATTCCGTGATGTGTACCCCATGTGTTTAAATTTGCTGCTGAGTTAACTTTGTGGCGGCCTGTGGACTAGACCTCTGCACATGCAATGCAGAACGGCAGGGCCAGATTTGAAATCCTGCTATCTTTTCGGCTGCCTTGTAAAAATAACATCAGGCGATGGGGATACGATGCCAGAGGTCACCTGTGATAAGTTCTGTTTATGGCCATTTTACTTCTAGGAAGACAGGAAGTGTCAGGATCTCAGGGATCTAGGAAGCCAAAATGTTTTTCCACTCTGAAATAAAGTGACTGACCAGGAGTTCCCGGCCACGCAGCCCTGTGGGAACTGCCGCACGGCCACTTTTATGAAGTGGACACGTGTTGGTCCCACTGAAAAGAAACTCCCCACCCATGGCTCCCTCACGCTGCAGCAGAGGCCCTGCCACAGCACCTGTCAGCCCCTGCCAGCTTGCAGGGGCGCAGGCGCAGAGCGGTTTGTGCCCTTGCTGGAGCCAGGGAAGGGCACAGGGTCCCTCCTGGAGTCATGGGAGGTGCAGCCGAGGTTCTATATTAAAATACAGAGGCTAGCACATGTGCTTGGGGAATGCAGCTACAGTAGTGGAATGAAAGTGCTGTCCGTTCCTTACCCCCCCAGCTCCTCACCTGTCCTCCACACGCATATCCCTGGCTCCCTTTCCCTAGTAAGGAGACTGAATTGAAATTGTGGCTTGCCCGAGGCTGCATACCTGTGCTCTTTCTGAAGCCCAAGTCACTGGCTCTAGAATTCTAACCTGTGAGGAAGCCACTGAGGATGTTTGTCAAAATACATATTTCTGTGCCTTGCCCCAGTTCCACGGCCCAGGAATCTGCAGTTTTCACAAGCACCCCCAGGTGATTCTGGTGGTGTCTTTGCACTTCTTCAAGGCAGTACTGCCTGGAACGCAGAATCCCAGCCTCCTCTATCCTCCTTGCCTAATGGCCTGGATGCTCTCAGATCTACAGGGGAAGGGAAGGTCACACAGTCATCGCAATAGTAACCTCAGCTGATAAATCCTCCCCCATAAAACTTATTCCCCAGTGTTTTTTAATAGGAAACAATAAAACTGTAACCAGCCCAAATATCCATCAAAGAGAAAATGGAGAAGTAAATCATCGCACATTCACCTGGACCAGATCTATTGTAAAGCCAATAATACTGAAGCCCCTTCCAAGGCCCTGGGAGTCCTAACAGTGCACTGGCAGTGTCTATAATTTATATTATGAAATTTGCATAAGGAAAACATTTTGTCTCATTTGTGCAATTTCTCCTTCTAAATATACGTGTCACTTTGTACCTGATTTCTATAAGACCCAGGACCTACAAACCCTGTGTCTGCCCCTGCAGCCACCCAGGGAAGGACTGCACAGCAGCAAGACAGATTGCCATGGAGCATGTTGTGCCCAACTAGGGACAGCGCAGATAGATTCTGTAATTTGCCTAACAATGTCTATAGGATGATCCCATTTGTCAAAAAAAAAAAAGAACTGGGCTTTATTGATGTCACCTAAATGCACCTAAACTTCTTTTTTGCCCCATGCTCTTCTGTACTCTTGATCTTTCCCCAAATTTTTAAAAACATGACACTCATTCCCTTATTTTTCCTACTTAGAAAAGTGTAGATGGTTTTATCATAGGAAGTTCAAAAAAATTAAAATATAATGAAAAATACTCAAATAGTGCCTCACAACAGTAACTACTGCTAACATAAATAAAATCCATATTTCCTCTCATACAGACCCCAGAGTTGCTTTGCCTGACAGTGTAGTTGATGGAGAAAATAATCTTTATCCTTAGCCTCCATCTGGTTGCAGACCATAAAGACAGGGAAAAAATGAGGGTGTTGGTAGCTTCGTTAGAAACTGAAAGCTCACTGATTTTTTCAAAACCTAAATAGCCTGTGTTTCTCCAAATAACTAATTTGCAGCCTTCGGCAGCCAGGACTGGCAGGGATGGGGCTAGGGGGACTGGGGAGAACTGCTCTCTCCTGAGGGTGGTCTGACCCGACAGCACGCATGACCTTCCCACAGTCAGGAACTGCTCAGAGACGTGATGGCAACTCCATAGAATGAAATACTCTTCAGCCAGTAAAATGTATTTTTGGATAAATATTTGCTTTAAAAAACTTTACTATATGTTGTTAAATGAAAAAAAAACCTTAAGGCATCAGAAATTATGTGCAGTAAAATCTCACTTTTGTAAATAAATATACCTGTTTACTACGTATGCATAAAAAGAATCCTGAGAAATATAAGTACTGTATGCATATTGTTGTTAAGTATTTTTTCTGTTTGCTTATCTATAATTCTAATTTTGCTTCAAAGAACAAGTTACTCCGGCAATATAAAAATAAAATAACTAATTTGTCTTGTCATCAAACAGATAGTAAGAACAGGCAAACCTGGCCCTCCACACTGCCAGCCTTTTGTGATTCAAGGCTTCAGTTTCCTCCACTTGTTAAAAAGATTCAACAAAGTAGTTGAAATAGTATGTGAACCAGTAAACCCTAAAAGGTGTCCAGTGTTGTCTGTGAGCTAATTAAGTGATTTGATTCTGACTCCCCGAGTCTTCTGATTTCGAAGCAGTGGGGAGTCAGACAGGAGCCTCAGGTGGCCTCTCCTGAGAGGCCCTGGAAAGTGATGAGAACCTGGCCTCTGGCAGCTCTTCATAAACGTCCATGTTTTCCCTCTACTCTCTCACTCTTTTCCCAGGGCCTCAAACAGAAGATGAAAATCAATTTCTAAAACAGCCCTCTGTGTGCTCTCTCGTATCTCTCCTTTTCACACATCGTGGTGGTGGCTTTCTCTGTGTTCCTCTGTTGATTCAGTCTCTGGAATTAACGGATCAGGATTCCATGCCCAGAATGCTACAAAGACTGTGCTTGAGTTCTCCCACATCTCACTCAATTACACAGAAGTTTCAGATTATGTAACAGATGCTGTGCTGGGTTAGGCAGAGCCATCTGACTTGTTTTGCTTTATTTTAGACCATGAGATGGGTGAGTTTTTCTTTTTAATGCCACATTCTTTTAAGAATTAAAAACCTCCACTTGGCTGTCAGCATTGGAAATCAGAGTGATGGTGCAAGCCCTGATGAGGACAATGTCCTTGTCTATGAAAAGGTGAAATCATTGCTTGAAATCGCTAAGCAGGACATGCAGTCCCAGATGGAGGGGGGAATTCGGGAGCTGGTTGGAAAAGAGTATTTGGCACTTTGCAGCCTTGAGAGGTGCAGAAGAGACACCGAGGGGTTCACCACCAGAGCCACCATTGTCAGAGAGGCGTCCAGCTGTGTCCACCTGGGACTCTGCCTTCAGGGCTTCTTGCCTGGCTGGGAGCTGCACAGGCAGACTCCTGGGACGGTGTGCCGACAGCTCTGGGCACCCCCTTCTAGGATCTGATTCCTGAGGAATCACAATGTGGATTTCACAATCACTTCCAGTGTCTTTTGCCAACCTCTGTGAACAGATGTGCAATTAAAAAAAAAAAAAGAAAGGGGCCCAATTCTCAACACTGTAAGTGGAAACTTTTTAATGGAAAAGGATAGGCTAATGAATTGAATTTGAAATCTGAGACAGAACCGATGCATCAAATGTGCTGGTGTTTACAGATAATACAAGGGGGGCTGCATCTTATGGTTTCAATCCTTTTTTAAATTTTTGTTCTGAGAGACCCAGCCAGCAGACTGCCGCCAGTCTTGTCAGAGATGTCAGTGGTGGCCACTCTGAATGGAAAGCAGCATCTCTCAGCATCTCTGAGGCACTGCTCCTCAGCGGAGACTGTGGTGGCTTTGCCTTTCAGCACGCATCCTTTCTACGATGCCTGACAGTGCCCAGGGAATGGGCAGAGCTGGGAGCTCTGAAGCCCTTTCACCTAAACCACCCTGGGTCACCTGACCTAGTTTTCCTCCCAATTTTAATTATGTCAGGCACTTCACAAAGGCCTCCTTGGGGACACCATGAGCTCACTGTCATCAGATTGCTCCAATCACAGCTGTGGCTTGCACACAACCGCCATCTCTGCCCCAGCAGATGCTGTGTGTAAACAGTTGTATTAATTACATCTCAAAAACATGGTTCTTGCCAGATCCTCAGGATTTGGGTGCAGCCTCTGAGGTGGGTGGGAGGCCCTCGAGGGAGAAATGTCTGCAGGAAATTCTTCCCCTACGAGAGGTCTGTTTTCTAAGTTATCTAAGAGCTACTGCAGCTGTTTACTGCAGAGTGACCCTGCTCAAAGCTGTGGTCACCCAAGGCTTTGAAAGGGGACCTCCACTTCCGCCCTGGGTGGAGCACCGTGCTGGAGACCCACGCCTGCCAAGGCCTCATTGTCATCTCCACACGCCGTCCTTGGGGTGGGCCACTCCTGGGACACGCAGACAGGAAGCCGGCCACCTGAGCCACTCGGAGGCTCTATCCAGAGTCAGCTGCCAAGCCTCACGTCACACATCACTGTTAGTCTTGGAGGGCTGGCGGGGCCCTGAAGTCAATTGAACACTTGGATGACAGGGAACTTGCCACTGCCAGAGGCAATATGCTCCATTTTTTTGACAGTTCCAACAATTTTTCTTTAAACTGTCATAAAAAATTGCTGCTGTGAATACCAGTGTCGGCGTCCCTGCCTCACCTTTACCTGGTGCTTTTCCACCACACAAAACTGTTTCTCCTCGTGCTGGCCTTGGGCTTGCAGACAGCTGATTCTTCTCCTCCCGCGGCTGAGCAGCCTCCTCCGAGCAACCCTCTGACAACTCTGCTCCTTCTGACAACCTCTGCAAGGGCTGCCAGATGTGAACAAGGGGCCCGGGCAGAAGGTATCCAGGAAGACTGGAAACTCGAGGAAGCCTGCCCTGTCCTGTCCACCAGACTTTACGCTTGCGTCACTGGGCTTTGGGACCTAAGTCCTCGTCATTTGTTCCTTTTGCAGTTCCTACTGTTCTCAGCACTTCCTTCCAGCTTACTGAGGTACACTCAGATGTGATATGCCATCGGTACAGACACAGTTCTGCTCCAGCATTTCCCCGTGTTCTTTCTGTCGCTCTATTTACTGAATTACCGTGAGGATGTGGAGCGAGGCTGAGTTCTGTATTTTAACACCATTTTAATTCTCACCTACTGAGAAATCCATCCTCTTATCACTGTGCTTTTTTTAACCTGTCACGAATCCATGAAATCCTATCAGCCAGCCTGCATACTTCCTTTTAAGGTGCAGTTGAATCAGGAGAAACTTGCCGCACATGCTGCGTCCGGGCACAGCATTGGCTGAGGCTGCTGCCCTGACCTGTCCGCTTTGTAGTACTGCCCAGCTATGAAACAGGTTAGCCACACATGACCTGCATTTAGGAGTAACAAGTCTGTCTGTACATGCACATACAGCAACTTTTTTAAACTGTCTATATTTTTTCCTGAGATAGGTATTTATAATATCTCCATCTTCTTTCCCATTTTGAAACTTAGAACAAGTTTGCCTGTCAACAGTTCTCCACAGCATACTGTGTATTCTAGGATTTTCTAAGGTTGAGCAACGGAGGTTCAGCAATTTTGACTTAATTTCTTCCCATCCCTTTTCCACGCAGCCCAGAAGCCTTGGATCACGTGGTGAGGGGAAGAGGTTGTGCTATGTCGGGAAACTCTGTATCGAAGCTCGGCTCAGATCATGACATTCTCTTGACTAAAACCCTCAGTTTCCATCAAACTTGTCACTCTGGCATTAAAGCCTGTCACTGTGTGGCTCTGAAAACCTCTCTGAACGTGTTCCCTGCCTCTGCCCTGCAGGTCCCTGTGCTCCACAGAAGCCCACTTATGTGACCCACCCCCACTCATCACCACCTTCCCTCACCCAGAGCCTCAGCTCCCCACTCCCACCTGTAAGACCCCTACTGGAAAGATTCCCACCTGCCCCTCAAGATTAATCTCCAAGGACATTTCCAAATTCCTCTCCCCATCTCTCAGCCAGATGGCTTTGCTCCCTCCAGGAACCCCAGCCACCTTCGACCTCCAGCAGGGCACTCCACTCCACATTCTCCTGGTCTGTCTGGCTCATCTTACCTGAGCCATGCTCTCCAGGTGAAGGACTATGTCTAACTCAACTCTGCTTTAAAAGCAGCTAACACATTGCTCTTTGCATATTGTTCACTCACTAAGTTGAACTGGACTTGGACATGCACACTGAACTGCAGCGTCTGCTGCTTCTTGGTGGCCCAGCTCGTCAAAAGAATAAGATTTCAGCAAAACAATGTAACAATTTTTTTTACCAAAAGTAATGTTAACAATATATGGTTTTCCCCTGATGTTTGCGTCAAAATGCTTTTTGGAAAAAACATTTTTCAACTCTTTAGGGTCAGAATTAAGCAATGAAATTTATATACCACATGTATAATGTGTATGTTTATCTAAGTATCTGTTCATTTATATATCTTAAATAGAAATTTTAAAAATTTTTTTAAAACTCCTGATAAACATTCTCAGGAGGCACACTATGTAACTGTTGGTTGATATACCTAGCTAGATGGTGAAATCAGATTTTGTTTAAAGCATGGAGGAGAGGGAAAAATTAAATCTTGCAGATTCTGCAGTCCTTAACATCTTTGAAAGAGGAACATTTCAGACAATGTAATAAGAAGGCCACGTGCTTTGACTTCTGTAGATTTTAAAAATACTTCTGTATAGTTTCTTCTTCCTTTGAAGAAGTTTGGGGAGTTTGGGAAGATGGAGAAAGATATAAGAATAGACTCCCCATATGGGTCATGAATTATCTTTTTGCATCAGAACTCTTAGTGCAGTTTCAGTATTTTCTTCCTCAGGAGGGTGAGCTGCTTCCGAATGTCCTCCCCTTCTTTGAGGCATCCTCTGTTGGTGAACTTTGAGAGCATCCATTTATGAAGTTGATGACCTTTCCCAGTCTCTGCAAGCCCTTCAGTGTGTGTCCTCTCTGAGCAAATCTGAATTGTGTGCTTAATACATGGAAAGGGATTTGGGAGGGTTGCTTTTTAAACTGATTTCTTAATTAATATTATGGTTTAGTTAACTAGACAGTCTCATTGCAGAAGTGCATAACCATAATATGTCTTCAAATATATCTCCCTTCCTAACACCCTGTAATATACTTTTGTAAAGATACCCTTACAGAATGTGATCCACCATTTATGAACCTGCAGCATTGCATTCAGAGACTAAGTGAAAAGCTGGCAGATTTTCATTTAAAGCACAAGCTAAGGAAGAAAGCTGGTCTAGAAGGAGCTACAGAAGGGTAATGCTTAGGGAGGGAATGATGTGCCTGTGGGTGGTGGTAGTTAAATCTAACCAAAGAATGATGTCGTGGGTGTTTGGATATTGGATGGTCCACATTGGGCCACATTCTTTCAAACATAAGAGTCTGTAGAAATATGACCTGTAAAAGACTCTTAAATATTCTGGAAACTGTTTCTTCCTTGTCACATCCTTATATATACTTGAACCTATGCCTACCAGACATGACATGTGACTATTCATACAGATTTCATCATCTCTGGTTTAAGAATAAAGGATGCTGCATAGAAGGCTCACATCTTTTAATTCACAAGACTGAAACTGTTCTGAAATGACATTGTTTCTAAAAATTCATTACTTGCATTATATTCATTTTTATTTTTCCATGCCAGAAGGGTAGAAGTTCCTGTGCTCATATTAAGAAACAGCAATGTCAATCGAGGCCCAACTCAAATCCAATTTATAGGAGTTATAAAGGGCGTGTGCCTGTTTTGTCTAGAAGCAGTGTTGGGCAGCACTGAGTAGGATAGACCACCTGTTGCTACCGATAAAGGAGCAGCTTCTCGAATGCTCCTGTCTGGTAGGCACTATCCCGAGTGCTTTGGCCCCTCATCCACAATCTGTGTGGCAAAAGGCATTGCAGGCAATTCAGTGAGGAGACCGAGGCATGGAGAGCAAGTGCCATGGAATTCCCTAAGGCCGTGCAGGGAGCAGGTTGCCAAGCTGGGTTGAAACCGTCCTCCGTAGGCTCCCAACTCCGCCGTCGCTGCTACTGTGCTGGATGATGCCTGGTAGATGCAGATGTGGAGCCCCATGGATTCTGAGACAGGCCGGGTTTCAGTCCTGCCCTAGCTGCCTATTGGCTGGATGACCTTGGCAAGTTGACTTTCGTGAGCCTCATTTGTCTCATCTCTCAATTAAGAAAACCTAGAGCCTATCTGTGGGGGTTATCTGAAGGATTCCAGGGATGCATATGGCACTGTCTACCGCATGCGGTAACTGTTTCACAAATGATGAGGAGCGATTTATGTTCTTAGTGGAAATATGTCGGCGTGTGAAGTCCCAAAGCTCTGCCCTGCCTGGCTTGATCCAGTGCCTAGGCACTGCCCCTCTTCCCCTCTCTCCCAACCCACTGTAAGAGGCTAGGCTGCCTCAGTAACTCTGAGGGGCATTGACTCTTTTCATCCAAAAATTCATGTTACTGCCCCACATTTTTTCTGTTGTTTTACAACGCAGTAGGAAGTGGGCAGACTGTCAGGAAAAGTGATTTATAGTCATGTATTGCTTGTGCTTTGGCTTCATTTGATCCAATGCAGATCAGCTGCACTCAGAAAACTACTCAAGTGAAAGAGAAAAAGTAACTGAAGGGGGAAATCTGGATGAGTAAGAATTCCAGGGATAGGAATATTAATAGCAAGCTTTTTGCCTGATATAGTCACTTTATGCTGCAGGGGTGCCCCTTTATAAAGTGCTTGTACAATGGATGTTTGCTTTTGATTTTGGATTTGGAGTCTAATGAATGTTCTAAATTATTATTAGAGGAGCTTGCGGTTGTTACATGTCTGCCTTTATTGCTTATTTTTAGCCATCTCCCCTGATGTCAAATGCTCAGGCAAGAATGATACATTCATTTATAATGTGGCTCCTTCAGAAATATACCACATACCTTTTGGTGTGGTTTGTGGCTGAGAAGAGTGGGGAATGCACAAGTGGAAAACTGCAGAAAGATTATGCCTTCATCACTTCAAGTATTTGAGATGAAACTAGATCATTTGCTGTTGCTTTTTATTCTCATTCTAAGTGCTTTTCAAAGTCAGCGCTAAGATTTTAAAATGGTTTTCTGTTGTTGGCAGAGAGGGAATTACTCTATTACTTTCTGATAAAACAGAGTCTTTCATGATCAAAGAGAACCAGGCTCTAGTAGTTCCAGTATCCTAACGTGGACACTAATTGTTTCCCTCCTTTTCTTCATGAAAACAGCTTCTGCACAAATGATAGCCTTGTGAACTAGCCATGGGCACAACTGGAGAAGCATTTAGGGAGCTTTAGTGCAAATTGAGACCACCTACACATCTGACTCTACAGGGTTTGACAACATCCAGGGTGAATCACAAAACATCAGTCTAATCAGGGCTTATATAGAAAGAGTGAAAGAACTCTGATTTCATCCTAAAGATTATTTATATTAACCATTGTTCCAAATGCATTAACTATTTTAATTTAGTTGTTTTGATTGTTAAAAAAAACACATCTGTTTGGTAGATAAGACATAATTTAAGACAAATGTTCTATTTGATAAGCTTTTAGAAACAACTTATTTTTATTCTTTCCTGTGAGATAACTCAGATGTGGAGAATGTGACAAAATTTTAAGCATAACATGAGAAGGGCTGACACACATAGATTTCTGTGTGCTTACTTGAAAACAACAAAATTTAAGAATTTGGTATAGGAGTTGTATCAGGTAGTGCAGAGTCCCCAGGAGACCTAGAGACCCAGGTCTGGGAGCCTAGCGGCAAGGGCTGAATGTGGGATGACATCAGCAGAAACTCACAGCCACTGCTATTCCAAAAACCCAGCAGCAGCTCAGTGCAGGGCAGTGCTGATAGTACAGTGCCTGCAATCCTGGAGTGGATTTGGATGTGTCAGGTACGCACACGCTCACTGCTCCCCCAGCAGTACGTTGAACAGTGTGCGTCCAGGTGTCTGTAGGGCCCCTCGCCCTAACTCACAAAACCATTCTGGGTCAGAAGCCACCAATATTGTCATCATCCTCCCTTTTCTGAGAACCCTAGTAAGTCCCTCCAGTGGGGCAAGCCCACCTTTTCCCTTCATTCTGTGGCAATATGCCTTCATTTCCTAATCAGTTTTGCCCTGCTCATTCAATGCAAAATGGATCTGCTTTCCTTGGGCACCAATATGTCCAGGGATTGTTTATCAATCTTCAGTTCTGTTTCCTTTACATATCCCTCCAAAAATCAGGCCTGCACTGCCTGTGCACTCCACAATCCACAGGCCTGAAGGAAATGTTATCTTTGATGTAGAGACTTAAAGTAAAACTCTTCAAATTAATTATTTCATGCAAAAGGCTAGTCCTGACTCTAATTCTAAGACATGTCTCCTAAACTCTGGAAGTCTGATGTATCCTATTATCAACATTTATCCTTAATGTGATGGTTTATCATTTATCCTCAAAGCTGCATTGTAAAATGTACACTGTAAAGTGTACATTTTAAAGTCGGTTTTAAAAAATCATATTTAGAGATCCTGGTAAAAATCTATCAAGTCAAGACATTACCTTATTACCCATGGAATTGTCTTCAACTCTTACAGTTCAAATATTCCTGAATTGGCTTTCACAATAAACATCCTAAATATGTAAGTAGAAACATATATATTGCCAACTTTGTGCCTTCCCAAGCAAAATTAAAATACAGGAAAAGTCAGTTTGTTTTGCCCATAAATAAATATATGTGTGTGTGTATGTGTGTGTATACACATACACACTCAGAAAAGATAGAAGCAGCAGCATATTTTGGCAGCATCTGGTTTATTGGAACTCAAACGTTCTGATTGTGCATACAGACTAGTTAATGTGGTAACAATTATGTATTTCTTCCCTGCTCCTTGCCTTCTTTCCCTCCCCAGTTTTTTTCTTCCTGATAGTAGGTGTGTACTTTTTTCCTATTTCCATTGGCAAGCCACATGACAAGCAAAACGATCACTCGAAGAATATTGTTCCCTCAATCAAGAAAAATGCCCATTGGGTTTTGTTATTTGATGTTATTTGATGACAGAGACCTATTGTTTTTCCATTTTTCTTTTTTTGTTTTCCGTGGCACCTATGGAATTAAGCAATATAAAAAATCTATTATTTCAGATGTTCACGTCTAATGAATTTCATGTGAAATACTGGCAGTATAACCCCAAATAGAGGAAATTTGTGAAGAGTGGATGCTGCAGGGCATGAGACATCTGCACAGAGTTCATCTCTTCCAGCATCTTGCATGTCCCAAGCACTGCCCTGCCAGGCAGAGAATGCTGCAGATCACGGCAGTGAATTCCAGTTGTTCAGAGCACATTTGACTTCCAAATTCTCAAGGCCACAGATTTGAGGACAGAACAATATTTGCATTTGAAATTGGAAGATTATTTTTTGCACAAGTGCCTATATGCTATATAGAGTTTGCCCACTCTGCATTATCTTCCCCCTGTTCCCCCGTTATCTGGCACAAGCTATTCAAAAGACACGCCTACTTGTAAAATAAATGGTTTGCAAACTAAGGAAAATACTTAAATCTCATGTAAATGGTACTATACTATGTATAAAAATGTGAAGAAACACAGAACAGCTCATGAACACCTCCACTGCTGTATAAAAGAACCATCTTTTTTCTGGCTCCTATTGGATGCCTTAGAAAAATCTGTATTTCCTCTTTAGTTATTGTGTTTGAAAGATGAAGTTGAGACAAAAGTTCTATTCTTTTTAAGTTGGCAGAACTTCTGAAAGGTGATTTTTAGCTGCAGTGTGACTCATTCCAAATGCAGAAATCTCTGACCCTGAGTTAGTCTATTTGTCATGCAAGAGCCTAGAAAAGCCCTGAGTGATAAGAAATGGCCATAGGCCATTCCCACAGAATTTTCAACAAAAATAGAATCATGCTTATGTTCTAGTCATGACTTAGAACTTATAACTCATGTTCGGAACTGTCCATGTTCACGCACAGGGGCCGTATCACTCCGCCAGAGCTGCCCTGGGTGCCGGTGTGCAGAGGGGTCCGAGAGTGACTGTCTCTTCCTCTGTTGTCGAATGTGTGGGTTATCTCCATAAATGGCTGCCATGAGCATCCTTGTTCACACATTTTTAGGTACTTGAGTGAGTGTCTGTGGAATAATTTTGGGAAGTGAAATCTGTGGTCAGAGGTTTGTGAGTTTTACATGCTACATTTTCAGAAGTTGAGAAATAGCAGTAGGCTGAAGGCAAGTCGCCATGCCTGGAATTCATGAACACTAGTTGAAAGAACTGGCGTGAGTTAGTCATGACAGGAGAGATGGGGAAGGGAGTTGCAGGTAGGAGGGCCATCTTCAAATTCTCAAAGTATAGTCACTCCAAACCAAAATTCGATTTAATCTGTAGGACTCCATTCTCAAAGCACAGTCACTCCAAACCGAAATTCGATTTAATCTGTAGGACTCCAGGTGGCAGAATAAGAGGCAATGGATGGGTGGAAGCGAAACAGGGCCAAAGTTTGACTTCATGTGCAACTTCCTAAGGAGTGATTTGAACTCCACAAACATGAACTAAGCACCTCAACACAGGCTGGGCAAGTTGCTGTTCTTTTGGAGCTTACATCTTAGTGGGGAAAGAGAAATGCCTATGTAAACATATAAATCAGCAGGATACATTGTGAGGACGGTCATTGCTCAGTGAGACTGCAATAGAGTGATACGCTGGAGGGGGCTGCAAGGGAGAAGGTGGGAGGGACAGCATTTAGCAGAATGAGCAGCACAGTCCCATAGGAAGAAGAATTTATTGCCTCCTTAGGCAAATAAATTCCCAAACCTTGAACATCAGAAAGGAAATAGATTAATGTGCACAGAGGATTAAATTATGTGATCTGCAAAGTCATTTAAAATCTATTTCCACATAAAACATATTAATGCAACCTAAACAAAAGGGGTCTGGATACCCTCATCTTCTTCCCAAGCATCAAGTCTTTCTATAGTTAAACTGAGATGCTTTTATTCTTGGAAAATTTTAAGGACTATCTACAGCAATGGAAGAATCGGGTGTTGGGATGTGTTCCCAGGTAATAATGACTGCAGGCTGATTTGGCCCTTGAGGTGTGGCCTCATGGCCCTCTCCAAAAAAAATCAAGGACCTGCTACAAAGCACAAAGCCGACTGCAATGCTTGCTGCTTACTGGTTAGGGCAGCTCCTCTTTGCCAGCGACCAAGCAGAAAGCAAGACAAGACAGGTTCTGAAGCAGTAATTCAAAGCCTTCCTCGCTTTCCCATGTGAGTCATTGCTAGTCAGAATATTACCTTTGCAGAGAGGCTTAATTCCAAATTTGCTCTTAAAGGGATATCCTCTCCTGGTTTAGGTATAAACTTTTGACTCACAGGACAAATTCTATCATTCCTTTGGGCCTAGGATTGCATTTATTTCCATGACAAAAGGGCCTGTCTGGTGTTTCAGCAAATGAAAACAAAAATATAAAGCCCATCTCCTTTTGAATGAGCTCTAAAACAGTTCTCCACTGGACTTCAGAACAAGAGGGAGCTCTGGGCTGCTGGCTGGTTGTGCATTTGCTGTGGGTTCCCTCCGGCAGGCGACCTCTCCGCGCTGAGAAGGTTATCCGGATAACCAAGTAAGAAAGTACATGAGGAGGCACAGAAAGAAAAATGTGAGAGATAACAGCATAAACACACAGTGTATGTTGTTATGAGGCATCACATGATGAGATACTGCTGGGGAGGGAAGAAGTGAGGAGATTCCTAGGAATCTTATGAGAATTTCCAGAGACAACAAGTTTTGAGCTTTTTTTTAATTTAGAAAATTTACCTTATTTTTAAAAGAATATGTAACATATCCCATGCTATAAAATTCTAGACATAGTAGATTTAAAACAGCATAATGGAAAATATAAATATCTATTTTCTTTTCCTATTTATGTATTCTGTGCCAGTAGGAATGTAGCCAAAAAGAGAGAAAAGGGGTCTCTGCAGACATGGATGTCTCTGTGACTTGATCACTGCTAACCCAAGAAGATAATAAAGCAGAAGCATGTATCCAGGTTGCTGCAGCCAAGCCTGCCCGGTCTGCGGGGCGTCCTCACACATGGGGCAGCTCTCCCACCCCACACACTGGGAAAGGCGGACAGAGGCTGGGCAAAGCCCCCAATTTTCGTTGGCACTGACCCCGATGATTTATAGGCCTTTGTTTCCCATGTTAAATGTCTTACGATCATTAAATTATTTATAGCTCAATTAGCATGTGTCCAAAACCAGGAAGTTCATAGGAGACTGTGTGACTGGGAATTAAGGAGCAAAGCAACTTTCCAGTCTGTGATTTACTGGGTTTCCATTCTGTTTCCTGTTCGGATCCGGAAGTAGAATTTCAAATATTGCTTTTCATGCTTTATTTGGGACCGATTTTAGCCCCGCTCTCCTTTCTCTTGCCATTCGCTGGCCATTAGCCACCAGCCTCTGCACAATGACCAGCTGGCCCCTGGCAGATCTTGGGCCCAGGTGTGAAGTCGCTGGAGAAGCATTTCAGGGCCAAGATGGGAGTGATTTCATTTTCCATTGACACTATGCAGAAATGAAGGGGATTCAAGTGCCTTCAGAAAAGCTTCCTTCCAGCGAATGGAGTTTTGGGGGTTTTCCAGACTTGCAACTGCTTTTATTCTTGGAAGCATCATTGTTGCTTTTTCCCCCCTTCCATTTATATCCCAGGAACTGATTCAGAAACCATAGAAATTGGATTTGGAATCGCTGAATGCTAGCAGACAGCTGACTGCACTCTTCCCAAGAAACCCTGCCAGCTGGGTTCGGGTATCGCGCGGTGTGTGCTCTCTCTGCCTGGCCCGCTGAGTCCTCTAACTCTAATGGATTCCTTCTTACACCAAAGTGCACTAGAACTAAAGTGTTTTGCTTCATTCTTTAGACATTTTGTGGTTTAGGGCTCAATCAGCCAGGGTATGATTTGCAATCCACAGTAACCGGTTTCAGAGCAGCTGCCCAGCGAGGCAGGTTTCATCTCGCTTGCTAGACGTTTTGTTTTTTTTTTTTTCTAAACCTCACACCTTTTATTTATTAGACTTGGATTCCAGTTTCCTGAGCCTGTTTGTGCCACTGATTAGACAGGCTTGAAGCAGAACCCACCAGGCTTCCTGAATAAAATGCAGCAGTGATTGTATTAGGGGGTTTTAAATTGCTCAAAATACTGTCTAAAAAACACTAAAAATCATGTTACTTTCTAGATTGAATAAAATCCTATAGAAATGAATTCCTGGACTTGATATGTAGCAAGCTGGCATTGGCTCGGGAGTGAGTGGGCTCAGTTAAGTGAGCTAAGATGAGATGGTGCACAGGCGAGCACCCACCTGAGGAGTGTTTGGATGTTATGATAGCCAGCTCCTCTGTAAAGACCTGTCCTTCTATGTCAGCAGCCCAGCAGATAAATGACGTGTAAATACCACATTTAGGAGGGCTTATGATGATGCCAATTAATGGAGACCTTTTTGAAACAGGAAGGAGGTGAAACATATTCCTTTGCTTCTACATCACTGTGTGCCAGGCACTGTTTACAGCATCTCGTTTAACCAGCAGTCACCACCTGACGGATGGCTGATGTGGGGTGGGGTCCCAGGGTGGGATTGCGTGATGGGCTTGGGGTCTCTGGCTGATGGGTGCCAGAGCTGGGACTGGAACTCCTGGCGTGACTGAGGCAGACACCTGGGCTACCCAGCCTCACCCACGACGCCCTCACTAAGTGACCCACAGGACTCACCGGAAGCAGGGCAGCAAGGTCCCCCTACAGAGGTCCCCACTGCAAACCGATACCCAGCTTAGACAGCAGTTCTGCAGTCGGCGTCTCACCCCTTCGGGTCTCATTGTGACTCACTTTGATAGCCACACGATTTAAGGGTGGTTCAGTAGTGATTTGATGAGTGCTGTGGCTCAGGGTCATTCCCCTGCCCAAGCATTTCAAATTCCAGAAGTTCATGCCCTGCATGGTGGGTGAAAAGTCTCAGGCCAACCATGAGCACACAGCAGCCAGGCGACTGAGGCAGCTGCCCGGGGTGGCACGTTGCTCAAACCCATCATTTGGAGTCAAAACAAACAGATGATTAGCTGGGGTGGTCACTTTCAATCAAGAGTTTTCACATCGCCTAGACATGGCCTCAGAATCAGGCCTGGTGTGGCCAGGGGCTGATCTCACAGTAGACAGGAAGTGTGGCCCGAGGGCCATGGCTGCCCCCTCAGAAGGCCCTGTGGAGTGGCTGGCCGAGCCTCAGCAGCCTCCTGTGAAGCGAGGAAGGGTCTTCCTGCCGGCCTCTGGAGATCAGTATGGGAATGCACAAGTAGGAAACGCTGGATGGGAATCCCTCTGCCCTGTGATACCAAGGCAGTGAGTTTGTAGACTATGGAATTGCTGTCGGAGGGCTCTGTAACCGGCCAAGGTCACACAGGTAGCCATTGGTAGAGCAGGGACTGGAATCCCAGACCCCCAACTTCCAGGACTGTGCACCTTTCTTTATCCCATACAGCCTTACAGTCAAGTGCCAGTGCAACACCTGATTCCCAGGTTCCAGCCTTTGTCTTTTATAATGGGAATCAACCTTATCTTGACGATCCAGAGATAGTCATCAAGGAAGATTAAATTATCCCCTTAGACTCAGAGTGACCATATCATTTTCCCTCCACACAAGGACACTTTTGAGAATGAAAAGGAGGAGATGTCTGTACCAGACGCTGGATGACAGGCACCGACAGGCTGTCTGCCAGGGGAGCAGCGATTCCTGTATGTTGTAGAAAGTTTTTCAAAAGTCACCTTGGAAAGAGGTTTTGTTCCTTAACCTTCTGTTAAATAGGAAGCTCCGTGAATGAAAACAACTCCCTTCCCTAAACATTCTAGTAATGACCCAACACTGCCAAGCCTGCCAGCTCTGCCTCATGGTCGTGTTGACTGTGTGAGACTATGTGAGTGCCTGCTACACAGTACGCTTTCAGTAAACATGGTATTGCCTCGATAATCCCACAAAAATGTCCTATTCAAATCACCTGGCACCCAGGAAATTTCCTTCTTTTTTTTCCCAGGTGAAATATACAGTTGAAAACACCTGACAGCAATTCCCCTCTCCCATGTGTTTGCAGGATGGTGGTTTTGGTTCCTCCATCTTTGATGTGTACAAGTGTGATGTTTTCCCCCCACAGACAAGTAAACCACATTCTCTTCACATTCCCAATGTTTTGTCAATGTACCTCCTTCAATAGA
Source organism: Homo sapiens (assembly GCF_000001405.40). NCBI lineage: Eukaryota > Metazoa > Chordata > Mammalia > Primates > Hominidae > Homo > Homo sapiens. The sequence continues at coordinate 55,113,591 of NC_000007.14, forward strand.
GGATCGATAAGGAAAAAAATCATTGACAATCTCAATTAGATTCACTATTTCATCCAAAAGCATAGCTTAGAACTCTAGTTTTTGTTCAACACTCTTGCCCTATGAGTGCACAGAACTTTAATTCTGATACAAACATCCCTGAATGTTTAGCTTTGACAGAGATTCCAAGGTGATTTGATAAGAAGCAGGGCTGTGTTTGGGCTCTGGGAGTTTTTGATATGGTTTCAAGCCCCATCCAAAACCCACAGACCTCTAGAAAGTAGGTGCCTGCCTTCCTGCAGCAGCCCTGGAGCCTGCTGGGGGCTTTGAGCAGCTGCTGCCAAGCCAGGCCTCACCCGACACTCTGATGGGCACGGCCATGGTGGCAGGGGCTTGGACGCTGCCAGGTGACTCTAACTTGTGGCCAGGGTGGGAAGCACTGCTCCACAGAGGTGCCAAAACCAGGTTCCTTCCTGTGTTCTCACATTTCACAGCCTCAATGTAAAAAGTAAGACATGGGCACTCTGGAATATTACAAAAATATAGAAAAGCATGTTATAGTAAATAAAAGGCTCACAGAATTTTGTCATTTAGGAACAATGATTATTAATATATTAGTGTGTGTTTTTGCTCATTAACAGTATATCCTGAGATATTTCCTATACCATTTAATATTTTAAAAGATGTTTACACTGGCCACAGTAGCTCATACCTATAATCCCAACACTTTAGAGGGCAAGGCAGGAGGATCACTTGAGGCTTAAAAATTAGCCAGGTGTAGTGGCACATGCCTGTAGTCCCAGCTACTCAGGAAGCTGAGGCTGGAGGATCACTTGAGCCCAGGAGTTCAAGGCTGCAGTGAGCTATAATTGCACCATTGCACTCCAGCCTAGGTGACACAGTGAGACCCTGTTTCTAAAATAAATAATAAATAAATTAAAACATTTAAAAATACATGATGTTTAATTATTAGAGGACTCAATTTTATATCTATGTATACAATAATTTTTAAGTTTCTTAATATTGGACTTTTAGTACCTTTTTAAAAATACTATTTTTAAAAAAATCTGTATTTCTAACTTTTTATAACAAGGAACCTTTGGCTTTGAGATGACTGGGGAATCCATTCTTTCCTATAGTATCCATGTCCAATGGACTTAAAGTATTAATCAATGTGTTTATGTTTTGTTATTTTTCTGGCATTACAAAAAATTCTAAATATATTGTTACCGCCTGTATAAATATCAGCTTTTGAGAGAAGGACATTGTGTAGAAATAATGAAACACTGCAACTTGTATTTGTATTATTCTTTTTTTTTTTTTTTTTTTTGAGATGGAGTCTCGCCCTGTCACCCAGGCTGGAGTGCAATGGTGCGATCTCTGCTCACTGCAAGCTCCGCCTCCCAGGTTCACACCATTCTCCTGCCTCAGCCTCCTGAGTAGCTGGGACTACAGGTGCCCGCCACCGCGCCGGGCTAATTTTTTGTATTTTTAGTAGAGACGGGGTTTCACCATGGTCTCGATCTCCTGACCTCATGATCTGCCCGCCTCAGCCTCCCAATGCACTGGGATTACAGGCATTATATTATTCTTTAAATTCACATGAGAATTTAGTATGGCTTCAAAAAATACCATAAGTTAAAATATCACCAAGACTCTGTTCAGACAAAAGTATCAGAAAAGTGAGCCAGGCACTCACATAGTTTATAGTTTATAAAAGTGAGACAGGCATGATCTCTTAACCTCACTATAGTCCTGTGAATAAGGTTTATTTACATTTCATTTTACCTGCCAGGATTATTGTAAAAACGCCAAGCACATTGCCTACACAAACTAAATATTCAGTCAATGGCTGCTATTTTCATGAGTTCGTTTTAACATATATTTATTGTCCTCTACTGGATTTAAGAAGTTATATTTATTATCATCTAAGATTTTAGCTATTCCTTCTCTTAAAAATAGATTTTATAATCAATGGCAGTAAGGGAGAGTAACTCGCAGTTCTCTGAATCTCAAGGGGTTCCTGGAAGCCTTCCTGAAGGTATAGTGAAATTTCAGCTTCACATTCCCATCCATGAGCTCCCTGCAAATATCCCGGTCTGCTCTCAGGACCCAGTGACTTACCTATGCAGAGGCTGTAGATAGCACCTGGAGCTTCCTGTGTGCCCTCCTCAAACTCAGCCAATGCCGTCATACAGTAGCAGGCAGGTGTCTTTGCTGGGTAGTTGGACTGGATGTCCCTGGGATTGCAGAACTGGAATGGGGAGTGACATCAGGAAACTATAATCATCAGGACAACATGGTTTGCCATAACTTTAAGTTTTAAGCGACCGCAGATTATGCGGAGAGAGATGCATGCCCACAGCCATGCTTCCCATGTAACTGGAGAGGGGTCTGAAGTTTGAAACAAGTGTTCCTAGGCACGGGTTACAGTGTTTGTTATCATCATACTTGATTTAGAATGGGGCACAACATGTGGATTCATGGTAACTGTTACAACCTTACTCATTTTAATACCTGAAAACATGCTTTCCCCATGCTGGGAATCGAAAGATTCTCCTAGGAAAAGAAAGGCTTGACAACATCGATTCAAAAAGGGCATGCATTTTCCTCATTTAAATAACTCTAATGTGCAAGTAGATCCCCTGACCTCAAGCTCAGAAGAGTCCAGGCCTTCACACCTTCTCTGCTTCTGCTCTGGGGCCAGCTATTGAGATTCCTGTGCCCACGCAATGCGCACATCCCACCCCTGGCCGCTGTCCACAAGAAATCCAGTTGCACCAAGCACCCCACTTTTTGCACCTCTCATTTATGTACTCCTAAGAGCCTCACCACAACTCCCTTCTAAAAACATGAGTTCCTGACTGGGAATTCGATGCTGCCCAGGCAGCTTTGCTCAGAGGGAGCAGCCTTCTAGAAATGTTTCAAGTAAACTTTCAAGTATAACTAAATTCAAAAAAAACACATACACACACACACACACACACAAGTCAAAGGTGTGTAATTTGGCCAATATCACAAACCAATTAGCCCTTTGTAAGTGGCACCCAGATCAGGACAGCTGACCATACCAGCACCCTAGAAGCACCCCGTGCTGCCTCCTGGGACAGGGCTACCACCATCCTAAGGCCAGCACGATGGGCCAGCTTTGCCTGCTGTTGAATTTTGCTTACATAGAATCCTCCAGTAGGTACTCCTTTGGGTCAGGTTCTTTCACTCAACATTATGTGTTGATATTTTTCCATGCTGTGCTGCAAAATTGTATTTCTTGCATTCCATAACTGGGCAGTTCCATCATAGGAGAATACCACACTGCGTTCGTCCATTCTACCGCCAATGGACATATGGGTTCTTTCTCTTTTCTTGCAGTTACAAGTTTATGAATATTGTCCCACGTGTCCCTGGTGAACTTTTGTTTGCATTTCTGTTGGGTACCTCAGAGTGGCGTTGCTGGGTCAGAGGGTACTGGTCGCTTTAGTAGCTTTGAAAGATATTGCCAAAACATTTTCCAGCGCAGTTATAGCAAATTATACACCACCAGCAGTAGAAAACATCTCCTAATTGCTCACAGTAAACCCCCAAAGATTGCCACATACATCTTCCATATCAATTACTTAACTATTCAGCAAATTTGAAGGGAAATATATTTAATCTTTTTATTCAAATAGTTTATAAAGTGGAATAGAGATGTGGGTAAAAGTTGTCTTGCCACCTTTTTAGATCGGTAAAAGTTTGTTGAATGCAGGCAAGAAAAGATGAGAAATAATGGTACCCAATGAAAGACATAGCAGTCTACAAGGAGGGGCATTTCCCGGGGTGGGGGGGACCCACACTCTGTAACTCCCACATTCAATTAGCATGTTATAGGTAAGCTGCAGAAAACGAGGCAGCTTGTCAAAGAGGAACGGCTCTTGGCCATGGTTGCTGCCCTAGGAGGATATTTGATACTAGCAGAGCTGGGGCAACCCTGGAGGAAACCACCTGGAATGATGGGAGAACTCCTCCAGGGAACATGGCCCTTTAATAGATCTCTGTTATAAAAAATAATCCCAAAGCAGCCACCAGGGCATACTGCTGCGATCAAGTCCTAGGCGGTATTCCCTTCTGCGCCATAGACCCTGTGCAGAGTGCCCTCAACGAAGGAGCAAGGAAGACCAAGTCTCCCGAGGGTTTGCATATGTGTATGTGATTCTGCAGTCATGGTGAATGACACAGTCAGGGCTGCGGAAAAGCATTGGTAAAGTGTATATTTGAGGCTTCAGAAGTTTGAAAAGGCTAGATTTCCTAGGCCAAAACACTGAAAATTTGCAATTAGAACTTCAGTGCTGATGCTGGGAAGACTGGAGTTAGTTTGAGACATGCACCTGTGCAGAACTGGGCCCCCAGAAAAGGAGAAGGAAGGGAATCCAGACCAGAGTAGGGCCTGACACCACTCAGACTCGGCGTGTCTATAAATTAGAATTGCGTTACAATTACACTTTGACATTTTAGTGGTTTTTAAAGTGCCCAGCACAAGTTAATTTTTCATTAATGAATCCTTTATTCATAAAATGCTTAGATGGAGATTACCCTTTTGAGCATTTTGCCAGTGCTTCTGAAATTAATGGGGACCTCCTGTTGGAGGACACAGTCTGTTGCAATAGGTGACCACTGCTCTGAATCTATGTCACCTCTCCAGGACCACGGGCACAACCATCACCTGAGGCATGTTGGAGATGCAGATGGTCAGGCCCTCCTAGAATCTCAGAATCTGCATTTTAGCAAAGTCCTGGGTAATTCCTATGTCCATTGGAGTTTGAGAAGCACTGGTAATCTCAAATACTTTAAAAGATTACTAGAGTAAGATAGGCTCAGTAGGTACCTGAAGGCACCATCCCAAAGACCAGAGTGGTAGAAGCAGGTGGACCAGCCTCTGAACACATTTCTCCCCCACTCCCCGGCTGTGTGGAAGGTTGCCACCTTTGGGGTAGTCATTCAACAAACACGTGTCAACTGTCCACTATGTGTCAGGCCACCACTGGGCACTGGCTGTGGCTAGCTGGATAGACACCATTTCTGCCCTCCAGAAATGTCATGTCCACTGGCACATGACAAGTCACTAAGTCATTCAGAGCCATGGGTGACAGCTCCAGGGGCCGACAAAGGAGCTGTGATCTCACAGATCCACAGAGAAGTGTCCCAGGGCGGGCGGGAACCAGGACTGCACAGGGAGGGGTGAAGTGACACATAAGAAGTCAGCCCATCAGCCTGAAATGCTCCCCCAAATCTTCCCATTCAGTGTTTTCTCAGTAGCAAACTCGTGGGAAAATTGGTTATTTTACTTAAAAAACTCATACTAGAAAGCTAGTTTAACTTTAAAAATAAATTTTAAAAACATTTTTATTAACAAATCCTACCTTTCCTCCAAAGTCAAGGAGAAAAGAATAGAAGTGAACAATGGACCAAGTAAGCCTAAAACTCTGCTCTTTCCCCTGCTCATTTTACAGTTCAAGTGCCATTCAATTTATCCTGGCAAGAAGAGGAAGGCATCATCAAGACCTTAATTTTCTAATACATCTGATCTGAGAAGAATGTGAAAGCTATAAAATTAATTTTTGATCAATAACTACAGGCCTTTTGAGAGAGTGCCCTCCTAATGAATTGAGTACCTATTTCTCCATACACAGTGTCTATCATGACCTACAAACCCTTTTCCCATGAGGTGTAACAGAGAGAGATTACAGCCTTGGAACTGGATGTCAGACTCTCCTGGTTTAAGACAATAAGCCATGACATAGAGCCTGAAACCAACACAATCTTCCGAGTGGTTCCAGAAACATATAGGGGATAATGTTGGCTCTGATGCTGTACATCCCCAACAACCATCAACTATTTGGAAACTAGAATTTCAGCATAATTGGAGTTGGTGTTACCCTAGCAAATGCTGTGGGAAGAGAGTCTCACTGTGTATCTTCTCCTGTTTAAAGCCTGAATTTGTTCAGAATGTAATATCTCTGTTTAGCCACTCTACTGAAACTGATCTAGGAAATGTTCAAAAAAAGGTATCCCAAGGATCCCTTTGTAGCTACATCTGTGGGATTCCCCTCGCTCTGGCGTGGCCTGGCCCCTCTGCATTTGACAATACGGTCCTATGCTTTTGTCTTCCTGGGCTGCGTGAACCCACCCTGCCCTGGTTCACCTCTCCTCTTGACCCATCCTTATCAGTGTCTTGAAAGGTCCTTCTATTGGAGGACACATTCTGTTGCAGCAGGTGACCACTGCCCCAAATCTGTTTCACCTCCCCAGGGCCATGGGCACAACCATCCCTGGAGTGTGTTAGAGATGCAGTTGGCCAGGTCCTCCAAAATCTCAGAATCTGCATTTTTGCAAAGTCCTGGGTAACTCCTATGTCCATGAGAGTTTGAGAAGTACTGGTCTCATGAGTTCCTGACATACAAATAGTGCTGAGGCCAGTATGCTGACTGGGTAGCCAGATACAAGTGAAAACCTTCCTGTTTTTTGCAAACCTGGATGGACCCGAGGCCGCTGACGTGGGCCAGGACAAGCTACTCTTTTTCAGTGTTTCTGTTGCATCGCTGTGTCTCTCTGTGATCAGGTGCTGCCCTCCCTGGCAGGAGGACTGCAGACAGGATGACCAAGAGCACTCTACACAGCCTGCTCTCCAGTGTTGGGGGACGCCACCCACCCTCGTGGTTCCTGTTCATCTGCCTACACGTGGAGGGCCCAAGAGGGCTAATATGTGACTATCTCCACTTCCTGGTACCCTGTGTGAATAACTTCACTTACTAAAGGGATGTTGAGCAACTTTATTAATAATGAAGAAAGCACTTTGGTTTGACAAATAATCACTCCATTTTTTCATTTGAAAGTTAACTCTTGTTAGTAGAGAAAGCAATGTATTACAACCACAAGGACGTTTACATGGAAATGAACCATCTGCAAAGCATCCCCCATTTTCCTTTTAAATCAGCCAATGGGTGGTGGTGGGAGAAATATTCACCAGAGTATTTAACATCTATCCCCCTTCCTAGACTGTCAGCTCCATCCGGGCGGAGACTGTTGGTATCTCCACAGCACACACAGGGCCTGGCACACATCCGGGGCTCAGTGAGCACTTGCTGAATGGTGAACAGATTAGCTCTCCTGGGAACGTTGTTGACACATCTCATAACACTGGTTTGGAGTGGAGGGCATTCATCGGGCTGCATATTCCTATTTTTAATTGTATTCTCCACTGGTTACAGCACCTACAGTTATAAAGACATTGTTAACATTGCTTATAGGAAGACATTTGATGGAAATGAGTCCAAAGGCATTACGGTTAGAAACTGGCCAGGTGTCATTTTTGAGAGATTAGATAACTGTTTTCCGGTAGAGTGAATTGCCTGTTTGTTGCAAGTTGGGACTTTGCTGGGCTGGTTTACAGGGCCAAGGGGAAAGAGATAAGTGGATCTTCTAGTGAGAGGTCATCTGTTTTGAAAGCCTGGAAGATTCCATGAACTAAATCCAAGTCTTACAACACAGGGAAGTGTGTCATACTGTGCAGGGATGAAGTCTCCAATTTAGCATGAAAACAAGAGCTCCTCACACTGTCCTCTTCAGAAAGCCCATACAATCCAAACTTCTGAATGCTTAGCTGCTTACAACCATACATAGATTGAGGGATAAAACTCTGATATGGAAGAGAAGGTAAACATTTTTTGGCAGACATTCCCAGGAAAAGGCGGCTCTCTTCTCTCATTGCTGCTGCTCTTTCAGAATCCATTTCAACAGAGGAGGAGTCAATGGGAGCCCCGTGCCTCTGGCAGATATCATATGGCGTTTCAGTGGCATTGTGTGTTACCCTTCTTAGGTAACAGCTCAGCCATTAGAAGAATGTCCTACACACCTTCTCATTTTCTGTGATGAGAGGAATGTGAGGTACTGCCCTTCGAGAGCTGTCATTTGTCCTAGTAGCCAGCAGCGTGACTGTGCTGTCTTCTGCTCTGTCTCCCTGTCAGCCTTCTGCCCAGCCACCACCACTATAGTTTTGTTCTCTCCATTGGAACTCCTGGTTCAGAGAATTACCATAAAAAACAGACCCCTAGACATACAACACTCTATCACATAATGGTGACTTTGTCTTCTATTTTGGATTACTGAGCTTTCTTGGGTAACTTCCACTAAATCGAAGTTAATATTAGAAGAACTTCCTCTTACTAGAATCGAAAAGCATTTAAGTGATGCAGTCAAGTTTGTACCATAAGTAATTCAGTCATTTAACAAATATATATGGCCTCTGTGCGACAGTGACCTTGACTGGGAATGAAGCTGTCCCATGTGGGGCCTGTTCTTCAAAGGCAGTTCCCTGCTGCCCAGTTCAGTCCAGTGGATCTGGGCATCTCTCTTTAATCCGCATTAGGGGCTCTTTACTGATTCTTCACTATCCAAAAAGACTTGGAGGGGAGACCTGAGCCCACTTCTGGAAGGAAATGATAACAATTTATTTAGATAATCTTTGTGCAACAAGTCAATTCACTGAAGAGATCTGCTCTCTAGGAGCCTCTGTGACCCCACCATAACTGGGAAGGCTCTACCTCTCCAGTCTTCGGGCCACATTTCTCTCTGGCCTGCTGTCTTCCCAGCACTCTCAGCCTTGCTCATGGAGCACTCTAGTCCTCCGTCGACCTTGGCCTTTGGTAACGTGATTTTTCACCTGGCAGCTCCCATCTGGTCTCACTCCCTCTTTTTGTCCAGTCTGCATGACACAGCCTCACATCGTTAGTGTTCCCTCACTCCCCTCTTACTGCCCAACCTGCAAAGTCCATGCCTGGGCCAGTGCAGCATGTGTCCTCAATGGGCTGCTGGTGGCAGTGGGGGGAACCGCACAGCCACGCTGTGTGCTGCTGAAGAAATGCACAGCCTCCTACCCTCGCCCTCAAGAGGCAGCCATGGCTGCGCATTTCTGCCCTTCTGAGCTCCGCTCACTTTTGGCAGCAGCCGTTCCAACCTGCATGGGATCTTCACTCTCTCACAGATGTGCTGACTCCTCCTGCTGCCTCCCCTCTCTGTGCCTTCTCACTCTCTGTTCCCTTTGCCCTTTCTCCCCTTTTCTCCTCTGCCTACCTCCAAGCCATCCATCACAGGACAGCTCAAGCATCAGATCCTCTGGGACACTTTCCTTAGTTGTTCAGTCTGATGAGGTGTCCCTCATCCTCTCTTAGCTGAAAATCAGCAGCTGCCTCAACTTCTTTTCCAGCATGTCTCATGAGTATTGCCACAACAGCATCTGTCACAATGTGGGGTAGTGGCTGACTTGCTTTTCTGCCATTCAACTGAGTTCCCTCAGTGCTGGGGCCAGCGTGCAGTGTCTTGTATTCAGTATATAGCTGATTAATTGATGAATTGATTAATTAATGGTTCACACTAGCACAGTGCAACCTTCAATGCAAAGATCTCATCAAAATAATTCACATGGTGGGATATTTTAGAAGGATGACCAGGCTAGTTTGTAGTAAGAAAAAATCAACAAGACTAGGTCAGGAATTCTTTTTTTGTCTACAGGCTTGCTATAGAAGATATTGAAAATCATCTACCTAATTACCTTTATTTTATCAGGTTGTGTATTAAATATCACGTCTGGGGGAAGAAAATGTGATATGTGATTACAGACCTTTCCTGGTACAACATAGTACGTTTCAGATTAACTCAAGGTATTGTGGTGATATTGCGGTCAAAGCCAGGTGATTAAAGAGTCATTCTTTGAAACAAATATCTGTGCAATCAATTAAGAAATTAATTTGCAAATTTTATTTGCTTAGAGTAATTGATATATCATTCCTTTTACAAACAAATATAAAGAAAACTTAACTAAAAATACTGCATATCTCTTTCAGATTATATATCCCAGAAAGGATATATTTTTCTCCTTTCTGGTCTTCCTTTTTGGTGTAGCATCTGTAGGAAATGCATTTCTTCATAGCTAAGTGTACCTCCTTGTGAAATATCTTCAGAGTCTACTGGTGCACATAAGCAATTGCTGGCAGCAGCTTGAGGGTCTCCATCTCACATTTATCATATGCCTTATTGCATGAGGCTTTGCAAGAGGAGGTCTAGAGCTACAATATCTCATGGATATGAATGTCAATTCAAATCCCAGTGGCAGTTTATGAGGGGGAAAGCCTAGAAGAGAAGAAACCTAGAGGAATCAAGCAGGAGGGGAGAGTAATAAAAGACTAGAGCAGCAGGTTTTTCTTAACTCAAACTAGAATTAAATCTCTGTGTGTGTGTGCATGTGAATGTGCCCGTATGTGCATGCATGCACGTGTGTAAATGGATGTGTGTGTGTGTGCATGTGTGTGCAAGTAAGTGTGTATACGTGTGTGGGCATGTATTGTGTACATGTATGTGTGTTTTATGCATCTGTTTGCAAGTATGTGTGTATGCACATAAAAGTGTGAATGTACATGTGTGCTTGGTGTATGTGTGTGTATTAATGTATGCGTGTAGTTCTAGAGTCTAGTTAGAGAAAGTGCATAAAGAAATAGGGAAATTAACAAGAAAGCTATAGCTTAAATTATAGGAAAAACTTTTCTCCCTATCAGTCATGGTTTTAAAATGTTCAGACTTGATATGTTTCCCAGTGCTATTGTCAGAAAATGTCCCTATGACATTCCATACTACTTCAATCAAATCTAAAACCTTTGTTCCAACATGTTTTATTGATATGAGTATATTTCAAATTTCTACCAGGTTTTTGGAGAGGTATTTTGGCCATAAAATTGACTAAATTATTCAAAATAAAAAATGAATAAGCCTGGGCCAAGGCTTGGAGACTTGCTTAACTCAGTTCTTAAATTTTCAGATTTTCAAAATTACAAATTTAAGCTCTAAAATCATGGTGCTGTGTATGATATTCTTTGATTGCAACTTATGGTTGAAAAACTATAGAGGGCTTTATGCTAAGAGTTGTGGATCTTAGGATTTTCATGAAATCTGCATTATCATCATCTGCAAGTTTAGATGGGGCATAACTGATCCAAAGGATGGATCCCTCGGGGGCAATTCAACTGGCTGATTCCAGCCAAGATGACAACAGTCAGGATCCGTTCCCTTCTGATCATCCATTGGGTGCCCTGATTTCCTCTACAGCCCTAGCTGAAAGACCAGACACTATCTCAGGCTGGCTGCCCCACATGCCTTGCTCCACACCAAATTCACAGTCTATAAACCTGAGCCTCCAGTGCTCCTACTACCATACTCACTCGAACATTCCCGATTCTGACCTGGAGATGTCAACAGCTACTTGATGCCACTCTCTTCTATCTTTCTGTAGCTAAGCCATCCCCAAGTTTGTCGATTCACCCTCTTTAACCCCTGTCGGGGTGTCCATTGTGCCCCTTCACCCTGCCATCTCCCTGGTGCACTGTTTTGCAAAGTTCAGCATACATGAGCGTCACCTGGGAACCTTAATAAAGTGCAGATGTTGATTCAGCAAATCTGGGATGCCCTCGGGCTGCATTTCCAGCAGGCTCCTGGGGATGTCCCCGCTGCTGTGCTGCAGATGACACTCTCAGTGGTGGGACTCCAGGCTCTGCTGTCGCCTCCTAGGGGTTTCTCCACACTCCCTGGAGGCCTAATGGGCCCTTCTCCACATGGCAGTAAGATCTGTTTTTGTGTTTGTGTTTCAAGTTGGGAGAAGGAGATTATTTAATACTAAAATGTGCAACATGGGATTGAGAAAACTAATTATTAGTCATAAGTTGAGTATGCAACATTGAAACCACATGCTTTAAAAAATTATAAGAAAAAATCATAGTATTTGAAAGTTACAAGCTATTATGGCTAACTCCATTTATCTCAGTTAGAGAAGAAGAGTCACCTGTCACCAGGGCACTGCCAGAAGCCAGGCTCATTTCCAACAGCACTGGGTGCTCCAGCTTTGGGGTGCCAGCTCCTCCCATAAAGCAAACACATACCTAGGGATGATATTTCTTTGCAAGGGCTCTGCCCTACAGCTTGTACATCTCAAGAAGTTATGTAATTAAACTGTCTGTTTTGAGAAAATTGTAGATTCACACATACTAGCTGTAAGAAATGATGCGGATAAATCCAGCGTACCAGCTTTCCCCACGGAGACGTCTTGCAGCGTCACAGCCAGGATGAGGCATTGACCCAGGCGAAGTCCAGAGCACCTGTGCGCTACAGGGCCCCTTGCACTGTGCTGTCACAGACACGCCCACTTCCAGATGCCATCTAGGACCCCCTCCAAAAAGCAGAGGCATTCTTAAAAACACACATCTGCACATGTTCCTCTTCATTTGAATCTGTCAGTGGCTTCTCAGTGCCTTTCAAATGAAATCTAAAGTCCTTACAAGCCTTGCAGCAGGAACCTCTCCATCCCACTTCCCCTCACACTCTCAGCTTCATCTCTGCTAGGCTCTGTTCAGCCAGGCAGCCTTTCACAGTCCCTCTCCTCCTGCCCTGCCAGGAAGGTCCCCTGCCCCCAACTCTTCCCCACATGTGGCGGGGCCCCGCTTGTCCTTAGAAGCCCAGCTGAACTGCTTCCTGAAGGAACCCCTCCAGAACCTCTCAGACCAGGTCAGGTTTCTGCACTCTTAGATCATCCCCATGGCATAATCACAGTTGTGATGTTGTGATGATTCAGTGAATGTCTGTCTCCCCACTGGATGGTAAGCTTCCTGAGGGCAGGAACAGCATTGGTTCCAGTCAATGCTATGTCCCAGGACTGTTCGTTTTTGCACATACTAATCCTAAAAGGACGATGACAACAGCAACCACTTACATGACCTAGATGCTCTTCTGGGTGTTGTGCAAATATTAACAATTTAATCCTTGCAACAATCCACGAGGGAGGCATTCTTCTACTCCCACTTAACAGACAAGGACAGTGAAGCTAGTAAAGAGAAGTCATTTGCCCAAGGGGACCCCACTACTGTTGGCAGAGCTGGGTGCAAACGCAGGCTTGTGAAGCCAGGACCCATGCATTCAAAGACCATGCCAGGTGCCCCCACTGCACACCTCATCCCCACATACCAGTGAGGGGGAGAGAAATGCTCCTGCACTGCCTCTGATTAACTGCTTTCCTAGAAGTCACACATATAAAAGGGATTTAATTCTAGTGGGATTGAATCTCAATAGTTTCCTTATTAGGTTGATTTCTGTTAATAGTTTAAGTACTGGATATACATGAATTAGAAAATCTAGATTATTAGCAAATGCAAACTATAAAGTATTTTATAAATGTTATCTTGTTTGTCAGGGGATGAGTGAGATATTCATTATACAAAAAGTAGTGTGGATTTTGAGGTAGAAGGTTTACTAAGGATCATACCGTAGTATGAAATAGCCACAAACATTCAGTGAAACCAAACACCCCCGCTTAACCTCAAACTAACACTAAATAATAAGGAATAGACTTGGGGGCAGTGCAAGTGTATTTCTAATGGTGAAAACCATTCCCCAGTGAAAACTAATGTACCATCTAGTTAATAAGAGCTCCTCTGACCCACGCACATCAATACTTACATCCCAATGGTGATGTGACATTTTGGGTTTTGTATTTCTTTTGCAAATTGAGCTAGCATTTTTGATGAGTGGCAGGGCTCTGCTACCCAACCTTTGGACAGTTTCCAAGCATAAAATCACAATTCCAGATAATTCTGTCACAAAGATCTGGGTCTCATTAGGAAGGAGAGGAAGCTGGGAGATGATCCAGTCCAACCTCCCCCAAACCAAACATCACGGCCTTCTCAGTTGTTTCACCAACCATCTAAATGTTTTAGTAATTCTAAAAATTGATGCGCTTTTTCCACGAAAGGAAGTGTTACCACATTTTCCAAGTGGGAGGCATCTATATCCTTACTCCTTCATCCTCTCCTTCCCACCCCCTCACCCCCCACCACCCACACAACATCTGCAATTCTTAAACTAAAGCACAAATTGTTACAAAAGTTAATTGCACTTTCAAAGGAATGCTTGTATAGAAACTTTCTCGGCTTCAAGGAAAAATAATACGCTTTGAATGGCTGTTCAACAGCATAGAAATTAGCTGAGTAGAAGGCACTCATATAGCCATTAGGACCAATCCTTTCTGCCGCCAACACCCCCCTTATAAAGACTTGACAGTGGGCCAGAATAAACAACTTCAGGATGAATTCAGTTGAGACACAAAGTACACACTTCCAGTTTTTCCCTTCTCTGGTTACTGGCCTCAATAACCAGGCAGTCAACTTAAAAAGAAAAACAAAAGCTTGCTTCAGATTACAGATTGCAGACTTCTTATAATATGTCCATTTCACCAGGCCCCGCTCTCAGCCCCGGGAAAGGCCACTGGAAACCACCTCACATGGTAGGGCCTTGCGGGAGCCAGTAATAACCTTATCTCCGTCAACATGTTCTGTCAGATTGAATGGGGCAGCCAGAGAAGCCAGAGTTGGCACAGGAACCAAAACAAAGGCTTCCCATCCTCCTGGAGTGAGCGGTTGAGCCTGGATTGGTGCTTAGACCTATAATGGGTGCAAGCAGCGTTCATTCATAGTGGCTTTCTAGACCCAGGGACTTGGCCCCAGCCCTGCTGCTCCACTCCTCTTCTTGCTTCATTACCACGAGTCTCCTAGACCACCGAACGATGCCTGCATTTGAAAGACACTTCTGCTGATCAAAGCAGCTGATGTGTCCCTTTGCGGTTCATTTCTAATTGTCCCCAAGGAGGAGAAATTCAAATAGTTTATTACTGAGAGTTAAAGAAATCCACTGAAATATTCTTTGGTCTAAAATTACTGTCATGGCGGAGCAGCTTCACCTTAGTCATTGCCCTTAAATATGAAAGCTATTTAAGAAAGTTTGCCCTTAAATATGAAAGCTATTTTAAAAAGTTTAATGAAAGAAGAGAATCACAAAACATTTTCAAAAAGCAAAAGAAAACCTAAGAGAAAAGTTGAAAGTAGGAATTTTTTAAAGAATATACGACGTGTGTTCTGTGACTCACCCCTGCAAGTTATTTGTGTGTATTCCCTTGCATAGTAATTAATAATGAAGCAAAGCATGGCAATGATATCTTTTCTTGTCTAGTATTCTAGAAGACTCCATGTTTTTGGAAAATATCACTCTAGTTAGATCTCAAATATATTCAATCAGAAAATGGGTTTTCTACAAGATTCTATATCTGTAGTCAATAGCAAATATAATTCTATTAAGCTAGTAGGATGTGATAGGAAACTAAAACCTAGGGGAGACCAAAGCAAGGAAAAATACTTCCTCATCCAAACTTGAGAGCAATTTACCGTCAGGCCTACTATTAATAGATGGAATACAGATTCCATTTTCATTACTCAACTGCCATATTCATTATTACACTGTACAGAAAAGGGAATCACATCTGTTGAAAACTTATATATGATGTTCATGCATGCATTCCAGTAATTCAACAATTTTTATTTATCTTTTTATTGCTTGCTAATTTTTCAAAATAATAAGCTAAAGAAAACAAAATGTTTGTGCTGTTCTCAGATGACATGTTATCTCTTTAAAGGACAAAATGTGCTGTGAAATAATAGAATGCTTTCAGCACTCAAGTGTGAGTGAGTGCTCATACATGAGAGAAAGCCGTGGGGACTACAGAAGCCAAGAAGCAGATCTAGCTGGGGAGGCCTTTGCAGAGGATGTAGTTGTGTGGAGAGGCCACACACGTGGAATTCCCAGGAGGGCTGTGGAGGCGGGGAATCTGCAGGAAAGCACTGGGGTGAGAAACGTGATGAGAAACAATTATTGTCTTAAAATATCTGCAGGGCTGTAAGGTAGAGAAGCAATACGTTGCATCTGTGTTAAGTCAAACAAAATTATCAAGGGACTGGTTTCAGCTTAACATAAGGAACAATTATGTGATAGGGTTGTCAATAACAAGAGTAGACTGCTTCTTCACACACTCCTAGTCACTCAGAATGGTCCAGGAGGAGTGGACAACCATTTGGTAGAGTATGGGAAGGCAGGGGCCCTGGGTGGGAGTGGTGAGGGTAGGGAGTGAGTATCCCAATCTAGAAGTAAATTGTGCCCAGCACGGAGCTGCAACACTGCCCTGCACACAAACACACACAAATAACAATCCCCAGCCCCTGCATTTCCCTCTCCGGTTTCAGGACCTTGTATCTTACTTCAATTCCTTTATTTAGCTGATGATGAAATAGGAAGAGCTTAGCACTAAGAAAATCCTTTTGGAGTTTGGCCTTGGGGGAAAATGAATCACTCCAACCAGGTCTGTCTTCTAGAAAGTATAGGATGAAAGGGCTCCTCATCACATACTTCCTGACCTCCTGCTAGGCCTTTCCCTAAAACAGGGGCTGGCAAAGCACAACCTGTGGGTCACGCCTAGCCTGCCACCTGTTTTTGCAAATAAAGTTTTATTGGAGCATGACTATATGTATTTGCTTACAGTCTGTGGCTGCGTTCACACTATCCCAGCAGAGTTGAATAATTGGGACAGGGACCATATGATGGGTGAAGCTGAAAACATTTACTCTCTGGCTGTATTCAGAGGAGGTTTACTGAGCCCTTCTCTGAGACATGGCAAGCGCTGCTTCAGGCTCATGCTTCACTAGATTCAGGCCTGGGGCAGTAAAGAGCCAGCTCAGGATAGCACTCCCGACTCACTCATTTTTTCAGGCAGGGGAGCCATCTAATGTCAAGTGCCTACGTGCAGGAACTGGTCTGTTAATTAGCAGCTCTCCTCATGGAAGGGATAATATATTCTAGAAACAGGAGTGCGGCCCTATTGCAAGAATGTCCTGAGCCAAAATTAAGATTCTTCTATGGCAGAAACTTGGCTGGGGCTTCTCCTGAGTTAACTTGGTAGTTGTTAGTGATTTTTGAGTCAGTTTTTCCTTGTCAACGACCCCAGGAATGAGTTTGGGATTACAGGGTAGCCAGGGAAAGGGAAAGCTTCACGCCCGCCCCCGGGACAAGGTCTGTCTTCACACTGCTACATCCCTTCACCCACTTTAAAATGAAACTTAAAAGGAGGATTTCAGTTGAGTAGGAAGTGAGAAGAGGGCTCATTTTAAAACAAGCGTTAAATGAAAACCCACACACACTCAGAGCACACAAATCCAACCACGCTTACAAAACCATCACAGAGGGTCAGGCGAGGCCCTTTTCTAAATGAAAAAGAACAGGGGTGGAGACTGTTCTGAGAGCATGCTGGGTTCCCTGAAGGGAATTCTCAGCTGTATGTGCCCCGCACAGGATCCCTGCTAGACACAAGGCCAGCTGCCTTCCTTTCAAGCCGCAGACGCATCCCTGTGTCCAGGCGGGCTGGTCAGCTGCGGTCAGCACCAGCTTCCCCGCTCCATGGTGAGGTCATCACAACATGTGAGCAGGAGGGCAGGCCGGCAACCTCTGAGTGCTTAGAGAAAGGGACGGGATTCCTCCTGTGCAACCCCTCTAGTCTCACTCAGACTCAAGTCTGACTAAGGGGCCAGGTGCTTTGACCAGGGACTCTCCCCTCTCACTTCCCTCCCAGGAGTCACAGGTACATGAGTCCTTGTTTTACAAATGAAGAAAACAGACCCAACATGATTAAGATGTTGCCTTCATAGGGGTGGCACCAGGATTCCAAACCATGGACTCCACTGAGCCCAGTGCCCACTGACATGTGCCAGTAACAGTGCAGCTGCCTGTGGTTCTGTCGACTAAACTGCCGGCAGAGGCTGGCTTTCCACCTTCTTTTTTTTTTTTTCACTCTTCAAACACTTTATGACATGAACATAAACTACTGGCTGCATCGTTCTGCTGACAACATGACATGTTTCTATAACTTGAAAAAAGCAAGCAGTGGACTGCTCATTGGTAAAATTGAGTCAGTAATCTTTTAGGAAGGTTATTTTTCTTCCTTTTACTGCTTCTCATCTGTTCCCCGCAGTAAAGAGGACAAGATGACGACGACTCAGGGAACACCTCCAGCCTGAAGCAGCACCATGCGAGCTTAGACCTTAGGGTCGGCTTAGAAACCACAGGCGGGGCGGCTTGGGCCCCTCGGACACTCCCTCTCGAAGCTGCTTCTCCCCAAGCTACCCCAAAGGCACTGAGCGCCCTCTGCCCCCCAGCAATTCAATTCACTGGCTGTCCTGCTCCTGTCAGTACTGAGAGTTGCATGTTTGACCCTCGGGGGAAAAGTCCAGAGGCCCTGGGGTGTCCAGCATGCTCTGAGGTCCCTGCTGCTGACCCCTTGCGCTGTCAGCATTCAGAGACATTCACACAGCACAGCCTCCCAGGCTAACAGCTGTCATGGAACAGTGGAGCAGCTAGACGTGGCCATTCTGTGGCCCAGTGCTGCAGAGGTCAAAGGGACAAGCGCAGGGAGCATCTTTGCTTTCAGAAAAAAAAAAAAAAAAAAGAAGCACACTGGTGCACTGACCTGCTCCTGGTGTCTTTGTGATTGCTCTTTTCTTTCGATTTTTGGTTGTCTTTTTTTTTTTGAAAGAGGGGCTTTTATGCTTTTTTCCTAATGTTCATGGGTAAACCAATGTAAATGTGTGTATGTTTATAGAGATGGCTTTAAATCGCAATTCTGCAGTAGAGATTGATTTTTTAAAAAACATGGGTAAAAATTGAAGAAAAATTTTAAAAGAACATTTAAACCATCTTGGGCTAGGGGTGGATATGCACCACCCCACGGAAGCCAAACAAAATCTCTCTGCAGATAAACATTTGCAAAAAGAATTTCCAATCCCAATTTTTGAGTCAGAGATCTTTTATTTCCTTGCAAATTACATATCTGTTTCAGGATTTTTGACTATAAGAAGAATGAATGAAGATGTGTTTCTTACAGATAACTATGAACAAACCAGGAAGGATAATAACTTGTATCCCCCAATTCGAATCCAGAGGATGGGAAGGCATAAAAAAAAGAAATGGAAGAAACTTTATTTTTAGTGGTAAATGGTGGGACTATGTATTTTACGTATGGTGAAGTCACCAAGCCCAACACTTGGCACTTGTAGGCAAGGTAGTCTTCTAATCTGAATGTGAAGTATTATGTTTTCATTTGCTTGGTAATGAGGAATATTGGTGCTTTCGTCCCAGTTCTCGAGCTGACTGACTTCTCTTTCTGACGTGTGTTCCTTTAGCACACCTCTACACTGCATGGCTCTGAGATGTCCTGTGACTGTTTCATGTGTAAAGTTGCCTCCCCAAAGGACTCACATATTCCTTCAGGGCAGTGAGTACTTCTGATTCATCCTTAGCAGCTACCTTCGCGCTACTTTACTAGATATGTTGTAGTTGAATTAATGAACAAAAGAACAAGCAACTTTGGTGCCTGGTGTGCATCTCAGAGCAGGGTGGAGTGAGCCTGGCCAAAGGGTCATCATGCAACCTCTGTGGCTGACTCCATCTGGCCACGGAGCTTCTCAGCCATGCTTGGTATTCACATGACTTCTAGGGCGACAGCTCAACCAGCAAATAAACAGCTTCATATGGGAAATATTACTCAGCCTTTGTCATCAAGGAGTGAGTCACGGGCCTGAACTGAATAGAAGATAGAGGAGAAAAGGTGTGTGGACTGGGTGAGACAGCGCCCAGCGAGGTGAACTCCCGGCAGCCCTGCCTGTCTTTACCTGCACATCACCTTGCTAGGGTGCCTTCGGTTGTGAGGGCCTGTCTAGGAAGAGAAGAGTTGCACCCTGGCAGGCAGCACTGAGCTGTCTCATGCAAAGCTGAGGAAGAAAGAGTGAGCTGCCCAGTGAGCCTGCTGGGGTGGTGGAGGCTGGGCTGGGCTGTGCAGTCTGCAGCCCCCAGCAGCCCTTGGCACCTTTCTACTGCCTGGTGCTCACCAGCTCTCCAGTAACAAAGAGGGACGTGAAGTCAGAGGGGAAGGGAGGTAGCACAGGGCAGTCTTGACTTTGAACAAAGAGCTGGCTTCCTGAAGTCAGCTGGCCGGGTTTTGAAGCCGATTTTCCAGCAGTGATCTTTGATGCCAACCCCATTTAGGAATTCTGTATCTCCCCCTACCTTCTACCAGATGTCTCTGAGCTCACCTTTGGTGATAATCATGCAATCTCCGTCATCCCCACGTCCACACTGCCCCATTCTGTCCCACCCCGGGTTCTGTGGTGCTGTCGGCTCCCCAGCGAGCCAGGAAGGGAGAGGCCAGCTCTGCTGGGGCTCCTGCCGCCCTGGCTCTGCACTGCCCTTCTCTGGCAGGTCTGAGGCGCCACTGGAGGAGCCACACGGCCCTGAAGCAGCAAGGCAGATGCCCTGGACACAGTGGAGGCACAGAGTGCAAGCACCGGCCTGGCCCACAGACTTTTGGAGGGGAAGTGGTATTATTCAGTTCAAAAGTATGCCTGTGTGTAAAGAGAGAGCCCCTGAACATGAGTAAGCAAAAGTCTCAGCGCAGAGATTAGACAAGTAGAATGCTGGCCCGAGAGGAGGCGTTTACTCACCCTCTGTCTAGGAAGGAAAGCCAGGCCCAGCACGCTCACTGCTATCTATCCTCTCACACAGAGGGATTTTGAATCGAAGCCAGCATCCTGTCCTTTCTCCAATGTCCCCTGCTCAGGAGTCAGGACTCAGCAAGGCCCACCCCAGCCACACACAGATACAGTTCCAGGACTCAGAACTCAGCGAGGCCCACCCCAGCCACATGCAGGTCCAGTTCCAGGATTCAGGACACAGTGAGGCCCACCCGAGCCACATCCAGGTCCAGTTCCAGGACTCAGGATTCAGTGAGGCCCACCCCAGCCACACACAGGTCCAGTTCCAGGACTCAGGACTCAGCGAGGCCCACCCCAGCCACATGCAGGTCCAGTTCCAGGATTCAGGACACAGTGAGGCCCACCCCAGCCATATCCAGGTTCAGTTCCAGGTAAATCATCTGCCTTCCTCCGTCCAAAAGCCTTGTTTCCTGTGTGTCCTTGTGTTTAAAATGGAAACGTTATGAGAAACTGCCTGCCAGGGCAAAGGGTGCTGCCCGGCACACAGTAGGGACTCAAAATGAAACTATTGTATTGAATACATAACAGATCAACGGGTATTGCTTTCTGAAATCTTTTTTAGCCCAATTTTGTTTCTTATAGTCCAATAACAGGTCAAATTCATTTCTGATTTACTAGCCATTCAGTTGCCCATAAAAAATGGAAAGTGATTTAAGATTATTAGTTTAAAAACCAATGAAGGTAAAACAGTTATCATTGAAGGCACATAGGCAGAAATAGATTGCAATAGTTGCTGCCATGTGAAGCCTCAGTGTCATGCTCCATATTTAGAGAGATCTATGATTTCTGAGGCCCTTTCATGTCCATGATCTCAGTACTGCTCACAACTGCCCTGTGAAA
Organism: Homo sapiens; assembly: GCF_000001405.40. Lineage (NCBI taxonomy): Eukaryota > Metazoa > Chordata > Mammalia > Primates > Hominidae > Homo > Homo sapiens. Next base: position 55,134,899 of record NC_000007.14, read on the forward strand.
TTCGCCGAGCTGGCCCCATGTCAATCAGAGTACACTGAGCACTGAGACCCAGCATGTTGAGATAACTGGCTAGAGATCATCCCATAATGGTACCATCACAATCTTCACACTGTAGAAGTTTGATGATGTCACTGGAAGCATATTCCACAGTCCCTTGTGAACTGGCCTTCCTGTGATCAGAAGCATCAGTGAACTCCCAAGAGGGTGGGAACTCCCAAGAGGTATTCTCACTCTACTTAGTGTATATTTTACAAATCACAAGCTTGGCTTTGGATTCTTTTAATGGCTAGAAGGAGAATCATGGGGTTGGAAGTCCACCAGTTTGGGTATTCTGTTCCCTAACTCAAAATAAAGAGATGTTATTTTCAAGTCTTCTGCTTGTTAACTTAATTAGAGATACATGAGTTTGCAGCTGTGCTGGGCATGCCGCAGCTTGGCATGTTTAGTCCAGAAGGCATATTATAATGTACATGGAAGATTGTCAGAAATTCAAAAGGACTTTTTGAGTATCACATGTGTATTTTCAAGTTCCAATATAGATTCACATTCAGTTTGACAGGTATCTTTGGATGCCTATCAGTTAAGAACTATTTATTAGTTGTGGAATAAAATAGGGTAAAATAAGGAACAACTGAGGAAAAAACATAAAATTTGCTTTGTGAATAAAAGTTGTCTTCAAAATTATGACTTTTTCCATCCCACAAAAGTTTTGATTAAACCCACAATGAAAATTTAAATAAGTGTATTTACTTTGGTTTAACCACTTATTTCATTATGACTCACAACTATAGGTTTTCTAGTTTCCATTATTACAAACTATTGTGTGGTTTAAATCAATTTCATAGACTAGTCTAGTTCTATAGTCACAATTTATAAAATTTTTTTATGTGGTAAATTGAGTGTCTTCATAGATGTACATGATTATTTCTCAATTTTTAAGGAATGTATTTTTTAAGATAGCCTTCTTTAGCCTTCTTTAACACTGATTTTTGTAAATTTTTTACAGATTTTTTTAAATTTTTGGTAATTTTTTAGCATAAAGTAATACATGGTCACTATGGAAAACATAAAAACACAAAAACTATGAAGAGTAAATAAGAAAAACACCCAGAAATTTACCATTCAGAAAAGGTCATTGTTAACAACACGGTGTATCTTCCTCCTGTCATGCTTCCGTGCATTTGAGCACATTTGAGATGTGTATACATGTTCACTTTGAGATTTTAGTATAGCAAAAGAAATGACCGGTCCTGATTCAATGAAACCTCTGGCAAACTCGCTATATTTTCCTTACATATTTTTAAGTTCATCCTATAAATGAACTATCCATTCATCTTATTTGAGATTTTCTTAAATCTTTCAGCAAGAAAGCGGGAAAAAAATCCTCCTCTGGCCTTTAAAGCCTAATTAAATATATGACTAAGCTAGAAATATTTTATAATGACCAACCAGAAAGTGGCAAGGACTGTCACTCTTCCCATACAGCCCACCTCCTCCTCTATCTCCCTCAGGCACACGGAAACGAGAAAGGCAGAGAAACCCAGGACAAGTCATCCAAGACTTTGGTCACATGGCCATCCATTGCTTTCACAACAAAAATATAAATCCAACATGTGTGTGTGCATTTCATACCAGTAGGTCCAATAAGCTATCTATATATACACATATGTGTACACACACACACACACATCCTTACAGACACTCCCCAGCTTACTACAGTTTGACTTAAGATTTTTTGACTTTACGATGGTGTGAAAGCAATGCACATTCAATGGAAACCATACTTCTAATGTTGAATTTTTTATCTTTTCTTGGGTTAGTTGATGTCTGATATGTTACTTTCTTGCGATGCCAGGCAATGGCTGGGAGCCAGAGCTCCCAGTCAGCCATGCAATCAAGAGGCTAAACAGCTGATACTATACAGTGGACTGTGTCACCAGCATTTTGGGGATATTGTGTTTTGTGTTTTTGAATCCTATCATGTCTACAAAATGCCATTTTCGACTGCTATTTTCAATTTAGGGTGGGTTTATCAGGACATAACCCTATGGAAAGTTGAGGACCATCTGTATATCTGGTAGGGAAAGATGGATAACAAATTCATAGGCAAATAATAATTTCATGATTATTATTAAGTTATTCCTACTTAATAATAAGTAGTGATCACTGCCAGGGAGCAGAGAATGCAGGATAATGTGACAGATGTAATGGTGGGTACTTAAGCTAATGTAGTTGCAGAACAGGCTTTTCTAGAGGGTAGGCCTTTAAGCGTACCTCGAAGATGCAAAGGAAGCAAAGATGCGAAGATCTGGGCTGGGGATGGAAGCAGAGACAACTTGGAGGCCAAGGGGAGAGACTGACAACAGCCCAGCTCATACCTCAGCAGCCTTTAATGCATAGCTAAGAAAACAACAAATTAAAACAATTATAGTTTACTTAGACGATTCTAAGTGTCTAAGTGGATTTGGGCAAATCTGGAGAAACTTGTTCTAATACTGTGTCTTAATAAGTAATATAGATTTGCCCAGGCTTGTGGGCAGAGTGGTATACACCCCATAATAGCAGAGGAAGGCCACAGGGCCTACCCTACAAAACCAGAGGCATTTAAAAACTTAAAGGAGGCAGATTGCTTTTATTTTCAGTTAAAATAAAGTGAGGAGTTTCTCAAGAAAAATAATAACGAGACCACCGGCCCGCCCTAGATGTCCAACAAGAATGCACAGATAACTTCGTATATCCACTTTCCTGAACCTGCCCCTGACAGCCAAGTGGAGCACAACAACAGAGATGAACCTCAAAACTACTGTGCTGTGACATAAGGCTTGCTCAAGAGGACAGTGTGGTGTGAGTCCATCTATGTTCTAAAGCAAGCAAAGCTATTCTGTAGTGAAAATGGATCAGGACAGCAGTTGCCTCTGGTGTATGGGGGCAGGGATCGACTGGGAGGGGCATGAGGGATGACAGTTAGGGTTTCGATCATGACAGGAATTCAGATTACTCCAGCATGTGCATTTGTTAAAGCTCATCAAATGCTACACTTAAGATTAATCCTCTCACAGTTTGTGGATGTTACCTTAAAAACAACAATGATGACTGCAAACTAATATTGAACTCTGGTTAGTGATATACCAATGTGAAGTATAGTGATATCTCTACTTTACTTTAAAATGCATCCAAAGGCAGACTAGAGGACCATATCTGACAGACAGAAAAATAGATATGTGATAAGGTGAATGTAGTAAAATGCTAACATAAGGATGTTTGCGGTACAATTCTTTCAGCTTTTCTATACATTTATAAATCATAATAAAATTTTAGGACAAAAAGTTAGTGCTTTGAAGTCCTAAGTCATAGGGCCTGCTGCTCTTGATGCAGTAGAATTTGTCTTCAGATTTGCAAAGGGTAAGGCAAACCACTAGCATTTTGTATGGAACTTGATGCAAATACTTTTAATTGTCTGGTTTTCAAATGTATAGACTTAAAGTAATATCAACTCTTTCTTTGAATCAACTACTGAAATACCTAGTCTTAAATAAATATTTTTATGTAATCCTTAAAGTACTATGTATTCATTTTTCTTTCTTCTTTCTTTTCTGGTTTGATAAATATTCTATAAAGTAACTGTGTTTAATGGCCAACATTTGAGTAAGTCCATATGCAGATCCAAACATCTCAGTTTAGACAATAACTTAAGACAATATAGAGTGGCTGACATCCCCTAACGTGGGTCCAGATGCATGTTATGTTATGTTTCTGTTGCATTCTCAATAGTTAACTTTAATAAAAGAAAGTCAAAAGCTTATATATTTTTTCAATCTTCAAAACATTTCTGGGAGGTTGTCTTAGTTAATTTTATGTTGCTATACCCATATCACAGACTGGGTAATTTATAAAGAAAATAAATGTATTTGGCTCATGGTTCTGGTGGCTGGGAAGTCCAAGAGCATGGCATTGGCATCTGCTTGGCAGCTGGTGAGGGCCTTCATGCTGTGTCAATCTATGGTGGAAGGTCAAGAGAGCATGCATGTGAGGTGGTGGGGAAGAGAAAAAGCGGGTTTAACTCATCCTTTTATCAGGGACTCACTCCCGTGATAGCTAACCCATTCTTACATGAATGGCATTAATCCATTCCTTAGGGCACAGCTCTCATGACCTAATTATAATACCTCTTAAAGTTTCCACCTCTCAACACTGTTGCATTGGTGATTAAGTTTCCAATAAACGCACTTTGGAAAACACATTCAAACCACAGCAGAGATCAACGTTATTGTCACCATTTTCATATTTGAGGAAAGCATGGCACAGAGAGCTTGGAGAAGTACTTCAAGGTCACCCAATGAGGAAGTGGCTAAACAAAAACCTTATCTTAAATTAATTAAAAACCTCTTGCTCTTTGCAGTTTTGTCTTAAATCTACCTAATTTGTGACTGTAATTTTTAAGTAATTTACTCATATAAGTGGTCTCACATTAAATTTTCTCATTGCTTTATATTTCTAACATGAGATATTTGGTATAAGGATGGAACCAAGATCATACCTTGTTTTAATTAGAAAACCTAGACCAAGTCATTGTGATCCTCATCCTAGATTTCAGTTAAATGCTGCTGTCTCCTTTTGGGTATGTGACAGGGGAAAGCCTCAGAAGAAACAACCTTATGTGTTTTCTTTTGATACTTTAGTAATTAACCCAGGATAGTATTCAAGATTGACATGCCTTATATTGAATCAAATAGCATATCAACTGCCTTCTTATTCTCAAGTATAGACATGTTGGGTAATTGGGCATTTAAGTTTCTTTGCAATTTTTTCCATTATTAACAAAATTAATGAGCAACATTCTGCATAAGGTCTGTTTCCTCAGAATACGTTTCCCAAAGTGGAATCATCATGACGTAGAATTTAAGCATACTTACTTGTTTAAACAAATTGTCCAGTTGCTTCCCAAAATGTTTTGTGAATTAAGATTTACATCAAGAATATGTAATGTTGTTACTGTCTCCCAAATACAGGATCTTTTTCTGAATATAAAAGTTATACATGCTAATTGTAGACAATGAAGGGTCATTATCCTCATAGATAATGAAGTGCTTCTAATACTTGTGCTTTTATTCATTTATTCAAAAAGTGCTAAATAAGCCCTGAAGGGGCTTTTGGGGGGTCATTTGGGGCTTATTTAGCACTTTTTGAATAAATAAATAAAAGCACAAGTACAGTTTTTTTAAAATACTGTTTTCTATAATAGATTAATCTTAAATGGCATGTTTTCCTTTATTTTACTGACAAAAGTTACTTACTCTGTGATTGAATAATAAAAATTCTTTGGTTCAGCTGAGAGAAACTTGCAAGCTGACGTCCTTGATTATTTAAAATGAAAGCAGCTGCCTGTTTTCATCTCTCTGCATCCTGAGGAAACTCTTCTGCAACGTGTTCCAGCCCTAGGTTCTAGCTGACCCTGTTCATCTGTTTGGCACGAGGGGCCCAACTAACACTTGCGGCTACCTGGACGACAGCCAATCTAGTTGGAATGAGAGTTAGAGGCCATAGTCTGTCAGCTGGGAAAGCAGCTTTTATTCCAAGGTGTGCCAACCGAAAGGCCACATGTTATTGTCACAACCTGGTACCTACATCAGTGCTGACATCTTTAAGAACCTTAGAATTGGGAAATCAGTTTAGCCCTATCTGCATGTGTAGCCGACAACCACACAATTGTTCCAACTTGAGGTTGCATTCAGAGCAACCTCATTTCCCCCATACTCCTGAGGAAAAGCAGACCAGAGACGCTGGGTCAATCCAGAGTTATGGTTGGAAAAATGATGGAATAATTCTGCCCCTGGTGATAGGAGAGAGGGACTCCATCTTGTCAACTGTCATGGTTCCCATGTGAAAGCTATCATTATCACTGAAATTGAATGAGAACACAGAAGGGAAGAACAGGGAAATCCCCACAGAGTTAAAGAGGATGTGAAGATTGCTTCATGTTTAATGTTTGTGTAAGTGCTTTGGGTTGGTTATGTGCTGTCTGAACATGTGCTCATTTCCATGGCTCATTGAGAGGGCAGACAGTCCAATGATACTCTTTAGAATCATTCCCATGGGGAAGGAACAAAGAAGCCTGTAAAATAGAAATGCACATGTAAAAAGCATTGAAGAAAGTGCCAGTGTATTGATTTTGGCCATGGTTTGTGCTCTACCACCTGGTTACTGTGATTGCAGAAGTGCCTTTGCAGATGAGGAAGAACCTGGCCAAGGCTCAATCCAACATCCAAAGCCAGAGGCCATATTTCTTCACTCTTAAGATAATTTGGGTTCAAATTATAGTCCCTTTACACACTCTCTGCCTCAAAAGGCCCAAGACTCTCTTTTGTTATGCTTGCCTAAACATGCCTTTCAAAGAACTAGTTCTGTAAATACAACTTTATTATAAACCTCTCCTTTGCTTTTAAAAATGGATCACCACGTCCATTTCTATGGTCCAACTTTGTCCCTTAATTTAAAATTTTTTCTTGGATTAAGTTTGATGCCTTGAAACATTAGGAACTCAAGCATACAAGATTGTATGCTGGTGGTGAGGGAAGTAACTGTGCCTCCGCCTGTGCTGGGTGGATCAACATGGAGTGTGGACGAGCATAGGGATGTGTGGGTTTCTCACTAGCTGAGAGTGTTTTTAAATGTTGTATTTTGATGTTTGTTATTTTCTGAATATTCTACAGTTAGACCTTTGATTTATTCTTTGATGCATTCATTTGAATAATATTTTTAATCTCCAGCCAGTTAGGTTTTTAATTTACACTTTTGTCCCTGATTTTAGGTGTAGTGTTGTGTACACTACTGCCCAGTGTATGTTATGTTTGTAAACATTCATTGCACGCACAACAATGTGACTCACAATATTTTTGAGAAGTAAAAAGTTCATTATATAGTTATTAACTCAACCCTACAGTTATATTCGTGAAATACCTTGTGAAATTTATTTTTTGCCTACTGGAGCTCTTACAGGTTAATCCTGTCTTCAAGATTTTCATAGAATTTTCATCTACCACCCACCCCTTTAAATTTCAACATTTTTTTATTTTGGCATTTTAATGCAATTCAATGCATTATAGGGACAAGCTATCTCTTATTATGAATTGCACCTTATATAAACTTAAAGATCTTTTATCACAAATTTCTTTGCTGTGTCCTTTAGTGAGAATTTGTATTATCAGTCACTAAAGCTCACTAAGTTAGTAAGCTTTGCGCCCAGATGACCTGGGCAGGAATGGGTGAGTCTCTGTGTGGAGAGAGTGAAGAAACTGCTACCCTTAATACCTGGACCTTGAGGGATTGTTTTATTTTAGTTTTTCTGCATTTCTCAGTATTTCATGTGATATCTGTCTTTTTCTTCCAGTTTGCCAAGGCACGAGTAACAAGCTCACGCAGTTGGGCACTTTTGAAGATCATTTTCTCAGCCTCCAGAGGATGTTCAATAACTGTGAGGTGGTCCTTGGGAATTTGGAAATTACCTATGTGCAGAGGAATTATGATCTTTCCTTCTTAAAGGTTGGTGACTTTGATTTTCCTACACAAATAAAATTGGAGAAAATCTAAGTGGAGAAAGGCCTGGGCAGAATTCCACTTGAAGTGTGTTTATTTTTGCTATGGCAATGACAAGTCTTACAGAGCTACAAACGAGAGTTTTATGAGAAAGCCATTTTACCAGCTAATGTCAAGTAATAACTAGAAAAGGATATCAAATAGAAACAGGCTAATCTGGAGTTCCATGTCATCATAGACACTGACGTTTATCCCTGACCATTACCTCAGTCATGATGTGCTGCCATACTCGCTCTTAAAAACTTTTTTTAAAAGCCCTGCTTTGCACCATTTGCCTATTCCCTTAGTGTAAATACTCCTACTATAGCTGATTTCAAGGTACCAAGTTTCACTCAGCTGGTCACAGAATTCTTATTTCACGATAGGCGCTAATGACCCCATAGGAGCCAGCTCTGAAGGCTTCAGAGTTTCACTGAATTTTGGATGGGGTTTACTTAGCCTTCTTCTGTTTTTCTTTTACCTTTCCTTTTTAAATAAGAAATAATGCAAGACAGATACAAAGTAATTCTTTTTAATTTCCATTTTCACTGGAGAGTGTTGAACCCCGTGAGGCATGAGAGCACAGTGTTCCAGAACAATGCTTACTGCTCATTATCACAGGGGTCAAAGGCTAACGTGCAGGGATTGTTGCAGATCGTGGACATGCTGCCTCCTGTGTCCATGACTGCAATCGTCTACCTATTTTACAGTTGTTGAGCACTCGTGTGCATTAGGGTTCAACTGGGCGTCCTAGGGCTCCCTGGACCCATTTTAGACCTTGAGTTCTTGAGTTCCTCAAAAGAGAAATCACGCATTTATGTTTTCTCTTCTTAGACCATCCAGGAGGTGGCTGGTTATGTCCTCATTGCCCTCAACACAGTGGAGCGAATTCCTTTGGAAAACCTGCAGATCATCAGAGGAAATATGTACTACGAAAATTCCTATGCCTTAGCAGTCTTATCTAACTATGATGCAAATAAAACCGGACTGAAGGAGCTGCCCATGAGAAATTTACAGGGTGAGAGGCTGGGATGCCAAGGCTGGGGGTTCATAAATGCAGACAGCAGTTCCGATGGCTCCCAGCGAGCTTGTCACTCAATTCCACCTCGGAGAAGGCTTTTATTTTTACCCAGTACACGTGCACTGAGTGCCGGCTGTGTGTAAGATACTGCAGGGGAAGTTACTGAGAAGATGGCAGATACTGGAATGGGAAGATTTAAGCGGGGTACCAGTGTTTACATGGACATGAAAAAATACTGAGAGATAGTAAGAAATCGTAAAGATTCTGAGTAAAAGAGAGTATGACCAAACAAGCTGAGCAGGAATCGTGAATCTATGTGTGTAGGCAGTGAATAAACTGCCAGTCTTATTACCTGGACCTCAAGGATAAAAGACATACAGTAAAAATCAACCCACATTGAGGACAGTTTCGAGAGTCGCGCTGCTACACAGAAAGCCCTGTGTAAGTTAAGGATAGAGAATGAGGTGTTCTAGAACTTTGAATTTTTGTGAGCAGGACTCGTGAGGTTCCTGTGAGAGGAAACAATGAAGGATGATAGAAAAGAAGGGAAATTGATTTTAAAAAACTGGAGATAGCAGTGATTGTGCCTCACTGTGCAGTGGGTTTGGGGCCAGGAATGTTAAATTGGTAACTTCATTTAACGCCCACAACCTTTCTTCAAAGTAGGCACTGTACAGATGCCCCTTGACTTATGATGGCATCCTATCTGGCTGGACCCCGCCGAGGGTGAAGGCGTCATTAGGTCGGATTTCAGGGCTAATTGAATGTATATTGCCTTCACACCATGGCAAAGTCGAAAATCTGTGTTAAATCATGCTAAGCCGGGGACTGGCTGTGCTCTGCCATCGTACAAATAAATAAATGGAAGTCAAGTAACTCCCTTGAGGGCCCCAGCTAGTGAATGGAGAGGCCAGCTATGGCCACCACTCTCTGCCCCAGGGCGCTCAACGCCCCTCCTGTGCCATGCAGTTCTGACAGGGAGGCAGTGCTGGTAGGAAAGGGGTGTGATGAAAGGGGTGCCCAGCAGAGGGAGTCATATCCGGAGTGACAGGAGCCCAACAGGGGTGCAGCGCTGGAACCCAAGCCAGCACCTCTGGTCATGGCTCCTCAGTTCACCGCCTATAAAATTGTGTGGTTCCCCCACACCCCTTGCTGCTCAGAGCAGCCGCGCACATGCTTGTGCTGTGCGTGCCTCCTGTGAGATGGCCTGGTACACCGGTTCCTACAGTGCGCCTCACACGCTGTCTCGGAGGGAGGCAGCCTGTGCGGGTGCCTGGACCTCCGAGCCAGACCCTCTGGGTTCCTGCCTGGCCCCGTCCCTCAGCAGCCAGATGGCTCGGGAGCACATTCTCCAATCCCTCCGTGTCTCTGTTTCGTCATCTTCAAAAATGTGGATGGCATAGCTGCTAAAAAATGGTGACATACTTCCTAGGTGGTGCAGAAAATTAAGTGACTGTAGGAACAGGCCTCAGCAGCTCCTTCCACTTCCTTGGTATGATTGTTTTTTAAACCAAGGCTGGGATTGTATAGATGCAGATTAGTTAATGTGATACCATTAATAGCTAACCTAGTGCCTGCTGCAGGGTGAGCCTCCCCTAAGCCACCGGGAAGCGGCTCCTGCAGCCTCCCTCACGTGTGCTGGCCCTCCTCTGGCAGTCATTGCCTGTGGTGTGCTGAAGGCCCAGCTCTGACTGTGCCTCTGTGCTCTCCTCGCCCCGCCCCCTGCTCTCTCTCAGGTCTTTGGTCTGTTGTCCGAGCTGCCACAGCAGCCTGGACATCCCTGTTGGTGTTTCCAGCCCTGTCCTCTCCTGAGTTCCATCCACCTGTGCATGGCTTTTTCATGAGTGTTTTCACGGATGGTTCTGCTGTCATCTCCAACCTGATAAACAAAGCACCACGATTCAGCCCTTATGACCCCAAGCTTCCTTCCTCAGTTCCTTGCTTCTGTGCATCCACTGAAGAAGCCTGTTCCACTGTTTCCCTGCACTGGGTCTCCTGTCTGCAGGAAGCCTTCAGCCCTCACTTCCACACTCCTCTAAGATGTGTGCCTGTGCCCTTCTGGGGAAGCTCATTTTCCTAGCAGCCTCCAGGATCTTCAGGGGTGAATCCCTCCTTTCCCACGTTGGTACTCTGTACACACAACATGCCCATTCCCTGCCTGGGGAGCTGGGCATTGCTTCATGAATCAGAGGTCAATTTTTTCTCTATTAAAGTCACAGATGCTCATTGCACCATTGTGAGAATGAATGAAGATAGTGCTTATAAATCAGCCAGCAAGGTACCCAGCCTCACTGTGTCAGGGTCTCCCTGGGCATGAGGTGGTTAGAGTGTGTGACATGTCTGTCCCCAAGCCTGTCAGCTCCCAGATCGAAGCCAGTGGATCTCATTCATCCTCGCAGCGCCCACAGCACTTGCACAGGGTTTTGTACACATAAGTCATTCTGTCAATGTTCATGTTTAATGTCATCAGTGGAACACTCCCACTTTGTAAAGACTTGAATGTGTTCATCCCTGACTTTTCCACATCTTGTTAGTTCTTCTTTGGAAACAGCTGTACAGTTTCACCATCCTGTGCATCCCTGGAGTCTACCTGTCTCTGTCATACATTCAGATTCTTCTTGTTTCGTGTCACTCTCATATCCTTTTCTCTAATGAAAAGCTCCGCCTGGGCATGCAAGGTGGAGCCCTGGATGCCAGCCCCTCACCTGGCATCCAGGGCTGTAGCACTCAGGAACTGCCTCCCTGCCCTGCCTACCCCCTACATCATGCGACCATTCCAGTCCAGCCAATCAGCCCCTTGGGACCCAGCTTACCACATGCATATCATTTATGCTGTGACCACTGACTAAACCATTCTCTTCCTTCCTCCCCATATTTCTAAATTTCTAATCATTGCTCAAAGCCCAATTCAGAGAAAACCCTAGCTCCTCCATGGCACCATCATTAACAATTTTATCTGGCCGCCCCCCGGGAAGTTCACTGGGCTAATTGCGGGACTCTTGTTCGCACCATGGCATCTCTTTAGCAGAACATAAATGCGAAGAGCACATGCATCCTTCATGGGAATTTAAAGGAGCTGGAAAGAGTGCTCACCGCAGTTCCATTCTCCCGCAGAAATCCTGCATGGCGCCGTGCGGTTCAGCAACAACCCTGCCCTGTGCAACGTGGAGAGCATCCAGTGGCGGGACATAGTCAGCAGTGACTTTCTCAGCAACATGTCGATGGACTTCCAGAACCACCTGGGCAGCTGTAAGTGTCGCATACACACTATCTCTGCCTCCAGCTCCTATGGGGGACAGCTCTACAGCACTGGGGCAGGGGAGAGAAGCCATGTTTAGTAAGTCACATTAATCAGAAACAAAAAGTAGTAAGCAAAATATCTGACCACTAGAAAAGCATGTATTTACCACGGACATAGAGATCGTTTTTTTGTGGCGGGTGGCAGCCCAGCTGGTTGGCAGTGCAGGCCACCGGAGGCAGATCCCCTGCAGGGACAGCAGAGCACTTGTGTCCTGAGAAGAGCTGCTGTTCATGGGGCTGGCAGCACCAGGGCCTCTCCTAGCCTGCCCTGCTGACACTGGCCAGACTCCTACATGCTTCTGAGTCTCCAGAGGCTACCCGGCCCTCCTGAAGCACCAGGGCTGAATCCACCCCCAGCTGAGGGCATGAACACTGCCACATGGAGTCACACACACAGCTGGGCACTGCCATGGAGAGGAAGTCTGTCCATGTTTCCTTGAATACTGGTGGCCTGGTCCCTGTCCCATTCCCCAGTGAGGCAGCCTGTGGGGAAGCCTGGCAGGGAACCAGGCGCAGGTCAGCGTGGCGCCCTGACTCAGGCCAGCACTGATGGGGGACTCTGAGACGCAAGCTCACACTCACCCAGCTCCCCTGGGCTGCGCCCGTTCCTGATCGCTTGGACTTTCTGTTCTTTAGAGTAAGAAGTGATCACCATTTCCTGCTTCTTTGTTTCTCCACAACTGTGCAGTGGATGCCTGTTTGTTTTCTGCCCTCAGAACAAAAAAAAAAAAAAATAGAGCTGACGTGAATCTTCAAAATCATCAACTACAGGGCTTTGGATTTTTGTGTATTTGTTTTATTTTCATTTTATGGATGGATTGTGATGAAATGCCCGTAATACAAGATTTTCCATCTTAACCATTGTAAGTTACAATGTCAGTGGCATTATACATCCACATGGGTGTGTGGCCATCACCACCGTCCACACACAGAACTCTTTTATCTTGCAAAGCTGAAACTCTACCCATTAGACAGTAACTCTCTGCTCTCCCTTCCTTCCCAGCCTCTGGCCCTGGCAGGCAACAGTCCACTTGATGTCTCTATGAATTTGACTGCTCTGGGGCTCTCATACAGGTGGAATCATGTAGTATCTGTCCTTTTGTGTCTGGCTTATTTCACCTAGCAAAATGTCCCGAAGGTTTATCCATGCTGTAGCACGTGTTAAGAATGTCCTTCCTCTTCATGGCTGAATAATATTCCATTGTATGTTGACACTACATTTTGTTTGTCCATTCACCTATCTACAGACACTGGGGTTGCTTCCATCTTTTGACTGTTTGAATAATGCTGCTGTGAACATGGGTATTGAGGCTCTTTGTTTTATAGACATATTATTCCACCAGATACCCATCCTGACACCTACTATGTTTGCAAGAAACTGAAAGCTTTATTTTACATTGCAAAATTTCATATTATGAGATCAAGGTTAGCATTTCCTCAGCTGTCTGGTGGACAATGGGGAGGTTAAACTGTGCACATTTTATTTTTTTTTAATGAACCTGGAACGGTTATGGGGCCAGTGTTTGCCATGGATCAGGTCAGGCAGCCCACAATGGCAGGTCTCCATGTTCTGTACAACAACTGTGGGAAAGACCCACAGAGAAAGTGCTGGAAAGGGGAATGATGGGTAGGTTCATGCAGTAAAAAGATTCAAATACTACAGGGCATTGAACTATAGGCCAATATAGCATTGCTTTAAGAATAAACAAAAAATAAGACAGTAAGAATAAGCCTAGCAAAATCAAAAGTCTATAAAGAACTGACATTTCAAGCCAATAAGAGAATAATTCCTTATTCAATAAATTGTCTGGAATGACTTAACTATTAGGGGTGAAAATATCAAAGTGAGAGAACTATAAAGGGTTTTTAAAAAGGAATTAGGTATGTTGGGTTAGTCGCATTGGAGAGTGCAAATTCACCATCGACCTGATACCTGAAATTTCCTCCTTACCATCTAGAGGCAAGTTGGGAATGCTGCCAGGCTCCTGTGGTAAAGGAAGCTCCTCTCTTGACTGGTGCTTTATGGCTACACGTTCCTGCTCAGAATGGATCTCATTTAGTCTTCACCAAAAAAAAAAATCTCATGAGATGATTTAAGTGTTTTATGGACAAGATGTCTAAAACTCAGAAAAATTTCACAGTGTGCCTAGCTTTTATGTTTATGTTGAAGTTGGGCATTAGAAGTTAGAATGAATGGGTTTACTTCAGAGAAAATTAAATCCATCACCCACTCCTTGTACTATGAATTCCAAATACATATTAAATACATATAATAAAATATTTAATATATATGTAAGTGCCAGAAGGAAACATAAATATGAATATTTTGTAATATCAAGTTGAAGAAAAGCCAAAATCTGACATCATAAAAGAAAACTTTCAAGTAAAATATGTTAATGGCTACCAGGAAAATATTGTGCAATGTCTGATTGCCATGAAGAGGGTTAATATCCTTGCTATATCACTCTGTGAAGTCATCTTTAAAAGACTAAGAAAAAGATGAATCTCTTAATAAAAACCTGGCCCAGAACATGAGCAGCCTCTCTCTCTCACTCTCACTGTCTCTCTTTCTGTCACACACACACACGCACACATACACACACACACACAAATATGGCCAAGAAATAAAGTAAAATGTTATTTCTAATGTAATAAGTAGGTCAAAATAGAAAAAGAAAGCATCACACCTTCCTTTGCAAAGTATTTGGGTTCCTTTTGCTTTTAAACACCTGGGTCAGCTGGGGTGTCGAGAAACAGAAATTCTCACGTTCTGCTTGTGGGCATATATGTTAATAAAACCAAGCTTGGCAATATGCCTGCAATATGTATCTAAAGCTTCAAAGTATGTATAGCTTTGACCAATCAATATCACATTTCGGAATAAGAGAAAAAGAAATAATGAAAGTGAAAATCATAAGAGATGTAGAAACATATTCTTATACAAGAATTCCTTGCAGCCTTATTTATAATAAATTTTGTGAACAAATTATATATCTAAAAATAAGAGATTGGTTGAAAAAATTATGCAGCAGCCATGCTATTGATAATCATGTTAGATAGAAGCATATTTAAAGGCATGGAAAAATTGCCATGTTTTATATGGGTTTTTAAGGTTATAACACAATGTATAGTGGGATTCCAATTCCTGTATATACATAGACTTATATGTCTATATTGATTAACTCTGGATGAGTCTCATGTCTTCTTTTTGCTTTCTTCTATTATCCATATTTTATACGATGTGCCTGCATTTCTTTTTTGTAACAGATGGTCAATACTAGAATCATAAACAGATCTTGTTTGTTTATTGGCAAATGTTTCCCGTTAGAAAAAGATGCATTTTTCTTTTAAATATTTTTATTTTATACAATGATTACAAGCTTATAATAGAAATTTGAAAATTATATGTGAGTACAGGGTAAAAAGTTGAAAGAATGGGATTGCACGCTACAGATCTAGCTGCTTTTAGCACGCCTGCGTAGGACCTTGCTTTCTCTAGACCTCTGTTGCAGTCTCTCTGCCTACCTCCTCACAACGTCCATCCCCCGCGGTCACTGTCGTGATGCCAGCCTCCCCGGCCTTCATGTCTCTAAGGAGCACCAGCGCGGCAATTAGCGCCCTTTGCCTTGGTGGTATTCTGGCTTCACAGTCACATGGGAGATCAATCGTCAGCTTTTCTGTTTGAAATCTAAATTCTTCCTGACTGCAGGGGACCTCGGGACCCATGAACACCTCTAGTTTACTATGTCTTCACAGTAAAAGATATCTGCATGACTGGACTCTTTAACAAATTTGGTGGTTAACCTACTCTTTCTATATAGATATAGCACTTCGACCTTCAGACTTCTCAATACTGATAAAAAGAAAACACGACAGATGACAGGAAAACCTTTGCAGCTATAATTTGTAATCGGCCAATTATAAAAACTGCAAAAATTGACCAGATAGCTAAGGTTTTACACAGTCATGAAAGTGATCTGCACTGTTAACATTTCACCCTCTGTGCACCATTCTGTGCTTCTCTCTGGTTTGGAGTCTAGAAGGTTTTATTTACAGGCTATGACTTAACAATCCCAGAACGGCTGACACATGCAGTCACTCAAGACTGGACACAGCAAGGAAGTAGTGGGTCCATGCCAAAGGCTCAGCCAGACGAGACACTCTAGCTGTGGCAGGAGATGCCAGGGAATGCTCCAAGCCTAAGCAGATTGTAAACAAGGAACCTCAAATTCATGAAAAATTCTTGCTTATGTGGCCCATGTCAGTAATTACTCTCTGCCTCAGTTTCCGCAGCTGACATGTAAATAAAAGCAGTTCATGGTTCATCTTCTTTTCTTATCGGGGTCTCAAGTGATTCTACAAACCAGCCAGCCAAACAATCAGAGAATAAGTTGAAAAGATTGTCTTCATTTATTGAATGTGCTTAACTCAGGCCCGGGAAAGGGCGTCATCAGTTTCTCATCATTTCACTGAGATATGCATCTATTACTTTTACATTTCAGGCCAAAAGTGTGATCCAAGCTGTCCCAATGGGAGCTGCTGGGGTGCAGGAGAGGAGAACTGCCAGAAACGTAAGTCAGTGAACAGCCTCAGACCCATGTGTGACCGCCCCTCTCTTCCTTCACTTGCTTAGGTGATTGGATTTGTTTTCCCTCTGAAGACTCCAAAGAGTTACTTTATTACAGGGTCAGATGTGAACCAGTAGGTGAAGGACAGTCTTGCAAATCTCACCGCATGCAGTTAATCCAGGGTGGGCTATTTTGGGAGCTTCAGCCTATCACAAATAAGTGAACATCAGCAGGGGCTGGGCGCGGTGGCTCACCCCTATAATCCCAGCACTTTGGGAGGCGGAGGCGGTCGGATCACGAGGTCAGGAGATCGAGCCATTCTGGTTAACACAGTGAAACCTCGTCTCTACTAAAAATACAAAAAATTAGCCGGGCGTGGTGGCGGGCGCCTGTAGTCCCAGCTACTCGGGAGGCTGAGGCAGGAGAATGGCATGAACCTGGGAGGCGGAGCTTGCAGTGAGCCGAGATTGTGCCACTGCATTCCAGCCTGGGCGACAGAGCGAGACTCCGTCTCAAAACAACAACAACAACAACAACAACAATAAGTGAACATCAGCAAGTACCCCAGCCCTGTCCTCTGAACACAGCACACTTTCCCAGGAATGGAAGACTTGCTCCTGTTGACAGCAGTCACCAGACTTCTTGTTTCCTCTCCCTCCCTGGCTTTCTTTGGTACCCACCTACACAGAAGCCTGAGCACGGGTTCTCATGGGGACTTTTCCATGTGGACCCTGCTTTACGATGGAGAGGGCCATTCTCCTAGGTATGGTTGTCTGGCTCAGCCTCTCAGTGGCCAAGGAACCTGGGGACATGAGCTCAAAAACGGACACTATGTCCTTAAGCTGAATTGTGGGGGGGCTGTTAGGCCCTTCTAAACACTACTTCCCAGCAGGTATTTTTGTTCTTTGTATGTGCTTTCTGCATTGCCCAAGATGCATCTAATTATTTAGCAGGTCTCAAAGTCTAGACTTGATCTCATGAGTTCTCTTAAGTGATTAAAAATAAATCAGGAGAAAAAAGAGGCAATCAGAAAAGGGCATGGTTTGACTTAGTTTGAATGTGGTTTCGTTGGAAGCAAATGTGTCTTCACTTTTTCATGAAAAAGTCTGCAAGTGCTCTGCGACATCCCTGGGAAATGATCCTACCCTCACTCTTCAGCTCACAGGGAACCTTTGCTCTTTTTCAGTGACCAAAATCATCTGTGCCCAGCAGTGCTCCGGGCGCTGCCGTGGCAAGTCCCCCAGTGACTGCTGCCACAACCAGTGTGCTGCAGGCTGCACAGGCCCCCGGGAGAGCGACTGCCTGGTAAGATGCCCCTCCAGCAGCCTCCCTGGAGCAGGCTGGGGCTGCACCCGCCCCACCCACACCAGGACAGAAGACTTCCTGTGGGGGAGCTGTCAATTAGCATTTGTCATAACAGACAGGATATTGCCCTCTGCCTGGTGACAAAGTATCTTTAGTATCCTGCCTCCACCACTCACTGAGACCTTGGGAAAATGATGGGACTACCATGCCTCCATTTCCTTACCTGACAATGATGCATAACAAAGTCTCTCCCAGTTGAATGCTTAAATGATGAGATGCCTGTGATGTCCGTCATTAGGACCTGGGCACAGAACAAGCACTAAATACTACATGCAAGTATTTGTCATGAATGTGCCTTGTTGCCAGCAGCACACTCTCTTTATTGTTTGACTTCGGCTATACCTCTAGAGACTTGACACTGTGAGGTCCCTAAGAGACCCATGGAGAGCCACACAGGTCTTGCTGGCTGGGGCTGGGTTAGGGCCTCCTGACACGGATCCCTCGGCTCCTCCACCACTGCTCAGGCACCTCCTGAGCTGCACCCTGCCCTCAAGGGGTCCTGAAGTACTCACTGTCGCCCCATTGCTCCAGAAAGTGCCAGCAGAAGCCTTGCTGCCCCAGCGGGCTCTGAGCAGCACTGGAGGGTACAGGTCAGAAGCGTCTTGGAAGTCCTGGAGACGCCAAGGCTGGTGGATGTGACTCCTGGAGTGGGAGCTGGTGTGACGAAGCCCTTCCTAAGACTAAATCCAGAGCACTCTGTGGTTTCAGAGAAGATTCCTAAATTCCAGAGTTTGGACCCAGACCCAGGAATTGTGACTTGGTTGGCCTGAGCTGTTTCTAATGTGAGCCCCAGGGAGAAGACTGTGCGTGGGGTTGGTCCTAGGAAAAGCCCTCGCTGTATTGGGTCTGGCTCCTTTACACGGCATTGTTCTAGCAAGGCTTTCTGCCATTCAGCAATACATTATAAAATATACCCTCAATTGTACTTTATAAGGGAAGCCCAATGTCCTTTATAAGGGAAATTAAACATAATTTCATTCCATAGTCACCGCTATAATGTGTGAACTCCATCATCTATACGTTAGTAAACAGACGTATTTTTATCATAATCCATAAATTATGATAGGTGGGACAGTGCACCTAAGAAAAAAATGGACTTTTTAGAGAAGGGTCTTTCTGACTCTGCAGAGGGCGCCAGCTGGGTTTTCCCACACTAGTGGAACACTAGGCTGCAAAGACAGTAACTTGGGCTTTCTGACGGGAGTCAACACCGTGCTGCGCTTCCTCCGTGTGTGGCGCTGAGTGTACTTACCTCACTTGCCCAGCGTGTCCTCTCTCCTCCATAGGTCTGCCGCAAATTCCGAGACGAAGCCACGTGCAAGGACACCTGCCCCCCACTCATGCTCTACAACCCCACCACGTACCAGATGGATGTGAACCCCGAGGGCAAATACAGCTTTGGTGCCACCTGCGTGAAGAAGTGTCCCCGTGAGTCCTCCTCTGTGGGCCCTCTAACTGGTCAGGCATCCTTGTCCCGCTCTGTCTCCTGCTGAGCCCTGGAGTATCCCATCTTGGAGAGTCTTTGGGTGGATGTGTTTGCCTTGCTTGGAGGAGGCGACCCTGTGCCCGTCCAGGCACACAGGCGAGGGGAGGGGCTGGCTTGCTACCGAGGAGCGGGCAGGTGGTGGCCATCTCCACCCATGGGGGCTGCTCAGTGCACAGGGCAGATCTGGGTGGCCAGGCCACCTCACAGGAGAAACACCTGCTGCTCAGCCCTCACCACTCATCCAGCAGCCACAGCCGTGGGTATTCAGTTGTCTGCTGGGCACAAAGCCGTGGGCATGCCACTGTTTAGTGCTTGTGCCAAGCAGGTATTTAATACACCGAAATCAGAGAGTCTATCAGAAGACCTGCCTTCTTGAGTGGTTAAAATTCTAGTGAAAGTTATGCCTCTTAGGAGTATTGCAGAGGTTTTGTTTTTGTTTTTATTTTGTTTTGTTTTAATGGTTTGGGTTTGAGTTTTGCTTGTTTGTACTTACATTTGTACTGGTGGCTCCAGGGTTTAGGGAAATTGTGACATAAAATAATTCCTGACAGAGAAAGCAAAACTTTGTCTAATGAAAGAGTTTTAGAAGCCACTCTTGATCTCTAGAAGGGGAGATTAACTGAGAAAAAAAATTGAAAGAACAATTATGAGGGGGAGATTTTACCCTGCCAGATTTGTGTACATGAAAAATTTTACATTCCGTATGGAAAAAAAAAACACAAAATAATAAGCCATTATAAGGTAAATGACAAACAAAGCTAAAGAAAAATGTGCCACAGTGATGACACAGATATATCTTTGAGATAGGGCTTAACAGAGCTTTAAAATCCATAGGAAAACACTTCGAGCCTGAGATACCAAGAGCAGATGGTTCACAGAAGAATCATCAATGTCCTATAAATATTTTTGAGGATCTTCTTGGGGAACTTAAAACAGGAACAGGCCAGGCACAGTGGCTCATTGGCTCATGCCTTTAATCCCAGCACTTTGGGAGACTGAAGGGGCTGGATTGTCTGAGGTCAGGAGTTTGGGACCAGCCTGGCCAACAGGGTGAAACCTCGTCTCTACTAAAAATACAAAAATTAGCCGGGCGTGGTGGCGCACGCCTGTAATCACAGCCGCTCAGGAGGCTGAGGCAGGAGAATTGCTTTAACCCAGGAGGCGGAGGTTGCAGTGAGCTGAGATCACACCACTGCACTCCAGCCTGGGTGACAGAGCAAGACTCCATCTCAGACAAACAAAAAAGGAAGACATAGAGCTCCTAAAAATAACGCAGAAGTCTGCTATTAATACAAATGAATTACTTTAAAGGTGAGAGCAGGTGGAGGAGAGGGCTGAGGTGCCTGCTGGGACGCAAAACAGCTGGCCCCTCAAGGGACCCAGTGTTTCCTGCCATGATGAAACACCTGTATTGTCCACATTGCGGCCTAGAATGTTATTAAACTCTTGAACGGGATTCCTTCTCTATTTGCAACCTTTCATTCTTTGTCCTTAAAGTAAATAAAGCCAAAGGAGGATGGAGCCTTTCCATCACCCCTCAAGAGGACCTGGACCGCCTGTGTGAGGCCCGAGCACCTGGTGCCACCGTCATCACCTTCCTTTCATGCTCTCTTCCCCAGGTAATTATGTGGTGACAGATCACGGCTCGTGCGTCCGAGCCTGTGGGGCCGACAGCTATGAGATGGAGGAAGACGGCGTCCGCAAGTGTAAGAAGTGCGAAGGGCCTTGCCGCAAAGGTAGGAAGCCCGCCGGTGTGCGGACGAGGCTTGTTCTCGGCTGCTGAGGCTGGGCTCTCATGCCACCTCCAAAGGAACACATCTTCCTCTTCTCATTAAAAAACAACTATACATATCGTTTCTTTAAAACAGAAGATAAAGCTGTAAAGCTAGGTTAGGCAATGGGAAGGCACTGAAGGTTGTGACGGGGTGGGGGGCTCTGATGAGAACAGTCACAGAGCCAGCCCCGCTCAGCAGCTGCCAGGTGCCCAGCCCTGGGGAGAATCCAGGGAAGGCAGAGCTGGAAGCAGTGCAGCTCCAAGCGGCCCATGGGAAATAATGAGGAGAACGCAAGGTCAGTGTGAGGTGACAGGGATGGCATCTCCTACACCGCCGTAGCCCCAAAGTGTACTATAGGTCCTGGTGTCCCCCCTTCCCGCCTGCACTCTCCCCAGCCCCTTCAGTGTTTGTTGAGTGAATGAAGGATGATGTGGCAGTGGCGGTTCCGGTGACCGGAATTCCTTCCTGCTTCCCTCTGCCTGTGGATCCCTAGCTATTCTTAATCCAACAAATGTGAACGGAATACACGTCTCTCTTATCTCTGCAGTGTGTAACGGAATAGGTATTGGTGAATTTAAAGACTCACTCTCCATAAATGCTACGAATATTAAACACTTCAAAAACTGCACCTCCATCAGTGGCGATCTCCACATCCTGCCGGTGGCATTTAGGGGGTGAGTCACAGGTTCAGTTGCTTGTATAAAGAAAAACAAAATCTGCCTTTTTAACTGGTAGAGATTGGTGATCAATAATCACCCTGTTGTTTGTTTCAGTGACTCCTTCACACATACTCCTCCTCTGGATCCACAGGAACTGGATATTCTGAAAACCGTAAAGGAAATCACAGGTTTGAGCTGAATTATCACATGAATATAAATGGGAAATCAGTGTTTTAGAGAGAGAACTTTTCGACATATTTCCTGTTCCCTTGGAATAAAAACATTTCTTCTGAAATTTTACCGTTAATGGCTGATGTTTTGATATTTTTCAAAAGTGCAGTTTCTCCTGCAGGCAAAAGGGGACACGTTAAGTCCAGGCTTGGGTCATTCACTGCGGTGTAAACACGCTTTCTCCCTCCCGCCCGGCCCCAGCCAGCTGCCTTGGTGGCCCATAACCCCTGAGGGTAGAGGGAGGGGACAGGGGTAGGTGACAGGCAGCCTGGGCCTCAGGCTTTTGAAACTGGACGCCAGAGCCTTGTGGGGCCACGGGCAAGCCTCGGGTCTATGACTGCCGCCTGAGCTCCGCTTCCTTCCTCTCTAAAATGGGAAGATTAGACCAAAATAACAAGACTGTTTTAAGGTTGGAATCAAATAAGGAAAATTTGTAAAGCTCCTTGTATGTGATACCAGATCCACAATTGGCAGATAATCGCAGCAGGAGCCTCTTCGGGGTAATCAGATACGCGGCGCAGCAGGGGTCTCAGGGCCACAGCCAGGGGGGCGGCGGGAGACATGCGGAATCGCAGCGGAAGGCGGGAGGCAGCTGTGAACTGTGGCTCGGCCTGCGTCCGCCCTGCGCATGTACACTCAGAGAAGATGATAATGAAAAAGAAAGCAAATCCAATTTTCCCACTTACTGTTCATATAATACAGAGTCCCTGAGAGTCTAGAGTAATGTCTCATACAAAAAAGAAACTCCTACGTGGTGTGTGTCTGAAGTCTTTCATCTGCCTTACAGGGTTTTTGCTGATTCAGGCTTGGCCTGAAAACAGGACGGACCTCCATGCCTTTGAGAACCTAGAAATCATACGCGGCAGGACCAAGCAACAGTAAGTTGACCACAGCCAAAGCCTGGTAGATTACATTTGCCTTTTTAGTTGGAAATTAGGCTTAACAGGAGAGTTGCTAAGATAGGGCACAGAGCTCCTGCATCTCTCGCCGGCATTCCCAAATGCTATCTCACATGAGCAGGCACAGGGAGCAAGACTGCACGACCACTGGCACAGGCTGTCCGCTAAACCACAGACTTCTCAGCGCTCGCCAGTGCTTCTGCTTCTGTGTCCACTCCAGATCCCACATTGCACTTAGTTGTCAAATCTTTTCAGTCCATTTCTAACCTATATTAGCTCCTGTGTCTTTCCTTGTCTTTCACGGCCTTGACACTTACAAAACGTGTGGGTCAGGTACTTTGCACACTGTCTAACCATGTCTGTTCAGCTGGTGTTTTCTCAGGATGCAATTGAGGTTATGCACATCTTATCACAGGGACCAGAGAGACTTTTTAGCACCACTCTTCAAGAATTTCCACTTTTTCAGCTTTGACAGTGGAATAGACATGCAGGTGCTCACACACAAGCATCTTTAATATGGTAATGGTAATCATCAGTTTAGTGGTGTGGAGGAGGAGATGGGAATCTCTTAGTGAAACCCGCCTTGGAAGCAGCCTCGTTATGAGAACTGCTGCCCCTACTTGACTCTTAAAGCACTAGATAATACTGTGCAACATTAAAGAGAATAAGAGTGCGTGAAATATGCATTGCCTCCCATAAACTCCCTTGGCTCTGAATCTCTGATACTAAATATGTGGCTACCGTTGCTTCCCAGAAAGGCCTTTTTGCTCTGAATTCTCTGGAATGCTTTCTTTGACCAAGATTCTTATAAAAATAAGAGATTTAGAGCAATTTTCTTGGATGGCTGGTATGAGCCAGTTGGCTTAGTTGTAGGGATTTAAACAAGATAAGGGTTACTTACTTTTCACATTTAATGAGAAGTCTGGTGATTCCAGCTCCTACTGAGACAGGGTGGCCACACGTTCCAGGGTGTGACTCACTGAGGCCCCAGACCTGCCCTGCAAGGAAAACCTGGCTCTGCCCTGGTGTCCTGGCCTCCCTGGGCATATGTGGGGGAGAATTCCTAATGGTATTGGTTACAGGCTCCTATGCGAGACCACTCATCTGTGTAGGAGAAAGGAAAAAGATGGGGGAAAGAAGAGCAGCAGGGAGAGGAGAAGCCTCTGGATGATACTCTAACCCCCTGCCATCCAACACCTGAACATCAGTCTCTTCATCCAGTGCTCTCAGCTGGCCCAGCCCCCAGCCTGGGGTCAGATGAGAGCTTCCTGCAAATGCAGATCTCTTTCCTGTGGCTCCTTCTCAATTACAGACAGCTCCTCCACAAGGTGCACTCTGGCCTTGTGCTCCCTCCCCAAACCAGCCCAGCCCTCCCAGCCTGCATCATCGTGGTCCTGTAGGGGCTAGAGGTTCTCACACCCATCGTGGTCTGGCAGAGGCTGGTGGTTCTCACACCCATCGTGGTCCGGCAGGGGCTTAGTGGTTCTTATACCCATCGTGGTTCAGGAGGGGCTAGTGGTTCTCACACCCATCGTGGTCTGGCTGGGGCTAGTGGTTCTCATGTCCACCGCGTGCTTTCCTGCTCCTCCAGGTGGCTGAGGACATCCCCCCTTCGGTCTGAATGACTTCCATCCAGTCATCTGATATACACATTGGACCACCCAATAGCATCCTAGTGTCATGTTGGATGGTGAAGAAAATGCCACAGTTACTGCTTTCAGGGCCTCACAACCTTGGGCATAGCTTTTTGGAGGAAGGCCCCACTTCCCAGGCATCCCTCCCAGACCTGGTCAGAGGCCCCTGCTCTTTGCTTCCATGTTGCCCACACTCACTGTGCTCTTCACACCGGCTCAAAATGATCTGCTTACGGGGTTGTGTCACCACCAGATCAAGCGTCCTGGAGAGGAGGAAACATATTTAACCTGCACAGAATTTGGGACAGAGAACCTCTAGTGTTTGTTCAATAAATATATGAATGGATAGAGGGACAGGTTGGGTGGTGGATAGATGGATGAACCCACACCTTTGAAGTGTATTTGGCTGTTTGAGAGGTTAGAATATGTTCTCAATTTCCAGGCAAAATGAAAATGGAGAAAATATAATGACATTAAGGCATTTTATTCATCCTCCCCATCTGCCACTGGGTTAAAGATACTAAATAAACAAGGAACTATCTTTTGCCTGGAGGAACTTTAAAAACACCTGCAGTTTTCAAAAGGTGCAGTGTGTGCCTCCCACAGCATGACCTACCATCATTGGAAAGCAGTTTGTAGTCAATCAAAGGTGGTCTGGAGAAACAAAGTTTTCAGGGATACATTGTTTTTATAATTTTTCACCACATGATTTTTCTTCTCTCCAATGTAGTGGTCAGTTTTCTCTTGCAGTCGTCAGCCTGAACATAACATCCTTGGGATTACGCTCCCTCAAGGAGATAAGTGATGGAGATGTGATAATTTCAGGAAACAAAAATTTGTGCTATGCAAATACAATAAACTGGAAAAAACTGTTTGGGACCTCCGGTCAGAAAACCAAAATTATAAGCAACAGAGGTGAAAACAGCTGCAGTAAGTCACCGCTTTCTGTTTAGTTTATGGAGTTGGTTCTAATGGGTCCTTTATTTGTATTTAGAATATTGAAGGGCTATTCCCATTTAAATTACTTTTTTCAGTTCCTTAAGAAGCAAATTAAAATCTTAAGATTCCTAACTGTGAAATTACCATGTGAATTCCATTAAAACTTTTTCCAGATCATTACCATTCAATGGGATGAATTTACCCTGAGGTTTAGGCTACCAATTATTTGTAATGTAAGTAACTAAATTTAGTATTAGTTATATTACCTTTTAGTTGTAGGTCACTCTCTGCTCATTTCAGCCTGTAAAGACTACAGCTACACACATACACACACAGAGGAATGGAATGAGCACTTTACATCAACACTTCCTGTTCTGGCTCTAGAGCCTCAGCTTTTGAAGCTGGTGAGAGCCTGGCCTGTGCTGGGCCTTGGCCACGGGCAGCGTCAGCTTTGAGTCAAGTGCTGGTCTGGCCTCCCTAGCTTTGAGCCTCTGTCAATTCCCTTAATCTGTTTAGGCTTTGGCTTCCTCATCCATAGAATGGAGATATGAATGATTCCTACGCCGTAGTGCTTTGAGAGAATTCAGTGAAATTCCTGTGTGTAAAACCCTTCCATGGTGCCTAGCACACAGCACACAGCCAATGGCCCAATGGCTCCTATCAGCTGTGGGATTTGTCATCAGAACACCACCAGCTCTGCTCCAGGCTGCCCTGGGTACCATCAAAACACACCCTGTGCCCAGCAGCACCTGCTCCTCTGCACACCTGGTTCCTTCAGCAGGGGCAGTGGCCGTGGGAGCACAGAAAACATGGAGTCCCATCTGGTTTAATTGATGCCATTGCCAAAGGGGAGGACTCACGGCACCCCCTCTCGGGTGCCAGGGTGCCTGGCTCCCACCAGGAGGAAGACCTGTCCTCCACTGTCAGGCACATTTCAGTCTTCCCAGCAGCCAGCACAACTACTTTGTCCTTCCAGTCACGGTCGGCCTCTGGGAAGCCCAGTCTGTGTCCTCCTCCTTCAGGGGTAGCCAGCATGTCTGTGTCACCCAAGGTCATGGAGCACAGGGCCCCTCCCGGGAAGGTGCCGTCTCCTCCGGCCCCTCGGGTCCCTGCTCTGTCACTGACTGCTGTGACCCACTCTGTCTCCGCAGAGGCCACAGGCCAGGTCTGCCATGCCTTGTGCTCCCCCGAGGGCTGCTGGGGCCCGGAGCCCAGGGACTGCGTCTCTTGCCGGAATGTCAGCCGAGGCAGGGAATGCGTGGACAAGTGCAACCTTCTGGAGGGGTAGGAGGTTATTTCTTTAATCCCCTTGCGTTGATCAAAAATAAGGCTCCAGGTTGTTGTTATAGCTTTACAGGCATTCTGTTTGATTTTCTCTTCCTTTTATTCTTTGCCCTTGGCTTTTGGAGGTTTTGGGTTTTCTGTGGGGAGACGGGAAGTTGTTTGATTGCGTTATTTTTGGCAAATTTAAGCACAATAGGAAATAAGCAAGTATTATTGCCTAATATAATCCAATAATTTATAGAATCTCTTTTCCTGGAAGTATCTTAAATTTTTCTAAGCTACAAAAAGTTCCTAAGACAAATGAGACAGTCATCAATGGTTCATCTAGCCAACACCGTGGCCATTTGGGCTTTTCTTTGTAGTGCCCGATTCCTGGTGTGTGAAAATAAATTAACACAAATTATATTGCCAAGTTAATATCTGTTTTATGTGCCCCCAGCATGTGTTGAACATCAAACAGTACCAGGGACTTTAAATATACCCACGGACAAAGAAATAATTCATAATGATGTTTGTTGAATTTAGTTGCAATCAATAAAAAGTGCAGTTTGTGAATGCTCTGAGGTTCTTGATATTGATGTAAGGCTTTGAACGACAAATGAGGACAAAACATAAATAGGAAAGTAAAACTGAAGGATAGAGGCCAAGGCCATGTTTTAGAAGATTTAAAGAAAAAGGGAAATTTGGTGAGCACCATAGGAATTACAGATGGCTGTAGGAATTCTTCCTGTTTTACTCTCTGGGCATGGACCACAGCTTGGATCCAGAAATATTTAGGAGCAGGATAAGAGGACCAAGTTCAATTCTATAGGAATCCTTTAGCTGATAGGCTCAGAACAAATCACATAATTGATAGTGCTGCTTCAACTTCAAGTAAGGAATATTGATGCAATCCTTACAGCTACAAATGGACAGTGGTCTCATGTTTTCAGTTTTCAAGTGTTTCTTAAGAGGCAAGGTGATGAAAACGCCCACGTGGGGAGCCCCATGTCCTTCCATTAGTGTAGAGAAACCTGGTGTCCAGCAGCACCTGCTCCCTCTGCAAGCCCAGCCCCCTTCAGCAAGGGCAGTGACCCAGAGAAGAAGCACAGAAGACACAACCCTGTATCACATTTTGTTTAATGGTGCCATTGACCAAAGGGGAGGATGAAAGGCACACACTTTTTTGTTGTTTTTTGAGACAGAGTCTCACGCCATCACCCAGGCTGGAGTGCAGTGATGTGATCTCAACTCACTGCAACCTCTGCCCCCTGAGTTCAGGTGATTCTCCTGCCTCAGCCTCCCAACTAGCTGGAATTACAGGTGTGCACCACCATGTCCAGCTAATTTTTTGTAGTTTTAGTAGAGACGGGGTTTCACCACGTTGGCCAGGCTGGTCTCAAACTCCTGACCTCAAGTGATCTGCCCGCCTCGGCCTCCCAAAGTGTTGGGATTATAGGCATAAGCCACTGCACCTAGCCAAGGCACACACTTTGGAGAATAAACACTCCTTGTTCGCTGCTGGAGGGTAGAACTATGCTTGACTACTAGGCAGAGTCCAGTCTTACTGACAAACAGCCGTACATCTGTTCTGTCTTTTCAATCAAACATCAGCTTCTTGCTTAACATTGATGTGTACATCTTGAGGGATGTCAAAATATTGTAAGCTAAGTTTTTCATACCTGTGTTCCACACTCACCATTTTTAGTAATAACCATTGAGCGAGTTCATTCTCCCTCCTTCCTTTTTCTATCACTTAATCTAAAATTATCATTTTTCCAGCTTAATTTTGATAACCATGAATCTGGTATTAGAGGCAGGGAACACCTCCTCAGGACTATCTTTTCTTTTATCATTTGGCTTGCTTACCCAATATGCAAAAACTATGCTGTAGAAAAAGCAGAAAAGATATCTTGATTATGAATGAAGCTCCTGTGTTTACTCAGAGAGAAGATGACCCAGGATTCAGTTAACAAAATCAGCTGATTATATTACTATATAGTCCTGGAGTCCCAACTCCTTGACCATTACCTCAAGTTATTTGGAATTTTGAAGAGGTGATTTGTGTTCCTGCAATAATGTCTCAGGGGTGGGCTGACGGGTTTCCTCTTCCTCCTCTCAGTGAGCCAAGGGAGTTTGTGGAGAACTCTGAGTGCATACAGTGCCACCCAGAGTGCCTGCCTCAGGCCATGAACATCACCTGCACAGGACGGGTAAGAGCCCCTTGCTGCTATCCACGTCCATTTCATGGGAAGGGCCTTCACAGAAGCCGAACAGTGATGATGGCCCAGGGCATCCTGTGTGGGCAGGACGGCCATCAGAGCCACTTCCCAGAGGAGACGGCAGGCGCTGACAGCGCTGTCCGGGCAGGGTGTCGGTGACATTAGCACACACATTAGCCTGCGATGAACATTCACTCTTTCTGCTGACACCCCCAACCTTATCTAAGCTTATCAAATCCTCACATTTAACGGAGGCTGTTTTCACCTGGTTTCCCCCATCCCTGACCTAGTCAGCATTGCTTTATCGCTTTCATCAAACATCCTCAAATTCTTAACATTAGCTTGTAATTAATTGAAGAATTTTTAAAGAAATTGCTAGCAAAACTTTTTAAACTGCACAACTTTGTATCTATATGTTCAATAACATATAGATACAATATTCTTTACAATAATCTTTTAAAGAATATGAGTGAGAATTCGGGCCCCTCTCACACCAAATGTCCTGATGTTGTTAATTCTCAATGTTATTATATAGGGAGCTCTGTTTTCTTGTGAGCTTCAACAGCCAGTTCTAAATCTACTAACTGAAAACATTTTTTAGACATTCTCTAAATTGGGCAGAAGATGACAGGACTGTGTTTTGAGGGATAGGCTGCCAGCGTGGCTGCTTACAAAGTAAAGACTTGGTTTATAGGTTTGCATGGTGTTGGGTTAAATTTCTGTCATTAAAATAATTGGCGATATTGACATAGTCATCTAATTATGCTGGCTCTGGGCACACACAGCCCTTGAGTGGACAAAACCAACATGAGAGAACTTAGCCAAGGGGAAAGCCTTTCCCTGCTGGTTTTATTTCTGCTACTTCTGAAGTGTGGGGCACACAACCTGAGCAGTGCTTTTATTTGAGTCCCAATGCTTTTATTTGAGTTTTGCAAGGTTATTCCAAGTTTTACAAATAGAAGGTAGCGTATGACTCAGTCCTTGATATGCCAACCACTGCACAGAGACTTGCCACCTTCCTGTCACTGGAGAAACACTCATGTGGGTTTTCTTAAATTTGCCTCCCTCTGAGCTTCCCTTTAACTTCAACTATAATATGCAAGAAAGACTATCTGACCATAAATACACATTTGGGCCAATCAAGATGGTTTTGCCAAGGAAAGATGCCCACAATGGTTAAGCAGAATGCAATAATGTAGAGAATATCATTTCTTTCATGCTGGTGTATATCATATGCATTCAAAAACAGGGAGAACTTCTAAGCAACTAACAGTGACCATATCAAGCAGGTGCAATCACAGAATAACTGGTTTTCTCCTTTAAGAATTTTTCTATCATTTGGCTTTCCCCACTCACACACACTAAATATTTTAAGTAAAAAGTTACTTCCATTTTGAAAGAGAAAAGAAAGAGACATGCATGAACATTTTTCTCCACCTTGGTGCAGGGACCAGACAACTGTATCCAGTGTGCCCACTACATTGACGGCCCCCACTGCGTCAAGACCTGCCCGGCAGGAGTCATGGGAGAAAACAACACCCTGGTCTGGAAGTACGCAGACGCCGGCCATGTGTGCCACCTGTGCCATCCAAACTGCACCTACGGGTGAGTGGAAAGTGAAGGAGAACAGAACATTTCCTCTCTTGCAAATTCAGAGATCAAAAATGTCTCCCAAGTTTTCCGGCAACAAATTGCCGAGGTTTGTATTTGAGTCAGTTACTTAAGGTGTTTTGGTCCCCACAGCCATGCCAGTAGCAACTTGCTTGTGAGCAGGCCTCAGTGCAGTGGGAATGACTCTGCCATGCACCGTGTCCCCGGCCGGGCCTGTGTTGTGCAATGCTGCACATCACAACAGGAGGGTAGGGGGACAAAAGAGCACAGGTCCTGGCAGCTGCCACAGTCTCCAGGGGCTTTTGCGTTTCTCTCCAGATTTCTAAGGTTAACATGGGGATTAGCTGTTTTGCAATGAATAAAAGGTAACATTGCCTGGAATGTTGCTTAAAGACACTTTTTTAAAGCTAGTTGATTGTTAAGCTGTTGCTACTTAAATTAAAACTACTTTGGGCCAGACGCAGTGGCTCACGCCTGTAATTCCAGCACTTTGGGATTCCAAGGCAGGCAGATCACTTGAGGTCAGGAGCTTGAGACCAGGCTGGCCAACATGGTGAAACCCCACCTCTACTAAAAATACACCTGTAGTCCCAGCTACTCAGGAGGCTGAGGCAGGAGAATTGCTTGAACCCGGGAGGCAGAGGTTGCAGTGAGCCAAGATCTCGCCACTGCACTCCAGCCTGAGCACCAAGAGCGAAACTCTGTCGCAAAAAACAAAAACAAAAAAAAAAGCTACTTTGACTGGAATTAGCAGAAGCACTCTGATTGTGTGTATCTTATTTACTGGAATAATAAAGCTGTCAATCAAACTGGATCCCACTCAACAATCAGAAAGAGAAGTTGAGCTGTCATATAGTAGTTCACACTTACTTCTGTTTCTCAAAATCCTCAGCTTTGTTTGGAACTGTTACTCATTCTTTCTCTGAATCCATCTGTATGAGTTGTGTGCCCTTGGGCAAGGGTCTTACCTTCTCTGTGCCTCACTTTCTTTTCTGTAAATTGGGATAATAATGCTGCATAGCTCACAGGATTTTTATGACCATGAGTTAAGATATGTCATATACTTAAAATGGTGCCTGGAAAATGGTGAATACTGAGTCAATGATAGCATCATTGATGGTGGGATGGTGATGAGGAGGTGGGAGTCACAATGGTGGTGTTGATGGTGGTGATGGTGGTGAGGAGGTGGGAGTCACAGTGGTGGTGGTGTTGATGGTGGTGAGGAGGTGGGAGTCACAATGGTGGTGGTGATGGTGTTGATGGTGGTGAGGAGGTGGGAGTCACAATGGTGGTAGTGATGATGGTGTTGATGGTGGTGAGGAGGTGAGAGTCACAATGTTGGTGGTGTTGGTGGTGGTGGTGGTGAGGAGGTGGGAGTCACAATGGTGGCAGTGTTGGTGGTGAGGAGGTGGGAGTCACAATGGTGGTAGTGATGATGGTGTTGATGGTGGTGAGGAGGTGAGAGTCACAATGTTGGTGGTGTTGATGGTGGTGATGGTGATGAGGAGGTGGGAGTCACAATGGTGGTGATGAGGGTGGTGATGATGATGAGGAGGTGGGAGTCACAATGGTGTCAGTGTTGATGGTCCGATGGTGATGAGGAGGTGGGAGTCACAATGTTGGTGGTGTTGATGGTGGTGATGATGATGAGGAGGTGGGAGTCACAATGGTGTCAGTGTTGATGGTGGCGATGGTGATGAGGAGGTGGGAGTCACAATGGTGGTGGTGATGACGGTGTTGACAGTGGTGACGAGGCGGGAGTCACAATGGTGTCGGTGGTGATGGTGGTGAGGAGGTGGGAGTCACAATGGTGGTGGTGGTGATGGTGGTGATGGTGGTGAGGAGGTGGGAGTCACAATGGTGGTGGTGTTGATGGTGGTGATGGTGGTGAGGAGGTGGGAGTCACAATGGTGGTGGTGTTGATGGTGGTGATGGTGGTGAGGAGGTGGGAGTCACAGTGGTGGTGGTGATGAGGGTGGTGATGGTGATGAGGAGGTGGGAGTCACAACGTTGGTGGTGATGATGGTGTTACTGGTGGTGACGAGGTGGGAGTCACAATGGTGGTGGTGGTGATGGTGGTGAGGAGGTGGGAGTCACAGTGGTGGTGGTGTTGATGGTGGTGATGGTGGTGAGGAGGTGGGAGTCACAGTGGTGGTGGTGTTGATGGTGGTGATGGTGGTGAGGAGGTGAGAGTCACAATGGTAGTGGCGATGATGGTGTTGGTGGTGAGGAGGTGGAAGTCACGGTGGTGGCGATGATGGTGGTGAGGACGTGGGAGTAACAACAGTGGCAGTGACGGTGATTGAGACATGATGATGATTTGTCAACTTTCTAGGAAAACAATCATATAATCTCCAACAGTGATATCTTAATATCTTTTCCAAAAGTATCAGATCATATTATAAGGGCCAAGTTTCCAGAATAATATCAGACATAATGACAGTGGACATCAGAGCTTGGCATCTAAAGGTAATGGGAATAGCTCTAATGTCTCAGCGTGAAAAACAACATTTGCTATTAGTCTGAGATACTAATTATCTAGTTAAGGAAGTACTCACCTATACCTAGTTTTTAACTGTTTTTTAAAATCTGGAATTGATTTTGAATTTTAACAAATATTTCCCTGGGAACAATGTAAGATTCTTCATATTTTCGCCTTTGGGTATACCAACATGCCAGCTCTGTTGGCCACTTTGTGAGCTCGATGAAGCATGGTATAAAAGATGCTTTGCTAGTGTTTCACGTAATCTATTTCTATAAGCAATTTTGGAGCTAAGCCTCTGAAACAGAATTATATTATCTGTATAGAATAAATGTTTTATCTTCCCCCTTTTCTTTCTTCTGGAATAGATGTGCATCAGTATCTCTGCATCAATATCTCTATATCAGTATCTCTGTGTCAGTGAGCATATGTTGCTGGGCTTAGGGGAGGTCCAGAAAGTGATTGGGTTTTGGCATTTTCAATACACTTACTTTGTATAAGAAATAGTTTGCCAAATATAGAAAGAGGGGATTTAGTCAAGATTTAAATTAAAAATGTTAGTGGTCATTTTTCTAATGTCTTTCTATTTTTTCCCAGGTCCTAATAAATCTTCACTGTCTGACTTTAGTCTCCCACTAAAACTGCATTTCCTTTCTACAATTTCAATTTCTCCCTTTGCTTCAAATAAAGTCCTGACACTATTCATTTGACATATGGAATTTTATAAATATTTTCTTTAGTATGTGTGATTACATTCCTGATTCTGAGCCTTTTTAGATGAGTATATAGTTTGATATAATCTTGTTATTGCCACCTGTGTCTTCTCCCAAAGCCATTAATTATATAGGAATTACACGATAGAAATGGGTTTAATTTTTAAAATACGGCCAAGTGTTGATGAGAGGGAAAATTTTTTTAATTTCTTTCACTGAGTATTTATGACGTGCACAACATTCCTGAATATATTGTCTCTCTCATTTCTCAGATGGGATGTATTGCCTTCTCCATTTCTATTGTTAAAGAAACACTTACAGGGGTTTCTTTAACAACTTGTGAACAGCAGCATCAGAGCCCAGACTACAGCATAAGCAGCTGCTGATTCCAAAAGCCCTACCTTCCAACCGGGCAGGTGCAGCCACCCAGACGAGGGGGAGGAACCCTGGAGGAATAGCTATTTCTTTTTTTTTTTTGTCGAGACGGAGTCTTGTTCTGTCACCCTGGCTGGAGTGCAGTGCCGTGATCTTGGCTCACTGCAACCTCCACCTCCCAGGTTCAAGCAATTCTCCTGCTTCAGCCTCCCGAGTAGCTGGGATTACAGACACCTGCCACCACGCCTGGCTAATTTTTGTATTTTTAGTACAGACAGGGTTTCACCATGTTGGCCAGGCTTGTCTTGATCTCCTGACAAGTGATCCACACACCTTGGCCTCCCAAAGTGCTGAGATTACAGGCGTGAGCCACTGCGCCCAGCAGGAATATCTATTTTTAAATGGAACTGTGTTTTCATAGTACACGGTGAGGAGAAAGTTGCTTTGAAATCTTTATCCTAATAAACCAAATAATATGAAAATTTGCCTATTTTAATTATATGTAACAAAGTTTAGTTACTGCTATAATTGCAAATATGTATAAATTCCTTACCAAAAAAAAAAGAATCAAGTGGGAGCCAGAGAATAATTTTTCTGACAGAATTAAATAACATGCTATAGCTGCTTGAGTTCATACTCAATAGTCATTTCTGCAGAGTTACCGAGGGCCTCATCAGCGTCAGCAGGAGCCCCTCGCCTTCTGACGCTCTCACATCCTTCTCTCCTGCAGCCCCGTCCTGCCACTGTCCTTGTCCAGCTTCTCTTCAAGGGTCAACTGGTCTACCTTTCCCTACAAGTCTGTCACAGCTTCTTGTTAGCAATCCCTATGGTTGCCCAAAAGCATTTTCAGAGCCTGCATAAGACTGCATCTTGTAGAAAATTTGCAGTTTCAATCTGCCCTCCCTCTGCCGGGTGTTCCCATTGTATTGCATTCAGCAGGCAGGGAGAGACTGCTATTAGGTCTGTTCCTGAGTGACTGCTTTCTGTCTCAGACTGTTTGGTGTCTGTAGGAGGTAGTGGGGTGGGCAGTAACGAGGTCTCCTGTATATTCCACCCCTACGAAGCCTGTGTGTTTGGTTTATGAACTAAGCTCAAAAGCACCACAGGGGTAAGACTGCAGTACATGACACCATGGAAAAGAGGGAGCACCCAGACCCCCAAATTAAGAAGAGCAGTGTAGAGAACAGAGACCTGGAGAGCAGAGATAGAAACTGTTAGGATCAGATTATAGTGTTACACCAGGGCTCCCCAGGCCTCTCACATATTGAAATGTACTTGTCCATCTTTCTCCAGGCCAGGAAATGAGAGTCTCAAAGCCATGTTATTCTGCCTTTTTAAACTATCATCCTGTAATCAAAGTAATGATGGCAGCGTGTCCCACCAGAGCGGGAGCCCAGCTGCTCAGGAGTCATGCTTAGGATGGATCCCTTCTCTTCTGCCGTCAGAGTTTCAGCTGGGTTGGGGTGGATGCAGCCACCTCCATGCCTGGCCTTCTGCATCTGTGATCATCACGGCCTCCTCCTGCCACTGAGCCTCATGCCTTCACGTGTCTGTTCCCCCCGCTTTTCCTTTCTGCCACCCCTGCACGTGGGCCGCCAGGTTCCCAAGAGTATCCTACCCATTTCCTTCCTTCCACTCCCTTTGCCAGTGCCTCTCACCCCAACTAGTAGCTAACCATCACCCCCAGGACTGACCTCTTCCTCCTCGCTGCCAGATGATTGTTCAAAGCACAGAATTTGTCAGAAACCTGCAGGGACTCCATGCTGCCAGCCTTCTCCGTAATTAGCATGGCCCCAGTCCATGCTTCTAGCCTTGGTTCCTTCTGCCCCTCTGTTTGAAATTCTAGAGCCAGCTGTGGGACAATTATCTGTGTCAAAAGCCAGATGTGAAAACATCTCAATAACAAACTGGCTGCTTTGTTCAATGCTAGAACAACGCCTGTCACAGAGTAGAAACTCAAAAATATTTGCTGAGTGAATGAACAAATGAATAAATGCATAATAAATAATTAACCACCAATCCAACATCCAGACACATAGTGATTTTAATTATTTAAGAGTAGTTTAGCATATATTGCTTTATGATTTAATTAAAAATCTCCAAAATATATGCCAAAGAAGTAGAATGAGAAAAATGTATATTTCTCTTTCACTTCCTACAGATGCACTGGGCCAGGTCTTGAAGGCTGTCCAACGAATGGGTAAGTGTTCACAGCTCTGTGTCACATGGACCTCGTCAAGAATGACCACACTGCTGTGGGTGAAGATGCTTTCCTGCATTTCTGACTGTCCTCTGTCCTGATCAAGTTTCTATGGCTCTGGGCCAGCCTACCCTCAGCCAGGGTTTCTGCAGAGACTGCCCAGCTGGTTCCACGTGGCTCCACGTGCCAACTTTGTCCTCAGTGGAGGGAAAGTTGGACACACAGTGCTGGGGCTGCTCCCTGCTCCGCCGTTGCTCGATGCATGGCCTGCCTCTGAATTCCTTGGTTCCACTGGTTTTGCTGGGTCCTTCTGTGCCTCTAGCTCCTCTTTTTTTCTGTCCACTTACCCCATTGGTCCCATCACAAGCCTGTGTGTGAGTGGCCTTTCTGTTCGATGACAACCTCCAGCATAGGGGAGTGTTTCTCCTTGCTTTCTTTCCCAGACACACTGCCCAGCAAAGGCAAAAGGGCTTCCTTCAACATCAGCTCTGGCCAGTTTGCCAGAGCAAAGCCCTGAGAAAAGCAAGGTTGAAAAGTCTTATTCAAACTCACCAGGAAAGAGTGGTGTTACTCTCGATGGCGTCTAGCCAGGAATCATGGAATTATACACCGAGCACCTGTTTGCCATTTTGGATGTTTCCAAACATGAACCAAACTTCCAGGCCCCTCTGCCATCTCTGGTAACATTTACAAAGTCCCTTCCTCACCACTGCCCTTCCTTCATTTTGGCATGCTCCTCCGCCCCCGAGTTGACAGCCATAGCTCTCTCTCCTGCCACCAGTGTCACATGATCGAGGAAGAAGGCAACTTCAAAAAGACTGGGTCCCCTTCCACTCCCATCTCTTCAGTGAGCTGCTAGGACACCCAGCAGAACTTCCCCACTCCACACTGCAATCTCAGGGATCTTAGTCACGGGGCTTTCCACCATGTCTCCACCTGGAAACCAGTCATGGCCATTCCTTCTTACATCTGCTCTTTTCCATCTTTTTCTTCTCCTCCTGTTCACCCGCCCTTACTCTTGTGGCGCCCTATGGATATGCGCTCCATAGCAAATGATTCTTTATATCTTACGGTATTCTAGTGAGCTGGCACATGTGGCTTCTGGTTTCCTCTCTCTGGAACTAGACATGACCTCTGTGGGAGGGAGGATTAAATGCACCCTACAGTCTGAGGCTGCATGATGACATCACTCATCACAATGATGCTTTCTATGTCTGAATCCTATTCCTTTATAACCCCTTTCAAGCTCGTTCAGAGAGTATTTCACACAATCCATGTGCTCATCTTAAAAGCCAAGGACCCAGAGGAGTCTCAGCATTGCCAAAAAGTCCCTTCACCCAGCCTGGCCAGAGGCAGTGCCTGGTCCATGTGTATGGACTATGGCACTTCAATTGCATGGAAATACTCTTGGAATGAACAAAATACCAATCCATGAAAAAGCATTATTGAAGTCTAAGTTATTTTTTGAATCATATTTTGTTAATCAACAAATTGAAAAATACTCATTATATGGAGAGGTCCAGATAAAGCCTCAATTTTAAAAAATGAGGAAAAGTGTGCCTGGTAGGGGACTGGGGAGAGCTTGAGAAAGTTGGAAACGTTGCCTTAGAAGCCTGTTTTTTCTCCTTTTAGAAGCTACATAGTGTCTCACTTTCCAAGATCATTCTACAAGATGTCAGTGCACTGAAACATGCAGGGGCGTGTTGAGTGCCAAGGCCATGGAATCTGTCAGCAACCTCACCCTTCCTTGTTCCTCCACCTCATTCCAGGCCTAAGATCCCGTCCATCGCCACTGGGATGGTGGGGGCCCTCCTCTTGCTGCTGGTGGTGGCCCTGGGGATCGGCCTCTTCATGCGAAGGCGCCACATCGTTCGGAAGCGCACGCTGCGGAGGCTGCTGCAGGAGAGGGAGGTGAGTGCCAGTCCTGGGTGGGCTCAGGAGCCCTCGCACCCCGACAGGAACAAGGGCCAGCCCCGAGAACGGGCCATTAGCAGTTGTGTATGTTAGATACATAATTGTATTATGATGCAGAAAGAATCTCTGAATGTGCAGTTATACCCAGTTGGTGACATGTTGGTACATCCATCCGAGGAAATGGCAATGTTTCTAGGCTGCACCCTTCAATGTCCACAAAGCTGTGTGGCATCTGCTTAGGACCCGGTGCCTGTGTGTGCATAGGAGGGAGGCCAGGAAGCCTGGCTGTTGATCCCATGCTGGCACTGTGGCGAAGGCGAGAGATTCCTGCTTTGGAAAACACCATTGTCCACACAGTGGCTTTGTCCATGATGGACTTCGCCACAGCCCAGTCCTGTGCTGGAAGCCATGTTCTCTGGAAAGAGCAACCCAGCGGCTCATAAGCATAAGCGCGTGTGATGTGCCCCAACCAAACGACCGCCATGCACAACTTCCCTACCGGAGTTTTCAATCCAGTTAATAGGCGTGGAAACAGACATAGAAATTGTGTTTGTTGAAAGGTAGCTGTTCAGTTAAAGAACACCTGTATCAGAGCCTGTGTTTCTACCAACTTCTGTCAAGCTCTGTAGAGAAGGCGTACATTTGTCCTTCCAAATGAGCTGGCAAGTGCCGTGTCCTGGCACCCAAGCCCATGCCGTGGCTGCTGGTCCCCCTGCTGGGCCATGTCTGGCACTGCTTTCCAGCATGGTGAGGGCTGAGGTGACCCTTGTCTCTGTGTTCTTGTCCCCCCCAGCTTGTGGAGCCTCTTACACCCAGTGGAGAAGCTCCCAACCAAGCTCTCTTGAGGATCTTGAAGGAAACTGAATTCAAAAAGATCAAAGTGCTGGGCTCCGGTGCGTTCGGCACGGTGTATAAGGTAAGGTCCCTGGCACAGGCCTCTGGGCTGGGCCGCAGGGCCTCTCATGGTCTGGTGGGGAGCCCAGAGTCCTTGCAAGCTGTATATTTCCATCATCTACTTTACTCTTTGTTTCACTGAGTGTTTGGGAAACTCCAGTGTTTTTCCCAAGTTATTGAGAGGAAATCTTTTATAACCACAGTAATCAGTGGTCCTGTGAGACCAATTCACAGACCAAAGGCATTTTTATGAAAGGGGCCATTGACCTTGCCATGGGGTGCAGCACAGGGCGGGAGGAGGGCCGCCTCTCACCGCACGGCATCAGAATGCAGCCCAGCTGAAATGGGCTCATCTTCGTTTGCTTCTTCTAGATCCTCTTTGCATGAAATCTGATTTCAGTTAGGCCTAGACGCAGCATCATTAAATTCTGGATGAAATGATCCACACGGACTTTATAACAGGCTTTACAAGCTTGAGATTCTTTTATCTAAATAATCAGTGTGATTCGTGGAGCCCAACAGCTGCAGGGCTGCGGGGGCGTCACAGCCCCCAGCAATATCAGCCTTAGGTGCGGCTCCACAGCCCCAGTGTCCCTCACCTTCGGGGTGCATCGCTGGTAACATCCACCCAGATCACTGGGCAGCATGTGGCACCATCTCACAATTGCCAGTTAACGTCTTCCTTCTCTCTCTGTCATAGGGACTCTGGATCCCAGAAGGTGAGAAAGTTAAAATTCCCGTCGCTATCAAGGAATTAAGAGAAGCAACATCTCCGAAAGCCAACAAGGAAATCCTCGATGTGAGTTTCTGCTTTGCTGTGTGGGGGTCCATGGCTCTGAACCTCAGGCCCACCTTTTCTCATGTCTGGCAGCTGCTCTGCTCTAGACCCTGCTCATCTCCACATCCTAAATGTTCACTTTCTATGTCTTTCCCTTTCTAGCTCTAGTGGGTATAACTCCCTCCCCTTAGAGACAGCACTGGCCTCTCCCATGCTGGTATCCACCCCAAAAGGCTGGAAACAGGCAATTACTGGCATCTACCCAGCACTAGTTTCTTGACACGCATGATGAGTGAGTGCTCTTGGTGAGCCTGGAGCATGGGTATTGTTTTTGGTATTTTTTGGATGAAGAAATGGAGGCATAAAGAAATTGGCTGACCCTTATATGGCTGGGATAGGGTTTAAGCCCCTTGTTATTTCTGACTCTGAAACTTGCATTCAATTCACTCCACCAAGTTATCTCATCTTTGAAATGGCTTTTTTTAAAGGTGCCTAGAATATGATGGCGTGCAGTCTATAAACTGTTGCCCACCTTCTGTACTTTCTCTCAGAATAATTCACATTCTTCTCCAGTGTCTGTTGATTGTTACTTTGTGGAATAAGTTCTTGGAAAATTCCACAAGATTATTGTTATCTTCTTACTACCAATTCTATTGAACTTTCTCCACCTTCTCTGGGCCTTCCCCAGCCAGTGGTGGGAAGATGCTGGCTGGAGTCTGACAGAGCCTCTTCTACACTGGCCTGGGCTTGCTGTGAGTTGGTGGAAACCTTTGCTCTTGTCCCAACACAGAGCAAGTGAAAGAGGAGGTCAAGGGGCTCAGGCAGCGGACTAGGGAAGCAGAATCGAGGAAAAGGAAAAATGGCTGACTTATTACCTCAAAACTCTAGAGAATTTAGTTGATCTTACAGCCAAGAAGGACAAAAGCCAGAGAGTAATATCCTCCGCCTCATGTCTAACCCACAGAATACATAGCAAGTAAAGAGAACATGGGCCTTTATAAAAATGTCTTAAGATACAATTTTTTAATTGGAGGAAATCTACAGTTTAATTTTCTCTGGGCAGCTTTTCTTCCTTTTATTATAGTAGGGGAAATCCCATGTTGATATACTTCTAAATGAAAGATGATGAATTGATATAATACAATAAAAAATCTGTAAAATTGATGATATACTTATCAAGAAAAATTAGCTTTCATTTTAACGGTTTACAAATTGAGTCAAGTCCTAGTAACAAAATGTTAAGTCTATTAACATAACCACAAGAAATACAGGAAGACGGGCAATCTGTGAAGCCTTTCACTTACAATCTCTGGCCCCTCACCTGTGCTGTGTAGGAAAATCTTTGTGCACAATTTGCTTCCTTAATTCATTTTTTATTCATTCAACACATTCTAATAAATTATACAAAATCATGTTGAAATGTGAATTTCAGTGGTATTTATAAATGCAGTGTGAGGAGGGTTTGGATGTATTCTAAGACAATAGTTGTGCTTTGGGAAGGAAGCAGTGTTCACTGAAAAGTGCCCCCAGGACCTTTTAATTGGAGGAAATATGCTTCTGTGGAGTTGGAAATGGGGTAGAAGATAGATAAGGTCAAGGCTTAAAAGTTAAGTGCACCCAACATCTGAAGCGTCCATGGGCCTGGCATGGTGGCTTTCGCCTGTAATCCCAGCACTTTGGGAGGCTGAGGCAGGAGGATCCCTTGAGCTTAGGAGTTTGAGACCAGCCTGGGCAACATACTGAGACCCAGTCTCTACAAAAAATAAAAAATTAGCTGGGTGTGGTGTCTCATGCCTGTAGTCCCAGCCACTCAGGAGATGGGAAGATGGCTTGAGTCCAGGAGATCTAGGCTGCAGTGAGCTAAAATCTCACCACTGCACTCCAGCCTGGGTGACAAAGCAAGACCCTGCTCAAAAAAATAGTTAGATATAAATATTAATATAGATACCTATATATATCTGAATATAGATATCTATATATACTCTGTATATAGTTATTTAGATATATAAATATATATGATATATATTTAGAGAGATATATATTTAGAGAGATATATATTTAGAGATTTATATATATTTTATATATATTTAGAGATATATATCTCTAAATATATATCTCTCTCTAAATATATATATATCTCTCTCTAAATATATATATATCCCTAAATATATTAAATAAATAAAAGAAATAAAAGAAAGCTCAGTTTGGCCTCCTGCTTGTCCTGTCTCCTCATCCCCTCTTCCCCCTCCATCATTTTATTTCCTTGCCCCATGTTTCTTCACTGCGGCCATGTCCCCCCTCCTCTCCAATGATGGATGTCATGTCTGCTGCAGTCAGAGGGCGACAAGCCTGGAGTGTTCCCTGAAGCCTGTGGTTTGTGGTTTGTCCTGCAGCTCAGGCTGCCCAGGCCTCACCAGCAATCCTGGCGGGCAGGGCACCACACTGGGATGGAGAGGGGGAAGCTGGAGGAGGCACTTTCTGGTAAAGAAAGCAAAAGCCAGCAGTGCCCAGGCCAATTTCAACAGGGAGTTAAATAGCACCTTAATCCTGTGGCAGGACAGCTCATGGGGCCATGTGTGCTCTTAGAAAGACTCACATGCACGCATGCACGGCAGCAATGACTCCATACTCACGTTCCCCTGCAGACACCAGGCCCCCACAGCCGGCACACACACTGCAGCCCCAGTTCCATGTTGCTAGCAGTGGCTTAGTGAATGAGTAAAGTTCTTAAAATGCAGGGGACACCTGCCCTTCATTCATAAGGCTGGACGTACACCTCTCCTTAAGGAGTTCAAGAGCTAGTGGAATCCCAATTCATACGGTAGAGCCATTCACAGATGAGAGAGACAAGCCAGAAGGAAGGAACCAAAAGTCATGTCAGCAGTTAGGACAAAATAACAGGCTTTCAAGGTCACAAAGCCTCAGGGACACTCCTGCGGTGGGACTGGGCTAGGAGCCATGGGGGCTCCAACTGTGCGCTCTGCCTGCCAGCCTGTGGGTGCTGGGGCTCCACGAAGATTGTTGTGGAATACCAAGCATGCTTGCTGTAGGTCACGGTGCACGTTTACTACTTCCAAGACAAACAGCCGAGAACAAAGCTCGCTTTAGCTTCTGCGTACACCGAACGGGACACACGACTGAACAGCGTTCCCATTGTGCCTGCTGGGTGGGGAGGAAGTGATGGCCCAGTGGGTCTATCAGATGTTAGTAGGATGGGGCCTGGCGGGGCTCCAGGCTCTGTGTGGCCGACACCCACGCCCCCCGCTCTGCTCCCCATTCCCAGCCCCAGGTCAGCCCTGCGAGGCCCTGCAGCAGATGGGCTGCTCAAACTGCTCTGGTTTGCAGATTTTTCTTCCCTCTCAAATGAATACAATATGTTTTCAAGTCTCAACCAGATCTTGAGAAAATAGGAAGAGCCAGAGGGTTTCTTTGGTGTTATGGTTGTACAGCTTCCCAGACTCCGGGGGAGAGATGTGATTTGTGCTTTCTGGCAATCCCATGGCGTATTAAATTTTCATAGGCTTTCCAGTTTAAATTTAGGGTAGGCAATGGAAGGGAACGCAAAACAGATTTCTAGGTGTACTGTGTGTGTGTCTCCCACGTCTAAAGTCTGTTAACTGGAGCACCCAACAGGCCCCACAGGCTGCCTTCACACAGAGGACCTGGGGCGCCTCCGACCCATTGGGGTGAGCAGTGGGCCATGGAGGGAGCCAGGGTCAGGAGACCTGGTTGTGGGCCTGACCTGACCCTGCTCAGGGTGGCCTCAGGTGGGCCGTTCACCTCGTCAGCCTCAGCTTACCCTCTGACTACAGTGACCTCAGACAAAATACGCTTCCTGGCCCTGTCCAGTTCTGACTTTTTATAAACAAGCACTTATCCAAGTTAAAGGGATATTTTCAATATCTACTGAGTCCACAGATATTAAATATCTCCTCTCTTCTTTAAAATTGTGGCATTATCTTTAGAATATAAAAGGAAAATAACACACACTCTCCTTGAAAATAGAGAGCCTAAACACTCTGCAGGAAATATTTAAAGCTATAGTTTTTGTTTGTTTGTCTTGAATGCAAGTGGCCTGGACTTTGACTTGCTTTGAGTCTTTGACCTTCATGACTTCAGTACAGTTCAACCCTGACAGTTTTGAAGTAGGTATGTGCCTAGATCTGCCCTAGTCCCTGCTGGAATGTTGAAGAAGCAAAGGTCCAGGCCCTCAGAGCACTTGCCACGTACTTGCCAACAGATACGGGGCGGAGACTTGAGTCAACGTAAGAGCAAGTGTGTGCCGGGTGATCCGACACTGCAGAGCGCCAGCTAGACCCTAAGCGTGTGCTAGGGGCTGACCAAGCCGTTCTTTCCTCAAAAACTTGGTGGGGAGGGTATTTTTAAAATCACACAAATATTTAAGTACAGATTATGATGACTGCCTCAAAGCAGTGGCTCTTCAGCTTCATCAAGCTTCAGAGTCCAGAGGGTTTGTTCATATGGAAGGCTAGGCCTGTCTCCTGCATTTCACCCTCTTGGCCTGGGGGCGGGACCCAAGAATGTGTGGCTCTAAAAGGTTC
The DNA here is from genome assembly GCF_000001405.40 of Homo sapiens. NCBI lineage: Eukaryota > Metazoa > Chordata > Mammalia > Primates > Hominidae > Homo > Homo sapiens. The sequence goes on from NC_000007.14 coordinate 55,179,362, forward strand.
CCAGGCAATGCTGAGGCTGCTTTCTGAAGGAAAAACTGCAAGATACCAGGAGAGTTTCATTTAGATTGAAGAGTCGAGGAAGGCTCCTCTGAGAAAGAGTCTGCTAAGGAAGGAGGAGGTGGGTTCTGGGGACAGAGGTTCTCCCGTGGGTAAGGGTGGAGGGAAGCTCTCCTGGGGAGAAGGTGGGCAGGAGGACCAGAGGCTGGAGGGAGGAGGGCAGTCAGCCTCGGGGCTTCCCAGGAACAGGGACGGCCAGGGCAGGGTTTAGGGCAAGGAAAGCGTGTGAGCATATTTGTATTTTAGTAAATATTTACAGTTTGCCCTCCATGTCTGCAGTTTCATATCCATGGATTCAATCAACCACAATGAAAAACGTTGGGGAAAAAAATTGCATCGGTACTGAACATATACGGACTTTTTTTCTTGTCATTATTCCCTAAACAATACAGCATAACAATTATTCACATAGCATTTGCACTGTATTAGGTACTATAGGTAATCAGGAGATGCTGTAGATGGGAGGATGTCTGTAGGTTACACACAAATGCTGTGCCACTTTATATCAGGGGCTTGAGCATCCTCACATTTTGATATTTAAGGGAGGTCCTGGAACCAATTCCCCAGATACTGAGGGTCCACTGTCTGTGTCCCCTCGCCCCACCTTGCCTTTGTCTCCTGTCTCCTATCTCCACCCTGCCTCCCGCCAGCCTGTTGCTCCTGACCTGCCCGGGCACCCTGGAGCAGCACCCTATCTCAGAGCCTGGCTCAGTGTGTTCACTTCTGCAGAGAAACTAACTTGCCCAAGTCCACACTCAAAACATAGGCATTGCTGAGATGTGAAAAGCAGCTGTGGATGCTTTCTGCTACAGTCTGTGTGTTCTTTTCCATATCTGAATAAAAGGTCACCACCATTTGTATTTTAAAGAGAAAGAGAATTTATGGGTGGAAATTGGGGATTCCCTCATTCTCAGTCAGACAGAAAAGAGGGCCCCATTGTGTGCCTGATTGCAAATAAATTTAGCTTCCTCAGCCCAAGAATAGCAGAAGGGTTAAAATAAAGTCTGTATTTATGGCTCTGTCAAAGGAAGGCCCCTGCCTTGGCAGCCAGCCGGAATTAGCAGGGCAGCAGATGCCTGACTCAGTGCAGCATGGATTTCCCATAGGGAGCCTGGGGGCACAGCACAGAGAGACCACTTCTCTTTAGAAATGGGTCCCGGGCAGCCAGGCAGCCTTTAGTCACTGTAGATTGAATGCTCTGTCCATTTCAAAACCTGGGACTGGTCTATTGAAAGAGCTTATCCAGCTACTCTTTGCAGAGGTGCTGTGGGCAGGGTCCCCAGCCCAAATGCCCACCCATTTCCCAGAGCACAGTCAGGGCCAAGCCTGGCCTGTGGGGAAGGGAGGCCTTTCTCCCTGCTGGCTCGGTGCTCCCCGGATGCCTTCTCCATCGCTTGTCCTCTGCAGCACCCACAGCCAGCGTTCCTGATGTGCAGGGTCAGTCATTACCCAGGGTGTTCCGGACCCCACACAGATTCCTACAGGCCCTCATGATATTTTAAAACACAGCATCCTCAACCTTGAGGCGGAGGTCTTCATAACAAAGATACTATCAGTTCCCAAACTCAGAGATCAGGTGACTCCGACTCCTCCTTTATCCAATGTGCTCCTCATGGCCACTGTTGCCTGGGCCTCTCTGTCATGGGGAATCCCCAGATGCACCCAGGAGGGGCCCTCTCCCACTGCATCTGTCACTTCACAGCCCTGCGTAAACGTCCCTGTGCTAGGTCTTTTGCAGGCACAGCTTTTCCTCCATGAGTACGTATTTTGAAACTCAAGATCGCATTCATGCGTCTTCACCTGGAAGGGGTCCATGTGCCCCTCCTTCTGGCCACCATGCGAAGCCACACTGACGTGCCTCTCCCTCCCTCCAGGAAGCCTACGTGATGGCCAGCGTGGACAACCCCCACGTGTGCCGCCTGCTGGGCATCTGCCTCACCTCCACCGTGCAGCTCATCACGCAGCTCATGCCCTTCGGCTGCCTCCTGGACTATGTCCGGGAACACAAAGACAATATTGGCTCCCAGTACCTGCTCAACTGGTGTGTGCAGATCGCAAAGGTAATCAGGGAAGGGAGATACGGGGAGGGGAGATAAGGAGCCAGGATCCTCACATGCGGTCTGCGCTCCTGGGATAGCAAGAGTTTGCCATGGGGATATGTGTGTGCGTGCATGCAGCACACACACATTCCTTTATTTTGGATTCAATCAAGTTGATCTTCTTGTGCACAAATCAGTGCCTGTCCCATCTGCATGTGGAAACTCTCATCAATCAGCTACCTTTGAAGAATTTTCTCTTTATTGAGTGCTCAGTGTGGTCTGATGTCTCTGTTCTTATTTCTCTGGAATTCTTTGTGAATACTGTGGTGATTTGTAGTGGAGAAGGAATATTGCTTCCCCCATTCAGGACTTGATAACAAGGTAAGCAAGCCAGGCCAAGGCCAGGAGGACCCAGGTGATAGTGGTGGAGTGGAGCAGGTGCCTTGCAGGAGGCCCAGTGAGGAGGTGCAAGGAGCTGACAGAGGGCGCAGCTGCTGCTGCTATGTGGCTGGGGCCTTGGCTAAGTGTCCCCCTTTCCACAGGCTCGCTCCAGAGCCAGGGCGGGGCTGAGAGAGCAGAGTGGTCAGGTAGCCCTGCCTGGGTGCTGGAGACAGGCACAGAACAACAAGCCAGGTATTTCACAGCTGGTGCGGACCCAGAAAGACTTCTGCTTTTGCCCCAAACCCCTCCCATCTCCATCCCAGTCTTGCATCAGTTATTTGCACTCAACTTGCTAAGTCCTATTTTTTTCTAACAATGGGTATACATTTCATCCCATTGACTTTAAAGGATTTGCAGGCAGGCCCTGTCTCTGAGAATACGCCGTTGCCCGTCATCTCTCTCCGACAGCAGGGCAGGGGGTCCAGAGATGTGCCAGGGACCAGAGGGAGGGAGCAGACACCCACCCGGCCTGGGCAGGTCCTCCTCATTGCTTGCATCCGCCTGGTTAGCAGTGGCAGTCAGTCCTGCCGAGTCATTCGTGAGGCGCTCACCCAACTCCAGGCAGATGTAAAAGGTGACCTACAAGAAGACAAACAAAAACATCTGGAGCGCTCTTATGCCAGCATCTGCCCTTGACACCACCAGGCAGGCTGTTGCTGGGAGCCGTGGTGCTTGGGTAAGCTCCTTCCCATGGCAGAGCTCCTGGGACGCATTGTAGAAGCAGGGACCACCTCCCAGGATAACCAGATAGCAGCACACCCTGCACAGCCCCTTTTACTCCAGCATCATCGGGCATTGATATCTCAGCTGCAGCCACAGGCGGCCCCCAGCACCCCAGGAAGTGGGGAGCGCTCATGCTTCTCTGAGCACAAAAATCACTGAATATTTTTGCCATTCTCATGGTCATAACCCGGGCCACAGAGTAGAACACTCCTATCACTGTTGTTAGACAGTGGTCCTGGGAGAGGGTCTTGTGTGCCTCGGATGCCAGGGCCTCTTTTTATTGGGAGGTGCTTGTTATTTCTGTGTGTGGCTGCATTTGTTTCCCAAGACTGCCACAACAAATCATCACCAACTTGGTAGCTCAACATAGCACAGCTTTATTCCCTCCTGGCTCTGGAGGCCAGGTGTCTAAAAGGCCATGCTCCCACAATGGTTCTGAGGAGGATCCTTCCTGCCTCTCTGGCTTCTGGTGGCTCCAGCATCCCTGGGCTGTGGCTGCACCTCCCCATGTCAACCTCCGTCTTCACAAGGCCTTTTCCTGTGTCTCTGCAACCACAGGCCCCTCTCCTTTCTCTTAATAAAGATACCAGTCATTGAGTTTGAAAATTGCTAAGAGAGTCTGTTGTAAATCTTCTTAGCACAAAAAAAAATGACAGATATGTGAAGTGGTAGATATATTAATTAGTTTGATTTGATCACTCCGCTATGTGTATAAATGTCAAAACAAACATTGCACTCCATAAATATATATATTAAAAAAGATCCCAGTCATTGCATTTAGGACCCACCCTAAATCCAGGATGATTTCATTTCAAGACTTTTAACTAGATTTGCAAAACCCCATTTCCAAATAAGGTCACATTCTGCAGTTTTGGGTAGACGTGAAATGTGGAGACACTGTGCAACCCACTGTCTTGGGGAGGGGGTGGTCAGCCTGGGGCAGATGTTGCTGGGTGTGGAGCTACATCCACTCATGCCCTGACCTGGAACCCAGACCTGCTTCCCCAGCTCTCCTCCTGGTTATCTGAAGCAGGGAATGGAGAGCACTGCCCTCCTTGCCCAGGCAGTCTCTATCACCTGGTTTTAGTTTCTTCTTAGCACATATTGCCCCAGAATATCTGGTTGGTTTATGGCTTACTTGAGTTTGTGCCTACCTGTCCCAACCGGGAGGTGAGCCCTGGCTATTCCCCAAACCCGGCCCTGCATGTGGGAGCTGCCCTTCCTCCGTTCATCAGAGGGGGCCAACAGTCCACAGCTGTTCTTAATCATCTCCCAGTAACCCCCAGCTCCACAAAGGTGACTCCTTACATGGTGGAGAGGTGGTCGGGCCATCCGTGTGAAATGTGTATGTGACCGTTTTCCTTAAGGGGCACGTAGTCTTGGCAGGTTTCGCTCAATATAGGATGAGCTCAGGACTCCAGTGGACTGTGGATTCAGATCTGGATTCTGGCGCATTCGCCGTGTGAACGGGGGCACGTTGCTGGCCTGTCTGCGCCTCGTCTCCCGACTGTGGAGTGTGTTCTGCCCCTTGTCTTTCTGGGAGGTAGGGAGGGCAGTGAGCCCCTTCGCATCGCCCACCACAGGCCCAGCACATGGCTGATCCCCACTGAGTGTTCTTTTCCTCCTTTGATCCCCTTTGGCTGACCTAGGTTGGAGCAGCCACTAAAATATACCCAGAAACATCTTCCTAATCTACATCTGTGCCAACCCTCATTCCCTGGCGCAGCATGACCATCACATGCCCGCCATTGTTCCTGATCTCTGCTGCTCATGACCTGCTCTCCAGCGCTCCTTCTCATGCTCACATTCCAGTTGGCCTGACCTAGATAAGTGGAGGTTTATTTGACCCCAAAAATTAGCCTTCTACAAACGAATATAATAGTGTCCATTACAGAGAATAAACTTAGTGCGTGTCCCATTTAAGCAGAAGTTACTGAAAGCCTGAGTTTAAGTTTCCAGGGCCTGAAAGTTTTCCATGACAGTTTTCTGCATAATATTACCTACAATTTCAATCTGTTATTTAAAGCCATTCTTGTGTTTGTTGTACTTTGATTAGCTTTATTTTGATTTGAAGTCCTTTTACATTACGGGCAGTTAACGCTTTGTCTCTGTTAGATTTGCTTTTTAGTTCACAAGAGAAACCTCATTCCTCTGTATTTGAATAGTTGCAATGATGGAACAGCTGTCCCTGGAGGGAAATGAAAACAGTGATTCCCCAAATTGTGACAATAGAAATTTGCTCTTGGGTTACTTACAATGTATCTGAGTATTAAAAAATTTTCTTTTTAAACGTTTGAAGTAAAACTACCCAGAAACACTTAGTGGCTGACCAGAAACTAAACTCCTGGCATCCTCAAAATGGGATTTATTGGCTTATAAATGTCCTGTGTTGACTCACAAAGGCACAAACTATCTAGGTAAGTTTTCTTCTAAATGTTGATGGGAGAGCTGGCCACTGTTATGCAAGTTTCATTGTCCTGACTAAACTGCCAAAGAGATTACATAAAATTATATCAACTAGACAAAAGGAAAAAGGAAAAAAAACAGAGGTGTCTTGGGAGGAATCCATATGAGACCAGTAGACCATGAGAGAGACATCCCTTGCCATCTACAAGGAAAATGGATTTTGTTCTCCATATGCAAAACCATCTCAGGAGCTTGCGGAGACACCACTTGCTTACTAGCCAGAAAGAGCAGGTGCCTCCTAAATTCCCCACACAGGAGCTCACAGTGGCTTTCATGCACTGGGATTAAGTTAGACTTAAGAAAGCCTGTCTACTCTTCCTGGGATTTACAAGCCAGCTAGTAAATCCCAGAATAAATCACACGGCACAGTCATCCAAAGATCCCGTCATCCGTGCCGTTTGGAAAGCCCTGCTCCTGTGCCACCCTCTCCCCGTGGAGCCTCCCATGCCCAGGACTGCAGAGTCCTGCCATTCAGACTGCAACTCATCTCACATTCTTCCAAACTATTTGGACAACAGAGCTTTCTCATCACCTAATGCAGATTACAGTCTCACAGAATTGAGTGTTCAGGCAGACACTGATGTGGTTCTGTAGTACAGCAAACAATATCAGTTTACAGTCCTGAGGCCAGGCCTGGTGAACAACGCACGGTAGCGGTGGGGCAGGGTTCTCAGAATGAAACTGGCTTACACATGGCACTCTCTGACCACAACTGTATAAGCACCAAACTACACTTAGTTCCATCTATGAGGTAAAATTTAATGCAGATGAACATCAAAGAAAACGTCAAAGGCTCCTTTTTACAAGTACGTGGGCTACTTAATTTGGTCCAAGTCCATTTTAAAAAGCCCTAGGTGCTTTCACGGCTCTGCTACTGACAAGAAGCCCCAGTGCCTGTGAGCTGCTAATGGGAGGGAGAGGAAGATGAGCTGAGTGGGCCGGGCTATCCCGTCCACACCGGGAGACAGGGAAGGAGACTCCAAGCTGGTGGTGCCAGCACATTCCAGGCCACTCAGGCCTATTCCTAGGTGCCAGGTCACGAAAACCACGCTGACAGATCGTGCTGTGTGCGTGTCATAGCACACAAGCAGGACTGTGAGAGAGTGAAAGTGACACTGGGTGGAGCACTGAGGAAGGGCCACAGTGTGTTGGTGGAGATAGGCTGTCATGGAGAAGAGACCCTGGCTTGCTCTACATTGCTTCCAATGCAACTGCAAGGCAGGTCCCAGAGGGCTCCGGCCTTCGTCATCCAGGTTTGCTCCCTCCCCTCATGGCTTTCCCATCCTCAGATGAGGACTCGGCAGAGCCTACCCCTGCTGACTAACTGTGGCCCCAGGGTGGTGACTCAGCCCTGCACCTCCTGATCCCGTCTGCACTGGGCCAGAGAGGATGACTTACCCAGCACGTTCACATCACACAGCTTTGTGGATTCCTAGGTCCAAGGACCAGAGATTTCAGTTATGTGAGTTATTTTTTTTATTTGTTCTTGCGTATTCCACAAAGGGTCGCAGCTAAACTTAACCTAATGATCACTTTAGTATATCACTAAAAAGACAAAGCTCACAGTGCTGTTGAAGCACATTCATCATCTTTAGACATTTTGACTAGTTATTTCTTAAGCATTTACCTGCTAGTGTTAAGCATCACATGAAATACATATAGAAGTAAGACAAAATTTCTTATCTCCCCAAGTTTGCCAACAAATACAGAGCAGGAAGGGAAGCAGGTCAGAGCAGGAGGCGCAGCTATAGTGAGGCCACCATGCAAGGCACAGGGAGGGTGAGCTCCAAGTTTGAATGGAATGGGTCTGTCAGCCAAGCCCCCTGGCTCTGGGAAGATAGCAGTGAACAAGCCAGATGGCCCCTCACCCTCCAGAGCCGTGAGTCCTGCAGACCAAACAGCGTGACAGGTCCTTTCCCTGTCCAGGAGGCCTCTGTGGGTGAGAGTTGGCTGCGGACAGGGCGTGAAGGCACTTGAGGGTGGGGAAGTGACTCTGACTGGGAGATGCTGAGGACAGGGAGGAAACCACCAGATAAGGGACACTGGGGAGGAGGGGTGGACCCCTCAGGGCCAAGCACATGGAGCCTCATCACAAAGGCAAGATGGTGGCCAAATTCAAGGTCGCTGCAAAAGGAATGGAGAAGAGAGAATAGATTTGGCATTTGGAGGAAATGGTGACAATCATGAGCACCTACCCGGGACTCTCCATGGGTGCTATCTCTACATAAACTCATTCCACCCTCTGATTAATCCATTCTACATATGGGGAAACAAAGGCATGCGGTGTTTACGTCACTTGCCAAGATCTCAGGATTTGATCCAGGTGGCCTGGTTCCATGGTGCAGCCTCTCAGCCTGCATGGATGCCCCAGCTCAGAGCATGACTCTCAGGACAGGGGTCCCAGCAGCCCTCCCTCCCTGAGCAGCAGGGTGCCCGTGCTGCACCACTTCTGTCTAGGAATAGGACATTCTGACACTTTCCTGCCTCTTCCGAGGTCTAGCACTTACTCTATGCCTGCCTGGGAAGGTGGCAAGCTGGCCTGAGGAACAGACTCTTCCATTTTTTAGGGAGCTCAAGGCCACAGATGCTCTGAGATCTGGAGTCCAGAGACAGGAGCGGAGGCTTCTCCTGGTGACCACTCTGCTTAAAAACTTCATCAGATCCGTAGTTTCAGAGCCCCCCTGAACCCCATCCCTTACCTCTACCAGTTGCAGGTGGGTCTCTGGGGTGGGGCTGCCCTCCCCACCAGCACCCCAAGGGCTAAAAGGTTGAGGGGAGAACACCATCATTTGTACAGGGGGATCCTGGAAGATGAGGCCTGAGAAAGCCCTGCGGGGCCCCTCACCTTCTCCCTAGCTGTGGCCAAGAGTGTCTGGCCTTGCCTGCCTCAGGACCAGCCCAAAGTGGAGGTGAGAGGTGAGCCCCAGCCCCCAGGGGAAGGGTGATGGTGGTCTTGGTCTCAGCATGGTTCTGGTAGAGGTGGGTTATTTTGAAGATGATGAACCTTAAGCCTCTTTCTGATCTTGCTTTAAATAAATACTTCTGAACAACAGCAACAACAGAATAGTGTTGATAGGAAAGCCCTCCACTCCACCAGAACCACGCGGCCTTCTCGTCCTCCCCTCCTCCACTTCCTTCCTAAGTCACTGCTCCATGAGCTCTTCCACAGGAGATTTACAAAATAGAACACAAACAATCCAGTTCCCGCCTCTCACTCTGAACTCCTCCCAAGACTCGTGGGGTGCGGCAGCCCCTGGGAACACCCAGCCCTTCAAGGTCAAACACAGCCCCCGCCCCTCACTCTGGGGTACCCTGCCAGAATAAGCCCCGACAGCCATGTGGAGCAGAGCCTTCTTTTTTGTAAGTGGAAGTTCCAGGCTGGCTTTTCAAATCCCCTTTTAACCTCAGTGCTGTATTTCAAAATTCATTCCAGTTTTCCTGTAGTAATTAACAAAAATAAATATTTTAATTTCAATTAAAGTGAGGGTCTCGGAGAAGAAGCAGGAACTGAGTTTCCTGAGAGGCCCCGCTGAGGCTTTGTTGATATTTCTTCCTGCGACCTCTGCTCGGACCCTGGGAGCTCACAGGCCGTATCGCAGCTCTTATCTTTGGGGACCAGTTAAAGCATAACTGCGCCAGGCACAGAGTTGTCCTTTCAAATGTGCCGGCAGTGGGACGGAGACCCATGCGTCAAGTCTCCTCTAAGTTCACATGGGATTCTCTCCTTGTCCCAAAGCTGTCTCTGACTTAAAACCCTCCAACTGATTACCTGAATTCCAGAATATGTCCTGTGCTCTCTGCCCTTTCCCACGCCTTTGGTGAAGACCGGTGTTCTGAGGAAACAGACACTGTGTAGAAATGGCTCAGGTCCTTTAAAGCCCTGGTGTGAGGAGTGGGGAAGGGCTGGGCCAGAGGTCAGCTGGATTTGTTAGATTGACAGAGTGACGCGGACTTCCCCAGAGGCACGGGACCAAGGTGCATGCTCACGCTGTCTCATGCTCTCACACATAATGTGTGTGTGTGTGTGTGTGTATATATATATACACATATACATATATATATATACACACATATGCATATATATAAAACCCCAAGCAGCCTCTGGCTTAGCAGGTGCATTTCCCAGCAGGGCAATTAAAGCCATGGTCCCAGTAGTGGTCTTGGGGTCTCAGGGTATTTGGTCTGTGCAGCCACATGCTTCAGTCTCTGGACCCCAGGTCATCTAACGAGGTGGTCGTGTGGGGACTGGGATAGAAAAGGTGTCTGCACGGACGTGTGTGAAAGGGCTGGCACATCGCCAGTGCTCAGCACTGTCAGCTGCTATCACCAGTCATTCAATCATTCATTCATTCAGTTGTTCATTCTTCAACAGGCCGTTTTAAAAATGTGCCCAGTATACCAAAATCTCCGCTAAGCATTTAAAGAGGCAGAATGAAAGTTAGCAGTGGTGGTGAAACGAAGCTGGGAATGTGCTCTGAGGGCCTCCTTGTGGGCTTAATGAATATGTAGAAACCACGCATTTTAAATAGAGAGGGAGAAAGGGAGAGGTTCCTGGTCCTCTGCATGGGGACTTGTGTGTGGCTCTTTACTGTAGGCCTGTGCCACTCCTGCTCAACAGCTACCACAGAGGACGCCTTCAACAAATGTGAAGAACGAACAAAAGGTACAAATGTGAAGAACGAACAGGGTAGAAAGAAAGGAGAAAGCAAGGGTGAGGGTGAGAAATCAAGGGACAGAGAAGAGAGAAGAGGAGATAGCCTGGGAGTTCACACAGCCAAGAAGGTAGACACTCAGTTGAACCAGCAAGAGGCTGAGCCTAACTCTCCCTTTCGAATGGGCAGGAGTTCATGATATTTAATAAACAGAGGCCTTGCTCTGTAAGAGACAGGGTACCAGGCAGAGAGCAAGTCAGCATCGCAGGAGTCAAACGAGGCAGACAGCGGGGGCAGGGAGCTTGCCTCTGAAGGAGACCCAGGCTGCCAGAGTAGCAGGGAGTCTGGGCCAGTCCTCTTTTGGGAAGCGCTTCCTCGGCTTCTGCCCCCCCTCTCCTCTCCCTTTCCACCCACCATCCTGACATAATACTTCCTAATCTGGAAGTGTTGTCCAGAGAAGAACCTGCTCATTTCCTCTTAAGTAGGCAGGGAAGCACTAACGTCCAGCAGCATCGGAAACCCGTAGGAGCGCTCTCGGCAGTGCAGGGTGAGGGGACAGTCCATGTAGTCATGAGACGTGGGTGTCAGGCAAGCGTCTCTTTTCCAAAAGAGAAAAACATTAAAGGCCTCACAAACGGCGCCCAAAGACTAATTCTGCATAGCATCTTTGCGAGACCCTAGGTTCTTATGATGACTGGTTTTGCCTGAGAAAGAAAAAATTTTAATTTTGCTCTGACATGCCAATTCAACAAATCATTTTCACATAATATTCATGCAAAAAAAAAACAATTTGCCAGAAAACTTGGGAATCCATCCACATCTACAGCTTTTCCCTGCAGTCACACTACAGTGGGATCCCTCCATACAGGAGCGGCAGAGTGGAGCAGGCTAGAGATGCCTGTTTGTTTCTGTTTGCTGCACCGCAGCAAGCATTTCTGTCGTGCCCACTCTGTACTAGAAAGTACATGAACATCAGCCATAAAGGGAACTAGAAAGGTGGCCCACCCTCTTGGTGGAGAGAGAAGAGAGTGTGGTAGAAACAATAATAAGAAGTCTGCAGAACTTGACCCCTCCCAGCCTCTCCCACCTGCCAGCCTGGCCCTTGCAGAGAGATGCAGGCTGCCATTCTTAGGCCAAAGCCTGGGACAGTTGGGCTCAGCAAGGTAGGCATCCGTCAAGCAAGGAGGAGCAGGGGTCAGCAGTGACCCCAGCAGCCAGCAGGGAGAAAGGTGCATGTGACAAGGACACCAGAGGCCGTGGGTCAGGATCAGCCAGGGTCAGGGTAGCATTTCTAGGAATTCACTCTGTTGGGCGCTGTGCTGGCTGCTTCTCACATATTATTCCTTTCTTACTCTCAGAGCAGAGATTTCAATTGCAGCGAGATTGTGGAGGCAGCCAGGGAGGTGGGGAGGGTGGTGTCTTCTAAAAGCATTTTCAGTATCCATGTGGTTTCAGTAATAATAATAATAATAAACCAGTGAAAAGTAAAACAGGACAAAAATCTTCATAGGCAGTGAACCATATCAGAGAGTCCAAGAAAGCACAATGAGAGTGTGGCTTAAAAACCCTGAACGACATTCCTTTGCACCAGCTTGGTGAGGAGGGCATGGTCCCCGCCACCCCCCACCCCCACTTTGCAGATAAACCACATGCAGGAAGGTCAGCCTGGCAAGTCCAGTAAGTTCAAGCCCAGGTCTCAACTGGGCAGCAGAGCTCCTGCTCTTCTTTGTCCTCATATACGAGCACCTCTGGACTTAAAACTTGAGGAACTGGATGGAGAAAAGTTAATGGTCAGCAGCGGGTTACATCTTCTTTCATGCGCCTTTCCATTCTTTGGATCAGTAGTCACTAACGTTCGCCAGCCATAAGTCCTCGACGTGGAGAGGCTCAGAGCCTGGCATGAACATGACCCTGAATTCGGATGCAGAGCTTCTTCCCATGATGATCTGTCCCTCACAGCAGGGTCTTCTCTGTTTCAGGGCATGAACTACTTGGAGGACCGTCGCTTGGTGCACCGCGACCTGGCAGCCAGGAACGTACTGGTGAAAACACCGCAGCATGTCAAGATCACAGATTTTGGGCTGGCCAAACTGCTGGGTGCGGAAGAGAAAGAATACCATGCAGAAGGAGGCAAAGTAAGGAGGTGGCTTTAGGTCAGCCAGCATTTTCCTGACACCAGGGACCAGGCTGCCTTCCCACTAGCTGTATTGTTTAACACATGCAGGGGAGGATGCTCTCCAGACATTCTGGGTGAGCTCGCAGCAGCTGCTGCTGGCAGCTGGGTCCAGCCAGGGTCTCCTGGTAGTGTGAGCCAGAGCTGCTTTGGGAACAGTACTTGCTGGGACAGTGAATGAGGATGTTATCCCCAGGTGATCATTAGCAAATGTTAGGTTTCAGTCTCTCCCTGCAGGATATATAAGTCCCCTTCAATAGCGCAATTGGGAAAGGTCACAGCTGCCTTGGTGGTCCACTGCTGTCAAGGACACCTAAGGAACAGGAAAGGCCCCATGCGGACCCGAGCTCCCAGGGCTGTCTGTGGCTCGTGGCTGGGACAGGCAGCAATGGAGTCCTTCTCTCCCTTCACTGGCTCGGTTTCTCTTAGGGACCCTCACAGCACTAAGGGGTGCGCGTCCCCTGTCAGGCCCTCGAATGCCCTCCCACAGCCAGGCCCCTCTGAGGTTTCACTCTGGCCTGCTTGGCTCCTAGCAGCCACCAACCCATGATGCTGGGCCCTGAAAACACACGCAGACCTGGATGAGTGAGGCCACTGGGCACAACCAGGGCTCCCAGCTCACCAGAGCAGCCTGGGACACAGAGGGTGCTCAGAAACCTACCAGAGCAGCCCTGAACTCCGTCAGACTGAAATCCCCTGTTGCCGGGAGGAGGCGCCGGGCCTGGGGGACGGGTCCTGGGGTGATCTGGCTCGTCTGTGTGTGTCACTCGTAATTAGGTCCAGAGTGAGTTAACTTTTTCCAACAGAGGGAAACTAATAGTTGTCTCACTGCCTCATCTCTCACCATCCCAAGGTGCCTATCAAGTGGATGGCATTGGAATCAATTTTACACAGAATCTATACCCACCAGAGTGATGTCTGGAGCTACGGTGAGTCATAATCCTGATGCTAATGAGTTTGTACTGAGGCCAAGCTGGCTTTTATTGTTAGTTAATTTACATTATATCCTCTGACATGCAAGTATTTTCTTTCGAGATAATGACTAATGATAATGTAATCATTGCTGTCTATCTATTGTACTGAGAAAACACGGCAGAGGAAATCGAGTCCAGCTGCCGTCCAAAAGTCACTGGAGATTGCAATGAGCTCGTCTGGCAGGGTGGGGGGTATGGGAGGGAAAGAGCTTAGGAAACGGCTCTCCCTGCAAAGTCCAACCAAACTTTAACGTTAACCAAACCATTAATGTTGCCATGAATTTGAAGTGAACCAGAGGGAGGTGGCAGAAGAAGCTTAATGGGGAATAGTTCCGGTAGAGAAATGAGGCTTAAGATGAACTACCCTGGCCCTTATGTGTCAGAGAGAACGGCTTGACAAACACACACTGAGGATGTCTGCAGGGATAAAAGAAGAAAGGGAGATGACCCTTGCTTCTCGCTCTCGGGAGGACCATCTGGTCCGGCCCTGGGGATTCTCTGTTTCCTCTTCTGAATCCCAGTGTTGCCCAGCACTGGCCTGTACCCATCCTCACGAGGGCCGCTCTCCTCACCCGGCCCTAGGTCCCTGCCCTGTCCTGAGCCTACAGGGGCCTCCCATGTTGAGAAAGTGTTGCTGACACATTGTCTCTGACCGCTGTGCCAGGCATTTTCTGCTGAATTACCGCACTTGGTCCTTGAATTTCACCCAGCAACTTACTGAAAGGCTGGAACCCATGAACCTACCCCTTCACTGAGGAAAATAAGTTACCCCAGCCATCTACAGCGACAGGAGCAAGGGAGGAGTCGCCTCACCTCTCTAGAAATGTGTATTTGAGGAGAACACTATTGAAATGAATTTCCAAGAATAATCTAGTCAGTATTACAAAAGCAAAATTATTTGGGATATCGTCCTTTTTTACTTAGTATTTTTTCTTTTTCCTATAGCATTATTAACTTTCTGATTTTCCAAATACATACACATTTTTAAATTTCCTGAGTCTTTATCTCTTCTGTTAAAATGTAAGATTTATGATACAAAGGCAGAGATTTGTGTCCATGAATAAGTGAAGTTTGGTGTGCACCTGTGAGCTGAGCCACCTCAATTAATGGAACAGATAAGGAAATAAAGGTCTGCTGATGCATTGTTATTTACAGCCATTTTCAGAATGTATCTCCTCTCCACGAGGGAACTGCAGGGTCCTGCCCCAAGCCATTTATTTTGTCCTCAAGCAGCCCGCCCCTCCCACTCCAGGCACAGCCCGGTCTCCTGCTGGTCTCCCCTCTTCCCACTTGCTCCCCCTCATCTATGCTCCAGACAGAGGCCACATATATTTTTTAACTTTTTTTTTTTTTTTTTTGAGACAGAGTCTTGCCCTGTCACCCAGGCTGGAGTGCAGTGGTGCAGTCTCGGCTCACTGCAACCTCCACCTCCCGGGTTCAAGTGATTCTCCTGCCTCAGCCTCCTGAGTAGCTGGGATTACAGGCGCACACCACCATGCCCAGCTAATTTTTTGTATCTCTAGTTGAGACAGGGTTTCACTATGTTGGCCAGGCTGGTCTCGAACTCCTGACCTCATGATCTGCCCGCCTCGGCCTCCCAAAGTGCATATTTTTTAACTTTATCAGACTTTTCATTCTCTGCTCAACATCTTTCTTTGGTCCTCCAGGTATGTTCAGATAAAACCTGAGCACCTGGCCATGACTGATGGGTTGCTGGGCCATCTGGCCCTGGCAACTCTCCCGTCCACCAGGTCCCCCTCCCGTCACGCTCCAGGCATAGCCTGTGTGTGCCAGCGCAATGCCCACACTCCATGCACAAGTGGAAGCCCTCTCAAAGTCAGTGGCTTAGTGCCTTGATGTGGTCACACCCATTCTCAGGAAGTCCGTTCCCACTGAAAACATTGTGTGTTTTCAACATCATTGAGGCTGCCACGGCAGATTATAATCACTGGCCTAGGCAGCCCACTGGAACTACCAGACCATGAGCCTGAATTTTTTGTTTAAAAATCATATCCTGTTTTCTCTACTCTCTAGTCTCTAGTCAAGGTGAATTATTCAATTTAATAAATTAGGGGCCTAGTGTGTTGTACCAAGGAGCTAAAAAGAGAGAACTCGCAACACCTTCCAGCCCATTCTCCACCTAACACTGGCTATACTGGCTCTCCTCTCTCTCGCTGTTTGTTCCAAAATCTAATAACCTGTCTTCCCACTAGAATTCATCATACATGTTTAAAAACCTAGTTAAATAGTAGTTAAACTGACTGCATAGATCTGGAAATGAGACAGTCTTTCTTTTACAAATCCATATAGACTATGAGTTGGGGGCAGGGGATGACACAAGAATCTATTTTCTTGCCCCCAAACCATTGCTTTCCTTCCAATGTTAAGCTTGTATTCTGTGTATTAATTCAGGTGGTTCCGTTTGGGAATGGCCTCTGTTACCCAGAGATGGGAGGGCCATCAGAACTCGGGGTTGTCTGAAAAAACACTGGTTCTAAAATTATCACTGCTTTCACTTGTTTTTAACCATCATAGTTGTTTGATTTTGAAGGAAAAACATGAGGGTTTTTATTCTATGCTTGTTATATCTATATTGTGGTTTCGTATTTTTTAGATTTTAGTACCTGACATTTTTTTAACTTTTATTTTAGGTTCAGGGGTACATGTGCAGGTTTGTTATATAGGTAAATTTGTGTCATGGGGGTTTGTTACACAGATTATTTTATCACCCAGGGATTAAGCCTAGTACCCATTAGTTATTTTTCCTGATCCTCTCCCTCCTCCCATCCTCCACCGTCCTATAGACCCCAGTGTGTGTTGTTCCCCTCTAAGTGTCCATGTGTTCTCATCATTTAGCTCCCACTTATAAGTAAGAACATGCGGTATTTGATTTTCTGTTCCTGCATTAGTTTGCTAGGGATGATGGCCTCTAGCTCCATCCATGTTCTTGCAAAGTACATGATCTCATTCTCTTTTGTGGCTGCCTAGTGTTCCATGGTGTATATGTACCACATTTTCTTTATCCAGTCTGTCATTGATGGGCATTTAGGTTGATTCCATGTCTTTGCTATTGTAAATAGTGCTGCAGTGAAAATACGCATGCATATGTCTTTATGGTAGAATGATTTATATTCCTTTGAGTAATGGGATTGCCGGGTCAAATGGTAGTTCTGTTTTTAGCTATCTGAGAAATTGCCACACTCTTTTCCACAATAATTGAACTAATTTACATTCCCACCAACAGTGTAAAAGCATTCCTTTTTCTCCACAACCTCACCAGCATGTGTTGGGATTTTTTTTTTTTTTTACTTTTCAATAATAGCCATCTGACTGGTATGAGATGGTATCTCAGTGTGGTTTTGATTTTTATTTCTTTAATGATCAGTGATGTTAAGCTCTTTTTCATATACTTGTTGGCTGCATGTATGTCTTCTTCTAAAAAGTGTCTGCTCATGTCCTTTGCCCACTTTTTAATGGGATTGTTTAATTTTTTCTTGTGAATTTACTTAAGTTCCTTATAGATGCTGGTTATTAGACCCTTCTCAGATTTGTAGCTTGCAAAAATGTTCACCCATTCTGTGGGTTGTCTTCACTCTGATGATAGTTTCTTTTGCTGTGCAGAAGATCTTCAGTTTAGTTAGATCCCATTTGTCAATTTTTGCTTTTGTTGCAATTGCTTGATGTGTTTTCATCATGAAATCTTAGCCCATTCCTATATCCAGAATGGTATTACCTAGGTTGTCTTCCAGGGTTTTTATAGTTTGGGGTTTTACATTTAAGTCTTTAATCCATGTTGAGTTTATTTTTGTGTATGGTGTAAGGAAGGAGTCCAGTTTCAATCTTCTTCATGGCTAGCTAGTCATCATTTATTGAGTAGGGAGTCCTTTATTCATTGCTTTTTTTTTTTTGTCAACTTTGTCAACGATCACATGGTTGTAGGTGTGCAGCCTTATTTCTGGGCTCTCTATTCTGTTTCATTGGTCTGTATGTCTGTTTCTGTACTAGTACCATGCTGTTTTGGTTACTGTATCCCTGTAGTTTAAAGTCAGGTAGCATCATGCTTCCAGCTTTGTTCTTTTTGCTTAGGATTGCCTTGGCAATTCAGGCTCTTTTTTGGTTCCATGTGAATTTTTAAATTGTATTTTCTAGTTCTGTGAAGAATCTCATTGGTAGTGTGATAGGAGTAACATTGAATCTATAAAATACTTTGGGCAGTATAGTCATTTTAATGATATTGATTCTTTCTATCCATGAGCATGGAATGTTTTTCCATTTGTTTGTGTCATCTCTGATTTCTTTAAGCAGTGTTTTGTGGTTCTTATTGTAGAGATCTTTCACTTTCCTGGTTTACTGTATTTCTAGGTATTTTATTCTTTTTGTGGCAATTGTGAATTGAATTGCATTCCTGATTTGGTTCTCAGCTTGACTGTTGTTGGCATATTGGAATGCTAATTATTTTTGTACATTGATTTTGTACAACTGAGTCTTCACTGAAGTTGTTTATCAGCTTAAGGGGTTTTGGGTCAAGACTATGGGGTTTTCTAGATATAGGATCATGTCATCTGCAAACAGAGATAGCTGTTTTCCTCTCTTCCTGTTTGGATGTCCATTATTTCTTTCTCTCACCTGATTTATCTGGCCAGGACTTCCAATACTATGTTAAATAGGAGTGTTGAGAGAGGGAATCCTTGTCTTGTGTCAATTTTCAAGGGGAATGTTTTCAACTTTTGCCCATTCAATATGATGTTGGCTGTGGGTTTGCCATAGATGGCTAATATGTTGAGGTTTGTTCTTTAAATACCTAGTTTATTGAGAATTTTAAACATGTTGAATTTTATTGAGAGCCTTTTCTGCATCTATTGAGATGATCATGTGGCTTTTGTCCTTAGTTCTGTTTGTGTGGTGAATCACATTTATTGATTTGCATATGTTGAACCAATCTTGCATCCCAGGGATGAAGCCGACTTGATTGTGGTGGCTTAAGCTTTTTGATGTGCTGCTGGATTCGATTTGCCAGTATTTTGTTGAGGATTTTTATGTCTATGTTCATCAGAGATATTGGCCTGAAGTTTTCTTTTTTTGTTGTATCTCTGCCAAGCTTTGGTATCAGGATGACATTGGCCTCATAGAATGAGTTAAGGAAGAGTCCCTCCTTCTCAATTTTTTTGGAATAGTTTCAGTAGGAATGGTACCAGCTTTTTTTGTACATCTTGTAGAATTTGGCTATGAATCCATCTAGTCTTAGGCTTTGTTTTGGTTGGTAGGCTATTTATTACTGATTCAATTTTGGAGCTCATTATTGGTCTGTTCAGGGATTCAGTTTCTTCCTGAGGTTTTTATTTTTATCAAATGGAACTTAAGCTTTTTCATTTCCAATTTTTTTATGATCTAAAAATGTGCAGTTTACAGCCCTGTTCAGAATCTGCATCTTCCTCATTCTGCAGATACAGGTCCCTCAGAGCAGGTGACTGAGTGTGTATCCTGTCTGGAGCATAATACTTATGCTAGTAGAGTTACTGTTGTCTTTATTGTTAATTACCAAAGTTTACCACTTATCAGTCACTTACTACTTGCTGGGCATTGCACTAAGCATTTCAGTTGTATTATCTTGTTGGGTCCTTACAGCAATCCTGTGAAACAGATACTGCTATTACCCCACTTTATAGAGAGGTAGACTGAGGCTTCCAGCATTGAAGCAAATTGCCCAAGACTACAGAAATGTAGGTTTCTAAACATCAAGAAACAGTAACCAGTAATGATGACTAAAGCAAGGGATTGTGATTGTTCATTCATGATCCCACTGCCTTCTTTTCTTGCTTCATCCTCTCAGGGGTGACTGTTTGGGAGTTGATGACCTTTGGATCCAAGCCATATGACGGAATCCCTGCCAGCGAGATCTCCTCCATCCTGGAGAAAGGAGAACGCCTCCCTCAGCCACCCATATGTACCATCGATGTCTACATGATCATGGTCAAGTGTGAGTGACTGGTGGGTCTGTCCACACTGCCTAGCTGAGCCTTGGTGGCTGCTCTTAGCCAAACAGCTGAGGCCTTTGCATCCCTGGAGAAATGTCATCACATTACTTAAGGCAGGCACACAAATCCAGAAACATCTGTAAATACCCCTTCAAGCATTCTTTTAAAGACACTTCTTGACTCATTGGGCAGTATGACCTGACATTTGCCCATGTTTGCAAGCAAATAAATAAAACTAAAGTCTTCCGCAAGCCATTACACCAAAATATTCTATTCGCTGAGTTACTCAATGAAATACCGAGTTGCCCTATATTTTGAAGCCTGTTACCAGAGAGACTGAATGTTTTTAAATGCATGGCAGTGAGTAACAACATAAGGCTAATAGAGTCAACATTTCTGCTTTGACTTAAACCTTTTAAACCAGTGGATTTATGTGAAGTCTCTGCAGTGTGGCATTTAAACATTTCAATCTAAATAAGAGTGTGTAATTTGATTGATGCTATTATTCTACCAGATTCACGAGTGCAGTGGGCTCTGGAGGTAGCATTACATGCATGGGATGAGCATTTGCAAAAGAAAGTTGTATAGGGAATATGACAGAGCCAAGTTAATGTAAATATTAATGCCTTTCTGAACTCTAGGCCACAGAGTTGATCTTTTTTAACTTCCTTGGTTTGGGCTAAGGAAGCTGTGATCCAGAGAAGCCACGTGATTTGTCTAAGGTCACATAGCAGTCTGGCCTAAAATAGCTTGATATGCTGTGGATGGAAAATAAATGTGATCCCTCAAGAGGCATGAGGATTTCCAGGCAGTAGCCATACCTCCAAATTGTTTAATCTGGATTTAGATTGTTGGGTAGTCACATGCAGCAGCACAGTTAACAGTGTGTCCTCCTGTGGAAGTTGCCAGCACAGCCAGCCCTCTCACTTGCATGCATGCCCACCAGCCTTCTCACTTGCATGCATGCCCACTGGGTATGTGCTGTACTGGAGACGCCGGGGGTAGGGGCCCAGTCCCAACCCCAAATTCTTTAAAGCCTATTTTTCTAAGTTGCATCTGGTTTCCTACCTGAAGGAATGCTAAGGGTGGATGTTGAGTGAGGACCTTGGTGCAGGGCACCCTGCAGTCAGGATAGTTCATGGAGAGCAATTGTACAGACCCACACTGCTCCATCCCCTCAGGCGTAACACAGGATGCTGACCCCAGGAAGAGTGGGCGTAGAAAAACTAGAGGGCATTATTGTTATTCTGATTCAAATGTACAGTGCTGGCATGGTCTTTAAACAGTAACCAGTACTAGCTGGCCAAGACAGAAAAGTCTACCACAAAGACTTGGTTCTTTCATCACTTATTTGACTGGAAGTGTCGCATCACCAATGCCTTCTTTAAGCAATGCCATCTTTATCATTTCTTCCAGTGTTCTAATTGCACTGTTTTTTCTCATTCCTTCCCCAGGCTGGATGATAGACGCAGATAGTCGCCCAAAGTTCCGTGAGTTGATCATCGAATTCTCCAAAATGGCCCGAGACCCCCAGCGCTACCTTGTCATTCAGGTACAAATTGCAGTCTGTGCTTCCATTGGGAAGAGTCCCTCTAATGAGCATCTCATGTCACTGTGTTCTGTCACATGCCAGCCTGGCCTCCCTGTGTCCCAGATCGCATTATTAAACCCTCCAGCGCATTAGAGCAAGCCTCAGTAAGGCGCAGGCCACATCGTGAACTAAGCAGCATCCGTGAGTGGGGCCCACCCAACTCCATCTCCCCCTCCCCGTCTGAACTCTCCTCTGGTGCTCGTCCTCACTGTCCGGCTAGCCAAAGCCTCAGCTGGGTCTAAGAGAGAAGCATGGTCTATTGGGCTTTGGTGTCAGGCAGACGTGGCTTCACACCCCTGACTCTCCACTTCTTCGCATCACCCAGGCAGCCGATCCACCTATCTCCTTCCATAACACAGGAATACCAAAACCAAGCTCACAGGATTGTCTCAAAGATTCAATAAAATATGTTGCAAAATACGCTCCCTAACACCTCACAGCAAGGTGCACACTCGATGAATGCTGCAGCTTCTTCCCTTTCTGTTTCCTCAGAAGCTATTTGAATCTCATGTAGGGGCTTTCAAGCATCAAAGGATGGTTCATGTTTTATTTTAAGGCACCCACATCATGTCATGAGGGGAGGCAGCTATAATTTAGAGAACCAAGGGGGATTTCATTATAACAAAATTGGCAAACACACAGGCACCTGCTGGCAATAGACCCCTGCTCCTATAGCCAAGAAGTGGAATAGCATCTCTACGGGCCATTCTAATAGCCTCAAAATCTCTGCACCAGGGGGATGAAAGAATGCATTTGCCAAGTCCTACAGACTCCAACTTCTACCGTGCCCTGATGGATGAAGAAGACATGGACGACGTGGTGGATGCCGACGAGTACCTCATCCCACAGCAGGGCTTCTTCAGCAGCCCCTCCACGTCACGGACTCCCCTCCTGAGCTCTCTGGTATGAAATCTCTGTCTCTCTCTCTCTCTCAAGCTGTGTCTACTCATTTGAACAAATTGAATTTTAGGGAAAATAACCATCTAGTGAAACTCACATGGATATGAAGTCAATTTTAACCAAATGGTAAAATCAAAATCAAAATAAATTAAGTGTATTAATTATTTTGTTGCATTGCAACAACTTGATTGTAAGCCTTTTAGGTCCACTATGGAATGTAATTAAATCAAAACTAAACCTAGTTGCTCTAAAACTAACGATTAAGACAAAAATTAAACACCTTCACAATATACCCTCCATGAGGCACACCACCTGCATTCAGGAAAAGTGGATGAGATGTGGTACAAGCATTCCATGGGCAACTTCTCTGTTTCTTTTTCAGAGTGCAACCAGCAACAATTCCACCGTGGCTTGCATTGATAGAAATGGGGTATGTATGAACACCTTATAAGCCAGAATTTACAGCTCTCCACTATGGCTCTATTTTACATGGAAAATGCCTTAACCTAAATAATTTTAACCCAGATAATCTTGAGTTTTCTTCCTGTGTGGGTTTTTCCCTGCACGGCTGTCACGCCTCACAGTGCCGTTCAAAGCGTGACTCCTGGACCAGTAGTAGCATCGCCTGGCCTTGTTAGAAACGCCATTTTTCAGGCCACTGCCCCAGTTTGACCAAATCAGGACCTCTGGGGGTGGCACCCAGTAGTCTATGTTTGAGCCACTTTCCAGGTGATGCTGATGTCTGTTGAAGTGTGAGGCCGTGGTCTAGACCGCACTGTGCCATGCAGAAACCACTAGCCACATGTGGCTACTTCAACTTAAATGTTAATGAGTTAAAATGAAATAAAATATAAAATTCAGTTTCTCACACATGTGAAGTGTCCAGTAGCCACACGTGGCTAGTGGTGACCGTATTGAAGAGCACCGCTCATAGCACACCTCCCTCACTGCGGAAAGTTCTGCTGTACAGCACCCAGCACAGCCCTGCTGCCCACCCTGCAGCCTGTGGCCCAGTAGCACCAGCACCCACCAGGGTGCAGACTCTCAGGCCTGCCCAACCTACTAATCAGAACCAGCATCTCAAGGAGATCTCGGGTGATTTTTGCAAACACTGAAGTTGGGGCAGCCCTGACCGGAGTAACCTTCCCTCATTTCCTCCTGCAGCTGCAAAGCTGTCCCATCAAGGAAGACAGCTTCTTGCAGCGATACAGCTCAGACCCCACAGGCGCCTTGACTGAGGACAGCATAGACGACACCTTCCTCCCAGTGCCTGGTGAGTGGCTTGTCTGGAAACAGTCCTGCTCCTCAACCTCCTCGACCCACTCAGCAGCAGCCAGTCTCCAGTGTCCAAGCCAGGTGCTCCCTCCAGCATCTCCAGAGGGGGAAACAGTGGCAGATTTGCAGACACAGTGAAGGGCGTAAGGAGCAGATAAACACATGACCGAGCCTGCACAAGCTCTTTGTTGTGTCTGGTTGTTTGCTGTACCTCTGTTGTAAGAATGAATCTGCAAAATTTCTAGCTTATGAAGCAAATCACGGACATACACATCTGTGTGTGTGAGTGTTCATGATGTGTGTACATCTGTGTATGTGTGTGTGTGTATGTGTGTGTTTGTGACAGATTTGATCCCTGTTCTCTCTGCTGGCTCTATCTTGACCTGTGAAACGTATATTTAACTAATTAAATATTAGTTAATATTAATAAATTTTAAGCTTTATCCAGATACTCATAACCTGCTAACACACACACATATACACACACATACACATACACACATATACACACACCACACACATACACAGACACCACACACATACCATACACAGACACATACACATGCACACACATATACACACACACCTCAAATACATACACACCACACACACATACATGTATACACACATACACACACCACACATACACCACAAAAACCCCACACACATACACATATACACACCACACACACCACATACACACACGTATACACACATATATACACACATACACCATGCATACATACACACCACACATACATACAGACACACCACACACACGTACACACAACACACAACACAGACACGTACACACACTACAGACATGTATGCACACATACACACACACCACACATACATACACACAGACACATATACACTACACACACCATTACATACACACGTACACATACACCACACACACCACACATACACACACCACACACACATACGCCACACACACACCACAAAAACCGCACACACATACAAACATATACACACTACACCACACATACACACACACACCACACACCACACACACACATACACACACCACACACACCACACATACACGCACCACACATACACACACGTAGACACACCACACACACCACAGAAACACACATTAACACACCACATACACATATGTATGTGCATATACACACCCACACCCCACACACACATGTATAAAGATTTAGATATATATAAAACATATGTTATATATATGTTGATGTAATATCTAATATCTATATATCTAATATGTAGTTTATTAGCTATCTAATATCTATGTCATATATATCAAAATCTTTATATATAAAAATATGTAGAAATCTTTATACATATGTTATATGTATATAAAGATTTAGATATATAACATATGTAAGTTATATATATGTTAGTGTAATATCTAATATATAGTTTATTGGCTATCTAATATAATATAAACAGATTATCAATATTATAAGCTATTAGAAAAATGCAAGTTAAGGCAGATGATATACCTCTTTACACACCAACTACACACACCAACTACACACACACATACACACAGACACACACGACACACACCATACACATGTACACACACACCACATATACACAAACGTACACACACACCACACACACATACACACCACACACACACCACACATACATACACATCCACACACCACACATGTACACACGCCACACACACACATACACACCACATACACATATGTATGCACACATACACACCAACACCACACAGACACCACACATGCATAAACATATAGACATATACACACCACACACCATATGTACACATGTACACACACACCACATATACACACAACACACACAAATACACACACCACACACACACCACAAAAACCCCACACACACACAAACATATACACCCCACACATACGCATATATACACACACACATACACACCACACACATACACACCACACACACACCACACATACACACACGTACACACACCACACACACACCACAGACACACACCACACATACATACACATACACACACCACACACACGTACACACACCACACACACCACAGACACACATAGACACACCACATACACACCCACACCACACACACACAACTCATACCACACATACATACACAATAGACACATACACACCACACACACCATACATACACACGTATACACACACCACATATACACACACGTACACACACACCACACACACCCACATGCACACACCACACACACATACAAATATACACCACACACACATACACCACACACACGGTGCACATACACACACATATACACACACCAGACACACATACCACATACACATCACACATATATGTATACATGCATACACATACACACACACATACACACACTCTCCTCAAGGCAGTTTATCCTCTGAGAACTTTAAATTTACAAAAGACACATATGTCCATTACTTTGAGAAGGACAGGAAAGAACCCACTTTCTTTTGCAGCAACAGCAAGAGGGCCCTCCCGAGGCTCCTGCTCCCTGTCATAAGTCTCCTTGTTGAGGACATTCACAGGGTTCAGAACCCAGGGATCCTGCATGGGATGGTGCTTTGCTGATTACTTCACCTCTGATTTCTTTCCACTTTCAGAATACATAAACCAGTCCGTTCCCAAAAGGCCCGCTGGCTCTGTGCAGAATCCTGTCTATCACAATCAGCCTCTGAACCCCGCGCCCAGCAGAGACCCACACTACCAGGACCCCCACAGCACTGCAGTGGGCAACCCCGAGTATCTCAACACTGTCCAGCCCACCTGTGTCAACAGCACATTCGACAGCCCTGCCCACTGGGCCCAGAAAGGCAGCCACCAAATTAGCCTGGACAACCCTGACTACCAGCAGGACTTCTTTCCCAAGGAAGCCAAGCCAAATGGCATCTTTAAGGGCTCCACAGCTGAAAATGCAGAATACCTAAGGGTCGCGCCACAAAGCAGTGAATTTATTGGAGCATGACCACGGAGGATAGTATGAGCCCTAAAAATCCAGACTCTTTCGATACCCAGGACCAAGCCACAGCAGGTCCTCCATCCCAACAGCCATGCCCGCATTAGCTCTTAGACCCACAGACTGGTTTTGCAACGTTTACACCGACTAGCCAGGAAGTACTTCCACCTCGGGCACATTTTGGGAAGTTGCATTCCTTTGTCTTCAAACTGTGAAGCATTTACAGAAACGCATCCAGCAAGAATATTGTCCCTTTGAGCAGAAATTTATCTTTCAAAGAGGTATATTTGAAAAAAAAAAAAAGTATATGTGAGGATTTTTATTGATTGGGGATCTTGGAGTTTTTCATTGTCGCTATTGATTTTTACTTCAATGGGCTCTTCCAACAAGGAAGAAGCTTGCTGGTAGCACTTGCTACCCTGAGTTCATCCAGGCCCAACTGTGAGCAAGGAGCACAAGCCACAAGTCTTCCAGAGGATGCTTGATTCCAGTGGTTCTGCTTCAAGGCTTCCACTGCAAAACACTAAAGATCCAAGAAGGCCTTCATGGCCCCAGCAGGCCGGATCGGTACTGTATCAAGTCATGGCAGGTACAGTAGGATAAGCCACTCTGTCCCTTCCTGGGCAAAGAAGAAACGGAGGGGATGGAATTCTTCCTTAGACTTACTTTTGTAAAAATGTCCCCACGGTACTTACTCCCCACTGATGGACCAGTGGTTTCCAGTCATGAGCGTTAGACTGACTTGTTTGTCTTCCATTCCATTGTTTTGAAACTCAGTATGCTGCCCCTGTCTTGCTGTCATGAAATCAGCAAGAGAGGATGACACATCAAATAATAACTCGGATTCCAGCCCACATTGGATTCATCAGCATTTGGACCAATAGCCCACAGCTGAGAATGTGGAATACCTAAGGATAGCACCGCTTTTGTTCTCGCAAAAACGTATCTCCTAATTTGAGGCTCAGATGAAATGCATCAGGTCCTTTGGGGCATAGATCAGAAGACTACAAAAATGAAGCTGCTCTGAAATCTCCTTTAGCCATCACCCCAACCCCCCAAAATTAGTTTGTGTTACTTATGGAAGATAGTTTTCTCCTTTTACTTCACTTCAAAAGCTTTTTACTCAAAGAGTATATGTTCCCTCCAGGTCAGCTGCCCCCAAACCCCCTCCTTACGCTTTGTCACACAAAAAGTGTCTCTGCCTTGAGTCATCTATTCAAGCACTTACAGCTCTGGCCACAACAGGGCATTTTACAGGTGCGAATGACAGTAGCATTATGAGTAGTGTGGAATTCAGGTAGTAAATATGAAACTAGGGTTTGAAATTGATAATGCTTTCACAACATTTGCAGATGTTTTAGAAGGAAAAAAGTTCCTTCCTAAAATAATTTCTCTACAATTGGAAGATTGGAAGATTCAGCTAGTTAGGAGCCCACCTTTTTTCCTAATCTGTGTGTGCCCTGTAACCTGACTGGTTAACAGCAGTCCTTTGTAAACAGTGTTTTAAACTCTCCTAGTCAATATCCACCCCATCCAATTTATCAAGGAAGAAATGGTTCAGAAAATATTTTCAGCCTACAGTTATGTTCAGTCACACACACATACAAAATGTTCCTTTTGCTTTTAAAGTAATTTTTGACTCCCAGATCAGTCAGAGCCCCTACAGCATTGTTAAGAAAGTATTTGATTTTTGTCTCAATGAAAATAAAACTATATTCATTTCCACTCTATTATGCTCTCAAATACCCCTAAGCATCTATACTAGCCTGGTATGGGTATGAAAGATACAAAGATAAATAAAACATAGTCCCTGATTCTAAGAAATTCACAATTTAGCAAAGGAAATGGACTCATAGATGCTAACCTTAAAACAACGTGACAAATGCCAGACAGGACCCATCAGCCAGGCACTGTGAGAGCACAGAGCAGGGAGGTTGGGTCCTGCCTGAGGAGACCTGGAAGGGAGGCCTCACAGGAGGATGACCAGGTCTCAGTCAGCGGGGAGGTGGAAAGTGCAGGTGCATCAGGGGCACCCTGACCGAGGAAACAGCTGCCAGAGGCCTCCACTGCTAAAGTCCACATAAGGCTGAGGTCAGTCACCCTAAACAACCTGCTCCCTCTAAGCCAGGGGATGAGCTTGGAGCATCCCACAAGTTCCCTAAAAGTTGCAGCCCCCAGGGGGATTTTGAGCTATCATCTCTGCACATGCTTAGTGAGAAGACTACACAACATTTCTAAGAATCTGAGATTTTATATTGTCAGTTAACCACTTTCATTATTCATTCACCTCAGGACATGCAGAAATATTTCAGTCAGAACTGGGAAACAGAAGGACCTACATTCTGCTGTCACTTATGTGTCAAGAAGCAGATGATCGATGAGGCAGGTCAGTTGTAAGTGAGTCACATTGTAGCATTAAATTCTAGTATTTTTGTAGTTTGAAACAGTAACTTAATAAAAGAGCAAAAGCTATTCTAGCTTTCTTCTTCATATTTTAATTTTCCACCATAAAGTTTAGTTGCTAAATTCTATTAATTTTAAGATTGTGCTTCCCAAAATAGTTCTCACTTCATCTGTCCAGGGAGGCACAGTTCTGTCTGGTAGAAGCCGCAAAGCCCTTAGCCTCTTCACGGATCTGGCGACTGTGATGGGCAGGTCAGGAGAGGAGCTGCCCAAAGTCCCATGATTTTCACCTAACAGCCCTGATCAGTCAGTACTCAAAGCTTGGACTCCATCCCTGAAGGTCTTCCTGATTGATAGCCTGGCCTTAATACCCTACAGAAAGCCTGTCCATTGGCTGTTTCTTCCTCAGTCAGTTCCTGGAAGACCTTACCCCATGACCCCAGCTTCAGATGTGGTCTTTGGAAACAGAGGTCGAAGGAAAGTAAGGAGCTGAGAGCTCACATTCATAGGTGCCGCCAGCCTTCGTGCATCTTCTTGCATCATCTCTAAGGAGCTCCTCTAATTACACCATGCCCGTCACCCCATGAGGGATCAGAGAAGGGATGAGTCTTCTAAACTCTATATTCGCTGTGAGTCCAGGTTGTAAGGGGGAGCACTGTGGATGCATCCTATTGCACTCCAGCTGATGACACCAAAGCTTAGGTGTTTGCTGAAAGTTCTTGATGTTGTGACTTACCACCCCTGCCTCACAACTGCAGACATAAGGGGACTATGGATTGCTTAGCAGGAAAGGCACTGGTTCTCAAGGGCGGCTGCCCTTGGGAATCTTCTGGTCCCAACCAGAAAGACTGTGGCTTGATTTTCTCAGGTGCAGCCCAGCCGTAGGGCCTTTTCAGAGCACCCCCTGGTTATTGCAACATTCATCAAAGTTTCTAGAACCTCTGGCCTAAAGGAAGGGCCTGGTGGGATCTACTTGGCACTCGCTGGGGGGCCACCCCCCAGTGCCACTCTCACTAGGCCTCTGATTGCACTTGTGTAGGATGAAGCTGGTGGGTGATGGGAACTCAGCACCTCCCCTCAGGCAGAAAAGAATCATCTGTGGAGCTTCAAAAGAAGGGGCCTGGAGTCTCTGCAGACCAATTCAACCCAAATCTCGGGGGCTCTTTCATGATTCTAATGGGCAACCAGGGTTGAAACCCTTATTTCTAGGGTCTTCAGTTGTACAAGACTGTGGGTCTGTACCAGAGCCCCCGTCAGAGTAGAATAAAAGGCTGGGTAGGGTAGAGATTCCCATGTGCAGTGGAGAGAACAATCTGCAGTCACTGATAAGCCTGAGACTTGGCTCATTTCAAAAGCGTTCAATTCATCCTCACCAGCAGTTCAGCTGGAAAGGGGCAAATACCCCCACCTGAGCTTTGAAAACGCCCTGGGACCCTCTGCATTCTCTAAGTAAGTTATAGAAACCAGTCTCTTCCCTCCTTTGTGAGTGAGCTGCTATTCCACGTAGGCAACACCTGTTGAAATTGCCCTCAATGTCTACTCTGCATTTCTTTCTTGTGATAAGCACACACTTTTATTGCAACATAATGATCTGCTCACATTTCCTTGCCTGGGGGCTGTAAAACCTTACAGAACAGAAATCCTTGCCTCTTTCACCAGCCACACCTGCCATACCAGGGGTACAGCTTTGTACTATTGAAGACACAGACAGGATTTTTAAATGTAAATCTATTTTTGTAACTTTGTTGCGGGATATAGTTCTCTTTATGTAGCACTGAACTTTGTACAATATATTTTTAGAAACTCATTTTTCTACTAAAACAAACACAGTTTACTTTAGAGAGACTGCAATAGAATCAAAATTTGAAACTGAAATCTTTGTTTAAAAGGGTTAAGTTGAGGCAAGAGGAAAGCCCTTTCTCTCTCTTATAAAAAGGCACAACCTCATTGGGGAGCTAAGCTAGGTCATTGTCATGGTGAAGAAGAGAAGCATCGTTTTTATATTTAGGAAATTTTAAAAGATGATGGAAAGCACATTTAGCTTGGTCTGAGGCAGGTTCTGTTGGGGCAGTGTTAATGGAAAGGGCTCACTGTTGTTACTACTAGAAAAATCCAGTTGCATGCCATACTCTCATCATCTGCCAGTGTAACCCTGTACATGTAAGAAAAGCAATAACATAGCACTTTGTTGGTTTATATATATAATGTGACTTCAATGCAAATTTTATTTTTATATTTACAATTGATATGCATTTACCAGTATAAACTAGACATGTCTGGAGAGCCTAATAATGTTCAGCACACTTTGGTTAGTTCACCAACAGTCTTACCAAGCCTGGGCCCAGCCACCCTAGAGAAGTTATTCAGCCCTGGCTGCAGTGACATCACCTGAGGAGCTTTTAAAAGCTTGAAGCCCAGCTACACCTCAGACCGATTAAACGCAAATCTCTGGGGCTGAAACCCAAGCATTCGTAGTTTTTAAAGCTCCTGAGGTCATTCCAATGTGCGGCCAAAGTTGAGAACTACTGGCCTAGGGATTAGCCACAAGGACATGGACTTGGAGGCAAATTCTGCAGGTGTATGTGATTCTCAGGCCTAGAGAGCTAAGACACAAAGACCTCCACATCTGTCGCTGAGAGTCAAGAACCTGAACAGAGTTTCCATGAAGGTTCTCCAAGCACTAGAAGGGAGAGTGTCTAAACAATGGTTGAAAAGCAAAGGAAATATAAAACAGACACCTCTTTCCATTTCCTAAGGTTTCTCTCTTTATTAAGGGTGGACTAGTAATAAAATATAATATTCTTGCTGCTTATGCAGCTGACATTGTTGCCCTCCCTAAAGCAACCAAGTAGCCTTTATTTCCCACAGTGAAAGAAAACGCTGGCCTATCAGTTACATTACAAAAGGCAGATTTCAAGAGGATTGAGTAAGTAGTTGGATGGCTTTCATAAAAACAAGAATTCAAGAAGAGGATTCATGCTTTAAGAAACATTTGTTATACATTCCTCACAAATTATACCTGGGATAAAAACTATGTAGCAGGCAGTGTGTTTTCCTTCCATGTCTCTCTGCACTACCTGCAGTGTGTCCTCTGAGGCTGCAAGTCTGTCCTATCTGAATTCCCAGCAGAAGCACTAAGAAGCTCCACCCTATCACCTAGCAGATAAAACTATGGGGAAAACTTAAATCTGTGCATACATTTCTGGATGCATTTACTTATCTTTAAAAAAAAAGGAATCCTATGACCTGATTTGGCCACAAAAATAATCTTGCTGTACAATACAATCTCTTGGAAATTAAGAGATCCTATGGATTTGATGACTGGTATTAGAGGTGACAATGTAACCGATTAACAACAGACAGCAATAACTTCGTTTTAGAAACATTCAAGCAATAGCTTTATAGCTTCAACATATGGTACGTTTTAACCTTGAAAGTTTTGCAATGATGAAAGCAGTATTTGTACAAATGAAAAGCAGAATTCTCTTTTATATGGTTTATACTGTTGATCAGAAATGTTGATTGTGCATTGAGTATTAAAAAATTAGATGTATATTATTCATTGTTCTTTACTCCTGAGTACCTTATAATAATAATAATGTATTCTTTGTTAACAATGCCATGTTGGTACTAGTTATTAATCATATCTAACCAACTGTAGGTGTTCTTTCCTGATAACTTTTTTAAAAAATCAATAAATTATTTTTAGAGCAGTTTTAGGTTCACAGCAAAACTAAGCAGAAAGTTCAGAGAGCCCCCCCTGTCGCTAACCAGCCTCTCCCACCATCACCATCGCACCTCAGGAACCAGAGAACTTTTTAATGGAAAAAAAATCCAAGCCAGCTCGGAGGCTTCCTCCTGTGTCTGGGCCAGCCCCTCGGGCTCTCAGATGCATTCCAACTCAAGCTCTTCACATGCCAGAGCCTTCCAGTGCCCTTGAGACCCCTCATTCCAAAGATCTCTTCATAGTTTTTCTCCTTCACAGAGCCAAGAGGGAATTCCCTGATGGAACAGATTTTTCTATGGCAAGCCCAGGTTTTATTTCTTCAGAGTACCAAAATAATTAGAAGTTTGCCCTGATTCTGCTAAAAATCAGAGGAATTAAGTGGGTCCCAGCATGGGCAAGGGGCCTCCCATTCAGCTGCCCCACTCACCGCCAACCTCTCTTACATGTGGGTGGTCCCACCCTCCACCCAGAACTTTCATGGCAGGAGCTCTCACTGCCGTGTTTAATGTAATGAAGCCACTACCTGCACATCGGGAATAGCCACGGTGTGGCAGGGGAGGGTTCTAGGGAGTCCGAGCTCAGACTGCAGTCAGGCTTCCTTACCACAGGAGCATGTTCTGAGAAATGCATCATTAGGAGATGTCATCACCGTGCGAGCATCACAGAGTGTACTTCACACATCTAGATGGCACAGCCCAGCACAAGCCTAAGTGATACGGCGTAGTCTGTTGTTCCTAGGCTAATGATCTGTACAGCCTGGGACTGTACTGAATACTGCAGGCAACTGCAGTACAATGGTAAGGATCTGTGTATATAAACATAGCTAAATGTTAAAAAGACACAGTGAAAACGTGGTATTATAATCATATGGGACCATGTGAACATCGTTATGTGGCACATTATAGAAAACCCAGGTTCTGTGTCTAAACGCTTAAACAGATAAATGAGTACAGATAGTTTTCTCAGTTCTAGCTGTAAAAGTAGAGTTAGGGGATTTGAACTCAACACCTGAGAAAAAGCAAACCTGTTGATGAAGCAGATGATGCTACCAAAGAGGAGAGAACAGCTTCCCAAAACCCAGCATCAAGGGCCGAGCAGCCAGGAGGCTGGGTGGGGATGCACAGGGCGAGGAGGGCAGGCAGGGTGCCTCCTGCAGGCATCAGAGAGTGGACCAGCACCAGACGCAGCTCCTCTCTCCTGATGGGATGGCCCTGGGGCTCCTGGTGGCTCTGACTTCTGTAAAGCGTCTCCCTCCGGCGCCTTTCCCTCCACCAGCCGGTGGCTGCACAGTGCCCTGCCTTGTTTCTTTCACACAGAAGTGAGGGCAGGAAGCAGGCTGTGCCAGCTCACACCACCCCTAATGCTCGCAGCGCTGACTCTAATTGTTTCCAGGAAGATCGCAGCTTTGCTTTTGTGCTGTTCCTGGTGAATGCCATCCGTTGTCTATGCACAAACATGGGGCTGAGAGTAAACCACATTTCCTTGTGGAAGCAGGACTTCAGGATAGCCAGGTCCACGAACAATGAGAAAATCCGGAGCTTCCCAGCATTCTGCTCAAGGCCCAGCATCCCATATCGGAACCCGCCGCACCCACTGCTCTCTCAGCTCCTGAGCCTCCACACCCTGGCTGCCTGGGAACACCTCAGGCACATGCAGGTTTAATATAATCAAAGCCTTCAATTAGGGGGTTTAGTCCATATGGAGGAAGTCCAGATTCTGCAGATGAGACAAGCATGGGGAGCATTCTGAGGTGCTGGCTTTCTGAGCCTGAAATGTTCCCCCAAGTGGAGGCCACGGCCGGCCATCCCACTGAACAGCCTTCACCTCAGGGCAGACTCAGTGGCACCACTGATTTGTCACTGACCGTCACGATTCCAGCTGAAGCTGGGTGCAGATGGGGTTTCAGCTGGAAGAGGTTTTCCCTTTGGGCCAGTAATCCTATAAAAGTCATCATACCTGTCTGGGGAGATGGGCGATTTCCCTAGAATGGAGAGTCCAACGTGCAGGAGGGAGCTGCTCTTCCTGTCGGGCCTTGGGTGCACCCCTCATAGGGCTCAGGTCCCACTGCTCCAGAAAGGACCTTTAAACACTCAGGTCGAGAAGCAGCAAGATCACATTTGGTATTTGCCCTAGTCTTAAAAACAATAAACAAAGCATGATAGGGAGCCCATGGGCAGATGTCTGCAATTTATAAATGTGTGCCCTGAAGCACCCTCACCCTTCTGTGCTCATCACCTCTGAGCCCCGGGGACATGCACCCCGGGGAGGCCAGCCCTGCCCTCACTGCCTTCTGTGGCCTCTGCCTTCCATCTTTCTCTCTACATGGACGCAGGGCTAGGAAACCTAGAGACTGGGTTCTAAAAGAAATAGAAACCTCTTTTTTACCCTGCTCCTGAGAGTCAACCCTTCTGAGCTCAAGCAAAGGGCATTCCCGGTCCTCAGCTCCTTGCCCCCACATAGATCTGAAGTGAGCCTGTACCGCCCACCTCTCAGTTCTCAACTGTCGCTTAATCCTGCCCCACAATAGGCCACCCCTGGGCTACAACTTGAGCTTCTAGGTGTGCACACTGAAGGCTCTGAACAGGCTCACAGCCCGGGGACACTCGGCAAGGACTCCCCACATTCCCAGCACCTGAGCGAGGCCCAGAAAAGAGAGGGGCAGGCACCAGATTGGCAGCTTTGTATCCTTTCTGCCCACCCCCAGGGAAAGGGTGTAGCCCATATATGGGGAAGGGGGGCTGGGGAGGCCAGGGGCTCTGCAAGCCAGGGTCCACGTCACTTAGGACTGAAGGCGGCACTGCCCAGGCAAATGGCACCTGAAAACCCAACAGGAACCTGGAGGCCCAAAGCCTCCAGGCGCCTAAAAACCCATTCACTTTTCTAAACTGCATAGTCCCTTATTTGAACCAGTAATGTCCTTAAAACCTCCAGTGCAGCTCTATCTCGGAGGGAGTGGAGGTGGGACCTGGGAAAGCCATCCCTCTCTCACTCCAGATGGCTTGGGGCCACCCCTTACTGACTATTTTCATTCTAAAGAGGTTGCTTCTGTCACCCTTTCAGCTTCTCCAGACCCCTCTCCTTCCATCTTTCTCTCTTGTATAATCTAACCTTTCCTGAACCCAAGCAGAAATGCAGTGACAAACCCACAAGATATTCAAGTGCTGGCACGCTTCTCTCTGCACTTGCACTTTGCCTGGGCTGACTGGCTTCTCAAGGGCAAGTCTAAGGGAACACTGGCCAGTGCCACATACAGACTTTAGGGGTCAGGGACAAAGAGATGTGATGTGTGATCTACAGCGTTTCTCCTGTAGATCAATGACACAGAAGACGCCGGAAGGGCAGGCCCCATTGCTGAAACGTTTGCCAGGTCCAAATGGTTTTGGAGCACACTTGCAAACTTTCAAAGAACAGCTAATTTTTGTATTAAAGTGTTTCAGAGCACAAAAAGATGGGAAGTTTCTCAGTTTATTCTACAAGGTCCGAATAGCACTAAAAATCAGAGAGATACTAGAAAAAGAAAACTATAGCTTTATTCATGAATGTAGATGTAGAAATCCTAAATGAAATGTAGGAAATGGAATTATTTATTCTAGGAATTAAAAGATAGCTCATTTTGTTTATACACGTGAGGAAAATAATAGGTGAAATGTTAATATTAACTCATGTTCATAAGGCATCAATAACGCCCAATCACATTGCTGTTAAAATCTCTTAGTCACTTGGGAATAGAGGACAACATGTTTAATTGGATTAAAGTATCTGTCAAAAATTAATAAGAAACATCAAACATAAAAGTGAAATACCAAGAACCTAGCACCTTAAATCAGAACAAGACAAGGATAACTATTATCACATCTATTATTCAACACTCCAGAAATCCAGTGTTTTGGGGGACAAGAGAAGACATATTACTTAAATATGATATATTTGCATCATTAGAATATAGTCAGAAAACCAAATCTAGTCAGCAGCCTATTTCTATGAGGTTTTATTAGGACACAGCCATGCCTACTTATTTATGTATTGTCTGTTATGACTGCTTTTATACTACAGTGGCAAGTTGGGTAGTTGGAACTGAGATCCTTTGACCTGCAAAGCCAAAAATATTCCCTGTCTGACTTTTTACAGCAAAAGTTTGCCTCTCCCAAAATAATTAACTGAAAACAAAATTAAACAAGAAAATCAGTAGGGTAAGCACATAGAAATATAATCAGTAGTTTTTCTACATACCATCCATCATTAATTAGACAACATAATGGAAAAGAATTCCATTTAAAATAGCAACTAAAACAACAAAATATCTAGAATTAAACTTAAATGTGTGAGAATAATATGAAAACAAAAACTAAGAATCCTTTCTGAGGCATAAAAGGAGACTCAAAAAGATATATTACATTCATGGACATGAAGACGATGTTATAAAGATACCAATTATCCCTAAATATAACATACATTCAATGCAATTCAAATGAAAATTTCAGTGGTTATTTTGGGGAGTATAAGCTTTAGAATTTGGAATCTAGAATAGAAAATGTACCACAGTAGCCAACAACATTTGGAAAACAATTGAGTAGTGAAGGAATGATACAAAAATATACTATATAAAAATAATAACTAAATCAGCACAGTAATTAACGGAAACATAGTTTGGAAGCAGATACGTGTGCATAGGAATGTGTCCATGATAAAGAGGACATCTCCAGATGGGGGACATGACAGACTACCCAGCAAATGATTTTGGAGAAAACGCCTATACATTTGAAAATTAATTATGGTTCTATTTCACACTCTACCCAAAGACAAATTTCAGATGGACCGAAGATCTAAACATAACAGCCAAAACAAAGTATTGGGTAAAATCTATGTGAATATTTTTGAATCTCAGGAAGAGGAGGTGATCCTAGTGCATAGCACAAAACCCCAAAGGCATAAAGAAAAAGATGGACAAGAAGGAAATCCAATGTTTTTCAGTTTTTAAAGGAAAAATAACTAACCACTGAAGAAAAGCCAATATATATACAGGGAGAAAAACTTTAAGATATATCAACAATTAATACCCTAAAATGTGAAGTATTCCAATGAATTTGTAAAAAAATTAAACACTCTATTAAAACTTTAACAGTGTATCAATGGACAATTTATGGAAAAAATACAAACGGCAAATAGCACTAATAAGTATATAGCCTACCTCACTAACAATGAAAGAAATGCCACTTAAAACAGAATGATAACCTTTCACCCACATTTTGGTGGGAATGTGAATTACTATAAACTTTTTGAAGGGCAAACAAAATTTTACATTTGTGTATCCTCTTGATATGGCAACTTCACTTGTAAAGATAAATTCTGTTAACATATTCAACTATAGAAAGATATATAAATTAGAATGTTCACTAAACCACAGTTTGTAATGGAGAAAAAAATGGAAACTTTTAATGTCCATCGAAAGGGAAACTATCCCATAAGTCATGGAACATCATAATATAGAAGTCTGTGCAGTTGATAGAGCAATAAATCTGGCCAGGTGCAGTGGTTCATACCTGTATTCCCAGCACTTTGGGAGGCCGAGGCAGGCAGATCACTTGAGGTCAGGAGTTCAAGACCAGCCTGGTCAACATGGTGAAACCCCATCTCTACTAAAAATACAAAAATTAGCCAGGCGTGGTGGCGGGCGCCTGTAATCCCAGCTACTTGGGAGGCTGAGGCAGGAGAATCGCTTGAACCTGGGAGACGGAGGTTGCAGTGAACCGAGATCATGCCATTGTACTCCATCCTGGGCGACAGAGCGAGACTCCATCTCAAAAATAATAATAATAATAATAAATCCATCTGCAATAGCATGGAGGTATATCTGAGAGAGAGAGAGAGTTTTAAATGAAGCAAAACAAGTTACTGAATAATAGTTTTGTTTTGAAAAAAAGCTTCTATTTGTGTATATGTCTGTGTGTGTGTGTGTGTGTGTGTGTGTGTGTACAATCTGAAAACCTCTTGGAAATATTAATGTCAATTAACTAATGGTGGAGACCTCTAGTGAGTAAGGAGTAGAATGTGAAATGATGAAATGACAAAGAGGAAATTTTACTTTTTATTGTATACACTTCTGTTGCTTGAATTTTTATAATGAATATATATTACTTCTGCAATTGTAATAGGAAAAATATTATGTGTCAGTTCATGGCCTTTCCCCTTCCTTCCACTTGCAACAGAACATTTAGCAATTTCTTATTTAATTTTCTCTTCTTCCTGATCTCTCTCCCCCAGAACAAAATCCTTGCTGCACACCTCCCTGTGGGAGGAGCCCTGAGTGGAAGCGATGCAGGCCTAGTGGGCCGAGGTGGTGGGGTGTGTGTTTCCTGTTGGGACCACTTCAGGTGGAATGCCCTGGCTCCTGGGAGACCAGGACGGCCCATGTAGGCACAGGGGTGAGATCCCCATTGGTGTAAGAGGGCATCAGCCAGCTGGCACTGCCCTCACAGAGTGCTGTGGGCCCAGTGGCTGACACAGTGGTGTTTACTTCTCACAGTCCTAGAGTGTGGAAGTCTAAGGTCAAGATGCTAGCTGATTGGGCTCCTGGTGAAAGAGAGAGGGAGCACTCTGGTGTCCCTTCTTAAAAGGATGCTAATCCTATCCTGAGGGCCCCACTCTCATGACTTCATCTAACCCTACTCACTTCCCAAAAACTTCATCTCCAAATACCATCACCTTGGGAATTAGGGCTCCAGCATATGAATTTGGGGGGGACACAATTCAGTCCATAACAGAGAGGTGTCTTTATTTTAGGCTGCAAGAGAAAAAGGAATGATAGAGGACTTTAATCAAAGTATATGCACCCAACCGCGTAAGGGACAGCCAAGAATTACCTAGAATGTATGTCTGCGTCCTGTTTCTTTTTTTGAGATGGAGTCTCACTCTCGCCAGGCTGGAGTGCAGTGGCATGATCTCAGCTCACTGCAACCTCCGCCTCCTGGGTTCAAGCGATTCTCCTGCCTCAGCCTCCAGAGTAGCTGGGACTATAGGCACCAGCCACCACACCCAGCTAATTTTTGCTTTTTTAGTTGAGACGGGGTTTCACCATGTTGGTCAGGATGGTCTCAATCTCTTGACCGTGTGATTCACCCACTTCGGCCTCCCAAAGTGCTGGGATTACAGGCGTGAGCCCCTGCGCCCAGCTTGAGTCCTGTTTCCTGAAGTGAGATACTGATCCAAGTCTCAGCCATGATGGGTCAACGTTTCAATACAACACATTTTAAATCCTAAGAAACAAATAATATTTTTAAATGTATTGCTTACAGGAACCAGCAACAGAAAGAGTTGCAATGTGCTTTTATTTTTTTTTTTTTTTTTAATTTATTTTTTTATTGATAATTCTTGGGTGTTTCTCACAGAGGGGGATTTGGCAGGGTCATGGGACAATAGTGGAGGGAAGGTCAGCAGATAAACAAGTGAACAAAGGTCTCTGGTTTTCCTAGGCAGAGGACCCTGCGGCCTTCCGCAGTGTTTGTGTCCCTGATTACTTGAGATTAGGGATTGGTGATGACTCTTAACGAGCATGCTGCCTTCAAGCATCTGTTTAACAAAGCACATCTTGCACCGCCCTTAATCCATTTAACCCTGAGTGGACACAGCACATGTTTCAGAGAGCACAGGGTTGGGGGTAAGGTCACAGATCAACAGGATCCCAAGGCAGAGGAATTTTTCTTAGTGCAGAACAAAATGAAAAGTCTCCCATGTCTACTTCTTTCTACACAGACACGGCAACCATCCGATTTCTCAATCTTTTCCCCACCTTTCCCGCCTTTCTATTCCACAAAGCCGCCATTGTCATCCTGGCCCGTTCTCAATGAGCTGTTGGGCACACCTCCCAGACGGGGTGGTGGCCGGGCAGAGGGGCTCCTCACTTCCCAGTAGGGGCGGCCGGGCAGAGGCGCCCCTCACCTCCCGGACGGGGCGGCTGGCCGGGCAGGGGGGCTGACCCCCCCCACCTCCCTCCCGGACGGGGCGGCTGGCCGGGCGGGGGGCTGACCCCCCCACCTCCCTCGCGGACGGGGCGGCTGGCCGGGCAGAGGGGCTCCTCACTTCCCAGTAGGGGCGGCCGGGCAGAGGCGCCCCTCACCTCCCGGACGGGGCGGCTGGCCGGGCAGGGGGGCTGACCCCCCCCACCTCCCTCCCGGACGGGGCGGCTGGCCGGGCGGGGGGCTGACCCCCCCACCTCCCTCGCGGACGGGGCAGCTGGCCGGGCAGAGGGGCTCCTCACTTCCCAGTAGGGGCGGCCGGGCAGAGGCGCCCCTCACCTCCCAGACGGGGCGGCTGGCCGGGCGGAGGGCTGACCCCCCCACCTCCCTCCCGGACGGGGCGGCTGGCCGGGCAGAGGGGCTCCTCACTTCCCAGTAGGGGCGGCCGGGCAGAGGCGCCCCTCACCTCCCGGACCGGGCGGCTGGCCGGGCGGGGGGCTGACCCCCCCACCTCCCTCCCGGATGGCACGGCTGGCCGGGCGGGGGGCTGACCCCCCACCTCCCTCCCGGTTGGGGCGGCTGGCCGGGCGGGGGGCTGACCCCCCCTCACCTCCCTCCCGGACGGGGTGGCTGCCGGGCGGAGATGCTCCTCACTTCCCAGATGGGGTGGCTGCTGGGCGGAGAGGCTCCTCACTTCTCAGACGGGGCAGCTGCCGGGCGGGGGGGCTCCTCACTTCTCAGACGGGGTGGTTGCCAGGCAGAGGGTCTCCTCACTTCTCAGACGGGGCGGCCGGGCAGAGACGCTCCTCACCTCCCAGACGGGGTCTCGGCCGGGCAGAGGCGCTCCTCACATCCCAGATGGGGCGGTGGGGCAGAGGCGCTCCCCACATCTCAGACGATGGGCGGCCGGGCAGAGACGCTCCTCACTTCCTAGATGTGATGGCGGCTGGGAAGAGGCGCTCCTCACTTCCTAGATGGGATGGCGGCCGGGCGGAGACGCTCCTCACTTCCCAGACTGGGCGGCCGGGCAGAGGGGCTCCTCACATCCCAGACGATGGGCGGCCAGGCAGAGACACTCCTCACTTCCCAGACGGGGTGGCGGCCGGGCAGAGGCTGCAATCTCGGCACTTTGGGAGGCCAAGGCAGGCGGCTGGGAGGTGGAGGTTGTAGTGAGCCGAGATCACGCCACTGCACTCCAGCCTGGGCACCATTGAGCACTGAGTGAACGAGACTCCGTCTGCAATCCCGGCACCTCGGGAGGCCGAGGTTGGCGGATCACTCGCGGTTAGGGGCTGGAGACCGGCCCGGCCAACACAGCGAAACCCCGTCTCCACCAAAACCAGTCAGGCGTGGCGGCGCGTGCCTGCAATCGCAGGCACTCGGCAGGCTGAGGCAGGAGAATCAGGCAGGGAGGTTGCAGTGAGCCGAGATGGCAGCAGTACAGTCCAGCTTCGGCTCCGCATGAGAGGGAGACCGTGGGGAGAGGGAGACGGAGACGGAGACGGAGAGGGAGGGGGAGGGGGAGGGGGAGGGAGAGGGAGAGGGAGAGGGAGAGGGAGAGGGAGAGGGAGAGGGAGAGGGAGAGGGAGAGGGAGAGGGAGAGGGAGAGGGAGAGGGAGAGGGAGAGGGAGAGGGAGAGGGAGAGGGAGAGGGAGAGGGAGAGGCTAATTGGCAACTCTGCAATGTGCTTTTAAAAGGGAGTTGAAGCAGCAGGGTGTTGGGTGTTCTCAGTCCCACAAGAGAATTTATCCCTGATGCATGCAGGAATCTACTGAAAATAATTAATACCTTCTCTCCTACCCTTCTAGAATTGTGCTAGTTATGCATCATCCTTGGGGGAATAGAGACAACGGTCACCTATTTGTTTTTTGTAGGGCTTAGTTCTCTCCTGGGACCTTAGTTGAGAAAGGCCCACTAGCATTCCAGAATAAAAGATGATTTCAAACTTCATCTACTACCTTAACCAAAAGAAAGACATATAATAATTTAGTAAAGTTCTAATTGAACAGTGAAAGAATTACAACTAAGGAAATAATAAGTGATTATATAGAGAGAGAGGGAGAGTTTTAATATAGACAAGACACTGTCCTGAGTGTACATCTAAGACAGAAATTATTATTTCCACTTTACAGATGAAGAAACATTTAAAGTGCAATATTACACTGCTATTTTGGACACAGTAGCATAGATCTACTACATCAGTGTTTTACCTTCCTAAGAAATTCAATAGGGAAAAGTCAGGTCAACCTTGCTGGGGACCAATGCCTCCACAGCTGGATATTTCCTGGAGATCAGCTACCACACTGCCTGGACACCAACCCCAAACTAAAACCAGTCAGCTCTGGGGTAGACCAGGACCCAGGGCTCCCTGAGAGCGATCAGACCCACAGTCTTATGCCAGCATGCGCTGAAGACGCTTAGCCCACCGCAGCACACATTTACTGGCCTACTCTGTGCCAAGTCAGGTGTTTAGCACTGCGGAAATACCTAGGCCAGTGCTCCAAAAGAAACCTTTACACCCGCAGATGTGCACACATGCACCTGCGCACACACAGACACACACACACGAAATTTGGCGAGGAGCCCTGGGCAGAGATAACCCTACCCTCACCTGACAGAGGAGGATTCTGGCAACTGGTGACCACCAGGCTGAGCTCCTGCAACCTGGTAAACTGTCAAAGTATTGGGTAAAATGTATGTGAATATTTTTGAATCTTAGGAAGGGGAGGTGATCCTAATGCATAACACGAAACTCCAAAGGCATAAAGAGAAAGATTGATAAGAAGACTGTTTGATGTTTTTTAATTTTTAAAGAAAAGAATAATTAACCACAGAAGAAAACAAAGTGGGAGGAGAGGCTGACTCTTTCCATGTTAAAGAACGAATCAAAAACTCAGCATGGGCTCTAAAACAGCATTGTTCATTATAAAAAGTACAGACATAACACAGAAGATAAAGCAGCATACTTCTGTGTCTAGAAAAACGTAAAGATCTCCTTAATGAGGTCCTGGAAAAGCTAAAACCGGGGAGGCAGTATAAAGATGCATGCTTGCAGGGAGCCAGCGGGGAGGGACAGATGAATCCGCTGAACACGGGGGATTTTCAGGGCAGGAAATTACTCTGTATGAGCCTGTAATGGTGGATATATTTGTCCAAACCCAGAGTATACAACACCAAGAGAGAATCCTCATGTAAACCGTGGACTTTGGGAGATCATGATAGGTCCATATATTGTAAGCAATGAGGCTCTCTGGGGCGGGATATTGATAAGGGGGATACAGTGCATATAGGGGGACAAGGGCTGTATGGGAAATCTCTGTGCCTTCTGCTCAATTTGGCTATGAACCTAAAACCACTCTAAAAATAAAGAATTTTTTTAAAAATCACTTTAAGGGGAAAAGGACACTCATTTTAAACCAACTTTTTTGTACTCCTGGCAGAGTCTGCTAGAGCGCAAGCTTCCCCGCCGTGCCTCCCTTTCTTGCACATGGG
Organism: Homo sapiens; assembly: GCF_000001405.40. Classification (NCBI taxonomy): domain Eukaryota; kingdom Metazoa; phylum Chordata; class Mammalia; order Primates; family Hominidae; genus Homo; species Homo sapiens. The sequence continues at coordinate 55,223,183 of NC_000007.14, forward strand.
ACGTCGCACTTCCCTGCCCCAGAGGCAGGTGGGCCACGTGACTCGCTCTGACCCACAGGCTGAAAAGGAAGTGACACAGGAAACTCCCAGGACACTGCAGTGCAGATGCCACCTGTGTCCTAATGACTGCTGGAGCCTGTGTGCAGATGGGAACAGAGAGGGCCCATTTCAGGCTTCTGCCGTGACCCATGGATGTGGCTTAGAGCCTGCGTTTTGAAGGGTTCCTCTTCTGGGCCTGCTTGCTGTCCCTTCACTCTGCTGCTTCCACTACATCTATACTTCTGCACAGGCTCGCATTTTCAGTCCAAAGCAGGGGGCTGTTGACTCAAGGGGTTGTCATCTTTCAGCACCCATTCATGATGGCAATTCTTTCTTTCCAAAAATAGCTTTAAACATCTACTTTGTTCCTTTTGAGCATTTTCTACAAAAGTTACCTAGGATATTAGCCAGGTCAACACTACTTGTTCATATCTTGCCACTAGGAAGTTTTCCATCCAGCCAGCCATCCACCCATCCATCCACCCACCCATCCATCCATCCATCCATCCATTTGTTCACTTATCTGTGCATTCTCTTGATAAGTATTACTAAGCACCTACATGCCCGCTACTATGCTAGACACTGGGAATTGAATGGGAACAAAGCCAGCAAAGCCTTGTCCCTACCAGGAAACTGCAGCTTATTTCTATGTCCCTCTCTTTCCTGGACACACAGGACTTTAAAAATGTGAGCCTGAAGTCACCATGGAGTTCCAGAATAGCCATATTGCTTTCTTTAGATGGTTCTGTTTTTCTCAGGGATGTATTTGCTTATTTTAAATACTTCCAAAACTCCTCATTGAGCTTTCCTATAGAAGGTCACACCTCTCTCCTCTTGAAAAGAATTCCACCTTGCCAGGTCTAGTATTATCTAAATAACCCCGACTTCCCCTCGCTCTTTATCACAAACTAAAGCAATGCAGACCTTCTATCATCTTCCACTTGGACCCCTGGGTGAGCCCACCAACCTGTCTTCCTGACTCTGCAAGTGGGTCCCTCACATCCCTCCTCCACACCACCCCTTCCCAGATCTCACCACAGCTCTCACCTCCTTCAACTGCACATTGCCTTGGGGATAAAGCCCAAGCTCCTCAGCTGGACGCCCATTCCACACCTCAGTGTCCTGTCTGTGCCATACGCTAGCATCCTCCTCACCCTATCCAGCTCTTACTCGTCCATCAAGACCCAGCACAGGTGCCATCACCTACAGAAAGCCACCTCTGCACCCCAGGTGGGGCTAAGCCCCGCCTCTCAGAGCCTTCATAGCACCCTGTACTTCTATCCTCACATGACGTGTCAATATTGAATATCCCACTGTGTAGATTTTTTTCGGACTAGAAAAAGGCTCCTTGGAACCAGGGACTGTGTCATATTACTCTCTAGTTCTCTGGTGCCTGGATCAGCAACCGGCACATAGTAAGTGCTCCATAAAGGGTTGATGACTGAGCCAGCACAGCCACTGCCTGCACCTTCTGGCACAGCTCCTGCCTGCACCTGTCTTTTACTGAACAGGCAATCCTTCCACTTAGATCCAGAACAGGGCAGCTCCTGTAGCGACTTTCTCCTTGTTTTGTGAAATTAACTTCTCAGTGATCAAAGGGAAGACTTTCAGCAAAATGAAATGACCAGCACAAATCTAATTAAAACCCCTCATCAGGAAAGGGCCTGAATCCTGTCTCCGTCTGTTGAGCAGCATCAGGACCACCTCATTTACCCATCAGTACCCTACACCCATCCCCAGTGGCAGGACACCCTCCTCCTGCCACTCTGTACTGTCCTAAATGCTGCAGTCTCGCCTACAGTCTTGGATATGCACATCCATGTAACATAGGCTGTACAAGGATACAGCCTTCTTCTTAACAACTGCAATGTCATAGATGCTACTGGATCTTCTTTTGGTGGAGAGGGACACCTACTCCATCATAATTCTGCATCTTGCTGTTTTCCCTCAGCACTGCCTTGGAGACCTTTGTTTACAACATAAAACTCTAGGTTGTTCTTTGTAAATATCACATAGTACTCTACAGTGTGACTATAACTTTTTTTACACAGCTATTTCCCTGTTGATAGACCTTTGGAAGCCTTTCCCCTGTCTCCACTATTATAAATAATTTTGCAGTGAACATAACTGCATCTCCTGGGTACCTCCAAATGCTCTCTCGGAAACACCACAATGAGGACTCGCTTTGTCCAGGGGTATGGAGATGCTGTACTTTCAATAGATACTTTCAAATTGCTGAATGATATAAGGGGGCCCATTTCTTCACATCCTTGCCAATGCTTAATACTATCAAATTTCATAATTTGTGTCCCTTCAAGGATTTTTCTTTTGGTTTTTGCCTTGTCCTACTGAAAATGGGCATTGTTTCTCATTTTTATATAAAAATATGCTTATATTTACATAGTATAAAATTTAACATGTTGAAATATTTTTTCTTTATTACCCACTGAAATTTCTTCTGTGACCTTTTCCTTTTGGATTTGTCTTGTCTTTTTTTTCTTTGATATTCCTCCTCTTGTGCTTTTTTTTGTTCAACTTTTATTTTAAGTTTTGGGGTACATGTGCAGGATGTGCAGGTCTGTTACACAGGTAAACGTGTGCCATGGTGGTTTGCCGCACAGATCATCCCATCACCTAGGTATTAAGCCCCCATGCACTAGCTGTTCTTCCTGATGCTCTCCATCCCCCAACCCCAGACAGGCCCCAGTGGGTGTTGTTCCACCTCACGTGTCCACATGTTCTCATCATTCAGCTCCCACTTATAAATGAGAACATGTGGTGTTTGGTTTTCTATTCCTATGTTAATTTGCTGAGGATAACAGCTTCCAGCTCCATCCATGTCCCTGCAAAAGACATAATCTCATTCCTTTTTATGGCTGCATAATATTCCATAGTGTATATGTACCACATTTTCTTTATCCAGTCTATCATTGATGGGCATTTAGGTTGATTCCGCGTCTTTGCTATTGTGAATAGTGCTGCAGTGAACATACATGTGCATGTATCTTTATAATAGAATGATCTATATTCCTTTGGGTATATACTCAGTAATGGGATTGCTAGGTCAAATGGTATTTCTGCCTCTAGATCTTTGAGGAATCACCACACTGTCTTTCTCAATGGTTGAACTAATTTACACTCCCACCAACAGTGTAAAAGCATTTCTTTTTCTTTATATCCTCACCAGCATTTGTTGTTTCTTCAATTTTTAATAATTACCATTCTGACTGGCATGAGATGATATCTCATTGTGGCTTTAATTTGCATTTCTCATTGTGGTTTTGATTTGCATTTCTCGAATGATCAGTGATGTTGATTTTTTTTTCTTATGTTTGTTGGCCATATGAATGTCTTCTTTTGGGAAGTGGCTGTTCATGACCTTTGCTGACTTTTTAATGGGGTTGTTTGTTTTTTCTCTTATAAATTTAAGTTCCCTGTAGACTAGATATTAGACCTTTGTCAGATAGATAGATTGCAAAAATTTTCTCCCATTCTGTAGGTTGTCTGTTCACTCAGATTATAGTTTCTTTTGCTGTGCAGAAGTTTAATTACATCACATCTTTAGTTTAATTACATCACATTTGTCAATTTTTGCTTTTGTTGTAATTGCTTTTGGTGTCTTTGTCATAAAATCTTTGACCATTCCTATGTCCTGAATGGTATTGCCTAGATTTTCTGCTAAGGGCTTTATAGTTTTGAATTTTACATTTAAGTCTTTAATACATCTGGAGTTAACTTTTGTACAAGGTATGAGGAAGGGGTCTAGTTTCAATTTCTGCATATGGCTAGTCAGTTCTCACAGCACCATTTACTGAATAGGGAATCCCGTCCCCGTTGCTTGTTTTTGTCAGGTTTGTCAAAGATCAGCTGGTTGTAGGTGTCAGTCTTATTTCTGAATTCTCTATTCTGATCCATTGGTCTAAGTGTCTGCTCTTGTACCAGTACCATGCTGTTTTGGTTACTGTAGCCTTGTAGTATGGTTTGAAGTTGTGTAGCCTGATGACTCCAGCTTTGTTCTTTTTGTTTGGGATTGTCTTGGCTATTTGGGCTCTTTTTTGGGTCCATATGAATTTTAAAATAGTTTTTTCTAATTCTGTGAAGAATGTCAATGGTAGTTTAATGGGAATAGCATTGAATCTATAAATTACTCTGGACAGTATGGCCATTTTTATGATATTGATTCTTCCTATCCATGAGCATGGAATGTTTTTCCATTTGTTTTTGTCCTCTCTGATCTCTTTGAGCAGTTGTTTGTAGTTCTCCTTGAAGAGGTCCTTCACTTCCCTCATTAGCTGTATTCCTAGGTATTTTATTGTCTTTGAAGCAACTGTGAATGTGAGTTCATTCATGATTTGGCTCTCTGCTTGCCTGTTGTTGGCATATAGGAATGCTAGTGATTTTTGCACATTGATTTTGTATCCTGAGACTTTGCTGAAGTTGCTTATCACCTTAAGAAGCTTTTGGGCTGAGATGAAGGCATTTTTCTAGATATAGGATCATGTTATCTGCAAACAGAGACAGTTTGACTTCCTCTCTTCCTATTTGAATACGCTTTGTTTCTTTCACTTGCCTCATTGCCCTGGCCAGGACTTCTAATACTATCTTGAATAGGAATGGTGAGAGAGGGCATCCTTGTCTTGTGCTGGTTTTCAAGGGGAATGCTTCCAGCTTTTGCCCATTTACGATGATATTGGTTGTGGGTTTGTCATAAATGGCTCTTATTATTTTGAGGTATGTTCCTTCAATACCTAATTTATTAAGAGTTTTTAACATGAAGAGATATTGAGTTTTATTGAAGTCCCTTTCTGTGTCTACTGAGATAATCATTGGTTTTTGTCTTTACTTCTGTTTATATGATGAATTACATTTATTTATTTGCATATGTTGAACCAACCTTGCATACCAGGGATGAAGCCTACTTGATTGTGGCAGACAAGCTTTTTGATGTGCTGCTTGACTCAATTTGCCAGTATTTTGTTGAGGATTTTTGCATCAATGTTCATCAGGGATATTGGCCTGAAATTTTCTTTTTTTGTTGTATCTCTGCAAAGTTTTGGTATCAGGATGATGCTGGCCTCATACAGTGAGTTAGGAAGGAGTCCCTCCTCTTCAATTCTTTGAAATAGTTTCAGTAGAAATGGTACCAGCTCTTTTTTGTATTTCTGGTAGAATTCAGCTGTAAATCTGTCTGGTCCTGGGCTTTTCTTCGTTGTAGGCTATTAATTACTGCCTCAATTTCAGAACTCGTTATTGGTGTATTTAGGGATACAATTTATTCCTGGTTCAGTATTGGGAGGGTAGATGTGTCCAGGAATTTATCCATTTCTTCTAGATTTTCCAGTTTATGTACATAGTAATCTCTGATGGTTGTTTGTATTTCCTTGGTGTCAGTAGTGATATCCCCCATATTATTTCTGATTGTATCTATTTGATTCTTCTCTCTTCTCTTCTTTATTAGTCTAGACAGCAGTCTATCCGTTTTATTAATTTCTTCAAAAAACCAGCTCCAGCTGGGCATGGTGGCTCATGCTGGTAATCCCAGCACTTTCGGAGGCCAAGGCAGGCGGATCACCTGAAGCCAGGAGTTCAAGACCAGCCTGTCTGAGATGGCTAAACTCCATCTCTTCTAAAAATACAAAAAGTAGCCTTGTGTGGTGGTAGGCACCTGTAATCCCAGCTACTTGGGAGGCTGAGGCAGGAGAATTGCTTGAACCCAGGAGGGGAGGTTGCAGTTAGCTGAGATCACCTCACTGCACTCCAGCCTGGGTGACAGAGCAAGACTTTGTCTAAAAAAAAAATAAAAAATAAAATAAAATAAAACACAGCTCCTGGATTTGTTTGTTTTTTTTTGAAGGTTTTCTCATGTCTCTAGCTCCTTCAGTTCTGCTCTGATCTTGGCTATTTCTTGTCTTTTGCAAGTTTTCAGGTTTGTTTGCTCTTGGTTCTCTAGTTCTTTTAGTTGTGATGTTAGGTTGTTGATTTGAGATCTTTCTAGCTTTTTGATGTGGGCATTTAGGGAACTATAGAGTTCCCTGGTAGCACTGCTTTAGCAGTGTCCCAGAGATTCTGGCACACCATCTCTTTGTTCTCCTTAGTTTCAAAGAACTTCTTGATTTCTGCCTTAATTTCATTATTTACCCAGGAGTCATTCAGGAGCAGGTCATTAAATTTCCATGTAGTCTTGTGGTGTTGAGTGAGTTTCTTAATCTTGAGTTCTAATTTGATTGCACTGTGGTCTGAGAGACTGTTATGATTTCAGTGCTTTTGCTTTTGGTGAGGAATGTTTTACTTCCAATTATGTGGTCAATTTTAGAGTAAGTGCCATGTGGTGATGTGAAGAATGCATTCTCTGTTGTTTTGTGGGGGAAAGTTCTGTAGACATCTATCAGGTCCACTTGATCCAGAGCTGAGTTCAGGTCCTGAATGTCTTTGTTAATTTTCTGTCTCAATGATCTATCTAATATTGTCAGCAGGGTGTTAAAGTCTCTCATTGTTATTGCGTGAGCCTAAGTCTCTTTGTAGGTCTAAGAACTTGCTTTATGAATCTGGGTGCTCCTGTTTTGGGTGCATATATATTTAGGTTAGCTGCTCTTGTTGAATTGAACTCTTTACCATTATGTAATGCCCTTCTTTGTCTTTTTTTGACCTTTGTTGGTTTAAAGTCTGTTTTGTCACAACTAGGATTGCAACCGTGCTTTGTTCTGTTTTCCATGTGATGGTTAAATTTTCCTCCATCCCTTTGTCTTGAGCCTACATGTGCCTTTGTATGTGAGATGGGTCTCTTGAAGACAGCATACCAACGGGTCTTGACTCTATCAAGTTTGCCATTCTGTGTCTTTTAATTGGGGCATTTAGCCCATTTACATTTAAGGTTAACATTGTTATGTGTGAACTTGATCCTGTCATGATGATGCTAGCTGGTTATTTTGCAGACCTTTTTATGTGGTTGCTTCATAGTGTCACTGGTCTGTGTACTTCAGTGTGGTTTTGTAGTGTCTGGTAATGGTTTTTCCTTTCCATATTTAGTGCTCCCTTCAGAAGCTCTTGCAAGGCAGGCCTGGTGGTGACAAATTCCCTCAGCACTTCCTTGTCTGAAAAGGATTATATTTCTCCTTTACTTATGAAGCTTAGTTTGGTTGAATAAGAATCTGGGTCAGAAATCATTTTCTAAAAGGAGGTTTAATATTGGCCCCCAAAATCTCCTCTGGCTTATAGGGTTTCTGCTGAGAGGTCCACTGTTAGTCTGATGGGCTTCCCTTTGTAGGTGACCTGGCCTTTCTCTCTGGCTGCTCTTAGTATTTTTTCTTTCATTTCAACCTTGGATAATCTGATGATTGTGTCTTAGGGATGACCTTCTCATGGAGTGTGTTACTGGGGTTCTCTGCATTTCCTGAATTTGAATGTAGATCTGTCTTGCTAAGTTGCGGAAGTTCTCCTGGATAACCTGAAATATGTTTTCCAACTTGCTTCTGTTCTCCCCATCTCTTTCAAGTATCCCAATCAGTCATAGGTTCAATCTTTTTACATAATCTCATATTTCCCAGAGGTTTTATTCATCCCTTTTCATTCTTTTTTCTCTATTCTTTTCTGCCTGTCTTATTTCAGAAAGACAGTCTTCAAGCTCTGAGATTCTTTCCTCCACTTGGTTTATTCTACTCTTCTATTAATACTTGTGGCTCCATTGTGACATTCTCGTGTTGTGTTTTTCAGCTCCATCAGGTCAGTTATTTTGCTCTGAAAACGAGCAATGCTGGTTTTCAGTTTCTGTATTGTTTTATTATAATTCTTTGCTTCTTTGTGTTAAGTTAAAACATGCTTTTTTAGCTCAGCAAAGTTTTTTATTACTCACCTTCTGAATCCTACTTCTGTCATTTCAGTCATCTCAGCCTCAGCCCAGTTCTGTGCCCTTCCTGGAGAGGTGTTGCAGTCATTTGAAAAAAAAAGGGACTCTAACTTTTTGAGTTCTCAGCATTTTTGCGTTGATTCCTTCTCATCGTTGCGGGCATATCTACCTTCAATCTTTGAGGTTGCTGACATTTGAATGGAGTCTTTTTGTTGTTGATGTTGTTGATGTTTGTTTTTCTTTTAACAGTCAGGCCACTTTTCCACAGGGCTACTGTGGTTTGCTAGGGGTCCACTCCAGACCTAGCTGCTTCAGTCCTTCCTGCACCTGGAGGTATCACCAGTGAAGGCTGCAAAACAGCAATTATGACAGCCTGCTCCTTCCTCTTGGAGCTCTGTCTCAGGGGGACCCTGACCTGATGTTGGCCCAAACAGTCTTGTAGGAGATGTCTGGAGACCCTTCTTGGGGGGTCTCACTCAGTCAGGAGGAACAGGATCAGGGACCCACTTAAAGAAGCAGTCTGGCTGCCCCTTGGCAGAGCAGGTGCACTGTGCTGAAGGGAACCTCCCTCATGCAGACTGTCTGGACTTTCTAGAACCAGGAGGCTGGAAAAACTAAGAGTTGGCTCAATGGCAGAGACAGAGGCTGCTCCTCCCCCTGGGGGCTCCATCCCAGGGAGATCAGATTTCTGTCCATATAACCCTAGCTAGAGTTGCTGAAATTCCCACAGGGAGGCCCTGCCCAGTAAGGAGGGATGGACCGGGGTCCCACTTAAAGAAGCAGTCTGGCCACAGTCTGGCATAGCAATGTGCCGCATTGTGGGGAGCGCCTCTCAGTCTGGACCACTCAGGCTCCCCAGAGCCAGCAGGCTAGAACAGCTGACTCAAACCAGAGAGATGGTGGCCGCCACTCCCCCCTGGGGAACTCAGTCCATCTTAGGCAGTCTCCAGCTTGCTGCCACTAGCTGTCTAGAATGTCAAGCCAGTGGGTCTTAAATTGTGAGGTGCAGCAGAGGGGCCACAGAATGATGCCACTTGGCTCCCCTAGATTTAGCCCCCTTCCTAGGGGAATTCTGCCTTGCCAGAATTACCGGGGCTAGAGTATGCAAAACTCCTGGGTCTCCACATGTGCATGAGTGGCCACTCCACTGAGACTCCACACAGCTCTGTGCTTTGGACCTAATGCCCCGGTGGAATGGGCTCACGAGGGGATCTCCTGATCTGCAGGTTTGCAAAAATCCATGGGAAAAGCATGGTTTCCCAGACACGGTCGCACAATCACTCACCACCTCCCTTGGCTGGGTTGGGGGCTCCCCTGGCTCTGCCACTCTCAGGAGACCCATACCCCACCCTGTACTTCATTGCTCTCTGTGGGTTGAGCACTACATCTCGTCAGTCCCAATCAGTCCCAGTGTAAGAACCTGGATATGTCAGTTGAAGATGGAGAATTCACTCCTTTTATTTATTTTCATTTTTCAAGACTGTCTTGCTCTATTGCCCAGGCTGGAGTGGCGGATCTCAGCTCACTGCAGCCTCGGCTTCCTGAGCTCAAGTGATCCTCTCACCTCAGCCTCCCAAGTATCTGGGACTATAGGCAGTTACCACCTCGTCCAGCTAATTTTTGTAGTTTTTGTAAAGACAGGATCTCCTTATGTTGCCCAGGCTAGTCTTGAACTTCTGAACAATCCTCCCACTTGAACCTCCCAAAGTGCTAGGATTACAGTTCTGAGCCACTGTGCCCAGCCTTCTCTTTTTATTGACTTATAAAAGTTCATTATTTATTCTGGATTTTCATTTTTAATTTTCTGATCACATGGATTATACATTGTAAATATTATCTTTGGTAAAATGTAATTTTAAATTTTTTACATCAACTTTATTTTTTGATAAATGTGATGCTTTGTACATCTTGCTTTAGAAGGCCCTCATTTTCCCCATAGACATAAATGTTCTCCCATATTCTTGTCTAGCTCCAGGGAACTTTCATTTTTGACTTCATGACTCCAGCAGAAGACTGCCTCTGGCTGCCCCCAATGTGGCTGCTTCTCTCATTCCAGGCCCAACCTTCAGTTGGCATTTCCAGGCCCAAGTCCCAGCCCGCCAGGCCTGCCATCCTCATTGCCATCTGCTCACGTCCACCCTTACAATCGCCTATTGCTCCCAGCATCTCAGCGTGTGATGAAAGGTGGATGGAAGCATTCCCAGTGCCCCCACCGCCTTCAGAATGCAGGCCCTGACTTTCTAGCTCTGGCGAAGAAAAGCCTCCCACCACCCATGGCACCTGGAGACCGAGGAGCAACCTGGGTCTTGAAGGGTGGGAGATGCATGCAATCCCTGGACAGCTCTAAAAGATGCTTCTCTGGTGCTTCCAGGCAGAGAACTAGCAGCAGCGGGTGGTTGCAAGGGTCTGGAAAATCTTGGCGGGCTCGGTCACAGCCTGCACAATCTTTCCCAGAGAATTGCCACAGCCCTGTTGGAAGAATCAGCCCTACCACCAGGCCTCTCTTCTTCCAGGGCCAGCTCCCTCACCCACCGCAGGCCTGGGAAGCCCCTTAGGACTCCCCACTTCTCTGGAGCCTGGGCAGACCTCTTACTACTGCCCTTTTTCCACAGGAGAGAACTCTTTCCTCTGTCCTTGTCTGTCTCTGCTGGGCATCTGACACGTTCACCTGGGCTGCACCTTGAGGAACACTCTGCCTAAGTCCCAGGTCAACAAGGAAGGGAGAAGGTCACTTAGGAATGAATCTGGCACAAATCACAGAAAACAATGTGATTCCAAAACGTTCACGCTTTAAACAAAAAGGGGTTAATTTCCTTACTTAGGATAAGCCCCAAGGGAGTCAGCCCAGGGCAGATGGAAGAGCTCAGCATCGCCCAGAGGCACCGCCCTGACTGTGCCAGCTTTCATCATCGTACCAGCTTGCAAGGTTGCTGCTGCCCCTCAGCTGACAAGTTAGAATTCCAGGCAGGAAGATGAGGGACGAGGAGAGAGGAATGGTGAGTGAACCCAGCCCCGTTGGATCAGAAAACCTAGACGCCGGGTTGTGTATCATCTGCCAGGTCACTGGCCCCAGATAAAGAGAGCTGCCCGAGTTTCGTAGGGCAGCCGCGTTCCTCCAACCTGGGTTGAGGAGGTCACCCTCCCGGGATTAAGGGTTTCCACCAATGACCCTAACAGCTGGGGCTACTGTTAGCAGAAAATAAGAGGGAAGAAATGTAGCTGGGCAGACAGTACCCAGGGCACACACAGGAGAAACCCAAGGGAGAACAGGGCCACGGCAGTGGACACACTCTCTAGGCTGGAGGTCGGGGCCCCATCGCAGCCTCCGTCAGGCAAGGTGGGAGATGGAGGCTGGACATGAGCCTGCGCAGTGGGTCAGGGTGCGTTCCCAGGCTTCTGGGGATGCCAGGGATGTCACACTCCCACAGCTCTGTGGAGCAGAACACCAGGGGGCTAATGGGGGCCCAGAGAGCAGAGTCCAACCCATCAGGAAGGCCCTGGGAAACAGGAGCAGGAGGGTGAAGAGAAGGCCTAGAGAGCAGCCTCGGGAGGAAACTCACAGGCACGGGGCAGCCCAGGCAGGGCTCCAGGCGGAGGTAACCAAACCCAAGGTCCGCTGCTCGCTGCTCGAATCCAAACACACGAGAGAACTGGTGGGAGGAAAAGAGTGCCAGCAAGCCAAGAAGATGGCCAACTAGCATCCTACAGCACCACCTCGAGTCGCTACAAACTTTAGGCTATTTTATGTTAAGGGCAGGAGACAGAGGAGGGGGTTGGGATCAAGAGGTAATGGAGGACCGCAGACACCTGGGAGCCAGCACGGGTCCAAGAAGGTGGAGAATGGCTTTGTCACAGTGCTCTTGGTTACAGTGCTCTTGGTCAGGTCACAGTGCTCTTGGAAATCTTTCACAAAACATAGTTGTTTACATACTTCTCCTTTAGTCCCAAAGCTAGTTTTAAAAACTACATGATTGCTGTTAATTTTCTCTGTACTCTAAAATTATCCTCCCCTACGTGCAAGAATGGGTAAAGACCCCTTAAAAATGGAGTTGTGTTCTTTTGCTGTTTCACTGTCATAGCATTACAGAGGAAAGCCGTGACTTTGGAGACATAGAGGGGCTCCGCATTGCTCCCAGGTGCGCCCCAGGAGTTCTGGGAACAAGATCAGGGCAGGAAGGCCGATTCTAGACCTCACACCCGGCGGGAGCGAGCTCTGCCCTTGCCGGAAGTGACCAGGTTGCGGTTGCGGTTGCAGTTGCAGCTGACCTGCACTAAGGCAGCCCGGCTGCAGAGGGAGAGCCTGGGAAGTGCAGGTAATGCAGTCCTCAGGCCTCCTCCACACCCCATTTCAGTCATGCAGACCCCAAACCCTGCGGGGCTCTGTGCCAGGGGCTTCAGGCCTGCGGTGGCTCTAGCGGGAAGGTGGGGAAGAATACCCTCTTTTCTTGACTCACCATGACCCCCGGCCCAGCCTCCTGATTTGGGTTTGATTTTCTCCATTGTACCAGACTTGGGCACTCTCTGGCTTATTTGTGCATCATCGCCTCCACTCCCTGTGGGAGCGCTGCACTCACGGGGGCAGCCTGGGGTGTGGAAGGCCTGAGAGCCCTGCAGACCGCTCATGCTTCAGGCCCCATGGCCAGGACCTGGAACCCCTTTGCTTTTTCCCTGCCCCCTTCTTCCCACCTAGAATTCTAACGTTTGCCTGGAGGTGCAGCAGCCATCTTGCAACCAGGAGGGATGCCAAGCACCTAGTGTGTTAGTTTTGTTACCTGGAGCCTTTCCTTAAGACTCCTTAGTCCTTCCCAGCTTGCTCTGTTTCCACTCTCTTCCCCCTCAGTCTCTCCAGCTCCTCCCTTTAGTAGCACAGAACAGTGAATAATCACAGTGGTCATTCACTGCAGAACAAGAAATAACGAGGTGCCGCGGCACAGAGCCTCATTTATTTTGGAGTTTTCATTCGTAAACAAGATAGAATTGAGTATCCTCTTGCTAGTAAATTATCTGAAATCATTGGCATAACGCATCTTGCTTAATAAAGACTGCAAGGCTGCTACAAAGTCAGAAGTTCTGTCCAGAAGTTGGTTTGGTATCTTCCTTCTTCCCTACTTTTTTAACTCACCCCCGAATTTACAAACAACACCAATTTTCTGTGCCTCTCCTACACAGCATCCCCCCTGCAGCCCTCTAAACATGGCCACTGTCCCAAATTGGGTGTCTATCATGTTCTTGCTTTTTAAAAACAGTTTTATCACAAATGAATGCATTTCTAAGCAACATGTTTCATTTTGTTTGATTTTTGTTGATTCTTAGTTTAGGTGGTCACCTTTCTCCACTTGAGACTATGCTGGTAAGATTACCCATGTTTTGTCAAAGTACATTGAATTTATTTCCTGGGCTGTAGTTTCGTTTGCATTCAAACAAAAGATGACGAGAATTATAAGCCCCTTCCTCCTGCTTTAGCCTAAGTGGCATTCTGTCCTCCACGGTGAATTTTGCAGATGGCTCACATCATCACAGGCACAGTGTCAGGCCTCACTCAAGGATAGTTTTTTCCGACATCAGGGTATTTCCCCTGCGAGGGAAGCAAGGACTGCCACAGGTGTGAAGGTTGTTTAGTGAAATGAGAGTGATTTTAATAGGTCATAAAAAGTGTTATTGCTTCTCTCATTTGGAATTGCTCTGCAGAAAACAGAAACGATCATTTTATTTCTCAGGAATGCATTTCATTAGCTCTAAGGTGATATCATCATATCGACATAGCCTGTACTGCTAAGAGAGAGGGTGACCCCACGATTTGCTCAGCGGCCCAACACAGAAGGATCTTGTGATCAATTGCATTTCTCTTGGTCCTGAATGCATGTAACTTCAGCCTCAACTCGCTTTCCATATGGTCTCAATAAACAAAATTCAGCAAAAAAATGAGTGCCCTAAGCACTGCAGGCACTAAGCATCCTCTGGAGCAAGAGCTGCGAGATCTGGCCTGGTCCTGGGTTTGTGAGCCATTCGCAGTGTGCCCTGGAGTGGCCCTTCCCCTCTGGCCTCAGTTAGCTCATCTGTAAAATGAGGACACTGGACCAGATGGTCTTCACTAATATCCCTTCCAGCTCCACAATTCCAGAATCTTTCAACTTAGAAAGAAACCCAGAGAGTAGAAACGTGACTGGCGAATTCCAGGGTGGGAAAAGCGTTCCAGCCGGTGGCCTGCACTGCATGCATATTCATGGTGCTCGCAGCAGCCAGAGATGCCCCATTGCTTTATTAATCTGCTTCACTGAGCCCAAGTTTGGGTTGGAGGTAGACCAAGACTAACTGGCAGGTGATGGAACTTCAGTTTTCCTTTCTCCCTAACAAAACAACAAGATCCACTGCCTGGTCCAGCCTGCCCACACGCATTTTGCAATAACAAAGACTCTCTGAGGCAGCTTCGAAAGTAGGAGCTATGCGGACTCTCCAGATTCTAAAGTTAGAAGGTGAAAGCAATCGCCTGCACCTGTCCTGGGATTGAGCATGGCCTCATCTCACAGGAGGACAGGAGCACAGCCCCTCCTCCTGATCTGAGGCCGGGGTTGAGCACAGCTTCATCTCACAGGAGGACAGGCGCACAGCCCCTCCTCCTGATCCGAGGCTCTGATTAAGAATGGCTTCATCTCACAGGAGGACAGGCGCACAGCCCCTCCTCCTGATCCGAGGCTCTGATTAAGAATGGCTTCATCTCACAGGAGGACAGGAGCACACCACCTCCTCCTGATCCGAGGAACTCATCCAGGCTCTGCTACTCACTAATGGGTAGGACCTTGGCAAATCCTGCATCCCCTGTACAGTGAGATGTGGGACCAGAGGGTCCCTAAGGCTACCCCATCTCTAACGGATTGAGATCAGACAACCTGTCTATAATAAAAGAAACAAATGCAGATGCCTATTCAGAGAGATATAAATGTATATACAGGAAAAGAACTTGGAATCGAGATGCTGCCTTCCTCCGTGTCTGGGATATTCATCAAGCACCTGCTCTGTGCTGGACTCAGGCTTTGTGTCCTTCAAACACTATGCCAAGGTTAAGCAGACAGTAATATTATATAACATATGGAATACACAAATATTCCATTTCACAGATGAGGAAACTGCATCTTAAAGACAGTAGTAACTTTCTTAATAACACGTGTATTAGTCACACAAATACAAAATGTCACTGTTAGGAATTGAACCGGGGCCTGACCCAAAGTACAAGCTACATAAACAATAGATCTTGGATGTTTTTGCATGGTGGAAAACACCACGTGAAGAAACTGCTGAGCTCCTCATGGTGGGGCACTGCCCGCAGTCTAGGTGGAGCGTGTGCTCTGGGCTCGCACCTCCCAGCAAACCGGCTTCTCTCTCAGCATCCCCCGTCTAAACACTGTAATTGGGAGGAAAAAGATTGACAAGTGACTCAGTTATGGCTGCACTTCTGTGATGAGCTGCACATAGAGGGTGAAAAGGAGCAGTTCTGCTTACCTTTGAATTTTTATGAAAAAAGAGGAGCAGAGATGCATTAAGCCTGTGGAAGCACTTCCTGGCACTGCGAGTTTCCAATTCACCACTGGAGCGATTTTTACACACCTACATGAAATAAAGACCCGACAGTTGGGGTGGCTTCGTCACATAGAAAAATCTGTAATGATTCTGTGGAAATGAGCTTAGTAATTTTTAAATAACTCATCTAGAAGGAAATAGGACTTTTTAATATGCAGGCACAGCTTTCTTCTCAGCAATTCAAGGTAAATATTTTATAGAATGCCCACAGTGCTCTCGCCTGTTCCCAAACATTAGAAAAACCATAAACCATAAGGGTCCCCCAATGCCATGCACAGTATTATGTAAAATGTGAGTCTCTTTTATAAGTGGGAAAGAAGCATAAGCTGAAAAGACATACAGCTGTTTGGATTTCAATTTGGGGAACCAAGTGTATCCGCCTCATAGGACAACTCAGATTCTGGTGAAAAGCAATAACCACATTATGGCAGCAGAACAAGGGGCCAAAAGGGAGAAAAACAAAACGCAGTGGCTGCCTGTGCCTTCCCTCCCTTCCTTCTCCCTCAGTCCACTTGGTCAAGGAGTGGAGAGCAGATGTCATGAGCAGTGCAAGGTTAGAAATAACCAGGTCCATGCACGTTTGTGTCTTTCCACAATATCAGACTTCTACTGATGCTATTTCAGTCACTAAAGCCAGGAGCTCCATGGAGTTCCCAAGGAGGCATTCTCCTTAGTACACCTTGTTCACTCAGCAGTCAGAGCTATGGGCACACAGGCTCAGGCCACTCCACCAGTCAGACAATATTGCAAACCATACTTCATCAATCTGTAAATATTACAGGGTCCATATTCTGCAAAAAACAAAGTAACATTTAACAGCAAGAGGAAAAGGAGATAGTAAAAAGGGTTAACGAGCCAGTCCAGGGGAAGCGAAGAAGACAAAAAGAGTCCTTTTCTGGGCCAAGTGGTCCATCAGTCTTGGAAGGAAGAGTCTTAGAGGTGGCAGAGCCTTCAGTGGCAGATGCCAAGTTCTCACCATGAGTGACTGCAAGACAGTGTCAGTTAAGATGACCATTTGGAGCTGCCAAAGGCTTAGTGTTTGTGCCCTTATCTGGTTGGATGCAGTCTTTATTTTTTGTGTATTCATGTTTTTGTTTTATTTATGTTGTTGTTTTATTGTCTATTGTTTTTTATTTGTTTATTTAGACAAAACGTCTTATCCTTGTTGGCAGAGTGTTTGTGAAATATAAAATGGGAGTGTTTTCTAGGCTGGAGTTAGTTATGTCAGGGGTGTTCTACACAGCAGCGGGGAAGAAGCGGATGTCAGGCCAAGTGCCTGCCCAGGACAGCGAAAAGCCACTGGCTTCCAGGGTGGTGCTAGACCAGCCACCTAGGGTTCCAGCTGAGACTGTGGAACAAGGCTGAGCTTTATTAGCAGATTTTCTGGAGTCAGAAGTGTCTCGGCAAGGTGACAGGAGAGCCAGGTGGCTCTGTCCATGGAGATGCAGGGGGTAGGGAGGGGGCCGCAGGTGTTCAGTCTTGCCGGACGGATGCCAGGCTTGCGCTCGTTGTGCTGTGAAGAATTGAGAATCCCACCGTCAACAGATCAATCTGCTCCGCCCTCCTGCTGCAAGCCTGAAACAGGGTAAATCACGAAATGCCAGGCAGAGATGCGTGCTGAAGCCTTTTACAGCAGTACACCTGAGTTCGTGGATGAGGAAGTTCCTTTTCTTCACCCATGAAGGCAAAGAAGAGAGACATGACTTCTGGCAATTTTTGGCCAGTCACCCAGACCCCCTCATTTTCATGTTTTCCTGATTGCTCCTCTTCATCCTCCCTGCCACACCTGCTCAGGCCTTTCTCCTTCTGCCTCTTCTTTTCGGTTTTTCTCTCTTTTAAATATATCTTCACTGGTGTGATCCAGTGAGAACACTGGCCTTGGGCACACATGGGCTGGAATCCTGACTCAACCCGAGGCAGTCTTGTGATCACAGACAATTGACTTACCCTGCTGCACTGTGTTTTTCTCACATATGAAATGAAGATAATGCCGCCAATGACTGGCGTGACAGACTGCAGGAGATGTGTGTGAGACATTGCTGGCTGCGTCATCACAGGGCTGCCACTTGCACCTCCTCAGTCACTGATGTTACAGCAGCCAGTTGCCCGCTGAAAGCCACCGCCCTGTCCTTTGCTCCCACTGACCACCTGGGATGTCTCTCCCACCTGTCCTTGAGCACGCAGAAGAGAGGTGTGCCTCCTGCTGAAATAACACGTGGTTCAGAGGAACACGGAGTCACTGCATCTGATCACACACTCTTGAAAGCAGAGGTTTCCTGCCTCGTGTTCAGCCAGTCATGTTCCTATCACAGGGACGGGTTGCCTAATGCTGGCCAACCCCACCAGGCATGGCACCTCTGCCACTGTGAGTCCCAGGAGCAGTTGTAAATGCAAATTTTAGTCATTGCCACGTAGGTTCTTATTTGTGATAGGAAAAGCTGTAAAAGCAGGGGGTTAGCCCTAAGTGGTTGTAAGGAGGGGTCACGGGCACGCACCTCGCAGGTTCATAGTGAACACTGAGTGAGAGAGAGTGTGACAAGGCTAGCATGAGGCCTGGTCCCAGTGAGTGCCGGTCAGTAGTGCTCTCCCTTCCCTATTGTCACTACTTCTTTATCCTTGTCCATTCAGACGTCAGTGAGGAATACATAACAAAAAACAAACAAACAAAAAGGGCAAAATCAGAACAAAATGCATGAATCCAATGTTTTCCTCTTCGTGTGGATCTACTGTATCTCTCGTCCAACTTACAACTCGGACTCCACGAAGACAGAGACTGCCCTTCTGGCTTGGCAGCTATAGCAGTCAATATATTATCAATGCCCTGTCCAATGTCAGTGCCAAGGAGACTTTAGGAGTGACCCTGAGGGTCCTGCCAGGGAGTGTCTTCTAGACATGCATCTCCATTTTTGTTGAGTCTGTGGAAACAACTTTTGAAACAACTTTTCAGTAGTACATGGGCCAAAATTGTACAATATTATAAATATTGTTGAATGTCCTGAAATGAAAATATTGCACTGTGTTACAAACTCATCCCATTCCAGTCAGAGACCAAATGAAACTGAAGGTAGAGAAAATGCCAAGTGAGGGAGCAGGACCTCTTCCCTCATGGCTCAGCTTTTCCAGGCCGGGTACAGGGAGGGCTTGCGGCAGGCCCAGCCACCATATAGCCCTGTGGCTTCAGAGCCTGATGCCCAGATAGGAGCCAGCTGGTGACAGGCACAGAAGGCCCGTCTGCAGCCAGAGGCAGAAACATGGGGCGGAAAGCAGCAGACAAGGGTGAGCTCCACAGGACTTTCTGGCCAAATTCGTAACAATCTGAAGAGCCAAATAAATGATGATGGCAAAAGATTATAAACCAGTGGGTAAACAGGATTCATGAGTCCATAGTGACAAATAAATAAAAGTGAAAGGACTTCCTTCAAGTTGAATGCCAACTAGTAATTACAGAATAAAGGGTGGAAAGGTCGCATGCTGACCCTCACCCTGATGGGCATGGCCGCCAGGGCCTCTGCAGAAGTCAGGGCCTCGGTGCCCGCTGTTCTGGTGGGCACTGCACTCTTCACAACGCATGCACCGTAGTCAACAATCAGATAGCAACAACAATAGTAAAGAAGGTCAGTCCACTGAAGAATGTTCTTGACAAAGTGCCAAAAATTATTAATTTCATTGTCTTATTTTAAACCATTGTATGGAGGGCTGATGGACTTGTACAAAGCTGTGCATATTTCATGTGTACATCACAATGTGTCTGGGGATACGCATGCAGCCTAGAAACCATCACCTCCACCAAGGCCATAAACACATCCATCCCCTCCCCAAGTTCCTCCTGCCCCTTTGCTATTATTACTGTTTTATTGGGGATTTCTTTGTGACAAGAGCACTCCATGTAAGATCTACACTGTTAGTGAATTTTCAGCACTCAGTACAGAGCTATTAGACACAGACACCTTGCTGTAAATTAGATCTCCAGAATTTATTCAGCCAGCACAGCAGAAACTGTGTGCCTTTGACTATCTCACCCTTGCCCAGCCCCAGTAACCACCATTCTGCTCTCTGCTTCTATGAGTGTGACCACTTCAGACTGCCTGTAAGATCATACAGAATTTGTCTTTCTGTGCCTGGCTTATTTCACTTAATATAATGTGCTCCAGGCTCATCTGTGTGGTCACAAACGACAGGATTTTCTTCTCTTGAAGGATGAGTCACATTGTCTCATGTATGTGCACCACATTTTCCTTTTCCACTTTTCCATTGGTGGACATAGGTTGATGCCGTATCTTTGCTGTTGTAAGTAGTGCTGCAGTGACCATGGGAGTGCAGGTGTCTCTGGACACACTGATTCCATTTCCTTTGGGTGTATAGTAGTGGGATTGCTGGATCACATGGCAGTTCTATTTTTAATATTTGGGGAACCTCCATGATGTTTCCACAATGGCTGTATCAAATGTATTTCCACCAACAAAGTAGAGAAGTTCTTTTGTGCTGTATCCTTGCAGCACTTACCTTTGTTGTTTCTGTTTTTTTAATACTAGACATCCTAACAGGTGTGAGGTGATAGCTCCTTGTGGTTTTGATTTACATTTCCCTGGTGGTCAGTGATGCTGACCATCTTTTCATATACTCCTTGGCCATTTGTATATCATCTTTGGAGAAACGCATGCATAAAGTACTTCTGCTGAATGCTGAGCCATGGCAATCATCCTAAGGAAAAGCACTTGTGCTAAATTTTTTTTTTTTTTTTTTGAGACGGAGTCTCACTGTGTCACCAGGCTGGAGTGCAGTGGCACAATCTTGGCTCAGTACAACCTCCACCTCCCGGGTTCAAGCGATTCTCTTGTCTCAGCCTCCCTAGTAGCTGGGTCTACAGGCATGTGCCACCACGCCAGCTAATTGTTGTATTTTAAGTAGAGACAGGGTTTCACCATGTTGGGCCAGGATGGTCTCGATATCTTGACTTCATGATCCACCCACCTTGGCCTCCCAAAGTGCTGGGATTACGGGCATGAACCACTGCCCCCGGCCGCTAAATTTGATTTACAAGCGAAGCTAGCCAGCTTTTTCATGGAATACCAAATTCACTTAAAGAATGAATGACAGACAAATATGTTATTTACACTTGGATGTTAGGCAGACATGTGCTCAGAAATGAACAAACTGGGCCTGTTGCTTTAAAGAAAATAACTCTAGTTGCCAATGAGAAAATTCAAGGTTTTTAATGAACACTAAAATTTTGGAAAACCTGCAGTTCACTAGAAACTCAAGGTACAGAGGCAGCCTCAGGCCAAATTTAGTTTGATTTAACAATTCTCACCCTAGGAGACTCCCAATTTATTAACAAATTAATGTTTTTGAAGAATCTGTCAAGAAGAAAATAAATGTTTTCCTCCAAGCATACTTGTCCAACACAGCAATTCTTAAACTTTTTGATCTCAAGATCCCTGTTCATGCTTTAAAATTATTACGTGAAGGAGTACGAGAGATTCCAGCAGGAGAAAAGGGCATTGTGTCTGGGATTTGTAGCAGCCAGTAGCCGGAATGAGCAGAAATTGGATCTGAAGGCCTGATTCCAGAAAGAAAGAAACTCAGGGCATGGAAGAAACAGCTGTGGATGGTTTCAGAACTTTGCCAAGCAATTCCTCAACATATCTCACTATGCTCCTCTGCTTACTCGGATTGTTCTCCATGACAAGACCCCCAGAATCATTCCTTATCCCATATTTATCTGGACCAAGTGAAAACCCGAGCGCAGAGATCACGGATGAGGTCCTTCCTGTTTGGATACACTCTGCTCCCGGTGTCTGTGCTCTTGAGTCACCACAAGCCCATCACCCTCTCATAAGGGCTCTGCTTCATCATTCCCCAGCTGCTGCTCTTATTGGGCTAAGGGATGAAGACTACACAGGCTGTCGAGTTCTCCTCCAGGATACTCACTGACTCCCAGGTGGCCTACTCTATCAACCCATGAGCATGGTCAGCCCTGAGACACTGTCAGGAAGTGAGAGGCCACTGTAGGAGTGTCACGCTAACAGCTAACCCAGCGGCCCCCATGAAGGCTGACGCTTGGCATCCCTGGAGAATGGGTCACACTTTTACCTCATCGCATAGCCATAGTCTCTGCCTCCACAGCCTTCATTTTCTCACTTTTTCTATCAATGCCCAAGAAAAGAATGTTTTTCCATGCAAAACCCAGCAAAGAAATAAAGTCCCCAAGCCTGTGTGCAGGGTTAAAGGAACCTCATGAGAGTGAAGCACTAGGCTGCGAAGGGGAGAAACCCACTTGGGAAAAGCCCACCACTTCGGGGAACCTGGATGACGGCCCATAGAGCATAGTGCCACAAACAGTGACTCTGAAAGTTCGTGTTCCATGGTTCCAAGATTTGAAGTAGTGTTACTCCTCAGAGGCCTTTGTTACTAATCCCCACGGTGGGCTTTTTCCACCACAGGTTTTAACCTAGCTTTGAACTATGTTCAAGTCCTATGAGGTTGCAAAGCACCACCCCAATATTCTTATACCTATAACGGGGCACAGAAGCTACTGAAGCATTTGGTAGGGCTGTGGCTGCCTGTGCAGTGGGCTATGTGAAAATCAACTGGAGTCTCCTGGAGAGTGGGCTCTGGAAGTCTCCTCAGTCATCAACGCAGGCTCTTGACCTCTCGTGCACTATATGACCAAAGTCTACGCAGGCTATGTGGGCTATTTGCGATTCAAGTCCAGCTATGTGCTGCTTCTAACCCAGGCAGTATTCCAGACTGCAGTCCAGCTGAGCGTGGAATGTGTATCCTGGTGCCCGGATTCCACACTTCACTGCCTTGGTGATTCAGCCGACCCTCATCACTGTGACTGCAATTCATCAGAAAGGGCTCAGCCTGTGATCAGCATTCAGTTTGTAGTTTATAGGAGTTATTTTGCAGTCACTTCTAGAATTTTCCTAATAAGAAGAATATCTAATGCCTATCAGCCAAATGCCAAGAGGAAGGAGTTCAGAGCCCCGCTATGAGTCAGAACCCAGATGGGCCGCACCCAAAGGAGCTGAGCAGTATCACGCGAACAAAGTTCTAACCCTACAACATCAACTACTGCAGTGCTTTGCAAAGTTACTGAATGAAAACGCAGGGTTTTGAGATGGATGTCATATGTTTTGCCATAAGTTGACACACTTTGCAAGTCTGGATTCTAATGAATCTTTTTTTTTTTTTTTTTGAGACGGAGTCTCTCTCTGTTGTCCAGGCTGAAAGGCAGTGGCACAATCTCAGCTCATTGCAATCTCTGCCTCCCAGGTTCAAGCGATTCTCCTGCCTCAGCCTCCCAAGTAACTGAGATTACAGGCACGCATCACCACGCCTGGCTAATTTTTGTATTTTTAGTAGAGACAAGGTTTCACCATGTTGGCCAGGATGATCTCAAACTCCTGACCCCAGGTGATCTGCCCGCCTCGGCCTCCTAAAGCGTTGAGATTACAGGTGTGAGCCACAACACCCAGCCCTGATTTTAATGAACCTTTTCAAAACCACAAAAAAAAAAACCTCAGTTTTAGATCAGACAGCTATGTGCCCGCCTGAACTAAACTCAGTTGACAGGGCCCATTATCACAATTCAACAACTCATGTTGAAGACCCCGTGAAGAGCAGTAACAACAATTCTAGTTGTGATCACTTGCAAGGGCATGCTAATGGCACAGAAACCAACCATGGGAAAACTCCAGCGCTCCCGGAGTTGACGTTCCCCACCTGTCAGCACAAATACAAACTGGACCAACCCTGTTGCTTGGCTTCAATACTTGTTTGATCTTACCAGAGCAGGCAACACATGGACATTTTTGTCTCATGAGCCATTTTCCTCTGTTGAACTTATGATTCTCTGAGAACCTGAGAATTACAATAACAGCATTATTTACAAGCTGTGATTTGATAATGTGCCACTTAATGTTTTACATGATTATTTTGCATTTTGTGCTTTGCCGAGCTTTGTTGTTGAAGCTCCATGTCAAGAATAGCACCACACGCCCCTGTGTGTCTGCAAAATGACAGCCTCTGCAATTCTCTGAGGCCCGGGAGGGACAATGAGCCTTCTCCCCACATGACCCTACATGGGGGTTTCAATGCTATGTCAGTGCAATATGTCTACAGGAGGAGGCATACAAGGAATCTCCAGAGGTTTCTAGGAGTATTTGTAAGTAAAACAGTAATAGAGGTGAGGATGGTGGGAATAAACACCTAATTTTTAAATGGTAGAGATTGTGCTAAATAAAATGTATTCAAAAAATTACTAAAGACTCCAAAGAGCTTTGGTTATGTGGTTTAAATCTATCAGTACTCGCTGAAGTAGAAATTAAAGGTAAGAAACTTTTCAAGTATTTATTAATTCATTTAAAATAACAATAATAAACTACACGTTAACATAAATGAAAAAATTATTTTAAAAAATAATGATTTTCAAATGAAAATTTAGTAAGGGGAGTGGCACATTTATGTTTTCACAAATATCTTTAATCTGTTGTGGTATGCTATCATGATTGAAATATTTGCATAAAATCCAGAAAAGGGAAGAGTATTCATCTTTTTGGGGTAATTGTGGATATTCTTTTTGATATTACACCAAAACGCAAAAATAGTAGTTTATCAAAGGTTCCTTGCGATGTGGAACGTGAAACCATGTCAATTAAGGCTTCTTATTCTGTCACACTCATATCCATTGCAGCTTGAATAGATCTTTTACTCAAGCAGCATTTTGTAGCAAAATGCACTGGTCATTTGGAAAATACTGGATCCTTGAGTTATGAATTTTTTCAAATGTTGTCACATTTCATTATACGATACCACAAATCACATCTGTTCATGCCACTGCTTATCTCATCAGAGAAGTCATTAGGTATTGCAAAACTGTCAGGCTCATGGGGGCAGACATAAGTTTTCCAAAATCAAAGTTATTTCTTTATAAAATATAATCACTGTTTATTTATTAATCAAAGTCAAAATGGGAAATAAAATATTTACCAGATCACTGCACTAATCCCTTTTCTGCTCTGATTCATAATTTAGGATTCCTAGCTATCAGAGATAGCAGGGTGCCAGCTGGGGTCAGGTTTCCTCTCCATCTTAGCAGTTCTGTGCTGAAAAATGTAGTTTCTTTTCATGGTGTGACCTTTTTATGAGTCCTAAGTATAGACTGGCCATTTGTAGTTGAGCTTCTGTATGGGAGCCTTCTGGTATCTTCACATAGCTGTGTTGTGTGTTTGGGGAAAGAGCTCTGCTTTTCCCACATTGAGGAAAACTCACTGCTTCCTAGGACTGGTGCATTACTGTCTTCCAGGAACTTCTCTTCAGAGTTCTCTTGGTTTAGATCCACTATTTCCTGGATCGCACAGCTTTTTAAAATTTGCTATTTGTTTTTGCCAGGTTACAGCCTTGCAGTAGTTTTCAAGAAAGATACAGAGGAGTGAAAGCAGAGGTCTCAAGGCCCTCACTGGCATGGGTGGCTTCCAAGCCCTTGGCCTTAAATTCACATGACTAATATTTTTGTAAAATTTGCAAAAATAAAACCATTCCTTTTCTACACTATCAATAAAAAACAAAATTTTGGGCCGGGCACGGTGGCTCGTGCCTGTAATCCCAGCACTTTAGGAGGCCAAGGCGGGTGGATCACGAGGTCAGGAGTTCAAGACCAGCCTGGCCAACATAGTGAAATCCCATCTCTACTAAAAATACAAAAATTAGCCAGGCCTGGTGGCAGGCGCCTGTAGTCCCAGCTACTCAGGAGGCTGAGGCAGGAGAATCGCTTGAACCCGGGAGGCGGAGGTTGCAGTGAGCCGAGATTGCACCACTGCACTCCAGCCTGGGTGACAGAGCGAGACTCTGTCTCAAAACAAACAAAGAAATAAAAAGAAACAAAATTTTGAGCAACCTTAGTAAAGAAAGGACTGAATATTTCTACTCTATAAAAATATTACGAATTGTCATTATATCAAAAGCAATCAAAGCGTGTGGGAGGAAAATACTGGCTGCCCTTTTTAGTGGAGTGGGGTTGGCACAGCAGGGCAGGTTCTCAGCTGGTCCACACCATCACCATCGCTGCACCCGCCGGCCGAGTGCGGAAGGTCTTCTGCACGTCCTTCCCTTGTGGTCTCCTTTGCACTCGCCAGCACCATTCCTAAATGGTCTTTGCATTTTCCTCTTTCATCTGACACACAGATGCCTACATGTCACTTTTGTTTTCTGAAATTATACAGAATTATCCTTTGCATAGACTGTGGTGTTCGAAGCCCCATCTGATTTCTAGTTTTGTGTGATGACATCCACCACCATCATCATCCTTCATGCACCTCATATCCCAATGTCTGCTTGGCTCACTATTTCCAGAAGCTGTTTCTGCTGCCTGGGATGTCTTTATTGCCATCCATCCCATAGGACTTGGCTCACAACCCAGTCCTTCTCTATAAAGCTTCCATAGACCCAAGCATCCTCCTCCTCCCAACCAAACTAGCCACACGCCTGCTGAACTCTGCTAGTATATCTGTGGTAGCTCCTGCCCTTATATTCACTCATGTGACTGTCTCTCTCTAGGTCATGAGCTTCTGCAGACAACAAACTCTTTACCCTGGGCAGCTAGCACAATGGTTTGTAATTAAATAATATTTATCATTTAACTTGAGAGATTAGCAAGAGATATATATGGTTCTGTGAATAGGACCTCCTTGGGTAGAAAGATCAAGAAGAGCCAGAGAACCAGAACTACGCAGACTTTTTCCTGGGGAAGCTCAATTATATTCTGAGTTTGCTGAGACTTTGCATCTTTGAAATTTAGAAAACTAGAGCAGTAAGAGCCTCTTTCCTCTGGTTTCATCATTAAGAGTGACGCAGAACTGCCTCCTTCAGACCATGACCCGAGTTTCAGGTTAAGTGAGGAGGCTCCGGCAAAGCGATCTCTCCACATTCCTCCAGGAGAGGACTGTGCAGATTGCAAAGGAAGGAGGCATGCCTGGCCATCTGAGAGCTGTGACTACAGCTCCCTCCAGACGATTTCCAGTGGAGCAGGCCTCATAATGTGGAGGTCGGCATACAGTACAGTCTGTCTCCTCGACCCCAGCTCCCACTCCTGCAGTCAAAGAGCCTGGACCTGGGCTCTGAGCCCTGTACAAGGATGAGAAGCAGAGGCAGCACTTCAGGTTTTTGTCCAGGTTTGATCATGAATGAGTAGAAGGCCCAGTAACTACCTTCCGCCTAAAAAAAACATTTTATTGGCTCCTCAAAAAGCAGGAATACAGGAGCAACTGACTCTTCTCTCTCTACCAACACCACCCTTTGACTCCCCTCACTTTGTCTCCTTTGCTCCTCACATGTTGTGGTGAAGGGAAATCCTACGGTCAAATAGTTTGCAGGAGAGCAGGGCCAGTAGACGCAAGGCTCAGTTAAAGACTTGAAGACCTGGAGAGAGAAAATCAGGGGCCCAAATGGGACCTCTGCTGCCAGGACTCCAAACTCCTGTTGTCAAAACTGTAAAATATTTTCAGAATCTAGTTATCAATTATTTTATTTTTTCTGTGATAGGAGAAAATCATGGAAGTCAATAAAGTAAGATTTAAAATAGGCCTCAAATTATTTTTTTACGGATGGTAAAAAAATAATGCATGTAGAAAAAAATACAACAGAGAAAACTTGGAAACATTTTTTTAAGTTGAAATAAAAGGTCGAATCATCCATCAGGGGCCCATGTTCTATTTTTTCTTTGCGGCTCAGGCACAGAGCTTCAGCACACAGCCTCCAGGGGGCTGTCCTGAGTCTAACCACAGTATTCCCGGAGAAAGGAGGCAAGGGCTGGGAAGGAGTGTGTCGCTGCTCTTCAGTGCCCTTCTAGGAGCTGGTGTCCACATGTCACTCGTGTCCCATCGGAGTGATTCACACGGCCACACCTCACTGGGAAGTAGAGTCTACTCTGGGTGGTTGTTCACCCAACTAAAAATTCCAAATGCATTATTGTAGAGAGAAGGGAGGGCAGGCATGGGAGAGTGCCAGTAGCCTCCAGCACAGGGTCAAATCCCAAGGACAATCTATGTTAGGCCAGCAGCAAATGAGGATGAAGACGCAAATGGGAGAGACTAAGAGGAACTGTGCAGGGAAGTCAGGGGCTGCAGCAGCCCAGCCAGAGAGGCCCAGACACAGAGATTCTTAGGAGGAAAACGAGGCAGCTGACTCCAGGAGAGAATCCAGGGGAAAAGATATATTTGGAGGGTTTTTTTTTTTTTTTTTTTGAGACGGAGTCTCGCTCTGTCGCCCAGGCTGGAGTGCAGTGGCGGGATCTCGGCTCACTGCAAGCTCCGCCTCCCGGGTTCACGCCATTCTCCTGCCTCAGCCTCCCAAGTGGCTGGGACTACAGGCGCCCGCCACTACGCCCGGCTAATTTTTTGTATTTTTTGTAGAGACGGGGTTTCACCGTTTTAGCCGGGATGGTCTCGATCTCCTGACCTCGTGATCCGCCCACCTCGGCCTCCCAAAGTGCTGGGATTACAGGCGTGAGCCACCGCGCCCGGCCTGGAGGGTTTTTAAGTGAAGTTATACCATAGGGTTTGCAGCATAAACCCTCTACACTGAACACCTACAAAATCCCTGATAAAGGTCTCGTGGCTTGTTAACGTGGTTTGGAGTGGACCTGTTTGGGTAAAGATTTGGGGGGACCCATGTCAGGGTGGGCTGAATCATTGTGCTTAAAACACACCAGAGATTGCATGGTGTATTGCAGCGGGTGATTGGTGATTGGTAGGTGAAAGAAAGATGTGCTCATTCATCCCTGAGTGGAGAGATCTCTCTGGGCTAGCCACAATGTATGAAAACAGGGCATGAAGAATGTCTCCAGCCCACATGGACTGCATTCTTGCTGGTTGGGAATGTGTCCCCAAGTTCTCCACCTTCCTGTACTAGTTAAGAAGGAAGGGCCAGGTGCAGTGGCTTGTGCCTGTAATCCCAGATATGCAGGAGGATGGCCTGAGGCCACGAGTTCGAGACCAGCCTGGGACACATAATGAGACTCCATCTCTAAAGGTAGTTTGTGCCTGTAGTTCCAGCTACTCAGGAGGCTGAGGTACACTTGGCAATTGATTACCATTCACCTTGACATCAGTGAAAGTTTTCCTGGAGATTGGGGTGTGGTTGTCTTTTGCTTTACCCTACTGTGCCTTTGCCCATGTTTGTCTTTCCTTGATTCCATGGTTTTCTGTGGAAACTGAGGGAAGCATGAGTTTGTGCCACTGTCTGGTGTCACAGAGGCCTGAGGTCTGAAAAGGTACTCTCGACCTGAGGAGTTGTCGGGTGATGGGGAGAGCATTCTAGGCAGAAACAACAATATGAAAAAATAGAGAGTTAGGAGCCCAAAGCCACAAATCAGAAATCAAGAGCAAAGAGAGCTGGAGAAGGTAGGGTGGAGTAAAAACACGTCTAGAAAGATCTAGGGCTCAGTGGGTCAGCACATCTCCTCTGAGGCGTCAGTTCCAGTCAGCTGAGAACTGCAGCCTAGTGGGGGCCTCCCGCACATTGGAAAGAGTACCTGGATTAGTCAATGAGGTTTGCCTCCAGGGGCTGGTCCTCTTTAGGAAGACCAGCAGACGCAAGGATACCTCATCACAAGCCTAAGTTAAGGGCATAGAGGGCCTGGGATGCCACTAAGAAGTCCGAGGTCTGTCTAAAGGGGCTCATTTCATAACTGAATGCCAAATACATTCAGTGATCTCAGGGTCCCAGGGCCTGCTCTTGACTAAAAATTAAGCTGAAACACCCTCTATTAAAAGCTGGCCAGAGGAGATGGTGGGTTGAATGTGGCTCCTGGGCCATGTTTGCCTCTGGAACACCAGTGCAGAGCAGCAGGGACAGGAAGAGCCCCAGGGACTTGCAGACTGGGAGGAGAGGCTTCCAGCTGCCTCTGAAAGGGAGCTTTGCTCTTTCCAATTTTCTGTTCTTTCTGTGAAAAAGTTTAAGTCCTTCTGGAGCTGGGCTGATGGCATGTGAGTGTTACCATGTGTCATTCTGTAAGTGCTCTCTGCAAATTCCTAGAGATTCTCCCTCATGCCCCAGGGGAAAAGCAATTTTTATTGTCCCACTGTGATCCATGAATCTTATCCCCAGTGTCTATGAATCCTGACTGTTGGACTTCAAACCCTCTGGGCCCTTTCTCAAAGAGCTCCACGGAAAGCAAGCTCCTGATGGCTGCCCTGACACTTCAGGCTTCCTGAAGTGTCTACTCAAAATAGTCCCTAACCTAAGGGCATGACTTTAGTAATGTAAGTTTTAAGCTTCCGCATGTCAAATTCCCCAATCCACCCAAAACAATTTCCTAAGGGCTAGCTTCCTGGGACCCCCACATTCCCCATTTTTCTGCCTAAGCCCACGTCTGGACATGGCTTGGTTCATTGCTCACAAACGCTCCTACCCTCTCTCCCCACCACCCCCTCACTTGGGCCATGCATCTGTGTCATCTTCCAGCAGCTCCTGGATCTGACATTCATTGGCTGTTTAGGTTACTATTCCCTCCATGCCCATGATGCCACTGTGGTTTGTGCTTCTTCATGTGAAGTTAAAGGAGAAGATATCTAAGAACATAACCTTGAGAGCACTAGCAACCATAGGTGGACTGTGAGGAGAAAGCCAATGAAACATGTTGAGGAGAAATAGGCAGAGAAGCAAGCAGGCAGCTTTGCAGGAGTCAGAGGAGAGGAACATTGTGAGGAGTGCACGATCTGGGTCAAACACCAGAGGGATGGTGTGGAAGACAAGGACTGAAAAATGTCTACTGGATAATTCTACCAAGCGGGGCAGCTGGGCACAACCACAGAGGAACTGACTTAAGGGGAAATTGTGCAGCCAGTAGTCAGGTGGAATCCAGATGTCAGTGGGACCTAGTGGAAGGGGCTTCAATTTTTGAATCGCTCAAGGTTGGCCAGAAGCTGGCTCTGTAATCTTGGACAAATAACAACTTCTCTGAGCCTCAGTTTCTCTTCTATAAAATGGACATAAAACACCTTCCTTGCAGAGTGTGATGGTTAATACTGAGTGTCAACTTGATTGGATTGAAGGATACAAAGTACTGTTCCTGGGTGTGTCTGTGAGGGTATTGCCAAAGGAGATTAGCATTTCATTTCAGTGGACTGGGAGAGGCAGACCCACCCTCAATTGGGTGGGCATCATCTAATCAGCTGCCAGTGCAGGTAGGATAACAGCAGGCAGACAAACGTGGAAGGACTTGACTGGCTGAGTCTTCCCGCCTCCATCTTTCTTCCGAGCTGGATGCTTCCTGCCCTCAAACACTGGACTCCAAGTTCTTCAGCTTTTGGACTCTTGGGCTTACACCAGTAGTTTGCCAGGTGCTCCCGGGCCTTCAGCCACAGACTGAAGACTGCATTGTTGGCTTCCCTACTTTTGAGGTTTGGGGACTCAGACTGGCTTCCTTGTTCCTTAGCTTGCAGACAGCCTATTGTGGGACTTCACCTTGTGATCGTGTGAGTCAATATTCCTTAATAAACTTCCCTTCATATATAGGTCTATCCTATCAGTGCTGTCCCTCTAGAGAACCCTGACTAACATAGAAGAGTTGTGAAAATGACCGTTGGTCTGCCCTCACCCTTTCCCTCTTGTCCTTTAACCGCATGCGCTCAGTGTTACCTTCCGTGGCACCTGCTCACCGTCATCCCGTGGTGACTCGTGTGGGTAACTTCATCAGAGAAGACCCTGCCTGTCACCTCAGGTACAGCCCACGAAGTAAGGTGGCTGCAAGCGCAGATCCTGCACCTGCCCAAGGTGAAACAAATCAGCTCCCGGAGCCTGAGGTGCAAAGGGCAGGAAGCTCCCTGCGCACCCCTGCGGCCCCAGCGCGGCTCTCCCAGTCCCGCTGCCTCCCACTCCGAGCCCCTGCCGTCTGGGACCCGCTCCACCTCCCGCTCCCGGGCCCTCGGGGCATCCTGTCTCCATTCGCAGCCCAGTGCCCTCCACTCCCACGGCCTCGGGTACAGCTTCCACAGGGAAATCACCCACATCTGTGTCTCTCGCCTCGTTCCCAGTCCTGAGGCCGACGCATGGCCACTGAGCACACAGATCCAGCACAGCGTCCCTCGCCTTTCCCGCGCCCCGGGCAGAGGATGAGCACCAGGCCAGCCCTGCAGCTCACGCCGGCAGCCCTGGGCTGGCTCCGCACCCGCGCCTCGGGCTTCCACGGTGGACCCAGGAGACACCCTCTCGCCCAGCCCAGCTTCCCTGCGGGACTGAGAGGGAGAAGGGAGGAGTCGGGGAGCGAAGGCGGAGGCAGAGCTGGGCTGCGGGAGGAGGCGCGACGGCGGCACCGGCGGGATGGAGCAGCGGGATCCCGCGGTGACCGGGCGGATGGAGTGGCCGAGAGCGCCCCCTGCCGGCCAAGGGTCCCCCCTCACACACTCCCGGTGTGGCCGGGAAGGCGGGAGCCGGGTTCCCTGCCGGGAAGGCGGGAGCCGGGTTCCCTGCCGGTGGAGCCGGCGGCTCAGCCGGGCCCCGCACGCACCGGCCCCGCAGGGCCAGGTCCCCGCCTCCAGGCCCACCTTCGGCGCTCGCAAACGTCCGGGTGGCTGCGGCCTGGCCACCATCCAGGCCTCGCCCACCGGCAGTTGCCCGGGTCCACACAGGGACAAGCTCGGTCTCCGCCGCGTCCCGCCTGAGCCTCGCCCGCGCCCAGGGGACTCCACGCTGCACAGGGAGAGGGCCGCTCCGTGTGACAATGCAAGAAGGGCGAGCTCTCTTTTCCACCTGTCTCATCTCAGTGTGAACGGCGCCCTGGAAAACAGAACTGTTCAGGGACTTCTGAGGAGCTCGGCCAACGCTCTTGCCTCCCTACATTTTCCCGAAATCTGCCTTTCAAACAGGCTTCCTCTTGTCACAGACGAACCCATCTCCACGTTAGAGTGCATCGTGGCGTTTCCTATTTTCATAAAAGCCAGCGCCCTGGAATTGTCAGTCTGTTCTTACACTGTGAGTGTAACGGCCCTCTGTTAAATCTCAGCAAACCCTCGCGCGCCAGAGAGGCCAGCCCCAGAGCCCGCGCCCTGGAACGCGGCGGACCGCGGGTGCCCTCTGCGGGTGGCGCGTGGCCTGCGCAGCGATCAGGTCCTCAAGTCCCGAAGCCCCAGTGCCAGCCTCCGAAAAGCTGGCCCGGCAGGAAGGAGCCCAGTTCCTGCCCACTGCCTTCCGACGTCCTGTAAGTGGACCCCGCTTCCCGGGCCTCAGTGGTCTGGTCTGGAATGAAGAGTCTGAGCCAGGTGGTCCCAAGCGCTGCCGGGCTCCCACATTTTCTGACAATGAGGTAATCAGTCACGTGCACTTGCCAAGGTTTGGGCACCAGACTCTTTGACACCTGGTGTAGACTCAGCAAAATCCCATGAGCCACTATGCCCTTCAGATCAATGGACTATCACCTACTTCATTCGGACTTTTCGACCTCAGGTGAGACTGGAGAGAAACCTGGGACAGAGGAGACAGCTGGCTGAGATTCCCGTTCCTGCGTCTGAAGGCTGGAGGGTATGGAGAGTCCCTAGACAGTGGCACTCACGCCTGCTGCGCCCTGTGCTGCAGGTTGTACGCGATATAAAACATGACACTGACTGCCCGTGAGGATCTTGACAAGTTGTTTTGAAGATGGCATTTTGCTAAGTCCCTGAGGGTCACTGGTCCTCAAAGCGGCATGGCGGCATGGCGTGGCTGGTTCTGCCACATGCCAGCTGTGTGACCTCTGAGACTCCACTTCTTCAGTGCTGAAAATAAAGAAGGAGTTTTACTAAGGACCAAACAAGATAATGAATGTGAAACTGCTCCACGAACCCCAAAGAATTATGCACATAGATGCGATCATTAAGATGCGAAGCCATCGAGTTACCACCTGGCATGCTTAAACTGTAAAGAGTGGGTCAAAGTAAACTGAATTGGAAAATCCAAAGTTATGCAGAAAAACAATAAAGAGGTCTTACGTAGCAATACCGAACTTATGTCAGGCACTATTTCTCAAAACACAACTCCACTGAGATGCTCCAAGGAAAGAAAGGATTTTGTGGGCAAAAGCTTGATGCCCCTCTAGGGCACTCACAATGCTCGTCAGCACACAGAGCTACAAATAGTTCAGATTTTGCCACCCAATTTGTTGCCAAAAACATTCAATTTCCAGATCTGCTTTGGATTTCAGAATTGCAGATTCAAAACATTGTAAACCCTGGATTAAAACCCATTAAAAGTTTCCTGTCTGAGTTGCTCCTATGTCTCTCGTCTCTTCAGAAGAATTTATCTTTTTCTTTTTGACAATCATTCTTTCATAAGAATTGGTCTTTCAACCTACTTTTAGTTCACCTAGTTGTTGGAAATTTAGTAGAAAAAATAACCTTGCCTTTTAGGGTTGATTTAGGTTAAAATGTCTAAGGTATATAAAGTGCTTATCATGTAACAAGGCACACGAGGGTTTATTACGTGTGATACACCTGTGGTGGAAGGGGTTTCTTGTGGCCTCAGGTCATGCAGGAGGGATTCCACCCCACAACTGCTCCAAAAAAAGCACCCATGCCACCACCTCACACCAATATTCTGAACCCCACGATAGTGACCTAACAAGTGTAAATAATAGTGAAAATCACAGGACAGACTAGTTGAACTCAGGACTGACCTAGAACATATGATATGCCAGATGACATGAGAGATGTAGATAGACGACATGAGAAAATGAGATCAATTGTCTAATAGTTGATTGATCCTTCAATGCCAGATTTTTATCTGCCATATAATTCTTACTGATTATATAGGCTGAAAGGCAGAGGAGGGATGATGATTCTATCCAATGAATATGGAGAATGGCTCCAAATTTTAACTCTCTAAAACATCACCATGTGCTGTGTCTTTTCCTACAAATCAGGATCTTTTTTCAACCAGTACATACCTCCTTGACCTGACAACACTTAATATAGGCAAAAAAAAAAAAAAAAAAAACTGTTCCCAAGTTGAGTATAATCATATCTGTAATTATATCCATAATCACAAGGATAACCACTGTTCCCAAATTAGGTATAGTCATGTAATAGCAGGCCCAGTTCTGGGCTTTCTATGCCTTTTATCTGTTTGTTGATCCTTATGCCTGTGCCACATTGTCTTGATCACTGCAGCTTTATTGGCTTTCTATAAGTTTTTTGTTTGTTTGTTTTTGAGACAGAGTTTCGCTCTGTCGCCCAGGCTGGAGTGCAGTGGCGCGATCTCCACTCACTGCAAGCTCTGCCTCCCGGGTTCACACCATTCTCCTGCCTCAGCCTCCTGAGTAGCTGGGACTACAGGCGCTCGCCACCACGCCTGGCTAATTTTTTGTATTTTTAGTAGAGACGGGGTTTCACCACGTTAGCCAGGATGGTCTCGATCTCCTGACCTCGTGATCCACCCTCCTTGGCCTCCCAAAGTGCTGGGATTACAGGTGTGAGCCACCGCGCCCGGCCGGCTTTCTATAAGTTTTGAAAGCTGGCAATGTAAGCCTGCCAACTTTTTTTTCCCCTTTTTCAAGATGGCTTTGCAGATTCTAGGTGCTTTGCATTTCCATATAGATTTTAAAAAATCATTTTGTCAATTCCCACAAAAAGTCCTGCTGGGCTTTCACGGAATGTATACACCTATTTGGGAAGAACTGCTATCTTAATAATAGTGACTCTTATAAGCCATAAACATGGTATATATTTCCATTTACTTAAGTTTTCTTCAATATTTTCACCACCATTGTGTAGTTTTCAGTATAGAGGTCTTACACATTTTTGTTGATTTATTGCAAAACATTGCATGTTTCTGTTCTTACAGTAAATATAATTTTTAAAATTTCCTTTTCTAATTCTGTACTGTTAGCATACTAAATTTACATCGATTTTTGCATAATAACCATATAGACTGCAACTTTTTATTAGCTCTAGTGGTCATTTTGTAGATTCCTTAGAATTTTCTTTTTAAGTTAATCATCTTTTTATTGGGGAAAAAAAACTAGCATTTACAACTCGGAATGGAAGTAAACTGTAATTTGTTGAACGGTAATGTTGATGACTGTGCTGAAGCCCACAGCCACAGCTTACTCTGCTGGCTCAAAGTCATGGTTCAGAAGGTTTTAAAAGCAGAGTCCAAAGATGCTCCCTTGGTAAAGGTTTTTTGTTAAAAATGTGTGTGAACAGTGACAGCCGTTTCACTCTAGAACAATGCAGACAACGCTAAATCAACATACGTGGGCATGCCACCAGGGTATGTCATCGTCACCATGGGTCACAGCACACAGAAGTACAAGATGACCATCCCGCTAGTGGGGCTACGTCTCAACAGTTTATCCTTCACCCCATTTTTCTGCACATCATCCTAAGATAAACCAATTTTAAATGTTCGTTTTCAGTAAACCAGTTATGACAATTTATACTAAACAAATTGAACCAGAATCCATTTGAATAGGTTTTGGATTTGTTTTCTCCTTTTTTTTTTTTTTTTTTTAAATACAAATGGCTGACTGCTCTCAGTCGTCAGGCTGCATGCATGAAAAACTGGCCGGCCCAAACAGTGTATTAATCATGACTAAATGGAACTTTGAGGAGTCCTTATTATTAAGGTAGTACATGTACTTATATTGTAAAACTGATGTGTAGCTTGGTCTTTAGGGGACAGGACCACCAACAAATACATGCAGATTTTGTGTGTTTGGATAGAAGGTACTTTTGACATTCAGTTTTGCTATACAGAAACAGAATGAATCTGTTGGGCATGGTGGCTCACGCCTGTAATCCCAGCATTTTAGGAAGCTGAGGTGGGCATATCACTTGACTCCAGGAGTTTGAGACCAGCCTCACCAACATAGCAAAACCCCGTCTCTACTAAAATACACAAAGATTAGCTGAAAGTAGTGGCTCACGCCTGTAATCCCAGCTAATTGGGAGGCTGAGGTATGAGAATTGCTTGAACTCAGGAAGCAAAGGTTGCAGTAAGCCAAGATTACACCAATGCACTCCAGCCTGGGTGACAGAGCAAGATTCTGTCTTTAAGAAAAAAAAAGAAAGAAAGAAACAGAAACAAAAAATTAGAAACTTTTTTCTTTTTTCTTTTTTTTTTTTTTTTGCAAAAGGTAAGTAAAAGATTCCATTTGATTCTTCTAGAACAGGGAAAAGGGGTTGGAAGTAGGTCTTCATTTTGCAGTCATCATCTGTATTAATTCTTCATAATCAACTTGTCTGTCTCCATCAATATCTGCTTCTGTCATCATTTCATCTACTTCTTCATCTATTAGTTTTTCTCCTAAGTTTGTCATGACATGACGTAGTTCTGCTGCACTGATGTAACCTTTGCCACTATCGTCAAAGACTGGAATACCTCACGATTTCTTCTTCACTATATGTGTCTTTCATTTTTCTAGCCATCATGGTCAAAAATTCGAGGAATTAAATGGTGTCATTGCCATCAGAATCCACTTCATTGATCATGTCCTGCAATTCAGATTCTGCTGGGTTCTGACCCAGTGACCTCATGATGGTTCCAAGTTCCTTTGTTGTGATAGTGCCATTACTATCTTTATAGGACAGGGAGAAAGCTTCCTCGAATTCAGCAATCTGTTCTTTGGTCAGCTGATCAGCCATGGTGCCAGTGAAGGGAGGAAGAGCAGAAGGGGCGAGGGGGCAGCATCGGCACTGGGGACTGCGGGGAGCCTCCTCCGCTGCTACTGCTGCTGAGGGCATGCTGTGCACTGTGCACTGTGCCACCACGTGTCTCCACCTGCTGTGAGTAATGGCACCTCAACCATGACATTCCCAGCACCACTGCACAGGACTTTTTAATATAAGCAATAGCAAGTCACGACTACAGACGACTAAAATCCAGGCCGGGCTATACCCACAAAATTGTGTCTCTCTGTGGAATGTGGACCCTGGAAAAATGAAAGAGGGGAAAAACTGAAGATGTTTCATTAAGGCACTAAAACTTTATGTTTACATGGCTAACAGAAATGAATACAATAACACAAAGAAGGTGAACCAGATTATCAAAGTTTTTGCCTCTTGATTGCTATTTCCTTTGATTTGAGGGGAGAGGGATTGATAGAGAGGACTAATCCCATTCCATCTACATTTGGATAAATCATCTACTCCTTAAATAGCATTACTGTAAGTAAAAATATTCAAAAGGTCAGTCAGTCTCCCAAGCAAGATGGCGGAATAGGATTTTCCATAGCCGTGCCTTCTCAGAAACATCCATTTGAACAACTATTCATGCGTGAAAATACCTTCATAAGAGCAAAGGAATCCAAGGGAGACATTTCAGCACCTGGGTGCAGCAGAGAAATAGAAAAGAGGGCAGGAAGGACAGTTTCAGATGACACACATCACTCCTCCCCCAAGCCCAGGCAGTGCAGCCTGGAAAGAGACCCTCCATGTGGGGAAGGGAGAGTGAAGTGAGCCCCCAATTTTGCTGTGGACCTTAGCAGTAAAACCTGGTGCCTAGTCAGACCCCAAAGTCCAAGGCTCCAGGCTAACTCTGCAAATTCAGGCTCCAGGCCCACCTCAGATTCTGGACTGGCCCCAGCACCAGACCTACTCCCATGGTCCCAGACTTCAGGAATGCCCCAGTGATCAGCTCCTCTAGTGCAAGACCCCAAGTCCCCCCCACCATGACCCTAGGCTCCATGTCTTCTCCAACACCAGGTGAGCCCCTCAGTGGGAAGGAAACTTCAGATGTAGCCCTCAGGCTACACACTCCAGTGGACTCAAGATCCAGGCCCTCCCCTATAAACCCTAACACCAGACCAGTCACTGTAGACTCGGGTTTCAGGACCACCCCCATGGAACTAGGCTCCAGGCTGGCCCCAATGGACCCAGGCTCCAGGACCATGCCTAAGGATGCAGTCTCCTGGCCCATCTCCATGGTTTCCCACACCAGACCTGCCCCCAGGGGCCAGATGCCAGGTTCCCCCAAGTTCACCCTAGTGTGAGGCCAGCCCCCACAGATTCAGGACCAGGTTAATCTCCATGGACACAGACACCAGGTCTCCCAGCACCAAGTCATCCCCTTGCAGACTCATGCTTAATTTCCACTCCAGTACCAGATCTTCTCCTGTGGACCCAGGGTTCCAGCCAGGCCCTGCAGACATGGGTTCCAAGTCTGGTCCTGAAAACCGAGTCAAAAGGCCTACTGTAGTGGACCCTGGCACTAGGCAAGTCCCCTGTAAATCCAAGAAACAGGCTCACCCACCTGATGACCCAAAACCAGGCCAAACTGCCTGAAGACTCCAGCAACAATCCTATCCACAGATCCCCACAAGGTGGCCCACCCAAAATCTCTAGATGTGCTGACTGGTGAATGGTTTTCACTGTCAAAGCCAGGATGTAAAAACTAGAAGAAGTACCTACTTCTTCAAATGCACAGACACCAATGCAAGGCAAATATCACAAGTAATCAGGGAAACATGACACCACCAAAGGAAAAAAATAAAGTAACTGACTCTAAAGATATGGAGATATACTAACTGCCTGACAAAAATCTCAAAATAATCATGTTAAAGAAGCTGAGTGAGCTATGGAGAACACAAATTAACAACTAAACCAAATCAGGAAAACAGTACATGGACATAATTATAAGTTAAATAAAGAGATAGAAACCATTTTAAAAAACTGAAATTCTAGACCTAAAGAACACAAAGACTGAACTAAAAACAAGTAACAAAATGACAATAATAACTCCATACCTAATCAATAATTATTTTAAAGGTAAATGAATTAAAATCTCTAATTAAAAGATGTGGAATACCGAATGAGTAAAAAAAAAAAAAAAAAAAAACAAGATCTAACAATATACTGCCTATAAGAGATTTTGGTTTAGCTTTAAAAACACACAGAGGTGAAAAGTAAAAAAATGGAAAAAGATATTACATGCAAAAGGTGACCAAAAGAGAGTAGAGTGGCTATATTTAGACAAAATATACTTTAAGTTCAAAACTGTCATAAGAGACAAAGAAGTTTCTCATATAATGATAAAGTCATCGATTTATTAAGATACTATAACAATTATAAATCTGCACCCAACATTGGACCACCTGAGTATATAAAGCAAATATTAATAGAACTGCAGGAATAAATACCCAGTAATACAATAATAGTAAAAGACTTCAACAACTCACTTTCAACAATGGACAGACCATTCAGACAGAAAATCAATAAGGAAACACTTGACTTGAACAACACCATGGACCAAATAAATCTAACCAACATACACAAGCATTCTATCCAACAACAGCAAAATATACATTTTTTTCAGGTGTACATGTAACATTCTCCAGTAAAGATTGTATGTCAGGCCACAAAACAAGTCTTAACAAATTTAAGAAGACAGAAATCATATTAAGTATCTTTTCTGACCATAATGGTATGAGAGTAAAAATCAAGAACAAATGGAAAACCAGAACATTCATTAATAGATGGAAATTAAACACACCCCTGAACAATCAATGGGTCAAATACAAAATTTAAAGGGAAATTAAAAATATTTTGAGACAAAGGAAAATGAAAACACAACATAACCAAAATTTATGGGACGCAGCAAAAAACAGTTCTAAGACAGATGTTTGTAGCAATGAATGTCTACATCAGAAAAGAAAAATCTCAAATAAACAACCTAAGGTTGCATCCCAAGAAACTAGGAAAAGAAGAAAAAACTAAGTCCAAACTTGGCAGAAGGAAAAAATAACAAAGATCAGAACAGAAATTAGTGAAATAAAGACTAGAACAACAATAGAAAAGATCAATTAAAATAAGAGTTACTTTTTTGAAAACATAAAATTGACAAACCCTTAGGCTAACTAAGAAAAAAGAGAAAAGACTCAAATAAATAAAATTATAAATGAGAAAGGAGACATTACAATGCATACCACAGAAATAAAAAAGATTGTAAGAGACTGCTATTAAAAACTGTACTTCAACAAATTGGATAACTTAGAAGAAATGGACCCACTGCTAGAAATGTAACAGCCTACCAAGACTAAATCATGAAGAAACAGAGAAATCTTAACAGACTAATGATAAGTCAGAAAATTGAATCAGTAATCAAAACCCTTCCATCAAAGAAAAGCCCTAAACCAGATGGCTTCATGGGTGAATTATACCAAACAGTTAAAGAAAAATTAACACCAATCCTTCTCCAACTATTCCAAAAAAACCGAAGAAGACAGAATACATCTAAACTAATTTTACAAGCCCAGCATTACCCCAATACCAAGGCCACCCAAGGACACTATAAGAAAAGAAAATTACAGGCCAATATTCCTGATGAACATAGATGCAAAAACCCTCAACAAAATGCTAGCAAACAGAATTTTATAGTACACACATGTACCATGATCAAGTGAGTTTCACCCCAGGGATGCAAAGATGGTTCAACATACACAGATCAATAAATGTCACACACCACATTAATAGAATAAGGGATAAAAAGTACATGATTATCTCTATAGATACAGAGAAAATATTTGACAAAATTCAGTATGTTTTCTTTTTTTTTTTTTTCTTGAAATGGAGTCTTGCTCTGTTAGCCAGGCTAGAGTGCAGTGGCGCAATCTCGGTTCACTGCAACCTCCATCTCCCAGGTTGAAGCGATTCTCTTGCCTCAGCCTCCCTAGTAGCTGGGATTACAGGAATGTGCCACCACATTTGGCTAATTTTTGTATTTTTAGAATAGACGGGGTTTTACCATGTTGGCCAGGCTGGTCTCGAACTCCTGAACTCAAGTGATCCATCCACCTTGGGATTACAGGTGTGAGCCACCGTGCCTGGCTCAATATCTTTTCATGATAAAAAATGCTCAGCAAATTAGATATAGAAGGAACGCATCTCAATATAATAAAAACCATATATGGGAAACCCACAACTAACATCATACTCAAGGGTGAAAAGCTGAAAGCTTTTTCTCTTAGATCAGGAGCAAACAAGGAAACCCACTCTCACCACTTCTGTTCCATATAGCACTGGATGTCCTAGCCAGAATAATTAGGCTAAATAAATGAATAAATAAAAGGCATTCAAATCAGAAATGAAGGAGTAAAATTTTCTCCATTTGATGTCATGATCTTATATACAGAAAATCCTAACTACTCCACCAAAAAAAATTGTTAGAACTAATAAACAAGTTCAGTAAAGTTACAGGATACAAAATCAACATACAAAATTTAGTAAGGTTTCTAATACCAATCACAAACTGTCTAAAAAGAAAGCAAGAAAAAAAATCCCATTTACAATAGCTACCAAAAAATAAAATACTTAAGAAAAATTTCACCAAGGAAGGAGGTGAAAGAGCTGTACACTAAAGACTATAAAACACTGGTGAGAGAAATGAAAGAAAACACAAATCAGTGGGGAGGTATTTCATGTTCATGAATTGTTAGAATTAGCATTGTCAAAATGTAGTATCCAAGGTGATTTACAATACAATTCCTATCAAAATTCAAATTGCATTTTTCAAAGAAATAGATAATCCTAAAATTTGCATGGAGCTAAATAAAAGATAATAAAAGATGCTAAATAGCCAAAATAATCTTGAGCAAAAATAACAGAGCTAGAAACATATACCTGATTTCAAAATATACTACAAAGCTTTGGAAATCGAAACAACATGATGGTCACTTAAAAACAGAGATATAGACTAATTGGCCAGGCAAGGTGGCCCACACCTGTAATCCCAGCACTTTGGAAGGCCGAGGCGGGTGGATCGCTTGAGGTCAGGAGTTTGAGACCAGCCTGGCCAACATAGCAAAACCCCGCCTTTACTAAAAATACAAAAATTAGCCAGGCTGTGGCAGGCGCCTGTAATCCCAGCTACCTGGGAGGCTGAGGCAGGAGAATCGCTTGAACCTGTTGCAGTTCAACAGGTTGTTGCAGTGAGCAGAGATGCACTCCAGTGACGCACTGCACTCCAGCCTGGGCAACAGAGCAAGACTCCGTCTCAAAACAAAAGGAAAAAAAAGAAAGAAATACAGACCAATGGAACAGAGCAGAGAGTCCAGAAGAAAATCCATGCATTCACAGCTGATTGATCTTCAACAAATGTGTCCAGAACACACAATGGGAAAAGAACTGTCTCTTCAATAAATGCTGTTGGGAAAACTGGATGTCCACATGCAGAAGAATGAAATTAGACCCTTATGTCACACCAAATACAAAAATAAACTCAAAATGAATTAAAGTCTTAAATGCAATACTTGAAACTGTAAAAGTCTTAGAAGAAAACATAGGAAAAAGCTTCTTGACATCAGTCTGGACAATGACTTTTTTGATATGATGGCAAAAGCACAAGCAACAAAAGCAAACATAGACAAATGGGATTGCATCCAACTAAAAAGCTTCCGCATAGCAAAGGAAACAAACAACAGAGCGAAGAGACAACCTGTGAAATGGGAGGAAAATATTTGCAAACCATACAGCTGATAAGGGGTTAACATCCAAAATATACAAGGAACACAAATCAATAGCAAGAAAACACGTAACCTGATCTAAAAACAAGCAAAGGATCTGAACAGACTTTTCTCAAAAGAAGCCATTAGGCGTGTTTACCCATTGGCTCAGAAATCTGCCTTGGACTAGAATAAAAGAACTGCAGGAAAATAATTGAGAAAAATACTGTTTATCTTTACGTACAGATTTTCTCCATGATTTTGTTTTTATGTAAGCAAGTTGTATAACCTTGTGAAAATTACTTGACCTCTGTTGGCTTTTGTTTCTTTATCTGAGAAAGTAAGAAGCTGAAGAAGATGATTCAGAGTCTGAAGGCTGCTTTCCAATCCCAGTTTCCCATGGGTCACACCAGGGTGTGTGCAAGGCCCTTTACCTCCCTGAAGGGACCACTGTCATCATAGCCATGCAGATACTGACAACCTCGAATATTTGAATCAAATGAGATGAATGTAAACATCCTTTAAAAATTGAAAGGCAGTCCAGGCACGGGGGCTCATGCCTGTAATCCCAGCACTTTGGGAGGCTGAAGCGGGCAGATCACTTGAGGTCAGGAGTTCAAGACCAGCCTGGCCAACGTGGCGAAACCCCGTCTCTATTAAAAATATAAAAAATAGCCAGGCATGCTGGTGCACCTGTAGTTACAGCTACTCGGGAGGCTGAGGCATGAGAATCACTTGAACCTGGGAGGCAGAGGTTGCAGTGAGCCAAGATTGCACCACTGCACTCCAGCCTGGGCAGCAGAGTGAAACTCTGTCAAAAAAAAAAAAAAAAAATTGAAAGGCAATGTACAAATGATGTCAGCTTCACCTGACTCTACAAAGTCCCTTCCAGGCAGAATTTCTTCATTCATTCAGGAAGTATTTTGAGTGTCTATGGTGTGCCATGAACTATGCTAGGCCATGTTGCTGTAATCATCAGAACAAAAACAACCCTGCCCTCGTAGTGCTTGTGCGGCAGTGGAGGAGAAATACATTAAATAACTGCACAATTATTTTTGTGATCCTCTGACACAGTCACTTTTCTTCGGTGTTCTTCCTTCCTCTAACACCATGTGGCCGCCTTCGCAGCAGTTTTGGAGGACGGAGAGAGAGCCCTCACCTCCCCACCCACCCCAGTGGAAGAGCTTCCTCCTCAGCAGCGGGCAGGAGTCCTTCAGCACTGACGTTGTGTAGAATTTCTAGTCCATGGTGATAATAAAAAGTGCGTGTTGTGAAAGGAAAATATCTTGGGCCCCCAAAATCACTAAGCTAAATGGAAAAGTCAAGCCGGAAATTGCTC
Source organism: Homo sapiens (assembly GCF_000001405.40). Lineage (NCBI taxonomy): Eukaryota > Metazoa > Chordata > Mammalia > Primates > Hominidae > Homo > Homo sapiens. Next base: position 55,267,388 of record NC_000007.14, read on the forward strand.
AGGGCCAAACTGCCTCCCATTCTATTCAAAGTCACCTTTCCACTCACTGAGATAAATGTGTATCTGATTGCCTCCTTTGGAAAGGCTGATCAGAAACTCAAAAGAAGGCAACCATTTGTCTCTTATCTACCTATGACCTGTAAGCCCCCTCCCCACTTCAAGTTGTCCCGCCTTTCCAGACTGAATCAATGTTCATTTTACATATGCTGATTGATGTCTCATGTCTCCCTAAAATCTATAAAACCAAACTGTGCTCTGACCACCTTGGGCACATGTCGTCAGGACCTCCTGAGGCTGTGTCACAGATGTGTGTCTGCAATCTTGGCAAAATAAACTTTCTAAATTAACTGAGACCTGTCTCAGATTTTGGGGATCCACAATGTGCTTTAGTCAATTTTATTATCGTCCGTAAACTCTCCTGAATTTACTCCAGGATGGATCACGTCCACGTGCACACAGACCTCCCGATCACTCTCTCCAGGCTGGGTCCACAGTTTCTCATCTCCATTAGGACAGTGTCCCTTTGTGTTGGACAAGCTGCCAGTGCTTGAAAAGCCTGACTCCACTCCAGTCCTAACCTTCTGATGGAAAATGCCTGTTGCCTCCTGGCTGTCTTTGAAAGGGGCCGTGTCAAATTTAGAAGCCAAAGACTTTCAATTATTGAGAGGCTCACACCCTCTCACCCCATTTAAGTATTTCGGCAGAGGTAGGCCCCTGGCTTCTTATGCCTGTCAAGTAAAATAAGAAGTATTAGTGCTTCTAAAACTAACTAAACTTAGGCAACATGTAGGCTATAACCTCTGTGGTTGACAGACAAATAACCAGCCAAGGATGTCGTAGTAGTTTGGTAAGGCCACCGTAACACAGACTGTAACACAGAAAATACCACAGACTGGGCAGCTTAAACAACAGAAATTCTTTTTTTTCACAATTCTGGAGGCTGGAAGTTCGAGTCAAGGTGTGGGCAGGTTGGTTTCCTCTGAGACCTGCCAAGATGCTTGTCTTCTCTGTGTCTTCACAGTCTCTTCTCTATACGTGTCCTTGTTCAAATTTTCTCTTATATGGATGCTGGTCAGGTTGGATTAGGGCCCGCTCTACTGACCTCATAGCTTAATTGCCTAGTTAAAGGCCCCATCTCACAGTACCATCACATTCTGAGGTTCTGGGGGTTAGGACTTTAAACATGAAAAGGGGGGGTGGGTCACAGTTCAGCCTATTACCGTTGTTCATGTCCTGATCCCAGAACCAATGAATTTGTCACCTTCCATGACAAAAGGACTCTGCAGATGCAAGGAAGGGTCTTGAGATGAGCAGATTATCCTGAATTATTCAGGTAGCACAGTGTAATCACAGAGTCCCTCCAGGAGTCCCTCCAGGAGAGGCAGGAGGGCCAGAGTCAGAGAAGGAGGGGTGATAACAGAGCAGGGGTCGGAGAGGACAGGAGAGAGATGCCAACCGACCTGGAGATACTACACTGCTTGCTTTCAGAGGGAGGAATGGGCCATGAGCCAAGGGATACATGTGACCTCCAGAAAGTGGAAAAGGCAAGGAAATGGATCCTCCTCTGGAGCCTCCAGAAGAAACCAGCCCTGCTGGCACCTGGATTTTAGCTCCATGAGACTTCTGACCTCCAGAACTCTAAGGTAATAAGTTTGTGTTGTTTTAAGCCTTATAGCAGCAATAGGAAAAAGTAATACAATCTCCCATTCTGGAAATATTTTGGAAGCTGTGAAAATTAGGGAATAGTCAGAATAATGAGAAACTAAAGAAAAGTTGGAGATCAAGGGAACATACCAAAGGAAATGAGGGAGAGAAGGACAGAAAGAGAAATCAAGAAATGCGAAGGGAGGGACTGATAAGACATTCTGAAAGTGCCTTATTCCCTGTAAAGGATGTATGCTGGCCTGGGGAAGACTATGACGTTAGAGAATTTAAAATGCAAAGCACATACAATATGACGACATTGGTTGTGGACCCTGAGCCTCTAGGAAAGGAGTCTAGCAATCCATTCAACAAATATTTCCACCATGTCATCTGACCGCACTTATGTGCCAAAGCCCCCTAGCTAGAGCTGCCATGGAAAGACCACATGAGGCCAGAGTCAGCCAGATCTGGAGATGGCCCAGGGCGTGTGTGCCAAGCAGCCACTGACATGGGCAGGACTTAGTTCTAAGACAGTCCAGGTGAATAATTTGGTCATCATCAGGTGGGAGAGACAACAATAGCTACTTTTTAGGGAGTGCTTACTATGGCCGAGCACTTCGGAGACTGAGTACACAAATGGACAATGGCCAGAGCATCTATAAGAGTAGAACTCCCACCCACCCCCTGCAGCCACCAGCCCAGGAGGCCAAGCCATCATCTACAGGAACCAGCCCAGCAGGCCAAGCCAACATCTACAGGAACCAACCTGACATCTACAGGAACCAACCTGACATCTACAGGAACCAACTCAGCAAGCCAAGCCATCATCTACAGGAACCAGCCTGGGAGGCCAGCCTGCTCCATGCCAGGCTGGTAAGAATTCAGATTGCTATCTCTAGAAATAATATGGGAAATTAAACAATACATTCTCTAACAATCAGACCCAAAGGGCCAGGACTTGAATAATAACTGACAGTTTTCCTACTTTTTGTCCCTGCTTCCAATCTAGGACTAACCAGAGAAAGCCCAGTATGTCCCCTAGCCAATCCCATGGGATGCCCACTTCTCACCAGCCGCCTCCGGCTTCCCCAGGCCCACAGCCTCCAACAGGCCTCTGAAGCCTCCCCTTTTCCATGATGAAGCTTCTCCACTCCTCACCTGCCTGTGAGTCTGTCAGGACACAAGTGATGGCCGCGGACCCCCTTGCTATAGCAGCTCTGAATAAACAGCCTTTGTCCTTGCTTGGGTGGTCTTCGTTTATTTCCACCCACTAAGGAAACCACTAAGGAGACACTCACTCAGAGCCGCCCCTGTGGTGGTAACTTACATGTTGGGTGACTGGTGGAAGCTAGAGGACCACTCTGGCTCCTGAGCTCTGCTCTTCATCATCTGACACTTGGATCTTGGAGAAGTTTGGTGAAATTGTTCTTCCAAAGCCTACCACCAACCAAGTTTGGAAAAGACTGAGCTAGAGTTTAGAAAACAGAGCTATAATCTGGGAGCCAGAAAAATCTATTGTTGAATGCCAGAACTGAAGGATTAAACTGGGGAAAACCACAGACTGGTCCCACAGACCCCCACAGGGATATTCCTTTCCAGCAATGGATATGCTTCAAAATGTGCCCAGGCTCTCCTGAGAGTTCCTCCGGGGTCTTGTCTCAGGCTGCCCAACACACTCCACACCTCCATGCCAGCACTAGACCCTCCTGGCCCTCAGGACCCCCAAGACCATAGACCCCCCAGGCTGAGCACACACAACACCACCAGCCTGTCCTTGGGTCTGACAGACTCTGGACCCCACACCTGACCACGAGGCCCTGCCTCAGAGTTCTGTGCAGCTACATGGGGGCTGAGACCCTCGTCCATCCCCCAGGGACCAGTTTCCCACCTTGGGCCTTAACTGCCTCCTTGAGGCACCCCCACACCCTACAAAATATGACATAGGCCTCCCAAACTTCAGAGCCTGGAACAAACACCCCACCCCTGGGAGATGAGGGCTTTGTCCTCACTCCTGTCTCGGGGTCACTTCCCTGAGCCCTGTTTCTTGTCCCGGCATTAATGGCATCTTGGGATGATGGCCAATGGGAACTCCCTCTCCCACCACCATCCCCAAAGACCACCACCCCATAGTCTAACGTGGTGACATCTCCCATGGTTCTCTTATTGAACTTGGAACAAACAGCTTTTAAATCAATTTCACAACTACTCCTCCTACACTACAGCACCCTCCAGTGGAGGAGAAGGCCACCGGGAGGCCCTGGGTTTCCATCCAAAGAGCAAAAATATTTAAAGCCTACAAACCTCCCCTCAAGCTCCACGAAGCCAAGGACACAACTTTAAGGAAACTAAGCTGTAGCAGCTGCCATCCCCACCTCTCCTGGCCTCTCCTTGCAGGCTTGGGTGGAGCCTGAAGGGGGTGAGGACATGCTGGAGAAAAAGTCACATGGGAAAAAAAAAAAAAAACACAGGCAAGACAAGGACGACTTGCCAGAAAGTCAAAAGCATGTTGACAGAAGGCCACCTTGGGGTGGGCCAAAGAGCCACACGATTATGGCCAACAAGCACCTCACGCAAGGAGAGGCCGGGCATGGGACACCAGCTCCCCCTGTGTAGCCCCATGTTCGTGACCATGCTGATCAGCCTGCAAAGGCAGTGATGGCGCTGGGAAGAGCATGCTGCACGAGAGGAAGGCCACAGCTGAACAGAGGCAGCCAGAGCATGCTGGGACCTGGAAATGGGAGGCACATAGTCCAGTTCTCCTGACAGCAGAAGGTTCCTGATGTTCTCTTCTAAGTGTGGGCACTGCGGCCAAGCCTGGACCTCAGATGCACGCCGTGGAGAGGCTGAGGAGCAGGCAAACTTGCACTTGTGTCCACGTGCAGCTTCCTCGTGCAGACCCCAGCACCAGACACAGTGCTGCCAGGCTGACAACCCAGGGCCACAGCCTCCTGCATAAACAAAACAGGCCAATCAGGGTGCCCCATGCCTCCAGACCCCACAGAATAGGATCCAAGCAAAAGCAACCAGAACGTCCATGAATAGGGGAGAGGACATTCGAGGACAAAATTCTCCTTCCTTACCCAATTGCCAACTGCAGGAATTGTGTGCACCTGGAGTGCTGGAGTTCATCTTTTCCACAGCAGGGAAGGTCCAGCCAGTGCAGAGCAGAGCTGAGAGGGCGGGAGGCTGACTTCTGGCAGGCACTGACAGCCTGACCCCACTGCTGCTGAAGAAACTCACTAAACTAGTTCTGAGAGTCAGGAAGGACCCTTTTCTTCCTGACCTGATTGTATTTGGACTTCTATCATTAGTCCTAGCTAGAACAGAGGGAAATCTGCCAATCTTACTTCTAAAATTAGGACATATATTGAGCACAGCCCCCCGGCTCCCACACCCTTCCCCAGAGTTCATGTGAAACAATGAACCTGGGGGCAGCAGACAGAGCATCCTCACGAGGCCTGGCGCTATGCCAGATGGGCTGGGCCACTGGGGCAGGGAGGGGGAGCTGCCACCTCACATGAGGCACATCAGGTGCCTTGGGCAGCCTCAGGGTGCCAAGATAGCCAGAGAAGCAGAAACTCCAGAAATGCCGTTTCCCTCCAGAAGGACTGGAGCCTCAGAATCAGGAACATCAGCCCTTTATCCCAAGCTCCTCACTCCAGACAGCAGGACATGCCTGCTTTGAGGTGCCACCCTCAGAAATCCAGTCATCCAGAAGTACAACCAAATATTGCTGGACAGAGCCTGTTTGGGACTCTATAAGGGGTTTCTTGGGCCAAGATGGAGCTATAGGACTGCTATGGGCTGAGCTGTGTCTCCCAAAACTCCACCTGCTGAAGCCCTAACTCTTCACGTGATTGTATTGGAGACCGGGCCTATCACCAGGTGATTAAGGTTAACTGAGGTCATGAAGGTAAGCCATGACCCAATAGGGCTGGTGTCCTTATAAAAAAGGAGGAGATGTCAGAGCTCTCTCTCTCCCTCTCTACCATGTGAGAACACAGCAAGAAGGTGCAGTCTGTCTGCCAGGAAGAAAGCCCTCACCAGAACCAAACCCTGCTGGAACCTTGATCTTGGACTACTCCAGCCTCCAGGACTGTGAGAAAATAAATGTCAGATGTTTAAGCTGCCCAGTCTATCAGGTTTTGTCATGGAAGCCTGAACAGACTGCAGTGAGGACGGCAAGGATCTCTGGGTAAATATCTCCCAGGGTGATTCCCTCCTGGTACTCGGATTTTCTGGACCTGAGAGAACACATCAGTAGCCTGAACTCTATATGCTAAAAGAAGAGGGCCTGCTGTGCCTGCCGCTGACTGCCTGTCAGACACCCCAGCGTCAGACAGGATCGGCATGGAAGGTCAGGTCCCTGCTATGTGACACCTGCAGACCTGTAAGGTGGATTTTACGGCCAGGAGCCCATCTTCCCTCACTGAAGAAGTCAGGACTGCTGGCACCAACCTTGAAGAAAATCAACAGGCAAGGTCCTGGTTCAGGACCCACTTTGACAACTGGGCCATGGTTTGGGGACATCAAGTGGGCAGAGTGAAGAGGGCCTTCCAATTCCAAATGCCCAGGGATGTCAGAGACTGGGCTGCAGCCAGGAACCTTCCTTGGACAGACAGTCAGCAGGGGAGCCGCCCGGGAGAAGTTCACAGAAAGCAGCCTGACCCCACTCGAGCTCCAGGAAGGTGGGGACCGTGTCTGGCTTGGTTCACTGTTTTCCTCCCGCACTTGTGCAGGAGGCTACCCCGGCTGATGGTGCCTTCCCTGAGCAGGGGAAATGCTGGGCCCTTGGACAGGTCCTGGCAGCCTTCCCGCCATTGCCATCACTGCAGTTGGGCTCCAGGCAACAGTGACAGGGATGCTCCATGTGTTCACACACAAAGGACATCTGTCCTGGCCACCCAGTGTGATTTCCCGTCCTGTAGCTCTCTTCTGGGTTCTTAGGATGAAGGCCAATTCTCACCTCTTCTCGGCAATTCCTTCTCGGGAAAGCCATCCTGTCAGGGAGAGAGGGACTGAACACGAAACAGAATTCATCAGAGGCTGCTGGTGCTGGCAGCCTCGCTGGCTGTATAGCCATAAATCCCAAGGCCCACCACCCTGCCCAGTGACCCTCCATATTTCTAGAATCCATTTGCTCTCCCTTCCCCTGAAGATTTTTTTCACAACCGCTCACTGCTCAAACTCCCCACACCCCTCCCTTCTCCTCACTCTCCAACCACGGCATCACTTCTTACTTTGCTGAGTGTGCACATGCAATGATCTTCTAGTGCCACCACCTCTGCAGGATGTTCTGCACCTGGGCCCGGTGAGGCCCTGCCCACTTTGTGGCTGCTGGCGAAAGCCCTCGCTCCTTCCTCAAGCAGTCCCTCCCACTCGTGTCAACTCAAGGACTGTGCACCTATAATTATCTCCTCTCCCTTGGGCATCATCAGTTCCCCCCATCTGCTGACACCACCCCAATTATTACCATAAACACACAACATGTTCTAGTATCTCCCACCTTTCTAGACCATGCCCCCCTGAGCTGCTGCACCCTCCGTGGCAGCTCCCTGCAGGACCCTTTGCCGGCCCTCCCCTCTCTCTCATCCACCACCCACCCCTGATGTGAATAAGAGCCAAATGTTCAGATCACTAAATGTCTATTCCCAGCCCCAACATCTTCCCTGAAATCCAAACTCAAATATCCCAATGCCTACTTAGATGTCTAGTAGGTGTCTCAAATTCAGAAAAATCAAAACAACCTCTTACCAAATACCTTAAGCTTGTTCCCTCAGCCAACCCCATTTCAGCAGATTACACCTATATTTTCCCCATTGTCTCAAAGCAAAACCCGAGGAATCTTTATTAACTGCTGTCTTTCCCATACATGCTGAAATTCTTGCTGGAATTCAGCAGCAAGTCATGCTCACTCTTCCTTCATGAATTCCAGATCCACAACCCCTTCCCCTAGCCTGCAGCCAAACAGGCCAGGCGTGCAGCCGCCTCTCTGAGCCCGTGAACACCACAGTTCCCTGAGCAGACAGACGATGAAGGATAAACAGGAGCAAGAACCAGTCCCACCCAGCTGCCTCGCTCAGGATGTAGGGCCACAGAAACTGTAATAACTTGCCCTAAATCATGAGAGTAACTAGAAGACACAGGACTTGAACCTGGGAAGTCTGGCTCTCAACCACTACACTAAAATGCAGGCAAGGGCAGGACATGGAGAGGGTTCAGAACATAGAGGATTCCCCAGCTCATCTGCAAAACTTTTATTCTCCAGATGGAAAGAGTCAGGGGTACCCAAATCCCTTTCCCTTCCCACTGCACAGCCCCATGTCCTGGCAGCCACACACGGTTGCTGGCCATACATGGTTGTGACAAGAAAGGAACACAGGTGTGGCCAGAAAAGGAACAAGGGATGCAATGGCTGCTCCTGAAAGAACACCAGGCCCCTCTTCTGGACTGCAGGGTTCCCCTAATGTGGGCCGGCCTATGGCAGAAGAAGCCAAAGAGGACCCCACCTGGCCAGACACAGAGTGCCAAAACTCTACAGTTACAGATTCCCATGTGATCACCGAAACTGCTTTAAGAACCTTTTAAAATACAGATTTCTGGGCCTGATGGAATCACAGCATCACAAGTAGCATCTGGGAATCTCTGCTCTTAGAAGTTTCTCATAGGATTCTATTGGTGCAGAGAGCAGATCTGAGGGAAGTGACTCGGGCCTGGTGGGAGGGCCAGCTTCCAGGATGACCCCCAGGGATTCCCACCAACAGTTAGCCATGCCCCTGAGGAGCTGCCTCCACAGTGAGTGCGCCTGGCCTGTGTACCAGTTGGATCTTGAAAAAATGATCATGTGTGGGTTATGAGGTCAGGTCATAAAAGGACACTGCAGCTTTCCCCTCTGTCTCTCTGGATTGCAAGCTCTGACACACCATGTTGTGGGGAAACTGAGCAACCCTGTGCAGAAGCCCCCATGGTGAGGCACCAAGGCTGCCTGTCAACAGCGAGTATCAACGTGTCAGACACATGCGTGCCCCACCAGGGAGGTGGCTCCCTCAGCCCCAGGCAGGCCTTCAGGTGTCTACACTCTTCCCTGACATCTGAATGGCAACTCCAAGTCACAGCCACCCAGCTACGCCCTCCTGAATTCCTGACCCACAAAATGGGATGAAACAATACATGTTTATTGCAGTTTTAACCTTCTGAGTTTTGCAGTAATTTGTAGTGCAGCGAAAGACAACTGATACACCTGGAATGACCAGAAGACCCTTCCCAAAGGAAACGGGTACTGGGTATGATAAAAAGAGAGGAGGGCATTAGGTAAAAGAATAAGCTGGTTCAGGTATGACATACTTCACTGACGCGAAATAGAGAAGAGTAAATAGATCCCTGTGCCCAAATTTCTATTTCCCCTGTGAGAGTTCCAGTGCCCCTCCAGAGAGGGGGTGCTGGCATCACTGCGCCTGGTGGTGGGGGAGGCTGCCCTTCTACAGCAGGGTGGGCCTGAGCCTCACCCACTCTCTCCGTCATTCTCTAGCTGGGCTGCACATTCAGATCCCTGGAGAGCTTTGAAAAATATTGATTTCAGGGCCACACTCACGAAGATTATGATTTAACTGGTCTGGGTTGTAACCTAGGCATAAGAATTCTGAAAATCTCCCCGAGTGATTCTAATACGCAGCTGCGGCTGAGAACCATGGCTACAGACAAAGAGCTTCACAATCTGACTGTCGCTGAGGCTAAGTGTAAGCCTGGTGAAGGGACACAAAGTTGCAGCCCTTTCTTTCAATGCAGGCAGGCATGCAGGGGTGCAGGGAGCATTCCCACTCAAGTCAGGATATGGTAGAAAGGGCCTTAGCTAAACAAACAGCCAGTGGCGATTGCTGCTTTAGGTATCTATGACCATGTGGCATAAACCATAATAATCATTTGTTATCATTATGACCCACATGCAGCTCTGGGGCCTGGCTAGACCCTGCCATGGGGTTCTTACGTAGACTCTGTAAAGGTCTTTGGTAATTAGGTTTGGATGAGGTCATAAGGGTGAGGCCATCATCATGGGATCAGTGCCCTTATAAAGAGATGCCACAGAGCTTGCTCCCTCTCTCTCTCTCTCAGCCATGTGAGAAAAAAGTGAGAAACCACTGTCTGCAAGCCAGGCAGGGCCCACGCCAGAACCTGACCATGCTGGTGTGACTTTCACCCTCCAGAACTTTCTGACTTTCACCCTCCAAAACTGCGAGAAATTTCTATTGTTGAAGCCACTCCATCCTTGGTACTTTTTTCTGGCAGCCCCAGCTAACCAAGTCACAGGGGAGGAGACATAGACCCCCCCAACACTTGATAGAAGGAGTGTCAAAGAATTCTCAGACATGTTTAAAAACCACCTGAACTAAAAAGGACATATAAACTCCACCTCTTGGATACAGAAAGACTCATGCCAGTGAGCCTGAAGCTGTGAAGTTTTCCAGGTATTTAATAGATGGTCAGTGGTAAAATTATTTTGTAATCCATTGAGTTTCTAAAATTATAGCTCCTAGAACTTTTCACACAGAAAGGAGAGATGGAGGTCAACTTGGCAGTCTCACCAGCAAAGCAACAGAGTAGATTCTCACTTATTTTTAAAATCCCATAACATAGCACTATGCCTGGCACATGGGAGGTGCTGCGTAAACATGTTATACCCTGACTCACTCAGCTCCCAATGCCTGTTTCCGTGGCAGCCTCAGAAACCCACGGAGAAGACTCTGGACTCCAAGACATCTATCCTATGTCTGGTATTGCTCTGCCTGCAGGAAACAGATGACACTGTGTGGGCAAGGTGTTCACCTGGTGACAGAGATGGGAGCTGGGGGCAGAGGCTGAGACTGTCTGGAAGCAGGTATTGGAGTTGACTTCCACTCTGAGGGGACAGTGTGGGTGTCTGTGAGGGGGTTGGCTGTGGCTGAGACACTGGGATTCATTTCAGATGTGGACGACAGGGCTCAGTGGGAATGGAACGCAGCCTAACCTCCAGGGCTGCTCCAGTCCCTCTGTGGCCGGGTCCTGGCCACGTGGTGGGTGTCAGCTACTCACTGAAATACTGATGGGGCACTGCTCCCAGGGTCCCCTCTAGCCAGCCAGAGTCTATAATGCAGGTAGAATGTCCACCAGCCCTTCAGGAGAGATGGGAAGGCAGCATTTGGAGGAGCCCCAGGGAGGGGGTGCCCTGGGACCTCAGGGGTGGTTGAGGAGCTGAAAGGAGGCCACGTTCCCCAGGGCAGCAGTGCACTGAGGAATGGACGAAAGGGCCATCAAGGTGCCCCGGTGCCAGAGAGGTGTTGGCCTGAGGGATTTGCTAACCGGGTGAGGAGTGGAAGGGCTACAGGGATGCTACCCAAGATGGAAGGGGAGGAAGTCCCCAGGACCAGGCTGTCTCCATGCAGACCCTCAAAAGCAAAGAACCAGCCCAAGTGATGACTGCTAACGTTTGTTAAGTGGTTACCATGCACCTGGCAGAAAGTGAGGGCCTTCCACCATCTAGCCGTTGTGGCCCAGCGATGGGAGGTGACTTCCCAGTCATTCATGAAATAATGCGTGGCTTCATCGCCAGCACCTCCGAGGTGGTGCTATCCCCATTCTGCTTCTCAGGAAACTAGGTGTATTTGTTTCCACCGCTGCTCTAACAAACTACCATAAACCCATGGCTTAAAACAGCAGACATGTATTCTGTCAGGGTTCTGGAGACCAAGAGCTCCAAATCAAGGCATCAGCAGGGCCATGCCCCCTCTCAAGGTTCCCAGGAAGAATCCTCCCTTGCCTCTTCTGAGATTCCGGTGGCTCCCAGCAATCCCTCGGCTCCTCGGCTTGTGGACGCATCGCTCCAGCCCCTCCTGCACACGGGCTTCCCCTCTGTGTGTCTCTGCGTCTCTTTCTGTCATCTTATAAATCACATTTGAAGACCCACCCAAATCCAGGATGAACTCAACTAATTATATCTGCAAAGACCTTATTTCCAAATACAGAAATTTGTCACATTCTGAGGTCCTGGGTGGAGATGGATTTTGAGAGTCACTATTCACCCTATTACACTGAGTCTTTGAGAGGTTTAAGAAATTACCTAAGTTTCCACAACAAATAAAAAGGTGGCTGAAATGGGGTTTGAATCCCCGGAGTAAAGCTGCCCCTGTAGCCCACAGTGGTGTCAGCAGCCCGAGGGCTGAACAGCTCTAACCTCTTCCCCCGCCGCCCAAGAAACTGCACTACCACCGCCATTTTGAGTCAGAGAGACAGAACCCAGTAGAGAACACAGGGCGGGTCTCAGAGAAGAACACTGCCTGGGATACAGGGCAGGTCTCAGAGCAGGGCCCAGGCTGGAACACAGAGCAGGTCTCCAAGAAGAACCCAGGCTGGAATACAGGGCAGGTCTCAGAGCAGGACCCAGGCTGGAACGCAGGGCAGGTCTCAGAGAAGAACCCAGGCTGGATCTCGGATCTGGGCCCAGGCTGGAACACAGGGTGGGTCTCAGAGCAGGGCCCAGGCTAGAATACGGGGCAGATCTTGGAGCAGGGCTCAGGCTGGAACATGGGGCAGATCTCAGAGAAGAACCCAGGCTGCGTCTCAGAGCAGGGCCCAGGCTGGAATGCAGGGCAGGTCTCAGAGCAGAGTCCTGGGGACAGCAGCACCAATGGCTCTTCCCAAGTGGCCTGAGTGAGCTGGGAGGGCTCTTTTAACTCTGCAAGCCTCGGGTCCGTCTTGAGGCTCATGGGAGATTCCGTACACCTCCTAGGCATCCCAAGAAGTGTTTTCCCCAGATATTTGTTTCTTCCTTAACGCTAGATTTGCTGCCACCCTCTAATTAATGGGATCTATCTTTCAAGAAAATTTCTCTTCAGTCTTCTCTCTGGACTCCCCACTTCCTCTCTGGCAGTCCCAAGCCATTCTAAATTAGATTTTCATATTCCTTCCCCAGATGTTTAATTCTCCTAATGAGCATTTTCTAGCTCAGGCCTGCACTGCTGTAGCCTGTAGGGTCCCTGAGGGGTGCCCATGGGGAAGGCGGTGCTCTTCAGGGCTTGGAGTGGGTTTTAATATTTAAATCTTCACAGCAATGCCGACACTAGATGGCAGTGGTTCCTAATTATTGGGGGTTCCAGGCAGGCTTGCCTTCTTCCTGTGCTGCCCAGGGAGGTCAGACCTCCCTGAGATGGGAAGAAGTGGGTCATTCCCACCCCACCAACCCCCTCCTGCAGACCCAGACCCAGAAAGCTCAGCCCGGGTGAGGAAGAAAGGAAAGCCCCAAGAGGAAAGATGTGAAGCAATGAACTTGACATGGGGCTGTTGATTTCCTCTCCAAGTGCCTCAGACAGATCCACCCCTGAGAGGCCCTTACAGAATGATCCTCTCCAAGTGCCTCAGACAGATCCACCCCTGAGAGGCCCTTACAGAATGATCCTCTCCAGGGGAGGCTCAGAAGCTGTAGCCATTGCCTGGCAAGATTTTAGGAGCCTCCCCTGCCTCACCCCCACCCCTTATCCCCCACAGGTAGGAAAGTCCTTGGGAAAGGCAACTCAGCAGTGTTCATCAAAAGCCCTCAAAATGTCATATGATCACTTTATATGTAGGAATTTGTTGTAAGATTAGAAGTGAATAAGTCAACAAGAATATATGTTTGGGAGGCCAAGGCAGGCAGATTGTTTGAGCTCAGGAGTTTGAGACCAGCCTGGACAACATGGCAAAACCCAGTCTCTACAAAAAATACAAAAGTTAGCCAGGTATGGTGGTGCAAGCCTGTAGTCCTAACCACTTGGGGGCTGAGGTGGGAAAATCACTTGAGCCCAGAAAGTCGAGGCTGCAGTGAGCTGAGATCACACCACTGCACTCTAGCCTGGGTGACAGAGTGAGAACTTGTCTCAAAAAAAAAAAAGGGAACGAGAAAGAGAAAGAAAAAAGAAAACAGAATATTCATTGTACACTTATTTATAGTAGTGCGAATTTGGAAATTGCGTAAATTATACAACTGTTAAAAGAAAAACTTCAGCCAATTAAAAGAGTTTATTTGAGAAATGAACCATTCACAAATTGGGCAGTCCCCAGAATCACAGCAGGCTCAGAGAGACTCCAGGGTTTCCTTGTGGTCAGAAAAAAATTATAGTCAAAAAAAGGGAAATGACATACAAAAATCAGCAGTGAGGTACAGAACAGCTGGATTGGTTACAGGTTGGTGTTTGCCTTATTTGAACACCGTTTGAACACTCAGCAGTGCATGAATGGTTGAAGAATGGCTGCTGGGATTGGCCAGGTCTCAGCTATTGTTACAGGCGCATATTCTTATGTTCGGTTCTCAATCTTGTCTACCTATTAAGTTAGGTTACAGTTCATCCACAAGGACTCAAATATAGAAGTACGGAGTCCTTCTCAGGCCATATTTAATTAACCTTAACTATTCTCCCCTTTTAGTCATTTTCTCAATTTTCAGAGATTGACCAAAATTTTAGTCATTGATGTCATTATCACCAAGGTAAATGTACTATTCAGCCTTGAAGCCCACTGGGGAACAGTAGAACAGTGAGTTTTGCGAAGGTAGGAACAAGGACTGAGTAGAGGGTAGCTCCTTATGCTGGAACATCCTGTAGAGAGAGAAAAACAAAACCTGGTCTGTTCTAGGACCTAAGTGTTTCCTTAAAGACTTAGTTTGATTATGTCACATTTAGCATAAGCGACTCCATTTTTGTTTGGTTTGGTCTGTTGGAGCCTAGTGCATAAGCTCTAAAACAATGGCTTCTCATGATTTTGTTTAAAAATTTTACTTAGGTTCTCACTTAGGTGAGAGTGTGACTAAAACTTGGGCCTTAGTGCCACTCTGTTACCATCATTTTGGGTTTCTCGCCTCAGCACGTCATTCATAGGTTATGGTGTCCCCATGGTTGCAGATTCCTTTCAGTTCTTGTCATTCCAGTTGAAGACAGACCATTTGACATTCTAGAGATGGCTGCATGTAAACATTTAAAACCTTTGAGGGAATGAAGAGCACCAGGAAGATTACTATTATGGCTATCTGGAGGATAATACTGAGAGTTTGGAGTATGCTCCTTACCCAGGGTCCCCATAAACCAAACCACCTAAAATTAAATAGATCAAAGAATGAGCTAGATAAAGAGTCTACTCGCTTAACTAAGCAGTCTTTTCATTCAACCCCTACAACTGAATCTCTGTAATACCCCATGTTTTCTCCATAGGCCATAAGCGCCAGCAGCTTCACAGATACTGCTATTTAGCCAGTAAGTAATCTAGAGCAATTCTATTGTTTAGCATAACTTTCATAAAAGAATTTAAAATCTGTTGTGTAACCATAGCCTTTACAGTAGAATTTTCTATAGAGCTTATTATGAGGGATACATTTCTAATCATTGCCTCTTTTACTCTAAACCATGAAAAAGGACATAACAAATGATGCCCTTCTAGAAGAGTGAGGCCTCCTAGCAATGTTCTCCTTAACTCATTATATGGGTTAAGAGGAGTCAATCAATGTTTTGTTTCTGATTGATTATGTGGCAACATATGTACCATTAAAGTTTCTCACCTACATTGGGCCTTCATCTTTTATCTATCAAAGTATAAGGTTATCCATGAATAAGGCTGGCTGCAAAATCCTTCACAAATAAAAGTATATTCTGTAAGTGCAAATAACAGACCCCCTTTTCACTTCTATTGTTCATAGAGGTATAAGCAAGGAAAAAAAATATTTGAAGATAAGAGTCTTGATCCGTGATCTTGGGAAAAGCTGTTCACATCAAGGATGGCATCTTCGTCTGGGGAGAAACTTCCCTGGTTAGCTTTACCTTAAGGGTTCTAATGGGTGTACAGTTCCAACAGTGTGGAGAAAGCCTTCTCAGTTGTGAGATTACGAACCCAAGTTTCAAGGACCCAAAGTTTTGTTGCAGTGTGGATGGCAAGGGCAGTCTTTCTCTGATGTTCCCAGAAGATCCAATCATCAGGTTCTAGACTGTGAATGGGTTGCTTGTCCTCAGTGAACCATAAAAAGCTTTCTTTACCTTGTGAAAATACACTGTGCCATAATAAGCTACTGTTGTAACATCAGCCCTCTTGCATGGGAACATATTTATAAAACCAGAAAACATGCATTGAAAATGACAAGTGAATGAAATCCCTTTATAAATGTTTAAATGGCCCATCAAGTAGTCAAATGTACCTAAAGTTTTGATTGTCTTCCCAGGAATATGGTTTTTATATTTGTCAAAATAAACATTTTGACAATGTTTAGTGACAACTAAACATTGGTCATAAACTATTTTAGCAATTTAGAAGTCATCACACCAATATATGGTTAATTTGGATCATTCTATCTTTTCCATAATAAGTCATGGACTACAGAACTTTTTTTTTTTTTTTTTTTTTTTTTTTTTTTCTTGAGACTGAGTTTCACTCTTGTTGCCCAGGCTGGAGTGCATGGTACGATCTCAGCTCACTGTAACCTCTGCCTCCCGGGTTCAAGTGATTCTCCTGCCTCAGCCTCCCAAGTAGCTAGGATTACGGGTGCCTGCCACCACACCCAGCTCATTATTGTACTTTTAGTAGAGACAGGGTTTCACCATGTTGGCCAGGCTGGTCTTGAACTACTGACCTCAGGTGATCCACCCGCCTTGGCCTCCCAAAGTGGTGGCATTACAGGTGTGAGTCACCGCCCCGGCCACTTAAAAATTTTTAAAAAGGCATTGATAGAGGGAAGCCTTAGCTTTCCATACAATCTGTCTCTTGTCTTTCCTCTTTTTTTCCTGTAGTTTATTTAACAGGCAAACAAAAATCTGTCATTATCCTTTAATATTACATGAAAATCTCATTCAAGAGAGAAAGCCAAATTTTACCCTTGCATTAGTTTACTATTAATGTCAACCCCAATTTTTAATAAAACCTTATAGACAAATCTATCAATCTTAATCAGTTTGACCATAAGGTGAGATTCTCATACACCTTTTATAACCCTTAACAATTTTTGTTAAAGAATGAGCAGTGCTGTAAGAAAAACCTGTTGTGCTTTTATTCCAATGTTCAACTTACAGAAAACCTTAATAATTCCCCTGGAACTTTAGCCAATGTCCACACAGAATTTCTTTTCACAAAATTAATTTTTCACAAACCGTCCACAACTTGTTCAAATCTTTGGCTTTATCTTACATAATTTAAAACAATCCTTAACCCTCTAAACTAAGCAAAAATTTACATTCCCATGCCTTCTTACCGTCTTTTACTTAAAACACATTTTACTTTTCTAACACACCTTGCATGTAAAACTATTTTTGTAGTAGTCTCAATTACATGTGATAATCGTAACTCTTGGCAATTTTTAATTTTGGTGAAAAACCTAGTAAGTTATTTTAATTATGTACTTAGGTATGGAGTGTAGGTATGGTTATTTTAATTATGTACCTAAGTATGGAGCCTAGGGTACTACACAGAAGTGCAGATAAGACTCTTTCCAGCATAGCTAGGGATGTGGCTAACTCCACATGTCCCCAGGCCTTACCCAGCTGTAAAGTAGGCAAGTTGAACAATTTTTATAACTTAAAGCAATTTATAACCTTAAAGCATTTAGTAAACATAATATCTGACCTGCCTAATTTAGATGAAATGTCTTTATTTTACCAATAATCTTTAAAGCTGTTTTTATTTCCCAAAGATTACTAAAGTTATATGAACTAAGAGACATTACAGTTTTTATTCTTCTTTCAAAATATTTAAGTGCTTATTTTTCTTTAAACCAATTAATTAGAGCTCCTTTATATAAACGTCACACACACAACACATATATAACTACACACAGAGAAAGACAGAAGATCCAGTAGTTGTAAGATTTTTCATTTGCCAGTTTTTAAGGGTTTTTTGTTTGTTTGTTTGAGACGGAGCCTCACTCTGTCACCCAGGCTGGAGTGCAGTGACACTATCTCGGCTCACTGCAACCTCTGCCTTCTGGGTTTAAGTGATTCGCCTGTCTCAGCCTCCTGAGTAGCTGGGACTACAGGCACATGCCACCACATTCAGCTAACTTTTTATTTTTAGTAGAAACAGGGTTTCACCATGTTGGCCAGGCTGGTCTCAAACTCCTGACCTCAGGAGATCCTCCCGCCTCGGCCTCCCAAAGTGCCAGGATTACAGGTCCCAGATTAGAAATTTGCTCAAAGAAACTCAGAGAGTTCAAAGCACAAATCCATGGAGCTCCGAAATCCAAGAGAGAATTACTCACAATTACCAGCCACTCCGAGAGATCAGTGGACACAAGTGGGACTGGCAGGCACCTTGCTTGTTCACTCAGCACTCCTGGGGTCATCAAAGCTCTACCTTACCCCACTTCTGACACCATCTGTTAAAAGAACTTCTGCCACATTAAATTTAAAGGAGTTTAATTGAGAAATGAATCATTTGCGAATTGGGCAGCCCCCAAAATCACAGCAGATTCAAGAGACTCCAGGGATGCCTGGTGGTCAGAACAAATTTATAGACAAAAAAAAGGGAAGTGGTGTACAGAAATTGGAGGTGAGGTACAGAACAGCCAGATTGGCTACAGGTTGGCATTTGCCTTATTTGAACACAGTTTGAACACTCAGCAGCGTATGAGTGGTTGAAGTATGGCTGCTGGGATTGGCCAAGACTCAGCAATTGTTATAGCCGCATACTCCTAGGTTAGGTTTTCAATCTTGTCTACCTATTAAGTTAGGTTATAGTTTGTCAACAAGGACTTAAATATAGAAGTATGAAGTCCTTCTCAGGCCATATTTAATTCACTTTAACACAATAAAATACTATACAGACATTAAAACTTATCTAGAGGAAGAATATGTGTTTACATGGTAAGGTATCCAATGTATATATACGGTTAAGTCAAAAACCAGCTCCAAAGAGTGTGTATCATACAATCATACTGTGC
The DNA here is from genome assembly GCF_000001405.40 of Homo sapiens. NCBI lineage: Eukaryota > Metazoa > Chordata > Mammalia > Primates > Hominidae > Homo > Homo sapiens. The sequence goes on from NC_000007.14 coordinate 55,285,944, forward strand.
ATAATTTAAAGGAAACAGAATGAGGCAGGGAAGGACAGAAAGAATCAGATGAAGGGATGAAGGAAGGACTGTTAACAGTGATTTGTTCTAGTTTGTGGGATTATGAGTAATCTTTGATTTTTATCATTTATATATATAATAAGATTAAGAAGTCTTATCTTTGTTCATAATAACGAAAAAGATCATCTAACCAAATTAGTATAAAATAATTTTGTGCGTTGGATATATATTAAAGGAAGTAAGCCAAAAATTTAGCTTAGAAATTTAAATTTCCTATAAAGAGAGGAGGTGTTTCGAGGAAGTAGAGTTTGCCTTTCTGATATCCACAAATCTCTGTGTTTCTTAATTTGAAATCTTAAGTTATTAGTTCTCTTAAATGTAAGAGAACTTACATTTTATCTATAACACTGACCTACAAGTTCTAAATATCCAGTTTAGGAATTCTTCTACTTTAGATATTCAATTTACCACCTTTTAAAATTGTTAGCAAAACTACTCACAAAAACTCTTGCACAGGCCAGGAGCAGTGGCTCATGCCTGTAACCCCAATACTTTGGGAGGCCAACACCATGGGTGAATCATGAAGTCAGGAGTTTGAGACCAGCCTGGCCAACATGGTGAAACCCTGTCTCTACTAAAGATACAAAATTAGCCAGGCATGGAGGCACATTCCTGTAATCCTAGCTACTTGGGAGGCTGAGGCAGGAGAATTGCTTGAACCCAGGAGGCGGAGGTTGCAGTGAGCTATCACACCACTGCACTCCAGCCTGGGCAATACAGCAAGACTCCATCTCCAAAAAAAAAAAAAAAAAAAAAAACACTAGCACAAAGATTCCACCCACAACCCCCAGGAAGCAATAGAGAAGCTGGGAAACAACTGGAGATGGCTAAGGAGTGACAGATCTTTCCTAGGAGACTAGAGAGCAAACGGTTGGCTGAGAGGCTCTCTGGCTTTGGTGTGCAGCTGCTGCCTTGGCAGACACTTGTTTGAGGTCTTCTCTTTCCTCCCACAGTTCCTGCAAACCACTCCACTCCACCTTAACTCTGGAAGAGTGGGGCATCTTCTCAGGTGATGCCTTGGGCCCCCGAAAAGTTTTCTCTAGTTCCTCCTAGAGATGGCACTCATTAATAAGTCCATTGTGATTTCAGAGTCCTAATAGATTAAAAAAAAAAAAACAACCTTCCTGAATGTTAACTGTTAAGCTAGTTCAGTTAAGTTAGTGATTGAAATTTAAACACGCTATTGTATGGCAGAAGTAGCAGCAGCAAATCAAGCCTTCTCTTCAGGCTGGGTGTGGTGGCTCAAGCCTGTAATCCCAGCACTGTGGGAAGCTGAGGCAGGCAGATCACTTGAGGTCAGGAGTTAGAGACCAGCCTGGCCAACACGGCACCCCGTCTCTACTAAAAATACAAAAATTAGTCAGGGATGGTGGTGCATGCCTGTAATCCCAGCTACTCAGGAGGCTGAGGCAGGAGAATCACTTGAACCCAGGAGGCAGAGGTTGCAGTGAGCCGAGATTGTGCCACTGCACTCCAGCCTGGATGACAAAGTGAGACTCCGTCTCAAAATTAAAAAAAAAAAAAAAAGTCATCTCTTGTGTCAATGGGGAACAGAAAAATTCTGAGCACCTAAGTGGAGGAGGGTGAGCAGGAGAAGAATATAACAGGGCAGGAGAAAGCTGTAGAAAAGCAGTGCTGAGAATACCAGAAGCAAACTTCTATGTCAGTCCTGCCTGGAACTCCAGCCAACTTCCATTGTGTGCAGAGGTATTTTTTCAAGGAAACTAAAAACTTGGGACATCAATTCACTATACCAAAAGAAAACCTGTCGACCCTGCTGTGTCAAACTAAATGACAGGTTCTTGTAGTGTGTGACTTATGACGCTGTGTGCTTGTTATCTTACTGTAGCCAACTTTGTCATAGAGGAGCATTCAAACAGCTCCTTGGTTGCATTATCATTAAACTACCAACAGGCAGAAGACTAGTTTCCAACAGAAGGATAAATTTCATTTTATAGCTCGGTAAAAGCTTTTATAAAAATAATCATTAAGTTATTGTAACAAGAAAATAGTAAAGATATCAAGAAATTTTGTTTTCTAATATCAGTTGTGCCCTGAGTAAAGTATTTAGGGTTTTTAAATCAAGTTTAGCCTAAAGCTGCCTCCTTACGTATTTTAAGTTCAGCCTAAAGGTTTTTCTGTACATCATGAACTATAACAAGCGGAGGTGTCATGAGACACCTCCTTGTGCCAATCACGGAGTTTTGGCCAATCAAATGTAGCCAGCTGTTCAAACCATGTTCAAGTAAGGCAAATGACAAGCTGTTTATGTACCTCACTTCCATTTTCTGTACATCACTTTCCTTTTTCTGTCATAAATCTTCTTCCACCACATGGCTGTGCCAAAGTCTGAGCCTATTCTGGCTCAGGAGGCTGCCCCATTTGTGAATCATTCATTGCTCAATTAAACTCCTTTAAATTTAATTTGGCTGAAGATTTTCTTCTATCAGGGTCTTGATCGTGTGTTTTAATGTATATAGACAGAAGTTACAGAGAATACACAGTGCATAGAATTTCAGTTGTACCTTAGAAACTCTGAGTGTGAAGTAGTTAAAATACAAAACCCCAATCTGCTCACATATTTACTGAGCAGACACTGACAGACAGTGCCACCTTCTATAATTGTACAATTACATGCAGTAACTAACCAGAATGAAAATAGAGCTTGGGAAATGGAGCAGATGGCCACATCATCGCTTACAAGATGCACTTGAAGTGGAGATTATGATCCAGCATCTCACCATTTTCAGGGGAAGCTATTTGAATGGCAGATGCCTCCCAGAGGTCCTGCTATGTCCTCCCACCTGGGGTGAAGCATCCCTGTGAAGTCTACCACGCTCCCACAGAGCTCATGCCACCACCTTCAGCAGGATGCACTGAAAATTGTTTTATAGCTGCTAACTTAAAACAACTGAAGACAGATATTGAGGCTTTTCTACAGTTTATATATTTATTTTCTCAAGTCCAAGGAAAGAATTGGTTCTGCATGAACCAGAATACGTTGAGGATTGTGAAAGGAAACTAAAAACTTGGGACCTCAATTCACTATACCAAAAGAAAAAAAATTCAACTGAAAGCTGAGTCTTGCAAGAAGCTGCCTTTCCTCCTGTTCCTAGCAGAAAGCTACAGATTAAAGGTTAAATATCTCCACGAGTAGCTACTGTATGTTCACATTATCTTATGTAAAGAGCTGATTTACTGAGCATAAGAGGAATACGTGATTGACTATTCCCTACCTGCTCATTTCCTCTTACAAATATGCATTCAATAATGTGACCATCCCCTCTCCCTCTCCCCTCCAGCCCACTTTTTCTCTGTAAATACTGAAGCCCTCAGAATCATCTTTGAAGAAAGGCACAGAGCATAGACTGTTTCTGTGATTTCATGTGTATTTCTTCTGGGCATGTCCTTAACTTTGTCAAAATAAACTTCTAAATTGATTAAGACCTGTCTCAGATACTTTTTGGTTTACAGAATCAGTATGAAACACAGAAGATTACCAGTAAACAACACCAGACAAGCAAAATCTACCCCAAGACTAAGGCATTGCTAAAAACTACCCCAAGAGTAAGGCATTGCTAAATTGTAAAGTAATTCTGCTTGAGTTTACCAACTCCAAAAATCAGGGATTGGTGTAATCACTCAAGTTTCATTTGCATGAAACTTGAATGACCAGTGATTATGAACTTTTTTTTATATGTTTGTTGGCCACATAAATGTCTTCTTTTGAGAAGTGTCTGTTCATACCCTCCGCCCACTTTTTGATGGGGTTGTTTGTTTTTTTCTTGTAAATTTGTTTAAGTTCATTGTAGATTCTGGATATTAGTCCTTTGTCATATGGATGGATTGCAAAAATTTTCTCCCATTCTATAGGTTACCTGTTCACTCTGATGATAGTTTCTTTTACTGTGCAGAAGCTTTTTAGTTTAATTAAGTTCCATTCATCAATGTTGGCTTTTGTTGCCATTGCTTTTGATGTTTTACTCATGAAGGCTTTGCCCATGCGTATGTCCTGAATGTTATTGCCCAGGCTTTCTTCTCAGGTTTTTATGCTTTTAGATTTTAATGTTTAAGTCTTTAATTTATCTTGAGTTAATTTTTCTATAAGGTGTAAGGAAGGGGCCCAGTTTCAGTTTTCTGCATATGGCTAGCCAGTTTTCCCAACACCATTTATTAAATAGGGAATCCTTTCCCCATTGCTTATTTTTGTCAGGTTTGTCAAAGATCAGATGGTTGTATATGTGTGGTGTTATTTCTGAGGCCTCAGTTCTGTTCCATTGGTCTATATATCTATTTTCGTACCAGCACCATGCTGTTTTGGCTACTGTAGACTTGTAGTATCATGTGAATTCAGGTAGTGTGATGCCTCCAGCTTTGTTCTTTTTGCTTAGGATTCTCTTGGCTTTACAGGCTCTTTTTTGGTTCCATACGAAGTTTAAAGTAGTTTTTTCTAATTCGGTGAAGAAAGTCAGCAGTAGCTTGATGGGGATAGCATTGAATCTATAAATTACTTTGGGGATTATGGCAATTTTCACAATATTGATTCTTCCTATCCATAAGCATGGAATGTTTTTCCATTTGTTTGTGTCCTCTCTTACTTCCTTGAGCAGTGGTTTGTAATTCTCCTTGAAGAGGTACTTCACATCCCTTGTAAGTTTTATTCCTAGGTATTTTATTCCCTTTGTAGCAATTGTGAATGGGAGTTGACTCATGATTTGGCTGTTTGTCTATTATTGGTGTATAGGAATGCTTGTGATTTTTGCACATTGATTTTGTATCCTGAGACTTTGCTAAGTTGCTTATCAGCTTAAGGAGATTTTGGGCTGACACAATGGGGTTTTCTAAATATATAATCATGTCATCTACCAACAGAGACAATTTGACTTCCTCTCTTCCTATTTGAATACCCTTTATTTCTTTCTCTTATCTGATTGCCCTGGCCAGAACTTCCAATACTATGTTGAATAGGAGTGGTGAGAGAGGGCATCCTTGTCTTCTGCTGGTTTTCAAGGGAACACTTCCCAACTTTGCCCATTCAGTATGATATTGGCTGTGGATTTGTCATAAATAGCTCTTGTTATTTTGAGATATGTTCAATCGATACCTAGTTTATTGAGAGTTTTTAGCATGAAGGGGTGTTGAATTTTATCGAAGGCCTTTTCTGCATCTATTGAGACAATCATGTGGTTTTTATCATTGGTTCTGTTTATGTGATGGATTATGTTGATTAATTTGTGAATGTTGAACCAGCCTTGCATCCCAGAGATGAAGCCGACTTGATCGTGGTGGACAGGCTTTTTGATGTGCTGCTGGATTCGGTTTGCCATTATTTTATTGAGGATTTTTGCATCAATGTTCATCAGGGATATTGGCCTGAAATTTTCTTTTTTTGTTGTGTCTCTGCCAGGTTTAGGTATAAGGATGATGCTGGCCTCATAAAATGAGTTAGGGAGGAGTCCCTCTTTTTCTATTGTTCAAAATAATTTCCGAAGGAATGGTACCAGCTCCTCTTTGTGCCTCTGGTAGAATTCGGTTGTGGATCCATCTGGTCCTGGGTTTTTTTTGGCTGGTAGGCTATTAATTACTGCCTCAATTTCAGAACTTGTTATTGATCTATTCAGGGATTCGCCTTCTTCCTGGTTTAGTCTTGGAAGGGTATATGTGTCCAGGAATTTATCCATTTCTTCTAGATTGTCTGGTTTATTTGCATAGAGGTGTTTATAGTATTCTCTGGTGGTAGTTTGTATTTCTGTGGGATCAGTGGTGATATCTCCTTTATCATTTTTTATTGTGTCTATTTGATTCTTCTTTCTTTTCTTCTTTATTAGTCTGGCTAGAGGTCTATTTTGTTAATCTTTTCAAAAAACCAGCTCCTGGATTCACTGATTTTTTTGAAGGGTTTTTTGTATCTCTATCTCTTTCATTTCTACTCTGATCTTAGTTATTTCTTGTCTTCTGCTAGCTTTTGAATTCTCTTGCTTCTCTAGTTCTTTTAATTGTGATGTTAGGGTGTCAATTTTAGATCTTTCCTGCTTTCTCCTGTGTGCATTTAGTGTTACAAATTTCCCTCTAAACACTGCTGTAGCTGTGTCCCAGAGATTCTGGTAGGTTTTATCTTTGTTCTCATTGGTTTCTCATTATTTATTTCTGCCTTAATTTTGTTATTTACCCAGTAGTTATTCAGGAGCAGGTTGTTCAGTTTCCATGTAGTTATGTAGTTTTGAGTGAGCTGAGTGAGTTTCTTAATCCTGAGTTCTAATTTGATTGCACTGTGGTCTGAGAGACTGTTCGTTATGATTTCCATTCTTTTGCATTTGCTGAGGAGTGTTTTACTTCCAATTACATGGTCAATTTTAGAGCAAGTGCGATGTGGTGCTGAGAAGAAAGTATATTTTTTTGATTTGGGTGGAGAGTTCTGTAGATGTCTATTAGGTCTGCTTGGTCCAGAGCTGAGTTCAAGTCCTGAATACCCTCGATAATTTTCTGTCTTGTTGATCTAATATTGACAGTGGGGTGTTAACTTCTCCCACTGTTATTGTGTGGTAGTTTAAGTCTCTTCGTAGGTCTCTAAGAACTTGCTTTATGAATCTGGGTTCTCCTGTATTGGGTGCTTATATATTTAGGATACTTAGCTCTTCTTGTTGCGTTGATCCATTTACCATTATGTAATGCCCTCCCCTCTGTCTTTTTTTGTCTTTGTTGGCTTAAAGTCTGTTTTATCAGAAACTAGGATTGCAACCCCTGCTTCTTTTTGCTTTCCATTTGCTTGGTAAATATTCCTCCACCCCTTTATTTTAAGCCTATGTGTGTCTTTGCAAGTGAGATGGGTCTCCTGAATACAGCACACCAATGGGTCTTGACTCTTTATCCAATTTGCCAGTCTGTATCTTTTAATTGGGGCATTTATCCCATTTACATTTAAGGTTAGTATTGTTTAGTGTGAATTTGATCCTATCATTATGTTGCTAGCTGGTTATTTTGCCCATTAGTTGATGCAGTTTCTTCATAGTGTCGATGGTCTTTACAATTTGGTATGTTTTTGCAGTGGCTGGTACCGGTTTCACCTTTCCATATTTAGTGCTTCCTTCAGGAGCTCTTGTAAGGCAAGCCTGGTAGTGACAAAATCTCTCAGCATTTGCTTGTCTATAAAGGATTTTATTTCTCCTTCACTTATGAAGCTTAGTTTGGCTGGATATGAAATTCTAGTTTGAAAGTTATTTGCTTTAAGAATGTTGAATATTGGTCCCCACTCTGTTCTGGCTTATAGCGTTTCTGCAGAGAGATCCACTGTTAGTCTGATCATCTTTCCTTTGTGGGTAACCTGACCTTTCTCTCTGGCTGCCTTAACATTTTTTCCTTCATTTCAATCTTGGTGAATCTGACGATTATGTGTCTTGGGGCTGTTCTTCTCAAGGAGTATCTTTGTGGTGTTCTCTTGTTTCCTGAATTTGAATGTTGGACTGTCTTGGTAAATTGGGGAAGTTCTCCTGGATAATATCCTGAAGAGTGTTTTCCAAACTGGTTCCATTCTCCCTGTCACTTTCAGGTACACCAATCAAACATAAGTTTGGTCTTTTCACATAGTCCCATATTTCTTGAAGGCTTTGTTCATTCCTTTTCATTCTTTTTTCTCTAATCTTGTCTTCACACTTCATTTCATTAAGTTGATCTTCAATCTCTGATGTCCTTTTTTCCACCTGATTGATTTGGCTATTGATACTTGCATATGTTTAATGAAGTTCTCGTGCTGTGTTTTTCAGCTCCATCATGTCATTTATGTTCTTCTCTAAACTGGTTATTCTAGTTAGCAATTCCTCTAACCATTTTTCAAGGTTCTTAGCTTCCTTGCATTGAGTTAGAACATGCTCCTTTAGCTCAGAGGAGTTTGTTACTACCCACCTTCTGAAGCCTACTTCTGTCAATTCGTTAAACTCATTCTCCCTCCAGTTTTGTTCCCCTGCTGGTGAGGAGTTGTGATCCTTTGGAGGAGAAGAGGCATACTGGTTTTTGGAATTTTCAGCCTTTTTGCGCTGATTTTTCCTCATCTTTGTGGATTTATCTCCCTTTGGTTTTTGATGTTGGCGACCTTCAGATGGGGTTTTTGTGTGGATGTCCTTTTTGTTGATGTTGATGCCATTCCTCTCTGTTAGTTTTCCTTCTAACAGTCAGGTCCCTCTGCTGAAGGTCTGCTGGAGTTTGCTGGAGGTCCCCTCCAGACCCTGGGTATCACCAGCGGAGGCTGCAAAACTACTAAGATTGCCGCCTGTTCCCTCCTCTGGAAGCTTTGTCCCAGAGGGGCACCCACCAGATGCCAGCCAGAGCTCTCCTGTATGAGGTGTCTGTCAACACCTGCTGGGAGGTGTCCCCCAGTCAGGAGGCATGGGGGTCAGGGACACACTTGAGGAGGCAGTCTGTCCCTTAGCAGAGCTTGAGCACTGTGCTGGGAGATCCACTGCTCTCTTCAGAGCCAGCAGGCAGGAACATCTAAGTCTGCTGAAGCTGCACCCACAGCCACCCCTTCCCCCAGGTGCTCTGTCCCAGGGAGATAGGAGTTTTATCTATAAGCCCCTGACTGGGGCTGCTGCCTTTCTTTCAGAGATGCCCTTCCCAGAGAGGAGGAATCTAAAAAGGCAGCCTGGCTACAGCAGCTTTGCCATGCTGTGGTGGGCTCTGCCCAGTTCAAACTTCCCGGTGGCTTTGTTTACACTATGAGGGGAAAACTGCCCACTCAAGCCTCAGTAATGGCGGACGCCCCTTCCCCCACCAAGCTCTAGCATCCCAGGTCGACTTCAGACTGCTGTGCTGGCAGTGAGAATTTCAATCCAGTGGATCTTAGCTTTCTGGGCTCCATGGGGGTGGGATCCACTGAGCTAGACCACTTGGCTCCCTGACTTCAGCCCCCTTTCTAGGGGAATAAACAGTTCTGTCTTGCTGATGTTCCAGATACCACTAGGGTATGAAAAAAATTCCTGCAGCTAGCTTGGTGGCTGCCCAAACAGCCGCCCAGTTTTGTGCTTGAAACTCAGGGTCCTGGTTGTGTAGGCACCTGAGGGAATCTCCTGGTCTGTGGGTTGCAGAGACTGTGGGAAAAGCATAGTATCTGGGCCAGAATGCACCATCCCTCACGGCATGGTCCCTCACAGCTTTCCTTTGCTAAAGGAAGGAGTTCCATGACCCCTTGCGCTTCCTGGGTGAGGCGATGCCCCACCCTGCTTCAGTTCACCCTCCATGGGCTGCACCCACTGTCTAACCAGTCAACTAATTAGAGCCCTTTTATATATTTTTAATAGTGAAACATTGTGTATGCAACACATAAATACATAGACATATTGAGCCAGGAGAATAGGGTAGGAGACAGGGAACGTAAGGCCCATTTGTGCTGACTTCCTAAAAGAAAAAACACAGCCGGGCACGGTGGCTCATGCCTGTAATCCCAGCACTTTGGGAGGCCGAGGTGGGCGGATCAGGAGGCCAGGAGATTGAGACCATCCTGGCTAACACAGTGAAACCCCGTCTCTACAAAAAAATACAAAAAATTAGGTGGGCATGGTGGTGGGTGCCTGTAGTCCCAGCTACTCGGGAGGCTGAGGCAGGAGAATCACTTGAACCCAGGAGGCGGAGGTTGCGGTGGGATGAGATCGTGCCATTGCACTCCAGCCTGGGCAACAAGAGCGAAACTCCATTTCAAAAAAAAAAAAAGAAGGCCAGGCGCGGTGGCTCACGCCTGTAATCCCAGCACTTTGGGAGGCCGAGGTGGGCGGATCACAAGGTCAGGAGATCGAGACCATCCTGGCTAACATGGTGAAACCCCGTCTCTACTAAAAATACAAAAAATTAGCTGGGCGTGGTGGTGGGTGCCTGTAGTCCTAGCTACTCAGGAGGCTGAGGCAGGAGAATGGCGTGAACCCGGGAGGCAGAGCTTGCAGTGAGCCGAGATCACGCCACTGCGCTCCAGCCTGGGCAGCAGAGGAGACTCCGTCTCAAAAAAAAAAAAAAAAAAAAGGAAAAAGGAAAAAAAAGACAAAACACCAAGGCCTGGGGGGCAGGGAATCTAAGGCCCATTCAAGCTGACTTCCCAAAGCTGGATAAAAGGAAAACACCTGGGTCTGTGGGCAGGTAACCTAAGGCCAACTAACACAAACTTCCTACAGCTAAATCAAAAGAGAAAAACCCTGTCTCCCCACCCCAGGTAACAAAGGATCAAAGGCTACTCTTGCTACAGCCCTCCCACTTCCGCCACGTCTCAGGGGGAAAAGGAGAGTGCCTTGGGTTGGCTATGGGCCAAGCAGGGGACCTTCCCTTCATCTGCACAGGGCGCCAATTCACCTCAGCCTTAAATTAGCCATAGACCAAATCCAGATAAGCGGTAGCCAATAAGAACCTCAAATGGGCCGGGTGGCTCATGCCTGTAATCCAGCACTTTGGGATGCTGAGGCAGGCAGATCACGAGATCAAGAGTTTGAGACCAACCTGGCCAATATGGTGAAACCCAGTCTCTACTAAAAGTACAAAAATTAGCCGGGTGTGGTGGCAGGTGCCTGTAATCCCAGCTACTCGGGAGGCTGAGGCAGGAGAATCACTTGAACCCGGAAGGCAGAGGCTGCAGTTAGCTGAGATCATTCCACTGCACTCCAGCCTGGGCAAAAGAGCAAAACTCCGGAAAAAAAAAAAAAAAAAAAAAAAAAACCTCAAATGGGGTACTTAAAGCCCAAAACAATTTGTAACTGGGTCCTTGAGCTTGTTGCTGGGGCCCACTCTCACCCTGTGGAGTGCTTTCTCGCTTTAATAAATTCCTGCTTTCACTGCTGTGTTCCTGCATTTCATTCCTCTGCTACTTTATTTGTGAGTTTTGTTCAATTCTTTGTTCAAAATGCCAAGAACCTGGACAACTTGTAGTCAAGACCCTCCACCGGTAACAGTATTAGGCATAACAGTAGAAGTACATCTTATCGATTCATAAGACCTTCTCTTTTTTTTTTTTTTCCTATCTTAGACTTGCAAACTCTTGATAACCTGTTTCATTACTCTGGCAGTTGTCAGTTAAATAGCCCTAAGTCTGCATATTGAAGGAAATAATTCTTAGGTGAAAAATCAGCAAAATTTACATCTCAAGGTACAGAGAGAAAAAGTCTGGTGGTGCTAGAGGGAGATTAAAGATGTATGCCAAATCAAACATAAAATTATAGAAATCTATCATAGGATTGTCTAAGGAGACCAATTTATTTAGATAGAGACTACCTATATTTTAACTGGATCTCTGAGCTCTGGGCAGAGCCATCACTGGAATCCTGGGTCTCCAAAAAGGGAGAATTATTATGAGGCTAGACCACACGATGCTTTTACAGTGCACTTAAAAAAAAATTTTTTTTTTTTGAGACAAAAATTTTTTTTTTTTTGAGACGGAGTCTCGCTCTGTCGCCCAGGCTGGAGTGTAGTGGCAGGATCTCGGCTCACTGCAAGCTCTGCGTCCTGGGTTCATGCCATTTTCCTGCCTCAGCCTCCAGAGTAGCTGGGACTACAGGCGCCCGCCACCAAACCCGGCTAATTTTTTTGTATTTTTAGTAGAGACAGGGTTTCACCGTGTTAGCCAGGATGGTCTCGATCTCCTGACCTCATGATCCGCCCGCCTTGGCCTCCCAAAGTGCTGGGATTGCAGGCGTGAGCCACCGTGCCCAGCTACAGTGCACTTAAAAATGTTTTTAAACAAAAACATTTATAAGTGTCTAAACTACACTCTTCCTTAAAAACACACAAGAGTAGTCTCTGTTCCAATAGCTATTTTAGTAAAAAAATCAGGTAACACAATACAAAAGCAAGCAGTTTAAGAGCTGAGATGAACTTGTCTGTTTACACTCTTGGGGTTCCATAAGGAAAAACAGAGGTTTCTCCCCAAAAGGGAGTCTGGCACCTTTTCTGTTTTCTTTAAGGAATCCCAATCTAATCTACTAAAACTATTTTAGGTCTCTCATGCAGCAGAGGGTGCAAGAGAAAGGGGAGACAGCAGAAGTAAATGAAGAAAACAGAATTCATTCAACTAGAAGAAAAAACTTTTGCTGAAAAAAAACAAGGTCCTAGGAGAAAAAAAACAAAAACAAAAACATGAAGGCCTTTTAAGTACAAACACACACACACACACACACACACACACACACACACACACACAGAGGAATCTTGGATGTTAGCTTTTAATTAAGCTGACCTTTAGTCCAGTTGAGCTCCTTTAAAAAAATCTTTTAAAATCTCATTACCATATTTCCGCTAGGACAAATTCCTGCTATTTCAGAAGTACCAAGTATCAAATGAGAAAGGGCTTGATTTGGGAACCAAATCCAGGCTCTTGTGGTGAAAAGAGAAGGCAGAACTTTAGCTATGGAACTGCAGCACGGGGCGACAGCCATTGCTCTTTCCGTTTGGCCTGGCTAGCAAAAAGGTGGCCTCGTTATGTTAATAAAGACCCTTAAGTACTCAAAATAAAAAATCTTTCCTTTTTGTTTCCCTTTTGCTGGCCATTTTTCTCCCCCCACCTCACCACCTTTTTGTGTGTGTGTATGGGAATTTAGCCACTTGGGAGTCCTCGTTCCCATAATTTGGAACTTCCCTTCAGATTTGATCAAGTCAAATAGAGTTGGTCAAACCCAATGGAAGAAAGACTGAAACAACAAGAACAACAGAAACAATCAACCAACCAAAAAAAAAAAAAAAACCAGTTAAGCAAAACAAATGATCCCACAACTTATACTATTACTGAGCACTGTAACACTAAGGAGAAATTAAATTTTAGCCAAGACAAACCCCAATTCAGTTACTTACCTAGGGATGGGTCTCAGGCCGAAGACTGCTCTCTACTATCCTAGATGCAGGAGAAAACTTAAACTTGTCTTCCCTGTTGGAAGAGAGCTCAAACTCCATAAAGGAGTCCAGAAGGAGCTTTCCTTCAACATCAAAGCAGGAAAACTTGCCTTCCTTGTGTTAGAAGCAAGTAAAACTCAGAGAAGAGGAAGTTGTACAGCAAAATAAACTTTAGATCTTGACCAAATTTTGGGAGATCAGGAATTCTCTGGAGGGGGTACTTCCAGGCCTCAGCAAATTGTCCTACTCATTCGAACCATAAAGATAACTCAAATTGGTACCAAGAACCGATGGGAGATTTGTCAAAGGTCAGGGGCACCTCCACTCAGAATCCCTCAGTGGTTACCAAAATGTGAACCCCAAATATCTGAGACAGATCTCAGTTAATTTAGAGAGTTTATTTTGCCAAGGTTGAGGATGCGCACCTGTGACACAGCCTCAGGAGGTCTTGACAACATGTGTCCAAGGTGGTTGGGGTACAGCTTGGTTTTATACATTTTAGGGAGACATGAGACATCAATCAATATATGTAAGAAGTTGATTGCTTCCATCTGGAAAGGAAGGACAACTGGAAGCATGGAAGAGGCTTCCAGGTTACACGTAGGTGAGAGACAAAGGGTAGCATTCTTTTGAGTTTCTGATTAGCCTCTCAAAAGGAAGCAATCAAATATGCATTTACTCAATGAGCAGAGGGTTGACTTTGAATAGAATGAGAGGCAGGTTTGCCCTAAGAAGTTCCCAGCTTGACTTTTCCCTTTAGCTTAGTGATTTTTGGAGTCCCAAGACTTATTTTCCTTTCACACTGTAAATGAGCCAAATGTACAATTAAAAGGCAAAGGTTTTCAGATTGGATGTTTAAAAAGGCAGACACAACTTGTGTGCGGCCTATAAAAAACCTATGCTAAATATAAAGACACAGAGAAAAAGGACGGAAATAGATACAGTAACAGTAATCAAATGAAAGCTGTAGAGGCTCTGTCATTTTAAAAATATTATCTGAGAACTTTCAGGGGAAATATAATGTGAAGAACAAAGAGAGTGACTTCATAATGACAAAAGTGTGAATTCAACAAGAGGAGGGCCGGGCGTCGTGGCTCACGCCTGTAATCCCAGCACTTTGGGAGGCTAATGCAGGTGGATCACTTGAGGCCAGGAGTTCAAGACCAGCCTGGCCAACATGGCAAAACACCGTCTCTACTAAAAATACAAAATTTAGGCAGGTGTTGTGGTGCATGCCTGTAATCTCAGCTACTCAGGTGGCTGAGGCACAATAATCACTTGATCTGGGAGGCAGAGGTTGCAGTGAGCTGAAATCATGCCACTGCACTCCAGCCTGGGCGACAGAGCAAGACTCTGTCTCAAAAAACATAACAAAAACAAAAACAAAAACCTAACAAGGGGACATAACAATCTTAATGTTTATGTTCCTAATTACAGAGTTTCAAATTACATGAAGCAAAAACTGATAACACAGAAAGAATAGGCAAATCAGTAATTATAGTCAGAGATGTCAACACCATTCTCTCAGTAATCAAAAGGACAAATAGATAGTAATCAATAGGAATGCAAAAAACTTGAACAGCATTTTTATCCAATCTGACCTAATTGACATTTATAGACCTCTCCATGCAACAACAGCAAAATATACACTCTTTTGAAGTATACCCAGAATAAATCATATTCTGGGTCGTAAAGCAAGTACTGGTAAATTTTTATAAACCCAAATTCTACCAAATATGTCATTCAACTACAATGGAATTAAACTAGAAATCAACAATATAATAAAGATTAAAACATACATACAAAGAAACAAAAGAAGATTTTTGAAGGTGATGAATATGTTTGGTACCTTGAGCATGGTGATGGTATTATGGGTTTGAACACATATGTTCAAACTCATCAAAATGTTTACATTAAATACGTGCAATTCTTTATATATCTAAACATACTCAATAAAGCTTAAAAATAATAAAATCTCAAATAATGAAAGTTATCTGGATAATCTCCAAATCTCCAAAGTGCTGGGAAGTGAAATAGCACATTTCTTTCTTTCTTTCTTTCTTTCTTTTTTTTTTTTTTAATTTGAGACAGAGTCTTGCTCTGTCGCCCAGCCTGGATTGCAGTGGCATGATCTTGGCTCACTGCAACCTCCACCTCCCAGGTTCAAGCAGTTCTCCTGCCTCAGCCTCCCTAGTAGCTGGGATTACAGGCATGCGCCACCATGCATGGCTAATTTTTGTATTTGTTAGTAGAGACAGGGTTTCACCATGTTGGCCAGGCTGGTCTTGAATTCCTGACCTCAGGTGATCCACCTGCCTTGTTCTCCCAAAGGGCTGGGATTACAGGCCTGAGCCACTGTGCATGGCTAAATAGCCTATGTCTAAATAACACATACGATTAAAGAAGAAATCAAAAGAGAAATTAGAAATCATTCTAAACTAAATGAAAATTTAAAGAAAACACACAAAAATTGTGGGATGCTGTTAAAGTAGCATTGCCCTCTAGGGCAAATTCATAACATTAAACACCTATGTTAGAGGAAATCATGGGTCCAACTCGCTTTAAGATCCTAGGGAAAAAAGAGCAAATTAAACCCAAACTAAGCAGAATAAAGAAAATAATAAAAATTAGAGTGGAAATCAATGGAATAGAAAAAAATATAGTTGATGAGATCAAAAACATTTTTTAAAGAACATGAATAAAATCAATAAACCTCTAACCAGACTGATCAGGAGAAAGTAGAGAAGACATAAGTTACCAATATTAGGAATAAGCGATGTATCATCATTACAAATTCAGAGATTAAAAGAAAGTATCATGAGTGTTAATGGAAAAGCCAAACTCTGTAAAATATTTTAAAGAGGGAATTCTCAGCCAACACAAGTGACCACAACCCAGGGAAACACAATCGCAAAGAGTCCTGAAAAAGTGTGTCCACGGTAATTGGATTACAGTTTGGTTTTATACATTTCAAGGAAGCAGGAGTTATAGGCAAAGATACACATCAACTCATGGAAGATACACGTTGGTTCAGCCAAAGAGCCAGGATTCAGAGATTCCTTAGTTTGCAATTTATTAAAAAAGTAAGGTTCTGACTAAAACTTGGAGTCAGCAGAAAGCAATGTTTTACATTAAGATAAGGATGCCATGTAGCAAGACTGACAGCCTGCAGGTGACTTAACCCTGGCGCCACATGGCCTTAGGTCTTATTTTTAATTTGGTGTCTTATTGCCACAAAGAGTGTGTTCTGTCAGTGTTAAGATCTCTACTTTAACACTAATGCTGCTCAGGTGTTGTGCCTAAACTCCAAAAGGGACGGCAGGTAACAAGGTGTGTTCGACTTCCCTTCCCATCAAGGCTGAGAACTCAGTTTTCCAAGGTTTATGTGGAGTCTCCTTTGGCCAACAGGGGGGTCCATGCAGTCAGTGGGGGACTTAGGATTTTATTTTTAGTGTACGTGAGCAATAGTATAACAATCAATTTGACAATTTATATAAAGTGGACACAGTACTTGAGAGACACAAACTACCAAAGCTCATTCAGTCCAGAAATGGATAGCCTGAAAGCCCTTCCAGGAGAGAATTCTCCAGGGGTGTCTTGCGTTTCTGTATGTCTTGCAAGCAGAGCTTTGTTCTGGATGGTCTTCTTGTGACCTACAAAAGGGTCGGGCTGCTAGCTGCTTGTAGAAAGAAGTTAAAATAATAATGAGGGCCAGGCGCGGCGGCTCACGCCTGTAATCCCAGCATTTGGGGAGGCCAAGGCGGGTGGATCAACTGAGGTTGGGAGTTCGCGACCAGCCTGACCAACATGGAGAAACCCTGTCTCTACTAAAAATACAAAATTAGCTAGGTGTGGTGGTGCATGCCTGTAATCCCAGCTACTCGGGAGGCTGAGGCAGGAGAATTGCTTGAACTCAGGAGGTGGAGGTTGTGGTGAGCTGAGATCGTGCTGTTGCACTCCAGCCTGGGCAACAAGAGCAAAACTCTGCCTCAGAAAATAAAAATAAAATAACAACAATAATAATAATAATGAGTTGTGGAGGGAATGCAAGGGTTTTTAAAGAAAGGGTTTGGAATGCAGAAGAGGTGAGGGGTAGGGGTGAGAGTTGGTGATTAGGAGGTGCCAGGCAGCAAGACCCACTCCGATCACTCATCTTGAATTATTATTCAATTTGGTGAAGGGGCTGGCATCATCATGGATCCTACCAGGTTATAAATTAATCACAGTTAATCTTGTATCACTCTTCAGCTGGGAGTGGGTTCCAGCCTTGAAGTAATCTTTTGTTGGAGAGAGAATTCTGGAGGTGTCTAGTCCCTATGAGGATCCCACTCCTGAAGCCTCTAAGGAAATAGATGGCCAGATAGGTGAGCATGGTGTGTGCTTAACAAACATCTGGGTAAATAAGTGTGCATAAGGCATGGGGGCATAGAATGGAAAAGGATGGGAAGTGGAGGTTACAGCACTTTCTGAGGCTGTAGTACAAGATGAACATATACATAGCTTGTCTCAAAGTCATATCTTGAGACAAGGGAGTGGGCGAAGAGAAAAGGGGAAAGAAGAAAGTTTTAAAGTGTGGTTTAAGGCTCAGCTGCTAAGCTGCCCAGTTACATTCTCAAAGATGTTTGTATATGAACAGCTGTGGAAGACAGTGATGGTGTCTCACTCTGGAGCACAGAATAGTTTGATTACCTGTCCAGAATGATAATGTTTCCTTTAAGGCAAAGGTCAGATAGGTTTGCTAGCAGCCTGTATAATAAATCAAAAGAAACAAGGAGAGAGTGAGAGAGAGAAAAAAAAAGAAAAAGAAGAAGAAAGAAGAAGGAGGAGGAGGAGGAGCAGGGGAGGGGAAGGAAGAGGAGGGAGGGGAAGGAGGAGGAAAGAAAGAAAGAAGGAAAGGAAAAGAAGAGATTAATAAATAAAAGATTTTAGTTTGCTGAAGTAGGGGTTCCACGGCTGTGATGCAAATCTGGATGCCCTCAACATGAGGGTTCTGACACCTCCTGTGATTTTCAGCTTGGTCTTTCTCACTGCAGGGCCTTCTTAAGGGCATCTGAAGGGAGGTTTACCGAGGCTTTGTAAAGACAAGGGAGACACTCTTTCTTCTCCCTTCCCTTTTCTCCTCTTTTTTCTTTTGTCATTCTCTTTCCTCCTCCTTGTCTGACTGTCCTGTCTTAGTTCTTTTAGCAGCCTTATTGAAATATTTCCATACCACAAAATTCCTCCATCTAAAGGGTTTTACATTTTAAGTCTAGTAGTTTTTAGTATATTCACAGAGTTGTCCAACCATCACCACAATCTAACTTTAGAACATTTTTATTACCTCCAAAGGGAACACTATATGCAGTAGTAGTCAGTCCTCATTCCCACCCCACAAACCCTTCCCGGACAGCCACTACTTCACTCTCTGTCTCTACAGACTTGCCTATTCGGAAGATTTTGTGTAACTGGAATTATATAAAAGGTAGTCTTTTGCATCTGTCTTCTGCAACTTAGCATAGTATTGTCAATGTTTATGTTGTAGAATGCATCAGTCTTCATTATTTTTTATTGACAAGTAATACCATACTGTATGGATATTAAACATATTATTCATCTATTCAGCAGTTCCTGGACATTTTCCTTGTTTATACTATTTTGGTATTATGAGTAATGGTGCTGTGAATATTTGCATACGAGCCTTTGTGTGTGCACATGCTTTTCATTTCCCTTGGGTACACACCTACGAGTAGAATTGCTGGGTCATATCCACAGGAACTGCCAGACTGTTGTCCAAAGTGGCTGCCCTATTTTATCAGCAGTTCAGGAAGGTTCCAATTATTCCATATTCTCACCAACATTTGTTATCTATCTTTTTTGATTACAGTCCTAGAGGGTGTGAAATGGTATCTCTTTGTGGTTTTGATTTGCATTTCCCTAATTGACTAATGATATTAAGCATCTTTTCACGTGCTTATTGGCCATTTATATATATCCTTTGAAAAATATCTATTCAAATCCTTGTCCATTTTTAGTTGAGTTACTTGTCTTTTTATTACTGAGTTGTAAAAATTCTTTATGTTGTCTGGATAAAAGTACCTAACCATATGTATAATTTGCAAATATTTCCTCCCTTCCCAAATGGGAGAAAATGCAACAAAAACAAAAATAGACAAATGTGACATAATTAAACTAAAAATCTACACAGCAAAATAAATAATCAACAAAGTAAACAGATAACCTATGGAATGGGAGAAAATATTTGCAAATTACACCTCTAACAAAGGACTATCTCCAGAATCTACAAGGAACTAAAACAACTCAACAAGAAAACAAGTAAACAACCCCATTAAAAACTGGGCAAAGGATGTAAATGCGCATTTCTCAAAAGGGGACATACATGTGGCCAAAAATCATGAAAAAATTCTCCACATCACTAACCATCAGAGAAATGCAAATTAAAACCACAATGAGATATCATCTCACACCAGTCAGAGTGGCTACCATTAAAAAGTCAAAAAATAACAGTTGTTGGCATGGATGCAAAGGAAAGGGAATGCTTATACACTGTTGGTGGGAATGCAAATATACACTGTTGGTGGGAATGCAACTATAGCCTCTATGAAAAACAGTATGAAGATTTCTCAAATAGCTAAAAATAGAACTACTGTTTGACCCAGGAATCTCACAACTGGGTATCTACCAAAGGAAAAGAAATCATTACACAAAAAAGATACCTGCACTTCTCTGTTTATCACAGTACCATTCACAATAGCAAAGTCATGGAATCAACCTAAGTATCCATCAATTGTGGACTGGATAAAGAAAATGTGGTACATATATACCATAGAATACTATGTAGCCATGAGAAAGAATAAAGTCATGTCCTTTGCAGCAACATGGATGCAGTTGTAGGCCATCATCCTAAGTGAAATAACTCCAAAACAGAAAATCAAATGCCACATGTTCTCACTTATAAGTGGGAGGTAAACAATAAGTACACATGGACATAAAGATGGAAATAATAGACACTGGGGGAAAATAATAGGCAAAAAGTGGGGAAGGTAGAGAGATGAGGGTTGAAAAATTATCTATTGGGTATAATGTTCACCACTGGGGTGATGGGTACACTGGAAGCTCAAAGTCCCAGCATTACAAAATATACCCATGTAACAAACCTGCACATGTACAAATCTTGAATCTAAAATAAAAATGTTTTTAAATGTCTGAGTGAGAAAGGATTATAAAGGTCCCATAACCCCAGATTCCCCTGATCCCTGACCTGCATTTACCACATCCCAACCAAGTGGTCATCTGGCCAGTGCTAGAATGTCTGCAATGACAGAGATACTCTCCACCTGCCAAAACAGACAATTTCATTTTGGGGTCAGTTTGATTTTGGGGCAGGTCTTCCTTGAAGCTCTTGACAAATCATTTCAGTGTCAACCTCTTAGGATCATACAAAAAAGTCTTCCACATGATAGCTAGCCCTCTATAAACTTGATGACATATTTTTTATCCCTCAAACCTTTCCTCCTGAAGGTGAAATGTTCCCTAGTCCCTCAGTAAATTCTCACTTTGGCGTGTTTTTAGTTTCATCACCTGACTCATACTTTTGTGTTCCAGATTATTTTTAGCTTTCTAAACATGTGGCTCCCAAAAATGAATGCACTATTCCAGGTGTGGCTAGCCAGCACAAAGTAAAGTGGAGCTATCGCTCTCTGCCTGCTGACTTCTATTCTTGGATTAATGCAGTCTGAGCTCATTTTTTTTTGGCAGGTACCTCACAAACCAATGACTCACATTGAGACAACTTTTTAATAAATGCACTAAAAATCTGTACGTTTATTTAGGAAAAGATGCCACAAAGTGACATATTCCTCATTCTGCATTTGAGCAAGTGGGTCTATGGATCAAGATCAGGACTTTTTCTGCTAACTCCTACCTGTTACTATCTTCACGAACCCTGGTTTTGTCCCATAGCTCAATATAATCTACAAGTGTAACAACCATGTAGATTCTGTCAGTCATATCTCAGAATTAGGGCATGAGGTGTGATGCTTCATTAGAGCACCCTGGAGCAGGCAGGGTCAAAGACGAAGCCAGGACCTGAAATGACTTTTACCAAGAGGGGAGGTGAGGCCCAGAGGACGCAGAGCCAGGAGGAGCAAGTGAGATGCATAACCCAAAGAGCACAACCAATTTATCCATGGATTTGGCCACAGATGGCCCTGGTATTTCTCAAGGAAGACGGTGGAATCCTGTTCTAGGGGGCTGTGAGGGAAGGAACTGAGAATCTGGTGGACAAGAAGCCACAGCTCAGGAGAGCTCTCTTAGGGGTTACAGTTGTTTGAAATGTGGAAAGAAAGGGCTTAGTCTCTGGAAGAGGAGCTAGCGAGAACAAGATGGGAGGCACAGTGGAAACCAGTCCTAGCAAACTGGAACCAGGGAGAGCTCCCTCTGGGCAAGGCCTTGGGATTACAGGCTCAGCACTTTCTGATTGGAGTCCAGGAGCAAGCAGTTGCTGATGAGCTTGCCTGGAGGGGATTGGTCCAGAGGCTGGGAGGACAGGGCAGCGTGGAATTCAGCAGGAGGTAGCTGCAAGGAGTGGAGAAGGCAGAAGCTGGGAAATGAGACTGGGCCTGAGATATACTATCGTTGAAGTCTCCAGTGAAAGTGTGGAAGAGGCCTTCACACACACTATTGAAAGGCCACCACACACCCATCCTCTTCTGTTTGAATTTCCCTTCTATGTACTTTTCTTCATTTTTTCTTTAAACTCTTATTTTCTTGAGAGCAATTTCCCTGTACTGTTTTCCCTGATGTTCCCTGGGCCTTAGACTACCTTTTGAGAAAGACATGCACTTAGACTTTATTGCTCAACACTCATGCCCATTGCATCATTGTCTAACCTGCATTTCCCTCTCATCCAAAGGGGCAATGTGGACAAAACGAAGTAAAAAGATCAAATGCCTTGCAGAATTTCAGTGTCAGTGTTGCTCATTCTACCAATCTTTTGATCTTAAAACTGGGTTCAAAAGGAAATAAGCTACTTTGGAGCCAGGTACAGTGGCTCACTCCTGTAATTCCAGCACTGTGGAAGATTGAGGCAGGCAGAGACTTGAGCCCAGGAGTTCGAGACCAGTGTGGGCAACATGGCAAAACCCCGTCTCTATAAAAAATACAAAAATTAGCTGACTGTGGAGGTGCATACAGGCAGTCCCAGGTAGTTGGGAGGCTGAGGCAGGAGAATCACTTGAGCATGGGAGACTGAGGCTTCAGTGATTCATGATTGCACCACTGCACTCCAGCCTGGGTGACAGAGCAAGACCCTGTGTCCGAAAACAAAAAAACAAAGAAAGAAACAAAAAGCTGGTTTGCATAGTTTTTCATCAAATCCAATGCCAAATTCTAGCCACTTCTTGCTTTTCTAAGCACAGACAGGCAATTCATTGCTAAACTATTTTACAAATCTCCCAACTATATTATATAAAATCTATCTCCTCTCTTATCAAGGGAAACACTTGCTCATCTTTGAGCAACTCACATACTCCAAATACCTCTGGTGTTGAAAGCCGTCTGGTCATTAGTATGTTCAGCTGCTCAGTGTCTGAAATTCCTTTGGGTCAGACCTCTAGAGCAACCAGATAATCTCTCAGTGGCGGTCACAGGCTAGCAAGCCTTGGCCGTATCCAGACCATGCCTATCATGGTCTGGCAACCCTGCCAAAGTAACAAAGCAACTTTTACTTTTATATCTTTCCAAAGTAACAAGACAACTTTGAATTTATTGCCAACATTGAACATTGAGGACCTCATATAAAATCAGGATTCCCAGCTGCTCTTGAAAATTTGGAAGTTGTGACCCTGCTGGGCCCACATTCCCTAGAGTGTTGGGTCTCCTGGGCTCAGCAGCTGCTGCCCCTGAGGGAGGCATGCATCTCTCCTGTGTAAGTTTCCACCTGGCTCTCTGGCTTGGTCATATTGGCTTCCTGGCCTCTTTTTGCATGTAGTTTGTGATCCCTGATTGTAGGTTTCATCATTTATCCTGGGCTGTTTCCTCCTGGGAGTTATAACCTTCCTAATCTGAAGCTGAAACTCCCCCAAATGCAAGCTAAACGTGAGTTGACAGTAATGGCTAATGCCTAAATAGCACCTACTGTGTACCAGGCCTGAAACACTAACTCATTTCATCTTCACAACAAGCCTATGCTGTGGGTGCTGGTTACTGCAACAGGCCTGAACCACCAGCTCATTTCCTCCTCACAAGCCCATGCGGTGGGCACTCGTTACCACACTAGGCCTCAACAACCAGCTCATTTCGTTACCACACCAGGCCTGAGCCACCAGCTCATTTCCTCCTCACAAGCCCATGCGGTGGGCGCTCGTTACCACACTAGGCCTCAATAACCAGCTCATTTCATTACTACACTAGGCCTCAACCACCAGCTCATTTCATTACCACACCAGGCCTGAGCCGCCAGCTCATTTCATCCTCACAAGCACATGCAGTGGGCGCTCATTAGCCCCGTTTTACAGGTGAGGACACATGCTCAGAGACTTTAGCCCACTTGTCTGGAGCTGACTGCCTCCACACCTTCTGTGTGATTCACACTGACACAACTGGACATTTCCTACCACGAACATGATATTCACTCTGGTTTTCTGCCTTGACCTCTACATTTTTGGCCCCTGCACATTTGGGCCTCAACCTTCCAGACACGGTTCCTCCAGCTCGGTTAGAGTCCCGTGCTCCTCCTCCCATGCCTTTGGTGCCCACACTAAGTCGGGGCTCAGAAGTCACTCCATCTGTGACTTGGCTGCTCTGCTTTGTGAGCTCAAGAAACCAGGAAGCCTGTTAAACACGCCATCAGGAATGCTGAAGAATTAAGATTGTCCAATAAAAGTCAGTGTCAAAGGAATGGAAAATGAAGTGTGGATGGGAACCGTTATTTCTCAGGAGTCAGGGAGTATCTAAATTTGCTGTCTGAAGTCAGAGCCATAGAAAATCCCCAGCTGCACTCTGGTAGTAGTGGTTTTAGCACCTTTACTTGTCATTACAAATAAATTTGAAACTGAAGGAAAGTGAAGAAACACCTCTCAGAAGAGCATGATGCCTTCGACCTGGTTTGCTAGGACAGGAACTGGACACAGATTCTGAAAATCTCATTCATTCAAGCTGAATAAAATGTAGACGCAAGGACATTTACATAGTCAGCCATTCCTCAAGGATTTACTGAGTGCCTACTGTGTACCAGAAGTGGTATTCGTTAGGTACCACATGTTTCATTCATTTGCTCATAGTCCTTTGAGGCCCTTCTAGGTGGAAGCCCCACAATAGGCTCTGGGGATACAGCCCCTGCCACTGCAGAGCTGATGTTTTCACATAAGATTCAGACTTCCAACAACCAATTACACTACTGGTTAATCACAATTATAGTGCTGCAACTAGGCGTTCCCAGTCAGTCTGGGAAATGCAGAAAGGCCTCCCTGGTGAGAAGGTCTCTGCACTAAAATCTGCAGGAGCTGCAGGAGCAGAGTGAAGGGAGGTAAGGGAAAGTGAGAGCCTGCCAGGCAAAAGGAAGAGGAAGCGCCAAGGACCTATGGAGGGTGGGAGCCAGGGAACCGAAGGAGGCAGTTACCAGCACTCCTGAAGCACAGGCAGCTAGAGAAGAGAGCCACAGGCTGGACAGTGACCTTGGCAGGGGACACACCATGCAAGGCTAGTGAGCCACGTTCAGAATTTTGAGATTTATCTTGAAAGCCCTGGGAAATCATTAGCATTTTAAGCAGAATGGTAATATGGTCAAATTAGCATTTATAAAGGCCCTGTGAAGGAAGGTCAGAGGTGCAGCAAGAATGGACGCAGTGAGTTGGTTACTGGGTGAATTCGCCAGGCAGGCAAGAAGGGGTGTTGCAGAGCCAGGTTTCTCCACAGCCACATCAGTGACATTTGGCATCTCATTGATCTTTGCTGTGAGGGCTGTATTGTGCACGGCAGCATGCTTTGCATCCCTGGCTCTGCCTGCTGGATGCCAATAGCTCCCTCCCCGAGTCATGACACACAAAAATATGTCCACTGGACATTGCCAAATGTCCCTCGTTGGGGGAAATCACCTATAGTTGAGAAGCACCAATTTAAAGTGGGGACAAGGGATGTGAAGAGATATGGACAGATTCACAATGTGTCTTGGAGCTGGAATCAAAAGATATTAGTGACATATTTGAAAAGGGATGGAGGGCATGAGGTCAGGGCTGACTGTAGCTTGAGGTGCTGGGTGGATAACACGGCGACCATTGCTAGAAAATACGAAGGAAGGCAGGATTTGAAGGAAAAGATAATGAGGTCCATCCTAAGTATTTCATTGGAAAGTTGACCTCTCCCTCTCCCTCTCCCCACGGTCTCCCTCTCCCTCTCTTTGCACAGTCTCTCTCTGATGCCGAGCCGAAGCTGGACTGTACTGCTGCCATCTCGGCTCACTGCAATCTCCCTGCCTGATTCTCCTGCCTCAGCCTGCCGAGTGCCTGCAATTGCAGGCGCGCGCCGCCACGCCTGACTGGTTTTCGTATTTTTTTGGTGGGGTTTTGCTGTGTTGGCCAGGCTGGTCTCCAGCTCCTAACCGCGAGTGATCCGCCAGCCTCGGCCTCCCGAGGTGCCGGGATTGCAGACGGAGTCTGGTTCACTCAGTGCTCAATGGTGCCCAGGCTGGAGTGCGGTGGCGTGATCTCGGCTCGCTACAACCTCCACCTCCCAGCCGCCTGCCTTGGCCTCCCAAAGTGCCGGGAGTGCAGCCTCTGCCCGGCCGCCACCCCGTCTGGGAAGTGAGGAGCGTCTCTGCCTGGCCACCCGTCGTCTGGGACGTGAGGAGCCCCTCTGCCTGGCTGCCCAGTCTGGAAAGTGAGGAGCGTCTCTGCCCGGCCGCCATCCCATCTAGGAAGTGAGGAGCGCGTCTTCCCGGCCGCCATCCCATCTAGGAAGTGAGGAGCGTCTCTGCCCGGCCGCCCATCGTCTGAGATGTGGGGAGCACCTCTGCCCCGCCGCCCCGTCTGGGAGGTGAGGAGCGTCTCTGCCCGGCCGCCCCGTCTGAGAAGTGAGGAGACCCTCTGCCCGGCAACTGCCCCGTCTGAGAAGTGAGGAGCCCCTCCACCCGGCAGCCGCCCCGTCTGAGAAGTGAGGAGCCCCTCCACCGGCAGCCACCCCGTCTGGGAAGTGAGGAGCGTCTCCGCCCAGCAGCCACCCCGTCCGGGAGAGAGGTGGGGGTCAGCCCCGGCCAGGCCAGCCGCCCCGTCCAGGAGGGAGGTGGGGGGGGTCAGCCCCCCGCCCGGCCAGCCGCCCCGTCGGGGAGGGAGGTGGGGGGGTCAGCCCCCCGCCCGGCCAGCCGCCCCGTCCGGGAGGGAGGTGGGGGGGTCCAAGGTAAGGAAGGCCCTAGAGTCTAGGAAGAGACTGGCCAGTGCATTAACCATTGTAGTGTAATGGATTTGATGTTACTTTATGCTCACAAGTTGGACACACACACAGGGACCCAGATCAAATTGGAGGGGAAGGTCAAAGTCAGCTTCCCAAAGGAACTGAAGCTTAGACTGATTTTTAAAGGCTGAGTTAAAATAAACTGGGTAAAAATAAAGAAGGAAAGAGAAAAGCAAATGTAAAATATCTGTGCAGCATGAAGTAGCAAAATATATTCAGAGAATGTAAGAAGCTGAAATGAGGGCCTCAACTAAGCGTGGGAATGCAGATGGTGACATAGCAATGCTGAGGTAGGCTCCCCAGGACCGAGGCCGGCTTGTTGCGGGGAGAGGGGAGGGGCACTCTAGGATGATCTCTGGCGTAAGCAGCAGGTAACGCGGTGCCAGGACATGGCTGAGTTTTACATAAACATTTGTTCAAGCAAATATGGGATCATTCACTGAAACGGAGAATTCAAAGTGAGGTCTAGATTTGGTGGCAAGATACAACTGATTCGAGGTTAGGAAAGGAGAGTTGGAGGAACAGGAGGAAGCGGCCTCTCATCTGCAAACCCTGAGTTCCTGGAACACTTGTTTGTTAGGGAGGGAAGTGTGGCCCAGCCACAATCCTTTGAACATCTTCCTCTTCCATCCTCTGGGTTCTGCATTTCGTGCTGATCTTTAATACATTTCAGATTTTCCAGATACGTCCACACCTCACCCTGGTACACTACTGACTGGAATGTCACTTCCTTCAGGCAGGGGCTTGACATCTCCTTGTGAAACTAGCTAGCCAAGTTCCAGAAATGGGATGGAGGGTCTGGCCCACCCCTTTGTAGCACAGTCCTGGAGATGACAGCAGCCTTCCTGGGTGCGGGGCAAGCAATCTCATCTGCCTGTCTGCAGTGGAGCAGTTTGAGCAGCTCCCCAGCCTGGTGCCACACAACAGCATCATGCCCACGAGGTCTTATTCCAGGTGAGCCTCACATACCATGTTGTCAAAGGTGCCTGCTGGGCCTTCCAGGGGTGCTGCAATTTCTCTCTGTGCCCATTTAGTGCAGGTGTCAGAGCATCTGCAGCTGGATCTAGGTGCCAGTGCTATTCTGAGGCTCCCGGGAACCTCTTAATGTTGTAGACACTGCTCACTGTGTTTCCAGGGACCAAATAAATTGGTAAAATGGCACAAGCTGGCCATGTGTGAAATGGAGAGGGAACGGGTCAATTGGAAAACTTACAAAACTTCTAAGAAGGCCAGGCACGGTGGCTCATGCCTGTAATCCCAGCACTATGGGAGGCCGAGGCAGGCAGATCACAAAGTCATGAGTTCAAGACTAGCTTGACCAACATGGTGAAACCCCATCTCTTCCAAAAATACAAAAATTAGCCGGGTATGGTGGTGCGCTCCTGTAATCCCAGCTATTCAGGAGGCTAAGGCAGGAGAAGTGCTTGAACCCAGGAGGCAGAGGTTGCTGTGAGCCAAGATCGCGCCATTGCACTCCAGCCTAGATGACAGAGCATGATACCATCTCAAAAAAAAAAAAAAAACTTCTAAGAAGAGGCCCAGCATGGTGGCTCATGCCTGTAATCCCAGCACTTTGGGAGACCAAGGAGTGCAGATCATTTGAGGTCAGGAGTTCAAGACCAGCATGGCCAACATGGTGAAACCCCGTTTCTACTGAAAACACAAAAATTAGCCCGTCATGGTGGTGCACACTTGTAATCCCAGCTACTGGGGAGGCTGAAGCAGGAGAATCACTTGAGCAGGGAGGCAGAGATTGCAGTGAGCAGAGATGCACTGCACTCCAGCCTGGGCCATGGAGTAAGACTCTGTCTCAATTAAAAAAAAATAATTAATAAAAAAATATAAAAACTTCTAAGAAGAGGCTGAGGGTGGTGGCTCACGCCTGTAATCCCAGCACTTTGGGAGGCCAAGGCAGGCAGATCACGCAGTCAGGAGATCAAGACCATCCTGGCTAACACGGTGAAACCCCATCTCTACTAAAAATACAAAAAAATTAGCCGGGCGTGGTGGTGGGCACCTGTAGTCCCAGCTACTCGGGAGGCTGAGGCAGAAGAACGGCGTGAACCCGGAAGGCGGAGCTTGCAGTGAGCCGAGATCCCGCCACTGCACTCCAGCCTGGGGTCAGAGCAAGACTCCATCTAAAAGAAAAAAAAATTTCTAAGAAGAAAATGCAACTTCCTCTCTGCCATTACTTAGCAAAAGTGTATCCCATTCCTTTCATCAGCCTGAAAGACCGCACAGCTCACAGGCTGCCTGTCTTGTCTCTTGGTCACAATTTAATTGGAAAGTTGAAAAAGCTGAAAAATTACATAAGAAGTAGGGTGTCAGATAAAATACAGTCCATCCAGTTATGTTTAAATACCAGATAAGCAGCAAATAAGTTTTTAATATAAATATGTTCCAAATATTGCATGAAACCTACTTACACAAAAAACTTACCCATTGTTTATCAGAAATTCAACTGGGTGTCCAGTATTTTTATTTACTAAATCTTGTATAGAACAACCCTCGTATAGAACAGCCTGAAGGTTGACCTTCAGCTTCCTAAAAGGGATATTTTAAATGTGTTTATTCATGTATTTAACAGGTCCTTCCTTGTTCCATGAGGCATTTGAAGTAGTTGAATAAAGTTGCGCTCAATTTTGGCTCATGTATTGACTCAGTTGCCAGTTTGGGCTCATTTATTCTGTATCACTGAAGGTGGTCCTCAGACAGTGATGAAGGGCCCTCCTCAGCCAGAAGCAGAGCCCTGGCAGGAAAGCGCAAGACAGCTCCTATTGTCAGGCCCTGGGCACCACGCCACCTCCTCCTGAGCGTCCTCCCCCGGCTCACCCCACAGGGTGTCCTCAGGGCATCACCTTTCCTATCACAGCTGGAGGGGAATTTACAGCAAACAGGATGAGGGCAGGGAGGTTTGTCTCACCTTGTAGCTTACCCGCTTGCCCCGTTCTTGAATCCTAAGGAAAAAGCCAAACCCCTTACTTATACACACGCCTCCAGCTCATTCGGATCCCTGATGGCTGTCCAGCTGCTCACAAAGAGCTGTCCTTTGGGAGCCCTGCTGTCCTGCCACATGCATCAAATATAGTGTGGAGACTATGTCCTGAGCCAATGCCAGTTCAACCTGAAGTGGCCCCTGGGACCAAATAAAAAAGGCATCCTTTTTATTTATTTTATTTTATTTATTTTGAGATGTAGTCTCACTCTGTTGCCAGGTTGGAGTGCAGTGACGCAATCTCAGCACATGGCAATCTCCGACTCCTGGATTCAAGCAATTCTCCTACCCCAGCCTCCTGAGTAGCTGGGATTACAGGTGCCCGCCACCACACCCAGCTAATTTTTGTATTTTTAGTAGAGATGGAGTTTCACCATGTTGTCCAGGATGGTCTCGATCTCCTGACCTCGTGATCCGCCCACCTCAGCCTCCCAAAGTGCTGGGATTACAGGCATGAGCCACTGCGCCCAGTGAGGGCATCTTTTTTAAAGTGACATCATCACAACAGTAGGGTCAGCGATCACAAAGGCGCTGGAGAAACCAGAAAGCAGTTGAGGGAGCGCGGTGCTTTTTGAAATGTGCTCAGGTGCTGAGCTGAGCCAACCACCAGATGACCCTTGCCTCAGCCTTTCAGGCCTCAGAAACTGGCTGGACCCCAGGTAAGAAGTGCCACTGCAACTAAAAGGGAATTTTTTAATATGTTTTTTATATATATGTATATTATATATATACTTGTGCACATTAGTTTTTTATATTGCCACATTTGTTTTCTTTTTCTCCTGAATAGAGATATATAACAGATATCAAGATATTCCTAAATAATACAGCATAAACCTCCTAAGAACAAAAATATTCTTCTACATAACCACAGTAAAATTATCATACCAAAGAAGTTTAATATGATTATCTAATTAAGTCCATATTCACATTACCCTGTTGTCCAAGTAATGTCCTTCATAGCTTTTTTGTTGCTGTTTATCCAAAAATCTAATCAATTGCACTTAGTTTTTAATGTTCTTTTAGTCTCCTTTAATCCAGAACAGTTCTACAGCTTTGTGTTTGTGTTCTATGACATCGACATTTTTCAAAAATTGAGGCCGATTTTTTTGTTGAATGTCCCCCAAGTTAAATTGGATTGTTTTCTCATGATTAGATTTAGGTGCAATATTTTTGACAATCATACTAAGTAGATGATGCTGTGTTTTCAGTGCATCATATCAGGAGGCTCTTGATTTCAATCAGTCCCACTATATATATATACTTTAAGTTCTAGGGTACATGTGCACAACGTGCAGGTTTGCTACACAGGTATACATGTGCCGTGTTGGTTTGCTGCACCTATCAACTCATCATTTATATTAGATATTTCTCCTAATGCTATCCCTCCCCCAGCCCCTGACCCCTCCTCTGACAGGCCCCGGTGTGTGATGTTCCCTGCCCTGTGCCCAAGTGATCTCATTGTTCAATTCCTACCTATGAGTGAGAACATGCGGTGTTTGGTTTCTGTCCTTGTGATAGTTTTCTGAGAATGATGGTTTCCAGCTTCATCCATGTCCCTGCAAAGGACATGAACTCATCCTTTTTTATGGCTGCATAGTATTCCATGGTGTACATGTGCCACATTTTCTTAATCCAGTCTATCATTGATGGACATTTGGGTTGGTGCCAAGTCTTTGCTATTGTGAATAGTGCCTCAATAAACATACGTGTGCATGTGTCTTTATAGTAGCATGATTTATAATCCTTTGGGTATATACCCAGTAATGGGATGGCTGGGTCAATGGTAATTCTAGTTCTAGATCCTTGAGGAATCGCCACATTGTCTTCCACAATGGTTGAACTAGTTTACAGTCCCACCAACAGTGTAAAATCATTCCTATTTCTCCACATCCTCTCCAGCACCTGTTGTTTCCTGACTTTTTAATGATCGCCATTCTAACTGGTGTGAGATGGTATCTCATTGTGGTTCTGATTTGCATTTCTCTGATGACCAGTGATGATGAGCATTTTTTCATGTGTCTGTTGGCTGTATAGATCTTCTTTTGAGAAGTGTTTGTTCATATCCTTTGCCCACTTTTTGATGGGTTTTTCTTGTAAATTTGTTTGAGTTCTTTATAGATTCTGGATATTAGCCCTTTGTCAGATGGGTAGATTGTAAAAATTTTCTCCCATTCTGTAGGTTGCCTGTTCACTCTGCTGGTGGCTTCTTTTGCTGTGCAGAAGCTCTTTAGTTTAATTAGATCCCATTTGTCTATTGTGGCTTTTGTTGCCATTGCTTTGGTGTTTTAGTCATGAAGTCCTTGCCCATGCCTATGCCCTGAATGGTATTGCCTAGGTTTTCTTCTAGGGTTTTTATGGTTTTAGGTCTAACATTTAAGTCTTTAATCCATCTTGAATTAATTTTTGTACAAGGTGTAAGGAAGGGATCCAGTTTCAGCTTTCTACGTATGGCCAGCCAGTTTTCCCAGCACCATTTATTAAATAGGGAATCCTTTCCCCATTTCTTGTTTTTGTCAGGTTTGTCAAAGATCAGACGGTTGTAGATGTGTGGTGTTATTTCTGAGGCCTCTGTTCTGTTCCATTGATCTATATCTCTGTTTTGGTACAAGTACCATGCTGTTTTGGTTACTGTAGCCTTGTAGTACAGTTTGAAGTCAGGTAGCATGATGCCTCCACCTTTGTTCTTTTTGCTTAGGATGGACTTGGCAATGCAGGCTCTTTTTTGGTTCCATATGAACTTATAAAGTAGTTTTTTCCAATTCTGTGAAGAAAGTCATTGGTAGCTTGATGGGGATGGCACTGAATCTATAAATTACTTTGGGGAGTATGGCAATTTTCACAATATTGATTCTTCCTATCCATGAGCATGGAATATTCTTCCATTTGTTTGTGTCCTCTTTTATTTCGTTGAGCAGTGGTTTGTAGTTCTCCTTGAAGAGGTCCTTCACATCCCTTGTAAGTTGTATTCCTAGGTATTTTATTCTCTTTGTAGCAATTGTGAATAGGAGTTCACTCATGATTTGGCTCTCTGTTTGTCTGTATTGGTGTATAGGAATGCTTGTGATTTTTGCACATTGATTTTGTATCCTGAGACTTTGCTAAAGTCGCTTATCACCTTAAGGAGATTTTGGGCTGAGTCAATGGGGTTTTCTAAATATACAATCATGTCATCTGCAAACAGGGACAATTTGACTTCCTCATTTCCTATTTGAATACCCTTTATTTCTTTCTCTTGCCTGATTGCCCTGGCCAGAACTTCCAACACTATGTTGAATAGGAGTGGTAAGAGAGGGCATCCTTGTCTTGTGCTGGTTTTTAAAGGGAATGCTTCCAGTTTTTGCCCATTCCGTATGATATTGGCTGTGGGTTTGTCATAAATAGCTCTTATTATTTTGAGATATGTTCCATCAATACCTAGTTTATTGAGAGTTTTTAGCATGAAGCACTGTTGAATTTTATCGAAGGCCTTTTCTGCATCTATTGAGATAATCATGTGGTTTTTGTCATTGGTTCTGTTTATGTGATGGATTACGTTTATTGATTTGCATATGTTGAACCAGCCTTGCATCCCAGGGATGAAGCTGACACTTGATTATGGTGGATAAACTTTTTGATGTGCTGCTGGATTCAGTTTGCTAGTATTTTGTTGAGGATTTTTGCATCAATGTTCATCAGGGATATTGGTCTAAAATTCTCTTTTTTTATTCTGTCTCTGCCAGGCTTTGGTATCAGGATGATGTTGGCCTCATAAAATGAGTTAGGGAGGATTCCCTCTTTTTTTATTGATTGGAATAGTTTCAGAAGGAATGGTACTAGCTCCTCTTTGTACCTCTGGTAGAATTCGGCTGTGAATCTGTCTGGTCTTGGACTTTTTTTGGTTGGTAGGCTATTAATTATTGCCTCAATTTTAGAGCCTGTTATTAGTCTATTCAGAGGTTCAACTTCTTCCTGGTTTAGTCTTGGGAAGGTATATGTGTCCAGGAATTTATCCATTTCTTCTAGATTTTTAGTTTATTTGTATAGAGGTGTTTATAGTATTCTCTGATGGTAGTTCGTATTTCTGTGGGATTGGTGGTGATATCCCCTAAAAGGGAAGCTTTTCTCAACTACATTTGGTCTTGCTGGGAGGAGAGAGAGGCAGGGATGTGAAAAGCAGACATGGGCAGGATCATCAGAGCTGCCCCTGAAGAGTCCGTCCCAAAAGCTGGCATCCAGACCCTAGCCAGGCACCCTCCATAGGACGTCCTCTTCAGTCACTCCCTAGAAAAGTCTGAATAGGGGCCGAGCGTGGTGGCTCATGCCTGTAATCCCAGCACTTTGGAAGGCCGAGGCAGGCGGATCACCTGAAGTCGGGAGATCGAGACTAGCCTGACAAACATGGAGAAACCCCGTCTCTACTAAAATTACAAAATTAGCCAGGCATGGTGGCACATGCCTGTAATCCCAGCTACTTGGGAAGCTGAGGCAGGAGAATCACTTGAACCCGGGAGGCAGAGGTTGCAATGAGCCAAGAGTGCACCATTGCACTCCAGCCTAGGCAACAAGAGTGAAACTCTGTCTCAAAAAAAAAAAAAAAAGAGAGAAAGAAAGAAAGAAAAGTCTGAATAGGCATGGAAATTACCTGCTGCCCTGCTGCAGATGGCTCAGGGCTCTTACAGGCCATTATCACATAAATAAAGCACATGACTCGAAGCAGCAATGCATGATAAGTGGGTTAACTATTATCCCTCTTTTTATAATATAGAAACAGAGGTACCAAGGATACTGAAGATCAAGCCAAAGAATAGTAGTAAGATCCCTAACAGTGGCCAGGCGTGGTGGCTCATGCCTGTAATACCAGCATTTTGGGAGGCCAAGGCAGGCAGATCACTTGATGTCAGGAGTTTGAGACCAGCCTGGCTAACATGGTGAAACCCCATCTCTACTAAAAATACAAAAACTAGCTAGGGGTGGTGGCCCACACCTGTAGTCCCAGCTACTCAGGAGGCTGAGGCAGGAGAATCATGTGAACTTTGGAGGTGGAGATTGCAGCGAGCCACAATTCCGCCACTGCACTCCAGCCTGGGTGACACACAGCAAGGCTCCGTCTCAAAAAAAAGATCCCTATCAAATGCTTTCCATTTCCCATTTCAAATAAGGATTATTAAAAAGCTTAAACATGCTGGGTGCAGTGGCTCACACCTGTAATCCCAGCACTTTGGGAGGCCAAGACGGGTGGATCACCTGAGGTGAGGAGTTTGGGACTAGCCTGGCCAACATGGTGAAACGTCATCTCTACTAAAAATACAAAAATTACCTGGGTTTGGTGGTGGGCACCTGTAATCCCAGCTACTCGCGAGGCTGAGGCAGGAGGCAGAGGTTGCAGTGAGTTGAGATCATGCCACTGCACTCCAGCCTGGGTGACAGAGTGAGACTCCATCTCAAAAAAAAAAAAAAAAAAAGCTTAAACACAAATAGAGAAAAGAGTATAGTGAGCCCTCACGCACCCATCACTGAACTACAATTAGCAACCCATAGCCAAGCTTATTTCATCACTCATTCTACCCTCTTCCATACTGTCTTAAAGCAAATCCCAACCATTATGTCACTTCATCCAGAAACGGTTTAGTATGAACTCTGAAAGATTAAGGGCACTTTTGACAAAAAAAATAAAATACCTAGGAATACAGCTAACAAGGGAAGTGAAGGATCTCTTCAAGGAGAACTACAAACCACTGCTCAAAGAAATCAGAGAGGACACAAACAAATGGAA
Organism: Homo sapiens; assembly: GCF_000001405.40. NCBI lineage: Eukaryota > Metazoa > Chordata > Mammalia > Primates > Hominidae > Homo > Homo sapiens. The sequence continues at coordinate 55,321,043 of NC_000007.14, forward strand.
AAACATTCCATGTTCATGGATAGGAAGAATCAATATGGTGAAAATGGCCATACTGCCCAAAGCAATTTATAGATTCAATGCTATCCCCATTAAACTACCATTGACATTCTTCACAGAATTAGAAGAAAACTATTTTAAAATCCATATGGACCTAAAAAAAAAGAGCCTGAATAGTGAAGACAATCCTAAGCAAAAAGAACAAAGCTGGAGGCATCACACTACCTGACTTCAAACTACACTACAAGTCTCCAGTAACCAAAACAGCATGGTACTGGTACAAGAACAGACACATAGACCAATGGAACAGAATAGAGAACCCAGAAATAAGACCACATACCTACAACCAGCTGATCTTCAACAAACCTGACAAAAACAAGCAATGGGGAAAGGATTCCCTATTCAGTAAGTGGTGCTGGCAGAATTGGCTAGCCATATGCAGAAAATTGAAACTGGATCCCTTCCTTACACTATATACAAAAATTAACTCAAGATGGATTAAAGACTTACGTGCAAAACCCAAGACTATAAAAATCCTAGAAGAAAATCTAGGCAATACCATTTGGGACATAGGCACAGGCAAAGATTTCATGACAAAAATGCCAAATGCAATTAAATGAAAGCAAAAATTGACAAATGGGATCTAATTAAACTAAAGAGCTTCTGCACAGCAAAAGAAACTATCATCAGAGTGAACAGACAACCTACAGAGTGGGAGAAAATTTTTGCAATCTATCCATCTGACAAAGGTCTAATATTCAGAGTCTACAAGGAACTTAAACAAACGTATAAGAAAAAAACAAACAGCTCCATTACAAAGTGGGCAAAGGACATGAACAGACACTTCTTAAAAGAAGATATTCATGCGGCCAACAAACATAAAAAAAAGCTCAACATCACTGATAATTCAAGAAATGAAAATCAAAACCACAACGAGATACCATCTCACACCAGCCAAAATGGCTATTATTAAAAAGCCAAAAAAAAAAAAAAAAACACAGATACTGACAAGGTTGTAGAGAAAAAGGGATGCTTTTACACTCTTGGTGGCATGTAAATTATTTCAACCTATGTGGAAGACAGTGTGGTGATTCCTCAAAGACCTAGAGACAGAAATACCATTTGACCCAATAATCCCATTACTGGGTATATACCCAAAGAAATATAAATCATTTTACTATAAAGACATATGTATGTTTATTGCAGCACTATTCACAATAGCAAAGACATGGAATCAACCCAAATACCCATCAATGATAGACTGGATTAAAAAAAATGTGGTACATATATACCATGGAATACTATGCAGCCATTAAAAGGAATGAGATCATGTCCTTTGCAGGGATATGACTGGAGCTGGAGGCCATTATCCTCAGCCAACTAATGCAGGAACAGAAAATCAAATACCCCATGTTCTTACTTATAAGTGGGAGCTGAATGATGAGAACACATGGATACATGGAGGGGAAAAACACACACTGAAGCCTGTTGGAGAGTGGGGGGTGGGAGGAGGGAGAGCATCAGGAAGAATAGCTAATGGATGCCAGGCTTAATACCTAGGCGATGGGATGATCTGTGCAGCAAACCACCATGGCACATGTTTACCTATGTATGAACTTGCACATCCTACACATGTACCTCTGAACTTACAATAAATAAGTAAATAAATTTTTAAAGCATTAAAAAATAAAATAAAATAAAAAGATAAGGGCACTTTTTTACAATGTAGTCATGTTACCAATATCACACCTTAGAAAGAATTAATTTCCTCAGTAGCATCAAATATCCAATCAGTATTTAGGTGACCAATTATCTATAAATGTCATAAATATTTTTAAATTTGTTTGAATTAGGGTCCAAATAAGGTTCACATGTTCAGATTGGTTAATATGTCTATTAAATCTATAAGGTTCCCCTTCATATTGTTTTTCTTTGACATTTACTTATTGAAGAAACCAAGTCTTTCATGGTGTCATGTTCACCTTAGTATGGATTTATCTGATTGAATCACTGAGGTGTCATTTAACATATTTCTCTGTCTTCTGTTATTTTCTGCAAATTGGTAATTGAAGACTTGATCCACCTTTTTGCAAACTTCTTCATAGGTGTTGCTGTGTACTTCCAGGAGGAACATATAATGTAGGACTCTCTCTTTCTCTTTCTCTCTCTCTCTCTCTCTCTCTCTCTATATATATATATATATATGAAGTTATCTACCATTAATATCCAAAGCCTAGCTATCTTAATTCATTACTGGCATTACTGGTCATGAAAAGGTAACATTCTAATCCAGTCTTTCCTTTTTCTTTCTCTGTCGCCCAGGCTGGCGTGCAGTGGCATGATCTCAGTTCACTACAAACTCCGCTTCCCAGGTTCAGGCGATTCTCCCACCTCAGCCTCCCAAGTAGCTGGGATTACAGGTACATGTGCCACCACACCCAGCTAATTTTTGTATTTTTAGTAGGGACAGGGTTTTACCATGTTGTCCAGGCTGGTCTCGAACTCCTGACCTCAGGTGACCCACCTACCTCAGCCTCCCAAAGTGTTGGGATCATAGGAGTGAGCCACCGTGCCTGGCCTCATTTTTCATCTATTAGCTGACATACATCCACAAAAAGAAAATGTTCTCTTTTGCTGTCTGGGTTGCCCATTGCTGTAGTACACAGAACGAAGTTAAGTTAAAGGTTTGATTCTTTCATTTATGTACCACTTTTTAACGTGCCACTTTTCAAAAAAACGAGTTGATTCACTAGCATTCTCCAATAGTAATTAAGTTTTTTGTTTGTTTGTTTTTGTTTTTTGAGACAGCATCTTGCGATCTCGGCTCACTGCAACCTCTGCCTCCTGGGTTCAAGCAATTCTCCTGCCTCAGCCTCCCGAGTAGCTGGGATTACAGGCATCCGCCACGATGCTCAGCATTTTTTTTCTTTTTTTTTTTTTGTATTTTTAGTAGAGATGGGGTTTCACCATGTTGGCCAGCCTGCTATCCAACTTCTGACCTCAGGTGATCCGCCTGCCTCGGCCTCCCAAAGTGCTGGGATTACAGGGGTGAGCCACCGCACCCAGCCAGTTTCTTTTTCAATGTTGTCAAGACCATCAATTTAAACATATTTAATAGATGAAGGAGACATAAAATTAGAAAGATATAGAATACTTAAAACTTAATTAACATTTTCTCCTGTTTCTTGGGACAGAGGAAAAAAACATAATTAACAAGCTTGCATCAATAATTGAAGAAAATACATTTTTAATTGAAAAATAATTCACATACCATAAAATTCATGCTTTTAAAAATGTTTTTTATGTATTCAGAAAGTTGTGCTATCCAATTCCAGAACATTTTGCAACTCCCAAAAGAAACCCATACCCATTAGCAGTCATTCTCTGTTCCCTTCTCACCCCACCCGCACCCTGCCCCTGGCAATCACCGATCTATTAATACTTTCTGTTTCTATGGATTTGCCTAAAAAATACATTCTTTTTAAGTACATTTGTAACATCTGAGAAAATGTAAACTAAGTCTGTTTCTTTAAATGTAAAGGAAATAAAAGCCAGAAAGCAAATTCCAACAACATTCAAAGGATTGATATTATATCATTCACATTATTTGACAAAAATACAAATAAATCTAAAACAAATAACAAATAAAATTATGCCACAAAATAATAAAATAATACCACATTGGAAGATGAACAATACATTTATTTGACTCACGGATTAGAGACCATGGATCATAATGCCGATATCTATACTATGTAAGATATTCCCTCCTTTGTAGTACCTATTTAAACCTAAATTTTAAAATATTAAATGGCAACCTGAAGGTATTCAAGAGCATTTTAAAATCCTGTTGTGGAGTGTGAAAGGAAGAGAGGAAGAAAGGAAGCAGGGCCACTGGTCTAAAGAGTCCTTGAGAAGGCTGCTGGGGCTGGCCATGCTCAAGGAGATGGTGCTCACCTGCGGCCAGGTGGGCAGCAGGGAGAGGTGACACGTGGCAGAGCTGGAGTTTCAGAACAATGGCCATGCTGTGAGTCCTGGCACTGTCCATTAGGGCGAAAAGCTTTTCTGCTGGGAGTGAGAGGCCTCATGACTCGGTGCTAGGAGCCCCCTCGGTCATGAGAACACGGGTGCATCCCCAAAACCTCCTTTGCATCAGATCCCTGCAGCAGTGAAGCACATTCCCACTGCTCCTTCCATTTACGTCCACCAATTGATGGTCACTCCGCCAGCTGAATGATGGATAAGAATCCCTCTCAAATGTTAAAGGACTTCTAGTCATCCAAATTTCTGATTTCACATAAACTTGTTAAGATCACACAAAACCTGCATTTCAAGTCGCCCCAGCATTTTCACCCTGTAGTACCTTTGGCAACATCACTGCAATGCTTTCTGTCAGCCAATGTGGATCAAAACTGCCAGCAGAACATACTATTTTCTGCCATGATTGGCAGAAAGCAGGAGCACAGTTATGGAGTAAACAGATTGGCCGGCACTTGGCAAGCTGAGGAAACCACACGTACTTGGCCCTCTCTGGCCCCTGGGACACATCCAACTCTGCTATATTAGTGACTGTGATACTGTACTCTCCAGAATTCCAAAGTATGAGCTATTTCTGAGGGAAACGGGTCAAGCTGACTCAGCCTGTGTACAGTTGCTGAACAGAGCTCCAGTCAAGTGATGCTGCAGGGAAATGCAGCAGGAGCATCCTGGCCTGGTGTTTTGCTAAGGCCGGTGGTCTTGCCAGAGTAGGAGGTACATACAGGGCACTACTGGGGGGCAGTGGCAGGAATTCAGCACCCACAGCAGGATGCAGACTCTGGCTCCCCACAGTATTGGCAGCAAATTCCAGAGACCCATGATCAGTAGGCATCTAAGGACGCTAAGGCACTCTTTGAGCAATAAGAATAGTTTGTGGGTCCTATACCCACAAACCCAGATCCCTCTCCTCTCACTTTACCAGGAAACAAAGTGAAAGGAGGGTGGCCTGGGCTTCCAATATTGATTGGTTTTGTTGCTAAGAAAAGCAATTCATTCCTCTTTCCGTTATTGTCTTTTCTTAGACTGGTGGCCAAGAAACAATAGTCACGTATGAAACTCCAAGTTGTTTGAAAATTTAATGTGAAACAGTAGTTAGTGAGTTTTCCTTCATGCCAAACTGTCCTGCTAAAACAAACGTCAGGTGGCTGTCACCTCAGCCAAGATGTAAGGACTCACAGACGGCCAGCCATGAAGCCATTGGCCAAGGGCCCACAGGACATCTGTTCTGGGTCTGCCACCGAGTGTGAGCCAAGAAAGTCAGATCTGAGAATAAAATATTTCCAAATATTATTTTCCTCTGGACCTGATTTACAAAGCATAACACAAGCTGGGGAAGAGGGAGTTTTTCCAGATAAACAACCTGGCATAGGGGGAGGTCATGTTATTTTAAACATGGAGCTCATACAGGAGAGTTTCTGGTCCCCAAGATCAGGGAGCATTCGCTGTGATGGTAATTTTCATTATTTTATGCTAACTCTGAAATACGTAGCATTCCAACATCAGTCTAAAAAAAGGCGCTCACTAGAGGAAAGTGAGCCAGCAAGCACCTGTCCTCCACGAACAGAGGCCCTTGACATTTGGCTCCGCCACAGTTAGAGGGAAGGACTCCTCCAAGAAGTCAGCTCCTGCTGTTGCCTTCTCTTCCATTTCTACTCTCCCACGATTTCTCCCCAGGAGAACATACACACAGGCATTGACAAGCAGAGCTATTATGTGACATTGTATGCAGACCTCATGGTAAAATTATTGGCACAGCTTGTATAAATTACAGATGCACATTTTCTTAATCAACCCAGGCTCTATACATTAATTGCATAGATCTTCCAATTCAGGCTCACCTACTTTTTTCTTGAATAAGGTAGCAGTTGTTTTTTAAAATATAATAATAATACATGCTGACTATCAAAAGCTTAAGAAATAAAAAATTCAAATTGACAACAATCCTTCCACTAGTGAAACCTACTGTATTATAACACTGAGTATAATACATATGTACATAAATATACACACGCACACATGCACACTGAAATCTTGGCATTCATGGGGTAAACATTTGCAATTTCAGCTCTTCCTCGGTAACTCCAGTTTGCACCCCTGCAAGGCACAAATCTCAATCTGGTGTGTGGGAGAATATTGCTAAGCTAATGAGCAATCCTGCAGAAGTTCCTACCATGATGCCTAGATCTCTGGATGTCATAGATAATGCACAAGCGGATTTGAATCCAATCCATGTCAATAGATTTATTTGAAAATCCTACCGATAGTGACAGAGACCTGTTCATGCTCAGCATGTAGAGGAAGTGGGTGGAGTTAATAAACAGGCTATCCATAGATGTGAGTGGAAACAAAGGGAAATACATATGGAACACACAACGAGTAGAAAGGAAAACCAGGGAGGCAGACCAGGGCAATGCTCTCTCCCCTGCCTGAGGGATTTCCTCGCCTCTACTTGCTGCTTTCTGTGCCTTCCACCACAGTTATCTCTGCTTCTTCCACTTCCGAATGCCTAAAAATGGCCATTTCAGCACCCAAGAATAAATGAATCTTAGTCCAATTTCCCCAAGAAACTGAGTTTCTGTCTGAATTTCAACATCACTGGGATATAATCAGATTGGCATGCCTCATCGTTGATTGCCAGGCCAAGGACTGCTAGCCAGGCTTTGGAAGGATGGTCCTGGAGGCCAATATATACCCTGACCTCATCAGCTGGTCCTGTGGCTCTCGAAGAATAGCCTTCCTCAGACAGGACACGGACTGGTTGGTATACAGAGCCTCAGACTGCTCAAATCTGGCACTTTGTCTTTAATGTGACAGGGCAACCTTCTTTCTTTGCCACTATAAAACAGATGCAACTTTATTTCTAGTATTTTCTACCCAAGTTTTCCACTTAGTGTTAACACTCTTAACACATTTTGTAAAAATTTAAATACATTTTAACACATTTTCTTAACACATACTTAACCAACCTCCTTGCTACACTCTTTGCCCACGTTAGAGTTCAATTCAGTACAACATAGCTCATCTTTTCCTCCATACTCTGTACCTATTTGTGTACTAATGGTGGCCCATTCTAAAATCTTTACCACTGGGTGATACAGTTTGGATAGTTGTCCCTTCCAAATCTCATATTGAAATATGATCCCCAATGTTGGAGGTGGGGCCTGGTGGGAGGTGTTTGGGCCATGAGGGCAGATCTCTCATGAATGGCTTAGTATCCTCCCTCCCTATGATAGCAAGTGAGTTTGGGCTCTGTTAGTTCACATGAGAGCTGTTGTTTAAAGGATCCTGTCACCTCTTCCTCTCTCTCTTGCTCCCTCCTCACCATGTGACATACTTACTCCCCATTTGCCTTCTCCCATGACTGGAAGCTACCTGAGGCCTCACCAGAAGCAGATGCTGGTGCCATGCTTCTTCTTTCTTTGTTGTTGCTGTTTTTGTTTTTGTGTTTGTTTTTGATACAGAGTCTCACTCTGTCACCTAGGCTAGGGTGCAGTAGCCTGATCTCAGCTCACTGCAACCTCTCCCTGCCAGGTTTAAGTAATTCTCATGTCTCAGCCTCCCAAGTAGCTGGAATCACAGGCACACACTACCATGCCCAGCTATTTTTGTATTTTTTGCAGAGACTGGGTTTCACCTACGTTGACCAGGCAGGTCTGAAACTCTTTACCTCAAGTAATCCACCTGCCTCGGCCTCCCAAAGTGCTGAGACTACAGGCATGAGCCACTGTGCCTGGCCTTCCATGCTTCTTGTACAACCTGCAGAACCATGAGCCAAATAAACATGGCTTATAAATTAGCCAGCCTCAGGTGTTCCTTTATGGCAACACAAAATGGGCTAATACACCGGGTGAGCCCAGTATCTCTGTATGCGCTGCTCTTGGCTTTATTCACATTTCTAATGGTAGAAACGGTAGGATGGCACGGAGTTCAGAAAAGTAAGGTTTTATGTTAACCTCTGTATAGATACAGCACATTTTGATACCACTATTTTCCAGCCTGATGGATTTTTGACTCTGTGATTATGAACACAAACATCTTATTGAAAATTATATAACTATTGATAAATTTTACTTCAGAAAACATTTACCAAAGCAAAATCCATTGATCTATTTTCATTGATAATTTATGTAACACATAAAGTGTTTCCATCTCTTTGTTTTCATTTTTATTTCATGGAAAATATTTTATTTGGAATGGATTATTGTGAATAGTACATTTGTTTTTCTTCTGTACATCATATTGAATCTGCTTCAGTGCCTCATGCAGCCAAAATGGAAGTACCAATTGAGGGCTGTATGAGTCAGGGTCCTGAGAGGACACACATTGCCCACTCAGCCGAGATATTTTCCTTTTTAGCTTAAGAGATTGCTGTTTTGGCTTTTATTATATATTATTCAAAAAACAAACTAAAGTTACACATCATTACTTGAATTTTAGTAGTTTCTGACCTTTGACACTTAAAAGTGGTTGTCTTAGTTCATTTGGGTGGCTATAACAGAACACACAGACTGGGTAATCTATAATAAACAGGTATGTATTTGGTTTACAGTTCTGGAGGTCGGGAAGTCCAAGAGCATGCTGCTGGCATTTGTCAAAGGCCTTCCTGCTGTGTCATCCCGTGGTGGAAGGCAGAAGGGCCAGAGAGGGTGATGGCAAGCTCAATTCACATCCATCACAAGCCCACTCTGGCAACAGTGAATCCACTCCCTCAATAATAACATTAATCCTTTCATGAAGGCAGGTCCCTCATGGCCTAATCACCTCTAAATGGTCCCACCTCTCAATACTGTTTTATGGAATTGTGTCCAACACTTGAATTTTGGGGGACACATTCAAACTATAGCGATCATGAAAAATCTTTTTTATTATCTCAAATGTCACCAAAATCTCTAGGCTTTTCCTTTATAGTCAATAAAAGTGTAATTAAATACATGAAAAAATCTCCAGTTTTGTTATTTCAAACTCCATTTAAATTTGACTGTTGGCTCAAAATTCAGTGAGCTACCCTTTTATCAAATCACTGTCCTTAGAGAATCCATGGTTAAATTAATACATCCAGTATTTGTTGTCATTGATAGTAATGGTAAAATTTTGTTTGTGGGAATTTTGGCTAAATTAAGATTCCTACATAAAGAGGCATTCAGAGGTCCAAACATCATTCCACTGCAATTAAGCTAGTTTCTCATTCCTTCCTTTCCTGAAATAACATTTTTTTTCCTAGAGAAGCAGTTAATAAAATTTCTTTTCAATATGCTTCATAGAAATCAGAATGTTTTCCAATAAAAACAGCTTCTCGCTGTTTTTCACTCTGGTCATCTTAGCTCTGCATAGATACATTGAGTTTATTTTAGGTGTCTAAATGAATGTGCTGCATGCTGTAGAGAAGGAATAAATGCCCTATTTTTGAAGACATAATTTCCATTTTTGCTTAGTTGAGAGGCAGCATTGCTGCATGGAGAAGCTCCATTGCTTCTCTATAAGAAAGAAAGATTGCTTGCTTGGTACCAATTTCTAAAGAGAAAGCACAAAGGATCATTGGTTTAGAGCAAGTCCTGTGATATGACAGCTCCCACAGTTTCCCAGAATATCCTTTAGTTTTAAAGCAGGCAAAGGCAGGTAGACAACAGCCAAGCATACAAAGAACAATCATGCTTTGAAGATTTTTTCCTTAATGGCCGAGTTTCTTTCTAGCATAGAAGTGGTGCCATCAATGCAAGCTGATCCACTTGTGAGTGATGTGATCATGCCCTTTAGAAGTCTCTTCAGATGGAACCAAGTGCTTTCACTCGGGGTTTACGCCAGTGATTCAGTCATGTGGGATTTTTGAAGACACTTTTAAATGAAGGGAATGATTGATTACACAGACTGGGCAGAGTTAAGGGACACAGAGGGTATACTGAGGTACCGTGGGAAGCTTTATCCTCCCAGGCAATGGTGTTACCAGAGCCTGGGTGAAAGCTAGAGTTCTAGAAGAATCTACGCATAGAGGGTGCATTCCCTGCCAGAACCATGCCAAAGCAGGGAGAAAGAAAGAAAAATACATACCCAACTTCCCTCCCCTCCCACTCTCTGACCCCCTATCAGTCAGTGCTTCCCCTTGACCAACCCTTTGGGAAATCCAAGGGCATGAGAGCAGGAGGGCAATGTCCGCAGGAGGCGGCATCCCAAAGCACAGAGCAGAAAAACAGAGGGTGGAGAGTGGACTGAGAGGTTGGGTGGGGAAGAACAGAGTATCACCAGCACAGGTAGCATCCCCTCTACTCAGATAGCACAGATGACCCAGATCATTCCAGAAGAGTCCATTGGTTTACAGTCTGCTCCTGTCACTCTGGCTCTGAGAAGGTGGGCGTTTCCTCTGCTTTCTCCCGTGCTATGGAGTTTTTGCTCAGGTGGGGCACCTTGACAACTCTCCCACATCCATTCTCCCCACGCGCACCCTGTGAATGCTCCCCTCTGAGCTCCTGCCCACTGTTCAGGGAAAGAAAAGGCTTGGAAGACTGGCCCTGCTATTTAAGGGTCTACAAATAAAATAAAACTAATCCTTCCAGTTAGTTGGGGGATAAACTTTTTTAAAACCTGATCATGAAAAAGTTTATTTCCCACCTGCTGTTGTTTGAATGTATCCCCCAAAAATTTCTGTTTTGAAACTTAATTGCCATTGTAACACGATTAAGAGGTAAGGCCTTTAAGAGATGACTAGGCCATGAAATCTCCACTCTCATGAATGGACTAATGCTGTTATCACAGGAGTGGGCTCCTGACAAAAGGATAAGTTTGGCCCCCGTTTTCTCTCTCTCTCACAGTGGGATGCCCTTATACCATGGCATGACTCTTGCCAGATGCTGGTGCCATTCTCTTGGACTTCTCAGCCTCCAGAAACGAGAGCCAAATACACTCCTGTTCTTTATAAATTATGTAGTTTGTAGTATTCTCTTACATCAACAGAAAACTGAAGACACATTTTAAAAGAAACTGAGTCTTTGTGGAAAACTCTAGAAATTCAGAGTTCACCTTTTGTTGCCAATTTCTACAAAGTCAAGACTTACAGAAAAATCACAATTCTTCCTTCAGTTCTGGAAAATCTCTTTTTTTTTCTTCCCCCCTCCCTCAGTTTCAGAAAATCTCTAACAAAAATTTTTTATGTGCAATTTTAATATTTGCCAGTATCTGGTGTTGATTTTTTCTGCTGGTGACATTTGTAATTTGGATTTAAGACTAATACTTCATATTTATTTATTTATTCAATAATCTATGAGAAATTGTTCATGGTTTTGCCCAAGAATTCCAGAACTGCAATATTACTAATTATTCGTCTATTTTTTTGCTAGTTTAATTCTTACATATTCTTCTCTTCTAAAAGAACATATTATAACATATGGCAACGTTCTAATTATCTATCCAAAAAGCCCAAGGAGGCACAATGCTTACTTTTTGCTTTTGCTTCACCAAGTCTTTTGTTCCTTCATCAAATGTTTAGCTTTTACCATTGTTGTGCAGCTATTATCTGCTTTTATAAAAATGAATATAGATGTATATCCTGACTTTTATTTGTAAACATGTCATCGTAAGCATTTTCCCAAGCTGGGCTGTAGTCTGCCGAAATGTGACTTTAGTCATTGTGTCATATTCCTTCTAATGCAAACACTTCATAAGAATTTCCCAATTTTTGGGCCAGGCACAGTGGCTCATGCCTGTAATCCCAATACTTTGGGAGGCCAAGGTGGGCAGATCACCTGAAGTCAGGAGTTCAAGACCGGCCTAGCCAACATGGTGAAACCCCATCTCTACTAAAAATACAAAAATGAGCTGGGTGTGGTGGTGGACGCCTGTAATCCCAGCAACTTGGGAGGCTGAGGCAGGAGAATCGCTTGAACCTGAGAGGCAGAGGTTGCAGTGAGCCAAGATGGCACCATTGCACTCCAGCCTGGGCAACAAAAGTGAAACTCAGTCTCAAAAAAAAAAAGTAATTCCCAATTTTTGGACTCTAAGTTATATTTATTTTTCATGTTACTACTAAAACTTGGAAAACATTTGTAACTCTTTGCGTGTCTAATTTTTCCTCTACAAGTCTTCCTATAAGTACAATCAGTAGATCAAATAACATGAAATTTTAAAGGCTCTTGAGCCGGGCATGGTGGCTTACATCTGTAATCCCAGCACTTTGCGGGGCTGAGGCAGGCGGATCACCTGAGGTCAGGAGTCGGAGATCAGCCTGCCCAGCATGGCGAAACTCCGTCTCTGCTAAAAATACAAAAAATTAGCTGGGCGTGGTGGCAGGCGCCTGTAATCCCAGCTACTCAGGAGGCTGAGACAGGAGAATCGCTTGATCTGGGAGGCGGAGGTTGCAGTGAGCAGAGATTGCAGTGAGTCGAGATTGCACCAGTGCACTCCAGCCTGGGCAAAAAGAGTGAAACTCTGTCTCAAAAAAAAGGTTCTTGAATCGTTTTTACAGAAGATTTTCCTCAAGATATAATTACGCTTCTGCTCAAACACAGAAATAAAGGGAGAAAAAATACCCAAAGTTCTACTATAAGATTTGTAGCTTGAAAAATGTTTAGGCCGGGCGCGGTGGCTCAAACCTGTAATCCCAGCACTTTGGGAGACTGAGGCAGGCGGATCACAAGGTCAGGAGATCGACACCATCCTGGCTAACACGGTGAAACCCCATCTCTACTAAAAATACAAAAAATTAGCCAGGCGTGGTGGTGGGCGCCTGTAGTCCCAGGTACTCGGGAGGCTGAGGCAGGAGAATGGCATGAACCCGGGAGGCGGAGCTTGCCGTGAGCCGAGATGGAGCCACTGCACTCCAGCCTGGACGACAAAGCGAGACTCTGCCTCAAAAAAAAAAAAAAGGAAAAGAAAAATGTTTAAAGCTGATGTACAAAACTGTCACTTAAACCATTAAAAAATTTGTGTAAACATCACATTGAACAACACAATTTTTTTTTTTTACTTTTTAGATTGACACTTTGAACTGCATGTATTTCTTGTGTACAACATGATGTTTTGAAGTATATATACATTGTGGAATAACTAAATCTAGCTAATTGACATATAAAAAAATAAGGGAATCCTGTCATCCAAGACAACATAGATGAACATGGAGGACATTATATTAAGTGAAATAAGCCTGGCACAGAAAGACAAACACTGCATGGTCTCATTCATACGTAGAATCTAAAAAGTTGAACTCACAGAAGTGAAAAATAGAATGATGGATACCAGGGGTTGAGTTGTTGAGGGGGATGGGCGGTTGAGGGAGATGGTCTGGAAAGATGTCAGTCCAAGGATGTAAGGCTTCAGTTAGACAGGAGGAAAAATTTCAAGAGATTTACAGTCATTCATTAAACCAGTTTCAATGTATGAACATGATTAGATCCAGGATTTTTTTTTAAAAAAAAGCTTTAAATGATATATTTGAGACAATTGGGGAACTTGAATACGGTGTTGTTATACAGAACATAATTCTTAAGACAAGCATGTGAAGTAACATGACTTACACATTGTTAGCAGTTTTTAACATATAATATAGACACATATATGCATATAAACAAACACACTTTGAAATAAAAATAAATCTTGGGACCCCCAAATCACTAAGCTAAAGGGAAAAGTCAAAATGGGAACTGGTTAGGGCAAATCTGCCTCTTATTCTATTCAAAGTCACCCCTCAGCATACTGAGATAAATGCATATCTGCTTCCTTTGGAAAGGCTATTCAGAAACTCGAAAGAATGCAACCATTAGTCTCTTATCTACTTATGTTCTGGAAGCCCCAACCCAGCTTCAAGTTGTCCGACCTTTCCAGACCGAACCAATATCTTACATATATTGACTGAAGTCTCATGTCACCTTGAAACATGTAAAACCAAGCTATGGCCTGACCACCTTCGGCATATGCTGTCAGACCTCCTGAGGCTGTGTCACAGGCATGTCCTTAACCTTGGCAAAATAAACTTTATAAATTAACTGAGACCTATCTCAGATATTTTGGGTTAACAATACATACAAATATACATACTTTCTGCTAGTGAAAAGGTGGCAAAATATTAACAGCAGGTGAAATTAGGTAACTTATTTAGATGTCCGATGCTAGTTAGAGAACATTTATGTTTTGAGCACTACTGGGAAATATAACTAGTCCTACAGCAGCGGGGGCAGAATGTTCAGTCAGCAGTGTCTCACATAAACATGAAGACTTGATGTCCTCAACTTCAATCACAGCCTGTCACACAGCAGGCTCGTGTCCATGCGACTAGCTTCCTATGAGGACTCTGGACTGCAGGATTCAAGTGGGTGTGCCTGGTGGACACAGGTGTCTGTGGTTTGCCTCTGGAGAGCAAGCAGCAGAGGGAGGATTTAGAAGCCTGTGCCGGCCTTCCCTAGCCTTCCTGCACTGGAAGCTGTGCTGCAACCCATTTTAACCAACAATATAACTTTCTCTTGGGTCAGATTCATCTGACCTTCAGCAAGGCATCCAGCTAGGGATGGGACCCCAAAACAAAAGGGCCTATGGGAGCCTTCTCGGGTTCTGGTGTAACGGCAAAGACAAATGTAAAAAAAGGAAACTTGAATTTTCTCCAGTACAAGAAGCAAAAGAGACTCCCCATTTCTTTCTTTAGAGGATTTACTTAATTTTTTAATTTTTTTACTTCAATAGCTTTTGGGGTATAAGTGGTTTTTGGTTATGTGAACCCAGAAAATCTGAGACAAGTCTCAGTTAATTTAGAAAGTTTATTTTGCCAAGGTTGAGGACACGCATGTGACACAGCCTCAGGAAGACCTGATGACATGTGCCCAAGCTGGTTGGGGCACAGCTTAGTTTTGTACATTTTAGGGAGATATGAGACATCAATCAGTACATGTAAGAAGTACACTGGTTCGGTCTAGAAAGGCGGGACATCTTGAAGCAAAGGCAGGAAGACTGGAAGCAGGGAGGGAGCTTCCAGGTCACAGATAGGTGATGCACAAACATTCTTTTGAGTTTCTGATTAGCCTTTCCAAAGGGGGAAATCAGATATGCATCTGTCTCAGTGAGCAGAGGGGTGACTTTGAGTAGAACGGGAGGCAGGTTTGCCCTAAGTCGTTTTCAGCTTGAGTTTTCCTTAGTGATTTTGGGGGACCAAGATATTTTCCTTTCAGTTACATAAATGAATTCTATAGTGGTGAAATCTGAGATTTTAGTGTAAAGGGCAACCAAGTTGTATTCACTGTACCCAATATGTAGTGTTTGATGCCTCATCCCCCACCTTCCTCATTGAGTCTCCAAAGTCCATTATATCACTGTATTCCTTTGTGTCCTCATAGCTTAGCTTCCACTTGGAAGTGGGAACATATGGTATTTGGTTTTCCATTCCTGAGTTACTTCTCTCAGAATAATGGCCTCCAGCTTAGAGGATTTATTTTAGAAAATGCCTCATCATAAGTTCTTTCTCTCTCCTTTTCAGATAGATTTATGCAAATCTTTCTAAAAGCTAAATAAGCTTCTTGCCAGTTTCACAATCCAGGGATGCTTTTCTCAAGTACCTGGGAGCTATCTCTTTGCAATGTAAACATCAAGGAAGAGAACTCCCTATCCCCAGATTCCAGGGGAGGGTAAGAGTCCAACTTCTGCAGGCACCTGGCTCGACATTTTATTTTCTTTTGGATAAAGGCAATTAGCAAGCACAAGTGACCACTCCAATTACCAGGTGAATATGAAACAGGAGAGTTTCCTGACCCCCCTCGCAAGACCTGCAGCAGGGGTGTGGCTCATCTGTTAGGCTACCACACCCTCAAATCCCTTTTAGGAGGGGGAGCCCACAGACAGGCAGGTGCAAGAGCCAGGGAGAGTGCTTTTGGGCTCCAGCCCCACGGTAGTGTCTAGGGGTGGGTGCCTGCAACTCCCGAAGTTCCAATGGGCATGTGACAGTGCTACTTTAGCTCTGCCATTCACAGATGGCTTACATGTTAACCAGCTCAGTGCCCTCATGGTACCCAGGTCCTTGTCCGGCATCCAGGAAGAGTCAGGTCACATGGACAAATTGAAGGATGCTAAATGAGGAGGATTTTGTTGCCAGATGGAGGTGTCTCTCAGTAGGATGAATGGGGAACTGGAAAGGGGATGAGGTGGGAAGCTGATCTTCCCCTGGAGTTCATCCATCCTGCAACTGATCTCTCCAACCGTCACCAGCTGAACTCCTCTCAACTTTCAGACGCCCCTTCTCTGCAACTCTACCACTCTTCTGTTCCCCTGCTCTTCTGCTTATGGAGCCTGGTGTTTTGGGTTTATATGGATACAGGATAGGAGGGTGTGGTAGGCCAAAAGGCAATATTTGGGCATGAAAACAGGAATGCCTGTTCCCATTTAGGGCTTTGAGTTTCCAGGTTTGAGGATGGGGCCCTTGCTGGGGAACCTCCCTCTTCTACCCAGCATTTCCCTGCCTCCTGTCCATATCAAATGTAGTATGAACTATATGTGACAAACGGTGCTGCCAAGTTCTCTTACTTAAGGACTAGTTATTTTTCTTGAGAACAAGTATGCAATGAGTTGTATCTGCCAGGTTATATACGTGGCTTTTTTTTTCTATCTTTGCAATCTCTTTCATGGATTGCCTGTGATATGTGTCACATGAGCTTAGTGTGTATTCAGTGATAAAACTGTTTTCTTTCTCTTCTAAACTTGTGGAGAGGCTTTCTGGGTTAGCAGGAGAATTTGTTTTCAATTCCATTTCCTCAGTACTGGAAATGTCTGTATCTTAAGCTAGGCGGTGGTTACGAGTATGAACGTATGTAAAACTTCTTTAACCTTTGTGTATATCACTCTAGATAAATTCTATGTCAATGTAAAAAGAAAGAAAGAAAAAAGACAAGAAAATGCCAATTCAGCCACTGCCTTTTGCCTTCCCACAGCTGAAGAAGGGACACAGGGTGTGCTGCTCAGAAGTCTCTCATTTCCAACTCTGACCACCAGCACCTGAAAACATGGTGGCCTCCACCTCACTGTCTCCACCCAGAGCGTGTGCCACTGTACCGCTTCCTACACAGCAAGGGGTCTGAAGGGATGTAATCTGAGCTTGGCAACTATATCCAATATAAAGAGGATGCAATGAAGGTTGAGAGAACAAATCCAGCTATCTTCTGTGATAATTGTGCATGCCTCGGGCCAAGTCACGTTGTTAGGCAGATTGCTGAGTTGGGTGAGTACTTGCAGCAAAATATCAAACTAGCGGGTGGTGATAGGATATCACCCACTCATTAGAGAGAAGGAACTGCCTTGGCATGAAGAAAAAATTACAAATGATCAAAAAATAAGAGAAAAAAAGTTTCACCTTTTCAGGGTAAGAATATGGATAAAGACAGGTAGAATGGGTATTTATTGTCTTCAATTACAAGCAAACTACCAGGGATCAAGGAAATATAAAGATAGTTTCTTCCTCCACTTACAAAACTATCAGTGGGGCCCAACCAGACAAAACTATACAAACTGGCCGGGCGCGGTGACTCACACCTGTAATCTTAGCACTTTGGGAGGCCAAGGCGGGTGGATCATCTTAAGTCATGAGTTCGAGACCAGCCTGGCTAATGAGGCAAAACCCCGTCTCTACTAAAAATACAAAAATTAGCTGGGCGTGGTGGTGCGCGCCTGTAGTCCCAGCTACTCAGGAGGCTGAGGCAGGAGAATCACTTGAACCCAGGAGGTGGAGGTTGCAGTGAGCCTAGATCGCACCACTGCACTCCAGCCTGGGCAAAAGAGAGAGACTCCGACTCAAAAAAAAAAAAAAAAAAAAAGTATACAAGCTTAGAAAATACAGTTAGAGCCAACCTGCCAGGCATCCTTGCATACTTCAGACCAGGGATGCTTGTCTGCATGCTTTGTTTGGGTCCATCTCTAGAGTATTCTTCTGTCTGCAGAGATTGGTGTAGGCACCTTGGGATGACAAATCATTGAGCGGGGCTTTTCCATGTGTCCCAGAGTTAGTGACAAAGTCCAAAGCCGTGGACGGAAAGACACTCAGTACCCCCACTACAATTAGAGAAAGATAGCAGCCCCAAAGCCTTGGATTGAAGAAAGAGGCTCAACCACACCCCTCCACCTGCATCACCAGAAGGAGTAGAATGAGGAAGGGTGGGGGTGGGGGGTCACTGAGTTATCCTGTGGTTTTGCCCAGTTTGGTAGTAAGAGACTTCTCTTTTCTCCTTCTATGAAAAAGAAAGAGGTGCTTCTCTCACCCACTAACTCAAAGCCAAGAGAGGAGAGGGCAGCTAGAGGAATCATTTATGGAGACTGTAGGTGCCTGGAAGAAGGACTGGCCTCTCTCTACCTGGATGATCCTTTCTGCAAGCGGGAAGTTCACTAGAGGAACCCAGGCCAGCATGATGAGAAGGGCCCGCTGTGGGGTGTGCCCAAGAGCAGGAGGGATTTGCTTCTTCATCTGTCCCAGGTCTTGGAAGCTCTGAGGGCATAAGCCACCGCAGTGTGAAGAGCAGATGCTGGAGGAAGGCACAGGGCCAGACAGGGCAAGCCCCACACTGAAGAGATGTTGTAGATGTGGATTGCTGTGTGCCTAAAGGGAGACACAGCAGCCCCTTTCTGAGGGGATTCTCTGTGATAAAGGGTAGGTCAGGGGGAAGCTGAACACTGTCCCTCCCACCAAAACACATACGCCATCTACATATACACAGCATAACAGAGAAGCCACCAACCAGCACCAAACTGAAACAATCCAAGCAAGAGTAGGCCCAGAAGGGGAGGGCAGAGGGTAATAAAGGAACAGATGGTAGCCCTGTTCCTACTACAGCGATTGCATCAAATATGACTGCAGCAGATTTCCTTCAGGCTTTTCTTTTTAAATAAATTTTTGTTGAAGGGAAACACATACAGAAAGTGCATAAATGGTAAGATCACAGTCCAACGAACCATCACAAAGTGAGCACAGCCCTGCACATAAATGACTGAATGTTACCAAAGCCCCAGACACCCCTCATGCCCCTCCCAGTCACTGCTCCTCTCTAGAAGGTGACCACTATCCTGACTTCTAATAACAAAGATGAGTTTGGACTACTTCGAACCTTGCATGACTGGAATCATATGGTAGGTTCTCTTTTGACTCTCCCTTCTTTCATTCAATGTGACTGTTTTCAGATTCATCTGTGCTGTGTGTAGAGTACTTCATTTATTTTTAGTTGTTTTTTATTTTTATTTTTTAATTTTAATTTTTTTTTTTTTTGAGATGGAGTCTCGCTCTGTCACCCAGGCTGCAGTGCAGTGGTACGATCTCAGATCACTGCAACCTCTGCCTCCCGGGTTCAAGCGATTCTCCTGCCTCAGCCTCCCAAGTAGCTGGGACTACAGGCGTGCACCACCACACCTGGCTAATTTTTTGTATTTTTAGTAGAGATGGGGTTTCACCATGTTAGCCAGGATGGTCTCAATCTCCTGACCTGCTGATCCACCCACCTCTGCCTCCCGAAGGGCTGGGGATACAGCCGTGAGCCACCATGCCTGGCCTATTTATTATTTACACACCATTGCATGGTGTATGCTTTCTATTATCTGCTATAACATATTACTACAACCTTAGCTGCTTAAAACAATGGAGATTTATTTTCTCACAGTTCTGGAGGCCAGAAATGCTTAGTCAGTATCACTGGGCCCTAACCAGGGTCCCAGCAGGGCCACAGTTGTCCAGAGGCTTTAAGAGAGAGTCCTCACCTCCAGGAGCTTCTGGGAGCTGCCAGCAGCCCTTGTCTTGTGGCCACTCAACCTCTGCTTCCTTGGCCACATTGCCACCTCCTCTTCTGTATTAAATCTCCTTCCGGCTCCCTCTTATAAGGACACGTGATTGCATTTAGGGCATTCAGGGCCCCTCTGGTCGTCTCCTTCTCTCAGGATCTTTGGCTCAATCGCAGCTGTAAAGACC
The DNA here is from genome assembly GCF_000001405.40 of Homo sapiens. Taxonomy (NCBI): domain Eukaryota; kingdom Metazoa; phylum Chordata; class Mammalia; order Primates; family Hominidae; genus Homo; species Homo sapiens. Next base: position 55,340,979 of record NC_000007.14, read on the forward strand.
CTATGACTGAGATTTAGAGTGAAAGTTTAACAGGCCAAAGAAAAAAAGCTCTCCCTGCTGCAGAGAGAGAGGTCCTGGAGAAATGTGTTGCCACTTCCATGGTGAAATGCAGATTTTATAGATGAGCTTGAGAAGGCGTGTTTAATTTACATAGGGCATGAAAGATTGGTTGAACCAGGTGTGCCATTTGCATAGTCCGTGAAGAAGTTGGCTGCCCCACCCCAATATTTTATTATGCACATAGGTTTTTTAACATGGCTGGTGCCATGTTGCCTGGTTTTTGTTTTGTTTTTTTGAGACACAGTTTCGCTCTTGTTGCCCACGATGAAGTGCAATGGCACGATCTAGGCTCATCGCAACCTCCGCCTCCCGGGTTCAAGCAATTCTCCTGCCTCAGCCTCCTGAGTAGCTGGGATTACAGGCAAGTGCCACCACGCCCGGCTAATTTTGTATTTTTAGTAGAGACGGGCTTTCTCCATGTTGGTCAGGCTGGTCTTAAACTCCCAACCTCAGGTGATCCACCTGCCTCGACCTCCCAAAGTGCTGGGATTACAGGCATGAGCCACGGCGCCTGGCCGTTGCCTAGTTTTTGTGGTAACAAACAAAAAAAAGGCGGGGGGGGGGGGAATGGAGCCTCCATGTTGAACACACCCAGCCCCCAAGTCTATTGGCAAGCTGCTAGCCTTTATCCATGCAAGCTTTCTGCTTCCCTATCTTAGTGTGCCCAAAATAGGGAAAGGAATATGCTCATTAAGGTCCACTGTTTTTACTGGGACTCATTGTATTTATGTGGAGTTTGGTGATTATTCAGGAAGCTCCCCCTCTGTTGTCGAAGTGCTTATTTATGTTTTATAGCCCAATCTTCCAGACTGCTCTTTGTTAGAAAAAAAGTAATTTCTTTAAACTGTGTGTGGTTAAAAAGAAAGTAATTTCTTTTTTTTTTTTTTTTTTTTTTTTTTTGAGACGGAGTCTGGCTCTGTCGCCCAGGCTGGAGTGCAGTGGCGCAATCTTGGCTCACTGCAAGCTCCGCCTCCCGGGTTCACGCCATTCTCCTGCCTCAGCCTCCCGAGTAACTGGGACTACAGGCGCCCGCCACCACGCCCCGCTAAGTTTTTTTTAATTTTAGTAGAGACGGGGTTTCATCGTGTTAGCCAGGATGGTCTTGATCTCCTCACCTCGTGATCCGCCCGCCTCGGCATCCCAAAGTGCTGGGATTACAGGCGTGAGCCACTGCGCCCAGCCAAAGAAAGTAATTTCTGAGCTGCTTTTTGTTAAAAGGAAAGTTTTTGCCGGGGACTCTTGCACCCTATCAACCTAAATAATTTCTATCTTCTGTATAGGAGTCCAGGGGTCAGGGCAGAGGCGCAGGTGGTGCGACGCCACGGAGTTGGTCCCCATGGCCGTGAGCCAGCCCCAGCGGCACAGCCGCCCTGTCCCCAGCGGCATCTAGGTGATGGCCAACTCCAGGCCGCTCTCCAGCTGCTTGGCCTGGCACCTCAGCTCTGCCAGCTCCCGGAAGCAACAGGCCACCAAGCGGCCCCGGGCTCCCGTGGCAGTGAGCCCTCTACTCTGCTCTCAAAAACTGATGCCGCCAAGGAGCCCGCCATGGCCAGCCCTGCTCAAAGCCAGGGCCAGCCCCGGGAGCCAAGCCGCCAGGCAGCCTTCCTCCAGGGAGGGTCTGGAGGCTGAGGGGGGGCGGCCTGCGGGTGACCAAGGAGATAGCCATGCAGCGCCACGTGGGGGACCTCCGGCTGCTGGGGAGTCCCCGGCCACACCCAGTTCCCCAGGCCTGGCCTGGCAGGATGGTAGCTGCCTCTAAGAGGGGAAACCCGAGTAAGAAAAGCGGGACCCCAGCCGCAAAGATGGTGCCCAGGAGGAGGACAAGACCAAGGACAAGGGCTGAGGGCAGCCCGGGGAGATGCCCGGTGTGGACAAGAAGGGCCTGCAGGCCAGCAGCCCCTGCCGCAAGGCAGAGCGGGGGAAGCGACCAGTAAGAAGCCATTTTCGGCCACCGAAGTCCATTTGCTGCCCCAACCCTCCCAGACAGGAAGCACACGAAGGCCCCTGCAGGGAAGCTGGTGGAGTGGAAGGCCTGCTCGCTAGACCCCTCCCAGGACGCCCCAAGCTGAAGAAGCGGGTCTTGAGCCACCCTGATCTCTTCGGAGACCAGAGTGAGGACGAGGCCCCGGAATCTGTGGCGCCGAGGATGTGGGCCCCTGCCCTCCCAGCCTCAGCTGGGACTTAGACTCGGTCTCCAGCCTGGGCTTCGGGGAGGCTCAGAAATCGCCCAAGCGGCTCAAGGACTCCCCGCCCCACTCCCCGGCCCATCCTACTCCTCCTCCTTCTCCTCCAGCGCGGGCAGGATGTGGACTACTCAGCCCTAGAAAAAGAGGTGGACTTCACTCCGACCCCCTGGAGGCGTGCCTGTGGATCTTCGACGAGTCCACTAGCGTCAACACGGAGGACAAAGGTCGACTGGCCTTCAGCCCCCCAAGGAAGAGACCTTCGGGTCTGACCACTCTGTTCAGAAGAGGATGATATCTTTCCAAGCAAGGCCAGGAGGCGGAGCCCTAGAGGAGGAGTCCCGCGGTGCCCCGCCCACCGGCGCAGGAGTTAGTTGGCTACCTGCCGGCCCAGCACGCGCAGAGGAAGTAGGTGAGCTGGCTGCAGGCCGCCCCCAGGCTAGCGGAGAGCCGTCCTCGCTCCAAGAGGATCGCCCACGTCCCCAAACCCGCTTGGCTGCAGCCCCTACAGAAAACCCTCGTGGCCAGCTGCAGCCAGACCCCCAGTGAGGCCCCAAGCCCCTCAGCCAGCTGCTTGAGACCCGCAGGTGGTGAGGGATGGCGTCCAAGACCACCACCATCATCACCCGTAAGCGACTCGCCCACAGTCCATCCTTACAGAGTGTAAAGAGACCCATTATCCCCTAAGAGTTTAGGGGCAGTCACCACCGTCATCCGCCAACGCCATCTCAACCTGTTCATCCAGAAGTGTTCCGTTCTGCGCCACCAGGAGGCTATGGAGAAGGCGCTGAAAGAGGAAACGATGACCTGAGACCGGCAACCCCGGAGAAAACCTCTACCTGAACTGCCACGAACACCCTCCCAGAGCTCAGCCGCCTGGGAATCCCCGAGGCCACAGGATGTGTCCCGGGAGGAGGAGTTGGTGGGCAGGCTGGCCGCCGGGACCAGCTTCTCGTGCAGCTACTGGAGCAGCCCCCGGTGAGGAACCTGAACCAGGCCGCCCTGTGCAGCCCCTTGAGGAGCTCCTGCTAACCCAGGCCCAGCTCAAGAACGGCTCCCCGTCCCACACCCACCGCTCCGTCTTCTTCACGGCCAAGGAGAAGAAGCCCAAGGACTCCTCCTGCAGGACCTGCTGTCCCGCGGCACCGAGTCCCACGTGTCCTCGTCGAGCTCTATGTCCGCAACGAGGAGTTGCTGCCACTGGGGGCGGCTGGGAGACCCGGGGTTGCGCGGCGCCATCAGGTCGCTGAGCTCACCTGCCGGCGGAAGGAGCGCCTGGAGGGCTTCGTGAGGACGTTTGAGAAAGCTCTGGGGGACGCCTCCCCACTGGGACCCATGCCCTGGACTGTTGGGCGCCCTGCACCACGCACGGCCTGGAGCTGGCCCGGTAACGCGGCCACAGGAACGTGGTGCGCGACGCCTTCGTCAAGACCGACGGCTTTCTTGCCGACATTAGCGTCAGCTGCAGGCAGTCCTGCTGAACGTGTTCCGCTTGGCACCAACACCATCGTCACCCGCACCGCCTGGAGAGCGGCCTGTGACCTCTTAGGGTATCCACAGCACGGAGGTGGACGAGTCCGCGCTCTCCCCAGCGCCTGGGCCTCCCCTATAAGTGCTCTCTGCGGAGCCTCACGGCCGACCACGTGGGACATCTCACCCAGAGACGCATGTACAGCACAGCTCCCGCGGGGGCGCGGCGCCTGCGTGCATCCGGCTATCTGGAAGGTCCGAGAAGACCAAGCGCTGGCGCCCGCCCGCCTCTCCTGCCGCCCTAGGCCTCTTCCAAAACAGCGCCATACATCTCCACGAGGCCAGGCAGCTCAGAGCAGCGGGATGAGCGGACGCCGAGAACGCGACGCCCAGCAGACCCGCCCAGCCCAGCCCGCGCCCCGCCCTGGCCTCTGGCGCGCGTCCCCGCCCCGCTCTCTGCAGCCCCCAGTCCCGCAGCCCTGGGCCGTCTCCGCCCCTCAGCCCCACGGCCCGAGCCGCCAAGAGACCCTCGCACCCGCCCGCGGCTCCAACCAGGCCCTCATTTCCGCTCCGGGCTGCGGCAGGCGCCTCTGCTTCTCACACGGGGCGCCGGGTGGGCTGGTCTCAAGTTTGAGACAGGCTTTTTAAATTCTATATTGTTATTTGTATTATTTTTAATGTAAACCTGATGAATTGCACAGTACCTTCCCCACTGAGAAGAGCAGGGGCCCGGCGCTGGCTTCCCTCCTGGGGCATAGGGACCGGACAGACCCGAACAGGAGCCGGGGCCACGGCCACACGCGGCCTAGCGTAGGTTGGACACGCCTCCCGGGCTCTCGGAGCTGGCCTGCTTGGTGGGAGCCGGCTTCTGCAACCTACCTACCGCCCCCTGCGCTGGACTCCGTTACCTCTGAGAACCAAAGAAGCCCCTCGCCAGCCCCCAGGGCCCACTGGCCTCCAAATGCAGTCTTCCTGCAGGAGCACGCTCCTCGTCTGTGGGGTTCTCTGTACCCCTTCCCCCTCACCCCCAGCATGGACAGAATAAATGGTAGTATAAATAAATGCTGGTTAAAAAAAAGAAACCACAAAATAAAAATTATACCAGTTTACACTGCTACTCCATATTCTTGCCAACACTTAGTATTGAAATTCTTTTGAACTTTACCTTTCTGATGGATTTGCAGTGGAATCTCACTGTATAATTTTGATTTGCATTTATCTGAGAATTTATGATGTCGAACAATTTTCATATGGCTGTTTAGCCACTTCAGCATCCTTTTTGGTGAAGAATCACTTCAGGACTGTTCCCCATTTTTTCCACTGTGTTGTTTTTTTCTCTTTAATAGGAGCTGTATACATTCTAGATAAAAGCCTTGGTCAGTATAAGGTGCTGCCAATATCTCCTCCCAGCCTATGGCTCACCTTTACACTCAGAAGTGGTGTCTTTTTTAGTCCATAAACAAATTGTATTTTTATTCGCCAGCAACAAACAATTACAAACAGCCTCAAAAATTCAGATGGCTGTGAGTAAATCTAATGCAAGATATGCAAAACCACTACACAGAAAGCCACAAAGCAATATTGAAACAAAACTTAAAAGTCCTAAATAAACATGTAATTGGAAGACTTAGTATTATAAGAATGTCAGTTTTCCCAGAAATGATCTATAGAGTCAAAACAATCCCAATCAGAATCCAAGAAGGGTTTTTTGTTTCCCCATTTTTTTTGGAAACTGACAAGTGGATTTGGACAGGTATGTGGAATTGCAAATGACCTAGTATAGCCAAGACAATCTTGAAGGAGAAGAACCAAATTGTGGGAATTTTCCATCCAACTTCAAGACTCAGTTTAAAAGTACAACAATTGAAACAGTATTGGGGTGAGTATAGACAAATGGACCAAAGGAAACAATACAGAACAGAAACAAGACTCCCCTGGGCACACGTACTTGACTTATGACAAAGCTGGCAGTGCAGAATGATGAGTAAAGGCAATAATGCTGGGCCAGTTGAATAGTCAACTGGAGAAAATGAAAAGTTTCCCCTCTTCATGCTGTGCACATAAATAATTCCTGGTGGGTTATAGATGTAAATGTGAAAGGTAAAATAATAAAGCTTCCAGATGATAGCATATGAAAATATTTTTATGGCTTTGAGATAGGCAACAATTCCTCATTATTAAATAGCACTAACCATAATGGGACTACATTAAGATTTGGATTGCTTTTTGGGAGGCCAACGCGGGCGGATCACCTGAGGTCAGGAGTTCGAGACCAGCCTTGCCAATATGTCGAAACCTCGACTCTACTAAAAATACAAAAAATTAGCCGAACATGGTGGTGGGTGCCTGTAATCCCAGCTACTCATGAGGCTGAGGCAGGAGAATCACTTGAACCGGGGAGGTGGAGGTTGCAGTGAGCCAAGATGGCGTCATTGCACTCCAGCCTAAGCAACAAGAACGAAACTCTGCCTCAAAAAAAAAAAAAAGATTTGGATTGCTTTAATGTCTGAAGGTGGTTAAAAAAAAAGTTACGGGAAATAGGTTGCATGATAATATACTAATAATATCACTAACTATAATTTATTGAGCATTTGTGATATACTGAGCACCCTACTGAGTTTCAAATGTCTTATCTCATTTAGCCATTACTAATATTATTATTTTACAGATGAGGAAGCTGAGGTACAGACTGTTGAAGTAACTTGCCTAAAGTTATTCACACTGCTAGTAAGTGACAGAGCTGCTCTGCAGACCAGGCAGTCTGACTCCAGAGCCAACACTCTTAATGACTCCACCTGACCCCCATTGGAGGCACTGGATTTTATATAATGAGGGCATTTAACTTATAGACTGATACCAAACCTGAAGAGGGCATGTAGGATGGCTTTTTGAAAACATACCAGGAGCCCCTGGTATGTTTCTCAGTGCTACATATCACAAGATGCAAAAGATAACAAGAAGTAGTTATGGCTGAAGTTCCTAAGGATAAATATCTCAGGAATCAAGACAAAGTCAAACGAGTAGGCTCAATCTTCATATCTTTTAATTATGTTCCCAGAGCTTGTCCAAAGGTGTAGGTTGTTATGGTGATGGGAAAAGGTTTTGCAAACTTAACTTATGGGAGTATTTTTTTCAGATTTAAATAATGCCTTGTCATGATGTACAACCTTAGCTAGCCTTGCTCCTCTGTGCTGCCCACTTCAGTTATACGAGAAGGTATTATGTTGGTGTTAGCTGGTAAAATGTCTGAAGAATCTGTGAACCCAAAAAAGCCATGGGTACCCCCTTGGTGGTGGTAACAATAAATGTTATTTATTTATTTTTTTGAGACGGAGTCTCACTTTGTCGTCCAGGCTGGAGTGCAGTGGTGCAATCTCGGCTCACTGCAACCTCCACTTCCCAGGTTCAAGCTATTCTGCCTCAGCCTCCCAAGTAGCTGGGATTACAGGTGCCCGCCACCATGCCCAGCTAATTTTTGTATTTTTAGTAGAGACAGGGTTTCGCCATGTTGGCCAGGCTGGTCTCGAACTCCTGACCACAGGTGATCTGCCCGCTTCAGCTTTCCAAAGTATTGGGATTACAGGTGTGAGCCACCGCACCCGGCCACAATAAATTTTACATTAGTGAGATCCATGGTGGCCAACCTATCATTTTTCTTTTGCATGTTACCTTATTAATCTGATCGGTTGTTTCAAGCTATTTCACTATCTTTGATTTTGTTACCCAGGAGGAGGGAAAATCCACAGTTGACAGGACCCAATATGGATGAAGCCAATGTCAGTTAAACCTCAGTTCTTCCTAAAAACTCATTCTGGATATGTAACATTTACTAAAATAATAATAAAAGTCCATAAAGAGAAACTTTTTGCCCAAGCAGATAGAATGTCTGTGATATTCATATTGCCAGGGAAATGACACAACTCTAGAAGAAATTATCATCATATGACTCACCACTACCTTTGCCAGTTCTTTTGCTGACAGATGGAGAGATAAAAGATCTAAAACTGTGTCTATGAGGGATTAGCGTTCTAAAATTGTGGTCGCTCATAAGAATGCAATATTAACACTCATTCGAAAAGACAGCAGCACATCGAGGGTTTTTCTTATGGGACCCCAGCTGGCCCCACCCAGAAGACAGAGCTCAGTGACTCCAGGACTCCATGGGAGTTACTTCCCTCCCTTCATTTTTTCCTTCCCTTCTTTTCAGGCCTTCTTTTCTTTGTCTCCTTTCCCCTCATTCCTTCCTCCCTTCTCTCTTTTATTTCTATTTCTCTTTCTGTTTTGTTTTCTTTCTTTCTATTTCTTTCCTTCCAACAGATGGGATTTTATTTTTATTTTTATAGACTTATGTATAAAATTTCAGTCAAAATATTATCCTAGAAAGGAGTATAAATAATTTTTTTGTCTCATTATATCTAACGGGTTTTCAAGCAAACTAAGAATCTCTAAAATATCCAGGTCAGCAAAGAAACTGTAACTATGTAATTTATTGTGAAGATGCCTTCTCTTCTAACACAAGCTCTACCCAGCAGGAGGGTTTTCCTAAATTTAAATCAGCAGTAAAGCATGTTCTCCTCTTCGCTAGGCAAGTTTTTGCAAACACCCTGTTGCCAAGCTGCCATCTCTGAGCAGGGAGACTTACACAATATCTGCCAATTGACTGCAGCAAGTACTGAGAGCAGTGGAGGAAGAAGGGGCCAGTATGATCGGACAAGGGAAAGGGATCAAAGGGACAAAAGCACTGAGCACTAAGCTCTGATTTTTTGTCTTGCCCAAATTCCTACCTAAGGGGTCTAGGGAGTCATGCCTTGCAAACCATAAATTCTCATCAGATGGGTTTTATTGGACCCTATATATTGTGACTTACTTTTCAATCTGACTCTGGCATAACATTATGAGACAAGGAAAAAAATATTTAACCACAGAAATATATTTCCTTGCCATACCTTAAAATTGCCTTGCAAAATGTCTTGTGGGAAGAATCCACATTCTATACAAAATCCCCTTCCCCCTTTGTTTTTCTTCCTTCCTTTCCAGATCCGGGAGATAATCAACTAAGAGCCAGGCACCCTTTTAAGTTCTATAAAAAACAATTTACAAACCGCTCTCTCTAAAGTTGGCTACCTAAGAGCTTTCTCTGCACGATAAAACTTGGTCTCCACAAACCTTTATCTTTAACCTGAACATTCCTTTCTATCTATCCCATGTCTTCAGACAACTTCAACCAATTGTCAACCAGAAAATGTTTAAATTTACCTATAGCCTGGAAGCCCTCGCTTTTGTCCCACCTTTCTAAACCAAACCAATGTATTCCTTAAATGTATTTGATTGATGTCTCACGCCTTCCTAAAATACATAAAACCAATCTGTACCCCAGCCACCTTGGGCACATGTTCTCAGGACCTCCTGAGGGCTGTGTCATGGGCCATGGTCACTCATACTTGTCTCAGAATAAATCTCTTAAAATATTTTGCAGAGTTTGACTCTTTTCATCAACAGCACCTAGGCACAAAGCAGAAATGAATAGAAAAAGAAATGCGTGTAATCCACGCTTCCCTCAGCAACAGCAGCTTTAGATAGACTATTTGTCTGTGACAAATAATTAGGGCATGACTAATAATTTCCGTATTAACAAGAAATTATTTAGTTCTGCGTCTTCAACTCACATTTTCACTGGAATCCTACAAGTATCAGAGGTGTTTGAACCACAGCGACTCCATCTTGAACAGGGCTGGGTAAAATAAGGCTGAGACCTACTGGGCTGCATTCCCAGGAATTTAGGCATTCCAAGTCACAGGATTAAACAGGAGATCGCCACAAGATACGGGTCACAAAGACCTTGCTTATAAAACAGGTTGTGGTAAAGAAGCCGGCCAAAACCCACCAAAACCAAGAGTGACTTCTGGTCGTTCCTCACTGCTCATTACATGCTAATTATAATGTATTAGCATGCTACAAGACACTGTCTTCAGTGCCATGAAAGTTTACAGATGCCAAGGCAACATCTGGAAGTCCCCCTATATGGTCTGAAAAGGTGAAGAGTCCTCAGTTCCAGGAGTTTCCCACCCCTTTCCCGGAAAACTCATGAATAATCCACCCCTCGTTTAGCATATAATCAAGAAATAACCATAAAAATGGCTAGTCAGGCCAGGCGCAGTGGGTCACACCTGTAATCCCAGCATCTTGGGAATCTGAGGCAGGCAGATCACCTGAGGCCAGGAGTTTGAGACCACCCTGGCCAACATGGTAAAACTCTTTCTTTACTAAAAATACAAAATCAACCAGCTGGGCATGGTGGCACATCCCTGTAGACCCAACTACTCAGGTGGTTGAGGCAGGAGAATCACTTGAACCCAGGAGGCGGCAGTTGCAGTGAGCTGAGATCGCGCCACTGCACTCCATCCTGAGTGACAGAGTGAGACTGTGGATCAAAAAAAAAAAAAAGGGCCAATCAAAAGCCCTCAGGGCTGCTCTGCCTATGAAGTAGCCATTATTTTATTCTTTTACTTTCTTAATAAGCTTGCTTTCCCATTACTCTATAGACTCGCCTGGAATTCTTTCTTGCAGAGATCCAAGAACCCTCTCTTGGGGTCTGGATTGGGACATTTTTCTGGTCACACAAGCACTTCATGTCCTCCTTTTCCCTTGTAGGGTCCCAGGGGCTGCTAGCCATGGCCTAGCACAGTGCAGCACAGGGAGCACCACACACATCCTCAGCTGTGCTCCCAGGGATGCCTCCTGCACAGTCCAGTGTGAACAGCTGCCCAGAGCCAAGAAGGGCAGTGTTGCTCCACACGGGCAGTTGGCAGCCACGTGGTAGCTATTGAGATCTTCTTGTTTTTCATTATTTACTAAAACAAACAAACACTTATATGTCTAATAATAGATAAAATAAATTCTCGTAGATCATACAATGGCATATGAAGCCAATAAAATTATGTTACAGAAGAGTATTTAATGACAGAAAAACATTCATGATTTATTGCTAGATAACATGATAAAATTTGAACATAATAGGTAAAAAGACAAAAATGTGTAGTATAAAATAAAATTTCAGGACCCTCTAAATTTATTTTGCCAAGGAAGGAAGTTAAGCTCTGGAGACAGTAGCATGTTTGCAATTTCGCTTCTTAGATTATAGCTTAACCCTCTTCCTCATTGCTCTTTTCCTGTAAATGCCTAGGAGAGACCAGAGACCAGATATTCCCCCTTCCAATCACTGATCTTTGTTATAGATTAACTGTCTTTATTGTCCAGTTCCTAACCCAGACCAATGGCACCCAAGACCCCATGACAGTTACATCTTCAGGGTGGAATGTTAAATATACCTTTCCCTGAAAGAAACGTACCATCTGGACTAATCATATCATTGTATTTTAACTATACATTAAGTCTTCCATAGAAAGACACTGAAATTCTGTTAAAGCGCCCTAAGCTTTGTCCATGTAAACGATCCCAAACTTCTACACTCTGGAGCACTGACTTCCGTTCTTTGAAATCTGGGCTTCCTGGGTGGCCTGTCCTCAATCTTTGCACTTGAATAAACTTGCTTTAAACTAGAGTCTGACCTTTTTATTATTATTATTATTTTAGGTTGATTACAGGCACTGGAACATGACCAAAAGCAGGCAGTAACTAGAGTGGAGTCAGGCCATGAGAATCAGGAACCACAGTGTGTAAGATTTGCCATATGCAGCATTTGGCCTCCAGGTCCTCCCCAGTTCACACGGAGCTCAGTGCAGCTGGAAACCTCAGTCTTACTGGCTTGATGTGTCAGATGACAAAATTTAGACTGGCAGAACAGCTGGAAAGTTATGAAGAAATCCTGGAAAGGAGAAAACCACAGAGGAAATAAACCCTTACATCTGATTATAAGCTCCGCCTAAATTCTGGGCTGACTTGATAAACTATAGTCAACGAAAAGAGTCAAACTGTGTAAAATATTTGAAGAGATTTATTCTGAGCCAAATATGAGTGACCATGGCCCGTGACACAGCCCTCAGGAGGTCCTGACATCGTGTGCCCAAGGTGGTCGCGGTACAGCTTGGTTTTACATAGTTTTAGGGAGGCATGAGACATCAATCAAATACATTTAAGAAATACATTGGTTTGGTTCTGGCCAGGCACGGTGACTCACGCCTGTAATCCCAGCACTTTGGGAGGCAGAGGCAGGCAGATCACGAGGTCAGGAGATCAAGACCATCCTGGCTAACACGGTGAAACCCCATCTCTACTGAAAATACAAAAAATTAGCCGGGCGTGGTGGCGGGCATCTGTAGTCCCAGCTATTCAGGAGGCTGAGGCAGGAGAATGGTGTGAACCCAGGAGGCGGAGCTTGCAGTGAACTTAGATTGCGCCACTGCACTCCAGTCTGGGTGACAAAGCAAGACTCCGTCTCAAAAAAAAAAAAAAAAAATTGTGGGCCAGGCACAGTGGTTCATGCCCATAATCCCAGTGCTTTGGGAGACCGAGGCAGGCAGATCACTTGAGGCCAGGAATTTGAGACCAGCCTGGCCAACATGGTGATACTCTGTCTCTACTAAAAATACAAAAATTGGCTGGGTGCAGTGGCTCATGCCTGTAATCCCAGCACTTTGGGAGGCCGAGGAGGGAAGATCACCTGAGGTCAGGAGTTTGAGACCAGCCTGGCTGGTGAAACCCCGTCTCTACTAAAAATACAACAATTAGCCAGACGTGGTGGCGTACACCTGTAATCCCAGCTACTCGGGAGGCTAAGGCAGGAGAATCGCTTGAACCCGGGAGGTGGAGTTTGAGTGAGCTGAGATTGCGCCACTGCGCTCCAGCCTGGGTGACAGAGCAAGACTCTGTCTCAAAAAAAAAAAAAAAAAAATTAGCCGGGCATGGTGACACATGCTTGTAATCCCAGCTACTCAGGAGGCTGAAGCAGAATTGCTTGAACCCGGGAGGCAGAGGTTGCAGTGAGCCGAGATTGCGCCACTGTACCTCAGCCTGGGTGACAGAGTGACACTCCGTCTAAAAAAAAAAAAAAGATACAGGATTGTGGAGACCAAGTTCTGCAGCACAGAGAAATCTCTCAGATAGTGGATTTCAGAGAGACTGCAGGTTGTAAAATGTTTCTTATTAGACCTAAAAGGGAGCCTGGCTCTTAGTTGATTATCTCCTGGATCTGGAAAGAAAGGAAGGAAAACAAAGGGGAAAGAGGATTCTCTATAGGATGTGGATTTTTCCCACAAGAGACATTGCAGGGCAATTTTAAGGTATGGCAGGGAAATATATTTTGGGGTTAAATGTTTTTTTCTTGTCTCATAATGTTATGCCAGAGTCAGATTAAAAAGTAAGTTACAATATATAGGGTCAAAACCCGTCTGATGAGAATTTATGGTTTGTAGGGCATGACTCCCTAGACCCCTTAGGTAGGAAGTTGGGCAAGATAAAAAATCAGAGCTTAGTCCTCACTACATAAACACGGGGAAGATCCCCGTGGGGCCAGCAAAAAAGTAACAAATGAAAACTAAAAGAATAGATATTTCATCTACTTCCCACTGCAGGTTGTTAAAGAAAAACTAGAGTTGGACAGTTGTTACAGCAGTAAAGATTTTATTCAGGAACTATTGCAATAGGGGAAAGGAGCCTCAGAATACAACTGGGCTCAAGTCTGAATACAGCAAAGACAAGTGGGAATTTACAGCTGTGAACTAAAAATTAAAATTCTAAGCCCCCCAACCATCTGAATGAACCCCTCTTCTTAGCCAAGGGCATTCCAAAGTTAACCTGAAAATGTAGTTCAGGCCATGATGGGAAGTGGGGGTTTGATGTGCCTGATTACCTTCCTCCCTTTGGAATTCAGGCACAACTGACCAGCATTAACATAAAAACAGAGATCTTAATACTTTTTGTAGCAATAAGATACCAAATTCCAGCCTGACTCTAGTATAGCATCACCTGACCGACAGCAGGCCCTGAAAGAAATCAGAGTATTTTACCCTAAAATGTATTTCTTCGACATATCTTGAAATGGCCCTGCAAAGCTATCTCTTGTAGGGAAAAAATCTACATTCTGTAGGGAATCCCCTTCCATTTCCAGGTCTTGGTCCTGATCCAGGAGAGAATTAACAGAGTCTGGCGGCTTTTTTAGTCTGATAAGAAACATTTATAAGCTATTCTCTGAAGCCTGCTACCAGAATCCTTCATCTGCATAATAAGAACCGTGGTCTCCACATCCCTTCTCTTAACCCAGACACTCCAAGTCTTTAGATAAACTGTTTCAACCAATTGCCAATCAGGAAATCTTCTTTGAATCCACCTGTAACCTAGAAGCAACACACTTCTCTACTTTGAGTTGTCCTGCCTTTCCAGATAGAACCAGTGTACATCTTCCATGTATTGACTGATGTCTTATGTCTCCCTAAAATGTATCAAACCAAGTGTTAGCCAAACCACCCTGGCACATACTGTCAGGACCTCCTGAGGCTGTGTCACAGGCATATCCTTAAACTTGGCAGAATAAACTTTTAAATTGATTGAGCCTTGTCTCTGATACCTTTTGGTTTACATAGCCAAGGAGCAGGGTGGAGGTCAGTGGATGGAAAAGTATTAAGAAGAAACATCAGGGGCAAGGGGGTTCTGGTTACAGAGGTCTAACAGGACTCCTACTGAAGGCAGGCCAGGGTGATCAGAGGTCACCGGGAAGTTGGTGGAGAATGAGGAATTTGATCAGCTATTGAAGGTGACAGTAAACTGACTTGAGATTCTTGCTACAACTGGGCTCTTGAGGACAAGGCCTAAGGACGGGTCTTAGTCCAAAAAGAACTCAGAGGAGCCTATCTAGAGTTTGGCCAAAGACAGGATCTCTGTCAAGGAGACACCCAGGTTTGGAATTCTTTTTTATTTTATTAATTTCTTTAGAAGACATGTTTAGGCTGAATGAGGTAATCCCAGCATGCCTGTAATCTCAGCACTTTGGGAGGCCAAAGCAGGTGGATCACCTGAGGTCGGGAGTTTGAGACCAGCCTGACCAATATTGAGAAACCCTGTCTCTACTAAAAATACAAAAATTAGCTGGGCATGATAGTGCATGCCTGTAATCCCAGCTACTCGGGAGACTGAGGCAAGAGAATTCCTTGAACCCAGGAGGCGGAGGTTGCAGTGAGCCAAGATCGCTCCATTGCACTCCAGCCTGGGCAACAAGAGGGAAACTCCATCTTAAAAAAAAAAAAAAAAGACATGTTTAAAGATTATAACAGTGCATTGTGATGTTTATAACAGGTAGGTGTTAGGTATATGCTAACAATAATGCAATTTACAGGAGGTGTATATTGAGCTATATGCCATTATTTTATATATATATATATTTATTTATTTGTTTATTTATTTATTTAAGATGGAGTCTTGCTCTGTTGCCCAGGCTGGAGTGCAGTGGCGCGATCTTGGCTCATCGCAACCTCCACCTCCTGGGTTAAAGTGATTCTCCTGCCTCAGCCTCCCAAGTAGCTGGGATTACAGGCACCTACCACGGCGCCCAGCTAATTTTTGTATTGTTAGTAGAGACAGGGTTCCACCATGTTGCCAGGCTGGTCTCAAACTCCTGACCTTGTGATCTACCCGCCTCGGCCTCCCAAAGTGCTGGGATTACAGGCGTGAGCCACCACGCCCAGCCTATATGCCTTTATTTTATGTGAAGGAGGACAACATTAACTTAAGTAGACCATGTTAAACTAAAGATGCATGCTGTAGGCCGGGCGCGGTGGCTCACGCCTGTAATCCTAGCACTTTGGGAGGCCAAGGCGGGCAGATCATGAGGTCAGATCAAGACCATCCTGGCTAACACGGTGAAACCCCGTCACTACTAAAAATACAAAAAATTAGCTGGGCATGGTGGCCAGCGCCTGTAGTCCCAGCTACTCGGGAGGCTGAGGCAGGAGAATGGCGTGAACCCAGGAGGCGGAGCTTGCAGTAAGCCGAGATTGCGCTACTGCACTCCAGCCTGGGCGACAGAGCCAGACTCCGTCTCAAAAAAAAAAAAAAAAGAAAAGGAAAAAGATGCATGCTGTGATCCTCAGGCGTTGCTTCTCATCTGATGGTGATTTTTCTCTCCAGGGCAACATTTGGCAAAAAATATCTGAAGACTTTTTTTTTTTATTGTCACAACTGTTGGGTGGGGGACTTAGTGGGGAGGAATTGTTACCAGCATCTAGAGGGTAAAAGCCAGTAATGCTGCCAACTATCCTACAGGGCACGGGACAGCTCCTCACAGTAAGGAATTATCTAGTTTAAAAGGTCAATGATGCCAAGGTGAGAAACTCTGTCAAAAAATAAGCTAACAAAAAAACCCATGGAGGCATAGCTAAAAAGCCTATGGGGGAAATTAAAATGGAATACCAAAAAAAATTCAGTTAACCCAAAAGAAGGCAGAAAAGGAGGAGCAGAATAACAAAAAGCAGATAAGACAAATAAAAACAACAAAATTTTATACCTAAATCCATTTATCTCAATAATTATACTAAACCTAAATGGACTAAACATTCCAATTAAATGGTTGAGAATGGATAAAACAGCAAGGCGTATAAGTGACACACTTTTATTTTTTGATAATTTTCAGTGATTTATTTCATACAATACATAATAAAGTACAAATTTCTTAGTATGCCATGTTAGATCCTTTATAATCTGCCCACCACTTATTTTCAGTATGTTTACAAAGAAAATGGAAAACAACAGTGTATTTTTTTTTAGAGATGGTGAGATTTCCATCCCAATATAACTGAATTTATTTTCGGTGGCCTTTTTCCAGTAGGAATTCTCTTTGATATTGTGAATCAGCTGAACATCCAAGTGTCAACAGGAGGTTGTGTCGAATTGGTAGAATTATGGATGTCTTCTATTTGCTTCCTGTGCCTTTCTATCTTTTTCAAATACTTCTCTATAAACACAGAAACACTTATAGTTAGAAAAAATATAAATAAATAGTAGGCAAGCAAGCAAATGTTTTATTTGACTTGCTGAAGATAATTAAATCCACCTTATTTAAATCACAGCAGTGGCTGCCCACTTGCTGCTTCTCCTCAAAGCATCCTCATCACTGATGGGGCTCATCAACTCCCACACAGTAAGCGCCTTTGATGCTCCTAATGCCAGGCATCACATAGGAGGGAGGCAAACAGTTACTGAGGGGTTTAGAACCAGCAGGGCTTTGACTGTGGCACAGCAACGGGGGTAAACATGCTCTTCTTCCTTCCCCACTGGCATTATTTCTGAAGTTGGGGAGAGCACACACTGGGCTGTGTAGGGCCTAGGACAAATAATGTTTTGAAGGGCGGCTGTTTACATAAACAGCTTGAATCACCCCAAGTCATTGTAACAGCACCATTCTTGTGGCTTAATCTTTCTCCGGGCTACTCTCCTGGAAAACCCCACAAGTTCCAGCTACAGATACCCCAGGAAAACTCCAGAGATACAAGTTCTAGAGCTTCTGGGGTATCTGCAGGGCAGGATGTAGAGGGACGGAGAGTTTTCCAAAGGGAAGAAATGGGAACAAACCCTTGTATGTCCCATAGGGCTTGGGGCACCCCATCCAGTTGGCATTGCCAGGCGTGGCCAATCCTAGGGATGGGAGAAGAACTTGGACATTGTTGAGGAAGAGCCTAGAGTGACATTATGCCATCCATGTCTGTTTCTCTTTATCCTTCTTTCTTCCTCTGCCCAGCACACTAAGTCTCATGGGCCAAGTCATAGCACATTTGAAGGAAGCATCTAATGCTCACATCCAAAGCCTTCTTTTCGTCCTCTAATTAGTAAAAAATGTCCTAGTGTGGAGCCCAGGTGTTTTGAGTTTCTCCACCTCACCTAGTATTATACAAGCTAGATCAGCCATTTTTTTCTATCTGTATTATTTCATAGGCAAATCATGGCACCCTACTATCTAGGTACTGGTCATCAGTCCCTTGATTTGTGTGTGTGTAACAGCTTTATTAAGATATAATTCACATACCATATAATTCATTTCTTTACAGTGTACAATTCAGTGGCTTTCAGTGTATTCACAGAGTTGTGCAACTATCACCATAATTCATTTTAGATCATTTTCATCACTACAAAAAGAAACCCCATACCTCTTAGCCATCGGTTCCCATCCTCCTCCCATCAGCTCCTGATATTGGCTATTTTTTCTGTCTTAATAGATTAGCCTATTCTGGACATTTCATAGAAATGGAGTCATGCAATGTGTGATCTTCCATGACTGGCTTCTTTCACTTAACACAGTGTTTTCAAGGTTCATCGATGTTATCACATGTATTGATACTGCATTCCCTTTTGTGTGGTAAAATAAACATAACATAAAATTCACCATTTTAAATATTTTATGGTGTACAATTCAGTGGCATTCAGTTTGTTCACAATATTATGCAATCATCACTACTACCTATTCCAGAACATTGTGGTCATTCCTAAAGCAAAACCCTGACTTGTTAAGAAGTCACTCCCCATCTCTTCCTCCTCGCAGCCCCTGGTAACTCCTAAGCTGCTTTCTGTCTCTATGAATTTGCTTATTCTGGACATTTCATATAAACAGGATCAGACAATATTTGCCATTTTGTGACTGGCTTCCTGGTCTAGTATGTTTTCAAGATTCATCCATGTCATAGCAAGTATCAATACTTCATTCCTTTTCAGTGTTGAATAATATTCTCTTGTAGAGACATACAGTGCCACATTTTATTTTTCCATTCATCAGTTGAAGAATGTATGTATTGTTTACACTTTTTGGCTGCTATTAGTAATGCTGCTATGAACATTCATGTACAAGTCTTCCCGTAGATTTATGTTTTAATTTCTCTTGGGCATATACCCAGACATGGAGCCTCTACCTTTTATATTCTTCTCCTAGGTGGCTTACTGGGTCTTTATGAGAAGAGAACAATTTAGGACCTACACTCACAGGACAGCTTCTTAGGAAGTTTAAGGAACTCACTGTATCCTTGAAATAACCAGGACAGATCCTCCAAACTTGAAAATAAATGGAGAAGCACCAGATGGGGAGGGTAACTGGATCGTGTGTCTCCAACTCCTGTTCCCCAAGATTTACACCCTCTGGGGTTTTCTTAACTTCCATGGCTGCCCCCTGCTGATGGCAGACTGGGCACAGCTCCCTCCCTTTGATGCTCTGACCCCAGATGGGCTCCATTCCTGTGATATGAGTGAGCGCAAACTGAAATTGCTAAAACAAGACTTTAGTAAGGCTTGTATTAGTCTGCATTCATATGCTATAGAGAAATACCTGAGATTGGGTAATTTATGAAGAAAAGAGGTTTAATTGGTTCTCGGTTCTGCAGGTTGTACAGGAAGCATAATGATCTGCTTGGCTTCTGGGGAGGCCCTGGGAAGCTCACAATCATGGCAGAAGGCAAAGGGGGAGCAGGCATGTCATATGGCCAGGGGAGGAGTAAGATAGTGAAGGGGGGGTGGGGTGCTGCACACTTTTGAACAACCAGATCTCATGAAATCACTCACTATCATAAGGACATCATCAATGAAATGGTGCTAAACTGTTCATGAGAAATCCACTCCCACGATCCAATCACCTTCCACCAGGTCCCACTTCCAACAATGGGGATTACATTTCAGTAAGAGAATTGGGCAGGGACATGGATTCAAACTCTATCAGGCTCCAAAGAAAAATGGGAACAGATCAAGATAGCACACACCTAATAATGTGGTTTAAAATGTACAATGTATTCCCCTTAAACAGGGGTCCTGTCATAATCCCTTTCCAGCCTAGCTGCAGACTTGCCTCCATGAGGCAGGAGCCATCCAAGTGTCCCACCAGACATAACTGGATTCCTCCATGTCTGGACCAAGAGGGTGGGGCTCTGAGTGGGGCAGGAGTCCTCACTCCTGTCTATATGGTCCAGCTGGAAGACGAGTAAGACTGACATCCACTCACTTAAGAGGAATTCTCACCCATTCTTAGAGGGCAGCCTTACCCATAGTTTCAACAATGTCAAAATGCCTCACACTAAGCCCAACATCCCATGAGAGATGGACACATGCCAGGCAGGGGGATGGTTTCTGTGCTATTATCTGCTTGGGACACCAGATAGTGAAGTAGCTAGCCAGCACATTCTTTATAAAAGGAGAAGCTGCATCAAATGAAGTCCAGGCTGTGTCAAAAGAAGCCTATTTCTTTGCATGGAGAAGTAAGAAAATAATCACGTAGGCGGGGCGCGGTGGCTCACGCCTGTAATCCCAGCACTTTGGGAGGCCGAGATGGGTGGATCACGAGGTCAGGAGATCGAGACCATCCTGGCTAACATGGTGAAACCCCGTCTCTACTAAAAATACAAAAAAATTAGCTGGGCGTGGTGGTGGGAGCCTGTAGTCCCAGCTACTCAGGAGGTTGAGGCAGGAGAATGGTGTGAACCTGGGAGACGGAGCTTGCAGTGAGCCGCGATCGTGCCACTGCACTCCAGCCTGGGCAACAGAGCGAGACTCCACCTCAAAAGAAAAGAAAAGAAAAGAAAATAATCATGTAGGTAAAGGCAGAAACAGCAACCTGAGACCTGAGGCAGTACCTTATGGCACTTGTTAAGGAAAAATACTTTTGGATGTTTTAGAGGAAAGATCTGACCGCTGCAGCTGCTCTTTGTGCCAGGTAAAGCAGATCCCACTAACCTGTGTATACTGTGAACAGTAGCATAGTAACTCATATTGCACTGGCTCATTGCCTGCAAACCAGTCTCCTCCCAAATCTTAAGAGTTGTCCTGGTATGTGTCTTATGTTCATGAACAGGTCTACTCCCTGAGTGCTGCCACTGCTCTTCAGGGTGCCATACTGTCTCTGTCATGCTGACAGGCATGATGGCCGCAGCACCAGAACCCTCAGAGTCCCCATACATGTGGTCTGCAGTGAGGTGGTGAAAATGTAGTTATTGGCAGAGCAGTTCCTTCACTCAGCATGAGTACCTTCTCTTCTGCTACCACCCTTCCACAGGTGGTACTGTGGACAGAGACCCTGTTTTCTATTCTTTCATGATCAGTCAGGTGCGGCCACAATGGGGACACGGGGGAGGCACAGAAAAGTTGACTGTGCTTCCAGGTCCTAGAGAGGCAGTCACTGTGCACCATGAAGGGGCCACCCTGCAAAGGGAGGGGCTCCACCACGTGGAAGGAGAGCAGAGGGAGTGGGGACCTGTGGGCCAATGCTGTCACTGGGGGTCAGGGTGGACACAAGCAAAAAGCAGGCGGGGCTTCATCGGTGTGTTGAGCGTCTCAATATTACAGGAAAATTATTCAATGTCAACTGTTAAAGCACAGGGTCTTAATTTGTTTTCTGTTGCTTATAATATAATACCTGAAACTAGGTAATTTATAAAGAAAGGGAATTTATTTTTTACAGTTTTGGAGTTGGAGAAGTCCAAGGTCAAAGGGCCACACATGGCGAGGGCCTTCTTGTTGATGGGGAGTCTCTGCAGAGTTTCCAGGCAGCACAGAGCACCCCATGGTAAGGGGTTGAGTGTGCCAGCTCAGGTCTCTCTTCTTCATATAGAGCCACAGTCCCACTCCGAGACAACCTGCTAATCCCTTCGTCCACGAATGGATTACTGTCACACTGGGGATTAAGTCTCAACATGACTTTTAGAGAGGAAAAACATTCACACCATTCACAGCACAGGGTAAGGCTGACTTTATTGAGACCTTAACGGTATGGGGACCACCACGATGGGATTTTGCAGTGTGGGAGAAAGATTGAGCTTAATTCCCAATACAAGTGGAAATGGATAGCCAAGAAGCAAGGTGGGGGTGACTGGATGGAAAATTACTAAGAGATAACATGAAGGGGAAGGTGGGTACTGACTAATCTTACCTAATAGGCTTCTTGCTGAACACAGGCCAGGTTGATCCAACATCACCTAGGGGATAGTGAGGGATAGGGAACCTGGTCAAATAATGGGGGTGATCACATATTAGGGGGTGGTTCTTCCTAAAGTGACTTAGCAAGGCTGTTTGCTAAAACTGGATTTTATAAGGAAGTGTGCAGATGGGCCTTGGAGGAGATTCAGGAACCTGACTAGTTTGGTAGAACAAAGAATCTCTGTCACTAGGTCACAGTCCGGGAGGGCAGGAAGGGGAACTGTGGCAGGGCCAGCTCACCACACTGGGGCATCTGGTCACCTGGGCGGGGTGGGGGAGAGGGGGGCTCACTGCCTGTTTTCCGTGTTGAGGCTGCAGGGAAGCGTGAAGTTTTGAAATACATAATACAGGCCCCACGTGGTTCTGACCCAGCACCACGCAGTTCTCAGAACCACACATTCTAGCCCTGCAAGCACCTGAGGCTTGGTTCCCGGGCCAGAGGCTGGTACCTGACTCTGGGGTAAAGAGGAGAGCCGGGGCTGTCTGCGGGGCCTCAGGGCTCGGCGATGGCTGAACCCCACAGTGAGAGCCCTCGTGCCCCAGGTTTTCCATCGTCTTCCTCTCACCTTTGGGGCGCTCCAGATAAGAAGTGGCGTTTCTCAGGGAGGCGCCCCCACCTCAGCTCCTCCTGTCTCAGGCCCCACTTGGTGGGGAGCCGCCGCAGGCGGGGAGCCCGGGCTTGCCCCTGCGGGCAGTCACCGCTGCCCTGTGCCCCGAAACCACCCTCCCCGCCCCCCAGTGACCTCCCACCTCCGGGGTTCCTCTCCGCCTTGCTGCCTGCTTTGGCTTTAGAAGGGAGCTCAAGCTCAGCGGCTTTTGGGGCAGCCACGTTAGGTGCTGGGGAATGGAAGAGGATGACACTGCCTATTTTGACTCAGATCTTCAAGGATGAGCACACCCTCCCCTGGTAGCAACTTCTGCACCCGCCGGCCACCCCGTAGGGCCCTGCCCCGCACCGCACCCGGTGGCCTCCCCGGAGGGCCGTGACCCAAGCACCGCACCCGGCGGCTTCCCCAGGTGCTGCTCCGCCCAGTGCCCCCCCAGATCTCAACGTGGTGCCACAATGCCGCCCTCTCGCACATCGTGTCCTTGGACTATGTCTTCCTTTGAAAGGTCAGTTGCCAGGGGCCCTCACGACTCCTTGGGTGTGCTTTGGGCCGGCATGTATGTCCTCTTGCCCTTCTCTTACACAGAAGAGTGGGGAGGGTGTCCTAAGAATTTGGCTTGTCCTAAGGAAAATAAAGTTGTAATTTCAAGGCACTGACCAAGGTCTCTGTACTACTCAAGAGCTCAAGAGTGGCCACGGGGGAAGATAGCCCTGGGTGTAAAAGGGCCGCAGAAGGGAATCCCCTGTGCTCTGCATTAAAAAACCCCCAGGGGACAGGAGGCTGAAGAAAGGGAACCTACCACTTCTCCATAAAATAGTGTCAGTGAGCTGTCCAGGAGGGCAGGGGATCTGCCGATAAGAGAGCATTTAGGAAAATATGCCGACTCCTTAAATTGGGTTTCGATTTTTCAGCTTTTGAAAATATTGGTTTTCTTTAGGACAGGTTTCTGTACTTGCCAACAGTTGCCAGTTATCCACCAGCAGACTGCAGGAAGAAGAGACAATCTTCACCTCCCTCCTGGGTAGGGAGAGCTGAGAATTCACTAGGCTTAGCCTAACAAAGCCCGCAGTGGACGTTTCTGCTGTACCTGTCCAAGGCGTGATAGTTCCCCAGACTTTGGGGAATATCACCGTGGGTTATTTTGTCTAGTTAAGTCCCTGTGGTGGGATAAGGATGGCTCCTAGAGCATGTCGGCATCAGTAGTTCCTGGAGTGGATTTTCCTACACCGTCTAGGTATGAAAATTTGGTGGGAGAAAAGACCCCAGGAAAGGGGAAAGCAGGAAAGTGGAGCTAAGGGATGCTGCTATAACACTCATCCTGTTGTATCTGTTCTGTTTCCCTGAACTTTGAAGATAGTTATGCTGAGTACCCCCTTTAAAATGATTTTCTTCTACACTGTACCTTCCCATGGTCATGTTCTTGGTGGGGTGTGTTTCACATGTCCAGCCCTGTGGGGTTGGGGGGACACTAGAAGAGGTAGTGGGAAGCCAGACTTTCCCACATCATTCCACCGAGGCCACGGAGGCAGGAGGAACCGAGCCTTCCCTGTGCTCGGCACTGTGTTTTTCTTCATCATGTCACTTTTTACATTAACGTGTATTTTTGCTTGCTTCCAGAAAAGCACCTACATCAGCTATGCTGTAATCCTTGCTTTTCTCACCCAATAACTGGGAATCCCCAGAGAGCCAAAACTATCTTTTTAATCTCTTATTTCTTCATCACCTAGTACCATTTGGTGCTCAATCAACGTTTACTGAGCGGAAGAAAACGGAAATAAGACATTTTCCTCAAGGAGCAGAAATCATTACACGTATTTGGTCCAAACAAATAAAAATAAAGAGAACCAATGAAGACTGAAGTAAACCACATCACGATTACATAAATGTAAAGATCTGGTTGCTTGTGTCCTTTTTATAATACATACTATGATCTTTGCCAATTAACACTGGAGGACTCTTTCTGGTCGATAAAATGTTTGGATAATTAAGTATGCTTTCATTTTATGTCCCGGTATCAAAGATGTCCATTTATTCAAAACAAAGGGAGTGAACATAAAACATAAAAAGAAAAAAAAAAAGGCCTGTGGCTCCTCCTCCCAGACACCCCCCTCCAACAGTGATGAATAGGAGGGACTGTCTCCCTCCCCCATCCCTCGGAGACTAGCCTTGCAGTGTTTTAGACTGTTTTGAAATTCTGTTCTTTAGAAGAGATTTTTTTTTTCTTCTTAATATCAAACAAAGAACTGCTGCTATTCCTTTGGGCTGGCGCAGCAGGGGCCGGTGAAATGCAGGCTGACGACGGCGCGCCAGGGGCTGAGCTCGCCCCGGTCGGCGACGCGCACACACCTTGAGTGACAGCGACCTCTTCTCTACAGGTTTTCCCCGCGGGAGCGTGGCCCTAGCGGGCGTTCGGTTTTCTTTGGAAATCGCGGAGGGGGCTGGCCGGGCGCAGCGATCCCCACCCCGGGACTCCAGCCCCGGCCGTGCGCGTCGCCGCGGACGGGCTCTGCGGGCCACGGGGAAGGTGCGAGGAGGCGCGAGCAGGCTGTGAGCCGCTGGGCGCTCCCGCGAGCCCGCTCCTCTCCGTCGGGAGCAGGGCAAAGGCGCCAGGAACAGGGCAGAGGCACAGCGCCCACCGCCTCTGCGGCCGCCTGATGTGCGAGCAGCCCGCGACGAGGCAGTGCACGCTCAGACGCCCCGCTCCTCCCGCCAGCGCGCGGCCTCGCTCCTCCTAGAGGACGCTCTCTGCGCGGGCCCTCGGAGGAGGCGGCGGCGGGGCGAGCTGCAGCGCCGGGACAGGAGGTTTGTCCCCGCCCGCGCGCCGTACCGCGGCGGAGATGGGCGAGACCATGTCAAAGAGGCTGAAGCTCCACCTGGGAGGGGAGGCAGAAATGGAGGAACGGGCGTTCGTCAACCCCTTCCCGGACTACGAGGCCGCCGCCGGGGCGCTGCTCGCCTCCGGAGCGGCCGAAGAGACAGGCTGTGTTCGTCCCCCGGCGACCACGGATGAGCCCGGCCTCCCTTTTCATCAGGACGGGAAGGTGAGTCGGCGGCCTGGCCGCAGAGGCGCCGGAGGGGGAGCGCGGCGGTGGTAGCGTCCACCTTCCGCCAGGCGTGACGTCACAGGCGCGCGCCGGGCTTGGGAGGGCGCGGGATGATAGCGCCTAGCACCTGTCTCCGGGCCTTCCCGATGAGCCGCGCTTAGGGTCCGTGGGCTTCAGCTGCATGAACCACGTTCCAGCAGTTCGGCCCTCCTGGCCCCAACGCGCCTTTGAAATACGCGGACAGTGCGCTTTCCTTCTTGGCCCGAGCGGCGCTTCGCAATGCGGGCTTGTGCACTCGTGAGGCCCGCGGACACCTCCCGCCCCTGCGCGGCGGAGCGCTCCGCCGGCTACCTGCTCCTCAGAAGTGGCCTGGAGGCTGGATTTCCTTGGCCATATCTGGTCCCTGGGCTCTCGCCGACAAAGAAGCATTGTCCGTACTGTCTGTGTGCCCAGAAATGGGAAGCGGGTGTAAGGGGAGGCCAAACTTGACTTTCTTAGTGTCGCGAGGTGGGTCAGAGCGTTACATTGACATAAAACAGATTAACAACAGAAAAACATACATCTCTTGAATATGTTTTACGTGAAAAAGACACAAAGAAATGGCAAAACCCAAATACTTTTGTGCTAGGCAGAACCAAGAGCGGCAGCTGTGGGAGAGTAAAGTGTGCGGGGAGGCTAATGGAAGATGGAACTGCTTGAACCACGTCTAGGTAGAAATCTCCGCCTTGCTCGGCTCTGGTGCCGAGTGTTTCTTTGTTCCTGGTGTAGGGAGGCCATGTTTTACAGGAGTTTTCTCTTGTTTCATGAAGAAAAGGGGGCAGTTTAGAGCACTCTTCTGTTTTTCAAGTGCTTTTAGCTTAAAATAATCCTTATGCCAGAGACATATTTTTGGGATGGCATACCCTGTCACCCTTCACGGGCTATCTGAACAGAATCTAACGTGGGAGGCAAAAAGTGGGAATAAAACAGAAGATTGAATATCAGCACAACTGTTTTCATGCTTGGTAAAACCGTACCTTTACCAGGTTTTCTTTTTCCACTGAGGTACGTGTTCCAATGGCCACTTCACCTCCTTGGATCTCCATGTATTTCATATTTGGCTAAAACTAAGAAGGTAATTTTGAAAGAGCCATTGGTCTGAATATGGAATCTAAGGCAAGTGACTTCTGTAAACCTCTCTCTTCTTGAATGTGGTTAAAAACTCGAAACAGGCCGGGCGCGGTGGCTCACGCCAGTAATCCCAGCACTTTGGGAGGCCGAAGCGGGCTGATTGCTTGAGCCCAGCAGTTCGAGACCAGCCTGGCCAACATGGCAAAACACCGTCTCTACAAAAGAAAAATACAAAAATTAGCCGAGCGTGGTGGTGGACGCCTGTTCAGCTACTCAGGAGGCCGAGGTATGAGAATCGCTTGAGCCTCGGAGGTCGAGGTTGCAGTGAGTGGAGATTGCGCCATTGCACTCCAGCCTGGGCGACAGAGCTAGACGCAGTCTCAAAAACCAAAAGCAAGCAAACCTGTGGGAACAAGTCCTAACTGATGGGGATGTGTCTGAATTAGATGAAGCATATAAATTGCCTAGCAAACTGCCTGATGTGGTACCTTAAGAAAGGCCTCAATAAATGTTAATCTCTTCCCCTTGATGATTTAAGTTACACGGTTTAGATTCATATTCAATATTGGTTTTTCTCTAGATTTCTTCTATTTTTACATACAAATATGTGTTTCATTTGTGACTTAGTGTTTCATTTTTTAATAACAAAAATAAAAATCTGGCAAGCATTGAAAAAACTGCATCATTCATTCTTATTACCAGTGGCCATCTCAGTACTATCCTTGGAGTAGGTAGGTTACAGCAATGCTTAGTGAAAGATGAATGAAATGAACTCTTGACATGAGAATAACAAAAATAATGTTAGAGACATGGGAAGCAGGTGAGTTTCATTTGCAGCCTCACAGGAGATAAACACTAATTCAACTCAAAGTTTTGAAATTGGGTATTTTTCTTTTTAGCCTTTGTATCTGGATAAATGTGATTTTTGACCTCAGTTATATACCTGATTTATGTTGAAAAGAAAATTAGACTACAAGTAACTAATGGGGCTTGTGATATCTCTGCAATGAAATGTAAGTTGGGGTGGGGACCTATGCCAGTGGTTGTGAGTATATGCTAAAGAAAGAAATGGACATCATATTATTCTTGAATATGAAAATGAGAGCACGTTGAAGGGAGAGATGGATAGTGATTTTAAAAGGTGGAAAGATTGCTTCTTGGTTATTGGAAAGTCATCAGATAAAATGAATATGAGTTGAACACTGTCTTCCCTATTAATATTTTTTATGATTGACATTAAATTTTTGGTTTTAAAAATCTGTTAAGAATGCAATTTGAGGATATCACACTATGCACTGTTTTTGATAGACATGAAATTTCATGAAAATGAGGGTGTTATGGGTTGAATTGTGTCCCCCACCAGAAAAAAAGGTATTGAAGGTTGAAGTCCTAACCCATTGGAACCTCAGAATGTGACATTTGGAAATAAGGTCATGGCAGATGTAATTAAGATGATGTAATACTGGAATATGATGGGCCCCTAATCCAATATGACTGGTGTTCTTATATGAAGAAAAGAGAAGCAGGTATGATGGCTCATGCCTGTAATACCAGCACTTTGGGAGGTTGAGGCAGGAGGATCACTTGAGGGCAGGAGTTCAAGACTAGCCTGGGCAACATAGTGAGACCCTGTCTCTTTTTTAAAAAGAATTGTAAAAGAGAAGAAAGAGACATAGGGAGAAAGAAGATGGCCATGTGATGATGGAGGCAGAGATTGGAATTGCCAGCCAACACCAGAAACTAGGAGAGGCAAGGAAGGATTCTCCTCTGTAAGTTTGACAGAGAGCATGGCCCTGTTGATACGTTGATTTTGGGGCTGTAGGCTCCAGAACTATGAGAAAATAAATTTATGTGGTTTTAAGCCACCCAGTTTGTTGAACTTTGTGGTATCCCTAGGGTAACTTGTTAATTTGTAAGTTAAGCATTGAATAATTTTCTCTCCATGATGTTACCGAGTAATGATTACAAAAATCTACCAACACAATAACATTTTATTACTAAGTATTCTTTAAGTCATTCACTCTATCTCATTTTAGTTTGGCTGCCTAGGTATGTGGTGTGATCAGTCAATAAAATTATCCTCTGATTCTAAAACCACTCAAGTCGGCTTCTCTGGGCCATATTTCCATAAATTGGTATTTATAACATTTTTTACAATATTGGGCCAATATTATGAAAAGCAGTGAACCAGTGTAGTAGCAGTTGTTTTTAATTATGGAAAGCCTGTGACGCAGACACTCTTAGTTACTCATCTAACAGCCATTTCCTCCTTTTTACTTGATTTTGTTGTGGCCGTGGACTTAAGGGGAATTGAGCCCAGCTCTAGGAGCTGAATCATGATTAATGTCTTTGACCAGCAGCAGCAGCAGCTTCAACTGATGTTCAAGTCCAACCAGGAGATGGGTACCATGCAGAGTTTAATAGGGAAAGTTTAACTTAAAGAATTGTTATGAACTGTGAGACTGGAGTAACAAGAGATTGTCTCATGAGAAGGAAAGAGAACTCTGAAGAGTGTAGGAATAGCAGACAGAAGGAGCAGCCCCACCCCTAGGGCTGAGAGGGCACTCGAGTAAAGGCCCCTGTGATTAGCTCTGTTGCTGTGTAATAATTATCCCAACACTTAGCATCTTTATAAACACTTACGATCTCATGCAGTGTCTGAGAGTCAGGAATCCAGCTGCAGGTTAGCTGGGTGGTTCTGGCTCACGGTCTCTGGAGAAGCTGCACTCAAGCTCTGAACCAGGGCTTCTGTCATTTTGAGGCTTAACTGGGAGAGAGAATCTGCTCCAGGCTCATTCACATGGTGGTTAGTCGGCCTTGCTATGTGTTTTCTGGAGGCTTCAGTGTCTAACCACATGGGCTGCTCCTTAGGGCTGCCTCATGACATAGTGGCTGTCTTCCCTGAGACTGAGTGATCAAAGAGAAAAGTATGCAAGAGCACCCAAGATGGAAGCTGCAGTCATTGTATTTATTATGTAATCTCAGAAGTGACATACCATCACACCTGCCATATTGTATTCTATTAGAAGCAAGACAGTAAATCCAGCCCACGCTCAAGTGGAGGGGTTATACAGGAGCATAAATACCATGAACTGTAGAGTCCTCAGCCAGGGCTGAAATCTTGAACTTGTCAGAGAGGTCATTGCCATACCTCATTGGTTGGGAGAGAAATTGCTGTGATACTGCACCATTGCTAGGTGTAGCCTCCAGAACCCTGCAATGAGTATTACAGTAAGTGACAATATGTAAAGAATATCTTGGGGGCACAAGAGAAGAAAGAAGACGTGTTAATTCTGCCCATTCGCATCAGGGAAGGCTTTTTAGACTAAAATGATACTTTCATGGTCCTTGAAAGATTAAGTGGGGGTTTTCTAGGCTCAGTTAGGGAACTCCATGAGCAAGGACTTAAGGGATACCACATTATGAGAATATCAAGGAGTACGGCATGACTGGAGAAGAGGGAGCGTGAATGGCACTGGGGAGTATTGAGGCCGAAGACAGTGATTGGAGTTGATGCTGAAGGACTTGATGGATTGGAAGGATTCTTTTAAAATGAAATTTAAAATTGTATATTTAAGGTATACCACATGGTGTTATGTGATACATATAGGTAGTAAAATGGTTTCTATAGAGAGGCAAATTAATATATTCCCAATGTCACATAATTACCCATTGTTTTTTCTGTGGCCAGAGCTGCTGAAATCTATTCACTTAGCGTGAATCCCACATCCAGTGCATTTTTATTACCTGTAGTTTTCATGTTGTGCCTTAGAGCTCTAGACTTGTTTGTCCTGCATATCTTCCATTTTGTATCCTCTGACCATTTCCTCTCCTTCCTTCAACCCACTGCCTCCGGTAATAACTGTTTTGTTCTCTATCTCTGTATAGTTTTGGGTTTTGTTTTGTTTTTTTTCGAGACAGGGTCTCACTCTGTTGTAGGCTGGAATGCAGTGGCATGATTGTGGCTCCCTCCCGAGCTCAAATTATCCTCCCACCACAGCTGCCTGAGTAGCTGGGACCACAGACAGGTACCACCATGCCCAACTAGTTTTTGTATTTTTTGTAGAGACAGGGTTTTACCATGTTGCCCAGGCTGGTCTCAAACTTCTGGGCTCAAGGAATTTTTCCCAGCTCATATGCTGCTGTTTCATTTTAAGAATTGTTTCCTTTGCTGTGCAGAAGCTTTTTAATTTGATATAGTAATATTTGTTTATTTCTGCTTTTGTGCCATGAGCTTTTGGTGTCATACCAAAAAATTATTGCTATGGCCGGTGTCCAGGAGCTTTTCCCCATGTTCTCTTGTAGGAGTTTTATAGTTTCTGGTCAATCCAAAGGACTTTACAACTTTTTCCACAGAAAAAAATCAGGAAAACTTGTCTGTAATTTGATACAATCTTAAGCTATTGGAAATGCTTCAGTTTATAATTATTTAATTTTCCATATTTTTGTTTTGAAGCTTTAAAATTTGTTTAACCTCATAATATATCATGGAAGCATAAGGAAATCAGTACTACCCTAATACCCAGAGAAATGTAATTTTTTTCTCTTTATTCAAAATGAACTAAATTGTGTGTGTGTGTGTGTGTCAGGTGGAAGGTGGGGTAATATACTCTACAACTTCTCAGAGTGAGGTTTGTGGACCTAAATCATAAGCAGTTCCTCAAAGATTGTTAGAAATGCAGATCCCACTCCAAACCCAAGGAACCACAGTCTGCATTTTAACAAGATCCTCATGCCAGAGTACTCATAAATTTGAGAAGCATTGAGGAAAACTGTTCTACATGTAGCTTTATTAAATTTTCTTTTAATATGAACTTAATTAACCTCCAGCCAGTTTTCAGTTCCTGATGTGGAAAGATATTGACGTGGAAGGGTAATGGTAAGATTATGGAGAGGGAACTAAGAAGATATTATACATGAGCATTTTCCATCTTTTGGAAATAAATTGTAGCATAGAGCAGGTAACAGTTTTAATAGTCTTGTGTTTGACTCCTACTTTTCTGCCATTTATGACTTGTAGACTTTGAGCAAGTTATTTAACCACACACTGAACCTTGGTTTTCTTACCTCATCAACTTGATGTAAATGGTTAAATTGAAAGGCTAACTGAGGTTCTTAATATAACATAGTTGTAATATAACGTATTTGCTAAAGCTTTTAATAATGTAGATGTAATATAACCACCCCCTCCTCACTGGATTGTTATAATGGCTAATTAGGTTAATACATTTAAAACATTCAGAACGGTGCTGAGTACAGTTAGTACCTAGGTACACATAGTTACTGATACATAGGTGAATAGTAAGAGTTGAGTTAATGATAGCTATTAGCATTATTATAGACATAGCTTATTTGTATTAGAGTATAAAATGTGATAATGAAAAATTTGTTTACATTTTATATTTTCAGTGGAATACAGAAAAAAAACCTACTTTTTTTGCTCTTTAAAGAAATGCTTATTGTCTCCTTTTTTTCCTAAGGAAAATATGGTTAGATGTACAATATTTATATGGCTATATCCTCAGATTGCCAATAGTTTCCAGATTTCTGAATTCCATACACATACATTCTTCCTCTCATCATCTCTGAAAGGGCATGGAACTCCTGTTGATGGTGGTGAGATGATAAGGAATAACCAAACCACTTGGAAATATGGAGGTTGGGAATTCTACCCACAGTAGAACCTACCAGCTCATGCTGTGCACCTTTGGGCCTCAGCAAGATTGAAAATTGTCATCTATCATAGCCTGGGTCTCCAGATTCGTAAGTTTATGCTTGAAACTTCAAACAGGAGCTCTGAACACTTAATTCATGATTACCAAGGGCTTACTATAATTCATTTCTATTTCTTTTTCCCACTTAACTTTACTGCTTTCTGAGAACAGGAATTTTTTCTTGAACATACTTGAGTTATTATTTTTTAATTTTTTAAATATTTATTTATTTATTTATTTATTTATTTATTTGAGACAGGGTCTCATTCTGTTTCCCAGACTGGACCACACTGGCACAATCATAGCTCACTGCAGCCTTGACCTCCCAGGCTCAAGAGATCCTCCCACCTCAGCCTCCCAAGTAGCTGGGACTGCAGGTGTACTCCACCACACCCAGCTAATTTTTAAATTTTTTGTGTGTGGAGATGGGGTCCTGCCATGTTGCCCAGGCTAGTCCTGAATTCCTGGGCCCAAGCAATTCTCCTGTCCTGCCTCAGCTTCCCAAAGTGTTGGGATTACAGGTGCAAGCCATTGCACCCAGGGAGTTATTTTTAAACATCCTCACTGCTTGATACTGAAATAAGAACGCAGTAGGTAGTAAATGTTTGTTGACTGAATAAATCTATGGAAATTAAAAAAATTTTTTTATGAGAGGCATTTTTTGCATTTTATTTAATGATACAATTTTGTATTTTAAAAGCTATTCTGTATCTAGAATGTTACATCTTGGACTCTTAGATGACATTCCAGGCTACTGTAAGTCAAGAACTATGTAATATGCTTTGGGAGTTCTGGGTGAGGAGTGTGCTTTGTAAGGACAACTAGCAGTTGGCTAGGGCCAGACTAGGTTTTGAGCAAATTTTGCTTGAATAGAATTGCATATAACAAACCGAGTTTCTTTTTCAGAAAATGTTCCTGTCTTTTATAGATTTTAGTTAGTACCATGCAGCAATTGTTTAATCAAAATGAAACCTAACTTTTCACTGAGAGCTTTCCATAATTAAAGATAATTTGACCACAAAATCCTGCTATCTCCATGGGTTCCTTGTCTCTTGAACTGTAATTACATATGTTTTGAGCCCTTGTTTGCAGTTTATTAATACATTGTCACTTAACAGTTTGTCCTTGGTTCTTTATTGCAATTGTAAACTTCCTTGTGGTTATGCCATATATCCCCTACGAAGCATACATAGCAGATGAATTTTTATGATACACATCAAAATTGGATTGAGGTGTGTGTGCTTAGGATATGTAATCTAGAATATTTTCTGTTATATTACTGAGTTTGAAATAAGAAAACAGAAGCAGACCAGATTATGTAAATCTATGACTATTTTTAGCAGAATGAACTATTTTCAAACACCTCTGCAAAATAGCGTTATCTTGATAGAGTCAGTTTAGGTAAGGACCTGTTTATTGAAAATACCACTAGTGAAGGTAGATGTTTTCACTACCATCTAATTCTTTACTGTCAGAAGATATAGCTTCCCCACCCCTGCCTGCTTTTCCCATGTAGTAATTAGCTTTGAGGTAAGGATTGGGGGACTTTTGTTTTATTCATTTTGTTTGCAAAATGGAACAAAGCAAGCCCACACTCTTGCTAGGTATGTAACATCACATCACATCTTCATGTGTCTAACATTACAAGTGAATTAGCCTAGGAGAGCTGAATTAGGAAATGCACTTCCCCAACCCATACCCCTCAGCAGAAGGGTTTGTTAAAATCTTTCCTAAGAAAAGAATTACTTTATGGTATACAGTTTGCAAAGTTTGCACATCATCACATATGTAAAATGTGAGTCAAAAAGCTATTTTTATCATCTTTAAAATGTAGGCAAGTTATTTTCTCTTAGCTTCAGTTTCTGCATGTGTACCATGATGATAATGCTGCTTTAGGATTATCAAGAGGATTAAGTTAGATTAAGTGTCTCAAATACCCCATTTATTAGGAGTGTAGTAGATGATTTTATTAAGCTCTCCTGATGCATTTCAAGTATTATTCATACCTAAATGTTCAATTTATGCATAACTATTCAAAACGTACCTTTTTCTTCTTAGGAGCTATTTATTATGTGCATGTTGAACACTTGTTTTTAGACTTTTCACTCTCCTCTATTTGTAGTTAAGATCATCATAATTTTTTACAAGTTAATTGTCAAATCTTTAAAGTTTTCTGTATTTTTATGTATAGCAGTTGTATTTCCTCAAACTAGCACTAAATTTATCATAAAAAATACAGAAGAACACAAGTATTTTAGAAAGAGAATGATTGCATATTCCGTAGTTTTCAGATGGAATGACTTGTTTCCTCAGGAATGCCCATGGCATTCTCCTAAATGCATTTTAAATACCATCTCTGTCCTTCAGCACAGAATGCCCCCCTGCTTTTCACACAGCGAGCTCCTGTCTTTCTCTGAGACGCCTGTGAGAGGCTTCTTCCTCCAGGGTCTTCCTCAGAGTTGCCCAGGCAGACTCTGTTGCTTGGCCATTCCAAAGCCACTTGAAGGATTAGCTAAGAAAGTTGTATTTTTCCGTTGTTGCCATAAATACCACCAATTTTGCAGTTTAAAGCAGCACCTATTTATTTATCATCTTTAAAATGAAGTCAGAAGTCCAGGTACAGTCTGGCTCTGCTGGCTCCTCTGCTTAGAATTTCATAAGGCCAAAGTCAAAGCATCTTCAAGGCTGCCTTCTCTCCTGGAGGCCCTGAGGGTGAATCTGTTTCCCAGCTCATTGAAGCTGTTGGCCAAATCCAGTTCACTGTGGCTGCTGGAGTGTTCCCCACTTCCCTGCTGGCTGGCCTTAGCTCCTCAATGCCACCTGAGCCCTGCCCATGCTTTCCACATGGTCCTTACAGCAGCCGCAGATCAAGTCACTCTCACACTTCACATCTCTCTGATTTCACCTTCTGCCCTATATTTCTGACTTAAATAGGAGAAGTTTCTCTCCTTTTATGGGCTCATGGGATTAGATGGGCCCCGCTTGGATAATCCAGCATCCTCTCCCTATTTTGTGGTCTGTGACCTGTTTCAGGTTCCAGGACATCTTTGGGGGCCATTCTGCCTACCATAAAGGTTTCTAGTGCTTGTAGTCTGGAGTGGCTGCCTGGGTTTAAACTCCAGTCTGCCCCTTACTGTTGATATCACTTTTGGTAAGTTACTTTACCTCTCTCCTGTGCTTCATAGTTCTCATTTGTAAAATGGGGGTAATAGTTGTAGCTTTACTGTAGAGTTTTTATGATAGTAGTGAAGGGCAGCAACAGTCTTAGACAGAGTCAGTGCATTCCTTTCATGGGGCTCAGGATCCACCAGACTCCGCATGGACAGCCCTGCAAAGCAAGCTCCTCAGCTTTTAGCCCATTGAGGAGCAAGCTTTCAGGGCCTTCTAGTCCACACATTGCCCCACTGACGGTACTCCCTCATCAAAGAAAGGGTCTCCTAGGTCCACCAGGAAGCCCCCTGACGGGCTCACAGTGGTCATCGATGCCTTTCCATCCCCTCTCCACCCTTCTGAATTCCCCAGCTACACACTTGCCTGCCTCTGTGAGTGGGCATCTGATAACAATCCCAGTAAACTCCTGAATGCCTTCCACAAGGGTGAAGTAAGATTGTCTTCGGATATCAGTCTACATACATTTATATATTTTCTTGAGTATACCATATTTGATATTGCTAGTCAGGCATTTATTATATGCAATCATAATTATTTTTACGTTTGTCTCATTAGACCAGGAACATTTTGGGGAGTACCCAGTCTTATTCAGCTTTGTGTCCCAATAACAGTGCCTGGCACATGGAAAGCATTATTTGTTTTTCAAAAGAATAACTAATATTATACTCAAAATTTGCTAATCATCTACATTTTATTTCTTTCTTCCTCACCTATTTCAAAGGTATCTGAAAGTTAGAAAAATATATATAGTGCTGGGTATTTTATCATATATGAAGTTGTTAATATGCCAATTATATTATGTTTGCTACGCTTCATGCCAAGATAAAGAAATTTCATCCTTTATCTTCAGTAACAGTTGTTAGAGTGTTGATTATATCATCTAAAATATTTGTAAAATTGTAAAAATTTATAAAATCTACCCTTTATTTTTTCCATATGCAATATGAAATGTAGCTTATGAACATACTGAACCCATACCTTCTCTAAAATCTAGAGTTGAGGCAGAGAGGTACAGAATATGTGTATATGTTCTAGCAAATGACAAATTAGGAAATAAATTATACCCCTCAATTATTCCTGTGATGTACATGGAAAAAATATCATGAATAAAAAGGAATTTAATTTCTTGAAACGTTTTTCAAGAATATAACTGGTGTAATTTGTATGCTTCAGTATCACCCAGTGTCTGTCTGCCATCTGTTTATCTTTTTCTTCTTCTTTCTGTCTCCTTCCCCTATTCCCCCTTCCCCCTCCTCTTCTGTCTCGTCTTCCCAACCTCCCGTCCCCAGGAAAAAAGCTTTTTTATTTGATTCTAAGATTTATTACCATGAAAACATTGTGAGGAAGAGAAATAAATCTTGCCATAAATGTGCCTTGTGTATCATTTGGAATAATAGATGCAGTGACACCTCACAAGGGGTTTTACAACCAGTGATTAATATCTACTCCAATATATTTCTGCTTTATAATACACTTGGGCATTCTTGTTTGGGAAAATTGCCTACTCACCATGTAGGAAAAGAACATTTTCTTCCCGATTGCAATGTAATTGCTAAAAATCAATCTCAGAATCAAGAGATAAAACCTCCAAAATTCTTTAACTGCTCCTGCTGTTTCTGGGCTATGTGGCAGGTACATATTTCTATTCATATGGTATGACTGAGTGAAGGCTGTAAGTCCTGAACATCCAAAGGTAAAATGTAAATATAGAATCAAGCAAAAAATTTTGCAGTAAGCAGAGAATGCACAGCCCAGGAACTTTAGAAGTAGACAGTCTAGTCAGAGTTTCAAGAGCTTTATCTCTCAATTGTCATAAGACCTCAAGTAAGCCTTGGTTTTCTTACCTAAAAAACTGAATGATGTGACGATTAATTGAAATACGTAAAGCACTTAGTGCCAGGTACATAGTAAGTGCTCAGTAATTGTTAGTTATCTTTATAATACCATTATTGCCAGGTGCAGTGGCTCATGCCTATAATCCTAGCACTTTAGGAGGCTGAGGTGGGTGGATCACTTGAGGCCAGGAGTTCAAGACCATTCTGGCCAACATGGGGAAACCCTGTCTCTACTAAAAATACAAAAATTAGCCGGACATGGTGGCGCATGCCTATAATCCTAGCTACCCGGGAGGCTGAGGCATAAGAATCACTTGAACCCAGGAGGTAGGAGGTTGCAGTGAGCTGAGATCACACCACTGCACTCTAGTCTGGGCGACAGAGTGAGACTCAGTCTCAAAAAAAAGGAAAAAGTGTGTGTGCGTATATATATGTACATGTATATATGTATATGTGTATATATATGTATACGTGTGTGTGTGTGTGTGTGTGTATGTAAATAAAATACCATTATTTAGTGAGACAAACCAGTTAAAATTTCTCCTGGTACAGTAATCTCCATCAAATGTAAATAGAATTACAGCATAATAAATTTTCTTTGTACATGAGAATTTGGTTCCAGTATAAACAAATTAGAATCCTCTTTTATGAGAAATAGGAAAAGGGGAACCATAAAAAGTACCTTATGGCAAAGGGCAGAGAAATGAAAGGTTTTTGCAATTAAATTCTGGCAAATATTAAAGGGAACTGGAGGAAGCAATCACAAGTCTTAAAAATATACTCCAGTAGGCTGGGCGCGGTGGCTCACGCCTGTAATCCCAGGACTTTGGGAGGCCGAGGCAGGCGGATCACGAGGTCAGGAGATCGAGACCATCCTGGCTAACACGGTGAAACCCTGTCTCTACTAAAAATACAAAAAATTAGCCAGCCTGGTTGCAGGCGCCTGTAGTCCCAGCTACTCGGGAAGCTGAGGCAGGAGAATGGTGTGAAGGCAGGAGAATGGTGTGAAGCCAGGAGGTGGAGCTTGCAGTGAACCAAGATCACGCCACTGCACTCCAGCCTGGGTGACAGAGCGAGACTACGTCTCAAAAAACACAAAACAAAACAAAACTCCAGTATCATTTATGAGGAATGAAGGGTTAGTAGCATATGCTTTGGAATTAGGTTACCATGATAGAGCTAAGACGGCATGTGAGTGTGCATTAGGCCTGGAAAACTCAACTTAAACGTACTTTAATCAGCAGGCAGAAGGGGAGAAAAATTAGGGAAGTTCTGTCTTTTTTATCATGAAAAATAAGAACCTCCCAGAACCTCCTAGAAGACTTTCATTTAGGTCTCATGGGTCAGAACTGTGTCATGTGGCCACCCTTGTGCATAACGGGGCCTGGAAAATCAAGTGTCTCTTCTGGGGCTGGATGCCCTACTATTCTGGATATAATCAGATTTCTGTTAACAAGCAGGAAGGGTGTGGGGACTAGATACGGGCTAGGAACTACCTTATGGGTTCTGCCACTGCAGGTATTAAAGAGGTATCCCCTATTTATTCCTTCTCATGCAAATGATTCTGCATCTCTTTGATTACAGTAGAAACCAAAGGTCAAGACACAGGAGGCCTAAGTTACTAACATGGAGTCAAAAAGTTTTTAAGAAGTTGGATGGAGAACCAGACAGTTACTCTTTTTGGTGCATTCAGTAACAGAAGCAAAGTTAAATACATTTACAAGCACATCACCAAAACAATAGGGAATGGCAAATCCAGAAAGCATTGCTAGTAAGTAAAGATTGTTAAGTGAATGTGTTTGTCCAGTTAACTCATAATATCACCTTTAAGGTGGGTGAAATATTGATACTGTGTTTTTTGGTGTGCCATCTTTATCATTTAAGTGAGCATAATTATGAAGATTTTCATGAAGCTCTCCTTGGCCTTAGATTTCTAACTCAGCTTTCGCTATAAGGGAAGGTATTTTACCACCATGGTTGAGTAGGAATTATCGTAATTTACTTATTACCTTGAATAACATTTAATGAAAAGATACAATTTTGAAAGCTAATGGTATGTTTTAGTCACTTAATAGAATTCATTGTCTTGCCTACCTATTTTAGTCTTGGGCAACTAATAAATATAATGTCAAAGGGGAAAGTCGTATTCAGTACTTTTAGCAAAAATATATGCCTGTAAATATGCACGTTGAAATCCTCTTTGGCACAATTGGTTGGTCTCAAAATAGATTTGCCCATCTCTGAATGCTTAGCTATTACTTTCAATGACTTAAAAATGTAGACAAGGATGGAGGTTTTATGGTATATAATATGCAGCTGGAGTGCAACAAAAGAAGGTACATATACTGCATTGTTTTTTTTTTTTTTAACTTAAAAGGTGTTTTAGGGGATTTATACTTTAATGATGGGCTAAGACCCTGGTGGAGGACTCCCTGTATAAAACAACTATAAAACTTGTATATAATATAAAAAGCAACTACTCAAAGGCACTGGAGACTAAGCAGACTGCAGTGTAATTGGTTTTTTGTATTATGTCCAGATTCTATCGAATATGTTACAGTGCGTGATTGGAGGAGGAGGGAGGTTCTATAGAGTGCGTTACAGTGAGTAATTGGAGGAGGAGGGAGGTTCTGTAGAGTGCATTACAGTGTGTGATTGGAGGAAGAGGGAGGTTCTGTAGAGCGTGTTACAGTGCGTGATTGGAGAAGGAGGGAGGTTCTGTAGAGCGTGTTACAGTGTATGATTGGAGGAGGAGGGAGGTTCTATAGAGTATGTTACAGTGCATGATCAGAGGAGGAGTGAATTTCTTTTTTTTTTTTTTTTTTGAGATGGTGTTTTGCTCTTTTTCGCCCAGGCTGGATTGCAGTGGTGCCATCTCAGCTCACTGCAAGCTCTGCCTCCTGGGTTCAAGCGATTCTCCTGCCTCAGCCTCCCCAGTGGCTGGGATTACACGCGTGTGCCACCACGCCTGGCTAATTTTGTGTTTTTAGTGGAGATGGGGTTTCACCATGTTGGCCAGGCTGGTCCTGAACTCCTGACCTCAGGTGTTCTACCCACCCTGGTTTCCCAAAGTGCTGGGATTACAGGCATGAGCCACCATATCTGGGCGGAGGAGTGAATTTCTGTAGGGTATGTTATAGTGCATTCCCTGTGAAGGAAGTTTCTGTGTCCACGTCTTTTATCCTGGAGCTAAGTTTCATTTACATGGTGCACTCAGTGGCGGCAGGGGTTGCCTATGGCAAAATCACATTTTCCGGGAACCAGAAATCTAAGATGGGATAACAGGCTGATGAGATAATGAGGAAAAGGGATGAGCCAGAGGAGGGATCCAAAAATCTTGTCTGTGTACGTATCCAATCAAATTCTGAACAATGCGTGTCTGGAACAGACCCAAAGAAGCTTAGCTAAAGACGAAAGATAGAAATTGAGAGGAGAGCTGCTGCCCCAGAAACAGAATTTGCAATTCAATACAAGCAAGAAAACAGTGTACAAATTAACATTCCAGATGCAGGGCAAAGTTACCTGCTATCTGTAGAACCAGGAACATAGTGTGAGAGAGAAAAATAGGTTTTCCTCTTACCCCTCGGAGTTTTTAGCTGGGACAGACCCCTGTAACAAAAGACAAATTAACAAGAGAAAAACAAATAAGTGTTTTAATGTGTGTATTTCATATATACATGGGACGTACCCAGGGAATGAGTGTATCTCACACAGATGGCTTAACAAACCCAGCTTATATCTCATCTTCAGCAAAGAGCAATGCGTTTTTAGAGCAGTGACAAGACAAAGGACAGGGACTTTGAGTGTCTGGGATGCAAATCATAGAATGGCAAACAAATGAGGTTTGTGATGTAGATTTCTCTGGTGCCTTCTCCAGGCTGATGCCTTCCAGAGATTTCTTCGCTGGTTGGGAGGGAAGGAGGGACACCGTTTTTAAGTCCTGCTTTTAGGTAGGTGCGGGAGGGGAGAGAGCTATTCTGGCATCTACTTCTCAGTTCAAATTCATCCTTATGTCAAAATGAATGATTTTGAGGAGGCATATTCTGCTTTTCTACATAAAAGACACATTTTCAAAAGAAAAGAACATTAACTGGGTCCAATCCTGAAAAGAACCAGATAGTGAAACTAGTATGCAAGGATTTTAAACTGACTGCTATAACCCTCCTCCATGAAATAAAACAAAATATGCTTTCAATTCATGAAAAATGAGGAAATCTCAGTAGGGAAGTAAAAACCATTAAAAAAAGAGTCTCATGGATATTTTAGAACTGATAAATACAATATATGGCATTTAAAAGTTACTGCATGGCCTTAGCAGGGGAGTGGAGAAGACTGTCAGTGTCCTGTGAGTTCTGCTTGCCCGCTGCCCACACAGAGCTGCCTTATCAAGACGGGAATCACAATTTGTATTCACACAAAGCCAGCTGAACTGGAGACCGGAGTTTTTTTACTCAAATCAGTGTCTCTGAAAACTTGGAATGAGGTTTTTAAAGGATAATTTGGTGGGAGGGGACAAGGGAGTGGGAGTGCTGATTGGTCGGATCCTAGATGAAATCTTAGGGGTCACAGTGGGTTCTTCTTGCTGTCTTCTGTTCCTGGGTGGGATCACAGAACTGGTTGAGCCCTGTTACCAGGCTGGATGGCACCAGCTGGTGCATCAGAAGGCAGGGTCTGAAAATATATCTCAAGCACCATTCTTAGGTTTTACAGTAGTGATGTTATCCTGAAGAGCAATTGGGGAGGTTTGGAATCTTGTGGCCTGTGGTTGCATGACTCCTACACCATAATTTCTAATCTTGTGGCTAATTTGTTAGTCTTAAAAGGCATTCTGGTCCCCAGGCAAGAAGGGAGTTTGTTTTGGGAAAGGGCTGTTATCTTTGTTTCAAAGTTAAACCGTAAATTAAATTCCTCTTGGCCAGCATGGTGGCTCACGCCTGTAATCCCAGCACTTTGGGAGGCCAAGGTGGGTGGATCACTTGAGGTCAGGAGTTCCAGACCAGCCTGGCCAACATGGCAAAACCCCGTCTCTACTAAAAATACAAAAAATTAGTGGGACGTGGTGGTGATACAGCTCTGATGACTGGAGGAACACCAGGGTCCTTTGTCTCACGCTGATATAGATAACATGACACAGACATATGTGGAGTGGTTTTAAGGAGCAGAGAGTTTAATAGGCAAGAAGGAAGGAAGAAGCTCCTCCTTACAGAGGCAGAGGGAGGGAGGCTCCAAGCAGAGAGAGAAAAC
Organism: Homo sapiens; assembly: GCF_000001405.40. NCBI lineage: Eukaryota > Metazoa > Chordata > Mammalia > Primates > Hominidae > Homo > Homo sapiens. The sequence goes on from NC_000007.14 coordinate 55,383,307, forward strand.
CCCATGTGTGGTGGATGAGGAGGAATGGTCAGTTATATTGGGAGGCTGGAGGAGGCAGTATCTGATTTACATAGGGCCCAGGGGATTGGTTTGACCATGTATGTCATTCACATAGCCCTCAAAGTAATTGGCCCTCCCACCCTAGCCTTTTAATATGCAAATGTGGGCCACTATGATGTCCTGCACAGGTGGAGATATCTGGGGGTGGCCATGTTGGGCAGATCTAGTTTTTAATCCACATTAGCATATCAGTACTTGCTAGCCTAGCCCTTCAAGCCGTTTTTCTGCTAGAAAATAAACATTTCTGGAGCTGCTTTTATTACAAGAAAAAAACAGCTTGCCAAAGACCCCTTATCCTATCGCCTAAAATAATTTCTGAATAACTCCTATAATAGGGGCATGCACCTGTAATCCCAGCTACTGGGGAAGCTGAGGCAGGAGAATCGCTTGAACCTGGGAGGCAGAGTGTGCAGTAAGCCCAGATAATGCCACTGCACTCCATACTGGGCAAGAGAGTGAGACTTCGTCTCTCTCTATATATATATGTGTAATAAAATAAATTCCTCTCAAAGTTAATTCAGCCAACACCCAGGAATAAACAAGGACAGCTTGGAGGTTAGAAGCAAGATAGAGTCCCTTAGGTCAGATCTCTTTCACTGTCATGATTTTTTCACTGTTATAATTTTTGCAGGAGTGGTTTCAAGACAGAGGGAAGAGAATTAGTAATTAGTGAACTTGAAAATAGATCAATAGAAATTATCCAGTGTGCAAAACAGAAAAAAAAAATGAAGGGAAAAAGAAAGGCAGGGATTTAGGGACCTGTTAAATTACATCAAACCATCCAGCTGTTGGTAATTGGAATCATAGAAGGGAAGCAGAGGAAGAGTGGGACAGAAAAAGTATTTGAACAAATAATAGTTGAGAATTTTGCACATTGAATGAAAGATAGAAATTTATAGATGCAGGGCCGGGTGCAGTGGCTCACGCCTGTAATCCCAGCACTTTGGGAGGCCGAGGCGGGTGGATCACGAGGTCAGGAGATCGAGATCATCCTGGCTAACACGGTGAAACCCCGTCTCTACTAAACATACAAAAATTAGCCGGGTGTGGTGGCGGGCACCTGTAGTCCCAGCTACTTGGGGGGCTGAGGCAGGAGAATGGCGTGAACCTGGGAGGCGGAGCTTGCAGTGAGTCAAGATCACGCCACTGCACTCCAGCCTGGACGACAGAGCAAGACTCTGTCTCTAAAAAAATAATTAATTAAAAAAAAAGAAATTTATAGATGCAGAATGCCCCTCAAAACACCAAGAGGAATAAACACAAAGAAGCCCAAATCAAGACAAAGGTAAAGAGCACATCTTGGTAGGAGCAGAGGAAAACAACACATTATATATAGGGAATTTTACTGACGGCTGATTTTTCGTTAGAAATCATGGAGACAGAGGAGAATGAAATAACATGTAAGTCCTGAAAGAAACTAGTATCCAGAATTCTTTTTTCAGTGAAAATATCCTTCAAGAATGAAGGCAAATAAAGACATTTTAAGATTAAAACACTACCATCATCACCACCACCATGTAAAATAATTTGTTACAGCAGACTGGGCATGATGGCTCATGCTTGTAATCCCAGCACTTTGTGGGGCAGAGGTGGGAGGATTGCTTGAGCCCAGGAGTTTGAGACCAGCCTGGGCAACATAGCAAAACCCTGTCTCTACACAAAATACAAAAATTAGCCAGTTGTGGTGGTGCACACCTGTAGTCCCAGTTACTTGGGACGCTAAGGCAGGAGAATCGCTTGACTCTGTGAGGCAGACGTTGCAGTGAGCCAAGATCATGCCATTGCACTCCAGCCTGGGTGACAGGAGTGAAACCCCGTCTGAAAAAAAAAGTAACAGAGGTGATACCTGATGAAAACTGTCGTGGGTGAGTGGCGACTTTCTGGGCTGGTGGTGTGGGGGTGCAAGAATTTACCAAGACAGTTGTTGAGTACAGAAAGGCAGATTTATTAGAGAAAGAAGGAAAAGATGTTGCAAGGAGGTGACAGGCCAGTGGAAGAGAAGCTGACTGTATCAGGGGACCTGCCCCGATAATCATGTAGGTTCTTTTCTATTTTCCTAAGCGTCGACTGGCTTTAGAAATAAAAGGACAGAGTACAAAAGAAATTTTAAAGCTGGGCGTCCGGGGGAGACATCACACATTGGTAGGATCCGTGATGCCCCACAAGCCACAAAAACCAGCAAGTTTTTATTAGGGAGTTTCAAAAGGGGAGGGGGTATACGAATAGGTGTGGGTGACAGACATCAAGTACTTAACAAGGTAATAGAATATCACAAGGCAAGTGGAGGCAGGGCGAGATCACAGGACCACAGGATGGAGGCGAAATTAAAATTGCTAATGAAGTTTCGGGCACCATTGTCATTGATAACATCTTATCAGGAGACAGGGTTTTGAGATCAACCGGTCTGACCAAAGTTTATTAGGTGGGAATTTCCTCTTCCTAATAAGCCTGGGAGCGCTATGGGAGACTGGAGTTTATTTCACCTCTGCAATCTCGACCATAAGAGACAGGTACGCCTTGTGGGGGCCAGTTCAGAGACCTACCCCTAGGTGCGCATTCTCTTTCTCAGGGACATTCCATGCTGAGAAAAAGAATTCAGCGATATTTCTCCCATTTGCTTTTGAAAGAAGAGAAATGTGGCTCTGTTCTGCCCGGCTCACTGGCGGTCAGAGTTTAAGGTTATCTCTCTTATTCCCTGAACAATTGCTGTTATCCTGTTCTTTTTTCAGGGTGCCCGCATTTCATATTGCCCAAACACACATGCTGTACAATTTGTGTAGTTAACACAATTATTACAGGGTCCTGAGATGATATACATCCTTCTCGGCTGACAGGATTAAGAGATTAAAGCAAAGACAGGCATAGGAAATCACAAGGATATTGATTGGGGAAGTGATAAGTGTCCATGAAGTCTTTACAATTTATGTTTAGAGGTTGCAGTAAAGACAGGCATAAGAAATTAGAAAAGTATTAATTTGGGGAACTAATAAATGTCCATTAAATCTTCACAATCCACATTCTTCTCTCATGGCTTCAGCCGGTCCCTCTGTTTGGGGGTCCCTGACTTCCCGCAACATGACTGTATGGAAACAAAGGCTTGCTGGGATTGGTTTTACAGAATGGTGGTGTGGGGTGTGCTGGAGAGCTTTGTGCAGTACCAGTAATGCCAAGGCTGCTGTGAGCTAAGTTGTAGGTGTCTGGTCGTAAGTTGGGCACAGGAGGGCTACATGTTCTGGACCCTGAAGAAAGACGGACTTTAGCTTATCCGGCTTTTTTTTGCTTCCCACTGCTCCTACCAGCATGACTTCTTTTCCCCAATTAGGACTCCACATTTCCCCCATGACAGAGCAACAGTGACAGATCTTTGGCATGTGGGTGAAGGTATCATCTTCCAGCTGCTTCCTGCTGACTAGGTCATAGAGCTGGCCCTACTAGGATTGTTAGTTGGTTGAGAAGTTACGTGGGTTACTGTTTTGGATTGTGGAATGTAGGATATTGGACCTTGCTGGAGAAAGGGACTTGTTAGAGATGGGGATTATGTTAGGGTGAAACTGGTGTTCAGCTGAATCCCAGGGAAATTCGTAAAGGTAGCAGGCATTACTGGGGAGAGATTGTTATGCAATTTGCAGCATCATTTGAAGGTGAAACTGATGAACTCTAGAAGATAAAAGTTTGGGTTTTTTTTAAAGCCAGTTACCAAAAACGCAAAGAAAAACCTTTTGCAGTGTGACTTTTTTTGGAGGGGTGTCCATTTAGTTAACCTGGAAGTTAAACTTGATGAAAAAGTGTTTGAATTTAATTAGACACAGGAAGAGTGTGTTTAGGGTTAGGAGGTTATGAGTATAGCAGGGGAACACATGACTCATAGGAACAGTGTGAGACGTTTTTGATTACATTGAGAATTTAGATAAATGTCAAGAAAATCCAGGAGTACAGATTTAAGTTATGTTAGAGGAAAACATTGGTTAATGTTGACCTTCAAAAAGAAACGTTTTAGCACTAGGCCACAATAACAGAACTGGTGGAAAAAGTTACAGGAACTGACAAAGACTGCAGAAGAGAGTTACTATCCTAGGCCTCCTCCAGGGGAGAAAAAGCTGAACGCAGTGGGACACAGCAAACTGGGACACAGCAAACGTTGAACTTCTGATATATGCTTCTGAGTTTTTTTTGGTTTTTTTTTTTTTTAGAAACTTTTATAAAATTCTGAGTAAAACTTTTTGCAGTTTTATTAAGAGCAGATTAATACCTTAAGAAAACCTTGTTTTAACATAGAGGATTAATGTTACAAAGACTATCCTAAATAATTTTTTAAAATTATAACCAACTTAATTACATACAAAATTCCTTTTATAAATTCTCCTTCATGAACCTTTTCATGACTTACACAGACCGTTTATGACATACTTGGACTTTGACTTGTTCTAAATATCCTTTTTAAAAAACAACCTTACTTTAAGATAATAATTTACCATAGAAGATTTTTTTCTGTAAAATTTCTTATTATACCCTTCCTTACTAAAAATACCTCTTTTCCTTTTCTTCTTTAACTTTAAATGAGTTTTCAACGTTTACATATTAGTTGCACCATAAATAATGAGTCTTAGCACCAGCAACTTGGTAACAACAGATTTAAAGCAGTTAGGAAGAAAGAGGGGAAGAGAGCTTTAGAAAATTCTACATAACTCTACATTGTAGGTTAACCATTTGAGCTCTGAATTTCTCTTGTAGCTTGTCTATCAGTTTAAAATGTGCACAAAAACGGGCCATAATATGTAACCAGCTGGAGTTTTAAAGAAAATGACAAAATCAGGGGTTAGGATGTTAGAGACTTTTTCTCTTTTAAGGCTCGACCCCTGGATTGAACAGAAAAAGAAGAAAATAGAAGAAAGGAATGGGCCGGGCACTGTGGCTCACATCTGTAATCCCAGCCCTTTGGGAGGCGGAGGCAGGTGGATCACTTGAGGCCATGAGTTTGAGACCAGGCTGGCCAACAGGGTAAAACTCTGTCTCTACTAAAAATACAAAAATTAGCCAGGTGTGGTGGTGCATGCCTGTAATCCCAGCTACTTGGGAGGCTGAGGCACGAGAATGGCTTGAACCTGGGAGGCAGAGGCTGCAGTGAGCCAAGATGGTGCCACTGCATTCCAGCCTGGGCAACAGAGAGACTCTGTTAAAGAAAGGAATGGAGAGGAAAGAGTTAAGCTTTACAGGAGGACTTGTGAACCATCCAGCCATTGCAAGGTGCAGGGCCAGTCCCTTTACTACTTTCCTTTATCCTTTATCTCCATCAGTCAGGGAGAGCCTTGACATCTCAGACCTACATGGTATAGGACGAATTTTTCCCATCTCTTCAAGTCACCACTTAAGGTGAGCTGTTTTCAACTGGAGCAGAGAGCCCCTTCAGCTCAAGGCTTTCAGGGGTTGGGATTCTGTCCTGGGAGCCCTTTGGTCCTCAGGCCTCATTTACAGTGGCTGAGCTTGTGGCAGAGGGCACAAGTCAAGTGGGGCTTTTCCCGTTTATCTCATTGAGGGCCGTTTGCCTTTGAGTGGCCTGACCCTCTCCACTGGTAGCAGTCATTTGGAGGAGTATCCTTAGGGAAACCTGGAGGGGGCTGGGGGCTTTAGAACAGCCAACAGTTGAGCCTGCCTGTGCTTCTTGTTTGTATGTTTTTCTTTTTCTTCCTTTTTCTTTTCTTTGCCCTGTCCTCCTTATGCTGCTTTTGGTTATAAAAGACTAAGGAAGCGAATTTGATGTTTTTCTGCATAGGAGCCATGCTGTGTTACACAAGAAAGTTAGACATTTGTTTTTGAGGATCTGGGGGTTGAATTCATTCCAGTTTTTAAAAAATACAGCCTAGAGGTGAGTCTGCAGGAATAAATGGGGTCTGTCCCACAGTGGGACTGGAAAAGGTGTCACTCGGGGTTGACTGAACTGCAGTTTCTCTTAGGTCATCCTGCCAATGAAGAGGGTTCCGCTTATGTCCACTGAGGGACTCTAAGACTATCAGAATAAATTAACAAAGACCTAACTGTATGTTACACAAGAGATGGACTTTAAATATAAAGAAAAAGGTTGAAAGTGAATGGATGGCCAAGTAAGCAAGCAGTGGGCATCTGAAAACTTAGTGACTGTGTGAAATGTCCCATAAAATAGCTCTTAGGGCGAGCAGGTAAAGAGGGTGTTCAGTTTTGATACTTATGTTAATTAATTTTGTCCAGAGTGTAGCAAAAGGTTTTTGAATCAGGAATTTCTTCCTATTTACCTGACAACAAATAACCAGTGGGCAGTTCCCGGGTCCCAGTTCTTATCTGTGGTACAATGCAGTGCAGGTAGGGTATGATGGCCTTCATCAGCAAAGCCAGTATTGTAGATAAGGAAAGAAGGAAAGTAAATTGTCTGTGCTTTTTTATAAAAGGGGAAAAGGCAGTTGTCTCCCCTTCCCTTTCTGAGAGAGTCTCATTAGCATCATCTTTGTTTAATCTTTTCAGAATGTACATAAATATCTGTATGGAAAAGATGAGCCCATTGTCTTCAGTTTTACAAGTCAGAAATGTCTCCTGGTTCTGGGGCCTCATGGCACTTTGAAATGTAAACATGCACATCCAGGATTGAGGAAACTTCTCTGGAGTTCACACGCTGCAAGCCTTAGTTCCTAAGGTTTACTTTTAGTCCAGAATCCCAAATTTCAGTAGAATTTGCCCTCAAAGCCCTAATTGTGCAGAAACCTAAAAGTATTTTCTTTACAATCTCACGGAAGAACATTTCATTATGAAACTGAGTCGGTTTGTCAGGAAGACGTACTAGCCATTAATTTGCCTATGCTTAATAACAGAACTTCCAAATATATGAAAGCAAAAAGAGAGAGAGAGTTAAAGGGAGAAATAATTCCATAGTCATAAGGGGAAACCTCCCAATTAATAGAGCAAGTAGATTTATAAAAATCAGCAAAGGTGGGCCAGGTGCAGTGGCTCATGCCTATAATCCCAGCACTTTGAGAGGCCGAGGTGGGTGGATCACTTGAGGTCAGGTGTTCAAGACCAGCCTGGCCAACATGGTGAAACCCCATCTCTACTAAAAATACAAAAATTAGTCGGGTGTGGTGGCGGGTGCTTGTAATCCCAGTTACTCAGGAGGCTGAGGCAGGAGAATCGCTTGAAGCCAGGAGGCAGAGGTTGCAGTGAGCCAAGATCGCACCATTGCACTCCAGCCTGGGTGACGAGCGAAACTCTGTCTCACCCCATCTCTACTAAAAATACAAAAATTAGCTGGGCGTGGTGGCAAGCGCCTGTAGTCCCAGCTACTCGGGAGGCTGAGGCAGAAGAATCTCTTGAACCCAGGAGGTGGAGGTTGCAGTGAACTGAGATCACACCACAGCACTCCAGCCTGAGCGACAGAGCAAAACTGTCTCAAAAAAAAAAAATCAGCAAAGGTAGGAAAGATCTTAACAACACTGTTAAGCTACATTATTTAAGAATATTGCGTATTTCTCTTTGGAGAGACTGCCAACAATGAATAAGAATACCTATTTTGTTTGCTCTTAGTCTTGGGACTTAATTCTTTTTATATATATATATTTTTTAATCTGGTAAGAAATCCATGGTACTTGTTTTTATTTGCATTTCATTAGTTACTGAGTGATTGAACTTTTTTTTTTTTTTTTTTTTGAGATGGAGTCTCGCTCTGTCGCCCAGGCTGGAGTGCAGTGGTGCGATCTCGGCTCACTGTAAGCTCCGCCTCCCGGGTTCACGCCATTCTCCTGCCTCAGCCTCCCGCGTAGCTGGGACTACAGGCGCCCGCCACCACGCCCGGCTAATTTTTTTGTGTTTTTTAGTAGAGACGGGGTTTCACTGTGTTAGCCAGGATGGTCTCGATCTCCTGACCTCGTGATCCGCCCGCCTCGGCCTCCCAAAGTGCTGGGATTACAGGCGTGAGCCACCGCGCCCGGCCTGAACTTTTTTTGTGTATGCTTATCATTTGTTTTTTCTTTTGTATGAAGATGTTAATAATTTGGGGTCTAGTTATGTATTATGTTTATTGTTGATTTATATCTTATATTCTATGTATTTCCCCTTTGTCATTAACTTTTAAACCATCTTTCTGATGTTCTTGATCTTACAGAAGTTGAAATGTTTATATAGTTAAATCCATCCATTTTTCCTTTTTTTTTTAATTCTTTGATTTCTGCAAGTTGTTTGTTGTTTTTTGTGATTCTACTTATGAGTTATAGTCTAAATAGGGTATTATCTCATTAAAAAAAGTAACCTTATAAAAACCAAGATAGACTCCAACCAATGATGCACTGAGATGGTCCAAGGAAAGTAACTTCTGTCTGTTATGTTTGTACAACTTAGACTTTAAAGTATTTATTGCAACATTGTCCCATTCTTGTGAAGTTAAAGTTATCTCTTCTTTTGGATCTCAGATCATTCATAATTTCATAAGACGGATCCAGACCAAAATTAAAGATCTTCTGCAGCAAATGGAAGAAGGGCTGAAGACAGCTGATCCCCATGACTGCTCTGCTTATACTGGCTGGACAGGTGAGGCTGTGGGGTCTAAATCACTGATACATTTTATTCTTAGATTATGAGATGTAAGACTTGACTGAAATTTTCTTCTCTTTTAAAATGGTAAAGATTTGGCCAGGCACGGTGGCTGACGCCTGTAATCCCAGCACATTTGGAGGCCGAGGCAGGTGGATCACCTGAGCTTAGGAATTCGAGACCAGCTTGGCCAACATGGTGAAACCCCGTTTCTACTAAAAATATAAAAATTAGCCAGGTGTGGTGTCGGGCACCTGTAATCCCAGCTACTTGGGAGGCTGAGGCAGGAGAATTGCTTGAACCTGGGAAGCGGAGGTTGCAGTGAGCCGAGATTGTGCCACTGCACTCCAGCCTGAGCCACAGAGTGAGACTCCATCTGAAAAAAATAAAATGGTAAAGATTTTATATCTTTTTTTTTTCTTTTTTTTTTTTTGAGACGGAGTCTCTGTTGCCTGGGCTAGAGTACAGTGTCTGTTGCCTGGGCTAGAGTACAGTGGTGCAATCACAGCTCTCTACAGCCTTGACCTCCTGGGCTCAAACCATCCTCTTGCCTCAGCCTCCTGTGTAGCTGGGACCACAGGCACATGCCACCACACCTGGCTAATTTTTTGATTTTTTGTAAAGACGGAGTCTCACTGTTGCTGAGGTTGGTCTCAAATTCCTGGGCTCAAGCGATCCTCCTGCTTCAGCCTCCCAAAGTGCTGGGATTACAGGCGTGAGCCACTAGCCTGGCTGATTTTATACCTTTTAATTGAGGTCTTGCTCTATGTCTTCAATGATGAGATGATTTGGAATTTTATTTCTAAAGAAATGCTTTCTTCCTGAAGTTTAAACTTTAATATCTAGTGTGTCTTTTTTTTATAACATTATTTATTTAACCTAATATATAGCTGTCTATGAAAATGTGTAACTATTAAGAGCAAACTTTCCCTAGGGTCAGTTTTAAAGGATTCTTTGCTGCTCTGGTCATTGTGACAGGCTGTGGTGAGTGGTCTCTCTGTTCTGTGATATAAACTAACTACCCTACTGCCTGTACTCATTTGACTCATTTGTGCACATAAATGTTTTTATTTTTATTTTAATGATAACAACCAATAATACACTTCACATCAAAAAATGTAATTGAAAAATTAACTTGCCTTAACTAATCTTTGCATTCTTATTATTTTACCCAGTATTCAGAACATTCTAATAATTATTCGGGGAATATAAAGGATATAAAAGATAACCTTGTTCTCAGGGATTAGACTGAAGTCCAAATTGCTAATGACAATTTATATACAGATTTAGAGTGATTTCTTGCTGAATTCTTGTAGCTTAATTAATAAACAGCATAGGCCAGGTGCGGTGGCTCAAGCCTGTAATCCAAAGCACTTTGGGAGGCCAAAGACGGCAGATCACTTGAGCTCAGGAGTTCAAGACCAGCCTGGGCAACATGGCAAAACCTGTCTCTACTAAAAATACGAAAATTAGCTGGGCATAGTGGCATGGGCCTATAGTCCCAGCTACTGGGAACGCTGAAGCAGGAGAATCAATTGAGCCCAGAGGCGGAGGTTGTAGTGAGCTGAGATCACATCATTACACTCCAGTCTGGGCAACAGGAGTGAGACCCTGTCTCAAAAAGAAAAAAACAAGCAAACCAAAAACCAAAAAAAAACAGCATAGACAGAGATATACATGTTAGAGCCACCATGAACCAAACATGGGCCCTTGATAATATTGTATTTGTATTTATATTTACATTCATTTTTGTGAATATTGTATTTATATTTACATTCGTTTTTGTGATGCTTATTATTTGCCTATTATGCATGCAACATTTACATAGTGACATTACATATTTCAAACTTATAAACTTACTTCAAACTTCACACTTATAAACCCAGACAGACATGGAGCCAGTTCACTTACAGGACCAAAGATATCTTAAATGTAATAAAATTAGATAATTGTGGCTAACCTGAAGTAAAATACAAAGAATAAGGATATTTTGGAAGGAAAATAACATAGCTATTAGTCTCAACGGGTTTCCCCTAACAAGCCTTTTATTTACAGCTTTTTCGCTTGTTGAGAAAGGGTTTCTAAACCCCTGATCGTTAGGTTCCAAACTGGCTATGCATCACAATTACCAAGAGAGCTTTGTAAGAAACCACAGTTCTCAGCCTCCAGCCCAGAAGAGTTACATTAGGAACTCTAGAGGTGGGTTCCAGAAATCAGTATTGCTTAAAAATCCCTAGCCATTGCTGTCTTTAGGAATCATCATGGAAGTATTTGGTTTCAGTGATTTAAAATAATAGGGTTTAGGGGTTCAGGTAGATGTATGGAATCCACCTAGATCCATACCTCCCCTAAACTGTGTATACGATATAGGAAGAAGGCTGGGCACAGTGGCTCATACCTGTAATCCCAGCACTTTGGGAGATGGAGGTGGGAGGATGGTTTGAGGCCAGGAGTTTGAGACCAGCCTGGGCAACATAACAAGACCCCATCTCTAAAATTAGCTGGGCACAGTGGTAAACACCTGTAGTGCCAACTACTCAGGAGGCTGAGGCAGGAGGATGGCTCAAGCCCAGGAGGTCGAGGCTGCAGTGAGCCATGATTACACTGCTGCACTCCAGCCTGGGTGACAGAGTGAGACCCTGTCTCAACAAAAGAAGAAGAAGAATGAATGAAGCACCCACAACTTATCCCTTTAGCAAAACTTTGAGACAGAAAACACACAAGTCATGTTGGGTAAAAAACAAGCAGCATCCAGAACAAGTGTGGAGAGCCATGGTGTGCAAAGAGGAAGCCCAGGGTCCAGGCATGGCTGAATCACTCCGACCCCACCCACCCTCCCAGAATCAGCAAATAGCTATTCCAGGCAGAGTGGGCCACAGCCTCAGTGGGAACTTCTGTGGGCACATCTGAGTGCAGAGCGGGCAGGCGGTGTGCCAGGAGAAGCTGGGAATAAAGGCATGGAAAGTGCACAGGGAATGGGGTTGGAGAGCTGTAGAACAGGCATGGCTTGCGGAGAAGCAGGTTTAGCTTGCAAGGTGGAGCGGCATCCTTGCTGGCCCCCGCTGACAGTGTAGGGAAGGAAGGAAGCAGTAGCAGTGGGCACTCCTGATACAAGGAAGGGTCTGAGAGTCAGGAAATCTGGCCACCAGACTCCCTGTATGTAACATACACTGTTCTTCACTTAGCAAGAGGACACTGTTGGGATAAAAGTTGGGAAAGCTACATTAACCATTTTCCCCTTCCAGGGATTTGTCCTATTAATAGTTGATATAGAAAAATTCAATTTTAAGAAAAAATATAATTATTTTATCCATAATATAAAGAAGAAAAATAAAAATTTCTCAGTGGAGGGAGAAAAACGCACCAGGAAAATGTCACTACAAAGTGGAGAAAAATTGGCAGTACTTTCAACATTCATTTTGTAACTTAGTTAAGCAGTGAGTTCACAAAGCGGAGGTAAAGACATTCAGAGCAGAGATGGCTAGACAGTAAGAGCATGTGAAATAAGAATTGACAGACTAAGAAAAGAAATTTAAAGAAAAGATAAAAAATCATTTCAGAAATGAAACCAAAGCGCAAGGAGCCAAAGAAAGAGCTGATCCCACAGAGAGCACCGGGGCAGAGTGTCCTTGTGTCTAGGAAGGGTGTCATAAATGTTTGCTTAATAAATAAGTGACTAAATGAAACTATCAAGGAAAAAAATCAAAGAGAAAGAAAGATAAAGAGAGACTTCAGTTTTCCAGTCTAGCATATAAAGAGTTTACAAGTCACCATTGCATCCTAGCAACTAAAAAGCTGAACAAAGTGAAAACTAAACAGCTCTTCTTAGCTCCATCAGAGAAGTGAGGTCACAGGGGCAAACTGCTCCACCAAAAACTGGCGAAACAGGTGGATGCCGAGAATTACAGTCATGCATCGCTTCACATCATGGATGAGTTCTGAGAAACGCATCATTGAGCAGTTTCATTGTGCAGATATAGAGGTGCTCACACACACCTAGATTGTGTAGCCAACTACACCCCTGTGCTCTGTGAGATAGCCTGTTGCTCCTAGGCTGCAAAGCTGTACAGCATTACTGCACTGAATACTGTAGCAATTGTAACACAATGGTGTTTTTGTATCTAAACATAGATATAGAAAAGGTACAGTAAAAATATGGTATTATGATTACGATCTTATGGGACTATGCCTATGCAGTTTGTTGTTGACCTAAACTTTAAATATGAATTGTGGGGGCTCAGTGTGGGCAAGCCAGAGAGACTAAAAACTCAATGGGGACCCAGTCATAGGGGGCTCTCACACTTTTGTGAACTTTACCTCTAGGAGCTCCACCAGGTCTTCATGGTGAGTATCAGAGACAACTCCCCTCATGCTTCTCATAGGTTCGGGGGAAGGAACCATACTGAATTCCATCAGAGCCTTCAGTTCTTGACAAGCCCTGCCCTCTGGAGAAATTGCTTCACCGGAGCCTCTCCTGCAAAGGGTTTATCGCAGCCCCGCCTACCCGGAGCAAGGGAGATGCCTAGCTCCAGCTGGTTCTAGCTTTCAGCATTGGGGAAGGGAGATGATCAGCTGCAGCTTCTGCTGGCCATCCTGGCCAACTGAGGGCGTGGGGATGGGAGGCACTGGTGCAGTTCACAGTCCAAAGGCACAGGCTGGCCAGAAGGTTGAGCCTGCTCACAGGCGCGTGCTCCCCAGCACCTCCCACCACATCCCTAAGGGCCTGTTCATTCCAGCTCCTTTTACCTAGTGCAACGTGTCCGCCTGCCAACAAAAAACGACAAAGCATGATGACCTTTTTTTTTTTACTTTACCTTTTACCATTTGCTTTAAAATACTGAAGCATTAAGTATATATAACTGTAAGTTTTTAGGTTCATAGGTTAATCAGATCAACATCCTATTTTTAGAGATTTCTGAGTAAATCAGGGAATACTCATTTGTAAGCCTTTATAGTGATTATTATGTTTGAAATTTGTAAGTATTTAACTTTTACTGTCTGTTTCCTGTATGCTTATATTTTTTGAATACAGAAAACATGCTCTCAGGGAGATGATAAGCAACTCATGCTGAAGAATTTTTTTTTCAGAGCTTCCAAATATTCTACTTTCATATCCGTTTGACTCAACATCTTTAAAGAAATGGATAATGATGAAAGACTTCAAAAAGTGTTAAGGATTAATTTGAAAGAGAAGTTATATACCCTGAATAGAAAAATTGAAGAAAGAAGAAGCTAGATATTTGGAGAAATTTAAAAAGCAAAATGAGGCTGGGTGCAGTGGTTCACGCCTGTTAATCCCAGCACTTTGGGAGGCCAAGGTGGGCGGATCACGAAGTCAGGAGTTCAAGACCAGCCTGACCAACATGGTGAAAACCCGTCTCTACTGAAAATACAAAAAATAGCCAGGCATGGTGGCATGTGCCTGTAATCCCAGCTACTCAGGAGGCTGAGGCAGGAGAATCACTTGAACCCGGGAGGCAGAGGTTGCAGTGAGCCGAGATCGTGCTGCTGCACTCCAGCCTGGGCAACAGAGCAAGACTCTGTCTCAAAAAAAAAAAAAAAAAAAAGCAAAATGAAAAATAGTAAAAGCAGAGTAGGATATTATTAGACAAAGACTAGAATATTGAAGAACCTCAACTTAAACATGAAAGAAATATTTCATTTGCCCTTTTCACCAGCATGTCATCTCTGTCAATGTTGGTTCCTATAAAAGACTTCAGTAAATACATATTTATACTGATTCTTTTTTTTTTTTTTTTTTTTTACTTAGCTGTCATATTGTCTTCTCGAACCCAGATGTAAGGACATGCTTCTTTAAGAAGCCATATAGGCCCTTCTTTGGAGATTCTCAGATTCATTTGAAGACCTGAGTCTGTTCTTTATCTAGAATGGAAAGGTTGGTGGGTGGTGAACCACACACGCCCTTTGTACTGATCACCTTACTCTGTACTGTGTGGCTGCTCCAGAAATGGCGAGTTCACTCACCAGTTCATTGGTCAGTTGTAGGGTTGTTCACTAAAGAACATTGAAAAATTGGGAAAAATAGAAAAAAAAATAGGAAGAAGGGAGTATAAAGTTCAGAAAAGCAATCATTTGGGATAACATAGGAGAAATGATTTTACAATAAGTAAAAAGAAGAAGATCCAAGTTAGGATCTACAAGGGAGAATGAATACAACCTTGGAATGAATGAAAATTAACTGAGGATGAGTAGGAAGTGATGTATCTTCTGTTGTCTGTGAATAAGAGGTATTAAATCACTGTGCCAGGACAAGCACCAAGATAACATGTACAAACATGGTTTCTGTTCTTTCCTCCCTGATTTCTCTGTCTTGGTTTTATTTTGTTTATTCATTTTTAAGAAATATATGAAATGTATTGTTTTGGTGTTACCCGTTTGGAAACATAGATTTATGTAGAAGAAGGTATTTCATGTAATTATAAATAATGTCCTGAAGATAAAAGGAAAAGATAATAATGCTTTTCTTTTGGGGTGGGAAATTATTCCAGGCATAGCCCTTTTGTACCTGCAGTTGTACCGGGTCACATGTGACCAAACCTACCTGCTCCGATCCCTGGATTACGTAAAAAGAACACTTCGGAATCTGAATGGCCGCAGGGTCACCTTCCTCTGTGGGGATGCTGGCCCCCTGGCTGTTGGAGCTGTGATTTATCACAAACTCAGAAGTGACTGTGAGTCCCAGGAATGTGTCACAAAGTGAGTTTTAGAACTGGAAACATTTTCTCCCAATTCCCAGTGGAAGCTCTTGCTGTAGAAAGATATTCAGAAAGGAAACTATTTTTCCATTCATCCATTGTTGTAAACAGATCACTCCAAAATGTTAATCTTGAGCATAGTGGTGGGATCATATGCCCTCTTTTTATCCAAGCATGTGTGTGCCTTAATTTTGGGAAGAATAAATATATTTCCTTATTTTAACCATGTTTCCTAAGCA
The DNA here is from genome assembly GCF_000001405.40 of Homo sapiens. NCBI lineage: Eukaryota > Metazoa > Chordata > Mammalia > Primates > Hominidae > Homo > Homo sapiens. The sequence goes on from NC_000007.14 coordinate 55,398,869, forward strand.
ATTTTTTGTTTTCTTCAATGCATGAAAATTAGCTTACCTGCTTTAGATTCACCATAATAACTAAACTGATGTTAGGTTCAACCCTTAAGTAACTGATTAGATATGCTAATGATGGAACAATTAGGGAATGTAAGCTTTTATTGCACCTATTGGTTTACGTTCTTCCTTGAAGAAGCAGAAATCACGGTTCATTCCTAGGGTCTGGTAGAGTATCTGGCACGTGCTAGTCAGTTAATGTTTGTTGAAAGATAGGATGACGCTGGGTATAGTGGCATGTGCTTGTAGTTCCATTAACTTGGGAGGCTGAGGCAGGAGGATCACTTGAGCTCAGGAGTTCAAGGCTGCGGTGAGCCATCATCCTGTCACTGCACACCAGCCAGGGCAACAGAGCAAGACCCTGTCTCTAAAGAAAAAGAAAGAAAAAAAAAAAGACAGAATGACAGTCTAATTCCCAAGCATTGGTGACATTGCAGTCCTTTTTTTTTTTTTTCTGAGATGGAATTTCGCTCTTGTTGCCCAGGCTGGAGTGCAATGGCGCGATCTCAGCTCACTGCAACGTCCGCCTCCTGGGTTCAAGGGATTCTCCTGCCTCAGCCTCCAAAGTAGCTGGGATTACAAGCATGTGCCACCACACCCAGCTAGTTTTGCATTTTTAGTAGAGACGGGGTTTCACCATGTTGGTCAGGCTGGTCTTGAACTCCTGACCTCAGGTGATCCACCTACCTCGGCCTCCCAAAGTGCTGGGATTATAGGCGTGAGCCACCGTGCCCGGCCTGCAGTACCATTTTTATTTAAATTTTAAATCACTTTCTTTTACTTCTGGATTTCAAAATAAAATTTTATGGTTTAAAATAGATGTAAAGGTAGAAATTAACAGAAAGATGTTTTGTTTTTAATTTTGACATTCAAAAGGGGACTAGTAAACTGGAGACGTTTTTGTTGTGTTCTGGATTTGGGAGTATTTTTAAAAATAATTGTTTTAAATGTAAAATAAATAATAGGTAATTCCTAAAGCAACAGGGTTAGTGTTTCAGGAAGAAGTACTTTAGACTTCCACTGGGAAAAAATTAATTTTTCTTATTGGTTAGACTTTTGCAGCTCCAGAGATCGGTTGTCTGCCAAGAATCAGACCTTCCTGATGAGCTGCTTTATGGACGGGCAGGTTATCTGTATGCCTTACTGTACCTGAACACAGAGATAGGTCCAGGCACCGTGTGTGAGTCAGCTATTAAAGAGGTACTATGGGGTATGGGTAACTATGGGCGTCTCTACCATTCAAACCTATTTGCTAGCATTGAGTTGTATTAACAGCTGGACTTTACTTCTAGGTAGCATTACTTTTTTAAAGCAACTCATCAAAAGTAAGAAATAGTCCCTGCTTTTTTCTAGGAACATTAACAAAAAAAATCTGTACTCTCTTTCATCTTGTATTAATTTATCAGTTTTTACTGGAGCTAAACAGCAGCAGCTTCAGAAAGTTAGAATGTTTATTTATCTTTCGTGAGATGTCTCAGCTGGTAAGCATTTCAGGCTGGTATGAGTGGGGACCAGCTTCTTCTGTCTCATTCTGCCTTATCCTAGGGGCATACCCTTATTTGCAGGACCAAGGCTAGTTTAGCCCCTCAGCCTATGAAGGGAAAAGAGGAGGTGGAGGCAACGCAGCTTCCTTGTTAGGGACTCAGTCTCCAAGTTGCCCTCTTTACTTCTGCTCCCATCCCAGTGCCAGAACTTCATCAAGTGTCTGTGTTCAGCTGTCTCTAACTAGGGAGCCAGATGCCCAGCTAAAACTTGGAATACTTTCCCAAAAAGGATGAGAGGAGATAGACGTGAGGAAACAGTCATCCCAGACATGATATTCTGTTGATCTAACTGAAATCCTTCATGCCACAGCAGACCTCATATCATTAGCCTTTTATAAATAAAGCCAGTTCCTCCAGCCTTTCCTGATAGGTGTATGTGCTGCTCTTTTGGGAAAAATACTGCAGCTACGAAGCAACTAAGAAATCCAAAACAGTTTTATAAGAAGTTTTTCTAGATTTTTCGTTGACTTTTTATGCAAAGAATTTTTTATTTCTTAGACAGTATCTTTTCCTACTCTGACATTGGCTCCTGATTTCTTTTTGCCTGCATTTATTAATTTATAAAATAAATATAACTATATTAGCTGCTAACTGCTTAAAGACTTTTAGATTAAGGCTTCTGCCTCTCTCTCTATATATGTCATATATATATGACATACTGTTAATTAGACTACAACAGGGTACATATACAGTTTTAGATTTATGCTGTCTTGTTATCTCTGTAGGTAGTCAATGCTATTATTGAATCGGGTAAGACTTTGTCAAGGGAAGAAAGAAAAACGGAGCGCTGCCCGCTGTTGTACCAGTGGCACCGGAAGCAGTACGTTGGAGCAGCCCATGGCATGGCTGGAATTTACTATATGTTAATGCAGGTAGGTAAGAATACTCTTACACACTACAGTATATTTGATCAAACATGAAATGGGAAATGAATCCTGCATATAAACAAAGCAGTCTGGATTGAAATACCCTACTTTGAATCGCTGATGCGTAACTCTGCCACATAAACCACAGGCAGTGGATTTCTAAGAGTCCAGTGAGTTCCTGAGTACATTTGGTATGGAGTCTTTTTTTTTTTTTTTTTTTTTTTTTTCCAATTTTCTTTTTTTTTTTTTTTTGATCATTCTTGGGTGTTTCTCGCAGAGGGGGATTTGGCAGGGTCACAGGACAGTAGTGGAGGGAAGGTCAGCAGATAAGTGAACAAAGGTCTCTGGTTTTCCTAGGCAGAGGACCCTGCGGCCCTCTGCAGTGTTTGTGTCCCTGGGTACTTGAGATTAGGGAGTGGTGATGACTCTTAACGAGCATGCTGCCTTCAAGCATCTTGTTTAACAAAGCACATCTTGCACCACCCTTAATCCATTTAACCCTGAGTGGACACAGCACATGTTTCAGAGAGCACAGGGTTGGGGGTAAGGTCACAGATCAACAGGATCCCAAGGCAGAAGAATTTTTCTTAGTACAGAACAAAATGAAAAGTCTCCCATGTCTACCTCTTTCTACACAGACATGGCAACCATCCGATTTCTCAATCTTTTCCCCACCTTTCCCCCCTTTCTATTCCACAAAACCGCCATTGTCATCATGGCCCGTTCTCAATGAGCTGTTGAGTACACCTCCCAGACGGGGTGGTGGCCGGGCAGAGGGGCTCCTCACTTCCCAGTAGGGGCGGCCGGGCAGAGGCGCCCCTCACCTCCCGGACGGGGCGGCTGGCCGGGCAGAGGGGCTCCTCACTTCCCAGTAGGGGCGGCCAGGCAGAGGCGCCCCTCACCTCCCGGACGGGGCGGCTGGCCGGGCGGGGGGCTGACCCCCCCGCCTCCCTCCCGGACGGGGCGGCTGGCCGGGCGGGGGGCTGACCTCCCCGCCTCCCTCCCCGGACGGGGCGGCTGGCCGGGCAGAGGGGCTCCTTACTTCCCAGTAGGGGCGGCCAGGCAGAGGCGCCCCTCACCTCCCGGACGGGGCGGCTGGCCGGGCGGGGGGCTGACCCCACCACCTCCCTCCCGGACGGGGCGGCTGGCCGGGCAGAGGGGCTCCTCTCCTCCCAGTAGGGGCGGCCGGGCAGAGGCGCCCCCCACCTCCCGGATGGGGCGGCTTGCCGGGCGGGGGGCTGACCCCCCCACATCCTTCCCGGACGGGGCGGCTGGCCAGGCGGGGGATGACCCCCCCACCTCCCTCCCGGATGGGGCGGCTGGCTGGGCGGGGGGCTAACCCCCCCACCTCCCTTCCGGACGGGGCGGCTGGCCGGGCGGGGGGCTGACCCCCACCTCCCTCCCAGACGGGGTGGCTGCCGGGCGGAGACGCTCCTCACTTCTCAGACGGGGCGGTTGCCGGGCGGAGGGTCTCCTCACTTCTCAGACGGGGCGGCCGGGCAGAGACGCTCCTCACATCCCAGACGGGGCGGCAGGGCAGAGGCGCTCCCCACATCTCAGACGATGGGCGGCCTGGCAGAGACGCTCCTCACTTCCTAGATGGGATGGCGGCTGGGCAGAGATGCTCCTCACTTTCCAGACTGGGCAGCCAGGCAGAGAGGCTCCTCACATCCCAGACGATGGGCGGCCAGGCAGAGACGCTCCTCACTTCCCAGACGGGGTGGCGGCCGGGCAGAGGCTGCAATCTCGGCACTTTGGGGGGCCAAGGCAGGCAGCTGGGAGGTGGAGGTTGTAGCGAGCCGAGATCACGCCACTGCACTCCAGCCTGGGCACCATTGAACACTGAGTGAGTGAACGCGACTCCGTCTGCCATCCCGGCACCTCGGGAGGCCGAGGCTGGCGGATCACTCGCGGTTAGGAGCTGGAGACCAGCCTGGCCAACACAGCGAAACCCCGTCTCCACCAAAAAAATACGAAAACCAGTCAGGCATGGCGGCGCGCGCCTGCAATCGCAGGCACTCGGCAGGCTGAGGCAGGAGAATCAGGCAGGGAGGTTGCAGTGAGCCGAGATGGCAGCAGTACAGTCCAGCTTTGGCTCGGCATCAGGGGGAGACCGTGGAAAGAGAGGGAGAGGGAGAGGGAGAGGAGGGAGAGGGAGAGGAGGAGCCTTTCCAATTTTCTTTCGGTATGGAGTCTTAAAGCAGATTAGTTATCTGTTCCCCACACTTTTCTGGGTTTTTTTTGTTTGTTTGTTGTTTTTTTTTTTTTTTTTTTTGAGACAGAGTCTCACTCTGTCGCCCAGGCTGGAGTGCAGTGGTGTGATCTCGGCTCACTGCAACCTCCACCTCCCAGGTTCCGGTGATTCTCCTGCCTCAGCCACCCGAGCAGCTGGGACTACAGGCGCGCACTACCACCTCCAGCTAATTTTTGTATTTTTAGTAGAGACGGGGTTTCACCATATCGGCCAGGCTGGTCTCAAACTCCTGACCTCATGATCCGCCCACGTCAGCCTCCCAAAATGCTAGGATTATAGGCATGAGCCACCGTGCCTGGCTTGCCCACCCTTTTCTTCTGTGCTTGTCTTCCTGTTAATTGCAGTAGGAACTCTTAATGGGGAAAAATCTTCAGGGAGCAACAGGGCCTGCAGAACCCAACTGAGGCAGAGACTTTGTCATGTCCTGATAACTTTGCTTGCTGTCAGTTGTCTTCTGTGCTTTTGATGAGTTTATTGCTGTGGTTATGATCTTGTCTCTCAAACATCCCTGACAACGATAGAGTACTGACTCTTCTATCAGGCCAGTAGAGACCCCATAACTAAACATTGCTTCAGGCTGTGCTTGGCTTGAGCATAAGCCTAGGGCTTCAGCCTAGCCTGTGGCCTAAGTTCTCTTCCCTGCCAAGCGCACAGCCGCCTCTGCCACCGCCTCCTCCTCCTTCTTCTCCTCCTCCTCCCTCCTCTACCTTTCTTCCTGCCCACTGTTCTCCTCCTCCTCCTTCTTTCTTCTTCTTTTAAATTTAAGCTTTCTTTATTCTGCAAAACTACAAAACTAGTAAGTCAAAGGATATGGATTAGAATTTAGATATCTTAGACTGGAAAACCTATATATTACTTTTTAAAATTTTACTTCAGATTCTTTTTATGTCTAACCTACTGCCTCATGTTCTCACTCACTAAAGGAAACCAGGAAATTCATACCTACACAGGATTAAAACTTTTTCTAGTTATTGTCTTTGTTTATTGTTGTTGAAAGTAAAACATGCATATATGCATATAGTTCATTTTGTGAATTTTCTTTCTTTTTTTTTCTTTTTTTTTTGAGATGGAATCTTGCTTTGTCGCCCAGGCTGGAGTGCAGTGGCGCCATCTCAGCCCACTGCAACCTCCGCCTCCTGGGTTCAAGCCATTCTTCTGCCTTAGCCTCCTGAGTAGCTGGGATTACAGGCATGCACCGCCACACCTGGCTAATTTTTGTATTTTTAGTAGAGATGGAGTTTCGCCATGTTGGCCAGGTTGGTCTCGAACTCCTGACCTCTGGTGATCCACCCACCTCAGCCTCCCAAAGTACTGGGATTACAGGCTTGTGAATTTTCTTCATGATGCAGGTACATGCTTTCAAAGTAACCAGAATTCCATACCTCATTTAAAAATGGCACTGTTATTTTGAACAGTTAGATTTTGTGTATGTGTTAGGGTTCTCCAGAGAAACAACCAATAGGAGATAAATATTATATATGAGATGGGATTTCTTAAAGGAATTGGCTCACGCAACCATGGAGTCCCAGAAGCCCCATCATCTGTCATCTACAGTCCTAAGACCTGGGAATGCCAGGGCTGTAACTCCACTCCGAGTCAGAAGACTGAGACCCAGGGGAGCCAAATCCCAGTCCAAGGGCAGGAGGAGACTGTTGCCCTGGTTGAAGCCGGCAGGCAGGAAGGAACAGATGTTTTCTTTCTCTGCCTTTGGTTCTGTTCAGGCCTTGGAGGGACTGGATGAGGTGCACCCACTTTGGGGAGGGCCATCTGCCTGACTGAGTCCACACCGTTCAATGCTAATCTCAACTGGAAACACCTTTAGAGACACACCCAGACACCATGTTTAATTTGACACATAAAATTATCTATCATAGTGTATTCTGTATTTTCCCGGGAAAATGTTTTAACAGTGGTTCAGGAACTTTTTTTTTTTTTTTTTTTTGGGACAGGGTCTCACTTTTGCCCAAGCTAGAGTGCAGTGACACAATCTCTGCCTACTGCAAACTCCATCTCCCGGGTTTAAGTGATTCTCCTGCAGCCCCACGAGTGTGCTGGGATTACAGGCGTCCACCACCATGCCTGGCCGGAACTTTTTTTTTTTAATGCTAATTCCCTTAGGGGAACATAGTAATGTAAGAACCATGCCAGTGTCTTTCATGTGTTTAGGCTGATTTTGCTGTATATTATGGACTTCCTTGGGAGGAATACAAATCATAAAATACTCCATTGATCTGCTTTTAAAGTGAGGAACTTGGAACACTATGTAGTAAGTACTTGACTTAGAGATTGAGCCAGGTTTTCTTTCAAGATTCTTAGGCAGTGGCGTGGTAGAGCCAGCATGGGGAGCTGCCCGCATCTCTTCCCTGCTGCACGGTTCGTGGCTGTTGTCAGTGCAGAACTACGATTCAGAAATGTGGAAAGGAGGGCTTTGTTTCTCATACAGGGTTACAGCCTGCAGCTAATCATACGTAGCCTTGGGCTAGAAGCCAGAAATATTCTGAGGGAGTGGAAAGGGAGCAGGAACGTATGCCAAGCCAGGTGGCCGAATGTATGTGTCGGTGAGCTGCAGGAGGAGTGGAGTAGTTGCTAGAGAAGTGTGTGCCTGCAGACTTGGACTTCGTGCTCCTTCTTGAGATCCATGTTCAGAAAATGGTGGCACAAGCGGGATCCAAGGGTAGCATTTTCCACCCTCTGAGTCAAAAGGTGAAGCAGAGGAACAAAACCCCTCCCTGCATGTCCTTCATAGGCTGGCCAGAGCGTCCCTGGTGCCTTCTCAGGAACAAGTGCTGGCTGCTTGGGTTGTTGAAGCCACAGAAGATGGGGGAGCAGTCAGGTGGTTGTCGCTGGCAGTGCAGAGTCGGCTGAAAGATCTGGTTCCCGCTTAGCCCTTAGGGCAGAAAGCCTCATGGGGTCAGCAGGGGACGGGCAGAGCAGGGTGAGCCCCACCTCTTAGCCTGTCATGACTGGGAGCTTAGCTTCAAGGTTGCCTCAGGCTTCCTTGGCCAAGAAAGGGTCTGCTCAGTGAGTTGGGGGCTTAGAATTTGGTTCTTATTTCTCATTGTCTAGTAGTTTAGTCATGTAAAAGTGGTAGTTTCAACTGGAGGGTGTCGTTGGAAGGCTATCAGAACAATATATGCAAAAACTCTTAAAATATCACTTAAAAAGAACTCCACTTTCATGATAGCAGAATAAAAACAGTTCGCCTCTTGAAAATAATCTCAGAACAACCAGAAAAACAACAAAACAGAAACCGAAGTTCTTTGATGAAGCTAGGGGACATCTGGAGCTCCAGCTGCAAACCTGTGAACTGAAGCAGGCAAAAGAATGACAGCTGACCTGCTGGGATGAAAGATGGCGTCAGTGCCCGAGGGGGACGGTGCCCACGAGAAGCAAGTCAGTTTGTTCTACAGAACCCCAGAACTCAGGAGGGGAAAGTGCCATGTCCCCAGTAGGCATTGCCATACGTGGGCTTGGGGGACTCTCTGGCACAGGAGGCTTCTTTGAGCATGTGCAGTGGTTGGACCTCTGTGAGCACCTGCACCCAGCACAGGGAGGGAACTGCCTATCCTTCAACTCGTGCTGGAGACAAAAGGAGTTAGGTCTGGAAAAACTGACTAGGCTCTTTTCAATTCAGGAAAGCCAGATGTAGAAGAGAGTTGGAGTGAAGCACAGAACTAAAAATAGGGGGCGAGAGTGAGTGTCCATGGTCCAGGGTGAGACTGCCTCTCTGTCACCGCCAGCCTCAGGCACCGTCACCTCTCCCTCACCCCAAGGGGCAGCACCACCTCCACCCCACTCGGGGCTTGAAGTCACTTTTCCGAAGAAACAAGTAGCTCAGATAAAAGTTTCATAAGTACAGGTATTTGAAAGCCCCCATTAAAAAGTTAGTCTGCCATCCATGATGGTTAATTTTATGTGTCAACTTGACTGAGCCCTGGTGCCCAGACATGTGGTCAGACATTCTGGATGTTTCTTTGAGGGCGTTTTTGAATGAGATTTACATTTAAGTTGGTGGACTTTGAGTGAAGCCAGCTGCCCCATAGGATGTGAGTGGGCCTTGTCAATCAGTTGAAGGTCTGACTAGAACAAAATGCTGGACCCCCAGGCAAGAGAGGATTCTCCAGCACTCTGCTTTCAGACTCCAGCTGCAGCTCCTTCCTGAGTCTCCAGCTTGCTGGCCACCCCAGGCAGTTTGTGGACTCATGAAGCCTCTGCAGCCAGTTCCTTGGAGTGAATCTCTTTCTCTACTTTTACACATCCCGTTGGTCTACTTCTTTGGAGACCCCTGGCAATCCCCCATCCAGCCACTCCACAGTGATTCCCACCGTTCCGCAGCCCCTCCGGTGCACTGAGGACAGCGAGGAGCTGTGCCTTATGCGTGAGCACAGACCAGTAGCCGATGAGCGGACATGGCAGAAAAGCCCCAGCTTGAAAGATGGAGACCTGAACAAGTAGAAATAAAAACAAAGAGAAAGCAGGAAGTGGAAGAAAGCTTCGAATAAATAATAATTCATAATTAATATCCTCAGGGAAATAAGAGAAGCTGTTGCATCCAAGAAACAAACATTTGAGGGAAAAAGAGAGCTCTTGAAAATAAAATATATAATAGCTGAATTTTTAATAAGTTCATGAAAATGGGAAGCAAAGTCACATATCTTAGAAAGCAGGCAGAAATAGACAATGGGAGAGGAAAACGTAAGAAAGAGGATTAATCCAGGAGGTTCAGCATGTGACTAGTGGGAGACCTAGTGAGGGAGAACACACAATAGGAGGGAGGAAAATAACACAAAAATATGCTCTAGAAATGAGGGACATAGGCTGGGCGCAGTGGCTCATGCCTGTAATCCCAGCACTTTGGGAGGCCGAGGTGGGCGGATCACTGAGGTCAGGAGTTTGAGACCAGCCTGGCCAACACAGTGAAACCCCGTCTCTACTAAAAAAATACAAAAAATTACCTGGGCCTCATAGCGGGCACCTGCAATCCCAGCTGCTTGGGAGGCTGAGGCAGGAGAATCGCTCGAACCCGGGAGGGAGAGATTGCAGTGAGTCGAGATCACGCCACTGCACTCCAGCCTGGGTAACAGTATGAGACCCTGTCTCAAAAAAAAAGAAAAAAAAAGAAATGAGGGACATAGTTGCATATTGGAAAGACCTACCAGTTTCCTACACAATGAGTGCAGACAGACAAATCCACATCATGCCCGTTATTGTGAAAGCTTAAGATAAAGGGATAAAGAGACAATGCTTAAAACATTAGACGGGAAATAGCTGGGTGTAGTGGCATGCGCCTGTAGTCCCAGCTACTCGGGAGGCTGAGGCAGGAGAATTGCTTGAACCCAGGAGGTGGAGGTTGCAGTGAGCCGAGATCGTGCCACTGCACTCCAGCCTGGGCGACAGTGAAACTCTGTCTCAAAAAAAAAAAAAAAGAAAAGAAAAAAACAGGTTATGTACAAAGTCCAAAAATGACATTGGACTTTGCAACAGTTTCATTGAAGCTAAAAGATAAATGGAAATGATTTCCAAGTTTTTTTTTTTTTTGAGACGGAGTCTTGCTCTGTTGCCCAGGCTGGAGTGCACTGGCGCGAACTCGGCTCACTGCAAGCTCTGCCTCCCGGGTTCATGCCATTCTCCTGCCTCAACTCCTGAGTAGCTGGGACTACAGGCACCTGCCACCATGCCCGGCTAATTTTTTTTTTGTATTTTTTAGTGGAGATGGGGTTTCACCGTATTAGCCAGGACGGTCTCGATCTGACCTCATGATCCACCCGCCTCGGCCTCCCAAAGTGCTGGGATTACAGGCGTGAGCCACCGTGCCCGGCCAACTTCCAAGTTTTGAGTAAAAATGATTTCTAACGTTGCATTCTGCCCAGAAAGTTACCAATTAAATGTGGAGTAGAGCAAAGACTGTTTAAAACATCCTGTCCCCCAAATTTAATTTCCCTGTACTTCATCTCAGGAAGCTACTGGAGTGTGGTGTCTACCACAACAAGGGAGTACTCTAAGAAGGAGGATCAGATCCAGGGAAGAGGGGCTCCCATACAAGACAGGGGAGCAGAATCCCCAGGAAGTTGACAGGTGCAAGTCCCAGGACAGCAGTGTCACAGAAGACCTGGAAAGCAGCCAATTATGGAGAGTCGCCTCCAGGGAAAGCAAAGTCATAGTAGATTTGACCATGTGGAAAATCTTATCGAGAGACTTTTTACAGAGCTGTTGGTGGGTATGAAAAAGCTTAGGTACTGGTTTAAAGAAAACTAAGCAAATAAAATGTGAGAAAGTTACTCCAGGAAAAACTAAAAGGTGTAAAAGAATATCTGTAATTCAGTGTATTTCCTGTTTCAGGAGCAAACAATATTTGCATAGTATAGTCTGTAAAGAACACAGGATTATGGATGGTGACCAGAGTGAAACTAAAAATGGTGACCAGAGTGAAATTCTCTTGGGAAGATCAGAGGAAGGAAAGTGTCCCTCATCTGCCACAAGGGGAAACCTAGAATCAGTAACTCAGGGCACAGCCATGCATGGATTGTTTAGAAATACTGTGGTAATATGAATAAGCAGCTAACAACCACCACAACAAAAAGGAACTCAGTTGTGTCCTAGGAACGACATGGTCTGTTGGTCTTTGAGATAAGCTCCTCAACATTTTTTGACATTTTAAAGTGGTTCTGTATTGATTACCTGTAAGAAAGTAATTTTAAAAGTACCATGTAGCCTTTTGGAAATAAACTTAATGACCTATAGTTTTTAAAAAGCTAATATATTCTCTAAGTGTGTATCAGGAAAAACACCTAAAGATTTTCTACTAAGTATAGTTTTATTTCAATGAAATTTAGAAGTATTGATATTCCTTAAATTAGCTTTCCTTCATTTTTAATAAAATTAACTTTTTGTTGAAGAAATGAGGTTTTTATTTCATTCTGTAGGAGATGTCATGTTGTAAACTTTGGTGCTTATGGAATGATGAGAATTTAAAGCAATGCAATATTTTATTTCAGTTTTGAGAGTACTTTACGTCACCCCTGACATGTGCAATTAAAGCCAAGTGAAAAATCAGTGGCCAGAGGCGGGTTCTCTATCTCAGACTTTAGCAATATGCGGATTTATGTGGTGCTAACATGTCACTTTAAAGACATTGTGTGGTGTTAACATGTCACCCTGAGACGTTCTGTGGTGCTAATATGTCACCCTAAGACGTTTGTGTGGTGCTAACCTGTCACTCTAAAGATGTCGTGTGTTGTGAATGTGTCACCCTAAAGACATTGTGTGGCATTAACATGTCACTCTAAGGATGTCATGTGCTAATGTGTCACCCTAAAGATGTGAGGTGTTAACATGTCACCCTAAGATGTTCTGTGGCACTGTCATTCTAAGGATGTCATGTGGTGACATGTCACCCTGAGATGTTGTGTGATGTTAACATGTCACTCTGAAGGCATTGTGTGGCATTAACATGTCACCCTAAAGTCATTTTGTGGCATTAACATGTCACCCCAAAGACATTGTGTGGCATTAACATGTCACCCTAAGATGGCGTGTGGGCTGGCATGCCACCCTAAGATGCTCACTTAGCCCAGCTTTGCCATCTGACTCTTCTCACCAGGTTTTTTCATGGGAAGCTGTACAGTAACTTGAGACTCTTTGAATGTTTTTATTTAAGTCCTTTTAAAAAAACAGTGCCTCAAAATTAGCAAATATTTTCCAACTATGTTTTTAGTCTTAGTCCCTGTAGTAAAACTTTAACACACAAACTCAGTAATAAATTCTAGTAGGTAACATTTAATGAGTGCTTTCAGTTCGTAAAAGGCAGTATTGCCACAAATTGTTGGATGAAGGGGTGAGGCATGCATTTTTTTCTTACAAACACCTTAGGAGTTGAGTGCTATGATTATTCTATTTTAGAGATAAAGAAACTGAGGTTAAATAATTTGGCCAAGTAACAAAGCCAGTATATAGATTTGGGAGAAGAGGGGTACCTGGCTTTTTAGGAGGTGTGAGCCCCATGGAAGGAAATCAAGTATTGGTATTTTAACAAAGCAAAGCAACAAAACAAAACCTATCTACTCCTAGGTTCACTTGCCATTTAATCATTTCCTTTACTACTCTCTTAGGAGTGTAGTCCTAATCCACCAAAGAAGAGACAAAATACACTATAACACTAAGATTTCAAACAGTTGAAACAAGTTTTGCCTAAGTCTTAAATAACCAGATAGTTGAATGAATTCTAATTTTATGTGCTTTTTTTGTTTTCCAGGTAATTGATGTTTTGTTAGCCATGATACAATGTAAAAGAAATAACTTCAGAGAAAATAATTTGTGTTTCATTTTTGTTTGTTTAAAGCCGGCAGCAAAAGTGGACCAAGAAACCTTGACAGAAATGGTGAAACCCAGTATTGATTATGTGCGCCACAAAAAATTCCGATCTGGGAATTACCCATCATCATTAAGCAATGAAACAGACCGGCTGGTGCACTGGTGCCACGGCGCCCCGGGGGTCATCCACATGCTCATGCAGGCGTACAAGGTCAGTGCTTCCGCCGTCACGGCCGTCCCCTGTGTGGGGAGCCAGGTTTCCCTGTCAGGTTTTGGGTCTTGCTTTGGTAAGGCCATTTGACTGTACACTAAAAACCTTTTAGAATGATTGTTTTTACAAAATAAAGTCTCTGTATTTTACCACTCATCACCACTGTCATTAGTGCTGCAAGTCTGTGTGTGTGTATGTGTGTGATTGTGTGTGTTAACAGGGTTTATATTCATGTGTAAAAGAAAACCTAGATGACAGAGCAGTGGTGAGATGATTTTCATTCTAATGAGTATGGATATCCAGTAAGGTAGTGGACAGGATTATAACCAAAGTGCTTTTTTGTTCATTTTCACATAATTTTATTTTCTTGCTTGAATAAGCCTTTATTGCTGGATTATGATTGTCCAAGAACTTTTGAGTTTAAAATTGTTATGTTATTCTCAAGACATAGTGGTACTCAAATTTGTATACGTCTGGGGTACTATAGGAAAATTGGCTAAACCTTCACTGATTAATTCTCGTAGGCTTTAAATATATTTGGGCATAATATTAAGAGCGCTATTGATTTCTGTCCTGGACTAAGATTTATCATTTAAGATTTATCATTTAAGTTGAAGTGATGCTTCTTTTATAATTTTATTTTGTATTTAACACATCTGTGTTTGTAATAATTGATGTTGGAGATTGTTGCTCATACATCAGAGTATATAGCTGTAACACAATGATTGCTCTGTTCAACACAGTATTTTGGCAAGTTCTCTTTGTTTAGGATAGATAGGTGGAATTAATGGAGTGGAACTCATATTTCTACCTGGAAATAATAAGAACTGATACCTGAGTCAATTTTATTTTTTCTTTACAGCTACCGTAATAAATTACTTAGGAAAATTGTGGGGAATTATCTCTCATGATTTAGGCTAATTTCTCAGAAATTTTTAGTCCTCCTACAACAATACCAAAATATTCAAATCATATATAAGATATGATCATTCAAGAAAACAACTCAGAAAGTTACGACGTTTGGTCAGTGAAACACAATGAAATGTATTTTTTGAAAATAAGATGCATCTTCCTAACAGTACCCTCACTTTTACATTAAAACATAATTCTGTTCAAATCACTGCCTCCCTTTTTTAGAGTTTTGGAGCAGTTATAACTTCAGTGTCCTAGAGGGACATCTGTGATACAAATGTCCAACAATAACGTGTGAGCACAATATTGACTGTACAGACAGGGGCCCTCTGATACTTTTAAAACAAATATATAATTGCTAAAATGTGGAAGCTCCTTTTTGTCAAACTCCTTTTCCCTTCACTTTAAAGAGGCTCAGCCAACACAGCTGGGTGTTCCCGGTGGCTGATCTCTGCTGCCAGGTGTGCTTTTCCACTGTGTTTCAACTGAGCCCTGTGGAGAGCAAGCAGGTGCCAGGAACCAGGCTGTCCTGTGGGGACCCTTCCTCCTGGGCAGTTCCATTTTCATGAGTTCTGCAGACAGTGGCCACCATCTGTTTTCACCACTGCTGGCCACTTGGGAGCAAGCCAGCACGGCTCTGCCACTGACGGGCTGCAGGTGGCTGCGGCCAGCTCCTCCTGGCAGGGCTTCTGCATAGAATACCATTCAGACACCTTGCTTTGCCCTGCTGGTTCCAAAACAAATTTCTCTCCTCCAGAAAGCATAGAGCCAAAGATGTCAAGATCCCATACTTAGTCTTTAAAACTTAATTCTGTCCTCTACATTAAGATTCTTGAACATGAGGAACGAGGAGGAATATCAGAATCTTCTGGGGGTAGGAAGGCATCAGTGGTAATTTGAAAAAGCATATATATTTTGTATTTCAAAATAGCTAGAAGAGAAGATTTGAAATGTTCCCAGCATAAATAAATGATAAATGTTCAAGGTAATGGACATCCTGAATACATCATTACACATTGTATGCATGTATATCACATGCACCCATAAATATGTACAATTATTATATATCAATGAAAAATTTAAAAAGGAAAAAGCATATGTAATATGGTCTTAGAATTGGGGGTAAAAATACATCTTCTTCATAGTATAAACTACAGAAAATAAGTGTAGACTAAAGCTCTCTGCCAGCGGAGAAACAGACCCTGCGCCGTGGAGTCTGCACATCTGTTTGCGTCTCTGAGCAGAGGGCGAGGTTTGTGTTTGACCAAGGCAGGGGGTTCAGTGGGGGAGGCAAAACTAGGGAAGTACAGCTCTACACTGTTTTCTCTCAAGTTACAGTTAAGTTGAGAGGGCCTCCATTTATTAAAGCTGTCTCTTAAAATTAGGTAGGAAATGTTCAAGTTTTATGTAATAACAAGCTCTAACATTTTCTTCTCCTGGCATATGAAGTCCTAAGTTGTTCAGGCATGCTTATGAAGGTGTAAAGTGTTCAAGTACTTGAAAAAATATTATTAATTATCCTTTACAAAGAAAACTGTAAGTTCAGTCCAGACTCACAAAATTTATTTTCCCTCCCTGTAGATGCTCATCATGTGTTAGTATTTAGTAGGGTATATACTCTTCTGTGTAGGAACGTGTATTACTTGTTAATTTAAAGTTATGTGGTATTTTAGATGGCCTTAAAATGTAAAGGTTTGGCCAGACACTGTGGCTCACACCTGTAATCCCAGCACTTTGGGAGGCCAAGGCAGGAGGGTTGCTTGAGCCCAGGAGTTGGAGATCAGCCTGGGCAACATGGCAAAACCATGTCTCTACTAAAAAAAAATACAAAAATTATCTGGGTGTGGTGGCACGCACCTGTAGTCCCAGGTACCTAGGAGGCTGAGGTGGAAGGATGGTTTGAGCCTGGGAGGCGGAGGTTGCAGTGAGCTATGATCATGCCACTGCACTCCAGCCTGGGTGACACAGCAAGACCCTACCTCAAAAAAAAAAAAAAAAAAGAAAAGAAAAGAAAAAGGCAAGGTTTTAACAATATTCTACATTGTATTAGGAATTTTATTAATTGTGAATGATTTTCTAACAAATTACATCTGACAAAAAATCATGGGTAATGGTGGCAAATTCTTCCTTCTATTCACGTTTTGAGTTCTAGGGCATTAGGAATTTGTGTGGGTTTAGCCACTGTAAACAAATACATTTGTTAAATGAGATTGTATTTGGAAAGGTAAATGCAATGTCCAAAAAAAGCATATAATACCCCCACCAGGGTGACACGAGTGCAGTCCTTAGATGCTGAACTGAATCTGGCAGCAGCCACAGCATCACTGCTTGTGCCCACACGCCTGCCCTGGGAAGCCCCAGAGAGAACTGCATTGGGAGTGCCCCCTGGTGGCCAACTATTGTATATATGTCAGAAAATGCTTTCATACAAATTCTGTTCCCGAAGCTTGTTTGCAAGTTGATTATTTGAAACATGGAATGTTTTTCTAGGGGTATCAGAATTACTTGAAAAGTTTTTTTAAGCTATACTTTTTTTCCTCCTTACTCAAGATTCTGATACCTTCTTAATTTTAAGCATCACTTAAATAAATGTACCATAGTTTATCATTGTTTTTCTTTCTTTTTTTTGAGACACAGTGTCGCTCTGTCTCCCAGGCTGGAGTGTGCAGTGGCGCAGTTTTGGCTCACTACAACCTTTGCCTCCTGGGTTCAGGTGGTTCTTGTGTGTTAGCCTCCCAAGTAGCTGGGATTACAGGCACACGTCACCATGCCTGGCTAATTTTTTGTATTTTTAGTAGAGACGGGGTTTCACCATGTTGCCCAGGCTAGTCTTGAACTCCTGACCTTAGGTGATCTGCCTGCCTTGGCCTCCAAAACTGCTGGGATTACGGGCATGAGCCACTGTGTCCGGCCAGTTTATCATTGTTTTTCATCGGTTTCCAGGTTTTGGCTATTAGGAACAAGCTGCTATGAACATTCTTGCACAGGTCTGTCTAGAGACACATGTCTTCATTTCTTTTGGGTTAATATCTAGGAGTAGAATTACTGGATCGGAGGGTAGGTGTATGTTTAGTTTTAGAAATTGCCACTTTTTCCACAAGTTCTGGTTGTTCTGCATCTGCCAACACTTGATGTTGAAAGTCTTTTTAATTTTAATTATTTTGGTGGGTATTTCATTGTGGTTTTATTTGTATCTTCCTGATTGACCAGGGTTGATTAATGTTGCATGTGCTCATGGGCCAATTGTGTATCTTCCTTTGTTGACTGTCTCTTCATATCTTCTTCTTATTATTATTATTTTTTGAGACAGGGTCTTGCACTGTCACCCAGGCTGGAGTGCAGTGGTGGATCTTGGCTCACTGTAGCCTCGACCTTCAGGGCTCAGGTGATCCTCCCACTTCAACCTTCCAAGTAGCTGGGGACTACAGGCACGTGCCACCACACCTGGCTAAATCTTTTTATTTTTGTAGGGGTCTTGTTTTTTGCCCAGGCTGGTTTCGAACTCGTGGACTCAAGCAATCTTCCTGTCTTGGTCTCCCAAAGTGCTGGAATTATAGGTGTGAGCCACTGTGCCCAGCCTGTCTCTTCGTGTGTTTTACCTACATTGTTTTATTTTATTTTATTTTTGTCTTTTTGCTATTTTTGAAAGAATTCTTTATATGTTCTGGTTAAAGTCCCTCTGTCAGATATATATCGTACAAATAATTTCTCCCTGTCTGTAGTTTGCCTAATCATATTCTTTATGGTATCTTTTGACTAATAGAGTTTTAAATTTTGATAAAATCTATTTTTCAATGTTTTCTTTTTATGATAATTACTGTCTGTGTTTTGTCTAAGAAACCTTATCTACCCTCAGGTTATATAGATAATACTCTCCTTTAATCTTTATTGTTTTAGATTTTACCTTTAGGCCTGTGATTTATCTCAAATTAAGTTTTGTATATTACATGAGGTAACAAACGAGGTGGTTTTTTTTTTTTTTTTTTTTTTTTTTTGGAGACAGAGTCTCACTCTGTCGCCCAGGCTGGAGTGCAGTGGCACGATCTCTGCTCACTACAAGCTCCGCCTCCCAGGTTCACACCATTGTCCTGCTTCAGCCTCCCGAGTAGCTGGGACTACAGGCGCCCGTCACCACGCCTGGCTAATTTTTTGTATTTTTAGTAGAGATGGGGTTTCACCGTGTTAGCCGGGATGGTCTCTATCTCCTAACCTCATGATCTGCCCGCCTCGGCCTCCCAAAGTGCTGGGATTACAGGCGTGAGCCACCGTGCCCAGCCTGAGGTGTTTTTTTTTAACCATAGGGATATCTGATTGTTCCCATACCTTTTGTGGAAAAGACATTTATTTTTCCCATTTGATTGATTTTGGTTCCTCTATCAAAAATCAAATGACCTAATAAGCCTGGGTCTGTTTCTGGACTCTATTCAGTTACTTTGGCCTGTTTACCTACATGATATTACCACGTTGTTTTTCTTATTCTGCATTTATTGTAAGTTTTGAGATCAGGTAACTTAAGACCTCACTTTGTTCTTTTTCAGAATCACTTTGAATATTCCAAGTCCTTTGTATTTTCATATAAGTTTTAGAGTCCATTTGTCAGCTTCTAAAAATGGAGCCTATTGGAGTTATGAGTCAGAGTGCATTGAATCATTGAATCTCTAGATCCACTTGGGTAGAACTAACTGACATCTTTTTTTTTGAGATGGAGTCTTGCTTGGTCGCCCAGGCTGGAGTAGGTGTGATCTTGGCTCACTGCAACCTCCGCCTCCCAGGTTCAAGCAATTCTCCTGCCTCAGCCTCCTGAGTAGCTGGGATTACAGGTGCCCACCACCATACCCGGCTAGTTTTTGTATTTTTAGTAGAGACGGGGGTTTCACCATGTTCGCCAGGCTGGTCTCAAACTCCTGAGCTCAAGTGATCTGCCCGCCTTGGCCTCCCAAAGTGCTAGGATTACAGGCATGAGCCACTGTGCCTGGCCAGAACTGACATCTTAATAATGTTGAGTCCTTCTGCTCGCAAATGTGGTATATCTCTCCATTTATATTTTCTTTAATTTCTGTCAATAGTGCTTTATAGTTTTTGCTCTACAGGTCTTAACACATCTTCTGTTAAATTTATTCCTAGATATGTTATTTATTTACATTTTCCAATTATGTATTGCCAGTATATAGAAATACAATTGCGTTTTTTTTTTTGGAGACATAGAGTCTCACTCTGTTACCCAGGCTGAAGTGCAGTGGTGTGATCACGGCTCACTGCAGCCTCTACCTCCCCAGGCTCAAGATATCCTCCTGACTTAGCTGAGTAGCTGGGATTACAGGTGTGCACCACCATGCCTGGCTAATTTTTGTATTTTTTTGTAGAGATGGGGTTTCGCCATATTGACCAGGCTGGTCTCAAACTCCCAAGTTCAAGGGTTCTACCCACCTCGGCCTCCCAAAGTGCTGGGATTACAGGCTTGAGCCACTGTAACTGGCCACAGCTGCTTTTTGTATATTGACTTTATATTCTGTGCTAAATTCACGTATCAGTTCTGGTAGCTTTTTATACATTACTTAGGATTTTCTGTGTACACATATTGTATCTGTGAGTTTTCTTCTTCCTTTCCAACCTCTGTGCCTTTTATTTCCTTTACCTCTTTTATTACATTGGTTAGGAGCTATAGTATAATATTGAATAGAAGTGGTCAGAGTGGACATCTTTGCTTTATTCACAATCATAGAAAAAAATATTAAATATTTCCCCATCAAATATACTTTTAACTGTTTTTCTTAGATGGCTTTTATCAGATTGAAGAAGTTTCCTTTTATTACTGGTTATCATGAAGGGATGTTGAATTTTGTCATTTTTTTTTCCTGGATTTATTCAAACGCTCCTATGGTTTTCCTCTTTTGTTTTATTAATATGGTGATTTTACATTGATTGGTTTTTAAAAGTTGAGTCAACCTTGCATTCCTAGTATAAACCTCACTTGGGCATGATTTTTATCCTTTTCTTTTTATTAATATTGCTACATTTGGTCTGCTAATATTTTGTTAAAGATTTTTATGTTTCTTAGTACATATTTTCTTTTTCTATAAAATCTTTGTTTTTATTAGGAATCAGGTATCAGGATTATGCTGGTCACGTACATGAGTTGGAAAGTGTTTTCTCTTATTTTCAGAAAGATTTTGTGTACAATTGGTGTTATTACTTGCTTAAATGTTTGTGGGAAAATTTTTTATTATGAATTCAATTTCATTAATAGAATCATTTTGCATCAGTTTTGTTAATTGTGTTTTTCAATATGTTTTCTCATTTTATCTAAGTTGTCAAATTTATTGGCATAATGTTATTCATACCTCTTTTTTTTAATGTTTAGTAAGGTCTGAAGTGATAGTTTCTCTTTTGTTCTTTTCCTTTTTTTTTTTTTTTTTTGGAGATAGAATCTTGCTGTTTCTCCCAGGCTGGAGTGCAGTGGCACGATCTTGGCTCACTGCAACCTCCGCCTCCCGGGTTCAGGCAATTCTCCTGCTGCAGCCTTCCATGTAGTCGCGATTACAGACACGAGGTACCACGCCTGACTAATTTTTGTGTTTTTAGTAGAGACAGGATTTCACCATGTAGGCCAGGCTGGTCTCGAACTCCTGACCTCAGGTGATCCGCCTGCTTCGGCCTCCCAAAGTGCTGGGATTACAGGTGTGAGCCACCACTCTGGCCTCTCTTTTATTCTTGATATTAGTAATTTATGTTTTCTCTCTCTCATCAGTCTAGATAGCAGCTGTGTCAAAGTTGTATTGCTCTTTCAAAGAAATAAACATAAATTGTAGCTTTATCTATTTTCTATTTCATTGATTTTTCTTCTTTTCTTTTTAAAACTTCCTTCTATGGTTCTGGGCCCAGTGGCTCACTTCTATAATTCCAGCACTTTTGGAGGCCAAGGTGGAGGATAGCTTGAGGCCACAAGTTCAAGACCAACCTGGGCAACATAGTGAGACCTCATCTCTACAAAAAATCCAAAATTATCTGGGCATGGTGGTGCCACTGCACTCTAGCCTAGGTGACAGAGTCAGACCCTGTCTCAAAAAAAACATAAAAAATAAAAAATAAATAAAATTTCTTTCTATGGACTTTAGATTTACTTTGCTCTTTTCTAACTTTTTAAAGTGGAATCTTAGGTTTTGTACCTTTCTTTTTTTCTAATACAGGCATTTAAAGCTTTACATTTTCCTCTAAGCACTATTTTAGCTCTGTTCCCAAATATTTTATGTCTTGTTTTCATTTTCATTTAGTTTTAGATATTCCCTAATTACCCTTATGATTTCTCTTTTGATTCATGGGTTATTTAGAAGTGGGTTGTGTGTTTTTCAGATATTTGAGAATTGTGTGGATATTTTCATCGATTTCTGATTTAATTCCATTGTTGTTACAGAACATATTATGTACGATTTAACATTTTAAAATTTACTTAGATGTATTTTATGGCCCAGTATTTAGTCTGTCTTGACGAATGTCCCACGTGCGTTTGAATGGTCTAGTTGTCAGGCATAGTGTGCTAGAAATGTCAGTTAGGCCAATGGTTGGATGTATTGTTCAGATCTTCAATTACAGAGGTCAGCGAACTTCCTGTAATGACCCAGATAGTAAATATTTTAGGCTTGTGGTCCATGCAGTTTCTGCAACCACTCAGTTCTATCATTGTAGCACAAAAGCAGCCACAGCCAGTGTGTGAATGAACCATCATGACCTCACTCCAGGGAACTTCGTTTACAGATCAGACTGTGTGGGCTTGTAGTGTGCTGACCCTCACAGATTTGCCTTACATATTTGTTTCGGCTGTTTGTTTACTCAGTCATGGGAGGAGGAGTTTTACAGTCTCCCAACTGTTTATTTTCTTCTCTTTAATTTTCTTAGTGTTTGCTTCATGTATTTTGAGGCTCTGTTCTAATACATGTTTATGATGGTTATGTTTTCCTAATGAATTGACTCTTTTATCATCATGGAATGTTCCTTTTATCTCTGGTAATATTCTTTATCTTGAAGTCTACTTTGTCTGATATTAATGCAGCTGCTCCAGCATTTTGTAATTACTGTTTGCATGACACATCTTTTTGCTTTCAACCTGTATGGGACTTGTGTTATAGCTAGTCTAATAATCTCAGTGTTTTAATTGGAATTAGTTCATATATATTTAATGTAATTATTGATGTGGTTGGATTCAGCTCTGCCATTTTAAATTTTTTAAAATTACATTTTGTGTGTTTCCTCCCTCTACTTTTTCTTTCCTGCCTTTTTTTTTTTTAGGGAGGTAGAGAGATTAGTTGGAAATTTTTTAGGATTCTCTTTTTTCTGTTGACTCTTTTTTTTTTTTTTTTTGAGATGGAGTGTCGCTTTGTCACCCAGGCTGGAGTGCAGTGGTGCAATCTCAGCTCACTGCAACCTCCGCCTCCTGGGTTCAAGCAATTCTCCTGCCTCAGCCTCCTGAGTAGCTGGGACTACAGGCACGTGCCACCATGCCCAGCTGGCTAATTTTTGTATTTTTAGTAGAGACAGGGTTTCACCGTGTTGGCCAGGCTGGTCTCAAACTCCTGACCTCAGGTAATCCGCCAGCCTCGGCCTCCCTAAGTGCTGGGATTACAGGTGTGAGCGCCACCGTGCCTGGGCCTGTGTTAACTCTTTAACTGTATCTATTTGCGTATTTTTTTTACTAATGCTATAGGGGTTGCAATATATATGCTTAGCTTTTCATAATCTCCTTAGAGTTAACACTGAGCCACTTCGCATAAACTGTAAGAAACTCATAGGCAGGTGGTTCTGCTTCCTCCAGAGCTTTGCACTCTATCTGCCATATTTATAAAATCTATGAATGTTGTAAACCACTAATACAATGTTAGAATTTTTGCTTTATTTTTAATTTAAAAAATTGTTTTTGAAGAGACAGGGTCCTCACTATGTTGCCCAGGCTAGTCTCGAACTCCTGGGCTCAAGTGATCCTTCTGCTTCAGCCTCCTAAAGTGCTGGGATTACAGGTGTGAACTACCATAGGGGCTGGCCAGAAATTTTGCTTTAAATAGACCTGCATATTTTATTTGAATTGATACAAGCAAAAAAGATAGTTTTGATATTTATTTATGTATTTCCCATTTTTAGTGGTCTTTGTTTCTTCCTGAAGATCCTGATTTCTATCTGGTATTATTTCTTTCATCCTGTAGAATTTTACTTAGTATAGGTTTAGTGACAACAAATTGATTTTCATTTGTCTTAAATTTGTTTTTATTTCACCTTTATTCTTAAATACAGTTTTGCTGGGTGTGGAATTCTGGGTTGACTTTTTTTTCTTTTCGGTGCTTTAAAGGCAGTGTTCCGTCGTTGTCCACCTCTGTTCTTTCAAGGTCATTCTTTGCACTATTCTCTTGTATGGAACATGTGCTTTTTCTCTAGAGGCTTTCACAGTTTCCTCTTAATTTTGGGTTTTCAATAGTTTAACTGTTACATGCCTAGATGTATTTGTATTTATCGTGCTTAAGATCCTTTGAACTTGAATTTGTAAGTGTGTATCTTTTAGTACACTGGGGTGACTGGCCACTCTTTTCCTACAGGTTCCTGAGGCTTTTGTTTTCCAGATTTCTCGTTCTTCTCTGTAATTCGGATCAGATGATTGCTATTTCCCTGGTTTTGTATTCATTCATGATTTCTTCTGTTATGTCCAGCCTGCTCTTAAACCCACCCAGTGAGTTTTGTAATTTTACCTATTGATGTTTTCTAGGTCCAGAATATCCCTTTGTTTCTGTCTTATTCTCCCTTTCTCTTCTGAGGGTTCACTGATGATGAGTATAGTTCCCTTTTCATCTTTGAAGATATTTCTAGTAACTGCCTAAAACCCTTGTCCCTATTTCTGACGTTTGGGTCATCTTGGGATCCATCTGTTTTGTAGCATGGGCGCACAGGCCCAGGTCGGGTGCGGTGGAACAGGGACTCTAGCCCTGCCTCTGACTCCAGAGCCCTCGGGTTTTCCTTTGCATTGTGCTGTCTTTTCACACTTTCTGTCCTGTACTGCCCAGGGAAACTTACCATTTGGGGGAGGTAATGTGGATAAGTACATGGATTTTGTAGCCCATGTATGATTGCTGTAATACAATGTGGAGAAGATGTATCTGTGATTAAGTCCAGGAGCTTTTTTCTATAGTTCTGAATTCTTGGATGTCTCGCTGTTAGAAGTAGCTGTTTGCTTAGAGCATGAGTGTATGTGGTGGCAGGAGTGGGCATGGTAGGCTGCTGGTGCTGAGAAGCAGCAGTGCAGGCTGCATTGTGGGCATGGCTCTAGCAGCCTCAGCCTCGCAGGCGCAGGGACGGCATGAAGGAACCCTGTTCAGTTTCCCTGTGGACCATCACTCACCCAGGCTCCACCAGCAGGGGCAGCTCCAGCTCACTTTAGGGCTGGCCTCACTGTGTGATTTCAGAACACAGCCTCTCAAACAATATCTTCTCACCCATTAGCTTTGACCAAATATTTCCTTAGGATGGGAAAACATGTTTTCCTTTACAGTTCATTTTCAGAGGCTTAAGATGCAAGTGACAGGATGAAGTGTGTGTGCCGGCACAATACCGTAGAAAGAGTAATGGTTAATCATAGCCAGGAAATAGCTAGCACTTCCCATGTGCCAGGCACTGTTCCAGGAGCTCCATGGATGTGATCACATTTTAATCTTCATAGCAAGCCACTGAGGTGAAGGAATGTCATCCCTTTATAGTTGAGAAAACTAAGACATAGACTTTCAGTGACTTATCCAAGGTCACACAGTTAAAAGGTGACAGTAGGGACTCAGCTCAGGCTGTCTGACCCCAGAGCCCACATCTTAGCAGCCTTTGTGACTGATAGAGGGTGTCCTGCGTCTGATTCCCTAACAGCCTAACTTTGGGAACATTTAATCTCCCTGGTGATTTGCTGTGCCTCTGTTTCCCGCTGTGCCCTCTGTAGACACTGGTCGCAGTTCTCATGCCCTGCCCCCCAACCTCCGCCTTTTTCCTGAGGCCTCAGAGCCCTTCTCGGCTGAGTGTCCAGCTCATCAGTCACAAGTAGAGGGACCTGACCTGCCACCCAAGTAGTGATGACCTTTGTGCCTCTGATTCATTGTCCAAAACCCATTTGCACTGGAATGTGATGAGTTTAGCAGGTAGGGATAACTAAGAACAGACTCTGAGAAAAGGATCAGGAAAACAGTACATGGCCTGTGAGGAGAAAGAAGAAAATGTACAAGGGAATCTCAGGAAGTGAAAACCCACAGCTGCTTCTTGCCGTCTCTTGCCTTCACTGAGCCTGCCTGTCTCTGCAGCTGACCATATAAACAACTCAGGGAGGTGGTGCTTGCTCCTGGACCCCAGAAAGCTTTGTGCCAGCTTCCTTGGGATGGGTGAAGATGGATCTTCCTAGCCTGGTGGTGCAGGGTCCTCAGGTCCTGTTGATGTGTACTGATCAGTGTATTGGATACTCTTGCCCTGCTAACAGGGCCTCACTCTCTCGATTGCCTTCTACAAGAGCAGAAGTTTTAGAGCTATGGGATGTATGTGCCAAGAAACAAGGAAAACATCTTACCAAAAAGATATGGCAGCTTTAATTTTAATTTTAAAAACTAAATTTTAGCATTACTTTAGTAAAACCGTGAAACAGAAGGAGGACAAGGGGAATAGGCTAATGCAGGGGTCCCCAGCCCCCAGGCTGTGAATTGGTACTGGTCCGTGGCCTGTTAGGGACTGGGCTGCACAGCAGGAGGTGAGCAGCAGCGAGCAAGCGAAGCTTCAACTGTATTTACAGTCGCTCCCCATCACTTGCATTACTGTCTGAGCTCTGCCACCTGTCAGATCAGCGGCCACATTAGATTCTCGCAGGAGAGCGAACCGTATCGTGAACTGCTTATGCGAGGGATCTAGGTTGCGCGCTCCTTATGAGAATCTAACTAATGCCTGATGATCTGAGCTGGAACAGTTTCATCCCGAAACCATCCCCCACTCACCTTCCTGGCCATTGAAAAATGGTTCCACAAAACCAGTCACTGGTGCCAAAAAGGTTGGAGACCGCTGGGCTAATGGATTGAGATTGCGAGATTCTATGTACTGTGTTGCTGGTGTTTTTTTGTTTGTTTGTCTGTTTTTCACCCCCAGTGCCATTTCAGTTTTCCTAATATCATGCCATATTCTAACCAGAAAGGGAAAGTATTTTGCCAACTCATCGTTGAAACTGTCTTTTTAACACTGCTTTGTTTTTAATTTGCCCAGGTCTTTAAGGAGGAGAAGTACTTGAAAGAGGCCATGGAGTGTAGCGATGTGATTTGGCAGCGAGGTTTGCTGCGGAAGGGCTACGGGATATGCCATGGGACTGCTGGCAACGGCTATTCCTTCCTGTCCCTTTACCGTCTCACGCAGGATAAGAAGTACCTCTACCGAGCTTGCAAGGTGAGGGTGGCTCTGTTGGAACTGCTTCTGAACAACCCCGAGTGTGCACAGAATCCAGAGTCCAGAAGTACAACTCCTGTTCCTTCTTTTAACCTGTTTCTCCCAGTTCTGTAGCTTCCTCTTTTTCTTCTGGCACAGCCTTATCTGTGGTTTCTCTGGGCCACAGTGTCCCTGTCTGTAGAATGGAGAGGACAAATGTCAATGGCTTCTGAAGAATATGTGTCCTGGAGTCACTACGTGATGAGAATTACCACCTGTGCCATTTATTGGCTTTATGAGTTTGGATATGTCTCTTCTTCAAGCCTCAGTTTCCTCATTTGTACAGACAGAAAAAAAATACTACCCACCTCCTAAGGATGTTCCAAGCAGAACTGAGCTAATGTGCAGATTGTTTGTAATCGTCCTGCCAAAACCCTCCACGGCTTCCCATTGACTGCAGATGGAGCCTATGCTCCTCCGCTGAGTTGACAGAGCCCTGCGCACCTTGGCCCCTCTCTGTGTCTCTGCCTGATCTCCTTGCCTTACCCTGCCCTCTAGCCCGCCATAATACAGCCATGTTGCCCTCTCTAAGAACGGAGTGTGTCACTCTTGTTTCCGCTGGACCTGTCGTTAACTGTTCCCTTCAGGAGCACTCTTCCTTCAGCTCCTTGCCATGCTGATCTGAATTGTGACATTCTTGGAGGGATCTTTGAGACCCCCCAAGTGGATGATCACTCAGTTGCTCATTGTATGTTTTGGCTTGTTTCTTGAGTGTGTAGGCTGGTAGAACATAAGCTTCTTGATCTTGTCTGTCTGGGTCACTATTCTACACTAGTACTTGGAGCAGTGCATAGCACCGAGTAGAAACTCAGTAAACATGCACTGGACATGTGAAGATGAATGGCATAGAGCAAGACTCAGTAAATGTTTGCTAGTATTTTTATTATGTACACATTTCACAAAATGTAGTTGTGTGCACACAGAAAAAAGATTGGAAGAAAATACACTAAAGTGTGTACAGTGACCCTTGTTAGATGGAGGCATTGCGGCTGATATGTTCTTTATACTTTTTGAACATCTATTACTTTCTGAAGACTTCTCAACCCCAGTGGAATGGGCCCTACCTCGTTGGTGCACTGGAAAATGCACACACATCTGTGGCTCCCCCACTGATGGAAGCATGAAGGAGGCTGTGGAAGCAAAGAGGGCAGGGCCCAACTTGGCATAGCAGGTCAGCAAGGGATGTCTCAGCCAAGACCTGAGGGACAGCTCGAAATTAAGCAAAGGGGGATGAGGAAAGATGTGAAAAGGAGAAGAAACTGCTGTTCCAAAGGCCCGGAGGTGTGAGCACCCAGGGCCTGTGTGAACTACACTGTGGCTGGAGCACGGGGGATGGGGCAAAACAGGAGCCAGCGAGCGGGGAGCAGCCAGATTCCGCAGGCCTGGGCCAGCCTTGATGATGTGATGATGGTAGATGACTATGCAAATATGGGCAATGCGAGAAGACCGCAGGAGGGGTGAGACGCAGCCGGTTCTTTAAAGATGAGGGGTTTTTCAGGTGGGCCAGGCAGGGGTGGCCTGCAGAGGTGGAATGCAGTTCTGATAAGGAGAATAGCTTGGGCAGAGCTGCAGAGCACGAACCAGCTCTGTGTGTTCCTGACTCCGTAAGCACTTCAGCCTTTGGGATGCAAAGGGAAGGAAATGTGTGGCCAAAGGTAAAAGTCAGACAGGTGGGTAGAGGCCAGAGAAAGTTAGTTCTTCCCTGTAGCCAGTAGTTCTCAACCTTGTACCACTGGGAAGCTTTCAAATCATGCCTGGACCTCACTCTAGACCAGTTAAATGAGGAAGCCTCAGCACTAATATTTTTCAAGCTCCCCCAGTAAGTTTAATAATCAGCTAGCACTGGATACTGATATGGAAGATGGGGGCTCATGGAAGGGTTTGGAATCCATATTCAGACTCCTCTTTTGGAAAGATTGCTGTAGTCCCAGTAGGAAGAATGAGGCGGGCTTGGGTTTCCCCAAATAGTGGTTTAGTAATTAATGCAAGAAATGTTGAGTCATAAACCAAAGCATAGGTTGGGATAAAAAATGAGACATTTAGAAACACCTATGATGTAAAGCCCACAGAATTTAACGCATGTTTTTAAATGTGGAGAAGATGGAAATATCTGAAGGTCTTTCTGTTGTCTGACTCGGAAAACTGGGTAGATGGGCCATCAAACAAGCTAAGAGTGAGCAGATTGGGAGGGGAAAAGCAGAGTGAGTTTCTTTTTACGTGTGCTGAACTTGATACTCCTCATGTTTATTACTTATGATTCTTAGTGTACAAATGACCCTTCAAATTATGATAGCTTAGGCACAAAAGGGAAGTTTATTAAAACGATATGGAAACACCCATTGAAGAGGTCTAAGAAGAAAGGGTCAAGGAGCTCAGAGGAGAGCACAGGGAGGGCTGAGGGCCGGGGGCTGGGAAGGTGGAGAGGCTGCCAAGCAGCAGCAGCAGCTGTGGAGGGGCTGCAGTGAGAGGCGGCGCCCCAGGCAGGGCTGAAGCTGTTTCCCAGCTGGGGCCAGGGGAGCCAGCAGCTGCTGCTGAGAGCCATTTTAGAGCCAGGGTTTTTTGTTCAGGATAGAGCAGGCGTTTCGAGTTGCTTCTGGAATCATCAGCTGAAGCGGCAGGAGGAAGGTGCCAGGGAGAACAGAGTGTCGTTGAGCCGTTCGGTTTTCACCTCGGACTTCCCAGCAGCTGTAAGGCAGACCCCACTCTACAGCTGAGGCAGCCGCAAGCAGAGCCTTGCTGGGCCTCACCCCTGGAAGAGGGGGTGCAGTAGCCCATGGAGCCCACGCTGAATGCCCTACAGCTGGGGGTCCACTTCCCTGATGCCTGTGAAGACATTGCATTCTCATTTATTGCCTTTTCACCAGGTAGAAACTCCAGTCTTAAAAAGAAATCCCTTTCTTTTCAGTTTGCAGAGTGGTGTCTAGATTACGGAGCACACGGGTGCCGCATTCCTGACAGACCCTATTCGCTCTTTGAAGGTAAGAGTGAGAAAAATGCTATAGATTAAATGTTTGGGTGAAATTGGTTCTCCTGCCCTTGTGGACTGGCACTGTTCATATTTGACCTGGCTCAAGTAATACTTCCAAACTGTAAAATAATCAGCAGAGTAGCTTATTGCTGAAAATTATGTTGAATCTCTTCACCTTACCTATTGTTTTGTGCTCCTGTGAATGTCTTCCAAGTGTTCTTAGGTTTTTTGTGAGGTGTCTATGCAGACAGAACGTAGAAGGCTTGCTGTTAGCAATGGAAGAAATAGTTTACTCCTCTGCATTTCATCTGTAATGTTGCATATTTAATATTGGTGTATTCATGGGAAGCTTGAATAATTACTTAAATATATTTAATATCATATAAAGAAGTATGAATAATTAATATTAGCAATTAGAAATATTAGTAAGTAGAAAAAATAGCAAGAGTGAATATTGAAGAAAGTTCTGAAAAGAGGAGCACTGATAGGCAGGCAGTGAAAGCAACAAGGATTCCAGAGTCCACCACGGGCGCAGGGAAGGGAAGACAGGAGCACAAACAGAAGCCCCACAAACAGGCCCGGATATTCGTTAGATTTGTATGTGGGTATGGGCGTGCTTTCTGTTTGCTAACATTTTGGTAAAGGTTTTTGCATCTCTATTCATGAAGGATATTGGCCTACAGTTTTCCTGTCTTGTGCTGTCTTTCTCTGGTTTTGGTATCAGGGTCATACTGACCTAATAAACCATGTTGAGAAGTATCTTCTTCTCTTCTGTTTTCTGGGACAGACTGTGTTAATTGGTGGAAGAATTGGTATTAGTGTAACTTAAATGTTTGGTAGAATTCTCCAGTACAAACTTCTAGGTCTGGAGATTTATTTTTCTAGACTTTTAAAATAAATTCCGTTTTTAAAATAGTTATAGGGCTGTTCAAGTTATCTATTTCATATTGGGTGAGCTGTCATAGTTTGTAATTTTTGGGAAATTGGTTAATTACGTACATGTGGTGAAATGCAAATATGTAAGCTATTGGTATTCCTTATCATCCTCTGTCTGCATCGTCTGTAGTGGTATGTCCTGTTTTAGTTTTCATACTGGTAATATTTTTAAATCATATTTTAGAAATACGAGCAGAAAACAGAGCATGTGTCACATGTTTTGCAGAAGATGATCTTTTTTAATATTCAGAGAACTCATAAGGAAAAAGTACTTACTAGAATAAAAGTTGTAGTCCTCTATGTCATAAAAATGCAATGCATTTGCATCAGATATAACAGAGTTAATGCCTGAACTCTAAATGGAGTTTATCAACTTGATAATAGCACCTTCAGAGCCCCAGTGGGTCAAAAGCTTTGGATGTACAGCTCCCTAAAGGCGGGAAGTTAATAGGTCACCTCCTTCCCCTGTGCCTCGCCAGTGCCTGGCAGACAGAACTGTGGGGGACTCTCACCAAATTCCCGTCAGGGGACGGAGGGATTATTAAGCCGTGTGCCTAGCAATGCAGGCCATTGTGGCAAACTGGCCGGCTGGAGGAGCCACTGGGAGGGCTCACTGGCACCTGGCACCCCTTCTGGAGGAGCTCACTCCTGCTGGAGTGCACCGCCCAGTGGATCCGCTGCCCACACACCTGAGCAGGAAAGCCAGGCTCATCCCCGCAGGGCCTGCTGTAGGGCCTCCTAGGCTTGTTATGGGTCCCTGTTTACTTCTCATGGGCACTCCTAGGTCAGTGGTTTTCTAATTTTTTAAACAAGTTTCTGGAACCTTTCTTTAAACAAAAACTTACAGAGAAGGCTGGGAACACCCCAGATGACCGTCAGTAGGAAAAATGGGTAAACAATCTGCAGTGTACTGTTCAGCAGTAAGAAGGGGCCAACTATGAACAGGCACAGAACGTGAATGAATTGCAGGAACCCTGACGAAGGAGCCAGATACAAGGGCTGTACACTGTGGCCATGCTCATAAGAGTGCCAGAGCAGGCAGAACTAATCCATGGTGGACCAAGACCAGGCTGCTGGTTACCTCTGGGGGGACCACAGGGATGGGAGGGACTGGAGAGGGGCACTTGGAACTTCCTGGGGTGATGGAAATATTCCAGGTCTTAATCGGGTTTTGTTTGCACATGTATATGCATTTTACAAACCTCAGAGAAGTACATTTTGGATTTATGTGTTTTATTGTACGTGAATTTTACATCAAAAGAAAAACTGTAAACAAAAACCCTGTAAGGGAGGATTGTTCTGATTTGAGTGGGGACAGGAGACCTGGAGGCCTTGGTGGGCTACTAGCACCTTCTCCACCCCACACCCTTCCTAAGCTGCTGTGAGTCTAGTTGAAAACCCACTGCTCAATTACTGCAATGATTTGGGGTGGGGATTTTGACCAAATTGAGGTTTGTTAAAAATAACATTCTTCAAATATCAAGAAGATATAAAATGCAACTTTGAGCATATACAGGCTCTGAGGGGAAGCTCCGTGTATAGGAATATCGTAATTAGCAGCATCCATAACTTCCATAGCGATTCTGTGATGCCACCTTAAAGTTTCAAGATATAAGATTAAAGCCCAGTAACCAGTTTTTTAAATATAAGATAGTGAGGAAAACTGGTGTTATTATATTACCTGCCAGGTGCTAAATATAAGGATATCTTTGGTTTTTAATGAAGTCATCTTTAGAGTCCTCAGCACCTTTCCCACATGCTTGCAGCCCCTGGTAAGGGAAATGATTAAAAGTCACTGTTATAGACACTACCCTTATGCCATTCCTAAGAGGCTCCTCATTTTACATTGCAGGCATGGCTGGCGCTATTCACTTTCTCTCTGATGTCCTGGGACCAGAGACATCACGGTTTCCAGCATTTGAACTTGACTCTTCGAAGAGGGATTAAAAGGTGCAAAAAGACAACTAAAATACCCATTTGGACCAAAAGCCACCAGATTGCTTAGTGCCTGACACAGAAACAACTGGGAATCCTGAAAGAGAAGCAGACACCGTCACAGGCCCCTCTGGTTAGACTAGCATGAGTGACCGAAGCCATCCATCAACATTTTCTAACAGCACCCTCATCAATATAAAATATGACTTCTTCACATACAGATTCTCTGTAGTGTTTGCATGTTTCTTGGTGTTTGTTGTCTCCAGGTGTAAGCTGTTTTAAATGGAAGGCCCTTCTATTCCTGAGGGCTCAGAGCTGACCATGCATGAATGTATGGCAGTGTCCACTTTTCTGTATAAAATGTATAAAGTGGGGTTTCTTCCATATTGACAAATGAGGGAACAGGTGGTGTCTATCTTGTATATCAGAAAGATTATCTAGGGTCTATCCTAGTGATAATACATTGTCAGCCTTTTCTGTGGCACCTTCCAGATGAGAATGAGGGAGCGACCACTCCAAGGACGGACAGGACCAGCAGTTCTGCAGGGGCGTGCTGGGGTGGTTTGGGAGTGCACAGCTGAACGCTTCCCGTTTGGATTTTACACTCACCTTCGTGTTTTAAAGAAGCCTCAGAGTGCATTGCAGCTCTGTCAGGGCCCCATTCCCAGCAGAGGCTTCAGGTGCTTTGTGTAGAGTCCAGGGCAGCTGGAGCTTTGTTGGGGAGACTTCTGGACCCAAAGGGAGCTTTCCCAAGAAGCCTTTGATGGCCACACTGTAGGCAGCAGTGACTAAGCACTGGCAGTTCCAGAACATTTACCCAGGTATATGTTACTAAAACAGGCTCCACCTCAGTTTATCAACATTATAAGTTACTGTTCTAAGAAAAGTAAATACAGTTCCAGATGGGTTATTGCAGATTAACAGAAAGACACTCAACTGGACTCATGTCCCTGCAATTAAACTTACTTCAACCTTTTGGAAAGTTATCAAAATCTAAATTTGGAATGAATGCATTTCCTATTTTTTGTCTACTTTTGGGTGATAAAAAGTACTAGCCCTTATTTATAGATATGAGAAACATAATGTTCTAACCAACAACATTATGGTATTTGTGTGACTTTTATTTGAAAAAATGTGAGCAGTAATTTGGGTTAGCCTACCTTCATTAATTCTATCACATAGATTTCAGTTTTTAGAAGGGTTTCTGTCATCATGGAAGAGGTGGTCTGGGACTAGGTACTTCTCGTCTTGTGAGCTAAGGCTTGTGTCATGAAAGACAAGAGGCCTCTCTTAACAGCCCAGTCCTTGTCTGCAGGGGGAGGCCTGAGCATTTCCCAGCCCCAGTGTCCACACCTCTCAGAAAAGAGAAAAAAGAATGTCAGTTTAGGAGAAAAGCTTCCTTTTTACTTGTGTGGTTATGTGTGGGGCTGGCACCCGAAATGTGTGACATTCAGCTTCTAAACGATGCCTGGAGAGTCTGTTTGCTGCAGACACCCTTGCTCCTGAGTCATTATTTTCTTTCATGTTAGATTGATGACTTCTGTGAATAGAAATCATCCTGATCCTATTTTACCTGGCCTCCAGGGCCTGTTGATGGGCTTTGCAGGCAGTCCAGCAGCCCACACCTGCAGGCAGGATGCTGTCGTCAATGAGCTGAGGGTAGCTGCTTTGCTGAAGACCTCACACGATGTCCAATCTCATCCAAATAACATTGTTCCCATCCTCCCCACCCACCACATCAAAACATAACACATCACAGCACTCAGTAGAGGTCCTGCCTCCCCATTTCTCAAGGGAAGCCAGTAGGCAACACAGCCAGCACGGTGCTCTCCAGGGCAGCCCCTCTCAGACGAGGAGGCAGCGGGTGCAGCCAGGTGTCTGCAGAGCAGCCACAAAGGTGGCCTAGGATGCGGGTGTCTCCCCAGGTGAGTCCATCCACACACGTTTGAAAAACACTATTAGTCTTTCTAACACACTGAGGGAAAGATTAAAATCTGTGGAATAAAGGAGGAGATTTTATTTACAGATTTTTTTAAAAGCCACCTGGGTTGACACCTTCCTACTTATCCACTAGATGTCATCAGAGGTGCTGTTCCGTGGTTCTGCATTAACCCCTGCCTCATGTCTGTAACATGTGACAGTAATTCCAGCTCGGTCCCTCCAGGCAAAGGAGAAACGGGACTTACTTCACAGGACAGAGGATTGACAGAAGTCAGTTTAAGATAAGTGTTTGAATCAGATTTCAGTACATCTCATTCATTTCTTAGATTTGTATTCACAATTGTGTTCTCTAAAATGTGTCTAAATTTTAAAAATATGTACATGCATAATGTCATTTTAAAATCTGAAGGAAAGAATTTGAAGTCCACAAAAAGTGTTTGAGGTTCTTTGGTTTTGTTAGTAAAAGCCAGTTCTGTGGTGATGACCTATGGAATCGTCATTCGTTTTCATTTCTCCGTGTTTGAGAGTGACATTGGTTAGGAGCAATGGCGACTGTTCCGAAGGTTGGATTCTTCACTTAAAAATGCGGCAGTTGCGGCTGGGCATGGTGGTTCATGCCTGTAATCCCAGCACTTTGGGAGGCCGAGTTGGGCGGATGATGAGACCATACTGGCCAACATGGTGCAACCCCATCTCTACTAAAAATATAAAAATTAGCTGGGCGTGGTGGCGGACACTGTAGTCCCAGCTACTCGGGAGGCTGAGGCAGGAGAATCGCGTGAACTGGGGAGGTGGAGGTTGGAGGTTGCACTGAGCTGAGATCACAACACTGCACTCCAGCCTGGTGACAGAAGGAGACTCCATCTCAAAAAAAAAAAAGTGGCAGTTGCTCGCCTTATGATGTTCTAGTTGCAGGTTTCTTTTTCTTTCTTTTTTTTTTTTTTTTTTGAGACTGAGTTTCACTCTTGTTTCCCAGGCTGGAGTGCAATGGCGCAATCTTGGCTCACTGCAACCTCCACCTCCCAGGTTCAAGCGATTCTCCTGCCTCAGCCTCCCGAGTACCTGGGATTATAGGCGCGAGCCACCATGCTTGGCTAATTTTGTATTTTTAGTAGAGATGGGGTTTCACCGTATCAGCCAGGTTGGCCTCGAACTCCTGACCTCAGGAGATCCACCCGCCTCAGCCTCCCAAAGTGCTGGTATTACAGGCGTGAGCCACTGCGCTCAGCCCTAGTTGCAGGTTTCTATCTATAAGTACATTCTTTTTGATTCCAACAACAAGACCTTTGGAACCCTGGGTCAGAAGAGCCACATCTATCAAGCTCCCTCCTTGTGATGGGCCCTTTGTTTTCACAGCAGCACTGGGAAGGGGGACTGTTGTAATTAACACTTTCTCACAGACGAGACAGTGCCAGACTTGCCCAGCATCTCACAGCCCGCGTGTGGGACAGTCGGGTCAGACTCAGGTGCTGCTCATGGTGCTAAGTTGCACCCACTCCCTCTTCCCCTGGGTGCTCGATGCAGAAGGAAAGCCACGGAAACCCAGGAAGGCCCTGCGACATGACCATGAGCACATGGCTAGTGAACAGAAAAGCAGGACGGACCATATAGGGCTGCTTCCTCTGGCCCTGTCATATCTGCTCCCCCACAGCCTTCTAGGTGGGGAGGGACCCTACAGCCATTTGTCGGAATTGAAACTGCTTTTTAGCTTAGGCAGTTTTCACATCTGTTGCTTCATTTGCTAAATTTACAAATACAATGGTCCAAGTTTAAAGTCCAGGTTCCCTAAGACGTCTTTACAAACCATCTCCACTCCCGCCCAGGCTCTGCGCCGCGACTTCTATGGCTCTACCTTTCATGAGCCTCATAGTCTGGTGAGAGACTGGATGTGTAATGTGGATGGGACCATTGGTGGTCCTCAGGAGGCATTGAGCCCACTACGTTGCATGCAGAATTCTGTGTGCATATGATTACTGACATGGAGAGAGGGTTCCCAGTTTTCATTACCGCTTCAAAGCGGTGTGTGACCCGAAAAAGGTGAAGTTTCAGGCTGGGGGGTAAAGAAGTGTGTGTGGGCCAGCCGGGCTTCAAAGCATGGAGCCGGGGGTGCTGTGGGAGGCGGACATGGCAGCAGGATTGGATCAGGAGGTGCCGTCGCATTTAGGAAGACCCCTCCTGTGGTAGAAGATGCTGCCAGCAGGTCCTGACTTTTCCACATCAGTGTCAAAGTCCAGCGTGACCAAGTCCCTGGTGCCTGTCAGCCTCTTCTCTGCTTCCTGGTACACAGCTGTGGGCATAGGAAGTGGTGGTCCAGGCAGCACAGTACGCAGCCCCGAGTGAGCCGGCCAGTGCGCTTCTGGAAGGCTATTCCATCCATTGTCTCCTGTCAGAGGCAGGGCTCCTTTATGATCCTGTTTTACCCAGGCTGCAGCTCCCCAGAGGCTGAGGCGCAGGGGCTCTCAGATGCCTGGGGCTATCCTGAGATCAGTCGGCTTCACAAATCTGACTGTTCCCAGCTCCCTCTCCCGTTTGGAGGTGGGAAGCTCGGTTCTTCTGCTCAGCAAATGCTTACGGAGCATCCACACTGTGCCAGGCATTGTGCTGAGTGCTGTGAGTGGAATGATGAAAAACCACCCTGGCTCCTGTCCTCAGTCAGCATCGCATCAGGCCTGAGGAACCTCTGCAGCACGGCAGAAGCCTTGAGCTGAGCTCAGACTCAGAGGGCCTCCCTCAGAAGGACCCCGGAGTGTTCCTCTGCAGTGAGGTGAGGACAGCTAGCTTCTGGGTGAAGGATGTTGTACGCCTCTTCCAGATAACAGCAGGAGGCGGACCAAAGGAAAGTGGGGGTCAGCTCAGCCTTGCAGTGTGACACCTTGTGGGCATGAAGGTGAAGGTGGTAGTCCCTGTCGTCAAGGAGTATATGGTCTACAAAGAAAGTAATAAATACATGTTTACATTTTACAGCCAACCCAGGGTGGTGTGTGTTAAGAGCAGAGACTCTGGAGCCTGGGAGCTTGTGTTCACCTCTGAGCTCACCTGTTCCCTGTGGGAACTTGGTCAAGTTATTTCTTGAGCCTCCATTTCTTCTCTATAAAATCAGGACAATGGTAATATCTACCTTATTTGGTAGGTGGGAGGATTTAAATGACAAATGGGAAAAGCCTCTAGTCCGTGTAAGTGCTCTGATGGGGCAGGTGAAGGTGCCGGTGATTGGCTTTCATGTGAGGAAGCACTCACCTGCCTGCATCGTGGAGGGAAATGCAGATCTGTCCTACTTCAAAGTCTCATGCCTCATCACAACCCCGTGTCAGTCCTCTGCTTGGCAGCCCTGGGCTTTCAGACAATTGTGCATGAGTGTGTGTGCATGAGTGTGTGTGTGTGCGTGTGTGTGCGTGCGTGGGTGTGTGTGCGTGTGTGCGTGCGTGTGCGTGTGTGCATGTGCATGCGTGTGTGTGCATGCATATGTGAATTGGTAACTGCCCCAGGATCCTTCAAGAGGAAAAGATGCTGCAGGAGCAAAGATGTCCTAAACCACAGTTTCAGGCTTATTCAAAATCCAGGAATTCAGAGAGACCAGGGTGTCAGCTGCTTTGGTGTTTTCTTGGGCATCCCAGGGAGCTTTCCCTGGTTCTGTGGCCCCCTCCACCCTCCTCCTTACTGTACAAGAGAAACTTGTGGCTTTCATAGGATCATCCAGCAGATACGCTGCTGCTCACATGTTGATAAAGATATTACCCCACTCTTAAAGTATTGCCCTAGGAGAATAAAACGTGTCCCGAGCAGCATAATCACACATTCATCTGTAAGTGTATAAGTATTCCTAAAGTTCCAAGAACTGACAAGGCCAGCCTTTCAGACCATTCCTAATGGAGGTGGCAGGGAAGTTACCAAACACTGTGCTCAGTTGCTGGAAACTAGGTGTGATCCCCAGGATAAGAGAGGGTGACCTACACACATCCTCTTGGCAAGCCAGAGGTGGCCTGGCTCCCGAGGAGTCCCCACGGAGGCCGCCTCGTAGCTGTAAGGAGGGCTGGGAGCATCTGCAGTACCTGCTCCCTCACAGCAGCTGAGGAACTTATTTTGAGTCCTTGTGTGCCAGAAAGATGTCTTTCATCTGCTCTGACACTGAAATCATAGTTTGACTGCTTAAAGGATTCTCGACTGGTTATCCTACTGATATCTCAAGGCATTGCTCTGCTGTCCTAAACCTTCCATTGCTGCCTGTGGGGATTTCATAGCCATTGGGATTCTTGTTTCTTTGTATTTGATCTTGCTTTGTATGATTGTTTTGCAAGTTGTAGGATTTTCATCTGATAATAGGCCTAGTCCTGGTTCTTAATGGGCCCTTCCAATCTGTAAATTCATGTCTTTCAATTCTAGGAAATTTTCTTGAGTTATTTCTTTACTGCCTCCACCCACCCTCTGTCCTTGTCTCTTTTTCTTGAACACCTGTTATTTGGATGTTAAGCCTCTTAATATAATCCCTGATTTTCTTTCTTCTGTTTTACACCCCTTTGTCTTTTTACTTTACTTTCTGAGAGATTTCAACTTTATCTTCCAGTCCTTCTATTGAATGTTTCATTTCGTTTTTCTTTTCTGGAATTTATTTTTTATATCAGTGTATCTTTTATATAGTATCCTGTTTGTATTTTTTTTTTTTTGGAGACGGAGTTTCTATCTTGTCGCCCAGGCTGGAGTACAGTGGCACGATCTCAGCTCACTGTAACCTCTGCCTCCCAGGTTCAAGTGATTCTCATGCCTCAGCCTCCCAAGTAGCTGGGATTACAGATTACAGGCGCCCCCAACCTCACCCGGCTAATTTTTTGTATTTTTAGTAGAGACAGGGTTTCACTATGTTGGCCAGGCTGATCTTGAACTCAGGTGATTCGTCTGCCTCG
Source organism: Homo sapiens (assembly GCF_000001405.40). NCBI lineage: Eukaryota > Metazoa > Chordata > Mammalia > Primates > Hominidae > Homo > Homo sapiens. Next base: position 55,438,148 of record NC_000007.14, read on the forward strand.
GCCCCCCAAAGTGCTGGGATTACAGGTGTGAGCCACTGCGCCTGGCCCTTCTTTGTATTTCTTGGTTTTGGTGTCTTATCTCTCCGAGGATGTTAATTTATCCAACTGGTTAATGTATCCAACTGAGTAAGTGCTTACTCAGCACCAGACATTACGGAGGCACTTGGAATCCATCAGTGAAGAAAACAGGCGAAGACACTCACCTGAATGCGTCTGCAGTCTAGCAGTTGGAGACAGTACACATAAGTGTGTACATTTTCTTATATGTTATAAGGTAATAAATGATACAGAAAAAGGATAAAGCAAGCAGGATCAGGGAGACTGATGGTGGGAGGTACACAGGAGGCTCTTTGAAATAGAACGGTAACCATGACACCAAAGTCAACACTCGGAGAAAGTGAAGAGGCTGGCAGGTGAATAAGTGTGGACAGGGCGCCTCACAGAGCAGGACAGGCAAAGGCCCCGGGGAAGCACTTCTCACTCGCTGCAGAATCGCAGGCCTTGGAGAAGGCACAGAGGCTTTGAAGGCCATTCTTAGGAGTCTGGCTCTGACCATGGGTGAAACAGAATGCTCTGGAGGGCTGTGAGTGAAGGAAGGCATTATCTGGCCCACATTGTAAAGGGATCACTGTAGGAGCACAGGCAGGAGCAGAGACCCAGGCAGCGGGTCTGGGAGGGAAACGGCTGTGGCTACGCAGGTGCAGGTGGTGAGCGCAGTCAGAATCTAGACAGATCTTGAGCTGGAGCCAGCAGGACTTCCTGGCAGTCAGGGGCAGAGTAAGACAGTTGTCAGCTATGGCTCAGGCACAGTGGCTGGACATCTGGCAGGGCGCCACAGGCTGAGGCATGCAGGTTGGGCTGGGAGGGCCGGGCTGAGATGGAACCCGGTTGTACGCACATTGAGTTCAAGGTGGTTTATTAGAGGCGGGCGAGTCTGGAGTTTGGAGGGAAGTCTGTGATGGAGGCGTCACTTTGGAGTTGTTTGCTTATCGATGTTATTTAAAGGCAGGAGACCTATAAGGTTACCAGGGAAGTGAGGGAGATGAGAGAGGGAAGGGAGCCAGGACACAGCCCTGGGCCACAGCAGCAGAGAAGAGGAGAAGGCGCAGTCACTGAGGTAGGGAGACAAGAGTCTGTTTCCCTGGAAGCCGTGTGTGGAGAAGGGAGGGGTCGCCTGTGTCAGAGGCTTCTGACGCATGAGACAAAAGCCAAGCACTGGTCATTGGAGTCAGTGTGGAGGTCTGCGGTGAACTCCTCGGCAGCACAGGCAGCACTTGACAGGAGTTTCATTGAAAAGGTAGGACAAAGAGAGTCACAGCTGGTGAGCGAAATAGGGTCAAGAAAAACTTTTTCAGAAAAATAACAGGATGTTTGTAATTTGATGGGAATGATAAAATGGGCAGTTGGAAAGAAGGGGTGATATAACACAGGACGCAGTGGAAGTGCTGGAGTGACGTCTCCAAGGAGGCAAGGGCCTGGGGGCTGGTGTCCCGGGACTAGGGATCCGACAGGAGCGCCAACACCGCTGTGGGTGAACAGACACCGGTTGGCACAGGAGCAGTGGGCGCTGCCTCTGAGTGCTTCAGTTCTCAGTGAAGTAGGCGCCAGCTCAGCAGCATCTGCTGCCTGAGGATGGAGGAGGCGGAGGTGCTGGGATTGAAGGCAGAAGAGAAAGTGTGAAAGCACCCAGGAGGAGAATGAATGAGCTGATCTCCAGCTGCATCCTGCCAGAGAGCACCAAGTGGATCTGCCAAACACAGACTGCTGGGCAGGCATCTGATTCAGTAGGTCTGGGTGGGGCTCGAGAATGTGTATTTCTAACAAGTTCCAGGATGACACTAATGCCGCTGGCTGGGGATCCCACACTTCCAGATGACACTGGTCTGGAGGCAGGTTGCGTGGTAGCCTCAGGGGCTCCCGTGGTCACCGCTGGTGAGAGCGGGTGGCAGGTTTGTGCGTTCCTTGCCAGGCATTCAGCTTGCCATTTAGTTTATCTGACCTGCTTTTTCCTGCATGTGGGCTCATCAGCCACCCTCGAGGGTACACATAGTGACAAGCTGCAGAACATTCGTGAGTGGGGACAAAAGCTGAGTGGAAATGCTGGCCGGGGTGGCTCATGTCTGTGAAGCATGATCTGGCTGGACCTTTTAGAGGGGCCCTGGCATCAGTTTCTGGGGTTGGCAGCTCCTGCTGAGCAGGCTCCCAGCCACCTGTCCTACACAGTGGCACTCTGACCTTCACTCTGGGCAAGAGACCATCCGTTTTACTTTTTCTAGCAAAGGGCATCTGGGGGCTGACTGATATCTGGCCTGCCTTTGAGTCAGCCTCCTCACTGCCAGCCAGAGGCATGGGATCTGGGGCCACGCTTCCAGTGACTGACAGCGGCTGGGCTCAGGGCTCACCTATTCCTCCGTCCTCCCACCACCTCACTGTTCAGCTGTTGGTCAACACTTGCTTCCTCTGCTTTTCAGCTTCCCCATTTGAGCGGCTGTCTCCTGCCCTCTTGCCCCAGGTCTGCCTGGTCTCATGGACCCTGGGAGGGAGCACAAGCGTGTGCCTGGCACAGGCTGTCCCTGGGCCTGCACACAGACCTGCTGCCCCCATAGCCTGCTGGGTTCGAGGACCAGAGACAGGCCGGATGTATTTAAGCCCATGAGGGTTTGCATCTCAGTACTTTTCCTGGGACTCTTCCTGAGCCGTACTGAGTATACGCCGCTGGCACAGTCGTCACACATGGAGCAGAACATCCACGCCCCTCACTCCTCCTTGTCCTGTGCCAAAACCATGTTCAGGGATCAAAGAGGGGCACGGAACACACCCGGATGACTCTGCTTTTCTGAAATTTTCTCGCATGGAATTATTTTGCTGATATCTTCATTTTGTGATTCTATCCTATATGGAAAGCCTATATTCCATCTTGTCAAATGGAAAAGTTCACAAATTGGGACCATTTTCTGTTTCTAAGACCCCATAGCCTCTAGGTTGCTTGCCGGCACAGAGCCGCCCGCTCTGCAGATGGCTGTGTCTCCACAGCCTTCCTGGAAGAACAGCCTCAAGGGCTGCCAGCATCAGAAGGACATGGCTGGGGAGGAGGGAAGGGGGAGGAAGTGGGAACTGCCATGGCCTATGGTACAACTACAAAACCAAAAAGCCTTGCCCCTCTCTCCGATTTACCTCCCCCAACTTGAAAAGCATGAGGGCGTCACAGACATCATCTGCTGATGCCTGAAACTCCTGTATTCCACACCCAGAGACAAGCGCACAGTTAAAAGTGCCTGGGCAGGTGAGGGTGTGATTCACTCACCATGGCAAGAGTGGTCTCTGGCATTAGACCCTCTGGGTTCCAATCTGGGCTTTGCCACCTTCAATACTGCCTTATGGGGTTATTGGGAGGATTAAATAATTTGAGTAACGCACTTAGCATGGTACAAATGTTCAATACATGCCACTTTTAGATTAAATTAAGGATTAAGTAATGGACATCAGACAGTTTTCTAGGAAAAAAAGTTAATCATGGAACTGCTTGCTTCTGTAGCTGCGCCCCATCAGAGAGCAGTAGCGCACCCCCACCCTCACCCCCCAGGTCATTGGTTCTTTCTGCCAGACCTGCCCCACTTCCTTGGTTCTTCTGGGAATAGCAGTCCCTCCCTTCAGGGAACTGCTCTTCCCATTCAGATGAAGCAGCTTCAGCACACACATGCCTCACACATGGCTGGCTCTTCTGGGGAGATGTGGAATTTAATCTAAAATTAGCACATTTTGAGTCATCAGTAATGTTCCCAGTGGCCTACTCAAGGGATATAGCAACAGGGACTCCTCATTCTCTTTATTGTAAGCTCTGATACATTTAATGCATTTAATTGCTTGAGTGCATTTCATTTCTAATGTATAATAATAATATCGGCCATTATTGAGCTGGGCACTGTGCAAAGCACTTGATAAGCATCATTGCATTCAATTATCCTGTTTGGCCCTATTATAAGCCTGTACATAGGCTTCTCAGACACAGTTTATGACATGTGAGGCGGCTGAGGGTGGGTAGAATTGCCCAGGGTCACACAGCTAGAGAGTTGCGGGGCAGAGGTTCCATCAGACCTTAATTTATGAGAGTGGCATCCAGACATTTCAAAGTCAAGGATAAAAAATGGAACTAATCTACATTCTCCGAAGGGTGGAGGAAGACAGGCTATGAGAGTGGACTGGAGAGTGACATCACAGCATCAAGAGCTCTGTGGACAGAGAGCAAAGCAACGCCAGAAGACGTGCTAAAGTCAAAGCATTAAATTGTGTACACAAGCTATATATTCGTGTCTTATAGCCTGTTCAAACAAGTGGGTTGTCAGTGTCTCAACCTGACAAGGATCTGAAGGAATAATAGAATGCAACTGGTACTGCTTTGTACCCCATCAGTTAATGAGTCTAGGCACTGATCGTTGGTGGCTCTCTGAAGACAAGCAGATGTGCGTACCTTCTAATGGAAATACACACCACTTTTGAAGTAGACCAAAAAAAAAAAAAAACCTAAATCTGATCAAGGTTCTCTATCTACCAATTTATAAGAAATACAGTGGCAGAGGGCAGAGGAACATGCTGGAAAATACCATGAGGATGGATGCAAGAGGCTAGGCCCAGAGAGTGGGTGAAGCTGCAAGAAAAACGACACGGTTTCTTTGGAAAATAAAAAGCAGGCCGGGTGCGGTGGCTCATGCCTGTAATCCCAGCACTTTGGGAGGCTGAGGCAGGTGGATCACGAGGTCAGGAGATCGAGACCATCCTGCCTAACACAGTGAAACCCCGTCTCTACTAAACAAAATACAAAAAATTAGCCAGGCGTGGTGGCAGGCGCCTGTAGTCCCAGCTACTCAGGAGGCTGAGGCAGGAGAATGGCGTGAACTCAGGAGGCAGAGCTTGCAGTGAACCTAGATCGTGCCACTGAACTCCAGCCCGGGTGACAGAGCAAGACTCCGTCTCAAAAAAATAAAAATAAATAAACTAAAAAATAAAAAGCAAATGGAATTAAAAATGGACAAAGACGGAAAATTTAGGTTCAAAAAGATATAGAAATCTCATGCTATGAACCTTATTTGGATCAGATACAAACAATTTTTAAAAAACAGATAAATGTGGCTGGGCGTGGTGGCTCACGCCTGTAATCCCAGCACTTTGGGAGGCTGATGCGGGCGGATCACAAGATCAGAAGATTGAGACCAACCTGGCTAACACGGTGAAACCCCATCTCTACTAAAAATACAAAAAATAAGCCAGGCGTGGTGGCGGGCGCCTGTAGTCCTAGCTACTCGGGAGGCTGAGGCAGGAGAATGGCATGAACGCAGGAGGCAGAGCTTGCAGTGAGCCAAGATCACGCCACTGCGCTCCAGCCTGGGCAACAGAGAGAGACTCTGTCTCAAAAAACAAAACAAAACCAAACAAACAAACAGAAAACAGATAAATGTAAATACTGGTTGGATCTGTAAAGATATGAAGGAATTATTGTCCCTTTTTTTTTTTTTTTTTGAGACGGAGTTTTGCTCTTATCACCCAGGCTGGAGTGCAATGACACAATCTCGGCTCACTGCAACCTCTGCCTCCTGGGTTCAAGCGATTCTCCTCCCTCAGCCTCCTGAGTAGCTGAGATTATAGGCGCACATCACCACGCTCAGCTAATTTTTGTATTTTTCAGAGACTGGGTTTCACCGTGTTGCCCAGGCTGGTCTCAAACTCCTGACCTCAGGTGATCTGCCCGCCTCAGCCTCCCAAAGTGCTGGGATTACATGCATGAGCCACCATGCCTGGCCTATTGTAATTTTTAATTCAGATTGATATGTTGCCTGCTGAAATATTTATAGATGAAATGTTCAGGATTTGCTTCAATATGATGCAGGGAAGGGCCAGAAGGAGTGTAGATCCATAAAACAAGACTGGCCCTTTATCTATTGCTGTGTGATAAATCACCCCAATAAGTGACAGCTGCCGTACCCGGCCGTAACTTCTTTATTTTATAATTTATCTACTGTAGTCTAGAGCTTTGATGATGGTTTGGAGGCTTGTCCCATGTCATCAGCTTAAGTTAGAGATCATCGGACAAGAGTCATGTTGGGTTATAGGCCCACCTTATTCCAGTATGTCCTCACCTTGACTAGTTACATCTGCAATGACCCTATTTCCAAATAAAGTCGCATTCTAAGAGTCCAGGAAGGACATGAATTTTGAGGAGACACTGCCCAACCCAGTACATTCTTCATGTGTGCCTGTTCACATGGCTGCTTGAGTCCCTATGACATGGCAAGGATCCAAGAGAGTCCAAGGCAGAAATTGCAACTCACTTTATCAGAAGTCACACACCATCACCTCTACCGCATTGTATTCAGTGTAGAATTGACTGCACAAGGGCACAAATATCAGGAGGCAGAGAGGATTGAGGGCCACTCTGGAAACTGGATACAGGACTCATATCCCTCCACCTGAAAAATACACTCTGCCCTCCCCAGCTCCCATGTGTTCACCCCATTGTGGCATCAGCCTCTGCTCAGTTGCTGGGGCACAATGCCTGCCAGCTTCGTAGAAACTCTTTTTTTTTTTTTAAATCTAAACAGTTGTCTGAGGCATGACCCCAGAATTTTCTCTTAACAAAACTCTTAACAAGAGATTTTACAAGCTATACCCTTGATTTTCTCTTTATACCATATTTTTCTGACAGTACCTTGGGTTTTATTTTTGCCTGGAAGCCATTTCTTAAATTTGGCATTATTTGCCATCTGGAAGGTCTGAGAATTTTCAAACCAGCCTGACTGCTTTATGTTTAATAGCCCTCTCTTTGGCTTCTTTCTCTGACATTTCTTCTTGCTCTTTATGTAAAAAGAGGAGGAGCCAGACAACATCTTTGACCTTCTGCCTGGAAATTTCCTGATAAGTCACTGGGTTTATTAGGTACATTTTCTATTTTCTCTCTTGGAAGATGTATCTTGCATAACAGAACAGAAGAGGGGGTGAAACCATTTTGTCATATCTGCTTTAGCACGTGTGCTCTTTCTTTTGCTCTCTCTCTCACTTTCTCTACACACACACACAGACACACACACACAGACACACACACACAGACACACACACACACACACAGACATACACACACAGACACACACACACACAGACACACATACCTGCTGCATCATTTGAAAATAAGCTGTAGACATTGGGACCCCTTACTCCTACACACTTCATATGCCTCTTCTAAAAATAATAAACTGCCACATAATCATAATACCAGTATTGCACCTGAGAAAGCTAACAATGATTTTGATAATACTATGTTGCATCCAAGCCATATTCAGTGTTCCCCCAATTGACTTTGAGGTCTGTATTGTTTTTCAATCAGGATCCAGTCTAAGTACATCTTTTATGTTTCTTTCATCTCTGTCAACCTAGGACAATCCCCTCAACCTGGTGTTTTTGTTTTGTTTTTAATGGTGCTGACTTTCTCAGGACTCCAGGACTGTTGTATGGAGCTTCTCCTTTATGGGTTTGTCTGCTTCTTTCCCTCTGGTGTCATTTAACTTGTTCTGCAATCTCCCACTTCCTATAAACAGGAAGTTAGGTCTACCCTTTAGAGCTGTGGTGTCCAATATGGTAGCCACTAGCCACATATGGGTATTTATTAATGAATTTAATTTGATGAGGATTAACTTAAATTTAAGAATTAAGTTCATCGGCCTTACTAGCCTCATTTCAAGTGCCCAGTGTTCACATGTAGCTAGTGGCTATGTATTGGGCAGTGCCTGTGTAGAACATTTCCATCCTCATAGAAAGTTCTATTGGATAACACTGTTGTGGAGGTATCCAGGTGAAACTTTTTTTTTTTTTTTTTTTGAGACGGAGTCTCGCTCTGTCGCCCAGCCTGGAGTGCAGTGGCATGATCTCGGCTCACTGCAAGCTCTGCCTCCTGTGTTCATTCCATTCTCCTGCCTCAGACTCCCAAGTAGCTGGGACTACAGGTGCCCGCCACCACGCCCAGATAATTTTTTTGTATTTTTAGTAGAGACGGGGTTTCACCATGTTAGCCAGGATGGTCTCAATCTCCTGACCTCGTGATCTGCCCACCTCGGCCTCCCAAAGTGCTGGGATTACAGGCGTGAGCCACCGCGCCCGGCCGAGGTGATACATTTTTGATATGAGTACTACTTCAGTGATACTGGCACTTCATATTACATCACATGAGAAGTGCTGGCTGGGAAGTCCTGTGTGCCCTGAGGGACTACTGTAAACTGTGCACATGTAACTTAGAGATACCACACCCTTCCCTGCTGTAGACATTCTTCTCTGGTCCTGTCAGCCTGGATGCTACATCCTGTGATGGAAAAAAATTTCTAGGGAAAACAAAATAATTTTAGAGCTGCAAGGGAACTTTGGTATTATTTTATAAACAGCAGAGGAAACCACACCCATAGAGGTTCAAAACTTGCCCAGGGTCACTGATAGCTAATTGGCAGCCAAGGATGATCTTCAACAAACATCTTCTTATCCCTGGCCAGACTCATATATCAGAGTTGAAGTAACTTGTGGCAACTGACATCAGTTGGTACTACTAACAATCATAAAATTATGTTATGAGTATTTAACAATGCCAGGCACTGTATCTAGCCATTATAACCATTACTTCACAAGATTCTCACAACCATCTCATAAGGAGGTTAGTAACAAAACAACTGAACAGGAATTTATTCTTTCAGATGATAAACCTAGAATTGGCTCACTGCTTCAGAAGTTCAGCAATAAAAGCTGATGTCTCTGTGATTATGTTGGCCTTTCCCTCTTTGTCACAGGATAGTTATTGCAGCTCTAGATATCACATCAGTGATCAAAGCAGGGTGAACGGGCTTGTGGCAATGCCAGCAACCCTTATCCCATTTATGAGAAAAGTGAAATCTTCCCCAGGGGCTCCAGTGTGGAGTTCTATGTGCAATTCATCAACCAAAACTGTGTCATGTGATGCCCCTGCTGCAAGGGAGACTGGACAACTGAAAATGATAGGTGGCTTTTCCAGGTACTATAGAAGAATCAGGCAAGGCGTCAGATTAGGAACAGCAGCAGTTGGGTAAACCAAGCAACAGTGGAATTGTTCTATCCTGATTCGGATTGGGGAACTGATGCTCAGTGTGGCACAATACCTCCCTGCGCTTACCCGGCTAGTGAGGGGCACAGCTGGTTTGACTCCCAAGTTCACGGTGCGTAAGGTTTGCTCACTGAAGAAATGTAAGGAGGACTCTGGTGTTGCTTGGGTTCGGGGCTGGTTCAAACACTTAAACAATAGGTGAGGTCTGTATGTCCTCAAAGGACAGGGGAGAGACTGACCCCAGAGTGATGCCGCCACCTAAATAAGGAACTGAAGGCAATTCAAGAGGAGGGCTGTCTGAATGGTTGTTGGGAAGTGGATACCTAAGAGAACTACTATTTTCTCCATTCAATATATGTTTAATGCCATATTTCATATACATATGCATTTAATGCAGTATGTATGCTATAAATATACGTGTACATATACATATGTATCTCTAGTGCAATATTTCATATAAATTTTGTAAATACAGATTTAATGCTATGTTTCATATTTTCTCCCTAATCCTCTCTTCTCTGTGACAGCTTAATCCTGCCAGCCTTGGTTTTGCCAACCATGGACCCTTTCAAGAAGGTGGTTTGTGTAGGTGGTGAAGAACTCTTGTAATAAAAGAACAGAAAATGGGGCTGATTTTTCTCCCTTCAAATTGGCAATTATATATGAACTAAATCATTATAATTACAACTCATTGTAATTATGGCAAATCACTGTCATTCATTAAAAAACCATTATTCATTATCATTCACTCAAAATCATTATAATCATTATAATGATTTTCCACATATAATTCCCAATAATAAACAGTGTTGGCAAAGGCTGGCAGAATTCATAATAATTCTTCTGAAGGTAATATTTGTCAAAAGCCCTAAAATATGTACATATACTTGGACCCAGCAACTTAAATCCAGTATTTTACTCTGAGGAAATAAATGTGGATGTACGTAAAACATAGTGACAAGCATGCTCAGCAAAGCATTATTTATAATAGAGAAAAATTAGCAAGAATGCAAGCAAGAAAACAGATTGGAGAAATGTATCAATATCATAAAGTTCAAAATGAAACAAAACACATGGTAAAATTATAAAAGCAAAGAAATTATAAACACAAAATATGGGATAATAATGGGAGTGCAATGAGAAAGATTCATAGGGACCTCATTTCTATTTCTGAAGTGGGATGGGCGTACAGTGTGTTCATGTTATTGTATTTGGTCTGCATCATCCACAATTATGCCAAGAAACTGTGGGGCACCACAATAAAGGTTGATTTTTCGCTCGAGCCCCGGTCCTGGCAGTTGGCAGGAGATCTCAGCTCCACGCAGTCAGCCAGGGACTCAGGCTCCGTCATCTTGCATAGCCTGGAATCCTCCGCGGGATCCTCCACACCCAGGCTCCAGAAAGGGAAGGGAGAGACCTTGGGGCCTGGCAGCGCTGCAGGACCAGGTCTGGGGGACTCAGGTCTCCCGCATCCTATTCCAGTGCCCAGCGCGGCCCCAGCTCGCTGCCAGGGCGCTGGCAACGGTGGGCCCGGACGAGGGGGAGGCGGCGCCCCTGGCGAGGAGCAGCATTGCCACCGCAGCCACGCGCAGGACATGCCCACCCTCTTCAATGACATATTTTATTTAAAAGTGAAAAACAAAATGGGAAGAGGGGGTTAAATAAACTGGAACAGTTTAATCGCACTGAGATGCGATGTAATCCTTAGCAGGGAAGAGGGGACCGTTGAAATACCATGAAAAATATTGGAGTAAAACAGAGACTCCCGTGTGGGTCCCGGGCTGTTGGCTAGGGTGGCAGGCCGCGTGCATTTCCTCTCTCTGCGCCTCTCTCTGCTATGAGCACGAACTATTTTCATAATTAGATAAAAAATAAAGGCATGGGTTTGGTTTCGAATAAAGACCTTGAAGTGCTTGGCAGGTGTCCGCTCCCGGAGCGCCGCGGGTCCCCTGCTCCTGTCGGCGCCCGTGCCTCAGGCGGTCCCGATCCCGCGGCACAGGGGACGGCCGGGGAGGGCCCGCGCTTCTCCCGGATGGACCGGGACGCCGGCCTTCCGGGCCCAGGAGGCCTCCCATCCCAGTCTCCCGCGGCGCCACTGCGGCCCTGCCTCGTCCGAACCCCTCTCCAGGGACGCGCAGGTCAGGGACACCCGTCCACCTGCGTCTGCCATCGCTTCGGGGCCTGCCGGTGCCCGGTCCTCGTTCAGCTGCAGCGCCAGGCCCAGGCCTGCACTACGCCGGGGTGGGGGGCCGGTCTCGGAGAAGGGCGCGGCCAGCGGGCGCAGGACAGATGGGGAGACGACGCCCCAGCCTTCCCTCCCCAGGCGCAGGGGAACCCTGAAGGCAGCTGAAGGTTGGACGAAAAGCTGCCCCTCCCTGTGACTGGCTGGGGTCACCTGGAAGGAGCCAGCTGAGCTCCGACCAGGTTCCTGCAGAGGCGTTCTGGCCACCGAGCCTGTCCTGGGAGAGGAGAGCAGCGAGCAGCCTGGCCTCCCGAGGGGACAGGAGCCCTCCACCCCCGCACTGTGCCCTCTACCGCCCCTGCCTCGGTAGGTCCTGCCACCCTCCTGCGGCCCCTGCAGCCCCTCAACACGCCTACTTCTGGGCATCAGGGATGTCACTGGTGCCAGAGGTCCCAGAGACCTTTAAGTACAAACCTGTCACCCTTGAGGGGAGAAACAAACATGTCACCCTTGAGGCGTAGCACCCAGGTGGTCAGCAGACCTTTGGAAATGCGGTTGGATGAGAAGCCAGGATTTCTGCCCTCTGTCCGCATCTTACATTTCTGTGCACCCACACTGACAAGGATGGTAATAAAGAAAAAGACGAGCAACGATTGCATTTCACCTACTTCCATTTGCTGAGAACATCTCACTCCTTCCAGGGACCCCTGAGCTTCCCCTTGGGAGTTGGAGTCACCGACTTGTGGCTGGGGGCACATTTCGGGCAGGAGACCTCAGGCTGGTCCTAGTGTTACCTCCCCGACCTGGGGGTGTTCTTGAGGTCCCACCAGTCCTCCGCCTCTTCTCTTGGGTGTCCCCAGCAGCACCTGGATGCCATTTCAGGGCTGACCACCCAGCACTGGAACTTGTGTAACCACCCAGAACCCAGGAGCTGGGCATTTCCCTATGCACTCTGGTTCTGCACTGTCCAGTAAATCACTCACCAGCGCTACCAGCTCTTATAGCCCTTGAAATGTGGCCACTCCAAGTGGAAGTGTGCATTGAGTATGTGTTATACAAACTGGATTTTGAATATGGAAAAAAGTAACATTTCTCACTCACATACTTTTATATCATTACATGTTGAAATAATACTTTGATATATTAGGCTGAATATCATTAAAATAATTTTTTTGATTAATCTTTGTAATGAAAATTTAAAGCAATGCACTGGTTCACATCATACCTTTAGTGGACAGCACTGGTAAAGAATATACATCTAAAAGCTTTTCCCCACGTAAGCTTTAAAGTAAGATGCAAAATTCCTTTCTTCTACAAAAACATGAAGGATTGTCATTGGTAAGGGCTGCGCCCAGGCAGTTTTCACAGGTACACACTTGTTATCAATCTTCTGTTCCCATGTGCACTGAATACTAGGTCTGTGGCAAATGATATCAGCACTGTTTGTGATTTCTGGAGTCCAGGGAGAAAGACAAAGAGAGTGCTCTCCAACATTCCTGTCACTGTTGAAAACAGACCAAGCCACGTTGCTCCTCCTTCATTATACTCTTGAGACCTGCACAAGAACATACATCTTTTTTTGTAAAAGTGAAGCCTGGATCTTCAGGGCTGGCATCAGAGGGAGATCTCCTAGGGAGGAGATTCAACAGGACTCAAATCTAATTCCCTTCACCTTCTTCTTGCGGGTAGGGGGTGTCTTGACAATCATCCTTGCACCCACCACACCATTTATAGGAGGGCACTGGGCCCCTTCCACACAGGCACAGGAGTGGAACGAGATCCTTTCTGGACACTTCCGCACAGCCCATCTGAGACAGGAACATTACAATAAAAAGTTATGGGGTAGGGGGCAAAAGAAACGCCTGAAGTACAGGAATACCTGGGAAATGTTGCAGGTTCAGTTCCAGAACACCATAATTAAGTGAACATTGCAATAAAGTTTGAGTCATACAAATTTTTGGTTGCCCACTACATATAGAAGTTGTTTACATTATACTGTAGTCTATGAAGTGCACAACAGCATTATGTCTAAAAGCCACAATGTACATAGCTTCATTAAAAAATACTTTATTGTGGCCGGATGTAGTGGCTCACGCCTGTAATCCCAGCACTTTGGGAGGCAGAGGCGGGCGGATCACAAGGTCAGGAGTTTGAGACCAGCCTGGCCAATATGGTGAAACCCCCGTCTCTACTAAAAATACAAAAATCAGCTGGGCGTGCTGGCGGGTGCCTGTAGTCCCAGCTATTCAGGAGGCTGAGGTAGGAGAATCACTTGAACCCAGGAGGCAGAGATTGCAGTGAGCCAAGATCGTGCCGCTGCACTCCAGCCTGGGCGACAGAGCGAGACTCTGTCTAAAAACAAACAAAAAAGCTTTATTGCTAAAAATGCTAACGGTTATCTGGGCTTTCAGTGGGTCATAATCTTTTTGCTGGTGGAGGGTGTTTTCCCAGTGTTGACGGCTGCTAACTGATCAGGGTGGTAGTTGCTAAAGGTTGGACTGGCTGTGGCAATTTCTTAAAATAAGACAACAATGAAGTCTGCCGCATTGATTGACTTTATTTCAGGAAAGATTTCTCTGTAGCATGCGACGCTGTTTGACAGAATTTTACCAATAGTAGGACTTCTTTCAAAATTGGAGTTAAACCTCTCAAACCCTGCCACTACTTTACCAACTAAGTTTATGATATATTCTGAATCCTGTGTTGTAATTTCAACAATATTCACAGCATCTTTAGTAGGAGTAGATTCCATTTCAAGAAACCACCTTCTTCACTCATCCATAGGAAGAAATACCTCATCCATTAAAGTTTTACCATGAGATTGTAGCAATTCAGTCACAACTTCAGGTTCCACTTCGAATTATATTTCTCTTGCTATTTCCACCACATCCACAGTTATTTCCTCCACTGATGTCTTGAACCCCTCCATGAAGGGGTTCAAGTCATCCATAAGGTTGGAATCAACTTCTCCCAAGCTCCTGTTAATGTTGGTATTTTGACTGCCTCCCATGAATCACAAATGTTCTTAACAGCATCTAGAATAGTAAATCCTTTCCAGAAGGTTTTCAATTTACTTTGCCCAGATCCATGAGAGGAATCACTATCTATGACAGCTATAGCCTTACAAAATGTATGTCATAAACAATAAGACTTGAAAGTCAAAATGACTCCTTGATCCATGGGCTGCAGAATGAATGTGTGTTAGCAGGCATGAAAACAACAATAATCTTCTATGTCTCCATCAGAGCTCTTGGGTGATTAGGTCTTTTGTCAATAAGCAATAATATTTTAAAAGGAATCGTTTTTGCTGAGAAGCAGTGCGCTTAAAACACTAAGCTAACCATGCTGTAAAAAGATGTGTTGTCATCCAAGCTTTGTTGTTCCATTTATAGGATAAAGGCAGAGTAGATTTTGCATAATTCTTAAGGGCCCTAGGATTTTTAGAATGATAAACGAGCACTGGCTTCAACTTAGCTCACCAACTATATTAGCCCCTAACTAGAGGGTTAGTCTGTCCTTTGAAGCTTTAAAGACAAGCGCTGACTTTTCCTCTCAAGCTACAAAGTCCTAGATGGCATCTTCTTCCAGTAGAAGGCTGTTTTGTCTACATGTAAACTCTGTTGTCGAGTGTAGCCACCCTCCTCAGTGGTCTTAGCTAGATCTTCTGCATTACTTGCTGCAGCTTCTACATCAGCACTTTCTGCTGCACCCTGTACTTCCAAGCTATGGAGATGACTTCTTTTCTTAAACCACATAAACCAACCTCTGCTAGCTTCAAACTTTTTTTCTGCAGTTTCCTCACCTCTTTCAGCCTCCATAGAATTGAAGACTATATCAGCATTGTGTGTCACTGGAATAGCGCTTTTAATTTCCTTCAAGAACTTTTCCTTTGCATTCACAAGTTGGCTACCCGGTGCAAGAGGCCTAGCTTTCAGCCTGTTTCAGCTTTTGACATGCCTTCCTTACTAGACTTAATCATTTCTAGCTTTTGATTTAAAATGAGTGACATACAACTCTTCCTTTCACTTGAACACTTATAGGCCATTGTAGGGTTACTAACTAGCCTAATTTCATTATTGTTTGTTGTGTGTCAGGGAAGAGAGTGGGAAAGAGATGAGGGAATGGAGGGTAAGGCAGTCAGA
This sequence comes from Homo sapiens, assembly GCF_000001405.40. Classification (NCBI taxonomy): domain Eukaryota; kingdom Metazoa; phylum Chordata; class Mammalia; order Primates; family Hominidae; genus Homo; species Homo sapiens. Next base: position 55,453,578 of record NC_000007.14, read on the forward strand.
ATACACGTTTATTGATTAAGTACACCATCTTGTATAGGCAGAGTTATTGGCACCCTATAGTACAACACTAACATCAAATATCACTGATCACAGATCACCATAACAGTTATTTATTAATGAAAAAGTTTGAAATATTATGTGAATTACCAAATGAGACATAGAGATAAAAAGTGAGCACATGCTGTTGGAAAAAAATGGCACTGATAGACTTCCTTGATACAGGGTTGTCACAAACTTTCAATTTGTAAAAAACTCAATACCTACAAAGAGCAATAAAGCGAAGTACAATAAAGTGTGCCTGTAATATGAATGTACAAAATATAGTAGTTTTTGAGATCTTTTTTGGTTATTTTATTATTCATTTTAACTTATTATAAAATATTTTGAACATAAGAAGTAGAGAAAATAGTATACCAAATCCTCATTTATTCATCACCCACATCCAGTCCTTATTTTTAAAATTTTGTTAATAGACATATAACAATTATATGCATTTATGGGGTATATGTCATATTTTGAGACAATTATGCAAGGTGTAATGATCAAACCAGGGTATTTAGGATAGCTCTCACCTCAGTCATTTATCTTTTTCTTGTGCTAGGAACATTAAAAATTTTCTCTTCTAAATGGATAAATTTCTGGACACATACACCCTCCCAAGACTAAACCAGAAAGAGGTCAAATCCCTGAATAGACCTATAACAAGTTCTGAAACTGAGGCAGCAATTAATAGCCTACCAACCAATGAAAGTCCAGGACCAGAGAGATTCACAGCCGAATTCTACCAGAGGTACAAAGAGGAGCTGGGAACATTCCTTCTGAAACTATTCCAAACAATAGAAAAAGAGGGAATCCTCCCTAACTCATTTTATGAAGCCAGCATCATCCTGATACCAAAACCTGGCAGAGACACAACAAAAAAAGAAAATTTCAGGCCAATATCCCTGATGAACATCAATGCAAAAATTCTTAATAAAATACTGGCAAACCAAATCCAGCAGCACATCAAAAAGCTTATGTACCATGATCAAGTTGGCTTCATCCCTGGGATGCAACGCTGGTTCAACATACACAAATCAATAAACATAATACATTACATAAAGAGAACCAATGACAAAAACCACATGATTATCTCAATAGATGCAGAAAAGGTCTTCGACAAAATTCAATAGCCCTTCATGATAAAAACTCTCAATAAACTAGGTATTGATGGAACATATCTCAAAATAATAAGAGCTATTTATGACAAACCCACAGCCAATATCATACTGAATGGGCAAAAGCTGGAAGCATTTCCCTTGAAAACCAGCACAAGACAAGGATGCCCTCTCTCATCACTCCTATTCAACACAGTATTGGAAGTTCTGGCCAAGGCAATCAGGCAAGAGAAAGAAATAAAGAAATAAAGCGTATTCAATTAGGAAAAGAGGAAGTCAAATTGTCTCTGTTTGCAGACAGCATGATTGTATATTTAGAAAACCCCATTGTCTCAGCCCACAATCTCCTTAAGCTGATAAGCAACTTCAGCAAAGTCTCAGGATACAAAATCAACACGCAAAAATCACAAGCATTCCTACACACCAATACAGACAAACAGAGAGCCATATCATGAGTGAACTCCCATTCACAATTGCTACAAAGAAAATAAAATACCTAGGAATACAACTTACAAGGGAAGTGAAGGATCTCTTCAAGGAGAACTACAAACCACTGCTCAAGGAAATAAGAGAGGACACAAATGGAAAAACATTCCATGCTCATGGATAGGAAGAATAAATATTGTGAAAATCCATACTGCCCAAAGTAATTTATAGATTCAATGCAGTCCCTATCAAGCTACCATTGACTTTCTTCACAGAATTGGAAAAAAACTACTTTCAATTTCATATGGAACCAAAAAAGAGCCCACATAGCCAAGACAATTCTAAGCAAAAAGAACAAAGGTAGAGGCATCATGCTACCTGACTTCAAACTATACTACAAGGCTACAGTAACAAAAACAGCATGGTACTGGTACCAAAACAGATATATAGACAAATGGAACAGAACAGAGACCTCAGAAATAACACCACACATCTACAACCATCTGATCTTTCACAAATCTGACAAAAATAAGCAATGGGGAAAGGATTCCCTATTTAATAAATGGTGTTGAGAAAACTGGCTAGCCATATGCAGAAAGCTGAAACTGGGTCCTTTCCTTACACCTTATACAAAAATTAACTCAAGATGGATTAAATACTTAAACGTAAGACCTAAAACCATAAAAACCCTAGAAGAAAACCTAGGCAATACCATTCAGGACATAGGCATGGGCAAAGACTTCATGACTCAAACTCCAAAAGCAATGGCAACAAAAGCCAAAATAGACAAATGGGATCTAATTAAACTAAAGAGCTTCTGCACAGCAAAAGAAACTATCATCAGAGTGAACAGGCAACCTACAGAACGGGAGAAAATTTTTACAATCTATCCATCTGACAAAGGGCTAATATCCAGAATCTACAAAGAACTTAAACAAATTTATAAGAAAAAAACAACCCCATCAAAAAGTGGGCAAAGGATATGAACAGACACTTCTCAAAAGAAGACATTTATGCAGCCAACAAACATGAAAAAAAGCTCATCATCACTGGTCATTAGAGAAATGCAAATCAAAACCACATTGAGAAACCAACTCGTGCCAGTTAGAATGGTGATCATTAAAAAGTCAGGAAACAACAGATGCTTGAGAGGATGTGGAGAAATAGGAATGCTTTTACACTGTTGGTGGAAGTGTAAATTAGTTCAGCCATTGTGGAAGACAGTGTGGTGATTCCGCAAGGATCTAGAACTAGAAATACCATTTGACCCAGCAATCCCATTACTGGGTATATATCCAAAGGATTATAAATCATTCTACTATAAAGACTCATGCACACCTATGTTTATTGCAGCACTGTTCACAATGGCAAAGACTTGGAATCAACCCAAATGCCCATCAATGGTAGACTGGATAAAGAAAATGTGGCACATATACACCATGTAATACTATGCAGCCATAAAAAAAGGATGAGTTCATGTCCTTTGCAGGCACTTGGATGAAGCTGGAAACCATCATTCTCAGCAAACTAACACAAGAACAGAAAACCGAACACCGCATGTTCTCACTCATAAGTGGGAGTTGAACAATGAAAACACATGGACACAGGGAGGGGAACATCACACACCAGGGCCTGTCGGGGGATGGGGGTCTAGGGGAGGGATGGCATTAGGAGAAACACCTAATGTAGATGATGGGTTGATGGGTGCAGCAAACCACCATGGCACCTGTATACCTATGTGACAAACCTGCACGTTCTGCACATGTACCCCAGAACTTAAAGTATAATAATATTCTCTTCTAGCTATTATAAAATATATTATTAACTATAGTCACCCTACTGTGCTGTTGAACAATATAAATTATTCCTTCTTTCGAGCTGTAACTTTGTACCCATCAACCAACCTCTCTTCGTGACACCGTGTCGCCCCAACCCCTGCAACTTCCCAGCCTCTGGTAATTATCAATCTTCCTTCTACTCGCATGAGATCACCTTTTTTAGCTCCCATATATTGCTGACAACATGTGATATTTGTTTTCCTGGCTTATTTCACTTAACATAATGACCTCGAGTTCCAATCCATGTTGCTGCAAATGATGGAATTTCATTTTTTAATGTTGCTGCAAATGACGGAATTTCATTTTTTTAATAGCGAAACAGTATTCCATTGTGTAAGTATGTCTCATTTTCTTTCTTCATTCATTCATTGATAGACACTTAGATGATTCCGTATGTTGGCTATTGTGAATAGTGCTTCAGTAAACATGGAGGTCAAGTGTCCCTGTGATACACCGATTTCCTGTCTTTTGGGTAAATACCCAGTAGTGGGGATTTAGTAGTCTGATTTAGTGGTCAGTTTTTTTGAGAAACCTCTATACTGTTTTCCATAATGACTGTAGTGATTTATATATCCACCAACAGTGTGTAAGAGTTCCCTTTTCTCCATATTGTTGCCAGCATTTTTTTTTTGGTCTTTTTAATAATAGTCATTCTAAGTGGGGTAAGGTGATATCTCATTGTGGTTTTGATATGCATTTCCCTGATGGCTAGTGATGTTAAACATTTTTTCATATACTTGGCCATTTGTATGTCTTCTTTTGAGAAATGTCTCTTCATGTCCTTTGCCTACTTTTTAAAAGGGATTTTTTTTTTGCTGTTGAATTCCTTGTATATTCTCAATATTAGTCCCTTGTTGGATAAATAGTTTGCACATATTTTCCTGTTCTACAGATTGTCTCTTCACTCTGTTGACTGTTTCCTTTGTTTTGCAGAATCTTTTTAGCTTAATATAGTCCCATTTGTCTATTTTTGTTTTTGAGATCTTAGCCACAAAATTTTTGCCTTGACCTATGTCCTGAAACATTTCCCCTGTGGTTTCTTCCAGTAGTTTCATAATTTCAGGTCTTATATTTATGTCTTTAATCATTTTAATTTTTGTGTATGGTGAGACATTAGGGGTCTAGTTTCATTATTTTGCAGATGAATATTCAGTTTTCTCAGTACCCTTTATCGAAGAGGGTATCCCTTCCCTGATACACATTCTTGGCACCTTTGGTGAAAATCAGTTGGTGGTAAATATATGTATTTATTTCTGGGTTTTCTATTCTGTTCCATTGGTCTGTGTGTCTGTTTATATCAATACTATGCTCTTTGGGTTACCATAGCCCTGTAATGTTTTGAAGTTAAGTAGTGTGATGCTTCCAGCTTTTTCTTTTTTGCTCAGGGTTGCTTTGGCTATTCTGATTCTTTTTTGATTTCATATGAACTTTGGTATTTTTGTTTTCAATTTCTGTGACAAATGACAATAGTATTTTGATAGAGATTGCTTTGAATCAAGTTTACTTTGGGTAAACATTTTAATGATATTAATTCTTCTGATTCATGCACATGGAATGTCTTTCCATTTGTTTATTTCTTTCATTAGTGTTTTGTAGTTTCCCTTGTAGAGACCTTTCACCTTTTTGGTTAGATCCGAGGTATTTTATCTTTTAATTATTGTAAATGGGATTGTCTTCCTGATTTCTTTTTCAGCTTTTTCATCATTGATGCATCAAAATACTACTAATATTATATTCTGATATTTTACTGAATTTATCAGTTGTAAGGGTTTTTCTTGGTAAAGTCTTTAGGTTGTCTATATATAAGATCATGCTATCTACAGAAAGAGACAATTTGACTTACTCTTTTCCAATTTAGATGCTTTTTATTTATTTCTCTTGCCTGATTGCTCTGGCTAGAACTTCTAGTGCTATGTTGAATAAGAGTGGTGAATGTGGGCATCCTGCTCTGGTTCCAGTTTTTAGAAGAAGGTCTTTCAGCTTTTCCCCATTTAGTATGATGTCAGCTGTGAATCTGTCATATATGGCCTTTATTATGTTGAGGTATGTTCCTTGTATGTCTAATTTGTTGAGAGTTTTTTTTTATCATGAAGGGATACTGAATTTATCAAACAATTTTCTGCATCTATTGAGATAATCATAAAGTTTTTTCCTTCATTCCACTGATGTCATCACATTTATTGATTTGCATGTGTTAAACCATCCTTGCATCTTTGGGTAAATCACACTTGACCATAGTATATTATCTTTTTGGTGTACTGTTGAATTCAGCTTGCTAGCATTTTGTTGATGATTTTTATGCCTGTGTTCATCAGGGATATTGGCCTGTAGCTTTCTTTTTCGTTGTGTCCTTCTCTGGTTTTGGTGTCAGGGTTGTGCTGGCCTTGTAGAATGAGTTAGGAAAAATTCCCTCCTCTTCAATTGTTTTTAAACAGTTTGTGAAGAATTGGTGTTAGTTTTTCTCTATAGGTTTGGTAGGGTTCAGCAATAAAGTCATCCACTACTGGGCTTCTCTTTGTTGGGAGACTTATTACTGATTCAATCTCATTACCAGTTATTGGTCTGTTCAGGTTTTCTATTTCTTCCAGGTTCAATCTTGGAAGGTTGTATGTGTCCAGGAATTTACCCATTTCCTCTAGGTTTTCCATTTTGTTGGCTATAGTTGTTCATAGTAATCTCTGATGATCCTTTGTGTTTCTGTGGTATCAGTTATAATATCTTCTTTCTCATTTCTGATTTTATTTGACTCTTCTTCCTTTTTTCATGGTTAGTCTAGCTAGGAGGTTTATCAATTTTGTGTATCTTTTTTTTAAAACACGCACTTTTTGTCTCTTGATCCTTTGTATTGTTTTTTAGTCTCTATTTTGTTTTTGTTCTGATATTTACTATACTTTTCCTTCTACTAATTTTGGGTTTGGTTTGTCATTGGTTTTCTAGTTCCTTGAGGTGTATCACTAGGCTGTTTATTTAAAATATTTCTGCTTTTGTGATATAGGCATTTAGTGCTATATACTTCCCTTTTAGCACTGCTTTTCTGTATCCCATAGGTGTGGGTATGTTGCATTTCTATTTTCATATTAAATATTTAAAAACATATTTTTAAAAATTTCCTCTCAATTTCTTCATCGACCCAGTGGTCATTCAGGAGCATATTGTTTAATTTCCATGTATTTGTACAGTTTCCAAAGCTCCTGTTATTTCTACTTTTATTCCATTGTAGTTTAAAAAGATGCTTGATTTGATCTTAATTTTAAAATGTGTTGAGATTTATTTTGTGGCCTAACATATGGCCTATCCTGGAGAATGTTCCATGTGCTGATGAGAAGAATGTGTATTCTGCAGCTTTTGGATAAAATAAAATGTTTTGTAAATGTTAAGTCAAATTTGATCTAAAGTCCAGCTTATTTATTTTCTGTTCTTACTAAAATCCAGTTAAAATCCAATGTTTCTATGTTGATTCTTCCGTCTAGGTGATCTGTTAAAAATGCTGAGAGCAGATTGTTGAAGTCCCCAACTATTATTGTATTGAAGTCTATCTCTCCCTATAGATGTAATATTTGCCTTATACAGCTGGGTGCTCGAGTGTGGGGTACATGTATATCAAGCATTGTTATAGGTTGGTGCAAAAGTAATTGCAGTTCTTGCTTTTAATGTCAAAAACTACAATTACTTTTGTACCAATCTAATATATCCCCTTGCTGAATTGATCCATTTGTCATATATAATGACCTTTTTATCTTTTTATAGTTTTTGACTTAAAGTCTGTTTTATCAGATATAACTATAGCTATTCCTGCTCACTTTTGGTTTCCATTTGTGTGAAATGTGTGGAATATCTTTTTCCATCCTTCACTTTCAGTCTGTATGTGTCTTTACAAGTGAAGTGAGTTTCTTGATGGCACCATATAGTTGGGTTATTTTTAAAAATGCATTCAGTGGCACCAACCCAAATGCCCATCAATCAACGAGTGGATAAAGAAACTGTGTTTTATATATACATATATTATATATGTGTGTTTTATATATATTATATATATGATGGAATACTACTCAGCCATAAAAAGGAATGAACTAATGGCATTTGCAGTGATCTGGATGAGATTGGAGACTTACTATTCTAAGTGAAGTAACTCAGGAATGGAAAACCAAACACCATATGTTCTCACTCGTAAGTGGGAGCTAAGCTATGAGGATGAAAGGCATAAGAATGACACAATGGACTTTGGGGACTCACGGGGAAAGGGTGGGAAGGGGGTGAGGGATAAAAGACTACAAATAGGGTGCAGTGTATTCTGCTTGGGTGATGGGTGCATCAAAATCTCACAAATCACCAATAAAGAACTTAATAATGTAACCAAACATCACCTGTTCACCAATAACCTACAGAAATTTAAAAAAAAATGGATTCAGCTAGTCCATTGTTTTTTTTCTTGAGACGGAGTCTCACTCCGTAGCCCAGGCTGGAGTGCAGTGGCACAATCTCAGCTCACTGCCACCTCTGCCTCCTGGGTCCTGGTTCAAGCAATTCTCCTGCCTTAGCCTCCCGAGTAGCTGGGATTACAGGCATGTGCCACCATGCCCAGCTCATTTTTGTATTTTTAGTAGAGACACGGTTTCACCATGTTGGCCAGGCTGGTCTTGAACTCCTGACCTCGTGATCCACCCACCTCAGCCTCCCAAAGTGCTGGGATTACAGACGTGAGCCACTGCGCCCGGCCCAGCTAGTCTATATCTTTCAAGTGGGAAATGTAATCAGTTCCCATTCAAGGTTATTACTGATAGGTGAGGACTTATTCTTGCCATTTTGTTAATTGTTTTCTACTTGTTTTGTGCATCCTTTGTTCATTTCTTCCTCTCTTATTGGTTATCATTGTGGTTTGGTGGTTTTCTGTAGTGGTAACATTTGATTCCTTTCTTTTTCTCATTTGTATCTGCTCCACCAGTGAGTTTCATGTTTTCATGATGCAAATATCAGCCTTTTGCTTTCAGATGTAGAACATGTTAAGCATTTCTCGTAGGGCTGGTATAGTGGTGATGAATGCCCTCAGTTTTTGCTTGGCTGGGAAAGACTTTATTACTCTTTAATTTTTGAAGGACAACTTTGCCGAGTATAGTGTTCTTGCGTGACAGTTTTCTTTTTCCTTTAGCACTTTTAATGTATTATCACATTCTCTCCTGGCCTGTAAGGTTTCTGCTGAGGAATCTATTAGTCTGATGGGAGTTCCCTTATATGTGATTTGACACTTTTCTCTTATTGATTTTAGAATTCTTTTTTTGTCTGGCTTTCAACAGTTATAAGCTGAAATGTTCCTCAAGTGATAATATACCTTGGGGAAGACTTTTTCGGGTTCAATCTATTTGGGTATCTTTAAGCTTCCTGTATCTGGATGTCTAGATCTCTTCCAAGATGTAGGAAGTTTTCAGCTATTATTTCATTAAATAGGTTCTCTATGCCTTTGCCCATCTCTTTTTCTTCTATAACACCCAATATTCAAATTTCATTTGTGTTGTCTCATAGGCTCTCTCTTTTGTTCTTTGTTCTTCTTTTCTTCTTCTTTTTTTGGGGGGTTGGACTGGGTTATTTCAAAAGACCTGTCTTCAAATTCAGAAATTCTTTCTTCTGCTTGGTCTAGTCTATTGTTGAAACTCTTGATTATATTTTTTTTTTTTTTTTTTGAGACGGAGTCTCGCTCTGTTGCCCAGGCTGGAGTGCAGTGGCGGGATCTCGGCTCACTGCAAGCTCCGCCTCCCGGGTTCACGCCATTCTCCTGCCTCAGCCTCCCAAGTAGCTGGGACTACAGGCGCCCGCCACTACGCCCAGCTAATTTTTTTGTATTTTTAGTAGAGACGGGGTTTCACCGTTTTAGCCGGGATGGTCTCGATCTCCTGACCTCGTGATCCGCCCGCCTCGGCCTCCCAATATATTTTTAACTTCATTCATTGAACCCTTCAGTCCCAGTATTTCTGTTTGGTTCTTTCTTTATGATATCTATCTCTGTTGAATTTCTTACTCAGATCATAAGTTGTTTTTCTGATTTCTCTGTATTATTATTTATTTCTAGTTTTATTCCATTGTAGTCTGAAAAGGTACTTGATATTATCTTAATTTTAAAATTTGTTGAGATTTATTTTGTGGCCAAACATATGGCCTATCCTGGAGAATGTTTCATGTGCTGACAAGAAAATGTATTCTGCAGTTTTTGTTCTATGTTCTCTTGTATCGCACTGAACTTGTTTAATAACATTATTTAAAATTCTTTTTTGGGCATTTCATGTATTGCTTTTTCATTCAAACCTGTTCCTAGAGAATTACTGTGTTCCTTCAGAGGCATTCTGTTTCCTTGCTTTTTCATGTTTCTTATATCCTTACACTCATATTTGTGCATCTGGTGTAACTGTCTCTTCTTTCAATTTTATGGATTGGCTTTCATAGGAAAAGACTTTTCCTGATAGATGTATCTATTGTATTGGTTGGGTAGGATGCTTTGGCTTTTATTTTGGGTGGGGGCAGTAGTTTAGTTTCCATATTTCTTCAGCTATAATCAGTGTCAGTGGTATCTGTGAGTTCCTCAGTGGATTGGCTGTGGTTGTTTGGGGAGGCTGTGGCGAGGCTTTGCTGGGGATGGGGATGCCAGGTGGGGCAGTCTTTGGGCCCCAGTGGTGGTAGTTGTGGGTCAAGCCTGCTGATCTTCCTCTCCCACCCCCGCTCCCCAGCAGTGTGCATGACCTGCTCAGTGGGTGGGGTGGATTGATCCCCAGGACCCTGGATATTGCATGTGGTCACTGATAGGGGATGTGTCAGCCAGGGCGGGCCTGCCCTCAGGCCCCACAATAGTGCACATAGATGCAGGCTACAGCAGGCAGGGCTGGTCAATCCCCAGATGCCTGGACAACATGTGCAAACTCCGGCAGACTGGGCAGGTCTCTTCTCAGACCAGCAGAGGCATGTGCAGATGCTAATGGCAGCAGGTGGAGTGGATTGATCACCAGGCCCCAATGTACATGGCAACTGGCAGGGATGACACTGGGCAGTATAGACCTATCCTCAGCTCTCTCAAGGGTACACACAGGCACAGGCTGTGGTGGGTTGAACAGGTTGATCCCCAGGCCCTCAGATGGTATGTCTGGGTACCAGCAGCAGTGGCAGAGTAGGGGGCAGGCCTGTCATCAGAACCCACGATGGTGTGTGCAGGCACTAGAAGTGGAAGGTGGGATAGGCTGATCCCATGGTCACCTTAACAACATGCATTAGTGTGGGCAGAGGTGGTGGGCAGGTGGCCTACCTGATGGTGCATGCACTTGCCAGCTGTGGTGGGCAGGGCAGGTTGATCCTCAGGTCCCCTTTATGGCATGCTTGGGTGCCGGTGGTGGTGATAGGTGCAGCAGACCTGTTTTCAGTTTCCAGGATGGTGCCTGGCAAACCAGTTTCCAGGTCCCTTGAAGGTATCTGCAGGTGCACAGTGGCCCTGCTGCTGGAAGTTGGGGGATGGGGTTGCTGTCAATGGCGTGGCCCAACCCAGGCAGCTCTCAGGCTTTGGGGAGCATGAATTCCAGTTCCCTTTGTTCTGGTGACTGCCTCCCCAGTGCACAGTACCACTGATTCCCTGCAGCATAGAATACTGTATGAGTCAGAGTCCTGGGAATCTGGCTATACTGCTGGGTCCAGCCAGTGTTGTGATGCTGCAGCCTTCTGGATAGATGTCAGTCAGGGGATGTCAGAGGGATGTGGAGATACAGAGGCTGTTGAGTCCCGGGGAAGGATGTAGTCTGGTGGAGGCTGGCCTCTCAAAATAATGCCATGCTGCAGGTGTCTTGATCTTGGGGTGTGTGGGGGACCCAGAGTGAAGTTCTTCTCTGGACTAATGGCATTGGAGGACTTGAGGATGCTCCTTAGACTAGTCTCAGGGCCCACAAGGGCTGAGGGGCTCTCCTGTGGCTAGGACTGTAAGAGTCAGTGTGGCAATGTAGACTGCTGAAGATCTCTTGCTTACCTTCTCTCTGCACTGGGGGGTTTCTCCTGGCTCCGAGCTGATTGCAGCTGGACCAGCTGCTTTGCTTCCCTCTCCTTCCAAGCCTCAGATGTTCCCTGTCACTTCTCTGATGAATTCCATTGTTCTCTTAGAAGCTCCACTTGTTATGTGATTGTTCAGTTTTGGTCCTTCTTTGTGCAGAAGTGCCAGGTGTCGCTAGTCAGCTATCTTGAAACCCTTCTCTCTGGATGTACAAAATACTGTTTACACTTCGAGGTTTGTTCTGGGATGCTCGCAGATCTCATCCCATATAAGTAGTGAGGGAAAAAAGAGGTGGTTGCCTAAGGTTTCTCCTTCTATCTCTGATTGGCTCAACATCCACTGGGCAACACACATCAACCTTTCAAGACAAGAACGGTAGGTGATGTGTGGAGTGGTGATGGTGTATGTGAAAACCCTTGGCTTCCTTTACATGATCGTAGTCTGAAAGATGGAGACTACATGGAGAATGTCTCAAGAAAATTCCTCCTTTCACACTCCTCTGACGATACCACAGACCGACTCCTCACAGATGAGCAAAAGCTTGGGTGGGAGCTTATTTCTTCTCCCACTGTGCTTCAACTTCTCAAGGAATTGTAGAATGAGAGAGAGCAGAGGATTTTTAATATTTGCTGATTATCCACTATGTGCAAGCTTCGTATAAACAATAGGTAGTATAATCTCCATTTTATAGTTGAGGAAACTGAGACTGGAGATTAAATCATTTGCTGGAAGACACAAAGCCAGTAATTAGTAGACTCAGGACTTGAGCAAGACTGTCCATCTTCAGAGCCCACAGTCTTTCCATGACACCAGCAATGCACAGTTAGGTCCACAGGGACTCTCTCACATCTACTCTGTGCTCTCATTCTTGGCATCCAAAGAATGTTAGGCACTGAGAACCGCTATGGACTGAATGTCTGTGTCCCCCCAAATGTCATATGTTGAAACTGAATCCCCACTCCGATGGTGTTTGAAGGTGGGCCCTTTGGGAAATGAAGTCATGAGGGGGAGGGAGCCCTCATGAAAGGGATTAGTGGCCCCAGAGAGAGAACCCCTCACCCTTTCTGCCAAGTGACTGTGCAGCAAGAAGACAGCCATCTATGAACCACGAAGCAGACACTCACCAGACACCGAACCTACTGCATTCCTGACCTTAGACTTCCGAACAGCCTCCAGAACTCTAAGAAATAAATTTCCTTTGTTTATAAACCACCCAGCCTATGGTATTTTGTTATAGCAGCCTGAACACATTGTGACAAGAATTCAAGCTACTAAGGATCACTTTAGCTGAGAAATGCTTGGGCAATTGGGTAGAAAGGCTGGCATAGTGCAAGTCAGAAAACTTCAGAGTCAAAATGGAGGGAGGGACTCCTCTCCCCTCCTACAGAGTGACAGAAAGGAGGGAAGAGTTCTGCTTTATGACAAAGCATTTTAAATAGCACGCAGATCCTCTAGAAAAGGATGCAGAGCCACAATGTGGGCAGAGGCTCGGGGACTGAGGGGGGAAACCAGAAGCTGAGTTTCTTTCCTCTAGTGCCAGAGAAATTTTCCAAGGTGGGATTGGGATTGTGGTGAATGACCTTGGATTGAGATCCAGGGGCTGTGGGAAAGCCATAGGAGCCCCAGACTATGAACATCTTATTTTTTTAATTTAATTTTTTAAAAAAGAGATGGGATGTCACTATGTTGCCCAGGCTGGTCTCAAACTCTTGGGTTCAAGTGATCCTCCTGCCTCAGCCTCCCAAAGTGCTGAGATTACAAGTGTGAGCCACTGTGCCTGGCCCAACTATGAACATTTTAATTGATAAATTAGAAAATGTTCAAAACACTTAAAATTGGGTAGTGATGCCAACAGCCCACCTCACCCATGCCAGGAGCCTTACCATGTTAAGCAGTGGTCCCAGCCTTTTTGGCACCAGGGACTGGTTTTGTAGAAGACAATTTTTCCACGGACCAGGGGGTGGTGGGGATGATTTCAGAATGAAACTTCCACCTCAGATCATTAGGCATTAGATTCTCATAAGGAGCATACAACCTAGACCTCTCTCCTGCACAGTTCACAATAGGGCTCACATTCCTATGGGAATCTAATGCCACTGCTGATCAGACAGGAGACAGAGCTCAGGTGGTAACGCTTGCTTGCCACTCACCACCTGCTGTATGACCCAGCTCCTAACAGGCCACAGAGCAGTACTGGTCTGCAGCCTGAGGGTTGAGAACCCCTGACGTAAAGCACCCCCTTTGTGAGAAAACAAGCTCTGGGCCTTTAATTCCTGCAGCCAGCTGCTCTGTGCACATGGGGTGAGGGGCAGGAGGGAGTCAGGCAGGAGACCTCTGGTCCCTGGCACAGCTATTCTCGCAACAGCCATTGGTCAATCTCCCCGGTCCCTACCACAGCCCCTCTGCTCTCTGTACCTGCCGGCCTCAATGCGGAGCCTCTCTGAGAAACAGCTCCTCCCTCGCCAGCCACCTTCTGTGTACAGTTCAACTTCTATCTCCTCAGATCTCCTTCCCCATCAGTCAACCCACCTCCCTTCTCCTATTTCAAAAATTACTCAACATTTCTGTTCTTGCACTTTTTTGGGCTGTTACAGATTTTTTGAAGTTCAATGACATTTGGGAAGGACAGATAAAAGTGAGCATTCAATTTGCATCTCAAGTCATGACATTTGCCTTGTAAATGACGTCTGCTTCCATTTTACTGGAGGAAGCTGGCCAGGTGGGGTCTCCTTTCCCATAGGTGGCTGTGATGTCAGGTGAGCTGCTCAGCCTCTTCTGGCTTACTTTCCGTTCACATGACGAGGGTCGTGAATGAGATTAGTATCCATCAAACCTGTTCCTGTAATACACCCCTTCTATCAGGTAAAACTGATGGCAGGATTCCAGTATATAAAACAAGCTAAACTGGTATTTTCTTTTTCAGAATACGTACTGAAGTGCTGAAGAGTAACTAAAACATTTTTTAACAGGAGAAAAGGCCCTGGCTGGGGGCAGTGGCTCACGCCTGTAATCCCAGAACTTTGGGAGGCCGAGGCGGGCGGATCACGAGGTCAAGAGATCAAGACCATCCTGGCTAACGTAGTGAAACTCATCTCTACTAAAAATACAAAAATTAGCTGAGTGTGGTGGCATGTGCCTGTAGTCCCAGCTAGTCAGGAGGCTGAGGCAGGAGAATCCCTTGAACCCGGGAGGAGGAGGTGGAAGTGAGCTGAGATTGCACCACTGCACTCCAGCCTGGCGACAGAGCAAGACTTCGTCTCAGAAAAAAAAAAAAAAAAAGAAAAAAAAAGAAAGAAAGAAAGAAAAGAGAGGCCCTGAGGAGGAGAGGAGAACATGATGGGGCCTTTGGAGCCCACAGCTCCCTCTTCCCCTCTAAGTGGCCCATGGTGGCAGTGCTGGCTGCCCCAAGAGGAGGTAGGCAAATTGCAGAGGCACCAAGGAGCTTCCAAGGAAAGGCTGAGGCCTGGCCCTTCCCAGCGGAGGTGCAACGGTCTGGAAACTCATGAGATGGATCAACAGTCATGGTTACTGGTGGCAGACACACCTCGGAGGGACCTGAAGGTTTGTCTGGATGAGCGACTGGATTGCAACTATGGGATGGGCTAGAGGATGGGCCCAGCAGGTGGCCCAGGATGGAACCCCTCTGGAAGTGCCTGGGCGGGGCCGCGTCAGCTGCAGCTGCAGGTAAGCATGCATGGGACCCCACAGGAGTGGCTGTCAATGACACCAATGTGGAGATAGGTCTTTGGCCTAAGGGAGGAGTGAAGCCCCAGGGTACCACGGGACAGGAGGGAAGATAATGTTTTCCTGCAAAATGGGCAGGTCAGATCTCAGTGTTCGAAGGATTTGACTAGAACTGTGCTTAGGATCAATGAAAAGGGAGAGGCAGGTCACAGTATTTGAGGATAAACTAATTTTTACCTTATTCTGGGATCAAAGTGACTATCAAAGCTTTAAAATACAGCATATAAAGTGTCAGAAAAGGTACACTAGTTTTTTCTTTTAAAGTACACTAGTTTTTATAGTATAAATAGTTGTAGAATCTAGGTAGTGGGTTTATGAGTGTTCACGGTAATTTTTTTTCAGCTTTTCTGTATGCTTTAAATTTTTCAGGACAAAATGCCTAGAAGTGGTCAAATAACATTTTATTTTGTAGTCGAGCATTTGAGGAACCCTTGGACGATTGTCGGGAAGCCTTCGGGTTAATGAAGCATGAAAACTATTGGGCCTCTCCTGAGCCCTTTGAGCTCAAAAATCTCTAACTTCCTAGGAGGCTCCTCAGGCTCAGCCCAGGCCTGAAGCTGATGTATTTGAGAAGCTGGTGTTTTAGATGACTGTCATCTAAAACCTCAAAGCCTCAAAAGCTGTTTACATCAGTGGGGTTGCACCTGTACTCTGAGTTAGTTTTATCACAAAAATGGGTCATTTGCAGCTGCCTTTTAAAGGTGAAAACAGATGCAAAATATATTAAAAAAATCAAACAGACTTTCAAAAACCACACACAGTGCCAAGTAGTCAGTGGATTTGTCGGCGCCCTGCCTGAGAACAGCACTTTGATAAAAGGCCCAGCTGCAAGGGTGCAGAATAACAGAGTTGGGAGCACTGCTGCCCTTTCTTTGTTCTGCCTTTCAGGGCAGCTGTCCTCAAATATGGGGTGGGCAGAAGTGGTGTGCTTACTGCCAGCACTGCCTGCTACAAGGAAAAGAACTGTATGGCCTACTAATTTGGGGGAGTGCTGGATTAAACAGCATTAAGATGCTTCTCAGACTGTTCAATATACTTGTGTGCACTGCCCGTCTCCCAGGGATGGACACAGTTGTGATCCCCAAATGCTCTACAGACTTTTAGGGGAGGGACCATGCTCTAGGACCCATGCTTTAAGAAGGCAAAAATAAACCAAGCACTGTGGCTCATGCCTGTAATCCCACGGCTTTGGGAAGTGGGAGGATCGCTTGAGCCTAGAGGTTTGAGGCTGCAGTGAGCTATGATTGAACCACTGCATGCCAGGCTGGGTGACAGAACAAGACCCTGTCTCTAAAAAAACAAAAAGGAAGCAAAATAGAAAATGCTTCTTTGCAAACATTATGTCAATTAGTGATACATCTAAAATACATCTTGAGAGGCTGGGGTAGGAGAATTGCTTGAGGCCAATGGTTTGAGACCAGCCTGGGAAACGCAGTGAGACCCCATCTCTAAAACACAAAATAAAATAAAAAATAAATAATTAAAATGCAGTTTAACTGTAGCAGCTACACCCTTCAGCAGCATCTGTGAGAGAAGTGTTATTTCTGACCAAGCAGAGCTGTGTTTTAAGATGAAGGCTCCCCGACCTGTGAAAAACAGCCCTAGCTCAAGGTTAACTTACAGTATCAACAGTACATTACTTCAGCGATGCTTCTGTCTTCCTACCCACTGGGGACAATTGTCTCCATAGCTTGTATCTTACATTCTCAAATAACATCTAGTTTCTGGTTCCCCTGAGACCAGGTGCATCCTCCACCCACCTCACCCCACTGAACCAAGGATCTGCTGTACACCCTTCCTCATTAGAAACTTCATCTCCACCCTCTTTCCCACTCCCCCAACAAAACAATCAAAGCACATGCCCAAATTTATTTTTATTTTGCACACATAGGAAACAGGATCCTATCAAAAGAGAACAAAAAAGAGAAACGAGCCAATTGTTGCAGAGGAAAAGCATGCACAGATCTGCTTCAAGTTTACTCTGAACCACGGACGCTCCGGGAATTCTACACACCAGGAGCTGTCTCACTCCAGGAAGTGGGCACAACCCACCATCCACACAATGGAAACAAGAATGGCCAGGAAATGTCACCGAAGTGGGACTTCCATATGCAGGATCAGCGTTCACAGTAGCACAATTCTAACCAAGTTCAAGGGAAAACAAACTCTGTCTCACACAAACATGGGAATACAAAATTGTTGAGCCCTAGCCATCACTGTCTCTTAACATAATTTGCTATCAAAAAGACAAACGAAATTTAGTCACGGACTTTTGGGTGCCTATTCAGCTGCACCCGATTCCAGGGGCAGCTTAGTGTGCTTTTTCATTACAAAAAATAAAGACATTAAAAATGCAAAACAAATGACCTGGAGGAAGAGGAGTGTTTGGACCCACGCAGTTGTCTTGGTTGTAAACAGTGAACATTGTGCTTTGTTGTCTCATTTAGATGGAGGCCTGCAGCATGGGAGGTACCACGCTGGCAGTCAGCAGTCACACCAGGGTGGTCAGAGACACTGGTGGCAGCATCTGTGCTTGCAACTGCATTCCCAGGGTGTCTGTTTTGTTCCCAAGTGTCTCCCACAAAATTCCCCAGGAGGTTCTCCGATTAAATGTCCTCAGAGTGAAAAGCATGGACACCAAATCACTCCGTATCCACTTCCATGAGATGTCTTGATGCTCCAGTTCAATGAGTAACAATTTCTCAAGAGGCTCTGATTAGTTCATTAAAAAATAAGCACCCCCACCTCATTCCCCGTGATACAGCACATCTAGTAATCTAGGCGCCTCAGCTAAGCTGCATAGCTCTTAGCACACAGGACAGGTCAGCGTTCACACATCAACACTATAACTATGCGGCGGAACTAGCTCCCCGCTAGCCGTCAACTACTCAGGAGACTACCTGTGAGATCCTGGGGTGAGCTGTGATTCCTATCCAGGAATGTGCATTTCCGACCACTTCTTCTTTATTCTAATTATGACAACATGGTCAGTGCAGTTGAGTCAGTACTTCTCCTGTCTTTTCCCAGCAAGCTCCTCCTCCTTGGAGCCCAGCACACACCCGCTTAGACCCAACACAACCTCAGAGAGAGACGCCTCAGCTGGTCTCTCTCCCTGGAAGAGTCCATGTGACTTCCCAGCCAGATGTGCCCCGTTTTGAAAGCACCCTTCAGAACCCACCACTGGAGCTGCCTGAGGGAAGGAGACCCCCGGGCCTGAGAATGCCCTGGAGAGGCAGTGATGTCCAGGGAAGACACACACCCAGTCTGATTTCAAAGGGCAGGACGCTCTACATGCACTTCCATAAACACACCAAAAAAATGGGTAACAGTCCTTTCTCCAAATCAGACCAAGAGCTCACAAAATGCAATGTCTCAGTTTGGGGCAGGAAGTGATTTCCCATGAATTTAAATAAATTTGCTTAGTGGATGTCAGATCACTGTCAGGCCTCCAAGGCAAGCCTGATTCTAGGCCCCATCCTGCGGTGAGAGCTGCACGTGCTACCCTTCCCTGGCGGTGCAGGAGAAGTCTATCTTTAGGATATGAACAGAGACAGAAACATGACAAGGGGCTTGCTCTCTCCTGAATGTCTCTCCAACAGCTTCTGGAAGAGGAAGGCTGACGAGAGGACAGGCTGGAGCAGATGACCTGCTGGGCTCAGCTCAGTCGGCTGCTGCTTCATCGGCTGAGCCGCCCGGCATGGGGCTTCCTATTAATACCCGGGCAGAAGGATGCTTGCCTGGGATGCTCGGCCTGGCCCCTCTACATGCCACCTGCACCTCCAGCACTGCCTTCTTCCTCTCAGTCTCTCTCCTGTAGATCTGGTCACGCCACCGTAAGGACGTCAGCCCTCGGGGACTGTCACCACACTACCATGTGAGAGCACAGACTGCGTCAGAAACAGAAGCAACAGAGGAGACAAAGTGTGAGTTCATATATTGTACTCCATGGAAAGCCTGAAAGAGAGCTGTGCTTGCTGTGAGGATATCAGAGGAACTGCCCTTAGCAGCCCACGAGACCGTTCCTGGAAGTGAACATCAACGAAGACAGAAAGGCCAGGGAAAGGCCCTCTCCTGTCTCTCCTCTTGCACGTGGGCACCCCACTACTTGGCCTTCACTACCTGTTCGTACGGGGGCGGAGGCGTGTTGCAGTAGGCTGGAGGGGGCGGGCAGGCCACACTCCCCTGGGGTGAGTTGGGTGGGACCTGG
The DNA here is from genome assembly GCF_000001405.40 of Homo sapiens. Classification (NCBI taxonomy): domain Eukaryota; kingdom Metazoa; phylum Chordata; class Mammalia; order Primates; family Hominidae; genus Homo; species Homo sapiens. The sequence continues at coordinate 55,472,961 of NC_000007.14, forward strand.
AAAGCCATTGCCATGGAATTCCCGACAGGGTTCATCCCCGGTCCTCCTGGGTCGGTGTAATAGGGCGGCCCCGGCTGCTGGGCTCCTGAAAGACAGACAAACATAGGTGAGCACAGAAGGGAAAGCCCCATCACACCGCAAGTATGTGCAGGCTGCAGGGCCAGCAGACCACGCCCCGTCATTCACTCAGCGACAGTGTATGAAGGACCCAACATGCCCGGTGAGGGGGCACCTGGGCTGTGGTGACAAGCAACACAATAGGCAGGTCCCTGCCCTCTCGGGGCTTTGATTCTACTGGACTACATTCCACGTTACCAGTTCACACATTAGGGTGGAGGAAACTGGGCCACAGTAAGGTGAGGCTGTCTGCGGTGAACTATCGGAAGAGCTGCAAAGACCACCCAGGCTTCGCGACTCAGCCTGGCATTATCGCAGGAGCTCCACAACCCCTCTGGGCACGCCATTGGCTGGTGACCATTTCTGAAGTAAGGTCTCCATTCTCCCTGCCGGGCTAGTGTGCCCTCAGGGCAGGAGTTACTCACAGGCAGGGAGGCCGTGCACCTGGGCACACATAGCCAGGCTGCAGCTGATTGACGCTCCATGGGTCAGGAGCGGAGCCGCAGGCTGACTCCCTAGTGACAAGCTGAGGAGCAGGGCACGGGGGCACCACAGAAGGTGACAGGAGGGTACAGGCTGGACACCCGACCCCAAATCTAGCCCTCACTCTGAGGTGCTGTTTTCAGTGTGCTTACTGTGATCATGCAGATTAACACTATAGAATTATGCATATGTAAATAAAGAATCAGACAAAACCGTGAAAGTGCTGGGTGTTCCCTGGGTATAGCTGATTTTGTGACAGGACTCAGGTGTTTTTGAAGTGAGGCTTCCTTTAGCTCAGGGAGACACTCAAGTGTCAAAGAAGCTGCCCCTGTGTGAATATTGTGTAGGGTTTTTTTTCTTTTTTTGCAATTCTCCCCCTGACACAGTGTGATATAGTTCTGACTCTAGAAACATGCCCATCAAGGTACACAAGATGTCCCAAAGCCCACATAAGTCAGACCATGGGAATCTGCGCATGTGCGGAAGGAGAGCATGTAGAACAGAAGCACAGGCCAGGCCTGCACTGTCTCTCACTGAGCGCTCTCAACTGCCAGGAGGGCACTCAGCACAGATGCCACCCTGTGTGAGAGGCTGCCTCGCCCTGCATCTGTGCCGTCCCACAGACACCACCTGAGTGAGATGCCGTGTGGTCCCACAGATGCCACCTGCGCTGCTCTGATGCATCTCACCCGCTGCCTTGGGTGTGTTCTATTTAGAAGTCGACTTACTGCCATTACCATGAGTTTCGCAAGGGCAGAGATTATGTTTTATTTAGATCTGGATCCTGCTATATGTTATACAATTAAAAAACCAAGGATTTTTAAAAAGAGGGCATTGCAACAGTCTAAGCAAGACATTATGAAGGCTTCTGAATATTAGAGAAAAAATGGAGAAGAGAGAATGAGGCACTGAGGGCTGTCGGCAATGACTGGCCTGGGATTGACTCGATGGGGAGCGCACAGCGTGGGAGACAAGGGCTGAGAAGAAAAGGCCCTAGGTTCTGCTCACAATAAGGGCCCCCCAACAGGCAGGGCAATACAGGAGAACAGGGGCTCTGCAAGAATTAGCGCCTTACCAAGGTCACACTACTGCTACAGCAGCACCAGGACAAGGGCGGGGCAGATGAAAAAGTCCCTGCTGGACTGGAGAGGGCGGAGGCAGCTCTGGAGCTGGAGCCTCCTGTGGGAAGGTGGTGGTGGAAACATGGGCATGTCCAGGAGAAGGCTGCAGGAAGGAGCAGCACTGAGGCCAGGAGAGGAGCATGAAGTGTCTAAGGCTGATGAGAAGGATGCATAGGCAATGGGAAGATGCGGCAGGAGGTGGTGCACCAGGAGCCAGGGCAGCAAGGGGTGGGAGAATTTTCAGGAAGAAGTGATGTTCTCTCCCCAGCTGAAGAGAGATGGAAATAAGCACGGCTGTAGCCTTGGGGTTCCCGTGCTCTTTCTCTACAGTTTCACACCATGGTAGACACAGGTCCCTGCTGCAGTAGGGAGAAACAGTCCAGGGTGTGGGTGAAGACTGTAGGAGGGGACGGGTGGCAGCTGGAAGGCACGCAGGGCAAGAGAAGGTGCCTTTGTAAGGATGGAAACGCTTGCGCATATGGGCAGGGGTAGGGACAGACACAGGACAGAGAGAACTTTCGGGGAGAACACAGCTCGGTGAGGGTAATGGCCTCTGGTAAAGCACTTGGAGCCTACTAGCTGGGAGCTGGTGCACAGGAAGGCACCCGAGACAGTGGGCCGAGTGGGCAGAGCCATGTGGGGTGTGGCCCTGAAAAGCACAGCAAGGGACTCGGCCACCACAGGTTTGGCGGAGCGGTGGGTGAACATGGCCGGCAGCCTCCACTGCCGGGCGAAGCAGGTCCAGGTGATTCATTTGCTGACAGGGATGTGGGAAAGGGCAACAGGAGAACTGACCAAAAGCCTCAAGGACGAAGGGAGCAGTGCGTTACAGTCACAGATGGGAGCCAAAATAGTGACAAGGAGCGACAGGCCCACTGGTGCAGGATTCGGTGTGGTGGGGACAATCTGCACAGAGGTGACAGCCAGGAGCAAGGGGACTCCACCACCCCTCCCTTCCCTACACAGGGTGTGCCCTGGGAGGAGCCCTTCAGTTCTGGTTTGTGGTTGATGGTTGGGTTAAAGAAAACACACAAAACATTCTAGGAAGAGGCTGGGGTTGCAGAAAGACTTTCTCCACAAGATGGGGTAGAAAGGGTAAGGAGAGGTGAGTAAAACCATGGCTGCCCCTCACGTCACCAGTGTTCATCAGGCCAGCCTGTGCCGTGTGTGCACGGTGGGGAATGGCATGGGATGGGGATTGGGTGGGAGAACAGAGGCTCTGCCAGAGTGAGTGCCTCACCAAGGTCACGCTACCGCTAGAGCAGCACCAGGACTTGAACCCAGTAGTGAACCAGAAAGTCAGACTCTCCCTATGATGACAGGCGTCTCTTGAAACAGGATGGTGAAGTGGGGGAAGAAGTTCAGGCAAGGGTGGGATGGGAGAGCCACAGGAGACTGGGGGCATCACGGGCCCGTGTGGAGCGCCGTCTAAGAATTAAAGGCCACCACAGCCAGCCTCCCAGCCGGGCTGCACTCACACCCTTGGCATGTCATCTGTCTCTGGACAATGCTGGAGTCATTTTACTTTGAACGTCATCATCTCCTCCTCAGTGGGAGTCTTGGCATGGTTTGAAAGGGAGCTCCAGGCTCAGCAAAGACTGGGAGGACACGCTGTGATGTTAACTGACAATCACCCCTTCTCAGTGAGCTGGCCCAGCCCCACGGGTGCCAGGGGGATGGCCAGGCAGCCTGTATTCTTAGCAGGACCTGCCACCTCTCTAGCCCAGCTGACTGGCCAGTGGCGTGTCGGGGGGGTGGGCGGGGGGGCTGGGCCAATCTTTCCTGGGGATGCAAAAGAGTCCGGCAGGCCGCAGAGGGAGGGGTGGAAATGCAGGGAGAAGGAGAGGCAGCTGACAGAGTATGTGGCCCAGGAGGGACAGAGGCCAGGGGCCCAGGGGCCTGACTCCTGACAGCGTTCCAGTTACACCAGGATCCCCACACCATTTTAGTCAGCCCCTCCAAACTCAGGGCACGTGGGTCTCTGGTCTCACCTCTCCTCCTCTCCAGCCATGCCCTGGCTTCCCTGCTCTGTCCCCTCTGGCCCAGCTGCTCCTCCAGCCATGGGCAGGAGCCTCAACACAGGGCACCAGGGGCAGAGCTCGTTCCTGCCACCCAAGCTGTGGCAGGCTTGGCCCTACATTCCTCCCCACCAATCACTCATGGGACGGTGGGCTCTCCAGAGGGACAGGGCCTGCTATGATGGGCTCCTGCCCACTTCAGAGCCTTGTGTCTCACCGCCTGCCCTATTCTCCATCTCCAGCAGTAACCACACTGCCTGGATCCGGTCTGCCCTCTCTGGGCCCTCACTAGATAACATATCCCAGGCTTTCACCATGCAAACCGTGTCTCCTGGAATGCCTGTGACCACCTCATGCCAGGCACCTCCTAGCCTCTGGTCTGGCTAATTGCCATGTATCTTTCAGTCTCAGCTCAGAATCACCAGGCAGCCCCCTCTTGCTGCCTGTCACTGCCTTCCCAGCTGAGCAGGCACCCCTGTCCTCTGGTACCCAGAACAAGGCACGTCCATGAGTATGCAGCAGTTGCCTAGTATGGTATGATTTTCTGAGCCTTCTGAACACGAGGACAGAGCATCACTCACCCTGGTTCCCTGAGAGCCCAGAACGGCACCTTGCATGTGGCAGACGTTCCATAAATACACGGGAGGAGTGACTGAAGGGGGGACGAGTGGCGACTTGGATCTGGACTTTGGCGCTGCCAGATTGTGCTGGGTGTGCATGGGTTTCCTGAGACACACCTGTTTCTGATATGACAGGAGTGACTGGCTGCCCCACTCAGCAAGCCTGTGCCAAGGCCGTGGCTCCTGTCGAGGGGAGGATCCCAACCCCCTGCTGCAGGTGAGGGAGGGGCGGGAGTGTGGTCTTTGTAGAAGAGAGGCAGCCAGGCTATGTTTGCAATGTGGCCACTCACGCTGCAGAACCAGAAACACCAGCACCTGCATCCAGTCTAATCGGTATCTTCGTGTTCATAGACACAGTGATGGATCCTACCAGGAACTGGTGGGACGGGATTGAAATATTTGAACATGGAGATGGAGAGGTATTTGGAATATAAAAGAGAACGGATAGAAAATGAATAAACTGTGTACTTGTCAAGAACATGAACCCTTAGGTTAAAAAATTGGTGACCACGCTGGAGAGGCTACAGTTGAGGTTAAAGGGCAGCAGGGCCGGATGCTGGAGCCTCATGTGAGTAGCTGAGGGACCCCGGCCAGGTGGAGGCAGCGCGGCCGCGGAAGCAGCATGCAGAGGCCGCACCCACCCAGACAGCTGCTCAGCTTCTGCTCATTTGGCTACAACTCCTCACAGGACGCTGGCCATGCTTACCATTCAGGCTCCCACAAAGAAGAGCAACCGAGAGAAGGTGGACCCAGTTCTCACAGAGGCAGAGACTCATTTAGGAAAGAGAAAGCAAGGACACTTCATTCTCTGCATGAAGCCTGCGGACAGAAGACCAGCACGGTCTGGAATGTGCCCACAGACTTCAGAGAGATCACGGCAAAGACATTCCCACAAACCACAGATGATTATATGGCACATGGCTCTGGAATCAAAAGCACCTTAAAGTCATAACCTCAACTCCTTAATCACAAATAATCACAAAGAGAACAAAAATGTGAGTGTCCCAAATGAAGCCCTGTGACTAAAGAGCAAAATTACAAAATGAGATTATTACCAGGAGCAAATACAGAATGAAGTCAGGAAAAAAAAGCCCAAGGGAGCTGCAGCTTGAAGCAATGACTCTAGCCAAAAAAGGGGGCTTTGCATGTGCACAGAGAATAAAGAAGATTAAGAAATAAAACAAATAGCAAAAGAAACTACCTTAAATGGTATTCTCTCCCAAGGAGAATGGTTTGCAAACTGAAAGGGAGAAACAAAAAAATGGGTGAGGGAAAATGAAAGACCAAGATAAATGAGAACTGACCGGATGTTGGGGAGAGCATTCAGATTGCCTGCCTCCAACCAAGTACCTCTCAGTGCAGGAAGCATGGAATAGAACCAGGACCTCAGGGTCCCATGACATGCTAAGTGCATTTTCCTCACAGATTCATGTATCTCACATACAGCCTGTCATTCTAGCCACCGAGGAATGCTATGAGATACACACTATTTCAATTTTACAGATTCAAAAGCGGAAGTCCAAATAAATTACACAATGTGCTCAAGGGACTCTCCTTCCAGTGGACACTGTTGCATCTGTGAGGACCCAGGCGGACCTCTCTCAGCCAGGAAGGAGAGTTGGAGGGGGAAGAGCTGAGGGGGGCAGCAGGGGCCCATGGAAGGAGCCCGGCCCGAGGATGCTGCTGAGCCATGCAGTTAAACCATGGCCCTTCCTCTATGTGACTTTCTATCGTAAGAGACAATTCTTTCTTATTTTTGAAGCTGGCTGAATTGAGGTATGTGTTACTTGTAGCCAAAAGCCTTGAACTACCTCTTCCAGAGAACATTTTCTTTTTTTTTTTTTTATTATTATACTTTAAGTTTTAGGGTACATGTGCACAATGTGCAGGTTAGTTACATATGTATACGTGTGCCATGCTGGTGTGCTGCACCCATTAACTCGTCATTTAGCGTTAGGTATATCTCCTAACGCTATCCCTCCCCCATCCCCCCACCCCACAACAGTCCCCAGAATGTGATGTTCCCCTTCCTGTGTCCATGTGTTCCAGAGAACATTTTCACAAACAACAGAGGTGTTGCCAGCTCAGTACTGGCATTTCTGTGTCCTCTGAGCTTTCTAGTTTGGTTTGGTTTGAGGTTGTATCTGTTCATTTTGCTAAACTGTCTCAACTCTTAGAAATATTTCTGAGCTCATTCTCCAGGATTTTTAGGTAAGTACTGATGATAAACTGTTTACAAACAGTAATAGTTTTGTTTCTCCTTCCTGATGGTTGAATATTTTCATTTTAGCCAGAAATTTTAGAGCAATATTAAATATTATTAAATATCAGTTATGATATTAAGCAATCCAATTTTCATGGGAATTATTTTATAGTTTCACCAAATGTGATGTTAGCAAAGAATCTAAAGTGCATACTCAACAATTATTTATGCAACATCTCCCGTTCAAAAGGCATAGCTGGTAACATGGAGCACACAGTGGAAGGCTTGAGCCTGGAACCCAGGAATTTACATGAGGTCTTTATTACATTAATAAAAGGCCTTACATGGCTAGTTTTGAGAGAGTTTTGATAAGGAATATATATCAAATTGTGCTGACAGCCTCTTCAGCACCTACTGAGACAATCATTGCTTTCTGATATAACTTACAATGTTAATTGCGTGCCTAAAATAAAACGATCTTTTGTTAAGAAGATCATGGTTGGTTATGATGGTTTACTATTTTGACACATTGCTTAATTCAGTTTCCTAAATATGATTCGATATAATTTTATTTTGGTGTTTATTCCCAAGTTATACTAACTTTACAACATGAATACGTAGCATTCCTATGATTTGCAGTAATTGATACATTCATTAAAATGAATTGTTTCTTAAAAGTTTCAAAAAAGCCATATGAACTTAAAGACATTCTGGGAGATAATTCTTTGAAAATGTCTTCAAGCTCTTGCTTGCTTTTTGAGTTATTGAAATTTTCAATGTCTTTACGCACTTTGGTATCATAAAGTACTTACGCACTTTGCCATCTTACCAGATTTTCCAATTCATGAATACTTCCTTGTGATTTTCAACTCCTTTGAATCTGTAGTGTTTTAATTTATGCTTTTATTTTTGTGTTCTTCTCCTTTATTGATTAGATTTATCAGGAGGGGAACAAGCAATGTGATTTGCTCTATTGCTTTTTATCAACTGCTAACTTAGATTTATAATTATATTTTTCTGATTTTTACAATTAATTTGTATTTCATTTATAATTTCTCCCATCTCTACTTCCCAGGCTTAATTTTACCCACTCTTTATATATTTCTGTGACTTTATTAATTTCTGAGCCTCTTTTGAGGAGAGCTCAGTTCATTTGCTTTTTCATAAACTTTTAACAGAATAAAGCTATGAATCTATTAATACCTCTAAAAATTGGCTGAACATGTACTGCATATGCTGTTGCATTCCTTTCACTGATGCCTATGTCCATTTGTGTGTTCAACAAAGACTGAATTCTCACTGAGTGCCAGCACTGTTCTGGGCACTGAGGATGTAACAATGACAAAAACTGAAAATCTCAGTTCTCACGTTACTTGCAGTTTAGAGAGACAATGAGCAAGGTAAGAAAAATAGGTTAGTTGGTGATAAGTGCTAAAGATGAAAATAAAGCAGGAAAATTGAAAAATGAAAAGCCAACAGGGGAGGGGGAAGGGCAGTGCCATTCTTCCTTGTGTCTGCAGGCCTCATGAGGAGGTGAAGGACCTCAAGGAAATGGAACTGTTGGGCAGAAGGGGCAGGCAGCAGGTACTGGAGGAGCGTGCCGTGTACCTGGGCGTGTCCATGGAGAAAGAGACTTTTAGGCAGAGGAATGGCTGTCTGGAGGGTCTCAGGACAAGTCACAGGCCAGTGAGTGGCAGCAGGGGAGTGAGCCAGGAGGGGCCACAGGAGAGGCCAGAGCCCGCTGGGCAGCCAGGAGGGGTGCTGAGAGAAGAGAGGGCCTCCTTGGCCTCTCAAAGTGCTTCTGTGGCACAGTGGGCCCATGAGAGTGTTGGGAGCACAAGCCCTGGCTCCTGCTGTGACTCTGGCTGCCTTGCTGGAAGCAAGAGGCAGCAAGAGAACCACCAGGGAGGCTCTCATCAGAGTCTGAATAAAGGGTGGTAGCAGCCAGGGTGGTGTCGAGAGAAAAGGCCAACTGGCCTCAAGGCTCCTGGCTGGAGCCCTGGAAGAACAGAGGTGGGGCCTGGAAAGAGGGCGGAGGAAAGAACCAGCACTGCAGGGTCCTCCACTCCCACCTTTTTGACTCAATACATCATTTATGGGACTAGTCTTTTATTTCCAAGTGGGTGCAGAGCATGCATTTGTTCATTTACAGACATCTACAAACTGCAGGTGTCCTACTGGGAGTAGTAACTACTGCCCCTCAGTGAGTGCTGACTCTCCGGCCCTGTGCTCAGCAGGGGACACGAAGGAAGTACTCTTAGGATCCCAGCTTCAGGGGCTTGAGGCTCAGAGAACTGAGCAACTTTCCGAAAATCGCCACAGAAGCACGAAGTTTGAAACAAAGCCCCTAGTATCCGGAGGTATGCAGCTTCTACTTCTACAAACGTATTCGGACACCTTTGTAGTACAAAATCTAAGCGCTTCTTTCAAATGTTCCATTTATTTTTACATTTTGATCAGATTAATAGCAATGCATTGACACTCCTACAGTTTCCATCACTCTGTCATATTTTTACATTTTTGTTTTACATACTTTGAAAATTAAGACATGACTATTGTATCTTCACCTTTTATAAAAGGTGATTTTTATCAGTATTAAAAGGACTTCCTTTTCATATGCATATATTAGTAAATCTATGGAATATTTCTCAAAGAACACGCAAAAAAAAACTGATAAGCGGGAGGAAGGGAATTGGACTGCAGACTGTATATTTCTTCTTCCACTGTATAACGCTGTACATTTCCTCTTGAGGTACATACATTATCCATTACAAAAAAGAACCTCCTGCTACTGCCTTTTGGGGAAGAGAGGAAGAAGGGAGGTATTTTTTTTTTTTTTTTTTGAGACGGAGTCTCACTCTTTCCCTCAGGCTGGAGTGCAGTGGCGCTATCTAGGCTCACTGCAAGCTCTGCCTCCCGAGTAGCTGGGACTACAGGCACCCACCACCACACCTGGCTAATTTTTTTTTTTTTTTTTTTTTTGTATTTTTAGTAGAGATGGGGATTCACCGTGTTAGTCAGGGAGGTAGGGCGGTCTCGATCTCCTGACCTCATGATCCGCCTGCCTCAGCCTCCCAAAGTGCTGGGATTACAGGCGTGAGCCACCGCGTCCGGCCAAGAGGAGGAAGGGAGTTAAAAACATGTGGGTATTAGGCACCCAGCCTTCAGGCCGACCTGTTAGGGTTTACAGAGACCATACACTTGAAACACAGCTGAGATGCATGTGAACATTGCTTTAAGACATTGGGGCCCTAATGTCCCACAAGAAAAGGCACAGACAAACTTAGTGAGCAAGATTAAGTAGAAAATGAAACCCCCACACTAAGTTTTCACTTTTTCTTTCCTAGCTGTATAAATCAGAAGCTGAGTGAAGACAACGGTTTTGCTTGCTGCTGCTGATTTTTTAAAAACAAAAGCAAAAATAACTGTGTTAATAAAGAGAATTCCAGTGCATTACACAGAGCAGATCCTCAAGCATCTGCCAGAAATTAGAGTAAAAGCAGTCATGTTATTCCAAGAGACGAGCACTAACTTTCACTCCGGCTCTGCAGAGTTCACAGGTGCTCACGCTATTCTTAATGCTGAACTTGTATGACTGTGGCCAGCACAGCCCATCCTTCAATGCTTGTGTCTTCATCAAACCTGTAGCGCTTCTCAGTGCAGGGGGCATCCTGCATCACCTATTTCATCATTCACCTTGCTGAAATACAGACCCTGACTCAGCGGCTCTGGGTGGCGCTGGGGTGAGGGAGAGCCTGCATTTCTAACAGGCTCCAGGGACCATGCATGTCTTCAGGCTGTAATTTGACCAGCAGGTGCGAGGCAGTTGATAAGTGTCTATGGATCCTGATAACATGTTATGATTATCATCCCTCATTACAGAGGGGGAATCTGAGTCATGAAGGGTAGGTCCTTCCCTTCACTCAACCCTTCAGTAAGTTCCATGAACTCTGGGCCCAGGAAGGACCCCATCCCTGCTCTGTCCTCACCATCCCAATGCCCCACCCTGGCCAAATAGGGCAGTGCCTCTTACAGCTCTCTCTCGGGTTCCTTTGCTTAGGTTTATGATTCTCTCCAAAAGCTCTCCTATGTGGCTCTCAAGTCACCTTTGACCCCGCCCCTTCTTTGCTAATCCCTCCTGGTGAATTCTGTTACTTTCCCATGTCATGCTCTTTAGCCTCTCTCATTAAAGCAGAATATACTTGGATGTTGATTTTAACACAACATGTTGGTCCTTTTTTCTTTTTTCTTTTTTTTGAGATGGAATTTCGCTCTTGTTGCCTTGGAGGGCAACAGTGCGATCAGATCATTGCAACCTCCGCCTCCTGGGTTCAAGCAATTCTCCTGTCTCAGCCTCCCGAGTAGCTGGGATTACAGGCACATGCCACCATGCCTGGCTAATTTTTGTATTTTTAGTAGAGACAGGGTTTCATCATATCGGTCAGGCTGGTCTCAAACTCCTGACCTCAGGTGATCCACCTGCCTCAGCCTCCCCAAAGTGCTGGGATTACCGGCGAGAGCCACCGCACCCAGCCATCTTTTTCTTCTTACAGAGGAGTGTTAACACATTCCTCTTCACTGCCATAATATAGACTGTGGATGATCTTCCTCTGCCATGTTTTGTTTTTGTTTCCTTGCTGTTTCTTATCTAGTCTGTTTCCCTGACCTCCCCCAACTTTTTAACTTTTATTACTATCTTTGAAAGTGGTTTAGAATGTGGACATGTTGCTTTAGATTTCAAGAGGAGCTACTGTAGAGACATCCCAGGAACTGTCAAACACATCAGACTTGACTTTGTGGAGATTCATCCTCGTGAGCCTCCTTCCACCCCCTTGCCAGTCTTTCTTCACTGAACCTAGAGAAGCACAGGTGCTTTCCTTTATGATCTCATCACGCACTTCTCCAACCTACAGTCGCTGGGGGGTGGGGGTGAGCAGCAGTGCAGGCTGGAGCTGCTGAGGACAGCACCATGTCCTCAGTGGAGTGGTCTCTGTGCCAGCCAGCTGGGTGTGGAGTAAGGAGATTATTCGCACGGGGTGAGCTTGGGATGGGTGCCCTTGAGAATCCCATCCAGCCTTGAGATTCTTTTGACATTTTTTCTTTGAAGTAATATAATGAACATGTAGCAAAGCTAATTAACAAAAAAGAGAGAGAAAAGGCATCCCAGAAATAGAATGGAGAGAGAAATAACTACAAAGACAATGGTTACTGTAAAAGACGTTTAGAATACTGTGAACAAGTATGCGTTCATACTCCCTCAGAGTCTCCCAAAGCAACCCACCCTACTGACACACCGACTTCTGGCCTCTAGAACTGGGGGAAGACACGTTCTTGCTGTTTTAAGCCACCAGTCTGTGTAGTACTTTGTGAGGGCAGCCCCGGGACATGAATCCAGTACGCACCTTCTCCTGCTGTCAACAGCACAAGCCCACGTCAGCCCACAGCATGCAAGACAGTCTCAGCACAACAAAACCAGCACTGCTCCCAGAAACATAATTACTGGAAACATTTTAAAACTGTGCAGGGCTTCTTTTTGTTTGTTTTTTTAGGATTAGCCCTGGGATTCTGTGACCCTGTAATTTTTTTCTCCCCTTTTTGCCTAAGTTAGATCAAAGGTAATTAATAACAAATCCCCATGGCCACATGCCCAATTAAGCTCCTGGCTTTGTTTTCAGTAATCATCATCACGTGCGCAGGTCTCACCTAAGCAGCCAGCCCACCTCCCCACCCACCAGCTTCTCCTCCACAGGGAACCAAGGCTGAAAATACTGATACTCAACAAACAGCAGACACAAAAACACCATTTCACATCCTTCAAAAGTATTTTCCCAAGTCATTAGAAGTCTTCTAAAAAGAAGAGAAAACATGACACAGAACTGAAAGTCGATTTAAGGTTGAGAAGGTAAAAGGCAGATAGAATGGAAATGCATGTCATATTTTTGCTGAATTTCCACAGGCAATCTGAATGTGTATGATAAAAGGGACTTCCAAATTCAGCCTTTCACTTTGGGTGGTGCAGCACCCACGTTTTTCTATGAGAGGAGGTCGGAAGTCACTGTCGCCCTGTCCTCATCCCAGAGCTGCAGGCCGGGGACAGCTGCCTCATAACCCCGGCTGTCCTGTGGCTGCACTGTGACGCCACACAGGGCCCACACAGGGCGCCCGCACACGGGACGTGCACACAGTACATTCACAGAGCACTTAGTGACAGACGGCAGGTTGGACGTGTTAGGCACAGGGACCTCACGTGGGGCTGCAGACCTCATTGCAACAAGGGACCTCCAGTCTTGTTTGGCCCACATTTTCCCTCATCCGCCCCTCGGAAGGGCCGGACGCAGCCATTTCAAATATTAATACATTTAGGGAGAAAAGTGCAATGGTAGACTCGGGAGACAAGGGATCTGAAGGAGGCTCTGCTTCCCACGGGGAGAGGAATGCAGCCAGCGAGGCGGGCGGGGGACCTGTCAGACCCAGAGCTTGCGTGAGCAAATGTGAGGGAGACCCTTGGTACGTGCAGTGTGTCCCTCCAGATGCAGGCACCCATGAGTGGACCACGACGGGCCAGAGGCTCCGGCTCCACCTCAGCCCCATCACTGGCGAAGCAGAGGACAGTGGGCAAGGGACTTAAATCTGCTGTAAGTTTCTGTTCCCACTGATCAAAGATCATAGATGTGCAAGCTTTGTTGTGAGTAATGTAACAACAGGAATTGCCTACCAACAGGGCAGGCTGTAAAAAATTCTTCTTGAAATACAGTCTGTGCAAAGTGTGTTATCTGTCATAATTTATAGTGGCTAAGGACATTAAATGCTTTCACATGGATAAAAAAACAGCTGCTGCTTTTGTATGGCAGAACATTCTAGATGTATCCACTTTATGCAAACTGGGCTGTGCAAACCATAATAGCAAGGCAGAGGTCACAGGGAGGGGAGGGGCAGCACGGGGGCTGGAAAGAGAAGTGCCGCGTAAGAATAACGGAGACAGAGACAGAATGTCAGATGCACAGAGCTGGAGGACTTTGTGGAAACACATTCCTGCTGGTGAGGAGGCCCGCCATATTGGGAGGCCATCTCAATTCCTGGGCGTCACCAAGTAAGACAGTTCCCACACCCACACCCCCTCACCCTGACCCTGATCAACCAGTTTCCTTCTGCCATCAGGGATGAACAGGTAAGGAATATTCTGGTAGCCATGAGAATGTATGAATAGATTGGCATTGGTGATTTGTAAACAAAAAAGTATTTCCAGTTAATTTCTTTCAGCAAAACCATAAACTCAAAAATCTCTATCCTGAAGGCAGCTGCCCAGGGCAGCACAGGGCAGGCAATGAGTGTGAGACCCCACAATGCAACAGACCCTTACAAACCCCCCAAGGCCACACACCCTGGGTCCATCTGCCCTGCTGTTTCTTCAGGAAAAAACCCAGAATGGAAATGCTGGAGCCCCAGGGGCTGGAGACCGGGGAGAGGTGGCCTGTAAGGCTGTCCCATCACCATCCCCGCACGTCAGAAGCACCGTCACGTTGGAAAAGAATGACGCTTATTCCACCAGTTCTGAAGCCAGATGTCCTCACAACCGAAGCAGCCCTGTTTGTGCTTGGGCTATGACTTGAGGGTAATTAAACTGTCAAAACACCCTCCCTACTATTTCCATTTTCTTGCAGTTGGTGTCATTTAGTCACTGCAGGCTGACAGACTTATTACAGGATTGAGACATGAGAATGAACAGTCAGAAACCTATAAATGAACTCACCACAAATGGCTGCTGGAAAGGAAGAAAACTATCTGTCGATGGGAAAACTCCATCCACTTCAGTCACATTAAAGGAAATCATTTTTAAAGAAAACTTGAATCACATTAACACCACAGATTTCACTGACTGTCCTCCGCAATCTCTCTCTATGTATCTGTGGAATTCCATAGTTGAACTCATGACCATTTTTTAGAGGCAGGGTCAAGCTATGTTGCCCAGGCTGGAGGACAGTGGCTATTCACAGGCTTAATCACAGTACACTACAGTCTTGAGCTCTTGGCCTCAAACCATCCTCTCACTTCAGCATTCTGACTGGCTGGGACTACAGGTGTATGTCACTGGGCCTGGCTAGCCTCATGACCATTTCACAAAAAACACTATCCAATGCTCTCTTCCCTAACTGCACCTTGATGGTCTTGCCGTACCAGCAAATTGTCTTGATCTTGACTATGAACTTTAATGGCCACATAATATTCCACAAAGAAGATGGACCATAATTCAATCATCGTTTTCTTTGGAGCTCCCTTAACCACCCCCTTGCCACATTCAATCACAGGGGCACCACACTCAGCTGAGGCCACCTCCTGCCAGCCAGCCAGCCAGCCCTTCCTTCCCCCAGGCCTACAGTGCTGCCTCAGCCTAGGCTTTTACATTTTCTCCACCGTTCTACAGTTCCTAAAGAGCAGGGAGGATTCTCACCCACACCCTCCACCTGTGTGAACACAGTGGCTGGAGCTAGTTAGCTCATGTTTTCAGAGTGAGTGAATAAATGAATGAAGACAATTTTTTCCTCTCTACCCAGGAAAACATATTGGTGGGACCCTGCCAGCATCCTGATGGGGAAGGATTTGGGGTTGGGCATTTAGGGAGCTCTTTCTGCTGCTGCTGCATCTTGGCTGACACTATATGCATAGATTACACAGAATGAGGAGTGCTTTTCTGCACACCGTTTCATTTTGCAGTTAAGGTGCTGAGGTTTAGAAGGGACCGTGGCCTACCCTGGGTCTCACAGACCTCAGGCCTCTTAACTCCCTGACCAGGGCCTCTTCCTCAAACCACAGCTACTCCACACTCCTCCCACTTTCCAGCCTCTGCACAACCCGGCCAGGCCCTGAGCCCTTCGGCCAGCAGCTGCAGCCTTTGGGTCCTGGTTCCTGGGCTGGCCTGGAGCCCCACCTCTGAACCTCAGCCTCCTGCTGACTTTGCCAGCCCCTTTCCACCACGTTCAGAGTTCTGCCCCAACCCACACCAACCCCCAGGACCACAATGCTGCCAATTTCCTCCCCTCCCCGACCAGAAGCCTCTTTGCAATGCACAGATTCTCTGCTTTCCCATGCTCATCAGTGATGCTGGTCCCAGCAGGAGCGCCATGCGAGCCCCCCTACACCCCAGAATATGAGCCACTGCCCCCCCTGCCCCAGTGGGTGAGTCTGGGTCCTCTAAATCCCTCTGCTTTTTCATCTTCATTAACAGGCATCCCACGCCTGAACCCACTTCCCCTCTCAGACCAGCAGAGGAAAAATGGGGCTCTGCTGAAAATTCACTAACACCCACCCTGCTTTGTGCAGATGCCTGCACACCTTGGCACTGCCCGGACAGCCTCAGGCATGACATTTACCCTGTGGACCACATGGGACATTGGGATTCCTCGGCTCCTCTCTCTCCCTGGACTGCCAAACTCTGTGTGGCCCTCCTCTCAGTCCCCACGCCCCCAGGGCCCATGCCACAGATAGTCTGGGATCTGAGCAGACAGCTGCAGCAGGGTGAAGCCACCCTCAGGGGAGGCAGGTGTCCAGACCAACAGCAGACAGGACCCTGCAGACCCCATTCTTTTGTTCACTATTACTCTGTCTAGGAAACAGCTGAATTCTTCCCAAGCTCAGCACTGTTAACAAATGATCCAGCCCTGGACCTGACAGGGAAATGATGGAAACTGTACACTACCGGGAGCCCTGGGAGCCTGCTTTCATATGACAGTCTGGATATCCTGGGATCAGCCACACCGTTGCAGGCCTGCAAGAAGTATAAAATGAAAAACGGATGGCAAACCAAGTCTACATTTTGGTCAGAGAAGATGCGCTGGGACCAGCAGCCACTCGCTGTAGAGAGCTGGGGGCTTACTTATTCTTAATCCAAATGGCTCTTCCGTGGGAAGCCTTCCTGGAGTTGTGCACCAGATGGAGTCTCCTACTTACATGGTTTCCTAGCATTCTCAACTTTCTCTCCCTCGCACTCATGATGGTCAGTCACTATAGAGTTGTTTGCGTGAAAGCTCACACGGGTGCTGGAGCTGTGCATGCAGCGGTGACTGAGGGCAGGTGTCCAGGCTGTGCAGTGTTTTGAGCTCCTGCAGGCGCCTCAGCAGGTGTGCAGTAAATATGGGCCAAGACAGCAATTCAGGCAGGTCTGCGCTCCAGGCTGTGACTGTAGTTGTGATGTATTCCGACCCTGGTTTACCAGGCTGCAAACCTGGGAGCTCCCACAGTTCATCCAGCCTGAGGATGAGGGCCGGGCATCTACTTGGTGCCTGAGACCATGAGTCCTGTACACAGCCCCGTGGGGAGCCCAGTGTAAACATGGAGCATTAAAGCTGGTAAAGCCCCTGGCAGGGGACCCAGGGAGAAAGTGGAGATGTGAAGCAGCCAGAGACAACTTCACTATGGGTACAACACAGAGCAGCACCTTGGAGGAAGGCATTTTCCAGGCAGAAGGAGGGCGTGTGCAGGCCTCAGTGCGATGCAGGACTAGAGAGAGGAGGTCGCTCAAACTGGACACAGAGGAGCGGGGATGGGTCTGAGGAAGCTGTGAATGCGTCCTCAGTCCTCAGCTAGGGACTGTGGACTTACACTGTGAGCCAGGTGAGCTGGCAGAGACCCTGCCGCAGAAAAATAGCACGGCCGATGTGCTTCTGTTTTTTGTTTTTTAAGACCCTTCTGATAGCCAAGTGGAAGACAGAGGAGCTGGTGGAGACCAGTGGCCAGCAGGCACTGCTCCAGGGTGAGATAAGGGATGTGGCAGATCTAATCGCCTGGTTGCTGGGGATTCTCCCAGACAGATGGAGCGGGGTTAGGTGGGGTGTGGGGCTGTGCAGAACAGAGGGATGGGACCAGAAAGGAGTGCACATAGGGATGCATTCTCTTCTCAAAACCCTGGCATGCCAGGGTTCAAAAGAATTATGCAGCTGCAGGCACAGTCTCAGCACCTCACCTACTCACCACAAGAGCCCCAGTTCACATGAGTGGTAGACTCTGAGCTCGGCCAGGACCACGGACCAGGGACATGTGGCCTTCTGCACTGGGGGCAGTGGGGCCTCCCATGCCAAGTGGGGCAGGGGCTGCTCCTCCCTGTACTAAAACCTCTCTGACTGATCCAGATGAGACCCAGTGAGTGGCGGCTTTCATCTCTCATTTTAACAGAAATTTTGCACTTTACCCTATGATGCAGCACAAATCTGAAACGATTCAAATATTTCCAAATATCAAAGGCTAAAATCCACTTACGGATTCAAAATGGTACTAACCTGACTGTAAGTTTAAGGCACAGCTCTCAGTGAACTGCTGTGGAAAATATATATTTTTCTGAGCAACATTTTTTAAAATAAAGAAAATTCTTTCTGAAAGGAAAACCCTGTGGAGTATCTGGTGGAAAAAAGCTGTAAAAGAACAAATATGCAAATGACTTTGCATCTTGATAACAGCCTGTTCTCAGGAAAACAGAAGAGAGAAGATAATTTTCTCCTATTACATTCAATCCCTCTACTTCTCTCCTATTTAAAAACCACTTTATTGAGGTCTGACTGACAGGCAAAAAGCTGTGCATGTTTAAGACCTACAACCTGATGAGTTTAAAGACAGGGGCACATCCAGAAAACCATAGCCATGCTCTATTCCATAAACATCTCTATTACCTACAAAAGTTTTCTCTGCTCTTCTTGTTATTTTTGTGTGATAAGAACATATATTAACATAAGACCTACCCTCTTAGCAAAATTTTAATTATACATTACAGTTGTATTAATTGTAGGTCCTACACTGTACAATAGATCTCTAGGACTTATTCATTTTTCTTAACTGAAACTTTGTAAAAGCGAAGGCATCCACTGCTCCTAGAACTGACCACCTATCCACAGTGTGCAATCAATAGACAGTCCCATCCCCAGGCTCCCAGGTGGAAACTGTGGCTGGGAGCATGGCGGTGCAGACATCAGCAACACCCCTCTGCCCAGCCTCACTCTACACCTGGCCAGAAGACCAGCGCTCTGATGAGCCGAGCCAGCCCAGCCCTCCAGGACCCTTGGCTCCCCGCTGTCATCAGAGAGCTCCCTGGCCTGTGTCCTAAGGAAGTCCACACCACCCACCACAGTATGTAGGAGTTTTAGATGGCTAAGGCAATGTTTTACAAGAATTAAGAAACAGCTAATTCATTTTGACCCTGGGATGTCACTTTGGGTGTTATGCACTAAACAGACTACATGTGACCTGTACAAGAATGTCTATTGCTATGGTCTTTGTAAGTATTTGGAATACTAGTAACTGCACAATGAATACTTGTTGAATGCATGAATAAAAGACAAAACATGAGAAAACAAAACAAATTATCAGCAATAATAA
The DNA here is from genome assembly GCF_000001405.40 of Homo sapiens. Taxonomy (NCBI): domain Eukaryota; kingdom Metazoa; phylum Chordata; class Mammalia; order Primates; family Hominidae; genus Homo; species Homo sapiens. Next base: position 55,491,883 of record NC_000007.14, read on the forward strand.
AATATCTAAGCAAATTACCATTTAGTAACATAATTAGTATCTAGTCCAGAAGCACTAAAAATGGCAGGGGTATTACCGCTCCTACACAGAAATTTATATGTGAAATAATGTTTAAGGAAAAGGGCAGAGAGCAAATAATACGCTTATACAAACTGCATCATATCACGTGCATATGTGGCACACTGATAACTGTAAGAATATGAGGTGACGGGCGTGCGATATACCTTACATTTGTTATCTGCACAAATGCACAATGGAGCTGGTCATCAGAACTAAAAAAATGAATAACACACCTGAGCGCTCTCTTCTGGCAGTACCCTTTCTGCAGCAGTACCCTTTATAAATGTTGGCAGACGACACACACTGTGGGGAGGAGAGACAAGGACAGGGCTGGCTGACCTGGGCCGGGATTTGGGGGCTGCCTGGTGTAGGACACATTGAAGGCTGGCTCCTCGATCAGCGGCGGGGGGTACATGCGCCTCCGGATGAAGAAGCCGGCTCCGCAGCAGAAAAGCACGCCCATCATCAGAAGGAACCTGAGGAGAGTACAGACGTGAGGGTGGTGCTCCCAGGTGGGGGCCCTGAGGGCTTGGCCCTACAGCTCAAAGGCCTCATGCACTCCTCGGGGGTCCGGGACCAATGACTCCCAAATGCACGAGTCAGAAGGCAAGGGCAGAGCCATGAGGCTCGCACCTCAGACTTGGTCCTCTTGGGCCCATTTTACCCAGGGACATTCCTCTAGTGGATAGCAACAAGTAGATGCTTGACCTGCGGCCTCTGGGACAGCCCCTGGTGAGGCCACCCACCCTGAAAAGCACCGTAAAAGAAAAAGCTCATGCAGTCACTTCCTCGTCCACGGCTCTGACCTCAGCTCGACATTTTAGTTAGAAGAGGAGATGCCATCTAAATCCTGTCTGAAAGCCATGGCCGATCCAGCCTTGGCCTCGCTGTCTGTCTCTGTTTTCCATTCTTCACTGTCAAAGCACCAAGGCAGAGCACATTTATCCTCCAGACCACGTCTCCATTATCACATCAACACCCACAAGGAAACAGAAGTACCCTTCCTGGAGCACACCTTAATTACAGAGAAACTATGGGAATAGAAATACAATCAATGAAAATAGAATCAAGAGAAATACAATCTATCAATAGAAATAAAATACAAACAATAACAGAAGCAGAGCTGAACTCTTTAAGGGTAGCACCTTTGTCCAACCCATCTGTGAATTCTCATTGACTATCACTTCATCAGCATTCAGTAAACGACTGCAGAATGAACACATGAATGGCTTCCTTCCAT